>NC_000009.12:10000-2510000 GCF_000001405.40 Homo sapiens | reverse complement strand
GGGCGGGGCAGTTTTATAGGATTTGGGTAGGCAGTGGAAAAGCACAGTTAAACGTGGTTATCTCTTTTGGGCAGAAGTGGAGGTCACAAGGTGCAGGGTGGGGAGATCATGAGACTCATTGTCCAGGGAAGGAATGTCACAAGGTCGATTGATCAGTTAGGGTGGGGCAGGAACAAATCACAATGGAGAGATGTCATCGGTTAAGGCAGGAACTGGCTTTCTTTTGTGGTTCTTCAGTTACTTCAGGCCTTCTGGATGTATACCTGCAGGTCACAGGGGATATGATGGCTTAGCTTGGGCTCAGAGGCCTGACAGTCTTAACATACTGTCTAGTAATCAAATATTTTTACTAATGTGAAAACTAAGTTATTGACTTGAAAACTTATATCCATACAAAAACCTGTATGTGAACGTTTATAGCAGTTTTCTTCATAATTGCTAAAATTATGGATGGAAGCAACCAAGATGTCCTTCAGTACATGAATGGACAAACTGCGGCATATCAACACAATGGAATATTATTCAGCAGTAAAAGAAAATGAACTATCAAGCCACAAAAAGATATAGACGAATCTTAAGTACATATTGCTAAGTGAAAGAAGCCGGTATGATAAGGCTACACATTATATGATTCAAATTCAATGACATTCTGAAAATATGATTGAAATTCAATGACATTCTGAAAAAGGCAAAACTATAGAGATAATAGAAAGATTAGTGGTTTCCAGGGGCTTACGGAAAGGGGGAGAGGGTTGAATAAGTGAAGCACAGCAGATTATTTAGGACAGTGAAGCTATTCTATATAACACTGTAATCATGGTTATATAACTTTATGCATTTGTCAAAACCTATAGAACTTTATAACACAAAGAGTGAACTTTAATGTATGCGAATCTTTAACAAATCATTTAGGGGATTGGAGGTTTCCAAGATGAAATGCAAAATTATGACAAAATAAGCTAACTGTATTACAAATGTATTAAAACAACCTCACTGAGGAGTGTGAAGGAAAGATGGTGTTGACCTAAACAACTTTAGAAATGAATGGAGACTGTGAGACTAAAGGCTATAAAGGAGCCTATAACATAAGCATGCTACCCTAGCTGATAAAGTTGTTTCCTGTGGAAGTACAGGTTAGCAATTCTGACTCTGCTATACATGCATACTGGAATTGAGCAGTTAAGTAAATAGATGGACAATGGTGAGAGCTAAGTTTCTCGCTGTTGGTGTGGGAGGTTACAGATAAGCAAAAGGAGGAGGCTGGAATCATCTACGAGGTAATGGATAACAGTTGAAGACATCATATCAACTCCTATTAGCTTAATAGAGATATTGATGGTTACATATAGAAATATTTATAGATATGTGTATTTATATAGATATGGGTTAGTAAATGCACACATATTTCCTTGCTGTGTCAGCTGAGAGGGTGTAGAGTTAATGACACCCCAGTAGCAATGAGTATACCTAGCACCAAGATCTTGGTTTCTAATATTATTCTCCAACTAAATGAACCACAACTTGGATAACTGGCTGATTCTAGGATGACAGAAGAAAATATAGAAGGTGTGCATGGAGCGTCTTGTATGCCAAAAAGTAAGGAAGTTCCAGGAAGAAAAAACCCTCACACACATGCACACACACAAAACAAAGGGGATATGTCAAAGGGTCATAGAGCCAACTAGAAGAACTACCGGTAGCCAAAGCTGGAACATTTGAGCAACAAAATAGATACAATACTTTAATATTGAATTTATACCCAAAACATGAAATAAATATATATACATCCATGCTGATGTGAGTACATTATTGAATAAATAAATAAATGAAGAATAGGCAAATTTCCTGTGCTAAATACTTCTAATTTATGTGGATATTCTGCTCTCAAGGAAGTAGAATATAACTCCCCCATTCCTTAAGTGTGGGTTAAACATAGTCACTTTATTCCAAAAAGTACAATATGGAAAGGGGGAAAAAAGAGTAACTTTATACTAAAGAAACCTGACATAGATTACTTTAGCCAGGTGATCAAGGTTAACATCAATGACATGTTGATAGTATGTGCCCTTGATCAGATGTGATGAGAATGGCACTTTACCTCTATGGTATTCTACCCAAAAACACATAATCCCAGTCTAATAATGAGAAAAACATCAGACAAACCCCAACTGAGGGACATTCTACAAAATATCCGACCAGTATTCCTCAAAAAAGTCAAGGTCATCAGAAACAAGGAAAATCTGAGAACTGTTACAGCCAAGAAGAACCTAAAATGTCATGATAAGCAAATGTACGGGAGTATTCCAGATGGAATCTTGGAAAAGGAAAAAGGATATTAGGGAAAATCTAAGGACACATGAATGAACTATAGACTTTAGTTAATGATAAGGTATCAGTATTGGCTCATTAATTGCAGGAAATGTACCATGCTCATATAAGGTGTTATTAGTAGGGGAAATGGATGTGGCATATATGGAAACTTCATTATTACCTTTTCAATTTTTCTGTAAACTTAAAACTGTTCTAAAATAAAGCATTTTTTTTTTTTTTTTTTTGAGACGGAGTCTCGCTCTGTCGCCCAGGCTGGAGTGCAGTGGCGCGATCTCGGCTCACTGCAGGCTCCGCCTCCCGGGTTCACGCCATTCTCCTGCCTCAGCCTCCCGAGTAGCTGGAACTACAGGCGCCCGCCACCGCGCCAGGCTAATTTTTTGTATTTTTAGTAGAGACGGGGTTTCACCGTGTTAGCCAGGATGGTCTCGATCTCCTGACCTCGTGATCCGCCCGCCTCGGCCTCCCAAAGTGCTGGGATTACAGGCGTGAGCCACCGCGCGCCGCCAAAGCATTTATTTTTAAAAACTTATAATGCCTGGGTATCAGCCGTGAGATACTGATTTAATTGATCTGAGGTGTGGCCTGACCCTTGGGACTTTTAAACACCTCCCAGGTGGTTCTAATTTGTCTCCGGCAAACCACTACTCTTCCTTCCTTCTGCTCTTTTGTTTAATTATAATAAATGCTCTGACCTTATCCCTGATAAAAATAGCAGTGTGCCTTAACGATTTTGGTTGTTTGAATGCAGCAGTTCTTTAAATGTACAGCCAGTGATATGGAACTTAGTGATATTTCCCATTAAATAGAAAATCTTGTCCAAGAAGCTTAAAATGCCATAAAGAGTTTAGGTAAAGAGACAGTGAAGGGCAGATTATACTATATGTATTGTCGGTTTAAATCTGTGCGTGGTGGGAATGGCTTTTTCTCTCTGCCGTGCTATTCCGTATGTACTTGGAGATGAGACATCTCCTAAATTTTAGGTGCAAAGGGTTTAGCTTTAATTAGGCAGTAGATTTATTCTTCAGGTGTTGATTGTGACAAGTGAGATAAAAGCATTACCTGCTGGCAAATGAAGCTTAAAGGTTCAGTAACCACAAACTGAACCGAGCCATCTATTTTTCTCCTGCAGGGAAGCTGGCAGCCTGGGCTCTTGGAGATTGTATCTGGTGCCGGAGAGGACTGGCTCCCACACTCAGTGAGGGAGGAATTTTACTGACCCAGCATCCAGATGAACTTTGGTGAGGAGAGGAGGTGAGGAAGTCAATGAGCCTTGCTTTTTCACTTGCAATTACGGCATTTCCTTTGGAAATGGTAAGACTATATTTTTAGACTTATATTATTAGCTTAAAATCCTAACAGGCCAGGAAGATGGCTTCATGCACATTAAGGCATGCAAAAGATTTATTTTTCCTGTGATTTTTCTTCCTCAAGTACTCATTAGTAGGAATTCTTGCTCTTTGTTAACACCTGTAAGAATATTAAGAGAGACCAGAAAACATTTGTTCATTGGCTGTTACACTATATTAGGCACTGAAGTAGATATTTTAAAGGTTAAAAATATATAACAGTGGCTTTTCATTCATTCATCCAAGCAATGTTTACTTGAATGCATATCATGCACCAGGTATCTGCTAGGGACTGGATATTTTAAAAAATAATAAAACAAAACAAAACAAACAAACATAAAAAAAAAAACTAAGCTAGATTGGGTCTCCTTTCTTAAGTTGTCTGCAGTCTAAAATCTTACTGTCTAGGTCAATGGTTCTCAATCCAGGGTGATTTTGCCCCCCAGAGGACATTTGACAGCGTCTGGAGAAATATTCAGTTACCACTACTAGGAGGGATGAAGGCTGCAATGGAATCTAATGGGTAGAAGCCAGCAATGCTGCTGAACATCCAATAAAATATAATTCAGCCCCCAACAACAAAGAAATTATCAGACCCAAATGTCAATAGTGTCGAGGCTGAGAAATCTGGCAAACCCACTGGGCTCTTCCTTAAACAGAGAGCACATTCTCCGTGTGTGAATTAAACAAAGCAAGCCTTAAAGCCACCTCCTGCCCTCCCTCTACTAGGTGGGTTTGGAATATTGAAGGGTCCCTCCCTAGCTGAGGGGAGAATAAATGTTATCCCCACTCCCCACCATCACTTAGGTGGGATGTGGTGGTGGCACTGTTCAGCAGAAGGTCAGCAATTCTATCATCAGCCCAGACCAGAGACATGTCCTGTTAAATAAGTCTGCCCTAGAGAGAAGACGTGATACTTTTCCTCTTTATTGGGAGCAGCCAAGCTTCTATAGTCAAGGCCAGTTAAGCACAAATCCTTTCAAACAATATTACTAAAAGACAGTGACACTCTTATAATTTAAACATAGTATTTGCACCTAAATTGAAACTGCCATAAAAAAATTCTATTGTTTTACTTCTGTGTAAGTACTAACTGCAAAGTCTGAAAGAAGAAGTAACCTTACAGTCATGCTGTTCAATGTAGCTACTAGCCACACGCTGCTGTTTAAATTAGTTGACATTAAATAAAATGTAAAATTTATTCTTCAGTTGCACTAGTCACATTTTAAGTGATCACTAGCCATGTGACTACTGGCTACTGAATTGGACAGTATGGGTGTAGGACATTTCTATCATCACAGGAAGTTCTATTGGACAACATTGTCTTACAAGGCTCCATTTCAAAGGATTCTTATCAATATGTGCAGTTATTTCTTTAAAAAAAAGGCTTGTTTCCTAGCAGCTGAGACACTGGGGCAATGCTTTGCATTATCTCATTATCATTGTCTGTTAGAAAGGAACTGACATGTTCTGCTGGGGGGACCACCTCTCTTCTGATATGGAATTTTTGTGAAGGGTTTATGTAATGGACATGGGATAACGTGTCAGATGATTGAAACTATGATTTTCCAGAAGATGTAACAACGTAAAATTCAAATAGGTAACTCCTGTAAGGCATTTCTGATCTAAGTCAAGTGTGTGTTGTTAAATATTAATTCCATTAAAGTATGTCAGCAGGGAATTAAGATATGTGACCCAAATATATTTCTTTTTAGTAGCTGAGTGTAATAGAGAAGTAGTGCTCAGTGGATCTCAACTGAAGAAGAGGTAGGACGAAGGGAAGAGAAGAGGTTCAGAATATTTGGAAAAGATTCTCCATGTTATTTTAATGTACCCAATCCAGATAAGTATAGTTTAGAGATATGCAAAGGATAATTGATTTACCTTTCACTGCTGTATGATTGGAGGGAGGCGGAAAGGCTGCGACTTTTAAAAGTCCCTCTTTTTAGAAATTTTGATTAAGTACAACTTTGAGTGGGGCCTAGATATTCACTCCATTCTCTCTTGCTGTCTTTCCTTTCAATGACCTACCTGTCTATCCTTCCCTACTTGGTTATTGTTCTAAATAACCAGGATGATCAACTGGCTTTAGAACAATGGCCTTAGGCAATTTTTCCCAGTATCAAGAGTCTCTAGCAAACTTTTGCAAGCTGTATATCACAGTCTATTCTTGGCTGCATTTTTTTGATCAGTGCCTGAAGTGATGATATGTGTGCTTACTGATCAAAGCAAGTGTCTCATGCACAAAGGGTGCATTACCCAGAGAGGACACTCAACTGAAGAAATTCAGGAATCCATTTACTACTTTTGCTCAGGCTGAAAGGCACCCCACTTCCACAGAAAGGTTGGCTGTGAGTGTGTGAGCAGGGCTAAAAATGTTCTCCTAAAGGACCCATTCAAGCCATTGGATAACTCTTCAGGTAGAGAACCCAGAGTTTGGTAATAGAGCTTTGCCCATTTTATTAATGTTAGAAAGCCATTACTAGCCATAGGGAAACCTATCAGTCCATCAGAGTGACACCTTGCTCTGCTGATAGGTACAAAACTTCAACACTCTTCCCCCTTACCCCTAATTAAGTCTCGAAATTTCACATCATATTTTCAAGATATGTTAGCCCTGAATGGGTTTATATTTTTCACTTTCATTTTCTCAAGTTGATTTAGAATAGCCTTGCTACATCCTTTGTTTTCCTCATTCCTGGTTTCACATTTTCTCCTGGTAGAAATGTAATTTCCCCCCATAATATGTAAAATGTTGATCATTTGGAGTTTTTGAAGAATAAGGTGGAACTCATATCATTGTGTAACCATCCAGAATGTACATTCTTTTTGGTGGCATGATGTACAACATATGACATTAGGACAAAATATCCTACCACCCCCAGAAAATGTCCAACCTTAGCTTCCTCCTCTTTTTAAGGACATAAGAGCCTGGTGGTTGATGATGGAAGAGATGAAACTGTGAAGAGACCGAAGAAGCTAATCTATCAATAGTTAAGATTCCATTTCTAAAAGATCTTACTTTGAGTCTACCTATGCCTGGGATGTCAAGAGGTATGAATTGCCCTAACGTTCAGGGAGCCATTTAGGTTTGTCTTCTTAAGGTATCCAGCTAGAGGGGGACGTGGATCTTAAAACCATGTAGAATTTAGGCTTAACGGATGCACTAATACCTTGAAAAGAAGGCAGGAAAGAATGAAGAAAGAACCCTAGAGTGGCCCTACTGAAGACTGCATCATCCATGAGAAAATATTGAGTGTCTGTTATGGGCCAGGCCCTGTGTGGTACAATGTGTTGCTGTAACATGAGAAAAAAAATGTATTTGGTCTTCGTCCCAGTTTTTGGCACAGAGCTCCTAAAACCTTTGGAAATTCCTGAGTGATAGAGTGTCTTTTGCATGCTAATGAGGTGACTAAAGAGGGCCATGCTTAGATAGCTTCAGGATAAGGGCTGGTCACCAGAGAAGCCAACCACCTGATTATAGGGTTAGAATTGTCAGCTCTGCACTGCCTTCCTCCCCACCTCCAGAGAGGGTAGACGGGCTGGAGATTGAGTTCAATCAGCAGTGGGAAATGATTTAGTAAATACTGTCTATGTGGTAATGATGCTTTCATAAAAACTGAAGCAATAAGGCTAAGGGAGCCTCCTGTTTGGTGACTACATTGACATATTGGGAGGGTGTCTTACCCAGAAAGGGCATGGAAGAGTTGTGTCCTCTCCCTGCCCCATACCTTGCCCGATGCATCACTTCCATTTGGATGTTCCTGAATTGTGTCCTTTATAATAAGTGTAATTGAAAGTAGATAGCTTTTCTGAATCTGTCGGTCATTCTAGCAAACCACTGAACCTGGGGAGTGGTTGTGGAAACCCCCAAATTTGTGGTAGACTGGGCAGAAGTGCAGGTAGCCTGGAGACATCATGTACAGCTAGCATCTAAAGTGAGGGTTTCTTATGGAACTGAAGCCTTACTGTGTGTGGTCTAGGCTAACTCTGGGTAGCTAGTGTCTGAATCAAGTTGAATTGTTGCCACCCAGTTGGCTTCAGAGTTAGGCAGGAAAACAGGGTCTAGAGGCAGGGGACATAGGCCGATTCATACTTCAGCTATCACAGGAAATATCCTCTCCATAGGGTGTACACTGAGTAAATGACTGTAACTTTACTTCAGCCTCTCCATTTACGTAGGGCGTACACCAGGTAACCAATGGAATCATCTAGAGGGTATTTAAACTCCTGAAAATTCTGTAACGGGGCCTTTGAGCCCCTATGCTCAGGCCCACTCCCACTCTGTGGAGTGTGCTTTCATTTTCAATAAATTCCTTCATTCCTTCCTTGTTTTGTGCATTTTGACCAATTCTTCATTCAAGATGCCCAGAACCTGGACACATTCCACTGGTAACAAGAGAATCAGAGAATTCGTTGGTATTGGGATGACATAGCTGGGAATAAAGTGGTGAACAAGAGTAGACATCTTTCTACTCTCGAAATTTACAAATAGTATCCCAGTGAGTCTGTTGGGTTATTTAGCACTATGCTGTATATTGTCCAATCACCCCCTCCAAATCTACTCACTCTGGTCTTTAGAGGCTGACCCTCATGGAACACATTAATGGGCACTCTTTTTTCCATCTGTAATCGGGTGTGAACAACGGGGTGTCCTGGGAGGAAACTGAAGTGAGGGAGGTAAGTAAAATCAGGGTATTGATTCACCTGGCTCACTCCTTGGGAGCCCACCTTGGGCTGTGTCTCATTTCTAGGTAGTCCTCTCAACATGACTTTCTTCTTCCCAATTCTGGCAACTCCTTCTTGTCTCCTTGTGCATAAGGGTGGTGTAAGCACTTCAGCTTCTAATCTTTGCTTTTTGCCTGCAAACCATTGTGGTTCTATTACATCCTGAATACACCCTTGTAAAAAGTTCCTTATTAAATAAACCTTCTTTGAATTATCCTAATATGAGTGTTCTGTCTCACTGGGATCCTGACTGATACAAGCAGTTTCCATGTAAATGGTGGATATATGTTTGCAAAGTATGTTGAGTTTTGCTTTAGTATACTTGATGCTAAGCCAGCTGTTCAGCTACTTAAGAAGGTGACCCTGGTTTGCAATGATAAAATTCTATTATAGAGTAGGATGCTTATCTCCCTATTTCCTTTGGCAGGAAAGTATATATTCAATGAGGTACAGAGAAGGGGAGCTAGAACATTAGTTCTGTTTTACAGCATTTAGAATTACAATTTCTGTTGCCAAAATGTTCCTCTTACCCATTATGATTCTGACATTAATACTATATTCCAGGCTTTGAAGAAGCATTAATAGTTTGGGATTTTACCAAGATGATACATGCGGATGAGAGGTTGATAAATGTTGCAAAAAGTCCTTGTTATTAACTGTTTTATTGCTGAGATGGAACAGGATAGTAACACTCAGAAGTTTAATAGTTGTGCCTGAAACACATTTTCTTTCATGATAAACATTTGAGTGACAGAGAGTCCAGAAATGGGTTGTGAAGAGAGCACAAAGTGTGTGCTTTTATTGTTTGCTTGGCAGAGGTTCCGCCATGGAGAACAACATCATAAAATTTACATTTGTTATTGATCTTTTTGCCTGAGCCCCACCCTAATACCTCCATTAGAATCTGTTAGAAGTAAGTTTTTCCAGATGATGAATTCCTTGTGAAAAGAGATGAACTGTGAGTTTGTAGCTCACAGTTTGTAACTGCGAGCCTCCTTTCCTCCTTATTTTGCCTATTAAAGTCATTACTGAATTATAAATTAGGGTGGCCAGATGGGATAATCAAAGCTGGTTTCAACCCATCTATAATCCGTTGATCCATAGATAAGACAGAAAGCTTGTCTCAGAAGATGGTACTTGTGTACATCTCAAGAGAATTGGAGAGAGGCTACCTGCATCATTGATCACTAACCTTTATAGATAAAAGCAATTTCAAAGGCCATCTACCCCCTAATGCTATAGATGAGGAGACTGAGACCCTGAGATATTAAAAGACTTACCCAGGAAAACAGCTGTATTAATCTGTCAGGGTAGCCATAACAAAGTATCACAAACTGGGTGGCTTAAACAACAGGACTTTACTGTCTCACAGTTCTGGAGATGGAGCATCCACAAGTCAAAGGGTTGGCAGGATTGGTTCCTTCTATGGCTGTAAGGAAAGGATGTGTTCCAGAGCTCTCTCTTTGGCTTGTAGATGGCCATCTTCTCCCTGTGTCTCTTCACATTATCCTCCCTCTTTGCATGTTTGTATTCAAATTTCCTCTTCTTATAAGGACACCAGTCATACTGGATTAGGGCTTACTCTAATGACCTTATTTTAACTTGATTGCCCCTGTAAAGACCCTCTTTTCTAAAGATCACATTCTGAGGTACTGAGGGTTAGGACTTCAACATATGAATTGTTTGGTGGACACAGTCCAACCCCTAAGCACATCGACTGTCTGAAAACTGACTAGAATCTTGGTCCTCTGATGCTCTTGTTCATTTTTTTCCTATTACACTACTGTGCCTTTTAATATTCTTGTTCCCGTTGCTACAGAGACCATTCCCTCTTTCACAGAACTAAGAGACAGGGATGTGGTTAAAACCTGAACTTTTCTCAGACACTTCAAATGATTCCATTTAGGGGAATATAAGGCCAAAGTAAATTTAGAGAAGTTATGATCCTTATTAATATAACCTGAACATACTCCTCTTGGGGATAAAGATAAACAATGATTTTTTTTTATGATCACATGGCTGTTAATGTTGAACTTTTAGAGTTAGACACAAAATTCTCTCAGACTTATTTTATGAACTGCAGTTTATATTATTAAATTGTGATGATAAATGAGTTTGCTCAGTTATTCTCTTCTTTGACTTGACTTTCTCTACCTCTGAAAAATAGCCTACCAGGGAAAGGAGGTTTTCTTTCTGGATGTCCTACAGATGAAGCTTTGGCAGAACCATTGTCAATCCAGGCATTTAATTCTCCTGAAATCATGTTGTCAGTTCAGGGATGCTTGAAGCATATAAAGTTTAGGAGGCAACGGAATCAGTGCCGGATATTTAGGGATATGTTTGCATGTAGGTAGGCAGGATATTTTTATGTTGTACCAAGTGGTCTTTTCAGGAAAATGGGTCTAGACAAGACAAATAAGTTTTTAATTCATGTCAGGTCACTGAAGCCAATGTGGCCTATCACCCTCACATCAACCAAAATTGCTTGGATTAAAGGTTGGAACAGAAGAAAACTAATAGGGTATTAAACTCTTCAATAATGACTTCATTCTTCCCATTCTCACATGGCCTAAAATGCTTATTTTCAAGGAGGGGAACCTAATGCTGAGAGAAATAACGTGATTAGTCCAAGAACACAGTATACTCCTCCCATACAGCAATGTGCTTCTGCCCAGTATAGCAGGTGTAATGCAGGACTCAGGTGCTGTGTGCTAAGTGGCAGTTCTAACTGTCTAGCAGTATTTACTAGGGAACACCTAAGTTTGGGCCTTACCTACTAAACCAAGTCACAGAATATGTCTCTTGGTACTTAGAGGTAGGAGGTTTTAGGATGTACCCCTGCACTCCTCCCCACCAGCAGTGTCTCCCAATGCTCACCTCTTAGATCATCAGCCTTTCATATATGTCAAGAAAAAAACTTTCATTAAGTGATTAGACAAATTTGGAAAATGCCACGTACTGCATCCCTTTCTTAGATATTCATCACGCATGTTAGCATATTGACAGCTTTGCAATGTCTGGCAATGAAAAAGCCATTTAACTTTCTTTAACCAGGAGTTTCCAAAAGTTATCTGACAGAACCATTTGTTCATATAAAACCCGTAAGTTGCAAGCAACACATTTTGAGAAACCCTGTCTAAAATTTGCGTAAGTCAGGGAAACATATACATTAACAAATAATTTAGATCAGGTTCAGAGATGACAGAGCAAGAGATCTATGGAGATATCCTTATAGAACAGGTGAGTGATAATCCTTATAATCGGCCCCAAAATATTCCTTGTGGCTATTAGCAGGAAGGGAATCCTAAGCTGGGCTGGGCAGGCTTTTCACATTACAGTCTTTCCTCATTGTGGGGGTGTGGATGACTGTGTGAGGGGGTGTGGATGACTGTGTGAATGTATTTGTGTTTGACCTAGATAATCAGGTGGTTTAGAAAAGAAATAGAGCACTGGCCTAATGATCACAAGGTACGGTGTGTTTTTGGCCTTTATCATGGACTTGTGATGTGACATCTCAGCAGTCCCAGCGCTCCACTAGTTAGTGTGGATGCTGTTGTACAACCTCCATCCCTCTGTGCAACACAGGCCTTTAGTGTCCAAAGGCCTCTCTGTTCACTTGGGACCTCAGCAAATGCTGTCTGAAGGTGAAAGGGAAAAGGAGCATGTTGTCGGGCTGATGACATAATGTCTACAATGTTCCGGTCACCTCAGGAGGAGAAGGTTTGGTGCAAAGGACCCTGCTGTTCCTGAGGGAGGTGTGAATGACTGCCTGACACCCTATATAAACCCTGCAGCACAGCCTGATTGGGCCACACAGAATGTTTGTAGTTAGATGCTCCTATAACAAAGACCCTTTGGTTTTAAACAACAGAAACCACCTTGAACTTGCTTTGGGAAAAGAAGACACTTTTAGGGTAGTAAAATACTTAAGCATCTGATAAAGTTTAAAGAATTTAAGCAACCACATCTCAAAGTTCAGAAACACAATGGTGCAGGGGATCTGCCTTTTTCTCTGTGTCTGTGTCTCAGCTGTAATTCTTGGCAAAGAGAATTGTATAGGCCCAATTATTGGTCAAATCCCCACTCTAGTTCATTTAGCTATAGCATAGCTAATGGCCATGTCTCTCTCATTTTTTCTGTTAGAATCCCAATTTGTTCAGAAGAGTGTGACAACAGCTTGATCTCAGGGAAGATAAATTCCCACTGCAGTCCCAGAGGATGAATTGTGATAGTCTAAACCAGTCATAGTAATCCCATTTTTCTTTGTCAGTAATTGGTTGACAGTGGCATTGTGACCCAATTCTAATGTAGCAGTTATAAATAGAAGTTAGTTGGATATGATTCTGGGAAAGCTTTTGTCTTTCCTATAAAAAGGAACAACAGATTTACCAAGCATGGCTCTGTCTCCTTCTGCTTTTCTCCTTCTCTGGAATGCAGGCATGATGCCTGGTGATTCAGCAGCCATCTTGTAACCATGATGTGACAAGTATGAGAGGAAAGCTGTGTGCTAAGAATAGAGGGTGCAAAGGAGAAAGAGCCAAGGTCTCTGTATGGTTGAATTGCTGCACTGACACTGGACAGCATCCCTCCTGATTTGTTCTTATTTGAGAAAAATGAAAACCTATTTGTTGACATCACAGTGTACTTTAATAGGTTGTTGTTATTGTTGCCTTTACCTGCAACCAAAAACATTCCTAAGTGAGAAAATTATATAGTAAAAACGGGTGCCAGGAGCCAACTCCTATGGCTCAGAGAATGATTCTCAGATCTTTAATGGGATAGAAGAACAGGGGATGGCACCTACAACGGTTAGATATTCAAAAGTATCTACCAAGCCACCCTGGAGTCTTGAAATCTCACCACTGCTTTAGAGCATAGAGAGAAACCCTGTTCATGCCACTGCACACCTGTCCTAGATAGAATTAACTAACTAATTCTACTGATATTTATTGACTCTGCATTATCTGCTTGACATTTTTCTAGGTGCTGAGGATTGATTGGTGAAGACAGAGAGGGTCTTGGTTCTAACTGAGCTCACATTCTAAAAGAGAAAATAGAAAATAAACACGAAAAACGAATGGGATCACTTCAGAAATTGAAAAGGTCTATAAGAAAAACAAAACAGGGTGTGTGATAGAGGGTTGGGGAGGCTGTGACCATGGAAGGCCTAAGAAAGTGATATTTGAAATGAAACTTGAGTTGCAGAAGGGAGCCAGCTGTGCAAGGCTGAGGACCAAATATTTCAGGAGGGAACGGCCAAGGCAGAAATGAGCATGGCCTGCTGGAGACCGAGAATGAACTGTTAGTGGGTTCCCACTGCACAGGGCCTGGGGAGGCTACCCATGCTCATCTCATGGTAATGTGCCAGCAACTCAGCCTACTGGCATCATGATGAATCTCCGGGCTGCTAACTGGGCTTCATGTTGCATAGGTGAACTGTCCCGCCACCTGCTTGAGGCTGGCAGAGCCCAGGGGGTGAGACCACTGGGGGTGGTCTATGTAGTGGACTCTCTGAACAGAGTGACCAATTCCCTCGTGTTCTTTCCCTTTGAGAATGGATCCATCATTCTCAGCTGCAGCTCCTACACTCTCCAGGAGACTAGCTTCCCTTGGAATGGGGTCAGCCCTGCTCTGGAGGGACTGGGAGAGCATTCAGCTAGCACACAAATGCTACAGGACCACGCTCCAGTTGCCCCCTCAAGTTATGACTGCCCCTGTTGACATTGTCTAGTGCTTGAGAGTCCCCTGTGTAGAGACCCTGCAGAGAGGCAGGAAGCCTGCAAGGGCCCTGGGCTGGTCATACCTGACATCAGTTTCAAGTGATACTTATCAGTGAAGCAGTCACATGAGATCACAGGGCTAGAAGATCCCTCAAAGGTCACAATGTCCTGCATTCCTTGTATGTCTGGCTTAACCCAGAGCAAAAGTGTCAGAATGCTACCACCCCAACATCTAACAGGTTGCCTGTGAAATGGGATATCCACTCACCTCTGGTAGACAATCCAGTTTTCTTTTCTCTAACACTTGAACTTGCTGGCCATTGGAACCACTATAATTATAATAGATGTTAGATTTCTTGTGTGAGTGATGGGATGTGAGGAACGTGATTGTTCCACTTAGAAGAGTAAGGTTGCCTAGAAGTACCCAACCTGCCATTTAGAAATCCTGGGTTTGGTTTTCCTACACCCCGAACACAAAACCACAAAATACCAAAGTTGGAGGCAACCTTAGTGATTAATATCCCTCCTCTTACAGATGAAAAAAAAAAAAGGAACATGACCTGACCAAGGTTAATAATAATACTGCAAAGGAAGGCTCTTTGGGATTCACATGGCCCTGTCATAGGTGTTTATAGAATTTGGTTGTAATGTGCCCTCTGACTTATAGGACGAAGAAAAAAAATCCTTGCATGTCAACAATATGTGCCATCAAAGTTCTCCATGCCTCTGTCTGGTTTGATTCTCACCATCCTATGTAGTGGGCATTATTTTTTCTCATTTTACACACAAGGAAAACAAGGCCCGGAAAGGTTAAGTCCATTCAGTTAGTAAGTGGCAATCCTGAGCTCAGGCTTCAATCTTCTGCCTTTTATTCAATATCATTTCCAAGTCCATCTCCACTTTGATTCTCTGGGGATTGAGGGTATAGTGGAAATTAGCCATAACTTGGGTAGGGCAAGATATATAGGAGCTCTAAAAGTCTCTACCCTATTCTGGATGCAGATACTGTGGGTTGCTAGAAATTCTAAAGAAAGGATTCTGAGTTTTAGTGACTCACCTTCATTGGCATGTAAATACTTCCCTCTTAGAACCACTGTAGCTGGAGCAAGGGCCTCATGGCTGCTAACATAATTTGGTGCTGTCATCTCAGCAGCTGCCTTTCCTTATCTTAAATACCACCTCCCAGGATAGTGTGGCACTGAAAAGCTCAAGCTGTTAGAATCTGCTGGCTACTCCAATTCCTGGTTCTGTCGCTTTAGATGACCTGAGCGATATTATTTAAATTTCCTGCATCTCAGTGTTTCCATCTATAAAAGGGAGCTAGTTATAGTACCTTCCTGAGAAGGTAAAGACTAAACGAGGTAAAAAACTTAGGAGAGTAAAGTGCTCAATAAATACTAGCTGCTGCTGCATTTGCTCTTGAGACAACCGAAGGAATTCTGTCACAGAGCTGAGTTTTCACCAGGAGTACAAAAGGAATATGTTCATAGTTCATGGACTCGGTGGGCATGCCAGGGTGACAGGTATCCAAAAGACAGAATCACATACAGTTTACTTCTTTTTTTTTTTTCAGACGGAGTTTCACTGTTGTTGCCCAGGCTGGAGTGCAGTGGCGTGATTTCAGCTCACGGCTACCTCTGCCTCCCGGGTTCAAGCAATTCTCCTGCCTCAGCCTCCCAAGTAGCTGGGATTACAGGTATGCACCACCATGCCCGGCTAATTTTGTATTTTTTAGTAGAGATGGGGTTTCTCCATGCTGGTCAGGCTGGTCTCAAATTCCCGACTTCAGGTGATCCGCCCGACTTGACCTCCCAAAGTGCTGGGATTACAGGTGTGAGCCACCGCACCTGGCCCAGTTTACTTAACTCCGGGGAATGATTGCTCGGACCTTATACAACAAGGGTTATCTTCATTTTCTGCCAGTATCACCCCTCTGCCCCCACCCCCCTCAACAAAGCAGAAGGCTTTAACTCACCCACCTGAAAAGCTAAAGCTGAGCTGGAAGTTATGATTATGTATTTATTTAGTCTGAAAGAAGGAACAGAAGAGCCTTTTATATAACTTGAAGAGTGTAAAGGAGCCAATGATAAAAAACATTGCCCTGAACTTTTCCAAAGCACCATAAATCTCTCTGTTATGATTCTCCAGTTGTTGCCAAGGTATCATTTGTCTTTTTGTTTTTGTCTTCAGATAGACGAAAACAAACGTTAACGAACTTCCTTCTGTTAGTTTGTGTATCTGTGATCCAAGGCTATAAAAATGCTACTCTTTCAAGTTACTCCCATCATTTAAAATACACCTGATGCTTATTTTGTGGTTTCTCAGTAATATTCTGATTTTAATTTGATTGCTTTTTATGTTTGTGTATTTTCCCATTCAAAGCTGTTTTTTCTCCCTTCCCTCCCTTTTGTGTTTCTCTCTGTCTCTGCTGATATTTTTTGCATGTTTAGATCATCTCTCTACTGACCTTTTAGTGGCTTAGCATTTTGTTGCAATGCACAAGTGAAGTTGGGAAACAGAGCCAAGTGACAAGCTGTGAAGTAACAGCTCAGCCTTCACAAAGCAAATGTGCTTTGTGCACTTCCTTGCCAGAGCAGATGTGGCCTTGGTGGACTGTGGGGAGCATCATCTCTCAGGTAAAAATAAATTACTAAGATTAGGACCAAATGATGCAAATCCTTTCATTTGCAAACAGATCATGAACTGGCAGCCATGTGGAAAGAAGACTAGACTGCGAATCACTTAGGATCCCACCCTCGGTTTAGTCTAGAATACTCTGCGAATCAGCTTTTTGGCCCTAGGTGAGTGATTTTAAAAGACATTAAATGTGCAAATGCATAAAATGAACTCACGTAGTTCATGGACACAGGTGACATAGGAAGTTAATCAACAAAAAAATAGAATGAAATAACAAAACTCTGTGTCCCAACACCCAGTCTGAGGCAATCCTAACATTTTGATGGGTTTGATTCAGACATAGTTGAAGTTCTTTGCAGACTTCTTAATCCCATTTCCCTTTCTTCCATCCAGAGATAAACACTATCTTGCAGGTACATGCTTTCAGACCTTTTCTGCATGCACATGCACCTTTCCACAATATGTACTGTCATTTTGCATTTTTTTAAAATTAAAATAAATGGAAGCACACCACACATATTCTACCATTTGTTTGTTATCTAATTTAGCATAAGATCTCAACGATTTAGCTCTAGTTCATTCATTTGAACTGCTTTGTTTCATGAACAGACCACTATATATTTATCTGTTCTTCTGTTGATGAACACTTAGATTGCTTTTAATTTTACACAATTATAAACAATGCTTCAGTGAGTGTTCTTGTACATTTCCTTCTCCTAACATACAAAAGCTTCTCTACAATAGCATTTTTCAAAATGTTTTGTCCACACAGCTACATGGAAACCCAGCACATACATGTGCTACATTTATGTACATGTATGCATATATGGAACAAAAGTTTCTCAGAATAATATTTATCTTTATTTTCTACTTAATTCTAATTCTATTTATTTTATTTTATTTTATTTTATTTTATTTTATTTTATTTTATTTTGAGACAGAGTCTTGCTCTGTCGCCCAGGCTAGAATGCTGTGGTGCGATCTCAGCTGACTGCAACCTCTGCCTCTCAGGTTCAAACCATTCTCCTACCTCAGCCTCCTGAGTAGCTGGGATTACAGACACATGCCACCATGCCCGGCTGATTTTTGTATTTTTAGTAGAGACAGGGTTTCACCATGTTGGCCAGGTTGGTCTTGAACTCCTGACCATAAGTGATCCGCCCACCTTGGCTTCCCAAAGTGTTGGGATTACAGGTGTGAGCCACTGCTCCTGGCCTACTTATTTATTTATTTTTGAGATAGTGTCTTGCTGTGTCACCCAGGCTGGTGTGCAGTGGTGCAATCATGGCTCACTGAAGCCTCGATCTCCAAGCTTCAAGTGATCCTCCCACCACAGCCTCCTGAGTAGCTGGGACTACCAGTGTGTGCCACCACGCACAGCTAATTTTTTTTTTTTTTTTTTTTTTTTTTTTTTTTAATTTATGGGATTTCACCACATTGCCCATGCTGGTCTCAAACTCCTGGGCTCAAGCAATCCACACGCCTCAGCCTTCCAAAAGGCTGGGATTACAGGTGTGAGCCACCACACTTAACCTCTAATTCAGTTTAACCTGGACTATTTCATACACCATTTTAATTTAGGAAAGGGTTTTATGACCCAGTGATGCATCTTCACTGACAAGTTGAAGAACAGTTCTGGGATACATACATAGACATGGACCTGCTGGATCATAGGTTGTTCCCATTTTCAAACTGATAAGTTTGTCTACGTGAGTTCATTTTATGAATTTAAATGGATATTTGTATTTAGCTAGCATTCCATGTATTTCTAGAAGGAGGCTTTCCAGGTTATTTAGTTTGCTGGAAATGGAAGTCCTGTGTTAAACGTTCTGGGTTTCAATTTTTTATCTGTCACAAGAAACCACACACACAAAAGGTAGTAGACCCTTCCGTATTTTGTAGGGTCCTTTCTCTGCAGCCCTGGGGAGAGTTATGGGGGTCTGCCACAGTGTGGGTAAGTTGTGGGGTAGAGGTAGACACAGGGAACGGGAGAGAATGAGTAGATGGAGTTCTGGGTCTTTTACCACAGTCCCTACCCAAGGAGCTCCATTTTAATATTGATCCATTCTGTATCCATTAGATTGAATTGGCAAAAGGGTTGTGTAGCTTAAAAGTATTCTTAAATGGTGGGTTTAGATGTCTTCCAAGGCTCTTTCCAGATCTAAACAAATGGAAGTAATTTTTAAGTCTCTGGACCATTTAAAATTGCAGCCAGAATTAAAGATGGCTTATGGTATAAAGTTTCGTGAGTAGGGGCTAGGCAAACAGTGTTTGTTTATCTGAGTGTCAATGTTCTCTTCCTGCCACGTAGAACCTGGCTTGGATGGGATGCTTTTGGCATCCTTGAAGGCAAGGAGTTAGGTGCGCCCTCGGGCTGGAGTTGCCCCTTTGAGGGCAGCCATTTCTGTGCCGTCGTATTGCCTTCATGGCAGGAAGCTGCTTTAAAAAACTACTTTGTTTTCATTGTGTTTGTTTAATTCTGTGAATAAGGCTCTAATATAAATTTTTCTGAAATCCATTTCAGCCCAGCACACTGTTCCACATGCTTATGATAAAGCTCATTTGCTCAGCAGGGTACTCGGTTAAACCTTTATATTCATAGGGATGACATTTTATTATCATTTTAATGAAAATATTTGCTTCCTCCTGGGTTTATTTTTGCCTTCCCAATATAGGAAAAGCATTAAAAAAAAAAACCCCACCAAAAGATGGGGTAGCAACTTGGTAGTAAAGTGAATTAGGGGTGGGCATATGTTAATTAATTTGTATAGGATCCTGGACCCCTTTTCTAATAAATACCCTCGCCTTCTCCACTTCCCCTGAGCCTAGATCACTGCTTCTTCTCAGACTCTAGTCCCTCCCTTCAATTTGTCCTGCTTGTATTTCATCTTCTTTAATCACTGTTTTCATCACATCACTCCCATGCTCAGAAACCCTTAAGGGATTTTTATTTCCCACCATTTCAAATCTAAACTCAGCTGCCTGTTTTCAAGGCTTCTCCTAATCTGTTCTTTCCTTACATCTCCAGCTTTATTTCCCTTGCCAGATGTGGCTCTGGTTCCTGTGGTTTAGAGATAATGGGATTTTTGTACACCAAAAAAAAAAAAAAAAAAAAAAAAAAATTAAGATCTGCGTCATTTTTCTTAGGCACAGTTCAGCCCAGTTCCCTTAAACAAAAGCACATGTGAACAATTATTGCTTACCTCCCCCACAGGCCATGTGAGGGAGACTGCAGGGTCCTTCAGGCGGCAGGAAGAGGAAAGCAGTTTATACACTGCTGTTTCTCACTATTTTGGGAGAAGATGAGGACCTGAGAAAGGTGACTTTAGTCACTGCAGTGGTTTGTGAAAAGCTCTGCCATTTTGACCAGACAGGCAGAATGCAAATATAGAAGGAGAGTATGAAAGGTATTAAATACCAAGCCAGAAATGTCTGGCTCAGAAATCTGTAAAGAAGTAGGTCCTGCATAAGGGAAAACTCAGCAGATCACCAGGCTCTGGAAAAGATATTGCAGGAGTTGGTGAATGAAATTTAAGAGAAGTCTTCCATATTGGAGAGGGCTTTTAATTTATGTGGAGTAGCTTGTTTTCAACTTTTGGTTTATTGTGGTGGGTGAGTGTACATGTAATTAATATTATTTACTTTGTTTTTCTCTATTTCAAAAAGTTCTGGCTCTTTCACTTAGTAGCTGTATAATTTGGGGAATGTTTTGTCTTTCATAAATGGATATAATAATGGTATATGGTATGTAGGGTCATTGTGAGGGCTAAATGAGATAATATATTTAAAAAGCATAGAACATCATTCAAGAAAAAATATCTGTCATTTCTGTCATCATAATTATCCTAAGTATGCATAAGCTGCTCTTCGTTTGAGCAGGTGCTAAATAAAATTCTACCTTCTCTCAAAGTACCTTCAGGTCAGTTAAGTTCAGCAAGCATTTCATGAATGCTCCATATATGTAAGGCACTGAAGATACACTGATGATATCACACATGTGACATTGACTAGCCCTTAAGCAGCATACTTTCTAGAAGGGAAGGCAAACCCAGAAACTGATTATTTCAGTATAAGGCTGTACTGTCCAACATAGTCATCAGCAGCCACATGTGTCTACTGAGCACTGAGAATGTGATTAGTTTGAATTGAGATGTGCTCTTTGTGTAAAACACACACTTGATTTTAACAAGTTATTATTGATAAAATAATGTAAAATATCTAATTAATTGTTTTAACATGGTGTCAATTACCCGTCAAAATGATAATTAGATCAGTTAGATATCGAGTTATATAAAATATACAATTAAACTGAGACGGAAGAATGGCATGAACCCAGGAGGTGGAGCTTGCAGTGAGCCGAGATCGCGCCACTACACTCCAGCCTCGGCGACAGAGCGAGACTCCGTCTCAAAAAAAAAAAAAAAAAAAAAAAAAAAAAAAAAAATATATATATATATATATATATATATATGTGCACAATTAAAATTAATTTCACCTGTTTCTTTAGATTTTTTTTAAAAATGTGGCTACTGGACATTTTAAATTTATGTGGCTCCTGTTATATATCCTTCCTTTTTTATTTTGAGACGGAGTTTTACTCTTTTGCTCAGGCTAGAGTGCTGTGGCGCGATCTTGGCTCACTCCAACCTCTGCCTCCCAGGTTCAAGTGATTCTCCTGCCTTAGCCTCCTGAGTAGTTGGGACTACAGGCACACATCATCATGCCTGCATAATGTTTTTGTATTTATGGTAGAGATGGGGTTTCACCATGTTGTTCAGGCTGGTCTCAAACTCCTGACCTCAAATGTTCTGCCCACCTCGGCCTCCCAAAGTGCCGGGATTACTGAGCCCAGTGGCTCCTGTTCTATTTCTATTGAACAGAACTGGTCTTATGTGACACAGTGGAGGTTAAAACAGGGTACAGGGGGAACTCAGAGAAGCAGCAGGTCATGCAGCCTGTCCTCCTCCCCGGGAGAGCAGGTGAAGCCTGTGCTGAGTGTTAAAGGATGAGCAGAAGTTGTCCAGGCAGAGCCAGGTCTAAAGGGCCCTCCAGATGAAGGTAACAGGAAAGGCATGAAAGACATGGTATTTCTAGGCACTGGAAGCATTTGGTTCTTCATAAAGCATTATGAATTAGGGACTGGCAGAAGATGAAGCTGCAAGAGAAGTGAAGCCTGGTCTTGCAATTCTTTAACATCTAGCTACCATTAAATGCTCTGGTCCTTGACTTATACATGACGTCTGGTTATTTTTCCACTATTTATTTCTTTGACGTTTTGGACTATCAGCTGCCGACAGTTGGAGGTTTACATCTACGAGGATAGACTTTCTTAGAGGATAGGACTGATGTATGCACACTTGCTGGTTGGCAGGCAAAATGTCATTTTTCCTCTGTAGATAATCCTAAAGAGTAGATGGGCAGCCTACAGTTGCTGCCAGGAGGTGAGTAAGAATGATGAATGAGAATCATAGGAAGGTGGGAGCCCTTCACACGGTCTGAATCATTGGGCCCAAGGAGACTGTACGTGGCTGCATTCACATCCATTTACCTGTCAATGGATTTCAGTGGAATCCCTCTCCTCCCAAATTCTCACTAATAAGCAATGTAGTCATTCATCAGATTACATTAGTTTGGAAGCTCATTATTCTATTCCAAACCACCCACAGGTCTTCTGCCTTTAATGAATTATGTATTCAGTGGGGATTTGGTAGGTCATGTAAGATTAGGTGAAAGAGGGGTAGCAACAGGAGAACCCAAGAACCCAAGTGGATGGAGAGGCTACAGTTAGAAGACCTCTTCCACATCTGCTTTTCACTCTTTAATGTGCATATAAGTCATGTTCTTTAGAAATGTAGATTCTGATGAATTAGATGTAAGGATGGGGCAACAATCTGCATTTCTATCAAGTTCCCAGGTGATGTCAGTGCTGCCAGTCATGGACTGCACTTTGAGTTGCCAGGTCTTAGAGACCTGGTGTCTACTACAGTCTCTTACCAAGGCTGGAATCTATATTGCAACAGCCCTAATGAGTCATTAGAAGCCCCTGCTGGAAGACCTCTGTTGTGTTTCACCTCCTCTGCCTTTGTGGAGTGAGTCTTATTGTTGGAACAGTTTGTCTTGTCCCTAGAAGCTATCTGGGCAATTTCTGTACATTGGTTCTTGTTCTATTTTTAGAACTGCTAAGAATAAGTCTAACACCTCTTTCTCTTGACAGTCATTTGGAAATTTGAAGAAAATTTTTTATATTACTCTTAACCCTTCTTTTCAGTGGATTAAATCTACTCATCAACTTAGCTGTTAAACACAGAACTCCCTGGCATTTCCCAGGAATCATGTGCCTTAAGTGCCCCTCTTCTAATTGAGCACAATGTTCCAAGCTTTCTCCAAACATGAAAGAATAAAATGGGCTTGTTACTTATCT
The DNA here is from genome assembly GCF_000001405.40 of Homo sapiens. NCBI lineage: Eukaryota > Metazoa > Chordata > Mammalia > Primates > Hominidae > Homo > Homo sapiens. The sequence goes on along the minus strand of NC_000009.12, from coordinate 2,486,817 downwards.
AGCTATTGATTCCCTACTTCTGCCAGAGAATCCTCAAGCATCTTGGTTGTTTGGCAGCTACATTAAACCTCAGATTCAGAATGAAATTGGTTGATAAGAAAAAAGCCCAGTTTTTTTCTCACTGGTTGCCATAGACTCATCTAGCATTGTGGAGATGATTTTTTTTTTAAAGAAGCTGTGATTTTTTTTATTATGAAATATTTAGAAATTTAGAAATTATGAGCAAGCAAAATTACCATTCTTAATGTGTTGAAATATAAAAATCAATTTTTTTCTAGGCATAGGGATGATTGATTGCATTGATTATTGATTACATTTTATAAGGGCCTTGAACAATCTTTTGTGAACATGTTTCGAACAACATCATTTTTATTAGCTAGATGATATTTAATCACATTGAAATTTTTGCAATTTATTCAACCAGTTTCCTATTATTGGACATTCATGTTGTCTCTGATTGTTTTTTGTTATTAATCAGTGCGTTTGTAAACACCAGGTACCTAAATTTTATATACATTTTTGAAAATGGTAGGTTCCTATAAGTAAAATTACTGTGTTAAAAGACAGGATAATTAAGGTTTTTGAGCTTATTATTATAATCAGTCATATTGTCCTTTAGGAAAGTTTTAATAATAGAATGCATTATCACTAACAGTAATTTCACAGGACCAATCTGCACCCACATTCATTAAAAAACGCCTTTGACACTTTGATGAACAAAAACAAATGGAGTTCCATTGTTTTATTTCGCATTTTAATAACTAGTAAGATTGAACATTTTAAAATTTGTCTTTTGCCATTTAAATTTCTTCTTTGAGGGAATAAACTTTTCTATCAGAACATTTTTATTTTTCTTAATGATTTGTAATAGTTATTTAAGTGCAAAGGCTATTAATCCCGAATAATTTTCCCAATGCATGATTTTCTTTTTAGTTTTTTATTTCATTATGACTGGAATGTGTTCTGGATTGTGTCTCCTATCAGATTATTATTTTTTAAACATTGTTTTGTTTTTAATTTTTGTGAGTACATAGTAGATGTATATATTTTTGAGGTACATGAGATATTTTGGTACAGGCATGCAATGTGTCAAAATCACATCACGGAGGCTTGAGTATCCATCCCCTCAAGCATTTATCCTTTGTGTTACAAACAACCCAATTATACTCTTTAAGTTATTTTAAAATGTACAGTTAAATTATTATTGACTACAGTCCCCCTGTTGTGCTATCAAATACTAGGTTTTATTCATTCTTTCTAACTACTTTTTCTGGTACCCATTAACGATGCCCACCTTGCCCCAGCTCCCGCACTACCCTTCCCAGTCTCTGATTAACCATCCTTCTATTCTCCATCTCCATGAATTTAATTGCTTTGATTTTGAGATTCCACTACTAGATTATTCTTGATTTTAGGAAAGTTATATATTTTTGTGTAATAAATTAGTACAAAAGTACTTGCTCTTTCTGCCATAATGGCAAAAGCACAAAAGTAATTTGGTTTCTGCCACAATGAGAAAAACACAAACGGAATTACTTTTGCACCAATCTAATATGTATTACCTAACGGTGAGCTTGCTAAACATTCATATTCATGTAAATAGTTTTTAAATCTAATATTTGAATCCCATCTTTTTTTTTTTTTTTTTTTTTGAGGTGGAGTCTTACTCTGTTGCCCAGGCTGGAGTGCAGTGGTACGATCTCAGCTCGCTGAAAGCTCTGCCTCCCAGGTTCGTGCCGTTCTCCTGCCTCAGCCTCCCGAGTAGCTGGGGCTACGGGCACCCGCCACCACGCCCTGCTAATTTTTTTTTGTATTTTTAGTAGAGACAGGATTTCACTGTGTTAGCCAGGATGCTCTCGATCTCCTGACCTCGTGATTCACCCGCCTCGGCCTCCCAAAGTTCTGGGATTACAGGCGTGAGCCCCTGCGCCCAGCCCATCCTTTTTTCTTGTCTTGTTGCATTAGTTAGCAATTCCAGAACAATGCTGAATAATAGTGGTTATAATGGGCATCTTGATTTGTTCCTGAGTTTAATAAGAATAGCTTAGTGTTTTATTATTAAGCATGATACTGGCTTTTTGGTTTAGTTATCAAAGTAAATACATATTTGTTAAAGAAATGTCCATTTATTCTGACATTTTCACAATTTAAAAAATCAACAGTAGATGCTGAATTTTATTTAAAAAAATCTTTCAGCATCTGTTTATGTGAATGTGATGTTTCTCTGTCTCTTTCTATCTCTCAACCATTTTAAACTTAGAGGAAAGTTGTGAGTACAGTACAAAAAAACCTGTTTTTTTCTGAACAATTTGACAGTATGTTTTAAGATTTCATAGAGACTAGAAGTAGATTAGTGTTGCCTATAGATTAGGGGGTGTTGGGAGAGGAACTAGAGAGTGATGGCCATTGGGTGTGGGAATTCTTTTTGGAGGGATGAGAATATTCTAAAATTAGATGGTGTGGATTCCTGCATATCTCTGCAAATATGTCAATAAATTTTAAATTGTATACTTCGAAAGGGTGACTTTTCTGCGACTTAAGTTTTATTTCAATAAATCTGTTATTCAAAAATAAGAATTGTATATTGCATTTAGTTGTCATATGTCTCCTTCAATATGAAGCAATTGTTCACCCTTTTCTTAACTTTATCGGCCTTGACACTTAAGAATTACATGCCCGTTGTTGTATAAATGGATCTTCAATTTCTGTTTGTCTAATGTTTCCTCATTATTAGATTCAGGTTCTGCATTTTGGCCCAAATATCACAGGATGGATACAGTGTTCTTCTCATTGTATCTTACCAAATGGTTTATGATTTAGATTTATCCCATTACTGGTGATATTCAATTTGCTTGCTTAAGATGTTATCTGTCACGTTTCTGTCCCATAAAGTTAATTTTTCCCCTTTGAAATCATTTTGTTTTGTGGAAAGTTACTTTGAGTTTGTATAAATGTCCCACTTTTCTTCAAAAATTTGTTCATTTATATTGGTATGAATTCATACTTTCATATTTAATTTGTCAAGTTATGATCCATTATTGAAATTATCTATTTTAGTGTTCAAATTATCCTAGATTAGGCCAGTGGGAGCACCTTCAAACTGGTTTCTGTGTCCTTGTGGTATGTCCCCTTCATTCTTTGAGCACTTCCTTATTTTCTGGTAAAAGAAGATGCTCCTCCGGGTTTATCTTGTACTCCGCTTACCCCGGCCCTAGAATCATCTATTTTTTCCAAAAAGCCCTGGTCTTTTCAATAGAGATGATATTTAGAAACGACAATTTAATGTCTAAGGTACGCTCACTGTTCTTTAGGTGTCATTGCTTCCAGGCCCCTCCTACTGGACTGAGCTAAAGAATAGGTATAGGTTTATGTGTACACACTCATGTGTCGGTGATTTTCTATGTTACATATCTAACCACCTATTATTTGTCTATCCATCCTTCAATATATTTTAAAAATGCCTTAATGTTGGTACTTTTACTCTAATACAACTCTATGTGTCTATACTAGTTTCTCCCCTTTCCCTTATTTGTAACTCTTCTCTGAGAGTAAGAAACTCAACTTCCATTTTCCTTTAGATAGGTATTTATGTGATCAAAGCCTTATACAAAACCAATTTTCTATACACCTTCTATGTCCTATACCCTGCACATGCCCTTCTCATGCCACTCATGTTCCAACATGCCCCCTTTCCCCACCAACTCCTTCTTGGAGCTAGCTAATGACTTTTGGGCTGAGTTGTTCAGAAAGGGAAGAGGAGTGGGAGGAAGAAGGTGTTTTTCTCTTTTGCCTTATAATTTAGTGAATTATACTAATAGGTTTCTCTAATATTGACTCACCGTTGGACTTTGAAATGTGCTTTGCTTTGATTTTTTTCTACTCTTTTATTTAAGATGTCTAGATAATGTATTTTGCTGACCTGAAAAGGATTTGGAATGCTAGAAATTTTCTTAGACATTTTCTTAACTCATTCTCTTTGACTTTTACGGAAGAATACAAGGCTTCTCTTGACTTCCTTGCATTTTTCTAGTGCCTTTGCTTCTGGAAATGCCACCAGAATGAAAGCTGCATTTTCTGTGGTAGAAATTATTGATATGTCTCAGAAGCAAGCAATCATGGAGTATCTACTTTCCAGCAGTGATGTATATTTCTTGCAAAAGCCACATCATTATTTATAATACACTAATGAGTTTTTTCACATAAACAGAACAGAGATTTCTAACATTTCCTGGGATTTCACAAAAAAGGAAAAGAAAGAAAAAAGAATTCAACAAAATACTCATTTGTTAGCCCAGCATTGGAATTCACCAGTCTTAAAGAACGATTGGAGAATCAACCAGTACCAATACTGCTATCCTTCATCTCCTTCATATTCAGCCTTACCCAGTAGAATTTCTTGGAGCCCACAAAATGTTAATTGAAAAGATAAGTCTGCTTTGGAAAACATCTATATTTTACGCAGAGATGGAATTTGGGGAAGTGCCATGTAGACATCTATCATTCTATAAATCATGATTATTGTCAGTGACCTGAAGCCTGGAGCAGATTTTAAGGGTTAAATAATGTCCACAGTTTTACTCTTCAGACTGTCTTGTTCCCTATCTGATCATTGTCACACTGCGTTGGCTGTTTTAGGCCTAAGTGCATGAGTTGCTTATATTTGTCTGGGTAGTTGGTTAATTTTGGCGGCAGCCATCTTGCAGGTATGATTTTCTTCCTTCATAGTTGACAAACCCTGGATGGCTATCCTTTTTATGTTTCATTTTACATACTTTGTCCTCTATCTCCCACCAACCCTCCCACCATTTTTGTTTTAATAATATATTATTCATTATATATGTAGATTCTTCCAAAAAGATTGACATATGCCCATGTGTGCTCATGTGCACATGCATACACACATATACTTATAGTACATTTACGCTTCCTGATATATTCTTTTATTTTCTTGACTCAATTATTCCATTTATTGACTCAGTTATTCTAGGAATCCTGGAAAAAGGGAAGGGTGAGGGAGAAAGGATGATCCTTTTTGGTTATAAGGTTTAAATGTATTATAGCATGATCAGCATGGGAATGAGAGCATTCCCATGGGAATGTATTATAGCATGAGAGCATGGGAAACTGTGCTCTCAGTGAATTGCATGTTTCAACTATGTCATTGACTCTGGAGACTCAGACAGAGGGTAGTTATTCAAATAAAGAAATGTCTGAAAACAAACAACAAATAGCAGTTGCATTTTGGAAGTATTCTCATTCATAAAACCAAGAGGTCACATTCATCGCAAGAGGGCATCCACTGGAATGCTGGCTGAACTTATAATTAGAGCATTCATTCATTTATTTAGTGCATTTTTATTGAAAGGCTTTCATGTACTGGACACTGTCCTAGGTGCTGGTGATACGTTAATAAGCAAAGGCAAACATGGTTCTTGCTGGTAAATGTTTAACACCTGGCTTTACAAAAACAAAAACTCTGATTTCTGGTATTTGTCCATTTCTGTGGTGTAAATACTCCCACTACAGCCAATTTCAAGCTATCGATGTTCTACAGTGTAAGAAGATATGGAGGCATTAAGCAAATGTGAGCCAGCATGAGCTGGCTTCAGCACACTTCTGGTCCTTGCTGTCCAAGAGCTTACAGTCAAATTGGGAAGACATACATTTAAAATATTACTTTAGTAAAAGTGCAACTTCAAACTATGACAGGGCTGTGAAGAAGGGAAATGTGGCATTACGATAGACTGTAATAAGTGAATATAAACTAGTTTGTGAAATTATTGGAAGTATTCACTGGAAAACTGATATTTAAGTTGAGAGCTGAAGGCGCACAAGATTACTCGTGGAAAGGAGGAGCATTTCAGATAGAAGTTATAGCTCATGCAAAGGCTCTGTGGTGGGAGAAAACTTGGTGTATTTGAAGAAAATAAAAGAAGGCTTTGTGGCTGAACAGTGAGAGGAAAAGGAGCATGTGCTGAGTTTGAAGTGGTAGGCATGAACCATTCTTGGCTTAAAAGCTATGAGAAAAATGTGGATCTTTATCCCAAAAGCAGAGGTTATCTATTGAAGAGTTTTAAGCCTGGGATTAAAATGATGAAATTGTGTTTTGAAAATATCACTCTGGCTACAGCAAGAGAAAAGATTGGAGTTGACCTGGATGGAAAGCTGGGAGGCGATGAATAGTCTATTACAGTAGTCTATGTAAGAGATGCTCGTAAATTGGCCTAGGGTGTTGGCAATAAAAATGGAGAGAAGGGGAAAGATTTCAGAGATATTTATGACTCTAAATTAAGATGAGTTAATAAGGGTTAGTGTCCAATAATATGTTGCCAAGTCCTGAGTTTGCACAACTGGCTGGGTAGTAATGCCAGAGAGAAAGTATGAGAACACCATTGCGTGTGTGTATGCACGTGTGCACATGCAGCAGGGGGAAATCAGAAGTTTTGGGCATAATGAGTTTGGATAATCTTTGAGACATCTAAGTGGATGTGTCAAATAGGTTAAATATATAGGCCTAGAATTCAGAGTAGAGGTCTGGCCTAGAGTCTAGATTTTGGAGTAATTTTTATGTAAAAGAAAATTGAAGAATCCCGTGTCATTAACCCTACTCTGGGCAGCAGACATCTTCCAAGCACATATAACATGGCTTAAATTTTCTTTTCTGGGATTCTTTTTCATTTGTATAAGGGGATAGTAATGCATCTAGGCAACTCAATAAGATTTGGGGAGTACTGAATTTATTTTCTGAACTATTTTTCTTTAAAGATTTGTATTCACTTAATTGGCAGTATATTAACTAGAGTAGTGCACACAAACTGGTTAGCATAGTGCCTGGCCCATAGTAAGAACTCAGAAAATGGTCTCTTCCTCCTCCTCCCCCACTGCCGCCGCCTCCTCCTCTCCTCCTCCTCCTCGTCCTCCTCCTCCTGCTGCTGCTTCTTCTCTTAATATCTGGATTATAATTACTTAATATTTATTATCAATAGGCTTGCTTTATCAATGTATCAAAAAGAAACTCATAATATTTAGGGGAAAATGTCTAAGATATATACTTAAGGTGTATGTCTGTGTGTGTATGTTTTGTGTTTGTGTGTGTGCAAAGGTGTAGATAAGTACAAAAGGCTTGGAAAGGATACATAGTAGATTTGATGAAATTACCTCTGAAAGATGTAGAATTGAGGGGGGGTCAGGCAACAAACACGGCTTTTTTTAACTAAAAATCTGTAAAATTTGAATTTTCATGAGTATGCATTCTTTTTATAATTCTTTGGAAAATGAATTTACATTGCATAAGTTGAACAAACATAGCTCTCACATGATGCTGGTCAAGCAGTGACCAAACACATAGTGGATGCAAGGCAGCTCTGAGAGTCAGGTACTGCCATGTATGAATTATTGCAGATAGAATCACTGTGAAATGATTGTTGAATTGTTTTCCTGGTAAAAAGTTACTTAAATGGTAGAGAAGATAAAACAAAATCAAGACACTTGATATGTATTTCAGTTGCTACGCAACAAACCACCCAATACAGTAATTTAAAACAACAATATTTATTTTGCTCACAGGTTTGCAATTTGCCTAGGGGCACATTTTGTCTCTGCTCCATATGACATCAGATGAAGTGACCAGAAGGCTAAAGGGGGAAATCATCTTCAGGGGCACTCGTTCCTGTGTCTGGTGGTTGGTACAGGCTGTTGGCTGGGACCACCATGTGGTTGTGGCTATATAGAACATCTACATGTGGCCCTTCCATGTGGCTGTTTGTCTGCATCATAATATGGTGGCTAAGTTCCAAAGGCAAGTGTCCCAAGAGAGCCCGGTGGAAGCTGTATCAACTTTCTATTTTATTTTTATTTCTTTTTTTTTGGAGACGGAGTCTCACTCTGTCACCAAGTCTGGAGTGCAGTGGCACAATCTCGGCTTACGGCAACCTCCACCTGCAAGCAAATTCTCCTACCTTAGCCACCAGAGTAGCTGGGATTACAGGTGCATGCTGCCACGCCCAGCTAATTTTCTGTATTTTAGTAGAGTCAGGGTTTCACCGTGTTGCCCAGGCTGGTCTCAAACTCCTGAACTTAGGCCATCCACCCTCCTTAGCCTACCAAAGTGCTAGGATTACAGGCATGAGCCACCACACCCTGCCTACTTATTTATTTAGAGATGATTTCTTCCTGTGTTGCTCAGGCCAGCCTCGAATTCCTGAGCTCAAGTGATCCTTCTGCCTTAGCCTTCCCAGTAGCTGGGACAACAAATGCATGCCACCATGCTTGGGTTAGACAACTTTTATGATGTATTCTTGGAAGTCACACAGCATCATTTCCTCCACATTCTCTCAGTAAAGGTAGTCACAATGCATCACCCAGATCCAAGGAGGGAAAAAGTAGATTCTACTTCTTGATGAACAAGTAACAAGTTCTGGAAGAGCATGTGGAATCAGAAATATTAACGTGACCATTTTTGGAAAATGCAAATAGCCAAAATAAGTCCTCCTTTCCAGTGTTATCTGTGCCACAATTTTGCAGTGCAAATATAAAAAATTATGCAGATTCTCTTAGTTGCCACAGCTGAATGTGAGAATTGCAACTCTACTCCAAAACCACATTCATACATTATGAGAGCTGTATTTTTACATAGTAAGCCAAATAATTTTAGTAATGGAGTATTATCTTTCCCATGCTTAGCACAGTGATGATTTTAAAATTAATTTCCCAGTGCACTGTCAAATTTATTTTAACCTAAAAGGCAAATTGACACTTTCCAGGCATAGTGAAAGTCTGCCTTTGCTTGGTCTGACCCAGGAAGCTGGTAGGTTTCTATTATTTGTTTTTGTTTCTAAGCTTACTCCTCAAATGCAAACAAAGATAAAGCACAGAAAGGAAATTCATGAAAATGAATGTTTGCAATGGAATTTCAAATTGTTCTCTTCAATGCACATTAGTGTCCTTCCTGTGTACCAGCTGTGCTTTTTACAGGCTGTGTGGAACTTACTGTGTTGTCTGAAAGTCGGATTCATTTCTCATATTATTTATTTATTAGAATTGGAGTCAACTCATTCATCTGTATCCCTGATGTCTTTGGTTCCAACTAGGGCATGTGTGCTAGACCATTAACAGGAGACTGATCACCCTGTATTTATTGATTAGCCATAGAGTAGTGCTTAGAGGATTGTCAGAAAACATCGTTAATGGAGTCCACTAGATTAGAATTTCCCTTTATTTTATGGTGTGAATTGTTAGCCCAAAACGAGCTGTAAATTACGTCTTTGGGGATTCTACTTTTTAAGAACACTATTATTGTAAATTTTTATTTCTTTGGACATACACATGGTTTTTTTCCTGTTTTCCTTAAGAAGTTAAGGTCATCATGTAGCAGAAATTTTAAAAATTAAGCTCTTTTAATATTGACATGTAAAACAAAACAAAATGAAAAACCCATACTTTCACACTGTCTTTTAACATGTGAAAAACAGCTGTTATACATGGTTAGATAAATCAGTTAAATTGAATTTTAACAAAGTTTTGCCCCCAAATGTTTTCTTGTTTAGATTGAAGACAAACATGAAACATTTATCTTAAGATAAATCAATTTTTGATTCTTCAGAAATTTGTCAGACTGGAAACCTTTAGCAGCCTTTCTCCCATAATTACAATGCCAAAATAGCAAAACGAATGAACTGACAGTCTATGTCTTCCCTGAAATTAACAACATAAATGGAATCCAAATATTGTGTGCCTGAATGTGTATATTCATTTATGTTATGCTTGTAAGGAATGTTTACTAATGTCCCCAGCTCAGACATTTATTATAAAAATCATCAGTTAAGATAGCCAACCTAGCAGTTCGCCAGTTCACCTAAGAGAGCTTTTATAAAGTATGGATTCTTGCCAGGCGCGGTGGCTCACGCCTGTCATCCCAGCATTTTGGGAGGCCGAGGTGGGCGGATCATAAGGTCAGGAGATCGAGACCATCCCGGCTAAAACGGTGAAACCCCATCTCTACTAAAAATACAAAAATTAGCCGGGCGTGGTGGTGGACGCCTGCAGTTCCAGCTACCGGGGAGGCTGAGGCAGGAGAATGGCGTGAACCCGGGAGGCGGAGCTTGCAGTGAGCCGAGATCCTGCCACTGCACTCCAGCCTGGGCGACAGAGCGAGACTCCGTCTCAAAAAAAAAAAAAAAAGAAAAAAAAGTATGGATTCTTGAGCCCTACACCCTAAAGATCTTGTTCATATGCTAAGTATGAGACTTAGGAAATCTATATTCTTCAAATACAGAATCTTAACGCTTCTGAGTTATCAGTCCAGTGTGGGAACAGCTGAACTAGACATATTTGCTAACCCTTGACATAATTTTTGTGGTGTAAGATATTCTGCACTGATAGACATTTTTATACCCCAGGACAAAGTGATATTATATTTGAATTTGTCTGCTTGTTACATTTTACATTAGGGATGCAGGTTAACACTAAACTTTTATATATTGACTGACTTTATAGTAGAAGCACAGCTTTATTTTAAAAATAGGGAAAGGAATTTCAGTTCATAAATTTTATCATTTTCCTCTTTAGTTTTGTGTTTTGACCGAAATGAATTTTTTATATAAATATGTTATATATAATAATAATAGTGATTATTATTATCATTATTTGGTCATAATATTTCTTTCAGATTGCCCAAGTACCTCTCACTGAAACTCGTGGAATAAATAAACAACTACAAACAATTCATTATGGTTAGAGGCAATGAATGAGGCACACTTCACAAAAGAGGAAATTGTTGCATGGAGCCACAAAAAATAAGATTTCCACCAGTAGAGAAGTAGAGAAAAGATATTTCCAGGTAGGACACAGAAAAAACAAAGGCACAGGGCTTGAAGTTTCACAGTACATTTAAAGATGACTAAGTAGCTCAGTGTAGCCAGGCTCCAATATATATGAGAGCCATCATGGCTTGAAATAATTCAGTTTTCAGTGGCAGGAGCAAAGAATTCTATCTTGCTTCTAGGGCCAATTATCTGGAGTGGCTTTTTGAAGAAATGTGTTAAGATAGATTCTGAGGCTGCATCTGGCTCTGGGGTTGATTGGGGCTTAGCTGTGGGCATAAGAGTGGGCACCAGAGTATCAGTGCCATACATTTTGTATCCCTCCGCTACACCGTGTAAGTTTCGTATATGTATTCTTGATCTTAGTGTTTTCTTTCACACCTTCTTTTAAATTGGTAATCAAAATGTTTTTCTCCTGCTCTTGATTCTCATTGTGATATCTTGGATTGTATATTGAGATCCTTGAGGGATTCATGAAATGCTGATCCTTTCACAAGGGTGTTTTGCTATTGGCTGTTATTTCAGTCTTGTTGATAAGTGCTGTGGCAGGACTCGGCTAGAAACTAGTGAAGTGGCAAAAAACAGATGAAATACAACGCAGTGTTCACTTCTGAGTTTCTGAATCAGTGATCAAGTCAAAGGGATGAGTGATTAACTGTTAATTTGATTTGCTGCATGTAGGGATTTTCATTTGAAAGCTGATGGGGCACAGACATATTTTTTCTCCAGAAGAAAAAGAGCTAAAGTAGAAATTAACCCCTACTTCAGCTTTTACCAAGAAAGCTCACACTGATTATCCAAGCACCCACATTATTATATATGTATATATGTATTGATTAGTTTGGTAATTTTTCAATTTGCTAGTTTCAGAAACAAATCTGAACACCTTAAACTCTTCAAGGAACTTTAAAAATGCATTTTACCTCCTCAAAACATGTAATTTATGTGAAACTTCCTTTTGTTGTTCCCACTATTTTTTAGTTATGTCTAGAAATATCATCTGGACAAAATATGTAGGCACTTTATAAATATCATTTGACAATTTTCTGTTTAATTAGCATGTTTTTTCAATTCTAAGGCTCTCTTAGTGCTGCATGTTAGCATTCTGAAATCAGGATTTGTGCACTGTAATTTCAGTGAACATTTCATTGAATGTTTCCTGTCTGTTTCATCTCTCGCTTCCCTACCTCCACCTCCCATCCCCACCCCCAGTACCAAAAGGCTGTTATTGAATCGATGTTGCTTCTTGGCCATTTTAGAATTGAGGGTCTGTGGGAAATGCATGCTTAGAGGATGGATAGCTCTCATTGACTTGGCAAAAATGAAGGAGTGAGAATATTGTCTGGATAAATAAGGCAGAAAAAGAATTCCTTTGATTTCCAAACCAGTATCTCCCCCATCCTCTTTATTTTGAATGTGGCTCTGTGTATGTCTGACAAGTGTGAGTTTGAGACGACTTTTCTGCAATGTCTAAAGGAGCATAAAAAACCATATCAGGTGCCTTAAAATTATCTCTAATATTTTAAAGTTATTTTAGTAAGCTGATGAGGTCGATTAGTTATTGGTGCTAGAGGGAAAAATTTTCCTTTTACCGCGAGATTAGGTTAAAAACCTTAGAATCTTAAAATGTTAAATTAAGGGAGAGTTTTAAATGTTGTCCAGCCCAGGCAAAGTTTGGATAAGGAGTCTTGTCCTCTAGGAACCTTCTTCTAGCTTTGGGTCCAGAGTTCTGTTTGGTAATTCTTCAACCCGATGATTATGAGAAGTTCTTAGACTCCCTACCCGTTACTTTTGAGCTTAAAATACAAGCATTTAATCCAACTTAAATTTTCTGGTTGCTGTAAATGGATTAAGTTGCTTACCCCTCAGCAAAATGTAGGAGAGATTTAGGGGTCAGACAGACTATAGTTGAAACCTCAGCTGTGTCACCTCTTAGCTTTGTGACTGGTCACGTTACTTAATGTCTCTGAGCCTTAGTCACTTATTCAAGTCATTCAAAAAATGATTGGTGCAAATTAAATGTGCCAGCATAAGCCTAGATGCTGAGTATACATTGCTAAACAACACAGACACAGTTCCTGCTCTTAAAGAGCTCTGCTCATGAAAATTCATGAGAATGAGTTGCCAATTACAAAACAGAGGATAAGTTCTGTGATAAAGATAACCTCAGCTTGGAGATGGAGGCACATGGTGCAGGCAGGCCTTTTGGAGAGATTACATCAAAGCTGAGATATGAAGGATGTTAGTAGTAAGGCAGTTAGGAGGAATTAGGAGTGCCTTAACTTCCTCCACTGTAAAATGGGGGCACACCTTCCTTATTGGGTAATAGTCAGAGACAATAAATATAATGCATCAGGAATGTGCCTGACTATTCAGTGTAGGGCCAGAAAACATGTATTGAATATATACTACTATAGGCAATGGGGTTGAAAAATGACTAGGATGCTGACCCCATGCTCGTGGGTCTTGGAGGCCAGAAGTGTAGCTCTGGTTCCCTGTATTGCCTCTGTTGCTCTTGCACACTGTTTGGACTTCCTTTTCACATGTCTGAACCGGGAGGCCACCAGCTTAGTGAGGCCAGGAATGCTTCTCTCTTGCTTACTGATATACCCTTGATGCTCCCAGGTTCCAGGTCCCTGTGGATCTTATCTCCTGCAGCAGATGTGGTGGGTGTCCTGCCACCTCCATTTTCTTTTCCAGATCACACCTGCCCAACTTTCAACTGCCAGTGCCTACATTTATTTGTCTGAAAGTTTCCTCTGAATGTTGAGGCCCATTCAGCTCATGCAAGAGGAAGAGAGGCTGGGAATGTGAGGGAATGAACCCTGCCTCCCAGATGTTTTCAACAGTGTCAGATAACAGGTGATGGATAAGTACACCAGCTCCCTGGCCCTTGGGTGGGACCGCTCCAAGGTGTGTGTTCTACACCGACTCCCAGAATCTCCCCAGTGGTATTTAATTCTAGTCACCCATAGTGGAAACCTGATGAATAATTTACTGTCCATTGACTGTTTTCTCTTTTGTCTCACTTCCCCCACTTCCTTACCAGTGATTCCTGGGATCTCCCCTCCTCCATTTATACTTCAATCCTTGTCTCAGGGTCTGTTGAAAATAAAATGTCCCCTAAGCATCTAAATCCCTGTGCTATTTTTAGGGAATGTCACTGCCTATGAAGAGCCCATCTCCCATGATAGGAACTGAAAATGTCAGATACACTTGCATCTCCAGCTGTCCTTGCAGCCAGGATTAGGCACATGACCCGTACTTTGCCAATCAGGCATACCCACCTCAGTCTCTAAACTGGAAGCTAATGTCGTGAAGAGGTAGGAAAGCCCAGAATTGATTCTGTTGACAGATGGTGGAAGATACAACAATCTGAATGGTAGCTTCCAGAATCCAGTGTTGGTGACATGTGGTGCAACCGAAGACGTGGAGCATGGCAGTAATGGTGGCTTTGCCGGAACAGTTCTACTTTGAGATTTTTGAGCACTGCTCCTTCCTTTGTGGTCTCCCAGCCTGCTTCTTTGATCCTCTTAGAGATTCTTTGAGCTCTCCAATATCTTTATATTTCTTTCCTGCCAAAATGCTAAAGTTTGTTTCTATAGTTTGTAACTAAGAATGCTGTTTGTTTGTGCCCATCAGGATCCAGCCAGGAAAATAGCCTCCTAGGTCTTTCATACAGATTGGATTTAATACAGATACTTGGTTAAAAGGATGGTGGAGAAGCTGGAAAGCCCTACAAGAAGCAGGGAGTAGCCTAGCGATTAGTACCAGCTAGAAGCTGCTATCACCCTTAGGGTTGAGGGACACTGAAGGAAGAGCTTGTTGTTTAACAGGAGATAGACCCACAGTAGGAGCTGAAATAGGCCTGTAAGTAAAAGGCAGTTGACATGTACATGTAATAGAAGCTCAAATACTTTTTGGCTAAATGAAGAAAGAGAATAATCAGGGAGAAGTCTGGGACCAGAACTGTATGTTATACCAATTCTAAAAGGTTAGGGGAATAGGAAAATTCCGTCTAAAAAGAAGCAATCAGAGAAGGAAAACAGGCAAAGGTAGTGTGTCCTGGAAACCGTGGCTCTGAAATAATCAAATCTGCCAGACTCTTAACTGAATTTCTACCAAATAGACCTCTGAATTCTTCACTGAGTCCAAATAGAAGACTCGGAGTGCTTATCCATAAGCTGTGGGCATCATAGCTTCTAATCCAGGCTATTCCCTGGGTAACTTGTGTTATTAAGTGAGGATAACAGTGCTTGCCAATTTTACTTGGGCAAGATGAGAAGCAATGAATAAGGAAGATTTTAGAATATTTGGCAAAAGAGAAATATGTCACAGCAGGAATCTTAACTGATAAACTAGAGATAAGCACATTTATTCTCACAGTTTTAATTTATGGACTATCCTATATGGCTTACATGAATAAAAGGAATGTATTACCTCTGTTAGTGACAGCGCTGCCTTACTGCATAAGAGAAAGCAAAGGTCTGTGTTTGACATTTATGAGAAGAAACATGGTCAAAAGGAAAGAGCATAGTTCTTTTTCTTTCTTTCTTCACTTATTTATACCTCCTTTAGTAATAATTATTAATTTTTAGTATGTATATATATGTATGCTAAAATCGTATACATTCATGACGTATAACATGATGTTTTGAAATATGTGTAAACTGTGGAATGGGTAAATTAAGCTAATTAACATATGCATTGTCTCACCTACCTTTTTGTATGTGGTAATAACATTTAGCATCTACTCTCAGCCATTTTCAAGTATACAATAAATTGTTAATAGCAATAGTCACCATGTTATTCAATAGATTTCTTGAGCGTATTCCTCCTGTCTAACTAAAATTTTATAACCTTTGATCAATATCTCCTCACTCACCCTTCCCTCAGCCCCCAGTGCCTACCATTCTACTCTTTGCTCTTAGGGGTTTCAATTTTTTAGATTCCACACATAGGTGAGATGGTGCCTTGTCTTTCTGTGCCTGGTTTATTTCACTTAATATAATGTCCTCGAGTTTTGTGCATGTTGTTACAAATGACAAAATTTCCTTTTATCTTAAGGCTGAATAGTATTATGTTGTGTATATAGAACATGTTTTCTTTATCAGTTCATCCACTGATGGACACTTAGGTTGGTTCCATTTCTTGGCTACTATGAATAAAGCTGCAATGAACACTGGGATGCAGATATGGGGAAAAGGTATAGATTTAATATTCAAACAGACCTCATTTTTAATCTCAGCTCTGCTTCACATTAGCCTTGTGATTTTAAACATGTTTTACAGTGAGTTTCAGTTTCTTTATGTTTAAAATGGGTATCATAATAATAATTCCTGGCTTAGAATTATGAGAATTTTTATGATTATGTGGACAAAGTTTCTCCCACGATGCCCACACAGGATGGGAATTTCATAAGTATTTGTTCCCTTCCTCAATCTCTCCCCTTCCCCTGCCCCTGCTTTTTTTAAAAAAACAGAAACAAAAACAAAAAAACATTGCTCTAACCTAGGGGAAAAAGTGAGAAAGTAAACTGAAATACTTTTTTAGGACAGAAAAGCTGGCATGGCATGAATTGGTTTTATAGAGAAACACTTAAAGGATTTAACCCCCCCAAAACTCCATGCTCCTGCTCATTACTGAAAGCACCAAAATCCCTGGGAATTATAAATCCAAAGCCATTTGGCTCAGAATTTTACATGTTAAAAAAAAATTCATTTGCATTTATTTTGCTTCTTACAAAATCGTCACTTCCCATAGCTGTCATAAAATATCTACTTGCTTATATTTTGTGTGAGATTTCATGCTTAGGTGGTGTCTTGGTGTTTCTGTGACCCAAGCAAGGAGTTCCTGTGACTGTGTCACACTGCTTCTTCTTGACACAGCTGGAAATATGATCGCCTCAAGGCCTATCACAAAGGACTGGCCCTTTGCTACGGGTCAGCAATAGCAAGGAGTGTTGCCAAGACACAACACAAAATAAGACCTTTAGGTCTCCCTCTGGGTTTCTGGAACAGCTGTCTCTAGCTCAGCTGTTGAAGTTTCAGCTCCTTCATTGAAATCCAAACACATCTGTACCCCAGACAGGAAAATGCCTAATGAGTTGTTTTCCTCCATGCTGGCTCGTCTTGTGGTTTTTGTGCAGCCTTTAAAGACAGTGTGAGTGCTGAGGACCTCAACAGGTCCTGCCCAAGGATGGAGGCGCCACCCGGTGATGGGTCACTAATGTAGAAAAGTGTCATGACACCCGGATGTTCACAACCCTCAGGCTGTTCACAGCTTGCCATGGCTTTGAAACATCATGTGCAGCTCAGACAAATTCAGGCCTCACTTAAGTGTTATCCTTATGCGGGCAACCTGCATGCCTTCTCTTTCATCTTTTTAATGATTATTTGGCAGAATCCTTTTTTATTCATTTAATTTCAGAGCACAACAGGGATATTTATCCCTTTATTTATATGTCAGTTACCTGTAATTAAATGTCAGTTTTTAGTACTGTGACTTGCTGTTTTAGGAAATACTATTTCAAACCAAAATGTACTCTTTCTTTTTTTTTTTTTTTTTTAATGGGTGATTGTAGTGTCAAGCCAAACTTAACTCATGTTCTAGGTAGAAGAGGTAAAAACAAAAAGTTTTCCCTCCTTCACTATTAGATTATCTCTGCAGGTTCCTTTTCCAGACAGGAAAAACCCTTTCAGGGTAATGGAGACCCATGTTATGGGTTCGTGGAATAGAAGGTTCTTCCCTTCCTGGGAATGCTTCCTAGCAGTGCAGACTCCACGGTGGGCACTTCCAC
Source organism: Homo sapiens (assembly GCF_000001405.40). Classification (NCBI taxonomy): domain Eukaryota; kingdom Metazoa; phylum Chordata; class Mammalia; order Primates; family Hominidae; genus Homo; species Homo sapiens. Next base: position 2,469,198 of record NC_000009.12, on the reverse strand, counting down.
CATGACCTACAATCTTGAGGCTTCTCTTAGAACTTCGTGCTTCAGAATCACTGCAGCAGCGCCGGTTCTCCTGTACTCCTTCCTTCCTTGCCTCCTTCTTTCTTTATTTATGCTAACCAAATGCCATAGTTAACCAAGTCCTGTTCCTTGAGGATTAATTCAGATGTGTTTAGCCATTTATTTTAATATCTAATTCCATATTCTAAATAGAATACTACCTCTACGCACTTCTATTATGGTAAATAACGATTTCTCCCTTAAGTCCCGTTTTCCTCCCTTTATCCTTCCAGTTTATTACATCACAATTTTCAGGATTTGCATTATTCCAACAATGGAAATATTTTCTGCTGAGCCAAGGAGCATACTATCATTACAATTCCTTTCTTGTTCAATTATCCTTTTTCCTAGAGCTGATAGTTTACTCATTTAAAAAAATGACTTAGTTTTCTCTGTACGTGTTACTGTCTTTGCTTCCCCTAACATCCAGCAATATTCAAGACACTGTTTTCATCACAGTATCAGTGTCGCATTTAATTTTTTTATGATAACTCTATAAGGTAGGTAACTATAATCTGTATTTCACAGATGGGAAGCATGAAGCACAGAGAAATTAATTGGCTCACATAAGATGGTAAGTGGCAGAGCCAGGACTCGAACCCAGGCAGTCTGACTCCTGCACTCATGTTCCCAAGCACAAGACATACAGTATCTCAATGTATAACTACCTATATTAGCAGCTGTACCACCTAATCCAATTAGTTGAATTTTTTTTTTAATGGAGCTCTTCCTCCATATGTCTCTGGACTCTTGTATCTGTGTTGCTTGTTTTCTAAACCTGTGTACGGTTATCATATTAAGACTTATTTTCATTATTGTCCAGGGAATTTCTTTCATCTTCCTCCTGTGTTGATTCCTTATTTTCTGGATATTGTTTTGTCTTTCTTGCATTAGGTGAAGCTCATCCTTTAGAAGACTTCTTGAGAAAATGTGCATGGGTCAAGATTTCTTAAATCTTAAATGTCAGAAAACATTTGTATTTTTCCTTGCTAGTACTGAGTATTGACTGCCGTTTTATTCTTGATCATGTGTATGTGACCTACTGTTTCCTTTCTTGAAAATTTTACTGTCTTCCTGGTGTACTGAAGTTTTATGACAGAGCTGGGTCTTTTTGCATTTATTGTGCTAGTTGCTGAATAGGACTTTTCAATCTGGGGACTCACGTTCTTCAGGTCCAAAAAATTTTCCCATAATCTTTCTCTTGACATATTTTTTTCTAGATCCTATTGGTAGGATGTTGGGCCTGCTGCACTGGACTTTTAGTTTCTTCTGATTTGCCTTCTACTTTTTCTTAATGTTTTGAGATATTTCCTTACCTTTATTTTCCAAATCTTACACACACATGCACACATAATTTTAGTTATCATATTTAAATTTCTAAGAACGTTTTATTTTTTAAACAATAAGCTTCATTTATTTCTCTTTTTTTCTTACTAGCATCCTAACTTTAAGGATAAATAGCTTATCTTATACCTCTGAGATCATTAAACATAGTTTGATTAAAGTTTTCTTCTTTAGTATATTGTCTCTGTTTCTTTTGAGTTTCCTTTCTTCCTTTCTTCTGATTTGATGTCTCTGTCTTTTCTGCTGGAGGCTTTCTTGAAATGTCAGATAATTCTTGGCTATCTGTTCATATTTTAAAAGTTAGATATTAAAAAATGCCAATAGGAAGTCCTATGCAGTAGGACTTGGCTTGTTGCCTATAGGGCACACTGTGGAATAATTGGTGGAATTGGCTTCTTAATTTTGCAATCCCTATAGATCAGTACCTATAGGTCTTCATTACTAGAAACAAGCTATAGAAAGTAAAAACAAAAAAATTAAACTGCCATGGACAACCTAGTGTTTTTGTGTAAGTCTGTCTGTGGGGTAAAAGTGGATAGCTTTTGGGTGTGTACACCTCCACATTGCCTTCCATGATAAATAATAACTTTCACGTGGAGTTTACAAACCACCAGAATCACTAAGAGGACCTGTTATTTCTATGTGCCTTCATTTTTTGCTCTGTTTTTCTTCGTTGTTGTTGTTGTTGTTTTCTTATCGGACTGCTCTGCTGTTTGACAAAGAATTTTACCACATGCCAAACACAACGTTTTGGGAAAGGTCCTTATATTCCTATGTGGAATATCTCTGCGCCTGGGCATGGGGTGAGCAGGCATTTGGTGACCTCTCTGCTTATGTTGCCTGGTACCCTGAGGCGCTGGCAGAATTACTGTGAGGCCATTCACCTTGTCTCAGCCTGAAATCTACTCTGACAGGTTTATTGGCTCTTAAACATGTATCGAAGCAGAACGTCTAAACTAATATAAGGTTTCACTCATTTGCACTCTCCAGGGAGAGAAAGAGAGATGAAAACTGTGAGGGGTGAAACTCCACAGAAATGTAACTCCACCCCAACCCCATCCTTGCATATTTACCAAGAAATGGAATTTATCATTTCTTTCCTATTTTAGGTCTTTTTTCTGTCAGAGATTTTCTCAGTCCATTGGTATGTGAAAAGTACATTGAGGAAAGGTAATAAGATCATTCAATCAATAACTGCTTTATTCCTTCATAACATATTTGTTTAATAAGGGAAAATATTGAATAAGATATATAAGAAAATTGCAATCTTCTCTAGCTTTTCTAGGAAGTGGGATGGAGAAAATGGTTTGAATTTAAATAAAAGTGAATTTAGAGCAATAAGGAAAACCATGTAATGAAGATCAATACTAACATTATCTATTTTTTATTGATGAGAAAAATATAGCTTGGAGAGGTTGAATGACTAGGCACAGCTTACTCAGATGGTAAGTGGTGAAGTCACAGCTCAGTCTCAGGTTTCAGTTCCAAAGGTCATGTATTTCTATTGCACCAGTCAGTAGTCTACAAACCTGACTGACATAGCTTTCTAGCTCCACCTCCTTAGCATACTGAAATTCTTCTATGTGCTGAGGCACACAGAACTGCTGGATAAAACAAAACTATTTTGCATACGTAGCTGAAACAGAGACAGACAGGTAAACAGAAAGAAAAGAAAAAAAAAAGAGGAAATGTCCATGTGCCACAGAGAAGGAAGAATCTTATAGTCAATGTGGTAAATGCATGAGCTGATACCAGAACAGTACAGAGGATATTAGACATGGCTATAGGATCTAACAGCTATGGGTTAGGCTTTAACACACATACACAATAAAGGACTTAACCTTGGGCCTGTGAAAGGTGAGGACTTAGAACTGAAGACCTGCTTCCCTCATACAAGGGGACTACAAAACACATTGTTCGTGTACTAGAAAGCAACTGGTAAAATTCTCACTGATTAGATATCTGGATGAGAAAAAGTTCCCCACAATAAATGGAAATTTAAAAACCTGTGCTGGCTGGGCATGGTGGCTCATGCCTGTAATCCCAGAGCTTTGAGAGGCCAGGATGGGGGAATCACTTGAGGCCAGGAATTCCAGACCAGCCTGGGCAGCATAGCAAGACCCAATCTTTACAAAATCTCAGAGCTCTGAAATGCCAAAGTGGGAGTATAGCTTGAGGCAAGGAATTCAAGACCAGCCTGGGCAACACAACAAGACCCCGTCCTTACAAAATATAAAAATAAAAAAATTAACTGGTCTTGGTGGTGCACCTATAGTCTCAGCTACTTGGAAGGCTGAGGCAGGAGGATTGCTTGAGCCCAGGAGTTCAAGGCTGTAGACTTCTATGACTGAGCCACTGCACTCCAGCCTGGTGTTAGAGCAAGACTCTGTCTCTGAAAACAAATCTGTGCTGTGCATGGGTATTGAATCCAAATTTTACACTATTTGCATAGTACAGGAATCTCAAATGAATATATTAATGTAGATGTCATAATTACTTCAAGCAAGTAAAACTACTGGAGTTTCCAGAAGAATCAAATGTAAAACTTGTCTAAAATGATACTACCACATCTTAAAGTACACAGGGGTGCCACAGGGAAAAAATACTCTAGCTGAAAATAAGTTTACAATGAAAAAGAACAAACCAAAAAAAAAAAAAAAAAAAAAGATCCAAATAAGGGAGAGTCAGCAGACACATGTGAGAGAAATAGCACCCCCAAGAACCTGAGATAATGTAACAACCTAAAACTGTCTAGAAATTAAATATATTTACACTCATTAAAGAGATAAAGAGAGGAATAAAAACTCTCATGAAAAAAATAGGACTAAAAAAGAAAGGAACATCTGAAAAACAACCAAATATAACAATTCAAAATGAAAAATCATGAATAAAGTTAAACATAGTGGCCAACTTTAAAAGCAGATCAGGCATGGTTGAAGAGAGAGTTGGTGATATGAAAGTTGTATCTGAGGAAATTACCCAAACTGCTGCAGAGAAAGATAAAGAGGGCTACAATCCGAAAGGGAAATCAAGAGATATGGAAGATTAAATTAAAAGTTACAACTTAGGTCTAATGGAAATTGCAAAAGCAGAAAATGGTGAAGGGGCAATATTTTCAGCGAAAATGGCTGGGAATTTTCCAGAACTTATAAAAGGCAGAAGCAGATTGAATTTTCCAGAAATTATAAAAAGCAGAAGCAGATTCTCAGATTGAAGAAGCACACTGAGTCCTGTGCATAATATATAAATCTACAGCTAGATGCATCATATGAAGAGCAGAACAGTGAAGATAAGGGAATTCTAGTTGAAGAGCAAGTGGAGAGAAAAGACAGACAATATATGAAGGGACAATTATTAGAATAACAGGGGACATCAGCCCAATAGCGACCAGAAGACAAGTCTGACCAAACATCAGAAACACCTGAAAAGCACATTAAAATACAATGTAAAAACTCTTTTATTCCTTACCACCATGTACATAAGCACACATATATGTGCGTATACTCACACACTGATCTCAAGGCTTTAATTAAATTTACTTCCCAGCCTCTCCCATTAAAAAAATGAAGGGATAATTTCTAAAGCATTTTTTTCCCAATAATTTCTAGAGTAACCATGCTACATAGTGCCAGAAGTTGATCCCAAAAGAACAAGGAAAAGGAGTTAGTACAAACATCTTTGACCTCACAGTTCCATTTCTGCTTCCGTCTTCACTAACATATGCATGATTAGGATTGAAAGACATGTTGTTCTGGCTAGTAACTCCAGAATCCTGTGTGTTTGTATGATGAGATGAATGAATGACCCCATGCTTGTGGAACCTTTGGCAAGATATGCTTCCTATCTTACTTGATATTTCATATCAAATACAAAAGAACACCTTGTCCTGCTAGTACCAGAATTTAGTCTACTTTGCCTTTATAGACATCTGTTCTCAGACTAATGGTTGTTTATATAATTGCTATAATAAAGGATAATTCTGCATTAAAGTAATACTGGGTACAATTAGTATATTCATAATAGCCATACTTTTTGAACTAGTAGCAATATTTCCAGGAATCTATCTTAAATACCCCAAACATACACATACAAAAACCCTTTGTATTCAAAGATGTTCACTCCAGAATTATATATGACGAGCAAAACTCTGGAAGTCTCTAGAAGGGTTGGAAGGCAGTAAGATCTTGTTATATTGTTCCAGACACATATAGTAATGTATTTGTTTCTTGGCTTGAACTCCTCGAACATATACTTTGCTTTTCCCCTTTGAATAGAGAATGCTTAGATAAACAATGGTATATCCACATGACAGAACTATGCCAGTATAAAAATTATGCTTTGAACAGGCAGTTCAAAAAAAGAAGAAATAAAAATGTGCCGTATACACATAAAGAAATATCTAACCTCATTAGTAATAAAGGACATAATTTCATTGTCACCCACCAGAATACCACATAGTTTTTCTTTAATGATTAGTAATAGCCAGTGTTGGTGAAGTTGTAGAGAAATGGGTATTACTTTGCTGCTGGTAGTATAAGTTGGTATGTACTTTCCAGATAAAAACTTGAGAGTATGTAGCCAAAGCCCTAAAAATTCATGTAAATTTTTTTTTGCTGAGCGATTCCATGGGAAGTCTGTGTGTGTGTGTATGTATGTGTGTGTATTTATATTTATATATTTTAAAATTAGGACAAGAATAGCATTTCTTATATTATGAAAAATTGGGATATCTTAAGTGTCCAAAAATAGGAATTATTTAAATAAAATGTGATGCTATACAATGGGATACAGTTAGAAAAGATGTCCATAATACATAGGCAATAATAAAAATTACAAAATTAAATATAAAAAACAATAATTTTGTTAAATTGTTGACAAGAACACATAAAATGTCAAGAAAGAAATGTAGTAAGAATTGATAATGATTATCTCTGAGTAGTAGAGACAATGGTGGTTTTTATTTTCTTTGCTTTTTGCATAGCATTTTCTTTTACATTTTGCAATGAAATTGTAATATTTTAATAAAAATAAAATATAAACTTAGGTCATAACAAATTTTTAATAAGATGAGATTATGCCAATTATGGCAAAAGATAAATGTTGCTTTACAATTACAACTATGTAGGAATGTATACATTAAAATAAGGAAAGAAAGAAAAAAAGGGAGGAAGAAAGAAAAGGAATAAAGGATGAAAGGCAGGCAGGCAAGAAGACATCTCTTCCAACTTGTTTTCTTTGGCCAGTAGAATTTGGGGCAAATATTTTCAACTCTCATGAACTTTTATACTTTCTAATATATTACCAATTTTATACTTATAAAAACTAGAAATAATTTTATTTTTTAAATGTAAAATTGAACTTAATAAAGTAGCATATTTCTGTCATATTTTATTTTACCCACTTCTCTGCTGTATCAAATTTCCATTCTTAGTCCTAACATCAACTTTCTGGACTGCAACCAAGCCACCACTTTAGGAAAATTTACATAAAATATTCCTACTGAATTTATTATTTCAATCAGTGACAACGAGACTTTCTAGAATCCTCTTGTGACTCCAGCAGGGAGCTGGGCAGGATTAGACCTTGCTCATCTCCACTCAGCATTCCATCTCGGTCTCCAGAGGGGACGGAAAGCTGCTATGAGATCTTGGCACCACTTTGCAGACTCATGTTGTAGTGAATTTGCTTTTTGGCTTGAACTCCCCACACATATGCTTTCCCTTTCCGCTTTCAAGCAGAGGGCTCCTTGCCTGCACCAGTCTGGATGTCAGCAGGTGGCCTGCTGGCCCCAAAAGCTTTCTGCATGAATTACTGTGTGTGGTTTCTGCACATTGAAACTTGGCACCCACACATACACACACCTCCCTTGCTCCTTTCCCCTCTCCCCGCAACACTCTGTATTCCATTAGAAGCCATCCAGATTCTTGGCTTGGATATTGGGCCAAAGCAAGACTTTCCTCAAAGAATCACCTAGTTTCTATTTGCTAAGATACCATACCTCATTCCTGTTTCCAGACAAAGCATGCATTCTCGTCAGTTTCTAGCTTGTAGGCTCTCCTTCTCCAGTCCAGACTCCATATAACCACCAGAAAGAGTGGATCTGGTCACTCCATGTCTCTTGAATTTTCTGTAGCTCCCGTCACATTCAGGATTATGTATGTATTTCCTAGACGGTGAACAAGGTTCTTCATGATAGGATTCCAACTTATCTACTCAGCCCTCATCTTTACCACATATTTCCCACCTCTTTCTATGGCATAACAGGAGGTTTCTGGACTTGACCTGCTTTCTCACCCATCTCTGCTTTTCTACATGCTGTTCCTTCTGCCCTTGCACTTTGTGCCCTGGCCAATGCCTCCTTATCCTTCAGAAGTCCATTTGAGTGTCATTTCCACTGGAAAGCCTCGCCTGACTCCACCACCTTCCACTGTACCCCCATCCAGCCCAAGATACTCTTGTGCATAGCTCCTATGAACATGGAATAGTATTTGTCAGTCATCTCTGTCCTTCCCTGGATCCTAAGGTCCTTGCAAGAAGAGACTGGGTCTTTTTGTGGTTTTATTCTAGCATCTAGCCTAGCTCAGTAAATAGCAAGCACTCAAAACTCTATGCAGCAATTCTGCTCGTGGGTATAATCCTAATATTTGCAAGATATGTTCAAGAATGTTTACACAAGCATTACTTGAGTTAATTCCAAACAGAATATAATCTAAATGTCTACTACCTGTAGAATGGATAGTAAATCATGTCACTTTAAATAAATCCTATACAACAATGAGATTGAATGAATTACAACTACATGCAACAACATGAATGAATCTCACAAACATAACGTTGAGTGAAAGAAGCCAGACATAAAAGAGTCAGTGATGTATAATTCCATTCATATAAGCTCAAAAGCAGGCAAAAGTCGCATCCATGGTATTAGAAATCATGAGAGTAGTTACCTTGAAGGTATAGAGTAACTGATAGGGGGCAACTGGGACCCCAGTAATGTTCTATTTCTTGATTTGGGTGCTGGATACATGGACATCATTACACTGTAAAAATTCATCAAGTTGTATGTTTATGATTTATGCATGTGTCTGTATTTTATACTTCCGTAAAATTTTAATTGAGGAAAGTTCCCTTTGTGAAACATATTTCTCTGTGGCGTTTAGGATAGTGATGGAAATGGAGAGTGTGAGTTTGACTCAAATCCGTCGCCAGCTTGATTGATGCTCTTTTCCCCACTCAGAATGGTGCTGGATGGTAGAAAAGAAAAGTAAAAGAAAAACCATCTTCCTAGACAGAGTTTAGCATTTGCTTTAAGAAAGGTGATGCTCAATTGTGTCAGCAGGTGTTCTTTGGATAGTTTGATTTCTCAACTTGAATTTCAGAAAGTGCAAATAATTTGGAATAATTCAGGGTATAAATAATCAAGTTAGAATTGGAATTTTCCTCTTTTCTTGTTATCTCCATCCGTCAGCTCTTAAGGCTTCTGTCTTCAATGGGTATAAGCTTATTGGCTTGCACACATCAATCAAATCTGTCACAGACCTTATTGATTCACATATCACCGTTGCAGTTTAAAATTGGTTTTCCTCTTCTTGCTACAAGAATTGTGCTTAATTATCCAAATTAACGTCTTTGAGCTGGTGAAGTTTTTCTCCTCCAAATTTTAAGAGGTCTATAAATATCAGACTATGGGATATTTAAAAAATATACATTTTCTCTCTTTAAACAAACAGATAAATGTGGGTAAGAAGCCTGGAACCCTTGTCTCTGAGATAGCTTCAGCCATCTTGGCAGCTGCCTTCTGCAGCCTGCACATTGGAGCCAGTCCAGCCTTCACTGCCACAACTTGCCGGATTTCTCTCTCACATTCTGTAATAAAGGACTTTCAGTGTCTGCACAGATGGGAATTCTGCTGCCACCTTCTCATTTCACATTTCCTGCACTTTCTTTCCAAAGCACTCGCCTGCCTGAAATAGAATCATAGTTTTTTTCAGTCTGCGTGTAGGAATTTAGTGGGAGAATGGACAGGGTGTCTGTAGCTCCCTATAATTACCACACCATGAAGTAATTTTCCTAATGACTAAAAGGTACTTAAAGGATGCAGAAGGATGCTCAGAGGTTTTTCAGAAAATAGCACCCAATTTTCTTTCTGGGGATGGTTTGGGAGGGCCCATGAAGAGGCAGGATGTCATTGCTGATGGTGTGAGCCTTTAGGGAAGAGGAGGCAGGAGCCTTTGCCTGGCTTGCCACCTACTAGCCCCCTTCATGAATCCCCTGCCTTCGTGAGGTCTCTTCCAAGGGGATATTCCCCCTCCTCCACCTTTTTAAATTGAGATCCCACAAGGATCAATGTCCACGTTTCTCTCTGCCTAGTTGAATTCTCTCCATCCTTCAAGACTAACTCAAATCCTACTACTTCTGGGAAGCCTTCCTGAATGGCTTGAGCTGGAAGTAATTTCCCCTATGTCTGAACACAGAGCCCCTAATGATTGCATATTCTGGTGTTGCCTGCACACAAAGATAATTTACAGTAATAAAAACTAATGAAATAAATGACATTAACTGAGTACTTATGTGCCAGGCACTATATTTGCACTTTACATGTATGAAGTCAGAATTCTTACAGTGACTCCATGGGGTAGGTTATATTATTTTTCCCATTTTACAGATGAGGATCCTGAGACACATAGTAATATCATACCTCCCTAATCAGATCAGAAGCTCCACTTACCTCGTTGACTTATTGATTTGTCTCCTTCATGGCACAAAGCTCAGGGCCTTGCAATCAGTAATTGCTTGGCTAATATTTGTCTATTTATTAATGTGCTTAATGGAACTTGAGACCATGAAAGTAGAATTTGAAAAACATTTCTGATAGTCAGATATGCTTCTTTTCATCTTCTGTCAATAGGGGAGGACTGTGAAATGAAATGGGTGGGGTTGATAAAAAATCATCATATTAAAAACAAATCCTTAGTTAGTAGGCACTGTATGCCAGATGCTGTGGTAAGTGATATATGTTCATTACATTTCTTAAGCTCAGCTTTTCCCCCACAAAAGGATCAGAGAGAGGTTGCAAAATGCTTGCAATAGAATCAAATAAATAGATGAAGGCATTGTAGCAAAGGGAATATAACTGGTTTAAGTCAGAAAAATCCTGGGTTTAGTTATTACCCCAAAATGAATGTTCTAAGGATCCTCTGTTGGTAGGGAGACACAAATTTGGCTCTAAGATTCCTAGTGTTTGTGGCAAAAACAGATACACAATCAACTACAGCACCTACACACTAAGATAAAGACGAACCAGCTATTTGAAGATAGCACTCACAAATGTTGAATCAAACCATTTCTTCTTACAATTCTCAACATAGGCCATTCTCATCTTGTGGAAGAGTAGAATGGTAAAATCCATTCTAGGAAGAGGCAGACTATTGGGTTTAAGTATGCAGTTGAGTTTGGCTTAACTTACGCTATCTAAGAGCTGGATGGACTGTGCATGTTTCAGAAAAAAATTCTCTATAAATGTTATTTCTCATAACCACTGTATCATACTGTCCATGCCAGACAATCATCCTTCCCCTTTCAACTAAAACCTGCATAGGTGTTTTGGTATAACTCTTACTAACATCCTATAAAACTAGCATGCCAGGAATAGTCTTTGGAAAACCTAGTCCTGTAGGCAATATGGAAATTTAAAAACTGACTTTTCCATGGAGAAAATGAAATCCAAACTCCTTTGGGTATGGTCACAAAAGCACCATAAATCATATATGGTGCTTTTCACAACCTGACCTCAACCTGCTTTCTAGACCGAATTTATTGTCCTCCTTTTAGCACCTTCATGCTTCCTTGAAACCAAACTATATAGAATCTCATGAAAATACTCAGTGCTTTTACTCATTGAAACGTCATAGTTGCATCCTAGAAATCCCTCTTCTCTTTCCTATCTCCCCTTGTTTCTCTACCTAGCGGATCTTGAAGGGTATCACCTTTCCTGCAAACCCTGATTCCACCTAACAATCTTCCCCTTTACTAGATTCCTATAGCACCTTGCTTATATCATATTTTATTATCCTCCTTTGTTAGCATCTCCGATTTTTCTGCCAAACTCTGAGCTCCTCCGGGGTAGAATGTGTCTTATTTACCTTTGTATCCCAGCACCGGGGACATAGTCTGACCTGGATTCATTTCACCAAGTATTTATTGAGTGCTTCCTGCTCTCACAAAGCAAGTTGGGACAATTCTAATTCTAAGATGCTACATAAAAAAAGTGTTACTCCACAGGTGACCCACATATGTTTCCATTATTCTCTGAAGCCATTTGGTGCTATGCAGATTGATTATTCAATATTATTTGGTATAGAAAAGGATAATCTAGTAAACGGGTTGAACTACAAACTGAGTGCACTAAACTCTTTTTTCCCTAACTCAATATTTTCCGGATTTGAAAAGCTCCAAAGGAAGCTGCACCTGTATGTTGCCGTTTATTCCAAGTGTTTTCTCTTTTTGTGTAATATCTGTCATGCTAAAGAACTTTGCTTGTATTTGGCATGTGGATGAATCACTTCATCCACCAATAAAATGTACAGCCCTTACAAGTAAAACACAGCAACTATCCCAGGAGACCTTGACAGTATTACAGCAGAGCTAGGAGGTGGGTCAGAAAGAAAAAAAAAAAATGACTTCTTAATGACCTGACATGAATAGGACATTTAAGAACTAAATTACCAAATTTTACTGTCATTGAAAGGACCTATTTGAGTAAAGGTCACAGTAAGTATTGTGCAAATCTAATCTTATTTCTGGACTTCAAAAATCTTTTAATCATTCATCCATCACAAAAAGTAATATTATAGACATTCAGAGCCACATAAGCACTGCACAAATATGAGATATTTTCATAAATGGAATTTCAAAAATGTGTTGAGCAATGGAAACATTTTGGATATAGAAATTGGAAACAGTATTTGAAAAGTTACTTTACATCAGTTTGCTTATGGTTAATATTAACCAGTCCAACAAGGTTAATGCCATGATGGGAGGGGGACAAATCTTGAGGAAGGAATATTATCATCTTGCAAAGTATCTGCCTCAAGAGATACCTCTGTAATATTTTTAGGCAAAGAATAATGAACTAATTCAGGACATAATGTACCCAAAACCAAAAGACCTCTCTGACAGCACTTAAAGAGACCCTTTATTACTATAGGCAGAAGGCCTATTGGCTTAAAAATTAGTCCCAGGACCTAACTGAGAGAGAGTCAAATTGTAGAGAAGGCTCAATTTGAAGTCTTTAGGTTTTTCCAGATATTAGATCATATTATCTACAAACAAAGATAATTTGACTTCTTCCTTTCTAATTTACATGCCCTTTATTTCTTTCTCTTGTCCGTTTGCTCTAGCTAGGTCTTCCAGTACTATGTTGAATAACAGTGGTAACAGTAGGCATTCTTGCCATGTTTCAGATTTTAGAAGAAAGGCTTTCTGTTTTTCCCCATTCAGTATGACACTAGCTGTGGGTTTATCATATATGGCTTTTATTATGTTGAAGTATGTTCCTTCTGTACCCAGTTTTTATGTTTTTTTTATCATGAGGGATGTTGAATTTTATCAAGTACTTTTTCAGCATCAGTTGAAATTATCCTATGGTTTGTGATCTCCATTCTGTTGATATAAAATATATTACATCGATTGATTTATGTAGGTTAAACCATCCTTGGATCCCTGGGATAAATCATGCTTGGTCATGATGAATGATCTTTTCAATGTGTTGTTGAATTCAGTTTGCTAGTATTGTGTTGAAGATTTTTGCATAAATATTCATCAGGGATATTGGCTTGTAGTTTTCTTTTTTTGATGTGTCTTTGTCTGGTTTTGGTATCCTGGTAATACTGGCCTCATAGAATTACTTTGAAGTCATTCCTTCCTCCTCTATTTTTTGGAATAGTTTAAACAGGATTGGCATTAGTTCTTTAAATGTTCAGCAGAATTCAGCAGTGAAGCCATCGGGTCCTGGCCTGTTTTTACTGGGAGACTTTTTATTATGGCTTTGAACTCATTACATGTTATTGGTCTGTTCAGGTTTTGGATTTCTTCATGGTTCAGTCTTGGTTGTATGTGTCTAGGAATTTATCCATTTCTTCTAGATTTTCAAATTTATTGACTTACAGTTCCTTGTAGAAGCCACAAATGATTCTTTGAATTTCTGTGGTATTGGTTGTAAAGCCTTCTTTTTCATCTCTGATTTTACATATTTGGATCCTCTCTCTTTTTTTCTTAGTCTAGCTAATGTTTGTCAATTTTGCTTATCTTTTCAAAAAATGAAGTTTTTATTTCATTGATATTTTGGAGAAGCCAGCCATTTGAAGAGTAGCAGGAAAAGTGTTTCAGGCAGAGGAAAAACAACACAGAATCATGGCAAGGGAAGAGTTTGGCATGCTGAGGAACTACATAATGTAACTAGAGAAGCATGAGCAAGGAGGAGTGTCAGAATGATGCTAAGTGAATTTTATGATTGCCCCTATATAATATGTGAGAAAACATAGAACCATGGGAAGGGTAGTGGGGGTGAAGGGGTTAGCAGAAGTGGAGATGGTTAATGTGTACAAAAATTAGAATGAATAAGAACTAGTATTTGAAAGCACAACAAGATTACTATAGTCAATAATAATTTAACTGTACATTTTAAAATAACTGAAAGGGTATAATTATATTGTTTGCAGCACAAAGGATAGATGCTTGAGGTGATGGATACCTTATTTACCCTGATGTGATTATTATGTATTGCATTGCCTCTATCAAAATATCTCATGTACCCCACAAATATATACACCTACTGTATACCGACAAAAATTAAAAGCCAACAAAACAAAGTGAAAAAATTGGCTGGTTTCTCATTCTTCAGCTCTCACCTTATATGTGACTTCACTTTAGTCCTAGGGAGTTCTTCCTTCACTGTTCTATCTAAAGTAGATCACCTCATAAGCTTTGTCATCCCTGCACACTCTTTCCCTCATAGCATGTGTAACAATCTAATTGTCGCATCTGTGTGTATAAAATCTGTTGTCTGTACATACAGCTAGAATGAGACCTTATTAAAATGCAGTGCTAGTCCAGGGCCTGACACAAAACAGACTCTTAATAAATATTTGGTAATTAAACATCTGAATTTACTTCATTATGGAATTGTAGACCATTATTCTAAGTGAAGTAACTCAGGACTAGAAAACCAAACATCGTGTGTTCCTAGTCATAAGTGGGAGCTAAACTATGAGGACTCAAAGGCATAAGAATGATACAATGGACTTTGGGGACTTGGGGTGAAGGGTGGGAGGGGGGCGAGGGATAAAAGACCACCCACTGGGTGCAGTGTACACTGCTTGGGTGATGGGTGCACCAAAATTTCAGAAATCACCGTTAAAGAACTTACTCAAGGAACCAAACACCACCTATTCCCCAAAAACCTGTTGAAATAAAAAAACAAACAAACAGGATATATAATAAAAAGAATTTACATCATTGAGATTGAGTGTATAAATGATAATATAAAAACACTTTAATTGTATTATCTGCACCAAACTCTAGATACCAATAATATTTCATAATGTTCAAAAGTGTTCCTTATTAGAACAATGATTTGATGCTATACCAAAATAGCAGTATGTCTGAAAACTTTATGGATTTTTAATGTATAATGATGCTTCAAATGCTCACATCCATAATTCTTGCAATATTTTCTTGAAATATGTCAATTTCTTTATCTTTTATAGATAAATCATGCAAAATTTGCGTTGTGAAAGAATGACCCATTTTGGAGAGCACTAAGTGTGTAAATGATTATACATACAGTGAGGCGTAACCTTCCCTTGTGCCCACCAGCCAAATTGTTCAAATTCCTTTGACGCTGGAGTTAAGTAGGAAATGCAGTGTAGGACTGAAATAAATGCACTTCTGAAATGCCAATCACGGAAGTGCCCATCAGCTTTGAACCCTGCCTTGATTGAACATTGGATGCGCGTGAGAATGAGCTACTTGCCACTGTCATATGATTTTGTTCCATAATCAGAAAAATGTGAGGGCCAAAGTTCAGGTGCACATTAAACCTACTGCAGGAAGTAGATCATGACCTTTCAAAGCCACGAACAATCACTTGAAGTCCATTTCCTCTTCAGCCACCTGGAACATCAAATCAAGAAGCATCTTTGAAAGGCTCAGATTTTGAATTGCAAAGTGATCCCCAAAACATTAGCTATTACACATAGAGCTGGGCAAGGGGAAATAAACCAAGCAGAGGATTTTTAAAAGAGAAATTTGGCTTACATCTTTTATACATGAGGTAAAGGAAACTTATGTTGAAAATCTTTTGCAGAAACCAAATCTTTTGTGACTACAATTCTTTCACCGGTGTATTAATGATGTGTCCTGCAGTTATCACTGGAAATACATAAAATGGGAATGCTGGTCTCTAGAGCTCATGAAATTGCTAGGACTGATTCCAAGTCCTTCTCTATGTAACAGTGTGCTGGCTTTCACAGGCACAGGGCCTGCCTCTAGTACTTATTTAATAACTTTCCCATACTACATTCCCCTAGATGATTTCTAGAAGAATACAAGAGGCAGGACATAATTCAAGGGCTCAATAATTGGTTAGAGGCCTTGGAGTTTCATCAGTTTCTAATTCACACAGGAAAGAACAATATTGGCTATTATATTTTGAGTACCTGCAATGTGCTAGTTTCTATTGCATGTATTATCTCATTCAGCCCTCTCTATAGCACCCTATTTTTTTTTTTTTTTTTTTTTTTTTTAGTGGATGACAAGAACTGAGACAAATCACCAATGGGCACAAACTAGTAAGTGGCAGAGCATGGATGAAAATCCATGTCAAACAGCCTCCAAGGCTCATGCTCTTTCCGCTATGCTATATGCTTTTTGATTGAAGTCTATTAAATGTCAATCTACTCTTCCAATAAATGTTAAGGTCAATGCTCACTAGGAGGGAAGGTTGGGCCATTGACCTCCAAAGAATGCTCCCTATTTTTGAATCCAAATTTAGCTTCTTTGATAGTTTCCCTTCAGGGGCTCACAGCAGTGCCTGCTGACATTTCCAGCCAAGATAGTAGCATCTTTAGCCCTGCTGGAACTTCTTCCATTACTACTGATGGTCAGGAGCTAAAGTTGGTTCCCACTGGAGGCTATACCCTGGAGCTTTCTACAGGAGGAACTCTCCTTAGTAGTCATTGCTCTCAGAAGTGGTGGCTTTCATCTAAATTACCTTCCTGACACCCCTTGCCTTCTCTCGTATCAGTGCAACCCCTTGGCAGCAAACACTTTTTCTGAGGCAAATCATCAGCATAGTCCATTATGGACTACAGTCTCTAGTAGCTTTGGCTACCTAATAGGTGACTATTAATAAAGCCACATAGTTCTTTGGAGGAAATTACTGTAATTCGTATGAAAATTTCCACTCAGTGTGATAATTTTGTCTGCCCCCTCAGCCTTGTTTTAATTGCTTGAAGCCAGGAACTACTCAACCTTCTCTTAATCTCCAAGGTGGATTATTCCCAAGGAGACAGAAAAAGAAAACTACTTTCTCTCTTCTGGAAGTATTTGGATTCGGATTATATAAAGATGAGATGATGCAAACTCTCAGACTCTCCCTTCATGGGGCACAGGAGCATCTAAACAAATCAAGATTCACGTAGAATCCAAGAAATTCCTTAGTAATTCTAAATAGTTACATGAGGGAGCTGTATTGGAAGCAAATTCTCCAGTCGTCAGTTAATCATTATCCACTACCTACCACTCCTCAGATAACACTGCATGGAGCAGAAACAAACCTTCCCCACTGTACCCCATCAAAACTGAAGACTTCCAACAAAAAGGGGAAAAAAAGATTGCTATAATCTTAAGCCAATGATTTAACAGAAAATACTTCAACTTTTAAGGGCCTCACTTCATCTTAATCCATCTGCACTACTCATCTGTTTTTAAACTATTATATCTTAGAAATTATTTTTGATGTGTTTGGAGAATATATTAACAGTTCAATAATTAGCTTCTTGGAGATAGGTATCTTGTATTACATTTGTTGAATTTCTAGACCGAGGGCGCTCTATAAATATTTCTTAGTTAATTAAACCAGAGGCTGTGTGTTCTATAAAATAACATAATTTTTTACTATGCTAATCCTGCAAACATAAGATATGGTACAGTGCAGACATACTAAAACCTGGGTATATAAGCACACTGAAACTTAAGATACTGAAGTATTTGCTTTATATAATCACCAATTCTTCCATCCCCTAAAGTGCTTATTTAATGCTCCACTGAAATTTGATATTCAAATCTTGAAATTTATTTAAAAAGTCAAACCACATTAGAGTCCCATCACTCAATGCAGCTTTCTGATTAATGAGTTACAGCACACAAATGAAGCAAGTTTGCAGTTAATGAACTACAAATAAATCTATCTGTAAATAATAATTACTGGTAATGACCAAATTAGTTAGACTTCAGGTTTGTTCTCTTTGCATTTACATTAATTTGTTTATTTTACCCTAATCAGTTAAATTTCTTCTACAGATAATTGGAGAGATACAACTTCTGGAATGACAGTGTGAGGAGCTCAAAGCTGCTCCCATACAAAACAGCTTTAACTGGTGAAAATTATTTTTAAAAACTAGCACCTATTTAAAGTCTCTGTAAATTTCCTAAGGGCATACAGGAAATGAAGACATATTTATTCAAGAAAATCTATATGGTCAACTAATATTTTTCTAGTGCGCCAAAAACACACAATGTAAGGAAAGTTTCTTCAATAAATGGTGTTGGGCAGACTGGATATCCAGATGCAAAAAAAAAAAAAAATCAAACCCTTTTCTTACACTATATATATAAATTAAAATAGATCAAAGACTTAAATGTAATATCTTAAGCCATAAAACTCCTAGAAAAAAAAAAAAAAACAGGGAGAAGCACCTTGACATTGCCATGGCAATAGTTTTTTGGATAGCACACCAAAAGCACAGACAACAAAGCAAAAATAAACAAGTGGGACTACATAAAACTAAAAAGTTCTGCACAGCAAAGGAAACAACCAGCAAAATGACAAGAAAGTCTCCAAAATGGGAGAAAATATTTGCAAAACATATTGTTGCAGGACTTTTCCTTAGTTCAGCTAAAGATAGGTGTATTAGTCAGGGTTCTCTGGAGGGACAGAACTAATAGGAGATAGATAGATACAGATATGTGTGTGTGTGTGTGTGTATGTATATGTATATATATATACACATATATACACATATATACATATATACATATATATACATACATATATACACATATATATACATATATATACATATATACACATATATATTCACATATATGTATATATGTGAATATATATGTGTATATATGTATATATATGTATATATGTGTATATATGTATGTGTATATATATGTATATATATATGAAGGGGAGTTTAATAAGTATTAACTCATATGATCACAAGGTCCCACAATAGGCCATCTGTAAGCTGAGGAGCAAGAAGAGCCAGTCTGAGTCCCAAAACTGAAGGACTTAGAGTTTGATGTTCCAGGCCAGGAAGCATCCAGCATGGGAAAAAGATGTAGGCTGGGAAACTAGGCCAGTCTAGTCTTTTCACATTTTTCTGCCTGCTTTATAGTCTAGCTATGCTGGCAGCTGATTAGACGGTGCCCACCGGGAGTAAGGGTGGGTCTGCCTTTCCCAGCCCACTGACTCAAATGTTAATCTCCTTTGGCAACACCCTCACAGACACACCCAGGATTAATACTTTGCATCATTTAATCCAGTCAAGTTGACACTCAGTATTAACCATCACAATGGGGTTCTTGTCCATCCCACAAAAATTTAGGCCTGCAGAAGGTTACACATGAGGGGGTTCTGTTTTCTGCATATCCCCTTGGCCTAATAAGCCAATTGTCCATTGACAGATAAATTAATTTTTAAAAATGTGGTGTGTGTATGTGTATGTATACATACAATGAAACATTAGGCAACCATAAAAAATAAGGAAGTCCTGCCATCTGTGAGACAACATGGATGAACCTGGAGGACACTATGCTAAGTGAAATAAGCTAAACACAGAAATAAAAGTACTGTATAATCTCACTTATATGTGAAATCTAAAAAATTAAACTCAGAGAAACAGAGAGTAGAATAGTGTTGCCAGAGGCTGGGGGTGAGGAAATGGAGATATTTGATGAAAGGGTATAAACTCTCAGTTAAAAGATGAATGAGGTCTGGGGATCTAGTGCACAGCCTAAGTGGTGATGGATGTGTTGATTAATTTCATTGTGACAATTATTACACAGTGTACATGTGTATCAAATAATCACATTGCACACCTTGAATACATATAATCTTTAGTTCTCAATTAAGTACTTTGAAATTTAAAAAAAAAGAAAATAATAAAATCTACTAAATCTTGGTAGTAACAGTGAGATCCTGTGTCACGTATGCCACTATCCACTCCCTCCTTTACCCTTACCCCTAAAGCTCAGCATGATAGACGCCCCACTCCAAAGGGGCTCCCTTTCCTCTAAGCTACCAGTCAAGTGGTAAGGTATTCTCCTGGGATAAAGAGATTGCCAACATTTTTTATCCTCTCCTAGCTGCATGTTACGAAGGCTAGTTTCCAGGCAAGTGTGGCCAAGACATCAGGAACTTCATTCACCTACCCAGCTCCAATTTCACTGGTTCTACTCTAGGTACAGAAGGGTAATAAAACTTGGGCCAAATTATCTTAACCCCAATCTTTTCATAAGGAGAATATTCCATACTGGAAGAGGCAAGCTGAGAAGACCAGAGGCTACTGCCCCAGCTCAGTGCTCAGTTCATGAAACATGGTATTCCAAGAGAAGTGGGTGATTTTGCCTGCTGTCATCTCCAGAGCAGTGGTTCAGAGATTTTGCCAGATGAAGAGGCAAGTCAAAATAACATAAGATGCAGAAACTTCCCCCGAAGAAATTGAATTTATTTGGAACAAAGTGCGGGTAAGTTCAATCCTAAAGGAACTCTCAAGGACCATGGAGATTTTGGTAATAAGCAATTAAGGAGAGGCTGGTAGCTCCATGAGAGCAACAAGCAAAACTATAAGCCAGCTGTATTACCAGACAAAGCAGGTGAAGAGATAACTCTAAGATGAGTCCTTCTGTGGTCAGAGAAACCCTCAAAGCCTGGCCCTGCCAAGACACCCAAATTTAATTGGATCAGAGTGTGAAGCAATTTATGCACCAGCACATTATTTTTAAAAAATGGAGTCATCAGCCAGCAATTAATGAAACTTAACAGCTGGATGTGGTGCTACAGAGACATACAGTTTAGGAGACAGATAAGAAATAGAGACAAAGAGAGCCTGCCAAAACCGGTCATCCCAGGGTGACTATGCCCATGCCCAAGACTGAACCCTCATAAGAATGACATCAGAGGCTTCACACTGCATGGGAAATGGACTTAATAAAATACCCTACCCAAGTTACTAAATAAATAAGCAAGTAACATGAACAAGCACAGGAAACGGAGGAAAATCACTATCTAAAGCTGCTACAATACAGAAATGGCCTTACAAGAAATAGCAAAGGAAGTTCTTCAGGCTGAAAGCAAGTGACCACAGTAATTTAAATCTACATAAAGAAACCAAGCACTAAGAGAGGTGATTATGTAATTATGAAAGATAGCATAAATGCATATTTCTTCTCCTTTCTCTTAACTTACTTAAAAAAATATGGTATAAAGCAATATGTGTGTAATTATATTGCAGACCTATAACATGTAGAAATATAATATACTTGATCATAACAGCAGAAAGGAGGTAGGTGGACAAAGCTGTATTATAGCAAGGAAAGGACACCATATGCTCACTGAAAACTATAGGAAAAGATGAACAAGAAATAGCAAATTAGCTGGTTAATATTACAACCCCCCCAAAATATATGCTTGCTTTCTTTTTTTTTTATTATACTTTAAGTTTTAGGGTACATGTGCACAACGTGCAGGTTAGTTACATATGTATACATGTGCCACGTTGGTGTCCTGCACCCATTAACTCGTCATTTAACATTAGGTATATCTCCTAATGCTATCCCTCCCCCCTCCCCCCACCCCACAACAGGCCCTGGTGTGTGATGTTCCCCTTCTTGTGTCCATGTGTTCTCATTGTTCAATTCCCACCTATGAGTGAGAACATGCGGTGTTTGGTTTTTTGCCCTTGCGATAGTTTGCTGAGAATGATGGTTTCCAGCTTCATCCATGTCCCTATAAAGGACATGAACTCATCATTTGTTATGGCTGCATAGTATTCCATGGTGTACATGTGCCACATTTTCTTAATCCAGTCTATCATTGTTGGACATTTGGCTTAGTTCTAAGTCTTTGCTATTGTGAATAGTGCCACAGTAAACATACGTGTGCATGTGTCTTTATAGCAGTATGATTTATAATCCTTTCGGTATATACCCAGTAATGGGATGGCTGGGTCAAATGGTATTTCTAGTTCTAGATCCCTAAGGAAGCGCCACACTGACTTCCACAATGGTTGAACTAGTTTACAGTCCCACCAACAGTGTAAAAGTGTTCCTATTTCTCCACATCCTCTCCAGCACCTGTTGTTTCCTGACTTTTTAATGATAGCCTTTCTAACTGGTGTGAGATGGTATCTCATTGTGGTTTTGATTTGCATTTCTCTGATGGCCAGTGATGATGAGCATTTTTTCATGTGTCTTTTGGCTGCATAAATGTCTTCTTTTGAGAAGTGTCTGTTCATATACTTTGCCCACTTTTTGATGGGGTTGTTTGATTTTTTCTTGTAAATTTATTTGAGCTCATTGTGGATTCTGGATATTAGCCCTTTGTCAGATGAGTAGATTGCAAATATTTTCTCCCATTCGTGGTAGGTTGCCTATTCACTCTGATGGTAGTTTCTTTTGCTGTGCAGAAGCTCTTTAGTTTAATTAGATCCCATTTGTCAATTTTGGCTTTTGTTGCCATTGCTTTTGGTGTTTTAGACATGAAGTTCTTGCCCATGCCTGTGTCCTGAATGGTATTGCCTAGATTTTCTTCTAGGGCTTTTATGGTTTCAGGTCTAGCATTTAAGTATTTAATCCATCTTGAATTAATTTTTGTATAAGGAAGGGATCCAGTTTCAGCTTTCTACATATGGCTAGCCAGTATTCCCAGCACCATTTATTAAATAGGGAATTGTATCCCCATTTCTTGTTTTTGTCAGGTTTGTCAAAGATCAGATGGTTGTAGATAAGCAGCATTATTTCTGAGGGCTCTGTTCTGTTCCATTGGTCTATATCTCTGTTTTGGTACCAGTACCATGCTGTTTTGGTTACTGTAGCCTTGTAGTATAGTTTGAAGTCAGGTAGCGCAATGCTTCCAGCTTTATTCTTTTGGCTTAGGATTGACTTGGCCATGCAGGCTCTTTTTTGGTTCCATATGAACTTTAAAGTAGTTTTTTCCAATTCTGTGAAGAAAGTCATTGGTAGCTTGATGGGGATGGCATCGAATCTACAAATTACCTTGGGCAGTATGGCCATTTTCACGATATTGATTCTTCCTACCCATGAGCATGGAATGTTCTTCCATTTGTTTGTATCCTCTTTTATTTCATTGAGCAGTGGTTTGTAGTTCTCCTTGAAGAGGTCCTTCACATCCCCTGTAAGTTGGATTCCTGGGTATTTTATTCTCTTTGAAGCAATTGCGAATGGGAGTTCACTCATGATTTGGCTCTCTGTGTGTCTGTTATTGGTGTATAAGAATGCTTGTGATTTTTGCACATTGATTTTATATCCTGAGACTTTGCTGAAGTTGCCTATCAGCTCAAGGAGATTTTGGGCTGAGACAATGGGGTTTTCTAGATATACAATCATGTCATCTGCAAACAGGGACAATTTGACTTCCTCTTTTCCTAATTGAAAAAAAAATACCCTTTATTTCCTTCTCCTGCCTGATTGCCCTGGCCAGAACTTCCAACACTATGTTGAATAGGAGTGGTGAGAGAGGGCATCCCTGTCTTGTGCCCATTTTCAAAGGGAATGCTTCCAGTTTTTGCCCATTCAGTATGATATTGGCTGTGGGTTTGTCATAGATACCTCTTATTATTTTGAGATACGTACCATCAATACCTAATTTATTGAGAGTTTTTAGCATGAAGCGTTGTTGAATTTTGTCAAAGGCCTTTTCTGCATCTATTGAGATAATCATATGGTTTTTGTCGTTGGTTCTGTTTATATGCTGGATTATTTTTATTGATTTGCATATGTTGAACCAGCCTTGCAGCCCAGGGATGAAGCCCACTTGATCATGGTGGATAAGCTTTTTGATGTGCTGCTGGATTCGGTTTGCCAGTATTTTATTGAAGATTTTTGCATCGAAACAACAATATCCCTGATGAACACATCAGGGATATTGGTCTAAAATTCTCTTTTTTTGTTGTGTCTCTGCCAGGCTTTGGTATCAGGATGATGCTGGCCTCATAAAATGAGTTAGGGAGGATTCCTTCTTTTTCTATTGATTGGAATAGTTTCAGAAGGAATGGTACCAGCTCCTCCTTGTACCTCTGGTAGAATTTGGCTGTGAATCCATCTGGTCCTGGACTTTTTTTGGTTGGTAAGCTACTAATTATTGCCTCAATTTCAGAGCCTGTTATTGCTCTATTCAGAGATTCAACTTCTTGCTGGTTTAGTCTTGGGAGGGTGTATGTGTCGAGGAATTTATCTATTTCTTCTAGATTTTCTAGTTTACTTGCATAGAGGTGTTTATAGTATTCTCTGATGGTAGTTTGTATTTCTGTGGGATCGGTGGTGATATCCCCTTTATCATTTTTTATTGCGTCTATTTGATTCTTCTCTTTTCTTCTTTATTAGTCTTGCTAGCAGTCTATCAATTTTGTTGATCTTTTCAAAAAACCAGCTCCTAGATTCATTGAATTTTTGAAGGGTTTTTTTGTCTCTATTTCCTTCAGTTCTGCTCTGATCTTAGTTATTTCTTGCTTTCTGCTAGTTTTTGAATGTGCTTGCTCTTGCTTCTCTGGTTTTTTTAATTGTGATGTTAGGGTTTCAATTTTAGATCTTTCCTGCTTTCTCTTGTTGGCATTTAGTGCTTTGAATGCGTCCCAGAGATTCTGGTATGTTTTGTCTTTGTTCTCATTGGTTTCAAAGAACATCTTTATTTCTGCCTTCATTTCGTTATGTACCCAGTAGTCATTCAGGAGCAGGTTGTTCAGTTTCCATGTAGTTGAGCAGTTTGCAGTGAGTTTCTTAATCCTGAGTTCTAGTTTGATTGCACTGTGGTCTGAGAGATAGTTTGCTATAATTTCTGTTCTTTTACATTTGCTGAGGAGTGCTTTACTTCCAACTATGTGGTCAATTTTTGATTAGGTGCGGTGTGGTGCTGTGAAGAATGTATATTCTGTTGATATGCTTGCTTTCTTTTCCTCTCTCAGCTCCTTTAAAAGACATAAAATTATATATTAAGTAATAATTAACAACCCCATTAAAAAGTGGGCATAGGACATGAACAGACACTTCTCAAAAGAAGACATTTATGCAGCCAAAAAACATATGAAACAAGCTCAGCGTCACTGATTGTTAGAGAAATGCAAATCAAAACCACAGTGAGATACCATCTCATGTCAGTCAGAATGGCAGTTATTGAAAAATCAAGAAGCAACAAAAGCTCTCCAGGCCATGAAGGGATAGGAATGCTTTTACACTGTTGGTGGAAATGTAAATTAGTTCAATCATTGTGGAAGACAGTGTGGCAATTCCTCAAAGACCTAGAACCAGAAATATCATTTGACTTAGCAATCCCATTACTGGGTATATACCCAAAGAAATATAAATTATTCTGTTATGAAAATATATGGACATGTATATTCATTGCACTATTCACAATGAAAAAGACATGGAATCTACCTAAATGCCCATCAGTAATAGACTGAATAAAGAAAATGTGGTACACATACACCATGGAATACCACGCAGCCATACAAAGGAAAAAGATCATGTCCTTTCTAGGGACATGAATGGAGCTGGAAGCCATTATCTTAAGCAAACTAACACAGGAACAGAAAACCAAACACCACATGTTCTCACTCATAAGTGGAAGCTGAACAATGAGAACACGTGGACACAGGGAGAGTAACAACACACACTGGGGCCTGTTGGAGGAGGTGGCAGGGGAAGGGAGAGCATCAGGAAAAATAGCTAACGCATGCTGGCCTTAATACTTAGGTGATGGGTTAATACTTAGATGATGGGCAGCAAACCACGGTGGCACACATTTACCTATGCAATGAGCCTGCACATCCTGCACATGTACCCCAGAACTTAAAAGTTAAAAAAGAAACGTTTTTGAGCCACTAGGGACACCATTAAGAAAGTGTATTCGTCCATTTTTATGTTGTTGATTGATAGACATACCTGAGACTGGGCAATTTACAAAAGAAAGAGATTTAATGGACTTACAGTTCCACGTGGCTGGGGAGGCCTCACAATCATGATGGAAGGTGAAAGGCACATCTCACATGGCGACAGACAAGAGAAGAGTCAGAGCCAAGTGAAAGGAGTTTTTCCTAATAAAAACATCAGCTCTCGTACGACTTATTCACTACCACAAGAACAATATGGGGGAAACTGCTCCCATGATTCAGTTATCTCCCACTGGGTCCCTCCCACAACACAAGGAAATTGTGAGAGCTGTAATTCAAGATGAGATTGGGGTGAGGACAAAGCCAAACCATATTAGAAAGTTAAAAAATAATCCTCTAAATAGTAGAACATATTCACAAATCATATATCTGATAAGGGATAAAGAGCTCTTAACTCAATAATAAAAAAATTAAAAATAGACAAAGGGTGAGGAGACAAGATGGCAGATAGGAGACAGAGCTAATGTGCAGCTCCCACTTGGATGGACAGAACAGTGTGTAGAGACTCACATCATGAACTTACTTTTGCTCCAAGAATGACAGCAGGAATGTACCAGGAAAACTGAAAGAATTCACAGATCAGTTGAAAGAAGTAGCACGCCACTGCAAATTCCACAAGACAGGCAAAAAACTGTGAGTTCCCAAAGTGTGAGAGGTGGAAAACCTTCCTCAGAGCATATATCCCCACTGGGGAATCTGAAAATCTAGATCACAGGAGAAGAATTTAACCTTATCTAGAGCTGACACAGATTTAGGGAACCTCATGAAATATAAAAGTAGACGTTAAGGCAGGTGGATACCTGAGGTCAGGAGTTCAAGACCAGCCTGGCCAACATGGTGAAACCCTGTCTCTACTAAAAATATAAAAATTAGCTGGGTGTGGTAGTGGATGCCTGTAATCCCAGCTTCCCAGCTACTCAGGAGGCTGAGGCAAGGGAATCACTTGAACCCGGGAGGCGGAGGTTGCAGTGAGCCAAGATTGCACCACTGCCCTCCAGCCTGGGTGACAGAGTGAGACTCTGTCTCAAAAATAATAATAATAATAAAATAAAATAAAATAAAAATAAGTAGAAGCAGTGCCTAGAAGGCACTTCCAGTCTCCAGTTTGAGTTCAGGGAAGCCATTCCTGACTATATCTCACAGGGACCCACAAGGAAGGCAGCCAGTGGAATTAGGGAGGGCTCACAAGGAAAAAGAAGCTTCCAACTGAAATTAGTAATACTCTTGACTGGGCACACATTTTCTTGAGCAGAATCCAGGCGACAAGCAGGAACTTCTGCAGATATGGGTGCAGGAGCTGCTGCCAACAGAGTGGGCAGATGGGGAGTGAGGAGGTCCAAAAGCTGTACTTGCTCTCTCAATGGGGAAGCTGACAGCATGGAGCAAGGCCTGAGTGGGGCGCTGCAGGAGTGAGACAGGCCTCACCAACTGCATGGGAGCTGGGTGAGGCCTCTCACTGCTGGCTACCCTCTACTTCCCTGGCAAACTATATGACACATCAGAGGCAGCCAAAATCCCCTCTGGTATATAACCCCATTGGTTTGAGAACCACCTCCCTTCTCCAACAATGGCCATGGCAAACCCTGCCCAAGGAGAGTCTGAGCTCAGAACTGCCTAGCCTTGTCCCCACCTTATGGTAATTCTCTACCTGCTCTGACCCAGAGAATTCTCTTGGTCTGCTACTAGACCAAATAGCTGAACACAAAAGATAGAAACTCTTGGGAGCCTTATGGCCCAGCCCATTGCCTGAGAAACCAAAAGACTTACCCTGGCCAACTTAGGGCAAGCTTGGATCTCCCTGCTACCTTAGTTGGTGCTCTCTTGAAAGTACCACCTCCTGGCTAGAGGCCAACCAACTCAGGCTATTACAGCACCTCATGGCAGAATAACCCTGATCCCAGGAAGGAGAAAACAATAGCTAATTTCACTGTCTGAAACATCTTGGCTAACCAGAGGTCCTGAGTGTGTCCACATGACAACTTCACTGCTAGCACAGCCAGCATTTGAGAAAGCCAGCACACTAAACATATATATAACCAAGGACTCTCACAGAGTCTACTTCACTCCCCTGCTACCTCTGTCAGTGCAGATTCAGGTATCCATGGCTAGGAGACCTGAAGACGAATCAATCACAGGACTCTTTGTACATTCCCTAGTACCAGCCTGGAGCCTGATAGCCCTGCGGGGTAGCTAGACCCTGAAGAGCAATAACAATTACTGCAGTCCTGTTCTCAGAAAGCCCCATCCCTAGGAGAAGGAGAGCACCACATCAAGGGATCACCCTGTGAAACAAAAGAATCTGAGCAGCAGGCTTTTAGTTGCAGACCTTTCCACTGAAATAGTCTACCCAAATGAGAAGGAAACAGAAAAGTAATTCTGGTAATATGACAAAACAGGGGTCTATAACATCCACAAAAGATCACACTAGCTCCCCAGCCATGGATCCAAACCAAGAAGAAATCTCTGAATTGCCAGATAAAGAATGCAGAAGATTGATTATTAAGCTACTCAAGGAGGCACCAGAGAAAGGTGAAAAACAATGTAAAGAAACTTTTAAAAAATACAGGATATGGATGGAAAATTCTCCAGAGAAATAGATATCATAAAGAAAATACAATCACAACTTCTGGAAATAAAAATCACACTTAGAGAAATACAAAATGCACTCAAAGGTTTCAACAAAGACTAGACCAAGTAGAAGAAAGAACTTCACCGCTCAAAAACAAGGCTTTCACATTAACCCAATTAGACAAAGACAAAGAAATAGGAATTTTTTAAAAAATGAGCAAAGCCTCCAAAAAAATGGGATTATGTTAAGTGGCCAAACCTAAGAATAATTGTTGTTTCTGAGGAAGAATAGAAATCTAAATGTTTGGAAAACTTATTTGAAAGAATAATTGAGGAAAATTTCCCTGACCTTATTAGAGATCTAGACATCCACATACAAGAAGCTCAAAGAACACCTGGGAAATCCATCACAAAAAGATCATCACCTAGGCACATAGTCATCAGGTTATTTAAAGTCAAGACAAGGGAAAGAATCTTAAGAGCTGTGAAACAAAAGCATCAGATTACCTACAAAGGAAAACCTATAAGATTAACAGCAGATTTCTCAGCAGAAACCCCGCAAGCCAGAAGGGATAGGGATTCCATCTTTAGCCTCCTGAAACAAAATAGCTGTCAGCTAAGAATTCTGTATCCAGCAAAAATAAGCTTCATATCAGAGAGGTTAGGATAATGGTGAATAGGAGGCAGGACCAAATTGCAGCTTCCACTTGGAGAGACAGAGCACTATGTGGAGAATCACATCATGAACTTTTGCTCCAAGAACTGCTGCAGGAACGTACCAGGAAAGCCGAGAGGATCCACAGACACTTTGAAGGGAGCAGGTTGCTCCTGCAGTCCTAGGAGACAGCCCAAAAACTGTGAGTGCCCAAAATGTGAAAGGAGGATCATCTGCTCCCAAACATACACCCTCAGTGGGGAACCTGAAGGTCCAGATCAGGGGAGAAGGATTTGACCTTACCTGGAGCTGAGACAATTTTAGAGAGCCAAGCAAAATACAGGGATAGAAGAAGCAGCAGGAAGAGCCCCGTGGGCTCTCACAGTCCCCAGGGAAGCCATGTCTGACTTTGTCTCACAGAGGTCCTTGGGGAGGGCTGCCAGAGGAACTGGAAAAAGACCACAGAGAGAGGGAAGCTTCCAGCTGAACTTTGTAACAATTTCAACTGAATGCAAATTTTCCTGGGCATAACTTGGGAGAGGGCATGAATCTGGAGTGCAGACACAGCACAGAAGCCATGGCAGGCAGGAAGTGTGAAACCTGAAAGCCCCGCTCACTTTCATAGCCAGAAGGTTGGCAGCCTGGGGCAAGTTCTCAGCCCTGCTCACCTGCTGCCTGGAAACAACCCAGTGATGTTGGGGAGGGGGTATGGTGGGAGTGAGACTGGCATTTTGGGCTGCATAGCAGCTGGATGAGGCCTATAACTGTCGGCTTTCCTTACTGGTCACATACATGACACAGCAGAGGCAGCCATAATCCCCCTGAGAATATAACTTCATTGGCCTGAGAACCACACCCCCACTCCCCAATCCCCCACAGCAGCCACAGCAAGCCCCACCCAAGGAGAGTCTGAGCTCAGACACACCTAACCCTGCCCCCACCTGATGGTCTTTCTCTACCTGCCCTGGTAGCCAAAAACAAAGAGCTCCCTTGGGAACTCTAGGGCACTGCCCACTGCCTGATCATCCCTATACTACCACAGCTGATGCTCTCTTGATCCTCCACTTCCTGGCAGGAGGCCAAACAGCACAAAACTAGTGCAATAAACAAAACTACAACTAAGGACCCTCACAGAGTTCATTTCACTCTCCTGCCACCTCCACCAGAGCAAGTGCTGCTATCCACAGCTAAGAGACCTGAAGATGGTTCACATCACAGGACTCTGTGTAGACACCCCCAAGTACCAGCCTGGAGCCAGGTAGCTCTGCTGGATGGCTAGATCCAGAAGAGAAATAACAATCACTACACTTTGGCTCTCAGAAAACCCCATCCCTGGGGAAATTGGGGGAGCACTACATCAAGGGAGTACCCAATGGGACAAAAGAATCTGAATAGTGGCCCTTGAGCCCCAGGTCTTCCCTTTGACATAGTCTACCTTAATGAGAAGGAACCAGAAAAACAATTCTGGTAATATGACAAAACAAGGTTCTTTAACACCCCTAAAAGATCACCCTTGCTCACCAGCAATGGATTCAAGCCAAGAAGAAATCTCTGAATTGCCAAAAAGAGAATTCAGAAGGTCAATTATTAAGCTAATCAAGGAGGTACCAGAGAAAGGTGAAGTCCAATTTAATGAAATTTAAACAAATGATATAAGATACAAAGGAAAAAATCTTCAGTGAAATAGATAGCATAAATAAAAAAATAGCAGTTTCTGGAAATAAAGGACATGCTTATAGAAATGCAAAATGCACTGAAAAGTCTTGGCAATTGAATCAAGCAAGCAGAAGAAAGGACTTCAGAGCTTAATGACAAGGTTTTTGAATTAACCTAATCCAACAAAGACAAAGAAAAAAGAATAAAAAATGAACAAAGCCTCCAAGAAGTTTAGGATTATGTTAAATGACCAAACCTAGGAATAATTGATTTGATATTCCTGAGGAACAAGAGAAATCTAAAAGTTTTGAAAGCATATTTAAGGGAATAATCAAAAAAAAAACTTCCACAGCATTGCTAAAAATCTAGACATCCAAATACAAGAAGCTCAAACGACACCCGAGAAATTTATCACAAAAAGATCATCACCTAGACACATAGTCATCAGGTTACCTAAAGTCATAATGAGGAAAGAATCTTAAGAGTTGTGAGGCAAAAGCACTAGGTAATCTATAAAGGAAAACCTATTATATTAACAGCAGACTTCTCAGCAGAAACCCTACAAGATAGAAGGGATCGGGGCCCTATATTCAGCCTCCTTGAACAAAACAATTATTAGCCAAGAATTTTGTATCCAGTGAAACTAAGCTTCATGAGTGAAGGAAAGATACAGTCTTTTTCAGACAAACAAATGCTGAGAGAATTTGCCACTACCAAGCCAGCACTACAAGAACTGCTAAAAGGAGCTCTAAATCATGAAACAAATCCTTGAAATACGTCAAAATAGAACATCCTTAAAGCATAAATCTCACAGGATCTGTAAAACAAAAACACAATAAAATTTTAAAAACCCAAAGCATTCAGGCAACAAATAGCATGATTAATAGAATAGTACTTCACGTCTCAGTACTAATGCTGAATGTAAATGGCCTAAATGCTCCATTTAAAGGATACAGAATGGCAGAATGGATAAGAATTCACCAACCAAGTATCTGCTTTCTTCAGGAGATTCACCTAACACATAAGGACTCACATAAACTTAAAGTAAAGGGGTGGAAAACGATATTCCATGCAAATGGACACCAAAAGGGAGCAGGAATAGCTATTCTTATATCAGACAAAAAACACTTTAAAGCGACAGCAGTTGAAAAAGATGAAGAGGGACATTATATAATGTCCAAGTGGAAAATGTCACAATCCTAAATATATGCACCTAATACTGGAGCTCCCAAATTTATAAAACAATTACTACTAGACCTAAAAAATGTGATAGACAGCAACACAAGAATAGTGGGGAACTTCAGTACTCCACTGACAGCACTAGACAGGTCATCAAGAGAAAAAGTCAACAAAGAAACAGTGGATTTAAACTATACCTTAGAACAAATGAACTTAATGGATATTTACAGAACATTCTACCCAACAAATGCAGAATATACATTCTGTTTATCAGCACAGGGAACATTCTGTAAGATAGACCATATGATAGACCACAAAACAAGTTTCAATAAATTTTTAAAAATTGGAATTACATCAAGTACTCTCTCAGACCACAGTGGAATAAAACTATAAACTGATTTCTAAAGGAACCCTCAAAACTACACAAATACATGGAAATTAAATAACCTATTCCTTAATGATCATCAAAAAGTCTGAAAGAGCACATATAGACAATCTAAGGTCACTTCTCATGGAACTAGAGAAACAAGAACAAACCAAACCCAAACCCAGCAGAAGAAATAACAAAGGTAAGAGCAGAACTAAATGAAATTGAAACAAAAAAGAAAACAAAAGATAAATGGAACAAAAAAGCTGATTATTTGAAAAGATAAATAAAATTAATAGACCATTAGCGAGATTAACCAAGAAAAGAAGACAGAAGACATTAGTAAACTCAATTAGAAATGAAATGGGAGATATTACAACTGATATCACAGAATTACAAAAAAATATTCAAGGCTACTATGAACACCTTTATACCTATAAACTAGAAAACCTAGAGAAGATACATAAATTCCTGGAAATATACAAACCTCCTAGATTAAACCAGGAAAAAATAGAAATGCTGAACAGACCAATAACAAGCAGAGAGATTGAAATGATTATAAGACAATTGCCAATAACAACAAAAAAAGTCCAGGACCAGATGATTTCACAGCTGAATTCTATCAGACATTCAAAGAAAAATTGATACCAATCCTATTGATGCTATTCCACAAGATAGAAGAAAAGAGAATCCTCCCTAAATCATTCTGTGAAGCCAGTATCACCCTAATACCAAAACCAAGAAAGGACATAGCAAAAAAAAGAAAACTACAGACCAATACCCCTGACAAATGTGATGCAAAAATCCTTAACAAAATACTAGCTAACCAAATCCAACAGCATATCAAAAAAATAATCTACCATGATCAAGTGGGTTTCATACCAGGGATGCTTTAACATGTGCAAGTCAATAAATGTGATACACCACAAAAATAGCATTAAAAACAAAAATTACATGATCATGTCAATAGATGCAGAAAAAGCATTTGACAAAATCCAGCATCACTTTATAATTAAAATCCTCAGCAAAATCAGCATAGAAGGAACATACCTTAATGCAATAAAAGCCATCTATGACAAACACACAGCTGACATAATACTGAATGGGGGAAAAGTTGAAATCATTCCCCCTGAGAACTGGAACCAGACAAGGATGCCCAATCTCACCACTTCTATTCAACATAGTACTGGAAATCACAGCCAGAGCAATCAGACAAGATAAAGAAATAAAGGACATCCAAATCAGTAAAGAGGAAGTCAAATTGTCGCTGTTTGCTGATGATATGATTGTGTACCTAGAAAACCCTAAAGACTCCTCCAAAAGCTCCTAGAACTGATAAATGGATTCAGCAAAGTTTCAGGATGCAAAATTAAGGTAATCAAATCTGTAGCTTTGCTGTGTATACAACAGCAGTGACCAAGCTGAGAATCACATCAAGAACTCAATCCCTTTTACAATAGCTGCAAATATACCTAACCAAGGAATATACCTAACTAAGGATGTGAAAAATCTCTACAAGGAAAACCACAAAACACTGCTGAAAGAAATCATAGATGAGACAAACAAATGGAAACACATCCCATGTTCATGGACAGGTAGAATCAATATTGTGAAAATAATCATACTACCAAAAGCAATCTAGAGATACTGCCAAAAGCAATCTAGAGTTCCAATGCATTTCCCATAAAAATACCACCATCTCATCACAGAACTAGAAAAAACAATCCCAAAATTCATATGAAACAAAGAGCCTGCATAGCCAAAGAAAGACTAAGCAAAAAGAACAAATCTGGAAGCATCACATTACACAACTCCAAATTATACTATAAGGCCACAGTCACCAAAATAGCATGGTACTGGTATAAAAATAGGCACCTAGGCCAATGAAACAGAATAGAGAACCCAGAACAAAAGCCAAATACTTAAAGCCATCTGATCTTTGACAAAGCAAACAAAAACATAAAGTGGAGAAAGGACACCCTATTCAACAAATGCTGCTGGGATAACTGGCAAGCCACAAGTAGAAGACTGAAACTGGATACTCATCTCTCACCTTACATAAAAATCAACTTAGATGGATCAAATATTTAAATATAAGACCTGAAACCATAAAAATTCTAGAATATAACATTGAAAAATTCCTTCTAGACATTTGCTTAGGCAAAGGCTTCATAATCAAGAACCTAAGAGCAAATGCCACAAAACCAAAGAAAATAGATGGGACTTAAATAAACTAAAAAGCTTCTGCACAGCAAAAGAATCAGCAGAGTAAACAGACAACCCATAGAATGGGAGAAATTATTCACAAATTATGCACCCAACAAAGGACTAAATCCAGAATCTACAAGGAACTCAAACAAACTAGCAAGAAAAAAACAAACAATCCCATCAAAAAGTGGGCTAAGGACATGAATAGACAATTCTCAAAAGAAGATATGCAAATGGCCAATAAACATATGAAAAAATGCTCAACATCACTAATGATCAGGGAAATGCAAATCAAAACCACAATGTGATACCATCTTACTCCTGCAGGAATGGCCATAATCAAAATATCAGAAAATAATAGACGTTGGCAGGAATGTGGTGAAAAGAGAACACGTTTACATTGCTGGTGGGAATGTAAACTAGTACAGCTATGGAAAACCGTTTGGAGATTCCTTAAAGAACTAAAAGTAGAACTACCATTTGATCCAGCAATCCCACTACTGGGTATTTACTCAGAGGAAAAGAAGTCATTATACGAAAAAGATACCTGCACATACATGTTTATAGCAGCACAATTCACAATTGCAAAAATTTGAAACCAGCCCAAATGCCCACCAATCAGCAAGTGGATAAAGAAAATGTGATAAATATGTACCACAGAATACTATTCAGACTTAAAAAGGAATGAAATAATGCCATTTGCAGCAACCTGTATGGAGTTGGAGACCATTATTCTAAGTGAAGTAACTTAGGAATGGAAAACCAAATATTGTATGTTCTCACTTATAAGTGGGAGCTGAATTATGAGGACACAAAGGCATAAGAATGATATAACGGACTTTGGGGACTCATGGAGAAAGGTAGGAAGGGGTGAGAGATAAAAGACTACCCATTGAGTACAGTGTACACTGCGCAGGTGATGGGTGCACCAAAATCTCAGAAATTACCACTAAAGAACTTATCCATGTAACCAAAAACCACCTGTTTCTCAAAAGGTATTGAAATAGAATAAATAAATAAAATTTTTAAAAATTGAATAGAAAT
This sequence comes from Homo sapiens, assembly GCF_000001405.40. NCBI lineage: Eukaryota > Metazoa > Chordata > Mammalia > Primates > Hominidae > Homo > Homo sapiens. The sequence goes on along the minus strand of NC_000009.12, from coordinate 2,433,641 downwards.
AGACATTTTTCCTAAGAAGATATACAAATGGCCTGTAAGTCCATTAAAGGGTACTTGACATAATTAGTTATCAGGGTATTGCAAATCAAAGCTACAATGAGATACCACTTCATACCCACTAGGATGGCTATAATTAAAAAGCTTTTTTTTTTTGAGATGGAGTCTTGCTCTGTCACCCAAGCTGGAGTGCAGTGGTGCAATCTCAGCTCACTGCAACCTCTGCCTCCCAGGTTCAAGCGTTTCTCCTGCCTCAGCTTCCAGAATGGCAGGGATTACAGGCACCCACCACCACACCTGACTAATTTTTTGTATTTTTAATAGAAACAGGGTTTTGCCATGTTTGCCAGGCTGGTCTCGAACTCCTGAGCTCAAGTGATCCGCCCACCTCAGCCTCCTAAAGTGCTGGGATTACAGGCACGAGCCACTGCGCCCAGCCTTAAAAAGGCATTTTTAAACAGTGTGGGTGAAATTAAAACCCTAATACAATGCTAATGGGAATAGAACATGTTACATCCGTTTTGGAAAACAGTCTGGCAGCTTCTAAAAAGGTCAAAAAATAGAGTTACCATGGTACCTAGCAATTGGACATCTAGGTGTATATCCAAGAAAAATAAAAACATATGTTCACTCAATCACTTGTACATGACTGTTCATAGCGGCATTATTGATAATAGCCAAAAAGTGCAAACAACCGAAGTGTCCATAAACTAATGAAGGAATGAATAAAATGTGGTATATCTGTACAATGGAATACTATTTGGCCATAAAGAGAAATAAGGTACTATACATGCTACAACATGAATGAACCTTGAAAACATTATGTTAAGAAAAACAAGCCAATCACAAAAGACCACACGTTGTATGATTTTATTTATATAAAATGTCCAAATTAGGTAAATCTATAGAGATGAAAAGTCACTTGATGGTTGCCTATGGCTAGGAGACTTGCAGAAAAATGGAGAGAGACTGTGAATTGTATGGGTTTTTTGTTTGTTTGGTTAATTGGTTTCTGGAGGTAATGAAAATGATCTAAAATTTATTATGATGATGGTTGTACATTATTCTATATGTTAAAAATATTTGACTTCTACACTTTAAATAGGTGAACTGTTCTGTATATGAATTATATAAAGCTGTTAAAGCTCAGCAAAGCTGTTATATATAAAAATTAAAGATAATTGGAAGATGTTTAATAAAATATGTGCACTTCTGTTTTAAGTTATTAAAATGTCCCAGAAACCAGCTCACAACTCCCTGGTCTTCTCACAAGCTCTGGGCTTCTCTGGAAAAATGGTCCACTGCAGTAAAGACTATTTTTAACCTTAAGTAATTAGAAGGAGAGCTAAAATCAGAATGTGGTCCAGTGAGATACCATCTCATGCCAGTTAGAATGGCGATCATTAAAAAGTCAGGAAACAATAGATGCTGAAGAGGATATGGAGAAATAGGAATGTTTTTACACTGTTGGTTGGACTGTAAATTAGTTCAACCATTGTGGAAGACAGTGTGGCGATTCCTCAAGGATCTAGAACCAGAAATACCATTGACTCAGCGATCCCATTGCTGGGTATATACCCAAAGGATTATAAATCATTCTACTATAAAGACACATGCACACACATGTTTATTGCAGCACTGTTCACAATAGCAAAGACTTGGAACCAACCCAAATGCCCATCAATGATAGACTGGATAAAGAAAATGTGGCACATATACACCATGGAATACTATGCAGCAAAAAAAAGGATGAGTTCATGTTCTTTGCAGGGACTTGGATGAAGCTGGAAACCATCATTCTCAGCAAACTAACACAGGAACAGGAAACCAAACACTGCGTGTTCTCACTCATAAGTGGGAGTTGAACAATGAGAACACATGGGCACAGGGAGGGGAACATCACACACCAGGGTCTGTCAGGGGCTGGGGGGCTAAAGGAGGGATAGCATTAGGAGAAATACTTGATGCAGATGACGGGTTGATGGGTGCAGCAAACCACCACGGCACATGTATACCTATGTAACAAACCTGCACGTTCTGCACATGTACCCCAGAACTTAAAGTATAATTTTAAAAAAAAATCCAAATGTGGTCAAACTTGTCTTCATTCTCTCACTCCTGGTGAAATGGGGACTGGCTCAGAGTTGGCCACTGAGAGTGACCAAAGGAGTGAGCATTGAAGTTTAGGGCAAGAGGGAATTTTATGATTACCTAAGGAGTGCCACATGAAAAAGTTTTTATTTTTGTGAGGGTTTCCCCCAAAGCAGAACTTGATACACAGTTTTGGCTTCAGGTAGTTTACTTGGGTGTTTATCTCAAGAAATACAAGTGGAGAAATGGATAAATTAAGACGCAGAAAGGAGAAAAGCCAAGGAAAGGTGCAATAAAAATTGAACTACTAATATAGGCTATTGGAGCTCAGCTCTGCTGAAGATGCTCCGAAAAAAGTAGAGTATACTTCAAAATTACCCTACACGAGTACAGGGGGACTGAGGCTTGTATCCACCAGTTTGCATCTCCCTCTGGCTGGAGACTACCTTTGGAGGTATTAATTTTCCTACACTTCTGAGCTGTGTCTGCTTGCTGTAGAACATGCTTCTGCTAAAAAATATCCTCAGGCTTAGAAAAAGAGAGAGAGTTGAGAGAGAAGCTGCCAGCTTCTGGTACTGACACCATAGCTGCAAACGATCTAGGTGAGTATGAGAATATGGTATAAGGAAGCATTATCTACTACGATGTCTCATGGTTAAACAACATAAATGGAAATGAAATCACCACCATTTTCCTGGCTCAGAAGGGAATTTCCAACTGGCCGTACCTGCCCCACCTTGATCTGAAGGCGTTTCCTCTCATTATCATCCTCCCCTCAAAAGGTGGCCAAATCCCTTTTTGTTCTGAGTGACTTATGAGTGTCTAGGACCTTTACATCAGCAGCTTGTCTACAGGAGATGGTCCATCTGGAACAGGTGAGAGGTTTAGGCAGAATCTCATGGGCAATGATAAACATCACTTCCATCCAGACTCTCAAAGTTCCATGGGTTAGTCGCTAGCAGTTTGCAGGTCACCCACATAGAAGAGGGACACATTGGCTTGGTGCAGAGCTTTCTCATAGCTTCTCGATGCATGAAAGATTTCCTGCAGCTTCTCAATGCATAAAAGGTTTCTTTTTCCCCATGTCAGTCCTCAGCTCTCCCTCTTTTTCCCTTACTCTGAGTCTTAGTTACTGAGATAATTCATTTTTCTCACTGGAATCTGAGCTTCTCTGTACCATTGACCAATTCATGAGTGGTAAAACAGTTTAATAACAGATTAATACTTGAATATATAAATTTCACCTCTCAAGATTAGGAAATGTCAGGTTAAAGTCTAGCAGATTTCCTTAGCATAGGAGTTATCAGAGCCTCTCTTATTGTTATGAGCCTCAGCTGTCCTCAAAGCAGTGGTTAAAGTTCACAGTATTTCCCAAATCTATTTGACCATAGAAGAGTTTTTCAAAGAGCACCTCATGAACCTAATGTTCTTTGGAACACACTTGGAGAAATATTGGTGTAGCACACTCCATCCATGTTACTGATGGGAAAATTGGGGTCCATAGAAGTGAAGTGTCTTGCTTAAGTCATGCTGTAAGTTATTGATGGAGCCAGAATTTGAAGCCAGGTCTCCTGTCTCTTAGGTGTTCTTTGCTCAGTAGAAGAAAAATGATCGTGGGTTTACCTTGTGATAAGTAGTTTGTGAATTATTCTTTCTCCGTTGTTGATGCATTTGAGAAGTGTCATCCTCCTTCTATATCAAAACCAGATGAATGAAGATGTTTACAACCATTCCAGTGATCAACTGTCAGATAGTAGGAGAAGGAGATAAATAAAGACAAGAGAAAAAAAAGGAGTTAAGACATAGGCAGGCTGGATGTGACAGAGGTGGCTTGCTGTCAAGCAAAACTTCCTGCTCCCTCCCTCATGTGGTAAGTTCTTATTAATGGAGGTGTAGGTGGGGTTTTAAGTAATAAAGATACTTTCTCCACCTTCTTGCCCCTCTACCATCTAAATGCTGAGAACTCAGGTCCTAGGGAATGGCAAACCATGCAACAGAAGGAAGCCTCCTATGTAAACCCACATATGGAAGAAAGCCTCTGATTGACCAGAGAAGACTCTTACATGAGCAAGAAATGTGCTTCTATTGTGTCAACAACTGAGTTTTGGCTTTGATACAGCAGTTCACATTGCCCTAGTTAATGTACTGGGAGGTGGAAGGAAATACGGGGCAAAAGAACAGATGAGAGATGTCAAAAAGTATGGATTGATGGGTCAAAAGTTAGGGGACACACAGCCATGTCATCTGAACCAGAAAAGAACCTGGAACCAAAAAAAAATCAGTCCTTTTGCTCGGGGACTGAGGGGACCAGCAGACACAGCATCCTTCACACCATGCCCTCCTTCACCCTGCCTTCATTCAATTGCTAAACGTGCCTCGTTCTGCTAAGTGTTCAGGTGGTATCTACTTCTCTCCATTCTCACTGGCAGTACCTGGGTGGTCATCTTCATCTGTTGGCTGGATTATTTCAATACTCTGTAACTAGTCCTATGTTCTGTTAGTCACCCCTTTTTCCCCTCACAGATCCATTCTCCATGCTGCAGCCGGAATCATCTTCCTAACACACAAATGGGATTATGACCCACTCCTTAGGCCCTGGCTTGAACCCTTCAATTAATTCTCAGTGTGATTACAATAAAATTCAAAACTCTATGTGGCCCTGCATGATATGGCCTGTGTTTCAGCTGTCACCTCTCCAGTCCTTAGACTCTGTGTTTCAGCCACTGTGAACTTCTTTTGGCTCTCTGAGTGGGTCACACTTCTCTTGCCTCTTGTCCATCACATAAGACACTCCCACTTCCCAAATGTCCTTCCCCTTCTCTCCTCTCCATGTGCCTTCCTACCAACAGTTTGACTCCCACTCAACCTAGCTGTCACCTTTTCTGGGAAGTTTTCTCTGACATATTCAGACTGAATTAACTTCTTATTTTCTGTCTGTCCTTAGTACCCTGTTCATTTCCCTATCAAAGCACTGTCATACTCTACTGAATTTTCTGTCTGTATCTTTGGTTAGACTGATGCTTGAGGGCAGAAACACCTCAATCACCATTAAATCTGAGCACTTCATGGATATTTGGTACAGAGAAGATGTTCAGTACTTTTTTTTGCTTGTTTTTTAGCTGGGTGGATGGGTGGGACAAATACCTGTTTGATACAAGCCAAAGAAAAGGTCATACATAGGCAATAAGCAATGTTGGTTAACCATTAGTGAAAATAGAATCACATTTTTTTCATACATTTATTTATTTATTTAATCTGATCCATAAATATCTTTTAACATATGATTTTCCAAAGTTGCTGTGTTTGACTCTTTTAAAGGATTTGACTGATTTGCTTAATTATTTGTTTGTTTGTTTGTTTGTTAATATGTGAGTAGACAAGCCAGCACATCTTTCTCACTCTCTACAAGCCAGGACTGGAAGAAATCTGGTTGTTGGCTTAGGAGGGATGAACCACGCACTGGGTTAAGACCTTGGCTCTGGAGTCAGAGCGTCTGAGTTTAGTTCTGCCATGTGATTTACCAACCATGTGATCTCAGGTGATGAATTAATGTTTCTGAAGTCCTTATCAGAGTGCCTAGTACATATTAAGAATGCAACAGTGGGTAGCAATATCATCAATGTTATATTCTCCACAAAAATTAACTTTATCATTATCCTTCCTTAATATTGTTGTTAGACTGTGACTGACGCATCACGGGGGGCGGGGGTTGTACACTGTGTGCAGGAAAAGTAACCAGAAACATCAGCCCTATGAGATCATCAGGAAAGACCTAATGCTTCTCACTGGACAGACAAGAAAACCCACACTCAGCAGGGTTAGGAGACCTTCTCCAAGTCACGTAGCTAGTAAGGGCAGAGCTGAGAGTCAAACCAGAACCTCTGATTCCAAAGCCAGTTCTCTTTCCACTACACTGCACGGCCTCTGGGTGTTAGCATTTCCAGGTCCCACCTACTTCCAAATATCTAAGGTCAAATAGGACTTTGGATTCCAAATATGCACACTGGGACTGCCTGTTCCCTTCTCTCCATTCACAGGTATGTGGCATTGTGGGCCCATGGGGCATTCTGCCCAGGCTTCAGAGCTCTCGGATGTGCCTCCCTTCCCCAAGCTGTCTTCTCTGTCAAGGGCACAGAGTGGTTCCCATAGAGACCAAAGTAACCTTTCACAGAGTTGTTTCTGCGTCTCTCCCTGGGAATGGGCTGGGATTGCTATCAATCTCTTGCACTTCAGAAGTCCAGAGAAACCAAGGCTTTTGTGCTTTGTAGACACATGCCACAAAAACTGAGCACACTTACCAACTGAACAAACATCAGAGTGTGCCAAATCTCTAAAGTCCGATTCTTAGTGCAAACTGCCAAAGCAGGTAACACTTACAGTACTCAGAAGGTCATAAATCGTCTAAGCTCGATAGCACCTGAGGCCTCTTCTAGTCTGAACTATTTATTTTGCAAAGGAGGAAATATGGGCATAGAAATGGGCAGGAACAAATGTCCAGGCTTTGGTGATAGTGGTTGTGGGGTGTCTCCTGGGTCCCATTCCGTCATCCTTCTCATTACACCCATATACGTCTTCCTGGAGCCTCATCATAATTGGATACCCCTTACAGAGACCAGCTGCCTGAGACATAGACACCTGCTCAGGACGTTGGCTATCACTATGGGGAGGCATTTTGACACAGGCCATTGTTAGTGATTGGGAACACCTCCTAAAAATGAGATGGTCTGAAGGGGTCCCAGTACTTGGGGGCTGTGTGTAATAGGAGCCTTAAGAGAGGCTCCTAGACTATCTCTTGATTGCCTGTATTATATTTTGTGAGAATGTAAACCTACCTCACTATGAATTTTAGCAAAATAAAATTTAAAAGAAAACAACCAAATGAAAAGAGGTGTCATACAGAAAAGAAGTATGGACAATTCTAGCGATGTTTCAAGAATAGTGTTCATCACTGGTTCTCCAGTACACAGAGAAATGTGCTGGAGAGGTTCATTAGGATTCTTGAGTCAAGCCAAAGGCTACAATCAGGCATGTGGTTTCAGGCATCCAGTAGCAGAGGTTAGCTCTAGAGTGGGGCCGGAAATAAACATTGCCCCATGTACCTACCCTACCCTTAGCTTAGTGCCTCCCAGTAGGTGGAAGGGAAATCTTAAGGAACCAAGATGGGTTGATCAATTCCAGGAAGCTTTGATGTTTTCAAAATCCCATAGGATATTGAAGTCATAGAACTTCCCAGGGGGTTCCTGAACCAGAATTCGCTTCAATCAGACAGACAGGGAACATATCTACTGTCCTCTGTTCTCCACATTTTCTCATCTTCTGAACCTCCACTTCCAGTCCTAAATCAGAGATAGGCAACTCCCTGCAGTACGGCGATACCACATGCCAGAGGGCTAAAGGAGTTCTCTCTATTGCACAGGACCATTCACAGGCAATGGAGTGAGTCTGAGGGGGATCTGAAGGGGAAAATTGCCTTTTGAGCATACTAAATTCCATCCCATTTAAGGCAGGAGACAGTGTCTCTTTATTCTTAAGCTTCCATTATCCTCCTTGGTACCCAGTGCGTGGAAGAGACTGAATAAACATCTGACGGATGACTAGGTAAATGAATGAATGAAAGAATAAAGTGAGTGTTTGAGTTAGTTAGAAAAAGAGTGAACTATATAGGCTAGAGAATGACTGCCAAAAAAACCACAAGGGCATTGCAAAATCTCCATAATACACACATAAATGTTCATGCATTCTATGATGGAGAAAGAAGTTCATCTGTTTATATAATTCCTATCAAAACTGTATTTCCTCTTATGTTTTTTACTTTCTTGAACTCTTTAAAACAAGAAACTTTTAACTCTTTTGTTCTCTGAACATTTAAAATAACTTTTTGGTGTTATTTCTTTCGTTTTTTCTAGCCAGTGAAATATTTATCCCAATGAGCTGTTTTTCACTTAACCTTGCTTAGTGTCTTTGTCTGTAGTCACCACTTGGCCTTTTCACTACTATATGCATTAACACCCAGGTAGGAAAGAGACAAATGGAAGCAAAATAGCAAAATGGTGAAGAGGAGGGTTCTAGAGGCAGAGAGCCCTGCAGTCCTGAGTCCTGAGTCCACCGTTTAACAGAGTGACTTTGCTCAGCCTGTGGATTATAATGAAACTTGCCTGTAAGTATGATTATGAGTAGTCCTGTAAGGATAATTCATTGCATTGTGTTAATCACACAGTGAATGATCAATGAATTTTAGTTACTGGTATCATTATATTGAATTGCTATACTACTGTATTACATTAAATCATATTGTATCATATCAATCATATCATCTATTATATATCAGTAGCATATCGATCGTGGCCTTGTAAAACCAGTGTCTACGGATGTGTTGAACAAAGCCACATCCTCCACAGAGTCCTCCTCCAATCACCTCCTTAACTTTCTTCCCCAGATTGAGATCGCACCTTATTTCTCTCTTATGTAAATTCTGAAAGTAGTACCCAGTGGTCTTCAGGGAGAGAAATCTTGTTTTTTCTCTGAAACAACATTCAGCTACACCCATGGCTGGGCTCTCCTGGCCTTCCCTACATGTGTCCCCCTCCCTCTCATTCAGGAGAGGCCATTTGAGTTCAGAGTCCTGATGTGAGGCTTGCGTTTGAGGAAGGAAAACCACTTCAAATCTCATTTGTTGACCTGACTTTCACCCTTCCCCTCCAGCATTCCAAACTCCCACTCACATCAACAAGCTAGAATTTTAAACTTGGTTGGAATTGTAAAAGCTTGAGGTTATTAGAGCTCAAGGATAGGGCAGGAGCTGAGTCTGACAGCTTGTTTTACTCTCCGCACTGAGGCAATCAAGGCCAAGGCAGTGTCAGGGAAAGGCCAGGTTTTCTTGTAGCCTTGGGCTGTTGGCCTTATGCTAGGGAAGGGAGGTGGAGCTGAAGATTTGGCATCAAATTAGAAAAAATAAGGTACACTGATTCACTCAACTCTGTGCTTAACCCTGTGGCAAACACGTTGGTTAACTTCTCCTCTGCTCTTCTTTTCACCTTCTTTAGGTTATAGGATCCAGTTTTTTAGGTGGTAGCAACATGCTCAAGGAAGATGCAGCCCCTTCCTCCAGCCTGAGAGAATAAAGCATCATTGGCTTATGCCAACCATGGCAATCCCATTCCCCTTTTCTCATGATTGATTTGGGAATGGGCAAGTGACCCAGTTCTAACCAATGAGACGAAAGAAAAAGTCTATTGGTCAGCTTATCTCAGAAGATTTTTGTTTCCTGCTATAAAGAGAAACAGTAAGTTCCTTCCTGCCTGACTTAAATGCAATTGTGTGCAAACATGTTACTTGGAGCTACAGCAACGATTCTGTGACCATGAGGCAATAAGCCAAGGACAAAGGATAGAATAGTGAAAAGACAGAGTATTGGATTTTTTTTATGATATCATTGAACTGCTGGACCAATGTGGAACCATCTACTTTTAGTCTTTCATGATTTGTGAGATGATTAAACATTTCTTTTTTTTAGCCATTATTTCTTTTCTGTTACTTGCAACTGAAGACATCCTACATAATACAAACACTATCCAACTTGGATTGTAATTTATCTATTTTCAGATCTGTGTGTTCTGTCTTACTGATTTTTGTATTCTTAGCACTGAGTATAAGGCTGCTACTTAGTAAGACTTCAATAAATGACTGTTTAAAAAGGTCTTAGAGGATTTAAAAAAAATTCTGAAGTTGCTGAAATATGAAGACCAGGAACCAATTTCAGGTTCTATAAATTTCTCGCTTCCTTCACTTCTGGAGTAGTCTTCATTTCTGTCTGATTCTACCTTTACTAAAATGAATGAATGATTGAGAAATACGAAAAATGGCTGGTATAGTGGCTACTGCTGAGAAGTATCTCTTGGAAATTCCCGGAAATTCCATCAGTCACATTCAGACCTAACTCTCTGATGATCAATGTTTCTGAACTCAAACCAGTGTACATAAGCAGTGGACTATTTAAAGTGGTATTAGCCTAGAATATCTAGGACCCATGTTTTATGCATTCAGTAAGCGTTTGTTTAATGTCTGTTATCTACCAGGCACATTATTATGCATTGGGCATATAGAGATGACCAACCACACGGCCTCAATCCTTGAAAAGCTTACAGTAACCAAATAGGGTTAACGGCCTAAAGAGAGGTAATTACAAGTCTTACACTCAGTCTTCTTAGCATAGTATGGTGCTACCTCTGAGTTAATTAAGATAACAAAATTCCTAGATATATATCTTTGATGAAACGGTTTCCATGAAAACTTTCCAAGTTTGGTCCCTCCCCGGCTGAGTTCATTTTGGAAGGTGACTTTCTGCTCTCATCACCTAAGGTCCTTAACACGTATCCTGTGTTCTCCGGAGGCACCCCTTGCCCAGAGTGTGCCCTCTGCATGGTTCCCCCAGAACACCTATTTCAAAGGAAAAGAAGTTGGATCATTCAGTGAAGATTTGGGGGGCCACTTTTCTACGTGGGAGGATTATGAGTATTACCTTCCTCCCCTATGTATTAGTAAATATAAAGAAAACATAAATTAACCCCCTTTCTGGCTGGGCACGGTGGCTCACGCCTGTCATCCCGCACTATGGGAATCCGAAGTGGGCGGATCACTTGAGGTCAGCAGTTTGAGACCAGCCTGGCCAACATGGCAAAACCCCGTCTCTACTAAAATATAAAAATTAGCCAGATGTGGTTGCACACATCTCTAGTCCCAGCTACTCGGGAGGCTGAGGCACAAGAACTGCTTGAGCCTGGGAGCAAGGGTTGCAGTGAGCTGAGATTGTGCCATTGCACTCCAGCCTGGGTGACAGAGCAAGACTCTGTCTCAAAAAAATAAAATAAAATAAAAATAATTTAGACCCCATTCTTCTTAGATAACCATGACTTCTGAAGGAGGTCAGAGCTCTTGTGCTCTGCATCTCTGCTCCATCAGCCTCAAGGCCACCTTTCAGGTCCACATGAAATATAAGTGCACAAAGGCACCAGACTTAGCATTATTAGTTTCCCCCACTGGTCTGATTTTTGTAGAAATTGCCAGGAACTGATTTTCTGCCCTTCCTTCCTAACAGACAAGCCTTCCAGCCCTCCCTGACACAGCTCTTCCCTATCTCCTACTCTCTGGTCATCAAGCTTTTAGAGATGCCCTGGCCTTCTCTAGTTGCCCCAGCTGTATTTTTTCTTCTTGGGAATGCGTTGATTCCAGAGCCTGACTGGGAATAAATCTCAGCTCCTCCATTTAGCAGTTATGGGATTCAAGTTACTCTTACTCCCAGGGACTCAGTTTCTGCACCTGTAAAATGGAGATTTACCACCTTTCGTTCCAGCATTACTGATATTGTTTGGCTCTGTGTCCCTACCCAAATCCCATCTCGAAAATTAATCCCTATAGTCCCCACCTGTTGAGGGTCCTGGTGGGAGGTAATTGGATCCTGGGGGCGGCTTTTCCCATGCTGTTCTCGTGATAGTGAGTAAGTTCTCACGAGAGCTGACGGTTTTATAAGTGTTTGACAGTTTCTCCTTCACACGCTCTCTCTTCTGTCTCCTGCCATCATGTAAGATGTGCCTGCTTCTCCTCCTCTCATGATTGCAAGTCTCCTGAGGCCTCCTCAGCCATGAAGAACTGTGAGTCAATTAAACCTCTTTCTTTTATAAATTACCCAGTCTTGGGTATTTCTTTGTAGCAGTGTGAAAACAGACTAATGCAATTACCATAATGGGCTTTCAATTGATGAACTTGCATCACTGACTCCTCAACACGCAGCTGACTTCCTACTGTAATTGTTCACCATGCAGACATTTGTGGAGCCACAAGCATAACCATCATGGTATTTAAGATTCGTTCTGTATCTGGATTTATGCAGTTTATGAAAAATCATCAAACTGTCCTTATTATTGGTGTCTTTTTTCTGTATATATGTTATGCTTCAATAAAATATTTACTTAAAATTATTTTAGGTATGTTAAACTCACTACACCAGACAGGGCTTACCTTCTCACTCTGCTGTCTTTATCCCTCTCTCTAATTAAAAGGATTACACATACATCTGTACTTGTTTTAGAAGAATAACACAGAACAGCAAAATTTAAAAATTAAAAATTATCCATTTCCATTCCCAGCACACAGAGACAATCATCACTACTATTTTAGAAGGTGCATATCATATTTTACAATAAAAAAGAAATAATGTTAATAAAGTTTTATAACCTTTTGATATAATCTGCCTGTAAATTCCAGAATATTGTTTTTAAAGGCTGCATTATGTTCAGTTCAATGGGTATAGCACAATTATTTAACCAATCCCTACCGTTAGAGATATAGATGGTTCTGGTATTTAGCAATGCTGCCATGAACAGCTTTGGAGCTAAATCATTGCATTGCATTGGAGTTTCACTCCGCTCAAATTTCAGTTATTCACACCACTCCTTCCAGACTCCTTTAGGATTCTTGGTCTTGAGGGAATTCACAATCGCTTTATTATGCACTACATCTTCTGGACTTTTCTTCTGAAAGGTTTATGTCCCACTGAAACAAATAATGGGCTTGATAGAGCCATTTTCAAAGATAGGACGGGAAGGAACAGAGGCGCTTTGAATCACAAAACCCATTTGCTGGAGTAAGTGGGCACAGGGGACCTTAGGGCTCTCAGACTCCTGCCTTGCTGAGGGCTGATGCAGCTTAGGAGCCCTGTGGCACCTTACAGTGGTGTTTGCTTCCTGGGTGTTATTTGCAGTGTTTCTATGGTGCTAATGACTGCAAATTGCTAATGGCTGTGAAAAGCTAATTGTTGTGCAAGGTGTTTCTCTCTGTCCCAATTGCCAGGGGAGTGCACAGTCATGGTTAAACAGAGACTCATTAGCACCTCTGACATAGTCCTCCTGGGGAATCCTCAAAGCAGCCTGGAAAATAACCAAGTCTCCACCATCCAGAGCCAGGCGGCTTTGTACGTGGCCCGCAACAAAAAACAAGGGAGGCAAAGATCTAGGAAACACCACCCAGAAGGAAACAAAGGAAGCTGGAATGGTGTGTGATGTGCTTCAGCTGGTGAACTGAAGAAGTAGAAAGGACGTGGTCTTTGTAGGCAAGTTTCCTAAATTAATACCAATGCAGTGGCTAGGAAGTGCCAGGCACTATGCTCAGTACTTCACGGCTTTTTCTCTTTGAATCACACCCACTTTTCAGAGGACTACACTGAGGCTCAGAGAATGAATAATTCTGCTCCCCACCCCGCCACACACACACACACACACACACACACACACACACACACACGGAGAGAAAGAATTTGACTGCTAAACTTAATTCGTTATGTTCCCTAAATACTTCATGAAAGTTGGGCTGTTTAAAAAACATACTAGCAACAAGCCCACATTGGTGCATGAATGTTATTCTTCTCCTGTATTCCTATAAGTAAGGTGCAATGTCTCTGCTTCCACTGATATCCTGTATTCTAAGCTATCCACTTTAAAAAATCTATTTGGTTGATTATATATTATTTCCCTGTCCTTTGACTTGAGTTTAACAATTCCCCTGATAAGGCAAACTTAGGCATAATAATGTTTGTTTGAATTCATAGTGCTACAATTTTTACAAACTCTTTTTTTGCTTCTTTATAGACTCATTAGATTAGAATTTTTCAGCTAGAGGTATGGGCTTCAGAATGGCCTACTCCTTCCGCCACCCCCCAAGTTCTTTAAATGTGCCTTGAAACCTGTGCCTTCCCTTTTCCCAGGCACTAAAACCGTTTGTTGCTTTGTGCAACACACCAAGTTGTGTTTCCAACTCCACACTTTTTCAAAAACAGATTGAATCAAAAACAATAGAAATTGATGGAGTAGCTATGTCTGCAATTGCCATAAGACTGTTTGCTCGAGTTCATCCTGCACACTCTTTGAAAGACAAAGTAGAGGGGCCATTCCCAAAGGAATGGCAGTCTGCTAACACAGTACAAAGGAAAGAAACACTGGAAAGCAAAACACTGCCATTTACAGTCGCAGGAAAGTTGCCTGGACAACACAGAGACTCAGGGGATGAAGAACTGACCTCACCTGCCATCTTTCCCATCCTTTTTCCTGCCTCATTAGCTTAACAGAGATAGCAGGTGCCTGTATTGACTTGAGTATTAACAGGGCAAAGAATTAGCACTAAAGTTAATGTTAAACTCTCAATCAACTCAATTGATTCAATAATGAGATTTGGCGTGGTCAAAAAAATTTAAAAACAGAGGAGTTTACATTATTTCCAGCTCCCCAGGAAGCGAGATGTGCTGCTTACAGCTGATGAACTATTCCTGACAATTATTCTAAGTGGAAGACAGTGCAGTAAGAGAAGTTGATGCAAATGATGTCATCTGAAAGTTAAGAGAGAAAGCAAAGGGGCAAACTCCTCAATTGGTAAGAAAATGGTCCCTCCAGAGAGTCAATCCCATTTGGTGCTATCAGATCTCAGTCCAGGATGGGTTACTTCAACTCAGGTTGAGCACAAAACAGCCCCTGCCATTCCTGCTGGTCACCATGCACCAGAGCAAAATGAGGACAGCCTATTTCCAGTGTTGCTGAGCTGACAGTTGCCAATAGCTGTCACCCCCTGGTTGAAAAGACAGGACCGTCATGTGAGAAGGCCCCTCCCTTGCTTGCATGTGGGAAATGCAAGGTCTTCCTCCAGCAGCTGAGCTCAGGGTCAGAATAGGAGCAACCATTTGAAAAAGACTTCAGTAAGCTGGATGTATCTTTGTGGTTTCTTCTTGCTGGGAGTTTGGAACAAGGCCAAAGACATTCATAATTCCTGGAAGAACATCACCCTCCTGCTGTGTAAATGAGAACCATTTAGGAGAGAAACAATGGTAATCTCCTCCCCTAAATCTGTTCTCGTCCTGAATTTCTTTTTTTTTTTTTTTTTTTTGTGAAAGGCTCTACCTACCATCATTTGCCTAAGCCAGAAACTCAGCACTTACTCAATACCTCCTTTCCCTTCAACACAGTAATTCAATTTCTGAATCTGGTGGTGGTTTATACCTCTTTAATATTCCTTGCATTTTCTCTTCTCCCTTCTCACTTGTTCTTCCCTGGTTTAGGATGCTATCTTTTCTTGCTTGAATTACTGTCTACAGTAGTCATCCAAAGGTCTCTCAGCTCCTAGGCTTGTCACCCTTTACGCCACAGCATGACTTTTTAAAAATCCAAATCTGATCAGTAAACAGTCAGTTTACTGTTGAAAATATTTGAGAATGCTCCAAAGCTTTAATGATGCAGTTCACAGCCTTTAGCTTAGCATAAGCAAAATGTGAAGAGCAGACATTTTACCCATCTTGTTTTGGTAGAGTGTAGAAGCTCTTGAACCACAGGTAATGTCTAGTACTATTTTCTTGTGGTGGTAAGAGAACAGAGAAGGGCTACTCAGGTGCTGGCTATGTGGTTAGACATAAGAATTATGTGTGATAGACGTATGAATTATGGTACTATGAAGCCAAAGCTAGGGTGAGAAGTTCCTCTCCAACAAGAGTTATATTATAAACTGAATGTTTGTGTTCCCCCAAAATTTATATATTGAAATCTTTATGCCCAAGGTGATGACATTAGGCGGTGAGATCTTTGGGAAGTAATTACGTCATGAGGGTGTGGTTCTCATGA
Organism: Homo sapiens; assembly: GCF_000001405.40. Lineage (NCBI taxonomy): Eukaryota > Metazoa > Chordata > Mammalia > Primates > Hominidae > Homo > Homo sapiens. The sequence goes on along the minus strand of NC_000009.12, from coordinate 2,417,901 downwards.
ATGGGATCAGTGCCTTTATAGAAGGGACCTTAGAGAGCTCTCTCGCTGTCTTTCTACCACATGAAGTTACAATGAGAAGCTGACTATTTGCAACCCAGAAGAGGGACCTCCCCTGAACTTGACTATGCTGGCACCCTGATCCTGGACTTGCAGCCTTAAGAACTGGGAGAACTTAATTTTATTGTTTATAAGCTGCCCAGCCTGTATGGTGTTAAAACAGCTTGAACAAAGACAAGTTGAAATAAGATAATAGGATGACCAGTTAAACTTGAATTTCAGAAAAACAATGAATAATGTTTTTTGTAGATTAAGTATGTTGCATGTAGTCTTTGTTTATCTGAAGTTTGAAATAACTGTTTTTTTATTTGCTAAATATGGTAACCTTATACCATAGCATTGGCTGTAGGGTGGAAGACAAGGGTGAGGGGAACTTTCAGGAGAGTCTGTAGGGGAAAGCTAAAGGCCAATATAAGGAAAAGGACTGCCAGTTAAATACAGCAGATAAAGACACAGGTGAATGTCAACTCCATCCAGAAAATCTCCAAAATAATAGATAATAAAAAACATAAATTATGAAGGAAATGGGAATAGAACATGAAAGTAGATGATAGATTTCAAAAAAATTTGGAGATACAAAGTAATACACACATGGCAACCTACTTAGCATAGGGGAGAAAGATTGAAGAGGAGAGAAGCTGATTAAGCTGCAAAAATATGGAAAGTCTCAGAAATGAGGGGCACTGGGATCCTTAGAAGACATTGAGGTGGGGAATGATTAGTCGAAAATCTATATAAGAAGAGGGTGGTGCCTGATGCCTTCCCTACATCATGCTTAGAGGAGGTGAGAGGTTTACTGGGAATATGAACCTGAGAGCTCCCAGAGTTAAGCACATGAGGCAAAGGAGATAGTGGAATGCTGTGCTAAAAAACACAGTAATTAAATAAAAGCCTACCTTGTAAACGGTGAGATCCCCACTTCTGTTCCTATGCCGCTGGGTTTTCAGATGGCTGACATCCTGACTTAACAGAAAACCCACGGATATTTGCAAGCAATTCGCCAAGAAAATTATTGGTTTCTAACTAATCAAACCATCCCTGTCCAATGTACATAGATCATCCATTCAGCTTCGTAGTGACAGATTCTTAGCCAAAAAGAGATAGCCAGGGATGGCTAATAGTTAAGGAAAACTTTTCTAAAATGAGAGACCCCAAACTAAACAAACAAAAAAAAGGCAAAAGGTACTTGGAAGAAAGAAAGGGCCTATAAGAAAATTTCAAAAAATGTGATTACTGTTCTTGGAGAATAATATAACATTTTACATCAATGAAACAATAATGGGATGCTATTTTTAAAATACATTCAAAGCAAGAAAAACAGAGAAGTAAAATATAGAAATAAAACACTCAGTAAATAACTGAAAGAAAACGTTAAAGAAACCCCAGAAAGTAGAACAAATGATTAGAGAGATGATAGGAAGGACATAAAGTTAGATGTGTAGTGCAGAAGATCAAACATCTGTTTAATAGAAATTCCAGAAAGAGAAAAGAGAGAAAATAGAGGATGAAATTATTAAATAAGAATATACATCTCCAGTTTGAAAGGTCCCACTAAGTGCTTAAAACTGTGAATTTAAAATTAACAGCATACCTGTGTGAATGTACTTAATGCCACTGAACTGTACACTTAAAACTGGTTAAGATGGTAAATTATTTCATCTGTATTTTACCGTAATGAAAACAACAACAAAAAAACCACCAAGGTAGAGAGTCATTGATACCAGCGACACATAGAGGATCCCCAAAACTTTGAGGATCAATTAGGAAGAAAAGAGGACTCACATAAAATATCAAGAACCAGAAATAGCATTTGACTTCGGTCACAGTGAAAGTTATTAGGTTGGTACAAAAGTCACTGTGGCTTTTACCATTACTTTTAGTGGTAAAAGCCACAGTGACTTTTGCGCCAAACTAATAGAAATAATTGGGCAATGCCTTCAGAATTTTGAGGGCAGTCCAGGCGTAGTGGCTCACGTCTGTAATTCCAGCACTTTGGGAGGCCGAGGCAGGCAGACTACTTGAGGCTGAGAGTTCAAGACCAGCCTGGGCAGCATGGTGAAACCCCATCTCTACTAAAAATACAAAAATTAACAGGGCATGGTGGTGCATGCCTGTAATCTCCAGCTATGCGGGAGGCTGAGGCAGGAGAATCGCTTGAACCCAGGAGGCAGAGGTTGCATTCCCATCACGCCACTGCGTTCTAGCCTGGGCAAAAGGGTGACACTGCCTCAAAACAAAAGAAAAAAAAGAAGTTTGGGGAAAAATTACTTCCAGAGAACTCCACCTCTTGGCAAATTCACCTGTTTCTCGGCACCAAGTAGTGGTTAATAGTAAACTCTTAGGTAAATATTTGGTAGATGGAGGAATGCATGGATAGTCTTAAAGAAAAATTAATGTTACCCAAATTCGTAGCCACAGGAAGAGGTTTCACACTCCATATTGAATCTGGATGCAAAAAAAAAAAAAAGAGAGAGAGAGACAATTTTATCCTGAATCTCTCCCAAGTAACAAAATTCTTATGTTCATTTACTCAACAGGTATCTACTGAGTACTGTGCCCTACACTCTACTAAGGCCTATATCAGGAGTCCCCAACCCCTGGGCCACAGACAGGTACCTGTTGGTGGCCTGTTAGGAGCCACGCCACAGATCAGGAGGTGAGCAGGGAGCCAGCAAGCATTACCACCTGAGCTCTGCCTCCTGTAAGATCAGCCACTGCATTAGATTCTCATAGGAGTGGGAATCCTATTGTAAACTGCCCAGGCAGGGAATCCAGGCTGCGTGCTTCTTATGAGAATCTAATACCTGATGATCTGAGGTGGAACAGTTTCATCCCGAAGCCATCCCATCCCACCTCACTGGTCCATGGAAAAATTGTCTTCCACGAAACCAGTCTCTGATGCCAAAAAGTTTGGGGATCACTGGTATATACGGAATATTAGATAATGCATTCTGCCATTGAATGTCTTTAAGTTTAGTTTGGGAGAAGAGAAACATGTGTGTATTAAATCAATACTAGAAGCACTATATAGCAATATAAGAGATGTCACAATGCAAGATAAAATCTAGTGTCAAGGTAGAATTCCAAACAATGAGTCAAGAATGGGCAATTCACTATGGGCTAGAATACTCAGAAGAGGACTTACGGAGGAGGTAGGACTTGAGCTGACTTTTAACAGATAAGATTAGGTCAGTAGAGAAAAATGCAACATTCCAGCCAGGGAACAAAGAGGACAAAGCTGAGATTCAGGCAGACTCTGGATGGAGCAGAGTTGGTGTCAGGCATGGTGGGTGGTGAGATTTCAACTGGCAGGGACACACATTGAAGGGCCAGAATACCACGCCAAGAGGGTTGGGTTTTATAATGGGGAGCCATATGTGATGCCTTCCCTAAACTCTAGTTCTTCCTGATTATAACCACACAGAATCAGCAACTCCTTCCATTATATTTTCATAACCTCCTATACACATTTCCAATAGCCTACATATCATGGTGAATGATGGTGATCTGTTTATGTGGCTGCCTTCCCCACTAGGCCAGGAGATCTTGAGAGCCAATGCTTTCTTTACCATTAATGTTGCACTGCTAAGCACAGTACTATGGGCTTAGAACATACTTTTGAAGGAATAGAGTGAAAGAATGGTAGAGGCTGAGACAGACTCAGTGTAGGGAGAAATGTATGTTGCTGTTTCTATGTATCTCTTTCTGTCACCGCCTCCTGTAGTCACCAGAACTCCTCCTTATATCCTAGAGCTATGAAAACTCTAGTCCTGGGGAGAAACATGGGTATTTCATGCTTCTAACTATTCATGTGTCAGTCCAGAATTAGAACCTAAAGTAATCCCACCAGTCTCAGGCCCCATGCGATTATTTATTGACAGTACTACTTGACTCTGAGAATGACTGCCCTGTCCTGACACATGCTTCAATGAAATTGGTTCCCCAAATCCTGCAAAACAGCTTAATAAAGTAAACAGAACCCCTACCCACCCACTTCCTTTTGGCTCAAGAGAGGTCCCTCCTCTCTACATAAATATATATGGCTTCTCAATACTTCAGGCTTTAGCCTTAACTCCCAGGTTGGAGAATTGTGCTGCCAATTTAACATCTGTCAATTCCCAATGCCTCACCAAGGCCATCTAGCAGTAGGAGCCAAGTGTCTGCTTTAGATTTCCAAAGCAGCCTTCTTTGCTCTGCTAGGAGCTCTGCACACTCCTGGGAAGTCACAGGAGCTACATAAACATGGCTCAGGTGACGTTGTGCGTACGATGCTGGGAGGGTTGACCACATGATTTCTCAGCATCTCTAATTTCTGTAGTTACCACTGGAGGGGATATAACCTACATTCACTTCTAGACAATGTACCACAAAAGAGTCTTTTTAAAATATCTTAAAGATTAGTACATCATCTTGTTTTCCCTTAAGCAATACATACACAGCTCCTAGCAGTTACAGCTTTGTGAGTTCTATCCTGAAACGGTACCACAGCCAAATGTAATTAAAATGAACTATGCTTTGTTTCTCCCCTGCCTCCCACCTCAGAATTACTCCATATTTCTTTCCTTATGAATCAGGAAACAGCTGGTAAATCAGTTCATTCTTTTTATTCCTTCTATCTCAAGCTCAAGCTGGGAAGGCCTTGTTAGCATAAACTTCTTTTTCTAAATAAGTAGTTCTCTGCATTCATTCTTTCAGTAATGTATTGAACAATTACACTGAGTAAAAAAAGCTTTTCTTAGAAAGACACAAAAATAAATAAGACACAGTTTTTACCCTTGAACAGCGCATGAGGGAAGACAGACATAAATGAAGAATTATAATATAATGTGAAAAGTACTACTGTAGAAGTGTTTACACTGTGCTGGGGAAACCTAGTTATCACAGACGAGCCACATCCAGGAATGGTGAAGAAGCCATTTCAGAGGAAATAACATTTAGTCTGGGTCTTATAGTCAGGGGTTGCTGACGGGGAAGGACCTTCTAGTTCAGGCAAATAGTCCATGCATTTGTACGCTGGTGTAAAAGGTTTCACTAAGGGCATGTCTTAAGAAAGTTTAGTAACAATCAACTAATGGAATCATGATTTACTCACTGAAATGCTTAATTGAGGATGACATTCTTTCTCTTGGCCTTTTGGTCTCCTGGTCAGCTGGCTCTTCTCAGAATAAGGGACTTAATGACTTGATTACATGTTATGAAAGTTACATTCATAAGTGGCCTTATTTGTAAGGTGTTCATATAGTTTGCCCAGGAAAATACCATTTTATGCTAGTTGTCCTAGTATAAATGGTAACAGTGCCCTCTTTCATGATCAAATGTCTCTATGCTTAGATAGTAAATAACATGACTGCTCTACTTATTTGAAAAATAAAATGCATAAAATATTTATCTGACCAAGAGAATATGACTTTCTATTGGTGGATCCAATCATCTTGCTTCAGAGACCAAAAATGGTTTCATACTTCTAAGAATAAAACATCTTTTCCAAGATAGATTACTTATAGGCAGTGGGCAGACTTAATGAATAAAAAAGTCCTTCCAAAGCACATAACTCTGTAATTAGAAGAGATTTCTCCCCTGATTCTTTTGAGCTAAGAGACAAACAAACAAGAAAACCCTTGCCTCTTCTCCCACCTAGCACCATTTCTCATAGGCTAACAGAGGAGAATATTTAGTGTTTACAGGAAATGCAGTAGCAGGTTACCACTGAAAGAAATGCCCTTTGTCTTCCTTTTTCCAATGGGCTTTGTACCAAACAAAATGATTTCCATTTGCGACTAAGTCAAATGTCATTCTTCGTCCCTCCAGCTGGAAAAATGAATGGAATGTATTGAGAACTCAAGACCAAATGGCACAGAATATCAGCCCCCATCTTTGCATTGTCACCACAGGCGTTGAAGAACTCTGATTCTAAAATTTGATTCAACAAATCACAAATACTTTCTGTACCAGGCCTTGTGCTAACATGTGGGAATACAGTAAGAAATAAGCTGTGCCGCTGATCCTTGTATCAATCAAAAAAGACTACATTATGTTACAATAACGAGCAGCCCCAAAAAACAATCTTACATGACAAAGATTTGTTTCTCAGACTCCATTTCAACCATAAATCAACTAGAAACTCTACTCTGCATAATCTCTTTCTGGGATCTAAGCTTAAAAAAGCAACACCACCAGGAATGCTGTCAGTCTCTGTGGGAGAATGGAAAGAATGTGATGAAGCACACATTAGCTCTTAAAGCTTCCACCGCAAAGGCATATCATCTACTCACATTTTATTGGCCAAAGCAAGCCACGTGGCCACACCTAAATTTAAAAAGGAGAATGACAGTCCTACCATATGCTTCACAGAAGAGGAAGATGAAATAATTCCGCACAAACTTAATGACTGTGATAATCAATATGAGATTATATTTTGCAAAGGAAGATAGACAAAGAGCCTGGTCACACTCTCATACCTTAACAGAGAAGCTTGTATAGAACTCTGCTTGAGCTGAGCACTTTATGAATATGCAATCATAAAATACAATGCTCTCAGGAAATTTTTATAATAAACTTTTCTAGTGTTAAAATAATAGCAGGTAAGGACTACAAGAATTTTAAATGAATGTAAATGCATTAAAGTCAATAATATAATGAAAAACTTCATCTATCATAAAAAAGAATTGACAGAGTGATGGGGAATTAGTAACCACTTCCCCAAACTGAGATAGCAAGCTTCAAGAAATTATAAATAAATATGTTTCAAATGATTACAAAATTAAAGCAAAAAACCCATAGTGAAAGAAGAGGATGCTATTTAAAAAAAAAAAAAAAAAGACAAAGCAGATTTGGAAAAGAATCAAGTAGAAATTGTGAAAATAATAACATTAAACAAACCAAAATTTAAAATAAAATGGACAGAGAGAAACAGAGAAGATGGTGGATTAAAATAAAAATATATCAATAATTGCATTAAATATTAATGGAGGCTGGGTATGCTGGCTCAGACCTGTAATGCCAGCACTTTGGGAGGCTGAGGTGGAAGGATCACTTGAGGCCAGGAGTTCAAGACTAGCCTGGGCAACATAGCAAAACCCCATCTATATCAATAAAAATAAAAATAAATTCAACTATAAAAGTTTAAGATTATCAGATTCTATTTTTTTTTAAATTTCAACCTAATTATCTGCTGTACATTAAACATAAGGAAAGGGAATTTGAAAGTAAAAGAATACAAAAATATATACATGCACATATCAATGAAAAGCAGTCTAGTATAGCATTATTACTATCAGACAGCTATCAAAGTGTACTCTAAAGCAACAAATATTATTAAAAAGAAAGAGGGATATTTTATGTTTATGAAAGAGTCAATCATTCATGAAAATTTAAATGTGTATGCTCTTATTAAGAATTTCAAGGCCAGGCACGGTGGCTCACTCCTGTAATCCCAGCACTTTGGGTGGCCGACATGGGTGGATCACCTGAGGTCAGGAGTTCGAGACCAGCCTACCAACATGGAGAAACCCTGTCTCTACTAAAAATACAAAAATTAGCTGGGCATGCTGGCGCACGCCTGTAATCCCAGCTACTCGGGAGGCTGAGGCAGGAGAATCACTTGAACCCAGGAGGCAGGGGATGCAGTGAGCCGAGATCATGCCATTGCACTCCAGCCTGGGCAATAAGAGAGAAAGTCAGTCTCAAAAATTTTTTTTCAAAATATATAAAGAAAAAAGTAACAGAATTTAGCTCACACTCATTAGTATTGTTACTATAAAACAAAACCCCACAAAATAACAAGCATTGGTGAGGATGTGGGGAAATTGGACCCCTTGTGTACTGTTGGTAAAAATGTAAAATGGTGCAGCCACTGTGGAAATCAGTATAGTGGTTCCTCAAGAATTAAATATACTTCTGAGTATATACCCAAAAGAATTGAAAGCAGGATCTTGAAAAGATATTTCTACATCCATGTTCATCTCAGCATTATTCACAAAAATGAGAATGTGGAAAAAAAACCGAAGAGCATATCAACAGAAGAATGTGGTGTATACAAGTATATATCCATAAAATTGTGATATTTATATACAGTGGAATATTATTCAGTCTTAAAAAGGAAAAGAACTCTGATACATGTTACAGCATGGATGAACCCTGAGGACATTATGCTAAGTAAAGTAAGCCAGTCACAAAAAGATAAATATTGTATGGTTCAACTTGTAAGAGGTACCTACTGTAGTCAAATTCTTAGGGATACAAAGTAGAATTGCTACTTTGTATATATGTGAATACATCTCTTTGTATCTCCATGATAAAAGTTACCAGGGGCCGGGGGGAAAGGTACTAGAGAATTATTGTTTAATGGGTATAGAGTTCAGTTTTGCAAGATAACAAGAGTTCTTGAGATTGGTTATACAACAGTGTGAACGTACTTAACACCACTGAACTGTACAGTAAAAATGGTTAAGATGGGAAATTTCTCCTATGAATATTTACCACAATTAAGTTATTTATAAAAAAGAAATAAAAGAAGAAACAGAAAACTCTATAATTGAATCTCTTTGGTATTAATTATCTATTGCTGCAGAACAAATTGTCCCAAGACTTAGCTGCTTAAAACAATAAATACTGATTATTCAGTTTCAATAGATCATGAGTCTTGTAGTAGCTTAGTTGCATCCTCTGACTTAAGGTCTCTCCAAGGGCGATCTTATCTCAAGGCTCAGCTTGGGAAATATCTGTTTCCAGTGTGGTTATTGCAGTATTAAGCTCCTTGAATAATGCTGGACTTAGGATCTTATTTTTTCCCTGGTTGTTGACCAAAAGCCTTTTTCAGTTCTTTGCCATAAGAACCCCCACAAAAAGAAGCCCACCATATGGTGGGCCTACGTCCATCAAAATGAGCAAGCAAAAGCCCAGCAAAAGCATGAGTCTTTTAGCAGCCTAATCTTGGAAGTAACATCCTATCACTTACCATATTCTATTCCTTAGAAACAAGTCACTGGTCGAATCCACAGTTAGGGGGAGATGATCACAGAAGGACCTGAGTACCAAGAGATGAGGATTGTTATAGCCATGAATAGAAACTGTCCGTGACATTTCTCAATAGCTGATAGAACAAGCAGAGATAAATTAGTTTAGATTAGTGAACATATGAACAACAAGTCTAACAAACTTGAGCATGTATAAAATACTGTATCCAACAACCATAGAATATATGATTTTCAAACACGTATGAACTGTTTACCAAATTTAACTTTATGCTTCTCCATGAAGTGAGCCTGAACACATTTTAACAATTTAAATAATGTTTTCTTATCGCAGTGAAACTAGGCTAGAAATCAATCATGAAAGATAACTTTATTGTCCCTAAATCTTTTGATATTAAGCAATATGCTTCTAAATATCACACAGGATAAAAAAAAACAATGAATTTTAGAAAATGTTTTAACTGGATAATAATGAAAAGTGGACATATCAAAACTAAGGCACTTTGGGAGGCCGAGGCAGGCGGATCACGAGGTCAGGAGATCGAGACCATCCTGGCTAACACGGTGAAACCCCATCTTTACTAAAAATACAAAAAATTAGCTGGGCATGGTGGCGGGCACTTGTAGTCCCAGCTACTCAGGAGGCTGAAGCAGGAGAATGGCATGAACCTGGGAGGCGAGCTTGCAGTGAGTGGAGATCTCGCCATTGCACTCCAGCCCGGGCAACAGAGCAAGACTCCATCTCAAAAAATAATAATAATAATAAAAAAACTAAGGAGATATAGCTAAAGCTGTGTTTTAATATAATTTTAAAGATAAACAATCTTAAGAACAACTAAGCACAGAATGCAGTAATGAACCTTAAAACTTCAATATACTAGACATAGCAACAATAGAATTCAATAAATAAATACTAAACAAATATTAAAGTAATATCTGAAATTTTTTAAGGAAATAATGGTTATCCCATGATTTCAAAGACATCAAAAAATTACCTTCAAGAAATAACAGCTAAATGACTGTAACAGGATCTTTGGGTGTTACTTTTCTGGCCGGAAACCTCTGTGGCCAGTGATGCCTTTACCCAACCTTTGCTTGGGCCTGCTGGGCTCATTCTGCCCACTCAGCTTAACAGGCTGCACTCAGCTTACGCTACTGGCCTGGATCCCACGCCTACCACGGGTGAACCATGTGGCAGAGTGGCAAGGGGTGTGTGAGCAAGCATGAGGTCCAGCCACTGCGCATGGTTAGAAACACTGGCTGCTGCCATGTGTGGGCAGTTCCAGGTGCCGGCACAGGCACTGGATCTCTGTGAGGCTGCAGCAGAACCAGGTGCATTGCAAGCATTTTCGCCAGTTGGCACTGGGGAATGCAGTGGTGCTTGGAAGCTTGGAGATGCTGGGAACTGCAGGGCTACAAAGAGAGAGTCGCATCCCTGGCTCAGGGAGCTCCCAGGTCTGGGCTCCCCAAAGGGCTGCAGCTCTTCTCTCCTTCTCTTTGCCCCCAACATGGTGAGGAAGGGGTATGTTTCAGCCCTGTTTGTATTAAAACTCTTTTAGTCCTGCTATTTAACGGGTCCCAAGTTCTTGTACTGTGACCAGGAAGAATGAGGCACTCAGACAAGTGGAGGGTGAGCAAGATGAAGAGGAGCTTTATTGAGTTATAGAATAGTTCAGAGGAGACCGCAACGAGTAGCTCCTTTCCAAAGTCAGGGTGTCCTGACGAATGTTTAGCTCTTAGCAGAGAGGAGGCCCTGGAGTGGGTTATGCCTTTCTGCAGCTGGTAGTCCCGACGTCTCTGCAAGTTTCTGAAGCTCTCAGCAGAGAGAAGGCCTTAGAGTGGGTAGCTCCTCTCTGCTGTTGGTCATCTTGACATCTGCTCAGCTCTGGCTGAACCCAGGGTTTATATGGCCTCAGAGGGGAGGAAGTGTGCACTGATTGGTCCATGAGCAGCCACCGGTGCCCAGAAAAGGCACCACAAGCTCCCATTCCGTTGGTGGGACTGGCAGCCCAGCCCCCAGCCTTCAGGCCCTCCCTTGCCTGAAGGTGGGGCTTCATGGGAACCTGCCCCCTTCCACCCAGGAATCTGTCTGCCTCTGCTGCTGTTCATGGCACCTGGGCTGAGCCAGACTTTGCTTTGATGGAGCAGGTACTGACAGCAGGGAGAAGCCAGGCAGTGGGAGCTGGCACCTCTGAGCCTGCAAGGGCATGGGGACCTTCTGGGCCCCCAAAAGTGCAGGGAGGTCCAGGTCTGCAGCCATAGTTTGGGCAGCTGCGTCTGTACCTGGGAAGGCAGGGCTCCTTCCTGCTCCTGGCCCCCCAGTAACACAGCGAGACTTGGTTCTGCATCCATGACTTGGGCAACTGCAGCCGCGCTCAGAGGGCAGGGCTCCTGCCTGCTCCCTGGAGTGGGAGGTCGGCTCTACAGCCATGGTTTGGGTGGCTGCAGCGGCCCCAGGGGACATCCCACCCCAACTTGGAAGGGGCGGGGCTCCCACTTGTGCCCACCTCCCACCAGCTCCACGGAGTGTGCAGCCCTGGCCATGCCTCCCTGCTGCTGCAGGCGTGATGGCAGCAGCTGCTGCAGATGCTCCGCCACTGCCGCCATTACCGTTCAAGAGTTAAAGTGAGACTTCTTTTTCTGGTAATACATTTGACTTTTTCTGGTATCTGTAATAACCTTTATAATGCTGAGAACTAAAAATGAATGATCAAATATAGAAAACATCTTTTGAAAATGTTTAAGAGGTAAGAGGAAAGGAAAAATAATTATCAGGACCAAATCTAAGGGAAGCTGGGAGCCCAGAACTCAGAGAGATTCAAGAGAAAGGAGGAAGCTGCTTCTGCCTTGAGGGCATGTATCAAATCTGATAAACTTCAAATCTAATGTTTCCTTATTGATTTTCTGTCTAGATAATCCGTCAATTGTTGAAAGTGGGGTACTGAGATACCCTACTATTATTGCATTGTGGCCTATCTCTACCTTCAGATAATTTAATAATTTCTTTATATATTTAGGTATTCCAATGTTGGGTGCGTATATATTTACAGTTTTTATGTCTTCTTGATGAATTTTTCCCTTTACCATTACATAATGGCATTCTTTGTCCCTTTTTACTGTTTTTTTACTTAAAATCTATTTGGTCTGATATAAGTATCAGTCTTATATAAGTATAGCTACCCTTGCCCTGTTTTGGTTTCCATTTGTGTTGGAATATCTTTTTTCATTGCTTCACTTCCAGATTATGTGTGTTCTTGCTAGTAAAGTGAGTCTCTTGTATGCAATATATAGGTAGTTTGTTCTTTCCTTTTATTCATTCAGCCACTCTGTGGAAAATTTGGAAATTTTAATGTGTTGGAAAATTTAATCTATTTACATTCAAGGTAGTTATTGATAGGTAAGACCTTGCTACTGCCATTTTGTAATTTGTTTTCTGGTTGTTTGGTAGATCTTTTGTTTCTCTTTTCCTCTCTTGCTGTCTTCCCTTGTCGTTTGATTATTTTCTGTGGTGCTATGCTTTGAACACTTTCCTTTTATATTTAGTGCAACTACTACAGGTTTTTGCTTTGTGTTTACGATGAGGCTTCCAGAAAATATATTATACTTATAACAGGCTATTTAAGGCTGATAACAACTTAACTTTAATCATACAAAAATGCTACACTTTTACTGCCTCCCCCACTTTTATGATTTAAGTGTCAATATGTATATACTTTTGTAATTTGTATCTTTTAACCATTTATTGTAGCTACTGTTGTTTTTGATAGTTTTGTTTTGCAACCCTGGTAATAGAGATAAAATTGCTTTATATATCACCCTTACAGTATTAGTGTTCTGAATATCACTTTGGACTTTTGTTTCAGGCTAAAGGAATCCCTTTAACTATTCCTGTAAGACAGGTCTAATGGTGATGAACTGACATCGTTTCTGTTTATCTGGGAAAGTTTTTATTTCTTCCTCATTTCTGAAGGACAGCTTTTCCAGGCAAAGTAATCTTAGTTGGTAGTTTTTTTTCCTTCTGCACTTTGTATATGTCATCCCACTCTCTCCTGGCTTGCAAGATTTCTGCTGAGAAATCTGCTGATAGATGTATTGAGACTCCCTTGAATCTGATATTTTTCTTATCTCTTATTGCTTTCAGAATTTTTGTCTTTGATTTTTGATAATTTAATTATGATGTGTCTTGGTGAACTTCCCTTTGGGTTGAATTTAATTAGAGACCTCTGAGCTTCCTTTACCTGAATGTTGTCATCTTTCCCCAGATATGGGAAAATTTCAGCCACTGTTTACTTAAATATGCTTTCTGGGCTCTGTTTTCTCTTTTCTCCTTCTGAAAATCTTAAGCAAATGTTCATTCTTTTGATAGTGACCCATAATTCACATAGGCTTTTTTTTTTCATTATTTCTGCTCTTTTGATTGTATAATTTCAAATGTCCTGCCTTCAAGCTCACAATAATATCTTCTGCTGAATCAAGTCTGCTGTTGAAGCTTCTATTAATTTTTTTTAGTTCAGTTGTTGTATTTTTTATCTCTAGGATTCTATTTGATTTTTAAAAATGATTCTGTTTCTTTTTAAAACTTCTCACTTTTCTTCATAAATTGTTTTTCAAATTGTATTTAATTTTCTATCGATATTTTCTTTTAGTTCACAAAGCTTCTTTAAGATAATCATTCTAAATTCCTTGTCAGTCATTTTATAGATCTCCATTTATTCAGGGTCCATTATTAGAGATTTATTAGTTGCTTTTTTTGGTGTGATATTTCTCTGGATCTTTGTAAACCTTACACTAGTGTCTACACATTTGAAGAAATGGCTACCTCTTCCAGTCTTTGCTAATTTTCTTCAGTAGCAATAAACCTTCACTGTTTAGTCTAGCCTGGGATTCTGGATGGCCCAGCTGGTGGCAAGTCCTGGCAGGCAGGCCTTGCTGTCAGATTCTCTAGCTGGGCTGTACTGCTGACCGCTTTGAGGTCAAATGGAAATGCTGGCTGTGCTCTAGAGTTTGATGAGATCACTGGCTGGACTCTGTAGTTAGGCAGAGCTATTAGCTAAGTTTTGTGATTGCCTCTGAGCAGAGTTACAGATTGTCTTCTCTCACTAGGTAATACTGCTGTTTGGAATCTGTAGATGAGCAAAGCCATGTGCTAAGCTCTGAGATTAGGCAAGATCTCAAGATCACTTCTCAGCTGGGGACAGTGGTTCACGCCTATAATCCCAGCAGTTTGGGAGGCTGAGGGAGGCAGATCACCTGAGGTCAGGGGTTTAAGACCAGCCTGGCCAACATGGTGAAATTCCATTTCTATGAAAATATAAAAATTAACCAGGCATGATGGCAGGTGCCTGTAATCCCAGCTACTTGGGAGGCTGAGGTGGGAAAATTGCTTGGACCTGGGAGGTGGAGGTTGCAGTGAGCTGAGATTGCACCACTGCACCCCAGTGTGGGTGACAGAGTGAGACTCCATCAAAAAAAAAAAAAAATGCTCTCCAGATTCCTCCTCTCTAGGCAGGGCATCTCTGAAAGAAAGGGAGCAGCCCCAGTCAGGGGCTTATAGATAAAACTCCCATCTCCCTGGGACAGAGCACCTGGAGGAAGGGATGGCTGTGGGTAGAGCTTCAGCAGACTTAAACATTCCTGCCTGCCAGCTCTGAAGACAGCAGCGGTTCTCCCAGCACAGTGCTTGAACTCTGCTAAGGGACAGACTGCCTCCTCAAGTGGGTCCCTGACCCCCATGCCTCCTGATGGGGAGACACCTCCCAGCAGAGGTCAACAGACACCTCATACAGGAGCGCTCCAGCTGGTATCTGGCGGGTGACCTCTGGGACGAAGCTTCCAGAGGAAGGAACAGGCAGCAATCTTTGCTATTCTGCAGCCTCTTCTGGTGATACCCAGGCAAACAGGTTCTGGAGTGGACCCCCAGAAAACTCCAGCAGACCTGCAAAGAGGGGCCTGACTGCTAGGAGAAAAACTAACAATAGAAAGCAATAGCATCAACATCAACAAAAAGGATGACCATGCAAAAACTCCATCCAAAGGTCACCAAGAGCAAAAACCAAAGGTAGATAAATCCACAAAGATGAGGAGAAAACAGTGCAAAAAGCCTGAAAATGCCAAAAACCATAATGCCTCTTCTTCTCCAAAGGATCACAACTCTTTGCCAGCAAGGGAACAAAACTAGACAGAGAATGAGTTTGATGAATTGACAGAAATAGGCTCCAGAATGTGGGTAATAACAAACTCCTTCAAGCTAAAGGAGCATGTTGTAACCCAATGCAAGTAAGCTAACAATCCTGATAAAAGGTTAGAGGAATTGCTAACTAGAATAACCAGTTTAGAAAAGGACATAAGTGACCTGATGGAACTGAAAAACACAGCACGAAAACTTCATGAAGCATACACAAGTATCAATAGCCAAATCGATCAAACAGTAGATCGATTGAAGATACCAGAGACTGAAGATCAACTTAAAGTATGAAGACAAGATTAGAGAAAAAAGAATGAAAAGAAATGAACAAAGCCTCCAAGAAATATAGGACTATGTGAAAAGACCAAACCTACAATTGATTGGTGTACCTGAAAGTGACAAGGAGAATAGAAACAAGTTGGAAAACACACTTCAGGATTTTATGCAGGAGAACTTCCCAAACCTAGCAAGACAGACCAACATTCAAATTCAGGAAAAGCAACCCCAAGACATAATTAACAGATTCACAAAGGTTGAAATAAAGGAGAAAATGTTAAGGACAGCCAGAGAGAAAGGTTGGGTTACCCACAAAGGGAAGCCCATCAGACTAACAGTGGATCTCTCTGCAGAAACCCTCAAGCCAGAAGAAAGTGGGGGCCAATATTCAACATTCTTAAAGAAAAGAATGTTCAACCCAGAATTTGATATCCAGCCAAACTAAGCTTCATAAGTGATGGGAAATAAAATTCTTTATGGACGAGCAAATGCTGAGAGATTTTGTCACCACTAGGCCTGCCTTACAAGAGCTTTTAAAGGAAGTACTAAATATAGAAAGGAACAACCAGTACCAGCCACTGCAAAAACAAACCAAAATGTAAAGACCGTCGACACTATGAAGAAATTGCATCAACTAATGGGCAAAATAACCAGCTAGCATCATAATGACAGGATCAAATTCATGTATAACAATATTAATGTTAAATGTAAGTGGGCTAAATGCCCCCATTAAAAGGGACACACTGGCAAATTTGATAAAGAGTCAAGACCCATCGGTTTGCTGTATTCAGGAGAACCAGCTCACGTGCAAAGACACACATAGGCTCAAAATAAAGGGATGGAGGAAGATTTACCAAGCAAATGGAAAGAAGAAAAAGCAGGGGTTGCAATCCTAGTCTCTGATAAACAGACTTTAAATCAACAAAAATCAAAAAAGACGAAGAAGGGCATTATATAATGGTAAAGGGATCAATGTAACAAGAAGAGGTAACTATCCTAAATATATATGCACCCAATACAGGAGCACCCAGATTCATAAAGCAAGTTCTTAGAGACCTGCAAAGAGACTTAGACTCCCACACAATCTTAGTGGGAAACTTTAACACCTCACTGTCAATATTAGACAGATCAATGAGAGAGAAAATTAACAAGGATATTCAGGACTTCAACTCAGCTCTGGACCAAGTGGACCTAATAGACATCTATAGAACTCTCCACCGCAAATCAACAGAATATACATTCTTCTCAGCACCACATCACACTTATTCTAAAATTGACCACATAATTGGAAATAAAACACTCCTCAGCAAATGAAAAAGAATGAAAATCATAACAAACAGTCTCTCACACCACAGTGCAATCAAATTAGAACTCAGGATTAAGAAACTCACTCAAAACCGCACAACTACATAGAAACTGAACAACCTGCTCCTGAATGACTACTGGGTAAATAACATATTTAAGGCAGAAACAAATAAGTTTTTTGAAACCAATGAGAACAAAGGCACAATGTACCAGCATCTCTGGAACACAGATAAGCAGTGTTTAGAGGGAAATTTATAGCACTAAATGCCCACAAGAGAAAGCAGAAAAGATCTAAAATCGACACCCTAACATCACAATTAAAAGAGCTAGAGAAGCAAGAGCAAACAATTCAAAAGCTAGCAGAAGACAAGAAATAACTAATATCAGAGCAGAACTGAAGGAGACACAGACACGGAAATCCCTTTTAAAAATCAATGAATCCAGCAGCTGGTTTTTTGAAAACAATAACAAAGTGTATAGACCAACAGCCAGAATAATAAAGAAGAAAAGAGAGAAGAATCAAATAGACACAATAAAAAATGATAAAGGGGATATCACCACTGATCCTACAGAAATACAAACTACTATCAGAGAATACTATAAACACCTCTATGCAAATAAACTAGAAAATCTAGAAGAAATGGATAAATTCCTGGACACATACACCCTCCCAAGACTAAACCAGGAAGAAGTTGAATCCCTGAATAGACCAATAACAAGTTCTGAAATTGAGGCAGTAGTTAGTAGCCTACCAACCAAAAAAAAGCCCGGGACCAGATGGATTCACAGCCGAATTTTACCAGAGGTACAGAGAGGAGATGGTACCATTTCTTCTGAAACTATTCCAAACAATAGAAAAAGAGGGAATCCTCTCTAATTCAGTTTATGAGGCCAGCATCATCCTGATACCAAAACCTGGCAGAGACACAACAACAACAACAAAATTTCAGGCCAATATCCCTGATGAACATTGATGCGAAAATCCTCAGTAAAATACTGGCAAACTGAATCCAGCAGTACATTAAAAAGCTTATCCACCACGATCAAGTCTGCTTCATCCATGGGATATAAGGCTGGTACAACATACGCAAATCAATAAATGTAATCTATCACATAAACAGAACCAGTGACCAAAACCACGATTATCTCAGTAGATGCAGAAAAAGTTTTTGATAAAATTTAATACTCTTTCATGCTATAAACACTCAATAAACTAGGTATTGATGGAATATACCTCAAAATAATAAGAGCTATTTATGACAAACCCACAGCCAATATCATACTGAATGGGCAAAAGCTGGAAGCATTCCCTTTGAAAATCGGCATAAGGCAAGGATGCCCTCTCTCACCACTCCTACTCAACATAGTATTGGAAGTTCTGGCCAGGGCAATCAGGCAAGAGAAAGAAATAAAGGTATTCAAATAGGAACAGAGGAAGCCAAATTGTCTCTGTTTGCAGATGACATCATTGTATATTTAGAAAACCCCATCGTTTCAGCCCAAAATCTCCTTAAGCTGAGAAGCAACTTCGGCAAAGTCTCAGGATACAAAATCAATGTGCAAAAATCACAAGCATTCCTACACACCAATAATAGACACAGAGCCAAATCATGAGCAAACTCCCATTCACAATTGCTACAAAGGGAATAAAATACTTAGGAATACAACTTACAAGGGATGTGAAGGAGAACTACAAACCACTGCTCAAGGAATTAAGAGAGGACCAAAACAAATGGAAAAACATTCCATGATGATGGATAGGAAGAATCAATACTGTAAAAATGTACGTTCTGACCAAAGTAATTTATAGATTGAATGCTATTCCTATCCAGCTACCATTGACTTTCTTCACACAATTAGAAAAATCTACTTTAAATTTCATATGGAACCAAAAAAGAGCCCGTATAGCCAAGGCAATCCTAAGCCAAAAGAACAAAGCTGGAGGCATCACGCTACCTGACTTGAAACTATACTACAAGGCTACAGTAACCAAAACAGCATGGTACTGGTACCAAAACAGATATATAGACCAATGGAACAGAAAAGAGGCCTCAGAAATAACACCACACATATATAACCATTTGATCTTTGACAAACCTGACAAAAGCAAGCGATGGGGAAAGGTTTCCCTGTTTAATAAATGGTGTTGGGAAAACTGGCTAGCCATATGCAGAAAAATGAAACTAGACTGCTTCCTTACACCTTATACAAATATTAACTCAGAATGGATTAAATATTTAAATGTAATACCTAAAACCATAAAAACCCTAGAAGAAAACCTAGGCAATACCTTTCGGGACATAGGCATGGGCAGAGACTTCATGTCTAAAACACCAAAAGCAATGGCAACAAAAGCCAAAGTTGACAAATGGGATCTAATTAAACTAAAGAACTTCTGCACAGCAAAAGAGACTATCATCCAAGTCAACAGACAACCTATAGAATGGGAGAAAATTTTTGCAATCTATCCATCTGACAAAGGGCTAATATCAAGAATCTATAAAGAACTTAAACAAATTTACAAGAAAAAAACAAACAACCCCATCACAGGGTGGGTGAAGGATATCAACAGACACTTTTCAAAAGAAGACATTTATGCAGCCAACAAACATATGAAAAAAAGGTCATCATCACTGGTCATTAGAGAAATGCAAATCAAAACCACAATGAGATACCGTCTCATGCCAGTTAGAATGGCGATAATAAAAAAGTCAGGAAGCAACAGATGCTGGAGAGGATGTGGAGAAATAGGAACACTTTTATGTTGTTGATGGGTGTGTAAATTAGTTCAACCATCGTGGAAGACAGTGTGGCGATTCCTCAAAGATCTAGAACCAGAAATACCATTTGACCTAGCATCCCATTACTGGGTATATACCCAAAGGATTATAAATCATTCTACTATAAAGACACATGCACATGCATGTTTATTGCAGTACTATTCACAATAGCAAACACTTGGAACCAATCCAAATGCCCATCAATGTTAGATGGATAAAGAAAATGTGGCACACATATGCCATGGAATACTATGCAACCATAAAAAAGGATGATTTCATGTCCTTTGCAGGGACATGGATGAAGCTGGAAACCATCATTCTCAGCAAACTAACACAAGAACAGAAAACCAAACACTACCTGTTCTCACTCATAAGTGGGAGTTGAACAATGAGAACATATGTACATAGGGAGAGGAAAATCACACACTGGGGCCTGTCAGAGGGTGAGGGGCTAAGGGAGGGATAACATTAGGATAAATACTTAATGTAGATGACGGGTTTATGGGTGCAGCAAACCACCATGGCACATGTATACCTATGTAACAAACCTGCACATTCTGTACATGTATCCCAGAACTTAAAGTGTAATTAAAAAAAAAAAAAAAAGAAAATGGTAGCTAAAAGTTGAAAACCTAAGTACAGATAAGTAGCTGAGAGGCTGAGAAGCTGTGCAGAGTTTTTAGCAGTTTCATGTGGTCACAAGAGACAAAAGTTATAGTTCACCAAAGATAAGAGATTGCAGTAATCACTCCAGATTTTCTGTCGGAACCCAAAGTGTTACTCCTTAGGAGTAAGAATGAGACAAAAATATATGAGCATTTATAGGAATTGAACACAAAGGAAAAATGCCATAAATATTTGAAAAAATATTTAAATAACCTGTAAATTATTTGCCCTCTCAAACTATGAATCAAATATGAGGTTAGGTTAAAAATATTTTTAGACATTCAAGGTCTCAAAATATGTACCTACCCGCCCTTTTTCTCAGAAAATTAATCAAAGATGTACTCCACCAAAATGAACACAAGATTAGGAAACAGAAGATTCATACAGGATTGAGGGAAAATAGAATCCACTGGGTAATGGTAAAGACAGCTCTTGAAAGGACAATTGAGCAGTAAGGACAATCTGTCCAGATTGAAAGAGGTTGGAAGTCTCCAGGGAATGTTTACTCAGGAAGATGAAATTAGTATCTTATGTGTCTGAATGTATTAAGAGTAGATTTAGGCCAGAGGCTTTGCTCCAC
This sequence comes from Homo sapiens, assembly GCF_000001405.40. Lineage (NCBI taxonomy): Eukaryota > Metazoa > Chordata > Mammalia > Primates > Hominidae > Homo > Homo sapiens. The sequence continues at coordinate 2,397,081 of NC_000009.12, read as the reverse complement.
AGATGTGCATATATGCATACTTGTCTCCTGGTCTGGAGAAGCTTTAAGCAGAACACTGAGGCTTTGTGTGGTCACTGCTTGCAGCTGGAGTTGGGCAAGATCAGATACTTTTCTTTGCAGGTAATTGCTGACCTGCACTTGCCTTCTGGCCCAGGAAAGTCTAAAGCAGAGTGCCAATACTTGGTGGGGCACTACATAGCTGCTGAAACTATGTTGGGTCAGATGATTTCCTCTGCAGATATTCCAGGTCCTGTACATGACTCCCTGTCTGGGGAAGGCTTAAAGAGAGCACTGAAGATTGATGGTGTTGTCCCTTGGCCACTTGGGATGTGCTGGGCCAGAGGTTGGGCGAAGCAAGATGCTTCCCTCCACAGATAGTCACTAATCTGCAATCTGCCCTTGCCTCCTTGCCTAGGGATGACTTAATGGGAGCACTGGGGGCTAAGTGAGGTTGCTACTCAGCTACTGGCATTGTTCAGGCCAGTTGCACCCCTCCACAGATATTCCAGGACCTGCACTTGCCTCCTTGCCTGAGAAAGGCTTAAGAAAAGCACCAGAGGTATGTAGGATTGCTGCTCAGCCACTGGAGTTTGGCATGGCCAGATGTTCCCTTCTACAGATATTCATGAATGTGCACTTTCCCCCAATCTAGAGAAGGTTTATGCAGAGCACCAGGGCTGGGTGGAGAAGCTAAGTAGGGACTGGAGTCTGGCAGACTTGTCAGCTGTGCTTCTTCTGGAGTGCTGCTATTGGCTAGTTTTTCTAGTGGAATGCCTTCTTTTGCCATAATGCAGAGCCACTGCCAAGATTTGCACATTGGTTGCTGTGAGCCTTACCCTTATTCTTTGTTTTTTAACTGAACCCACCTAGTCTAGCCCCAACAAAACTTTCAATGTTTCTCATGGGGGAAATGGTGAGGAAACTGAATTTCTACTTCCCACTCTCTTTTCCCACTGTAGAAACCATGGGCCCAGGAGTGATGTGCTGGGTGATGCTGTGCTGGCTTGAGGGAAAGATGATGTAGTCAAAGTGAAAACTCTTACTTTTTGAATGTACCTTTCTCAGTTCTGTGGTCCAAGTGGGTGTCTCAGCCTCTCTCACACATTCAGGGATATTCACGAAGGTACTCTTGTCTGTGGTTAGTTGCTAGTTCAATTTCTCTAGACTGGAGCCAGAGAAAATATTCTGCCATTTCGCTGATGTCACTTTCCACATATGATAAACTTGAGTCTAAGTATTTTGAGATCACATACAATAGGGATAGAAGATAATGGCCAGACCTTCTCAAGTTAGGAAGTCTAATGTGTAATCTCCTATAATGCCAGAACACCCCCAATGACTATACTTTCAAATAAGAACAGGTAAGAAGTAAACTACTTTATGCAGATTTGAAGCCTAAAATCACCCAGGTTGTCCAAAGAAATCACAACCATTATCTTCCTCTTAAAAAAAAAAAAAAAGGATCTCAAATTGGTAGGACTTACGGATTCATAGCAAAAGAAAAGCAAATTCTCTGAGAAAAATGTGCCTTTATCACAATCTTAAAAGAATTCCTAGAAATGAATTTTCCAAGGAAAGTATGCAACAAACACAAAAATTTAAGCACATAAGCAAATAATGCTTCATGAAAAAGAAGAACAGCAATAACAGCAAAGATGTTTAAATATTTCAGATGTTGGCATTAACAGACACAATGTAAATAAATAGGCCTACTCTGATTAAATTATAAGATATAAAATTAAAACTACCTATAGGGAACAAAAAAACTATAAAGAATAACCAAGAAGATATTCAAAAGAACCATACTGAATTCTGGAAGTGAAAAATATAATACTTGAAATTTTAAAACGTAGTCATCAGGTTAAACAGTAAATTAGTTATAGCTGAAGAGAGTGTTAATTAACTGGAAGATAAATGTGAAAAAAAAATCCACAATGAAGTATAGAGAGAATATAAAATAGGAAAAGGAAGGTGAGATTAAAAGACTTGAAGAAAAACTTAAGAAAGCTTAAAATACATAAAAAACATTTTTAATTCTATTTCAGGGAAGAAAGGAAAGAGAATCTGATAGTGACAATATTTGAAAGTATAATGATGGGATACTTTCCACAATTGATGGAATGCCTAATCTATAGTTTGTTCTTGTTTTTGAGAAGCCCAGTGAATTCCAAACAGAATGCATAAAAATAAATCTACACTGAGGCACAGCATAGAAATACTGTAAGATACTAAAGACAAAGATAAGATCTGAAAACATCCAGAGAAAAATTATATATTACCCTCTAGGAGTAACAGAGTGACAGCTGACTAGGAACAATAAAAATCAAAGCTAGAATACAGTGGAGCAATGTCCTTAAGGTGCAGAAAAATAATAATGTCCAATCTTAGAATTCTTTACCAATCTACAATGTCTTTCAACAGTAAGGGAAACAAAATTTTTCACTCTCTGCTCAGTACTAACCTCTGGCAGACATATTTTTGTGATTTAATGCAACATTCTTCTTTTAATTGATTGTGTCTGGCATCATCACTAAACTGAAGAGTGGCCAGCTAAATTCTCTCTTCAGGGAATTTAGAATTGGGCTTGAGAAATAGTCTGAGCTGGTCTCTCAAGTCAAAGACAGTTCTAGTTAATGATATATTTCTATGAATTTCATCAAAACTTTTAAATTAATCACATAAAGTTGTTCAGAATAACTTATGTTTTTAATAACTGTAGCATCTCTGGTGGTGACCTCTCTCATTCCTAATATTGGTTATTTGTGCCTTATCTCTTGTTTTCCAGATTGCCCTTGCCAGAGATTTGTTAATTACATTAGCTTTAAAATAAAACAACATTTGGTTTTTTCATCTTCTTTGTTTTTGTTTCTATTTAATTAAATTCTGTTCTTATCTTTATGATTTCATTTCTTCTATTTCTTTGGGTTTATTTTACAGTTTTTCTTTTTGAAGTTTTGAAATGGATGCTTTGCTCATTAATTTTTAACCTATCTTCTTCTCTAATACAAGCATACAAGGCTATAAATTTCTAAGTACTGTTAAAATTGCCTCCTGTATGGTATGAAACTGTTTTGTTAGAATTAAGTTGAAAAGGTTTCTAATTCACCTCCTGAAAAGGTTTTAAACCTTTTCAACTTAATTCTAACAAAAGGTTTAGAAACCTTTTAAACTTAATTCTAACAAAAATTTGAAAGTTTGTCACTGATAGATATTCACTAAAGGACATTTTAAAGGATGCTCATTAGTCTGAAAAGAGTGACCTAAAATGGAAAGTATTATATGCAAGTAGGAAAGAATAGAAAAGAAAGTAGTAGTATGTAAAACATTCAAAAAAATTGACGATATAAAATAACATTTTAGTTGGGAGATGGTAGTACTTACTTGAATTAATAAGTTCCAAAATATTGTAAGGGAAATGGTAAAGGTATTGATTAAATTTAATTTTGATAAGGTAAATAGATATGTATATTGTAAATTGTAGCCTACACATTAAATGAGTAGAGTATATAACCTTGAAGGAAGTTCAGGAACAAAAGGAAATAAGAATAAAATGCTTAGTTAATACAAAAGAAGGCAGAAATGAAGACAAAAAGAAACAAAACAGATGAAGATAAATAACACACAATAAGATGGTACATAAATCTGAGTATGTGACTAATTATATTCATTGTAAATGAACCAATTACTCTAGTTAAAAAAGAAAGATTGTCATACTGGGTTACTAAAAAATAAAATCCAAGTATGTATTATTTATGAGATGCACCCAAAATAAAAGGATATAGAAGGTTAAAAAGTTAAAGAATAGAAAATATGTATCATATAAACAACAATCAGAAAAAAGTGTGTAAGTATATTCATATTAGACAAAATTATCTTTAAATCAAATATACATTTAATATACAGAAATATAGAGGTGTGGAGTGGGAAATCAGAGGTCTCACAGCCTTCAGAACTGAGAGCCTGGAACAGAGATTTACCCACGTACTTACTGACAGCAAGCCAGTGATAAGCATTGTTTCTATAGATTATAGATTAACTAAAAGTATTCCTTATGGGAAATAAAGGGATGGGCCAAAATAAAGGGATGGGTTTGACTAGTTATCTGCAGCAGGAGCGTGTCCTTAAGGCACAGATCACTCATGCTATTGTTTGTGGTTTAAGAACGCCTTTAAGCGGTTTTCCGCCCTGGGTGGGCCAGGTGTTCCTTGCCCTTATTCCGGTAAACCCACAACCTTCCAGTGTGGGCATCATGGCCATCATGAACATGTCACAGTGCTGCAGAGAATTTTTTTATGGCCAGTTTTGGGGCCAGCTTATGGCCAGATTTTGGGGGGCCTGTTCCCAACAGAAAAAAACAAAATCTAAAGAGAAATAAGAAAATCTATCATCATATTGGGAGGTTTTTAACATTACACCTCATTTGGGAATTTGCAAAACAAAAAGGACCAAAATAAAAAGCAAAAAGCAAAGCTCCAACTATATGGAAGATCAACATGGTTAAGAAATTTGACTTAATGCATATTTATAGAATATAGTACTCAAGAATTGAAGAATACCTTTGTTTTTTATAAACAACCATGTAACATTCACAAAAATTGACCATAGTCTGGGCATGTCTTCACAAATTTCCGAGCATTTAAAACTGTGTTTTCTGACCAGAGTGAAATAAAGCCAGAAGTCAGTAACAAAAAGATATCTGGAAATTTTTCTATATATTTGTAAATTAGGAAATATTCTTCTCAATAGCCCAAAGTTCAAAGCAGAACTACAAGGGAAATTAGAAACCTTTTCAACTTAATTCTAACAAAACAGTTTCATACCATACAGGAGGCAATTTTAACAGTACCTAGAAATGTATAGCCTTGTATGCTTGTATTAGAGAAGAAGATAGGTTAAAAATTAATGAGCAAAGTATCCATCTCAAAACTTCAGAAAGAAAAACAGTAAAATAAACCCAAAGAAATAGAAGAAATGAAATCATAAAGATAAGAACAGAATTTAATTAAATAGAAACAAAAACAAATAAAGAAGATGAAAAAACCAAATGTTGTTTTATTTTAAAGCTAATATAATTAACAAATCTCTGGCAAGGGCAATCTGGAAAAAAAAGAGATAAGGCACAAATAACCAATATTAGGAATGAGAGAGGTCACCACCAGAGATGCTACAGATATTAAAAAGATAAGTTATTCTGAACAACTTTATGTGATTAATTTAAAAGTTTTGATGAAATTCATAGAAATAAATCATTAACTAGAACTGTCTGTGACTTGAGAGACCAGCTCAGACTGACTGTTTCTCAAGCCCAATTCTAAATTGTCTGAAGAGAGAATTTAGCTGGCTACTCTTCAGTTTAGTGATGATGCCAGACACAATCAATTAAAAGAAGAATGTTGCATTAAATCACAAAAATATGTCTGCCAGAGGTCAGTACTGAGCAGAGAGTGAAAAGTTCTCAGAGATACAAGGTTATGTGGGGAAGACACACTTCAAAGGAAAAGTGGAAAACATGCTATACCACTTATCAATATATGTAATAAATACTTACTTATATATTTGTTTCCCATCATTAGAATTCTCCAAACTCTTCTTATCAGAGTGTCTGGAATATGGTGGAACTCAGTCCATATTTATTGAAAAAATAATTTAATTAAAAAATTGTAATCTCTTTGGGATTTCATATTTTTAGCTCTAAAATAGGAATAACAGTACTTTATCCCTGAAAGCATGGATTGGATCCAATAATACTAAGTGTTATTGTTTAAATGTGTCCCCTAAAAGTTCATGTATTGGAATCTTAATCTCTTTGCCCTCATGAGTGGATTAGTGGATTAGTGAGGGCTCTGCCCCTCACAAGTGGATAAATGTCACTATCACAGGAATGGCTTTGTTATCACAGGAGTGACTTTGTTATAAAAGTGAACTCTCACTGGCTGTCTTCCTTGTGCTCTCTGCCATCTTATGATGCAGCAAGAAGGCCCTTACCAGATGCAGGCACCATGGTCTTAAACTTCCTAGTCTTTAGATGTGAGTTAAGTAACTTTTTTTTCTTATAAATTACCAAGTCTATGATATACTGTGATAGCAACAGAAAATAGATTAGGACACTGTGGTGCTTTTTTTTAGATCCATTATCACATGTAAGACTTTTAAAATGTATTTTAGTGGACACAGATGTCTGTAAGATTGAACTGATGTGGAGAAGGCTGCACTAGTGTCATCATTTCCTTAGCTGTTGAGAGTGGGACCAATGCTGGTCTCCATTTCTGAGCTCTCATTCCTTAAGCACAGACTTTAGAATATACTTCTTCCATCTGGGAGGGGCTGACCTTTCTTAAAGACTGACATTCTGTTTCTTTTGTGGGTTTTACCTTTGGTCCCTCATCCACCTTTTTCAGTTTCTGGAAAAATCTGATTCCCAAATTGCAATAAAGTTCATGGATGCCAGGTGAATTTTCTCGAACATTATCCTGTCACAACTCAAGCCCATTCATGTTATTTTCCTTTATAAAAGACTTTGTGGTGAATACATACATTTTATCCTACAGATTTTAAAGATATCACATTTTTAAAAATCAAATTAAATCTAACTCTAAGACCCAATTTTTATAGCTGGCAGAAAATTCCATCAGTACTTAATGGGAGTTCTTCCCTCTGCCTAGAGTAGTCCAGAAACCTTACATGATGCCCATAAAAAATGAACATAGCTTCTAATGTGCTGTCATAGATGCCACTGATAGCCTCACTTTCCAAACCTACATGGCATCTGACGTGTTGACATCTCTATAGCTACTGTGCCAACTGAGGCATTTGCCTAGCAAGAAGCAGCAGTGCCTGGGGCAGGCTTCTCTGAATCACCTCTCTGAGTTCTCACTATCTAGGTCACCAGGTTCGCATCCCTGACTCCTTGGTGAACTGCCAACCTTAGTCCCTTCTCTACCTGAAGAAACGTCTCTCTCTCCTGTCTCTCGCTCCCAGGCATTCTTCTCTCTTCTCTCCCCAGCCAGGATACTGAGCACAATCTCACCCAAAGACAGAGTCTTTGTCTTGCTCCCAGGCATTCTTCTCTCTCTTCTCCCCAGCCAGGATAGTGAGCACAATCTCCCCCAAAGACAGAGTCTTTGAACACATGCACAAAGAACGTTGTTCTTCCAACAACTTCTCCTTTGGCCCTGCCAAAGCTCCAGGGCAAGGGAAGAGAAAAGCTCAGGCTGTCTTCTTGAAAGGAAACTGCAGTGGATTGGATAGGTATAAATGGAAAATGCAAATTAATAATCATAAAATTATACTGCCACACTTTCAAATAGTCTCATTTAAAAAAAAAAATAGAATAGAGTTCAAAATCTGTAGCCTGAACTCTAAGGCCTGCATTATCTGTTTTCTGTTTGCTTTTCTAGTTTTTATCATTCTCTACATTTCTAATGCTCTGCATAACTACTCATAGTTCCCCCACATTCTTCTAAGGCATTTTCATGCTTAAGCAACTGTGTTCAAACTTCTGTCTCTGTGTGCCCTCCCCCCCATCTCCTTAGTAAACTTCATTCATCTGTAAAAATTCAGCAGAAGGCTTATCCCCTCAGGGAGGCTTCTTAAGGTGGAAATGACACTCTTCTGTAGACCTTACTATTCCCTCTAACATTTTAGTACATTTTAAAATATAAATGTCTGTCTTCCTTTACAATCCCATTAAGTCATTGAGGACAGTAATCATTTCTATTCATTTCTCCATCCCAATGTCTAGCCCATTCAGCTTACATATGATGCCCTATAAAAAAACATAGACAATCAAGAATTAACAAAAGAGAGAACCAGCATGATTGGATCTACAAGCATGTGGGCCCAGAAGCCTTGGTCTTTGAGATGGTATGTATTTGTGTGTGTTTCACCACCACCTTCAACAGAAGGTTATTTGATATGTAGGAGGCATATCTTTTCAACCATATTTATGCCAGGGCCTCATTTTTCTTTCTTTCAATGCATTCTGCCTTAAAATTCTTTACATTTGTGATGTGAATTCCCAGCCGTTGGCTCCTGAGTCCACTGTTGGAGCTTCACTAATAGTTAAAGCCAGAGGTCCCAAACTAGCAGCCAGCCAGTGAAATATAGTCAGTCCTATTTGGCTTGGTTTGCAAACATTTTTGTTTTTTTAATCTGAGTTCAATGCTGATATGGTTTGGCTGTGTCCCCACCCAAATCTCATCTTGAATTGTAACTCCCACAATTCTCACGTGTCATGGGAGGAATCCAGTGGGAGATGATTGAATTATGGGGATGGGTTTTTCCTGCACTGTTCTTATGATAGTGAATAAGTCTCACAAGATCTGATGGTTTTAAAAATGAGAGTTCCCATGCACAAGCTCTCTCTTTGCCTGCCACCATCCATGTAAGATGTGACTTGCTCCTCCTTGCATTCTGCCATGATTGTGAAGCCTCTGCGGCCATGTGGAACTGTTAGCTCAATTAAACCTCTTTCTATTGTAAATTGCCGAGTCTCGGGTATGTCTTTATCAGCGGCATGAAAATGGACTAATACAAATACTCTTCACATAGTTACCTCTCCTCCTTAGCTCTTGAAGGTATTTAAATGTACCCCCTAATCTAAGCCAGCTCTGCATATAAGCCAGTCAGCCTTTAAATCCTTCCCACTTTCAAGACAAGAGTTGGTCTAATGAGCAGTTGACCATTTTACCGTGGTGGGTACCTGAGAGTGCATGTGTGTTGAGGTGAAAAATGGTACAGGAAGCAGGAGAGATAAAAGGGCAAGACACAAGAGAAGAAACAGAAAAACATGGCACCTGTCAGTTCCAGTTCTGCCCTGTCCCCAGTCCTTCTTTATTGTAGCTCAGGTGTACATGTTGACAGGTGGCCTATCCAAATGAGAATTTGCCCAGTGTTGGGAAGATCGTCTTAGTGTCCACTCCACTTGGGTAGTGTTTATCCACTTATATACAATAAGTGTTTTAATAAATGTAGTTCTATTCAGTTTAACAAGTAATTATTTTGAACTTACACTTTGAGGGGCTATGTCCTAGAGCCATTGTGTCCACATACTTGGAGAACATACAGTTTGGAGAAAAAGACTGACATGGAACCAGATTACTATTGAATAATATTAATTACTATTATTATAGTATAATTAGTAACATTAATGAATAAGACAGCTATACAGACTGTAATGGGGGAATAGAGAGAAGAGGCCCTAGGCCCAATATGGAAATTCAGGGTAGACTTTCTGAAGGAAGTGCCCTTTGTGCCAGGAAAAGAAGGGCACCTAGGGCTCATGGTAAGGATGGTGGTTGCCTAGGAGATAAGGCTAAATAATAAATTATGATGGATATAGTATGCCATTTATTTAAACTTTAATCCAAATTCAATGGGGATCCCTATAATATTTTTAAAGTAGGGAAACAAAGTAATTAAATATGAATTTTAGATAGTCTGATGCTCTAAATAGGTACCCTACTTAAACTATGTTAAGTTATTTTAATAAATGCAATATAAAACTATTTGTGTTGCTTGTCTATCATACCTGTGTGAATGAATGTACATGCATATATGTCTTCTAGAAAATTCTAGATGTTGCTTTTCTTTCATTATCTGTTTTCTTGCTTTGGACACTGAGATAAGGCCACTTGAAACGAAAGGCTACAAACCAGCCAAAGACGGTCAAACACTTCCAAAAGGAACGTAAAATCTAAGAAACTCCAGTTTTAAGTTGGCAAGTCAATAAATCCTCTGGAAATTTACCAGATACTGCCTGAAATTTGTTCTACTTAGTTTTTTAAATACTCTTAGTTCTCACGTCAATTCAGTTCCAAATTTAAAAACTATATATATTTAGGGTCTGTAATTGTGAATTGTGTGTTTTTGTCACTATAGTAAAATTACCTTTATAGATTTTTAAATGAATGCCAGTACTTGCAAATTGATTCTGCATGTTTTCCGTTAACGTTTACATGAATGATTAACAAATAGGATCTCAATTAAGGAGAAATTACAGGGACTATTTAAAAGGCCATCACATTTCAGCTTACCTCCAAGCTGTGGCTTCTACCCCATTGATCATATTTCTCAGTTTGCCAACATTCTGGCTTTCATAAAACCAAGACTTCAAGCAGCTAAATATTGCTTAAAAGAGAATTTCCCACTAGGTTACTTTCTGTAAATCTGAAAATATACTACAATGTGAGGATATGTGTTTGTAGGGCAGGATCTTTGCAGTGGGATTGGAGGGGAAGAAACTTCATTCACTTTGTCTTTGTCTCCCAGCTCCCAAATGGATCCAGGCATGTGATTTGTCACTTCCTTAGTTACTGCTGGAAGCTCTTTGAAAACATATCTCATATTTTCTGGTTTCTGTCTTTTTGTAAGAATTTTGAATAGAAATTGTGAAATTTGTAAAGTTGATTCTCTAAGTTCTCTTGTCCCTCACCTTGACCCTCATAGGCACCACATTTTGATCCCTGGGTTTTCCAAATTACTCCCATATTTGTCCCAAACACCCCTTCATGATCCAAAGCAGACGTTCTCTCCTTTTTCTCTCCCGTTTCAAATTTGGAAGTCAGTTGGCCGGAAAATGTATTCTCACTAACCTATTAATGGCTGAGACGTTTTTCATATGTTACTCCTGCTAGAGAGGTTTGTATTTTTACCAGAACTGATTTGCCCACATTCAAAGAAATAAATCTATGAAGATTGTGGCAAAACTGATTTCTTTTGAGACGGAGTCTTGCTCTGTCGCCCAGGCTGGACTGCAGTGGCGCAATCTCGGCTCACTGCAACCTCTGCCTTCCGGGTTCAAGCGATTCTCCTGCCTTAGCCTCCCGAGTAGCTGGGATTACAGGCACATGCCACGATACCTGGCTAATTTTTGTATTCTTAGTAGAAACGGGGTTTCACTATGTTGGCCAGGCTGGTCTCGAACTTTTGACCTCGTGATCCACCTGCCTCGGACTCCCAAAGTGCAGGGATTACAGGCGTGAGCCACTGTTACCGGCCCAACTGATTTATTTTCTTAAGCAATATGCTTTTCACTCCCTAATTTGGCCAATTGCTGTTGAATTAAGTTACTACCGTGACAGAGGAACTTTGCCAGGAGCTGATGGATGCGCAGATGGGACAGACATAGATCTTGCTTTTAAGCAGCTTACAGTGGAATAAGCAGCACAGCGTTTTGGACAGGAGGCACCAGGCTGGTAGGGACCTTAATTACTGCTGTAGCCCTGTGCCTACAGAAACCTGTGGTTCATAGACACGCAATAAAATTTGTTGGGATTAAATAGGTAATTGAGAGATAAAGAGACCAGAGATAAGCTAAGCTTTCCCTATTTTCTGCCACCTTGCAGGTCATGGCATGGAGGCAGTTCATTTTGGAACTAGAAGTTTAATGGGACCCCTGCAAAGGCAAACACACCTTTGATTGGCTGGTGTTGCTAAAAAGCAGAAGAAAAACAAAATGAACCTCCCAAAACTGTGAGTAAGACAAAAAACAAAAAATTAAAGTCTGTGTCTGAAAGATGGAAGGGAGAGTCTATTGAGGTCTTTGAAACCCTACCTGGGGGCTCTAGGGTTTTGGCTACAAGCCAAGATGAGGAGCATAAGAATAATTGAATCAAGGTAATCAGGATAGGAATAAACTGATGAAAGACGTGTTAATACTTGGTGAGAGATTTTTTTAATGTGGCTGAGTTTTAAAATTTTTATTTAAACAATAGCATTCACAATAGTAGTTGCTATAACATAAAAGTCCATATAGCCGTTGAAATCACGTATAGATTGTGATTAAAATGTGTGTGTGTATATATATATATATACACATAAAAGCAAGTTTGACAGGAAACACACTAAAATGTTAAGTAACAATGATTATCACAAGGAAGTGGAATTATGGATGACTTTGATTTTCATTCCTATATTTTCTTTATTTTCCGAAAATGTTTAAGTAACAAATATTTATAGCCAGAAAAATGTTGGTGTAAATCAGTAGTAATTATTTAATGCCCCTGAAACATTTTCCTGACAAGATGTGTGTGGAAAATTCAAGACTGTAATTCTGGGTGTTATGAGAGGCTCAACAGAGATCTGCCTCTTAAATGCCAGTGAGGACATCACCCTGCTCTCAAGCAAGAAATTGCACTTCTGACCTGGAAGTGCTATTAAGTACGTTTTGCTTTAATCTGATTTTAAAAAAAAAAACAAATCTAAACCACAACTCTGAGGGATGAAAAGGCAGCAAATGTCACATTCTCTGAAAAGCTCTTGGAGGGGGGAAGGGGATGATGGAGCTGGAAGTGAAGAGATGGGAAGAAAATGACAAATTTCCCTAAATGCTGATTCTGTGATAATATTAAGCTGTGAAAACTCCTTTACCCTTTCTCCCCTTTTGAGTCAAGACAAAAATAAAGCCACATGTAGATGTCTTGTATACATAACCCAAACTGGATTGAGCTTTTAACAAATCTATTGAGATTTGTTCGTGGTATTTATCCTTTTCTGTTTAAATTGAAGTACTTGAAAAATGTCTTTGTGGTATACACAAAAATGTAAACAATGACTAAAGTTTAGGAAAGGTAGATTTTGAGATGATTTTTATTTTCTTCTTTTGCTCATGTTCTAAATTTTACTTTTCCTATGAGCATATATTACTTGTACAACAAGAAAAAAAAAGGATAGCACTTGAGAACATCAAGAATAAGTAAAACAAAACAAATGTGTGTGAACAGAGAATAGACAATGAGAAAATATACCCACCACTACTGGGTTTTCTCTGGGACATAGTGTAGGGGATGGATAGGTTTCTACTCTTACTTTCTTCTTAGGGTGTTAGCCATACTTTCTAAAATGGGCACGAGAAAATGATACATATATCATGATCTCGCTTGTAAAACACAAAATTGCATACCTATATAATATATAGATTTTGCAGGGAAATGTTTAGAAGTATTTGGACTAACCTGGGAAAGTGATCTTTTCCTGGGAAGATGGACTAAAAATGAGAGAGGAAGAAAAATTGTTTTTTTTTTCATTGACACAAGTGTTCTGTTTGATGTTTTGCAACAAATATCTATGACTTTAGTAATTTTTACAAAGAAATTGGAAAATAAAACAAACACAAGAAAAGCTTGACAAACCTAGGTTGGTCTCAGCTGTTTCCTTTGCACTCTTTCACATATGTTTCCTTTGGAACCTAGAGAGGAAGATTATTTTCTGTTGTGTGGCTCTACCATTTCAGTCTGGGCTCTCAGTCAGGTTATGGACCCTTTTAATTATTTCAAGTACATTTTAAGAACAAATATTTATTTTTCCATAAAATTCTCTCCATTTTTGCAGTGTAGTTGAAAAGCAGGGAGCCAAGAAGAGCTAATTTGGAATCCCAGACTTCCCTTCATTTTACATGTTAATGTAGTTTGGATCTGTGTCCCTGCCCAAATCTCATATTGAAATGTAATTCCCAATGTTGGACCTGGTGGGAGGTGATTGGATTATGGGGGTGGATTTCTCAGGAATAGTTTAGCACCATCCTGCTTGTCTTCATGGTAGTGAATGAGTTCTCATGAGACCTGGTCATTTAAAAGTGTGTAGCTCCTCCTCCCTCATTTTCTTGCTCCTGCTTTCACTGTGTGATGTGCCTGCTCTCCCTTGCCTTCCACCATGACTGGAAGCTTCCTGAGGCATCCTCAGAAGGAAATGCCACTATGCTTCCTATACAGCCTGCAGAACTGTGAGCTAATTAAACCTCTTTTGTAAAAAGCAAATTACCCAGTCTTAGGTTTTATAACAATGTAAGAATGACCTAATACACATGTCTACCATATAGGAGATGATAGGACCTATGAATGTTAAAAATCTGTCAATTTGGCTTATTTTTTTTACTTTTGGAAATGAGACTGATGGGTAAATAGTACTGTTCATCTCATTTAATGGTGTCCCCTATGGCTACATACAAAGCAAAATAAAAATCTGCAGAGGTCAATAATTTTAGTAACCCAAAACCTAGCAAATTCTTCATGGCTCTTCCATTTATTTTACCAGCTTTTAAAAAGGAGAATTCTGTCTTATAAGAAACTGGGGACATGGAGTTCAAAGAACTTTTTTGGTAGGGCTGTAGTGTTCAGTTGTGCAGACTGGGCCCTGCACAAAGGTGCAATGTGACTTCAGTGTTTTGCCTACCCACAGTTCTTTCTTTCTTCCTGTGATAGGTTGAATTCTATTCTCTACCACTTTCCAGAAAAAAAAAAGATATGCTGGAGTCCTAACCCCCAGTCTCTCAGAATGTGACCTTATGTGGAGGTAGGGTCATTACAGAGTTAATCAAGTTGAAATAAAGTCTTTAGCATAGGCTCTAATCCAATGTGACCGGCATCCTTATTAAAAGGGGAAATTTGGACACAGAGATATGCACAGAGGGAATACAATGTGAAGACACAGGAAAAGCACCATGTAACGGGCAAGAGACGGCCAGGTCCACAGAAAGTTAGAGGAGAGACATGGAACAGATTCTCCTTCACAGCCCTCAGATAGAACCTCCCTTGCTGACACCTAGATTTCAGACTTCTAGCTGCCAGAACTGTGAGACAGTTTCTGTTGCTTAAGCGACCCAGTTTGTGGTACTGTGTTATGGCAAGCACAGGAAAATAATATGCCCCCACCTCTACCCTGAACTTTTCTCAATTTTTATCTTTCCATGCCTTTTTTTTCCCCTACTTCCTCTCTGACTTTTGTTGTCCGTGGAAACTCATGTATAATCCTCTCCTCCGCTCTGGGTTTTATTGGTTAGTCGAAAATGTGGTCCCTGTGTTCACTGAAATAAGCCAGACCCTAAGAAATTTCCAAAGAAGAAGAAAGCCTGTTGGGAGCATCACTGTTATTAGTCAATGTGTTTTTGTTTAATTTATATTTCAGGCCTTACCAAAGCCAGCGTGTTTGACTCTATGTAGCATATAGTGCACATCCGAAGTCATACCTGAGCAAATACCTCCTAAATTATGGCCGGATGCATGCAGAACATCATGTTCATCAAATAACACTGCATTCTGTACTTCATACAAATGATCACTTATTGGCCATCGTCTGTGATCGTCAAGCACCTCTGTGCTGTTTGTTTTACTTTCTGCCCAGCAGGCAGACTTTTTTGTGATCACAAGAATTGCTTTTTATCTTAGCAGTCAACATTGTGTATAAGCTTGATTTGATACAGCAATCTGTCAGGAATAAAGACAAAACAACCCCCAAGCAACATCTCGGGCAGTTCTGAAACCAGTACTTTCCAAGAAGTACCGTGTTCTGAATTGTGAAGATGAGATCTCACCAGCAGCATTCCCAGCCAGGATTAGACCACACTAGCCAAGCAGTAAACTTAAAGCTCCAGTAGCAAACATAAACTTCACCTTTGTTTCTTCGGGGAACAAGAAGAAGGAGCATCAGTAGGCTCTTCTCTCTGAAAAATACACCTGAAGTCTCGACATCTTGTAACTCCTTCAGTCTTCATTGTGAGGGCAATTATGCCTCAGTTCCCAAAGGTTTTGTAGGGGCATCAATCATCTCAGGCCGGGTTTCTCCCACGCACTAACATCTATAGATCTACTAGTTATAGGTATTCTGAATGCTATAGCATATATAGATTTACTGGTTGTCATTGAGGACAACTTCACAGCTTCTTGTCAAGTGCCATTCATTTGATGGCATTGTTATCATAATTTTCCTGAGAAATTACTTATAATGAAACATTGCAGTGAAGGTTCATATTCCTATTACTGAATATGAACTATTTTTAAATAAACTCCTGAGATATATTTGTGAATTGTACCACAAAAGCTGCTTCATACCATTGAACAAATTGTGCATGATCCGAAGTGGGGAATGTTTCTCACATCCCATTTAACCACTTGCAAACACCTAATCTTCGTTTACAAAAGGCAGGAGTTTCAGAATCCAACAGACCTGGGCTCTGGGTCATAGTTTCCTAGTTACTTAACCTCTCTGAGCCCCCAATTCCTCTTCTGTGTGTAACTGAGAAGGGTGGCAAACGCTATACAGAATTACTACTGTCTTCTGAAGTGCATGGATCAAGGTAAGAGAAAGGCATTCATGTCAAGTTTTCTGTAGGGTTTTTTTATCCTGCTACAGAAATAATGGCTCTGTTGTTTGGATGGGTTTGTGTATTTTGTTTAGTTGTTGTTTGTTTTTTGTTTGTTTGTTTCATGGTGGTTCTAAAAGTGTTGTCCCAGACCAGAGGAATTAACACTACCTGGAAATTTTTAAGATATGCAAATTCTCAACCACACCTACAGAATCAAATCTGCCCCTGCCCGCAAGCTGTGTATGACTGATGCATGCTCAAATTTGAAAACCACTGGACAGCCTAAAGAAAGGCTTCAAGCTGAGTTTAGATGCAGAGAATTGAGAGAATTGAATAGTTGCTGCATAATAGAGTGAGAGGAACCTGGAGTTCCTAGGTACAATCTAGGAAGGGGATATATGAAGACTGGAACCAGTAAGATGGTGAAAGCCTAAGGCGTTGCATGAGTTGACATGGGCAACCGTTATCATGGGCAGTGAGAAAGCCCGAGTCCAGAGGTGCAGGGACTAATAGGACATTAACAGCAGGGCTGTCTAATATGCTCTTCAATTTATTTGCTCTTGATATAATTTTGTAACCTCCTACCTCATACCTACAAATCTTTAGTAAAATTTCTCCTCCATGCAATAGGCTTACATTGGTAATGACCTTATTTTAGGGAGGGAGAGATGAAAATTTGGATACATGCCAAGATGAGATAAATACATTAGTGGATAAAAAACCAGGCAAAAGATATCAATGGAGGCAGAAATGAGAGTCAGAGATGATATTACTCCAGGGCAGAGTTTCTCAACCTCAGCATTACTGGCATTTCAGACTAGATGAGTATTTATGGGGGCTGTCATAGTTATTGTAGGATGTTTAGCAGTATTCCTGACACCCTAGATACCTCTAATACCCCTACCTTAAGTTGTGACTATCAAAAACATCTTCAGTCATTGCCAAATGGAGAGTGTAGTTGTCTTTTTTGTGTCACTATAAAGGAATACCTGAGATGGGGTAATTTATAAAGAAAAGAGGTTTAATTGGCTTATGGTTCTGCAGGCTGTACAGGAAGCATGGCACCAGCATTTGTCCCTGGTGAGGGCCTCAGGTAGCTTACAATCATGGTGGAAGGCAAAGGGGGAGTCAGCATATCACATGGCTAGAGCAGAAGCAAGAGAGGGAGGGAGGAGATGCCACACTCTTTTAGACAACCAGATCTCATATGAACTACTAAAGCAGGAATTCACTCATCACCAAGGGGATGGCTAAGCCATTCGTGAGGGATCAGCTGCCATGATCCAGACACCTCCCACCAAGCCCCTCCTCCAACATGGGGGATCGCATTACATGAGATTTGGAGGGGACAAACATCCAAACCATATCGGGGGTAAATTACTTCCCTTAAAAAACCACTGCTCTGGAATCTTCTGGGTGCCCTGGATTTTCTTAAGGACATGTAATGGGGGAGATAATTGGAGTGTGGTGGGCCATTCTTATCTGAATCATAAGTAAACAGGATATCTAGATGGCTGTTAAATCTTACAGAGTAGTATGAAAACTTAATAAGAATATGTATAAAGTACCTAATACACATAGTACCTGTTTCTTTTCCATTTCTATTATAAACATGTTTAGGAGACCCTGACCCATGATGTTCATAAAGATGTGTGCATTGTTTTGTTTACTATTTGTTAAGAACTGTGAAGGTTGTGAGATTTTTCCATTTGCAAACTAACAAGTTAACCTACTACAGATCATGGATGCTAAAAGAAGACATGAAATAGCTGGATTAGAGAAAAATAGGAAGTTTGTTACGCAGCAATAGCAGCAGCCAGGGTGTCAGCAATCTCTTGAGATGATTTTCCAATCCCAGTTTCCACAGGGTGACACAAAGAGGACAAGATGATATATTCACACAAGTCTTGTCAAGGTTGCCTGTCAAGACAGGAACCTTGAGCTTAGGGATCCTGAAGCTTTCCCATTGAACTGTAAGCATGTCTGCCCTTTGCTCTGGAGGGAGATACTATCTTTACAATTCAAAGTTGTTCATTATACAGACAGAAATCCTTGAAATGATAGTCTTGAACAAAGGCAACCAGTACCTCTGCTCACAAGATGTACAGAAACTCTAGACAGTTTTCCAACTCTGCTATATTGTAGGCTCTTTGGGGACTGGGGCTAAGTTTATTCATCTTTATAACTCTAGTGCCTGTTACTCAGGAGGTCATTAATAAGCACTTTTTGAATAAATTATAAAAATGCACAATAAAATGGCAGGGCAGTTTAAGGAGCTACGTTTAGCCCAACTGAACACACTATCCATTATATAGTTTTATTAGTTTCTCATTGCTGCTCTAAGAAATTATCATAAACTTAGTGGCTTAAAACAACACATGTTTATGGTAGAGCTCTGAAGGTCAGAAGTCTGAAATGATTTTTACCGGGCTAATGTTAAGATAGCTGCAGGACTGTGTTTCTTATGCAGGCTGTAGGAGAGAATCCATTTCTGGCCTTTTCCAGCTTCTAAAGGCCTTATGTTCCTTGGCTTGGAGCCCCTTTCTCCATCTTTAAAGCCAGCAGCATAGCATCTTCAAATTTCTCTCTGGCTCCAACCATTCTGCGTCACTCTTTCACCTATAAAGAGCTTTATGATTACATTGAAAACACCTGGGTAATCCAGACTATTCTCCCCATTTCAAGATCCTTAGCTTAATTACAGCTTTTACCACGTAAGGTAACATATTCACAGCTTCAGGGAATTAGGATGTGGAAACCCCAAGGACCATTATTCTGCCTACTATGAAAGCCTACCCTTTTGTAAATGGTCAGGTTTTACCCCTTCAATAAGACTTCCCTGAGGAATAAAGCATAGTCATTCTGGTTTGAGAATCAGGAGTGAACTTTTCCCTTCACACTATTTTCTCCTCTTATAATTTACATATGGAATACATTTTAATATTTTTTTACAAGTCCTTTGCTTAGCACCCAAAGTATGCTAAGGAAAAAATGCTTTCCAAGAAATAGTAGGCAGCATACTATGTTTACTTGTGATTTTTTCCACATTATGTATAGAAGGGATTATGTATATTTTCTATTCTTCCATAAATTTCTTCTGTAAGAGCTAATTTTTGCCTACAGCAAGAAACTAGTACGTTCTTAAAGTCTTGGTAAGTATGGTTGAACATACTTTAATGATCCTCTTATCTGAGAGGAAAAAAAAATCTTGAGCTAATATGTGCTAGGAGTTTTACTAAACACCTAACCTTATCCATCAGTTAATCCTCAAAACAGATGGGTGCTACCATGACTCTAGTTCACAGGTGTACATTATGCCCAAGGCCCAGTACTTTGTGAGTAGATAAGGCACAAGTCACACTCTGGCTTTCTGACTCTACAACCCTCAAACGTAGCACTTGGGCTAAATTTCTTTCTTAGATCTGAGTCCTTCATTTCTTTTTGTGACATATGACATATACAAATTGCATACAGCACACCCACATTACCTTTAACAGGGGTTGACAAATATGGCCCATGGGCTGAATGCACCCCACCGCCATTTTTTGTGAGTGAATTTTATTAGAATACACCCGTGCCAATACTTTTGCATAATGTCTATGTCTACTTTCAGGCTATTATGGCAGAGTTGAGTAGTTGTGACAGAAACCATATGGCCTATAAAGCCTAAAATAACTACCGCCTCACCCTTTTCAGAAGAAATTTGCTGACTGTGTTGGTTAATTTTATGTGTCAACTTCAGTGTGCCACAGGGTGTCCAGATTAAACATTGTTTCTGGGTGTATCTGTGAGGGAGCTTCCAGATGAGATTGGCATTTGAATCAGTGGACTCAGAGGAGTAGATGGTCTCTCCAATGGGAGTGGCCATCATCCAATCTCCTGAGAGCCTGAATAGAACAGAAAAGGCAGAGGAAGGAGGAATTTGTTCCTTTTTCTTCCTGCCTGCCTGCTTGAGATGGGACATCCATCTTCACTTATCCTTGAAGTGATGCTTACATCATTAGTTTCTTTGCTTCTTAGGCCTTCTGATTAAAACTGAAATTGCATCACTGGCTTTCCTAGGTTTCCAGCTTGCAGACAGCATATTGTGGAACTTCTCAGGCTCCATAAATGTGTGAGCCATTCCCTCATAATAAATCTCTCTCCATATCTAGTTAGATAGATGATAGATAGATAGATAGATAGATAGACAGATAGATAGATAGATATTCTATTATTTCCATTTATCTGGAGAACCCTGACTGATATGCTGGCCCCAACCTAGATGAGAAAAAGGAACATTGGCAGCATCCTGGAAGTCTGCCCTATGCCTTTCCTGCTGATAGCCTCATCTCTCTTCTCCATCAGTAACCACTATCCTGCCTTTTGTGGTCCTTATTTTCTTTTTCTCCTACATGCTGTTAAACAGTATAGTTTAGATTTGCCTCTTTTTTTTACTGTATAAGAAAGAATTATAATAGATTACTTGTCCAAGTGTCCTGTTGCACATTTACATGGGTTTCTGTTGGGTATATATGTAAGAATAGACTTGCTGGGTCATAGGATATATGTTATCTTCAACTTTAATAGATCATTCCAGGTTTGTTTCCAAAGGGTTTTTGTTCGTCTGTTTTTTTGTTTGTTTGTTTATTTGTTTTAATTGACAGTAGTCATACGTATTCATGGGGTACATAATGACATTTTGATACATATAATGTATGGTAATCAGATCAGGACAATTAGCGTATCCATCGTCTCAAACATTTATCATTTATTTCTGCTGGAAATATGCAATATCCTCCTATCGTCCTAGCTGTTTGAAAACATATATTATGTTGACTATAGTCATCCTACAGTGGCGTAGAACGCATTCTTTTTATCTAGTTGTCATTTTCTGTCCTTAAATAGGGGTCCCCACCCCCTGGGCCACTGACTGGTACCAATCCGTGGCCTGTTAGGAACCGGGCTTCACACAGGAGGTGAGCAGTGGGTGAGCAAGCATTACCAACAGACCTCCACCCTGTCAGATCAGTGGTGGTATTAGATTCCCATAGAAGCCAACCCCTATTATGAACTGCGCATGCAAGGGATCTTGGTTGTGTGTGCCTTATGAGAATCTAATGCCTGATGATCTGAGGTGGAACAGTTTCATCCTGAAACCATCCCCCACCCACCATCTGTGGAAAACTGTTGTCCCCAAAACCAGTACCTGGTGCCAAAAAGGTTGGGAAGCCCTGCTTTAACAGATCTCTCCCTATCCCTCCCTTCTCCTTACCCTTCCCAGCCTCTAGTATCCTCTTCTTTACTTTTTACTTCTGGGATCAACTTATTTTAGCTTCCACATAGGAGTGAGAATATTCAGTGTTTATCTTTCTGTTCCTGACTTATTCCACTAATATGATGTCCTCTAGCTCCATCCATGTTGATGCAAATGGCAGGATTTCACTCATTTTTTATGACTGAATAGTATTTTATTGTGTATATATCACATTTTCTTTATCCATTTTTCTCTTGTTAGACATCTAGGTTGCTTCCATAACTTGGCTATTGTGAGTAGTGCTGCTGCTGCAATAAACATGGGAGGGCAGATATCTCTTCAATATTATGATTTTCTTTCCTTTGGATAAATTCTAAGTGGTGAGATTACTAGATTATATGGTAGAATTACTTGTAGTTTTTCGAGACACTCCCATACTGTTCTCCATATTCTCCACAGTAATTGCATTAGTTAGCATTTCCATCAACAGTGTATAAGCCTTTGCATTTCTCTGCACCCTGGGCAGCATTTGTTATTTTTTGTCTTTTTGATACTAAACATCACTGGGGTGAGATGTTCTTTCGTAGTAGTTTTGATTGCACTTTCCTGATGATTAGTGATGTTGAGCATTTTTAATATACTTGTTGGCCATTTGTATGTCTTTTGAGAAATGTTTATTCAGATGGTTTGTCCATTTTTTAATTGTATTGTTTGGGATTTTTTTTCTGTTGAGTTCTGTTTGAGTTCCTTATATATTCTGGGCATCAATACCCTGTCAAATGAATAGTCTGCAAATATTTTCTCCCATTCTGTAGATTGTCTTTGTTGATTGTTGATTGTTTTCTTGCTGTGCAGAGGTTTTAGTTTGATATAATCCCATTGGTTTATTTTGCCTTTGTTGCCTGAGTTTTTGAGGCATTAATCATAAAATATTTCCCCAGACTAGTGTCCTAAAGCGTTTTCCCTATGTTTTCTTTTAGTAGTTTTATTGTTTCAGGTCTCTGATACATCTTAAGTTGATTTTTGTATAGGGTGAGAGCTGGTGTTCTAGTTTTATTATTCTGCACATAGACATCCAGTTTTCCCAGCACCATTTATTGATGAGACTGTCCTTTCTACAATGTGTGTTCTTGGTGGTCTTATCAAAAACCAGTTGGCTGGAGGTGCATAAATTTATCTCTGGGCTCTCTGTTCTATTCTATTATTCTATGTGTGTGTTTTTAGTCTAGTACTATGCTGTTTTGATTACTACAGCTTTATCGTATATTTTGAGGTATGGAAGTGTGATACCTCCGGCTTTGTTCTTTTTGCTCAGGACTGCTTTGGCTATTCAAGGTGCTGTGGTTCCACACAAATTTTAGAGTTATATTTTTCTATTGCCGTGAAAGATGTCATTGGTATTTGGATAGGGATTGCATTGAATCTGTAGATTGCTTTGAGTAGTATGGTCATTTTAACATTAATTCTTCTGATTCATGAGCAAGAGATGTCCTTCTACTTGCTTTTGTCCTCTTCAATTTCTTTTATATTATTTATTTATTTATTTTATATTTTCAAGCTTTTATTTTAGGTTCAGGAGTACAAGTGCGGGTTTGTTGTACAGGTAAATTTATGTCACAGGGGTTTGTTGTACAGATTATTTCATCACCCAGGTACTAAGCCTAGCACTGGATAGTTAGTTTTTCTGATACCCTTCCTCTTCCCACCCTCTACCTTCAAGTAGGTCCCAATGTCTGTTGTTCCCCTTTTTATGTCCATGTGTTCTCATCATTTAGCTCCCACTTTAAATGAAAACACGTGTATTTGATTTTTTGTTCCTAAATTAGTTTGCTAAGGAAATAGTCTCTAGCTCTATCCACGTTCCTACAAAGGACATGATCTCATTCTTTTTATGGCTGCATAGTATTCCATGGCATATATGTACCACATTCTCTTTATCCAATCTGCTGTTGATGGACATTTAGGTTGATTCCATGTCTTTGCTATTTTGAGTAGTGCTGCAATGAACATATGTTTTCATGTGTCTTTATGCTACAATAATGTATATTCCATTGGTGATATACCCAGGAGTGAGATTGTTGGGTAGAATGGTAGTTCTGTTTTTAGCTCTTTGAAGTATCACCACACTACTTTTCACTATGGTTGAACTAATTTAGACTCCCACCAACAGTGTATGCACATTCATTATTCTCTGCAAACTTGTCAGCATCTGTTATTTCTTGACTTTTTAATAACAGCCATTCTGACTGATGTGAGATAGTATCTCATTGTGGTTTTCATTTGCATTTCTCTAAAAATCGGTAATATTGAACTTATTTCTGGGCTCCCCATTCTGTTCCATTGGTCTAGGCGTCTGTTTTTGTACCAGTACCATGGTGTTTTGGTTACCGTAGCCCTGCAGTATATTAATAGTTTGAAGTCAGGTAACGTGACGCCTCCAGCTTTCTTCTTTTGTTTAGGATTGCCTTGACTATTCAGGCTCTTTTTCAGTTCTGTATGAATTTTAAAATAGTTTTTTCTAGTTCTGTGAAGAATGTCATTGATAGTTTGATAGGAATAGCGTTAAATCTGTAAATTGCTTTAGGCAGTATGACCATTTTAATGATACTCATTCTTCCTATCCGTGAGCTTGGAATGTTGTTCTGTTTGTTTGTGTCATTGCTGATTTCTTTGAACAATGTTTTGTAATTTTCATTGTAGACATCTTTTACTTCCCTGGCTAGCTGTATTCCTAGGTATTTTATTCTTTTTGTGGCAGTTGTGAGTGGGATTGTATTCCTGATTTGGCTCTTGGCTTGGCTGTTGTTGGTGTACAGAAATGCTAGTGATTTTTGTGTATCGATTTTGTATCCTGAGACTTTGTTAAAGTTGTTTATCAGCTGAAGGATCGTTTGAGCTGAGACTATGAGGTTTTCTAGATATAGGATCATGTCATCAGCAAAGAGGGATAGTTTGACTTCCTCTTTTTCTCTTCAGATGCCCTATATTTCTTTCTCCTGCCTGTTGCTCTGGCCAGGA
This sequence comes from Homo sapiens, assembly GCF_000001405.40. Lineage (NCBI taxonomy): Eukaryota > Metazoa > Chordata > Mammalia > Primates > Hominidae > Homo > Homo sapiens. Next base: position 2,372,749 of record NC_000009.12, on the reverse strand, counting down.
CTTCCAATACTATGTTGAATAGGAGTGGTAAGAGAGGGCATCCTTGTCTTATGTCAGTTTTAAAGGGGAATGCTTCCAGCTTTTGCCCAGTAAGCATAATGTTGGATGTGGGTTTGTCATAGATGGCTTTTATTTTGAGGTATATTCCTTCAATACCTAGTTTATTAAGAGTTTTTAACAGGAAGAGATGTTGAATTTTATCGAAAGTCTTTTTTGCATCGAGATAATCATGTGGTTTTTGTCTTTAGTTCTATTTATGTGATGAATCACATTTATTGATTTACATTTGTTGAACCAACCTTGCATCCCAGAGATAAAGCTTACTTGATCAAGATGGATTAGCTTTTTGATGTGCTGCTGGATTCAGTTTATGAGTATTTTCTTTATATGCTCTTCAACTTCTTTCATCAGTGTTTTGTAGTTTTTCTTATAGAGGTCTTTCACCTTCCTGGTTAAATTTATTCCCAGGTATTTTATTGTTTCTATAGCTATTGTAAATGGAATTGCCTTCTTGATTTCTTTTTCAGCCATTGTGTGGTTCATGTATAGAAATGCTACAGATTTTTGTATGCTAGTTTTGTATCCTGCAACTTTCCTGAATTCATTTATCTTTTCTAAGAGTTTTTTGGTAGAATCTTTCCATTTTTCTATATATAAGGCAATGTTATTTGTGGACAGGTACAATTTGATTTTTTCCTTTTCAATTTGGATATCTTTTATTTCTTTTTCTTGCCTAATTGCTCTGATTAGGACTTCCAGCACTGTGTTGATCAAGAGTGGTGAGAGTGGGCAATATGTCTTTTTCCAGCTCTTAGAGGAAAAGCTTTCAATTTTTCTCCTTTTAGTATGATGTTAGCTGTGAATTTATCATATATGAACTTTATTATTTTGAGGTACTTTTCTTCTATATGTAATTTATTATCAGTTTTTATCATAAAGTGATGTTAAATATTATCAAAGGCTTTTTCTGTATTTATTGAGATGATTATGGGTTTTGTCCCTTATTCTATTGGTGTAATGTATGATGTTTATTGATTTGCAAATGTTGAATTATCCTTGCATTCCTGGGATAAGTCCCATCTGATCATGGTTATTATCATTCTGATATGTTGTTGGATTTGGTTTGCTATTATTTTGTTGAGGATTTTTGTATCTATGTTTATCAGGGATATTGGACCTTTTTTTGGTTGTTGTGTCATTGTCTTCTTTTGATAATAAAGTTAGGATGGCCTCATAGAATAAGTTTGGAAAAAAAATCACTCTGCTTCAATTTTTTGGAGTAGTTTGAGAACTGGTACTAATCCTTTTTTAAAGTTTCAGTAGAATTCAGTGGTGAAGACATCCATTCATGAATGTTTCTTTGTTGGAAGACTTTTTATTACTGACTCAATGTTGTTAATTGTGATTGGTCTGTTCAGGTTTCCTGTTTCTTCTTAGTTCAATTTTCGTAGGTTGTATGTGTCCAGGAATTTATCCATTTTCTCTAGATTTTCAAATTGATTGGTATGTACATTCATAGTACTCTCTAATGGTTCTTTGTATTTCTGTAGTATTCATTTTGCCATTCAGTATGCCATCTCCTTTTTGTTACTGATTTTTAGGCCTTCTTTAATTTTTCTTAGTCTAGCTAATGGTTTGTTGACTTTATCTTTTTTAAAAAACAGTTTATTGTTTTATTGATCTTTTGCAATTTTTAGTCTCAATTTTATTTCTGCTCCTTTAATCTTCATTATTTCTTTTCTTCTACTAACTTTAGGTTTGTTTTGTTCCTGCTTTTCTAGTTAGTCAAGGTGCTTCATTAGGTTGTTTATTTGAAATATTTCTAGGCTTTTGATATAGACATTAAATGCTAAAAGCTTGCCTGTTAATAATGCTTTTGCTTTGCCCCCATAGATTTTGGTATGTGGTGTTTCTATTCTCATTTGTTTCAAGGAATTTTTAAATTTTATTCTCAATTTCTTTTTCCACTTATTGATCACTCAGGAGCTTGTTGTTTAATGTCCACATATTTGTGTAGTTTTGAATGTTTCTCTTGTTACTGATGTCTAGTTTTATTCCATTGTGGTCAGATAAGATACTTCATATGGTTTTGATTTTGAAAAATTTTTTGAGACCTGTTTTGTGTCCTAACATATGGTCAATCCTGAAGAATGTTTTGTGTGCTGATGAAAAGAATATGCATTTTTCAGCTATTGGGTGAAATGTTCTGTAAATGTCTGTTAGGTTGATTTGGTCTATGGTGCAGTTTCAGTTCAGTGTTTCTTGTTGATTTTCTGTCTAGATGATCTGTTGGGGTGCTGAAGTCCCCAAATATTATTGTATTGAGGTCTATCTCTCCCTTTAGATCTAATAATATTTGCTTTATATACCTGGGCAATCCAGTGTTGGTTGTATACATATTTATAATTGAAATATTCTTTTGTTGAATTTATCACTGTATTATCATATAATGTCTTTATTTGTCTCTTTCCAGCTTTTAACTTGAGGTCTGTTTTATCTGCTATAAGGACAGCTACTCTTACTTGTTTTTGGTGTCCATCTGCATGGAATATCTTTTTCTATTCCTTCATTTGCAGCATATGTGTCTTTACAGGTGGGATAAGTTCTTATAGACAGCTTATAGTTGGTTCTTCTTTTTTTAATCCACTCAGCCAATCTATATCTTCAAATTTTCATTCAAAATTTGATAGATGAGCACTTACTTCTGTCATTTTATTGATTATTTTCTGGATATTTTATTAATCGCTTGTTCCTTACTTCCTCTTATTGTTTGCTTTTGTTATTGGGTCTTTTCTGTAGTGATAAGGTTAGATTCTCTTTCTCCTTTGTGTGTCAACTCTACCAGTGAATTTTACAGTTTTACATGTTTTCATGATGGTGTTTATACTTCCAGATGTAAGACTACCTTGAGCATTTTCCATAAGGCTGTTTCAGTGATGATGAATTCTCTCAGTTTTTGCTTGTCTGCAAAAGATTTTGTTCTTCATTTCTGAAGGATAATTTTGCTAAGTATAATATTCTTGCCTGGTAGTTTATTTATTTCAGTACTTTGAATATATTATCCTATTTTCTCCTGGCCTTTAAGGTTTCTGCTAAGAAGTCCTCTGTTAGTTTAATGAGGATTCTTTTATTTGTGACCTGAAACTTTTCTCTTGCTGCTCTTAAAAATCTTTGTTTCTTCTTCTTCTTTTTTTTTTTTTTTTTTGTTAAAAAAAAATCTGGCCTTACTGGATCAAAATTCCTTGTTTCTTTCTGACTTTTGATAATTTGACTATAATGTGTCCCAGAGATGACCTCTTTGGGTTGAATTTATTTGGGTTTTTTTGAGCTCCCTAGACCTGGATGTCCATCTCTCTCCAAACCTTGGGAAATTTTCTGCTATTATTTCATTACATATGTTTTTTCTCACCTTTATTTCTTCTCTTCTTCTTCTGGAATACTCATAATATGAATATTTATTTGCTAAATAGTGCTGCATAAATCTCATAGGCTTTCTTCATTCTTTTTATTCATTTATTTACTTATTTTTCTCTGTGTTATTTCAAACCTGTCTGCAAGTTCAGAAATTCTTCTGCTTGGTATAATCTATTGTTGAGGTGCTTGATTGTATTTTTTATTTTTATTCCCTAAATTCTTCAGTTCTAGGATTTTTGTTTGGTTCTTTTTTATGACATCTATCTCTTTGCTAAATTTCTCATTCAAATCATGAATTATTTTCTTGATTTAATTGAATTGTTTATCTGAATTCTGAATTGTTTTGTATCTCACTGAGCTTCCTTAAGATTATTATTTTGAATTCTTTTTCTGGAATTTCATATATTTTCTTATGATTGAGGTCTATTACTGGAGAATTATTGTTTTCCTTTGAAGGTTACATGCTTCCTTGCTTCTTCATGGTTGACATATTGCTACACTGATTTCTACACATCTAAGAGAAAAGTCACCTCTTCCAATTTTGCAGAGGAGGTTTCATAGGGAACGACTTACTCAGATGAATGGGTCTTGGGGTGTCAGTTTGGTGGCATGTGTTGGTCTTGGTTTTAGGTAGACTCAGTAGTTTAGTCTTCAAGTAGTGTCTTTAGTTGTAATCCACAGTAGTGATGTTTGTGAGTTTCTCAGTGACCTAGGCTGAGAGCATCTGTGATGGAAGTGGTGTGGCTTTTCCAAGGGTAGGCTCACCAGGCTGTTTCTCAGGTTAGGAGCACAGGTGTGCACATGATGCATCAGCCAATTTGGGGTCTGGCTCACTGGAGTTGTGGCCATGGGCATGTTACTCTGACTGGGAGCACAGGTCCATGGTTGTTTGGCCATCCTAAGGGAATGCCCACCAGGAGTGGCCTGTGGGACTGTTCCTCAGGCCTAGTATGCAGGCATACATCTGCTCAGCTAACCTGGGGTCATGTCTGCTGGGGGCAACCTACGAGACTGTTTCTAAAGCCCAGGACATAGCTGCATGACTACTTGGCTGGTCTAGGAGGTTTGTCTGTGGGTGGTGGCCCACCTAGCTGTTTCATGGGTCCAGGATGCTGGTGTGTCACTGCTTGGTTGGCCTGGGGCCTTGACCACTAGGGGCAGCCTGTGGAGTTATTTCTCAGTCCTAGGGTGTGTGTGCACAGCTCCTTGGCCAGCCTAAGGGAGTTTCTGGTAGAGGCAGCCCACAGATCTGTTTCTCAGACTGATTGTAGATGCAGGGCTGATGGACTGGTCATAGGCCTGTCTGCAGGGTTTGGGGTACCTCAGGGCTGTTTCTCAGGCTCTGGGCCCAGGTGCATTACCATTCTGCTGGCCTGGGAGCATGTCAGCAGCTTGGAGGCTTGAGAGTCTCTCTTGCCCAAAGGCAGCCTTACTCTGGGCAGGATTGCCAGTCTGTTCCTCTGGCTGGAAGTAAGGGTGGCAGGAGTTGGTTTCTCTGCTGTCTAGGATCAGCCTCATACTCAATCCTGGGCCTAGGCTCCACACTGCTGGGATTGTGGTGTTCAGCTATTGGTATGGGCACAGTAGTATGAAGATAGGATTCCAGTGCTGGAGAAGTACAGTGCCTACTGGTCTCTAGAGCAGGGCACACTCCAGAGGTGGCTCTGGTCTCAAGATAGCACCATGCTGCAGCAGCATGGCCCACAGGGAATGGGTGGAGGGGTAGAGAAGTTAAACCTTGACCTCCCAATCCAGAGTAATGCAACTGCATGAATCCTCAGCACCTCTTCAAACTGGGCGACTGTGGGATTCTCCTGTCATAAGGACTGTAGGTGTTTGTGGTGGTAATGTGGGCTGGTGGAGATCTTCTGCTTACCTTCCTCCACACCTCCCAAAGGAAAGTGCCTCCTAACTCTAGGCAGATTTGATCTAGGTGAGGGAGATGGGGCTACACAGTTCAGGTGCTTCCATACTGCTGTCCTGGACTTCTGATCACCACAGGTGTGTCTCTACTCACCTGATGCACTCCAGCACTCTGGCGTCAACACTCCAGTCAAAGCTTAGCTATTTTTTCATTGCCTTGCTGCTTTGTTGTGAGAGGGACAAATGCCAGGCATCTCGAGTAAACCTTCTTGTTGACATCACTCTATCTATTGTCTCCAGAAGGTTTTATAGACTTATACTCCAACTGTTGGTCCACATTCTCATCAACATTGATACTGTCAAATATATGAGGTTTTATTTGTCAGTTTGTTAAGGATGCCTGGAGGTAAACTTATCTCACTGTGGTTTAACTTGTGTTTTCGTAATTACAGATTGAGGACTTTTTCATATGCCTATTGTCCACTTGAATTTTCTTATTATCTGAAGTTCTTATCCTTTTTCCTAACAATTTATGTTTTTCTTATTGATTTCTAGTTCTTTATAAATTCTGGATACTAGCCTTTTGTTAGTTATATGTAAGGCAAATCACTTCTCTCATTCTATGGCTTTTGTTTTCACTCCTTTTATATTGCCTTTTGATGAAGAAAAGTTCTTGATTTTTAAGGTAGTCAAATTTATCAGTCTTTTATTTTATGATTAGTGCTTTACTGTGTCTTAAGTTCTCCCCTACCCTGAGGACACTCTCCTATATTATCTCCTTAAAGCATTATAGCTTTGACTTTCATACTAGGTCTTCAACTAGAATTTACTTGTGTATGTTGTGACATAGGGATCCAATAATTTATTTTTCAATATTGCTACCCATTCGTCCCAACAGAATTTACTGACAATACTTTCCTTCCTGTTTTTCTTCAGGGCCCCTCTTTCATATATGTAGGGACCATGTATGCACGGATGTGCTTTCTAGGTTGTCTATTTTGTTCCATTGGCACAGAATCACCATATCGGTATTATTGGTGTGTATATCTCCACACCAATATAATACTGTCTTAATAAGTGTAAAATAAGTTGTGAAAACTAATAAAACAATTCTTCCCATTCTTGAAGAAAAACACCTTCCATTGTTCTTCTTCAAGAGTCTATTTGACTATTTTTGGCTATTTGTACTTGCATATAAATTTTATAATTGACGTGCCAAATTCCACAAGTTCTATTAAATTTGTGAATCAATTTGGGGAGATTTGACAATTTTTACAGTATTGAGTCATTCACTCCATGATCATAGTATGTCTATATTTATTATCATCTTTAAAATTTTTCAATAAAGCTTAATTCCTTTCTCATTATAGGTGCTATGTGTGTTTTGTTATTCTGGTTTATTTTTTAAAAATTTATCTTGGATGCTGATTTATAGGACTATAAATGATTCTGTATTAAATTGTGTATCTAGACACTTGCCAGAGTCTCAAGTTAATTCTGGAAATTTTCTATGTATCTTTTTATTTTAGAGATAAAGATTATAACACCCACAATGGTGGGAGATTTGTTTTCAACTGTTAAAACTTTCTTTTTCTGACTTAGTGCACTGACTACGATCTTCAGTACAATTTGAAATAACAGTAGTCATAACAGTTACTTTCTTGCTTCTGATTTCAAAGGGAAATATAACATTTTACAATTAAGCATGGTATCTGCTGAACAGTGTTCTATATACTCTTTCTGAATTAGGTAGTTCCTTTCTTACTACTCATTTGTTAAAAGATTTTTTAAAAAATCACAAGTGATATTGCATTTTATCATAAGCTTTTTCTTTATTCATTGATATGATTATTTGATTTTTAAAATTAATATCTTAAGGTGGCTAATTACATTAATTCCAAACCAATCTTTAAACTTACCTTGCTTTTCTGGAATAAACCCAATTTGGTCCTAATGCATTATCTTTTTTATATATTACTAGATTCAGTTTGCTAGTATTTTGTTTAGGATTTTGGCAACTATATTAGTGAGGGAAGTTGGCCTGTAGTGTTCCTTTCTTATTACTGTCCTTGTAAAGCTCTAGTAAGAGAGTTATTTTCATAAAATGTAAGTATCATGTGATGAAAACATGTTATGTTTATACCATACCATTTTGACATTTTTTATATATGAGACAGTATTTTTCAACTTCCATTGCAGTTATGTTAACCAATAGAAATATGGGTACAAAGAATATGTGCTTATAGCCTACGTCCTATAAGAGTGGTTGCACCTTCTCCATATTTTCTCTTGTAGGCCATTTGCATTCCAGATGGTGTAATTCCAAGACAGAGAAGCAGTGGGGTATAGTATGAATTACCCCTAGAGTGTGTTCCATCTTTTTCTATTATCTTGTAAAAAAGAATTTGTATTATATTTTAAAACTTATTTTTTTAAGACTTGAGGTGGAATCCACCAATGGCTTTCTTGGTAAGAAGATATATGACTTCTGATTCCATTTCATTAATGGTTGTAGAATTGTTCAGCTTTTCTATTTCTCCTTAAGACAATAATGATAAATGACATTTTTAAGGAATTTGATCATTTTGTTAAGTGTTTCCAGTTTATATAAAGTTATTTGCTTATATAAATCATTTACTTATTTACATAATAAGTATCCACTTATTACATTTTTAAATGTTTGCAACACCTTTTAAATATTTATTTTTTCATTTCTGATACTCATGATTTGTGTTCTTTGTTTCTTTTTTATCAGTCTTGCCTGAAATTTCTCAATTTTATTAATCTTTTCAAAAATCCAACTTTTAACTTTGTGGATTCTTTTTATTTTGTGTGTAACTGTTAAAGTGTTTCTAATCTTATCTTCATTTCTTTCTTTGAGTTCATTTAGCTTTTATTCTGATTTCTTCAGGTAAATTATATTTCATTAACTTGCAGCCTTTATTTTTTTCTAAAAGAAGAATTTACAATTATAAATCTCCAAATGCTGCCACTTTTCTCCCCTTACAGAAAGGCAATAAAGTCATTTTCATTGCTCAATTAAAAATATTTTCTATTTTCATTTTATAATTTGTTCTCTGACCTATAGATTATTTGGAAGTAGATTTCCTAGTTTCTATATTAACAAGAATTTTCTAATTTTCTTTTTGCTATTGATTTCCAGATTAATTGCAACGTGTCAGAGAACATGGTATATAAAACTCGTTCGGGTTCTTCTTAATTTCCCAAGTTCTATTTTCACTTAGACTGTAGTTCATTTTTATCATGTGACCTGTTTGATATTTTAAAGATTTTTTAAAAAATTAAATTGCTTTTACTTAAAGTTTTGGTTTAGATAACTTAATTTTCCATTCTCAAAATCACATCTATGCATGTATGTGTGTGTATGTATATCTGTATGAATGTTTTGGGGGTGTCCCATACAATATGGTTGAGCCTCTGAAATGATAGATCCTAACATGGCCAGGGGATATTATTTTGGGACCCACTTGTCAGGCTTGAAATCCATAAGGCCGCCTTCTGCCTCCCCAAATGCTACATTTCTCTCAGAATGTAGGAATCATGCTTTGTCCCTTTCTTTTGGTAGAGCTCAGCAATGCCTACAAAATCCTTAAGCAAAACTGATTATCAGATGAATTCCAACTCTAAGGAGTTTGGCTTGATTGTACTAGGTCTTAAAAATCTTTGCTAAAGGCAACAACTTATATCTTTACAAAACTTTTGAGTTTTTAAAGCACTTTAAGCATTGTCTTCTCATTTAACCCTCACATCATCCTTGTCAGCTAAGCAAGGCAAGGATAGTGGATAAGGACTGTTCTCCTTACTCACTAACAAGTGGATAAGATAGTGGATAAGAGAACAGTCCTGGCTCTTAGGTCCCACCTCCCTCCTCTGTGGAAAGTGCTCCAAGGAGGAGGCTAGTGTTCCACAGAGGAGGGAGGTGGAACCTACGAGCCAGGGCTGTTCTGTTGATTTAGCACTCTTCAGCCACAATGCTCAGCATCAGCACAACTCTAACATAGAATATTCTCAAAATGAAAACTGTGAAAGCTGTACTGCTTAATAAATAGTCAAATATTACGAACTGAGCTGTGAGAATGAGAGTGTACATTCTAACAGTTGTCAACAGCCCTTCTTCTCACAAGTTACGCAATTTCCCATCCTGAAAATAAAAACGAACGTCACCATTATTATTTGTATTATTATTACCATCACCACTCATTCTACTACTAATAATTAGGAGTTTAAGAATCTGGCTTTCTTTTCCTTCTCCTCACACCTTTTCTTTCTTCTCTCTCTTCATCTCCTTCGCTATATCCCTCCCTTCTTTCTTGTTTTACTGTATTCTTCTTGTCGTGCTTTTCTTCTTTCTTTTCTCTCTTCTTGTTTATTTTTTATACAGAGCTTTCCATTTGCATTTGAATGAAATTGAGCAGGGGGATTTAGGAGAGGGTAAGGGAGGAGGTTAAGTTAGTTTCAAGTTGTGTTTTCCGGGCTCAGGGATTGGTGTTTGAGCTACCCATAGAACTCAGCTGAAACCTATGTGAACTTAAAGTAACCCAAATAACCCCAGGTCTCAATATGTTTATGAACAAATAACATCATATTACAGTTAAATCTGAACGTTACAAACTCTAGTATCTGGACCACGACATACAGAATTTCCAACCTCATGAAAAGAACCCCGTACCAGTAACTTGGAAGAGTATCCAGGATTATCCTACATACATCACTCAACATTGTTCTCTGTCCCTTTTATCTTTACCATGCTGCCTTTCTTGTCAGCTGCAATGAGGTAGACATCCTGTGGATATCCTTAACTGCCATTTTTTTTTCTTAAGAGACAGGGTATTGCTGTGTCATCCAAGCTATACTGCAACCTTGAACTCCTGGCCTCAAGTGATCCTCTTTCCTTGGCCTCCAAAAGTGTTGGCATTACTGCTATGAGCCAACACACCAGGCCTGGCTGTCATATGCTTAATCCTCAAGTCACCTCACTAATTCAGCAGATGAAATCACAATAATAAGAATGCCTTATTCCCTCTGTCACACTCAGTTAGAGGGAGTGCCACGGCAAGATTGTTTATGCCCAGACATGTTACTGAGTTTAATAATATAGCCACTTGAGTTTCTATGCAAAGTGTGGACTAACACACAGGTAGGTGAGTCAGGGTGGATCTTAGTACCAGCTGCCAAGATTTACCCAGAGTCATGCTTACCTCACACTCAGACGTGCAAATTTTTTCTTCCTCATGGTGAATTCTCTCTCAAGGACCCTGACTTTTTTTGTTTTTTTTCTTGAGACAAAGTTTCACTCTTGTTGCCCAGGTTGAAGTGCAATGGCGTGATCTCAGCTCATTGCAACCTCCACCTCCTGGCTTCAAGCGATTCTTCTGCCTTGGCCTCCCGAGTAGCTGGGATTACAGGTGACTACCACGATGCCCAACTAATTTTTTGTATTTTTAGTAGAGACGGGGTTTCACCATGTTGGCCAGGCTGGTCTCAAACTCCTGACCTCAGATGATCCACCCGCCTTGACCTCCCAAAGTGCTAGGATTACAGGCACGAGCCACCGTGCCTGGCCCAACCCTGACTTTTTCTAACAGACTTTTGAGGACCTGTTTACCTAACTCTGCCCAGGCCATGTGACATGCCAGGTGGTGTATGTCTGAAGTTCAGTTTCAGGCTGGTATGAAGTATTCCCAGGAGGCTCCTTGGCTCCCATGATAACAAGAGGGTGAAGTAGTCAAGTAGGCAGTAAGGATTAAGGTTCACTTGTCTTCCTCTATGACTGTTGTATCCACATCTTGGGTTAAGCCCAACTGAGGTCTTTGGTATCCCCTGCAGACTACCCATCGATATCTACTCTCCTCTTCTTTTTGAAAAAGAAAATTTAATTTTATTCAGAGTGACAATGTATTCTGCTTAAAAATTGTGTGTCCTAATCTCTCTTGTAGATAGGGGTGACCATACAACTAAGGTCCAGCCAATGAGATGGAAGTAGAAGTGGGTGGGGCTTCAGGAACTCTCCTTAAAGTAGAAAGAGACCCAAGCTCAGGCACATGTTTGCCCTTCTCCTCCCTCCTCCTTAGGTCCTGGAATTGGATACAAATGGCCAAGGTTCTAAAAGTGCTTTGTACCTTGACGTAAACTTAAGGTTTGCAGGTAGGCACTAAGCAAGGATAGCAGTGCAGAAAGGTAAGAGGGAATCTGATTCCTGTGATAGGATTTGCCGTATCAGCCCTGGACTTGCTACTTCCAGACACTGATTACTAGACAGAAAAATAAACCTGTAATTGTACTGGCTCTTGCTATTTTCAGTCTTCTGTTAGTTGGCACCTTTTCCTACTTAGAACTGATGAAGTCCTCTTGTGGTGAGCTGGGTTTGGAGCAGGTTTTCCTGGGATCCTATCCCCAGCTGCCCCATACTTACCTTGTGTCCTTGAGCAATTTATTCAAGTTCCTTGTGCCTGCTTAATTTCCTCATATGAGGAATAGAATAATTAGAGCACCTACTCATAGTAATTAAGAGGATCAAATTAGATAATACTTATAAAGTCCTTAGAATAGTCCTTGGCACAATCTTCGTTAAATAAATGTTATTTTTGTTATTACCAGTATTATCATTACACATGAAAGGAGAACACCTGTTTGTATATTGATTGTTTGGCTTTCTTCAGTGTTGTTATATCTACTGTTTCATTGAAAACTGCTCAAGTTCTACTCATCTGAGTCTTACATCACAGATGAAGAGGGAGCTTCTTGCTAGTAGCCTTTGTTTCCTCCTTACCTGTAGAAAGGTGAGAATTGTAGGTGTATATTTGTATACATGTTTCCTTCATGATTTTTGACACCAAAGAATGACCTGGTTTTAATAAAAGTTATAGATCCAGTATTTTATCTTTAAGCTCAATGTCAGCAAAAACTCTGGCAAGCCTATAGTTTCTTCATTCCAGATTTTAAATTGCTCTGCAAACTGCATTACTTCCGCCCAGCATGACAATATAGCCAACTCTGCCACACAGGGCAGGATGAAGTGGCTGTTACAAAGCTTTTGCAGACATATGTCACTGTTTTGCAAGGAAAAAAAAAAAACTGAAGTGCAGAGAGGCCCACTTCAATCCAAAGGCAGAAAACCTCAAGCAGAAATCCATCCAGATGCCCCTCAAGTGACTCCCTTGGTGATGAAAATAGGAATGGTTGAAATTGAAAATGACATGGGAAGAATGAGGCACTATCTGAAGGAGACACAAAAAACAAGAAGCCCATGAATGCAATTTGTTCCCACTCCATTATTCAGCATCTGCTGTTAACCCTTTGTCATTGGCATCCTTTTGTGTTAGGCCACCTCAGAGATTTCTGGTTTTCAGAGACAGATGATGAGTTCCAAACCCACTGTGAATAGGCCATTTGCTGACATTTGTTTCTCTAGCAAGGGTGAATGCGTAGGGCTTGTTTGCAGCAGGACAGCTGCACATTGTCTTACTCCTGCCTGAGTACAGGGACAGCAGCAAGACAATGGCCAGCCCTCGGGGGCAGCCCTTAGGAAGATCACCAGCCAGGTGCATGGCTTCGAGGTGGCCAGTTTGGGTTTATTTTCAGAAGGTGCTGGTTTACATTCTCCTGGGTTTGCCTCTTGGAAAGAGGCAGAAACAATGAAAAGGAGTCAGAGAAGAAGCAAATTATCCATGGAAAACAAGGATCTGAATTTAGCACTCTTCTTGAGCGTTCTGAAGATTACAGATACATCGGGCTGGCCAAGTGGGTATGCTGGGCAGAGTTCAAAGGAGAAAACTCCTCATGCGTAGTGGCCAGAGTGCAGGCTTCACTCAGTCCTGAACCAAAGGGCTCATTTCTGCAAAGCCAAATGGCCTGGCAGCTTAGCTGGAAACAAACAAACAAACAAACAAAAAATACATCTCCTTCTAAATCTGCAAAACACTAGGAAACATTTTTGTGCTCAGGGAGGTCCATACACTCAAAAGAAGCTGCCCAAGGCCCTGTTTGATATGCGGAGGTCACTGGCAGCACATGGTCTAATAAATGGTGAGGGAAAAATTCACAACAGCAACTATGTTTTTCTACCGGACTCCATGTGCTCCTTTGAGTCTTAGCCTTGCTGTCTTCTTGATGCTTTTGATAATTATTTAATTGGTCTTCAATTTAAATAGATGCTGTTTGAACTGCTTTTGGGGGCTGATGGAGAGAGTGACTGATTATACACCTCCCAGATGAATAAATGCACTTTTTCCTTCTCTGTGATCATAAAAAAAAAAGCAGCACTTCGGATGCATTGATAGACCTAAACTAAGGTGGGGAACTGAAGTAGTTTCCTCTGTAATTTTTGATACACAAATGCTCTTTTTGGAAATATCCAGGTATCTAATGGCAAAGTACAGCTTTGCAAAGAAACAACTGAATTATGGACAGTTTGGGTAAGGTAAAGGGTAAAAATCACTGCTTTCTTACTTTTTGTAATAGCATATTGTAAGAAAAAAATGTGAATCTCTTAGACCTAATATTAAATAATTGTACATCCTACATAAAAACTCTGTCTTTAACCTGGACTTGGCACTTCAATAATATTTCATTGATTTCTCTAAAAACTTTGAATTCAGGCCACTTAAGGCTTGATGAAAGAATAGGATGCATTTTCTTTCTAAACTCAGACTTCTATGCTGCTATCAAGTGAGAAGTTTTTAAAACACTATACAAAGACAAAGTATAAGGTTGTTATAATTGTTTGTTTTACTAGCCACATCGATGATAATAATGTAGATAGCTAATCCCAAAATATCAATGTGTAAATGCCATAAGTAATATGATTTCATACAAAACTTAGCTGGGCATGGTGGTGGGTGCCTGTAGTCCCAGTGACTCAGGAGGCTGAGCCAGGAAGAATCACTTCAACCCAGGAGATGGAGGTTGCAGTTAGCCGAGATTGTGCCGCTGCATTCCAGCCTGGGCAACAGAGCAAGACTCCATCTCCAAAAATAGTAATAATAATAATAGTATGATTTCAAATCAGGTCCTCTCTCTGGCTCAGCAGAGCTGAGTAATCCAATTGTTGCCATAGACTGGATTATACCCCTACCTTGAGATCTTGTTAGGCACTAGAGTAGTCTTTAGGGGAACTCCTGCTTTATGTTGTAGGATTCCCATTTGGCTATCTATCAGGCAGAGTAATATAGCACCTGTGTTTTTCCTGCAGTCCCAGCAGGTTAGGAGGATTAGTGAGATAATCCCATTGTAAAACATTTTGACCATCAAAAACAAAACTGGGAGTCATGAATCATGCCCCTGAGAGAGGGAGGCCCATCACTCTATCTTTTGCAAAGCCATAACTAATCCCACATAGACCCTGTTGTCCCTTCCCCTGTGGTCTTACCACCTGCGTACACTTCTCTCTGGCAGTCATCAGAGCATGTTGTCAATGTGTCCTCAAGACACTGGGAGAACTTGAGGAACCATATATTATTCATCTTGGTGGCACAGTGGGAGCTCAAGAAATATTAGTTGAAGAAGTGATTATATGCCCATCATTTCTATTATCAAAAGGTATTGATTTGACTCAACATAATCTACTTTAGTGAATGCCATTCTTTTTATTTTGGTGAGAAGGGTATAAGTAGGGCTAGAAGAACCTGGAGCCAGCTTGTCTTCCCTCTGGTAACCAGCGTTCACTTGTTTTAGCAAGAACCATTTCTGAGTTTTAAAGAAACATTCTTCTTACAGTCATTAATGTCATTGATTCCTCACGGGAGTTAGGAACGGTGACCTACAGAACGGCCTGTGCCCTTTGCTTTGGCCAAATGGAAGGTGATGCAGCTGATAGAAGAATGGAAGGAAACAAAAATATCTAGAGTCCCTACTATGTGTCATCCATCTGTAACAACATGTTAGCTTGAATGGTGTCAGACTGGTGATCTGCAGGTCCAACCTGGACTGAGATTACCTTTGATGGGCCCATGTATTTTTAAGAGATTTGATTTTGAATGCTATAGGTCCAGTAGAGCAGGTATAGCTCATTGGAGTCCCCATAACCCTGCCTATTATCTCACATGTGATACATTTTACAAATTAATGTGACCTACAAGACTCTGGCAGGCAGTCAAATTTGCACGATGATCAGTTAAACCACCTTTAAACTTGTCTTTTTATTATTTTATTAAACACATGAAAGAGCTAAGGCCCAAGGCCACTTATCTGGTTAATGCTGTAGGCAGCCTTCTAAAATGGCTTCCAGTTGTCCCCACCTCCTGTTATCCACTCTTTGTGTAATTCCTGCTGTTTCTATGGGGTCTGGATCTAATGACTTGCTTCTATATGTTTATAGAAGACAGCAAAAATAATGGAAAGCCACTTCCAAGATCAGGTTATAAAAACCCTCTGGGCCAGGCATGGTGGCTCAAGCCTGTAATCCCAGCACTTTGGGAGGCTGAGGCAGGCAGATCACGAGGTCAGGAGTTCGAGACCAGCCTGACCAATATGGTGAAACCCCGTCTCTACTAAAAATACAAAAATTAGCCGGGTATGGTGGCACGTGCCTGTCGTCCCAGCTACTCGGGAGGCTGAGGCAGAAGAATTGCTTGAACCCGGGAAGCGGAGGTTGCAGTGAGCCGAGATTGTGCCACTGCATTCCAGCCTGGTGACGGAACAAGATTCTGTCTCAAAAAAAAAAAAAAAAGAAAGAAAGAAAGAAAGAAAAAGCTGTAACTTCTGTCTTGCTGGCACTCTCTCATTCAATCTTTTGCCCTCCTGGCTTGCTCACTTTGGTGAACCAAGCTCTCATGTTAGAAAGGCCCACAAAGCAAGGAACTGAGGGTGGCATTTGGCCAACAGTTAGCAAGGAACTGAGGTCCTCAGTCCAACACCCAATGAGGAATTGAATCCTGCCAATAACCACTGAATGAGTTGGAAGTGAATTCTGCCCCAGTCAAACCACGAGATGCCTGTGGCTCAGCCTGCGTCTTTATAACAGCCTTCTAAGAAATCCTGGGCCGACACCTCGATTGCAGCAGTGGAGAAATTCTGAAGCAGATGACCCCACCCAGCCATACCCAGATTCCTGACCCGTAGAAACTGGGAGATAATAAAAGTGTATTGTTTTAAGGTGTTACCTTTGTGGAAATTTGTTGTATATTAATAGCCTTCTAAACAAATACAATGGCAAAGTAAGCAGTAAAACCTCAACCTCCGGCCTTCTATTCATCACTCAATGCACTGTAGATATTGATGGCATGGAGCCCTGTTAATCCATCACTAAATGTCTGTGCTATTATGCCCAGAGTAAAAGGATCGTCCTCATTTTTAGTCCAGACGAAAGACTTCACAAGCATTAAAATAGCTCCAATTGATCAAAAATTAAACAGAGCAAGATAGAATTAAAAAATGAACACAAGTCACTGGAGTGTTATGCTTGAAATTATTTCTGTGTTTAGGGAGGGAAGTTTGGTTCTTTAAAGTTACTTTGAGAGGAAGTTTGTCCATGTTGGGGAAAAACATATCCTTTTTCCTTCACCCCACTGTCCACAGCAGTGCAGGAGATTCTACCAGACCAGGAAGGAGCTGTGGGTGGGAAAGCTCCACGTGGAACTGCTCAGCTGACCTCGATGCTGCTGGATCCCTCGTGTCTGTCGGAAATGAACTGGAAGGGTGGGGTCACTGGCCCCACAGCAGGCGCTCCCTCTGGTCTTCGCCTTTATCATCCTTCATTATTCTGTTTTCCCGCCTTGGCTTGGGGCCAGCCCTTCTGTCCTGCCATCTTCTGAGACTGTGAATAATTCCCTCCCTTCATTTACATTGCTTCTGTGAAGTGTAACTTTATCATGTTCCTCCAGAGCCTTCTCTTTTTCTAGGTTATATAAATTTAGCTCTTCACTCTTTTTTCATAACTTGCCCTCCAATTCTCTTGCTAGTTTATTAATTTTCCTTCATTTCTTGCACATTTGCACAGGTACACACCCTTTTTGCATAGTAAAGGGCCATGGGAAACAGGAATGAAGAAACTGTGAAAATGCCAAAATGTAAACTGAGAAGAGGGGAAACAGGAAATGTCTTTAGACTGATAGTAAATGCATAGAAACTTTTTTGGAAAAGGCCCATGAAAAGAATGCCATTTAAAAAAGGTTATGGTTTTTGGAACCTGTATTCAGTTTCTCCCTCCAGATAGAGAGTTCTAATTAAAATCAGCCTATAAGATGTTTTCAACATGTGCCGAGGGCTGGGCCATGAAAAATCTTTCTCTGACACTCCTGTTCTCCCTTTTCCCACTCTAATCTTTCCTCTCCCCAGAAAAACAAAAACAAAACTCACTTGCACCCAGCTGATTTCAACAACTCAAACGAGTTCCAAAACACGGAGAGCCGCAGAGAAGCCACGTTCCCTCAGGTGAAGGACAGGGCATGGGCACTGACTCTACCCTCCCCACCCAACCCACCGCCTCAGGGTAACTGCAAGGCTCTCCCTGTGTGTTTAAAGTCTGCAGATTGTTATGGGGACAGATGCCCTCCCTACCTTGCCCCTGAGCTTCTCAGCTCACCGTACCTGCTTCTGGGGGTCACACTTGGGGTTGCTTTATTGCACTACAGGAAATACTTGAGGGAGAATCGATGAATCTATGCCTTGTTTTTATTTTTCTAGAAACACAATCAAAACCCAAGTTCCTTTTCTTTTATGATTTCAAAAGCTTTGTTTTATTTTTCTCTCCCTTTTTCTGGCCTCGTTAATGTTTCTGTTGTAAGGAGTTGAAAATAAAAATGACCCAGGACTTGTATGTGGCCACTTCTAGCATTAGGGGCTAACAAGAATGATTGCCTTCCAGGCTTTCTCTGTTACAATAGCAAGGCACTTGGCACTGCGTAGACTGAGACACGACTAACACAGGATAAAATCTGGGCAACAATAGCGTGCTTTTAAACAAAATCTTATGGTTACACATTTACTTCAGATCCCAAGAACTTCCCAAGCTTTTACTTTATATTATCTGCAAAATGTGGTTACTCCTCTTCTACTGGTGGACACCCTGAACTGCAAAGAGGTTCTGAGACTTCCCCTTTCTACATTGTTGGCTGCAGGCCTGAGGCCGGAAGCCAGGGTCCCAGTTCTCCAGAACTGTCACCTGATGTAGCTGCCCTTTGGGGGGTGAAATCATGGGACCTTCTGCCATTATGTATCCTTTAGCTCTTAGGCTGTTACTTGTGTTTTGAAGTGTTTATACTTACTTTAAGAAGGTGGGACTTATCTTTGTAGAAACCAAAATGTTATACTAACAAATGCCAAATTGTATTATTCCAAGACCTACAATGGCTTAGCCTGATGAATAAGTCCTCTGGGTTTACCTAATCTGATTTTACTAGGTCCTTGTGTTTTGCAGCTGACCTCAGCTGGGCTGTCCATGGTTCCACCGGGCAACCAGGAGAGATGGAGGCAGGTGGTGGTTAAAGACACCAGGGTTGGCATGCATTGTGTGTGGCCTGACTTTAAGCAGGGGAAGAAAAAGGTCCATGAAGGTTATTATGCGCTGACTTGTGCTCCCGCCACCAGCACACCTGCCTGTCCACTAAAATTCATATGTTGAAGCATTAACTCCCAGTACCTTAGAATGTGACTATATTGGAGGTAGGGTCTTTAAGAGGGTGATTAAGTTAAGATGAGGCCTTTTGCTGTGATCCAATCTGGCTGGTGTCCTTATAAGAAGAGATTAGGACATACAGAGAGAGACACCGGGGATATACACACTCAGAGAAAAGGCCACGTCGCGATAGAGATAAGAAACAAGCACACAAGGAGAAAGGTGGTGGGAATCGAGTGAGACAAAACAGGAAGTCCAATGTCTGAGGAATCATCAGATGCAGCCAAGAAGACAGCCATGAAGTATGGCAGGTGGTAAATTCTGTTGACCACAGTTTTCAGCCCTTCGGCTTATGAAGCACGCTCTTCCTCTACTAAACGGGCATGACAGTAAAAACTACCAAGTCGAATGTACACTTTTCCCATCCCATGTGCAATAAAATAGATCCTGTCTTTTCTCTGTGAGCAGGACAGCAGGACTCAACTAAGCAAGGAGGTTCTTAGGGAAGCAGAGAGAAGGCAGATGAACAAAGCCGGTACCTTCAGTGTTAAGATGACCTCCCAAGAGCAGAAAGGGGATGCATTGGTGCCACAGGTTATACACATCATGTCTGTGGTAGACAGAGTAATGTGCCCCTCAAAAGATGCGCGTGTCCTGATCTCCTGAACGTGTGAATGTGTTACCTAAGTGGCAAAAGGGACTTCACAGATGTGATTAAGGACTCAGGCCTTGAGATTAGAGTTATCCTGGATTATTCAAGTAGATTCAATGAAATCACAAGGGTCTTCATAAGAGGGAGGAAAGAGAATCACAGAAGGAAAATGTAATGTGACAATAGAACCAAAGGTTGGAGTGATGCACTATGAAGATGGAGGAAGGGGCCGTGAGGCAAGAAATGTGGGCAGCCTCTAGAAGCAGGGAAGGCAAGAAAATAGATTCGCTTCTTGAGCCTCCAAAAGGAACCAGCCCTGCCAACGTGTTATTTTAGCCCAAAGAGACTGATTTTAAACTTCCGACCTCCAGAAATGTACTATAATAAATTTGTGCTGTTTCAAGCCACTAAGTTTGTGGTGATTTGTCACAGGAGCAATAGGAAACTAACACAATACTTTTGGCCCCTCCCCTGCCTCTCCTGTCCTCTTCTTTCCCCTCCCCTCCCCTCCTCTCCCCTCCCCTCCCTTTCCCTTCCCTCCCCTCCCCTCCCCTTCCCTCCTCTCCTCTCCTCTCTCCTCCCCTTCCCTCCTGTCCTCTTTTCTTCACTACCAAACCCCCTCCCCCTTTTCCCTTACCCACTCAGCCCTTCTTCTCAACCTTCCCCACTGGCTTTCTGGCTATTGTGAATCATGAATTGGCAGAGGCTGCCCTGAGGAGAGTGCTGTGTGGTCCCTTTAGCCTGTGGATGCTCACCCTGGTCACAGTTGCAAAAGCCTCTTCAGGACCAAGGGTCCAGGTGCCCTGCAACAGCTAACTCTCTATGCCCAACGTCCTGTCAGCCTGGACCCTGGACAACTTCAAAGCACATAGCAAAAATTTTACCTGAGCCTGGTAACTTCAAATGAATTGCTATTTTCTGTATTTTAAGAAAATTTGTTCCAGATACCTTGCCCTGGGCTTTAGAGGCAATAGACCTTAGATGCAACTGTGTAAAGTTGGCACTATTGTTATTCCCATTTCTCAGATCAGAGAATGGATTCACAGAAAGACAAAATAGCTTGTCCAAGATTGCAGAAACCAAGGCCTATCTAACTTCAAAGATTCACAGAGACAAATCCTCGTGAGGTGAAGATTCTTATTAGGGAATAATCTGATGTTTATACCCTGTCCACTAGGTGAAGTGTAGCAGGAATCTCACTATGAGCACAGTGATTTTATATAATTTGCTTTATCTATGGTTCTGATTTGGGCAGCAATTTGGTTTAATGAGCTTTGGAGTCAGAGAGTGCTCACTGAGTCCAGCTCTAGCTGTGAGATTTTGAGCAGTATAGCAAAGTGGCAATTAATATAAAATTATACACAACCTTCAGTTCAGCACTCCCATCCCTGGGAATATGGTCCTTAGAAATAAAAGGGCCAATCACATAAAACTACAATACAAGGATAATTACTTCAGATTTGTTTATAGTAGAGGGGAAAAATGAAAAAATGAATGCTTTTCATAGAGGAATGGCTGAATAAATGGCCTATATCCAAACCAGGGACTATTATGCAGCCATTAAAACAATGAGCTAAATCTAATTTGGAAAAAAAAAATTCCACGAAGTATTATATAATGAGCAATAAGATAAACGTAGGTGTATATAACACAAAACAATTTCTATAAGTCAATGACAAACCCCCTGTGTTTGAGATTATATAAGCATGGGGGGAAATGTATTAAATGACGTCACCAGACAAAATACAATATTCATTCTTAATTTTTTTAAATTGCAACAAAATAATGTTAGACAAATCAAATCTATAGCAAAATCAAGTAATTCAGTCATAACCCCAAAACTAGCATTATGTTTAATGGGAAGCACTAAAATAGTCCCATTATAGTCAGAAATAGAACTTGACATGTACTAGAAGTCATAGCCAACAAAATTGGGGAAGAGAAAGAAATCATAATTCTTAGAGTTATGAAAAGAGTTAGAAAAGAGAAAGGAAAAAATACTATTATTTACAGAGGCTATGACTACATACTTGGAAAACAAGAAAACTAACTGAAAAGCTATTACAATCAGTAAGAGAATTCAGAAAGGTATTAGGGGTATAGAAATAATAGATAAAAACATTAGCTTTCATACACACCCATACATATGTACATATAAGCAATAACCACATAGATGATATAATGTAAGAAAAGACCACATCAATATAGCAACCAAGACTACATTACATTAATAAAATTACATAAATAATTTTATAAATAAATAAAATGTAAAAAAGAATTACATTAATAAAAATAAGTAGGACCCATAAGAAAAAATGTTTCTAATAATTCTGAAGCCTAAAACAACTTTTTAAAAATGGAAATACAAACACACACCATGACAAAGATGTGAATTTTTCATGCTAATTTATAATTGTAATGCAATCCCAAGGAAAATACCCAAAAGCCTATTTTAACAAAAACTAGATAGTGTCATTCTAAAGTCACATGGAAACATAAATCAGAATAACCAGGAATACTCTGAAAAAAAAAAAAAAATGGTGAGACACAGGGAATTAGCCATAGTAGATATTAAAACATATTTAAAATCCTCTATTATTAAAACAGTATGGTAATAATATATGAATAGATAGACTGAAGGAATAGACTAAAAAATCCAAAAAGACACATATACAGACATATATTTATACAGAGATTTGAATGCAGTATATGATTAAAAAGTTATCTTAAGTCAGTCATGGAATGATTCAATAAATGGTATTGGCAGAATTGGAAGTCTATCTAGAGATATGTATCAAATTGGATGTATGCTTCCATCCAAACAGTGGGATTGTCTCCAAAAGGATCAAAGGGTTAAATGAAAAGAAACTGACGACAGAAGAGTTCTAGATGCAAACATGGGAGAATTATCTCATAACATTGGAGTTGTGAGTCTCTCTAATTAGGACTCAAATTTGGAAGTGATCAAGGAAACGACTAGTAAATTTGGCTCTTAAAAAAAAAGTAGAAAAATTTCTCCATGGGAAATATGCAGTGCTTAAGGTCAAAAGCTACAAGACAAACTAAGAAAAGCTTTTTGCAACTCAAATCACAAAACGCTAACTCCCTAATATATGAAAAAGCACAAGTAGAAAATGAACGGAGTACAAATAGATAATGCACTAGAAAGGAAATATTTAGTATAAACATTTCTCAAACATATAAAAAGATGCTTGACCTCATTAATTATAAGACATATAACTCAAAATACCTGACATCAGTTTTTCATCTATCAGATTGGCAAAGATCCAAAAGTTTAATAAAAACTGTCAGCGAGGCTATGTGAAGACAGTCACCCTTAAACTCTGCTAGTGAGAGGACAAATTCACACAATCCATGGAGGTCAACGTGGCAGTATCTACTAGAATTATAAGTGCCTGCCTTTACTCTTTGACCCAACAATACATTCGACAGATATACTAGTGCTTAGATTTAAAGACACATGATACACGTGAGGGGTTATTTTAGCATTCTCTATAAGAGCAAAGAAATGAAAACAACTTGAGTGCCCACTAATAAGAAAGTAATAAAGTAAATTATAAATTTTAATTTTAGAAATTAATAAAATAGTGATGTGGCTTGGATCCTTGTCCCCTCCAAATCTCATATTGAAATGTAGTTTCCAGTGTTAGAGATAGGGCCTGGTGGGAAGTGTTTCAGTCATGGGGGCTGATCCTTCATGAATTGTTTGATGCCCTCCTCATGGTAACGAGTGAGCTCTCGCCCAATTAACAAAAGAAAATTCTAGTATAAAGAAAGTGCCTTTCTGTTCCAAAGCTAGCTTAGGGGAAAAATTACAGGCTTTTGGAGCAGAAACTAGGTTTTTTAAAAGGCAGAGTGGCATGAATGGCACTTAGAGGAGGGAAATGCAGGTGGGGGATCATGAACTCATTTTGATGCTATACCCCACTGGGTGATTGAGCTAGCCACTGCTGGCATCTTTGTGGGCAGAACTGGGTTGAAAAAGTGGCCAAAACTCTCCAGGTGGAAGAAAGTTTTATAGCAGGCATATTTTGGATTGTAAATTGACTGTTTCTTGAGGCAGTTTCCTGGTGGGAGAAAGTTCTGCCCTGGAGCTTCTAAGCATAATGAGCTTCTCCTGTAGGGTGTCTGGTAAAGAAGAGGTAAAAGGTTATGATTGCATTTCTAAAGAGCTAATGTACTAGCCTGTTCTCCAAACTGTACCTAGGCCTCTTTGAGCCACAGCTGGAAAAACTGGGATTCAGGGAGCAGTGCCCTGAGGATGCACAGGGCAGTGGGGCCCTGAGCCTGGCCCAAGAAAGCATTGTGTCCTCTTAGAGCTCTGGGCCTATGATGAGAGGGGCTGCCATGAAGGTCTTAAGGTCTTAAACGTCTTCAAGCCCTTTTCATTATCTTGGCTATTAGCATTTGGCTCCTTTTTAATTATACATGTTTCTGCAGCCTGCTTGAATTTCTCCCCTGAAAATGGACTTTTCTTTCTACCACATGGCCAGGCTGCAAATTTTTCCAACTTTTATGCTCTGCTTCTCTTTTAAATATAAGTTCCAACTTTAGGTCATTTATTTGCTCACAGAGATGAGCATCAGTTGTTAGAATCAGCCAGGTCACTTCTTGAATGCTTTGCTGCTTATAAATTTCTTCAACCAGACACTCTAAATCATTATTTTCAAGTTCAAAGTTCCACAGATGTTTAGGGCAGGGGCACAATGCAGCCAAGTTCTTTGCTAAGGCATAACACATGTCACCTTTGCTCCAGTTTCCAATGAGTTCCTCATCTCCATCTGAGACCTCATCAGCCTGGCCTTCACTGTCCATAGAACTACCAGCATTTTGGTCATAACCACTCAAGCAGTCTCTAAGAAATTCCAAATTTTCCTTCATCTTCCTGTCCTCTGAGCCTTTCACACTCTTCCAACCTCTGCCTGTTACCCAGTTCCAAAGCTGCTTCCACATTTTCAGGTATCTTCATAGCAATGCCCCATTCCTTGGTACCAATTTTCTGTATTTACCCATTCTTGCACTGCTATAAAAAAAATCTGAGAGTGGGAAATTTATAAAGAAAAGAGATTTGATTGCCTCACTGTTCTGTAGGCTGTATAAGAAGCATAGTGGCTTGTGCTTCTAGGGAGGCCTTAGGAAGCTTCCAATCATGGCAGAAGACAAAGGGAAAGCAAGGTGTCTCATATGGCAGGAGAAGGAGCAAGAGTGGGGAGGGAAGTTCTACACACTTTTAAACAACCAGGTCTTGTGAGAATTTTATCATGAGGACAGCACCAAGGGAATGGTTCTACAATAAATTATTCATGGAGAATCCATCCCCATGATCCAATCACTACCCACCAGGCCCCACTTCCAATATTAGGGATTATAATTTGGCCTGAGATTTGAGTGAGGACACAGATCCAAACCATGTTATCTCAGTAGGAAGTGGGGGATAGGAGGAAAGAGAAAAGAGAGAGAAAAAATAATTAAACTATCTTTGAGAAAGATGGGGGTACTGGTTACAGCCTTACCAGAAGCTGAGCAGATGCCAGCACTATGCCTCCTATATACTCTGCAGAACCACAAGCAAATTAAACCTCTAGTCTTTTTAAATTACCCAGCCTCAAGTATTCCTTTATAGCAATGCAGAAATGGACTAACAACAAAAATTGTATTAATACCAAGGAGTGTGGTGTTGCCATGAAGATACCTGAAGATGTGGAAGTGGCTTTGGAATAAGGGAAAGGGCAGAGGTTGGAGGAGTTTGGAGGACTCAGAAAAAGACAGAAAGATATGGGAAAGTCTGGAACTTCTTAGAGACTGGTTAAATGGTTGTGACCAAAATACTGATAGAGGTAGGGACAGTGAAGGCTAGATGGAGGTCTCAGATGGAAATAAGGAACTTATTGGAAACTGAAGTAAAGGTCACCCGTGTTATACCCTAGCAAAAAACTCAGCTGCATTCTGTCCATGTCCTAGGGATCTGTGGAAGTTTGAACTTCAGACTGATGACTTAGGGTATTGGGTGCAAGAAATTTCTAAGCAGCAAAGTGTTCAAGATGTGGCCTGGCTGCTTCTAAAAGCCTTGGATCAGATGTGACAGCATATAAATGACTTAAAGATGGAACTTACATTTAAAAAGTACCCAAGTGCCAGAGAAAGAAAAGTCCCTTTCAGGAGAGGAATCCAAGCAGGCCGGGGAGAAACCACTTGCTAGAGAGATTAGCATGACTAAAATGGAGTCAAGTGCTAATATCTAAGACAATGGGGAAAATGCCCCAAGACATTTTAGTAGTCTTCTGGACAGTCCCTTCCATCATAGAGCCAGAAGCTTAAGAGAAAAGTATGGTTTTAGGGGCCAGGCCCAGGGCACTGCTGTCTTGCTTAGCCTGAGGATGCTGCTCCTTGCATTCTGGCTGCTCCAAGTATAGCTTCAGCTCAGAGGGGCTCAGGTGCAACTCAGGACACTTTGCTGGAGGTCACAAGCCATAAGGCTTGGTGGCTTCTATGTGTGTTAAACCTGCAGGCACATGGCATGCAAGAGTAAAGGGGGGGGTTGGAAGCTTCTACTTAGATTTCAGACAATGTGTCAGAAAGCCTAGGTGCTCAGGCAGAAGATACAACGGTGGGCCTGGAGGAAGCCCTCAATAAACATCACTTATTATTCCCTCACAGTACTGCTATGGAGAGCAGTACATGAAATAAGGCACCTAAAGCTACTGAAGCAGAGCAGGCCTTCAATGAATGTGCATGTCCTTCTCTGTCTCTTCTTCCAATTCCCGTATCACCTACCTAATAATAGCCCTCATTGCTGGCAAATGTTCCCTGTCTTCTCAACAAAGTTTCAGAATCATCTTTCCTGACAGTGTGCCATGATAAAAGCAAGTACACCTAAAAGATGTAAATAGTGATAAATGACTTGTTGTCTCAAAGGCCATTTACTCTCCTTATACTACATTTCTTTAATAATTGTAAACCACAGATTTAGTCTTGAGCTGCTCAGCTAGAAGACAGTAGAATTATAAATGCAGCTGAGGCATCTCAATGATCAAATTCTGTTGCACATTAACAATTATGCTCAGTAATTTTTAATTTCTAAGTGACCAAAATTCAAGAGATATGCAAATTAATTAATTAACCAACGCTTTTTAGCTTCTCCTTTTTTCTCCCTTCTTGATGTTAATGTTTGCATTGACTGGATGTTCTTACTTCAATCTAAGGAGAAATCATATCTCAGAGTGTGTCATTGATCATTAATTAATTTGATCAATAGTTATTAGGTGCCTGCTAAGTGCAAAACATGATGTTGGTCTCTATGCATGGCACAAGAAAAACTGTATAAAAGTAATGACTTTACTTTAAAAACTGAATAACACAAAGTAAACCAATACTTAGAATAAGGAAATAAGATGTAATTTATTCCAGTCCTTTCAATTTAGAATTTTCCTATGAAGAAAGATATGAGTATGCCAACACTTTATATCATAAAGTAGAGACAGGGAATGCTAACCCACTTTAGATAGTGAACTTCACAATTTTTGAAACACCCAGTTACATTTTACATAAATAATGCATGTCAATTATTAATCATTCTTATCTGTTCAATAAGGGAGATCTAAACGTGTTTGCTATATTTTATAGGCAAAGTTTAACTAACATTTGGATATACAAATCTCACTTTTGAATAATATAATGTCTAATTCAAGTCTTATTTGGAGCCTAGAGGGGGAGATCAGTTAGAGATGAGGAAGTTTTAGTTTTATGCACTATCTTGTTTTTTCCCACAGCCCTTCAATCTGGCTGTCATTATTCCAGCTTTATAGGCAATTCAGATAAGGGCTTAGAAAGAGAGGGCCTAGCTCAAGTCTCCCTGAACAGTAAACAACCACATTTTGGGTCTGCTTGCTGCAAGGCACGTGCCCTTGGCCCTCTTCAACCCAATGTCGAGTTCTGCTTGCACTTCACTGTAGGTGTGAGTGAGACAGAAGGCCAAGGCTAGGCACGCCCATGACTGTAGCTCAGTGTCAGCAATGGCCACAGGAGAACTCAACCCTTTGCAGTGGCCTCCTGAGAACAGAGAACTGAAAAACAGGCCATGCTTTCAGATTTCAAGCCCTTAGAAGAACGTGCTTCTGGTTGAGGAGAGGGAATCTACTTCTCAGGCCTTTGTAAATGATCACTCAGCTATGCAGCATTTTTAGGGTGGGGAACTGCCTTTATTTATACAATTTCTTTGCATTTCATACCCCAGGTTCACCTGAGCTATCCTTCTGAGATCTCCTCTCTTCTTAGTAGTCTGTTAGTTATTCGGAAAAGGTTGTGTCAAATAAAAATTTTGTTATCCACGTCTGTTTCATACCCTGACTAATTTTTCATTCAGACACTAATCATTTTGAAAATACCAGGGGCAACTGGGAGGAATTTCCAGGTTGAACTCCACAGAACAAGACTAATCCGCCCCAGTTCATTTCCCATCCTGTAGACTTTCTGTGCCCTCCTCCATGACCTGTGTAATCTCTCTTCCAAAAAACAAATGAGCCTCTAGTTGATCTGGTCAGAAAAATATGCAAAAGGAATCTGGGGTAGGAGTGAAGGGATATAGATATAACCTGATACTGTAAGTATCCATCCATCTCTCTGAATAGAAGAATTAGGAAAATGGGTCCCTGTGGTGCAAAGAACGTAAGATAAATTCCTGATATTTTTCTTTTTGTTCTCTTCATTTCTCCATGAGAGCAGTAGTAATAGTGGCCACAACTTCAAGAGAAACCTTGTCTTTCCAGCCAGTAAATTGGAAAAATATACCCCATGGAGCCAAAGAGTGGAAACAATATTGCAAAAGGGAGAATGGGAGAAAGACATCCCCCAATTCCACATATGAATTGATACAATTCCCAGGTTCACCCCAAACTGCATGTGCACACCCAAAGAAGCACGAGCTTTGAGAAGTGAACTACCATATAAGCCACTGCCCACATCCAAGATTAACCCTTCCTGTAACATATGTGAGAAGCAGATCCAAATAGACTTTGAATATGGAACGGACATTGGAACCACTGTTCACAGAAGACAAGATGGGTTTATTATCTGCTTAAAAAACAACAAACAAACAAAAACAGAAAATCTATTTTCTCCAGAGGATTTTAATAAGACCCAGAGCTTCACAGTATAATACACAAAATGTCCAGGCAAAATCCAAATTACTAGACATACTAAGACCTGAAAAATCTGACCTATGCTCAAGTAAAAGACAGATGCTGGCCATGCAGGGTGGCTCACACCTGTAATCACAGCACTTTGAGAGGCCGACGTGGGTGGATCACCTGAGGCCAAGAGTTTGAGACCAGACTGACCAACATGGTGAATCCCCATCTCTACTAAACATACAAAAATTAGCTGGTGTGATGGTGCACTCTTGTAATCCCAGCTACTCTGGAGGCTGAGGCAGGAGAATCGCTTTTAGTAAATTTGCAGTCCATGCAGTTTCTTTCATAACTTCTCAATTCTGACATTATACTGTGAAAGCAAATATATACAATACATAAATAAATGGGCATGACTGTGTTCCAATCAAACTTTATCTACCAAAACAAGCAGCAGACTGGATTCAAGGCACAGGTCACAGTTTGCTGACCCCTGTCCTATAGGGTAATTCTTCATCCAAATTAAGAAGTAGTGGGGAGATCTAGAAATTTCAGGATGATGGTGTACGTGATAAAATCAGTGAAGCCTATGATTGAGTCCATTTGTCATCTCCTTTGCCATAAATTATGCATGTTGGTCTGAGGCAGTGTTGTATAGGATCTGATGCCAATAGACTAGACATTCTATAAGCCCTCAGATGGTTGAAGGCACTGTGGATAAATCCACACCAGGAATAGTCACTTCAAAGGTAAATCATTACCCTCTCCAGAGTGGAAAAGATCTAAAATAATGAATATGCCACAAAGTATCTTGGTGGTCTTTCCAAGGACGGTGTCATACTGCGGGCTCTGTGTTGATCACTGCTGGTGGTTGATTGGCCTTTATTGGTGGCACTAGCTACACAATCCTTGAAGAAGGGAGCCCATTGGGTCCATACAAAGCTTCCATTCCTGCTACCATGGCCACTCTGTTAGTCCATTGCAGAATCCCTAGAAAAGACAAAAAAAAAAAAAAAAAAAAAAAAAGCTTATGGGTACCCATAGGATAAAACATTCTGACTACCTGGCTGTTGATAGATTTTTCTGCAGTTGATTTTTTTTTGGTAGGCATTAATACAAAATCCAAATATCTGTACAATTTGTGCCCATTCTCACAGACCCATCCACATACCTTTTTCCCAGACCTCCTAGTCAATGATTTTCTGGTCTTGTTAGTCTCCTCCTCAAGCACCCATTCACCACTGCTCTTGAGTCAGTGTATATCTATCCCTCAAGCTGCCTCTTCCTCCATATGAAATGATGGTAAGTCTACTGCACACAGCTCTGCCCTCTAGAGGGTTTCCCTTTACCCCTTTCCTTCACCATCAATTCAGGTCAAACCTGTGTGGCGCTGTAGTGTAGCAGCTGCCTATTTACAACTAGCACCAACATATTGCTCAGACTCATTAGTGAATTGGACTAGAACCCTTTAGACCTTCAATAGTCAATTGTGGAAAAAATCTCATTGGTCAAAGGTATGATGAGTGAGGGAGAGGCATCAATGTAACTTAAGTACTTAATACAGGGATCTGGGCCATCTGATTTTGTAATTTACTCATTCTTTCGGAGGTACTGGAATCTTGTCCCCAATAAACCCCTTTCATTATACAGTGATTTGCTGTTGTGCCTGCTCTACTACTTGGTTCAGTGGACCTGGTGATATCCAGACCATAAAGAGCACCTCCATTCATAGAGGCGCTTGGTGCTCCATGATGAGGTGTGCAGTCTCCAGTAGGAAACATTTAAATGCCAGGAGCTGTTTTGCAAACATCATAATTCTCTGCTGAAGAAGGCATGGCATTCTCCAGAACTCTATGGATCTGCCCACAGCTCATTTTTAATGGCATTGCAGAAACTCCATACGTTACCTCTATCTATCCAAACAATTAGCCACCACTGAAACTGCAGCTTTTGAGTCTAGAGCTGTTACAAAACCCTATTTTTGCCCTGGGCCTTGTTTGAAGTCTTCTGAGTCAACCCATGAATGGGTTGCAGAAAGATTCCCAAGTATACCATATGCTTCCTCCAAAATCCAGAATGAGATACAAGTGTTGTGCCTCATCACAAATGATAGAAAGTGAGAGGTACAATAACTTGTCTTTTACATTAGAATGAATGCCCTGGCACGTCCTTAACTACTGGACACCTGAAAACTTCCCTGATGGGGCAGACTCTTAAATCTCCTTTTTTTCCCGTCTCCCAAATTTGGGCATGCATATTTCTTACTAGGGCAGCTAGTGTAAGCTCCACTTCTAGTTCATCCAGTCCACTTAACGTGATATTATCAGTATAGTGGACCAATGTGATGTTCTGTAGAATGTCAAGATGATCAAGTTCTCTGGACTACATTATAGCCTTACAGCAATACAGTAAACATATACTGATATCCTTTTCATGTAATGACATGCTACTTTTCATTCTCCCTATTGTTGCATATCCAGAAGAAAGCATTCACTAAATCCATAGCAGTAGATTATGGACCAAAGGCTATGTTGAAATTCTCTACTGAATATACTACATCTGGCCTAAAAGTTGTGATTGTGACATTGCTTGGTTAAGTTAATGATACTCCCCTTCCCTAAGTATTCTGATGTGTTCCTTAACACGACACCAGGGAAATCTGGACATCTTTAACTTCATTTTTATAGAAGCCATCATCATGTTCAATATTCCACATCCTTTTCTACAGAATATTGAACAAGCTCCAGATATCCTTGCCAAAGCACTGAAGCTCAAATCATGGTGCATTCCCCATATCAATACATTCTTCTCTATCCAGTGTATATTCTATTCCCTCCGTCTCTCTCTCAGCCCAACATTCTCAGGATCCATTTTCATATCATGTGTTCTTCTGGAGCCTGTCCGTATATATCAGCCAGATCAAATAATTCTCTTAGTATGTAAACTATTCTTTTCCAAAAGCAGAGCTTGTACTTTTTCGCTTGGGCTGCGCTGACTCCTGACTCTGTTTATTGGCCTAGAAACCATGAGAGGTGATAGGGAAGATACTGACAAGAATAAGCATCATTGAATGGTATCCAGGCAAGTGGGCTGTTGGGCTTATAGAGAAAGCGCAGAAGAACTTGGGAGTTTAAAATTGTCAGGTTCACCCATGCAGATATCCTCATTCTATGTTTCAATCAAGGCCCTAATTTTCACACAAGAGGCCTGTGCACATTATATAAGCATACTTTGCAGGAACTGTGCTTTATAATTAGATCCTAGGCCTGATTTTCATCACAGTCTACCTTGAAATTTAAGAAGCTAAGAGTTTCTTTTAAAGACACTAAAGAGAGATTTTCACAGTGTGCAATTACAAGCCCTGGGACAAACACTTTCTTTTTGCAAGGAGTACAGTACAGTCACATTACTCCAAAATATATATAATTATCATTGTCCTCATACTGATGAAATGCCACAATTACTAGATCTCTCAATGCCTTGCTTTTCACATGCAGCTCACCTCAACCAGCTGCAAGTGAATGCCTAAGTACTTGCAACATCATTGCATACCAGGGGTTATTAACAATCCATTTACTACCAGCATTGCAGTCCTTATTAATTTCTGATCTGTGGGCAGTCAAACTCCAAATCTTACTGAGGGCCTGCTTTCCATAACCATTTCTGAAACAAACTGTTTTAGCCTAAGTTTCTTAGAAAACAAAGTCTGTACCAAAGATTATGTGCGAATATATTATTTGGAGCCCAGGGCAGTGAAAATAATGGAATACAGAGTTGAAACACAAGGATGGTAAGCAATAGAAGGTAATGTGTTACCACCTGGACAATAGTTCACAATGAGTCATGAAGAGATTTAGCCAATTACTCAGCAGCTTCACCTGCCCAATCATGCAGGAAACCTCCATACATGCTTTTCCTTGGAACAACCTATTGTAGGGAGGAAAGGAGAATTTATCTAATGGCTCCTTCCCATCTGCTACTCTTAAAACATTGCTACAAAGACTCGTTTCTGAGTTGTTTTTCTTAGTCTTTTCAGCAGGTGTCTGGGAAACTCTGCAGTGTGTACTTCATCAGAGTCTGGAAGTGACAATAGGAGCTGGACGCTCTGTGACTGGTTGTCCTCAGGCAGTGGAGCCAAACGGGCTAACAGGGAGACACCTCGCCACAAGAGTGGCTTAGGTCTAATAGACACTTATTACACCCCTAGGCATTGTGCATGGTCTTGGGAATACAATAGGAATATTT
This sequence comes from Homo sapiens, assembly GCF_000001405.40. Classification (NCBI taxonomy): domain Eukaryota; kingdom Metazoa; phylum Chordata; class Mammalia; order Primates; family Hominidae; genus Homo; species Homo sapiens. The sequence goes on along the minus strand of NC_000009.12, from coordinate 2,339,856 downwards.
TCTGTGATCAAAAAACTTCATCTAGTGAAGATAACAAAAATAAACGCTTTGTAAAATACTTACTACTATAATATGGGTTTTAAAAAACGCTATGGCTTCCTAGAGGTAAACGAAAGTTCAGTCATGTCTAGAAATTTGGCAGATGTTCCTGACAACAATGACTTAAGATACCCTGAGAATGACCCTATGGTCTAAACATAATGTGCGTTGGGAGTTTCGAGCGGGGGAATCTGGGAGTGACCAACCTGCAGATTCATTCCTCATCTATGAGGAACATCTAAACCCCTGGCCCAAGCCATGGAATGCAGGCCATACAGGGAATCAAGGCCCTTTGTTTTGGGTTAAATGAAGGTTGCTAGGGGGAAGGTGCTAGGGGAAAGATGTTAAGCAAAAATGTTGTATGAACTGCATGATTTTTACAAATGGCAGTGGTTCTCCTGTCCAGCCTGCTGCCACTGGAGTGCCCTGTATGTGAGTCCCCTCAAAAAAAACCCGTGCCTCATTTGCTGGCTCTGCGCCTCTTCTTTGGCCTCTCAAACATGGTGCCATCCCTATTGAAATCAATAGGAGTCCAGCATGACAAGTTCCTGGAGGAAAAGATCATAAACTGCGTTCAATTTTGTAAAACCAAAGTCTGTAGTTAGAAAGGAAACAAGAGTTCATTTGGCTAGCCCTTTATTCAATCACCTAATTAAGCCTCTATTATCTTGAGACCCAGAGAAGTTAAACATCATCCCAATCCCCATCTATCCCACTCTGCATAACATATTCTAGTGTTATTAACCATGCACTTTCCAAATCAAAGGTTTTACACATCTGAGATTTTGCAAATAGAATTTCCTGCTCTTCTGTATGAGTCAGGATAGACTAGCATACACTGCAGTATCAACTCTGGAATTTTATGGCTTTAAACAACAAAGGTTTCTTTCTGCTCATGGTAGTCACTCAAGGACCCAGACTGATGGAGTGTTTATTTTAACACAAGCTTCTACAATTTCTGTAGCAGTGGGAAGGGAATATGGTAAATCACATATACGTGTTTAAAGCTTCTGCCTAGAAATGCCATATATTGCTTTCACCCACCTGTCACTGGCTCGAGCATGTCATGTGGCTATACTTACATGTAAGAGGTCAGGGACAGGCTATTCTATGTACATGAAAGAGGGAAAAATCAGAAATACTTAATGGTTAGCATTAATGACTAGCACCTTCCTAAAATCTTTTTACCATCCTAATTCCTATTCGAGCTTGTAGATTCAGCTCAGATGTTATCTATTCAGAGACCCTCCTTGTGTCATGCTCCCCACCTGCAGAGTGGGTGAGAAGATCCCACCTGTGCTTCAGACTTCAGGCACTTACTTCCATTATTGCATAGACAATACAGCATAGACATTATCTCTCCACTTGTCCATCTCCCACATAGTACGGGGTGCTCCCCAAGGACAGCAACCACTTTTTACTACTGTGTGCTCAGCACCCAGCACAGTGCCTGCTACATAACAGACACTCAAATGCGTGTTTGTTGAACTGAGCAAAGCTGGGCGACAGCACTGAAAATAAAACTTCCTTTTTATGAGAATCCATTGTGCCAGAGCTAACTGAAACATCGTGCAGTGTTTTAAACATTTTTCAATGCCAGCCTCTTCTCTCCTGCTGTTTATCAAATTACAGTGACATATTCAGGTGATAAAAAGAGCTCCCCTTAGGCAGAACTTAAATATAAACATTCTAGAAAACTTTTGCCTTCATCTGTTTCACTAGTCAAGTGAACCTTGCACAAAGCCTCAAGTTTTGGGTTGTTCGGGTTTTTTCCCTAAACAGAGTTTATTCAGCAAGTAAGTAGGGCCTGGACTGGGAAAGTAACTCATTTCTCTCACTCTTTGTGGAGATGTAAATCAGGTCATAAGCAAAAGTCATTTGGAAATCTTATTTCTCTGTGGGCTCATCTATTCTGCTCTGCTGCGTGGGTGAATCCCAGGAGCACCCTCCTGCCTTTTCTGTGCCATTAAGACAGAAGAGGGAATTGTACTTAGAGATTTCCTTAAGCCAAGACTCATTTGATTGCGGTCAGGAAAACTTAGGCCAAGTTCATTGGGAAACTGAACCCAGAGCCAAGGACAGCTCCGTGGCAGTATCCGGCTAGTGGTAAGGCAGAAATGACATCCTGCCATATTTCCATGTGGATTCTCTACAAAGACAGCAAAAAAACTCTTTCCTTTTTTTTTTTTTTTTAACCTAACACCCTTCTCAGTTCATAATAGAGCATTTCCTAATGCCTTGCTACTCAAGGTGTGGTTCAAAGACCATCAGCATTTGTATCACCTGGGACCCTGTTAGAAATTGATCATCTTGGCCCTCTCTCTACACTTGCTGAATCAGAACTTGCAGTTTAGCAAGATTCCCAGGTGATACATGTAGACATGAAAATTTGAGAAGCACTGAGCTGGGCTCTGAACACATCTTATGGAGGAGTCTCATTAGTATAAGTACAGCTTTGCCTACCACGGTCCTCATCTGACACTTTGGGAAAGGTAAACACTCCTTGAGCCAGGAGGTATTGCACTTTCTTTATTCATTGTTTAGGAGGCCACAGGTGATTGAAGGTGAAGGGAAAACCATCGTGTGTCCAAGGATCTCAGGGCCAGTTCCTCCTGCAGACAGCTCTCTTTATAACTGGGTAGTAGTCAGCCAGGCTGAAAATATGGGCAGTCCATTTACTGTGGGCTGATAAAAAAGACCCAGAGATGCTGCAAAACCATCTCCAAAGATCCCCAGCCTCCTATGCTACAAGCCACAGCTGGCAGCTCTTTTACAGCGTTTGCCTTAGGTGAGAGTGGTGAGAAGTAGGAGACAGCAGGATTTATGGGCTGTTTAAAACTTCCTATGTCATTTTTCTCCTTTGTACAAATACATGGACTCTTCTGACCGTTTCTCTTCTCCTCTGACTGTTGTTTTCTTCTTTGTGCTGTCTGATTTCCATTATCTCTCTTTCTCCCCAGTTTCCCTCTCTCTTCCGATGACATTACTTAGGTTTACTGCTAACTTGACTATCCTGTAGTACAACGTTGTCTCATTCATCATTTTGCCCTTTCTTGGTAGACTATCTTAGTTCATGTCATTTCATGTACCCTGAGATTAAGGTATTTCTGTAATGACTTCTGCTATCTTTTCGTTATATTTTTGTATTACTATGCAATGATATTGAGTATTTCATGTGTTCTTTTACAAAGTGACCGATGCTAATGCACTGCATGTAGTCAGTTAAAAGAAACTCAGCATGCTAGGCTAGCATGGGTAAAGGTCTTCATCCATTATCTCCACTTCTCTCCCGTACTATCAATCTCTCCATCTCCAATGGCAACTGACCTTCAGCCTACAGCATATTCAGATCTCCTCCATCTTAAAAAAAAAATCTGGTTTCAATCCTGTTCTCCCTTAAGCATACTGCCCAAAGGGGTTCGGTGTGTATTTGAGTACCCAGTTTCCTTCGTTTGGAATGCTTAACTATCTCCTGTCTGCCTGCATTTCTCTTTTGTGCTGCCATCTAAGTGAACTTTTTGAAACATAAGCTGTTACTGCACCCCCTGCTGGAAATCTGGCAATGGCATTCTTCCATTAATCTCAGACATCCAGATATTGAGTGCCCTTTGCAGCTGAGTCCAAGCGTTACTTACCAACCTATTTCAGGTCATTCATTACCTGCTCAAATGCATAACCCCATGGTGTTTCCTGTTGTCTTCTAAACACAATAACGGGTTTTCTTGCCCACTACCTGTATCTGTTCATTTTTCTATGTACATTATTTTCCCTTTTAGTATCTGCTGAGGTCCTGCTTAACCCTTCAAGACCCAGCCAAGGTCACCTTTCTTGTGTCAGAAGCCTAAAGCCTTACATGACCTCCTCTTTGTTCCCAAGCATCTTAGCCATGCCTCTGTCTCATTGATTGCCATGTGAATGTTTATGATTCTGCAGCATGAGTTTCCTGAACTCTTGGATTTTTATTCCACTTGTCTTTATACCCCAACTTCTAATATAATGCCTGATATAAAAAGATATGCAAATGTTTATTGAATTAAATTTCATATTGTCTGTAGATTTTTTCAGTTTATTTCATACTGTGATTTTAGACTCGTAAGTTGGTTATCAATTCAATCAGGAAAGAGTCATTTACAGAGACACAAAGTCAGAAAGCATAGTTTCTGGGAGGTGTGCAGTTCTGGATGGGATCCAGCCTCCCAGAGGAAAATAAGTCATGGAGAATCAGCAAGCCTCTTAGCCCTGAACTTCCTCTCCCCGTATGCTTTTGATTTGACCTGCTGAAAAAGCAACTTCTCTAGCCTCCTTTGCTGCCAAGAGATTGCCCTGGATGATTTGGCTATCGTGAAGGAGGAAATGCTGGACCTAGCCACCACTGGCCAGATATCCACTGGAAATCAGGCCAGAGGCCAGATGGGTCAGCAATTAGGCCTCAGCACTTAGGGGAGTTGAATAAAGGGTAAGGAAGCTAGAAAACTGTGAGTGGTTTCCACATTTGCTTTACAGAGTTAAGGAACGGATGCACGCTGTGCTGGGAGCACCTTACAAAACCCCACTGCAGTCTTCTCCTCCTCTGTATTGCATACTCAGCTGGGTTCCAAACTTCAGGTGCATGGTTCCTTGATGGCACTGAGTGGCGCTGCCCAGAGCCATGCTGTGAACAGGAGAAATGACAATCCTGAGGCCTCCCAAACTGGCTTTGCCTCTGCTGGGGATGAACAGGCTTCTCAGCTGGCTCAGGAGCTCCAAGTGGTCCACTGGAGTAAAATCCAGTATGTTTTACTCCCTAGAGGTCTGTGGGGCACTCCACAACTACCTCCAAAACCAGAGTGGACTGTAACACACATTTTGGACTTGCACTTGCCTGAGTCCAAACTTTGGAGTTTTTCAAATGTTTCATGGTGGAAAAGGTATATCCACATGTTCCAGTCAACGCTCCTATTGCCAGACATCACAGGAACTGTTCTCAGAAGAAACTCCCACTCCCCACATTTTATGTTGAGTTCACGTCATCATGCAATGACTGAAATAGAGAGAAACTTTACTAAAAAATAGTTAGATGTGTTAGTATGTGTACAAGTATACTGTTTATTTATGTCTATGTAAATAATTGCAGTGTTTTGTTTTGTTTTGTTTTGTTTTTTGAGATGGAGTCTCACTCTGTGACCCAGGCTGGAGTGCAGTGGTGCAATCTTGGCTCATTGCAGCCTCCGCCTCCCAGGTTCAAGTAATTCTCCTGCCTCAGCCTTCTGAGTAGCTGGGATGACAGGCCCCTGTCACCATGACCAGCCATTTCCTTTTGTATTTTTTAGTAGAGATGGGGTTTCACCATGTTGGCCAGGCTGGTCTCAAACTCCTGACCTCAAGTGATCCCTCTGCCTTGGCCTCCCGACGTGCTGGGATTACAGACATGAGCCACCACAGCCAGCCCAGTGGATGATTTTTAAGTATTGAAATACTTACATTTTTCTGGAAGCAGTATTTTTGAAATTTTTTTTAAGATTCTGAATCATAGTATTGAAATACTTATATTTTTCTTGGAACAATTTTTTAAATATTTTTTGAAATTCTGAATCTGAATCTTTTACAACTTGAGATATACCCAGAGAGCTATTTGCTGCATTGCAATTTCTAATCCAACAAAACTGCACTCGTTTAGAAAATACTCTTCTATACCTCCATAATCCTCAAGAGGAGAATGAAAATGACAATCAAAACCAAGCATCTATTGCAAGGAATATTTCTTATTCTAGTTCAAAGACTTTTTGAAAAAGTGGAATATAAACAATACAAAATTGAAGTTGATGCAGGTAACTGCATCAGATACCCCATCTACAGATGGTGACACTGGAAGAGTCCAAGATAAACTGGCAGTGCTCTCTTTAAAACAAGGTTATAGCTCACGAGCCACAGAAAGATCCTTGAAAAAGGAAGAGCTTTGCAGAAACACTTCCTCAAAGTTGCTAAATAAAAGGAGGGATTATTTGAAAATGTTAAGCCAGAGGAAAATATTTGGAGTTAGTTTATAACCCTAATGTCACCATTCATGCATGATGTCTTACATTCCAATAAAATGTCAAAGATTTTTCAACAGCTGAACAAATTTGCAGGACAGTAAACTCTCATTATGACACCTTTTTTTTGGTAAATTTTTAAGTACTTTATTAATAAGTTAATTAATACTTAATTATTTAGTACTTAAATTTTCAACTTTCTGGGGATTGTTAAAGTTTTTATTTTATATAAAGTTTTTAGTAATTTTATTAATTTACTGCTAATAAACAATTTTGCAATAACAATGTATGTTTAGTACACATACATTTAAAAATTTAGATTTTTACTTGTCTTAAGGTATATTGAATTTTTAGTTGTTAACACATTAAATATTTGGTTTAATTTTTTGCTTCACTAACTCTGAATACATTAAAAAACATAAAATGCCAGTATCAATAGTAGTATTTTAATGTTATGCAAAATAAATATCAAGTTACTGAAACTGGCATTTTGCTTTGGTATTGTAATCAAATAAATCAAACAGTAAAACAATAATAAATAAAATAATAAAACAATAAAAGCCCATAATTATACACATAATACACACACATTTATACACATATATAGATGCAGAGGGAACATTTAAGGCATAGAACTGGTTTCTATATCTTTCCCCCTTATATTCCGATTTCCACCATTTGTTAAATTGAATGCTAAACAAGTTTCTCAGAGCTTCTCAAAATGAGGACTGTCATCTCAATCTGGTTAAAACCATACTGTGGTTGCTCCTATGTCACAATCAAATAGAAATTACAGGATACCAGGAGCTAGAGACGGGCCAAAAGGGTTTCATTGTTTTAGCCCTTAATAAATGCAGTGCAAGCAGTAGTCATACATGATGGATTTCCTTTTCACCTCTGAGAGAGGGATTCATCCATCGTCAGTTCATTGCCTATGAGCTGGATCGACTTACTCAGTGGCTCAGGTCAGTGGGTGCTGACCTCTGAAAGGGCTTCACTCTCCACAGCCAGCTCCCTGCAGCATGGACTCAGGCCCCCATTCCAAGAGGGACATGTGTTTTGACCTTCTCTCTTACTTTCCTCAGGGAGCCTCAGAGGCCCATGAAATGTCTAATTAGAACTCTTTCAGTGCATTCGGATTAGGTTTCTCCCTATTCAAAAAAAAGAGAAAAGGCAAAGTATAGTTTCTAAACAAAGACTCTTAACAGGGCATTTGCAGGTATTACAAGTTTTTTTCCCTTGTTTCAGGTTCTTACTCAGGCTGCTTCAGGAAGAGAGAGCTTGCCCAAGGTCAGAGAGGTAGTAAGTGGTTCAGCCAGGACCCAACCCCAAGTCTAGCTGCTTCAAGAGCTTATGTTCTTCCAGCTCTATCAGCTCTACCTACAGCATGCATCAGAATCCCCTGGAGGACTGGTTAAAACACAGATTGCCAGTCCCCTTCCCACCCCAGGGGTGAGGGCCCACAAATTTGCGTGTCTAACAGGATCCCAGGTGATGTCCTCAGATCACTGCACCGTATCAATGCCCTCCAACCTGAGAGGGAACTTGTTAGGAGGGTCCCCCTGCCACCAGCACTTCCAAGTGATTCTGATGTAGGTGACCCACAGGTGATATTTGGGATAAATTATGTCAGCTAACGGTAGCTATAGGTAAGTGCATAGTATCTATAATTCCAAACAGCATGGCACAATGAAGTGCTAAATACAAGTTTTAAAATAATTAGATGTGAATGACAGACAGCAATTAATTTTTTTTTTTTTTTTGAGGTGGAGTTTCACTCTCGTTGCCCAGGCTGGATGGTGCGATCTCGGCTCACTGCAACCTCTGCCTCCCGGGTTTAAGCGATTCTCCTGTCTCAGCCTCCTGAGTAGCTGGGACTACAGGCACGTGCCACCACACCCAACTAATTTTTTTTTGTATTTTTAGTAGAGACGGGGTTTCACTATGTTGACCAGGATGGTCTCGAACTCCTGACCTCAGGTGATCCACCCACCTCGGCCTCCCAAAGTCCTGGGATTACAGATGTGAGCCACTGCACCGGGCCAGCAATTAATTTTTAATGGGCAATGGCAGTAACCAAAGATGACTTCAGTGACGCATTTGGGCCATATAATTTGCAGAGTTTAGTGCAAAATGAAAATTTGGGGTCATTTTCTCAAAAGGCAAGAAAAGCATATTAATGGCACTAAAGTATAAAATTTTCCTTTCTTTCTCAGTCTCTCAACTTGTTATGCTGATTTTCACTTGCTATTTAATGAAGTTCAAAATGTTTTAAAATTGAATTGTTTGCATAAATTTACCATTCTTTTTTTTTTTGAGATAGAGTCTTGCTGTGTGGTCCAGGCTGGAGTGCAGTGGCGCAATCTCAGCTCACTGCTAGCTCCACCTCCTGGGTTCATGCCATTCTCCTGCCTCAGCCTCCCAAGCAGCTGGGACTACAGGCGCCCACCACCACGCGCGGCTAATTTTTTGTATTTTTAGCAGAGACGGGGTTTCACCATGTTAGCCAGGATGGTCTCGATCTCCTGACCTCATGATCCGCTCGCCTTGGCCTCCCCAAGTGCTGGGATTACAGGCGTGAGTCACCGCACCAGGCCACCATTCATCTTTATGTTGTGCAATGTCAGCTTTGAATGCAAATTTGAGAGCATTTAATTCATATGCAAAATCACTGATATAACACAATTTATATTTCAGAGTTCCTACATACGTGTGTATTTCATTCTTACCAAAACAGGAAAAACACTGCACAAAACCGAGCTTCTTTTGTTTCACTTCTTTACATGTGCACATTCCATCAACGCTCTCTACCTTCAGCTTATTGATCAGTAAGGAAAGATTGAAGGAAAAGAAACTATGGTTGCCCTATCTTTCCCTTGCCTTCTGTGTTACCATTTTCAGTGTTAAGTGGTTAGCTAATACAGGGAAGTAACATGGGTAAGAATGGGTATAAGATCTCGTTGTCAGTCTTTCTTACATCATCACTGCCTTCTTTCCATGTTGGAAGTTCTGGTTAGAGCAGAAATCAGGGCTTCTGCAGGATATCAGCACCCCTCTTACTTGAGCATACTTAAGATGCTTTCCTTGTGCTAACTCACTTTGAAGTGCCATGCATGACGGGCCCACTAAAATCCTGTGCTCATGGAATATCTTGAACACTTTATGTGAATAGGGGAAGAAAGAAGGAAGGAAACTCATATTTTTGTGCATCTCCTTTGCTCATGTGCATGCTCCACTGTCCCATCAGGCTTCACTTACAAAACACAAGTTCAAAAATAAACTTATTAAGAATTTCAAGACAGGGAGCACAGAGCATTAAACCATGCATAGGGCTCTTCTGAGCATGGGGCCCTGTGCCCTGCATGGGTTGCATACCCGCAAAGCCAGCCTATTTGGGTGCTAGAATGATGACGCAGAAAATATAAAATTATGAAGGGCATTCCAGACAGAGGATCGGGTGAGATGGAGGGGGTGGAGGGAGGCACACATTCAGTGCCATAAAAATGTAGGGGAAATCCATCGGTGATAGACTGGGTAAAGAAAATGTCGCACATATATGCCATGGAATACTATGCAGCCATAAAAAGGAACAAGATCATGTCCTTTGCAGGGATATGGATGAAGCTGAAAATCATTATCCTCAGCAAACTAACGTGGGAACAGAAAACCAAACGCTGTATGTTCTCATTTATAAGTGGAAGCTGAACAATGACAACACAGGGACACAGGGAGGGGAACAACACACACTGGGATCTGTCAGGGGCAGGGGGAGGGACAGCATCAGGATAAATAGTTAATGCATGCTGGGCTTAATACCTAGGTGATGGGTTGATAGGTGCAACAAACCACCACGGCACACGTTTACTTACATAACAAACCTGCACGTCCTGCACATGTATCCCGGAACTTAAAATAAAATAAAATTTTTTTAAATGTAGGGGAAACCCATGTTCTATCTCAAAAGAGGCTTCCTTTCTGTTAGACCTATGTAGTGATATGTAGACCTATGTAGTGGATCCAAGGTCCAGGGATCTAGCTGGCTGGGAATAGCTTATTCTCTTGAGAACAGTACCCTCAATCATGAGGCAAGGCCTTTTGTCCCCCCTTTTCTCTATTAAAAATATAGCTTAAATTCATACATAAGATTCAAGGTAAATATGAGATTATTTTATTTTCGTGTGTTATATTTTCTCTCAAAAGCAAGAAACCATCTCATAAAAGCTATGTATGTTATTGATCAGTATAATGAAAGTTACCGGAAGATAATTTTCAGCCTCGAGTGCCTAGAGGATATTTTAGTTTCTTTAATGAAATTACAAAGAAATATTTCCACTTATTTGTAAGTTTTTTTATATGAAACCATGTTTATTAAATCATATTGTTACTACTTTCTTTTTCCCCTTGGTTATTACTGTAAAATTCCAAAGCGAAACACCTAGTATGTTGGGGATTGTTTTGTAACAAAGCTAACATTTTATGAAACAGTAATATATCTTTGCTTTTCAAATTACTACTATGTGAGCTAAAATTAGGTGTTATATCTATTTGTGTTAACCAAACTAGAAGAGACTTCTTACCAAAGTACCATTATCAACTTACATGAAATGCATTCACTTTTTGCCTGGAGATTACACATTGTATGTTGTAAATTAAAGTAATATTGTAAGAATCTGGTATTTAACATTTCAATATAAATTTCAATTTTAAACATGATATAAAGTATTTTCTAATGAGTTTTAATATATGTAGTTAACACATCAGGGTTCTAGACTAAATTCTAATATTCGAGATAAAAGAATGTCTTGTTAATTTATAGCTTTTGGTATTAAATTTAAATTAGACAAGTAATTTGTTAGTACCTTCTCGTTGCAAAAAAATGTAAACAATACAGATAAATAGCAGTCCTCCCTGAGCCTCTAGAGGTAACAATTATTATCAGAGTAATAAGTATAATTTAAATGATTTTCTTTGCATTTATGTCATAATGTATATACAAAAATTTGATTATTTAGTATGTCATGTCATTTTGAGATTTTGTTCTAAAACTTGCTTTTATAAAAACAAATATCAATATGTTATAGAGTTCTAAATAAATATATTCATATAGATTTTTTTTTTTCTTGAGACAGAATTTCCACTTGTCACCCAGGCTGAAGCGTAGTGGCACAATCTCAACTCACTGTAACCTCCAGTTCCCTGGTTCAAGGAATTCTCCTGCCTCAGCCTCCTGAGTAGCTGGGATTACAGGCGTATGCCACCATGCCTGGCTAATTTTTGTATTTTTAGTAGAGATGGGGTTTCACCATGTTAGCCAGGATGGTCTCGATCTCCTGACCTTGTGATCTGCCCGCCTCAGCCTCCCAAAGTGCTGGGATTACAGGCGTGAGCCACCGTGTCTGGCTAGTATATATGTATTAATTTTGACTGCTGCCAGTATTTCTTAGATGTTTGTTCATTTATTCCTCTCTTAATGACACTTTGGCTGTTTCCAATTTTTTACTTTCCATACAATGCTATAATGAACAGCCTGCCATATGCCTCTTTATTCATACGCAAAGGTATTTTTGAGGATCCAGAAGAAAAAAATAGAACCAATAAGTCAAAGGTATACATTTAAATGTTTATAGATCCTGTCAAAGTACTCTCCAAAAAGACTTTGCCACTTTACATCCATATGAAATATCCATGCCAAAACTTGTTATTTTGAACCTTTTGAAATATTTGGGTAAAATATATAGAATCTTTAAAAATATTTAGGTGAAAATTTGTGTGGGTTCTCTTAGGAGTGCAAAGAGAGTCTAATATTCAAAATGTATTAATAAAATTAAGTATATTAACAGAGGATAAAAATCATAAAATACATACCAAACATGTGCTTGATAAAATCCAACTCTTTGTGACGGTTAATTTTATGTGTCAACTTCTCTAGGCTATGGTACCCAGATATTTGGTCAAACACTATTCTAGATGTTTCTGTGAAGATATTTTTTAGATGAAATTAACATTAAAATCAATAGACTTAGAATAAAGCAGATTACCTGTTGTAATGTGGGTAGGCCTCATTCAATCAGTTGGAAGTCTTAAGAGAAAAAAGACTGACCTCCCCAGAGGAAGAAGACATTCTCCCAGCAGACCACTTTCAAGCTCAAACTGCTGCATTGGGTCTTCCGTGACTCTCCAACCTGCAAGCCTACCCTGCAGATTTTGGATTTGCCAGCTTCTGCAATGGTGTAAGCCAGTTCCTTAAAATTTATCTATCTATCTATCTATCTATCTATCTATCTATCTATCTATCTATCCATCCATCCATCCGCCTGCCTGCCTGTCTATCCATCCATCCATCCATCCATCCATCCATCCATCCATCCATCCATCCATCTATCCATCATCCATCTTCTTGGTTATGTTTCTCTGGAGAACCCTGACAAACTGATACACTCCTAATTTTAAACCAAAAACAAAAAAGAAAGAAAGAAAGAAAAACTCTAAGTCAATTGGCACTAGAACCAACCTTTTTGAATTTGATAAGGGTATCTGCTGCCATCTATAATAAATACTTAATCTATAATAAATACTTTATGTTGAAACACTGACATTTCCATCTAAGCTGGATACATTTGGTTATTGTAACCATGATTATTTAAAATTGTACTGAGGTCCCTAGACAAAATGATACAAAATAAATTTTAAAATGAGAGGTATAAGTATGGGGAAGAAAAAGACAAAACTGTAATTATTTGCAGGTGGTATGATAATCTACCTAACCATGTGAGACAACAAATGATCAGTGCATTAGGAGATCTTCCCATCTCTGTGTAGCCTCTTCAGCTCTCATGTTAGACTACTGCCTTCCAGTTTCCACCTCCTGCTCCCCTCTCAGGTCAGCAACTGTGGTTTCAGTCTTTCTGTGAGGCGTTCTCAGGGACAGAGCTCCCTGCTTGTTATCACAGTTCATTCTTTGCTGGTTCAGCGCAGTCTCTGGAGCAGTGCCGTTTCCATAGATCCAATCTCTGCACGTGGATGTTCACAAACCTAAAACAGGAGAAGTTTATTTACAAACTCTTTTAACATAGAATCATACATGTAAGAAAATGGAGGGTTACTAACAACTAATCAGATTAGAAAAGAAGGATATGGCTAACGTCACACCTCTAGCGAGGGAGATGGAATTGGGACCCAAGGGCCTTGACTCCTAATCTAGTGCTCTTTCCTAATACCACATGGATGTATGAACATAATAGTAGCAACATTTGTTGAGTGCTTACATATGCTAGGGATTATCTTAAGTGCTTCATATGAATTAATCTGCCTAATTTTCACAACAGCCCTGTGAGGTGGATGCTTACTTTTATTGTTCTCATTTTAAAGCTGAGACAATTGAAGTACAGAGAAGTTAAGTAACTTGTCAAAGGTCACATGGCTAGAAAAATATGGAGCTAGAATTTGAAACCATTCCGTTTGTGCTTTTCTATCATTATCATCATCACCATCTCATGCTTTCAAGAAACCTCAAGAAAAATTCCTCCCTGGGTTTAACCTCTTTTCCATTAAAATAAATAAATAAATAGGCCGGGCGCAGTGGCTCACGCCTGTAATCCCAGCACTTTGGGAGGCCAAGGCGGGTGGATCACAAGGTCAGGTGACAGAGACCATCCTGGCTAACACTGTGAAACCCCGTCTCTACTAAAAATGCAAAAAATTAGCCGGGTGTGGTGGCGAGCACCTGTAGTCCCAGCTACTCGGGAGGCCGAGGCAGGAGAATGGCATGAACCCAGGAGGCAGAGCTTGCAGTGAGCAGAGATTGTGCCACTGCGCTCCAGCCTGGGTGACAGAGCGAGACTCTGTCTCAAAAATAAATAAATAAATAAATAAAATATTGAGGTTTTCTAAAAGGCTACTTAGAAAAGACCCAGTACAGAGTATAGTTCCTGGCCTGGTTGGGTTCTCGTCACTCCAATATCATCAGCCTGTCCCTCTGGTCACTTCTTACCCAATGTACATGCAATGGAGATTCTTTACACAGCTCTTGGGCTAACTCACTGATATCCCTTCCAGATATTAGTATTAATATAATTCTGGAAAAACATGGACTTCAGAGTATAGACATGAGTAAGAACCCAGGCTTTTCCTCTTCCTAGCTATGTGGTTCTTCTCTTAATGCTCTCCTTCTTTGAGGGATCATTGTCAGGATGAAATAAGTCATTTGCTCCTTTACTTAAATATTTTTCATCCCTCATGCTACATTTGTATAGCCTCGTATGTTTAGTAAGAACCAGACAGCAGAAATCCTACACCCAGCTCTGTTGCTCACCAGCTAGGAGACCTTGAGCAAGTGCTTAACCTTGGTTACATTCCTCTGTGCCTCGGTTTCTTTTCTGTATGGGGATATTAATGGTATCTCCCTCCCAGGATCCTAGTGAGCACTAAATGCATTCAAATATGTAAAGCTTTAGATGAGGATGTGGCATACAGAATCCATTACATAAAAGATGGCTATTAGTATTATTATTCAGTTGTGTCTGTCCTGGAAATACTGAGATGAATGAGAAGCTCATAGTGAAGGAGTCAGATGCATGAAGGGACACTTAGAATCTAACACAGTTAAATGTGGTTAAAAAAAAAGGGGGGATGTGCACTGAGAGATCCGAAAGCCTAGAAAACAGACCCCTGGCCAGTGATAAGGAGACAAGGGGAATCTTGCTGGAAGAGGGTAACCTGAGCTGAGTGTAAAGGATGGATTCAGAATCAGTCAGTGCGGTCAGAAGTGGGAGGCATGATGTATGACAAGCCTTCAACCTGGTAGACATGAAATACATGTTTCATCACTCCACCTTGCCCTCCCATCTTGTTCCCTGCTGATGGCTTTTCTTTCCAGGCTGACCTCATACGTGCAGACATCCCTTGGCCTAAGTGTACAACCTGTCTGCACCTTTGGCTACCTCCTTGTCTAGGCCTCCTTCTCTTCAGAGGGATGAGCAGCAATCTTGTACATTTCCTTACTATCAGGACCAGAAATGCTGTATTCCTCTTGAGCCAGGTGAGATAACCCCATCAAAACCTGACCAGGTCAACCATACAGTAACTCTATAACCTTGCAAATCCCAATTCCCACAAAGCAAATAGAAGAATACTCACTGACCCCAAAAATGCTCCCACTCAATAGAAAATCAGTTTCATTAACTTATAGTCCCTCCAGACTTGCCTGTAGGTTGCCTATCTTTATAATGATAAATTAGCTAGTGCTTCTGCGTTATCATCCTTGCTCTACTGTGTGCCCATTTTATCTGGAGCTTTTGACATGGTGAAGTGGACAAATTAAAAATTGTATATTCACAGAGAACTCTGTGTGTGTGTGTATGTATGTGTGTGTGGTTATTGTTATTGTTCTGTAAGAAGACTCTCTGCTATGAGACTACAAGTCTCCATTTTTAGTCTATTTTTCAGTTGGTGTAAACAAGTATTAGTGCTCTGGGTTTTGGTTTTGCTTATATATAATAGATTATTTTTCCCAAGTAAAAATATACCATCAATAATAGGAAGGAAAAAAAAAACCATAAATAATTCAGTTCAAGGCAGTATCCAGATTCTGACTTGAGTGTTCCCTTGGTGTAACACCCTAGCATTCTAGAAGTCAGGCTTGATAACCCCACAGTTAACAAAGAAATGTCTGCCATGCAATTACATAAAAATTGTAACTTCTGGGTGATAGAAGATACTATAAAGAAAGCTAAATGACAAATGACAAACAGAGATATTAGTAACATGTACAACAAAGGATTTACATCCAGAATCTATAAAAAGCACCTACAAATTGATGCGAAAAAGACAAATGTCCCAACAGAGAAATGGGCTTGAGAAATGAACAAGCAATTCACAGACGAAAAGCAAAAACTCAATAAACACATGAAAAGATTTTCAACCTTATTAGTAATCAGAGATATGCAGATTAAACCCA
Organism: Homo sapiens; assembly: GCF_000001405.40. Lineage (NCBI taxonomy): Eukaryota > Metazoa > Chordata > Mammalia > Primates > Hominidae > Homo > Homo sapiens. The sequence continues at coordinate 2,323,851 of NC_000009.12, read as the reverse complement.
TAATAACCTATCTTTTTCTCTATCACATTTGCAAAAATTTAAAAGTTTGAGGACCTGGCACTTTTATACAGTATCAAACTCTTTTAACATAGAATTATACATGTAAGAAAATGGAGGGTTACTAACAACTAATCAGATTAGTATAAATATAGATATAGTATTAGATATAGATTGGTAAACCTGTTATTATTTTAAATATTTCAATTTTAAATTGACCCCTCAATTCTACTCTAGGATTCCATTCTACAGAGATGCTCACCCATATGTGCAAATATTTATGTAATAGGTGTTGATTGTACTATAATTTGCATACAGCAATAAATTTGGAAAATTCATATCAATAAAGGAGAATTTAAATAAATGTTAGTTCACTCATAAGATGGAATACTTTGCCAACCTTCAAAAAAGCAAGATAGACATGGAAAGACCGCCACAGCACATTATTAGTAAAGAAAGTAGTTATTTTCAGCGCTTTGGGAGGCCAAGGTAGAAGGATCACTTGAAACCAGGATTTTGAGACCAATCTGGGTAACATAGTGAGACCCCACCTCAACAAAATAATTAAAATTTAGCTGGATATGGTGGTGCATTCCTGTAGTCCTAGCTCCTCAGGGGTCTGAGGCAGGAGGATCACTTGAACCCAGGATTTCAAGGCTGCAATGAGCCAGGATCAGGACACTGCAGGGCAGCCCAGGCAACAGAGCAAAACACTATCTCTAAAACAAAAAAGATAAGTAGTTACAGTGCCATTCATGTTTTTGAAAGTCATGTAGCATATGTACCTATAAGTGTGTGTAAATGCGTGGAACAAAATTAGAGAAAGACACGGCGCTATTAGATTGAATTACGTGATATTGCAATGTTTGACAGTTTTTGACCTAAAAAATGGCAATGTCATATGGTTCAAGATATTATTAAAATAATTAAATGGCATACAATACAGAAGGTATATTTAAGAGAAGAAACACACTTTATAGTATTCTTTAAGTCTTTATAGGGGTTATGCATTTATGTATCATGGAATAAAATGTTTAATGTCTTAAAAGTAAAACTCCAGATTTGACATATTTGTTATGAGTAATAATTGCTTACCTTGTGATATATGTCTGCGTGATTAATATGTGTGCACCTAATGTGGTATGTATATGTGTATGTGTATAATTCAGAAATAATCCTATTATGGTCATTACTGCAAAACTTACAATGTACCAGGCACTGTGCCACTTTACAAACATTATACCACTTAATCTTCACAAAAATATGAGAAAATATTATATGCATTTTTCAGATAAGAAAATAACCACTGACACCAATAACTGTCTACATCCCATCTGAGAGAGATTAACATGCCCACCATCACAGGACTAGCATGCAATAGGATGAAGATTTGAATCTGAGCAGTCTAATCCAAGAGCACCGATCGTAATCACCATGCAACCAAGGCCTTAGACCATGTACCTCCTCCCTGTATTGTGGCCCCTGTTTGAAACCACAGCTCCAGTGTGGCAACCATTTAGACCACCAATGGCTGTTGTGCCACTGAGATGATCAGTACTTCTAGGCTTGCCACCAACAATACCCTTTTTCACGTTGTTTTCAGTTTTGTATCCCACATTTTGAAAGATTCTTATCCTGATCAACATGTAATAAGTCATAAATAAATTCCATTTATTCTATTATTATTTACCCATGTTTTCATCTGCATCCTAGAAAACACAATTGGAATATTTAACTAGATAACACAATTGGAATATTTAGACATGTTTTTAAATGAAAGGACCATTTACAGAAATATAGAGGAGTTTAAAAGAGTGGGTCTCAACTTTGCCCCTCAAGGGACATTTGGCAATATCTGTAGACATTTTTTATTGTCACAACTGGGGTGGTTGCTATTGACATCTAGTGGGCATAGACTGGGAATGTTGCTAAACATTCTGCAATGCCCAGAACAGCCTGCACCAACAAAGAATTATTTGGCCCAAAATATCAGTAGTGTTGAGGTTGAGAAATCCTGCTTTAAGGTACCAGACAAGAGATGGTAAGGTGCTCAGGACCTAGCAACAGGAGGAAGCCATTACCACCCCTAGGTCTGAGGAGGAGGAAATGAAGCAGTGTTGCAAACACCCAAGTGAGATCCAGGTGAGGGAAAAGGGAACTGCCTAACAGAAGTTATGGTCAAAGAGGGAAGTAGGCATTCCCAGAACAGCACAAAGAGGGTGAGGAAGTAGAAAAAATACCACATTTTTTTCTCCTTCCACCTTCTAATCTTCTGTTGGTGATTCAGGGTGCCCAGGTGTTGCAGTTGTTAAGGTTGGCCTTTCAGAGCAAGAGTAGGGCAAAGAAGGGAGAGGATTGAAACTCAGGGATCAGGGAATGAGAGAAAAGAGAGAAAACCAGTATAATGCAATTAATAATTTCAATGTTCAATAAGGATTCATAATTAAAAAATGTTATGAATTGAATGTGTCCCCCCAAAATTCATATGTTGATGTGTGTGATGAGGGGGTTTTGGGGATGTGGGGACTTTTAATGCAATTAGGTTTAGATGAGGTCATAAGGATGGAACCCCCATCATGGGATTAGTGTCTTTATAAGAGGAAGAGACTAGCGTTTTCTTTTTCTCCCTCACTCTGTTAATCTCTCTGTGTTCCTCTACCTCTCATATCCCTCCCTCTTCTACCCCTTCTCATTCTCCCTCTACTCCTCTCCCTCTTTCTTTCTCTCTTCTCCCTCCAGTTCCTCTCTCCCTCCTCCCTTCCTCATCTCCCCCTCTCTCTCCCCCACACTTTCTACCTCTCATGTGAGGATACAACAAAAAGACAGCTGGCGTGCAAAGGGCCCTCACAAGGAAACAAATTGGCTGGCACCCTGATCTTGAACTTCCCAGCCTCCAGAACTGAGAAATAAATTTCTGTTGTTTAATCTGCCCAGTCTAGGCTATTTTGTTATAGCAGCCAAAACAACTGAGACACCAAGAAAGTGGTGATACATTGTGAAATCAGGTAAACCCTGGCTGGACTGTGGGGTTAGTATGCAATAAGTCAAGTAAGCAAACCAACTCTGGGCAGTCACTGTTACCCTTTCCTTTATTTGGGGTGTTGTCCAAGTTTGACCTGTCCTGGAAGCATGCTGTCAGGTATCGTCACTCCCTGATCCTGGCTCCAATAACCCTGTCAAGACTACTAATCATTCATGTTTCAAAAATCCAGTCATCAACAGCCAATCAGAGTGTCCAATGTAGATATTAATGGCTATAATTCCCACCAAAAACGTAAAAAAATTGTTGGGTCAGAGAGCCAATAACTCATTATGGCTCCTTTAGAACTTTAAAAAATATCAAAAAAATAATTCATCCGAGCCTCCATCAACTCCAGGCTGGAAGCCCCTGAAACGGCACGAGCATGTACTCATTCCAAAGGTCACAGAACTTTCTGTTAGGTGCCACGTCAGACTGAAAGTGCACCCTCGGTTGTTGGGATGAGACTGTCTTCCTCTAGCTGTTAAGAGGTTGGAGTCATTCATAATACCAAATTTATGTGTTACATGTTGAATATTTAGAATGGCTTTGACCTATAGATCTTAAGCTTCTTTAAATAGAAATAGTTCTGACTAATAGATCTCTTTAGCATTTTAGTGAGTATCACAGGGGTTCAACAGAAGCTGAGAGCTGAGCAGGCTGAGGTAATATGAGAAGACTTCATAAAGAAAGTGGCCTTTGACTGCATCCTGATTGATGTTTAGAATGTTTGAGAGACAGGCAAAGTGATTTTCCCATGAGAGAGAAGTCATGGGATAGTTCTGGAAGAGCTTCTGTGTATAGGATACTTGACCTGGCATTCACTTACCATGAGAGGCAATGTAGGCTAGTGGTTAAGAGCACAGCCTCTGGAAATGTCTCAGTCTCAAAGCATAGCTCTACCACTCCTTAGATGTTTGTACCTCAATCATCTTACCTGTCTCATTGGGGTAGTAACTTACCTCATGGGTTCACAGTGAATGCAGTAATACATATAAGTACTTAGTAAGTATTTCCTCTATATTGGCTATTCTTAATACTCCCAATATCCCAATCAAATTGGGCTAAATTGGAGGGATGCATTCCAATTGGACTGCCAATACCTCCTTACAGATGAGAGTTACTGAGATGAAAAGAAAATTAACTATATTCTTCCACTTTATACAGCTGGGATGAGGAAAGGCTATGACTCAAACTGAGGAGTCCTGCTTGTTTCTAAATTCTGCATACCTTCCTCTGTCTACCACACTGTCTCTTCCTCCTCTGTGCTCAACAAATGTGTTTCACTGGATGCAAGAGAAGAGCCAACACAGCTTCATTCTATTTTTTTTCACCCCCGGGCTGAAACAAGCTATTTCATTATAGAAGATTGTATTGTGTTACACACCCCAATGCTGATATTGGATATCTCAATCATTCCAAAACAAATAGGTTTAGATTCTACCCAGGCTCTATTCCTTTGTTTTCTTCAAATGACTTTTCTACCTTACTATTGCTTTCATTTCATAAATCTGACAAATAATAGTAATAACAACAACAAGTAACACCACTGATTAAACACTTGCCTAGTGTGCTAAGCATTTTACAGGTAATCTCTCATTTAATCATTACAATAGGGTCTTATTACCTCAATTTTTACAGATGTTGGAGTAAGGATAAAAGAATTAAGCCAGGCTTGGGGCAGTGGCTCACGCCTGTAATCCCAACACTTTGGGAGGCCGAGGTGGGCAGATCACGAGGTCAAGAGATCAAGACCATCTTGGCAAACATGGTGAAACCCCGTCTCTGCTAAAAATACAAAAATTAGCTGGGCATGGTGACGTGCGCCTGTAGTCCCAAGCTAACTCAGGAGGCTGAGGCAGGAGAATCACTTGAACCCGGGAGGCAGAGGTTGCAGTGAGCCAAGATCACGCCACTGCACTCCAGCCTGGTGACAGAGTGAGACTCCGTCAAAAAAAAAAAAAAAAAAAAAAAAAAAAGAATTAAGCTGCTTGCCTAAGACCACACAACTAGCCAGTTTAGTAGTTGGAATTTGATCCCAGGTCTGTATGGTTCCACTGTACACAATCCTTAATTCACGATGTGTTTCTTAGAATATTCTGTAAGCATAAGATTAAGAATTATAATTGTCAAAGTCATCAGAAAGACCTCAAACTTTGTTTCATGTGATGCGATTATTTCACACAATAGAATATTCTCTTCAACAACAATTTACACAGAAGCTCAATGTACAGAGATGATTGACCTGCTTCTCTGGTTACGGTAGCACAGCCCATATTTAAAACTACCTACCTCCCCCCATAAAACCTTTTCATCTCCCACCCTTTAGCTCTGATGGAAACTGAGGCACGTGGCTTTAAAAACAAGTGAAATGCTAATAAAATGTAGACCCTATTTGAATATTGATGAGAGGTGTTCAAATGTAGATGGAAATGTGATTATTCCTATCCATAAGAAAAAGCTGCTCATTAGTATTAGTGTGATATTATATGATTGTCCTGATGTGATAGAGATAAAAATATAGAAAAAGAATGTAAAATTGTGTAATCTTTCAGACTAGCAAGCCACCTAAGTGATTTTAAATGTTTTCGTTAGGAAATGTAGCACTGGAGGGGTGGAGCAAGATGGCAGAATAGAAGGCTCCACCAATCATCCCTCTGAGGACAACAATTTAACAATCATCTACACACAAAAAAAAACTTTCGTAAGAACCAAAAATCAGATGACCACTCATAGTACCTGGTTTTAACTTGTATCACTGAAAGAGGCATTGAAGAGATAGGAAAGACAGTCTTGACTCACTCATGCCATCCCTCCCTCTGCAGCATGGTATGGAGAGCATTTCTGTGCCCTGGGGAGAGCCAGCAATTGTAAGGCATTGAACTCAGTGCTGCCCTTATTATGGCAGAAAACAAAATCAGACCAAACTTAGCTGACACTCCTCCATGGAGGAAGCATCTAAACCAGCCCTAGCCAGAGGGGAATAGCTGATCCCAGGGTCAGAACTTGAGTTCCCACAAGCCTTACCAACATGGACTAAAGTATGTTGAAACTCCAAATAAACTTGAAAGGCAGTCTAGGCCACAAGGAATGTAACACCTAGATGAGTCCTCGGGCTGAACTAGGCCCAAAGACAGTGGACTGGGTGGGGTGTTGTGGGGGAGACACACATGATGTACTAAGATTAAGCCAGCCTGGATGGCTCAGGGAGTGCTGGCATCACCCCATCCCTAACCCCAGGGTGCACAGCTTGCAACTTCAAAATAGACTCCTTTGTTCTGATTGAGGAAATGAGAAGAAAGAGTGGGGAGGACTTAGTCTTGCATCTTAAATAGTAGCTCAGCCACAGCAGGATAGGGCTCTAGTCAGAGTCATGAGGCCCCCTTTCCAGGCCCTAACTCCTAGACATTTCTGGACACACCCTGGGCCAAAGGGAACCTGCTTCCTTGAAGGAAAAGACCCAGTCATGGCAGAATTCACCATCTACTAACTGAAGAGCCCTTGGGCCCTGAATAACCAGGAGCAATACCCAGGTACATTGAGTGCCTTGGATGAGACACTGAGACTTTCTGGTTTTAAGTACCAGCTCAGCCACAGTGGGTAAGGCATCAAGTGGGCTCTTGGGGTCCTTGATTCCAGGACTTGGCTCTCAGATGGGATTTCTGGACCTTCCCTGGGCCAGAGGGGACCCCACTGTCCTGAAGCGTGAGTCCTAGGCCAGGCAGTATTTACCACAGTCTGGCTGAAGAGCCCTTGCGCCTTAAGGGAAGATCAGCAGTAGTCTGGCAGTACTCCTGATGGGCCTGAGGTGATACTGGCCATGAGGTGAGACTCCTCTGACTCTGGTGAGACTTCTCTGTTTTTGAAAGGGAAGGGAAGCATGAGAAGGGCTGCATCTAGTGGTTCGAGTGCTAGCTCAGCTGCAGTACAACAGAACACCAGGTAAATTCCTAAGATGTTTGACTCTAGTCCCTGGCTCCTGGATGGCACTTCTGGACCTACCCAGGGACTGGGGGAACTCGCTGCCCTGAAGGGGAGGACATAGGCTTGGGTGGCTTTGCCACTTGTTGATTGTACAGCCATAGGGCTTTGAGTGATCATGGTGGTAGCCAGGGAGTGGTTACAGAAGGCCTTGAGAGAGACCCAGGGCTGTGCTCACTTCAGGTCTGACCCAGTATGGTGCTAGAGGTGGTGGCCAAAGGGGTATTTGTGTCCGTTCAATCCCAGCTCCAGGTGGCTTAGAAACAAAAGAGAGACAACATTTGTTAGGGAGAAAGTAAGGGAGGAGAACAAGAGTCTCTGCCTGGCAATCCAGAGAATTCTTCTGGATCTTAACCAGGATCATCAAGTTGGTACCTCTACAAGTCTGCAAGAACCACAGCATTACTGAGCTTGGGGTTCCCTCTAAAGCAGATACAGCTTAGATCACAAAACCCAAGTCCTTTTGAATATCTGGGAAGTCTTCCCAAGAAGTTTGGGTATAAACAAGCCCACACTGAGAAGACTACAATAAATACCTATTTTTTTTTTTTTTTTTTTTGGAGATAGAGTTTCTCTCTGTTGCCCAGGCTGGAGGGCAGTAGTGCAATCTTGGCTCACTGCAACCTCCGCCTCCCAGGTTCAAGCGATTCTCCTGCCTCAGCCTCCTGAGTAGCTGGGATTACAGGCGTGTGCCACCATGTCCAGCTAATTTTTGTATATTTAGTAGAGATGAGATTTCACCATGTTGGTCAGGGAGGTCTCGAACTCCTGACCTTGTGATCTGCCTGCCTTGGCCTCTCAAAGTGCTGGGATTACAGGTGTGAGCCACCATGCCTGGCCATAAATACTTAACTCTTTAATGCCCAGGCACAGATGAATATCTACAAGTATTGAGATGATCCAGAAAAAAATCACCTCCCCAAATGAACTAAATAAGCCACCAGGCACCAATCCTAGAGAAACAGATATATGTGACCTTTCAGAAACAGAATTAAAAATAGCTGTTTGGAGGAAACTGAAAGAAATTCAGAATAACGCAGAGAATGGATTCAGAATTCTATTAGATAAATTTAACAAAGAGATTGAAATAAAAAGAATCAAACAGAAATTCTGGAGTTGAAAAATGCAATTGCATACTGAAGAATACAACAGAGTCTTTTAATAACAGAATTATTCAAGCAGAAGAAAGAATTAGTGAGTTTGAAGACAGGATATTACAAAATACAGTCAGAAGGGACAAAATAAAGAAGAATAAAATACAATAAAGCTTATCTACAAGATCTAGAAAATAGCCTCAAAGGGGCAAATCTAAGAGTTATTGGCCTTAAAGAGGAGGTAGAGAAAGAGATGCGGTAGAAAGTTTATCCAAGGGGATAATAACAGAGCACTTCCAAAACTTAGAGATATCAATACCCAAGTACAAGAAGGCTATAGAACACCAAGATTTAACTCAAAGAAGACTACCCCAAGACATGTAATAATCAAACTCCCAGAGGTTGAGGACAAAGAAAAGATTCTAAAAGCAGCAAGAGCTCCATACAATGGGGCTCCAATACATCTTGCAGCAGAATTTTCAGTGGAAACTTTACAGGCCAGGAGAGAATGACATGACATATTTAAAGTGCTAAAGGAAAAAAAAAGTTTTACCCTAGAATAGTGTATCTACAAAAATTATTCTTCAACCATGAAGAAGAAATAAAAACTTTCCCAGACAAACAAAAACCGAAAGATTTCATCAACACCAGACTTGTCCAAAAGAAATGCTAAAGGAAATACTTCAATCAGAAAGAAAAGGATGTTAATGAGGCAAAAGAAATCATCCAAAGGTACAAAACTCACTGGTAATAGTATGTACACAGAAAACCACCGTATTAGTCCATTCTCATGCTGCTATAAAGAACTGTCCAAGACTGGGTAATTTATAAAGGAAAGAGGTTTAACAGACTCACAGTTCCGCATGGCTGGGGAGGCCTCAGGAAACTTACAATCATGGCAGAAGGGGAAGCAAACACATCCTTCTTTACATGATGGCAGAAAGGAGAAGTGCCAAGCAAAAGGGAGAAGCCCCTTATAAAACCATCAGATCTTGTGAGAACTCACTCACTATCACAAGAACAGCATGGAGATAACTGCCCCATGATTCAATTACCTCTCAATGGGTTCCTCCCACAACATGTGGGGATCATGGGAACTACAACTAAAGATGAGGTTGGGTGAGGATTCAGCCAAACCATATCATTCCACCCCGGCCCCTCCCAAATCTCATGTCCCAACGTTTCAAAACACAATCATGCCTTTTCAACAGTTTGCCAGAGTCTTAGCTCATTCCAGCATTAACTCAAGAGTCCAAGTCCAAGATCTGAGGCAAGGCAAGTCCCTTCTGCCTATAAGCCTGTAAAATCAAAAGCAGGTTAGTTACTTCCTAAATACAAAGTGGGTAAAGGCATTGGGTAAATACACTTTTTCCAAATGGGAGAAATTGGCCAAAAGGGGCAACAGGTCCCATGCAAGTCCTAAATCCAATAGGGCAGTCATTAAACCTTAAAATTCCAAAATGATCTCCTTTGACTCCATGTCTCACATTCAGGCCATGCTGGTGCAAGAGGTAGGCTACCATGGCCTTGGACAAATGCACCTCTGGGACTTTGCCGGATACAGCCCCACTCCCGGCTGCTTTCACAGACTGGTGTTGAGTGTCCACGGCTTTTCCAGGCACATGGTGCAGGCAGTTGGTGGGTCTGCCATTCTGCAGTCTGGATAATGGTGTTGCCCTTCTCACAGCTCCACTAGATAGTGCCCCAGTTGGGACTCTGTGTGGGGGCTTTGACTCCACATTTCACTTCCACACTGCCCTAGCAGAGGTTCTCCATGAACGCTCCACCCCTGCAGCAAACTTCCACCTGGACATTCAGGCATTACCATATATCCTTTGAAATCTAGGTGGAGGTTTCCAAACCTCAATTCTTGACTTCTGTGCACCTGCAGGCCCAACACCATATGTAAGCCATCAAGGCTTGGGCCTTGAACCCTCTGAAGCAATGGCCTGAGCTGTACATTGGCTCCTTTTAAGCATAGCTGGGAAACAGGACACCAAGTTCTGATACTGCACAAAGCATCAAGGCCCTGGGCCCAGCCCACAAAACCATTTTTTCCTCCTAGGCCTCCAGGCCTGTGATGGGAGGCACTGCTGCAAAGACCTCTGACATGCCCTGGAGACATTTTCCCCATTGTCTTGTCAACTAACATTTGGCTCCTCATTACTTATGCAAATTTCTGAAGCTCGCTTTAATTTCTTCTCAGAAAGTGAGTTTTTCTTTTCTATTGCATCATCAGACTGCAAATTTTTCAAACTTTTATGCTCTGCTTCTCTTTTAAACATATGTCCCAATTCCAAACCATATCTTTGTGAAAGCATAAAACTGAATACTTTCAACAGCACTCAAGTCACTTCTTGAACACTTTGCTGATTAGAAATTTATTCCACCAGATACCCTAAATCATCTTTCTCAAGCTCAAAGGTTCCACAGATCTCTAGGGCAGGGGCAAAATGCCTCCAGTCTCTTTGCTAAAGCATAGCAAAAGTCGCCTTGATTCCAGTTCCCAACAAGTTCCTCGTCTCCATATGAGACCACCTTAGCCTGGACTTCATTGTCCATGTCACTATCAGCATTTTGGTCAAAGCCATTCAACAAGTCTCTAGGAAGTTCTAAACTTTCCCACATCTTCCTGTCTTCTTCTGAGCCCTCCAAACTGTTCCAACGTCTGCCTGTTACCCAGTTCCAAAGTCACTTCTACAGTTTGGGATATCTTTACAGAAGCACCCCACTACTTGGTACCAATTAACTGTATTAGTCTGTTCTCATGCTGCTATGAAGAAATACCCGAGGTGGGGTAATTTATAAAGGAAAGAGGTTTAATGGACTCACAGTTCCGCATGGCTGGGGAGGCCTCAGGAAACTTACAATCATGGTGGGAGGCACCTCTTCACAGCATGGCAGGAGAGAGAATGAGTGCCCAGTGAAGGCAAAGGCCCCTTATAAAGCCATCAGATCTTATGAGAACTAACTCACTATCATGAGAACAGGATGGGAGAAACCACCCCATGATTCAATTGTCTTCACCTGATTCCTCCATTGACCCATGGGGATTATGGGAACTACAATTCAAGATGAAATTTGGGTGGAGACACAGCCAAACCGTATCAACCATAGAATATTATAACACTGTAACTGTGGTGTGTAAACTACTCTTATGTTAAGTAGAAAGACTAAACAATGAACCAACAAAAAATAAGAAATACAACAAAAAATAACTACAACAACTTTTTAAGACATACAGAGTACAATAAGATATAAATAGTAACAGCAAAAATTAACAAAGCTGTGTGGATGAAATTAAGGCATAGAGTCTTTATTAGTTTTCTTTTTGCTGATTTGTTGGTTTGTTTATGCAAACAGTGTTAGGTTGTTATCAGCTTAAAGTAACGGACTATAAGATAGTATTTGGAAGCCTCATGGTAGCTTCATACCAAAAATCATACAATGGATACAAAAAGAATAAAAAGCAATTGACTAAATCATACCACCAGAGGAAATCACCTTCTCTAAAGAATGACAGGAAGGAAAAAGAAAGGAAAAGAAGACCACAAAGCACCCAGAATACAAGTAATAAAATGGCAGGAACAAGTCCTTATTTATCAACAATAACAATAAATGTAAATGGACTAAATTCTCCAAAAGTCATAGAGTAGCTGAATGGATTTTAAAAAAAAAAAAAAGACCCAATGATCTGTTGCCTAAAAGAAACATACTTCATCTATAAGGATATATATACATAGACTGAAAATAAAGGGTTGGAAAAAGATATTCCATGCCAATGGAAACAAAAAAAAGAGCAGAGTTAGCTGTAATTATATTAGACAAAATAGATTTCTAGACCAAAACTATGAGTAGAGACAAAGATAGTCACCATATAATGATAAAGGGGTGAATTCAGCAAGAGGATATAAATGTTAAATATATATGCATGCAATACTGGAGCACCCAGATATATATGAAGCAAATATTAGAGCTGAAGAGAGAAATAAACCCCAATACAATAACAGCTGGAGACTTCAATACCCCACTTTCAGCATTGGACAGATCTTTCAGACAGAAAATCAACAAGGAAACATTGGATTTAATCTACATTATAGAACAAATGGATCTAATAGATAGTTACATAACATTTCATCCAATACTTACAGAATACACATTCTTTTTCTCAGCACGTGGATCATTCTCAAGGATAAATCATATATTAGGTCACAAAACCAGTCTGAAAACATTTAAAAAGTTGAAATATCAAGCATCTTCACTAAACCCAATGAAATAAAACTAGAAATAAATAATAAGAGGAATTTTGGAAACTATACAAATAAGTGGAAATTAAACATTATGGTACTGAATGAGCAGTAGATTCATGAAGAAATTAACCCATTTATGCCAGAGGTTGCAATTTTTTTAATTTGAAAAATCAGACTTTGGCGATGACCTTGAGCAGTAGAATATAAATAATTCCACATGCTTAGCATTCCAATAATGGAATACTAGGCATAATTGGGTTGAAGGAATTTGAAAAATTTATTGAAACAAATGATAATGGAAACACAACATACTAAAACCTATGGGATACAGCAAAAGCAGTACTAAGAGGGAAGTTTATAGCTATAAATGCCTACATCAAAAAAGAAGAAAAACTTCAAATAAACAACCTAGCAATGCATCTAACAGAACTAGAAAAGCAAGAGCAAACTGAACCCAAGATTAATAGAAGAAACAATAATAATCAGAGCAGAAATGAAATTGAAATGAAGAAAACAATACAAAAGACCGATGAAACTAAAATTTAGTTTTTCAAAAACTTAAACTAAATTAAGAAACCTTTAGCCAGACTGAAAAAAGAGAGAGAAGATCCAAATAAATAAAATCAGAGATGAAAAAGGAGACATTACAACTGATACTGCAAAAATTCAAAGGATCATTAGTGGCTACTATAAGCATCTCTATGCCAATAAATTGGAAAATCTAGAAGAAATGGACAAGTTTCTAGACACATATGACCTACCAAGATTCAACTATAAATAAATCCCAAACCTGAACAGACCAATAACATGTAACAAGATCAAAACCATAAGTAAAATTTCCCAAGAAGGAAGAGCCCAGGACCTGATGGCTTCACTGCTGAATTCTACCAAACATTTAAAGAACTAATACCAGTCCTATTCAAACTATTCAGAAAAATAGAGGAAGAGGGAATACTTCCAAACTCAGTGAGGTCAGTATTACCATGATACCCAAACCAGACAAAGGACACATCAAACAACAACAACAAAAGCAAAAACAACTATAGGCCAATATCACTGATAAATATTGATGCAAAACCTCAGAAAATACTAGCAAACCAAACTCAACAACACATTAAAAAGATTATTCATCATAACCAAATGGGACTTATCCCAGGGATGCATGGATGGTTCAACATATGTAAATCAATCAATGTGATACATCATATCAAAGGAATGAAGGACAAAATCCATATGATCATTTTAATTGATACTGAAGAGCATTTGATAAAATTCAACATCCCTTCATGATAAAATCCCTCAAAAAACTGTATATAGAAGGAACATATTCAACATAATAAAGGCCATATACAACAGGCCCACAGCTGAATGGGGGAAAAACTGAAAGCTTTTCCTCTAAGATCTGAAACACAGTAAGAATGCCCACTTTCACCACTATTATTCAAAATAGTACTGGAAGTCCTAGCTAGAGCAATCAGACAAGAGAAAGGTATAAAGCGTATCCAAATTGGAAAGGAAGAAGTCAAATTATCCTTGTTTGCAGATGGTATGATCCTATATTTGGAAAAACCTATATACTCCACCAAAAAACTGTTAGAACTGATAAACAAATTCAGTAAAGTTGCAGGACATAAACTCAGCATTCAAAAATCAATACCATTTTCATATGTCAACAGGGAACAGTCTGAAAAATAAATAAAAAATGTAATCCTATTTTCAAGAGCCACACATAAAATTAAATACCTAGAAATTAACCAAAGAAGTGAAAGATCTCTATAATGAAAACTATAAAATACTAATAAAAGAAATTGAAGAGAACAGTAAAAAATAGAAAAATATTTCATGTTCATGGATTGGAATAATAAATATTGTTAAAACATCCACACTTCCCAAAGCAATCTACAGATTTGATGCAATCCCTATCAAAATACCAATGACATTATTCACAGACATAGAAAAAAACCTATCCTAAAATTTATATGAAACCACGTAAGTCCCAGAATAGCCAAAGCTATCCTAAGCAAAAAGAAGAAAATTGAAAGAATCACATTACCTGACTTCAAATTATACTACTGAGCTATAGTAACCAAAACAGAATGGTAGTGGCATAAAAATAGACACATAGACCAATGGAACACAATAGAAAATCCATAAACAAACCCAAACACTTACAACAAACATTTTTGACAAAGGTGCCAAGAACACACACTGGGGAAAAGACAGCCTCTTCAATTAATGGTGCTGAGAAAACCAGATATCCATACCTAGAAGAATAAAACTAGACCCCTGTCTCTTGATATATGCTAAAATCAAATTAAAATGGATTAAAGACTTAAAACTAAGACCTCAAACTATAAAACTACTACAAGAAAACATTGGGGAAACTCTCCAAGACAACAATCTGGGCAATGATTTCTTGAGTAATACCCCACAAGCACAAGCAACAAAAGCAAAAATAGACAAATGGGATCACATCAAGTTAAAAAGCTTCTGCACAGCAAAGGAAACAATCAACAAAATGAAGAGACAACCCACAGAATAAGAGAAAATATTTGCAAACTACCCATCTGATAGGGGATTCATAACTAGAATATACAAAGAGCTCAAACAACACTACAGGAAAAAATCTAATCTGATTAATAAATGAGCAAAAGATTTGAATAGACATTTCTCAAAATAAGACATACAAATGCTAAACAAGCATATGAAAACATGCTCAATATCAATGATTATCAGAGAAATGCAAATAAAAAATAGAGCTACCATACAATCCAGCAATTTTACTGCTGGGTGTATACCCAAAAGAAAGAAAATCAGTATACTGAAGAGATGTCTTCAGTCCCTTGTTTCTTGCAGGTCTGTTCACAATAGCCAAGATTTGGAAGCAACCTAAGTGTCCATCAACAAATGAATGGATTAAAAAACTGTGGTCCTTGTACACGATGGATTACTATTCAGCCATAAAAAAAGAATGAGATTCAGTCATTTGGAACATTTGCAACAACACGAATGGAACTGGAGATCATCATGTTAAGTGAAATAAGCCAGGCACAGAAAAACAGATATTGCATGTTCTCACTTATTTGTGGGATCTGAAAATTAAACAATTGAACCCATGGAGATAGAGAGTAGAAGGATGGTTACCACAGGCTGGGAAATGTATTGGGGAAGGGAGCCTTGCTGGGAAGGTGGGGATGGCTAATGGGTACAAAAAAAAATAGCTAGAATGAATAAATAAGGCCTACTATTTGATAGCACAACAGAGAGACTATAATAACAATAATAATGTTATTGCACATTTTAAAACAACTAAAAGTGTATAATTGGATTGTTTGTAACACAAAGGATAAATGCTTGAGGGGATGGATACCCATTTTCCATAATACCATTATTTCACATTGCATGCCTGTGCCAAAATATCGCATGTACCCCCTAAATACGTACACCTACTATGTATCCACAAAATAAAAATGTTTTTTAAAAAATTAAAAGAAATGTAGTACATTCTCTACTGGTCAAGATGGAGTAGGCTATGTTATGGGGAAAAAAAGGATCTCAGATGCTTAATACAACAAAAGTTTATTTCTCTTTTATGTTCCAGATCATCTTAACTCCAACACTTAAGCTGATGGAGCAGCCATAGTCTGCAAGATTCCTGGTTACCCCAGAAATGGCAAAGAAAGCTCCAGAGGTATTATGTCAGGAGTTAAATGGTCTGGCCTAGGAACATGTGCTTCCACTTAAAATTCAGCCAGAGAAAGTCACATGGCCTCCCCAACACAAGGCAAACAGGAAATGCCTGGAAATAGCTGGTGAACAGCACCAAGGACCATCACAGGGACCTAGATGTAGAAACTGTGACACATCACTGCATGACTAGGTTAGGTACTGGGCGCGTGAATCCTGAACTGAACCAACAAAGCACATGTTCCAAAGTTAAACAACCAAACAAGGAAGACGTTGACTAGAAAACAGGATGTAAACGAAAGTAGGAGAAATGTTTATATAACCTACAATGCATTATTTTTTAAACGTTAAGAACTGATTGTGAACATGAGTACTAAAGTATAAAAATATTTTATTCAATGTTTTATATACATATATATATATAATTTTTTTTTTTTTTTTTGAGACAGAGTCTCACTCTGTTGCCCAGGCTGGAGTGTGGTGGCTTTATCTAGGCTCACGGCAACCTCCGCCTCTCAGGTTCAAGCGATTCTCCTGCCTCAGCCTCTTGAGTAGATGGGATTACAGGCATCCGCCACCACGCCCAGCTAATTTTTTTGTATTTTTAGTAGAGATGGGGTTTCACCATGTTGGCCAGGCTGGTCTCGAACTCCTGACCTCAAGTGATTTCCCGCCTCAGACTCCCAAAGTACTAGGATTACAGGTGTGAGCCACTGAGCCAGGCCATGTTATATATTTTATAGTGTTATACATACACACCTATATAATACATTGATTTACTGTGATTTACAGGGCAATTGATACAATTACCCAGATAAAGGTGAAGTCATCCTTGTGTCTACTACCTGCATATTTGAGATGAACAGCTTTTAGGACTATAATAACTCAGGCAACTGCCTCAAACTCTTCAAAGTCACTCTGCGGTGGTAGACACAGCTTATTAAGTAATTTCTTGATGTGGTTTGAAGACGTTAAATAAAATCTAGACCCTGAACACATCAGTGGCTTATGAAACAATACTCTTTTCTTGGGACTAGGCCTCCTAAAAAATTAAGGCTAGGCAAGACCTTCAGATGTCATAAAAGACCAATTTCACATTTTGATGCTTCTGAAGATTAAAATGAAGAAATGTCAAAAGAAGGTAACAAAATGCAGTAAATATTGCTATTTTTAAAGTTAACAGTATACACATATCTGTGCTATTTTAAAGACACAGAGTTTCTATGTATTTTTAATTCACAGGGCACCACAAACAATGTGGATGCAGGTTAGAGCTGTATGATAGCCTTCCTCTGAGTCTGCTAGCATACCCCTATGGCTTTATGTCTGATCTCATTCAGAGATCTCTGACACCAAACTCAGGGCTCCACAAGAGTGTGAGGACTGTCCCACCCTTCCAACCCAGTAGACTCCAAAATTGGTTTTTTACTAGTCATCAGTGACGCTGGGATGAATTGAATTCACTTTCAAATATGAAATCCCAGCATCCTTTGCCTCCTGGAAAGAGTCCCCACTCCACACTGCTTCTTAGCCCAGGCCCCATCAGTGCCTGGAAGTCAGCTCCATTATGGAACTGAAGCATTCAAGCTAGGAAGAAGCCATTCTCTTCTGTGGCTTCCTGCCTCTAACAGCAGACAGTAACAGGAACTCCCCATTGTCAGGAGAGTATGGAGATACTATTCAGAGGATACGCAGGTTGTTAGCAAGCACAGGGCTGTCGGCTGCCTCTTCAGAGAGGCTTTATGGATCATAATCTGAGGATGGCGAGGGAAGAACTGCAGGTGAGGATGAGAATTTGGGCGTGTCTGTGCCATCCCGAGGGCCTCTCTCACCACCTTGGTAGCTGCTTTGTAACATGTTCCTTCCAAGTCCCCAGTTTTGCAATATTCCTTTGTCATTTCTAGTGGGGACCTTTTGACTGTTGTAGTTATCATGTCATAAGACATTTAATTTGAGGCACTAGGCTAGCGTTCAGATCCCAATGGGAAACATTTGTTGCTGGATCTTTTGCAAATTACTCAATACTGCTAAGCCAACATTTTGTCAATTCTAAAAGAATGAAATAATGCCCATCTCATAGAATTGCTGTGAGAATCAAGTATAAACAACTATAGGAAAAATGTATTGTCAACTACTACTACCCCCTCCAGCATCCTCTAAATTGCCAGGAATAAATAGTTTCCATTCAGCCATAGTCCATGTGCTCCCTGGAATTAATACTGGTTTAGAGTTTACTGCTTCAAATGCAAATGGAAAAATAAACCATTTAGAGAGAATCCCTAGCAGACTGCAATGTCCTCAAAGTCAAGGCCATTGACTTATCTTCACACCAGGCATCTAGCCTCATTTCTGGCATCCAGGAGTCACTTCACATCAAGTGAATTTGTGAGTGCAGGAGGAGTCAGTCGTGCCTTGTCGACCACCTCTTCTCACAAAAGTGTGTGATCCCAAGAGTCAAGGCGGTTGAGCAGCTAGTTTGGGGATCCTGGGGTTAATATGAGTCAGAAATTGGAATGAGCATGTGGTAGCCCAAGGGATGGGATGGAGTGAATGAGGTGCTGGCCCTGTGTATGGGTGAACCTGAGACTCAGGGCCCCTTAAATGTTGTGTCCTAGGTGCCTCACTGCCTAAGCTTAGTCCCAGTGTTTGGCAACCCTGTGCTTAACCACCTTCACTTTGGGAGTTCTTCAGAAATTGCAGAGGATTCAGGCTCAATCAAGATTTGGGGGCAATCTCCCATATATTCAGAATGGCTGAACTATGAAATATGATGGCTATTAAATATTGATTAGTGCATAATTTTATTCACTTCAGAGCAGAAAGGTCACTGATGTGTGACTGGAAAGATCCCTTGTACCCCTCCCCTCTGTTTCCTCACTTTTCAAATGAAGCATTTGCCATTTTAAAATTCTGTATTTTCAGATTGGCAGAATATTAATAGTTGAAGCTGGGGAATGGGAACATGGGGGAACATTATACTGTTCTCTCTTATTTGGGATATGTTCAAAACTTTGCATAACACATTCAAAAAATAATCTATTTTCTCTAAATATTCTCTACTGCTGATCAATTTTTGAAGACATCAAACATCACAAATGACTTAAATATATCCCAAAGCTGTTCCAAATATTCAGATTAACAAAATCATTACAGCATAGAATTTGCTGTGATCACATTCCCCCAAGTCCTGGGCAATATATTAGGTAAATAAAAATTAAATTTTATGTAATCTGCTCAGACCCTCACTGAGAGTAACTTCATATGCAAGAGCAACACTGAGATGCTGCTGATCAAATAGAAGCACATTTCAGATAAATATCTCATTACCATACGTGAAGGATTGAAATTCTTGCCTCATCAAAATGGTACCTTGCTATACACCAGGGAGTTTCAGGTCACCTGCAAATGCAACTACAGAATGTAGAGAATGCAAAGTGTGGTCCCCTCACTCAGATGTCAACAAAGTACGATTGTATTTATTTTTCTGCAACTGAACAATATGATTTCTATTTTGATTTCCCTTTATGCCAAAATAGCATAGACTGAATCACATTCTATTTTGGATTTACCTTTTCCCTGGGATTGTGTGTAAGTCTGGGGAGGGGGTTTAAGTGGTATCATTGTGAGAAGGAGGCACTCTATGTCATCGTCTCTCCAGATCAACATCCTTTGAGACATTCGTATTTCCAACAGTACATCAATTGCACATGAAAACAATCACTGGGTTGTCCTTCATGCCTACTGCCATGCTCCACTGAGGGACGGGGCACAATTCTGTGGGCTCCCACACCACGCTGAGCCATGGTAAGATCCACAAGGCTGTGTAGAACCCCATGTACCAAAACAACATGCAGGAGCGTAGTGTGGGGTGTAGTCTCTTTCCTAGGGAGCTACTTAGGACAGGGAGGCTCAAGGGATCTTTGTTCTCAGATATCCCTAATCGAATTGGAGGTGCTTTCACCTCCCAGGTTAGTAACAGATAGAATAGAATGGAATAAACTCCCATATCCTCTTCCCCAAATCCACCTCATACATTCATTACTGGCTTCCCCTTTATTCCTCCCCACCATCACCACCACCACCATCCCCTTCTCCCCAGATTCAGGGAATCTTTTTCTAGTTTGGAAGTAAACCACCTTTTTCTAACTCATCAGATATTAATGCAAATCTACTGTTTATGCCTTAAGTGCCCTCAAGGCTAGGCTTATGAAACTCAAAGCCTTTATTCTGCTGTTGTAATAACATCAATTGTCCGTGGTAATCAACACCTCCAAGTCTGGGTCTGGGCTTGAAACAAAAATGGGTCATGGGATTACAGGGTAATAGAAAATAATAGGAAAATTATGATTCCTGTTAATATTTAAAAATATTATTCTGCCACAAATATTCTCTGGTTTTGTTGCAACTAGCAATTTCAAGAGCTTCAGCTCATCTTCAAAGCTCTTCAGCCCTTCAACTCATCCTTGGGGAATTCTAAAATGTGTTCTTACTATTGTTCTCCTCCCCTACTGATATGGTTTGGCTGTGTCCCCACCCAAATCTCATCCTGAGTTTTAGCTCCCATAATCCGCATGTGTCATGGGAGGGACTCTGTGGGAGGTAATTGAATCATGGGGGCAGGTTTTTCACATGCTGTTCTTATGACAGTGAATAAGTCTCATGAGATCTGATGGTTTTATAAAGTGCAGTTCCCCTGCCCACACCCTCTTGCCTGCCACCGTGTAACACATGCCTTAGCTCCTCCTTTGCCTTCTGCCGTGATAGTGAGGACTCCCTAGCCCTGTGGAGCTGTGAGTCCATTAAACTTCTTTTTCTTTATAAATTACCCAGTCTCAGGTATTTCTTCATAGCAGTATGAAAATGGACTAATACACCTACTAACTGCCTTCTAAACCCTAAAAAGCATGAGGTGCCACTATAAAAGCTGCCTATTACATTTCCTGTTGCTGCTCAAACCAGCAGCATCATGCTGCCAAGTCAGTGAAGGCTTTTCTGCATTCTCAATGTCCCCCAGGGATTTTAGAGAAACAGACCTTTTAGCTTGTACTCATTGTTTAACTTTGTTGGCTATGAGCCTATAGAGCTGGAGCAAGGGGTACTCTTAGTGAGAGACATGGCCCTTGTTCTCCAATGCCTTTAGACTTTTTTTGCTCCAAGCACGCAGCTTCCGTGCTCTTTTTGTCTCATCTTGCAGGCTCCTGGGTCCCACAGGCAAAGAGGGCTTTGCTGGGCCCTCTGGACATGCTCAGACAGGTTTAAATCCTAGGATAGAGACAGCCCAGGTTCTCAAGCTGAGACCCACAACCTCACACTGAAAAACACATTGATACCAAAGACTGATTAATATGCATGTAAATACTGGCATTTGGCACTCATACCTATAGGTAGTAGAGGCTCAAAAGCCAAGACTGAAAAAATTTTTCTCTATTCATAGATACCAGTCTGGCTACCTCCATCTCTACTCTGAACTCAGAGACTAAGGAGGGTACATGGGAGGACAGTCCATGCCCTAGAGAAATTGAGGAAGATAGCTTCTTCCTCATTGTTGGGAGTACAGTGGCTTTTATACCATAATCTTCCCATTCTCTTCTCAGATAAACCCTTTGGCAAGTATAATTTTTAAATATTTCTTTGAAAACTGCTGAACCTGACACATTATAAAAGTAAAATTCTTCCCTGTGGTAGGCTGAATAATATCCCCTAAATATGTTCATGCTCTAATTCCAGACCCTGTGAATTTAACCTTACATGGCGAAAGGGTCTTTGTCAAGATGGTTAAATCAAGGATCTTGAAATGGGGAGGTTATCCTGGATTATTCTGGGCCTAATGTAATCACAATAGTCCTTATAAAGGGAATGCAGGAGGAGTCAGAGAGTCAGGGGAGAAAGCTATGTGAGGACAGAAGCAGAGATTGGAGTGAGAGGGCTACAAGCCAAGGAATGCCAGCAACTTCTAGAAGCTGAAAGGAGAAAGGAACAGATTCCCCTTTGAGAGCTGCAGAAGAAATATACCCTGCTGACACTTCGATTTTAGCCTTGTACAACTCATTTCCGACATGTGACTTCCAGAACCATAAGACATCCAAAACATTAAGTTTGTGGTAATTTGTTACAGGGGCAATGGGAAACTCGGACTCTCTCACAGCTTGGCAGAATTAGTGGAACAGCATGTGTCTTTTATCTAGAATTTTGCCATATAGCTCTGGAGTTATCTAAGAAATAGGAGACTGAGAGCACCTAGAAGCTGTGTTTCTTACCAAGGAGATGCTTGAGATCAGTTTGCCTATTTGTTATCCATGAACTGGTAAGCTTCCTGCCAGATGGTGGATATCACATTGGACCTGGAATCGGTAGACCACTGATAAGGTTTTGCTCTGTGTCCCCACCCAAAGCTTATGCTGAATTGTAATTCCCAGTGTTGGAGGTGGGGCCTGGTGGGAGGTGACTGGATCACGGGGGTGGTTTCTAATGGTTTAGCACCATTCCCTAGTGCTGTCTCATGATAGAGTTCTCATGAGGTCTGGTTGTTTAAAAGTGTGTCTCACCTCCCCCTTCTCTCTCTCTCTCTCTGTCTCTCTCTCTCTCTCTCCCTCCCTCCCTCCCTCCCTCTCTCTCTCCTGCCAGCCATGTGAAGACGTGCTTGCTTCTACTTCACCTTCCACTATGATTGTAAGTTTCCTGACGCCTCCCTAGCAATGCCTCCTGTACAACCTGTAAAACTGTGAGCCAATTAAACCTCTTTTCTTCATTAATTACCCGTCTCAGGTAGTTCTTTGTAGCTGTGTGAGAAAGAACTAAAGCAACCACTTTGAACACCGGCTGTCATTAGCCAGCTGAATGATCTGGGTTAAGTCACTCACCCTTTCTAAAACGGAGATCAATGACTACTTAAAAATATACTATGAAAATCCAGTGAGATAATGTAAGTGAGAGAACTTGATATCCCATAAAAACCTTCACATATATAAGGTATTCTTATAAATAGGGTGTATAAAAAATATTCTAGTCATTCGCATTTCTTGCTTGTTTTGATTTCAGATAAATGGAAGTCACTTGGCTTTTCTTTTAAGGGCTCAGATTTCATCAAAAGCATTGGACTCTGCTCTAGGGTCCTTTCCAGCTCTGCCATTCTATAATTCTAAGTGTCAGCCTGAATGATGCTGTGATAGCACCATTAATTCTCTCATGGCAGATAGAGACCAAAAGTCCAGGAAGAAGCTAGAGTTGATCAAGCCTGAAGGATAGCATGGGCCAGGGTACAGACTCCTGCATAAGAGTGTTTTATTCATGCATTCTTTATTCATTTATTCATTGCACATATATTCACTGAGTGAATACCATATATGCCAGGGGTTATGCTAGGCACTGGGTAAGTTGGGAAAGGTGATTGGGGGACAGGAAGAGTTATGACAATGAATAAGACAAGGTTTGTGGTCTCAGTAACTTTACATCAGGTGATGTAGGTAGATATGCAACCCATGGCAGCCTAAATGTCCCCAGGCCTCTCTCCCCTGTGGTCTCCAATGAGGTCACAGGACTTTTATACCCACATCTCATTGATTTCCATAGACCCATCTACTCACACAGAAAATCAGCCCCTTGCTAAATTGCCCAATGTTTCTGGAGGCCTAAAGGGATGTCTCACATGTGCTCATCAACAGGCTGTGCCTGCTGGCTGCTGTGCGACCCAGGCACGTGCCATCTGCCACCACCAGAGCTCTCAGGCAGGGCCCCTCTGTATTTCATAGATGTGGTTAAATTTGGAACCAACCTTAAATCCAGAGCTGTGGCAACCTAAGCCTCCCGCACAATTCCCACGAGTTTCCATGGCTTCCATCCTCCTTATCCATTTTGCTTACCACTCACCCACTTCCAACATCCTCCTCCACATGCTTGCTGAAGAATTCAGCTACTTCTATTGTTTCTAAAGAAAATCATGTGCATCAAGCACTTTATGTCCCTCATTCCTTCCTTCCTTGACTTCATAAATTTAACTGACAATTTGCATAATAGGGAAAGGACAGAGCAGAGATTTGAAGGGAGCTCACACTGCAGAGGGCAAGGCCTTTCACCATCCACTGGCTCCATCCCTCTCTCCCCCTTGCCCTTACCTCTCTCTCTTTCTCCTAAGCTACCAAGCACACCCTCTCCTCCAACCTTCCACAGGGCAGTTCCACTCATGCCTAGATGCACTGGAGACTGAGCTCCCACTGCAGGTGCTTATTACAGTATTTTCCCCGTACAGATCTGTGGAATCCAGAGGAGGGGCTGTCTCACAGACAAAATTTTTCAGGATAAGATAGAATAAACACAATCCACAAAATTTCTCCCATTTCATGACCTAAAGCACCAGCATACATTCTTTCTGGGTTCCAGTGTCATTTCCAGCAATAGAAGTATGAGGACATAAAGCAAACATCAGCCACACAAGCTGCAGTGTGGCTTCCAGTTACTGCTGTTTGTGTTGCTAAGGACAGCGGGGTGGGGCGAGGCCTGAGCACCTGCACCCTGGTGATGACAAATCAGACACAGCAGGACCCAGAGCAGGTGCCCTTTTCCTTGTTTAGGATTCTGAGTGTTTCGAAGTATCGATCATGCACCAGATGTCACTAAAAGAGGTTTTATTTGAAACAGTCTGACTTAATGAGGCTCAGATTGTTGCTGTGAGCTTGTGGGGAGAGAGTAGGTATACACAAGCAGAGGTAAATTTACCCTGGAGCTAATAAGCCTCACGCTTCACGGCCTGTCACTTGCCTACGTTTCTTCCAAGGCCCTGTCCTCAATTTTGTATTTGTAATTTTATACTCACTTTCTTAAAGAGCACTCCCATATTGTTAGGTTTCATGGCCCACAAAACCAGCCACCCCAGTACACCAGAGCCTTTGGTCCATGTTGCCACCAGGCTGAACGCAGACATGCACACACGTGCTCATGGGGGTCAGCCCTTGCGAAATTAGAAAATGCAGAATCTGTCACTGACATCCTTCTCCTCCACCTGCCTTTTCTCTCAGAGCCTGTGGCCTTGCCTCTTAGAATTCTCCATGCTCCCACTAACCATACATCCCCACTCTGCTTGGTGCACTCAACTGCCTACTTTTCCCACACCCCATTATCCAATATAGTGGTCTCCAAACTACAGCCCTTGGGACAAATCTAGTCCACCACCTGTTTTTGTAACTAAAGTTACACATCTTGTGTGTGGCTGCTTTTGTGAGGCAGAATTGAGTAGTTGCAACAGAGACTAAATTGCCCCAAAGCCTAAAATATTTACTCTCTGGCCTTTTACAGAAAACAAGTGTGCCAACCTCTGGTTGAATCCCCAGTAACTTCATAACTAATATTGACAATTCATTTCATCAGCCAAAGATCTGCTTAAAAATAAACCTACTCATGCTCTCTCCTACTGCTTCCCTCTACGCTTGAAATGAAAACCAGCTTCTGCCCAGGCCCCACAGACTTTCCATGGCCAACACTGCCTGACTCTCTGATCTGTTCTGACTGTCCCCCTTTCACTCACTATTCCACACTCTCTTTCCACATGTGCTGGTTTTGTGTTACATGTGCTAGTTTCTTTTCTTATACCTCCTGCAATTATCCTGTGTGCTTGCTTGTTTACTTGTTTACCATTGGTTTCCTCCAATGGTGTTCCTCCCAGAACCACAGGCTTGTCTATCTTACTCAATGTTGGGAAGTATCTAAAGCTGTGCCTGGCATATAGAGTAGGCCATCAAGAAACATTTGTTAAACAAATAAATGAGCAGAATGGTGACGATTTAATAAGGGGATTCTGAAACCTGAAAAGGAAGGGCCATTAATACAGGAATTTCAGAATTACACACATAGCTGGAATTTCAGAATTGCACAAATTGCACAACTCTAGGAATGGCCATCCCTATGTTGCAGGGAGATTAACCAAGGGTTCTGATATGGTTTGGCTCTATGTCCCCACCCAACTCTCATCTTGAATTGTAATCCCCACATGTTGAGGGAGAGACCTGGTGGGAGGTGATTGGATCATGGGGATGGTTTCTTCCATGCTGTTCTCATGACAGTGAGGGAGTTCTCGTGAGATCTTGATGGTTTAAAAGTGTGGCACTTCCTCGTGCTTGCTCGGTCTCTCCTGCTGCCGTGTAAGATGTGCCTTGCTTCCCCTTTGCCTTCTGCCATGATTGTAAGTTTCCTGAGGCCTCTCCAGCCATGCAGAACTGTGAATCAATTAAAACTCTTTTGTTTAGTTTAGAAATTACCCAGTCTCAGATTGTATCTTTATAGCAGTGTGAGAATAGACTGATAAAGGGTAAATCAGAATTTCTTTCTGGGACTTTTGAGGATGTAGGTTTTAGGTTTAACTCCTTACCAGGGAACCACCCAAAGGTCATATAGATTTAGTGTAAGCCACAGTTTAGTACTTCCACTGGAGAAAGAAAACTCACATTAGGGTTCAGGCTGAACACATGAACCTAGTTGTTTATCACTGTGACATATTTCAATAGACAGCTTCTGACACTGGAGCAATAACCGGAGACAAGGCTTTCACTTTAAAACTTCCTTTTTGGTAGTAACAAGCATCCTTAATGTCATGCACAGTCTTGGCATTAACCAGTGACTTTTTTCAAAAATCTCTCCCTGTTGCTGCTCCCATTCATGCCAGCCTCACTCCAGTCACTCTGGGCAAGCTCAGAACATTCTCTATGTGCTTCCACTTCCACAGCTTTCTTACTCTCCTCTCCATGCCTCTCACCATCACCACTTGCCCAAGGTCTGGCCATTTCTAAAGCTATACTTATACCCTACCTCCCCCTATCCCAGAGATCTCCCAAATTAGCATTAATTTCTTCTTTTCTAACACTCTATTGCACTTTCTTTCTACTACACTAGTTGCCTATGGCTGGATAGCAGACCATCCCAAACTGTAACCAGTTAAAACAACTGGCATTTTATTTTATCTAATGATTTTGGATCAGGAATTCGGAAAGGGCTCAGGTTGGCAATTTTTCTTCTTCACGTGATATAAACTGAAGTCACTAGGTGGAATTCATCTGGTGAATGAGTAAGTATGGTCTAAGACAGCTCACTCAATGTTTAACACATTGGTGGGAATGGAGTGTCTAGATGTTCTCTAGCATGTGTAGGTGGGTAGTCAGGCTTCTTTTCAGCAACTCAGAGACCCCAGATAGAGTTCCAGAAGACAAGAAGTAGAAGCTTCTTGGGTTGCAGTTTTCTGTCTGAAAATAAAACCTTTCATTAATGAGATGGTCTCCCAGATGGCTCCAGCCCCAAGAGTCTGATGCTTTAACTCCATCCCAGAGTGTGTGTACTCAGCCATTAATCCCTTCCTTACTTGGAAGGTAGGAGATTTCTAGGAATCTCAGACAAATCACAGTAGAATTGTTTAAGAGCTGTTTGTCTAAAGGACTAAGAGCTATGCACCAACATGGTAGAACAGGATTGCAAATGCATACTTCACTAAGCTGGCAAAAACAAAACAAAACAAAATACAAGCTTCTTTATAGTCTTTAACTGATCCAGTCTTCCTTATTAACTGCCAGTCTCCCTCCCAATCTTGCTAGATAGTAGGGAGATGGGGTGAGAATAAGGGCAGAATTTGGAAATTAATAGTATCTACATATTCAAATGCTTTTTTGGGAACAAACATTCATATAATTTTAACTTAAACTCTTTGAACAGAGCTGTTTACCCCCGTCTTCTTCCTGCTTTTCAAGATGGCTTCTGGGTGGAGGTGAAAGCTTGAGGGTATTTCTGATAACTGGGGGAGTGGAGACATAGGAAGGGGGTTGAGGTGGTGAGAGAAAGCTGGCCTGGGTACTGCCCCTCTCTGCCAACCTGGCATGGGGTGTCGATCTGATCTCAGGATTGGCATTTGCCAATTCTGACAATTTCACCTGGCCTCGTGGCATGAAGTTTATCATCTGATGCTCATGGCTGGCATTTGTTGTTGACTTTCCTGTCCTTGGTAGTTGCTTATTTCTGATGCCAGGCCCTTCTTGGCAGCTCTGTGAGTTCTCACCAGGCCATGAAGCAAGCTTCAGACCTTTTACCCAACACACCAAAGTTCAGCAGAGCCAAGAGAGCTTCCAGAGGCTCGCCCCTCAAGCCACTTTCCTCTACTGGTGCTGCCCCATATCCTTCTACCAGATTTTTCCTAGAGACCTGAAGTCCTCATAAGGCCTTGCTTGAAAAAAGGGCCACAGCATTACAAAACTCCAGGAATGGCCGTTCACAAAGAATACAATGTAACTGGTGCCCCTGCAGTTGCAAAGCACAGAGGTTCCAGTGAGGGTAGCAGGCCACCAACCTCAGTGTTGGATTCACTCAAGATTCTCCCAAGAAGCGAAACTGTGAACACATGTGTTTAACTCTTTGGCTGTTCCCTGGTTCCTATCTTCTTCTTCCCACAATTCCTCAACCCTAAAGATGCAAGATTTCTCCCTGCCTTTCCGGTGTAGCCAAGGCTTCCCTTACATTATATGCTAAGTTTTCTCTATCAAGGTTTATAGAAACTCTATGAGCCAGTCCACCAGCAATGATTCCTGACATGTTAATGGGAGCTCAAGGAATTTAGAAATTTATTTTTCTTCACCAAAGCCTGACTTTGAAGACTATTATCTTGCTAGTGACTCAAAAATCCTATTTGCTAGTCAAAGATGAGAAATAACTCCATTGCTAGAGTTGGCCTCCACCCTTTCCCTGAAGATCTTAAATCCATTGCTTCATGACTGGAAGGCCCCAGGGCAACCATCATTCTAGGAGATGGAACACTTCAGAAATTGTATGTTAAATTATTAGCCCTCATATGCATATATGTTACAAACATTGTTTTCATGTTTTATACAAATATTGACATTACAGGGCTCTCAGGGGTTAAGAAATAAGATGAAAGCTCTTTCTTATGCTGATAAAATATTCACTTCCTATTACCTTCTTCCCAGGTCCTTTCTTAACTGGGTATGAAACCTTTGCTCCTAAGGTGGTAACTGAGGGATGGATGAGATGATTTCAAACCAGAGAGTTGATAAAATGGGAGTACACAGGTGAGATTCACATGTGACAAAAACGCAAGGCTTGCAAATGTGGTGAGTGAATTCAGAGCAGATGCTTTCCCTGTTACCACTTGATGGAACCTCCTTAGGATGTAGAAGTGAATCCAAAATAGCAGCGATTCCATGCTCCAACTTCAGCTCCCATCCTAATCACAGGCTTCAGCCGAGTTGAGGCCATGTGCTCTGGCAAGGCTTTCTGTGTAACTTAAATCAAGTTTCGTCTCTGATTTATTAGGATTTTGTTAAATTGCTAATACCATTATTCTACCCTCATCCATTTCATCAGCAGCAGTTTAAACTCAGTCGCCTTGAATCAGTCACAAACAGTCCCAAAGGTTTATTTGGCCTTATATTTCTTAACACAATTTATAGCATTCAAATACTGAGTTAGATTTCAGGATGACATTTATCAAGCCTACTGTAATATGCCCTTGGCTTTTTTCTCTTCATCCCTTTCATCTATCTTGGCAGTAAAAGTGCTGCTGCTTTACCTCTGTTCCATATGATCAGGTTAAATCACTTTTTCTTTCCTAGGCCCCTATTTCAGCAGTGCCTTAGAGCTCATCTACATGAACCGCTTAAGCTTCTTTCCTTCCATAAAGCTTTGTAATAAACTTTCTTCTTCAAATACAGTTTCCCCCAGGACATACCCCAAATTTGGTCTTTTTCAAATGCAGGAATTGCTTACATTCCTGCATTTGATATCTTTCCCAAAGATGGGATATTATCTTTCCCAAAGAAAGAGGGATATCATCTTTCCCAAAGAACAGATTTGGTCTCATGGACCTCCAAGCATGTGTGTGTTCATGGGAACAAAGAGCTGAAATACTACAATCTAGTCTGAAAAAATCTCATTTAGAGGGCTCATTGTCTGAAGCGGATTACTCTCCAATAGCTAAGTTTCCAGGACTCCGGCCTAAGAGGCAGAATTCCCAGGATTAACAGAAATATAACTGCTCTGTCCTGAGCTCTCACAGACTCTAAGAGGTTGGAGTGGGATCAGCCAGTCCAACCCCACTTATTTCATAACTAGGGAATCTGAGATCTAAAGAAACTTCAACAAAGGAAGCTTATCATCCTAGTAAGTTGCCAGGCAAAGTCTCAGATGTGCCCTGTGAGTATTTTAGCGTTATTCATTCCCTGTGTTACAAAAACTCACATTGTACAAACTTCAAGAGAAAAAGAGCACAGGCTCTAAGAATGGGCAATTCCAAGTTTGCATTAAAACTCCAGCACCTACTGGATATTCAGGCAGAATGTATTTCTCACCTTTGAAATGGATTACAACACTGCTCCCTTGGAACATCATGGAGCACCCACATAGCACATGGGACATTTCAGAGCTTGGTAAATGGCAGCTAAACAGTAATTTTAAAGAGCCTGGGGCATGGACATCTGGGGGAAAAGGCTTAGGAGTTGGGAGGTAGGTGGAAACTGAGAACAAA
The DNA here is from genome assembly GCF_000001405.40 of Homo sapiens. Classification (NCBI taxonomy): domain Eukaryota; kingdom Metazoa; phylum Chordata; class Mammalia; order Primates; family Hominidae; genus Homo; species Homo sapiens. Next base: position 2,293,317 of record NC_000009.12, on the reverse strand, counting down.
TAGAGAGATCAGTGAAAACCATGTGTGGGTTTGGCACAGTCTACCAATGCCTAGCTTAAGATTGCAGGACCAATTTGGAGGACTGATTATCTCAGCCAGCCAGTCAAGCCACTACAGCTCAGACAATTCAATTTTCTGGAGTTCTCTAGATCCTACCTCACGTCATTCATTTAATTCTTGCTCCTGTCTCATAGAAAGAAAGAACAGAGGAATTAAAGAGAGAAGAAAAAGAGGCTGATCAGAGCCTGCCATCATTACAGCGAGAAAACTAGACCACACTTAAGTGAGCCTCCCCCTCTCTCCCTCACTTTTATTACTGGTGCTGTACAGTGAGTGCATATTTCATTGTTCAACTTCTCAAAAATAGAAGTCCTTTATATCACTCAGTCTTCCTGGTACATGGCTGGGCACAAGGACAGGCATCCAATAAATCATTTGTAAAGTCATGAGGCTGAAAGGGAGTTGAGAATAAACCCACTCATTTTCCCACTGAGAAGATGGAACGAGGAAGGAAACTAGAGAAAGTTAACAGATAATCAGCCCTTCTTATGTTTGGATGTAAGAGTGGGTTTAACAGTGTCCAGAAGATCAAAGCTCAATCCACACTCCTTCCTCCTAAACATGCTTTATGTCTCTTTGTTCAAAGTGGCCAGAAGGCAGCCCAAGGCTTCTGTTTTCACTCAACCTCCTAGCTGAATCTTGCAATATTGCTTCATTTAGTAGGTCCACAGTCATGTAAGAGAACAATTTCCTCTTCCTTGAAACTTTTATATGGCCTTTGTTCTCCTGCTAGGCCAGTTCCCAACTAAAGTTGAATTTCCAGTTTAGAAGTGAACACATGGCCATGTGATTTAATACATTCTCGCTAGTCGAACTGGAAAAGTCTGTCTTTAGAAATATTGTATACAGCTGCAGCTGAGACCCAAGGCTACGGTTTACCCGCAGATAATACTAGGGCCAGAAAAAATTCTATATTAAGGTTCAGTGATCCCAAACTCAGACAACTGTCGCCAAAGCTGGGCAAGTTAATGCCACCGTCTGCAACAGCTGGGTTTCCACAAATACCACCACGCCTCTCACTCATCAGAGGTATTGTGTCTCCAAAGCCATGTTGGTTTTGCAAGACTGCCTGCTACTTGGCACCATTTCAATGTGTGACTATTTCCATTCAAGATCTCCCCATCTGGCAGCAGCCTAGGCAGTCATGCCCTGGTGTGCTGGTGGTGTTCTTACAAGAGGATCAGGCCACTGGGATTGTAACACCTGCCTCTGGGCTATGCGGGAAGTAGCCAGGGAAAACAAAAGAACACAGGGTATGGCTGCAAATAAATAAATTTAAAATGTTGCATGCTGTTGCTGTAGCCAGGTGACAGAAGCCCATCTGGATATAATCTACTCTTTGGAAGCAGAGTCAGATATCCAAGAAGTGACAGATGCACACATACAGAATTTTTATCCATCAGTGAACTTGCAAAGTTTAAATTCTCTATAGTGCTCCCTTATTTGGGATATTTGCACAACTAATGATAATATCTTTTCAGATATATCTTTTCAGGGACACCACAAATTTCACGATGCTTCCCTGGGCTCAAAAGATTCAGTCAGTCTAATCACATCTAGTCTCTAGGAGATGGATAATGAGAAAAGTCAGAGCTGCTATGTCTTCATCCTGGTGACCTCTCATGGAGAGCTTAATTAAAGTATTTAGGAGGAAGGAGGAGGGTATATGGTAGAAGCAGGTTTTAATTTTCTTTCTTAGCTAAAAATGTTCTATTATTCTATCTCAACACTAATAGAATCCTGATTTATTTTTCAAAATTTTCAGAGATGATTTCATGTGTTTTTCTAGGTAGTTCTAATATTTAGTAGGCAGTTATTCTTCCGATTCCACTGGGAAGTTAGAGTGGTGCCTTCCCATGTCCTTTGGAAGCCAAGAGGATGGTGCCTAGGACAATGTTTTGCATACAGTAAGTGCTCAATAAATGTTTGTTGTGTTGAATTAAGAAGGAACAAATATATCCACAGAGGGAAAAGGGCGGGGACTATATGAGAACAGAACTCAGTTGTTCCCGTAATCCCCAAGAATGATCCAGCAGTGGGATTTAGGAGTCAGCTGAAGTTGACTGCTCATCAGAGCAGGCTGTTGTAAGAATGATTCCAAGTCCTTCATCCATACTACTCATGCCCCTATTAGTGAGGGTTTTGTAAGGATGCAGTGGTGAAGTGGCAAGTTTTGCTATTTACTAGCTATATAGTCCTGCACAAATTATCTAATCTTTCTAAACCTCAGTTATCTTATCTCTAAAATGGTAATAATAATGAAATCTATCTAGTGTTGTTCTAGGGTCAGCTTTCACTGGTTTGCAAGAGGTGATTATCTGCTTCTCTTCCGGACTTTTTTCTCAGTGGCTCACAAAATAATGGCTCATGTCACAATCAATAGAGTGTTAAGAGTCAATGAAACATTATTATTTTCATCATCATCCTCATTATTATACTAGACCCTTTATAACAGTCCATGTAAATTATCTTTAAAATGTAAGAAAAAACACACTAATGTGCCACCACACATATAGTAGCAACCTGCTGATTCAAGGAGGAGCTTTGAAGTAGACAAGATCTCCCATCTTCACCCCTGCCTACAATTGGCAGCTTTCCCTCCTCCTTTCCTAACTCCTCCAACACAGCCCTCTCTCAGGAATGAGCCCATGGGGCCTCTAGCGTGGTGTGAGTGACTCCAGTGAATGTGACTTCCCATGAGCAGGTTTGCACTGACAGCCTAATGGCTCACTGGGCAAGGGGATCTGAGATCCCCTGCTAAAGACACTTACAGCAAGCAGAAGAAGGGGGCTGCTCTGGTGTAGAGGCTTTCCTGACACTGAAATCATCATGCAGGTGCTGTTTGCAGAGCTGCTAGCTTTACAACTCTGTTGCCTGGTGGGTGAAACATATCTGAAACTCAATACACGTTTGTTGAATAAGCCAATGAATGATTAAATGAATAATAATAATAAAGGTATACCAAATATGAAGAATTTAATATATGAAATAATCAAGTGTTACTTAGGATGTATTAAATTGTCCTTAAATATCTTGCTGGTGGAATGTAAATTGCTTTAGCGCTTTTAAAGGACAATTGCTGGTATGCATTAAAATTTCATATGTGCCTACCATGCTGTTTCAGGGAACCACTCATGCACAAACTAGAGTTCACAAGGATCTTCGTAGCTGTGTTGTCTCTAGTGGGAAAAAAAAAACTCTAATGAGTCTATCTATGAATAAGGAATGGGTTAATAAATGCTACTATATCCATAGCCATTCCGTATGCAACAGTTAGGAAGAATGAGGTTAATCTGTATATATTAATAGGAAAAGAAATATTAGTGAAATAAGAAAACAATTTACTGAACACTATATATAACATGATTTTTAAATTTTTTAAATATGAAAACCATTTTTTCTGTATTTCTGTATAAGAGCCTAAATGCACAAAAGAAGGTAACAACAGTTACCTCTAGAAAGGGGTATGGTCTAGAAAGCGTATGGTCAAAGTAGACTTTAGCTTTACTTTTATGCTTAGATTTTAAATTTTACAACTAAAATGTGTTCATGTATTATTTGTATAATTAACATTTTTAAAAAATAAAAGGGAAGCATAGCTAATGGATGTTCAGGCTGAGCCATAAATTTGTGCAGCAGCTATGTGAGCTTGTTCTCTGCTGAGGAGGGAGATGACGTGTCTGAACTGTGAGCATCCAAGCACAGCAGTGCAGAGCTGCTTAGAGTGGCTGCTCCTCCGGCTCTGAAAAATTATGAGCCAAGACAGAGGAAAGCAGGGTTCCCCAGATGCCACTGCAGTGACAATCATCTCCAAGGCTGTCTGGCAGGAAGGTACAGGCTGATGGGATGGCAGAGGCCCCTGCTTCCCTCTGCTGATGCCCAGAGAGGCGAGGGTCAGGGAGTGAGGGACAAGGGAAGAGTAGAGGGAGAGAGTATTGGAGTCATCCAAGACAGACATTGGTACCTGGTAATACCCGGTAACTGTGCCAAGAGCCAGGCCTTTCCATAGCTGAGAGTTCAGGGGATGTGATTTCTCCCCCCGTCCTTCATCCCCTCTACTCTAAACAGGGTGATTTCTCTGTGTTGGCACCAAGTGCAAACCCTCCTCACACCACAGTCATAGAGCCAGATGATAGCTCAAAAAGCTGTCTTGGTCACTCCTTGCTAGGAAGTTAGGAATTAAAGAGTCCCTGGAAAAAAGTAATCACAATACATATAGAATGTTCTTTTATCTTCCCTGGAAACCAAAATATTTGTTGTCCCTTTGTGAGTTCAATTTCTTATTTTTTAAAATTTTCACAGAATGGGATTACACCACCTTGCTTGGTCTCCATCCAACTGTCCATGTATTCGTTAATCCACCCAATCACATTTATTTAGCACCAACTACATATATATCAGTACTACAGGATACCTGATCTTGAAGGTGGAAAGTTTCAAAGAAGGCTTTGAGGAGGTAACATGAAGAATGGGTACAGTAAGTAAGCCATATCCGGGCAAACTTTTGGGAGTGTGACTGTAGGGTGAGAGTAGGATGAGGGAAGGGACCAAGCAAGAGTACTCCAGGCTAAAGGGAAAACATGGGTTGCAGCACATTTTAGCAACTCCAACTCCCCTATACCCACAGAAGAAAAAAGCAAGTGTGGAGCAACTCTAAACTTAGTGATGAGGAAGTAAGTTAGAGTCCCTGTGAAATGGGAGAGTTCCCGGTTCCCCCTCTCAGTACTTGTGACAGGGGTGTGGAGTGACTGACAGGTCACCGTCCTGCTGCTTCTCAAACCCCTTGCGGGAAAGGGAGCACGCAGAAGGGCAGATGCAGAGCTGGGGCGAGCACTTTGGGCTCCAGCCCCATGGTAGGGTCTCGAGGTGGGCGCCTGCAATCCCAGTGCTACAATGCTGTCTTAGCCTTGCTGTCCACAGATGGCTTTAAGTGTTAACCAGCTCTATGGACCCTCTGCCTTTTTGCAAGGTCAGAGGGCCAGTGTGAAATCTTTCTGTATCCCGAGTTCTTATCCAGCATCCCGGGAGTATCGGGTCACACACGGGCTTGAAGGATCAACGCAGGGTTTCGTCGAGTGGTGGAGGTGGCTCTTGGCGGGATGGATGGGAAAGCGGAAGTGGGGGATGGAGTGGGAAGATGATCTTCCCCTGGAGTTGGGCTGTCCAGCTGCCAAACTCCTTTCCAACCACCCCCAGCTGAACGTTCCTCTTCCTGTCTCCCTGCTGTGTCCTTCTGCCGTCCCTCTGCTTCTCTTCATCTGCTGGTCTGCTCCTGGAGCCTGGGGTTTGAGGTTTATATGGGTGCAGGATAGGGAACGTAGCAGGCCGAAAGGCAACTTCTTGAGTGCAAAAACAGGAATGCCTGTCCTCATTTAGGGCCAAGGTTCTTCAGGCTTGAGGGTGGGGTTCTTGCCAGGAAACCACCCTCTTCTACTCAGTATCTCCCTGTCTCCTGTCTATATCACCTGTGGGATGCTAGATGCGTTTTTACAAAGCACAGGAACATCATTCAGAAGGATTTTCATGTGTGTTAATGAAATATCAAAAAGGCTGTGGAGACAGAAATGCAAAGTCATTGAGGACTGGAAACCGAATTTCTGACAAAGAGAAGCTTGGTTAAGAGGGTGATGGCATTTTTTACCTCCAAACTGTGGACAGCTGTACAGTCTGAAATGCTCAGGAGAGACTCCATCAAGCTGAAAGCAGGAATCAAGTTTCCCAAAGCCAGGCTGTTTGAGCCCTTTACCTCCTTGGCCAGCCTTTTTTAATTTTTTAATTAAAAAATCAGTTCCAGTGGTTCTCCCATGCTCAAGAAAAGCAACCGTACACTCTAACTTACTTTCAAATACCTTGCCACTTTTACTCCAGATAGAGCCACATAAAAGCCAAGAGATAAATCAAATTGCTTGTCAGAATATCAGGTAGGCTAGGGACTGCTGGGATAAAAAAAAACCTGCTGTGGACTTCAATGGCTCTAGAATTGGCAAAAACATGTGAAATCATTCCTGAAGAGCTCAGGTGAGTGCCCTGCAGGTAGCCAGGCGGGCACTCTACCCTCCTTTAGGCTCTGAATCCAGCCCAGATTCATGATAACGTTTGCAAATGGTGTATTCATAAAACACTTTTTGGTGATACTCTAAAAGGGAGCTGGAGGGTCATTTTGTTAATGATTAACTGACAACACAACCAAAGCTCATTGAGCAGCTACTGTGTGTCCTTGGAGTTAGAACTCAAGGATGGAATGGGGGAGGGGGATGGCTGCAAAATGGTGTAAAAAGAATTCAAGACTGGCAGGTATCATGCTGGACCCCTGTTGACTTCATTCAATAGGAATGGCATCGTGTTTGAGAGGCTAAAGACCTGGCACCAGTGAACAAGACATAGGGTTTATTGAGGGAACTTACATACAGGGCAGTCCCGTCCAGTGGTGGTGGACTAGACAGGAGAACTGTAACAACTTGTATAAAGCATGCAGTTTATATAGTGTTTTCACTTAACACCCTCCTCCTAGGAACCTCTACCCATTAACCTTCACTTAACCCAAAACAAAGAGCCTTGATCCTCTGTACAGCCTGTGCTCCACAGGATGGGCCAAGGGATAAGGAATGAATCTCCATGTTGGCTACTTCTGGATTCCTTAGCTTACAGCTACAAACACACATTCTTCTTAGACCATAGGGTCATTCTCAGAGTGTGCCTAAGTTATGTTATTGCTGTCAGGTGTGTCTGTCATACAGAAGGCTCTTGATTGGATGTAGTACACAGTGCACATTAGGGAGGGGCCTTAGAGTCCCACTTTCCTGTTCATTCACTGTGTGGCTTTGATCTGTGCACTTCAGTTTCCTCTTCTATAAAATGGGATCAATACTATCTTCTAGGCCAGGTGAGGTGGTTCACGCCTGTAATCCTAGCACTTTGGGGGGCCAAGGCGGGTATATTGCCTGAGCTCAGGAGTTCGAGACCACCCTGGGCAACATGGTGAAACCCTGTCTCTACTAAAAATACAAAAAAAGATAGCTAGGCGTGGTGGCGCATGCCTGTAATCCCAGCTACTCCCAGGCTTGAACCTGGGAGGCGGATGTTGCAGTGAGCTGTGATCGCACCACTGCACTTCAGCCTGGATGACAGAGTGAGACTCCATCTCAAAAAAAAAACAAAAAAAAAAAACAAAAAACAAAAAAAAAAACCCTCTTCTACTTCAGGTGGTTACAATTAAAAGAGATAAGCATAAAGCATTTAGTTCAAAGAAAATTAGGCATTACTACAAGGGCAAAAAGTAGACTGCTAGGCAGCTTTTTATGAGTGAGCCAGGGAAACAGTAGGAGCCTAGAGGTTCTGGACATTTTTAAAATAAGGGCAGTGCAAATTCTAGCTATATATATCTCCTGAGGGCAATGCCTCACAAACGAACGCATTGGGTTTCCTTTCATTCTATATTGGTTCAGTTCTACATAGTTACAATTTGAATTTTTCAAATATTCAAGTTATGGAAATCACCCTTTGCAAAAACAACATTAAAATAATTAGAATCTGAAAAACAGATGCATTCTATTTGGAATGTAAATTAAGCCTTTAAGAGGAATTAGCTGTGGTCTATACTTAACACCTGCCAGCTCGTCACAGCTATTTCTCCCTCTTGGACCTGGTTAACGTGACAGAGGCATAAAACCTGTTGAAACATGAAACTATCCCAAATGGAAAATGCAGATGATTCACTACAGGTAAACTAACTTAGTCAATATTCATTACAAGTTGATGCAAATTATCACAGTAACAGTTCCTTCAAAAGACTGGTTGGTGAGGTTGTGATATACTAATTAAAATTATCTGGTTATCTGAAGCTCATTATTCACCTTCTTCAATTCTGCCTAAAATTAACCTCTTCCATTTCAGTAAATTCATCAGAAAATTTATTTGAATGAATTAGTTTATTAATTCACCACTTACTACTGAATTTCCATTGTGTGTCAGGCCCTGTAACACCTATTTTAGGGGTGTTACATATCATTGACCAAACATATCAGGCCCTGACTTCATGGATTTTCCTTTATAGAAGGACAGACAAAAAACTGAAAAGAAATATATATTAATATTGTCAGGTAGTGATTAAGTGTTGTAAAGATCAAGAAACTATAGGATGGAGTTACTTTAGAAAGGCTGGTCAAAATAGCCTCTCAGCAGAGGTGACATCTGAACAGACATAGGATGGAAAGGGGCAGCATGCCATATGGTTATCTAGAGATAAGCATGGTCCAGGGCAGGGAACAGTATGTGCAAAGGCCCTGAGGTGCTCAACATGCTTAAGGAGCAGAAAGCAGGGGTGGACAGGTTTGAGAGGCTAGGGGTAACATCAAGAAGTGGTCCAGAGCCAGATCTTGTAGGGTCTGTCGGTCACAGTGAGGGATTGGACTTTACTCAGGTGTTGATCCTGACTTTACAACAGGTGTTGATCCTGAGAGCAGTACCCAATAAAACTCTTGCACACAAATCTTAGAATATCAGAGTCTCTACCCTGGTAAACTCAACTGAAGGCAATTGTGAACAATAAATTATGTTATATAGGCCCGTATCTGTACATAGAGAAGTACAAGATGACAACAAACCTATTCTGATCAATGAGTTAATTTTTTAATTAAATTCCTGGCATAGGCTAATCATTTTTTTGTCACTGGGCTCTTTAAAAGTGGAATACTGACAAGAAAGGTGGAGGAGGTGGAGAGTATTCTGATGAGTTAGAAACTGGTTTTACTCTAATTTAGTTATCTTTAATACTCATGAGTCAATCAATTAGTTCATTTAAGGATATAGAGACTATATTAACAATATTTGACTACATGTGAATAAACGTCCAAAAGTAGAAATTTCTAGGAGTTTGCCAGCCTGGCCAACACAGCAAAACCCCGTAGCTACTAAAAATACAAAAATATTAGTTGGGCATGGTGTCTCATGCCTGTAGTACCAGCCACTCAGGAGGTGGAGGTTGCAGTGAGCCGAGATTGCACCACTGCACACCAGCCTGTGTGACAGAGCGAGGCTAAAACGAGAAATTTCTAGGAGTTTGATTATTCACTTTTCCTATGTTTGAAAAATATAAAATGCTCAACATAGAGAAAATGTTACTGAACCTTAAAGAATTTCCTGTTACTAATAAATGGTCCACTGAGTGTTCCTGCTCAGTTGAATTAAATCTTGTCATACATAATCTATATAGGCATTTGATATTATTGTCACAGTAAAAAATTGAAAGTTGAAAGCATATGATAATTTACCCACCAAAATAATTTGTTTGACCACCAATATACCTGATTTCAAAACAATAATGATGAGGACTAAGCTCTAATTTTTTCTTATCTTGCCAAATTCCTACCTAAGGGGTCTGGGGAGTCATGCCCTACAAACCACAAATTCTCATCAGATGGGTTTTATTTAACCCTATATATCTTGACTTACTTTCCAATCTGACTCTGGCATACCATTATGTGACAAGAAAATCAAAATATTTTACCCCAAACCATGTTTCTTTGCCACATTATGAAATAGCCCTGCAAAGCCATACTTTGTGGGGGAAAACTTGCATCTGTAAAGAATCTCTATTAGCATAGCTAGATCTTTTACTTCCAGGCCCTCCCAATCCTGAAGAGATTAACTGAGAGTCTAGCACCTTTTAAAGGTCTGAAAAGGAAACATTTGTCATCTATTGTCTCTAAGGACAGCCGCTGTGAGACTGCAAAAGAATCTTAATCTTTGGGATGCCAAGGCAGGCAGATCACCTGAGGTCAGGGGTTCAAGACCAGCCTGGCCAACATGGCAAAACCCTGCCTCTACTAAAAATACAAAAATTAGCTGGGTGTGGTGGCGCCTGCCTGTAGCCCCAACTACTCGGGAGTCTGAGGCAGGAGAATTGCTTGAACCCTGGGGGTGGAGTTTGCAGTGAGCCAAGATCATGCCACTGCACTCCAGCTTGGGCAATGAAGCGAGACTCTGTCTTTAAAAAAAAACAAACAACAAACAAACAAAAAACCTTGGTCTCCACAATCTTTTATCTTAATCTGAACATTTCCTTTCTATTGATTTTGGACCAAACCAATGTATTTCTCAAACATATTTGATTGATGTCTCATGCCTCCCTAAAATGTATAAAACCAGGCTGCATCCTGACCACCTTGGGTGGGCACATGTTCTCAGTACCGCCTGAGGGCTGTGTCCCAGGCCACGGTCACTCATATTTGGCTCAGAATAAATCTATTCGAATATTTTACAGAGTTTGACTCTTTTCCTCGAGAATGAAAATGTGCCTAGCCCTGCACTTTATTGCTATGATTCTTCTGCTAGTTGCTTACCAAGTGTCTATTGCTGCTTCTCTTTACTAACAGAATCTCTACATTGTCGGTGACAATGTGACCAACTGAAGCCAACATCTCCAGGTTTGGGAAGGCTGGGGTAGGGTGCAGGGAAAAGTATCTGGAAGTCATTTGGTGGGGCTTTCAAGGGAGGTGCCTCAGCTGGTGCGGTGGGCACCTTTTTTCAAAACACCAATCGGTGAGTCCCACCCAGCAGTTTCTGATGCAGTTGGTTTGAGGTGCCGCCAGAGTATTTTCTTTTCTAACGAGTTCCCGGGTGATGCTGTGGCTCTTGGTCTGGAGACCACACTATGAGAACCACTGCGTTTAGCTAGAGCCACAGTGGCTATTTTGTGACTAGAATATGACCTTCAGGGTAGAAATCAAGCCCTAAGTATTGTAGAACATAAAGACAGAAGAATCTGGGTTTCCACTCTGTGCTTCGAGTCATCCTACCTGCCTAGATATCCTTTTTCTGCGAAAAAATTAAAACCCTTATCTTAAGCCATGTTGGATTTTCTACCATATTCAGCTGAGCCTAATTGCATTTGATAAAAAGGCCTTAGGCCATATCTAATGTTTCCTTCCTCCAACTTTGTAGAAAATACTAGGTTTTATTTTTTTTCTCTAAATTAACAGAAAGTGGAATGTGACTTTAGCATTTGAACCCTGGCAATAAAAACCTTGAATCTGATATTAAATTTGGCTCTATAACTTCAGCCTAACAGTGAATCAGTGCTTATCCTAATAATTTTATGAGCATTTATGCACCCAGAGCCCAAGGTGCAGAGGTGGCAATGAGGTGATTTTTCTAGCACTAAATGAATTGTCTTCAGGATGGGGATGGAGGGAGTCCTAAGGCCTACTTCCCTGACATATCCATATAGGAATTTTTCTTCTCCCCACATGGAAACCACTAGATCAACAGATCAACAGACTTTTGTCTTTTATTCATGAGCAAGGAAAGATAAGGCTATGAGCTCATTCCAGTTATCATCCTATCTGATTACGGAAGAAAAACTTCACAATGTTTAAAGTTCCTGGGATGAAAAGTTATTTTGGAAAATTACACTATTTCTAAAGTTTCTTTGTTAAAACGGAGAATTTTGTGTACTTGCTTTTTGAAATATGTTTCTATCAAAGATTGAGAAAAGGCATGGCCATCAGTCTCAAATAAGAACATAGATGCTTGTAATTGGATGTTGCCATGGGTCCTTCTTTTCTGCTCTGGTTGAAATAACTAAAGGAGTCAAAACACTGATCCCTCACCCGCACATTCTCCAAATAGTTGCCTGGTGACACTTTCAGGGCTTCGCATGCAGGAAGAGGGCGGACCCTGTTTTGCCTGTCTCCCTCATCAGGGCAGGTACATTAGCTCCAGGACAGGTGACTTTCACTCGTGTCGGTGTGAAGAGACCACCAAACAGGCTTTGTGTGAGCAAAAAAGCTTTTAGTCACCTGGGTGCAGGCGGGCTGAGCCCGAAAAGAGAGTCAACAAAGGGAGATAGGGGTGGGGCCGTTTCATAAGATTTGGGTAGGTAAAGGAAAATTACAGTCAAAGGGGGGTTGTTCTCTGGCGGGCAGGGATGGGGGGTCACAAGGTGCTCAGTGAGGAAGCTTTTTAGCCAGGATGAGCCAGGAGAAGGAATTTCACAAGATAATGTCATCGGTTAAGGCAGCGACCGGCCATTGTCACTTCTTTTGTGGTGCAAAGTCATCAGTTAAGTCAGGGACTGGCCATTTTCACTTGTTTTATGGAGGAATGTCATCAGTTAAGGCAGGAACAGGTCATTTAAATTTCACTTCTTTTGTGATTCTTCAGTTACTTCAGGCCATCTGGATGTATACGTGTAGGTCACAGGGTATATGATGGCTTAGCTTGGGCTCAGAGGCCTGACATTCCTGTCTTCTTATATTAATAAGAAAAATAAAACAAAATAGTGTTGAAGTGTTGGGGCGGTGAAAATTTTGGGGGTGGTATGGAGCGATAATGGGCGATATTTCTCAGGGCTGCTTCGAGTGGGATTAGGGGCAGCGTCGGAACCTAGAGTGGGAGAGATTAAGCTGAAGGAAGATTTTGTGGTAAGGGGTGATATTGTGGAGTTGTTGGAAGAAACATTTGTCATTTAGAATTATTGGTGATGGCCTGGACACGGTTTTGTATGAATAGAAAAAGTAAATGGAGTAAGAGAAGGAGAACAGGTATTAAAGGACTAAGAATTGGGAGGACCTAGGACATCTAATTAGAGAGTGCCTTAGAAGGTTCAGCATAGCCTTGGCCAGCAAAGATTATTTATTTACTTTAAGAGTTAAGAGTGGCGGTTTGGGGATAGCACCAGGAGATATCAGCTGTGATGGCTTGGAGAAACAGTGTAAACTGGCAGTGTAAACAAGAGCAGGGAATTTATGAGTAGTTGAGAACGGTGAATAGGAGTATGACCAGACAGAAGATAGTAGCGATGACAAGTTTTTGGGGGCACAGTCCAAGTTGGTCTGGTGTCTGGAATGAGACTGGGGCCTAATAAAAAGGAGCGTCTATACAGGAGCTCAAATGGACTGTACCTTGTAGCATTCTGAGGACAGGCCTGAATTCTGAGAAGGGAAAGTGGTAAAAGTATTGTCCAGTCCTTTTTAAGTTGGTGGCTGAGCTTGGTGAGGTGTCTTTTTAAAAGACCATTAGTTCACTGAATACTAAGAGCCTGAGAAACTGCTTGGGTGATTTGACTAATAAAGGCCGGTCCCTTATAGGACTGTATAGAGGTGGGAAGGCCAAACCGAGGAATTATGTCTGACAGAAGGGAAGAAATGACAGTGGTGGCCTTCTTAGACCCTGTGGGAAAGGCCTTTACCTATCCAGTGAAAGTGTCTACCTAGACCAAGAGGTATTTTAGTTTCCTGACTCCGGGCATGTTGAGTAAAGCCCATTTGCTGGTCCTGGGTGGGGGCAAATCCCTGAGCTTGATGTGTAGGGAAGGGAGGGGGCCTGAATAATCCCTGAGGAGCAGTAGAATAGCAGATGGAACACTGAGAAGTTATTTCCTTGAGGATAGATTTCCACGATGGAAAGGAAATGAGAGGTTCTAAGAGGCGGGCTAGTGGCTTGTCCTATAGCACAGCCTGCCTTTGCTGATGTGTGGCGATTAGGCCTGGTGCAACTGCCATCAATAAACCAAGTGTGATTAGGGTGAGGAACAGGAAAGAAGGAAATATGGGGAAATGGAGTGAATGTCAGGTGGATCAGAGAGATACAGTCACGGGGGTCAGGTGTGGTATCAGGAATAATGTGGGAGGCCGGATTGAAGTCCGGGCCAGGAACAATGGTAATTATGGGAGACTTAACAAAGAGTGAGTACAGCTGAAGGAGCCGGGGAGCAGAAAGTATATGTGTCAGGTGTGAGGAAGAAAATAGATTTTGGAAGTTATGAGAACTGTAGAGAGTGAGTTGAGCATAGTTTGTGATTTTAAGGGCTCTAAAAGTATTAGGGCGGTGGCGGCCACTGCACGCAGAGTAGAGGGCTAGGCTAAAACAGTAAGGTCAAGTTGTTTGGATAAAAAGGCTACAGGGCGCGGTCCCAGTTCTTGTGTAAGAATTCCGACTGCACAGCCCTGCACTTCAGCTGTGTGTAATGAAAAGGGGTGGGATGAGTCAGGGAGAGCTAGGGTGGCGGCAGTCTCTAAAGCTGTCTTCAAGGAACGGAAAGAGGAGTGGGGACAGGATTTAGGATCTATGGGGTCAGCTAGGTTTCCTTTTGTGAGTTTATATAATAGTTTTGTTAGGATGGCAAAACCAGGTATCTAAAGTTGAAAGTATCTAACCATGCCTAGGAAGAAAGGAGTTGTTGTTTTGTAGAAGGTGCTGGGGTTTGAGAGATCAGTGGACACCATCGGCAGGGAGAGCACGTGTGTTTTTATGAGAATTATGCCGAGATAGGTAACAGATGAGGAAGAAATTTGGGCTTGACTGAAGTAATGGGGGCTGTCTGTGAAGCCTTGCGGCAGTACGGCCCAGGTAATTTGCTGAGCCTGATGGGTGTCAGGGTCAGTCCAAGTGAAAAGCGAAGAGAGGCTGGGATGAAGGGTGCAAAGGAATAGTAAAGAAAGCATGTTTGAGATCCAGAACAGAATAATGGATTGTGGAGGGAGGTATTGAGGATAGGAGAGTATATGGGTTTGGCACCATGGGGTGGATAGGCAAAACAATCTGGTTGATAAAGTGCAGATCCTGAACTAACCTGTAAGCCTCGTCTGGTTTTAGGACAGGTAAAATGGGGGAATTGTAAGGGGAGGTTATAGGCTTTAAAAGGCCATGCTGTAGCAGGCGAGTGATAACAGGCTTTAATCCTTTCAAAGCATGCTGTGGGATGGGATATTGGCACTGAGCAGGGTAAAGGTGATTACGTTTTAATGGGATGGTAAGGGGTGCATGATCGGTCGCTAAGGAGGGAGTAGAGGTGTCTTATACTTGTGGGTTAAGGTGGGGAGATACAAGGGGAGGATGTGAAGGAGGCTTTGAACTGGGGGAAAAGGCGGCAGTGAGGTGTGGCTGTAGCCCAGGAATAGTCAGGGAAGCAGATAATTTAGTTAAAGTGTGTCGGCCTAATAAGGGAACTGGGCAGGTGGGGATAACTAAAAAGGAGTGCTTAAAAGATCATTGTCTAAGCACCAGAGTTGGGGAGTTTTAAGAGGTTTAGAAGCCTGGCCGTCAATACCCACAACAGTTACGGAGGCGAGGGAAACAGGCCCTTGAAAAGAAGGTAATGTGGCGTGGGTAGCCTCCGCATTGATTAAGAAGGGGATAGACTTACCTTCCACTGTGAGAGTTAGCCAAAGCTCGGCGTCCGTGATGGTTTAGGGGGGCTTCCGAGGCCATCAGGCAGTGTCAGTCTTCAGCCGCTAAGCCGAGAAGATCTGAGAAGGAGTCAGAGAGCCTTGGGCTGGAGTTCCAGGGGCTCTGGGAGTGGCTGCCAGGTGAGTTGAACAGTCCAGTTTTCAGTGGGGTCCCACACAGATGGGATGCGGCTTAGGTGGAATCCCGGGCTGCGGGCATTCCTTGGCCTGGTGGCCAGATTTCTGGCACTTGTAGCAAGCTCCTGGGGGCGGCGGGCCTGGAGGAACGCCTGGCCACTGCGGTTTAGGCGTTTGGAAGTTCTTGTGTGCTGGAGATGTGGCTGGGGTTTGTCTCACAGTGGAGGCAAGGAATTGCAACTTTTTTCTATTATTGTACATCTTGAAAGCGAGGTTAATTAAGTCCTGTTGTGGGGTTTGAGAGCCGGAATTTAATTTTTGGAGCTTTATTTAAAGTCGAGAGCGGATTGGGTAATAAAATGTATATTGAGAATAAGACGGCCTTTTGACCTTTTAGGGTCTAGGGCTGTAAAGCGTCTCAGGGTTGCTGCCAAACAAGTCATGAACTGGGCTGGATTTTTATATTTGATGAAAAAGAGCCTAAATGCTAACTGATTTGGGAGAGGTCGGATAAAGAAAAAGGAGCTTTAACCTTGACTATGCCTTTAGCTCCAGCCATGTTTTTAAGAGGAAATTGCTGGGCAGGTGGGGGAGGGCCAGTCAAGGAACGAAACTGTAACCCAGACCGGGTGTGAGGAGGGGAGGTGATGAACGGATTACAGGGTGGAGGAGCGGAGGCTGAGGAAGAATTGGGACCTAGCTCGGCCTGGCGAGGAGCAGCCTGGGGAGGAGGGGAGAGGTCAGATGGGTCTGTAGAAAAGGAAGATTAGAAAGACTCAGCGACGCCTGGGGTTGGGACTGAGGGGACAGGTGAGAGGGAAGGGAGGAGGATTTGGGACGAGTCGCACTGGGAACAGAGACTAGGGAGGGGACAATGTGTAAAAGAATGTCTGGACGTCAGGCACCTCAGACTGTTTGCCTATTTTAGGACAAGAATTATTTAGATCTTGTAGGATGGAAAAATTGAAAGTGCCATTTTCTGGCTATTTGGAACCACTGTCGAGTTTGTCAAGCGGCATTGCAGAAGAAAATAAGGCGTTTGGGTTTAGGTCAGGTGTGAGTTGAAGAGGTTTTAAGTTCTTGAGAACACAGGCTAAGGGAGAAGGAGGAATGGAGGGTGGAAGCCTGCCCATAGTGAAGGAGGCAAGCCCAGAGAAAAGAGAGAGTAGAGACGCGGAGAGAAGGGGTGGGGAGTGCTTGCCCCGCAGGAAAGTGGAGAAGGGGTAGAGACACAGAGAGAAGGGGTCGGGGGGTTCTTGCCCTCCAGAAAAGCAGAAAAGGGGTAGAGACAGGAGAGAAGGGGTTGGGGGTTTCTTGCCCTCCAGAAAAGTGGAAAAGGGGTAGAGACGGAGAGAAGGGGTCGAGGGGTTCTTGCCCCGCAGAAAAGCGGTAGTTGGCACTAAGGGTGAAGGGACAAGGCAGGTGTCCCCATGTGGTCAGACACCCCTGAAGCGCGGGTGAATAATCAGGCAGGCATCCCAGCGTAATTAAACACCAAGGAAGACTGTCTTCCCAAGTCTGTGACCAGCGCCGGAGTTTTGGGTTCAGGGATAAAACACATCTCCTTTGTCTCTACCAGAAAAGGAAAGGAACTGAAATTAAGAGAAGGGTGAGATTGAAGTGTGGCGCCAAGATTGAAAGGAGAAAGAGGTTGAGGGATAGTAAGAGAGGTTGGAGAAGAGAGTAAAAGCCCGCTTACCCGATTTAAAATTGCTGAGATGTTCCTTGGGCTGGTCGGTCTGAGGACCCGAGGTCGTAGGTGGATCTTTCTCATGGAGCAAAAAGCAGGAGGACAGGGGATTGATCTCCCAAGGGAGGTCCCCTGATCCGAGTCACGGCACGAAACTTCACTCGCGTCCGTGTGAAGAGACCACCAAACAGGCTTTGTGTGAGCAATGAAGCTTTTAATCACCTGGGTGCAGGCGGGCTGAGTCCGAAAAGAGAGTGAAGGGAGATAGGAGTGGGGCCGTTTTATAAGATTTGGGTAAGCAAAGGAAAATTACAGTCAAAGGGGGGTTGTTCTCTGGCGGGCAGGAGTAGGGGTCACAAGGTGCTCAGTGGGGGAGATTTTTGAGCCAGGATGAGCCAGGAAACGGAATTTCACAAGGTAATGTCATCAGTTAAGGCAGGAACAGGCCATTTAAATTTCACTTCTTTTGTGATTCTTCAGTTACTTCAAGCCGTCTGGATGTATATGTGCAGGTCACGGGGGATATGATGGCTTAGCTTGGGCTCAGAGGCCTGACAGTGACTATTTGGATGTTTCACAAATTCCACCTACAGGATAAGGGCCGAAAGTGGTGTGGATAATTCAAGCATTGGAAATTAACCTTTGTCTCAGACGGCATACAGCAGACGCTAGATCTGTATTTAAAGGCAGAGTATCTGGGAAGAAATAAAAACACTGACCCTACGCTCAGAAACCTATGCCTTAAGATGTTCAGCAAATATTTTTTCAAAAGCACTTCGTTGTTTTCCTAGTTTATAGTCTGTTCCCCCACTTTCAAACTAAACTACAAGATATAAATTTTCTGTCCTATAACTTTCTAAGATGCAATAAGCTGGCTCTGGGTCACTCCATCGAGTCTCCCCAAAAATGCACATTTCACTGTGGTTCCCATTCTCTCTCACCGGCCCTTGTGGCTTCTCAGCGTCCAGCCTCATTGTGCCAACAGGGCTGAAGCCTAATGGGAAAATTAGGTGACCAAGGGGTCCAAAAACATGGCAGGTTATGTGGTTGCCATTTACTTTAAGCAGAATTAAATCCCTCCTGAACAGAAGGCAAAGGTAAAGCAAGTCACGGGCTAACAATCTAGGGTTTCAGTTTTTTCATTTTTAACATGGGGGTCATTAGCTACTGACCCTCCCTTGTGGGTGTGATAAGCATTCAGCAGCCCCCAGATAGAGATGAGGCCAAGTTTCCTTCTACCCCTCACTCTCCCATACGTACACAGACCTCAGGTAACTAGGGCCCCTTCCTTTTTTGGCTTTATGCATAGTCAGCAAAGTTGGGTGTGGAAAGGGTGGGTCATATGCATAAGGAATAAATTTGAAGGAGCCAGCAGATGCCCCAGTGCACAGCCAGGGTCAGTCCTGCATATAACAAAATGAAGTCCTTCACTACATCATTCCCCGGCACAGGCAATGGGGCGAATGTGTAATTATTCATTCTTGCAAAAATGAAGTGAGAAGAGCAATGATTCAGCACCCAGGTAGCTTCTGAATTTTCAAATGATTCTTCTTCAAGGGCCACCCACTTTTTAAATATAATAATTTTCTCCTGTTTTGAGAGACCTACCCAGAATCACTTCCAAGTTCTGGGTTATTCATCAGGTAAATCCTTCTCTATCTCTCTCCCACCTCTCCTCTAATCTCCCTTTTGCTCTGAAGGAAACCCCCAATTGCCCTGAAGCATTTTCTTCTTTGAATACCCCCTTTCCTTTAAGCTCTTCCTCAAAATCCTTCTTCCTTTTTTTTTAACAGTAGATGTGGATGCCCTAATATACATGGAACCCAAAAGAATGGGAACTAGTGCTATTACCTTAAAGGACAAGAGGTGTAAGATCTTTCTAGGGCAGCACAGAAAAGAAACGGGAGGAACAATTTACTTTCCATGTTAGTATTCCTGGATTCCTAACCTTTCACACGTGCAGCCATCACTGTGGGAACACTGAGGACTTCAGGAATGGCTCTTGACAGGAGCCCAGCAGTGCCAACACACTCTTACTACTGTAAATGTTAAATAACAAGAAAACAATTCGGTTTCTGAGATGCACTCAGTGGGTGTTTATTCTTTGCAATCATTATTGGCATCTGAAGTCCTGGGTTGAGGAATTAGAATCAACAGTTCTTTTTCCATTTCAATTTTTGCAACATGGTGGGAATAATTTCTTTTTCGGTTTGCTTTGAATTATAGGCAAAAGCTCCCAAGTGCGTGGTTGAGATGTTACCAAGGTGTTCACATTCAAATTTCCTAGTAGGAGGTACTCGGTGAGGTTCTGGAATTGATAAAGCTTTTCAGTCTGGCACTACTTGACCTCTGGCAGTAGATCCATCCAGTCCCATAAAAGCTAGAGTCTGAGGGGGCAAAGTCAAGAGCCCAGGTCAGGATCAGCCATTTCAGAAGGATACACAATGCTGCCTCGACAATAACAGCAGCCTCTTTTTGGTCAATTAATGTTCTCCCAATGGTCCATGAGTGCAAATGACTCCAGATAGTGATGGTTCAGCAGAATAAATCAGAAAAGCTTCCTATTCTCCCTGTTATTAGAAGGGTATGACTTTCAAAGTAATAAAGCACATCATTTTCATTTTATCTCCCCATGAAAGAGCTTGGACCAAACATCCCTAACGCACAGCTCCCAAAATGCAAATTATTTTCAGCTAAGCTTCAGAGTTGATTTTCTTTTTCCTGATGGCCTCCTTTCTTGATTAAATCCTGGAGCTTCGTTTGATACATTAAGTCAGGACTAGAGTCCCTGAAAACAAACCAGATTTAAAATACCATTCATTATCTAGGAAGCTGTTTCTTTCCCTGATTTGTTTGCTGAAAAGGAGAGTGAAAGATGAGAGGAGAACCAAAGAAAAAAAAGCAGGACAATGGAGAGAAGAAGGAGATGAAAGGAGAAAGGGAGATGACAAATACAGTAAATAGATTTGAAAACAGATGTGCAATGAATGAAAATCTGTCCAATTATTTTTCTCAATTAAAAAGTGTCTCATCCTGAATATCTGTATCAGATTCTTACCTATATTCATGTATTATTTTCTGCACAGAGAATACTGCATAAACATCTCAGCAATGGATTTACTTGATCAGAAATTATACTAATGACGATGCTTCAATACAAGATTTCTAAAAATGTGGAGAATTTTTGGTAGTTTTTGAAACAAAGGATTTAAAAAGTAACAAACAGCGTTCAGCATCATGATCATTGTCAGGGTCATCATTCGTTATTGTCGTCAGTGCCACTGTTGATATTAGTAAACCTGCAGCATAACTATTTTGATCCCTAAAGCAAGCAAGAGTTTGAATTAGGTTGAAATTACCATCTCAGGATTGGGTTTAATGCTTTTTCTGAATATACAGAGAAACTTAGGTGGCATTTAACAAATGAGTTAATTTCTTCCTTTAACGATGCTTAATTAGCAAACATCAGGCAATTGGAATGAGTAGGCAGCTTCTACAGTAGAGAACAAGGACTTAAAAAGCCAGTAATTCCCAGCACTGTAGAAATCACTAAAAGGATGTTGAGGGTTTTTTTTCCAATTTAGTCTTGTTGAAAACAATATGAAATAAACATTTTCTCACTTTCAAGAAACCACCTCTATCCTCTAGACCTTGATCATGGTGGGGAGGATGACAAGTAGCTTGGGACTTGGTGCTTATTAAAGGCTTGACAGACATGAGCTGAATCAAAATCTGAACAAGAAGAACAAATAGTTTTAAGGGACCCCATCTACATCACAGCTCCTGCCCCATCACCACAATCTCAAAAAAACTTCTCTCCTATAATCCCACTATTAGCAAAGCATTCTTTTAATTTAACAAGCTTCTATTTAAAAAGTGAAAACAAGTCATTGGGAAGGTTAACGTAATTGGCAGTAAGGAGACGTTCATCGTTCCTCCAGCAGTGTAACTTAGTTCTCAAGTGTTTGTTTCTTGCTAACGTAGAGAGAAGTTCTTGCAGGCCGGGCGCGGTGGCTCACGCCTGTAATCCCAGCACCTGGGGAGGCCGAGGCGGGTGGATCACAAGGTCAGGAGATCGAGACCATCCTGGCTAACACGGTGAAACCCCGTCTCTATTAAATATACAAAAAAAAAAATTAGCCGGGCGTGGTGGCGGGCGCCTGTAGTCCCAGCTACTCAGGAGGCTGAGGCAGGAGAATGGCGTGAACCCGGGAGGCGGAGCTTGCAGGGAGCCGAGATCGCGCCACCGCACTCCAGCCTGGGTGACAGAGGGAGACTCCGTCTCAAAAAAAAAAAAAAAAAAAAAAAAAAAAAAAAAAAAAAAAAAAAAAAAATTCTTGCAGTGAAGAAGTAGGATTTCTACTAGCATTAGACCTGGGGAGTTTTTAGGACTCACAGTAGAAGGAAAGATTTGGGCATGGCACAGAGGTGGAGGCTCTGGAAACTAGAGCACATAGCCTACCTGGGGGAAAGAAGGAGGGAGAGAATCTGCCTCAAATCATATTCGGGTTGGTTTCCACACACCCAGGCTGATGCCCATCTGCCAATTTAGTCCCACCCCCAGCCACTCAAGGCCCAATCAGGTGAGAGGAAGGTGGAGCTTAAGTATCTCCCCCCTCCCCCGACAACCTTCCCGGGCTGTTTCTTTGGCTGCCAGCCTGACTTACACACAATTCACCAGTTCTGATGTCTCATTTCAGAAGCCTGAACTTCCTGTTTTCTACCAGCATGTCTCCGTTCTCATGTGCACTATGTTTTGTTTTGTTTTTGTACACTATGCTTTTAAACCTCAATTATTGGTCCCATGCCAAAGTTACTTTTCCAATAAACTATTATTAAACATTCTTTAGGACGGGTTCCTACCATCCTCTTTTCTTCCCATACTTGACTCTAGCACTCCACTAACCGTCAACGATCCTCCTTAGTAGAATTTTTAACCTGGCTTTCCATGGATTTTTCTAACATCTACTTTTCTTCGATGCTAAACTTTCCTGGATCTTTGGGGCCTTTTGTGTCTTTGAGCATACCAGTACTGTGGCTGCAGGTGAACATGCCCCATAGGTGATGAGCAGTTCACCCAGGCCTCTTTGGCCTCACCTAGTGTCAGTGGCCTTGATGGCTCACAATGCTTGCCTCGTGTAGGAGCGTGGGGCAGCTGGGGAGGAGGAGGATGTGCATTGTCTATTGCCAGATTCTGCCTCCTTCTCTGAGTCTGGGAAAGAAGAGTAGGAAACTTCGAAGAGTGGCTAAAGCCCCACCTAGGGAGTCAGAGAGACCTGGATTTGAATTCTAGCTCTGCCACTTGCTGGCTATGTAACCTTAGAAAAATTACTTAACATCTCTAAACTTCAATGGCGTCATCTTTAAGGTAGGCAAAATAATCCTGTTTCCTAGGATTATTTGATGAATCAAATGAGATGACAACATATGTGGCAATCCTATATACATAGACAACGTAGTATATGCAGAGTGTTAGTTATTGCCTAATTATCTGTCATGCCTCGCCAATTCCTCAAATGTGACAATGAGCTCTTGGGTACAGTTTTGCCCACGGTCTGCCCCAAGCATAATGGAGCCTTCCATGAATATCCAAATCCAGCCCAAGTGGTTTGTGTTGTTCTTCCCCTTTTTCATGAACAGAGCTGCTCTGCAATGGGCAAGATGGATGCCCTTAAATCCAGCCTCTCGGGGTTTTTTATTTTTTTAAGTCTTCTCTTTTGGCTAATGGTTAATAAAATAACTCTGTTTTCCCACAATGCACACTTCCTTTTCAGCTGCCACTTTCTGAACTAATCACTTACTCTAGTCACTAGTGGCTCCTATCCACAGCCATGTAGCTGGCATCTCTCCCCATACACTCCTGTGGCATTCATATTTCATGAAGAACAATGGGGTAGGACCATACAGCAGCTCTTGGAAAAAAATAAAGTGTAGAAAAGAATGAAATAAAATGGCCTGCTTACTTGGAGGAAAATGTTACTAGGAAACTAGCCTAGAGCCAGTTTCCTCAGGGGTGGTTTATAGAAAAGGATTTATTATACAACAAAAAGCTTTTATTTATTATTTTTCCAGCAAGCATTTTTGCATTATTATTCATTTGGCAACTCAGCTGGGTATTTGGAGGTGACAGCTTGCCAATTTTTTTCACAAACATTTTGGACTTTAACATCTTAATCTGAAATGATTGCAGTAATTACAAGGGGGTAATGGGTAGGAAGATGTGGGGAAGGTAGCAGCATGTTGAAGACGCTAATAGTAAGAGGAACTGTGCTAAATATGTAGTTCTGACAGTTGCAGATAGAACGTTTGCCTGCTGATGAATAGCAGAAACAAGACATCAATGTTATTGCCCACTTTTGAGGTTTTGTCACCATTTAAAAAATGATCACACCTATGCAAGCCACAATGGCACTTTCCTCCTGTTAAATTCTCTTTGAGGGCTGCAGAAAATCACTGAGGCAATTCAAAAGTCCTACATAATCCGTCAATATTTATTCGGTATCTACTCTGTCTCTGGTGTGCTCTTTAATCCTTTATCCCACTTTATTTTCTTCATAGCACTTGCCACTAATATTTGTTGTATTTCAGCTTATTGGGTTTATTATCTGTTTACCCAATAAGAATGTAAGTTCCATGAGGACAGGAACCTTGTTGGGTTTGGTTCACTGCTGCATCTCTATCACCAAGAACATTGTCTGGCACACAGTAGTGGCATAATAATGATTTATTGGAAGAATGAAGGAATACTAAATACCGAGGTAAATTAAAGAATGGTAAGACGTTTTCCCTAATCTTGGCTTGTAATCTAGCTGGAAAGGAAACTGTATAAATGGTAAGAAAGCCTGCAAAGGAAAGCAGTTGACCAGAAGCTCTTGGGTCATCTTTGAAGGGTATTCCCTACGGGTGCTAATTATGTGATTCCTGTAAAGAAAGAAAAATAACCTGTCACTGTCCCCTTTAAACATTGACTGGTAAGAATAAGCTCAGGCCATTCTTGGACCTGCTTTCCCAGCTCCTGCTTTGCACACCTGGCGTTAGTCTACCCTGCCCTCTTTCATTTTGATCTCATGGCTGAGGTCCAGAAGCTCCCCCACCTGCCAATGTTGCCAATTGACTTGCCTCCTCCTTACCCCTATTCAATATATCCAGAGAGTGACTTAATACAAATGCACCTCTGAAAGAAATATCTTCAGAAATATCAACACATATTTTCAAATTGTGTTGTTAAAAAATAAATCCATGTGGTTGTTAATAGTAATTTTATGGAAAAAGGTTTGCAATATCAAATAGGTTTGGGGAACTCGGAGTTAGTTGAAACCATTCCCATAGTTTGTTTCCAAGTCTTTAGTGCACTGGCGTGCAGTTAAGTCTCTGAGAAATGGCCATATACGTGGTGGGTATTTCCTCCAAATTTATTTGACCATGGACCCTTTCTCTTCTAAAATATACATAGTCTATTGCTATTACTGGAACATAATTTTTAAAATACTAGTCTATAAGCTTTACAGAAGAAGGGCATATAGAAGTTGTTAGCCTGAGCTAGCCCTTAGGGGATTTTGAAGATTGACTATTTGACTGACCCTTTAATCAAGAATTACCATGATGTTTAAGTTCATAGGGCCAGGACCATAAGAACTCAGAAGAGAGAAAATCAAGGTTCTATGGAAGAGATGGACTGGAGCTGGGATTCACATTATAAACAAGATTTAGTTAGATGCAAAAAAAGGAAATTTCAAGTGTGGGCAAAAGTGAAAGATGGGGAGGTCATGACAATGGGTATTTTAATTTTCAAATTTTAATTTACTAAGATCCCTGAAAATTCAGTGGGACTTGATTAATGCATTCTAACATCCAGTCCTATTTTTTCCTATTAACTCATTGTGTTAGTTTGCATTTTCTAAAGCAGACACTAAGACAGGATTCAGAGTATAAGAATTTTATTAAGGGAAATGCCTGTGTGACAGAAAATGGGGACAAACCAGGGAAAGCCATCAGACCATTATACAAGTCTGACCCCAAGTGAAGGAGAAAGGGAAGGAAAATTAAGTAGAAGCATCTACTAAACTGCCAGGAAGTTTAAGGAGTTTTCAGCAATACTGTCAGGGAGTCCTTATGTCAAAACCAGCCGTCAGAAGAATCCTACATCTCCCCAGACTAGCTCTGCCTTAGTATTCCTGCTGCATGAGCAGCCAGCTCCTGGGAAGCACTGCCTTGGTACAAATAAGGCGATGGATTTTCAGAGTTCAGCTGCTGGCCCCTTGATCAATTAAGCTCCTTGTAGTTTGGGTTCAGAAGGCACATTTTTGTCACCATCACTCTGAAGACAGATCTTTAGAAAAAGTGAGCTGGCCTATATATGAGAAACAAACTGCCCACAAAGCAAAAGTTGTCCATCTGAAATCAGTGATAAAGGCAAAGCAATATCTGATGCACATGGTGATAAGACCTAGCCTGGTAACAAGAAAGAGAGTCTTAGTTTTCCCAGGGGTAGATTCAGTTACTGTGGGATCTCAAGCTTGTAAAAGTGGTGTTGGGGATGAAGGAAGAGTATCATTAAGAAAAAATATAAATTACAAATATGAAATCACCAGGGATTCTCCTGGGGCCTTGAAATGGGCCCCTGTACGTAAGAGGCCAACTTAAGCCTCATTTGCTTCATGATAAATCCACTCCTGTTCATTTGCAAAATATAGCTAAGAGACTTGGAGTACATTGCATGAGCACATTCAAAAATAATTCACTGCTGATTGATTCATGAAATGTAAAATGCCCCACAAGTGTTTAATTATCTGAACTGTGTGTGCTTTTCACGGAAAAGAAACAGCTGACGAGAGATGGAGCGAGCAAGCCACTGAGGTTAATGCACAGTGAGTGACCCTGGCATGCTCTTCCCAGCAGAGCTGAGTGAGCTGCTGACACAGACCCAGGAGGACACATTCTCAAAACTTGGCTGCAGTCAGTCCTCGGAAGGGATCGCAGTCTGGCCTCGGTTATCAGACTTTCTCTCTAGGGATACAGAAAAAGGGAGACAGGGTAAACCTGCACCACAAAAATAGCTGTTCTTTTAGCCAAGCAAGAAAATGGAGTGCGAAAGACAGTAAATCCTGAGGGCTGGAACTAACCCATGCCTGTGCTGTTCGTAAAGATCCAGGAGTGATAAAAAGGTTCCCGGAATATTTTTTCTTAGAGGTTTTCAAACTACTCAAATGATGATGCTTCTAATGAGAGTAATAAAGCAAGAAAAAAGAAAAAAATAAAAGAGGAATGAGGAAGAAAGAGGGAAGAAGTGAGGACAGAGAAAAGGGAAAGGAATATGAAGTAGAGAGTAGAAGAGAAAGAGAAGCAAAGGACTAAGAAGGTCACAATTTTTAGCTCTAGTGGGGCCAGAGACCTAATCACTTCTGGACCTTCTAGCATCATTTTAAAATAGAATAGGACCCAAAGTATTCACACAAATCTAGGTAGGGGAAGTGCTGATACAGGATATGCCTTTGTTGTACTCTGAACATCAAAGGGGCTTCACCCCTAGGTTCTCTAGTTTGGTTGCCAGTCTATCCAAAAATTTTACATCAGGAATAGCCTTTCTTAAAGACAATGATGCTATGATACACTTCCCTACTCAACCTGGAATGCAACTGTACTGCCTGCCTTACAAATCCTGCCTTACAAATCCAAGCCATCCTCCGGGCATAATCGTCTATCACCTATTTCTTCCCACCACCCAGCTGCATTTCTTGCTATCTTGCTCTCACTAATACTTTATTAACCTTCTCATTTTTTGTATTTTTCTCTACCTAGCCCCATTGCTTCAACCAAACAGATCCTTGTCTTAGTTTATTACAATATATTGTCATTTCCTGATTACTTCTGTATTACCCCATGACCTGTAAGCTCCAAAATGTTTATTGTGTATTAGGTAGCATCTATCCCAGTGGATGACATACAGCAAAATCTGGATAAACATTTCTTGGAAAAATGAATGACAAGCATCTACTTGTGTGCATATATGCTTTCCTTTACTGAAGACTCCTATGGCTTGCGCTTAGTAGTCTACTTTTCTTTAAAATCCTGCTTAAAATTTGTGTTTTCCAGAAACATTTATAGAAATGCTTGCTTTTCACAATCTGACACACACTCCTGATACTTAATTTTGGAAACTTCTAGGTACTCCTTTGCTTTTCGTTTTCCTTCTATGAAGTAGCTTGTAGCAAAACCAAGGATCAAGAAATGTTGTACTAAAAATATTTATCTGCTTGAAAACATCAGAGAATAACCAAGAAAATTAGGATTCAAGGGGCCAAGACCCCAGGAAGAAGGGAGTTTGCTGATGTGACCCCAACATTCACCTCAGAATGTATGTAGTTTTTTGGCATGTTTTGTCATGGGTCAGAAGCCAGGCAAAGGGTGGCATCTAAGAGATAGAGGAGCCAGCTGAGCTTTCAGCAACCTTCTGGAACTAGGAAGGAAAAAAATGCAAGTTTGTGGCTTCCAGTGCATCCAGGACTTGTGTAGGCCAGGCTCTGAAAGAGGGGACATGCAAAGAAGTGGAGGTGGTTTACCCTGCAAGGCATTTGATGACTGAATGAATGGCTTAAAAACCAGGTTAATACCATCTGAAAATCAAAGTGGAGTTTTTAGCAGTCTCTTAGTCCCAGGGAAACCAAAATCAGTGTCCAGGATAGACCCTATTAGGCATCCCAAGATCTCATCTGAAGGAAACCTCTAGGAGTAGGGCAAAATCAGGAGTAACGTGAGGTTTGCTTACTTCCTAATTGTACTGAAGTGAAGTGTCCCTCATCTAGCAGCCTGCCAGAGGATAGGGTAAATTCTCTCTGGAAGAAGATAACATCATTCAGAGCCTCTCCAATTTTCCATATGCAATGTGTCTAGCAAGCAATTAAAATTTACTAGGAATAAAAAAATAGGACAAAGCAGAAAGAAAAGAGAAACAGACCCACAGGTGAATTAGATATCGGTATTATCAAACATCAGTTTGACCATGTTCAGGAAAACAATAAGATGGAGAATTTTACCAAGAACTAGAATCTATTTTTTAAAATAATTAAATGAGAATTATATAAATGGTATTAAGATCTCAATAAGTGTATTTAACAGATGGTTGACATTGCTGAAGATTACTTCACTAAAAGTTGGGTCAGTCGTAAATATCCAAGCTAAATCAGGGATGGAGAAAGAATGTAGAATATAAAAAAAGCAGGAGACAAAATACAGGGAAAACGTCTAATATATTTATAATTGCAATACCGGAAGTGAAAGACAGGGCTAGCTGGATTTTCTATGCTAAGAAACCCTAAGCCTAGCCGGGAAGGTGGCTGCATCCACCTTTAAACCCGGGGCTTGCAACTTAGCTCATACCCAATGAATCCGATAGTAAAGAGAGCTCACTAAAATGCTAATTAGGCAAAAACAGGAGGTAAAGAAATAGCCAATCATCTATCGCCTGGGAGCACAGGCTCTGATCAGGATATAAACCTAGGCATTCCAGCCAGCAACAGCTACCCACTTTGGGTCCCCTCCCATTTTATGGAAGCTCTGTTTTCACTCTATTGAATCTTTCAACTATACACTATTCTGGTCCGTGTTTGTTACGGCTGGAGCTGAGCTTTTGCTCACCATCCACTGCTGCTGATTGCCTCCGTCGCAGACCCACTGCTGACTTCCACCCCTCCGGATCCGGCAGGGTGTCTGCTGCGCTCCTGATCCAGCGAGGCGCCCATTGCCGCTCCCGAATAGGCTAAAGGCTTGCCATTATTCCTGCCCGGCTAAGTGCCCAGGTTCGTCCTAATCCAGCTGAACACTAGTCACTAGGTTCCACGGTTCTCTTCAATGACCCAAGGCTTCTAATAGAGCTATGACACTCACCGCATGGCCCAAGATTCCATTCCTTGGAATCCGTGAGGCCAAGAACCCCAGGTCAGAGAACACGAGGCTTGCCACCATCTTGGACGTGGCCTGCCGCCACTGCCATGGCCCGCCACCATCTTGGGAGCTCTGGGAGCAAAGACCCCTGGTAACAGAAGGAGATATGAGAATGAGAAAGAAGCAGTCTTGGAAGAGAAAATGTTTGATAATTTTCTAAGACTTTTGAGAGATTCAAGAAATCCTATATTCTAATAAACAGGCTCAATATAAAGAAAACCACACCTAGACACATCATAATAAAACTACCAAACAGTAAAGGAAATTTTAAAAGCTGCCTGATCCAAAGATCCATTACACCGTAGGAGCAAAAATTAGGCAGACAGAAGACTTCCCCAGAGAAACAATGGAAGCTAAAAGACAAAAGAATGACATCTTTAAAGTGCAGAGAGAAAATGCTTGCCACTCTAGCATCTATCACCTGAGAAAACAGCCTTCCAAAATGAAAGTAAAATGAAGACCTTTCTAGTCAAATAAAAATAGAGAGGATTTCAACCCTTGCAGAACTGCACTTAGAAAAGGGAGAAAAAGAGGAAGGGAGGTTTCTTCGGCAAGAGGAAAGAGGAACTCAAAAGGAATTACAGAAATGCAGGCTGCAATAAAGATCAATGAAAACGAAAAAAAAATGTGGACAATTTTAAATTACAATAGACTGTCTTAAACAATAATGATGATAGTGGGGTTTAAAACACATGTGGAATCAAAATGCCTGATAATAACAAAACATGCAGGAATTAATTCACTAACAAATGAGCTTATTTATTATCCATTTTGTATCATCAGTGTTTGGCACAATGAAGGGCACAGTGTCTTACAGTGGTTGGTTGAATGCTTATAGTTGTTGCTTGAATGCTAGTTGAAAACCCTTCTTTCACAGATGAGAGGGAGAAAAGGGAAGACCAGAAAAATAAGTGTAATGGCAGAGCTGTGCTCAGCTCACAGATTGTTTTTGCAGACCAGAACTCTTGGTGCTGACTTCAGAGTCCAGATTTGCAATTAGACTATTTAGGGACTAGTGACATTTTAGACTACTTTCTATTCTACAAGCATGCCTGAGATCAAACCTTAGCCCCTATTTCAAGAGGCTGAGCCCAGGGCAGTTCTCTGCATGCTGACCCACCTGGTGCCCAACTTTTATCGAAGCCCTGGTATAATCACTTTCTACCTCTCTTCCCTAAATAATCTTCTCTAAGTGGCAAAGCACTGAGAAACCTACAGTAACCTCCTAGGCCTGTGCTTAGGTGGTGGTTATTTATATTGGCTCAAGCCCCTCTTTCTCCAACTGTTGAGGCTTTGTTCTGGAAGAAAGCAAGGTTGATGGAGGAGAACAGTGCAGCAGCCTGTTGCAGGAGTGTGCCTGCAGAGCTGTCAAAGTTCATTTTCCAAGCAATTCTTCCAAAGGTCTTAAGATGACAAACCGCTTCTGCCTTGTGGATGATTTTGTTTTTAAAGGGAAAGCCCAGGAGGCTGCAGGCAGTTGCTAAAGGGGAGGGAATAAAATGATAGCTTTAGCTTTTTCTCCACCTCCCCCACCTAACAAAACCTAACAAAAAGAGCTGGCATCGAAGATGCAATATGGCATTGACAGACTGTACAGTGAATTGATGTTATGGAATATTTTAGCAGTCCTTTTATAATTTCCCAGGCTCTTAACAATCAAGTTTTAGTTCATGTGTATAAATGATCAAGTAGGTCATCATGCTCTCCCACAAAGTTAAGGAATAGACAAGATTGATAGAGGCAACCTCTGTCAGCCAAGACGCAGCTGCACAGAGAAGAGCCGGCCTCAATTCTGCCTGTTAGATCACTTGATTCCAATTCTTATTCTGCTTCTCAGAGGCAGGATCTGAGGCCAATCATTTAATTTCTCTGAGCCTCACTTTCTCCATCTGTAAGTGGGAAAGATAGTAATACCTATGCAACCTACTGGACATGACTCTGGGGGAAGAACAAATGAAATAACATGTATAAATAAGCTTTTTTAAATTGAAGAGTCCTGAGGACAATTTCAGTTTTTATTATTTGCCTTAAGACTGTTGTAAATATTGCAGATCATGACAACTGAGGAATAATGCTCAGTAGAAAATGCTAAGAATGTTTAGAACTGGAAAGATACTTAGAGACCTTCCAGCCTAACCCGTCCATTTTTCAGATGAGAAAACTGAGTGAAAGTCAAGTAAATAGTTGCTTTCTTAAAGTAATGAAATTAGAAAAAGAAGGAGAAAGAACATTTCTCAGATCCGTTCCAAATTCTTCAAAGAGTCCTCCTGGTGCACAGGGGTCAGGATTACCAGATCCCAGTGTTTACTATTTCTTGTTCTTTGATGTCCACAGACAGTCTTGAGCTGGAGGAGGAGATTAGCAAGTGATCAAAGAGGGATGTTAATAGATATAAGCATCTATCTGATGTTTTCCTCCTGGCATAATATCAAGAATTTAAAAAGCACTAAGAGTCTTCTATAAAGAATGAAGGCAACTTATCTGAAGAATGTTATGTCAATAAAATTATCTTCCAGTGAAGGCCTGGATACACCACCTCAGAACGAAAAGGTATCCTGAATGCCACTTCAGGACCATTTTCTGAGACCTCTATCGTTCACTTATAGCTGTTCAAAAGTCAGAAAGGAAAGCATGGATCTCCAAAGAATCTGACATCACCTCAAAAGCACGTGGAAGGAGGAAGAGAGGACATTTGATATGTGATCTTACACCTTTGGTGTGCATAACAGATATTTGAAGACATGTTACTTAGGTGCTCACAAGCATGTCCATATTCAATAGGGAAGCTTCTTCATTGAGTCCTAGGACAATTCCTGATAAATTGAGTTGGAATTTCTCCAGCTGGACAGTTCTGGGGTCTATACAAAGAAGATAGATCCACTGTCCACTTGGCACAAGGCACTTAGAACAAGCTACTTGAGCCCTTGATCGAATCACTATTAAAATAACACTTCCTACCCTAGTCTCCTTCAGTGCTGCGTGGCCTCAGGAGTCTTTGAAGATGAAGTGGTCATTTGATCCTGAACTTATTACCACCACCCACAGCATGAATCAAGGCTTTCCAGCAAGTCTTTTTCCCCCGACCCTTCAAAGGTTAGAAATCAAAGAGCCCCGGCTCTCAGTGGATCCCAGAATGCTGCTGGGTAGCCCAGCCATATATTGGCACTGTGTCAATGCCATTGTTTGGACTTGGGTGTTCCCCAGATCACATTAATCCTTAATCAGTGTTTTCCTCTGATGTGGCAAGCCCTAGAGCCTGCCCCAAATCTTGAGATTCATTGATTTCATGTCACCAGGGACTGAATAGAACACCTCTCATTCAACAAAATAACTGTCACTGACTCAGAAACAAGAAACAGGCTGTCCCCAAGGGGCCAAATCACCAGGCAAAAGAGACCTCCCTAAAGTATGGCATGGTCCCTTTGTTCTGTGCCAGTCAGCTCCTGCTTGAAACTGTGTTGCCATCTCTGATTCATCCCTTCTTTCATGCAGGGTGACTCAGAAGGGGGGAAAGTGCTGTGTAAAGCCCTGCTATATTTAATTGATAAAATACAGCCAGTTACTGCCAAATCAAAGGGGGCAAATGGGTAGTGCAAGGATGCACTGAAGTAGAACACTAAGCCACATGACAAGTGGCTGTGGCTACAGGCAGCTGAGGAGGGACAATGGTGGACTGGCTTAGCTGGCCATCAGCCATTTTGAGCAAAAGCACATCAGAAGCTCTAGGGGACAAAGAGGCAGAGCCACAAGTACAGATATGGCCCATAAATGCCCCCCGGGGACACTACACAGAGGCAGGCCACACACATTTGCAGTGTGAGAAGAAGCACAGTGAGTTATTTTAGTCATCTCTTAAACATATGCTAATGAAATGCAGTCTTATGAAGGACTATCACTGGCAGGACAGTAGGTTATACAGAGAGGAGCAAGATCGATGCTGGCATGGCAATAATTAACACACACACGTGGATGTATACACACATACCTGTGTACATACATGCACACAAACATATATATACATATAGACCTATTTTTTGAAAACAAGCTGTTGATTGCCCTCCCCCTTTGCGTACTGTCTGAAGCTACTCGAATGCAGACAAATGCTTGATGATTGTGTCAAAAACCAAAATCGTTATTTAAAAACACTTTTAAAAGTTTAAATACCAAGTGTGAATATAATTTGTTTCAGTGAGAAAAATATTCATGTAAAGAAGAGACAGGGAATTGAAGTTATTTTCTTAAATATTTAATTGAGTTAGAATATGAGATTGTCTTGATTCACTTAATTAGAATTTGGACTCCTGATCTCTGAACTCAAGAAAGTTATTTGCAGTGATCAAGGAAGTCACTTCAGAATCCAGAGAGTAGGACCACCGGCAGACATGCACAGAGACAATGGTGACACACGTGCTGAGAGGCTGTTCCATCTACCTGCCACCCTGATTCCTGGGCTCCTCCAGGGTGACTTTGTGTATCTAATGGGTTTGTGTTTTACACTATAGGCAATGTTTTACAAAGATAATTCCAATAGTGGGATAAAGAATGACTTACAGGTAGGGGGAGATTGGAGGTAGGGAGAATAGTTTTAGGAGGTTATTGTATGAGGTCCCTAACACATTGTGGCATGGGAGAGGAGACTCCGGAAAGGTAAAATTGGTGGCACTTGGGTACCGATGATATATTGAGGCAGGAATTACATTCCAAAGAGAAGAGGATCTTGCCTTTACAGGCCTGGCACCCAGTTGTAATAGTTTAATTTCTAGCATATGTTATAATAACTCCTAAATCTCAATGGCTTAACACAAGAAAGGCTTATTTTGGGTTCACATTAAGTCCCATGTGATTCAAGCAGAGCAGCCTTAATCCATCTACTGATCCTTCATTTCCAATGCCTGGTCTCTATGATTTCCTACAGGAAGGGAAGACAGAGATGGAGGAAAGACACCAGCTCTTAACATTTGACCCAGAAATTGCACATCTCACTTCTGCCTACAGCTCACTGGCTTAAACTAGTCCTGTGGTGCAACTAAACTACAAATAAAACTGGGAAATGTAGGGGCACTCTTAGAACATTTGGTAAGCACTAAGCAGCTTCCGTGTATACATGAGATCACATTAGTTGCCAATTTTTAGTAGCTCTGAGCCTAGACCTGTTTAATGGCAGCACCTCAGTCTTGCTGCACAGCCCGCACATTGGCCGTTATCTCCATGAATCCTCTGCGAGTAATGTGCCCATGTTCTTCTCTCCTGGGCTCATGAGGTGCCTTGTAGCTGCCTGTGTGCCTGGTGTTAATGAAGGCTGTCTTCTGTGACAGGATGTCTATACGGTCAGGGTGCCAAACAGGCAGAATCCTGGGAAGAGTGGGCAAAACATCCCTTTCCTCAGCTCTGCATTATACTTGACTTCAGGCATGGATGTGCCAGTGCTGTGCCTAGAGCCTCCTAGTGTCTTTCTAAGTCTTCTCAATTCCTTACTCTGTCCCACAGAAGTGAAGACAAGTGTGGGCAGGCTCAGAAAGGCCTGTCCCATGTCATCTTCTTTGTGGCCTTCATCCTATCTCTCTTTCTTCCCCAGGCACCTCTACCTCAAAATGTCTCCTTCCTCCTTATCCAAAGACCAGAAGTCTCCATGGCTAGGGAGTAGATACAAATAGTTATCGGGTGGGCGGTGGGGAGGAAGATACCTAGTTCTACTCGCCAGAAGAGACTGAGGCCTGCCAAGATAGCAGATATGGAAACGTAGGTATTCCACAGAAAAGGCCAACTGATTTCAATTGCTAAAAACTGCATGGTGAGCAAGATGATGCACAAGGCAAAGCAGCCCAAAATATGGCACTTGACATTTACTTTTTTCAGTGTGTGTTGTAGACACTGCAGTCTATAGAGCCAAGGTTTTATTGTCTTTCTGCAGGTCACTCCTTGTTTTCTTCTATCATCTGATAGGCTTCTGTTGCTGTCCAAGTCATTACTCTAGTGTGAAGATAGCCTTAAAAGAATAACAAAAGTCATTAAACATATGTACCTAGTGCTTGGTTAAGAGAGGTAGAGAAGGACTGCAGAATAGCTACAGTTCCCTTTATTAAAATGGAAACTAGAGTCAAGGTGTTTGCTCCTCCAGGTCATCAGTGCAACCTATGGAAGAATCTGACTTATTGCTGCTATCCTCTTTTCTAAAGGAAAAATACAGAGTGTTATAATTATAAAAGGGTTTTAACTAAATTCACCTAGTCCAATCTGTCCCATTTTATAGATAGGGAAACTGAGACACAAATGGTTTAAAAAAATTCTCAAAATTACAAAACTGACAGACCAGGACAATAAAATATTTAATTCACAACCCCGTTTCCTTTTCCAGATCCTCTATACAAATCCTCTATCCCTCTCCCTCTCTTCCTATCCTCTCTTCTCTCTCATTAAAATCACCTTAAGCAAAGAGTATGAATAAAATGAATGATATATAGAGTACCTAGCCATGCTTCCTTGTAGCTAAAGTAAGATTAAAGCATTATCTGTGGATGTTAGCGTCCATCAGCAGACAGGTGCTCCTGGGGTTTGTCAGCAGGTGCAGGAAAGAGGAAGCTTGCTGATGATTGAACATTTTTTCCAGCCCAATGCACTCTCAGAGGAAAGAGCCAGGGCATCACATGTTTGTCATTGCTTACTATTGAACTCTCAAAGCATTAAAGCGACACAATGTGTGGGGGCTATGAGCCCCTTTATTAGTAGACATACTGAAGAAACAAGATGTAAGGGAGTCAAAAGGAAATTAACATGGTCAGGATGTTGCTTCGGTACCTCTTTCCATTGTATGTAAGCCCTTAAAATCTTTCCCCAGAGCAATGCATTATCCTTCTCGCTTAATGATGAAACATCGGATGCACACCATTATAGAGATGTGCTTTGACATTTTTTTTCTCCAAAAGTGATGGGCGTGTGATGATCCAAGGTTAAAAGCAGTCTGCAGACATAATTATGACAAGGAGCTAGTCACTTAACCCCTCTGACTTTCATTTTGTTTTTTTTTTTGTTATTTCCAATTTATAAAATGAAGGAATTGAATTAGATGACCTCTGTGACCCCTTCTAGCTCAGACATTTCAAATCTATAAACACAAAACCATCTGCCTCACGTTGGGACTAAGCTCATAATTTTGTTTCGTTAGTGGTCTGTCTTAATCAGCACAGCAAAAAGGAGAGAATACAGTTTTTATTTGACTGGTGGACACTAGGAACGCCCAGGTTCTTAGTTGGAATCCTCTTCCTCGGAAAGATTTTGTTTGTAATGTGGCCACAAATCTTGCTCCTAACTTGCTGGTTTACTGATATGTAATGTTAAATCAAACGAAAAGTAGCTTTGAACAGATACCTATGCTAGAGCTGAATCCACAGCTTTGTTGAAAAAATTCTTTTTTTTTTTTTTTTTTTGAAACAGAGTCTTGACCTCCGCCTCCTGGGTTCAAGCGATTCTCCTGCCTCACCCTCCCAACTAGCTGGAATTACAGGCTCCCGCCACCACACCCAGCTAATTTTTGTATTTTTAATAGAGTTGGGGTTTTGCCATGTTGACCAGGCTGGTCTCGAACTCCTATCCTTAGGTGATCCACCCGCCTCGTCTTCCCAAAGTGCTGCGATTACAGATGTGAGCCACTATACCCGGCCTGAAAAAACATTATTAATTGCACATGAGAATCATATTAAACTCTACATATCCCAGTTATCTAAGGCTTCTAGAAGAGAAGTGACATGAAATCTCATCTTGAAACACTGACATCTCCTTAGGAGGATGAGGAGTAAGAATGGGAGTTGTTATTGGAGCCTTTCTTCTGTAAATATAATGGCCAGTTAAGGTGGATGATGTTCATGGTTAATCAAGTCTGGATGAGTTTACATAGAAAAAAATTTAGTTGTCTGGTTCTTGAAATTTTTTTTAATTGAGTGCATAAAAAACTGTATAAAGATGTGACACCCCTGTGTGAAAGAAGATGCCCTGTTCTCAGAGCTAATGGAAAGTGTCATCTATGTGGAACCAATTATTGTAGATGGCTCATTCATTCACTTATTTCTTCAACCACAATGTTTTTCAGTGCAAAAAATGCCCTAGCATTAGGTGCAGATATTGTGAATATGAATAGAGATGGTGTATGTGCTCAAGGGACTAATTGTCTAATAAATAGGGAGACGAACATACCCTGAGTGTACACCATCTATAATGCAGACACAAGGGGTGAGAAAGACTATGGGAGATACGAGTAACTGTCTTAGCTAGGGAGACCTGGAGGTAGCACTAAGAGGTAACATGTGGGCTTTGTCTTCCAGAATGGATGGCAGAAATGTGCAGTGGAAATGTCAGGAAAAGGCATGTGTGCTAGACATCCTGTTTGCCCCTCCAAATCCCACACTTCTGACCTGGATGAATCATATCAACAGGTTCTTGAACCCTTTGGCTTTAAGTTATGGTGGTCAATGGGTAGCCCAAACAGGCAATTGGTGGAAGAGGAGAGTGAGGTCAGGATATTTTATTCCTCTGGTTTCATTCCTTGAGAAGTTGCTTCAGGCTGGCCGTTTCTAAATCAAAGGACATGGCTCCTCTCAAAGTGACCCTACGGGAACCTCTCTTTTTGAGTCCCAGTAAATACTCTCCCCTCTTGCCTTCCAGCACGCGAGTAGTAATGTCTCCACTGTGGCTGACCCTATGTTACTGCATCAGCCCTTGAGGTTCTCCTGCCTGCATTCCCCCTCCTGTGAAAGTTTCCCTTTATACGTATATCCCTTTGGACAACATTTTGGGTGTGCTACAATTTCCCAGTTGGTACTCTGGCTGATACAGCATTTGAGAATGCGTGGACAGACAGATCAGAGACAAAGAGTGGAAAAACGTACAGTGTGTTTGGGAGCCATTGTAGAGTTCAGAGATGCTGCGGTATAAGGCGCTCTCTGGTGGGGCAGAAGTGTCAGATGTTTGTACACTATGGCGTCAGGACACGACAGGATTAGATCTGAGATTAGAAGGGCCAACCTGGCAGCAATGTGGAGAACGAACTGGAAAGAAGGAGTTGAGAGACTCCCCTGTGGCTCCGTCTGCCTCCAGAAGATATTGCTGTGGTTCCAGGTTTAGCTAGGTGACATCAGCGGCTGGGCTTCTGAAACACAACCCCTTTCCTCTGGCTCTGCCGCCTGCTGTCACTAGTTTTAGGTGATTTTGCCATCCCATATTTGGCTCTCAACTCCTCCATCACCTGGGTAACCAATGGCTTTGTAGTAAATTTCTTCTTTTATAAATACTTGAAGTGTTTTTTGCTTTTCTATTTAGACCCAGATGAGTACAAGGGCCTTAACAGCCAGGATGATGAGGTGGCAAGGAGTGATATATTCCAAAGGGGAAAACTCACCGGCAAAGGGTTGCTATCTCCTCTCAACCCAGAAAGAGTTTACTCTCTTTAATGATAGGCAAAACAGTGGTTTTTACATGGATTCCAGAGCAGGCTGCCTGGATTAGATAGCCTGCCTCATTGATCCCATGTCAGTGTTCTAATCTGTGTGCCTTGTTTCCTCACATGCAAAATGAAGATAATTGCACCTCTTTTAGGAGGTTGTAAGCATTAAATGAGCTAATACAGCATGTATAAAATTCTTTAAAAAGTTATTGCTGGATATTCAGTCCCATATAAATACTAGCTACTATTATTTGCCTAAGGCCTCTGAATTGGAGCACGAAGGACTTGGGCCTCCCTGGGTCTCAAACACCAAGGGTCATCCACATTTTTGAATCATAGGTTTTAGCTGCGATATCCTTTTTAAGGATCACAGCTTTGAAGGTTGGAGGAAGCATATACTGATTGACAGGGATGCTGTGAGGAGAAATAATTTTCCAGGGGCAAGCAGTGGTTACCATGGTTTCCAACTGGCAGAAACTCCAAGGTCAATTCCTTGAAAATATTTCACTGCTGATATGAGCAGGGTGGTTCCTCTACATTCCCAATCACTTCCTCTGCACCAGGGCAGATTGCGCCAATGTTGAGCCTTGCTTTCAGGCAGCAGGAAAGAAAAATCTGAATAAGTAGACATCCGAAAACATAGCCATCCAGCTGACCACTGACCATGAAGTCAAATACAGTTGATTCCCCAGGGGAGCCAGAAAAGGGAACTGTCATTTGGAGCAATGAAATTTTAATAACCACAGAGGGAATAAAGTATTTTGTTATAAGACTCAGGTCTGCATTGATAAAGATCACTGGTGACAACTTACACTATTTGAAATTTTAGTTCTGTTCTCTGAGTGACTAATTTTTACTTCTCCAGAAATGCAAGTCTCAAGGTACTGGGGGAACTCGCAGTGCACAAAGCCTTGGTAAAAGCCACAGCACAACCCAGCACCTCACTTATCTCTGTGCATCTATTTCATCCTCAAGTCAGTTCTCCTTCCTTTGGAATTAAACTCCTCTGACAGCCCAGCTGCAACATCTATTAAATATTTTTTCTCTATAGAGTGGCTCCAGTTGTTTCCAGGAAGCCTTTCTCACAGGGAAGGGGATTACTTTCAGAAGCCTGTTCTCCAGGGAAGTGGCCTCCCCACAGGTGTTCAGCATTTAAGGGCAGCCGCATTAGCCAGGCTCTGAAGGTGGGTGTGTTCATTGAGGACAGGCCGCGGAGTCGTTTTATAGAAGATCTAAAGGATGCAAGTTTCTCTACCATGGAAAAGTCTGCCTGAGTAAAATACCAAATTAAAAAAAAAGAAGAAGAAAAGAAAAACAACCTTTTACCAATTAGTAACAACTCAGAAAATACCACTACAAATTAAACAGTCATTCAAATGCTTTTGAAAACGTTTTTAAATGGCAACTTAGAGAAGTCAAACCAATGTCGTCTTCTACTTATGCAGGAGTAACACTCAACTTTTTATAGGAAAGCGAGGGCCTAGCCATCTACTTACAAAGCTGTATTAAAGAATGAAGAAAAAGAAGTTGTGTTTAGGACTTGTGACATTTTTTAATGGCTATATATTCTTTGTAGCTACTCCTATCAAGAGGTGAAGTTTATTTCCCCTGCTCTTAAATCTAGGCTGGTCTTGAAGATTCCTTTGGCTAACAGAATGCATTGGAAGTAAAGTTGTGAGACTTCTTTGTCTTGGCTTCCAGAGGCCTGTAGCTTCTTCTCTCACCCTCTTGGATATTGCCCTATATGAACAAGTCTGAGCTGGTCTGCTGGGGAGGCCAGATGGAGGAGAACTGAGGCACCCCGATTAATGTCACCAACCACCAGTAATGTGAGTGAGGCCTTCTTAGACCACCCAGCCCCTGTCAAGTCACAGATGGCTGCAGCTGCATAAGTGACCCCAGGCTAAAGCAGCAGAACCATGTATTAGTCTGTTTTCATGCTGCTGATAAAGACATACCTAAGACTGGGCAATTTACAAAAGAAAGAGGTTTAATGGACTTACAGTTCCACATGGCTGGGGAAGCCTCACAATCATGGCAGAAGGCAAGGAGGAGCAAGTCATGTCTTACATGGATGGTAGCAGGCAAAGAGAGAGCTTGTGCAGGGGAACTCCTCTTTATAGAACCACTGAATCTCGTGAGACTCACTATCATGAGAAAAGCATGGGAAAGACTTGCCCCCATGATTCAATTACCTCCCACCGGGTCCCTCACACAACACATGGGAATTCAAGATGAGATTTGGGTGGAGACACAGCCAAACCATATCAAACCATCTACCTGAGCCTAGCCCAAAGCACTGACCCAGAGAATCATAAGCAAATAAGATACTTGGTTGTTTTAACCCATTAAATTTTGGAGTGGTTTGTTACATAGCAATAGATAACTGCCATAGGATTCATTTCTAGCTTAGTGCTTGATTCATCTGAGAAATCAAGAAAATCATATTCAATTACAAAAAATATTCAATCAATGAAGTATTCCCATTTACTAAATCTTTGAGACAACATTAGAGGATTGGAGACACTTAGAAAATGTGAACAGTCTGTCAAACAATTTGAATCCCTCATAAATGCTCACTCTGAATACCCACCTTCATTTCTCAAAAGCAGTTATTTTTATAAAAATTATGTGTAAAACTGACAAATTCTGACAGTCAGAATTATCCTGGAACAATATAGTCACAGGCTTACTGATCATTTATTATTGGGTGATCTACTATTCTGATCATAGGTTTATCTAAACTCTTTCCCTGTGTAGTAAAGAATTTAACCCAGCCCAAAGACAGACTGTGGGAGGTAATCTCCAAGTCCTTGAAGTATCATGCTGGATAGGTGTGTCTTTGTTTGTCTGGGTGTCTTGGGTCAGCCATGTAGTGACAATGTGTTTTAAGGTTGGAGCCCTGAGCCACAACAACACTGTGATTTAGGGTGGGAGTTTTGGGTCATGTAGTATCAGCTTGACTTCCTGCAGGGCTAAATGTTGAGAAAAACCATGTGGGCAGTTGACTGTGCCTACATGATGGAGCCCCAGTGAGAATTCTGGATATCAAGGCTTAGCAAGCTTCCCTTGTTGGCAATACTCCATGCACATTATCACACATCAGTGCTGCAAAACAGCACTTTCCTTACTCCATGGGGGAGAAGATAATTAGAAGTTCCACTTTCAGCTACCTTTCCTTGACTCTGCCCTATGAATTACTTCTTCCCTTGGCTGATTTTAATCTGCATCTTTTCCTTATAATAAGCCATAACCACAAGTATAAAATAGCTTTCAGTGACCTCTGAGAGTCTTTCTAATGAGTTATCAAAACCAAGGGTGGTTTTGGGAACACCTCGAACTCACAATTGGTTTCAGAAGAGTGTATTCCTATGAGAGCTGTTCCCCTAACTTTGCAGTTAGTTAACTTTTGCACCTCCATTCAAGATGAAAATACACCCTGCCTCCAGGAAACCTTTCCTGACCACCTCAATTAAAAAAAAAAAAAAATCTTCCTCTGAATTCTTAGATTGTGTAGGGCTCACCTGTAATTATCTTACAGTATTTGGGAAATGGCTTCTGGCTTTGTTATTGATCATATTGATAGGTAGATCTATCACATGTCATGTATTAGATTTTAGTGCCTGGAGGCCTCAGCCTGTTTCTTGCACCCTTTCTACTAGCCAGCACATTGTTTTCAATTAAACACTTTGGTGTTTAAAAACGAAATTGCTGCTTCTAGCGTCAACTAGGAATTTCTGAAATGTAGGTTAATTTTGTATTATTAATAAGACTGAAATAATCATTCATTCAACAAATGTTTATTGGCTGGGCATGGTGGCTCATGCCTGTAATCCTAACACTTTGGGAGGTTGAGGTGGGCAGATCATTTGAGGTCAGGAGTTCGAGACCAGCCTGGCCAACATGGTGAAACCCTGTTTCTACTAAAAAGACAAAAATCAGTCGGGCATGGTGGCGGATGCCTGTAATCCCAGCTATTCGGGAGGCTGAGGCAGGAGAATCACTTGAACCCGAGAGGCAGAGGTTGCATTGAGCCAAGGTTGTGCCACTGCACTCCAGCCTGGGTGACAGAGCAAGACTCTGTCTCAAAAAATAAAAAATAAAAAAAATTAATTGAGCATCTACTAAGCGCTAGGCTCCAGGGATTGGCAACGAGCAAAATAAATTTCTGTTTTCAGGAAGTTTCCATTCTGGGAGATAAAGATGACAAATAAATCAACACATATATACTTTTTTTTTTTTTTTTGAGGCAGGGTCTCACTCTGTTGTCCAGGCTGGAGTGCATGGTGTGATCATGATTCACTGCAGCCTTCACCTCCTGGACTCAAGCATCCTCCCACCTCAGCCTCCCAACTATCTGGGACTACAGGCATGCACCACCACACCTGGCTGGTTTTTTAATTTTTTTGTGGAGCTGGGGTCTTGGTTTGTTGCTCAGGCTGCGTATATGCTATTATATTAGATAGTGATAAGCACTAGAAAGAACAATCAAGCGGAATAAGATAATAAAGTGTGATGAGGATAATTAGTTTAGAGAGGATGATCAAGGGAGGTTTCTCAAAGCAGGTGACATCTCAACAGAGATCTGAATGCAGCAAGAGAATGAGCCATGCAGATAAGGTTTGCAAACCTGGTCTAAATGTTTCCATTGTCTAATGACTTCAATAGCCAAATGCATTTGAGAATGCGGCTGTCCAATTTATTGAATGGTGGATTACTTTTTTTAAAAAAGGTTTTTTAATGAGTAAGGAATTCAAATCCAGTCTTAACACAGATACATTCCCATAGTCCCTTTAAAAATAAAAATAGACAAATTGCTGACATGTAAACAGTTTGCATATGGAAGAGGAATAAAGAAAGTTTATAGCTGATTGAAGACAAAGTTCAACCTTGTTATAGTCTTTATGTTTCAAATTTCTTGAGGAGACATTCAGGGGGACAACTTCTGTCTAAATAATCATCCCGCTAGAGGAGGAACCCTTGAAACAAATCGTCCCTGATAATAGCCTTTGTTAGACTGAGGCACGTGCAGTTGAAGCTTGACAAGCTATCGCACAATTCTAAAGAGAAGTGAGTGATTCAAATAGAAGGATCTTTGCAAAGGTCAATGTGAAGAATAACTTTGTGAATATAAATCACAAAACCCAGAGGAAACTGTCTTATGCTTTTTCACTGTATTTTGTTTCAATAAACAAACCAAGTTTCACCGATTTATTTTATTTTATGTTTGGACAGAAAGAAATCTTATTACAGGGAGAACTGGGAACTCTGAGATAAGAAAGGTACGACTTTTAAAGATGGTGACTGTGGGCCGGGCGCAGTGGCTCACGCTTGTAATCCCAGCACTTTGGGAGGCCACAGCGGGTGGATCACCCAAGGTCAGGAGTTCGAGACCAGCCTGGTCAACAGGGTGAAACCCCGTCTCTATTAAAAATGCAAAATTAACAGGGTGTGGTGGTGCGTGCCTGTAAACCCAGCTACTTGGGAGCTTGAGGCAGGAGAATCACTTGAACTTGGGAGGTGGAGGTTGCAGTGAGCCGAGATCATGCCACCGCACTCCAGCCTGGGCGACAGAGCGAGACTCTGTCAAAAAAAAAAAAAAAAAAGATGGTGATTGGCAGAGCTGTCCCATTCCCACCTTCTGATTCTGCTTGGTCCTTGTCATTGTTCTGTTCTTCATGATGAGCAAGGAATGTATAATGGACATCCTGTTTGAATATGGGAATTCTTCTGTGATCTGGAATTCCTCTCCCCACAAGGCTCTCTTCTTTGGCACTCTTGCACATATGCACTGAAATAATTAAATGTCATGGAAATCCTAAAATACTTTGAATCATCAAAAGGGGCTGAAATTATGTCAGGACAGCTGTGGTGTTGAGTATATTATGTATTCTAGTTCTTTAAAAACGATGAGACAGGTATTGTGTGTGTGTGGTAAGGCTTGACTAATCTAAATAATCATTAACTAGGATACACCAGAACAAAT
Organism: Homo sapiens; assembly: GCF_000001405.40. Lineage (NCBI taxonomy): Eukaryota > Metazoa > Chordata > Mammalia > Primates > Hominidae > Homo > Homo sapiens. The sequence continues at coordinate 2,248,903 of NC_000009.12, read as the reverse complement.
AATTTTTCAAGTAAGTTTTTTTTCTAGATACCAGGACAAGATGTCTTGGTTTGAAATAGGTGGGAAAGGAAAAGGGGATATATGAGAGCTCATTTGGACATGATAGTTTTAGAGCTGAAGTCCCTGTTTTTAAATCTCCAGAATACCACTTTTATTTAATATTTTCCCTCTTCTCTTTCTTGGTTCCCAGCAGAATGGTGAAAATCTTGCTGAGAAATGGTACCATGAGAAAAAGTTGAGAAAAGAGGAGGCAGATCCGCCTCAGAGAAGTTGCTATGGATCAGGAGAAAAGAGGGAAGTGCTTTGCCCATTTCTCTCTCTTTTCCCCTCCAAACATACTAAAAGACTGGTATTTAATGTGTTGGCAGTGTCTTTGTAGAGAAATGAACATCTTTTCTGGGTACCGGGGGAGGGAACATGCTGGTTGCCATACCTATATTTGTCAAATAGAAGTCATGCTAAGAAACCCAAAAATAAAAATAATTTTAGGGTAAAGTCTTAGGAACTTAAAATCTGTTTATTTAGCATTAAATAAACACCTTCCAGATACCCATCCCTCAGCTAAGTGCTATGAAGGACATTAAATAAGTATAACAGATAGTCCCTACTTAGCCTTCAGCATCTAATTAAATTAGATATTTGGCTAAAGGTGGTGAAAGACATGAAAGGAAGATAATACATGGACCTGGCTTTCCAAGACCTCATGGTTTTGTGGGAAATGAAAGACATGCTCTTGAAATATTTAAAATGTTTAAATATTCCCAGGCAGGAAATGTAAGTGTCTGAATGGTTTGCAGAGTCTAAACAGTCATTTGTCAGACGGGAAAACAAGGGTGGGCTGCAATGGGATTCATTGATGAGGAAGGACATGATAGTACCTGTGGGTCTTTGTTTATAAACCATTTTAATTCACGATGAAGTTTACTTACCATAAATCCATGAAGAGAAATGTAGGCAAACATGTATACACAGGACAGCAATGCTATAAAATGGGCCAAGGCACTGCTAGAAAAAATAACATAGCTTAAAAGTATATTAAACCCTGGCAAGAATTTTTAAATATTGAAGATAAAGTTAATGTGTGACCCAGCAATTTCACTCACATGTATATACCCAAAATAACTGAAAACATATGTCCTCCCAAAAAGTTGTACATGAGTGCTCATAGTGGCATTATTCAAAATAGCCAGAAAGTGGGAACAATTTAAATGTCCATCACTTGATGAATGAATAAATAAATTATTATACCCATACGATGTAATATTACTGAACAAGGAAAAGGAATTAACTACTGACACACACTCTACACAGATGAAGTCTGAAAACATTATGCTAAGTGAAAGAAGCCATACTCAAAACATGACGTATTACATGACTCTATTCATATAAAATATTCAGAATGGACAAATCCATACAAACAGAAAGCAGATTAGTGATCCCCAGGGGTTGGAGAGAGCAGAGAACAGGGAGTGACTGCTTAACAGGTTCAAATGAGGTTTTTTGTCGGGGGGCGATAAAAACGTTCCAAAATTAGATAGTGGTGATGGTTGCACAACTTGGCGAATATACTAAAACAAATAACTGAATTGTACACTTTAAAAAGATAAATTTTATGGTACATTAATTGTATCTTAATAAAGTTGTTAAAGGAAAAAAAAAGCCTAGAATGAATAGCTCTCTCAAAGTTGCTAAGAATGCTAGTTCCTAAGAGTACAATTACAAAACAGACACCTGAGAAATGAAGAACATAAATGGAAAAAATATAGGAGATTCATAGAAACAAGATTCTCTCTGGAGCTTTGTTTCTCTTAATGTTGTGCAAAGAATTAAAAACAAATCCTGTAAGATAGACCTGAAATAAGGGTGAAAATGGAGTGTTACGTGTCATTTTACTTTGATAACTTAAAGGCATGGAATTATTATTTGTAAATGCCTTGTTAAACACATATCAGAGTCTGATCCTTTTTTAAAAAAGACTTATTTAGGGCAGGGTACAGTGGCTCACACCTGTAATCCTGGCACTTTGGGAGGCTGAGGTGGGCAGATTGCCTGAGGTCGGGAGTTCAAGACCAGCATGACCAACATGGAGAAACATCGTCTCTACTAAAAAAACAGAATTAGCCGGGGTGGTGGCACATGCCTGTAATCCCAGTTACTTGGGAGGCTAAAGCAGGAGAATTGCTTGAACCCGGGAGGCAGAAGTTGCAGTGAGCTGAGATTGCGCCATTGCATTCCAGCCTGGACAACAAGAGTGAAACTCTGTCTCAAAAAAAAAAAAAAAAAAAAACTTACTTAGAAATAATTTCAAACATACAGAAAAGGTATAAGAATAGTACAGAGAACACTTATGTATACACTGTTCATTAACAGTTTGCTGTACTTGCTTTATCGTTTGCGCTTGTGCTCTCTTCCTCTCTTTCTTACCCCTTCCTCCATTCTTCTTTCCATCCCCTTTCTCTCCTCCCCTTTCTCTCTTCTCTCTATGTATATATACAAATTTATTTGTATTTACATATATGTCAAATATCTATCTCAATATATAACATTTGAGACAGATAATATATATTTGAAAGTTGGAAATAGCATGTCCTTTGACCTAATTTATCAATGTGCAGTGTATATTTCCTAAGAATAAGAATATTATCTTAGTGTTACATATCCAGAGTAAGATTACCAACTTCAGTAAATTTAACATTGATATAATACTTTAATATAATCTACTATGCAGCTTCCAGTTTTGTCAAGGAACATGGTGTGTTAGTTATCTATAGATACATAACAAGTTACTTCAAAACTTAGCAGTTGAAAGTAGCAAACATTTATGATCTCAGTTTCTGTGAGTTAGGTGTATGCATGTGGCCTAGCTGGGTCCTTTGACCAGGTTATAATCAATGTGTAGGCTAGGGCTGTGGTCTCATCTGAAGGCTCAGTGTGGGGAGGATCCACTTTCCTGCTCACTCACATGGTTGTTGGCAGGATTCAGTACTTCACTGGCTGTTGACCAGAAGTTTCTCTCATATCTTCACCACATGGTCCTCTCCATAGGGCTGCTCACAGCATGGCAGCTAGTACCTTAGAATAAGTGAGGGAACAAGCCCCACAGGTAGAAACTTCCAGCATTTCTTTGTAACCTTATCTTTGAAGTGACATTCTATTACTTCTACCATCTTCTATTCATTAAAAGCAAGTCAGTAAGTCGTTAGTTCAGCCTACATTCAAGGGAAATGATTATACAGAGGGGCAAATATCTGGAAGTGGGACCATTTTAGTGGCTGCCTATCAGACACAGTAATGTTTTTTCAGTACAGGATTCAGTCTAAAATCATATATCGTAGTGAGTTGACATATCTCTTTAGATTTTTTTCTTCTTTATGACACTGACATGTTAAAAACAGTTCCTGTTTGTAAGATGGAATGTTCCTTGTTTGGGGCTTCTATAACGCTTCCTCATCATTAAACTCAGGCTATGCATTTCCAGTCAAATAGTACAAGAGTAGTATTACCTCCTCTTTGGGGCATCGTATCCAGAGGCACATGATGTCTGTCTGTCCTTTATTGGTGATGTTCATTTCAGTCACTAGTCAAAGGGGTATCTGATTTCTGCACTGTGTAATTATTATTGTTCCCCTTGCAACCAAAAGGCAATCTATGAGGAGACATTTTAAGAACATGTAAATTGCTCATTCGTCACCAAAATTTTATCTAAATTGAACATTGGGTGACTCTTGCCAGAAACAATCTTAAGTACACAGTGGTGGTAAAATAATACTTTTTTCCCCCAACTCCAGCTCTCCTGCTACATCTACCAGTTGACACTAGGTATTTGTATTAGCCTGCTCAGGCTGCCATAACTAAATACCACCTACTGGGTGCCTTCAGCATCAGACATTTCTTTCTCACAGTTCAGAGGCTGGACATCCAAGATCAAGGTGCCAGCAGAGTAGGTTTTTCTTGAACCTCTCTCTTTGGTTTGTAGATGACAGCTTTCTTGCTGTGTCCTCGCTGGTCTTTCTCTGTGTACATGCCCCAGGTGTCTCTTCCTCTTCCTTTAAGGATACTAGTTTTATTGGATGTGGGCCCCACCCTATTGACCCCATTTAACCCTGCTTACCTCCTTAAAGGCCCTATCTCCAAATACAGTCACATTAGGGGTTACAGCTTTAACATACACATTTTAGGAGGACACAATTCTGTTTATAACAGTAGTCTACTGTAAAAAGAGCCATCCTTCTCACACATTTACTTATTTATTTCTATGCTTATGAGTATATAGAATGGATTCTATACACTTTTTCAATGTTTTATACTTTGTTGCTACCAATAATTATTTTGGTATTCAAACTGTCCCAGACATGGGCAGGGGAAGCCGTTCCAGCCTGCTTCCTCTGTCCTCATGACATGCCCCCAGTATGTTTTGTACATTTCCTTACATTCTGGAATAACAAGACATTTCAGGCCCTCACTAAATAGAGGAGGTGGTTGCACAACCCTGGGAATGTACTAAATGCCACGGGATTATACACTTTAACATGATTGATTTTGTTATGTGAATTTCACCTCGATTAAAAAAAAAAGTTCCAGGCTTATCTTACGTATTTCCTGCCTCTGCCCTGGAAACATTTTTTCTCTAAGGATCCCTTATTCCTCTTAGTTAGAATACTACATTCAAAAGCAAGGTGTCGCTGTTAGGTATGGCCACTGCTACCAAGATTTCTGCTTCAGTGGGCAAAGCCAGGAGATAGATATACATATATATGTATCACATTAATACATACACATATATACACATTTCAGAAATTATGAGTCCACAGCAATACCTCCAATTGCAGTCCATTCTTCTTACATCCATGTCTTCTCTCTTTCTGTATTTGTAACTTTCTTCTCCACAGTGAGAACTCTGGATCTCAACAACAATGTGTTTACTGATTTGCTCAATACCACGAAATATCTAAAATCATTTCAGAATCCTTCTGTGTCCATGCTGTACAAAAACAAACCCAGTAAAAAGAGTTTAGTGTTTAAGTCCTTCCTGACTCCCACGCTACCTAAGTCTAATGGAATATGGTCTAATGGGTATTCATAAACTACTCAGATTTCTTTTTCCCCCTTTCAGTGTGGTTATTCATTTGAAATACAGTTGAGTTTATTTTTTTCAGTTTGGTTTTTAGTTTTTTCTCCCTTCCCATACTTTTTGGTTTAATCTTTTAAATAAATAGAACATTAATAAACTTCCAAAAATCAAAAATAATACAAAGAGCTATACCATAGAAGTGTTTCTCCCTCTCATATTCCTTCCACCCTGTTTCCCACCTTCTTGTTAGGTGACCTGCTTCATCTCACTTCATTCTTTACTGGTTTATTCCTCCTATATTTCTATTTTTTTGAAAGATATGCAGGTACATGTATTTCTCCCATTTTTCCTTTTCCTCACAAAGGTTAGCACAGTATACATCCACTCTTTTGCAGTTGGTCAGGAAGAAACGCTTTCCATGAGCTTTGGAGACTAGCAGCCTTCTCTGCAGTATCTTATGTTCATTTAGCAAACACCTGAGTCTCCACAGAGAGCCAAGGCTGATCAGTGAGTCCCAAGTCTACAGTGAGCTGGCTTCATAGTGTAGACCTTTCTCAGGAATGCTTCACGCCTAGCCCAGCCAAAGGACTGCGCCCTACATTGCATTCTTTTCTGTGCCTTGTTGACACCCTGCGGTTTCAGTGTGCAGACCCATGTCTGTCACTGCCTTAGATGACTGTTGTAGACCCTCACCTTTACGGAGTACAGACGTATTATCTAAATGTTCCTTGTTGTCTGGTTCTGCCCTCCCTCACAAAATCAATCCTCCAGGAACAAAGCTTCCTCCTATACTACGTCATGATGCTGAAATCCTTCCCCTCCCCTCCATCTCTCAACTTACCTCGACAGCTATCTCTTTCTCTCTCTCTCTCTCTCATGCTCATGCGCGCGCACACACACACATACACACACTCACACGTGTTTTCTTTAAAGGCTTAAATTTTCCATAACAGTGGGGGGTTCCCAAGGAAAAGGGGTGAAAGTTTTAAAAATAGGTGCTTGCTGGGTAATTTGCCATTAAACATCAGGGCACCATTCTAGTAGGGAGATGGCTCTTAAACCCTTCACTTCTGCTCGCCAGGGTCCTGCCCTCAGCACCTCAGGGAGGGCTGCCTCCCCGAGATCAGCAGCTGGGGAGGTGCGGGCGGGGGTCAGGGTGACAGCCAAGCTAAGTGGAGGTCCCAGGAGGCTGGACATGATAACCACAGTGACTGTGGTTGCTCCGCCCGGTCCTCTGGCGGCAGCCAGAGCCTTCCCAGGTTTTGCCTTCGCCCGGTCCTCGCCCTTCAAAGCTTGGTAAGGTCCAGCCGTCCACCTGTGGCTGTCCTACAACAAAACCACTTCCAGGAAAAGGAAAGGGGTACGTGACAGGCCGAAGAAGTCAGGCTACAAACCGGATGACAACCGTAAGGAAGAAAGAAAAGAGCAAGCCACGGGGGTTCTCAAAGGGTTAACACAGCCTGGCATACACAAAGGATGAGGATGAGGGCGAGGCAAAATGAGAAATCGGGTGCAAGAAGTAGGGGGAAAAAAACCTTCCACCCTTTCTTTTTGCATCCAGAGGTACATCTTCATTTCAGAGTAAACCCAGCCACAAATGAGGGTAGCTGGGAGCATGTCCCTTCTTAGGCAGCTGAGAGGATGAAAGAGCCTCCCAACGCCTTTGATGCAGGCTGCATATTCGAGCACATTTTGAAACGTGCATCTGTGCTGTGTTGGGCCTGGAACCCCGGCGGCTCGGGGCTGGCCTTGGGCGGGTGAGAAGGAAAACGTTGCCTGGCGTTACCTGCGTCTGGAATGGGTTCCCGGAGCAGCGCTAGGCAAAACCCGGAGTGGATCTTGGGAAGAAAAGCAGGCGCTGCTCCCGGGCTCAGCACCCGGTTTCTTAGGCGCCGAAAGGTCCACCGTTTGCACACACCAGGGGTGGAGGGCTCGCTAGCGGTGGGAACCTGGAAGGGGCCAAACATGCTGTTCAGAATAATTGAGGAGGTAGAATATTCTTCCTGCTTGGTAGTGTGAAATCACTTGTTTATGGCTTCCATTCAGTCTCCGGTTTGCAGATAATGCCCCTTTCTAAGCGGTGAAACTCATGAATGTTGATCTTGCAAATCAAGCTGACACTAGCAGCTTTTGTCCACCAGGGCGTACATCAAGGCCTGCCTTCTCCCCAGCACGTTTCCCCCCTCCTCGCCATGCGCATCCCAGGCTCCCGGATTCATGAAAGGCGCGCTCCGCCCCAAGGCGACCTGAGGGTCTCTAGCAACAATCCAGGGGCTTGTCTGCCAAGCGCTCGGGCCCCACTTGGAGCGTCCTGTTCAGAGCCTCAAAGAGAGGCCCTGAAGACAAATGGCCCCGACAGGAGGAGGTCACCCAGTGAAGGGCTGCGGGAGCTCTAGACCCTTGCCCGGAGGCCTAGGCGCTCGTTCTTAAACGCGCAAACCGAGCCAAGCCCGGACAAAACCCGGGCTCCGAGGAAGGAAGCAACGAAACAATCGCATTTATGTAAAGGGAGGATCGAGGAGAGAGAGAAGGCAAAGCCAGCCAGGATGCGAGGATCTGAAATAATGAGATCAGACGGGGGACGGCGGAGGTTAACTACACCCACAGAAGCCATCGATAAAAGAGGCTTTGCTGGAAGTCAAGCCGACCGCTGGTTTTTAGAGTGGCTAGGTGGTAACTCTGGATCCTGCTGTAATAAGATGCCTTTTAATTAATGCTAACGAGCTAATGTTTATTAACTGTTCAAAGCTCCAGAGGAATAGGTGCGAACTGCAGACCAAATATGTCTTTGGGTGTTGTGCGATGAATGTGACTGCTGAACGAATTAAGAATAGTCAGAGGCACCCTCATTCTTAGGGATCCAGGCTCATGAATAAAGATATTCATGCGGCCTGGTGCGGTGGCTCACACCTGTAATCCCAGCACTTTGGAAGGCAGAGGCGGGTGGATCACCTGAGGTCAGCAGTTCGAGACCAGCCTGGCCAACATGGCGAAACCCCATCTCTACTAAAAATACAAAAATTAGCGGGGCGTGGTGGCATGCACCTGTAGTCCCAGCTACCTGGGAGGCTGAGGCAGGAGAATGGTGTGAACCCGCGAGGTGGAGGTTGCAGTGAGCCGAGATCGCGCCACTGCACTCCAGTCTGGGTGACAGAGCAAGACTCTGTCTCAAAAAAAAAAAAAAAAAGATACTCATGCTTAATTTAAATTGTATTATGTGGCAGTCTCCAAACTGGTCTCTGTAGCAGAGGCCACTCATTGTGCTTCAGAAAGTTACTGTTTACCTGTGTGTGTTTCTGTTGAGAATCATTTCAAAGCTGAGGTTGAGCTGTGGGAAGGATATATTTCCACACACAAGTCTGTACTTTAAAAAATTATCTTGGTTGCTTGGTACAGGATGAGTTACCAAGAGGGTCAGGATTCCTGCCGGCCTGGCAATATTTCCTGCTTCCCACCACCCCACCCACTTCCCCAATTTACAAGCCCTGCCCCCTCCCCTAAAGAAGACCTGTGAATGACAGGCTAGTCCTCTGCCTCCTGGTCCCAGCAAACAGGAGCACTGATTCTTGGCCTTTCTTAATCGACCTTGCTGTGACTTTGACCACCATAAAGTTCACAAGAGAAGAGATCATAAAGGATGATCAAAGTCTAGTTTTCTGAACAGGAGAGATGATCAGAGTGACATTTGGGGTTGGCACACATTTCCCAGACAGAGGGAATATGGCGAGTTAAGGCACCGTGGGAAGAGTGTCATCCATATGTCATTGTTCACTCTTTTACATTAGTTATGTACTCCAGTCCTGGAATCCAAAGGTCAACAGAATGCAGCAAGTGAACTGCTGCCCTTCTGTGGGATGAATTCTTCAAGAACAATCTTGGCTTTGTCAGTGTTTCTTACCTGCATGCCTTCTTGGATCTTGGTGTTTTCTGTCTGTTGGCTTTGACAGTGTCCAGATTGGAGGTTATTTTCATCCATGCAGTCTTCCTTCCCTCTCATTCCCTGGCCTTTGAAGAATGACCCCTCTCTGACTCCACATGGCTCTGGTAAATCAGGACATGTGACCAATAGGGAATATGACCAGGCCAATCCTATTCTCTCTTCCAGGAACTGGGATTTTCAATAGAGAGACCCAGGATATAAGAGGTTGAACAAATTATCCCGTAACTACACCCTAAGGACAGGGTTCCAAGGGTTGTGAACCCTGGAGCTGCCCTGTTGCTGGTACCTTCCAAAACATATTCTTGAGCATTTCTCTCCATTTTACAGGCTTCAGAAAATATTTTTTGTTCTTGCTTAACTTCAATTAATACATTAATACACAAGTCATACAGAAAATAGCAAGTTTAGAAATCAATTTTTTTTGTGAAATATACATCCAGAAAACTTCATTAAAGTGTATTACAAACAACTATAAAGTGAACGTTACGTATGTGTTTACTACCAGGGTTGGGAAATGAATATTATCAGTAGCCCGGGTGCCCTCTCTAACCCACTGCATTCCTCTCCTTAATGATAAAACCACCTTGCTCTTCCCTAACTACTCTGCTAACATTCTTGACCATCATTTCCTTGCTTTGCTTTACAGTTTTATCACTGATGTATGTATCCCTACACATGTTGCTTAGTTTCATCTGTTTTAACATTTGTGTGAAAGGAAGGAGGATTTTGTGTCTTTACTCAACATTACATTTGTGGGAGTCATCCATGTTATTATGTATAGAAGTAGGTTATCCATGTTATTGCTGTATGATAGTCCATTTGTAAACATATCACAGTTATTTATTAATTACATACCTGACAAACATTTGCATTGTTGCCACTGGGAATATTACAAACAGTGTTGCTATGAGCATTTTTATTTATGTCTCCTGATATATGAAATCAAATTTGTCCAGGGGAAATCTCTAGGAGTACAATTGCTGGGGTATAGGGTTATGTACATCTTCACTTTTACTAGACAATGCCAAACTGTTTTTCCAAAGTAGTTGATCCAATTTACAGCCCCACTTGCCCTAACAGAGAGTATGAGAGATTCTGTTATTCTACATCCTCTCCAAACTTGATATTTTCATCTTTTTAGCTTTTGCCCATCTGGTGACTTTGTTTTTATTACGATTACCAGAAAACTGAGGAGGTGTGCAGCTTTCCATATTTGTATTGGACATTTGTCTCCAAAAACTAATTACTATTTCTCTCTTTCTCTTTCTCTCTCTCTCTCTCTCACACACACACGCAAACACACATACATGTGTGTATATTAACAGTTCAACTTAAATGATCAAAATAAATAGATCAAATTTCATGTTTTATTCAACCACCAAATTCAAGGAAAATTGTGTTCAAATTTTCTTACAAATACATTTGTTGTTTAATCTATATTTACCTCAGCAGGTATCATTTCTTAAAACTTTGGGCGCTAATTAGGAACTCTTACTCTTGAAACTATTTCATTTGACTTTCCACTTGAAGATCTGCCTAACTTCACTAAAACTTGACATTAATCCCTGCTCTTGGAAAATAACTATTTGCTTCATGCCTGTTGGGTGACATACACCTTAACCATAGATGCTAGCATGAAGCTGAACAAATATCCTTCAAAAAGGGCCTGTCATGAAATGAAAACTTTTGTGGGTTTTTTTGTTTTTGTTTTTTTGCCTGGTAGATTTGTCTGTTCATGTGTAATGAACATATAATGAAAACAGAATATCAGCCAGCCCGACCCAGGTATGACCAAACACACCTTTGCACCACTATATTTAGGCATTCAGCAAACTTCTTACTCTCTGCTCACTAGCCACCAATTTTTGTTCTGTGTTCTCCTCCTTGATCAATAAAAGAATAATGAGGAAATGTAAGGCATAATGACACTTAATGAGAACCTTCTAGGTGCTAAAACATTGGGATATGGTTTTGGGTTCTGTTCTAGCCCAGGGGACCATCTAGAACAGGAATGGCAAATTGGTTTCATTTCACATGTGAATTCCAATTTGCAATAATGTATGGAAAAAAATTCCAAAGTCACATCTGGGTTTAGGAAAGACTGTCATGACAGTTTAGTCACATCTGCTGTGGTGTGGGTGAATAGTTCTGTCATCTGCAATCTAGAGCGGTGGTTCTCAAATTTGGCTACCCCAAAGGGGACTCATCTGGGGAGGTTTTACATATACCAAGTCCAGGCACCACCCAAACCAACTACATCAGAAACTCTGGGAGTGGCCCAGGTATCTGTATTTTTTCAAAACCCTCAAGGTGATTCCAATGAGTAGGCCAGATTTGAGATGCATAGGTGTAGGGCAGTGTTACTTAAACCTGTTTTCATTATTGCCACACCCTCCATCACCACAGCCTTTCCAGGATCCTTTTAAGATACGTTTTTTCCCAATCGCCACCCCATGAAATGTTAATACCACAGATATACTGTGTATGTGTTTATGTGCTGTAGGTATATCTGTACTTTATACATAAAAAGGGTAAGATTTTGTCAATTCCCTCCACCCTACAGCCCTTGATCAATTTTCACCCCCTTGAAAGCAGTACTGGCCCTGTTGAGAATCCATGATCTAGAGAACAAGAAATAGCTTTTAGAGAATGATTTATAGTAACAAAAATAATACTTGGTACAGTTTGAGATTCGGGTGTTAATAATTTACTCTTTGAAAGCAAAACTGCCATTGTAAGCATAGCAGTGGAGGTACAAAATTAAGCACTGTGGCCATGGATTCACTCGATTATGTTGTTAATAGATGTTAGAAATAATTAAGGGGTGCTGTTAATTGAACCAGGCACTATCTGATGTGACAGTCCCCTGCTGGTAGATAAGTACTAAGAAGTGAAAATGTTTACTTTCCTAGCAAAAGAAACTGCTTCTATGGTAAATAATCCCCAATTACTCAGTCATTATTTTTATTTTTTATTATTAACAAAATTGATTTTTTTTTTTCTGATGGAGCTTTGTGCTTTATGGTGGTGTCCGATGCTTTACTATTACTCACCAGCTTAAAGAAAAAAACTCTTAGCATGAGTGTTAACCAGACATTTATTCATCCATAAGCTACAGGGATCCTTATCATTATGTATTTTATTTATTTACTTTTATTTGTTATGTTTTTGAGATGGAGTCTTGCTCTGTTGCCTGGGATGGAACGCCACTGCATGATCTCAGCTCACTACAACCTCAGCCTCCCAGGTTCAAGCGATTTTCATGCCTCAGCCTCCTGAGTAGCTGGGATTACAGGCACACATCATCACAACCAGCTAATTTTTGTATTTTTAGTAGAGACAGGTTTTCACTGTGCTGGACAGGCTGGTCTCGAACTCCTGACCTCAAGTGATCTGCCCTCCTCAGCCTCCCAAAGTGCTGGGATTACAGGCATGAGCCACCATGCCCGGCCTCAATATGTATTTTCACTTTTACTTTACAACTGAAAAAAACTCAATATTTTATCATTTATGTCAGATAAATACACATTTAAAGACTTATAAATAAGGTAAGGATGCAGATGTAGGTGATTCTCGTCCATTCCCAAAGTGTCCCCCTAGCCGGTCTTGATAGCTGGCTTGAGTGCCAACCCTGACGCACACTTGCTCTGTCATCCTGGGCAAGTCACTTAACCCATCTGTGCCTTGGTGTCACATTTGAAGAACTGAAAAATATTTGTGCTACAACAAAGGCTTCCAGTAAGAATAAACATATAAAGCTGTGTCTTTGGCTGGGCACAGTGGTTCACGCCTGTAATCCCAGCACTTTGGGAGGCCAAGGTGGGAGAATCATTTGAGTCTGGAGTTTGAGACTGAGACAAGCCTGGGCAACATAGTGAGGCTCTCATCTCTACCAAAAAAAAAATTAAAAAATTAACCAGGCACGATGGTGTGTGCCTGTAGTCCCAGCTACTCTGGAGGCTGAGGTGGGAAGATCACTTGGGCCCAGGAGTTGTAGGCTGTGGTGAGCTATGATCGTGCCACTGCACTCCAGCCTGGGGCGACAGGGCAAGATCCTATCTCTAACAACAACAACAAAGCTGATTTATAAAAGTAGAAAGGTGCTACACAGATGAAAGATAATGGTGATCTGATGCCACTTAACAAATATTTTTTAGTCCCCTAGAATCCAATTGCTACCCTTAACACATGGAGCCCAAAGATAAGTACGACACTCATTCTGGTCTCAGTGAGATCCCATGGACAGCCTTCCTGCCGATACATCTTATTGGTGGTTTCCACTACATGTAAATTCTTGTCCCCAGAAAGGAGAAGAGGTGGACAAGCTTACAGATAGGGATCAAGTAACAAATATTCAGACACAGTGAGTATTATATGGAATAGGCAGTTGCAGTTCAGGACTGTCTTTTGGTTTAGGAATCACCAATGCATCTTCAGTGCTATGGTATATAACCGCAGCGCTGCTGCAGTATCTCAACGTTGTCACAGTTGTGCTCTGTGCATTTGTCCACTGACACCAGTTGGTCAGTGCTGGGTCCTTTATTCAGAGTAGACACTTTGAGGGAAGGACCTGTGGGCTCCTCAGTGGGCCGCTGAGCTCACAGATTCCTGATTCCAATTACATGCTAGCCGGTGGAAAGAGGAGCTGAACATGGGTATTGAACAGTGAGGGAGGCAGAGCACTCAGCAGACCCAGGGCCTTATTCATGCCAATGTCATTCTTAACCAACTCTGTCACCTTAAGCCCTCATCTGAAATGGCGAGTTCCCACCTTCTCTCTGGTTTGTCTCTGGCAAATCCTGCCGTAATACAGAAGAGCAGGGCTGCCGCTTTTCTCCCCACCATCCCAGTATTTGTATGCTCTCCTGCCCTCACCCCTTCTTCTGCTATAAGCCCCATGGCAGCAACTTTTAAGACTCTCATTTAGTGACACACAGAAATGAAATGAGAATGCATTGAGCTGAACCTGCCGTCAGCACACTGGGTGCAGGAGAGCTGAAGATTTCCCCAGCTGTGAGGACAACCTGCCACGCTGATCCAGTTACCAACAGCCCCTGCTGCAGAAGGGAGGCAAGTCAGTCTATGCCCAGCCCAGTTTAGCATTGGCAGGCTTTTGAGTACATCTAAGAGCCTGAGGAAAGCCAGACACAGAGAGAAGGGGGCAGCTGAAAGAATGACTTAATAAAGAGCCACATGAGTCGCCTCAGCCTTGGGGTAAATGAAGTTTGCTGTAGGAGGCTCCCTTGGCAGAGGCTCCCATGAGACATGCCAGCTGCCTTAAAAACCCTTGCCACTCCTTGCAATTAAAAGGCAGCAACCTCATGTGCCACACTCTCAAAAATGTGCGTAATGCATTTCAGCAAATATAAGTGGCAGATCCCCCAATCTTGAGTCCATCTGTGGTGGAGCTTTCAAGCCCTACGCTAATAGAGAGATGACACAGGCCAGCTGGTTTGAGCTGGTTGAGCCTGAGAAGCAGGGAGAGGCGGGGGAGTCACAGTCTTGCTGCTGGCAGTAAGACCAACTTGTTTATTTTTTAATGATGAGCACCTCAACACCAGCAGCCTGTTTCCCATACTCAAGGTCTCCTTAAAGTTCAGCTCCTCCTAATTATGTAAGACAGCCAGACCTATGAAGTATGGAACAAAAAGTTGTGATGGTGGTATCAGTTGTTTTAATTTAATTGATTTTATATTATTGAGAGAGTTCAGCAAATCACATATAATCTCACGAAGGTATGCTGACATAGCAGCTTCGCTGAGCTAGAGACTCTTCAAATCAGAGTAACTGGCCCAAGCATCAGCTACGTTTCATTTTTCAGAGATCCCAGTTGCATTAGGTGCTATTCTAAGAAGGGCAGCCACTTTCTCTCCTGATTTAATCACCAGGATCACATTTTTGTGACAGATAAATCTGGTATAATCTTCACCACACTTAAGGTTGGCTGTTGACCTAGAACGCTCTAAAATTATTTTGTAGGGCATAAAAACCTCCTGGTAATGCCGCAAGTACCCACAACAGGTATCAGCAATGAGAGCTGTTACCTGAGCCCAAGCCCGCCTGAGGTACTGCTGCCCTCCCCTACTCTTACATAAAGTGTTACCTGTTCCCACTAACACTCTTCCACGCTCTCCTTCTATTGAGAACAGGACATTCACACACTACTTCCCCAACTCCTACCCCTCTCCTTGAATCACAACAGAGCACAGACTAGAACATGAGCACCTCAATTTCAAAACGTTTATCTCTTCTAGTTGAAAATGATTTTCTAAATTATTGCCAAAATATAGCTTTTATCCTCCATCCTCATCCATTAGAATGTATGGCAACTACTACCTAGCTAAACATGACGTATTACTTATCTCCATAGTCACAGTATTGATTCACAGGACCTGTAGGACATCTCTGAATATGCCTGTTCATCAGCATACTGGAGACTTTTGGATAGAGTTTTGCTCCAGGGCAGAGTTTCCAAGTCTGCATTTTGCATGCAGAATGTCAAAAAATGTTAACATGTGTACAAAAGGGTTCCATGGTCCACGAGGTTTGGGAACCACCAAATACCAAATAGCCCTTTTGGAGATTCTTAATTTGAATTACCACAGTAAAGACTCTAAAAAGTCCTACAGTCAAGAAAACATCCATTTACCCAGCATTTTACAAACACATTTGACCCCAGAACATACCCAGATACCTTGAGAAAACACAGATGTCAGAGCAGAGGAACAGGGCATTCCTAACTGAGAAGCTGTTAATAATCAGGGATGGATGCTAGTACACCTTGTTAAATGATGTTCAGCTGTGTAGTGTGCAGGGGCATCCTGGACCTAAACTTACAGTGTTAATAGCATTGATTGAGTTTATCTGTGCCAAGTACTGTGATAAATCCTTCACCTATGCATAACCTCCTTTATTTTAATCTCTACAATAACTCCATGAGGCACATTCTAAATACACCCAATTTTGCAACTAAGGGACAGAGAGATTAAGTAATCTGCTCAAAGTTATACAGTGTTTTTTTGTGTTTTTTGTTTGTTTGTTTGTTTTTGTTTTTGAGATGGAGTTTCGCTCTTGTTGCCCAGGCTGGAGTGCAATGGCGCAATCTTGGCTCACTGCAACCTCCACCTCCCAGGTTCAAGCATTTCTCCTGCCTCAGCCTCCCAAGTAGCTGGGATTACAGGCACCCACCACCACGCCCAGCTAGTTTTGTATTTTTAGTAGAGACGGGGTTTCTTCATGTTGGTCAGGCTGGTCTTGAACTCCCAAGCCCAGTTGATCCACCCGCCTCGGCCTCCCAAAGTGCTGGGATTACAGGCGTGAGTCACCATGCCTGGCCTAAGGTTACACAGTCTTTAGTGAGTGAACGAATAAGCAGTAGAGTCCAGGTCTACCTGTCACCAAAGTCTGTGTTCTTAACCAAAAAGCCCTCTGCTTCCCTGTGGAACCTTCATATCCTCAGAGCTGCCTCGGCAGAGATTTGAATGAGGACAAGCATGAATCAGGAAGACAGAGTCCCCAGGAGCTCTAGAATTGAGAAGTCAGAGGACTTTCCTAGTCCAGCCTCACCCAATCTAGCCATTGTGACCTACCTCAAATGAGTAACTACTAGAGTCATGGATATGACTTAGTATCTCCAGTGATGGGGCCTGAGTTGAGAATTCACAGCTGCCATTCTTGTGTTTCTGTCAGGGGTTTATGTTGCTCTTCTTACAGTGGGGACAGAAGCAGAATCTCTAGCTTGAGCTTCAGAATGAAGACTTTTAATTGCTCAAAGCATTATTGTGTGCCAGTAGCTGCTCAGTGTTATTCTAAGTGTGGTCCGTGTGTCAGCAGCAGCAATATCATCTGGGTACTTGATAGAAAGCCAAATCCTTGGGCCCCACTCCAGACCTACTGAATCAGAATCTCTGGGGGCGGGGTCTAAGAAACTGTTTTAGCAAGGCCTTCAGAGGGTTCTAAGACATTTTAAAATTTGAGAAGCCCTGATCTTATTAGCCCAAATCTCTCATCTTATAGATGACAAAACTACATCCCAAAAAGATCAATGGCTCATTCATGATCCTAGAGTGAGTAGTGATAGAGTCAGGTGGAGTGGGTAGCTGTTAATTTTACCTATTCAGTATTCGCAGCCCTTTCTTTTGGTAATAGTACCCAGATTTTGCTTGGGGTATCCTCCTTCCTCCTCCTTCTGTTCATGTGGTTTGGATGGGACTAACTGATGCTTCCAGATTCAAGGGTGAGGACATGACTCAATCTGGCCAGAGTAATTTATCCAAACTCTGACCCCAGCCTGGTCACAGACACATGGATTAGGGATGGACACATGACTACGCCAGGCCAATGAAACTGGGTTATGGGAATTTTACTGGAATCTTGAGAGAGGAGCTTTCTTTTCACTGAGACTGATAGCTATAAGCATGACATTTAAATGGCCTGTGTATCATGAAGCCCACCAAAAGAGAAGTCCCATCAGGAAGGCACTTCTGGCCTTGTTTGCCCTGCTCTGAGCTCCAAAACCTTGTTTTGAACTGTCAGCTCAACCTCAGTCAGTCCACTACATACTTAAACAACACCCAGGGGGAGACAGTGGAATGTGAGCCTCTCACTGTGTTTGGGAGTTATATGGAGTTTACTAAACATAAAGATATTCATTGAGCACTAAAAGCCAAACTCTGGGCTCTGGTAGGAATATTTCAATCCTTCTTAAATAGTAATAATTTCTAACAAATGTGGCCAAAGAGATAGTTCTGGTCCAGATTCCCCAACTAAGCAAAAGCGTGGATAACAGATATTGTGGAATTCCCTTAAACATGCTTTAGAAAGAAAGCAGTAGTTCAAAGCTTTTCTGTTAATCATTCTATGTTCAATATTAGCTAAATTACAAGAGTACTTCCAAATATCAAAATATCCTCACTTTGAAATAAAAGTCTTCAGTACTACAGCCTCCCTAATCAATAAATGGCCTGAGCTCTAGCAAGCTATCTCCCACCCTTGCTGTAAGGCTGTAAGAACACATTCATTGAGCATGATATGCCAGGTACTATGCTGAAACTTTGGTAGGTGTCATCTCGTAATCCTAGAAACAGCCCTTTGAGGGATCAATTAGCTAGTATCCTATGAGCATTCACTGTATACCAGACATTTTTAAGCACTCAACAGTGTGCTTAAACAACTAACTCATTTTATTATTTCACTTTATTACAGGGGTTACATAATTAGCAGAAGGGAGGAGCTTCAAATCCTGGCACTCTAACACAGAGATTGTTCACTTAAGACTACACAGTACTACTTATGAAAAAAAACTGGCAGAAGGTAAGACAAATGATCAACTTCCTTTTGGTGCCCTCTCCAGGTTAGTGAACCAAATAGGTTCTAGGTTAGAATCATCACCATAAAAGTAGGGGCTAACATCAGTGACGTCTAAAATTTCTTTTGGATCTATTCTACAACACTACGGATTTTTGGACATGATTTTTTTTTGCTACCTCTAAAGCAGTGAGACCCTCTGGAATTTCTGTGTAAGAGAGTTTTAGAAGTGGCAACCTGTTTGTTAGATAAAATTAGGAAACTTGAAACTACAGTTACATGGCCAGCATGCTGTATTTGGCTTATATGCTTATTCAGAGCAGATTTTAGAGGCTGGGGGTTAACAGAAATTGCTATAATGCCTCTCCCAGAAGCTACCCCTTGGTGTCTCCAGATATGAGTCATTGTTTCAGAGGTGTGGGAAAAGAAGAAACTCCTGCTTTCGGCAAACCTGTATTGGGTTTGGTCTGATATTGAAGAATTTTGCCCTTCCTAAATTGTGGAGGTCATCTCACCCTCCAGCTAAGCCAAGCAGAGGGTGACAATGAATCCATACATGACAAAGAAAGTACTCATGCTTCAGGCCTCTATCTAAGTCATTTAGCTAAATGCTTTTCCACTGGAATAAGATTTTGGACTTTATTTTAATCAGCAGGTTTTTCCTTTGAGAGGAGTTTCAAATCTCCCTCTTAGGAAGGTCATGCTTCCTTTGCCTTGCTAGGCCTCGGGATAGAAAATAGGATTCTCTGGAAAAAGCTATCACTTAGTAAATAATTGATTGGCGATTGCTTTGGATTTGATTCGCTAAGCTGAGAACCTTCGACACAAACTGTGGAGGGTTCAAGAATGAATGCAAAGTATGTGTGGTTTTTACAATTTGGTGGTCTAAGCAAGGTAGAGGATGTCTAGCAGGGCAACAGTGTTCCTTAACCTTGTTTTCTTTGGTTTAATGTTCACAAGTCATAGAATATACAAATAGAACAGTCACTAAATGCTTTTTTCCTTTGAACAAATAGTTTCAGTTCCTACAGATACCACCATTGTACTCCAGTGGCTTAAAATAGCACTGTGGTCACAATGTCAGTCCCTAGTAGACCTTCCAGTTTTTCTAGCTAGCATTTCCCTAATACCTGTGATAATGCGTCTCCCATAAGCTAACAAATTAGTTCAGGTGGAGGAATGGGGCAGGGAGACAGCTGGCTTCATGCGAAAAAGAAAATGCTTTCTAGTCCTATCCGGATGCAACAATATAGAGGAAATTACAAAGGGGTGTCTAGTTCCTGTGTGGGGCAGGAGGAACACACTTAGAAAATGTAGGAACTGTCAAAGCAAGGACTCTCTCTTAGCTGGGTGAGGTGGCTTATGCCTGTAATCCCAGCATTTGGGAGGCCAAGGCAGGGGGATTGCTTGAGCCTAGGAGTTTGAGACCAGCCTACACAACATGGAAAAACCCTGTTTCCACTAAAAATACAAAATTTAGCTGGGCATGTTGGTGCATGCCTGTAGTCCCAGCTACTCAGGAAGCTGAGGCAGGGGGATTGCTTAAGCTTAGGAGGTCAAGGCTGCAGTGAGCCGGGATTGTGCCACTGCACTCCAGCCTGGGTGACAGAGCAAGACCCTGTCTCAAAGCAAACAAACAAACCCTCCCTATCTTCAGATATGTGCCCAGTGCTGGGAATGGAAAAATGATAAGACTCAGTGCTGTTCTAATAGAGTAAATAATACTTCATAAGGTTAAAGAGGAAGTGGGTGATGCTAAGAAACTAGAGATGTAAACTACTGTTTCCCAAAAGATTAATGGTGAAGAGAAAGGTAGCTCCAGGTGAGTGCAATGTTGAGTGAAGAATTAATTTATAGTGTGTGTCTGAGGGTAAGGGTGCTTGAGCATATTAGTAAATGATAGAGCCATGTTGAGGATGAGGAGAAACCGACAGTGTCTTTCAAGGTACTTCTCCCATAGTATCAGTACATGTGTTTGCACGTTGATTTATTGGTTTATCCCATTCTCCTTACTATGCACTAGGCCAGTGCTAGACTCTGGAACAAAATGATGTCCCCTGACAACACACACAAAAAATTCACTCTCCACTCTTTCTTCTTCCCTGAACTCCTTCCCCAGAAACCACTTCCAGGTGTGCTTCTGCCTCATGCTCAGGGCCACTCAAAGCCAAGTCTTTCCAACTTTATCACTTCCTTTGTTTTGAAGAAGGGTCAGAGGAAGTGCTTTTACCATGTGTTTTGTTTCTTGTGCAAAGCCCACAGGACCTGATGGTTTGGCGCCCCCCAGGGGTACCCAATGGGCCTCTTTCCTGCTCACTAACAGATAAGGGGAACTGAGGGGCCCACGGAGGCCAGCCTGAATGATAAACTTTATGTACCCTAAATTTTCTAATATTTAGGGGTCAGGGGAAGGGGAGACTGCAGTCCCTGGAAGCTTTCTTTAGTGTAACTTGAGGCTAAGATGCCTAAGATGTGCAATGAAAACTAATTCTGCTCTGCCCTAGTCCAATGACATTGGACAAGTGGCTTAAATTTCCTCATATGTAAAACGGGGCCAATAATGGCTAATTTCAATGTTTTTGTTAGAATAAAATTAGACAGTGATTTACAGATGAACTTCAAAATGGCCCAGAGAAGATGATATGACCCATGTTTTCAGTCTCCAAAGTCCGGAGGGTCTTTGTTGTCTCAGCGAGTAAATAGAGTTGAGACCAAGCCAGTCCCACTCCTAGAGAGTTAGTCCTCATACGTAGAACTAGAGCAGATCCAGACACACTGGAATGGCTCAGAACAGGGGGCACTTGTGTTGCCAGGTGCCAAGTGGTGTTTTTATGAAATCAGGGTCCCCATGGTCAGCTGATCCCACGTGCGTGCTGATTGGCCAGCCTGTTGTCTAGATAGCAGTTCAGTTTCCATGGATCTCAACCCAGCATGATGCAATCAGTAGGGATGTGAGGCACTTGTTGTTTTGCTTTTCCCTTAGTCTTTAATCATCCAGTGGGAGTCAAAAACTCACTGCCTTGGCAAGAAACCCCAGGCTTTGTAATCAGTCCTTCCCTGAAAATCAGGTCATGGTGTTTCAAAAGACAATTTTCTGAAGGAAGATGTTTTTTAAAGAAGTGTTCAAACTTGCTGGCATTTTTACAAGGATAGTATTGATCATCCATGTCAACCTTCCTGAAGAACTGTTTGTCTGCCTTCCACTATTGCCACTTGCAGTCTGCCTTATCAAAGTAGAGGGCTAGGGTGAGACAGACCTGTGTAATGAAGAAGCCAAACAGAGATTCAGAAGTGTTAAGCCTCCCCTAGGAGAAACAAATGATCACTGGGACTTAGGCTATCTGTAGAAAAATAAGCTGTCTGCACTTACGTGTTGGTAGTTTTCATCATAAAAATCACAGAATATTAGAGCTACAAGGAGCCCTAGAGCTTTTCAGTTCATCCCCTTCATTTGATAGACATAAAAACTTACACCAGACAGGTGGAGTGATTTGCCAAGGGTTACCCAGAGAGTGAAAGCTTTAGGACTTGAACCCGTGTCTTCTAACTCTCAAGCACAAAATCCTATTCACCGCATTTGTGTTATTAGCTAGTTCTAGGAGACATGCTGAGCTTTGTAGAATGAAGGTAGAAGGACAATATTTATACACAGAGGGGCTAAGCTCAGTGAAGGTGGGTGGGAAGCATGGGGAAGTTGAGCAGGCGCCCCTTTATTAGCCCAGGAAGGGAGTCAGCCAGCAAGAAGAGCTCGCTGAGGTATGGGATGTCTCAGGGAAGGACGAAGATTGTAGCTGTAGGACTTTACTTTAGGACATTCGGAGAGGTTTTAGGACAAATTTCTGGTCAATCACATTCTATAAACCAGAAGAGGGTGGGGGCAGTGAACGTGTTTGTGTTGTACGCTTCTATAGCCCCAGCACCTGGCATACTCGTTCATTTATTTACCACGTTTACGGAACACGTATGGCTGCCGGGGAGAAAACGAGGTGCAGATATTGGCAGAGGCAGGAAACCAAATTGTACATAAATAAATGTAAAAGTTACAATGTATTCAGAAAGCAAAACTATACATTTCCACAGGTAGATAACTTACGTTGTATGTACATGTTATTTAAAAAATGAATGAGAAAAAACACACCAAACTCATTGTGGGAAGGAGACTGGGGAATCATGGTTTAAGTGAATTGCAGGAGTTTTTAAAAATAAAAATGCACTTATGTGTTAGAAATCAAAATAGTGGCCATTCCCTTTGGGAGGTGGTATAGTCACTGGAAAGGGGTGGGGGAGTTTTGATTTGAGCACTGGGTGTGTTCATCGGGTGAAAATGTATGGGGCTAAATTTTCAAGTATGACTTTTCTGTATGTGTTACATTTCCATAAAGTTTACCCAAACTGTATTCGGGTGATATTTTTTCTATTAGTATTTTTTATTATAACTTTTATTATTTATTATTTAGTATATTATAGTATACTCACTTCAGGTATACTACTTATGAAGTGGTATAATTTTATTTCAGTATGAACTTGGATTCATTATAAATATTTTATAAAAATGTGTAAAAAGAAGTATAAAATCACTAAAAATGTATAAAAAGTATAATTAAAATGTTTTTTAAAAGAAGAGAATATTGAATTATTTAAAATGCTCAATTAAAACCACAAAAGGCAGACAAAAAGTGGAAGACAAAATCGGAGCAAAGAAGAAAGGCAACGAATAGGAAATATTAACAAACATGGTAGATAACAATCCAACTATATCAATAAAGCCTTTGAATGGCAATGGACTTAATACACCAATTAAAAGACAAAAATTATTGGAACGGATCAAACCCAACTACATGTAGTCTGCAAGAAACCCACTTTATAATATAAAAACACATATAAATTAAATGTAAATACATGGAGAAAGATATGTCATGGCTGTCACTAATCAAAAAAAAGCAGAAGCACCTACATTAATTTCAGACAGAGCAGACTTCAGAGCAAGGAAAGTTATTAGAGTTAAAGATGAACATTATATCATGAGAAAGGGGCTCATTTTCCAAGAAAAGTTAATATTATAATCTTTAATGTGTGTGCTCCTAACAACAGAGTGTCAAAATATTAATATATGAGGCATAAACTGATAGAAATGCAAGGAGAAATAAATGAATCCGCTTTTATAGTTGGAGGCTTCAACACCCCTCTACCAGAAATGACCAGATCCTGCAGGCAGAAAATCAGTGAGGACAGAGCTGATCTCAATAGCACCATCAATCAGCTGGATATAATTGACATTATTGACCATTCCCTCTAACATAAGCAGAATACACATTCTTTTCAAGCTCACGTAAAACAATCACCAAAATAGGCCATATTCTGGACCATAAAATATGCCTTAACAAATTGTAAATAATAGAAATCATGCAATGTCTCCACTTGGACCCCAGTAAAAATAAACTATAAATCAATTAGAGAAAAATAGCACACAAGTTTTGAAATATTTGGAGATTACATAAAACATTTCTGAAAAACATATGGGTCAAAAATATCTCAAGAGAAATTTTAAAATATTTTGAATAAAAGGAAATTAAAATACAACTTTTCAAAAATTTTTTTTTTTTTTTTTTTTTGAGACGGAGTCTTGCTCTGTCGCCCAGGCTGGAGTGCAGTGGCGTGATCTCGGCTCACTGCAAGCTCCGCCTCCCGGGTTCACGCCATTCTCCTGCCTCAGCCTCCCGAGTAGCTGGGACTACAGGCGCCCACCACCACGCCCGGCTAATTTTTTGTATTTTTAGTAGAGACGGGGTTTCACCTTGTTAGCCAGGATGGTCTCGATCTCCTGACCTCATGATCCACCCGCCTCGGCCTCCCAAAGTGCTGGGATTACAGGCGTGAGCCACCGCACCCGGCCTCAAAATTTTTGAGATGCAATAAAAGCAGTGTTTAGGGGAAAATGTATAGCATTGAATGCACATGCTAGAAAAGAAGAAAGATCTAAAATCAAGAATCAAAGTTTCCACCTTAGCAACTAGAAAAAAGAAGAGCAAATTAAATTCAAAGTAGCGGTGCCTCACATCTGTAATCACAGCACTTTGGGAGACCAAGACAGGAGGATAGCTCAAGCCCAGGAGTTCAAGACCAGCCTGGGCAACATGGTGAAGCCCCATCTCTACAGAAAATAAAAAATTAGCCGGGTGTGGTGGCATAGGCCTGTAGTCACTGTTACTCGGGAGGCTGAGGTAAGAGGATTGCTTGAACCCGGGAGTTTGAGGCTGCAGTGAGCCATGATGATGCCACTGCACTCCAGCCTGGGTTAGAGCCTGTCTCAAAAATATTAAATTCAAAGTAAGTAGAAGAAAAGAAATAATAAAAATTAGAGCAGAAATCAATACAATTGAAAACAGGAAGTCAATAGGAAAAAATCAACAAAACAAAAAGCTGATTGTTTGAATGAAAGGATCAATGAAATAAAAAAGCCTCTTGCCAAACTAACTAAAGAGACAATAAAGATTATTAATATCAGAGATGAAATAGGGGCCATCACTACAGATTCAATGGCCACTACAAGGAAAATAAAGGGCTACTACAAATAACTTTATGTCCACAGATGTGATAGATTAGATAAAGTAGACCAATTATTTAAAAGATATAATATGCCAAAATGCATACAGGAAGATAAAGACAACTTTAATAGTTCTATATCTGTTACATAAATTGAATCAATAATTAATAACCTTCCAAAACAGAAAGCACCAGGCCCATCAGGGTTCACTGCTGAATTCTATTAAACATTTAAGGAAACTATACCAATTTAATGCAATCTCTTTTAGAAGATAGAAGCAAAGGGAATATTTTCTAACTTATTCTATGAGGCCAGCATTGCTCTAATACTAAAACCAGACAATGATACTACAAGAAAATAAAACTACAGACCAATATCTCTCTTAAATACAGATGCAAAAGTCCTCAACAAAATCTTGGCAAATTGAATCCAACAATGTATAAAAAGAATTATACATCATAACCAAGTGGGATTTATTCCAGGTATGCAAGGCTGGCTCAACATTTGAAAATCAATTAATGCAATCCATTGCATCACAGGCTAAATTTTTTAAATTGCATAAAATATCAACAGACACAGAAAAAACATTAGACAAAATCCAACATTCATTCATGATTTGTAAATTAAAAAAACCTCTCAGTAAACAGTGATATAGTTTGGATGTGTGTCCCCACTCAAATCTCATGTTAAAATGTAATTCCCAATGTTGGACGTGGGGCCTGGTGGGAGGTGATTGGATCATGGGGGTGGATTTCTCATGAATGGTTACTAGTACCATCCCTCAGCTACTGTCCTCACAATAGTGAATTCTCACAAGATCTGGTTGTTTAAAAGTGTGTGGCGCCTCCCCCATCTCTGTTTCTCACTCCTGCTCTGGCCATGTGACATGCCTGCTCCCCGTTTGCCTTCCGCCATGATTGTAAGCTTCCTGAGGCCTCTCCAGAAACCAAACACATGCCAGCACTGTGCTTCCTGCACAGCCTGCAGAACCATGAGCCAATTAAACCTCCCTTCTTTATAAATTACCCAGCTCAGGTATTTCTTTTTTTTTTTTTTTAAATACTTTAAGTTTTAGGGTACATGTGCACAACGTGCAGGTTAGTTACATATGTATACATGTGCCATGTTGGTGTGCTGCACCCATTAACTCGTCATTTAACATTAGGTATATCTCCTAATGCTATCCCTCCCCCATCCCCCCACCCAACAACAGGCCCCGGTGTGTGATGCTCCCCTTCCTGTGTCCATGTGTTCTCATTGTTCAGTTCCCACCTATGAGTGAGAACATGTGGTATTTGGTTTTTTGTCCTTGTGATAGTTTGCTGAGAGTGATGTTTTCCAATTTCATCCATGTCCCTACAAAGGACATGAACTCATCATTTTTTATGGCTGCATAGTATTCCATGGTGTATATGTGTCACATTTGCTTAATCCAGTCTATCATTGTTGGACATTTGGGTTGGTTCCAAGTCTTTGCTATTGTGAATAGTGCCACAATAAACATACATGTGCATGTGTCTTTATAGCAGCATGATTTATAATCCTTTGGGTATATACCCAGTAATGGGATTGCTGGGTCAAATGGTATTTCTAGTTCTAGATCCCTGAGGAATCGCCACACTGACTTCCACAATGGTTGAACTAGTTTACGGTCCCACCAACAGTGTAAAAGTGTTCCTATTTCTCCACATCCTCTCCAGCACCTGTTGTTTCCGGACTTTTTAATGATTGCCATTCTAACTGGTGTGAGATGGTATCTCATTGTGGTTTTGATTTGCATTTTTCTGATGGCCAGTGAAGATGAGCATTTTTTCATCTGTCTGTTGGCTGCATAAATGTCTTCTTTTGAGAAGTGTCTGTTCATATCCTTTACCCACTTTTTGATGGGGTTGTTTGTTTTTTTCTTGTAAATTTGTTTGAGTTCATTGTAGATTCTGGATATTAGCCCTTTGTCAGATGAGTAGATTGCAAAAATTTTCTCCCATTCTGTAGGTTGCCTGTTCACTCCGATGGTAGTTTCTTTTGTTGTGCAGAAGCTCTTTAGTTTAATGAGATCCCATTTGTCAATTCTGGCTTTTGTTGCCATTGCTTTTGGTGTTTTAGACATGAAGTCCTTGCCCATTCCTATGTCCTGAATGGTATTGCCTAGGTTTTCTTCTAGAGTTTTTATGGTTTTAGGTCTACCATTTAAGTCTTTAATCCATCTTGAATTAATTTTTGTATAAGGTGTAAGGAAGGGATCCAGTTTCAGCTTTCTCCATATGGCTAGCCAGTTTTCCCAGCACCATTTATTAAATAGGGAATCCTTTCCCCATTTCTTGTTTTTGTCAGGTTTGTCAAAGATCAGATGGTTGTAGATGTGTGGCATTATTTCTGAGGGCTCTTTTCTGTTCCATTGGTCTATATCTCTGTTTTGGTAACAGTACCATGCCGTTTTGGTTACTGTAGCCTTGTAATATAATTTGAAGTCAGGTAGCGTGATGCCTACAGCTTTGTTCTTTTGGCTTAGGATTGACTTGGCAATGCAGGCTCTTTTTTGGTTCCATATGAACTTTAAAGTAGTTTTTTCCAATTCTGTGAAGAAAGTCATTGGTAGCTTGATGGGAATGGCATTGAATCTATAAATTACCTTGGTCAGTATGGCCAAAAAAAAAAAAAAAAAAAAGATCATAGGCCTAAATGTAAAACAAAACAATGAAACTACTGGAAGATAACATAAGAAAAAATCAACATGACCTTGGATTTGGATTTGACTTTTTAGATATAACACCAAAGACACAACATATGAAAAAAAAATTGACCAACTGAACTTCATTAAAATTAAAAGCTTCTGCTCTGTGAATGACTGTCAAAAGAATGAGAAGACAAGCCACTGACTGGGAGAAAATATTTGCAAAAGACATGTCTGATAAAGAACTGTTATCTAAAACATACAAAGAACTATTAAAGCTCAACAATAAGAAACCAATTTGATAAAAATAATATGAGCCAAAGACCTTAACAGACATCTCGCTGAAGAAGATATGCAGATGGCAAATAAGCACATGAAAAGATGCTCCATATCTTATGACATCAGGGGAATACAGATTAAAATAACATTGAGATACCACTACCCAACTATTAGAGTGGCCAAACTCTAGAACACTGACAACCCCAAATGCAGACAAGGATGTGGAACAACAGGAATTCCCATTCATTGTCGGTGGAAATATAAAACAGTATAACCACTTTGGAAGACAGTTTGCAGTTACTTACAAAAGTAAACATATTCTTATCATAAAACCCAGCAACTGTGCTCCTTGGATTTACCCAAAGGAGTTGAAAACTATGTCCACACAAAAACATGTGCGTGGGTGTTTATAGCAGCTTTATTTATAATTGCCATAACTTGGAAGCAACCAAGATGTCCTTCAGTAGATGTATGGATAAATAAATCATGGTCCGTCTAGAGAATGGGATAGTTGGTGCTAAAAGAAATGAGCTATCGAGCCAAGAAAAGACATGGAGGAAACTTAGTGTGTATTATTAAGTGAAAGAAACCAGTCTAAAAAGGCTACATACTGTATGATTCCAACCGTATGGCACTCTGGAAAAGGCAAACTATGAAGAAAGTAAAAAGATCAGTGGTTGCCTGGGATTATGAGGGAAAGAGAAATTAATTAGCAAAGTATGGAGGACTTCCAGGGTGGAAGTCCCCTGAAATTATTCCGTATGATATTATAATGGTGGATATATGTCATTATACATTTGTGAAAACTACCACAAGAATGAACCCTAACGAAAGCTATGGACTTTGAGTAATAATGACGTGTCAGTGTAGGTTCATGAACTGTGACAAATATACCACTCTGATGGAAGATGTTGATAATGAGGCAGGCTGTTTATGTGGAGGGGCAGTGGGGAGTAGATGGGAAATCTCTGTACCATCCTCTCAATTTTGTTGTGAACCTAAAACTCCTTTAAAAGATAAAGTTTATTTAAAAATAAAAAGTAAAGGAAGCATATTTCAGAGCTGCAGCTCTGCCCATAGATAAAATTTTCCACGATGGAAGAGAAAACCAAATACCACATGTTCTAACCCATAAATGGAAGCTAAGCTTTGAGTATATATGGACACAAAGAAGGGAAATACAGACATCAGGGCCTATTTGAGGGAGGAGCGTGAGGATAGAAAAACTACTTAACAGGTACTATTCTTATTACCTGGGTGACAAAACAGTCTGTACACCAAACCCCCACAACGAGTAATTTATTTACCTATACAACAAACCTATATATATATACATGTACCCCTGGACCTAAATTAAAAATGTTCCACTGTGGTACCTAGAGAACACTTACCTTTTCTCATTCTCAAACCATGCCATGATAATGGTTTTTATTTTGTAAGACTGAAAGGCCCAAAACATGATCTTACCACTCCTTCCATTTTCCCACCAAAGTCCCCGCAGGCTCACAATTGTGAACCCAAAACTCAGCTACCAGGAAAAAGAGATGACCTGCTTAAAGTTTGAAAGTGGCTGTTTCTTACCACTTCTAGTTTTCAAGTTATTCAAAATTTGTTTTACTGCCTTAACTAGAGCATCCCTTTCCCTCATTCGGGAGCAGTGATTAGAAGCCTTAAGGCTGAATGGAGACCTAAGCCACCAGAAACTTCTCTCTTCAGTAATTCTCTTTGAAGGAAGACATAGCTACCAAGATGACTCTTCAGTCCCCATCTGTCTTGGGAAGAACTAGAGGTAACCTCCTTCAGTTCAGCAGTTTAGTAGTCAGTGATAAACTTTTGAGCACTGGCTTTCCATACCTCAATTCATGATGTTTGACTCTTCTAACCTAGAATGGTGGGGAAGAATGGATAGGATGACACACAGCTTGGTGTAAATAAAACTGGAAGGATCAATAGGGCTCAACTAGCACAATAGAGAGAGGAAGTGATGCATCTATGATTACCCACATAATTAGAAATAAAGTTTATTCTAGAACCCCAAGACCTTGAAATTCTTCCTAGCATTTTACCACTGATTTTTCCTACCTTCTGCACTCTGAGGTCCCTATCAATCCTCAGATGCTTGAGGACTCTAGATAATTGAATTAAAATAGTGTAACATCAGTTTCCAAAAGATGTAATGGAAGCCTCTTCTTTATTTTTTTATTTATTATTATTTTATTTATTATTATTTATTTATTGTTTATCTTTGCTACAATTGAAATTCCCCTAAATTGGAGGGCTAACACTTGTCATTCATCCCGTGAGTCAACAAACACATCATTACGCCCTTAGTTCCAAACACTAGGCCAGACCCTAGGACAGAATGAGGGGCCACATAAACAAGGTCTACTAAGCTTAGAACCTAGAAGATGAAGTACTCTAAAATCTGACATTGAAGGAGAAACTGGGTGTTTCTTTTATGAAGAGACCCTTGAAGATAGAATATGGAAGGTTTTCTTCCAGGTCATTTGGAAGTGCTTGGTTTAAATCCTGTTACTAACTAGTAGAGAGAATAACCCAGGGTCAGAAGAAATGGATAGTCAACTCTTTCTCCTACTCAGTGGTAAATCCTAGCCTTCCCCGTGCATATTCTTGAATCATATCATTATTCTATGACTTATAAAGTCCGTCCCTTGATTTAATAGTGGGGATAACTGCTTCTTTAATAATACATAGCAGTGTTAAGTGATAGCTTGCATTCTAGTAGCAAGAGTAGTGCTGAAGTAAGACTATAAATTATCAATACTTAAGCCCTAGCCTTTTTAGTCACTTCCATTTTTTAGTGAAGGAAAATCAACTTTTTTCCTCATTGACTTCTATCCCTCTTTTTTTATAGTAAACATTTAGAGATTTGCATATCGGGTGTCTAGTCTTCTCTGTCTGGTCTTGCTTTGTCATTAACAGATAGTTTATGAGACGGATGGCCTGTGAAGCTATTCTAATTTGTGATACAGTACTGTCACTAGCCTATAAATAATTAATGAAAGGGGACTTTTCTAGTGAAGAAAACTGTCAGGCCCATTGGATTGAAGTCCAATTTCAGTTCCCTTCCTGTGACTTTTTATTGAAATTTTTACGGCATAGAATCAACTTTCAGTAATGCAATAAAATGACACTAATTCAGACTGTAGAGGCTTGAGGGGGTTGGAGGGGAACCAGTTAGAATGAATAAAAGACACGTTTTTTGAAGTGAAGATATATCAAGAAATTCCATGAATTGAACTCTGCTACCAAAGGCTTTTCTAGTGGAACTGTTCTCGTAAGAGATGGCTTGGTTGCCAAGAGAGACTCACTCTAGCTGAAGTAAAGGGACATGCATGAGGATAGCAAATGCTCTCAGTGGCCCATGCATATTTCCTCAGCATTCCTGATTCTTACATGCCGATGACTTCTTAATGAAAGTCCACCTAAGAACTATCTCTGGCTGTAGGAGCATGTGAAGTCTATGCTGGCTAGGACAGAAGTGTTGGGAAGTTATCTATCCCTGCAGAGGAGCCTCAAACAATGGAAGGCAGAAGTTGGTGGATAAATAACTCAGCTCCTCACTGCTCTCAGGGGACAACTCTGAGGCATATGCGAGAGACCCCCAGTGGGATTGTACCCCAGTGGTCCACAGCAGTAACCTTCTTATCCACACACATTGCATTGGCTTTCTTTCCTTCCTTGTTTCAATTTCCCGCTCTTCTGCCAGTGTTCCCTGGGACCACCTCTCAAACAAACTACTTGCCCTGAAAACCTTTTTCAGGTTTACTTCTGGAAGAACTCAGTTAATACTGTAATGAAAGACTACAAGAGATTATATTATTTCCTGTTTATTTTCTTTCTCTACATGTTATTAAAAGAAAAAGTTTAGACCCAATACATTTAACACAGTTTATTCAGACAAAGAACAATTCATGAATTGGGCAACACTCACACGAGTTGCCATAATGTTAGCAAAGTGTTATCATCATTTAGTAAAAAGTAGGTGAAAAGCCTAAAAAATAATGCAGTGCTATTTAGTAAACGTAGACTTTCTTTTCCATGTGCTTGCATATTGTTGAAAAGACAATTACTAAATTTTATAGTGAAAATGGAGACCAGAAGAGGTTTAGATCACTCCACTCAGTAGTGTGAGCAGTGAGCTTTTATAGGACAAACATGGAAGCAAAGTAAGGAAATCACCTGATTGGCTACAGGTAGGCTTCTGCCTTCTTTGTGCATGGTATGATGAGTTGGCTGCCTTTGATTGGGTGAAGATGGGATATTTGTGGCTGGCTGAAACCGGGCTATTTGTTACCACAAAAATGTACTCCTAGTTATGTTCTGGTTTGCTTATGTACTAAGTTGGGTGGCAGTTTGTTAGGTAGAAACTCGAAGTACAGAGATAGCCTTAGGCCAGTGGCCTTTTGCTATGTAGTTTAACAATGTCTTAGCATGTCTTATGCAGTACTGCTGACCCTTGAATAGCAGGGTTTGAACTGCATGGGTCTACTTGTACATGGATTTTTTTCAATAAACATATTGGAAAATATTTTGGAGATTTGTGATAATTCAAAAAAACCTACAGATGAACCACACAGCCTAGAAAATATCAAAAAAATTAAGAAGAAATTAGATATGTCATAAATGCATAATATATACGTAGATACTAGTTTATTTTATCATTTACTACCATAGTTCTTATAAAAAGTTAAGATGTATCAAAACTTCCACACTTACTGACCATACATGACACCATTCACAGCAGAAAGAAATGCAAACAGAAATAGTTGCATTATTAAATCATAACTGCATAAAATTAACTGCAGTACATACTGTACTACCGTAGGAATTTTGTAGCCGCCTCCTGTTGCTATTGCAGTGAGCTCAAGTGTTGTGACTATCTGCTTAAAATGCCCTGATGCTAATTATCTCTGCGTGAACATTCGCTTTTCCAGTAAATCGCATATTGCAGTAAAATGTGATCTCTTGAAGTTCTTGGGTATTTTCCATCGTGTTTTGTGCAATACCGTAAACCTTGAATAACACTATGGAACCCATACAAAGTGCTACTACTGATGCTGGGAGTGCTTCCAAGAAGCAGAGAAAACTCATGGCTTTACAAGAAAAACTTGAACTGCTTGATATGTACCATAGATTGAGGTCTGCAGCTGCGGTTGCCCACCGTGTCAGAGAGGCGATTCATCTTGTAAACAGATAACATAAATTTGCAGTATTGATAAATACAGTACCGTACTGTAAATGTATTTTCTCTTTCTCATTATTATTATTATTTTTTTTTATTTTTTATGAGATGGAGTCTCGCTTGGTCACCCAGGCTGGAGTGCAGTGGCTGGATCTCGGCTCACTGCAACCTCCGCCTCCTGTGTTCAAGCGATTCTCCTGCTTCACCCTCCCAAGTAGCTGGGATCACAGGCATCTGTCACCACACCTGGCTAATTTTTGTATTTTAGGTAGAGATGGGGTTTCACCATGTTGGCCAGGCTGGTCTCAAACTCCTGACTTCAGGTGATCCACCTGCCTCGGTCTCCCAAAGTGCTAGGATTACAGGAATGAGTCACCGTGCCTGGCCACATGATTTTCTTAGTAACATTTTTTTTTCTCTGGCTTACTTCATTGTAAGAATAGAGTATATAACAAATATAACATAAAATATATGTATTAATCGACTATTTTTGTTACTACTAAAGCTTCAATCAACAGTAGGCTATAAGCAAAGTTTTTGGAGAGTCAAAAGCTATATATGGATTTTCAACTGTGTGGGGGTTGGCACCCCTAAGCCTTGCATTGTTCAAGGGTCAAGTGTACTCTGTTCATATTAGAAGTTAAATAACTTTTGTGGGGTGAATTGATGATATTTTGTAGGGTAAAGTGGTTTACTAAATTCTGGCTTCCCTTGAAGCTCAATTGTGGACACTTAGCAATATGCAGGAAGAAGGGAGATGCTGGCAGCTATAGGTCAATTAATTTATTGTACTGTTAAAGATTTGTAATCGCTCTGAAATCCTCTTTCCCAAGGATAAATTTTGTCTCTAAGGTTGATAATGAATCAGTCAGACGTTTCGTGTTTCTGTTGATTCTAGTCTGATTGTCTTAGATCTGGATGCTATGCACTTAATAAAGAATGACATGTGCGCATTGGGAGGCAGCCTTACAGAGGGATTAAAAACAAGGAGGGGCTCTGGCACCACACTGTCTACTTGAATCCTGGCACTGCCACTTACTGAGTGACCTTGGACAAGTTGTTTAACCCTCCATGCCTGCTATCCTCATTTGTAAAACAGGAATCATAATATTCAGCCTTGCAGACTCATTTTGAGGATTATTTCTAGCACAGCACGTAACCTGTGCTTAGCACAATAAAGTTAGCAAGTATTACCGTCATTTAGTAAAAAGTAGGTGAAAAGCCTAAAAATAATATATCACTCTCTAGTAAACATCGACTGTCTTTTCCATGTGCTTGTATATTGTCAAGAAAGATAATTCTCAAACCTTGTAGTGAAAATGGAAAATACTTATGAGTAAGGTTTGCCATTACACAGATAGATGGGGCTGACGGGGCGAAAGAAGAAAACCACCACTTGTTGAGGGTCATCTACATGCCAGGCGCTTTATGGAAATCACCTTATTAACTCACACAGTTCATGGCATTCAATCCAGATCTGCACAGTCCAAATCTTGCTGTGCCACTCTCCCTCCCAAATATAACAAAATTCCTGCCCAACTTTATCCAGTAAACTGTGTAAGAAGGCATGACTGTGGATTTGAGTTTGCTCAGTCATCGTGACCTTGAGTAACCTCCCTGGCCCGCTATCTCCTCCTGTTTTCCACCTTAGCTCTCTTTTCTTTTCTTGTGGGGGAGACTCATCTAAGATCAGCTCCAGATACTCATGCCCCTCAGTGTCCCGGTTCTGTTTCTCCCTATCTCAGTCCTGTTTCTCACTATGTCGGTCCTGTTTCTCCCTGTCCCTGGACCCTGTTGGCCATGGTGCTTCAACTGCCAAACCCATTGTGAAGCAGCTAAACTAGTGCCTGAGCTGGGAAGAACAGGGAGCCCAGGCCCCTGGGTGTGCCCTGAGCTGTGTATACTTCCTCTTGCCTTTGAGTTGTTTTCATTCCATGGATCAGACAGAAGACTGTATTTTTACTGTGGCTCCAAAGGAAAGATGCTGCGTCAGTATTGCTTTAGGCATCCCATAGTTGGGGAATCTTCCCTGTGTTCCCAAATTTCAGTGAAGCAAGTGACTTTTCAAAATAACAAATCAATTTGAGGTTTCTTATGTCCACAGGCTTGCTTCTTAGAGAGTTGTTTTGATGTTAAGTTTGGGGAGTGACTCCACCTTTGTCCTTAAGTGTCACTGAACTACATACCTGGCATGTAGTTAGGTTAAGCAAAATATCACTGATAAGTGAAGTTCCATAGAGGCCTTCCAATACCCTGCTTAACAGCTTATAAGCAAATATGCCCACTAGTAAAGAATAAGTGTTATGTAAACAAGAAAGTATGCAAATTCTGGTCATGCTCATCAGCAAAGGCTTTTCTTGCAATAGACTGAGTGCCGTTTTCCAGGAGTTAATAAATTGGACAAAATATATCAGCAAGTTCTTTCTTCCTTTGCTCCGCTTACCTAGTCAAGACTAATAAAGTACCGTGTATTTAATGACATATGCTTTGCCTATTTCCATTGCATCTGGGAACTTACACACATGCAATCTTTTTTCTTTAATTACCTGACTCCAAACATTCAATATTTTTGCAAGATCTGAAGTTATTATTTAACTTTTGAATAAGAATTGCTTTTCCCCTCCAGACACATAATCTCTAATCATTTTCTTCAGTATAAAGTTGACAATTCATTTTTCTCCTAAGCAATAAGACATGACTGCCTCTGCATAATGAAGGATTCCAAAAACCTGGATTTATGATGAAGCACATAGCAAAACTAATTGCATTTAACTACAAAAGTCTAATCAGCATAAAAAATAGAATATAGACACTCATTGAATGACAGCATCAGAAAGGACTTTAGAGATAATTTATTATCAGCTCAGCTTACAGATGAGAAAACTCAGGCCCAGAAAGATCTGGGTCTAAAAATCTCACTTCCCAGGGCCTCTGTACAGTGCTCCTTTTTCTTAAGCTAACCTACTTTCTTATATACTTTACATTTTGAAAAAAATATTTTTGAATGTACTTGACAAGAAATTTAATTTCCTGAAGGACGTGTATATTTTAAATTTTATTGCAAGACCAGGTCAGATGTGACATACAGCAGGCAAAATTTCCAACTCTCTCCCCAGGCAGGAAGAGCCTTTTCTCTCTGAATTCCCATAAGACATTCTTCACCTATCACATAATACTTGCCTCTTCCCATCTTATATTACATTTACTTGGGTCCATGTCTTATCACCTCTAGTAGACAATGAGCTCCTTAAGAGGAAAATTTCTTTCATATCTTCCCGATTCCCTAAGTGCTTAGTACACTGACTATGTTAGTGTGGACATAGAATCTCAATTTCTTTCCCTTATTTCATCTCCCCTGCCCCTCTAAACTTTTTCCAAGGGTCTCTAAAATAATATTGACTCTTCTATTCTGAGGAAAGAATTTTCTGTTAATTTTAAACTGGTAAGATGATGGTGCAGTACAGCCAATATGCAGGAGGAGTCTGCAACTTGATCATGTAATAGTATTGTACTTCATTTCTTTATTTCTGGCTTTAAGTAAATCTAAGCAGGGTGAAATAAAGCTCAAGCTCAAACTTGTGGAATATTTTAAATAATTAAGGAGTTTAAATTCATTTTTCTTCTTGAGCTTCAGTTTTAAGAGTAAGTTAATTAAAATTTGCAATTTGCTTTTTGTTATTGTTGCTTCTAGAATTAGGATTAAAACTGAGATTCCATTGCAGCCACCTAGGAGAAAGTCAAAGGTTGGGCAGTAACATTTAAAGACCTCTTCTAGCTGTTTTATATCTTCATCCATTTGGTCAATAATTATTTATTAAACACCTGCCATGTGCCAGTCTGTTACTGGACTAGGTATTATGAATATACAGTGGTGAATAAGAAAGAAGTGGTTCCCTTCCTTCAGAAAACTCGTAATGATGGCAAAACTCAGAATGATGGGGAGGGCAGGTAAGCCACTGAGACATTATAGTAAGGTGTAATGGCTTTGATGGGAAAAACACAGGGCTTCTGTGGAAACGCACGGAAGAAGCATTTACACTCAATCATGAAGACAGCAGGGAAGGCTTTCTGGAGAGTGGTATCTGTTCTGAAGCCAGAGGGCTAAGTGAGTTAGCCAGGATAGAGAAAACCACATGTGCAAAGTCCCAGAGGCAAGAGAGAGAGCTTGATGTGTTTAGGAAGTGAAAGGAGCCCAAGAAGGTCTAGGGTTTGGAATGGAAGCCCAATTACAACAGGGGTCTCAGTAATGTGAATAAGTAAAGTGAGCTTTCATGACCTTTCAAGAAAGGGCACCTGCGCCGGGCGCGGTGGCTCACACACACCTGTAGTAATCCCAGCACTTTGGGAGGCCGAGGCGGGCGGATCACGAGGTCAGGAGATCGAGACCATCATGGCTAACAGTGTGAAACCCTGTCTCTACTAAAAATACAAAAAATTAGCCGGGCGTAGTGGCGGGCGCCTGTAGTCCCAGCTACTTGGGAGGCTGAGGCAGGAGAATGGCGTGAACCCGGGAGGCGGAGCTTGCAGGGAGCCGAGATCGCGCCACCGCACTCCAGCCTGGGCGACAGAGCCAGACTCCGTCTCAAAAAAAAAAAAAAAAAAAAAAGGCACCTGCAAGTTAGCTCCTGCTGGTTACTGCCAGGCAGAAGGATAGCCCTATATTATTATATTTATAAATTTTCCAACAGAAACTTGGAGTCTGGATTTTTATGAGAAATTGGCCAATTTTTAAATGTTAGTTATTAGGAAATGTTTTAAACATAGTGTGGTCCAATAACATGGTCTGCCAGCTGGATCCAACCTGTGGCTACTAGTTGATAATATCTGATCTAGAGCAATGATTCTTCAAGTGTGGTTCAGAGACCAGCATCAGCATCACCTGTGAGCTTCTCAGAAATGCAAATCCTCAGTGTCCACCTCACACCTAATGAATCAAAAATGCTGTGGATGGCCCTGCAATCTGTGATTTAATCAGCCCTCCTGGTGATTCTGATGCAGCTGAAGTTTGAGAACCCCTAGGCTTACAGCTGTGCTATTCAATATGGTAGGTACATGGGCCATTAAATACCTGAAATGTTGATTCTCCACACTGAGACGTGTGCCACATGTGAAATACATACGGGTTTTCAAAGATTTTGTACGAACAAAATGTAAACTATCTCAATAATATTTTTTATATTGATTACATGCTGAAATTATATTTTGAATGTATTGGGTTAAGTAAAATATATAATTGAAATTCATTTCATCTGTTTCTTTTTATTTTTTAAAATCTGTCTACTAGAAAATTCAAAATTCCATGTATTGTATTTCCATTGCCGAGTGCTAGTCTACAGTCTATTTTGTAAGGCAGAGAACAACAAGCCTTACAAGACTTTGTAGGTCATGCTCTAAAGATCTATATTTTGAGAGCAAGGAAAAAAAAACCCTCAAAATGATCTAAGCAGGATGACAAGTCAGATCAGATTGGTGTTTTAGACAAACACTGACTGGAGTATGTCTCATACAATGAAGGGATGCCAGATTATACACACTGAGACTGGATGGAATAATCCAGCAGGAAGATGCTGGACTGGCGTTGACATTCTGTATATTCAATTAATATATTTATTCAGTGCATATTTCTTAGCTGGGTGAAGGGGGAAGTTTCACCCAAACATGAGTAACATAATCTGTGTCTTCAAAGGAGTGTATAGTCTAGTACAGAAAACCCTTAGGGGCAGCTTGTAGTTCTAATTGAAGTACTAGTTAGGAGCAAGGACTCTGGAGCTGGTCTTCCTGGAGTTGTATCCCAGCTCAATTATTTGCTAGCTGAGTGACCCTGGGCAAGTGACTTCAGTTCTCTAAGCCTCCATTTTCTTGTCTGTAGAAGAGAAATAATAATAGTGTCTACCTCATAAATCTATTGCATAGACTCAAATAAGTGTGTGTGTGTGTGTATTGCCATTTTTGTCACAATCCAAGGGGAACTAGAGTGGGAAGATGGGGCCAAGTTAAGGAATTAGCTAGCCTTTACTCTGCTGCTGTTTTGGTGGTGTTTTAAAATGCTGCTCTTCCTGAATCTGAATGCACAAGAACAGGATGGCTGGAGTTTCTTCAGGCTGGGGCCACTTTGATTTAACTTTTTTCACTTTCTCAGTTTATTTTACCCCAACCTTCATCCTTCAGCCCTCATGCTTTCACTTCTCTCCAAGAGCCCACTGCAAGTTTCTCAGTCTTGTTGAAATCATCATCATCGTCATCATCAAATAAAGTCCTTCACTATTTCCCCTTTCAGATCCATTTCCACGTGTCCTTTGTCAGCCTGATGAAGGAAATGAGTAATGACTATTTCTAATACCCTCTGAAGACAGTGAGATAAGAATGACTCTTCCATGATTGCTGAATGGGCTTTGAGCAGATAAGAGAAGCTTTGGGCAGACATTTCATGTGAATTGTTTGAAAGCTGCACATTCTAAGCCCACTTTTTCAAAGGCAGATGGTGAGTTACTTTCTGATGGCCTACCAAGATGAAAATTTCAAGAACAGTTTGTCCTGTCTCATGTCTCCCCCTCCTTCCAGTCTCAATTCTGATTTTACATCTACAACAAAACCTTCAAGTCCTTACCCCTGGTCTCTGTGTCCCCATTGCACTTGGCTCTCAGTTCCTTATAGCACTCATCCTTTTCAGCAGCAATAAATAAACACATACTACAAATGACCAGACTGTCCCATCAATGTGGAAGTGTCAATATGATGAAATACATGCAGTGGTTAGGAAGAATGAGGCAGCTCTTTGTGCACTGATATGAATGTTTGATAAGGTAAATTATGTGAAAAAAGTAAGGTGCAGGAAAGTGCATATATTATGCTACATAAAATCTGTGTTTAAAAAGGAAAAGAAAGCCACAATCTAAGGTACCATAAATTGTAAATGTGTTTTTATTTTATTTATTATTAAGAAAGGAAAATTGTTGCCAATTAAAATTATGACATCATAGATTGAAAGGCATTGATGTCTTTCAAAGATGTAAAAATATATGGATTTAGTGTATTTATATTGGCTTATATGGAATATCTCCAGTTCTCACATCGTATAAGGTCTTTTGGGGACGGAGCTGCTCTGACCCAGTGGGCTTCTCATTCTGTATGGGCTGTGCTGACTATAAATATCCCTCTGTAAGCTGCTGACGGGAGGCTGCAGAGTAGTGTGTCACATGCTGGTATCTTTGCCTGGGGTGCTGATGTACTAGTATCCTTATCTGGTCTACAACCTTTATATACTGCTTGCTTGGTTGCTTGGAAGTTAACAGAGGTGAAACAACTTTGAACCAAATCCAAGTTGTGATTATCATCCGTTCTGTAACCAAGGCCAGATGCTGTGGTTTACACTTGCTCAGCTTTATAAAGCAGGTAAAAGACTTTGGTACTCATTGGGTAATGAGACACCACTGCAGGGGTCTTAAGCTAGTTAGTTACCACATCAGATTTTCCTTTTAATAAGAATGTTGAGACCAGGCACGGTGGCTCATGCCTGTAATCCCAGCACTTTGGGAGGTCAAGGCAGGCAGATTGCTTGAGCTTAGGAGTTCAAGACCAACCTGGGCAACATAGTGAGACCCCATTCTCTAAAAAATACAAAAAAATATTGGCCAAGAGTGGTGGCATACTCCTGTAGTCCCCCTACATGGGAGGCTGAGATGTGAGGATCACCTTTTTGGCCCAGGGAGGTCACGATTGCAGTGGGCTGTGATAGCGCCACTACACTCCACTCTGGGTGACAGAGACCCTGTCTCCAAAAAAAAAAAAAAAAGTTGGCTTTGGCTTTGGAGAGGAGTGTATTGGAATGGGCAGGTAAGGGTTTTTGTGATTCTACACAGGAGATGCAGGTACTGAGTTTACTAGCCTTGGTCGTTTCCGCAGTTTTGAGCAAAGGACATGGCATCAGGTACCTTCAATATATTTTTAAAAAGAAGATCATTAAAGGAGATAAACAGGCTGAAAGTTGGGAATAGACTTTGAAAGCAGTGGAAACTGGTATTCGACCTTAGGGAAACTGTCCCTATTTTGGTATTTATTAAAAACTTGGACTCCCAGTGATGTTTCCAGTAAGTCTGTAGAAATTCTGCTAGGTTGGTCGGGCGTAGTGGCTCACGCCTGTAATCCCCGTACTTTGAGAAGCCGAGGTGGATGGATCACCTGAGGTCAGGAGTTCAAGACCAGTCTGGGCAACATGGTGAAATCCCATCTCTACTAAAAATATAAGAATTAGCCCATGTGGTGGCGCATGCCTGTAATCCCGTTACTTGGAGGCTGAGGCACGAGAATTGCTTGAACCCAGGAAGCAGAGGTTGCAGTGAGCCGAGATCATGCCATTGCACTCCAGCCTGGGCGACAGAGCAAGACTCTGTTCCAAAAAAAAAAAAAAAAAAAAATTCTGCTAGGTTGGATGATTCAAATGCCCACTGATGAAAGTGTGTTCAGAATTACACACCTGGAATGCATCGTGGCGTGCAAATATAGTGCAATCCCTTTCTAATACTCTTGTAGGACAAAGAAACTGCATTGTGTTTTCTGACAGTCCATTAGTGTGGTCCTTTCCTGGAAGCATTAGTTATTTATATATGGCGCTCATGCTTGAATCTGTAATATTGAATGCTCTTAAATAGAGCCTACATTTCCAAATCAAACAGCTTAAAAATGTTATAATGAGTATAAATTATCTGGACTTTTTAAATGTACATTATTACTATCAGGCTGTCCCTCTCCAGAGACACATTCACTAGCAGTCACACTCCAAATATTCCACATGCCAAACCTACTCAAAATGAGTGAAATAATGATATTTCTATTAAACCTTAGCAAACAGCAAACTAGTCTCCTCACCACAGAGAGGTAATTTAAACTGGTATCACCTTTATGGGCCAGTTTTCCCAAGAGCTACCAGCCTGAGGAAATTTCTCCAGAAGCCTAGGGGTGAAGAAAAAGCTTGTACTTTTTCTTGAGATTCTTCCTGTCAGCTCAGGGAGCTGGCAAGGAACTAGACTCAAGGCCCTGCTATTTGAAAACTTTGCTTTCCAGAAGCACACTGACCATTTTACAAAGTTGAATGCTAGGGAAAATATGGGTTGTTTGCTTTCTGAAGAAACCCTTTCTATGTGCAACTAAATTAAGGAGCAGAAGCAGCTGAGAGAAAACTCAGCATCTCCTTCACCAAATAAGAGGCTTAAAGGAAAAGAAGACAAGGAACGTAATTTTGCAGGTCGTCTTTAAAAGAAGAGGAAGATGGACTTTTTAAGAAAATAAGTATCTGGAAGCTTTAGCTAAGCATAAACATGATTGAGGAAAAAAGGCAGTCATTGTTAGTTTTTTTTTTTTATTTTAATCCACTGTAATTGGAAATACAATGTTTCCAGCAATGATATAAAGGTAAACCGGGGCCAGATGGGGTGGCTTATGGCTGTAATCCCAACACTTTGGGAGGCTGAGGCAGGCGGATCACTTGAGGCCAGGAGTTTGAGACCAGCCTGGCCAACATGGTGAAACCCTGACTCTACTAAAAATACAAAATTTAGCCAGGCATAGTGGTACATGCCTGTAAACCCAGCTACTCGGGAGGCTGTGGCATGAGAATCACTTGTACCCAGGAGGTGGAGGTTGCAGTGAACCAAGATCCTGACACTGAACTCCAGCCTGGGCAACACAGTGAGACTCTGCCTCAAAAAAAAAAAAAAAAAAAAAAAAAAAAGAAAGAAAGAAAATTGGCTTATTGTTTTAAAAACTAGAGACAAAAATTGTAGCAAGAATGGGTTTCACTTATTTGTGAGAATTATTTATAATGGAGGAGAAGAACCCCAACTGATGTCACCCCACATCTCTGTTAGAAGAGCAAAGGTTATCTAAACATGACACACTTACACACTGGAATATCATACAGCTATTAAAAAGAATGAGTTTCAAAGTGATTATACCCTTTTGCCCAATGTATAAATTCCAGTTGCTCCATTCTTGTTAATGCTCCCTACTGTCAATCTTTTTACCTGTAGCCATTCTAGTAGGTATGTAGTGGTATTTCATTGTGGCTTTATTTTGCTTTTCTCTGATGAGAGATGTTGAACTTCTTTACATGTGCTTATTGGCCATTCATACATCTTCCTTTGTGAAGTATCTGTTCAAATCTTTTGCCCATGGTTTTATTGCGTAGCTTGTTTGTTTGTTGAATTGTAAGAGATCTTTACATATAAAAATTCAAGGGACAAGCTCTTTTTCAGATATATGCTGTGAATGTTTTTTCCTAGTCTGTGGCTTGCCTTGTCATTTTCTTAACCATCTGCTTCAAAGAGCAAAGGTTTTTAATTTTGAAGAAGTGCATTTTATCAACATTTTCTTTATTGCTTCATGTTTTTGTGTCCTGCTTAAGAAATCTTTATCTAATTCAATACCACAAAAATTTTCTTTTTTTTTCTGGAAATGTAACCTTTTATCTCTTAATTTTATGATCCATTTTTATTCATTTTGAGTTAGCTTTTGTGCATGGTATGAGGTAAGTAAAGGTTGAGGTTCATTTTTATTCTCATACAGATATTCAGTTGCTATCATCGTATAAGGCTAAATCCTTACCATATATAGCAATCTCATTTCTCAGTATTTGCCTAAGAGGATTGAAAACATGTTCACACAAAGATTTGTGTGTCAATGTTCACAGCAGCCTTATTTTTAATAGCCAAGAGCTGGAAACAACATTTAGAAAAGGTACAAAAATACCGTAACATAAATGAATTTCAAAAACTTTATGTTAATTGAAAGAAATCAGACACAAAAGACTACATAATGTGTGATTCCATTTATATGAGATCCTAGAAAAAGCAATAGTATAGTGACAGAAAGCAGATCAGTAGTTACCTGAGGTTGGGGGTGAGGGTAAGAGACTGACTGCAAAGGGGATGAGTCTACCTTTTAGGGTGTTGAAATGCTCTGTATCTTATGTTACTGTACACAAGTACCATAACTCTACTTTTACAATAAACAAATTTTATTGTTTGGGAATTATATCTTAACCTGGGGCAAAGGTACATAACCAGGAGAAAATGGAAATGAAATAAATATTAAAGAGTGATTCTTTCTGGAGAATTAATTCTTTTTGCATTATGTAATGCACCTCTTTATCCCTGATAATTTTCTTTGTTCTGAAGTCTGGTTTGTCTGATATTAATAGAGCTACTCCAGCTTTCTTTTGATTAATGTTAGCTTGGTAGATCATTCACCATCCTTTTGCTTTTAATCTGTGTATGTCTTTATATTTAAGGTGAGTTTCTTATAGTCAACACAGAGCTGAGTCCTGTTTTTTGGTATACTTTGACAGTTTGTGTCTTTTAAGTTTGTATATTTAAAGTAATGTTTTAGGTCAGTGCAGTGGCTCATCCCTGTAATCCTAGCACTTTGGGAGGCTGAGGCCGGTGGATTGCTTGAGCCCAACAATTCGAGACCAGCCTGGGAAACAAAATGAGACTTTGTCTCCACAAAAGGTTTTAAAAATTAGCTCAGTATGGTGGCATACGCCTGTAGTCCTAGCTACTCAGGAGGCTGAGGTGGGAGGATCACTTGAGTCCAGGAGGTCGAGGCTACAGTGAGCCATGATCGCACCGCTTTACCCCAACCTGGGTGACAGAGTGAGACCCTGTCTCAAAAAATTAAATAAATAAATAAAAATGATGTTTCAGTGATTATTGATACAGGTGGATTAATACCTACCATATTTGTTACTATTTTCCAGTTGTTGCTCTTGTTTTTTCTTTTTTTGTCTTCCAATTTTCTGCCTCCTCTGGTTTTGAGTATTTTGTATGATTCTAT
This sequence comes from Homo sapiens, assembly GCF_000001405.40. Classification (NCBI taxonomy): domain Eukaryota; kingdom Metazoa; phylum Chordata; class Mammalia; order Primates; family Hominidae; genus Homo; species Homo sapiens. Next base: position 2,204,057 of record NC_000009.12, on the reverse strand, counting down.
CTTTTCTCCTCTCTTAGCATGTGAATTATATGTTTTTTATTATTACTTTTTTAGTGGTTGCTCTAGAATTTTCAATATACTTTTACAGCTTTTCCAACTTCACTTTCAAATAATACTAGGCAACTACACGGGCAGTTTAAGTACCTTATAATAAAGTGCTCCCATCTGCCACTGTCCATCCCTTATAACATTGTTGTCATTCATTTCATTTATCCATAAGCTGTAATCGTGGAATACATTATTGCTATTATTATTTTGAACAAACTGTTGCCTGTCTCTTAGGAATAAGAGAAATAAACGGTTTTATTTTACTGTATTTCTTCTCTGATACTTCCTTTCTTTACCTAGATCCAAGTTTTTGACCTATAGCATTTTCCTGCTTTCTAAAGGAAACTTTTAACATTTCTTGCAAGGCAGATTTACTGCTGATAAATTCCCTCAATTTTTATTTGAGAAAGTTTTTATTTCTCCTTCATTTTGGAAGGATAACTTCTCTGGGTACAGAATTCTTGGCTGGTGATTCTTTCAACACTAAGTGTTTTATTCCACTCTCTTCTTGCTTGCATGGTTTCTGAAGAGAAGTCTAATGTGATTCTTACACTTGCTGCTCTACAGGCAAGGCATTTCCCCCCTTTGGCTTCTTTCAATATTTTTTCTATTTCTTTGATTTTCTGCAGTTTGATTATGATATGCCTAGATGTAGATTTTTTTTGGCATTTATCTTGCTTGGTGTTCTCTGAGCTTTGTGCATCTGTAGTTTGGTACTTATCTTTAGTATGGGAAACTCTCAGACACTAGTGCTTCACATATTCTGTTCCTTTTTCTCTTTCTTTCTCCTGGTATTTCCATTATGCATATGTTGTCCCTTTTATACTTGTGCTACTGTTCTTGGTTGTTCTGTTCTGTTTTATTGGTTTTTGGAGGTTTTTTTTGTTTTTTTTGTTTTTTGGATTTCAGTTTTGGGAGTTCCTATGGACATTTCTTTTAAGCTCACTAATTCTTTCCTTGGCTGTGTCCAGTCTACTAATGAGCTCAGCAGAGACATTCTTTATTTTTGTTACAGTAATTTTGATTTCTAGCATTTCCTTTTGATTCTTAGAGTCTTCATTTACCTGTTTACATTACCCATTTGTTCTTTCATTAGAACACTTAGCATATTAATTATAAATTTATGTTCTTTTAAATTTATGGCGATAATTTAACATCTCTGCCATATCTGAGTCTGGTTCTGATGCTTGCTCTGTCTCTTCAAAATGTTTTAAAAAAAAAAAATTTTAGTGTAATTTTTTGTTTCAAGCCACACAGGATGTACAGGGTAGAAAGAACTGAGATAAATAGGCCTTAGTGTGAGGTTTTATGTTTATCTGGCTAGGGGTTAGGCTGTTTTTACTGTTTGCTGTAGCTATAAGTATCTGAAGCTAAACTTTCCTCTGGTGTCCTTGTTTTTGTCTTTCTTGTTGCTTTTGAGTTTCCTTAGAGATTTTAAAAATATCACCTGCTATGTATAGTCCTTTCCATTGTATTGCCCTGTTATTATACAGAAGCCCTATTGATGTGGTGATGAGGTATTAGGAGGAGAAAAAGCAGTTGATCGTCTTACAATTAGGTCTGAGTCTCTTAGTGAGCCTGTGCACCTGGGTTGTGACCTTCATGAGTGCTTCTGTTTTGCTTTTTCATTTTGCCCCCGTAAGAGACACAGGAAGGCTAGAGAATACTCTAGTTGGGACTTCCCTTCTTCCACATGAGTTAGGCTCTGGTACAACAGTTTCTCTTGAAGGCAGGCCTATTAAGAAGAACAGAATATTCTGGTGTATGTTTAAATGTTTGCTTTTCCCTTCCCACTGCTGGAAATACAAAGTGATACTGTTCTAATCTCCTGTGAGAATCTAATAAGGCTCCTGGGGGTAAAATTCACAAAGGGTGGGCCCCTTAAGACTGGGTCCCCTGGAGTTTTTTACTCTCGAACTGTCCACACTGAACCTCCAGCAATTCATTAGTTATAGATTAAGTTTTCTTCCTCTGGTACTGGTGAGTTTGCTACTCTTGGACTTCCACTCCTGTAGGTCATGATTCTCGGTATCCACCTGATATGGTTTGGGTTTGTGTCCAAATCTCACATCAAATTGTAATCCCCAATGTTGGAGGAGGGGCCTGGTGGGAGGTGGCTTGATCTTGGGGGTGGATTTCCTCCTTGCAGTTCTCGTGATAGTGAGTGAGTTCTCACAAGATTTGGATGTTTAAAAGTGTGTAGCACCACCCCACTGGCTCTCTTTCTCCTGCTTCTGCCATGTGAGACATGCCTGCTTCCCCTTCACCATCTGCCATAATTGTTTCCTGAGGCTTCCTCAGCCATGCTTCCTGTGCAGCCTGTGGAATCATGAGCCAATTAAACCCCTTTTCTTTATAAATAACCCAGTCTTAGATAGTTCTCAATAGCAGTGTGAGAACAAACTAATACAGAAAATTGGTACAGAGAGTGGGGTATTGCTATAAAGATACATGAAAATGTGGAAGTGACCTTGGAACTGGGTAATGGGCAGATGTTGGAACAGCTTGGAGGGCTCAGAAGACAGGAAGATGAAGAAAAGTATGGAACTTCCTAGAGACTTGTTAAATTTTTGTAACAAAAATGCTAATAGCGATATGGACAACAAAGTCCAGGCTGCCAGGCACAGTGGCTCACGCCTGTAATCCCAGCACTTTGGGAGGCCAAGGCGGGCAGATCACGAGGTCAGGAGATCGAGACCATCCTGGCTAACATGGTGAAACCCCGTCTTTACTAAAAATAAAAAAAATCAGCCAGGTGTGGTGGCACGCACCTGTAGTCCCAGCTACTCAGGAGGGCGAGACAGGAGAATAACTTGAACCCAGGAGGCGGAGGTTGCAGTGAGCCAAGATCGCGCCACTGCACTCCAGCTTGGGTGACAGAGCATGACTCGCTCTCAAAAATAAAAAATAAAAATAAAAATAAAAAAAATAAAGTCCAGGCTGAGGTGGTCTCAAATGAAGCCTCTGAGGAACACATTGGGAACTGAAGTAAAGGTCACTCTTGCCACACTGTAGCAAAAAGACTAGTGGCTTGGGCCCCTGATCTGGGGATCTGTGGAACTTTGAACTTGAGAGAGATGATTTAGGGTATCTGGCAGAAGACATTTCTAAGCAGCAAGGCATTCAAGAAGTGCCTTGGCTGCTTCTGACAGCATATGTGCATATGTGTACACAAAGAGATGATCTGAAACTGGAACTTATATTTAAAAGGGAAGCAGAGCATAAAAGTTTAGAAAAGTTGCAGCGGGACCGTGTAGTAGAAAAGAAAAACCCATTTTCTGGGGAGGAATTCAAACCAGCTGCAGAAATTTGCATAAGTAAAGAGGAGATGAGTGTTAATAGCCAAGACAATGGAGAAAATGTCTTGAAGGCATTTCAGAGACCTTTGTGGCAGCCAAGAGGCCTAGGAGGGAAGAACGATTTCACAGGCCAGGCCCAGGGCCCTGATTCCCTGCCCCACATCAGGATACTGCTGCCTACATCCCAGGGGCTCCAGCTCCAGCCATGGCTAAAAGGGCACCAGATACGTGTCAGGCTGGTGCTCCAGAGGGTGCAAGCCATAAGCCTTGGTGGCTTTCACGTGGTGTTAAGCCTGCAGGTACACAGAGGGCAAGAGTTGAGGCTTGGGAGCCTCTGCCTAGATTTCAGAGGATATATGAAAATGTCTGGATGTTCAGGCAGAAGTTTGCTGCAGGAGCAGAGCCCTTATGGACAACCTCTACTAGGGCAGTGCAGAGGGGAAATGTGGGATTGGAACCCCCACTTAGAGTCCCCACTGGGGCGCCGCCTAGTGGAGCTGTGAGAAGAGGGCAACTGTTCTACAGACCCCAGGAACCTGGAAAAGCCACAGGTACTCAATGGCAGCTCTTGAGAGCAACCATGGGAGCTGAGCCCTGCAGAGCCACAGGGGTAGGGCTGCCCAAGGCCTTAAGAGCCTATCCCTTGCATTGGTGTGGCCTGGATGTAAGACATGAAGTCAAAGGAAATTATTTTGGAGCTTTAAGATTTAATGACTATCCTGCTGGGTTTTGGACTTGCATGGGTCCTGTAACCCCTTTGTTTTGGCCAATTTCTCCTATTTGGAACGGGAGTATTAAGTAAGTAACTTGTTTTTTGTTTTGCTTGTCTTAGAGAGACTTTGGACTGTGGACTTTTGAGTTAATGCTGAAATGAGTTAAGACTTTGGGGGACTGTTGAGAAATGAGGATTATATTTTGCAATGTGAGGAGGACATGAGATTTGGGAGGGCTTGGGGGTGGACTTATATGGTTTGGATTTGTTTCCCTGCCCAAATCTCATGTCAAATTTTAATTCCCAATTTTCAAGGAGAACCCTGGTGAGGGGGTGATTGAATCATGGGGGCAGATTTCCCCCTTGCTATTCTCATGATAGTGAGTTCTCACAAGATCTGGTTGTTTAAAAGAGTATGGGAAGGTAGCACCTTCCCCTTTGCTCTCTTCCTCCTGTTTCTGCCATGTAAGATGTGCCTGTTTCCCCTTCCCTGTCCACCATGATTATACATTTCCTGAGGCCTCCTCAGAAATGCTTCCTGTACAGCCTGTGAAACTGTGAGTCAGTTTCAACCCCTTTTCTTTATAAATTACCCCGTTCCAGGTAGTTCTTCATAGCACTGCAGGAATGGACTAATATACTGCCTGGCTGTCTCTTCTGCTTTGGGGGCAGTGGTTTGCCCTATGAACTCAGTTCTTTGATAAATCTCACAAGAGTTGTTAATTTTCAGTTCGTTCAGCTTTTTTCTGGTTGTACTTGTTGTATGTGACAGATAACTTCCAAGTTCCATACAAGCTGTACCAAAAACTGGAAGTCGCCAGTGATTCTCTCCGAGTGGTAATATTATGAGTATTTTTTTCCTTTGTACTTTTCTTACTTTCAATCTCTTCTCTCTGAGTGGTAGTATGAATGATTCTGAGTGGTAATATTATGAGTAAATTTTTTTCTTTGTACTTTCCTTACTTTCCATCTTTTCTACAATCCATTTTATAATTAAAAAGTTAAAGTGTTCTTTAAAATAGAGAAAAATAAAAACAATGAGTTCAATCTCTATCTGTTGACTTGGAGGAAAATACTCAATGCACTGTTAAGCGAGAAAGGCAAGTTGCAGAGAATAGTATAGCGCCAAAAAAAAAGAATAAAACCTTGAAACATCCTTAAAGTAGAGCTGAGAGTTAAAGCCATCTACCCTCGCAAAGCTTACTGGCTACATTAAAATGGCTTTCCTATTCCATTGTGTTTATTATCATTTTACTATTCCAGGAGACTCTTACTTAGGCAAGTTGTTGTCAAAATTCTCACCTTGCTATTTCCACAATTTTTAAACTGTGTCATGACCTGCCCTAGCCAAATCCCTGTATTGACACACTTTAAATTTCAATAAAATCTGATCTTGACCTCCTTCAAAGAAACTACCAAACTCCATCAAGGTGGTGGCCTCCCTTACCACAGTAAACAATAAATTCAACTTAATCTTATTATCAGGTTATATGTTGTTGGTTTTTTTTGTTGAGATGGAGTCTCGCTGTGTCCCCAAGGCTGGAGTACAGTGGTATGATCTTGGCTCACTGCAACCTCTGCATCCTGGGTTCGAGCAATTCTTATGCCTCAGCCTCTCAAGTAGCTGGGATTACAGGCGTGCACCATCATGCCTGGCTAATTTTTGTATTTTTAGTAGAGATGGGGGTTTCACCGTGTTGGCCAGGCTGGTCTTTAACTCTTGACCTCAAGTGATCCACCTGCCTTGGCGTCCCAAAATGCTGGGATTACAGGCATGAGCCACTGCACCAGTCTCAGGTTGTATTGAGATAACTGGGGAAGTGGCATTTGATAGCCTCTATGCTTGTATGTGTTAATGTGTGCAAGAAGAAAGGTGCAGAAGTAACCACATCAGACTATTAAAGCTGATTGCCTAGTGGGGGAGGTGAATGCTAAATTAATTTTCTTTGTATTATTTCGCTGGTTGTGGTGGATACATGTCCATTTTATAATCCTAGAAGAGGAATTTAATTAAAATTTTTACAAGAGAATTAAGAAATACATGTATTTGCTTGAGGGACTATGAGTCTGTTCACTTTGAGGTTTATAATCCCACAGTGAGCCTTGCTTCATAACTGCGTTTGGGTTCACAAAGAGGCCTCGTTCTTGTGTATAGCAAAATTAGTGTTTAGAAACGGAAAACTTGCTTCCCTGTAGTTGCCAGACTTAGTTGCCTTGTATTATTCAACTTAGCCCTTACGGAAAGTGACGCAGAACACAAACACCTTCTTGCATAAAGCGGCTCAGGCATTTGGAACACGTCACTTTCCTTCTATGAAGCTCAATGTCCTAAACAACACCAGGGATGAATACAGTTCACCTGGACCAAGGTTTAGCGATTCTAGCCCTATCAGTCATTATTCCTGACCCTATGCTCTATCATTTTTCATTACTCCTCCCCAGGCAAAACAGATTCACACACTATATGACAGTATATACAAATAAGAACAGAAATTGTACTTTATCTAGTTTGATGCAGGCTCTTAGTAAATTTTAAGAAAAGGATTAGATGTGCCCATTTCTTCAAGAATAAGATTGACTCCTAAAATTCTTGTGGGAAAAACATTTATTCATAAAGGGAGAGTATGTCTCTACCTTTCTGCTAAGTAAACCAAAGATATTTCCCCCAAGTATTACACCACATCACTCTCAATGAAGGTTAAGTCAAGCACAAATGAAGATTGCTGCCTTGTAATGTACGAGACAGAAAAGCCGTTTCAGAGAGAGAAAAAAAAAATATTCAGCTTTTCCTATTATTCCCATTGATGGTGACTTTCTTTTTAGAAGAATGACAATTGCGTGCTGGGTGTATATGCCTGTACCGATGATCTAAATCAAGACCAGTATGGCCTCATATTGTTCCTCAGGAATGAAATAATAGAGATTATTAAAAGCCTAATAGACTAGTGGTTCTCAAACTTGAGTATATATCAGAATCATCTGGAGCGTATGTTCTATTAGGGGGCCCCACCCTCAGAGTTTCTGATTCAGCAGGTCTGGGATGAGGCATGAGAATGTGCATTTCCAATGTTTCCAAGTCATGCTGATGCTGCTAGTTTGGGGACCACACTCTGAGAAACACTGGTTTCAAAACTGTCAATGATTGAAGGGCCCTTAAAAGCCATCTCCAGTCTATTTCTTGACTTTGAGAATCTTTCTGGATGTTTTAATGACATTTAATTTACAAGCAATTTTTTCTAACATACTGCAAACCTTTGACAACACGACAGTATGTCTCAACTACACAGCTTGCAATTACAGGACGACTCACTTATTCTTCACGTTTTATAGAGGAAATCAAAACTCAAATAAGGCTGTGGCAAAATCCAGAATAACCCACACATTTGACTCCCAATTAAGGGCCATGATCCTAATTTCTCATCTGAATAATTACACTTAAAGATAAATAAGCAGCCTTAGAGGGAAAAAGGTCTTTTAAAACCTTTATATTCCTGCTACAGTACATCTGGTTCCAGTATATTCTGGCTATATAATATCTCTAATGGGAAATTGAGAGGTTCATATTTAAAACACCCCATTTTAAGGGTCTGACCTATGAAAATAGTCTGAGAATCATGTTTCTGGTGGCATAACTCAGGCAGATCCAGCTGTGATGTGTGCCAACTCGGGTCCACGTAGCAGACTGACACTAGAGTAAGAGGCCAGGCTTGGATAGGGGGGCAGTCAGGCGTCTGTTCCTTCAGGTGGCACTGGTGGTGGCTCTAGACTCTCCACATGGGAAGTGCTTAGGAATTCCAGTCTGGTTGGATATGGAACTGGAGGACTTGAAGATATAATTGCACGCTAAGCCTACTCTGTCCAGCACCTATGGAGATGATGGGGTGTAAAAACCTCTTTCTCAGAAAACACGTGGTCTTATCAATGTGTGGGGCAAACATGAACTTGGTCACTACGTATACATATGGCATTATATCTGATGGGTGGATGATGGCAGTAGTGATATCTAAGTCAGTAGCCTTTAGGAACCATCAGTAGCTGGGACCTAAGGACCCCATTCTGGCCCTTGCAGAGGACTGTGAAGGAAGAGCCAGAGTAGCAGGGCCCAGCCAAGAAAACTGGGTCTCAGTGGAAAGGCTCACGGGAACTAGAAACCTGAGCCAGGACTTCTCTGTAAGCCCAATTGTGTCAGCAAGTGCCAGGTAAATGGGTGCCTGAAGCTTATCAACAAGATCAGTTCCAGGCCTCACTCACTGAGGGGAGGTGGGGAAGCTCCAAGGAATATGGGGTCTGGAATCAAACAAATCTAACTTCCAACTTTTGGTGCACAGCTCTTTGCTCTTCAATCTCTTCTTTGCATTATCTTTATTTGTCAAATGGGAACAAGAACTATGCCTTCCTCACGTTCTTGTAATTGAATAAAATAACGCAATCAGTACATAGCCTGATACTCTTAGATTCCTTCCTCTGTTCCTAAAACACCTTTGACCTTGGAAAGAACTACGCTGATGGGCTCAGCAACTAGAGCTGAACAAGAAGGCTGCCACAACGTGGTAAACAGGTCCGCATAGGCACATGCTCGGGATGGCCCGCCCCATCCTTAGCCCTCGCGATGGCCCGTCTTCTTGTTAGTGCATGCTCACTCTGCTGCCACCTCAATTATCACCTGGACTGTTTACCACCAGTCCCACCCGAAGGAGAAGAGACTCCTGTTCTCAATGATCATCCCTGGCTCTCATTTCCATTATAGCCAAAGAGAATAACACATTCTCCTTGAAGGATTAGAGAACATTCTTCACACAATAGAAATCCTGAACGATGGAGACAGTGGTTTTGAGGGCGTTAGAAACAGCAATGCTTCTGAAGCCAAGGAGAGATTGCAAAGAGCACAAAAAATACAGAAAATACAGAAATAGAAGCAAGCAAAGATGATTGTTTTCTTTGAACTGATACCAAATCATCTCAGTAAGAGAAACTAATATGGGTATACTGTTTCATGGAGGTCTCCAATCCTATTGCAGTTAGCAAATCCGAGAAACCAACCGAGAAGGGAAACTTCTCCTGAACTCTCAGACTACTGGAAATTAACAAACGAGTTGACATTTAGAGAGACAAAGAAGTTTCTCAGGACTGTATTCTGTGTGGATCAAATTTCCTTCAGGATTCACAGCAGTATGCGGCATTGGCAAATCCTCACATGTAAAAGCAAGGATCCTGGAGTTCTCCTTAGATCATTCTAAAAAAGGAAGCTTTCACCAACCCAGCAGTGTTGAAGGAAAACTCTCCCATTTTGATCCTATCATCATCACATCACCAGTTCCTTAAGAAAGAATCGGCCGGGCACGGTGGCTCACGCCTGTAATCCCAGCACTTTGGGAGGCCGAGACAGGCAGATCACGAGGTCAGGAGATCGAGACCATCCTGGCTAACAGTGAAACCTTGTATCTACTAAAAATACAATAAATTAGCCGGGCATGGTGGCGGGCACCTGTAGTCCCAGCTACTTGGGAGGTTGAGGCAGGAGAGTGGCGTGAAACGGGTGGGGGGGAGGTGGGCAGAGCTTGCAGTGAGCTGAGATCGCGCCACTGCACTCCAGCCTGGGCAATAGTGTGAGACTCCGTCTCAAAAAAAAAAAAAAAATTGCCCATCTTTGTGCTATTTTTTTGAGAACTTTAAAAAAGATATTGAGACAAATGTTACAATCAAACACAAAAAGTGTGAGCCTTGAAAAGATCCTGGCTAAAACTAAACAAATACAAGATGATGTTAGGACAGTTGGGAAAATGTGACTATGGCTTGTTTCTTAGATATCAGGGAACTATTGTTAGTTAATTCCTTTTGGTATGATATAGGACTGTGGTTGGCTACAAGATACGCTTATTCTTAGATTTGTGCTGAAATACTAGGTGCGAAGTATCGTAATGACTGACGGCACCTTATTTTCCAATGGTTTGGTAAAATAAAACGGGGTGGGGATGAACTATTAATCATTGTTGAATCTCAGGTGGAGGGTATATAGGTGTTCATTGAACCAGTCTTTCGATGGAATATTTTTGAAATCTTTCAAAATCAAAAGGCATAAATAGCAATAGAGAGAGATTTTCCAACTAAGAAACAGAATTTAAGGCTGAGCAGGGACTTCATATGGCTTGGCCCATGGCAGCATCTCTTCTGCTGTTTGTTTAATAAAGTCATGGGTGCAACAGGCTCCCCTGGTGGACATAGCTGGACCACTTCAAGGAGACTGGCTCTCTCGACCTCTCCCTTTTTTTCCCTATCCAGTGTTCAGTAGCAAGAGCCTGCCCAGCCCTCTGCAGGAAACTGCCACTTCAGGCACAAGGGTTTCAATCCTCTAGAATTCAAAGAAAGAGGCTGCATTTGTCAAGCTAAATTATTTCTTTATTAGGAAAGCACCAACACCACATTCTTCGAAATTACTGGAATTTTATTTGCCTCAGGCTTATGACTTGCAACCAAAGACATTGTGCAAAGAAAGCAAAGATTAAGTACACTTTAGGGAGAAGGAGACGATACACATTGGTAACATAGGAGATCAGGGTGACAAAAGAAGCCATCCAATACACTATATAGATTGCAATATTCAATAGCGCTTTCAACAAAACTTTTTTTTAAATCAAGAGCAAAAAAATTAAGCAATGTTTACAGTAGACATAAATCTTATACAATTCAAAAAGCTTTTGTTCAGATCATAGAGCATAAAATGGAAAAATGTATATGCAGGTGAAATCTAACTACTGTACATTTATCACCTATTAAAGTTGCTTATATGTACCACAGTGTAAAAAAACAATACCGAACAAATAAAAACCTCGAAAATTGCCTGATGAAAAATAAAATAACCAGTGGCTTTTAATGGCTTCTCCTGGTTATCAGTGCTACAAAAGACAAAAATCTTCTCATCTGAACAGGTGATAAAACCAGGCACAATCAAACCGTTACCAAATTAGACCCACCCATAGAAATATACTATCCACCCACATATTTTCCATCAAAAGCTTTTTGTTTGTTTCAATCTGAATCTTTGAGGCCCATTTGGTCACAATATGTTACAAATATTTGTGTATGTGTGTGTTTTTTACACCATGATATCATATGTTTGTCTGGCACTATCCTAAAGCTAGTTTATAGACGATGATGATATAGAAACAACCCAGTGCCTATATGACAAATGAACTCACTGGGTAGAAATGAGACAGGGGAGGAAGGAATTCAGTTCTACCAAGGAAAAAGGTCCATACTGATCACTCATCATCCGTCCCACTTCCTTCTGACTGTTCCTAAAAGTAAAAATAAGAAGATAAAATGAAGTAACATCACATGCAAGAAAAAGAAGATATAACAACAAACCATCAAGAGGCCAGTAGGAAAAAATGACATTTTGGAAACAACTCGCCAAATCTCTTTCCGTGGGAGGACAGAAACACATTAAAGAGGCATCGACAGTCTCTAAGCTGAGAAGTTTTTCTTACTGAAAAACCCCAAAGCAAAGCCCACCCTCTAAGCTATTGTTTGTGCCCTTTCACTTTGGCTTGAAAGGTTTATGGCTAATATTTTCTCTTTTTCAGCCCCAGGTTTTAGAAAATTCATGGGAGAAAAAAAAATACCCTGCATTTGACATCTCCTAAAGAAAAATGTATTTGAAAATGCTTGCATCAAGGGTTAAGGCTGGGGTGAGATCATAATTCTGAAATTTTACCAAAATGGTAATGTGTTGAAGGAAAATCAAACTAGGAAAAGGGAAATTTATCTTTCCAGAAAGAAAATAATGTGGGTGCCAGGAAACCATCCTCTGGAAAGTGAATGGATGAAATGAAGGGTATTTCAAAAGGCAAGGTATTAGGAGCTTCTGCCCACTCTTCTACCTTGCTGCCCAGTCAGACATAGCACACTAGACTGAGTTATGCTACTCGGGTCCGAATTCCACCTCTGCGACGTGATCTGTAGCAAAACACCCATAACCTAACCATTTCCATAACATGTTATTTGAGAGTGACATCTATCTCACGATGCCGACATCAGTATTTAATATGCTACCACACAGGGAGGTACCTATTACAAGGCCTGGCTCAATAGATGCTCACTGAATTTTTCAAATATGAAAAATAACACCCCTAGGTACTTAAAAAGTCCTTTGAGTTTTTACATGGTCCCTTAAGTAGCAACTCGAGCCAATAACTCTGACGTCATAACAGTTTTTCTCATTCTTCCATCTAATCTACTGTTATGTACCAGGCACCATGCTGGCTGTGATGCATGTAAAATATTAACTGGCTACGGGGAAAACCATATTTATAAGAAAGCATGTGGGAAGATTAAAAAGGGGGAAAGGGAAGCTTGATTTGGTAGTTTTTCATTTTTGAAGACTATTAAAAAGGCAATAAACAAAGCCCCCAATCCTTTGTTCTAAATCATACAGCTCCGTTCACATCCCTCAATAATGAAATCTCACTAAATCCTGACATTTCCAGTCCTGGGTAATAAAGCGAAAAGGCTGAAGGGGCATGGAAATGCAAGAGGCCAGCAAGCAGGGGAGAGGGCGTCTCCGCCTTCAGTCCCAGTCGGCTACACTTACACGTTCATCCTGCTCCTCATCGCTGTCAAAATCGCTCACTACAGGTTTGGCTTTTCCTCGATTTGGCCTTTTCTTGCCTTTCCCTTTGTCCCGGCCTTTGTCATCTTTTTTATTGAGCTTAATTTTCACCTTGACTGATTTTGCTAAAACCAAAGCAAATGAAATAGACACCAGTGAGTAATCACAAGGAGATCTTTGTATAGGTGGTAAGACTATCACCAACCTACAGACAACACAAACATCCCAGAGTGCCCAGAACATTCCCGGTTTATGCCTGTTCTGTGTGGTTCTGTCTAGTCAGCGACCCCTTTCACTTGCCAACCTGTCTTCTTTTGGAAGATAAATGATGTAGTCACGCTAAACAGGCAACAAGAGGGACCGAGGTCTCATGGAGGACAGTGGGGCTGGATCCTTCACCTGTCTCCCAATGGCTGACCAAGGATAATGAGGGGAAGTGTTTTCTACTTGTGGAGGTGTTGGGCAATCATTTAATAGAACTTTTACATTAAAAATATAAATAAATGTAAAGAGTTTAAAGGCCAATAATTTTACCATGTAGATAACTCCATTGACTTAAAAAGAAAATTCAAATAGTTCAATCATATTTTTAACATAAAGGTACAAAATGGAAAGTAAAAAGAAAACACTTTTGAATGCTTCCTTTCCCCCATTCCTAGTCTCTTTCCCTATAACTAATTATTTCCAGGAAAAAAAATGTTTATGTCCATACCTGCAAGTACATCCATTTCTCTCTCTCTGTGTGTATGTGTGTGTGTGTGATTCTACATATTCTATAAAAGTCTCTCTATAGAATATAAAGAATTCAAGTAAGTATATATACACACGTACATACTTGAATTCTTTATGTAGTTATCCCAAAGGGATCTTTATACATGTCCATATTCTCCACTTGGCTGTTTACTCACATATGTGGGATATTTATAGGTAAAGCCTCATACATACCTGCCTAATTCTTTTAAATACCTGAAAATTTTCCATCGTATGGTATACTATAATTTATTTAATCAGTCTCATATGATGAGGGCTGAAGTTTGCTGCTTTTTTTGCTAGTATAAACAAAGCTGCTGTGAACCTATTTCAATGTATCTTGGTAGAATTTGAGGGAGGTATGGTGGACATGTCCATATGGTAAATTTCTAACAGTGCTCTGTCAGATTAGCCTTCAGAAAGACTGCACCCATTTCCACCTTCACAGGACTATTCTGGGGATACCAATGGAAACACTTGGAAGAGTTCAAGGTACAATATCACAAATATAGGTACATATCCCAAAGAACAAAGACAATCTGCTCCATGGTAGCTATTTGGGATAGGTATCCACAGAATACCATTTTTGGTATTTGATGATGAAGGCACTGAAAATGTGGGTCTCTCATTCAAGCTAGCTTTGCTAGACTACCATGTTTGGTGGGTCTCAAGGCATCTAGAAATAGATGTTGTCATAGAGGGAATCCTAGCTCCAGAAGGAGATGAGAGTGTTTGTTTCAGACTTCTTTTGTGAAGTAGAGGGACCCACAAAATATTTCCAAAACTAAAATCTCCCACAGAAACATAAGCTAACAGAAGAGATGAGAGCTGTGCTGTTATGAACTCAAGTGTGGTGGTAGCATTTGCCTTTCCTCCATTCCAAATCCTAATACACAAAATAGTACTCCTAGCCAAGGCTTCTATCTATTATACCCACTGTCTGCTGCTTGACAAGCTATAAGGTGGGGCCCTTTGCTTTGGGTGGAGTAACTTAGGAGAAGAAGAAGAGACTGGAGATGAAAAGGCCTACCTACTAATGAAAACGGAAAGATGTAGGACGTCGAAAGAAATAGATGAAAGAAGCCAGTCATAATGGGCATTTCTAAACAGTGTGGAAAGACAAAGTGAAATATGTCCATTTATACAGGTGTGGGCTCTCCCTGACACAGGAGTATAGGAAATGAATGGGCAGAAGACAGGCAATAGGGGTAAGAAAATGTATCCTTGAGAGCGTAATCTAAATGTGCCTTGGAGTGTGGCGCACTCTAATGCTGTCAGGCACGCGTCAGTGGATATGTCTCTCCAAAAAACCCACCTGACAGACTATGGACAAGCAGGCTAATAAACTGGACCATTAGGTGAGCCCTATAAACAGCTTCCTAAGGTTTTATGATACAACCATATGCACCTATGAAAAGTTCTAGCTACCAAGTGTGGTGGACAGAATATCATCTCCTCACAAGATGTCCATATCCTAATCCAAGAACCTCTGAATATGTTATATTACATGGCAAAAGGAATTTTAGACTGTTAATTGTCTGACCCTGAGATGGGGAAATTATAGTGGATTATCCAGGTGGGCCCAGTCTAATCATCTGCATCCTTAAACGTGGAAGAGGAAGACGCAAAAGAGAGATTCATGGAGACACAACATGAGAAGGACTGTACCTGTCATTGCTGGCTTTAAAGTTGGAACAAGGGGTAGGGGTGGGGAGGCAATGAGCCAAAGAACACTGTTGGGAACAGCCTTCCACTGGCAGCCAGCAAGAAAGTGGGAACTTTGTTTCTACGAACACAAGAAATTGAACTCTGCTGAGAACCAGGATGAACAAGGAAATGGGATTCCTATCTAGAGCATCCAGAAAGGAATGCAGGCTGCTGACACATTGATCTTAGTCCAGGGAGACTCATGCTGAACCTGTGACCCACAAGAGGTAATAAGTTTGTGTTGTATTAAAGTCACTAAGTTTGTGGTAATTTGTTATAGCAGCAATAGAAAATTAATATACCAAGGCTTGAGAAATTAAACTAAATTGATGGATGGGGGAAGAGAGCAGCTCTTTGAAAACAGATTAGAAATCTGGCTCTAAAATAATGAAATATATAGCTAAAATAGATGATGCAGATGTATTCAAATGCTAGAACAAAGGAATAACTACATGAATTTGGGACAGTTTAAATTCATAACAAATAAAAGGCAGAATCACTAACTAGAATATAGATAATAGAAAATGACGTTGGGAAAGAGTCGCTTATGTATGTTGAGGGCAAGAATGGAAACTCCATTCTCTGTGGCAATGTGTATACATCACATACATTTTACATCTTTTCAATAATCTATGGGTAAAATGCTCAGGACAGCATTATTGGGAAACAGCCTGATTAACAGAGTATAATTAACACGTTACAGTACATTCACATTCATTAATGAATGTTAATATGTATTATACATATTAATATATGTTGCTGTAGAAAAACCCTCATTGCCATGGAAAGTGTTCATAATAAGTACAAAAATCATTACATTTTCCAAATCATCTGTATTAACATGTAATTAGAAACCTAATAATTTTTTAAAAGCATGTCTATACTTTTAATATATTTGAAAAGGTAAAAAAACGTGTAATTCTATATCTCTACATACATGTAATATTTTGAGACGTTACCTTTTTTTCCACACATAAATTTGTTTATAAAAACATAGCACACAGTTTTGTGGCATGATTTTTGTACTTATTATGAATATATTGATCAGGCTTGTCTCAAACTGGTGACTTCAAGTGATCCAGCCACCTCAGCTTCCCAAAGTGCTAGGATTACAGGCATGAGCCACTGGGCTCGGCTTATACTGTAAAACATAGGTTTTAGTACTTTACTTTGAGAGGTATACAGTGAAGACACACATAGGAAAGAAGAAATTTTATGTTTTAAAATATTTATTAATTATATTTAAAATTTTTTTTTTAGATAGAGTTTTGTTCTGTTGCCCAGGCTGGAGGGCAGCGGTATGATCATAGCTCACTGCAGCCTTGAACACCTAGACTAAGCAATCCTCCTGCCTCAGCTTCCTGAGTAGCTGGGACTATAGACACGTGCCACCACACTTGGCTATTTCTTTTTACAAACATTTTTGTAGAGATAGGGTCTTGCTATGTTATCCAGGCTGGTCTTGAACTCCTAGCCTCAAGCTATCCTTCTGCCTCAGCCTCCCAGAGTGCTCGGATTATATTTGTGAGCCAACATGCCTCACTAAGAAGAAATTTTCAACTTCTGACAGCACCCTTAACCTTTGGAATATTTGGGTTATCAGTCACGGCTGGAACTAGGGTCAAACAATGGAGGCACGCACCTTGGGTGTAAAATTTAAGGGGGCACCAAAACCCAGTCATCAACTAATATCCTAAAAGGTAAATATTTTAAAAACCCAAATTAATGCCCCCCAAATCCATGATAAACAAACTATCAACATTTTAAATAAAGACAGTACCCTGTCATCACCCCTCTTCCCCTGGCAAAAAAAAAATTCTATGCAAAATTCACAGTTCCAACTCAGTTTGACAATTATTTTCTAAAGCTGTGATTCTCAAGGTGTGGTCCTTGGCCCAACATCATCAGTTCCCCCTGGGAATTTGCCAGAAATACGGATTCTCAGGCCCCACAACAGGCTACTGGATCAAACACTGGCATATTCTTCAAGCCCTCCAGGTTTGAGAACCACCGTGGTAAAGAAGAGAAGATAGGTGGCATTAGCAGCAGTGTTGTAGAAAATGTGTAGTAGGCTAATATTCAAAGGCAACATTCAGAAAGTGTTTGCAGGTCAGGTGTGGCGGCTTGTGCCTATAATCCCAGCACTTTGGGAGGCCGAGGCGGGTGGATCACGTGAGGCCAGGAGTTTGAGACCAGCCTTGCCAACATGGTGACACTCCATCTCTACTAAAAATATAAAAATTAGCCGGGCGTGGTGGCACACGCCTGTAATTCCAGCTACTCGGGAGGCTGAGGCAGGTGAATCACTTGAACCTGGGAGGTGGAGGTTGCAGTGAGCTACTGGGAGGTGGAGGTTGCAGTGAGCTAAGATCATGCCACTGCACTCCGGCCTGGGTGACAGAGTGAGACCCTGTCTCAAAAATAAATAAATAAAAGAAATAAAACAGTGTTTGCTAGGAGCCCAGCCTATGCTAAACATTTTACATGCTTGGAGGTCATTTTTATGACCTCAGTTTTATAGATGAGAAAACTGAGCATGAGCAGGGATAAGGACATGGCCACCGGTTGCCCAGCAAGGACAAAGTGGAATAAGGGCTCCAATCCAGATCTGCCCCACTCTAAAGTCTCTTCTGTGAACATCTGTGGAGACAGCTATGCAGGTGAGGAGGGGCAAAGATGTACAGGACCCGAATGTCTGGGCTTACCCTCGGACTCTGACTCTTCTTCATCTTCCTCTTCCTCCTCTTCATTGCTTTCATCCTCACTCTCTTCCTCTTTGGCAATTTTCTGCCGGGCACTCTTAAACACTGACTGTAAGACGATGGAGTCTTCATAGATCTAAATGGTCAAAGGGGCATCTGTTAAAACTGCAAGCTGAGTTACCATGGCAGTGAACTCTTCCTTATGCAATACACCAGCTTAATTCACATGAATTTTAGTAGAAATGTCACCGTTAGCTTTTATGCCCACATGAAAACCCAGTAGCAAAACGCCAAGCCCAAATACAGACATACACATTCATACAGAAAGTCCAAATGCAGTTGAAATTATTTCAAAGTGCATGGATGCTTGGAGGAGAATAGTAGATAAAATATCCTCATATTGGACAACAAAAATGGTATTTTTTAAAACTACATTTCTTATTTGAATTGTTCTACCAAATGCTGTAGTAAGACTGTGGTAAAGCAATCTTCTTTAAAATGCAGTGCCCCTAGCAAGTGGGGGCTATTCCTTATTACTGAGTTTATCAGTAGCAGCCAACACTTATCCAATCAACACTCTATTTTTAATGGATACACATGTCTGAGCATGGCCCTGGGTAGGTGCTGAAAGATATAAGTTCAAAAATGGTCCTTTTCCTCAAAAAATTGAAAATAGAACTACTATATGATCCAGCAGCCCCACTTCTGGGTATATAAAGAATCACAAGAGGCGTCTTGAAAAGACATTGGCACACCCATGTTCCTAGCAGCATTATTCACAATAGCCAAGAGGTGGAAGCAACCCAAGGGTCCATCGACAAATGAGTGGATAAGCAACTATAGTCTATACATTTAATGGAATATTATTCAGTCTTAAAAAGGAAGGAAATCCTGTAACTGGAGGATTGTTACGCTAAGTCCATAAGTGCATAAGCCAGTCACAAAAAGACAAGTAACTCTATGATTCTACTCATACGAAGTATCTAAAATGGGCAAATTCATAGAAACAGAAAGTGCCATGGTGGGTGCCAGGGGCTGGGGGAAGGAGATGAGAGTTAGTTGTTCGTAGGCACGCAGTTTCAGAGTCGCAAGATTAAAAAGTTCTGAAGATCTGTTGCCCATCAAAGTGAATATACTTAACACTACTGAACTGTATACTGAAAAATTATGATAAATTTTGTTATGTCTCTTAATCACAGTGTTTTAAAAATTTAAAGGAAAATAAAACAACCCCTGCTCTTTAGGAACATATTCCTTTTATTGTAAAGAAGACCTACTCGTTCAAAAAAGTGACTGGGCAAATTGCAGTTTGCACCAAATGAACAATATAGGCAGTGAGTATGAGTATGACAGAACAAAGGACCCGCGCGAGAGAGAGAGAGGATGGGACCATCAGGGCAGAATTTTCCAGAGACATCAGAGTTGAGCTGGATCTTAAAGATGAGAAGAATTCCTTCAGCGGTGAGAAATGAGGGGCTTTTTAGAAAGGAAAACAAATGAGAAAGATGAGGAGGCAAGAATAAAAGAGATGCATCTGGGAATTGTATTGATGTCAATTTTCTGCTTAAGATATTGTCTTGGGCCAGGTGTGGTACTCACACCTGTAATCCTAGCACTTTAGGAGGCTGAGGTGGGTAGATCACGAGGTCAGGAGTTCGAGACCAGCCCGGCCAACATGGTGAAACCCCATCTCTACTAAAAAAAATACAAAAATTAGCCGGGCATGGTGGTGCATGCCTTAATCCCAGCTACTTGGGAGGGTGAGGCAGAAGAATTGCTTGAACCCAGGAGGCAGAGTTTGCAGCGAGCCGAGATGGCACCACTGCATTCCAGCCTGGGCAACAGAGTGAGACTCCATCTCAAAAAAAAAAAAAAAAAGATATTATCCTATGTTTTGCAAGATGTTTCCATCTTGAGAAGTAAAAGGTACACAGAATCTCTCTGTACTGTATCTTACAACTGCATGTGAGTCTCGAATGATCTTAAAGAGTAAAAGAAATGTAACTGGGGAAGCAGGTGATCATAGTATCAGTCCGAATGGACTATGGGCTGTTTAGGTTGAGGAGTAGCAGATGAAGCTAAAGACTTACCTTAGACCTCAGCAAGCAGTCTACAGAGATGAAATTCATTCTAGACAGTGCAGGGGAACCTCAAAGGTTGGGAAGAGAGGCAGTAAATGAACAGGATAGGAAGGTGGCTAGAGAAAGACAAATTAGTGTCCAGATGGCCTGGGGGAGAAACCAGTCAAGAGGCCACTTGACACCTTATTTCAGTTGTGAGACAGTCAGAGTGAAAACAGATAGGAAGGTTGTAGAAAAAAGGACTGGATGTATATCATAATAATGCCATATTGACATAAAGAATCCAAATATCTATCCAGAGACTAAAACAAACTGTCTGTCATTCACAAAACCTTCTTTGTTGATTCTTCTACTTTCTATGTCCTGGCTTCAAGCTTAACTTTTTCCTTGGAGAGTGTCTTGAGTAACAGAAGGCTTGCTTTCAAGACCTCCTGTTTTGGTCAAGATACTACTACTATTAACTTGGAAATGTTTAAGTCTGTTCAAGGCACATTCTGAAGATTTCTCTATTCCTTTGTTTGATGACTGAAATTGATGTGCAGGCAGAAGGGTATGATCAGGAAACAGGCTTAAGGAATTTAAAGGTGGCTTGACACTGCATTGGTTGAGGGGTACATCTTTGTCTTTTTCTTTCTTCTTCATGGGTCTGAAGGCATCAGGCCAGAGATACAGACAGGAAAAAAGTCCTACATAAGGTGACAGTAATTGAGGTGTAATTAAAATGAAAGTGCCCTCACCTTGGTTATTTTAATAAATTCAGTTCATTTATATACTCTTAGAATTGTTGACTGTGGAGAAGGGGAGTAAAAAGAGAATTGCAATTGGGCTGATAAAAAGGATTAAAAAGCAATTAGAGGCAGTGTTTCTTTTTTTCCTATAGTTTGTTTTGTCTTAAATTCTAGTAGTTTCAGCTCCTGATCCAAGAGTACAATCAGAAAAATAAAGGTAAATGTAATCAAATATACAATCTCCAAAAAAGCAAAAATGGTACTGC
Source organism: Homo sapiens (assembly GCF_000001405.40). NCBI lineage: Eukaryota > Metazoa > Chordata > Mammalia > Primates > Hominidae > Homo > Homo sapiens. The sequence continues at coordinate 2,183,156 of NC_000009.12, read as the reverse complement.
CAGCCTTTCAGCATTACCTTCAATGATTTACTTGAATCCCTCCTCTAATTAGAATATAAGCTTTGAGGCCTGGCACAGTGGTGCACACCTGTAATCCCAGCACTTTGGGAGGCTGAGGTGGGCAGATCACCTGAGGTCAGGAGTTCAAGACCAGCCTGGCTAACATGGTGAAACCCCGTCTCTACTAAAAATACAAAAATTTGCCTGGCGTGGTGGCGCATGCCTGTAATCCCAGCTACTCAGGAGGCTAAGGCAGGAAAATCCCTTGAACCAGGGAGGTGGAAGTTGCAGTGAGCCGAGATCATGCCACTGCACTCCAGCCTGGGCGAGACTCCATCTCGAAAAAAAAATATATGCTTTGAGGCCGGGTGTGGTGGCTCATGCCTGTAATCCCAACACTTTGGGAGGCCGAGGCAGGCGGATCACCTGAGGTCAGGAGTTCAAGACCAGCCTGGCCAACATGGTGAAACTCCATCTGTACTACAAATACAAAAATCAGCCAGGCATGGTGGTGGGTGCCTGTAATCCCAGGTACTTGGGAGGCTGAGAGCAGAAGAATGGCTTGAACCTGGGAGGCGGAGGTTGCCATGAGCCGAGAAGGCACCACTGCACTCCAGCCTGGGAGACAGTGAAATTCTGCCTCAAAAAAGGAAAAAAAAAAAAAAAAAAAAAAAAAAAGACTATAAGCTTTGAAAAGAAGTGTGAGTAGGCGCTAGCACAGCTGTGGTACAAAGGTAATCTGCAGATGCCAAAGCCTCTATTTTCTTACACAGGTAGCAAGGAACATAGGCTTTTAGTTATTTTTCTTCTGCCAGTAGCAATGATTCAAGAGGTAGAAAATGAAATATTCTACTTAAAAAGAACAACGGGCACATTTACAGTTAAGAACTTTTAGACAACTTAACAAGACAGACCTGGGATCCCTCCAGGTTGAACGTCTGAGCGTTGTGACAGAGAAGCATGACATCCTTCTCCAGGTCGCCTAGGCTCCGGTACTTATGATTACGAATCCTTTCCTGATGGAAATTTTGGAGAAAATGGAGAAAAAAAGAGGGAGAGGAAAATTCAGCGATCATTACTTAGTTAACAAAGCCTGATTTTCCCTTTGTCTTCACAGCATAAAGCCCTGCCAGGGATCTGGGACTGCATAACCCCAGGGGGCGCCATTCACCAAGTCCACCCTCCCACTCCCACTGTCATTCCTTTTGCCAAGGAGGAGCATATGATGGGAAATGAGAAGAGCAATAATGTGGGCAGGGGGAGCAGGGAGCCTGAAAGCTCTTCAATAAAATGCAATATAACGTGAGCTCTCAACATGATTAAGTAACACTCACGGAAAAGCACAAGGACATCCCAACCTTTCCTGTCGCGAGCCCTGGGTACCCATCAGTGGCGGTCAGCTCCAACTACAACCATTTCAATGACTTTACACTGCTCCTTTATTTACTTGAAGAATAAAGTTGGTAAACAAAATATCTACCTTTATTTTTTTGAAATCCACTGGCTTCCTAATTAATTCATAGTATTCTGGTAATTCTTTCCTTGAAGGTAACTGAATGAAGACTTCACTGAGCTGTCGCCCTGAACTGTAGGATGGGTGAAACAAACAAAAACAAGCCACATCAAACATTACTGAGGAAAGGTTTTATTTTTATTTCAGAACATGTCAACAAAGTAAATTATATTCCACGCATATAGATATGGAGCTTTTTAAGTCAGGAAAAATCCCACAACTCTATTGGAGATTGATGTCCCTTGTGATAATTTTAAGATCACAGTAAAATACAATTTGGTCCCCACTTCTGTCACACATACAATATGGGAAATACACTGTGGATTTCCCTTTCAGAGCAAATATATCTCTTTATTTTGATAGAAATATTTAAAATATCCTTGTTAGCTAAAAATTTCATTTTTAAATGAATTGGTAAATATATATGTATATATATACACGTACATATATATAAAAATATACATATTTAAACATTGTATTTCCATACTCCTTTGTTTTCAAATTCACATTGTATTTAGAAAGTAACTCAAAATAATATGTTAGAATATACTCTGGAAACTCAAGTGAAAAGCCTTCGTACGTACCTACTGGCTGACTATTTTCTTGGTCTTATTCCTTTAGGGTATTTTACATACTGTAAACCACACATACCTTTATTATTACTTGCCAGAGGAACCCCTTCATCTTGCCTAACTGCCATTGTGTGTGTGTAGAGCAATTTGGGTGAAAGAAGAACATGTTTCACAAGCTTAAGTGTGGATGCTTCACATTTCTGGGATTAGTGCTGTACCCTCCCCCAAATTCATGGTAAGTTTATTTGAAAGCAGGTTCTATAGCAACAAATGCTTAGCATTTTTGTAATTTTCAAACACAGGCTACAAAGCATATGAGCTTTTAACATCACTTACTGTTGGAAGCAGATGTGGTTAAAGGCACAAAGAGATTCACAATTTAGGTTCAAGATCCTAATATCTGATTTGGTCTACTCAGATCAATAACAGCTTGTGGTGTGTGATACAGTCATTTTTCACAAAAGTCTCACTCCCCTTAGGATGCCATCTCTACTTCCTTTGTGAAGCCAGAAATATCAAAAATTAATCATAAATCACTGCCATAAAAATTTCAGAAGGTGATTCTAGGAGCTTGTGAGAATACTAGAAGGCAGTGGCAAAGCATGAGTGACAACATGCTGTTTTAATCCACAGTCCCAGTTGTATAATTAAAAAGTAATCATAATGACAGTTATCATAAAAAAGGCATGCGCAGTAACTCAAACAGTTGCTTAGCAACCAGTGGAAAAAATGCTGAAGTGCAAAGAGGCCTGCATAAATTAACCGAAAATCCTCTGTCAAAGAGATGGGCTAGTTTTTCTGCTACACTGGGTCATCGTTTTTGTTTTATTTTTTTAATGCACATATGGGCCTCATGAGTACGAAAATCAGGGGTGAACGCAAGAGGTTTAAGAAGACTGCATTTTACTCAGGAATTGGATTTCTGGATCACTGCAGCAAGAACCAAGGTGTTCTCTCACCCTCTCAACCACCCCTACCCCTCACATCTCTTCGAGAAATGCGTTCGTCCTTCCCTAACTTATGCCACATAGTATATGACAAGAACTATTTTATTTACCATCACCTTCAACACAGGGCCACAATTTCTGGTCTGTTCTTTTCCTACCATTCTGAGATTTATACACCCAAACATTTTATCTGTTTGAAAAGGTGCCTATGAAATGCAGTGAGAGTAATTTGTAGAGAGCAACTTGCTTAATGAGCATTCTTTATCAGCTAGCAGCACCCCAAAAGTCAGACCTCTTTGTAATCGCGGATTTAACACCTGACTCTCCCTCAATGACACATCTTCATGGTGTCATCTTCTACATTGCCAACAGATGGTGTCATGTTTCTATTGATGGAGTACAGGCACATCTCTGTACACCTGTGATGGACACACTCTTAATTTTAACTGTGCTACTGGTGAAATAAATAAGAAATAAGCAGTTTGTGACCGATAGTGCAACAAAGCTCTAAGGGGTAAGGCTAAAACAATCTAGGTATGACATCTCTGTCTTCAGTAAGACCCTAAAAATTCTAAACCCCATAAGGAGACAAGTCCAGAGTTCTCTATGCTCATAAAGAAGAGAGCTGAATGCTCTGAGACTTGGGGCCAATACTGTAAAATGAGAAATAAACACATTTATTCTGTTTAAAAAATAAAGGCTCACTGGACTTAATATACCTATCCCACTTTCTTTTTTCCTCTCCTAAGAATAAAGGACAAAGGCAAAAGGAGGACCTGGAAGTTATCTATGGAAGACTTCTTGGGATATGTTGTTTCCATCATCACTGAAATATCTCAGAGTCTGGCTTCCAAAGCCCTCCAGGATATGTCCTCATTCTCTAAAAACCCAACTGGTACCACCAACACACTTCTCTTCTAGTCAGGAGAGTCTCTACTGTGTACCCCCAACTTTCATGGGCAATCCCCTCTTTATGACCCATTCCAGGTCTCCAGGCCTGACCTAGCTCTCACTCCATAGCTGGAAAGTTCTCTGTGGTTTTTTCTCCTCTCCAAGTATTTCCTTATCCCTCCAGGACCAAGAACCCATTGTCCAGAAAAATGGAGGAAATTCTCCTAAATATCAACTACACTTACTCTCAGTCCCCTCATTGCTCAGAACCTAATTCTTCCATGTGTGTTATTGTTTCTCTCCTCCCTACAGGGTGGGGTTCTCTTACAGACATCAAACTCATCCCCCTCCCTCCCAGAGCAAGGGATTGGATGGCCAGCTTCGGCAGACAAAGCCAGGAGGTCCTGGGCAGTACCTAGCTTCCACATTACCTATAGAATACCTTGAGGTAGCACGAACACTTGCTGGAGTAATTTATTTTTTTCCTAAATTACAGGTTAAAAAAAAATTAAACAAACAAACAAAAAAGGAAGTGAAGCAGCCTGACAGTTCTGAATTCTTGTCATTTCTTTCTCTAATTTGAGCTGAGCGAGGGCTTTTTTTTAATACACCTTTTGAAATGTGGTGGTTTTCTATGCACCACCCTGCCCCCGGCCAGAAAGTTGCTTTTTTCCTTTTTAAGTACAGAACAATAGTCTAATTGTACAATGTTGTTTACAGAAGGTGTTCTGTTTCTGTTGAAATGCTTATCCTATCCCAAGGTGTTTTCCATTATGTCATTTTACACAATTTAAGGCCTAAATATAAATTGCTACTTGGAAAGTACACTACTTCCCAGACAAAAATGAGACCCCCTCCCCAAGACCACTGATGGCCTGTGACATCGGATGGATTTTACGTAATGATCTACCTCAGGCTAGAAAGTATGGCTCTGATGAGACATGGGGTAAGTGGGGGAGGGGTACAACTTGAAATACAAGTTTAAAGGCACTCACTGGTCTTACGGTTCACAGGTGTTGGTGGACAAGAACCTCTCCTCTTCATGGAAGTGAACAGACACCGCGACGTGGCCATGAGACCATAGAGTACGAGATGGAAAAGAGCCACATACCACTGTGCAAGTGGTAGTTTGAACTCCTTGTATGCATGGCTTATATACACACACTACTGAGATTTAATTTGTTATGCTTCATCTGGGAACCGTTTTTTTTTTTCCTCATTACCTCCACAAACCAAAAGTATAATTCCACATCTATACTATGACTCTAAACTGGTGACTGCATACATTATAAACTTTACATAAATGTCAGCTTTAGCTTTGATTATATTTTAAGCTTAGAGACATGCTGAAGGCTGATATGCTAGTTAAGAAATCTACCTCTGGCCGGGCACGGTGGCTCATGCCTGTAATCCCAGCACTTTGGGAGGCAGAGGCGGGCCGATCACCTGAGGTCAGGAGTTCGAGACCAGCCTGACCAACATGGAGAAACCCCCTCTCTACTAAAAATACAAAATTAGCTGGGTGTGGTGGCGCATGCCTGTAATCCCGGCTACTAGGGAGGCTGAGGCAGGAGAATTGCTTGAACCCAGGAGGCGGAGGTTGTGGTGAGCTGAGATCGCGCCACTGCACTCCAGCCTGGGCAACGAGAGCGAAACTCAGTTTCAAAAAAAAAAAGAAATCTACTTCTAGAATACTGGTTATGTCTTTTAATGATTTTTTTTTCCAGGACCAGGCGAAAATTGATAATTAGTGAGGGTCTTTTATGGTTTTTCTTTTTTACCTGCTCAAGCTGATCTGTTGACCAGAATAGCTAATAGATAGTGCTGAGAAAGAAATCTTAACCATAGCTGAAATAAATTGTTTATATTAATAAGGGTTAAAATGTGACTATCTTACTTCAATTAGAAAATGATGTCATGATTTAGAATACTCACTTGAGGTTGGAAGGATTTTACAGAAAAGCTATCACAATCCTAAAGGAATCAAACATAGCAAAGTCGTTTGGGAAGAAAACTTTAAAAATTGGGTCAACACTGCAGGGCAGTAGGTGAAGTGTGCTGCTTCTTTTCAGGTTCAGGTTCCTATGAAGTTTAATATATATCATTGAAGAATTTACTAGACCACATTAGTGCCCCTACTTATCAAGAGAGCCTGCAGAAACCTGAGCCAGTCATGAAGCAGGTGTTACAAGCATCTGCACTCCATATTTGCTACTGAGATCTCTCATCTCAGCCTTATTGAGTATTGATTGGTGATAATTCCTAACAAGTTTGGAAATATCATCACCTAGACCCTTGAAGCAAGAGCAAAACAGGGTGGGATGGGAGTAGACTTGTTTGGGTCATGGAATCAGTAGCTGTTAAAATCACCCCAATGTTGGGGCACAGTGGCTCACACCTGCAATCCCCGCCCTATGGGAGGCTGAGGCAGGCTGATCACTTGAGCTCAGGAATTCAAGACCAGCACAGACAACATGGAGAAACCTCATCTCTACAAAAAAAAAAATACAAAACTTAGCCAGGCGTGGTGGCATGTGCCTGTAGTCCCAAGCTACTTGGGAGGCTGAGGTGGGAGGATCGCTTGAGCCCAGGAGGCAGAGGTCGCAGCGAGCTGAGATCATGCCCCTGCAGTCCAGCCTGGTCAACAGAGCTGACTTTGTTGTCTCAACACCACCAAAAAAATCACCCTAATAGTCATAAAGGACTACAGATAAATAATGTCCCTGAGTTACCAAGACAAACAAAGTTCCCTGTTAGGAGACTGAAAAGGGTTCACTCAGCTCAATAAGAAAGGCACCAAGACTTTGTCTAGAGTCTTAAAAACAATCACACTCTGATGCATGATTTTACTTTTGGTAATCTACTCTGGGCTGAAACAGATAATCATCAAGATGTTCATGACAGGATTACTTAAAATAAATAATTCAAAGCAGCCAAAACGTTTAACAGTTGTGGAAAGAACAAGTAATAGAATGCAAGAGAGTCTAAAATTATGTATTTTAAAGAAAAAAATGCTTGTTACGTCATTATAAAAAAAAAAAAAAAAAAAAACAGGCCGGGCGCGGTGGCTCATGCCTGTAATCCCAGCACTTTGGGAGGCCGAGGCAGGTGGATCACCTGAGGTCAGGAGTTCAAGACCAGCCTGACCAACATGGAGAAACCTCATCTTTACCAAAAATAAAAAAATTAGCCGAGTATGGTGGCGCATGGCTATAATCCCAGCTACTCAGGAGGCTGAGGCAGGAGAATCGCTTGAACCCAGGAGACGGAGGTTGCAGAGAGCCGAGATTGTGCCATTTGCACTCCAGCTTGGGCAACAAGAGCGAAACTTCATCTCAAAAAACAAACAAACAAACAAAAAAAACCCAAAAAAACAGAGGATATCAAATTGTAGTGCAGTACAACTTCAACCTCAACAAGGATTTAAAAAAGGCATTGAAAAACGACCAGAAGGAGATATGCCAAAGCATAATGAAAAATAATAATTTACTCTTATTCACCAAAATGAAGATTTATGATTGAATGTAATTTAGAACCATTTTATCCATAAATAAAGTAGGTCCCAACAAACACTTTAATTGGGTTACCTTCATTGAAAACATGCCATAAGTCAAATATCTAATTTTATTTTTCCAAAGAAATTACGTTTAAGGATCATAGGACCAACCTTTATTTTTATCACCATAAGCAGCACGTTTTACCAACTGGCACTTTTTAACTATCACATAAAGCCAAACAAATAAAAGAATACAATCATTACACAAAAGTTTTAATATGTTGTATGTTGCAACCATCAGAATCTTCTTTTCAGTTTCTATGCATTTCTTCAGGATTCTCCCATTGCATTTATTACTACAAAGCAAAGGTGCTTGAAACAGGACGTAAGATCCAGAGAGTGTTTTTGTGTGTGTATTGTTGGGGGGGGGCGGGGACAAGCATTTTCAAAAAATGTTTTTGAGTAGATTTGTCAGCTATCACTCAGCTTTCGGAAATACTGTCTTAGGATGGCTACTTTTCTGCCCTCTTTCTCACTTGACGTTTCATAACAGTGGGTGCAGGTACAGAACTCCACTGCCCATCTGACTAAATGTGATGACAGACAGACACCGGATGACCCGCAGCTTCCTCAGCCGGCCATTTCTACAGTTTTTCCCACCCCACCTTGTAGACGTTACACGCGCTCATGACTCAAAGCGTCCCTGTCTTTCAAAATGTAAGAACCCACACGTTCCCTTCCACTGAATATCCTGTCCTTTGATCCTTTCCTGCCTCTCCATTTCCTTTTTTTTTTTTTTTTTTTTTTTTTTTTGAGAGAGGGTCTCACTCTGTCCCCCAGGCTGGACTGCAGTAGCACGATCAGGGCTCACTGCACTGTAGCCTCGACCTCCCAGGCTCAAGCAATCCTCCCATCTCAGCCTCCTAAGTAGCCAGGACTACTGGAGTATGCCACCACACCCACCTCATTTTTGCATTTTTGTAGAGACAGGCTTCCACCATCTTGCCTCGGGTGGTCTCGGACTCCTGAGCTGAAGCAATCCGCTTGCCTCGGCCTCCCAAAGTGCTGGGAATTACAGGTGTGAGCCACTGTGCCTGGCCTTTGCTTCCCCATTTCTTAATGGTAAAATGCTTCAAAGCTTTTGGCTGAATTGCGACCAAATTAAAAAGCACAAAGCTTCTGCAGACAAAATCAAATGCCTCTCCATCTGTGCCCAAGTCCCACACGCTGCTTTGTTAAATGGGTGGGTCGTGGCAGGCACCGGAGTGCTGCTTTTTCCTACAATGGCTGTTGTAATAAATCCTCAAGGAAGACATATTAGGTGTGATTCTAAAGGAGTGAGACAGATTTTTTTCCCCCATTAATATACAAGGACATATATATATCCAAATAACTGCGATCTCTCAGAGCAATCCCTTTTTAATCAAAACATTTATAGAGTGGTTTGGAAAACAGTGTGTCAGCCCTGTAAGAAAATCCATTTTGTTATTTCCAGCTGAGCCTCCTTCCCTTCCTTCAGAGAGGGGTCCTTTATGCTGGTGTTGGCCTGGAGCTTGAGAGGCAGAGACCCTCGAAAGAGGGGCTTCAGGGCCAGGCTAATGCTGGAAGATAAGGGGAAGCATTCTGTGTCTCGGGAAACAGACGGACTAAGTTTATTTGTGGGCTGCCCACCTGCTGTACGTGGGCATAACTGGCTGAGCACCATAAATAAGTATCGAGTCACCAAGAGTCAAAGCAGCCTGTTTCAGCAAACATTTAAAGTATCAATATTTGTAATGAGGGCAAAATAAAGCACTGGAGTCCACATCTCCGAGCAGATTCTCTCTGCACTGAATGTAATATTTGGGCTCCAATTCAGCATTTCCCAAAGTGTGCTCCACAGAACACTAGCTTAATGGGTTAGTAACAGTGTCCCGTGAAAAGGGGGTTCTTTGGTCAAATAAGTTTGGGAGATGCTGGGTTAAGCAGTTAAACAGCTGACTTTACAGCAAGACTTCCCAGGGCCTCTGGCTGTACTGGGAATCTCCAAGAAGGAGTAGGAAGGCTAGAGTTGGAAGAACTCACTCTGGGAAGCATCATGAAATGCTCATGCACCAGACAATGCATGAGGCGCTGACCTCAGGAGGCTGCTACTCTACACGATAAACTGTCAGCTTGATTCTGGGTCCAAACTATCAGAAACAGAGAATGAATGAAAAAAGGTGCTTCACCTACACCTAAAATTTCCCAGAAGTGTATCTAATTGGTCACAGTGCTATTTCATGGTAATTTCTCTATAATGAAATTAGAGCCACTAAATGCAGAGGTGCTTGGGCTTGAGAGCTATCATTACAGCCTCTCGCTCTCATTTACAGTAATACAAGATGTCTGGTACTAAAAATAAATTTTGCCTACAAGAGCCTGTTGGCTGGTCCTGAAAGAGCAGTCAATACTAACAACATCATCACAACATCAAGGGCTGCTAATGGCCAAGTAGAGAGTTCAGCTGTCCTGTGATGGTGTATGCAGGGCCAGGTAACTACATACATGCACATGTGCACACACACATACATACAAGTGCCTTCACACACACCAATTTTCCTGCCACCTTCATTTCTGTAAATGGCACCGCTGTTCACTGATCACTCAGGGCAGAGATCCAAGAGCTATGTGAGTTCTCTTCCTCCTCCTCCTCACACATCCAGACTGCCCCTAAGTCTTGTCAATCCTACCTCTGAATATTTATTCCCTTGTCTTCCTACCTACTGCCACTTCCTTATTTTAAGGACTATCTTCCTCCACTACCAGACAACATTCTCCTAATGTATGCCTCCTTCGATCCATCCTTCACAGACTATCAGTGACATTTCCGAACACAAATCTCACTGTATCCCCATGATCCTCTCTTGGCTATCTACTTTCCACTGCAGGGCTGATGTCGGCTCCCTGGGTGTCACCTCCCCTCTCCCACATGACAGACATCACACACTGGTCCCTGCACGCTCACGCCCAGAACTCAGGTGTGCTCTCCGTTGGCCTCCTTGAAACAGTGCTCGTAACAGTCACTGCGATGACTACAGGTTGCCCTCAAGACCCCACTCCTAGAAGAGTACATCAAAATTCCTCCTCAGCTTGGTGTTCAAGGCCCTCCGGGATCTGTTCTCAGGCTTCTCCAGCCTCATCCAGGCTGTCCCAGTCTTCCTTCGTCTCCAATGAGCTGGTCACACTGAGATGGTGTAGTCTCTAGAGGGGGACTGCTTTCCAAGCCTCCATGGCTACATCCCCCCTTCCCGCACATACCACCACAAGCTCTGCCCCCCCACCCATCCTCCCTTCACCCGTCTGTTTGAGAAACTCCCACTCTGCTCACAGCCAGTTAGAAGCGCTCTCCACTCCTGCCCCATCCCTTCCCATCCCACCCTGTGTATATGTGTCATTCATACCAGGTACTTGCATTATTTGTTGACATAGCTCTTTCCAATTGTGCTTTAAATAACTCCATTTAATTCATTTTTTTTTTCCATTTTCAGTACTTACAAAGAGCCTCTTTTGACCACTGAAGCAAAGATTTTTTAAAAGCTCTTCTGAAGAAAGGGTTAATTCATCATAATACAATCTCCAAACACCATGTTGTCAGCTCAGGCTTATGGGAAAAGGAAGTGTGTGTGACAGACAGCAAGGGACAAGACAGACTCCAGAGAGCCCTGAGGAAGCAAACACCAAGCCCACTGCTATGTCTCTGGAAATTACAGTTTAAATGTGTCTTTAGTGAAAATGAATTTATCTAGTTCCTAACCATATACCGTCATGTCATCTCCCCTCAAAAAGCCTGGGCATGGCACTGGGGACTTGCAATAAATAGCCTTTAAAGTTATTGATCTACTTTTCGTGGTCACATGACCATCTTGATGGAAGAGGGCAAAGAGGGAAAGGAGCTCCTGCCTGTCCCTGTTTCCTGGGCAGGGCATTCAGCTTACATCATGCCATTTAGCCCTAAGGCCTCCTTTCTAGGTATTAGGGGTGGAAATATTTACCCAAGTTGGTTGATTATTTAAACTGCCCAAACTTATGAAGTCAACTATTCGTTGTTTCAATCTCCAAGTCAGAATCCAGACTGAGTTCTTTCTCATAATGGCAAATACAGAACAAAATTCCTGACGTTTCTCAATGGACATTATAGTTTATGTGCCTGGTTTCCAGGATTAGTCATTGTTTACTGGACTGCAATAAGAAATATCAAAAATTGACAATCTTGCCCGACAGTTTCATCTCCACACAAAAATGGATAAGTATAAGTATAAATCACCACTAGTTTTTAATCTCCTTATATAAAGAAGAATACCACAACCAGTGATCTGTGTTCATTCTGAAATACACGATACATCCTCAATTCTCTCTCTCCAGTCCTAGATTGGATCCTATGCTGGTGGAAAAAATGTTGTAAAGGATGTTATTGGGTCAGCTGAAAAAATTGAAATATGGATGGTAAAGCACTGTATCAACTTTTTTTTTAAGTACAGGTTGACCGAAATGGAGAAAGAAATGTTATCTCTCTTATATTAATAAGAGCTCCTAGCCTTGGCGTATCATGCACATCCATCTCTCCAGCTCAACCAATGTCATCTAATATTCACACTATCTCTAGGAGAAAAGCATTTCTGCTTTCTACCCAACAGAAGCAAAGGCACACAGAGGTTGAAAGAGACTGGCTTTAGATGCTTGGGACTACACACAACAGGTAGGCCCAGGAGTCACACCCTGAAACCCAACCCATCACACAAACAAGAGACAACTCAGCAATTGCCCTCTGCATGCCATGATCAACTCTGGAATGCAGACACAGCGTGAACATGCACGCTTCTTCATGTCTCGCAGGAGATCAAGTCACTACAGGTGCTTCGCATTAAGCTTCTAAACCAAGACAGCACAGAGTTAAAGAGGCCCAAGGAACACACAACAGAAGCTGCGCTGGAAGGGAGGGGGAAGCAACAGAAACCCATCTCCAAGATGCTGCAGTTAGGGCGGGCTTTCCAGGAGCTCCCAATACCCTTGTAAGGAGTGCATGTATAGAATTGGCACAGCCAGATTAAAATACAGCACCAACAACTTCAGAAGCCATGACAGCTGTTTAAGAGTATCTGTGCCTCTATCCCGCTCTCCAAGTAGGGGTGATCAGGAGGTGACCGAAGAAATTTGCTTCCAAAGGCCGATTATATGATTCAATCTGTTTCACGTAACGAGGGATACCTGTATTTAGAGATAGGGGAATACAAGACAGATCCTGACCTGTTTCCTTCTATTTCCAACTGAGAATTACTGGGCACCTTCTCCACGTTACACCTGCGGTAGAGTAGAAAGAACACTAGAGTCAGAAGACCTGGGTTCTCGTCCCCGCCCGGCTCCTTCTTCCTAGGCTGGGTGACCTGGCCAAGCCTCAGTCTCCTCACCAACCTGCCTTGTTAGGAAGATTACACGGGGTTATGTTTGGAACCTCATTCGGAAAAATAACATAGTTCTCTAAAAATGGTGGGGGAAGTGGATTTCCTAACCTTTCTGGGATTTTCCTACTTCCGTCACACACAGAAATTCCTGTTACCCTGTTCCCTCTTACATGTTCCATTCACTGTTCCAGAAGGTGGGAGACAGGCAGCCACTGGCTAGAGGTGCGTGTGATCTTGGGAAGGTAGTGCTAGTCTATCTGAGTTTAGCCCCTCATTTGTAAAATGGGGGAAATACTTACCTCAGAAAGTTATAAAAATTAAATAGGATAAAGTGCTTTCTTACAGTAGCCTGCACAAAGAAGGTATTCCAAGCATCAGCCAATTTGGGTCTGAACACCATCTAACTAGTCAGCTCTGCTTCCAAGAGCTCTATTCCTTTTCGAGAGATCACTGAATTCATGATCTTTAGTGGGAAATGAAAATAAACCACCACCTGGCGTCTTGGGCACTTCTACAAGCCTCTAGAAAAGCCTCTTCAGTTGAGGATTTTTGAAACTGCTAGGTTGGTGTCCCTTTTTGTGGTGGCAGGGAAGCAGCTGCCAGGTTTCACAGATCCTGGGAAGACCCTCCATACCCTCTAGATCTCCCTCCAGGTGTAGACAGCACCCTTTGGGATTCACAGCCTGTGCCTGTCCATGTATAAATCCCTTCTCGGAGTCACTGCCCCATTCTGCTCTAGAGTCAGTGTGGGGTCGGGGTGTTGCAGAGAGGGAAAAGCATAAACCCATAAACAAATCAACAGAGGGGTGGAAGCGCATGTGCTCGCTTCAAAATACACAGAATTCTTTGGAATGTCTGAAATATAAGGAGAGCTGGGAGGGGTGCGTTGGAAAAAAAAAGTTGGGAAGATCCGAAGGTTCAGACTGTGGAAGATAACAATTCTCCTACGCTAAGAAGTCTGGTCATCATCGGGTAGGCAACGGGGCCGCTGTGAAGAGTTCTAAAGTTACAATATGAAATGACAAGTTAGGTGCCTCAGAAAGAAGCCAGGACAGGAAGAGACTGGAGGCAGGGCACGCAGTCCACCCTGCAGCTTGCCAGGCCAGGCCAGCAGTGCAAGGGCCTCAGGAAGACAGGGGGTGAGGAGGCAGGTGAACGGGTGTCTTGTAGGGACAATTAGGAGCAGGTTGAGGGGACTCTGAGTGTCAGCAATAAGGCACAGAATTGGGAAAGTCTTCATTATTTCACTTTTAGGACCTTGGGCTAATGATGGTGCTGACCAAGGAGACACAGAAGCTTAAGTAGACCATGTCATCTCCGAATGTGCACGAGTGACGGGAGGAAAACCTGAAAACAACAAGTGCTACCTTAGAACGCTTTACAGAGTAGATTGTAACTAACTCAGAGAAGCTAGGTATGGCTCTGTCATCTAAGACTGACGCAGATTACAACTCAGTGGGTTCTGAACAACCAAAGATCCCAGCAGAATAATTTCAAATCATTCTGATAAGGAGTCCATGCAGGTCAGCCATCTGATTGGCTTGGGGAAAAAAAAATACAAATTTTTAAAACCCTAAAACAAAGCAACAAAAAATAATAACTACATAATGACATAGATTTGGTTTAAAATGTTTGTTACGAAAACTTATTTTAGAAAGACAGTATGAATGCCAGTGTAAAGATCCATTGGTTTGATGAAGCCTTGAGATGATAATCAGTGTGGGAAAGCCTTCGACACAGTAAATACCTAACGCACTTCAAATAAAGAACTTCCGAGACAGAGGAAGCCTTGGAACAAGGCAATATTTTGAAATAAGAGCCCTGCCCTTCTGGAGAATGGGCTGATTATATGTAGGCCTTCAGCAGAGTTTCAGCCCTACTCAAAATGAGAAAAATGCTGCAAATTACTTTTCAGTGTGTATAGGAATTAACTACAATTAGTCCACAGGTTTGTAGTTTACCAAATTCTTGGAAAGCTGCTATAATGTAATAAAATATCAGATCATTTGCCGGGCATGGTGGCTCACGCCTGTAATCCCAGCACTTTGGGAGGCTGAGAAAGGCAGATCACCTGAGGTCAGGAGTTCGAGACCAGCCTGACCAACATGGCAAAACCCTGTCTCTACCAAAAATACAAAATTAGCCAGGCATCGTGGTGCACGCCCATAATCCCAGCAACTCTGGAGGCTGAGGCAGGAGAATTGCTTGAACCCGGGAGGCAGATGTTGCCACTGCACTCCAGCTGGGCAACAAGAGCGAAACTGTCTCAAAAAAAAAAAAAAAAGAAAAAGAAAAAAAGCTCATTTCCCCAGGTAAATATTATTATAATGTCCTGAATTGATTATAAGTACCAGGTAATGTCATTGTATCCTCAGATAATGGGGCTCATACGACCCCTACTTCCCTGAATTCCCCAGGCCAGCTACCTCTTCAGTAATATCCCATAGGAAAGCTATCTCTTCCACTGCATGATGAGCTAGTGGGGGTAAGTACCTGGAATTTTTTACCCTATAGTTATATTCAAGAGTACAGTCCTGGAAATAAGCAAACAATGAAGGAAATATTTCTAAAAAGAATGAATGATTTTCTCCAATGTGAGAACTAAAAATTCAGGACAAGCTGAGTCTTACCACAATTCCCAGAGATACCACAAGGGCTTATTAAATTTAGGGGCAAGAAGAACACATTCCCAGCTAGGGGAAGACAGCAGAGACTGAAGAGTGTCAGGGAGGCAGGAGCCACGTGGCTGCCACCCCTCTGTGCCCCGGAGCTGTGTTCACCAATTGGACTGACCAGGCACTGACCAGGCAGGTATCTCCTGCCTCCTCCATCACTTTGCTGCATCCATCTTCAAGGCTAGACCTGATGTCCAAACCCTTTTACAGACAGCAGGGCTGGTCTTCCTGTGGACTGCTTCTGAAAGAATTGTCTTCGAGCAATTGATAGAGAGGGAGGAGGTGATGACACCCTATTCACTTTCTGTTTCCAGATTCTTCAGGAATGAGAACAATGCTCAGATTTGAAAAGCAAGGCATAATAAATGGTGAACAAAAGCTCCTGATAAGAGAGTTGATAGAAAGAGCATATCAAGCCACTTCAAGTAAGTTCAAGTGTCCAGTTGCAAACTAATTAAATCCTGGAAAAGCATGTAGATTGCTTCTGCTAATAACATTTAGGAAATCACAGAGCACAAAAATGGAATCAGAACACTAGAGATAAGCAAATGTCCCAATTTCAATATGAGAAAGAAAATTTGAGACTGTTACACTTCATGTTGACCCTTGGTAAAAATTTAGAAGAAATTATTCAGATGCCACAGGGCTATTTAGAAAAGATAAATAACATCATTAAGTGCCAGCAGGAGGTCTCTTAGAAAAAGCCATGGCAAGCTAACCTCATTTCACTTTTTCGGCAGGGTTTCTAGGGTGATAGATTGGAAAGGCTAGCCATGGTGTATCATGGTTTTAGCCTTTCTTGAAAATGCTGAGAAAGGATAAATGTGGGTGACATGAGAGCATGGCTATATGAGTTCACTGATGGGTAGCCAACCTTAAGGATTACTGGTTAATATATTCATGTCAACCTGAAGTGATTTTCAGGGGTATGTCACAGAGACCTGTCCTTTGTCTAAGTTTCTAAGCAATAGCTTATATCAAATCTTTGGATGAAAAAACTTAGATACATAAACATAGTAAACATAATTTTTGCATAGATAAAAATTTAGAGGTACAGCATCATGCAAGGATGATGGGATGAAAAGTAGTAAGGCTGGAACTACACAGGGATAAGAATACAATCAGTAGGCATAGGTTCAAAAAAATTATGCTTATCTGAAAGCTAACCTTGGCAGTATTCATGTGAAATCAGAGCAGTGTATGTGTGTTCTGGGGTGGGGAGTGGGGGTTATTTCAAGAAGTCACATATTCAATGAGTTAACTCTGTGTCAAGGTTGCTGGAAAAAGTAAACACACCCTTGAGTTATGCTAACAGAATTCTGGTGTCCAGAATAAGGAAGCTAACCACCCTGTAATTAATGATCAGAATACCCCATTGGAGTTCTGGGCGCCATGTTTTAAATGGGACACTAGGAGACTGGAATGTGGCCAATGTCTAGGCATCACTCAGAGAGCAAAGTGAAGTGTTCCTACCTGAAGGACAATGTCCTGAGGTAGATATGCTTGTTGATACATTTTAAAGGATATTTCTCAGAATGAGAGCAGATTTATTCTCTGAGGTTCCAAGTAGAACAAATAGCTAGGGGTCAGATGGCTGCATCCCTTTTAATGTAGGAAACGGTGATGTGTTTAGAACTGTCCTTTGGTGTCAAGAACTGCTCTGAAGCAGGGAGCTCACACTGCAGTGTCCACATGGAGGTGGATGACCACATGCCAGAGGTGGTACAGGGGACTTACTTGTATTGTGGGAAGTTGGGCCAGGCAGAGCTAAACATCCCTTCCAACGTTAATAATGCCTCTAGGAATCTCTCTCTCTTCTTTATCCAAGTAACTGAAAGCCATGTCTCTAGAGTTGGAATAGCTCCACAGACTCTACTCTTTACCGTCTAACTCTACATCTCATCCCAGGGGCAATTTTCAAGGGTACAAATGCAAACAGGATGAATCCCTTCTCAAAGAACAGTCTTAGGTTAAATATTACATAAATTGAGAATATGAGTTTTTAAAAGCTTCTAAATAAGCAGAAAACAAAGCATGCTTAACAAGTCAAAACAAAGCCTTCTGGTACTACTTGATATAAAGTTTTCTATTTGTGCAAATAAAATGATGGGGGCCAGTAGCAACAGACCAGTACTACCTCTGAATAGACAGCAGTTACTGCAGAAGGATTTTACACTTATGAATCACACAATATCTGGCTCTTAAGGGTCAGATTTTTAGAAGCACCCTCCTTTTTAAAAAACAAGTCCTATCACTGACTAAAAAGCAACGAACACACACATAAATGATCTTAGTTCTTTATGAAAATATCAAGATACATCTGCCCCAGAATCATGCATGAACTTTTAAACAACTGTCTCATGAGAGCTAATTAATTCTTCTTATATATCAGTTAAATATAAATGGCTGTTCTTATTTAATATGCTGTTAATCTACATGACTGTCAGAGCCCTAACATTTGACCAAAGTGATGGGAAGGAGGTTAGCACAGGTGGTATTTCTTTCACAGGTGGGTTGAGTTACTATTTAAATAACTGACTTTAATGGTGCAAAAATCTCAACACAGTGAAATGTACATCTCCCAGCAGCATTTTCTAAAACCAACCAAAAATATGATACTGTATCTAATTAAGGCTCTCCTAATTTGAGTGCCTCCTACTTGAGTACCAAGTTAAAGAGAAATACAAAATATAAATAGTTAGTGCTTTTTCTAGAGGATTACCAACATGAAATGTATATGAAACATTCAGTGGTGGGAAATTTAGTACATACTCCCCAGAAAGCATCTAAATGTGGGAGCTAATAGAATGTGTCTTACCAGGACACTTTTTAAGGAAAAGTAAGTAAGCAAATAAAACAAGGAAAAGTTAAAAAGAAAAAGCTACTCAATATCTGCATGCTGAAATATTCAAATACCCTTTACCTACAGTACAACTAAAGACATACTCAATAAACAGTACCACTGAAACGGCATTTTCTGTTTCTAGAAATAAAACCATGGAAATCAGCATCAGCAAGGACACTTTCTTTCTGGTGCTCAGAGGTCCATTCACCTACCTGATTAGCCTCAAAGTCTGAAAGGCTGATTATTAATAATGAAACTGTTCAAAGAACCTGAGTTACATTAAATCCCTGATGACACATAAGGACTCTAGAGGCAGGCGCAGTAATGAATCCCATTTCTGGGATTCTGGGATGGGGAAACTGAGGCTCAGGGAGATTAAGTAAATTACTCCACTGTCCCATAGCTGGTGAATGTCAGAGTCAGGATTCAAATGCAGGTGGTTAAATCAAGACAGACAAGAGTCTGTACTCTAAACCACTGTGCAATGCTTAGCTGAGGTTTAAGGCATATAATCTCCTACCAATCTGTATTTCTGGATGGTTTCTAGGAAAGTGGTCAGCCCACAGCCATGTATACCAGGAAGTCATAAACTCAAAGGCTATGGAGCCAGCAGGTAATACAAATGAATGAAGTGAGTCGGGCGTAAAAAGCATGACGGTAAATGGCGACGCACTCCATACTGAAGAGATGATACAGAGTGACGGGGATTGTGACAACCTAGAGCGCGATGCTGCCAATGAAAGGATGGCCACTTCTTCATGCCTACTGATTGTTACCTTAGGGAGAGCTGGGCAAAGTGCTGCCAGAGTTTCTGGTTTTTCAAAAGGGTGGGGGATGGGAGGGAAATTTTTGCAAGAAATCTCTCCAGGTTTATGTATTTGCTGACCCCCACCCCTCAAAAAAAAGCATAAAACCAAACGAATCTGTTGGCAGTATGTCATCCACCTGTTGGTGACTTCTTTTATGTCACTAGAGAAAGACACAGCCATCACCTTAGAATGAAAGGCCTAGCTTCTCAACCTCCAAGGACTTTCCTGGCCCTTCTCAGTGTTATAACAGCCCTTGACTCACTCAGCAAGTAATGAACAAAATGCCTGTCACACATCACAGCCCATCTGGTCAGAGAAACAGACGTTACACTCTCCTGAGACAAAGGCAAAAAAGTTTGATGTATATACAGAGTGATGCTCTCTACTTAGTAATATTTTGTTTTAAACCAGGGACTGAGAAAATACGGCATAATAATCCAAGCTGGCTTCTAGAATACTGTCCCTTTCTGTGGCAAATATACAAGGGGAGCTTGGGGGTGAGTAAAAACGTAAGAGTTACTGATTCATGGTTTACAAGGAAGTTTTCATGTTCACTCTGGACAAAGCATGGACTTGCGGTCAAAATTTCCTTCCTGGATTGCTGTCATTCCCCTTCATTAATGAACCGTTGGTCCAAACCCAAGAGAATGGGGTTGCCATTCTGGCCACTTCAGAAGCCTTAAAGGGGATGAACTTAATTTATTTTTTGAAAAAAGGAAAACAGCACAAAATCTGAGAGACCTGGTGGGCAAAATGGAGCAAGAATTTCTGGCCTTTTGACAAACATCTCCACCTACTCCTCTTTCCCCATTTCTGAAAACTCCTTGCAGATAAGAAAGGCTTAACAGCAAAACCCCATGGTGGAAAGTTTCTTGCTTTTTATACCACTTAATTTTTATAATAATTTTTCCTTCCTGCTATGATGTATTCGGCAAAGCCATAATGAAAAACTAAAAACACAACGTAGTTATTCATGTTAAACACTTACAGGTGCACAGAGCAACACTAGTTAATGTCAAACATTTCTGGTAACTAACTGCTTCTCAGCCTTTTGGCTAAGACCAAGTGTAGTATCTGTTGTTACATGCTTAATATCTGATTCCTCCTCTATCCGAGGACAATATGTTAAGTGGATTTTGGAAGCAGGGAGCTAGAAGAGGAGCTTGCTTCATCCACTCCACACATCGACCTGGTACTGCAGTACCTCCAGGAATGATGCACCCCCTTAAGAAAAAATTTTTTTCAATTGGTAATTTAAAACTGATTAATACCACTATGCAACTGAGAGAGTGAAAATGTCTGTTTCCTGTCAATTTTTCAACTGAAACGAGAAGCCATCTTCAAATAAAAACATTACCACGTGATAATAAAGTGGAAACCAAGTCAACTAACCAAAACGTAGCCTAACTAGTTCATCTACTGTATGGATCTGACTGACACCCTACAGTGTCTTTGGTTTTCAAATAATTATTCACTGTTTAAAATGGCCTGGGAGGAGTGTCCCACACAGCTTTCTCAAAGTCTGTATCCAAAAATCCCATAAAAAAGGTAAATTTGCTGAAAGACCATGCTATGTGGTATTAGGAAGAAAGAGATAATTCAAGTGCTCAGAAATTCAAGTGTTGGAAGGAAAGGAGAAACTGTATTTACTATGAAGCATCTATTTTGCTTTAAACAGTCTTAACATGAAATATTTACCTTAAATATATTAGGATTCTTCTTTCTCTAACAATTCAATTAAAAAAAATAATATTACTCCATCATTCCAATCCCTTTCATCTGAAATATCTTCATTTTCAGATGGTATTTCAGAGGTCCTTAAGAATCCTTTTCTAATTTAGATATTTTAAACATTTTGTAATCTAAACTAAATTTTCAACTATCTTAAATAATACCTGATGAAACATCATACAAAATAGCAACAGTGGCCATTTTAAACAGGTACAAAGAGAGAAAGCCATAAAACACAAACTAGAAAGAACCTTAATAAAACCTAAGTGCACAACTTAACAACTCCTGCTCCTCAGGGAGCGCCACTCGGCGTCTTGGTGAGAGATGATCAAGGTGAAGGAACCAAACACTCACCTATCTTTGTAGTTTATCACAGTATCGATGATAGCGTTCATCTGCTTTGTCAGTTTGGGGGGATTTGGTGACAGTTTCTCAGCGGGAGGGCGGCCTCTTCTCTTCTTAGCTTTTTCCACATCTTCTTTTGCAGGATCTTTATCCACATTTCTTCGTCTTTTTCGCTTCTTAAGCCGTACTTCCTCTTCCATTTCCTCCAAATTGCCGTCTTCGATGGCCTGTTCGTTGGAAACAAAGGAGACAAATTCAAGACAAGAGAATAACCAAGACAAAAAAAGTATGTGTATATTTATATATAGCTCCAACAATTAGAATAAAATGAAAGAAATTAACCAAAAAAAAGTAAAAGTTAACAGTAATCAGTGGAGGAAGAAGAAAAAAGGAATGCTACCATATTGGATAAATGCATCTTTAACTCAAGTCTGTTTCATGAGCAAAACACACTGAAGGCCCAAAACACTCACAGTAAAGGAGAATATGACAAATATTAAAAGATCTATAAATTCAAGTGTTTGATGATAACTGAATCCAGATGAAATTTTAGCTCAGTTTAAGAACAAGACCCTAATGTTCTCATTACTGTAAGGGAAGGAAAAGGTAAACAAAACGAGGGGTGGGTTATGAAAAAACAATCCCTAAGAATACATCCACACGATCATATAAGCTTTGACCTTTTCTTCAGGTTTTGCATCAATTTATTCATGATTAACAATATAAATCAAAATTCCATCTAGATTTTTGTTCTAACGTGGCAATTAGTAAACAAGGAAACGGGAAAGTACAAAGCCACATTCCTTGGTAAACGCACTTAAATCATTCGATAAAGAACACACACACTCACAAACAATAAACACTTTTTTCCAATTACCTGCAAACGCTTGCTTTAAACCAGAGCCAGCAGCACTAATGCAGAGAGATAATAAAATAGCTATAAAAACAACCAGGTATAAAAGAAACCTGTTCATAAAGGGCTAAAAGATCCATGTGACAGACCCAGAAGTTTAAACTTTTTTTTTTTTTCCTGGTAAATCTCAAAACTCAAAAGAAGAAAAATAAAGGGGAAAAATACTGCCAAGGAAGAAAAAAAAAAAGAACATAAAATTTGAACATAGAAAAGAAATTTTCTAAAAAAAAGATCTTTAAATTACGTTTTGAGATTGCTCTCTCACACAAAATAACTAATGTTGTTATTTGTTCCTCCTGCCTCTCAATATTGCCTCCAGTATGCAAATGATAATCAATCCTTTCTCGTAGCTGAAAGAGCTCTAATCATAAGGCAATTACCTTCATTTCTCCACAGCACCAAACATGGCTAATATTTATGATCATGTGAGTATAACAATCAATATAAAGAGTGATTACAGCTCAGACATAATTTCTTTCACTTATGTACAACGCTTCCTGAAAAAGAAAGGTTTTGTGAAGAAAACCTGGTGCAGAACACAAAACAACCTGGCATGTTAAAAATGCCAGTGGGATTTTTAAAAAAATATGTTTTCTACGCATCCTCCAATGTGCAAATCCATAGAAGCAACATGCACACAGACAGATTCCTAAGGGACAGTCTGAGCCTAGGCCTTAATAATCAAAAGACAATTTCCATCACGATCCTACAGTGTTCAGATAACCACTATGAAGGAGGCGAGATCTGATGAGTTATGAGGAAAAAGGAAAAGGAAAAAAAAAAAAAAAGCTTCACATTATTGCATTAATATTCATTTGCCTAAAAGCAGGACACCCACTATACAGCTAAACACACTGCAGCTAAGCGAAGATTAAGAAAAGGAAATTGTCCCGCATATCTTGGAGGCTGAACATGCTAATAATAAATACAGCATGCAAGGCTGTCAACAGTTAATGGTATTGCTCTCCTCAAGCACCCAGTTGCACACAGAAATACGGAGAACACCGGCTTTTGATGTGTTACACACCTACACATGCCTGGGATGTAGTTCTACTGAATCTTCAAGACGGCAACGAAAAAGGATATTTACCTTACCACTATCAGCAGGCCGGCTATCAGAAATCACAGTTAGTGGGGATAAAATTAACAAGCCAGCAAAGCAGCGAGCTGCTAGTCTCTTCATCAGCTGATCAGGAAAAAAAAGAGAGCTGGGGAAAGGCTGTGTTTTCATATACAAGTAATTTTATTTTACTGAAAATTTAATACTGAAAGGATTGTGGATACTCAAATCTGCTGTTTCATGCTACCTACTACAAGGCCCGAAGGCTTCCTCCTTCAGCCTGTTTTAATATTGACAACTACTTATCATATTTTTTTCCCCTTATTATTCCAGGCAGCAGAATTAGAGATTTTAGCTCAGATGGTTTCTGAGTCTTGCTCGCATTTTAACAATTAAGCCAGTAAGAAAACAAATTAATATTCAAATTTATTTTAAAAAATTAAAACAAGGTATGCTTTTTTGGTATTTTGTACCTTATTTTTTAAAAAATAGCAGCATGGTTTGGAGCAGTCTAAATGATTTTTAAAACAGAAGACAATTTTTTAAGAAAATTAAATGCATGTAAATAAAAGCAATGTACATGTTCTAAGATTCAAATATTTTAACATAATATGTTATTCTGCTCTTTAAAGAAAATTCAGAACAACTGTAACACTTCACTTTCAGTTTCATGCTGTAAAATTTTTCATTGTTTTTCTTCTCACTGAGATAAATGAAGTTGGGGGGAGTTGTAAAAAGGATATTTCTACTCTCACCCCGCCTTAATTTTGAAAAGAGGGAAAAAGCATAAGCTTGTGATATTTGGACTTTTAAATCTCTAAATCTGTGAGTAGCTAAGAAGCGAAAACAAATTAAATTGCAAACAGAACAACTGAAACAATTTTTATTACAACTGCTAATACGTGCAGATTCTTATTAAATTTAGGTTTTGGAATTACAAGGAAACACACAAAGTACTGACCATTATTCCCCTCAAACTAAGGTTTTATGCAGGAATGCAGAGAGCTACAAAACATCTTCCCTCCTCCCCAAAGACCCCAAACACATCCATATGCAGTGCTTTATGTTCTGTGATTTCTAAGGGTCTTTTTCTAATGGAAATCAATTCACTAAACACTTCCCAATGCTTTTCGCACATAAAGAGTAGAGTAAGATTACTCCTGCATGTAAGTAAAATTATTCATGGAGATTTTAAACTGTTCTTTTATTTTAAAAAATTATTTACTAAACTGGCTCAACTGACTCAAACTCAGCGCTGGGGGCTGGGGGGTCACACACAAAAAAAACCCCAAAACTTGCTACACAATGCTAAAGTACTACCCCCAAAAAGAATTCCCTTCCAAACCTTTTACCAGCACAATAATGAAATAAATCACAGAAGCAAACCCCCAGTTTCCGACTGGTGACGTGTTGCGCAAGAGTGCGAGCCCTAATTCAACATACAGACGGCTCCCATGCTCAACTGCCTCTAGATTTAATGAAGTGAATAGGAAGGAAGTCGGGGAAAAAAAGTGTACAAATAAGAAATTAACACTTTCCTTCCCTACCGAGACGGTGAAACACAACTACAGCGAAGTTTAGTGAGGCACCTCTTTTCTTAAAGGCACACTGCACCCGTTTGGCTCCGGATGTCACGAAAAAAAACCCATATGGTGGTAAAAATCCCCAGTCAAGTTAAAACAGTTAAGCATATTTCAGCCTGCGTTTT
Source organism: Homo sapiens (assembly GCF_000001405.40). Taxonomy (NCBI): domain Eukaryota; kingdom Metazoa; phylum Chordata; class Mammalia; order Primates; family Hominidae; genus Homo; species Homo sapiens. Next base: position 2,158,231 of record NC_000009.12, on the reverse strand, counting down.
TCCTGAATGAAGCTGGGAATTACTCCTTCCTCCACTGGATGGCAACCTTTTTTTTTTTTTTTTTTTTTTTTGGCCCTCTTTCTCTCTTTTCTTTCTTTCAATTTTGCTTAAAAGAAAATGTTTTTCATGACTCAGGGTGTGCAAGAACGAGATGCAAACTAGCTCCCTCTTCAATTAGTTCTTATGAAAGCGGCGTGCACGTTCTGACAGCAAAATGCAGGAGACAGTCATGCAGGATTAGCTGTTCTAGAGGAAACGCTTTGCAGCTAGCAAAGCACATGGCAGACCCGGGAAGCAGCCACACGTGGGTCCAGTCGTGGCCCTCTCATCCTGACACACACCAACCACATCTTTACTGCGTGACGGCAGGTCCAGAAAGTCAGCCTCAGGCGCCTTCTTCTCAACCCGGTGGTGTAAAGAATTGCTGTTATGCGTGGTTCACAGTATCACAAAGCAGAGGGGATCCATGATTATGAATAGGTAAACAGGGACACGCAAACAAAAAGCCCCAAGCCAACTCCTGCGCATCGTTTCCACCTCCGCCTCTCCAAGTCCACCAAGCCATGTGGCACAGTCCTTACAGTGGAACAAACCATCTTAACACTGAAAGGAGCAATTCTAAAGATATCCAGACAAGGCATGGAAATTTCTTCCATGTGCAACGGGAAAAGTCAGTACTCAAACACTAACTCTGCTATTTCAGTATCATATTTCTGTCCACTGACACTTTCTCTTTCTCCCTCTGGGGATCCTCCTCCCTTAGGAACTCTAGTTGGATTCCAGAAGAGGACCCTGGGATGCTGCTGGGCATGGGGGTGGGGTTATAGAGCCCAGGGCTAAGCGTTAAAGAATGCAGGTTAAGACCACTACATTATACTGGTGCTTTCTGGGGACAGCTCACACATCACCAAACTTGATTCCAAAATTCAGACAGGCTAAACCTCCCTCGTGCCCTGCTGAGATCCTGGAAGCCAATAATACAGTAATGATCCCCCAAACAAGAAAAGCAATGGCAACAAAATAGTGGAATTTTACATTTACATTTTCATATATGAGAGATTTTCTTACAATATAAATATTAAACAACAACAAAGTTGAACATAGAGCTCGTCCTCAAAGATGCTACGTTATTTTAATCGGTTTAATGCATACTGTAGCACTTTTGGATGCAGAATTTCAGACTCAGGGCTTTGGACAGTAAGTTTTTGATTATTACTGTCTCCACAAGCAACCTGTTAGAAAAACTGACATAAAATCAAATTCCCTAAAGTGAAATAATCTAGACGCAAAAAAGCAAATACTGTATGATTTCAGAGATGAGAAAAGAGAACAGTGGTTACCAGCGGCTGAGGGAAGACGGCCGGGGAGTTAGTGCTTAATGAGGTCAGAATTTCAGTTTGAGATAACGGAAAAGTTCTGAAGATGGGATGTTGGTGATGGTTGCACAACAATGTAAATGTACTTCATGTTACTGAAATGTACACTTGAAATGGCTACAATGGGCCAGGTACGGTGGCTCATGCCTGTAATCCCAGCACTTTGGGAGGCCAAAGCAGGTCAATCACCTGAGGTAGGGAGTTTGAGACCAGCCTAACCAACATGGAGAAGCCCCATCTCTACTAAAAATACAAAATTAGCCGGGCATGGTGGCGCATGCCCTGTAATCCCACCTACTCAGGAGTCTGAGGCAGGAGAATTGCTTGAACCTCGGGAGGCTGAGGTTGCAATTAGCCAAGATTGTGCCATTGCACTCCAGCCTGGGTAACAAGAGCAAAACTCTGCCTCAAAAAAAAAAAAAAAAAAAAAAAAAAAAAAAAGTCTAAAATGGTAAACTTTATGGTATTTTCCCATAAGAAAAAAAAGTCCCTGAAAAGAAACCAAATTATCTAAATTAAGGAACAACTTAACCCCAATTAAACCCCAACAACTGCAGGTTCATACATGTTCTTACCACCTCGACACACAGCACATATTAGCGAAATCTTGCTAGCTTTCCTTCAGAATTCAACCCTTTTAACATTTCAACAGATAGCACGTTCAGTCTTGCCCTGGCCAATGGCTAGAACTTTTCGAAAATCCCCATTTATTCTTTCAAAGGTTATTAAGGGAATATCCATGATGTAAGAAAATAACTGTGTATAGCACATAACTATTCACAAACCTTATACTTTTGTTAACAAATGCTTCCCATATTCAAGAGATGAGTTGGTCTGAAGGGTAAGGACTTTTTTGGATATAGTTTTTTTCCTCCGACTGTGGTTCAATAAACTGATGACATTAACTCAACAGACTCTGTTTCGTATTTCATTCGTCAGGCAACTGGGATGCCAACTGCACTCCCAGTTCTCCCTGATTTGGGACTGAAATGTACAAAGCTGACCATAAAGGGGAAGAAAATTGAGCCTCAGCTTAACTGAATTTCTGGTACAGTGGGTTTTCCAGTTTACTGATCAATAACTTCAGATCACTTTTGAAAAAAAAAAAAAAAAAAAAAAAAAAAAAAAAAAAAAAGGTTTTCTCTTTCCCCATATGCCATAAGCACATGGAGGTGGGTGACGAAGGGAAAAGGGGAGCTACGGCTTACACATCTGAGACAAGGTCAATTAATACACTATTTTAGTTAAAAGCAATTTGGTTGGAAAAACGAAAATGCCCCCGCGCAGTGGCTCACGCCTGTAATCCCAGCACTTTGGGAGGCCAAGGCGGGTGGATCACAAGGTCAGGAGTTCGAGACCAGCCTGGCCAATATGGTGAAACACCATCTCTACTAAAAATACAAACATTAGCCAGGTGTGGTGGCACGTGCCTGTAGTCCCAGCTACTCGGGAGGCTGAGGCAGGAGAATCGCTTGAACCCGGGAGGCGGAGGCTGCAGTGAGCCGAGATTGCCCCACTGCACTCCAGCCTGGGCAACAGAGCAAGACTCAGTCTCAAAAAAAAAATAAAAAGAAAAATGAGTTTAAAAATTATTTTAGCCATAAGTTCAACTAAGAACCCATGTGACTGATACCTTTTAAGCAGTATTAAACACAATATACTCTATTTGGAGAATGACTTTTAGATTTAGTGGAGGTTGGCCCACAAAACGTCTGGCCCTGAAGACCCTACCAAATTATAAATGTGAAGTATTTACACCTTTGTTCTTACAAGTTAGGCACATGCTATGCTCAGCTCCCTGGGGTAGAATCAAAAAACCTGAGAGATGATCTTGAGACCCTGCAAGAGACTTAGAGAAACAATGGAGAACTGCAAGAAATACAGTTCTGCTTTCCTATTCCGAGATCATCAATCAAGTTACTATCTACTCTTAACACAGTCAGGAACTCCATCCGCTTGTCTGTTGAGCAGGGCTCCTCAGAAGGGCCTGGGCCACTTCTGTACTTCGAGGTTCTCAGTATATTAAAAATGAAATGCCAAAAGAGGGTAACAAACTAATATAGTTTTAATGCTCACAAAGAATAACTTAATGCTTTTAAGACAGATAAAATACAACTATTAAGAGCATAACCTCATTTGGAGATAATGTCAAATGGCAACTTGGAAGCACCTTCATGAATGTGTGAGGCCTGAGCAAAATAAATGGTTCTTTCCTGGGCTTCCCTGGGATAGGCCGTCCATGAGGAACTGAGCCACAATCCAGGGTTCCACGCTACTGCAACAAGTCAGACTTTCAGAAGGTCACTACACCCATCGTGGTTAAGAACATCAAATTAATAAGATACTGATGAGAATGAGGTAGTTGTTCTGCTTGAGTCCAATGCAAAGAATGTCCATTAACAGCCCAATCATGAGAGAGGAAAACACGTAAATAAAGCAACAGAAGAAATCAAAAGCATAGTAGTTTGAGGCTGTCTAATATAGAAAAAAATAGCCCCAACTTTTAATAAATCTTCAGATACACAGCATCATTAATACTTCTACTACTACTGATGCAGCTACTACTACTACCACCATTGTCCCTGCCAGCAGCAGCAGCAACATTGGCTAACACGTTTGCTGTGTTGACAGCCACTCAGTGCTTTGGGTACATTTAGTCATTTAAACCTCACAATAACCCTAAAAAGGTAGCCACTCTTACTCTCTGCATTTTGCAGATGAGGAAACTGAGGCACAGAGAGATATAGCATCTTGTTCCAGATCATATCATAGTAAGAAGATGACTCAGTATTTGAACTCAAAGTCTGGCTGCATAAACCACACCCTTAACTACCAGATTATTCTACGTTATAGCAGAAAACAATAACTTATTATTAATGATGACTGCACCATCAGGAAAAGGCTAAGTTATACTTGCCAGGCTTAGGTGAATAATTCAAGTAAAAACATAACATGATACATCTTAGGAAGACTTTCAGCAAATATCACACACAGATAAACACACTTCCAGCAAAGATCTCTCTCTCTCACACACACACACACACAGCTTTGCATAGACGTGTGGAACCATAAAAGTAACCATGCAAGTTCAAAGTGCACAAGTCATTTTAATAGTCAATGGGATTACTGTTCCACAACTTTAAAAAATTTATGTCTAAACATTAAAAACTCATACATGTAGAGGGGAAGGAAAAAACTAGTAAAATAAGCATTTGCTTAGTACAGTAATTTAAAATATTAAAAACATTGAGCATTAAAATGTTTCATTTCCCTATTAAAAAAACTCTATCCAGAGTATTTTGCTTTGCTTTGCTTTATTCTAGACGGGGCCTCATTCTGTTACCCAGGCTGGAGTGCAGTGGTGTAATCAATCACAGCTCACTACAGCCTTAACCTTGTGGGCTCAAGCAATCCTCCCACCTCACCCTCCTGAGAGCTGGGACTACAGGCGCACACCACCATGCCTGGCGATTTTCTTTTTTGTAGACACAGGGTCAGGCTATGTTGCTTACACTTGTCTTGAACTCCTGGGCGCAAGCGATCTTCCTGCTTTGGCCTCCCAAAGTGTTGGGATTACAGGAGCAAGCAATCACATCTGGCCTATCGAGGGCACTTTGAACAGTGCTTTTCTTCTCCTTGTCAAATAACTTACGATATAGAATACACGTCTTTTCTATGCCTTGGAAAACTGCCATACTCCTAAATTTGGGTTGGCTTCCAACATTTTATCCTTTGCCATTTCCATGTCGTGAATTAGCTGAGTTCCTTTACTGTGACTTTGTTTTTTTGGTTGTTTGTTTGTTTTTGCCATTATCACTTCCTCTGGGTCATCTTCATCGTTTTCTTGATAGCCACATCCCTCATTTATGTGGGTAAGTTCACCTTCACCAATTTCCCTAGCTGAATATCTAGAATCTCTCCTGTATGGCCACTTTGTGATCCTACATCTTTCTTCACATAAATTATTTTTATTTTTTATAAATTCTTTTATTTTTATTTTTTGAGACAGTCTTGCTCCCTCTGTTGCCCAGGCTGGAGTGCAGTGGCGTGATCTTGGCTCACTGAAACCTCCGCCTCCCAGGTTCAAGTGATTCTCCTGCCCAAGACTCTCAAGCACCTGGGACTAAAGGTGTGCACCACCACGCCTGGCTAATTTTTATATTTTTAGTAGAGATGGGGTTTTGCCATGTTGGCCAGGCTGGTCCTGAACTTCTGACCTCAGGTGATCCGCCCACCTCAGCCTCCCAAAGCGCTGGGATTACAGGTGTGAGCCAATGCACCCGACCTTATTTTTTAAATTTTTGAGATGGAGTCTCGCTCTGTTGCCCAGGCTGGAGTGCAGCGGTACAATCTCAGCTCACTGCAGCCTCTGCCTCCCAGGTTCAATTCTGCTTCAGCCTTCCAAGTAGCTGGGATTACAGGCATGAGCCATGAGCCACCACACCTGGCTAATCTTGTATTTTCAGTAAAGATGGGCTTTCATCGTGTTGGCCAGACTGGTCTCAAACTCTCTTGACCTCAGGTGATCCACCTGCCCCGGCCACCCAAAGTGCTGGGATTACAGGCATGAGCCATGGCACCCAGCCTTTCTTCACTTAAGTTCTTGATAGGGTTGTCTTCCAAAAGATCTATCTCATCAGCATGAAATATTCCAGGATCATCATAAACCTGCCTCCATCTTGGGATTCGGGGTGAAATTTCACGGAAGCATCCTGATTTACACTAGTGGTGTCATCAGACTATTTAACATTCATCAGTTCATGGTGACTTCTGAGACAATGAAACCAGTCTTTACTGGCAGTCAAAAGTCCTCCTATAGTCTCCATGTAATTACCATTTTCTTTTAATTCAGAAACTAACTTCTTTGGCCTGAATACTAGTCACACTAAGCAGGATTTTTAAACACTTTGGCCTGAATACTAGTCAAACTAAGCAGGATTTTTAAAAATCATTATGGTCTTCCAACTAAAGTAAAATACTCAATTTCAATCATAAGTGGTTTTCTGTTCCTAGCGCAATTTAAATTAAAATATATTGAGATGACTTTACTGTGTTTTTTTTATATTCATTGGACATTTTCAGTGTGGTTTACATATTTTTTAATTCATTTATTTTTTATTTTTGATACGAAGTCTTGCTCTGTCACCCAGGCTGGAATGCAGTGGTACAATCTTGGCTCACTGCAACCTCCACCTCCTGGGTTCAAGAGATTCTCATGTCTCAGCCTCCCAATAGCTGGGATTACAGGCAGGCACCACTGGGCCCAGCCAATTTTTTTGTATTTTTAGTAAAGACGGGGTTTCACTGTGTTGACCAGGCTGGTCTCAAATTCGTGGCCTCAGGTGATCCACCTGCCTCATCCTCCCAAAGTGTTGGGATTACAGGCATGAGCCACTGTGCCCAGCCTCAATCTGGTTCGTACTGTAGCTTCATGCTGGCCTGGGTCTTGTACTGTCTTCGTTATCCTGTTGCCATTTTCACATCTCATCACAACAAATTTCACTTCCTTCATTACTACTACCTGTTTCTTTGCAGCACTTTCATCTTTGGTGGCCAATTCCCTCTCCTGATGAACTATTTTTTTAAATGTCATGTTTTCACTGAGAAAGAAGGCAGCAACACAGCTACATACTTTGCTGTCTGTGCATGAACTGAACAGACGCTCGCTAACAAATCACCACCAGATTCTGAGAAGTGATATGATTAGTTATTGATCAAAATGTACATGTGTCATGTACATAGTGATTTGTGAAGTTAGCCCCAAAGTCTGTGTTTTATGTGCAGTGACTCGGAATTGCTATACTATAGTGTTATGGGCTGAACTGCATCCCTCTAAAATTCATACGTTGAGGTCCTAATCCCCAAGACTTTAGATTGTGACTGTATTTTGAGATAGGGCTTTTAAAGAGTTAAAATGGCCCTAGGCCTATATGACTGCTGTCTTTCTAAGAAAAGGCTGCTAAGACACAGATGCACATAGAGGAACAACCCCGCATACATACACCAAGGAGGTAGCCATTTACAAGCCAAGGGGAGAAGTCTCAGAAGAAACCAAACCTGCTGACACCTTGATCTCAGACTTCCAGCCTCCACACAGTGAGATAATAAATCTCTGTTGTTTAAACCACCAATCTGTGGTATTTTATAATGGTAGTCCTAGCAAACTATTACATAGGGTAACTAAAATTTGTCATTGAGGGACTGGTGTTTAACTATATCCAGTGATGGGAATGTGTACATATGGAATGGTGCAAAGCAACGCTGCTCGTAGGCACATATAACACACCCCTCGGAGTAAACGATGGCAGGCTTTATCTTTCCTGCCATCCTATAATCTAAGGGAAACTGCCCCACCCACAGCATCTGCTGCCTGCGCTGCCATCTTCTGTATCAGGCAGCTGCTATCTGTCCTAGTCTCACCTGATGGAGATGGGAATGGTCCCCTGTTCTCAGAGTACCCTGTCTCTAAGCTTGTGTGGGGCCTGGCATGAGGGTCTCTGCACAAGCACAGCCAGAGTGATTGGCTGAGCCAGTCAGTTCACTTCTATTAAGAATTTGAGCTGCAGGTGTGAAAGAACATGTCCAGTTGGTATGGCAGTAGAAGTTGAATATAGGTCATAAGGTAGCATTATGCTAGGGATGTTATGAGTAGAAGCCATGAATAAGCAGAGGCCAACAGGAGATATGCAAAAAGTATACTGTGTGAAGGAGATGACTAGCTCTTCCCAGGGAGGTTCTAATTCCTTGCACTCACACACAAGTATTTGGTTAGCAATAGATACAGACGCATGTACTCACATACATGTATGTACACATACATAAATACACATAGATGCACATACACATATTATTAGAGTGTCAGTAGAGGAGTGTCTGGTTCTAGTTAAATTTGAGAAGCCAACTTGAAATGTACACTCATTTCAGATCTAGTCTGTATGCTGTTGCTAAGTATATAAAAGGTTATTTGTCAAGTATGTCTATCCCACTTTATTTAATAAAGCTAAAATGCCAAACAAAATTTTGAGTTTTGGTTAGCTAAGAGCTACATATATGTGGCAAAGACAATTTGCTATCCAATAAACTTTAAAATGAATCTCTAAAGCGCAAAAAAATAAGAACAAAGGTGAACATGGCCAGTGATATGGTTTGGCTCTGTGTCCCCACCCAAATCTCATCTTGAATTGTACTCCCATAATTCCCACATGTTGTGCGAAGGACCCGGTGGGAGATAATTTGAATCATGGGAGCGGTTTCCCTCACACTGTTCTCATGGTAGTGAATAAATCTTACAAGATTTGATAGTTTTATAAGAGGTTTCCTTTTTCGTTGTTGTTTTTTTGAGGAGTCTCACTCTGTCGCCCAGGCTGGAGTGCAATGGCATGTTCGTGGCTCACTGCAACCTCTGCTTCCCGGGTTCAAGCAATTCTCCTGCCTCAGCCTCCTGAGTAGCTTGGATTACGGGCACCCACCATCATGCCTGGCTAATTTTTTTTATATTTTTGTAGAGATGGGGTTTCACCATGCTGGCCAGGCTGGTCTTGAACTCCTGACCTCAGGTGATCCACCTGCCTCAGCCTCCCAAAGTGCTTGGATTACAGGTGTGAGCCACCACACCCAGCCAGGGGTTTCCACTTTTGCATCTCTCTCATTTTCTCTTGCCGCCACCATGTAAGAAGTGCCTTTTGCCTCCTGCCATGATTCTGAGGCCTCCCCAGCCATGTGGAACTGTAAGTCCAATTAAACCTCCTTTTCTTCCCAGTCTCAGGTATGTCTTTATCAGCAGTGTGAAAACAGACTAATACAGGCAGGTTTTACTAATAAACACACTTAGCTATATTCTGGCCCTGCATGGCTTCCATAGCTTTTTGGTATTCCAAGCCAGGACTAGCCGTTTTGCTGGTAATACATGGCTGAAATCAACATGAAGAGTTGGTGGCAGAGAAGGAGACACCAGGAGACCAGGTCAACTGAAGCACAGTCAAGGATTTGCGCAGGAGAGACAAACACAAAGTGCTCTAATGGGCAATGGCAAGATCTATAGAAAACAAGCTGGGCACCGTGGCTCACACTTGTAATCTCAGTGCTTTGGGAGGCTGAGGCAGGAGGATTACTAGAGGCCATGAGTTAGAGACCAGCCTAGGCAACATGGCAAAACTCTGTCTCTACAAAAAATAAAAAAATTAGTTGGGTGTGGTGGCATGTGCGTGTGTCTCAGAAAAAAGAAAGAAAACATCTCCTTATACCTAATGCTAAATGACGAGTTAATGGGTGCAGCACACCAACATGGCACATGTATAGATATGTAACAAACCTGCACATTGTGCACATGTACCCTAAAACTTAAAGTATAATAATAATAAAATAATAATAAAAAAAAGAAAACATCTCCTAAAATGTGTTCCAGAAATGGAGTATCTAGAGAAAATTTTAGAGGGTATACAACTGATAGTCAATAAATCTGAAGGAAATTAAGAGGCTCACTCAACTGACCACTACTTATGACTCTGCCTACTGCACAGACCTTCCTTGTCTAGGCCACTCTGCTCTTGCCATTTGGCTCAAATACCAATGATCAGCTGTGTTCCCAAACATGTTGATGTTAGTTATACTTATTACTGGAGCTACATTAATTCAATTAGATAGTACTTACATAAATGAATATAATGTAACTGTGAGAAGAAATTGGGTTCTTAGTTCTATAAAGAGCATGAACAATACAAGACTCCAAAAAGGTGAGTTTCTTTAAAAACAGCAGCAGCAACAGAAATGCTGTTGAATTTGGTGAGGGCTAGACTGTTACAACTGGGAGGCAAGTGTAAACTCAGCATGCTTTGTTAATATTAGGATTCTCATTCATGGCTGGGTATAGTGGCTCACACCTGTAATCCCAGCACTCTGGGAGGCTGAGGTGCAAGAATCACTCAAGGCCAGGAGTTTGAGGGAGGCTGCAATGAGCTGTGATCATGCCACTGCACTACAGCCTGGGTGAGGCCCTACTTTTTTTTTTTGAGACGGAGTCTGGCTCTGTCACCCAGGCTGGAGTGCAATGGTGCGAACTCAGCTCACTGCAACCTCTGCCTCCCGGGTTCAAGCAATTTTCCCTGCCTCAGCCTCCCAAGTAGCTGGGATTACAAGTGCCCGCCCACCACGCCCCGCTAATTTTCGTATTTTTAGTAGAGACAGGGTTTTGCCGTGTTGGCCAGGCTGGTCTCGAACTCCTGACCTCAGCTGATACTCCCGCCTTGGCCTCCCAAAGTGCTAGGATTACAGGCGTGAGCCACCACGCCCAGAACACCAAAACTGGAAATCCTAAGTGAAACATTATAGGTGTTATTTCTGTGAGAAAGATTATGTGTGATTTATGTGTTCTAGCCAGTTTACTCAAAGAGGCAATCTCAGCCTTACAATGAAAGATGTGGCAAACAGATATATGCTTTTAATTAAAAATTACATGTACATATAAGTGACATATTATTTTCTCACCCTAATGAATGTTTTCGTTGACCAATGCACCACTGGTTCTGATTATTTAAGAAGGCATCTGCTCTTCCATCTTTTTGGAATGGGGGTCATAAAGAAGGTCATAGTACCTTGCTTTTTTTTTTTTTTTTTTTGGTCACTCAGTACATTTTTTCCCTGTAATAATACTTAATAGCTCGATTCTGTACTTTTTCTAAATAGTTATGAGCTGTATCCTATTGCTCAGATCTTAAACACTTCTGTCATGAGCTACTGCACTACTCAGTTTCTTAAATTCTCCTCAGTCTATCAATTCCAAGCCTGCCTGTATGGAACTGTCAGAGATGTTTGAAGCAGAGCAACTCCATCTTGAATAGGGGCTATGTAAAATAAAGCTGAAACCTACTGGGCTGCATTCTCAGACAGTTAAGGCATTGTCAGTCACAGGATGAGATGGGAGGTCAGCACAAGATACAGGTCATAAAGACCTTGCTGATAAAACAGCTTGCAGTACAGAAGCCAGCCAAAACCCACCAAAACCAAGATGGTGATGAGAGTGACCTCTGGTGGCCCTCACTGCTACACTCCCACCAGAGCCATGACAGTTTACAAATGCCATGGCAACATCAGGAAGTTACCCTATGTGGTCTAAAAAGGGGAGGCATGAAAAATCCACTCTTTATTTAGCATATCATCAAAAAACCACCACAAAAATGGGCAAGCAGCAGCCCTCGAAGCTGCTCTGCCTATGGAGTAGCCATTCTTTATCCCTTTACTTTCCTAATAAACTTGCTTTCTCTTTACTGTATGGATTTGCCTCAAATTCTTTCTTGTGCAAGATTCAAGAACCCTCTCTTGGGATCTGGATCCGGACCCCTTTTCAGCAACATCTTTCTGGTGACCACAAAGCCACAATACCTAGGAAACCCCCGATCCAAAGGCTAACTTTGAGTAAGTGGTGGGATCCGGTAACAGAATCTAGAGATCTCTATGATCTGATCCTACCCATCCTGATTTCGCATATTTCTTATTGCTGTGGACTAAATGATTGTGTCCTCCCAGAATTCCTGTCTTGAAATCCTAGCCCACAAGGTGATGGTATTAGGAGGTGGGGCCTTTGGGAGGTGATTAGGTCATGATTGGGAATAGTGCCCTTATTAAAAAAGACCCCAAAGAGCTCCCATGTCCCTTCTACCATGTGAGGACACAGCAAAAAGGCACTGTCTATGAACCAGGAAACAGAATCACCAGACATGGAATCTGCTGGTGCCTTGATCTTGGACTTCCCAGCTTCTAGAACTGCTTATAAACCAATCTATGGTATTTTGGTATAGCATCCCAGACTAAGACACCCAGCTATGCGAACATTCTGCAAATAATAGGAACACAAAGCCCATGCCACACTGTAGCATGCCATATTTATTCCCACCTTTGTGATTACTCTTACTTCTCGCCTGGGATGTCTTTCCCAATCCCCTGTGCCTATGCACATTGCATACATGTTCAGTGATCAACTCCCATTCCACTACCCCTCCAGGTGTGCCAGATCATCTTGATTTTTTCTTCTTACAAAGATAATGCCTTCGTTTTTCTCAATTCCCCTAGAGTACATAGCACAGTAATGAGGGAGGGAAACTAGATACTGTAAAAACAGTTGAGAACGAATTCAACTTTTAGATAGGGTTCCCTGGGAAAACTGCTCTTAGATATATATCCATTTATGGAACACTAAGTCCAAATGTATTTGTTCTAGGTATTTTAATGTCAATCTTCAAGTACTAAAGGATAAACTCTAGCATCAAACTCTCTGCATCTTCCCTACTTCACCCATTCCTCACCTCCCCTTTACTGTCAGGTGTCTAGGGTCACCTTTACGGATGATTCTACCGCCTGACCACACAATAAAATTCCTTGGCACCCAGAAGGACATTAATAATTTTAAAAAAATTGCCAAAAGCTTTCTAATTCCCACATCTTAGTCTTGTCTAAACTCTTTTATTTACTTTCTCCTCCATTGCTCCTTACTTAAAATATCTCTCCTTTCTATAGTGTTTGGGTTTCTCTCTCTTTTTTTTTTTTTTTTTTTTTTTTTGAGACAAGAGTCTTCACTCTGTCACCCAGGCTGAAGTGCAGTGTTGCAGTCTCGGCTCACTGCAACCTCCGCCTCCCGAGTTTGGATGATTCTCTTGCCTCAGCCTCCCAAGTAGCTCAGAGAGACTACAGACATGCACCACCATGCCCGGCTAATTTTTGTATTGTTAGTAGAGATGGGTTTCACCATTTTGGCCAGACTGGTTTCGAACTCCTGACCTCAAGTGATCCGTCCGCCTAGGCCTCCCAAAATGCTGGGATTACAGGCATGAGCCACCATAACCAGCGCGTTTCTCTAAGTTTACTAGCCACATTTTTCTCTCCTTAAATGCAGATTCCCCAACTTTTCTTTTGGCTTTTTTTTCATTCACAGATTGTGAATATGCAGTCAAATGTGGGCAATTACCCTTTCTGAGTACACACCAGGCACCACTAAGTCTGGATGTCCTCAGCAGCAACAGGTGAGATGAGTTGTGATCAGCAACAGGTGAGATGAGTTGTGATCAGCAACAGGTGAGTCTCTTAATGACCTCTGGAGGCCTCGCTGCTAGAGAACTTCACTACTGCCCCCCTGGAGGGGACATAAGCCATAATTCAGGAAGGCTGTTAATTTTACTGATCCTGGAGACGGGGCTCTTTTGTGGACTCCTGCTGAGCAGCCTAGATCATAGACTCCAATCCTCCATATGGTGAGTGCTTTCTGAGCAGCTCCTAACTACTGATGGGAGGCTCCTGAGAGGAATCTAAGCCCTCCTCCTGGGTGTAAAATCTGCCATGGGGATCCTACTTGCCTCTATGGCTTCAAACATGACCTTGTCGGGACTCAGAAAGTGATACCCCAAAGACTGGTGCCTTGACATGCTTAGAGGCCTTAGAAGCTGCCTCAGAATCGAGGTCCTTCTAACCTGGTCTTGTCCCACCCCCATCCAGCGAAGGACACAAGAACGGACTTGCTCTGGAATTTCCTCATCTGGCCAAGAAAGTTTAACAGTCACAGTACGCAGGGGTCGCCAACAGAAACACAACTGTTTCCCTCTCCTCCCTGAAATTTCATTATCTCAGAAAAGAAGACTGAGGAATGCAACCACATCTGAGAAGACTCCTTCACAAGATAATACCTGCCTCTTGGGCTCATTCAAATTTCAAGAAAAAAATCATTTCCAAGTTAACTTCTGTCCATTCATTTCCTCTAATGATTGACTGCCCCCTCAAAAGAAATGCCTACATCCCCCCCCATCTCCCGGCTCCCCTATGAAAAGGGTATGTACGATTCTGTATTGCACTAGGTTATTGGGTAATCATCCTCCTGTGAGTTCCCCGTGCTATGCCTGTTAACATTTTGTATGTCTTTTCTCCTATTAATCTGCCTTTGTCAGTTGATTCTCAACGAACCTTCAGAGGGGAAAGGGGGAAGTTCTCCCTTGGCCCCTACAACCTCAATGCATATGGCTTCAAAAATTATCTCTCTAGCCTGCGCTTCTTTTTGGAGTCACCAATTGGGAATTCCACTGTCCTACCAAACATCACAAATCAAGTTTATCACTTTTCCTTCAACCAAGCAAATATTTCTCTTTGTGGATCCTGTCCGTCTCATCTAAAGGTAGCATCATTTCCCAGTTATCTCTCCTGGAAATCTTTAAAATGATCAGTTTCCCTTATCACATCCCTGCAGTCCTATTTGTCATCATATAGTTTACCTCTGAAATAGTTCATAAGCAATCTTTTCCCCCTGGTCTCCCTGCTGTCAGACGGGTCTCCTCTCCCACAGGGTCACATTTAAATGGCCTCCCTTATGGGTTTTCCCTGCCCTTTCTTTGACCTCTTCAATTAATCTTTTTCAATGCAAATGGTATCTTCTCTCTGCTTAAACAGAGGGACACATCATTCATTCTCTCATTTCAAATACGCTCAGGCTTTGAACTCTTTCTGTGAAATAGAATAAAGCCCAGATTCTTTGGTCATGCATAGCCTCCAGGGTCTGGCCCTAGCCTCATTTTTCCTCCCCACATCTACTGCTGTTAAAAACTCTGTCCCAAACACACAGTCACAGTAAGCAGGGGTCACGTATTTCCAAGCCTTCGTATACTTCCCTTGGCCTGGAACTCTCCTGATCCCTCTTTCCTACCCAAAGCATCCTCATCTTTTAAGAAAAGGCTAAAATACCATTTCTTTTATAACATCCTACGCAGTTCCCTCCTTCCCCTGTACTAGCACAATACATTACAGGTACTTTTATCCAGGTTGTTTAATTCTGCTTGTATAAGTTTCTTTTGTTTTAAAATATGTCCGAATCTCCTATCATCCCGAAATCTGTTTAAGAACTTAAAAAAAATCATTTTAATCAAAATTGCTTCCAAAGGCACTTAAATTGATGCCTTACTCACCAATGGGACCCAAAAATGTTGGTGAGATACAATTAAGTCTTTATTGTTTACCCCTCTGCTTTCTCAGGATGACAGAGCTTGCTAGGGAAACGCGTTCTAACAACTGGCTTGGATGATTACTGCTCAAGGGAGGACCACACAACTACACAGTGAATAAAAATAAGCCAGAGAAATGGGGCAAAATGAAGATCTTTGTTCTCAGTTTGCCCTACTCCAGCCTCACCTCTTTAAACTGCCTTTATTTTAACTAGTAACTACACAATCTTCTTATTTTAGCTTTGAGAGTTAAACGGCTTGAAGACGTTCAACTCTACAGGCTATTAAATAACATTTATAGGAGGCCATTGGTTTGGACTGACCTCCTGCACTAGACTCAACAGGCCAAACCAAAATGGAATCACCCTTGCTGAAGTTACACACCACTGAAACCAAGCTGTTTATCTGACCTTCTGAGAAATCAGGAGAGAGAGAGAGAATACCAAATCCCCAAACAGGCCAGTTTAAGCAAGCATAAGGAAGTTCCCTCTGCTTTAACCTTTAAAAGGAAAATTAACTTTGAAACAACCAATATGCTTTTTGTTCTATTTCTGCTTTCCTCTACCCTTTCTATTAAGCCAACTTCCTTTGCTTGACGTTGTCTGATTCTAGAACAGGAAAAGCCAATTAAAAACTTTAAATTTGATGTCATTTTGTCTTTTGACAAAGTAAAAAAGATTGTCCAGTGTCACCCAAGACGAGGAGCAGTGAAGACCAACACCCACTAGCCCAAAGGTAGAGCATCTGCAACTTGACTGATGGAGCTAAGGGCCCTACCTTCTCGAGAAACAGAGACAACCAAGGAGAGGGAAACTAACCTGTAGGTCCTAACTGCTTGGCAGAAGGAAGTCCACTAAGGGGCCCCTACTGTAGGAGCAGCCAGGTTAACAGCCTTCACGGGCAGGTCTCATCACCTGCCCCCAGGAGGCTGTCTTCAATTCTGCGTAAGTCCTCCCCGGGCCAGCTAGACCACCTGTTGCTGATCTGACGCGCTCCTGCACCTTTTCAAGAAGAGGCCAGAATTCACAAGCCAGGAGATCAGCTCAGTGGGCAAAGGGGCTGTAAACCAAAATGTGATTGACTTTCACTAAACTCCCATAGTCCTATAGTTTTTTTTAACATATTGAAGAGGCACATCTATGCACAGACTTGCATAGATGGCTTGGATGATTACTGCTCAAGGGAGGGCCACACAACTACATAGTGAATAAAAATAGGCCAGAGAAATGGGGCAAAATGAAGATCTTTGTTCTCAGTTTGCCCTACTCCAGCCCCACCTCTTTAAACTGCCTTTATTTTAACTAGTAACTACACAATCTTCTTATTTTAGCTTTGAGAGTTAAAAGGCTTGAAGACGTTCAATGCTACAGGCTATTAAATAAAATTTATAGGATGCCATTGGTGCCATTACCTTGTGCCATTACATTATGCACAGACTTGCATAGATGTGCATCTTCAATATATGAAAGAAGGTAAAACTCTACATTCAACATTCACTAAACAAATACACCTGTCATTAACTAAATGCGAAATCCAAAAACCATACTCCCTACCTGTGAGGCTTAGTTCCTCACCTGCAGAATGGGAGAAATAATACCTACTCCAAATCTTTAAAGGAATTAAAAGGTGCTGTCTATTTATAGCTTCCAGTCTAGCACTGGCCAATACAGGGAAAGGAGGAGATAGTAGATATACTGAGAGAAAGGGTCTAATTTGGCTCAGGAAAAGTCCTGAAAATCCTATGGGAATAAATTTGGATTAAGAATTCTCTCCCCTGGGGAGAGGAATGGCATGACACTTGCCAACTTGGTGGCAGTAAGAAAGCATTGACTACATGAGAGGTGACAGGTCACTTAAAAAGAGAAGGGTTCAGCCTGTGAAATACCAAAGGCCGGTTCAGAGAGGAAGCAAAAATCACTGCGCCAGTGTGAGAATGCAGGTCTCCATGTATCCCTTAATGGCCCTTAAAAAAAAAAGTCCTCTGGCACCAAGTGCCCAGTACAGCAAGGTGTCCTCAACCAAATGGAAAGACATGCACATTACCACTAACGGGCAGGGGCTCGGTGTGCATCATGGGTTAGGATTTACTGAAGCTACTACAAAAGAGCTGAGCCTCACAACAGGTTAAAAATAATTCTGAATGTAATGGCACCAAAATAACTCTGTCCATGATTTTTCTTGGCTCCTTCTCCAACCTTGGATACCTGAAGGTCAATGAGATTATAGGTGATTCTAGTTTCTTTCTTCACTCTTCTGTATTTTTCATTAGCTTTTATGACAGGGAACTGGTTCCAAATAAATTCTACTTTACAGTTTACATAAAAACCCAAAGCTTCAGGCGTTTGGGGGTTGTGATTACAAAAATGCAGAAAGACAGAACAGAACAGTCAATCATCAGATACAATGGTGGCAAATAAAAATATATACCAGTGAACCCCTATGCTGGGCTTATTAATTCTCTTTGAGAACAAATGTTCATTTTGGTGATCTCCCTGGAATGCTGACACGGTAGTCTGCTGGACTTCACAATATCCTTCCCTGTGCCTTCAAATGATATACCATGACATCAGTGTATTGATATTTTAAAATTAAATGCAAATGAATATGGTCTTGAAAATTTGGAGAAAACTTGATATATTTCAATGAACAAATTGGATCCTGTTAGCATCTGTTATATATTCTTCTAGACAGTATGCAGGGGATTTAAAATGGGACCAGAGTAGGTGACTTCTTGATGAGAGTACTAGAAAACTCTTGGTCTTGGTCTATGCAGAACTGCTGAAGTCCCCAACTAATTTGCAAGGAAAGTAGCAAAACCGCCTTTGCAAATTACGACAGTAAGAGAAATCTGACATAGTTGACTCCATTTTGCTTCTGACTGCCAAGCTGTCCTTAGTCATTCCTGGGAATAGGTCAAGCTAACTTTGGGAGAAATTTAGTTTGTAGTTTAACCTTCATGCAAGGATGATAATAGCCCTTCCCAAAACTAAACAACCTTTGTAAAACTAATGAAAGCCCACAGGTTAGGATTATGAGAGGGGCCTGAATTCTGCTAAGATGTATGTAAGTGAAACAATAACCAGGTATTTTTCCCTGATGTTACAAGATTTGTGACTTCCCCAGTTACTCCTGTAGACAATATTACTATCGTAGAACCTAAGATTGGTGTCTTGAGATGTCTTTTCAGACTTCTGCATTTCTGACGACCAGCTGACTCCACCTGGAGTAGCGACTATATTGGGGGTAGTGATTATAAAAATGGAGAAAAATAGAACAAAACAGTCAATCATCAGATAAAATGGCAGCAAATAAAAATATATACCAGTAACCCCTATGCTGGACTTATTAATTCTCTTGCAGAACAAATGTTCATTTTAGTGATCTTCCTGGAATGTTGACACTCTAGCGTGCTGGACTTCACAATATCACACCAGTGTTGGTGACTCGACCAGTCTTGTGGCTCCCCAACCCAGAGGCTAACTTAGCACATGAGGACCATTTTCCACACTTCTATAACTGCATCCCAAACCAATCAGCATTCCCCATTCTCTACCCCCCTGCCCACCAGACAATCCTTGAAAAACCCAAACCTACAAGTCTTAGGGGAGACTGATTTGAGTACTAACTCCATCTCCCACATGGTGTGGCTGGCCTCACGTCAATTAAACTCTTTCTTTACCGCAATGCCACGGTCTCAGTGGCCTGGCTTTGTGCAGCCAGAAGGAAGACCTGTTGGGTGATTACAGTAAACCCCTGTGGCAAGCAGGTGCTCCCTTTACTGACTCCACCATGTTGGTGTCCTGTCCATCACATCCTGTCAGCACACAGGACTCATCTCAACTCTTCAGATGCTACAGGTGAGTCCCCAAAAGCTCTACACATTTGACCAGTTACTAAGCTACAGATATGCTAGGGAACCCTTAGTTGTCAAGCCTGCATTTTTGAAAGAAACTCCGGCTAAGAACAGGGAGAAAAATCTCTCACCCACACCCCTCTGAGTTTCAGTTCCTAAGAGCTGAGTTCTCGGAGATGGAGCCAGGCCAAGGCAAACCCACATGGTTCTTTCTAGGGCCGCCAAAGGCAAAGCTGGAGAATGACAGAGCAGGAGAGATGGTGCTCTCTTCCCTACCCCTTTCCCCATTTCATGACTCCAATGTAGAGACAGGGAAACTGAAGCTCTGAGACGTAAAGTGATTTATCCAAGATGTTGCAGAGCAAATCAGTGACAAATCTGCAAGCAGAACCCTGATCATCTGACACCTGAGCCCATCTTTCATAAGTTATCAGAGGCAGCTGTGGAAGAGAAGAACGGACTATGGGAAGCCTTGGTAAAGCTCAACTTTTGAGGATGATATTTAAAATAATCTTTGGAAAAAGGTTCTACAAAGGTCCAAGGGAAAGATATTCTTCAAAACAGCATGATATGTTAGGAATATGCTTTCCTAAGAGCATAGTGACCTTAAATACTTATTTCAATAGGAGTGACAGAACAAGAATCAAGTTTTGCCTCAAGGAAAGGGTCATGGTGTCATCCACAATTTTCCATGATTCTGACAATTCATTCTTTAACATAAAAGAAGGGAAGCCATCTAAAAGGCATATAGCATCACATTTTAAATACGGAAAACACACAAAACTAAAAATCCAATTAATACTTTTTGTCTTAATTTTAAGTTAGATGTATTTATCTGTTTTTTTTTTGTTGTTGTTGTTGTTTTTTGCTGAAGAAATTAGAAGGCTCAAGCTAGAAGACAGCTGTTATAAAATCAATGAGAATTTCTGAGAAATAGCTGGGTTGAAGCAATGCTTGTACTTTTTAATGCATATTTAAATCTTCATTAATATGTTCTGAAATTAGAATGGAGGCCTCAAATTCTTAAAGCTCAAAAGCACTGTTACATCAAAAATGTGTGCCTTTAGAATTATTTTAAGAAATCTTTACATGAAGTCACAGATCACTGGAATCTAACAGGAGAGAATGACAATTTCTACCTTGACTCATCTTAGTTACAAAAACATGATTCTACTGTCTTTGCCAAAAGGATATGGGGCTGCAACCAAATCCCTCCTAGCCCTCATTTCTGCCTAGTATATTCACTTATCCACACCTATTTAAAGAGTGCTTACCACGCATAAAGTCCTGCTGCAGGTACCAGGACATAGCAGTCAAGAAGACAGGCAAAGGCCCTGGCTTTCTCGGAGCTTTATACCAGTGGAGAGGAACAGTAAGATAACTTTTAGATAGTGGCAAATGCCATGAAGAAAGTTAACATAGGTGATATGACTTGTTGCCAGGGGCTATCTATTTCAGCTAGGTTGGCCAGGAAGGGTCTCTCTGGAAGGAGATCATTGGGACAAGGAGGAGACAGCCACATGAAGATCTGGGAGAAAGACTTCTAGAAGTGCCAAGGACTAGAAGGAGAGTTCAGTGGAGCAGCCACCCAGAGATGAAGGCAAGGAGGTGGGAATCCAGCACCAGGCAAAGGCCTGGTGATTGTGGCCTTATAGACCATGTTCAAGTGTTTAGATTTAATAACACTTACAATGGAAGGCCACTGGAGAACCTGATGCAGGAGTGGTCATCAGGGCCGATTTTTGGTAAGTTCCCACTGACCTCTCTGGGTAGCCACCTGAACTGTTGTGAACAAGGAGGAAAGGTATCCTCCAAAATGCCAAAAATCTGCAAATGTTACACACTCCAGATCCTTATTACTTTGGCACCTAAAGCCCTGAATCTTTCTTTTCTCAAAGGTGAATGAATGGGCCGTGCTGTACATTTTTTTCATTTTGGGCCAAGTAGGGTTGGTAGAAACCACACGAGCACTGGCGGTGTTAAGAAGGCTTGAGTCTCCTAGCAGTAGCCAGGAAGATAAACCCAGTTGCCTGCTGTGTCTGGAGGCCAGACTGCTTGGCCAAAGAGGCAGTGGCCCTTTCCTCCTCTGGGAGTTTGAGGATGGTGGAAGGGAAAATTGCAAATAACATCCAGAGGAATGACACTAAAATTCTAGCATTAAGTAAAATATGTGTTGTTTAAACTCTGATTTCCTGAACAGCTTAAACCCCTAAAAGTCAGAGCATCTCATGGTTTATTTTAATCTCTATCAATTTCCATCTGTGTCTACTTGGAGACCTGCTCTTGACAAGCTCTTCAAGGTGGCTAACTGTGCAATATTACCTCTATTAATAGTCTCTCTCAAACCTGGCTCCTAATTGCACTAATAAGGTGGGTCTGCCATGACTGTAAGGAATCCAAACAATACTGCTTTCCCCAGGCCAATCACAGTGTGTTGCTCAACCTAATCAATGTTTGACAAATGGATGTTGAATTGAATTTGCTTTTCAACAGTCTCCATAAATGTACTCACAGTACATTTATGTAAGATGAGAAAGCAGGGAATAGGCCAGGCACAGTGTTCACGCCTGTAATCCCAGCATTTTGGGAGGCTGAGGTGGGCAGATCACTTGAGGTCAGGAGTTCGAGACCAGATTGGCCAACATGGCAAAACCCCGTCTCTACCAATAATATAAAAATTAGCCAGGGGTGGTGGCACGTGCCTGTAATCCCAGCTACTCGGGAGGCTGAGGCACAAGAACTGTTTGAACCCGAGAAGCGCAGGTTGCAGTGAGCCAAGATCGTGCCACTGCACTCCAGCCGGGGCAACAGATTGAAACTGTATCTTAAAAAAAAAAAAAAAAAAAGAAGCAGGGGATAATTATTATTAAAAACCACAATAAAAAGTAAAAGTTGCCAGGCACGATGGCTCATGCCTGTAATCTCAGCACTTTGGGAGGCTGAGGCAGGCGGATCACGAGATCAGGAGTTCGAGACCAGCCTGGTCAATATGGTGAAACCCCATGTCTACTAAAAACACAAAAATTAGCCGGGCGTGGTGGCACTCGCCTGTAGTCCCAGCTACTCGGGAGACGGAGGCAGAAGAATTACTTGAACCTGGGAGGCGGAGGTAGCAATGAGCCAAGATTGCACCATTGCACTCCAACCTGGGCGACAGAGCAAAACTCTGTCTCAAAAAAAAAGTAAAAGTTGCTGGGTGCTGTGGCTCACACCTGTAATCCCAGCACTTTGGGAGGCCAAGGCAGGCAGATCACCTGAGGTCAGGAGTTCAAGACCAGGCTGACCAACATGGCGAAACCCCATCTCTACTAAAAATACAAAGAAGTAGCCAGGCATTGTGGCACACACCTTTAATCCCAGCTACTTGGGAGGCTGAAGTAGGATAATTGCTTGAACCCAGGAGGCAGAGGTTGCAGTGAGCCAAGATTGCACCACTGTACTCCATAATAGCTGCTTCAGGTGACTTTAGAGGTTACTGTTAGATAGATGGAAGGGATCCTGCAAATTAAAGATAATATAACTCAACGCATGTCTTAGTTCAGGCTGCCATAACAAAATACCATTAACTGGGTGACTGATGTGATGGTTAATTTTGGGTGTCAACTTGACTGGGCTAAGGGATGCCCAGATAGTTGGTAAAATATTATTTTGTGATGTGTCTGTAAGGTTGTTTCTGGAAGAGATTTGCATTTTAATCTACATACTGAGTAAAGAAGATTCACCCTCACCCACATAGGTAGGAATCATCCAATCCATTGAGGGCTGGACTTGAACAAAAAGGCAAAGGAAAGGGGAATTCCTTCTTTTCTTGAGCTGTGTCATCCATCTTCTCCTGCCCTCAGACACTGGAGCTCCTAGTTCTCAGGTCTTCGTAATCCAGGATTTATACCAGCAGTGGTCCCTGCTCTGGTTCTCAGTCCTTCAGACTTGGACTCAATTATACCATTGGCTTTCCTGGGTCTCCAACTTGCAGGTGGCATCTCATGGGATTTCTTGCACGAGTCAAGGCCCATAATATATCTCCTCTTATACATGGCTCCACATATCCCATTGGTTCTGTTTCTGTGGATAACCCTAATATAGCTTATAAATAACATACACTTATTTCTCAGTTTCGGAGGCTGGAAGTCTGAGGATAGGGTATAGCATGATTGGATTCTGTGAGAGCCCTCTTACAGCTTGCAGATTGCTGACCTCCTGTTGTAGAAAGACCTAGGGGGCTCTCTAGGGTCCCCTTTATAAGAGTACTAATTCCATTCATGAGGGCTCTCATGATATAATAACCTTCCAAAGGGCCCACCTCCTAATATCACATTGGGGGTTAGGATTTCAACATATCCATTTTGCAGGGACATAAACATCAGTCCATAACAACCCAGGAAGGTCAGGAGACCTGTCCAAGATCACATATTTATCTGGTAGCAGCGTCAGAACTCACATTCCAGGCTCCTGACTGCTAGCCCCATTGTTTTTCCTGCAGGCATGCAGGGTTACAGAGACAACCAGAGTAAAGACAGTTAATAGCCATGTGGGTATAGGTTGGCAGGCGGCTAGGTAGAAAGTCAGGGGAAAGAGAGTTAATAACCAAGTGAGTATAGGTTGGTGTACAGCTAGGGAGAAAACCAGGGTAAAGAGAGTTAATGGCCGAGCGAGTTTGGGTTGGTGTGCACCTAGGTAAAAACCAGGGTAAAGAGACTTAATGGCTGAATGAGTACAAGCTGGAGTGCTTGAGATGAATAAACCTGTGGTCCTGTAACATATTCAGCAAGTAAACATATTGTTCTCTTTTAATTCCATTAGTGAGTAAGCGAAAGGAGCTTCTTGATTCCCAATTTTACCTTTCTCTTGTCACCCCGAGTCTTGTCATCAAGACACAAAAGAGAACGTATTTTCTTCTTTTTCTATTATCCATTAGGTCTTCTTCGAAATAATTGGAAACTTTTTCTTAATAGCTAATACGTATTTCTGAGTCCTTCTTATATGCCAGATTCTATGTTACACACCTTTAATTCTCAGAATACCCTATCAAGTAGGTTCTATGATTTTCCCTGAGAGGAAAGCAAAGCTATGAGAGGTGACACAAGGTCCCCAAGGTCACACAGCTAATTAGATGGAACCGGAATCTGAACCTCTTGGTTCATCAGATTTCAAGGCATGTACTCTTAATCACTATCCTAAATTCTCCATATAGAGAGCCATCAAAAGTCACAGTTATTTTTCTGATGCTCACCCGAACCCTGAGGCATAATGATGATGAGGCCACCCTGCCCTGTCTCTGCTTCCTAAACTGTACTCTTCCCCACCTCCACCTCTTAATGAATAATTACATTTCTTTATTAAGAAAATTAATGAAGATTTTCTTCATGTAGACTTTTTTTTTTTTTTTAAATCCTGACACTGACTGAAACATGTAGCCTTATTGATTAAAAAAACTAAACAAAACAAAAACTGGCCAGGCGCGGTGGCTCATTCCTGTAACCACAACACTTTGCAGGGCTGAGGCAGGAGGATCACTTAGGGGCAGGAGTTCAAGACCAGCCTAGGCAATTGAGTGACATCCTGTCTGTACAAAAAAATACAAAAATTAGCTGGGTGTGGCGGTGCGTACCCGTAGTCTCAGCTACTCAAAAGGCTGAGGCAGGAAGACTGCTTGAGCCGAGGAGTTTGAGGCTGCAGTAAGCCTGGGTGACAGAGTGAGACCCTGTCTCTTAAAAAAATAAAGTAAAAAAGCAGAAAACGTCAAAAACCAAATCTTGATTCAGATAGACATATTCCTAAAATATTATTTCTAAAATATAATACAAATTCCTAAAATATTATTTCTCTGATTTCTCTGTAATAGTTTGCTCCATTAAAAGATAATGTGAAATTATTGGGGCTCCTTAGTATCTGTAGGCCAAATTCAGTTTCCCATGGTTACTTTCGATGAGTGAGTTTGATTTCAGAGCTGAATCCTGATTTCAGAGGACATAACTCAAGACCAGAAATTCCAAGCATCAAAGTTTTAAAAATCAAAACAATTCCCTCTCACTCCTCAACCTTTATTATTTATTTTAGTATATTTCCGTCAGACCTCTGAGGACTATTCTATTAAATTTATTCTCCCGAATTATATAAAATGGGAAATGTTAAGTCCAATGGGCTGTTAAAGCAATCTAGTCACTGGATTTCAGAAAAAAATAAAAATTATACAAAGTTCTTAAAATTATTTTATTACTATCAAGTATTTTTCCAAACAATTCACAACTGTTACCACTCTTAATTAGTTCAGTACTTCCACCCTAAAGTATTGAAGGACTTGGAATTTGGCAAAACCCAAATCTATTTTCTAGGG
Source organism: Homo sapiens (assembly GCF_000001405.40). Taxonomy (NCBI): domain Eukaryota; kingdom Metazoa; phylum Chordata; class Mammalia; order Primates; family Hominidae; genus Homo; species Homo sapiens. Next base: position 2,132,698 of record NC_000009.12, on the reverse strand, counting down.
CCTTAGCTCTCCCTTGTGTATAAAAACGGAAATGCAGCTTGCTAGAAAATTTTGCCCCAGTAAATCTGATGACCCAATTTTAAAAGTTAAAATGCCATTTGATAAAAGAAAAAAGGGTCCATGTTTACAAAGCTTCTCACATCTTACAGAAAAAGCAAGAAAAGATTTTAAATGACAAAACAAATGCAGCCAAATATTACAAACATGATGCACATTATGCTTTAGAAAAAGGATCCCCCCCCACAAAAAAATCTTGCCAGTGTAAAATAAAATATTTTAGGGGAAAAGTACATCTACGAGAATCACTAATGCTGTCAGGAGAAACAGAGCTGAGTGATTCAAGCCCCTGTCTGTGATTTCAGGCTGGATCATACTTAATGCAGCCCAGAGGAGGCATTAGCTTGCTTGCAAGATCTCTAGGCAGAGAAAAATCCACAGCCCACCTCTTTACACCTGTGAGGAAATATTTTATTTATCATTGTGTATTTCCATAGAATTTCAAATGTCTTGTTCTTTAACCTTTCTTCGTATTTTCCCCAGTTTTTTGTGACTAATTCACCATGGATTTGTCTGCCTTTTCCTGTGTAGAGTTTAGCAGTTTGGCTTCCTGTGATGAGAGGCCAACTCAGAGAGCTTATTGCAGCTTGGTATTACATAGCTTTTTAAAGACACTAAATTCTCTTGAGATGTATCACATTTTACCTTACTGATTAGCACCTAGTATTATAAATGTCATTTTTTTTTCCTTTTTTTTTTTTTTTGAGATGGAGTTTTGCTCTGTCGCCAGGCTGCAGTGCAGTGGTGTGATCTTGGCTCACTGCGGGCTCCACCTCCAGGTTCAAGTGATTCTCCTGCCTCAGCCTCCCGAGTAGCTGGGATTACAGGCACCCGCCACCACGCCCAGCTAATTTTTGCATTTTTAGTAGAGACGGGGTTTCGCCATGCTGGCCTCGACCTCCCAAAGTGCTGGGATTACAGGCGTGAGCCACCGCACCCGGCCTCATTTTGTTTTTTCTACTTTGTTAAACTTTGGGAAGAAGAAAACCCCAAAATTATTTTAGTAGTCAGCAGACATGATGATGGGAACCCCATTTAGGCACGTTCACCATGGGAAGCTCAGGCTGTCACCTGGTGACAGACTGGTCAAGGAAAAGGAGGGTGTTCTGTCTTTCTGCAAAGTTCCTCTTGAAATTCTATGGCTTCTAAAACTTGCTGTTATCTATCGCCCAATTTAAAGATCTAAAGAAATAAGTCTCATCACCATCATTTCCGTAGCGTTTACTGGGGCCCAACTGCACAGGACATCACAAAACAAAGCGGTGTCTTCCCTCATCGCCAGGAGCTTATTCAGTATACCAAAAGAAGTGTCTACACATTCAGACATAAGGACCCCATAGTAGATATATGATGCCGTAAGAAAGGTAACAAGAGACAACAGCAAATAGGAGAAACTTTTTAAAATTACAAGACATTGTGAGACAAAGGCATACTACTCTCCAGCTGGCTGGTAATTGCATATTATCCAGAGCACATAAGCTAGAATGCATTCCAATTATCTTCCAGTGCTGTGGGGCAAAAATCACTCACGTAGCAATTAAATAAATTCAGGGATATCACTAAATGTTTTAAGGAAAGGAAGGATTCTGAAGTTGGCAGAAAGAGCAAAGGAACAGGAAGAATAGTAAAACAGGCATTCCAGAAACCACCCTCCAGCCCGCTTTTTGGCTCTGCAATCACCCCAATTTTGCACAGCCCCTGGCTCAATAATGATGACTGCCTTACGGTGCTAGAAACAGCACAGCCAGTGTACACAGGGCTGACATTAAACCGGAAAACCGTGGCCCACTGGGCTTGTCAGAATTTAGGTAGATGGAATGCCTGCTCTTACATATAAAGAAGCAAATATATGTTTCCAAGAAATTATCAAGATGGGCCATTTCTTGTGCATGCGCAATTATACATATATATATGTGTGTGTATATATATATGTATGTATGTATGTATATGTATAATTGCGCATGCAAATATATATATATGTAATCTGTAATATAGCACTGTTATCACCTTGGGCACACACCATAGGAAAGTTACAAAACTGTAATGGATGGAATATTTGTTAACCATGTTAATATTCTCTTTCACACTTTCTAAAAGAACCATCCCTTGTTCGGGAGAGTTACTCATTGCCTTGAGCAGAATTAGGATAAAGTTGGTATGCAGAGACAAAAATGACAACATCTTTGACTTCCAAAATAGGGTAGTGAATTCCCTTCACCACCTTTACGATCAAGAGCCAAACCTAGCGGACTGGGATTCTCATCTATCGCCTTAACCACTCGGCCACGACAAGGCCGAGGACCGGGATTCTCAGAATGGCACAAGAAGCCACAGCACATGGTGCTATCACTCGGGAACAGGAAGTTGCCACGTAACAGGAAGGCAAGGAGGAGAGCCTTCTTCCATGGAGGAAACAGGAGTCAAGAGGAAGAGAAGTAAGGTCAGGATTGAATATATTACTACCTATTATATAATAAAGAATCTGTCAGGCTGGGCATGGTGGCTCATGCCTGTAATCTCAACACTTTGGGAGACGGAAGCAGGTGGATCACTTGAGCTCAGGAGTTCAAGACCAGCCTGGCAAATGGGGCAAAACCCCGACTCTACAAAACGTACAATAATTAGCCGGGCATGGTGGCATGTACCTGTAGTCCTAGGTACTCAGGAGGCTGAGGTAGGAGGATTGCTTGAGTCTGGGAGGTCAAGGCTGCTGTGAGCCAAGATTACACCACTATACTCCAGCCTAGATAACAGAGTGAGATCCTGCCTCAAAAAAAAGAATTTGTCTGGTCTTTGTCCTGGGTTCCTGACATGGAGTTTCTATGTTTGACATCTCCGTAGTGACAGGAGTAACTTTGTTCTGATAATGAAGTGTCATGTGTGATAGGCCCCTAAACAGCTCCAGTGGGCACTGGTCACCAGAAAGACCAACCACATGACTACAGGGTTGGGGATGTGAGCCAGTCTGACCTCCAGGGAGGGCAGAGAGGCTGGGGAATGAGTTCAAGCATGTGGCCGACAATCTAATCAATCATGCCTATACATTGTGAAACCCCATTGAAAACTCTGGACATCAAGGCCCAGTAGCACTCCCTGGTTAGTGAACACACTGATGAGCTGGAGGACTGATGGACGCTGACTCCACGAGGAGCAGGCAGAGGAGCCCAGGTTTCCTCCCAGACTGCATGCTGTGCTTCCATTCATTTGGCTAGTCCCCTTTTTTCGAGATGGAGTCTCGCTGTGTCGCCCAGGCAGGAGTGCAATGGCACGATCTCGGCTCAATGTAACCTCTGCCTCCCGGGTTCAAGCGATTCCCCTGCCTCAGCCTCCCAAGCAGCTGGGACTACAGGCACGTGCCACCACGCCCGGCTAATTTTTTGTATTTTTAGTAGAGATGGGGTTTCACCGTGTTAGCCAGGATGGTCTCGATCTCCTGACCTCATGTTCCACCCGCCTCGCCCTCCCAAACTGCTGGGATTACAGGCATGAGCCACAGTGCCTGGCCTAGTTCTCTTGATTTGTATACTTCATAATCAATCCGAATCCGTTGCTAATGGCACTTGCCTGAGTTCTGTGAGTTGTTCTAGCAAATTATCAAGCCTAAAGGGTTCACGAGCCCCTGAATTTGTAGTCAGTCAAAAGTGTGGGGGGCCTCGGGACCCCCAAAGTGTGGCTGGTGTCTGAAGTCAGGGCAGTGTTGTTGGGGACTATGCACTTTAACTTATGGAGTCTGTGCTAAGTCTGGCTAGTTTGTGCCAGCACTGAATTGCAGCTGGGTTGAAATGCAATACTCCCCCTTCAGAATCCAAGCCTGGGGTGTTTGGAGGCAGAGACTGAGTGGAAAGGAAGATAATGAGGCACTAAAACTGCTAAAGGTGGATTTATTGGAAAGCTAATGAAGCTTAGGCTTTAGGCCTCTCACTCACAAGCTCCTTCCAAAGCTCTGGGAGGATCCCTCACTATGTGATCCCAAATACAGTTACATACTTTTATACAATTTGCAAACTTAAGACATTTTTGAATTGCTTTCTTTAAAAAGCTCCAGGACCCACCCAACCATCAGATTCTAGAAGCTTCAGGTTTGACAACCCCTGGTGCTGACTTAGCAACTGCTGAGGAAGGGGCCAGTTTCACTGCACCCTGCATCTTCTAGCACAGTGTGGAGAAATCAGTCAAGGAGAGTTTGCAGACTTCCAAACAGAACACAAAAGAGCTAAGAGCACCATGAGGCCAAAGAGGCCAGGGGTCTTATGAGATGTGAGAATGCAGGACAGCTTCTAACTAGTGCCTGTGGCCAGGCTCCAGATTTCAACAGCACATGTCATCAAGGTCTCTAAAAGAATGAGATGAAACCAGCTGCATGTAAAGACCTCCCAGGAAAGGAGCAGACCAGCAGCTATATGCTGAGATCAGTGGAGACCCATGGGGAGCAAGAGAACCAGGATGCTCGCCCCCAATGCCGTGCTTAAACACCACGTCTTTATCCAGATGCCATCTTGGAGAGGAGGATGGGATGGGAGCCCCCGGGGAAGAGAGAAACAGCCCAGAATGTGAATGTTGAACTGACTACCACAAAAAGATGACGTTAACTTGAGACCAGCTAACACTAAGGACATCTAAGTTTCCTCAGTGGAAATAGGAATTTCAAAACAATGTAAAATACCTTTAAAAAAAAAACTGAACTGTGTTTGAAATTGTGATCCTCCTGATTAAAAACAACATTATGAATGCAGAAAAAAATTCTAAATTCCACCAACTAAACAGATTCTCTAAAGGACACTGTAGGAATTTTTAGCATGCCATGATTACAAAATAAAACCTGTCTTCAATGAAACCAAAACACCACTGGCAAAGAAAGTGACCATAACACTTAAATTTAACCTAAGTGTGCTGAGGCAGGGATGGCTAAATATTCACCAAAATTTTGTTTTCCTGGGCTCACAGCCAGACCACATTTCCATCTCCTTTGCAGCTGGAGTGGCCACATAACCAAGTTCTAGCCAATGGAATTATAACCATTTAGGCAGGGCCCATTAGACTTCCATACCCACTACTCCATGTTGTTTTCCCCACTTCCAGCTCAAGTGGATGGAGATGACCAAGCCGGCAGAGGCTCTGTCAGCCTGGAGCCCTGAATGACCCTATGGAGAACAGCTGTCCTCACCAATCAGGTATACCTACCATGGACTTTCAGGGAAGGGAGAAATCAACTTCTGTTTATTTTTCTGGATAGGTCCATGGACAGGGCATGTTGAGGTCCATCTGTGGCAGCAGTGAACATTACCCACATCTATCTATACCCTTATCTGTCAATCCAGTGCTACTTTAATTTGGCAACTGATGGGCACTTAGTATTTGTACACAGAAGTCCTAAATTCTAACAAGATACAGAGCCAGCTTATCAACTAGTCAGGAAAGCAGGCAGGTTGGCAACTACCGAGAATACTAGGAAACTGTGACTGAAGGACAAGCAAAGAAATGTTAAGAGGACAATTAAAAGTGCAATTAATATTTATCTGTGAAGGTGCCACAGAGTGGGTAGCAACTGAATTGGGCCTTGAAGGAGGAGGAAAGTTCAAGAGAAAGAGGAAGGTAGAAAAGTTCAATCCAGACTGAACATGAGTTTGCAAACATTTTATCCATGGGGCTGTGATACTAAAGACAGAAAAAAATATTGTTCTCTTCACCCCAGGGAAAAGAATCAAGGCCTCTGAGGAGAAGCTACAAGGAAAGAAGATTCTATTCAAAGGGAGGAAGAACTATTAATCAGAGCTGACCACGAACTGGAGGGGCTACACAGACAAAAAGGTAGTTTTTCCTTCTAGGGGTGGCCAGCCTCCTGGCACAGAGATTGCAGAGAATGTGATTTAAGCAAGGGATGGGAAGCTGTTCCATTCAACTGCCTTGCAGCTCTGCGATGCTATGCATCTTGGATGTCTCTGCCAAGCAGGCTTTGTACAACATTGCCAGGAAAAAGAAGAATTATTTTAGCCCTGTTACAGCATTTCTTACACGACGGTCCTTGCCAAACTCCCTTTCAAGGCCATGTTGGCTGGGTTCATGCAATGTGTTAAATCATAAGCCAGTAGAGAACATCTCTTCACATCCAGGCCCATGAGAACCCCTTCAATATCATTTCATCATCAAAAAAGCTTAACAGGCTGATATTAAATAGGATTGCTGCTGGTGAACACCAAAGACAGGAAGCATCTACTTTGAATGCTTAGGCCATGGGGCATGTTGCATCCATTGCATGTCCTGATTAATAACAAGTTGCCAGTTTCATACCAAATACGGGCATGCAGTTTTCAAAAGATTAGATTACAAAAAGATACGTTACAATAAAGCTGTTTTGAGAACAGTTTCGTCCTTCTTGGATGACTTAGTATGTTGCATGGCATTTCAGAATTACAATTATAAAAACCAATTTTCACAGTGCAGTTTTGTAAAACAAACTAATTTTCCATTTTTAAATGTGCATGTTGTAGATAAAAGGAAGTTTACTAGATGCGCTAAAAAGAGAAATGCTCTCCTAACACTGCTGATAAGTTAGTCACTTTCCCTTTCCTCTTAAGGCTGTACTTTCATTTTCACAAACATTCACTGAGTCTCTATGCTAGGCACTGTGCTACTCATCAGGGATAGAAACTGAATGAAAAAGAGAAAACAAAACAGATATCTTAAACTGGAAAACTTCCTGAGATTCATAATGTTGTTTTTCTTCAGGGCAATTCCCAATGATTATTTTTAAGAAGTTAAGTTCAGCTACATTCTTGCCCAATAAACAAGGTTATTTTGCTTTTAATGTCTGGAGAGTAAACATATCAAAGCTTAGCTTTAAAAATTTCGCCCAGCCAGGCACGGTGGCTCACGCCTGTAATCCCAGCACTTTGGGAGGCCAAGGCAGGTGGATCACCCGAGCTCAGGAGTTTGAGACCAGCCTGACCAACATGGTGAAACCCCGTCTCTACTAAAAATATAAAAATTAGCCGGGCATGGTGGTATGCGCCTGTAATCCCAGCTACTGGGGAGGCTGAAGCAGGAGAATCCCTTGAACCCGGTAGGCAGAGGTTGCACTGAGCTGAGACCACACCATTGCACTATAGCCTCAGTGACAGAGAGAGACTCTGTCTCAAAAAAAAAAAAAAAAAAGGTTGGCCCAGATTATTATTGTCCCGTCTGCTGTAATAATACTCCAGGTACTCAATTTATTGCTTAAATAAAATTTTCCCAAGCTCAGAAATATATATTAGCCAAAAAACTCTTCATATTACAGAATGAATCCTAATTACATAACTATAATCTCAATAGTGAAACAAAGAAAATTCACAGAATCATATTCTGAGGTCACTGGAATATTTGACTGGATACGACAAACTAATCACACAAATGTTCTATTTTATACACAACGGTTCAACCACAAATAATGAGCAGTGCTTTTCAGAATCACAGGCTCCCATCTTTTCAAAATTCAGGTCACGTCCCTCTCATCATACAACATCCTGAGTAAATCACATCTCAAGCGGTGACAAGACCTGTTTGCCTTTGGTATCTAATCTCAAAATTCTGCCCACTGCCTTTCTACCCATCTACCTACTTAAAACCTGGGTCCTAAAATCCATGTTTCACAAAGCTTGGGAACTGTACTCCCCTTGGATAAAACGAACAACTCCCCAAAGCTTTTGTTTTGCTTGGTTTTTACCCAACTACACTTACTATTTCCAGCATGCATTTACTGGCTGTGTCTGGAATGCACGTCCCAGGTTGCTGTGCCTTTCTAGGTACTAAGTCTACTCCCAAAAATGGGAAGTAGAGCTAACCCTTCGAATGGAACAGTCACCCGGGCCTCAGTGTTCACACACGCGACTCCTAAGAGCATTTTGATATTTCTGTGCTGCCCAAGGAACGTTCTGAGATTTCAGTCCTCAATCAAAATGAGAAATCACCATTTTCCAAAGGAAAAACAACATAAACAAACTCCCGAATAACATTTCCAAGCATCGGTGACCCGAGTCCCAGGCTCTAATCTGTGTTTGTGATGGACAGATCAGATCAAGCGGAAATCGAGCATGTAGACACATAAGCACCCACCGATTCTGTGCTTTCTAACCAGCTGTGTGTCCTGCATAGCCATGTCACCTCTCTGGGCCTCAGTTTCTTCATCAAACCAAGCAAGTACAAAGGTACCTTCCAGCTCTAAAAGTACTATGGGTCTACAAAATAACCACACAGTTAGAAAACTCTGCTATCCCTGAAAGATCTGTGCAGACCTTGCAGAAGTAAAACCTCGATTAAAGACCATGAAATGAGGGGGAACAATTACAAAGATCTCTAAGGTGCCCTTCCACATTTTGATTCTCAGTTGGAGAGAGTGAGGCATGACCAGGCAATTGGTCATAAAACATTAGTGGGTCTCACAGCTCTCATAATCCTGTGCTTCCAATGGCCAATTCTGCTCTAGCAAAAAATCCTGCATATTTTTTTCCAAGCACCGCCTTGAAGTGCAGAACGCCTTTATCTTTTCATGCAACAGCACAATGACTTTATGCAACAGCAGAATGACTTTATCTTCTGTGTTCAAGAGCCCCTTCCCTTTGATTGCGAACTCAACCTCCTCAGAAAATCCCAGCTCTAGGCCCCTGGTTTCTCCAAGCCACCAAAAACCCTCCACCTAGTGAGAGCGGGTTAGAAAAGCTAGGCTTACCCTTAGCCACTGCTTCTCCGTGAGGGCGTCACTGTAGTCCACGTCACGGCGCTGGCGGGACCCCCTCCCAAATATTTTCTCCTCCTCTTCTTCACAGGTGAGCCTTTCTACTTCAGCGTCATCCTTAATGATCCAGGAGGGCAGCTCATCCTCCTCCATTAAACGGGGCTTCCGTTTCGGGTTCCGGGCATCTTCCCTCCGCCGGTCCATGTCCATCCGCTGGAGACATTAATAAGAGGGTCACCGAAAGTCAGGGCTTCTGTATGGTGCAGACTTCCCAGCACTACACAACTTCCCCAAGTCACTTCCTATGGCTGCAGGGTCCCTTTCAACCTCTCTCATCCTGGTTGGCTTGTTCTAGCTCATCCCTAAATATCTAGGGAGAGATTCCATTAAGTAAAATCCCCTCCCTTTTTCTGTACCCACCTTTTGAAACTTATTCATACATTTAAAAAGTACTTTTAAAGAATTTCCTTTTCTTAGTCTGTGTGTATGCAAAGCTCCCTCTTTAAAGTAATAGTGGAAAAATTCAAATTGGGAATGCATTTTAAAAATATGACCTCTTGGCTATACAACTCATTGCTTCCCTGGAAGAAACTTATTCTTTGAGTAAAGAAAAGAAAGATCTTTAAGAAAGTTTCCTTTTATTCAATAGGGCTTGTGCTTTGAACTAAACAATCAGCAATAAAAAAAAAAGGGGGACCCAAGGTATCAGTACAGAATAGCTACCCACAGTTGGACATGTGGAAGAGACATAAATGGTTTCACTGGTCCATTGGCCATGAATATACTAACTTTTCAATACCTCATGGGCACTGTCTGAGGAATGCTCTTCAATTCTTTACATTTTAAGCTTTGTGCTCTTATGAATATATTATACCACAGACAGAGAGAGCTCAGAGGTAATCGCATCCCAACTGATCTAGTTGTAAGTGAAATGGATTCCTTTCAGAGCCTTCAAAATGCCTACTTCCCCACCTTCTCTCTTTTTAATAATCCAGTTCACTTGTAAATAAACTAAGGGCCACACACTTGGCTTTAATCTATAACTAAACAATACGATGGATTTTTAAAAAATAAACTGCCACTATATATCCACAGACATTATGTATAAACACTAGCGAGATGTGTCATTTCCACAATGAAATGGACCATCAATCATTGTTATTTACCTTTTCCTTCTTCCTTTGGTTCTACCATACTGAAATTGGGATTCAATATTATGTTTTCTTAAAAGCTAAAACTGATAAAATGTAAATGAAATATCTACGCAAACCCAAATATGACCTCTAGAACCTATTTTAAAATTAGTGGTCAAAGCTCTTTATACTTCTTCCACATTTTTGGAAGTCATTACATTTCCAGAATCTGGTAGGCTTGGGAGACAGGTGAAGTCCCATTGGTTGATAAATGTGGCCACCTTGCTCTGTCATGTGCTATAATTAGCTCACGATGCTTAATCCTGTCTTCTAATGTTTTGGTATGAGAAATGGATCCACCAAACCTTCATAACTGGCACACAGAGGTTGCCTTCTTTACAGCAGTTCTAAAGAGGGGCTTCGTGAGGCAACCTCCTAATAGTTATTAGAGAGCTAATAAGAAAAAAAAAAATTTTGTTAATGTCCTATACTGAGATGACAAAATACTGCCATTTCAATCTTTGGTTTTACTGCTACTATTATCTACAGCAAAAAAATAGTCTTTGAGGTATGTTTAATCAATACATTTCTATGGACATTATTCTTGCTAATATATTTGTCCACAATTGAGAAAATAAATCTTTTCTGATAGAAAAGTAAATTATGCACTTGTTTCTTTTTTCTTTTAGGAAAGGTAGATTCGATTACATAAGATAAGCTTAAAGTCTTAATAACTGCATCTCTCCCTAGAGATTTCTACCCACAAAATACCAATATAATTAATTCAACATTATGGCAAAAGTCAAACTTACTATTTAGTTACTTTGTGAATAATTGGTCTTGAGATCTGATTATAAACCTTATGCTTACAAGTACAATTAGTTTTAAAAGTGCTTTTTCCCTTTGTAGAGAACATAGCATCTAAAAGCTTAATGTTTGTATGTTAGCAAAATGTCTCAGATACTTATCTTGAGCTGCCAAAGATCTTTTTGGTAAAATTCCTAAGTAATTGGTATAAAAGATACTTTTTCTGAAGTTACATTTTTAGAAAGAGAAAGCAAGACATGCTTTTTTTAAAAGACGTTATTTTAAATAAACTATCTGCTTATCATGTGTAAACCAGTGTCTATGATACAAAATCAAATAATAAGTTTGCATTAATTTTATAGAGAACTCACTCTTTTCTAATAATGGATAAAGAGTTTAAATATTTAAAATCCAAAGATTTATTCTAGCTCACATTCCATTCTTGTTTCTCACCAAACTTTTTAATCTGTAGCTGGCAGAGATTCAAATTTTATTTCCTGCCCCCAAGTGGAGGTGCTAAGGAATAGTGAATTGGCCAAAGGCGGCCGGTGGATTAGAAGAAACTAAACCAAACCTAAAATCTGTCTAATCCTCAAAATAGAAGCCAGCCTTTAAGAAACCAGCAGAAAATTCACAAAATCAAAGTGCCTACAAAAAGTGTTCCCTAGCCAGCCTCACCTGTGTTACAACCCTGTTCTTTGAGTGGTAAAATAGTCCCAAATTAAAAGAAGGCTGTGCCTTCCAAGATATTCAGATTGTTTCTGAGGTTTTCAATTTCTACAAATAGCCCAAAAGTAAGGCAGGAAAGTACACTCACCCCCTTACTTCAGGGCTGCTGAAAGAATTCTCCATTTCTGGGCCTAATCTAATTTGTATAATGGCAAGCAGCTTGTCCTCTCCAGTGTCTTGAGAGTATCTGCGGCTTTAGCAGTGCTGAATTATTGCCTAACAGTGATCAGCTGAGGGTCTCTTGCTTGGGTGTTCCCCAGTAATCTGCCTTTTAATTAGTTCTTCAAGGACAGAGGGGATGTCTATTTCTGATGGGTATCTTTAACCTCCCTAAATAGAGAATATTGTAATCTTTGATTATGCTGACCAGTGTGAGTTAAGAAATCTAGAATTTATGAATGCCCTACATTGACCATGCTGTTAAGTCTTTCTTACTACCATTCCTCTCTGAAATAGCTTTACTTGGGAAGGGTGGTTCATTTCGGGGACGGAGGGAGAAAGGGAAGTGCATATTCCAGTTTAGTAGTTATTCCCACAGCTACCTGAATTTTCCTGAGAAAGAAAATTTTATTGTGGATCATTATATACAATCAATGTTCCCAGAAAAAAGCCACACACACAAAACCCCAAAATAACATAAGCCTCTCCAAACAGGTGGAGTTCCATTCTGTCTAGGCTAAAAAGGTGGAGATTGCAAACCCTGTGGATCATATTTGGCCCACAGTTGTGTTTTGTTTGGCATGCAGTGTTATATAATAACTTAAAAAGTTGGATTTAGTTGCAGTGTTTTAAAATCTAGAGATCACATATAAACACCTAGACTTCAAGCTCCCCTTGAAAATTTGTCATTTCTGGCGACATAGGTCTCACATTTCTACCTTGCAGCTCTGTCCCCCCATAGACAAAGCATCTCCAGTACACCTACCTCTGCCCACTTGCTTCACACATGCAAATTACTCATGTAAGATCTGATGGCACTCAAATTTGGGACCTCTAACTTTAGGGTTCTGCAGCATTCAACCACCAAAGTTGTGGTTTATATTTACTCTCTCTGTAATCAGTCTTTGATGAAGATGAAAATGATTGAAGATACTGGAGGGAAATCCAACTGATTTTGATCCTTAAATGAAGGCTACACCTTTATGCACACCTTGAAGGTTCCCATTCATTTAAGCGGGCTCTCGTCAACAATCTGAAAAGGCACACCTGTGTGTTGTTTTAGCTGTTGTCCACCTATCTCCCTAAGGAGCATGTTGCTTTGATCCTGTAAGGGCACTGTTGTAAGTTCCAATGCCTATAGGAGCCAGGTAGGCTTCCTGAATGACACTGGCCTGGGATTAGAAACGAACTGGGAACAGGAGGGCGTCTATGGTAAGCTGTAGACCGCGAGGCCTGTCCAGAGAGTGCAGCTGCTACTCAGCCCTGGCCAACTGTTTCCACACAAAGATGTGGGCCTGGTACTGCCCGATCTCATTTTTCAAGAGAAGCCAGAAATCAGGATTCTTTTTTATGTTGGCAATGAATGGGAAATTTTAAAAAACGCTGCGTGGGCCAAACAAAATATGTCTGCAGGCTAACTCCAGCCAGTTTGCAGCCTCTGAACTGAAGGAAAGGCATAGGCTTTACGTATGAAGTTCTGCCAGGCACGCAGGCTGCAGACATTCTGCTTAACAGAAAAAGGGGCAGAGGTATAAAGCATTTGTGTTCATGATTTTCTGTAACATTACCATAAAAAGGTCAAATTCTTCTTCTCGTCGAGCAATCATTTGGTTCAGAGTCTCATCGTCCGGTACTTCATCTTCTTCCTGGGGTTAAAAACAGAGTGATTTTAACCAGTGGACAGCTGGGGCAAGGTACAAACAAGTAAGTGATCTGTCCTCCAGACCAGAGGGGTCCCATTTCTCAAGGCAGAAAGAAAAGGGAAGGGGTTGCTGGATTTAGTCCTTGACGTTACTATTTTACAAGCTATTAAAACCATCTTCCCAGAGCAAAATCCGTTCAGGGAGGAAACTGTGGTCCACTATAAGAAATATGAGTTCTCCTGGATGTGTATCTTGATTCTGTTACTTTTACAACAAGTTACTTAATGTCTCCTCGCTTCAGTGACCTCATTGGTCATATGGGTATGACATCTATTTCACATGGGGATGTAAGATTTTAATAAGGACATCCATATGAAAAAGTACCTAACATTAATTCTTTTAATTCCATTTACCTTATGCCAAATATAAATGCTTATTTTCAAATCCTTACAAAAGACATAAGTATGTGAAACCTTGTTACTAGGCACTAAGACAATAAAAATCACATATATGTGCCAAATATATAGCCTTTGAAGTGTGCTTAATATATTTCTATGGGTATTATTGTTAATGATTGGAGCTATGGATGGGATAACTAAAAAGGTATCAGTAACAAAAAAAACCTCAAAATTATACTTAATTAAAATAATTTAAATGAAGCAGAGAAAGCAATTACATATGGGCTAAAATTTTCATTTTATATTACGTCAAACAAAGGTACATTATCTCTCTGCTAATTCCTCAGAAACCAACAGTTCTCAGGATTTTTAGCAATGTTATAGGATGACTTCCACACTTAAAAAATGATTCTAAAAGTTCGGCATATGCTTCAGGATTTATCTTCCCAAATTATTTTTATCATATGCTGAGTGGGCTTGTTAGAAATCAAACGGGGAATTTCAGTGTATCAGTCGAGGGAAGAAAGAGGAAAACACAGAACTTCAGACATCCAATTTCACAAACTGTATATTCAAAAAGAGGCAACTTGTTTTAGAGAAAGAGTATGAGTGTACTAGCGGCTCAAATGAGATGACTGTGTCGGCTCCCAAGATAACGTCTTTCGCACTGCAGGAACTTAATAAGTGTTAGAAATGAATGCAATCCAATAAAGTAAAAAAATCTACAATTCAAGATAATAATTATTTCTGAAAAACCTTCTATTCTAGTTTGCCTCCAGATTGATTAAAGTCAATTTGTCTAAATATTACATTTCATCTGACAAGGACACAGACTAGCTGGGAGTGGGTTCAGACTTCACAGTACAAAATATCTGGTAATGTCTCCTCTGGTGAACAGATGTCCCGCTTCGCCTACTTTCTTCCTAGAACCACACATTACCCTCTCATCACCTGGACCATGAGGGGCTCAGACAACCCCATGCCCAAGATGAAAAGATTCTCTTGTAAAGTGCCTGTTTATGACCTTCATGGAAAACCAAATAGCTGGAAGTGCACAATGCATCTTCCTGGGTTCTCTGCCCCAGCACTTCATGGTCGCATCAACCATGGTGATGCCAGCCTATGTTGTCCTGATCTTTCAGAACCAGAGTCTTTGACTGCAGTCTCTCAGTGTTTTCAAACATCTTTACATCAGGACACAAGCCCCCCTGAAAACGGCAACATTTTTCTGACACACTGGCAGCCAAGAAGGGACAGGAGCCTCAGCAAGGCTGCTCACAGCTAGCCTTGATGGCAGGACAACTGGGAGGGGAGTGCACGTCAGGCCCCACCTGGCAGCCCTCGGGCCCAGGGGAGATCAGCAACTCCCTGCGGCTTAGGAAGGCTGGAAAACTCCAGGCTTCCTTGATTCTCAACCAGATCAGGTACTATTTTCACAAGGCCTACACAAAACAAATAAGCAAAAATGTAGTGGAGACGACTGGCTGAGTGTCAGCTCTGCTCATATCTGCTTTGTCACAGGATAGATCATTCGCCATATTGTTTTTTTGGAAATGTCCAAGTGTATAAACAACAAAAAAATCACCTGACAATTTGACTCCATATCTGTATCAAATATTCAATTTCTAGAATCAGAAACTATAAATAATTTGAGATAAAAATTTTTCAAATGTGTGTGGATAGTGAGTGCATGTGCATATGTATTTTTTATCATTTTCATGAAACTCAGTGGATAGCTAATCAAAAATATAAGACGGACAAATTAGGAGGCATAATACAAAAGTGCTCTTCAATTTGCAAATGGGTTCATTTCAGGATACCTTTAAATATCAAGCTTTACTTCACATTTAGATTCATTTTAGAAAAAAAAAATATACAGACAGTCTCTGGCTTAACAACGGCTGGACTTAGGATTTTTCGACTTTATAATGGTGCAGAAGGGATGCACATTCAGTACTCCACTAGACTTAAGATGGGGCCATGTCCTGATATTTTCAATTTATGATGGGTTTGTCGGGATGTAACACCATTGTAAGTTGAGGAGTATTTGTTTATAAGACTTTTAAAAGACTCAGGTTCATAATTTATAGAAGAATGCAAAAACACATATCCTATTTAAGGCAAAAATCAAATTATATCTAATATATGCAATGAAAACAGTATTCCACATGAATATGTAAGGTAGACTTACTCTTCAATTTGTAAGTATGGGCACACACAAAAAATATGTTCAGCCAGTTTTATGATAAGGACTTCTGCTGATATTCTGTAGTTTGCTACACTATATACATACGTTTAAAAATCTACTTCAAATCCATTTTGGAATGAATATTTATAAAATTACTAACGTTGGCAATCTAAAAATAATACAAATGACAACTCAACATTCCCCTAATAAAAACCTAATCAAAGCATTCTTCATACAACCCTGACAAATAAAGGCTGTTTAACCAGAATTTTTCCCAACCTTCAGACAGCTCTTAAAGAAAAATTTAAAGTAGAGGTTAAGGTCATGCTTGCCAAGAGCAAGTATAGCTAAATGTGCGGAAGATGGCTGTGAAGGTTTGTCCTACAAACATGTTGAAGCTCTGTGATCCCTGATCAAAAGGCAAAAGAGAGAGAGGGCTCTGGAGGATGAGAGAAAGAGGACCCCTTCCATTTATGTCTTGTCTCGTCCGGCTGATTTTGTCCCTAAAGTATCCTCTGCAGTTCTGCATCTGCCCTACAGAAGGCAGCACTGATGGTTCAATAAAGCAGCTGGTTTTACCACCCTGGGAAAAAGGAGGGAGCACCCACAGGCCAAGCCTTGAGGTTCCTCCAGCCATAGCTCTTAAGACACTCATTTTGGATAACTTTCACAGGCTTTCTGTGGTTGGGATCTAAAACAGCAGTTTATTTCTTCATTTTCATTAACGCCAGCCCAGGAAGTTTTTTAAACAAAGGGATTATTCTGAGTCCTTCAGAGACAAAAGGCCACTGTTTGATTTCATAAACTTGGGGTTTTCTCTAATACCTCATTTTCCTCCTCATGCTCCAAGATGGCCTGCAGGAATGCCCTCCGCTCGTGGCTTGAAGACTTTTGGTCAAACATGCCCGCCTGGATCACTTTCTGATCCACGTTCAGCTTGTATTTTGCGGCCGCGAGGATCTTTTCCTCCACGCTGTTCACGGTACAGAGCCTCAGTACCCGGACCTCGTTCTGCTGCCCGATGCGGTGAGCTCGGTCTTGGGCCTGCAGATCCTGTTTGGGGGGTCAATATGCTATGAGGACTGAGATGCCTGGCATAGGCATCCAAAACCGGACCCCACCCCAGAGGGAAATATGGAAGGGTTCTGTATTTCACCTTCACTAAGGTAAGATTTTGCCTACATTTTAAAAACACACAAGCTACGTTTGGAAAAATTCAGTGTCATTCCTAGTTGAAGAAACCTGGGTTGAAATTAACCAAGCCAACTGAAATACATCTCAGGTTTTGAAATCCAGGTATCATATTGTTTTTATCTGTCTCTAGGTTCCCCATCAGATTTAGTCCATATCTAAAACATTAAACAAGACACCAATGTCCAATGTCAGAATTATGACTTACATAACACCTACAACTAACCTTAAGTTGCAAGAAACGCCTTTTCTTTGGCGTGATGTGTTGAAGATTATTTTAAAAATATCACTGAGTTGTACATTCAGGTATTATACATACATACATCTTACCACACACACACATACACACACACTGACTGCTCAGGTAGTCAATTTCCTCGAACCTAACCTTATCAAAGACTCGGTCTTCAATCTGGGAAATCAAAAGGATTGCTAGTTGGGTAGTCAACTGGTAAACTTTTGGGGACAGAAATTTGTCACTACCTATTAGAAGTGTTAAAACTGTCTATGTCTCCGACTTAGAAATATTACTTCGGAAATGTATCCTAAACAAATAATCATAGATATGCACAAAGATTTAGAAATAAGGATGTACCTTCTCAGAATAATTTACTCTCTCTAATGGCTTTTTTTTTAAAAAAAGAAACATTCAACAATACTGAATTAGTTAAATGAATTATAGTATCCTACTATATGTATGTATCAACAAAGTATCATAAAAATTATATTGTAGGAGATTTAATGACATAAGTGAAAACAAGTTAAAAAGAACCATGTGCATTCTGATCTTACATGTGCAAATTTATCTATATAAAGAAAAAGGTAGGAGGACAAACACCAACATGCCAACAACGTAAATCTCCAGGTGATAAGATTATAGGTGTTATTTCACTTTCTTCACTTTGCTTACATTTTGCTTTTTTTCTGCTTTAAATGTTACTCATATATTAATAATAAGAAAAAAGCTTTCATGAAATTTTTAAATAAAAACCTTCATGAGCCCATGAAACAGAATTACCTAATTTTATAGCTACGTAATAAAAACTTCTTGGCATGTGGCTTTTATTCATTGTGGTCCAGGTGATGTTATCTGAGCTGATGCTAATTAGTTGTTTACACATGTCTCCCATTAGACTGTATAGATTTTTAGGGCAAAAGTCTGTTTTCTGTATCCCACATCCCTGGCACCATAATTTGCAGAGAGCTGATGCTCAACAGCTGTAAACCCGTCTTCTTGACCAGACAAGTCTCCTGGTCACCTGTTGTAGCACAAGAAGGCAGCAGACAAAAGGCTGCCCTGGAGATTTGTTTTTGCTGCAGGGACCTTTAAAATTAAGTAGCCAATTAGGCAAAACTTCTTCCTCAGCAGATATTTGAATAAGTTAATATAAATATCATAGTGCTAAGCCATGAAAACAGCTGGGACCCATCTATATTAGATTATTTTCTAAAGAGGAGAATGTAAGGTGGATCATTCAAATCCAAAGGGGACAAAGAACTTTAAAACACCCTAAAGTTCCTTTTTAAGCTTTTAGTTCAACCGTCCCTCTCCACATATCTTCACCAGACCTGCTAACAGCAGTCAAGATGACAAGGTCTGTGTCATGAGGCTTTTCACTATCTCCTGGAACAGAGGCCAACAGTCTCTAAAATGGGCGCAATAGTAAACGTTCTATGCTGTCTGGCCCAGAAGCAAAAATTGAACAACTGTTCTCACCAGAAGGCTGATACTCTTTTTCCCCACCATTTTCTAATTTATACTTTAAAAAGTGAAAACCATTCTTCACCTGTGGGGGTGCAAAAACAAGGGGCAGGTCAGACCGAGCCCGCGAGTAGTAGATTGCTGACCCTTGTCCAAGAAGATGCTGACAAAACCACAAAAATACTAATTGCAGGGGGCAGCAGAATATGAATAGAACAGGTGAGGAAGCAGGGCACATGGACAACATAGGAACACGGTCAGACATTACAGAATCCTTGGGAATTTGCTGCAGTTAAGTTTCGTTTGGTGGTGGTAGCAGTGATGTGTGTTTGTGTGTTTCAGATCACCCATCTAATTGGAAGGTCACAAAAGCTAATATTTCTAGACTGGAGAAGTTTAACGAAATGTGAGCTTGAGTCCCTAAGCCAAAATGTGGGGGGAATATTGTGACAAAGAAGTGCTGTAATTATTGGATGGATTACTCCATGTTTCTGAAGTCTCACTTCGGTGGTCTGAAACTTCATCACACTGACTTAGGTCTGATAATACTTGAAGCTAAGAGCCTGGTCTGAGAAGAGGGTCTGCAAGCTAAATGTGGTCGACCATTCCGTAATAGCAACACAGCTGCAGCTCCGTGGGTAAAAAACACGAGTACCAACCCATGTTTCTAACCAACAGTTTGGAAATGAGAGTCTTGGCAACCTGGTGGGATTTTTTTTTGTTAATTCCACAATCACGAGTTCTATCTTTGCTTCTAGGTAGGGTCCTCAATCAGCAACATTAAGGCCTCTATCTGTCAACCTATGTCAAATCCCCTATTTTCACCAATGTGCCTTAATTTTGATTCAACATGATAATGCATACTTATAGAAATTTTTCTTCAATGCATGCTAAAATTAACCTGATACAAAGACCTTCACAATTTTCATTTTGGGGGCTATACAATCTATATGCAAGGGTGCAAGGTAGAAAGAGCTCAAACCCAGTATTCAAACTGAAACCTAAACAGACATGGGTGTGAATGATCCTGGTGGGGTGTTCATGAGCAAGCTAACATTGACTGGTTTCCTTATGTAGAAGATATTTTGACGATTACTTGAGGTGAGGTATGCAAAGTGCCTAACAATATTTAGTAGAGTTCTGTACCTTTTAAATGAAAACTCAGATGGATCTTTATCACTATAAAATCACTGATTCCTGAAAAAGAAAAATTTGACCAAACTAATGGTCCTGTTCAGTGACAGATGAAAAATCTGGTCAGCTCAGTTTATTCAATCAGGTGGAAGTGAATCTACCTATGGCAGCTAGAAATACTTGCAGAGGCCCAGTGTGAGGAACCTGTTGTAAATTCCACCAGAGAAAATCTGGGATCCTGTGTTTTGCTGCCAAAGCTTTAGTTCCCATGTAGTTAAGAGGGGACTATTTCATGTTACTGCAATTTACTTTGATTCTAGAGTTCAAAGTTTTTAACAGAGCTAGAGAGAAAGTACGAAAAAAAAAAATGAGAGGCGGGGTGGGGTGGAACATCATACAGATGTCCCAGAGTTATTTTCCATGTTAAATTAGCATTTCCTGGAACAGTGGCTTTTAGGATTTATACTGTATACTGTGCCAGTGAAGGTAAACATCTAAGAGTCAGTGGAAATGCTTACCTCCGAAGACAGAATACAAGCAAACTCTCCATTCACCTATAGATCGTCCTCAAAACTTAGGTACCAGCAAGGATAATCTAAACATCCAATCACATTGAGCACACCAGGAGGAGAGGAGTCACATCACGTCTTCCTTCCTCCCCCTTAGATACCCAGCCTAGCTCACTGCCTGCTGCATAACAGACACTCAATAAATGTTTGTGGAACAAATACTGAATCCATAATGCTAAAAAGAAAAACTGCAGATCTCTCACATCAATATGAATTCTACCTGAGCCTTGGAATGAAACACTTTTATGTATTTATAAAAATACGTAACCATATTTCCTGAAGACTTAGAACTAATATATTCTGTGCTGGTGGCTCCCAATCCTTTTCAAGATCAGAAAATTTTAATAGTCGCTTTAATTTATTCACCTACAGAGAATGGTAAGTACACGCAGTGGCCCAGTGTTGGTGGTTTGGGCCCACAGTTGAGTCTTTAAATCAGTGCTCCTCATCTGTATGAGAATCTATTTCAGAATCTCCTGGGAGCGCTCAAAGGAAGCACCTAGCTCCACCGAATAAGAAAACTGGGGTGCGGTGGCAGGGAACAGAAAGCAGGCATGCATATTTTTTAAAAGCTCCCTTAGAATTTTAATGTACCCCTGAATGTGATTTCCTGCCAAAAGTGACGCTATATGGCACTGCCACTCAGTCTTCGCAACCCAGTGAGATAGTGTTACTGTTGAGAAAACCAGGGCTCAACGAGGAGCCTAGGAAAAGCTGATGTAGAATTCATACTCCTACGTGAGAGTTGCCATTTTCTTTTTGCTTTTCTTTTTTTTTTTTTTTTTTTGAGACACGGTCTTGCTTTGTCGCCCGGGCTGGAGAGCGGTGGTACGATCATGGCTCACTATAGCCTCTGCCTCCCAGACTCAAACAATCCTCCCACCTCAGCCTGCTGAGGAACTTGGGACTACAGGTATAAGTGCCACTGTGCCCAGCTAATTTTTGTATTTTTTTGTAGAGACAGGGTTTCACCATGTTGCCCAGGCTGGTCTCAAATTCCTGGGCTCAAAGCAATCCTCCTGCCTCAACCTCCCAAAGTCCTGGGATTACAGGCATGAGCCACCACACCTGCTCTTCATTTTTACTGTTTTGAATTCAACATTTGCTCCAGTATGAATCAAATCTTGACCAATATCACCCTACCCAATATCCTACAGGCAGATGCCTCACCTCCCAGAGTAACTTAGAAAACCAGTGCCATGAGAGACCCGCTCAATTTAAAAAAAAAAAAACAAAACATCAAAGTACTGCTTTAAAAGGATAGCCCTGAACTTACCTGGCTAAAAGAGCTTTACAACAATAAATGCTCATTAGAATATGTTTTGATGATGACTTTAAATAAAACACAAAATAAAAGGTTAACTACTGTAATACTATTTGGCCTTGGGGAAGTTACTTACCCTGCCTAGGATTCAGTTTCCTTGACTGCAAAGATTCAAATCATATTAACCGTCTGACAGGGTTGTCGTAAAACTGAATGAAAAAATGCCCAAGAGGCTGACACAGATTAAGGGTCCCATGAATGATGGTTGCTATTGTTCTTACTGCTATGATTTTGCAACATTTTTGACTTATCCCTCATTAAATATACTTTGTTCAATGGCAATCCCAAGAGATGGGATTAAAACTAAGGAGAAACTAAGTTTTTCTACCTCAAACTTCAGCTCTTCAAAGGCATATGTGGGACCTCGTATCTATGCTCTAAGGGAGATAAGAAAACAGCCAGAAGAATTGGCTCCAAGAAAGCAACAGCCCACTCGTTTAGATATTTGCTCTGTCCTGTAAATGTGAATAATGAAACTGATCATCTTTTAGTTGCTCTCCAGAGGGAGGCCTGGGCACCTGAGTGGGACATGCAGACCTGATGAGGATTCCAGTCGCTGTCAAAGATGACCACTGTATCAGCTGCCTGAAGATTTAAGCCCAGGCCACCAGCTCTTGTGCTCAGCAAGAAAATGAAATACTGGGATCCAGGTTCATTGAATTTCTTCAGCAAAGCAGCACGATCTTCAGACTTGGTGGTGCCTGAGGGGATCAGAAAAATTAATTTGCCAATTAACTCTTGTCTGAAAATGGCACAGAATGAGACAAAAAGGCTTGCTTCCTTCAAGAAATATACCCAGACTCCTCCTAACACTGGTGAGGTAATTTCCAGGGCTTTGTACTTCTGGATAAAAAACTTTGAACATTTTGCAATTACAAAAAAAAAGAAAGAAACAGCTTAAACATTTCTAATGAGGCATCTTCGCAACTTCACAAATTTTACAAAATCCTTACTCTCACCTAAAACAATGAAAACATTTTTTGGATTTATTTCTGTGATTTATAACAACAAATAATTTTAAGAACACACACACTTCCTCTCTCGCCCTGTCTCTTTCACTCTCACACACACACACGTGCACTTAAAACTGTAATAATGGCTTAAATAAACTTTGCCAATAGGCATTAAAGCAAGGACTTTTTTTATGCCAAGAAAATAGAAAAAAAAGGAAAGTTCTTTTCTACTACTTTACCATTTGGATTACTACTAAGTATGGTCTGGTTGGTAAAAACATAAATTATGAATGTAATTTTTTTTTTGCAAATGGAATAATTTTATCCTTGTTAGCAAGACTTAAAGCCACAATAATCCCCACCCCCCCCACAAGAAATCTCTTAGTCTGTTTCTCACGTTATCATCCTGCTCTGTTGAGTTCAAAGCATGCTAAATCAAAACCAACTAAACAGAGCAGCATGTTAAATACTTGGGGGTGGTTTGCCCCATGGGGTCTGAAGAGGCTCCAAAATAGTGAATAAGCAGACAGTACCAAACCTCAGAGTCTGGTGCTCACTTTTGGGGCATTCTTGCATTCCAGATGAGCCACTCAATCACATATTATGTATGTGTAATGTATTTACCCAGCCATTTCATGAAATGCATTGTGGAAGGGGAGAAAAAAAAAACACCAGTATTCCATCTGAACATATTTCACCAGAAAAGCTTAGATGCTGAATTTTGAAAGAAGGCTTTAGGCTGTTGGGAAATATGTATGCATGTTACATGACAGTCTCTGACCAGCTGCTCTTCAAATATTATTCCTACATGCTGTTCATTTTTTAAGGATGAAAACATACCAGCAATTTATTTCAGAGGATTAAAACATTTAAGTGACTATAGCTAATGAAATCAAGTTACTATGAGGGCCAAGTTCTCAAACATGGGGACGATCTGTTTTTCACATTTAATAAAAATAACAAATGCCCTCCTGAAGAGGGAGAAAACAAATCACTTCCCTGCATACAGCAAACAGGGATTAGAAATGAGGGGTCTGGGGGCTCTCATTGAGTCACATGGAGTCACATTCTTTAGACCCAATTTACTTTCTACATTAGGTTTCGAGTTTAGTGAACTGGTGAGGTCCGACACAATCAACTGTCCGAGTTTAGATTTTGGAGGAGGAGCACTAAACATGCTTTGATGAGTGAGCTTTCAAATGTGGGGCTCTTTTTTCTTTTATTTTCAGAATTGGCTTTCTGAGATCATGGTGAACTATCTGTTCACGACGCTAATGGAAGATATTTCTGCTGTGAAACCTTCTCTATCATCTTTCCAGCTACAAGAATTTTTTTAAAAATTACATGTATTAATGGTTCACATATTTCTCCTCTGCCTTAAACTGAATGAAAAGCCACAGAAACCAAAAATTTCTTCTAAAATGGGGAAAGAAGAGATCATGGCATCTGTGTTTCTGAAAACTGGGTACAAAACTATACATCTATACTCTCAGGATAGAAGTTCAACAGTTTTGATTAACTGAAAATGAACCAGCTGATAATCACACGGATTAATGAAACCGAACAGTTAATCTCATCAGGTCTGCCTGCCCTGCATGCTTCTGGTTTCTTGCTTTTTGTTATTTTTGTTTTCTCTTTTTCCATGAAGCTGAAGGCTGCAGTAGCTGAAGGTCTTGCTGCTGAATGCTCAAACTTGACCTTCACTGGCTACTTTACAGATAACATGCATACGTCACCATGGTAATGGTTACTTCAGTTGTTTTTCAGGAACTTTGGCCAGCTCTGTCCAGTTCAAACCCGTTGACACCACTGGCCCTTAAACTGGGCCTGAGCGCAAGTGCCCAAGAGATGGCCTTTTGATGTTGGAGAGCCAAAAACTCCACCATCAGATCATGCTGACTCTGCCATTTTTTGTATGTATGTCCTAGGAAATGCCATGAACCCTGGCTATGCCTGTGTAGAACGAACCTGTGATTTCATTTTTCCCCACTGCCAATCACCTTTCCCTGTGCCTTACACCACCCCACTTCCTTACCCCATAAATATCCCTAAACCTTATCTTCAGGGAGGTAGAGTTGAGGGCTGTTCTTCCATCTTTATGCTTGGTGCCCTTGTGAATAAATCTTTTCTCTTTTGCAAAACCTGTGTCACAGTGATTGATTTACTGCACGTGGGCAGAACAGACGTGGATCTGGCCAGTAACATAAGATATAAATACAACCAATGCCTACTGAGATGAAATAACCTTACATGCAAAATAAAGCACTGAAAAACAAAAGGAATATCCAAATAAAATTATTTGGTCAAAGGAGTTTTCAGACCCTATAACAGATACCTCAAGCAAACAGGCCAACCATATATCTGGTGTGTATTTAAACTGTATAGGCCAGGCATGGTGGCTCACACCTGTAATCCCAGCACTTTGGGAGGCCAAGGTGGGCGGATCACCTGAGGTCAGGGGTTCGAGATCACCCTGGCCAACATGGTAAAACCCCATCTCTACTAAAAATATAAAAGTTAGCTGGGCATGGTGGCACACATCTGTAATCCCAGCTACTTGGGAGGGTGGGGCACAAGAATTGCTTGAACCCAGGAGGCGGAGGTTGCAGGGAGCCGAGATGCACTCCAGCCTGGGGGACAGAGCGAGACTCCGTCTCAATAAAATAAAATAAAATTAAATTAAATAAACTGTATAAATAGCTGGGAACTTGACAAATTATAAAAAACAAAAAAGATTAAGTCATTTTTCATACAAAGCTATGGCATTTCTTATCATAAGGTTTGCAATTTGCTAGAAAACCCTTTCTGTCAAAGATTTCCAAGTCAAGATCTTTGCTGATCATCAGCAATCTTTTTAACAAATATTTTTTTAATTTAACAAATTTTTTTTGTTAAATTTAACAAAATTTTTAATATTGTTCAGGGAGATTCAAACTACCATGTAACAGTCTATCCAAAGGCAGACACTCCTTGCAAGTGGCTCAAGATTTAACGTGCTCAATACTAACATCAGTTTCATGGTCTTTCAGACTTTGATACATAACCAATTATAAGCATACAATTAATAGGGCAACTGTGTTGAAAATTACAGAATTTACCAGAAGGAACACACTGTCAGACTTTCATGATGACTAATTTTAACTTAGTTTCACCTGCTTTTAGAAAGTGTTGTCTTCTGGGATAAAACCTCACCACTTGCTCTCACTCAAAAATCATTTCCAGTAAAAACAAAAACTATATGGAGTATTAGCTAAATCTATTCATGCAACCATAATCTTTGCAGAAAATTTCTGCTTAGCTCTCATCAAGTGATTTTTTTTCCCCTAAAGTCAAAATCTGAGACATCAAATTCAGCAATGAAAATCTGAAGTCATTTTAATAATTGGGTGGTGGGATGGGGGACAGAAGGGGGTTCAGCTGGAAGTGTGTGTACTAACTTATCTGTGTGTATATTGATTGTTTGTCCATTAGTTCTGTCCACCCTTAAAAGGAACGGCTGCTGTTTCTTACGGAAAGATGCCTTTTCAATTCCATCTGTAACATGTTAGGCAATTTGCTTGTCTGTCTCCTTCCACCTAATGGTAAGGACTCTGAGAGCAGCAACAGTGAATAGTTCATCCATCCTGTATCTCTAGTGCATGGTGGTTTGCAATTAGTCAATTGAAAATTTTAAATAAGTTCAAAATCATTCTTAAAATGTTGTAGCTAGAGAAGAAGCCTGTATTTTCAGAGATGGGGTATACCTCTCTGGATCTGCTAAAACTCAGCTAATTTGGAATCAAACAGATCCAAGTTAGAACCTGGTTTCACCATATGCCTTTGTTTTCTCATCCTTAAATGGGCATCATAATGGCACACTGGTTGACAGGGATAACAGTAGCTTATTTATTGAGAAAATCAAATTAATAATGCACATGAAATGCTTGGCCCAGAGTCCCACAGAGCGGTGTTCCATACATGTTAGCTGTTGTGACTATTACTAACAAAAGGACAGCAGCCAATAAACTATTAAAGAGAACCTCTCAGGCTGACAAGAAAACATGAAAGCAATTTGTTTCCAGGAAGTCACTTCTTACCAGTTTGAGAGATGCAAATATTCCAAAGAAGCAGTCGTCAGAGACCTGAGATTGGAAATGAAATGCCACAAAGTAGCAAGTGATAGTTACGCAGGACGCCTGTGTGGGGCTGTCAGTTCAGGGGAAAATACAGCCCCACAACCCCACAGCCCCTCACTTGAGCAGCAGGTAAAGGACAGTTTGTCTTTTGAAAGAAGAGTGCCGAATTTTCCACTTTCCGGAGGCAGGGATCCAGTCAAAGGAGAAGAGACAATAAAGGAAATTTGCCAACAGAGAAAAACTGTGCCTAATAGGACTGTATTTGTGAACTAAAAATTGACATTTACGTAACCATTCATTCATTACGTAATTTGGAGGGGAGAGGTAAAGGGGTTTAAATAATCAAGTTTCATGCCTGTAATCCCAACACTGTGGGAGGCCGAGGCAGGTGGATCACTTGAGGTCAGGAGTTCAAGACCAGCCTGGGCAACATGGTGAAACCCCATCTTTACTAAAAAATACAAAAAAAAAAAATTAGCCGGGCGTGGTGGCACATGCCTGTAATCCCAGCTACTCGGGAGGCTGAGGCAGGAGAATCACCTGAACCCGGGTGGCAGAAGTTGCAGTAAGCTGAGATCATGCCACTGCATTCCAGCCTGGGTGACAGAGTGAGACTCTGTCTCAATAAAAACAAAATAAAATAAAAAAAAAAATCAAGTTTGTCAAATGGTATAATTAATTTGAAAATTAATTAACAATACCCTAAGAGGCAGACCATAAAGAGAATTCACCTAAAACCTTAAGTCAGAGAACATACGGCAAGTCTGAGTTTGGTATCTATCCAATTACGTTCAATTAAGGCAAAAAGGAAAACAAAATGTTGGATTGAAAATAAAGTCTTTTAATGAAACATAAACCTTAAGTTTCCCATTTAACAATAGTAATACTGCATTAGATAAATACTGGTATTAGCAGTATCCTCTTTTCTACCCAGGGATTAAATAGCATCCTGACTGTAAATTAACTTCTATTCCTACTTACCACTCTTTGAATGCCATATTTATGCCCTTCCATTGTGTATAAATGCTGATACTTTCAACCTCTAATATATTATGGCTGATATCCAAATCGTAAAATAATTTAGGGATTATCCCTAAAATCATATTTGCTTCCATTAATATTTTTTCTTACTAATTTTTAGGACACGGTATTTAAATTTCACTCTTAAAACCAGGCAAATATTTTACATAGCTTGCAAAATCCAGGAAACAATGAAGTCATGTCTCTTAACAATGTAACATGTGGATACGTCTTATTTAGGAAGAGAGGGGCTTTAATGATAAATATAATCTTAAATGAATGATTGTATTGTTACAAAGAAAAGTGACATAGCCTTTATCCCCTTAAAATATGCCTTAACTGAAAAAGTTAAAGGTGTGTCAATGTATTCTATATCTTTGGCACATAGGTAACAATTTTAAGAGCAAGGAAGATTTTAAAATTTTAATTTAGTTTAATTTTATTTTATTTAGGTACTCAAAAGTGACTCTAAACTCATTTGTGTTGGTTTATTTGTGGGCTATGCAGCTGCACAAATGAGGTCAGCTTATTTAAAGCTTAAGGATGCAAAAAATTGCTATCTAGAAAAACTGCTCCCAATGCTTCTAGTCAATTCTTCAATTTTACCCCTTCTTTTTGGCTGAGATTGGACCTAAGTGCCCATTATCCCTTCATTTTCAGTAGTATGGCTTCCGAGCCTAATGCCTTATGCACTTACCATCAAGGCGTAGGTAAAGGAAGTTCCGAAAAGCAAAATAATCCTCCATGATGGTCATGAGAGATGTCATCTGGCAGAAAAGCAGCACTCGGTGATTAGTCGCTCTCAATTTTGGCAGAATACGATCAAGCAGCTCAAACTTCCCTGAGGCCCGATACAGTTCAGCCCTGAACCCAAAAAAATGCAAAAACAAGAAGACAGTATTACTTCTGTCTTCTTAAAAAATCCAGCATTGCTTTGCTTTTCATATAGTCCTTTGTACACTGTAAACATTCAATAAGTAACTGTGAAATGAATGAATGAATGAATATGAACTCCAAAGCAATGAGAATATTTAGCAGAAAAGGAAAATATATTCATATAAAACCCATGAAAAGTGCATTGCATATACTAGGTATGATGACAGGTTCTAGAAAGAAAAGGAACCACTTTCATGTTCTTAATACTTTCAATCTTTCTCTCAACTTATTCTTTCTCCTCGCCCTCTCTCTCTCTCTCTCTCTCTCTCACACACACACACACACACGTACACACACACGTATATGCCATGTTTCTGTAAATTTCTCCTTATTCAGTATATAACTTTTTAAATTTTTAATTCAGGGCACTTAAGATTCATCTAAATACTTACTGATCACCTACTATGTACCAAGCACAGTGCTAGCCATGTATATAATAATAAGCAAAACAGAGTCTCATTTTACTAAATGGATAATTACAAACTGTAATAAATACTATTAAAATAACAAGTTCCAATGAGAAAACTCACAGCAACATGTGATGCCTTCTTTAGATTGGAGCAGAGTTTGGCAACCTTTGGCCCCGTCTGCTGTCTGTTTTTACAAATAAGGTTTTATCAGAACACAGCCACACTCACTCATCTCTATTGTCTGGCTGCTTTCATGTTACAGAGGCTACGCTGAGCAGGTGTGGCAGACACTTTATGGCCCACAAAGCTGAAAATATTTACAATCTG
Source organism: Homo sapiens (assembly GCF_000001405.40). Classification (NCBI taxonomy): domain Eukaryota; kingdom Metazoa; phylum Chordata; class Mammalia; order Primates; family Hominidae; genus Homo; species Homo sapiens. The sequence continues at coordinate 2,103,193 of NC_000009.12, read as the reverse complement.
GATCTTTACAGAAAAAGTTTGCCAACCACTGGTTTAGAGTGTCAGAGGTGACCTCCCTGAAGAGATAACATTTTAGCTAAAACCTGAAATAATGAGTAAAAAGGCATCCAGGTGAAGAACGGGGGCACTGGGGTGGAGAGGAGGAGATTCCAGGGAGAGGAAAGAGCATGCATAAAGGTCCTGAGGGGTAAAGGAGACAGAAGGATTTGAGAAATTAAAAAAAAAAAAAAAACAGGGAGCATGGCTTAAACAGAAGTGAGGAGAGAATACTGGGAGATGAAGACAGAGAGGTGGAGGATGGGACTAGGAACAGACTCTTTAGGGCTCTATGAGCTATACTGAACGTTTTCATTTTCAGTGCAATGAAAAGTCATCAATGGGTTTTAGGCAGGGGAGTGATGAGGTCTGGCGTACCTTTTTATAAGATCACTATGGACGTCATGTAAGAATGGACTGGGGGAGGACAAGAGTCTTGGATTACTATACAAGTACAAGTCAAAAACACGTTGGGAGTATGAGATGCAGAAGACGCTGTGATATGGAGAAAGGCTAAAGCAGGGCCTTTTCCCTCTACAGTTCACCCATTTTTTTCTTTTATCAACAGGACTGTGTTATACAATTAAAACCGAATTTTAGGTGATACTGTTTGGAAAACTTGCCAGTGCACATGTAATCTATAGTACTGAAATGTCTCATCTGGTAGTTGATTTTATGACACAGGATATGTTATTTCTAACAGACACATTTTCAAACGTATGTCTTCCCGACATCCATCCTCCACTCTGAGAACTGTTCTCCAAATACCCTATAGCTGTGTTTTCACCATGCAACCCTGGCCAAGCTGATGGGAGCAGGAGTAACCACAGAACCCAGAGAAGAGAGAGGCAAGGAGAGGTAGGGAAAGCTTAGCAGCACTGCTTCAGGATAGGCTATAGTTCCTGGTTCTTAGCCCAGTGAAACTGTCCGCCCTTGGGATCCAAAAATGATGACTACATCCTAATAATAAATTTTTCAAATTTGCAACACACCACACACACACACACACACACACACACACACACTTTCTGTTAATGCAGTGTTCATTTTTGTTGTTGCAAGTCAAGATTCTCTTTAACATCCATTGCTAATGAAAAACATTTCTTACACAGACCACACTCTAACAAATGACTATAAAACTGTAAACATTTACAGCAGATGAGAGATTTCTTCTCATGTACATTAATGTCAAATGTCAATGTGAAATTTAATAAGATACATTCTCTTCAAGCCCAAGCTATACTTTTGGTTATAAATAACAAACCTTTGAAGCTTCAACAACATTTTTAGAACACTAGGATACTATTAAGTCTATTAAATAAGATCTATGTCCTTTGAATAGCCACTTGCTTAAGGCAAGTAATAATTTATGCCAGTAAAGTAAAAGAGAATGCTGATACCGTTTTGGTTAACTTCTCCACTGAAGAGCCCTTAGAGGGCTGGAAGTAAGTATTTGCACAAGAGGAAACACTGTAGAGAGGAGGAGTTTATGTAAGGCCAACAACATTTTTTTTTAAAAGAAAAAAAAATTTGAGATTTACCCATTGATGACCCCATTTGAATAGCCTAGGTGTTCAGCAAAGGATTCCTTTAAAAGAGAGAGATAGAAAGAATGATTTTAAAAAATGTAATTATTAACTTAATGATTACTCTTTTAGTGAGGTTATCCTACCTATTTCTATAGTTAAAACAAAATAATTAATGAATAAGCAAAAAACTTACACACGTAATGAACCAGAAATTCAGTATATTGCATGCAGACTTTTGTTCCATCAGAAAAGTATCCTGTGAGTTTCTTCTAGTCTCTAGACTCTCAGGTAACAGGGTTACTTTACCCATCACACAGTCACTGAGCACCCACTGGCCCATAGCGGAGCCAATAGTTATTTCTGGAGATCCACCCTCTAGGGTGGATCTGAACTCAAGGAATACAGAGTCTAGACTAGAAGAGCACAAAAACAAGCAAATCAGAATTAATATGTATATATAAATATATGTGATAGGGTTTGGCTGTGTCCCTACTCAAATCTCATCTTGAATTATAGCTCCTATAATTCCCATGTGTTGTGGGTGGGACCCTGGGGGCGACAACTGAATCATGAGGAAGGTTTCCCTCATGCCGTTCTCATGGTTGTGAATAAGTCTCACGAGATCTCGTGGCTTTGTAAGGGGTTTCCCTTTTCACTTGCCTCACATTCTCTCTTGTCTGCCACCATGTAAGACGTTCCTTTCACCTTCTGCCATGACTGTGAGGCCTCCCCAACCATGTGGAACTGTGAGTCCATTAAACCTCTTTTTCCTTACAAATTACCCAGTCTCAGGTATGTCTTTATCAGCAGCATCAAACTGGACTAATACAATATGTATTGTGGAAAAATTCAGCAATAAAAATAATTGTGATTATATAATATATTATAATTCTTAGTTCGGTGAAATCTTTTCTTTTTTTTTTTTTGAGACAGAGTCTCACTCTGTTGCCCAGGCTGGAGTGCAGTGGCGCAGTCTCAGCTCATTGCAAACCTCTGCCTCCCAGGTTCAAGCGATTCTCCTGCCTCAGACTCCTGAATAGCTGGGACTACAGCATGTGCCACTATGCCTGGCTAATTTTCTGTATTTTTAGTAGAAACAGGGTTTCGCCACATTGGCCAGGCTGGTCTTGAACTCTTTACCTCAAGTGACCTGCTTGCCTTTTCCTCCCAAAGTGCTAGGCTTATTGGATGAGCCACCACACCTGGCCAGTTAGGTGAAATCCTAATGTCTCCTCTATACTGTGCTTTCCTCCATTACAAATAAGGTCCTAGATGTACAGCACCCCTCAAGTGTCCAGCTTCTGTTTTCAGAATACAGAACGTAATCACATAACTCCGTCCTTTCTGATTCACAGAAAGAAATACTGTTTTCCACGCATTTCTCCATTCTGACTTTATGAGAAATGACTGTTCTCCATGCATTTCTCCATTCTGACTTTATGGGAATGGCAACCATCTGTGGGAATGGAGAGCAGGTTACACCTTCACATCAGCCACCGGCTGTCTCCCTTTTCTGCTTTCCCTCCTCCCTGGATCCCTGCAGCTTTTCCTCCAAGGGGACCAGATCTTTCCCTCTGGGCTCAACAGTACTCTCAAATATGCTCATGATCTACGGTAGGCTCCAGCCCTGTGGCAAAATTAACAGGATGGACTGTGGCCAATACCTCAACTCCATCCCCTAGAACCAAACCCATGGTCTCCATTAGGCTCCATCCCTGTCTCCAAGCAGGATTGTCAAAACCAAAGAGAGGGGTCAATGGATGCTGTTGGAGATTAGGTAACAGCATCATGTTAAAAATACTGTTTCCATTTCTTGAGTTTAAGGTCCCCAGGGAGGCAGTGAGACCCATTTTGAGGCTCAGCATCTGGCAGGATTTAGTATGAACAAAGGGTGTGTGGCAAACGAAACACAACAAAGGCAAATTCACACACCATCTCTGTTCCATAGTTGTCAATAGATTTGCCAATAACTGTGGATCTCTTGTTTCTAGGGAAAAAAATTGCAAATCAGAGTCTGCCTTTCTACCAACTGCTACTTAAAATGTCAATATGTAGGTACTGAAGGGCATGCACCTTCAACTTCGCTTCCTTCATGATTCCCCCTCCTCCTCTATCCTTTCCCACCCTCCAAACTGAAGCTGGAGGACAGAAGGCATCATCTCCCTTCCTTCCCTACTTAGCCCAGCATGGCTCAAGGGGTCATTTCTTTTATGATAACCAAAACGAAGTAAGATTGATGCTTAATCTTCAAAATTCCTAAGTCCCCAAAGGCCCCCATAGATTACCATACATGTCTTAAAATTGTTTTCAGAAGAAATGGGACAGTGGGTAACAGGTTAGACTAAGAAAATCCCAGACAGTTTCATCATTAGACTTTTCTCCCAGCTCCTCTAAACCCAACATACACCCACCACCAATTCATTGGTACCTTAAATCTGATATAACACATCATCAGTTTACAAGATGCTTCACATGTTATTGTTTAAAAGCTGGTCCTCCTGCCAGTAGTATAATCTATTATTACCCCTGTTTACAAATCAAGCACATTACAACATGAAGAATCTGAGTGACTTACCCCAGTTCACAGTTACAAAGTGACCTGGTGGATATGAACTCATTTTTGGCCATTGCAATCCCCTTCAACAATACATGTAAATAACTGTGACTTTTTTTTTTTTTTTGAGACCGAGTTTCGCTGTTGTCACTCAGGCTGGAGTACAATGGTGCGATCTCGGCTCACTGCAACCTCCACCTCCCGGGTTCAAGCAATTCTCTTTCCTAAGCCTCCTGAATAGCTAGGATTACAGGTGCCTGCCACGACACCCAGCTAATTTTTGTAGTTTTGTAATTTTGTAGTTTTAGACGGGGTTTCACCATGTTGGCCAGGCTGGTCTCGAACTCCTGACCTCAGGTGATCTTCCTGCCTCGGCCTCCCAAATTACAGGGGTGAGCCCCCTGCACCCAGCCATGAGATTTTTAAAGTGTTGTTGCTGTTGTCATTTTACTCCAGTATGTAGGTACTTTCCCCTGTGTCTATGGATATTCTCCTCTATGCCCACACACTCTCTCCTATGTCTATGGGTACACTCCCCAGTGTCTATGGATACTTTCTCCTATGGACTCCTTGAATAGCAGTGTCAGAAATCTTTCCAATTATCCAGCACAGCTAGGAAAGAACTCTGACATGTGGATATGGTGTGCCATGAATACTCTGACCTGACATGTACAACTGCCAAAAATAAGGGACAAAAAAGAATATTCGAAAAGAAGAGTGCTCCAACTCAATTTTTATACTGTGATTAAGTTTTAACTTTCCAGAAGTTTCTATGTATTTTTTAAAATAAATTGGTGCAGACACTGGAGCCCTGCAGTGATGTTCTCTATGTCTCCTGCCCATTTTGCAGTAGCAAGTAGGCACTACCCTGGCAAATAATTGCCACCAGGACCATTTGCCTCAGCAGCAGCAATGACAAATGGGGAATACAATTGTGGCTCCTTTTCATTCCTGCTCCAGTCAATTGTGCCCACTGGGGTGAAACACTGTCAATTTAGGAAACTTATTCACATGGAGTGAACATGGCAGAAAATGTCCTCTCCCTGCAAAATAGCTTTCTAGAGACCTGAGCATCAGGATGAAAGCCTGGATTTACATCATCATGACAGAAACAAGAAAGGAAAAATATAAATCAAAGTAACAGACTAAAGCCAGTGTCTTTTACAAAGAAAATATTTAAAGAAAATCTTTCTCTTTAGAAGTCATAAATACATTATTTTAATATTTTTCACGGCATTCTTTTGAGGAAGCTGAATGTATTTATCATTATCTTCAATTTCAGAGCTCCCAGTATAACAAGGTAATTCACAGTACTTACCCAAACCCACACAAGTGAGCCACTGCTTATAGCATTTTCTCTCCACTTTAAACTCTTGGTTATAAAATTCCAGATGCTCAAATGCTTGGTGCCAATGAGAACCCATAACCAGAATACTCATGTTTGTTAATTCTGCTTGTCGAGCTATCAGATCATGTCATCTCAACTTCCGCCAACATGTTTTAAATCTATTTTGGTTTTTTTTTTTCCTGTTTGTTTGTTTTTTTTTAACTAGCATTAGTATGATTAGCACAATCAGGCTCAAAACACACAATACAGACTTACCTCAATGTGCTGAAACATATATGGGTGGTTGCAGATTTTTCTCAACTGCATAATAGTGTTCATAAGTGTCTTAGCACCTCCTTTCCCCTAAGAACCAGTGGAAAGGGAAAAATAGAATTAATTATTAACTGGTCAGACATTTCAGATCCTTCACACTGGGCTTCTTATACAAAGGACAAAGGACCATAGGTTTTTTCAGTCACCTACACACCTTGTGGTTCAAAGCTTCTTTAATTATATAGCAGTTCCTGAGTTAGACATAATGTCTTTCTTGTGATTAACTTACGCTACAAAAAAAGTGAACCTTGAAGGATTATGTCCAGTGAGGGATATGGCTTTGCGACATGACTGTCTATTCCGTAGGACTCCGGAACACAGAAGCACAGAACAGATGCCCAGGGAGTGAAACTGGATTTTAAAACCTTCTAAAATGCCACCCCACACTTAGGCAGAATATATTTGCTGCAAAATTGACATAAGCAGAGCTAACTATTTTGGTAATATGAACATATTCCTTCTTTCTTCCTGCCCCAATGCAGCTAAGAGGTGAAGAGATTATCTTTGGCAGCTATAATAGCTCAAAGGAGGTCCAGTGATTTACTTTAACAAATCAGCATTAGCAGGGATGCTTCCTGTGAATATTCAATGTCACAGCCATGAGAAGACATACCACAGCACCTTGAGTTGCATCATCTTTCGCAACGTACCTTCTTATCTTTCTCAGAACCATCTGTGAGAAGGATCCCCTTGGCTTGCATATGGCGATACAGAATCTTCTGCAGAGCTGACATGTCACACTTGATCACATATTCCACCTGCAGAAAAGAGAACAGTAAGTAGGCAAGAGCAGGAAGGAGAAGGCGCCTGTTCTAAGAAGACTGCTGAGTCAGTGTCACTCCTGGAAGCACAAAGGTGTCTCTCTTTCTCTTTCTTGGATTCACGGAGTGCGGGGTGAGATGGGGGTGTTAGAAGAGACCAGAGTCATCATTGTTCAAGGTACCATTATGATGGGGGGGCCTTCTGAAGGTTATATGTAATTGATGCTAGGGTCATGTTTTCTGAAATTTCTTGACTTGGTTCCAAATTTGAGAGAGAGAATGGCTTACAAACTGTTTAAATTCAAAAATGTTCAATATGGGATATTTTTAGCATTTCCTTCACTTCCCAATTATACTTCCTTTCCTATGAACAGAACGGTTTTAGGAAAAGCAGTGACTGGCAAATATCCTGTGATTTTCTTTGTGAAACATTTTTAAATGGTCACATGTGGTATCTCTAATACTAGTCTTAAAGTGAGATTTATAACATCCCTAGGGTGACTACCATTAACTTCTACTCTTGAGAAATGGCAGGATACAACATAGTGAGAACAGGTGGAAGAGAAATTAATCCACAATTGGACACTACTTTATGGTCATCTAAAGGAGGACAAGGCCTCCTGTGCTTCCAGTTGAAATACCATCAAAATCCAATTTTAAAAAGTTAAGGGGAATTCACATGCTCATGGTTTATCACACACCTGCGTACTTTATCATACTCCTAATACATAAAATCTGCCTTATTTCCTACCATTGTTTTTCTTTATTTAATAAAGAATCCCAATAATACAAATGTGCAATTCTCATAATAAACATCAGATTAATGCCTAGAAATATGCAGAATGTGATTAAAAATAAATCAGCAAGCTGACTAATGTTTAATAAACTGATGTAAAATGATCACATTATTTGCAGCTCTGAGGGCCAGGGAGAAGAGGTCACAGAGAACTTGAATATTCCTTCAATTGTTGCTTTCGAAGGAATCTGTCAGGCCACATGGAAGCACAATTAATAGTTTCTGGCCACACATTTTCATGCATCAAATGAGATTAGAGAAAAGCCCGCTCTTTTACAGAAAAGGTGAGAAGTGTAAGTAACCCTCCAAAAACATGCTTTAGTCTTTAATGACCTTCTTGGCCAGGTGAAAGAAAAATCTCCAAGATTAATCAATAAGTATGCATTTAATACAGGCTTTGTGTTTTAGATAACTGATCATGTTATATGTTTAAAGTACTTCTCCTTTTTTTTTTATGAAAATTTTCTATAATTTGGCCCGGTGCGGTGGCTCACGCCTGCAGTCCCAGCACTTTGGGAGGCCGAGGCGGGCGAATCACGAGGTCAGGAGTTCCAGACCAGCCTGACCAACATAATGAAACCCCAGCTCTACTAAAAATACAAAAATTAGCCAGGCATGGTGGTGTGTGCCTGTAGTCCCAGCTACTCAGGAAGCTGAGGCAGGAGAATCGCTGGAACCCGGGAGGCGGAGGTTGCAGTGAGCTGAGATCACGCCACTGCACTCCAGCCTGGGTGACGGAGCAAGACTCTGTCTCAAAAAAAAAAAAAAATTCTAATTTTTTCAGCTGTATTGAGGTATAATTGTATCAAGGTATAATATTTTAGAAAGGTATAATATATACAAATACATATTGTGTATATTTAAGGTACGTCTGTGAGATTTTGATATACATAAACATTGTGAAATGATTACCCCAGGCTTCTACTTTTTCAAGAGCTGTTAACTCACAGTGACATTTGATAAGGGTAAAGAAAAACGCTGAACAACTTTAGACTTTAACAAGTATAATGGTAAAATGACATCAAGGACTAATATTACTGGGCTCTTTCCACAGAAAAAGCCCTGTGCAAAGTGCTTTCTGAGCCTTCTCTCATTTAACACACAAAAGAGCTGTACTGGGATAGCCACATTTAGCCTTCTCATTTTATAGATTAGGAATCTGAGCACCACAGAGGTTTAGCTACAGACCCAAAGATATAGCTATTGAATGGCACAGTTAGGATTTGAAATAGAATCCACTCTTTTAAGCTCCACGTTAGGACGACTGAGGAGATTTTCAGGCTTCCTAGCTCTGCCTGAGGTTCACCTTCACCTGCACCTCCCTGCTGGCTTGATCAAACCTTCCTGAATGTGGAAGGCATGGCTGATGCTTGTGCATTTGGGGAAGGCAGATCCAGAATTCAGGAAAGAACACTCAAGCACCTTCCTATGAGTCAGCCACTGCTAAGGGCTGGAGGTGAAGGAGTTTGGAAAGCAGGAGGCATGCATGGTGATACCATGGAGACAGGGATGCCAAGCATTCTCAACGAGGTCAAGTCAGCAGAGAGGCAAGCAGCTCTCAAGGACCTGATGGCTGCTCTTAGAAGGCAGAGTCTCTTTCCTCACACAATTAGGGCATTTAATACACAGGATCAAAAATCACATAAGCTTCACAACTATATTTTATGTTTGCTCCCAGAGCCTTCTCAAACAACTCCAGGCCACTTGGTTTGTTTTTGTACTTGTCTCCAGGCCTGGGATATCCTTACTTAGTCTTAAGGCTCCTTTCTAACTCTACTCTACCTTGAGGGCCCTTTTTAAGATCTTTCCCAATCACACTATCAGCCAAAGCCAATTTCCCTTTCATTTCTCTCAAAGAAGTTTGTCAGTAAGCTTTTTTGATAATGGAGAAGAAAAACAAGAAGACATGCTGAAGCTCATTTTCCCAACATATATCTACATATTTATTTATGAATTACTATATGCATGCACTAATATTAATGTCTCAAGATATGAGTTACTTTCAGGGCACAGGTCAATGTTAAAGGAAGTTGATTTATAGCCCTATTTAAAGCTGCCAATTTGATGATATCTAATATTTTTGGTCAACTCCAGCCCATGTACCATGATGTGGCTGTTGAAAACCAATACTAGGAATGGGAAAAGAGACAAGATGGCCTTTTTCCCATTGTTCATCTATGCCTATGTGATTTCAACCTGCACTCCTTTGCAGAATCCTTTTAAGCCCTTCTGGGGACCAGGGTTGTTAGTTTAGTTAAAATCAGATCATACTAAATCTCCTTATCTGGGCACGGGGAAACCCATAAGGCCTCACCACCATTGGCAGAAAGTAAATGAACCAGGCAGCAAGGATGAAAGGACTATCAGATGCTCCCAGTGGTGGAAACCCACTCTCACGCTTCCCCTGGGATAACCTACACAGTGTACTCCCAGCACATGACTCGCTTTCAGACACACATACGTACCTACCACATAGGTACCGGTGTCAATCTGCATGTTAAATATCAGTGAAGACTTTTTAAGAGAAAGATCAATATATATGATTGTTCTAACATCTTTCTCCACCCAATGGATTACTAATAAGCATTTCCCAACACATACACCCATGTGTACATACTGGGTACCCCGTCCTAAACCACCTGAATGCCTGGATCATTCATTCTGATTGGTGGGATGATGCTGCCTTGCATTGCCACACTATTATTCAGTGTGAGTAGCCCTCATCTCCACAGCCAAGTCTGTTGACTTCTCACACCATGCCTCCCATTTCTGGTATATTGTGCCTCCCACCTGGCCTGAGTGCAGTATAACGTACAGAGCAGGCAATCAACAGGTTTGTATCAAGAAAAGGGATGGACTGAACAATTATACAGCCACCACACTGAATCACAGTGACGAGAGAAGTTTTTATAATAATCGTGCCAACTCCAACTCGGTTGAGTCTGAGTTCATCCCCCAAAAAATGTGATGGCATCTGTTTAGAGCATGCATGTGAAAGCTCCTCAAAATATACTGGTGCTATAGCAAATGAAACTTGTGACTTCTTCACGGGGGTGATTCTCCCAGTAAGTTAGGTTTGTGAGAGCCACTGGAGCTATTTTTGTTTAAATCATATGTAAAACTGAGGTGCTGACCTCATGTATCTGGTAATTATCTCCTAAGCATTCTTATGTTAGTAAATGGCCTAACTGGTCCCTAAAAGTAGGCAAATCAGGTCATTATACTGGCTCAGCATTTCTTCTTATATACCCCTGTAGAAGTATTTGAACTTTGTTCATAGCTTCTGCCTGAATACTATTCTTCATTTATAATTCCCCTTCCTAAAGGATGTTTTATTGGAATAATAAACCTAAACTACATGCGATATATCACCACTTTGTGAACTGAGATTTGTAAACAATATGATTCAATTTATGAAAAGTCTCAGGTTCTAAACGCTATGGCATGAGAGAGGAACAAAGTAATGATTAATTATGCTAAGCATTCCAAAATTTGATATAATGAATACACAAATTGCCAATGTAAGCAAAGCTTTGTTGGTGTTTTTCACAAATTATATCAGAATCAGGATTGACTTTAGGTAGGTCAACCTCTAGTTAACCTCAGATATTATATACATATTTTAGCATATTTAGACATAAAGAAATACCCAGCCAATTGCAAGTATAGTTGGTTCTTGATGATATGAATTAACAAAAGAGTCAGCACAGACAACCTTAAATGTGAGCTAAATAGAAAAATCAATTTTTATTTAGCTTAAGTTGTTCTTACATAATCCCTTTTCTATTTGGCATTCTTTCCCGTGCATAAGAAATGGATTTTATGACAACAGCTTAGCGGTGTTGGTGGTTGGGGGGTGGGTATATTCCCTTGCTCATTAAGTGTTTCATTAGACCAATATTAAAGCTAATTTTCCTATGCGGTTGACCTGCATTTACAAAACCGTGGCCTTTATATACCTGCTTTAGTTTCACCTGAGAAAGCACATGAAAAGATGCTCAACAATATTAGACATTAGAGAATGCCAATCAAAGTTACAAGACGCCACTATGCACCTATTGAATGGCTAAAAATCTTGAAAAACTGACAATAGCAAGCACTAATGAGAATGTGGAGGAAGTGGAATGGTCATATATTTCTGGTGGGACTACCCAGTGCTTCAGACAGTCTAAGAAACAATGCAGAAGTTTCTTACAAATCTATGTATACACTGACCATTCGATCAACCAGTCATACACCTAAGGCGTTTACTCAAGTGAAATGCAAACCTATGTTCACACAAAAACCTGTACATGAAAAGTTTATAGCAGCTCTATTCATAATTGTCAAAAACTAGAAATGACCCAAATGTCAAACAAACTGCGCTGCATCCATGTAATGGAATATTATTCAACAATAAAAATGAACCAACTATTGATACATGCAACAACATGGATGAATCTGAAACACATTTTGCCAAATTAAAAAAAACCATGCAAAAGGTTATACATTGTCTTATTCTACTCATACGACATTTTGGAAAAGATAAAGCTATAGACAGGGATGGAGAACGGATGAGTGGCTGCATGAGGCTACGAGCCGAGGGAGGGTTTCACTGAAAAGAAGTAGTACCAGGAAATACCAGGGAATTTTTTTTGGAGCGGTGGATGATGACATTGTTTTGAATTTTTGTTGTGGGCATGGTTAACACAACTCTTCATTTGTCAAAACTCATAAAACTATACACCAAAAGAAGCAAATTTTGCTACACATAAATTAAAAAATAAAAGTAAAAGCCTCTTTCCTATATGGCTCTTTTTTCATAAAAACATTTGAGAATTACTGCTGTGAAAGTATTTAGCCTTTTCCTCCATCTGCCGTAGTTCCTTTCTGGATTCTTTATCCAGGCTAAGTAAGACATGCACATTGTTTGTGGCTGTAAGCAGTGGTGGTAGAAGAAACTTCTTTACCCCCTAGGATGGCAATGAAATTTCCAACTTTCCCCAGGCTAAAAAAAAAAAATCCTAACAAGGCTGAAAAAGTAGAAAATGAACATCAGCCCAGCCATATCAACAACAACCACATACACACACAAAGTGCTTGAAAAGTTTATGGAGAGAGATGTGGGGGGGCTACCGGAAGGAGAGCAAAGACAAGAGAACAGCGAGAAAGAGCTTCAAGAATAGGAAAATGGAACTCCCATTAATAACAGAGACAGCAACATGAGTGGAAAATAAGGAATATGGTAGAAGCAGCTGTCATTGGTTGGGTGCCCACCATGTGCCTGGCATGGTATTAGGAGCCCTACATCCATTTAATCCTCACAACTCCATAAGACAGAGTCATTTATCTTCCAGTTCACTGATGAGAACACTAAGACCCATTTAGGTTAGAAGACTTGCCCAAGTTCACATAGTAAGAGATGGAGAATGTGGTGAAACCCATGCCTACTCTGACAGGCAGAGCCCATGATTTCCACTCCACCAAAGGAAAAGATAACATGGCTGCCTTTAAAGGTACAGATACCTCTAAAGGTAGATAATACCACACACTGAGTATTTTACATACCTCAAATATAATACTCTGGGTGTTAATAAATACATGTATACTTTATGCAAGAGACATACTCGTGATCATTTGAGGGTAGATACATTTCATAAAAATTTTATCATCCTTCAAGTATACTCAGGAACTTCTCTTGTAGAAAGAACCATAAAATAAATATTTTTGTAAAGCAAAGAATTCCTTTGTGATATAATTAATCACCTCATAATTCTTAAGCTGCAAAAATTTCAATTTTTCTCTAGTGGATTTTCTTACAACATAACATACTTTCAACTTGCAATATATTTTTAAAAATCTATCTGTATTAGCCAGTCTTAGAAGTGAATGAACAAGATTAAGAAGTCTTATGGAATGAATAAATGAAGGGCTTCAGTTAATTGCCTTTTATTTTATACCTCTTGTAAAGAAAAAAAAAGAAATTATGGGATAAATTAAAATGTTTAACATTCCATCTCTATCACTTGCAGAATCACCGTAACTGTATGCTAGGAAGTAATTCAAGGCACCCACATGGCCACTATACCCATTCATCAATTTATCTACTCAGTAACTAAACTCCATCTTGAACAGAAAGGGTGCTACCCAGAGGCCAAGACCACAGGAAGTCCAAGGGAATATCAATAGCATTCTACGTCCAAGATGCATTCACCAGCAGAATAAAATACTTAAATACGTAGACTTTCACTGAGATATGCATGGTATAAAAGTCATTTTTAATTTTTTTTCTGACAATGCATAAAGGATTAGGGAATAAAATTCTCTCGTAACAAAGTGATCAACGTTGTACACCATCTTGAAAACTCCCACTTAAAAATGAACAGGATGAACCAATCTGTCCAAAAATAGAGTCGTTACCCAGAAAAACCACAATCATGCAAAAATAAGACATTTCAGAATTGGCTCTTCTAAAGAAAAAACTCAAATCAAAATACCTCATGCAACAAATAGTACACAATGCTAAACTGTCTCTAAGAGAATGAAACTTAGAATTCAAATATGCATGGTTCCAAAATATGATCAGAAACATATTAAACTAATACTCACATCCAACCCCAAAACATGGAGCTAAGGGCTCAAAAGGTGTTCTAAAGTACTGCAGACTAAGTTTCCAAAAGTTAGTCCGAAAAATACTGGCTTAAAATGTTCACAGGAACTTAATTTTTATGGCACAGAACAAAAATAATGTCCCCGAATAATTAGATGATGTGTCTGTAATTTGCAGGAACTCTGTTTTTTCACTTACTGTCAGAATGGTGACATCACAAACATCAAATGTTAAATAAATTTCTAGAAAACCTGTAAATGTTTACCACCCCCTTCAATGATGATACAAGTCCCCAACGCCAAATCTTCCATTCACTTATAAGCAGAACAATTCTACAGTGCCTGCAACAGTGAACTCAATGAGGTCCGTAATTTAAAAAAAAAAAAAAATCTAAAATTAAAATGTAAATGAGACTCAGTGAATTTGATAATTTCATAAAATCTGCTCGAACGCTTTTGGAAAACAGGCTGCAAATGCTATAATTTCCCTGCTCTCTCTAGCCCTATCAAACAAAAAAACAATTTAAGATATTTTCAAGATACTATTAACTACAATATGAGTCTGCTGTTTCAGAAACACAATTTCAGAGGCAGGTACTTCAAATATATTTGCTGGAGGAAAAAAAAAACCCACAACTTTTGGTTGTGCAACATACTTTTTCGGGAAGCTGGGATTCAACTTCTTTCTTCAGTCTCCTTAGTAAAAATGGTCTTAACACCTTATGTAGACGCCTGATGATCAATATAGTTTCTTCTTCATTTAAGTCCACCTGTAAGAGAGGCTTATTATGAATTTGATTTTTTAAAGAAAAGGATGTTTCATACAATAAAGCTTTATGTTACATATGTGTGGTTCAATACATGATTGACATTTTACATGCATTAAAGCCAAGTTTAAGCCTGTCATATCTACCTCTGAATTATCTTCCCACCTGCCTACCAAGTGGTAACAAAATGACCTCTAAATAGGTGTCTTTGTCTTAACGCTGAGTTCTATGGAAAAGAGCCCGGAAGCCACCAGTTTTTTATCAGTAGTGTCAACAGCCTCAAATTGTATGGGATATGACTGTCAATGAAGACAGACTGAAGACTGAGATAGAATGGGAGAAGGTGGGCAACAGTTAATATGTTCCCTATTTAAAGTGGCAGCCTTAAGTTAGGCCCTTCGTCTTGGTTGTCTCAGACACAGAAACATACTAAAGGAACAGGGGCTTGAACATATAAAGAAGAGGAACAAGAGTTGATCCAGTTTATGCTGGTGGACCTCTAAGTCCCTCTAACTTCACTCCTTTCCTTTTCTCAGCCCTATCTAGTTCAAGTTTAGTCCATCTTATACATTTCCCGGCTTTCTCTTTCACCTTCTCCTATTAACCTCTAGGGGGCAGAGTTGATTGACACTACTTTCTACAAATGGGCAAGCCAGTGAGTTAACTACTGAGGATGGGCCCATGTGCCTCAACATCAAAGGGCCAAATAATTCAAACCGAAATTTTACTAAAGCATTTTTAGTGGCTTTTCATTCCTATGAATGAGGAACCACTATGAAAATGACACGTGCCCATTTCTTTTCTTGCAATGGCCCATTGTCTACCTTTCATAAATGAGCTCTTAAGAGAAGACAGTGGAAGGAACAATAAGAAATTGGAAAATAAATGGCTACTCCAGGAAGACTATTTATGTACACACAAAACTGAAAATCACATTAAAACCTAAAAAGAAAAAAAAAAGGTCTGCAGAAAATGTGTGAAAACTAGTTCTGTTTTACACACAAAATCTTTATGTGGAAATATTTTAAAGGGAACTCCAAGTTTGTAACAAGGAAAGATTTGTTTAAAGCTTGTATTTAGTTGGTTAATTTGGTCTGGTTAAATTACTTCAGCAAAATATCTCCATGTTCATCCTCCCTGTGGCCCACTGCAGTTAAGCATTCCACCGGTTGGGACCCTTTTCTGGTAGCCTGGTAAACATGCTGGCAAAAGACAAAGGGGTTAGATGCCCCATGTACCACTAGATCCATTTTCCTAGGAGGGGAAAATAACCCCACCACAAGACCATGTCCACCCACCGATGGGTTTCATAAAATAAACAACAGTGGAAACCACCCTGCGGGTGTTCTGTGGCTCTAATGTTCTCAGCTTTAGGGCCTTTCATTTCATGTCATTATCATGCAGTGGAAAAAACAGAACTCAGACCAGTACCCTTTCACCAGTCATGGCAAATGGAGCATTGAACCATTGTTCAAATGTGCTGCAGCTCTTAAAAATTGTTGGGAGGAGGAAGTTGAGGAGGGCCCAGAGTTCAGGGAGCTTATTCTGCAGCGGGGTCCCAGTCAAGAGGATCCTTCTGGGGGCCACATAGTGAGTGTTCAAGACCTGAGTCAGCTTGCAGTGGTGATTCTTCATTCGGTGGCCTTCGTCCACTATCATGTATTTCCACCGAATCTATAACACAAGAGGAAGGACGGACGTGTAGTAAGCAAGGGAAAATACAACTATTTCCAACAAGCAAGTGGTGGTGCGGAAAACCAAAGAACCCATCCTTGGTATATGATATGCTGTGATTACCTTTGAGACAAGGGAATCTCAACAATGTCTCATGCCTGATAGGCCGCATAAGACATCCTATAATAATAGAATGTTAAAGGAACAATGTTCCTTACAGACCACGTAATTCCAAATCAACTTTTTACAAAGAAGGAAATTTGGGTCCAGAATGACATGGTTGTTTCCACGTGTGGATCCTGCCTCTCCCCATCCAATGCCCCTTCTATTAATACGTTATCATGACAGCTATCCCAGATTTCATGGTCATGCTATTTCAGCTCATGACAGGCACAGAATATAGGTACCCACCTGAAGCAGAGGTTAATGACTGATTTTTCCAAGATGGCCCTAGCAGGTTCTACAGCTGAGATATTCTTGGCTCCATGCCTTCTTTTCTATTAGCCTGGCTGGTTACTACCTTTAGGGCTTGGCCCGGAAGTGTGTTTTGTTTTGTTTGGACTGGTTGCTAACATTTAAAAGTTGGACTATTTCACATTAAATTTGTACATACGGCTTTTCAAAAATTAGGTCTGACAACGAAGCTCCCTCAATACACGCACATTCCTTACCTGCCAGATCTAGGACCCCTGTTTTATCTAAAATAAAAGAATATACTCACTGGCAGAAAGCGCACTGCAAAAATATCACTCCTGTATTTATGCCAAAACTGCAGAATTAAATACAGCATACTTCCCCAACATGACGATTGCGTAAAACGTCCAGAATGCTTATATGGCCCAGTCCTCCTTCCTGTCTACACAGTACGTTCCCTCTCTCATACCTTACCCTTCAGTCCTCTTAAGAGCACTGTTCAGTTTCTTAAAGTGAGAACAATGAGGAATGTTCCACTAAGCCTATCCATTCTCTACAAAACAGTGGCAATGGCCAAGAAAAACATCTGGTGCTCAGATGTCCCCAGATCCTGCTGCAAAGCTCCTAGAGAGAGAAGGGAGATGAGGAAAGTATTCTATACAGTCCTTGCCTTCCTCATTAGAAGCATCAGACGTGCCAGGAGAAAAGGAATAAAATCATCAGTCAGGCTGGGATGTACAGGTAAGAAAAAAACAAAAAAAAAACTACCTCGATTTTTTTTCCTTCCTCCACCACCTCTAAGAAAAGTGTTTAAGGATAATTAAAGCTGTACAATCAACTGCCTCAGACTTACCAACAGCATGAAAAGAGGCAAGCAGACAAAAAATATATTTAAATAAATATCCTAAATCTACTTTCCTGCCTAATTTAGCTTATGAAATAATAAAGAATCAGAGGCCTTTGATTTTGCTATGGGGTCTACTACTAATTAGGTCTTCCACTTGGACAAAATTACTACCTCTTTCTATAGCTCCATTTCTCCAGTAACAAATAAAAGCAGTGCATCTCATTACCAGGCGTCTCCAATGAATCTTGAAATACATATGCAGAAGACACAAGATGAATTTTTTTAAAAGGATCTCAAATGTACAAACACATTCCCATAGTAATATTGAAAACACATCATTTTTGACACTGCCAAATTCATCTCTGAGTGTGAGGAGGTGGAACACAGCATTGTTGCCAGTGCCATCTCAATTATTAAACCTCCCCTGGGAACACATTTCCTTTTTGTTATTTCCTATGATGCCATGAAGGGAACTCTCAGTTCCCAGAGCAAGAGTTTAATGCAGAGGTAGAATAGACCCCAGAAATAGAGGTTCTATTCAATTTTGGACATAACTTAGTTTCAGATTATAGTGCTTTCAAAACGTCATGGGGTAAAAAAAATTACTAAAGAGGAAAAAAAAGAGTTTTCATTATTTGTTCCACGAAAGAGAGCACTTCCATCTTTCTACATGAACGTATTAGAAGACAAGATGATATAAATGGGAGTAAAAATTTCTACTTTGTGGCTAAGGAACAACTTAGGACATAAAAATTAGGAGACATGTAAGTCACAGAAACACCTCTTTCTCAGTTTCAAATAAATAGTCACAGAAACAACCTTAAGTAACTCCAACAATGATAGTCTATTATTTCACCAGGAAAAACCTGAAACAAGACTACCACAAAAGCCACGGCTTGGATAAATGTTCATATGGTGGAGACCATATGGAGAGGTGTCTGGCTCATCTTTGGAGAAACAAAGGCACAAGAAGAATGAAGGTACACTGACAATATCTCAGGGCAACAAAAACAATTATTTCTTTCCCGAGAATGTGCAAAGCTGTTAGAGAGAAAAAGAGTTGCAGAAGCAACCAGGTGAATTTTTTTAAGAGATGTAAACTCATCAACTCTGAGGGGATAGACAAGAGCCGCCCCAGGATCAATCATAAACACACACACACACACACACACACACACACACACACACACACACACAGCATGCATGAAATCAAATCCACGACCAAAACATATCAAACTCTGAAAAAATTTTAGAAAAATAAAGAAAAGGACAAGCCATCTAAGGATCCAATTACACTACTGACTTGGGCAATACTTCACATTCCAGTGCAATGGTCCTAATTAGAGAGAAAATAATTTTTTAAAAACATACCTTTGCAAGAATGTGCTTGTCTTTTATAATATACTCATAAGTAGTCAAGAGGACATTGAATTTGCCACTCCGTAGCTGGGGGACAAGGGAGCGACGCATGGCAGGAGTACCCTGAATGGAAAGAAAAAAATACATGCATGATCCTATGGACATATATGTGCATTATTTCTCACTTTTCATAGCTTAATGATGCCCAGACATGTGACTGAAGAATGCACAGACACACATTCTCATAGACTGATCTATTATACACGAGGAAGTTTTGGCTAAATTACACGTCTTGACCCTTTTCAGATCTTTTTTTAGAAAGGTTTTCCCACCAAAGACAGTGGGAGGGCAAAGGGAAATGGAAATGACAGTGAATTTGTGGTAGTAGAGAACCCACCGCTCTGCTGAAAGGCTCCAGTTCTGTTGAGAAAGTACAGCAGGCAGCCCCGGGCATCCGGGTAATTGCCTGACTTTGCAGGAACAGTCAGCACAGTAGCAGCCCACAGCGAGCCAGTCAGCAGCACGCAGAATGTGTGATATTTGTCATTTGTATTACTCTCATCAGAAACCTTGCAATATGATAATTAACAATTTTCTTCTGGATTTCACTATCTGAAAGTAATTATGGTTTATTACAGTAATCTTCTTGGGATGATTAACTCTCACGGTTTAGTACATGATGTACATGACAAAACTTTACAACCAAATACAGTTCACAGATGTGCATATGGAATGAAGAAAATAGGGTCTATTTTTTGCTTTTCCACATTTATATATAAATACAGCATTCCAAACCTTGTAAGAAATCTTCACCACAGAAGGAGCCCATTTGTCAAATTCATATGTCCAGTTAGATAGAGTCCTATGGAACAAAAAAAAAAAACAACAGAAAAAAGACATTTGTATAAAAATCAATGGTTAAAAAGATGTTCTTATTCATGTTCAGGCCTCACCTTGAAAGGGGCTACAGAATATAACATATCTCAACAAGATATTTATTTTAAAGGTGTGGAAATAGGAGATAAGTTCAAAACAAACTGTCACAAAACATGACAAGTTTGTGGTTCATAAAAAAATCTTGTAAGAAAAAAACTAAAGAATACATAAATATAGAGAGCAAAAAACTAAACTGTAATATGATATTAAAAAAGAGCAATTGCCAGAATGATTTTAGGAATCTTCATAAACAGCCATATAGGTTCAGAAAAAAGATGAGTCAGGAAAAAGAAATTATAAAACCACATGAAAACATAAAATAAATCTGTCAAGAGGGAACAGGGGAAGAAATATTGAATGACGTTTTTTAAAGCCCTGAAAGTGTCACTGTATATATGATTCAGAACACGCAAAATATAGATCAAATGCAAAAGATGCCTAAATATTACAGATACAGATAATTCATACAAAAAGGGCTGCAAATAGTCTTCATTAGAAAAAATTCAAAGAAAACACAATAATATTAATAGAATCCTTCTTCTTACTGAAGGTCCAAGTTCATATCAGCATTGAGATCTATAACAAGACCTTGGTGAACAAAACTGCAACCTAACACCCACAGGCAGACACACTGAACTCCCAGGAGGGTGCTTGTGAATCACTGTGCCCTCACTCGGTAGTGCCCACTTAGGACCTTCTAAGAACCACCTAGCAGGTGAGGCACTGGGAACGTAATGGCGAACAGCAAACTCCTGTCCTTACTAAGCAGCAAACTCATTGAAACATAACCTCAGTGCACATACTAAGGTTATTTTAATGCAAAACTCCTAGTTATGATTTTGATTTATGTTCTGCTTTTAAAAGGAAGATTTAAGAATATATCATCTTTTGGAAATGGAATAAGGAAAAAATCAAAGAAATCACACACACACACACACACACACACACACACACACACACACACACCTTTCCCCTTTGTGAGCCACTTAAGGAATAATGATGAGCAAGACTCACTATGCAGTGTTCAGGCTGTGCAGACCTGTAATGCTGATGGCCGATAAAATCACTCGGTCCCGTGCTTAAATAGCCAATCAAACAGGCTAGGATGGGGAGGGGTGGGAAATTAAAACCTAAATCCAGATTACATGCTCTTGGTAATCTGGATTTAGGTTAGTACATGCTACAATTCTGTCTTAAGTAAAAAACAAGGACAAGCTACTAATCGGGCACTCTACAACATACAGAACGATGACTGTGGAATAAATGACTTTACTTACGAAAGGGGAACAATGATGAGATAGGGGCCATTGAGTCTTTTGTGCTCCATCAGATAAGTGATGAGTGCAATGGTCTGTATGGTCTTTCCAAGCCCCATTTCATCGGCTAAGATTCCGTTCAAGTTGTTATTATACAGGGAAACCATCCATTCCAGGCCCTGGAGCTGAAATGAAGAGTAATTGCTTCAATTATCCAAGATCTGCACAGGTAATTAATCCTAATACAACCCAAGTGAGGGTGTGACTTCTTAACTCCTCACTGCTGTATGTTGGGTTTCCCACAGTAGGAAAATGGGGGAAGCACCAATGCAAAAAGAATGTAAAATATGAGCCTGATCATTCTCTCCATGAGTAAGCTTTCTCTCTTCTTGCTTCTTGACAGGTGAGTTTTAAAGCAGCTTTGCCGCTCATCCACACTTAGTATTTCACAGTATGTGACATTCTAGAATTATTATAAATGAAAAAAGCCCAAACCAAAATCTAATCCAACCACTCCAAGAATAAAAAGCCAATGTGAAGGCAGATTTGGCACACAGATCACAGATTATTAAAAACAGCCTTTTCGGTAATATGGGTGAGGTCCCCTCAGTGAAAAGGCGGACTGACC
Organism: Homo sapiens; assembly: GCF_000001405.40. Lineage (NCBI taxonomy): Eukaryota > Metazoa > Chordata > Mammalia > Primates > Hominidae > Homo > Homo sapiens. The sequence continues at coordinate 2,081,388 of NC_000009.12, read as the reverse complement.
AGGGAGCCAGGGACACTCTGCTGGGACCACAGGAGGACATTTCTCTTCCTGGCAGAGAGAAAGTTCCCAGACAGCACATGGGAACTTTGTAATGTGAGTACTACCCAAAGGCTGCACACTGGAAGCTGGCAACTGGAAACATGCTCAACGTATTTCTGAAGTACAAAAACACTGTACCAGAGATTCCCCACGTTAAGTACAAAAGTAAGGTTGGGTGAAAATACAAAATTGTTAAACCTCCATCCCCCAACCAACAATTCCCTTCCACCATCATACCACAGATGCTGGATTTAAATGATAGGATCAATTATATATATGTTTGCTAAAGTCAATTTAGCTTGCTAATGATGTTATGCTTAGGGAAATGTTAATTTTTTATGTAAGAACAAAGCAAGCAATTAGTTTATTTAAAATATTTATTAAATGACTATTCTGTGCAAGGGGCCATGCAAGGAGCTGTAGCAGATAGATACCAAGGTCTGTAAGATGCATGCCTCCCTTCAGAAGCTCAAATAAAAGAGAAAACAATGAATGAGGCACATATACACATATGCCAAGAAGTGGTTGACAGTGCCAATGTATATGTATACATATAAAACTGTATTGACAAGAATTTTTCTTAGGGAGACACCGCATTGGTTTGAAGCAATACTTCCATAAGCCACTTGAGATACTTTGTACCATGCAAGATTCCAAAGTCATCCTAAAGGTTTCTGCAGAACTACAACAACAACAAGAGATAAGTAGAGAAACAGGAAGAACCTCCAAGAGAATGGGCAAAAGATAGAGGGAAAGAGGGGAAATTATTATAAAACAAACAGTGGTAGACAGGAGAAGCTGTCAGCCTGCAACGTGACCCTGAAACCACTAGAGCTTTAGAAAAGTCAACTAAATACAAGAAACATTTTGGATACTCTGTAGGATGAATTTTTGTTTCTGCTTTTTTTAGAGAAAATTGGTAAAGGGGCTGAATTTTGCGTTTGTGCTAATTCAATACAAAACAGAAGTAGAAACTAGCAGCAGAGGAGACTAGAAATTCACAAAAATTGTGGGAAGTAATTTGGATTTTCTCAGGCTGGAAACTGGCAGAATTGGCCAGGGGGAGGATTAGATATTGAACCAAGCTTATGTGGCTCTCTAGGAGTAGCAGGAAGACCTCAGCCGTGTCAAGGTTAAGTAAATATTAATGACACAAAAACCTGTCAAGAAGCAAGAAGATAGAAAGCTTACTCATGGAGAGAATGATCAGGGAAGGCTTTGAGCCACAACTTGAACTGGTTTATGAGAAATGATCAGGGAAGGTTTGAGCCACAACTTGAACTGGTTTGTGAGATCTCATCAGGCGGACATGGCTAGTCAAGATTCCAGGAAGAAGGCACTTCATAAGGTATAAATCCAGAGAGACACTGCAAGGCATGTTCGGGGAATCTACAGCAGCTCAGCAACACAGAGGCATAAAACTCACATATGGAAGTCGAAGGAGCTAGGTTTGAAAAGAGAGTGATGAAGACTGCTTAGAAGGGTGTTGGATGACAGAAGAAAACCCATGTGGCATTACAAGTTATTCACAAATAATTCAAAAGATGGATCTCCCATATGCAGATATACAAAAGTTTATTAGAGCATGCTATGAGTTAACATCTATGTCAGGTAGGCCAAACAAGATGAAACCTGCTTTGGATCTCAGGACTATGACATGGTCTTTGGAGAAAACATGATCTTACTAAGGCCAGAGCAGTGGTCCTCAGAATGTGTTCCAGGGGTTCTCAGGGCCCCCCAAGATCTTGGAAGGAGATCCACGAGGTCAAAATGATTAGCATGACAATACTAAGGCATTACTTGTCATTTTTACTGTGTTGACGTCTGCACTGATGATGCAAAAGCATTGGTAGGTAAAAACTGCTAGTGCTTCAGCACCATCAAGGCAGTACTGTACTGGCAGTCATTGTATTCTGCACTCCTATGCAAGGGCAGCAGACACAGTACCAAGTGTTAAGAGTAGAGAGGACCCGATGCCAACAAGTACACTTCCTAAAGTGTATTCTAGAAGACGCTAGTCTTACAGGATGTTAATTGGTGATATAAAAATAGGGTTTGGTAGTCAAAGAAATTTGGGAAATATGAAGTTAAACAATGTTAAAGAAGTGATTTTACTGCAGGATGCTGATGTGCCTTATGGTTACATGTTGATTTCCGCAGAGTCCCAAGTGTGCTGACGGGCATGTGAATTAACAAGAGGGGTCACTGCCAGAGTGACCGTATCTGGTTGTTGTTCAGGGACAGTCCAGGGTTATGCCTATTATCAATAATAAGGCCCTCGACTCACGTTCACAAGTATTCAAGTTAGAAATAGTAATTTATATGGTAATCTTAGTTACAGTATTTGGCCACAAACCTCTTTTTTTATTTATCTATTTTTATTTTTATTTATTTATTTATTTTTTTGGATAGAGTCTCACTCTGTTGCCGAGGCTGGAGTGCAGTGGTGCTATCTCGGCTCACTGTAAGCTCCGCCTCCTGGGTTCACGCCATTCTCCCGCCTCAGCTTCCCGAGTAGCTGGGACTACAGGTGCCCGCCACCACACCCAGCTAATTTTTTTGTGTTTTTAGTAGAGACAGGGTTTCACTGTGTTAGCAAGGATGGTCTCAATCTCCTGACCTTGTGATCGGCCCACATCAGCCTCCCAAAGTGCTGGGATTACAGGCGTGAGCTACCGCACCTGGCCTCCTTTTTTAATTTTTAAGGAACAATTCATAGAACAAATGTCTCATGGAACACAATTTGGGAAACGTCACTAAGTGGTAGAAGGTAGAACACAGGGAATTAGCCTCAATCCAGACAGGTCAAATAAAACAATGGCCTAATTTTTAATCAAAGCACAGATGCTCACAATTTTATTGTTTCTTTTTTTTTTTGTAGATGGAGTTTCACTTTGTCACCCAGGCTGGAGTGCAGTGCTAAGATCTTGGCTCACTGCAACCTCCACCTCCGGAGCTCAAGCGATTCTCCTGCTTCAGCCTCCAGAGTAGCCGGGATTACAGGCATGTGCCACCACACCCAGCTAATTTTTGTATTTTTAGTAGAGAGAGGGTTTCACCATGTTGGCCAGGCTGGTCTCGAGCTCCTGACCTCAAGTGATCCACCCACCTCAGCCTCCCAAAGTGATAGGATTACAAGAGTGAGCCACCATGCCTGGCCTATTGTGTCTTAAGAAAAAGCATAAATGTAGTAGACAGCTACTCCTAGGTGGGTTCAATCCACGGCATAAAACCACAGCCACACCTAAAAATTTTAAAGAAATACTTCAAGATGAGGCGTGGATGTTCTCCAGTTTAATAGAATGTGGCTGGGTTTTCCATTTTGCAGAGATCACTTAAAATACATCCCAAAAGCATAAAAGAGAAAATGGGTATGGCATGCCCTAGTAAAGATGGTAACATGGAGTACTCTAAAAGAAGAATCATAGGCACAATGAAAGGAACCTCAGTATTATAAGTGATGTGGCCTAAAATATCATCAAAAGCCCTTAGTCAACATGTGCACGACATACTTCAATCAAAATTAGGTAAATGGTTACAACTTGCCAAGGAAACTGAAACCATGCCAATTACCTGGTAATGCTTTAGGGTCCCATTAATTAGGAGGGCAGACTGTTTCTCCACCCTCTCCGAGATGGCATGAGCCACGGTGTAGTAGGACTGGGAGCCCCTGGCACTGTACTGCATGCTGTATTCATCATCCACGTCTTGCTTAGCTGTCCTGGGAAAGGAAAAAGTGGAGAATCACACACAGACATGTGCGTGCATGTGTTGTTTTACTTCACTCAAAAAATGATTTGAGAACCTAAAATAGCTGCAATAAGTGTGTTTTATTTATCAACCACGACTTGCCATGCAGTTAATATACACTATCTGTAATCCTCTCAAAAAGCAAGCACAAAAGGCGTTATGATGATCATCCCCATTTTATGCAGGTGGAGAACCCGAGGCTTAGAGAGGTTACTTCATTTGTTTGGATCACATAAAAGGTAGTGAAACCAGGATTCGAATGCAGGCCCCCTTGACCCAAAAGACAGATAGGAGCCTGAACCCTACACCTGCAGATGAATACTTTGCCGATGAAGCTGTCCTAGACTGTTAAATACAAAGATAAATCCTATTCACAGAACACTGGCTAAAGCTGGGAGGGCAGGGGGAGAGGGCAACCCAACATTAAAGGGGTAGGAAGGAGGAAAGGTAGGCTTCTATCTTCTGTGCCTTGTTCATGAGCTACTCTGCTATTCTACAGGCAATGAGGAACCACTGAGGGGGATTCTTAACACCTTCAGTGAAGGATCAGGGCAGACTGCTAGGAGGAAGGGTCCCTAAAGTGGGGCACACAACCATGGAATAAAAGGGAGAAATATTAGGATGTCTATTTCTGGTTTTTAAAATACCTCATCTTTTATATTGTTTCACAACAGTTTTCTTTTAATAGTACAGCTATACAAGCAAAGAAATGTGCAAACCCTTGACGTAGAGGGCCCACAGGAATGGATGAGACACAGAGCCAGGGCACTCGGAGGGCTGGAGAGGGTTCAGGGACTGGGCGAGAGTTGGTGGTCAACTTGGCTATGGCAGCAGGAGTAAGACAGGAATGGTGTCTCTCACTTGGGTTTCAGGGAGACTGCTGATATCATTAAGGGAGGCAGGAAAGGCAGCGAAGCAGCCAGTTAGGGAGATAAGTTTCATTAGTTCAATCTGGGACTGAGGTGCAGACGACAGGTGTGAGGCTCAGGAGTGAGCCTGAGCTGGAGGTGGGGATTAAGGAGAGAGAAGGGTAAGGAAGTGAGAAAGAAAGGGAAGAAAGGGAAGGAAGGAAGGGAGGGAGGGATGGAGAATCAACACGAAACCCCGAGACCTGGGAACCCAGAACTCAGTGGTGACCTCTAGGAGCACAGTTTCAAGCAGAGTGTAGGCGTGAAGTTAGTTGCCTTCCTTGAACAAAATTTCCTAAAAGAAAATTCATTAAGCATCATCCTCATGCAATGCATTTCCAAGGGAAAAATGCAGTACATACTCAATGATCTGCTTAGCATCCTTCTCAGAAACTTCTTCGCTATTTGGATCCAGGAGTATTTTCTCTTCGGTTTCCTGCCTACTGGACTCTTCTTCCTCATCCTGGAAAAGGAACAAAGATAGGGAGGAAATTATATTTTAACAAGGAAATCTCTATGATTGACATTTTCTGAAAAGACATAAACTAGTATTGAACTTCACAAATGAAGTAAGATCATAAAATTCAGGGAGGAAGTAAATGTAACATCTACTTAAGTAAGGTAATACCCCCAATTCAACTGCTGTTGAAATCATGAATGAGATAATGAAGGGAACTCTCTGAGGATCCCCTAGAACCCTTGCTCCCAAGAATGAGTATGTAAATATCATGCCAGAAACATAAATGTTTATCATTATTTGGTTATCAGAGTCCTGTAGAGCATATCTGCTCTCACTCAGTAGCACTCTCTCCAAAGCCAGATTGTAGAGCTCTTAGGATCCTCCTTCTCATAAAAACACTCTCTCTGATGGCTGGGTGCAGTGGCTCATGCCTGTAATCCCAGCTACTCGGGGGGCTGAGGCAGGAGAATCGCTTGAACCCAGGAGGCAGAGGTTCCAGTGAGCCAAGATCACACCACTGCACTCCAGCCTGGACAACAAGAGCGAAACTCTGTCTCAAAACAAAACACAAAACAAAACAAAAAAAATCTACTCTCTCTGATAATGCCCATGGGACTTGGATGGCCCCATATATGTCCACTGTAGAGGACCTGGATCTTGTAAACACACTGCTTTCTGTGGCTGATTCACATCACACATTGCAGAGTACTGAGATTAAAAACTCTCAATAACTTGGCGAAGGATTCAATACCTCTCCCTTCTCAACCGAGTGCTACATCCAGCTGACCCATTTGAAAGCATCACTAAGTAAGTGTCCATTCTGTCCACTACTAACCTGGTGTAGAAGGCTAAATCTTTCCAGACAATCCAGTAGAATTTCCTTGAAAAGCAGGTTTAAAGAGAACTATGCTTTTCCATAACTCTTAAATGACAAAGTATGAATTGACAAACTATCAAGGAGAAAAATCAAACCTTATGATAGCAGATCATTTAGAAGCAGGGAGTCAGCTAAGGCCTTGGCACAACTCCTTCATTTTCCAGGCCAGGAAATAAAACGCTGAGAGGGGACATGACTCTCCACATGTCACTCAGGCTCACCTGCAGCAGACCCATGTGATGGGCCCAGGGACAAGGGCTGTCTGTGCTTGTCATTCTCAGGATGGCACCTGCTGGCTAGGCGGCCTACTTCATCTTATCTCTGCCCTCTCTGGCTCTCTTATTCAAAGAGAAGCTTCTTCCAGTAGGTCACTTATAAGCCCATTCATCCAAGTAAACAAGACACCTTTAAATATCTTAGAGATAGAGTAGCTGGGGGAAACAAATAGCATCCCCCAAAAAGTATTTGCTTTTAAAAAACAAAACACAACAAAACAGGATCTTGCTCTGTCACCCAGGCTGGAGTGCAGTGGCACGACCTCAGCTCACTGCAGTCTCTGCCCAGGGCTCAAGCCATCCTCCTACCTCAGCCTCCCGAGTAGCTGGAACTGCGGGCATGCGTCACCACGCCCCGCTGATTTTTGTGTTTTTTGTAGAAATGGGGTTTCACCATGTTGCCCAGGCTGGTCTCGAACTCCTGGACTCAAGCAATTCTCCTGCGTCAGCTTCCCAAAATGCTGGGATTATAGGCATGAGTCACCATGCCCAACCATGTTTGCTTTTTAATGATTATGCTTTTTTGTAATGTAACTTTTATTATTCTTTCTCTTTACAAAAGCATTAAGTGCTCATGGAAGACTAATTTGGAAAACACAGGTCCACAAATAGAAGGAAAACAGCCATAGTCTTGAGACCCTGGTAAGCTATTATGGGTAAGGATGTTTTACCTTGTCCTCGGCACCTATACTACGGCACTCTCAAAAATATCAGATCTAATGACAATATATTAACAATGCTCTAATAAAGGAGAGCAAATCTTCTTTTAATCCTTCTATTTGTAATTATTAAATTAAACATTTTGTGGCTGATTTAACAAATATTTTATTATTTCTCAATTTCTATTAAAAATACCCAAGATTCCCATTTTAGGTTCTAGTTATACTAAGTATTCCTTCCAAGAGACTGAGCGCTTCTCTTTGGATAACAAGTATATCTAAGGAATTCAAACAAGAATCACATTTGGAGAGAAATCAAGAGGATCAATAAACTCATTAAACCAAGCCCACGTTGCCCTTTTTGTCAAAGTTTCCAGACTCAGAATTGCAAATAGACTCGAAGGTCTGAAGGACTTCAGAACTTTTTGGCAGTTAATTCTCAATGTGAACCACTTAGAGGTATGGTATGGCCTTTCCCAAGGTAATCCATCTCCAATTCTCCCCCAAAAGACCACTTCACCATCTCCCAAGTTAATGCCAGCTTCTCTTCTCTTGGTTTCAAGTGAATTTAGAATGTGCCAGGTTTCCCCATTAGCCAGGGCCTTCCAAGAGATCACTGTACCACTAGGCATACACCATCAAAGCATTTGTAAATCCTTAGCCCCAGCTGTCACCCAAAGGCCAATCCTGGAGGAAGAAATGATAGAAGGACCCAAGGCCCGGGCTTACATTCAGGAAGAATTTCTTCCTCTGATAACTTTCAAACCAATAAACCCCAAACAGAGATACATACATACCTCTTCCTCATAATCAGAATCACTCTCTTCACTGTCAGATCTAGGGGCAACTTCATAACTAAGGAAAAAGAGTGAGGAAGAGGAGGGGGCTTAGTTTTTTAAATTACAATACAATAAAGACACACATGACTTAATAGCACATTCTATGTATAAAAGACAAATCCAAGTAACAACTTCAACCATCTCAGCAAAGGCTGTGTAGTTTTAGTTTCGAGATCGTACAAGATTACCAAAATCTAAAAAGCTAAAAGAACACCATGAACGCTGCTTTCATGCCTTACCCAGGATTCATTTCCAGCCAGGCGTCCAGCTGACTTGCTTTGGGTGCTTCTGGTCCGAACAGAACCTTGCCGGTTTCTGTGTGAGTCACTTTGACAGGGAGGTCACTCATCTGGCTGCTCTCATCTATGGGCTACAAAGGAGGGAAAATCATGTCACGGTTTCATGTTAAGACCTTCCCCCAGTCCTGTACTGGACGTTTCTCAGCAGTTTTTGCTGCCCAGCATGTGAAACCTTATTCTGTGTTTGGAAATTTCACTACCTAATGAGTGTTGGTGGGAGGTGAGAGGCTACCTCCCACTAAAGAAACTGAAAATGCTGCCTCCCTGGTAGCTAAGATACAGGCACAAACCTCAGCTCCAGCAACCAGATACATCACCAAGGTTGTGAGTTAAGAGCTAGAAGTGCAAGGGTGTGGAAACCAACAGGTGCACCGGTGCAGGGCAGACCACAGTGGCAACAATGCCAGGAAAGCGGTAATGGCTCTGTCAAACTTCTGCCTGCTCCCAGCCACAGCCTGTCCTCACTAGACCAGTTGTAGAGCATAATATTGGGGATAGCCCTGAGTCAGGTTCTTCAGAAACCCTGGAGATCTGATGAGTTGCCCAGTATCCTATCAATACATTCCCTTTTTATTTAAATCAGGCAGACTTGATTTTGGTCATTTGTAACTAACAATCCCCATTCCTCAACTAATACTTCCCAGATAACAACTATTGCAAAGTCATGGTTTCAGAGAGAATGAAAAACAGAAAAGGTATTATAACTTATGTCATCTCATGAGTGGCTGGTTTGGTCTCTGCAGAACCGGTGTCCTTTTTCCAAAACTAACCCCCCAGGGGTCTAACCCAACTATTGGTATCTTTGAGTGTGACAAAGAAAAAAGCTCTGCTCCTCTGAAATCTGGCAAATTGACCAAAAATTAAGCTAAAGTTCATTACTAGACTACTATATCCAAGGAACACAAGAATCACACTTGAATATAATCAGTAACGAATGACTGCTCCTGATTGCAGGGTGATCTGTACTTCTAAGAACAGATCCCTAAGTAAAATGTTTGTTTGGAAATGCTTGGTCTGTGAGTGGTTCAAGTTATCTATTTCCTGAAAAGTGATAAAATTGAATTTTTAGACAATTCATGAATTCCAAAATTTTTGCTAGATTCCTTTCAATTGGAATTAAGCAGAAATGATAGGATAACCTACAGTATGCTATCGTTTATCTTCTATATCTTACAGGAGATGACCAAAAAACAAAACAAAATGAAAAACACATACCCAATGGTTCTTTCCCCTTACACCCTCAACAAAGCACTGTCAGCACAAGAAACAATATATTAGCAATTATCCACAAAAATAACCTTAAAAAGAGAAAAGGCTTACTCCAGATTGTCGTTTTTTTCTTTTGTGTGTGCTAAAGCAATGGTTTTGAACATCATTACTTTGCATGCCAACATGACACTTCTTCCTCATTAATGTAAAAGGTCATCTATATACTCAAGAGATAAAGAAGGAAATCTACAATTTGCTATCATTTCCCTTGGAAAAATCATATTCTGTTATCATGAACCATTATAATACAGCTTGTTTTCGTGCTAATGTCATGCCTCTAAGAAAACTGGAAATCACTGTAGATGGAATTAGAACCTTGGCAAAAGCGCTGAATGAGAACAGAAGAACATTATTTCAAAATAGAGCAAGATGTCCACGTTGCAATCCTTAGCAAACAGGACACGTGTGTTAAGATTAAAAGAAAAAAAAGATGTATGTCACAAGTCCAAGATCAGTAGCTAATTTTCCCAACAGATAATAAGATATAAGAACACTATTACGCTAACATGTTAAATCTCTCCCTGTGTGCTTGTTAATTATAGACCAATGGGAGGCATTCTTAGGTAAGGCTGGGCTTTTGCAAATTAGAGTTGTTTCTAAGTGCTCTAATATATAGTATTCTTAACCAGTAACAGCCCACGGAGTTTCTCACACATCAGATATTTATCCTGATCCTTTCTTTCCTTGTGATAGATTATAGTGGTTAAGTAACATTTATTGTTCAAGAGGTTTCTGCATAGAATAGTGGTTCAATCTTTTTTTTCTGCATCTCCACTGTTTTGAGTTCACAATACAACTGTGTGCAGAGTGATACCAGAATGGGAAGTGGCAACCTCCCACCCACTCTGATCCTCCAAGTAGGTTTATCAGAATTTATGAGACAAAATGAAGATAATTTGAAACAAACTCCCTTCCCATCCTGCTCTGGGAGTGTGCCTCCTCACTGTGAATCGCTGGCAGGGAACCTTAAATTCTTCAGAAAAAAATCCAATAAATTAATTGTATCCTCATAATTCAGGAGAATACTGGAACTACTAGGAAATGAATTTTAGGACTAGGCTGATGAACATACACATAGAAGCTATATGGCAAGCCCATTAAAAATTTCAAAAATAAGTTAACCAAATATGTGACTTCTTTAGTTTATGTATTTTTATAATTTCAAATTAATAATAAACTAGAGAAACTGTGTCATATTTTATGCTTCTGTATCATTTATTGGGCAATATAATTATAGAATCATTTAAGATTCTTACACATCCTATATATTTGTAAACATACGATTATATGTGCACAGAAAATTCTGAAATACTATGCAAGACATTTAATATCAGTTGATTGACAGTCTGACATGTAAGTAGATTATTTTTCACTGTATCCCTTTTGTATCATTCTAATTTTCTACTATGCTAATGTATTACTATTTTTACTTAAAATAAATAGCACAGTAAGAATAAAATAGTATGCATGAAGAATGGTGCTGCCAGGTATGGCACAGACTCCATTCAGCAGAACACAGTGGAAAGGATGACGATCCCTTACCTCTCCATCCGGTCCCAGGGCAGACTCCCCACCCTCTGCATTCTCCTCAGCCTTCTGCAAAACAACAATGTCGAATGTTATAAGTAACCAAGATGATGGGGTACAGGACTTCCTGGTAACTCTCCGGTATGTAATAGGATTTCATTGTTACCCCATTATTATCTAACACAGCTTAAGTGTTAATGCCTTTTATGTTCATTTGTCTTTGCTGAGACAAAACATGTATTTTATTAGCAACTTGTAGAGAGTCACTTAAAGTCAGATGTGATCTGAGGCCAGCACACTAGAGATTTGTAGATTGTGTCTTCAGGGACCCAAAGAGCTTAAGACAGGGCAGTATCAAGACAGTGGTCAGAATCTGAAATGTTCTTCTCGTGTTTGGGAGTGGGAAGATATATCCTGACATAATTAGCTCAACTTTCCTATCCCCTAAGCAAGTTTTCTTCAGCAATGAAGAACAACATTCTAAAACTGTCCATCAAGAATAAGCTCTGATGGCAACAATAGACACTGGGGACTACTGGGGGGGAAGGAGGGAGTGGGGCAAGAGCTGAAAAACTAATTATTGGGTACGATGATCTCCACCTGGGTGACAGGATCAACTGTAACACAAACCTCAGCATCATGCAATATACCCAGGTAATAAACTTGCACATGTATCCCCTGAATCTAAAATAAAAGTTGAAATAATAAAAATCAAATTGCACCCTCAAAAAAAAGAATAAGCTATGACCCACTCCATGGGCATAAAAACATAATATAAAACTTTATGAGTTCCCTGGATGTTTTTAATTCCACCTAAATTTCTTTCATAACATATAGTATTTCTACCATGTGTAAATGGGAAAATTTTATGCAGATATTGTTATCTGATGAAGAATTCTGTTATCTACCATTTCTTTTTTTTTTTTTTGAGACAGAGTCTTGCTCTGTCGCCCAGGCTGGAGTGCGGTGGCCCGATCTCGGCTCACTGCAAGCTCCGCCTCCCGTGTTCACGCCATTCTCCTGCCTCAGCCTCCCAAGTAGCTGGGACTACAGGCGACCGCCACCACGCCCGGCTAATTTTTTTGTATTTTTTTAGTGGAGACGGGGTTTCACCGTGTTAGCCACGATGGTCTCAATCTCCTGACCTCGTGATCCGCCTGCCTCGGCCTCCCAGCCTATCTACCATTTCTTACATATCCCAATATCTTAGTCCATTAACTTCTATGTGCCTCAAAAACAACCTAAATGAAAAGTTAAGATTATGTCATATCGGCCGGGTGCGGTGGCTCAGGCCTGTAATCCCAGCACTTTGAGAGGCCGAGGCGGGCAGATCACAAGGTCAGGAGATCGAGACCATCCTGGCTAACACGGTGAAACCCTGTCTCTACTAAAAACACAAAAAATTAGCCGGGTGTTGTGGTGGGTACCTGTAGTCCCAGCTACTCAGGAGGCTGAGGCAGGAGAATGGCGTGAACCCAGGAGGCAGAGCTTGCAGTGAGCCGAGATGGTGCCAGTGCACTCCAGCCTGGGTGACAGAGAGAGACTGTGTCTCAAAAAAAAAAACAAAAGGTTATGTCATATCTTGTACATATCCAAGAAAGTCTCATCTGTAATATACGCAAAATAATCTAAAATTTCTTCCACTTACGATAACCTCTCTGACAAGTGAAATCTTTAAAATCACCTCTACAGAATCACTATTTTAAAGTTACTGCTGGAAAGCTATACTATTTCTGCATAGTATAATGAGAGAAAAAAAAAAAACTTTAGTCATTTCCTTTGCCAAGATGCTTGAGAAAATGAGCTTTCCTCCCTTGGGCTCTTTAGTTAATTAAAAATAAAAAATGACGATACAGAATCAATATGAACTCAACTTTGTTTACTTAAGATATTGATTATATAATACGTTTTGCCTTCTATGAAAATAACTCAACTGTCTTTTGACAAAATAGCTTTTACGAAAACACTTAAAGTTTAAAATCAGCCTTTTAGTCATAGTGAAGAAAGGCAGTTCCATCAACATTTGAAATTTCTGAAGTTCCTTTACAATGCAATTTTTACCAAAAATACATGTATGTATGTATGCCAAAGCACAAGGCATAAAAAAAAATGCAGCTTCCACCAAACAGTAGGAAATAAAATGCTCCCTTTGGTTATGATTTTCCAAGTAATTAAATTTCTATTTATGTCACCTCAGAGCAAAAACATTTATAAGCTCAAAAGAAATGATCAGCTTCAAAGAGCATCAGGCTCTACATCTAAGCTAGTGACACAGAGAACAATAACAGAACCCTTGAATTCAAAAAAGAAACCATCCCTGCTACCAGTCACTGAAGGTTCCATTTTTGGAGTTCTCAGAATCTATACTCAGGGGACTGTTTTAATTAATGGGGGAAAGTCAATTAATCCCACCATTCTTTCCATACAAATCAGAAATAAGCTACAAATTTGGCCAACAAAGAAAATCAAATGAGACAATGAATAAGCCAATTTCAAATATCTAGCAAGTGGAATTGGATCACCACTTCAATGAATAGTACATTAAAAAGCTTGAAGCATCATATATTAATATAATCAAAACTATTCTGAAGGATACTTTCCTATGAATGTCCTATAGACTAGCTAGATTGTTATCTAAAAACTGCCTCACAGTCAGGCCCTTCCATTACTTAAAATCCCCAAAACTATTTTTTAAAGTTCTATTAGGTATCAAATCTGAGAGACAGAGTAATATTAGATTTAAGACATTTGGTTCTGCAATTAGACAAACTGTGTTTCAATCTTAGCTCTCTGTAATTAAGTGCAAGAGATCTTAGCTGTATGATCTTGAGCAAATCATTTTCTCTTGTGTCTTAGTTCCCTCTTGCATAAAATAGGAACGGTAACAAACAGTGCCTGCTTCCTAGGGCTTCTGCAGGACTGGGTCACTATTTCGACATGTACAATCCAGTGTCACAAGTAATATATATGCTGCCAGCCTCAATCTCCACATTGTACAAGGGTCAACGATAGTCCGAGGACTATTCTTTTATGTCTATAATTAAGACTGGCTGTCGCATTTCCTGAAAACTGCTTCATAAGGCTATGAGGTCAGGGATTTCTGTCTGTTTTGTTCACTGGTGCATTCCCACACCTACAAGGGCATCAGGCACTTAAAAGGCGCTAAATAAATATTTGGTGATTGAAGGAATGAATGAAAGCACAAAGAACAATGCTTTCCACTTAGCATATGCTCATTAAATTATTACTATCATAAATAGATGCCAATACATTTGCAAGTCATAAAATAGTTAAAAGCACGCACACAATTAGCCATTGAATTGGTGCTCTGTGTGACTTTCCTCGCAAGCATGCCCTGTCCTTGGACCTAATTCTGCCATGTTATTCTAAGAGATAGAGGCCAGGTGGCAGTCTACTCTATGACAAGAGATATCAACTCCTCCCATCATTCTTTGGATTCCTTCAGTTTGATGACATTGCTGGTTGGTGCGCACATGTACTCACATCAACTTCATGCTGTGTCTCAAAACTTAAAAAAACAAAGCAAAACAAACACAACTGTCCCTTTTTCTTGGTTCAAAATTAACACCCAAGAGTTTGTGATTGGTCTACTGTTTGAGCTGACTTCGGACAGTCTCTAAGCACCTAAAGAAATGTCCTGGTGTGAATGCAGCAGCTGCTACAGCGTCTCCTGCCACCTGAGAAATTTTCATATGTAGTTATCTGCATCGTTTAATTGCAGACACATGCTATCAATATTAAGGGCTGATGCCTGCACTTATTTCCATTGATTGAAAACAAAACAAAACACTGAACAAGAAACTTTGTACTGGCTTCTTCCTACATGCAAAAGAGTTTAGAACTAATTATGCTTATGTAGGAAGGGAGGAGTATAATTAACCTAATCATGTAAGGGGACATGATAGGAATTATTCATAACTAAAGATTACTCATAACTAAAAATTACTCAAACTAAAGACAGTGTGTGTTCCCAATTTCCAAGGCCAACGTCAATTCATATCTTCCATTTAGCAATGTTCACAAGCAAAGGTATGTGCATGGCTACCCATCTTCCTTGCAGAAGGTATAAAAAGTAATCAACAACAGGGCTGAGGAGGGAAAGAAATCTCTAAATATGAAAATCCCGTGTAAGCTGAACTCAAAAGAAGACTTCAGTAGGCCATTTTATTTAGATTACTTTAACATAGGCTATAAACAGCCTCATTACATAAAGTTTTAAATCAAATATTTTACAATCTATATTATAAACTGAATGTACTTTATCCCCCAGTGGGTGTTATTATAATATACTGAAACAACATTCAAATGTGCTGGTATCTGAAGTATCCATTCTGTTTTGCTGGAAACCTAAGCTTTCAAAAACCACTTGAGTTATTTTTACTGTCATTTAAGGGGACCTTTGAGCATTAAGATAGGTAATCGGGTAATTTTAAAAAATGCCCAGGGATATGAAATTAGCAGGCATTTGCAAATTACTTGGGTTGTTTCTTATAGAGAAAATCAATTCAAACATTTTGACTCAAGTAACTGGTCAATCCAGTTAAACAGGACTTTTCTCGAAACTTCTGGTCTCCCCCATTTTGACACTCAACTAATCAAATAAATCTAATCACTGTGGCATTGTGTTCGCCTATCCTTACAATAGTTCCTACACTCAAATGTCCAGAATTACATTAGAACCTTTCTTTCATCTATGAAAATCCTGTAGAGGAAAGCTGTAATAAAGTATATAATCTTTGGGGAAACTGTAAGAGATTAAAAAAAATGAGAAGAATCAGGGAGTAGCTTGTATTTAAAATAAATGTCTCAATATTACTGCTTTGCTTTTCAAGCTCTTTTTACTGAAAACTGTGCCAACGGCAGGCTATTCTGACATTCTGGTATCTAAACAGGATAAAAACACATTTCCTACCACTATGTTGGCCAATACATTATGCCAGGAAGGTTCAACCTGCAAAATATCACAGTCCTGAGATTTACTTATAATAGCGGTTGGTAAGGAGAAAGAGAGAGAGAGAGAGACAGGATAAAAGAACTTTCAGAAAGAAAATCGAACACTCCAATGAAGACTATATCTGGTCTAGTGTTGCCTCAGAGATTCTGAGTATGTGCCCATTAGTATCATATGTTTCCAAAAAATGTCACAAATAAATAACACAAGAATAGTTCTGCTGGTATACATCCCACTGAAAGATGTGGAAGGGAGAATTAAATATTTAGTTTTGGCTGATGTCAACGGCTCTGGAAACTGAACCTCTGAAATGGCTAGACTTTTTTTTTTGAGACAGAGTCTCGCTCTGTCGCCCAGGCTGGAGTGCAGTGGCGCCGTCTCGGCTCACTGCAACCTCTGCCTCCTGGGTTCACACCATTCTCTCACCTCAGCCTCCTGAGTAGCTGGGACTACAGGTGCCTGCCACCACGCCCGGCTAATTTTTTGTATTTTTTAGTAGAGATGGGGTTTCAACATGTTAGCCAGGATGGTCTCGATCTCCTGACTTCGTGATCCGCCCGCCTCGGCCTCCCAAAGTGCTGGGATTACAGGCGTGAGCCGCCGCACCCAGCTGATGGCTAAACTTTTAAGCAATAGGCAGGGCTGCTCCTGGTATGGGCTCCTAACCACAGCTTAAGGAAAAATGTACCCTAAAGTACTGTGAGAGATGCCTCATAATCGCCAGGAACCCTAGTAAAGTAGAGGCCATGTAATTAGAAAATTCTCTTTGTAGGAGTTGGGGGAACAGGGTGGTAGGCAGAGTTTATCACCTGTGATAAAGCCTCATTTTTCTTCTGCATGCCTCAGTATTTAAAGAATCTGTCACTGTCCTCAAAGATATCCTACACACTAATATTCAACTGATTTCCAACTAGAAAAAAAGTGGTGACCAATTATTATTGATTCAACATCACAAAGAATATGCAGTAAAGGTTTAAAAAGACATTTGTTTTCAGAAAAACATAACCGTATTATAATTATGATTCCACTTTCGTATCATAGAATTGCTTGATGAAATAATGTTTACTGAGCACTTACTATATGTTAGGGTGTATTCTACATGCTTTAGATAAACTTTCCCGTGTAATCCTCACTACAAATCTATGGGGTAGACAACATTCCTATTGCCTTCTTACAGATCATGAGACTGAAGCACTATGGTAATAGATCTTTTAACGAACTAGCCTACAAGAGAATAATAGCAAATTAGTATAAATATTTTCTCATGTAGTTTTGATTTTAAAAGATTACCTGCTAACACGACTCAGACAGTGGTCCAATTTTCTAATTCAGCCATGTTCAATCCTAGTTCTACAGGCCCTGGTGGCTTGATCTAGCCCCATTCTCTTTTGTACCCTGTAGGAAACCTCAAGGTCACGCTAAACGCACATAATAGCACATTCATCTTGTAACATCAAAGAAATTAGTTTCGTATAACTAGGTTTTCAATACTTTAAAAATTATTCCTCCTCTGACACTTAAGGAGATACATGTAGTTCACTTCTTCTTCTTCCATTTCAAGGGCTTTAATGGAAGACCAGGCTGAAAATGAGAAGTTACAAAATGATTTATAAATGTGTACTTCCTAAAAATGTCTGTAATGATGAGAAAATTAAACAAGGTCATAACATGTTAAAGGAAACCTACCCTATTATTCACGAGCAACAAGTCAACACAATAAACTCCCAAAGAAAGACAGAGGCCTCTGTCCTTCTAGGGAATTAAAAAAAAAAAATTGTACACTAGTTTAACGCTGAAAATAAAAGGTAATCTTTTTCAGATTAAATTAAGTGAAAAAGTCAACCATATTCATCTTTAATAGCACATTTCTTAGAGTAATCAGTAGCTTAGTTGTCCTTCAAGTGTTGCTACCAGCTCAGTGCTATTAACTACTAGCTCACTGAGTAAAGTAGGTTTTCTCAAAACAAAGGTTTATTGAAGTATTTGTTAATTTAAAAAATATTGATAGGTACAGCATAATACTTAATACTATGGAAAAGTGCTAAAAAGGATAGCAGAGATTTTTATGCTCATAGACACAGAAGTTTTCCTCCACTACAGAGAAGCTAGAAGAAGCAACTCCCAATCATTCACTGCAATGGAGGGAAGAAGAACTACAGATAATCCAAAGTGTCAAATCAGCTTCTTAAAGCATCCCCTTCCTTTGCACTTGAATAAAAGTGCATCTGGAACTGGATAATTCGCTCTGAACTAAGTCTTAAAGCCCCGCAAAAGAGACAGGTACCAGGAAGGGCTAAGGGCCTCAGTTTCTTTTCTTTTTTTCTTCCCCCTTCTTTGTCCCACTTCTCCCAGTAAGATACCCTGGAAGGAAATAGAGCCCCTCCGACTTAGTCCTGCTGAGGGCACAAATGCTAGGCACCCAAGAGCATGCAAGGAAGGGTAGATGGCTGACCATAAAGTAAAAATTCTGCACATTGATCATGTGAGATAATCAATGGGAGATACTCAAAGATATCTGTAAGGTAGACAGTAGCTGCTTTGACAACTATTACGCGTTTGCCAAGAAATCAGGCCCCACCTCCAACTGGAAACAGTTTCCCTCCACAACATTCATCCCAGCTTGTCATTGTATAGTTGGGTGCATGTTGGATTAATATCTGTCTAGCCTCTCTTTCTCTCCCTGATTAATATCAGTCTAGCCTCTCTTTTTCTCTCTCTGATTAAACTGTGAGAGAAGGCAGGATGCTTTTCCTCACCATTGTACCCCTCCTTCTCCCAGCATTCTAGCACACGACCTAGCTCATAGTAAGTGTTCAGTTAACACATGTTGAGTGCAAGCATAAGACACAAAGAATAAGTGCTATTACCAAATTGAAGGCAAGGGTTTGAAAGGGGCGTGCCAACTTACAGATCATGCAGAATAACACCATGAAAAACAATTGTGACAAGTCCCTGTTCTGTACAGATGAACACAAAAATATAGGCATAATCATCAACACTCAATTGTGTATCTTTCTCTGCCTACGACGATGCAACTATCTAACACCACGGCAGAAATCTATTAATTGTAAGCCATAATCTCAAAACTGGGTCATTAGCTTTTAATCACAAAGAAATGTAAAATACAAAAATTTTAATACTAAAAACACTAACAGTGACAACCTCTGCAGAACACATGGCTGAATTAGGAAAAACTAAAACTGCCATTTAATGGGGTCCACTTACAGAATATTCCAGAATTCCATCTCTCTCTCTGCTATCAATATGTCAGTAATTCCTTTTTAATTTTTAAAAATTTTTTCTGGAAGTCATTAGACATATAAAATGTACCACCTTTACCATTCTTAAGTCTACAGTTCAGTGGTAATAACTACATTTATATGATTTATTTCCCCATCATTCTTCCCTCCCCCCTTACGTATATGTTCCTCACTAACTCTGAAAACATCTTTTTAAGGTAGGAATTGGAGCTGGAGTTTTGCACAGTCTATAATGCTACACTGACAAGAAAATGAGGTATTCCTCACCAACAAAATGTCTAAACACAAGCCCTGAGTCATCTCTCGTTCATCTTCACAATGAGGTAAGCTATCTTATACTAAAGAAATCAGTGCAAGAAGGTGCCTTCTTAATCATTTATTCCTCCTCCTTAATTATGAGACAGGTATGAGGATTCAGGAGCCATGAAATTAATTGTTTTTTGAAAAGCATTTTGTTCACTTATTCAGTATACAGAATGAATGATTAAATGCTACCAATCCTCAACCTTTACAATTCTGACTTCCAGTTGATGTTTGTACCTGGCCTAAACAGAATTTATCATGAACACACAGTATCAACCACTAACTAGACGACTGGATGACTTAAGCTTCAAAGAGGATCATATTCACAGGCCTATCCTCAGCAGGTTACTCTTGAATTGAGATATAATAGCTGCAGAGATTCTAAATCTTACCCTTCATTTCTCATGATAATTAGGAGATATTTCACATAGGACTCTTTTTTTATGTAATTACCTAAAACCCCAATGTGCACACTCACCTCACTGCGACACAGGGACAGCAGAACTGAATGAACAGCTTTGGCACTGCCATCTGTCCAAGTAACTATTGCTTATATCTTCCTCTGGCTTCTTCCAACCTGTACACTGCATTTTCTTCTTAAATTTCATTCTTAATTGAGTAATCCCCTGCCACCCTAGCATTAAACTTAAGCGAACACTTATTTGTGTCTGTTTTTCCTTTCCCAATTGACTGTATGTACTTAATTTAAAATCTTCTATTAAACAATGATTTATGAACAACATTGTTTTAGTTTAGTATATCCCATTATTATGCCCTTACCTCCAATAGTTGTCTAGTGTACCTAATCAACACTTCCATGCCATACCCATTTATGCAATTTTCACAATTCAATCATCTAAACCTTCCACCAGTGTAAGAAGTAGTACTTAAAGAGCAATACTCGCCTTAAAAACTTATCCCTGCCCATACACCCTGGACTCAGCCACCACCACTAGGATACGCACCTTCTTCCTCCTCCTCCTCTTCTTCTTCTCTTTGGCTGCCTGGGCTTGCTTGTGCTCCCAAACCAGATTGGTCAGATTGGCTACATACTCATCGGTCTGCTGCAAAAGGTAAGCTAAACGCCTGTCTTTCTTTTGATCAATCAGTTTTCTATAACCCTCCTCATCTTCAGCCTATTAAGGAAAGAAGAGCAGGATGAGAGCATAATATAAGCGTGCAGACAACTCCACTCTCCACTCTGTCCTCCCCTTGACAGTCTGCATTTTGACTGGTAGGAGTGTAGCAAACTGGATGAGTTGGGCTGTTCAAGCCATTGCACAGAGTCTGAAGTGGGACAAACACACAGAAGTGTGACGCCTACATCCCAGGACACTGGAGTTTACAGCAAAGTCCGGGCACAAAGCCACACTGTACGTGTGGTGTGATTAAGCACTCTGAGCCAAGCTCTTTGTTTTCTGTGTTGCTTTAACTGTACAAAAAGATTTTAGAATTTGACAATTCATGATCTAAACTTTATCTTTAACTCTATATTTTAGACATTTTCAAATATAATCAAAAGCAGAGAGAATAGTTTAATTTCTCCTATAACCAACCCCAAACAACAAAAATTCACTTGTGATGACTCCTGTTTCATTGCTACTCTTCTTCTAAACCCAAACTGAATTGTCTTGAAGCAAATTCCAGACATAATATCCTTTCATTCATAAATATTTCAAAAAGTACTACTAAAGGCAAGGAATCAAATGGGCTTTTAACAAATAATGTCTTATATTTTAAAAAGTCTTTCTTTTTGGCATTACAAACTTTGTGGTTAACAGGAAAGATCAAATTTGGGGGATTTTTTTTTTTTTTTTTTTTTTTTTTTTTTTTGGCCACAGATCTGCACTGAGTAATGGGCCCAGGTGACTGGAGACAAGTCACTTAGCACCTGAAGTCTGGTACTGCTGAGCAATAAAATAGATACAGTAATTCCCACCTCCACCTCCCATTAAGCAACATGATGAGGTTAAACAGAATAAAACTCTGATGTACTCTAAGCCATTTTGAGAGAAATCTCTTTGTGTATCCCAATAAAAGGACACTCCAAATTATTTTTATCATGTAATGCCACGATAAAAGGAGCAAGCTGCAAAATCTTTAAGAGGCAACTCCATTGCAAAAACAAAAACAAAAACTTGGGATCTTTTGTCCAGGGGTGTCACTCTAGCATCTGCCTGAGTGACAGCAGCTTCATCACTCAGTCTAGCTGCCGTCTGCCCTGTGGATGAGCAAGAGCCTCAAATGCTATTATAACTCTAATTGCTTTCGGTTATGGTTGAACTCACTTGAAGAAAGAGTGATAAAAAACTTCAGTTTCTCTATTATCTGTATATTCCATCACTTAATTGCAAAAATTAATGATTTGCAAATGCCTAATCATTAGTGTCAAACCAATCTGTTACTGAAGTTCTAATATAGTTTCACTTCAGTTGAGTCAGACAAATTTGACTGCTTAGTGATCAAATTACTACAAAAACGGTCTAGTCAGAAACCTCTCGGACAGTCCTCTCTCCCTGGTATGGAGAGGGAGGCAGGATAGGGTAGTAAGATGTAGTAGTACCTGCACACAGAGGCTTTTAAAACATGGTGTTTACTCTCTGGAATCCAAAAAATGAAAAAAATGCAAACTGTAATACCAGCCAGGAAGACAGTGTCACTTAGAATTTTCCAGGAACATAATTATGGTCTGAGACTAATGACCTTATCTTCATCTATGCAGGCATTACGTCCTAGATAGAATCTGCAGGTCTCCTATAATTATAACATCACACACACACACGCTTTTCTAAAATCCACAGTGTGCTCTGAGGTCCAATTCCAAAAATAAATGGTCAATAAAAACAAATACTCAGGCCAATGATATAAACCTATCTCTTCTGTGCTTATATGCCCATTAAAAAATAACAGTGCAAATGTAATAATCCATGAATAGCCTTTGACCATAACAAGGCTATCACAAAAAAGGCAACATTTCAAAATCAACTTAAAAATCACTTATTACACTGTTAGAGAATAATTTCTGCCATTAAAAAAGAAAGATAAGCACCAGAGGCTTCAAAACACAGACCTTCTTAGATTTGAAGACACGACTTAATGTGTTATTCATTCCAAAAAACGTGGTCATTCATCTCAAAGAGGCCATATTTTTAAAAGAACTGCATTTGCCATCCTTCCAGATCTGGTTATCAAACTCATGCAAAATACAGTACCTGCTTTTATGAGAGAAGCTGTAATGTGTACCGCGCAATGCCACCCCAGGACACAGAAATACTATACGCATCAGTCATCCCCCTAGATTTTTGGCATGCATTCTCCAGGAAAGAGAAAAAGTTTTTACTTCATCTCCCTAAGGTTCAAAGAAATTTACTAAAATTTTTGATAAGCAGTTTTCATTTTTTCCTTCTACTACCACCATATTTAATGGTCTCATTGCAGACGGACGTGGGTTGAGTAGTTTCCTGGGCTCCTGCAGGGAGTTCCTTACCATCAGTCGCCGCATTCTCTCCTTTTCAATCCGCTCTGTCTCCTTCTTCTGCTCTCTTTCAGTGTTGGCATGCCAAGTTGCCACTGCTTTGGAGAGCTTCTGGATCTTTCCGGCCACAGACCGATGATATTCCTTAAAATCTTTTGCATGTTGCAAAATACTGTTCAGGTATTCCTAGAAGATCCAAAAAGGGAAGAAAAGGATACTTAAAATCCAATGACCAGTGTCCTCTGAGCTATCAGTGTTGTCCAAGAAAACTCTCAGTGTGTGTTTAACAGCATAGGAAGACTAGAATCTGTTTGGGGATAGGTGCCCTGGTGTCTCTGCAGTTAAGGTGTGGGCCATGGGGCTGGTGGGAAAGATAGCCTCTTCGGGTTCCTTTTGTTGTAAGCTTTAGCAAGAGAAGCCTCCTTAGCCTTGAGGGTGTGGCCACATGAGAATGGAAAGATCGAAGACTGAAAGAGACCTACAAAATGGCAATGATAAAATGTAAAGCAAACCACTCATTCACTCCAAAATAAACCTGAGGAACATGAGTATTTCCAGCAAAAAGTATGTCACAAAAGTAATGTTTTTCTGCTCTAACTACCCTAGAGTATGACACAAAATAAGTTTATACAAAGTTAAAATTGCCATGCAGAATTTGTATCCACTTTTTAAATATATACTCTATTTACACTAAAATCCAACATTTTTTCAAAAGGAAACTAAGCTAAGCACTAAATTAAGCACAGGAAAACAAATACAATTTACAGGACTATGACAGGAAATCAAATCCTACATCAAAATATTTCCAAACCCCCAGAAAGGAATGTTTTTAATATTTGCCTCTGTGAAACATTCAACTAGGCCCTTCAGAGAAGCCAGGACACTATTATATTTGTTATGAAAATAACTTTTTGCTTTCTACTTTCCTTTTCCAAGTTCCTGCTCCCAGAATTTTGCTCTAGGAAATCCACCTATGCCCACCCATTCAAAAACTTCCCATGGGATTATGAACATGACACCTGTTATGGACTGAATGTTTGTGTCCTCCCAAAATTTATATATTGAAATGCTAACTCCCAATGTAATGGTATTAGGAGGTGGGGTCTTCGGGAGGTGATAAGGTCATGAGGGTAGAGCCCTTACGAATGGGATTAGTGCCCTTATAAAGGAAGCCCGGAGAGCTTTCTTGGCCTGCTTCCACCACGTAAGAAAACAAGGAGAAGTTAACAGTTTGCAACCCAGAAGAAGACCCTCACCAGAGCCCAGCCATGCTAGTACCCTGATCTCAGGCTTCCAGCCTCCAGAACGGTGAAAAATAAACTTCTGTTGCTCATCAACCACCCAGTTTGTGCTATTTTTTTATAGCAGCCCAGACAAACTAAGACAATACTAAACCTCATTGTGCTGCTAAGCAATTGTATGACCTTGGGCAGTCATTTATACGTCCTGGCTTAAGCGTCTTTGTCTATAAAATGATGTGGTTGGATTATGTACATGTCAAGGAACCGTTCTGTTCTGTGATGTCCCCACCACCCACAAGGGTCCATTTTTCAGTCATTCTGACCCCATTTGATGAATTCATTGGACAGCTCTGCCAAAGTGAGGGTGAGCAAAGCCCAGGGTCTAAGAACCTGGTGTTTCTGACGGCGTTTCCTCTCCTGCTCAATCTTCTGCTGCTTCTCCAGCTTCTCGGTCATGCGAGCTTCTCTCAGAGTCTGGCGCTTGCTCCGTTTGTATGCTTTGGAGTTGAGAGCCGTCTCCAGGGTCGTGTCCCTGCGCATGCAGGCCACCACCTCCTGTCTCAGCTGTCAAGAAGAGAGCAGTTAGACAGCCTTCCCTAACAGAAGCTAGGTTCCTGAACTCTGGCCTTCTCGCGGTTGCATTTAATGGAATAGAGTGGGGCGGGGAATCTCCACAAGCTTCTCAATCACCTTTGGTTTGTATTAAATGAAGGAACTAAAATCATGCCAAATGTATGCAATATTTTCAAGAACGGTACAAGATTTTTCTCCCCAAATAATTCAAATCAAAAGCAATTATAGTACTGTAACAGTAAAAGAAAGAAAAGATGTTGTCTTGCCTTTTAAATAACTTCATTTTCTCTAATTATTCTAATGATACCAATTAGCTAAATAAGCTTTTTAAATTTTCCGCTTTGTTTTAAGTGTCATGTTAACATTCTCTTTGTGTTTAAAGATTAATTTTAATGATGCTCCAAAAAAAGAATAAAAGAATTACTTTCACGTGTGGTAGCAGCAGGTACTCAAACAACGTTAATTCATAGTCTCATACAAAGGATGGGAAATATGAGTTTTGGCTTCTTCCCACTCCAATAATGATCTTCTTTCCAAGAGATCTACATTTTATATTATATCATGAACTTATTTCAGATCACAAATGTAATACTTTTATCTGTATTGCATGTTATGTGGTGGTAGGGGGTAGGGACTGGAGAATACACATTAAATAATCATTCCACTGCATCTGAAATATCATTAGTTACAGTTAATTTAATTAGGAAGCTTCATAAATAACAGATTTTTAAAATAATATCAAACAAAAATCAGAAATCAATAAGAGTCCGTCATGGCAACGCTAATTTGAACATAAACATATTCCGGAAAATATACTTGGTTAATATTCATTTAGTAAGATTTTATCCAGCACTTTATTAATTCATCTTATGAGGTCACCAATAAGAAAGAAGTAAACAGAACTCAGAGAATTTTCCCTTTTCTTTTTAAAATTTAAGCTGAAATCTACTCTCACAAACCAAGAGCCAAGTAGCACCTACCCACCACTAATGTCCATCTGTGAGATTATAGCCGGTAAGGCAAATATACACCCAAATTCCTACCACAATAGCAACTGGAGTGGCCTGTGATTTTAGTCACATCCTCCAACAAACCAAGTCAATACTTCCAAACTACTTTGACTCATTAATTATTCATTTCGCATGTTCCAGACTTTAACAAAACAAACCCATCTGACTAACAATGAAACGTTCCTTATCCCCTTTGGGTTAGTGAGGCAATCTGCGGACTAGCAAACTTGAACCTTTTCAGTCCACAAGGCAAAACTCGCCAAAGTGAAAATTAGCTCTAACTCATTCCACTTGTCTCTTACTAATTTAGAAATCAGAAAATAGGTCATTATACTGGCTTTTAATAACTGCTGTAAACTACAAGAGCAGATAATTTACTGATTAGTCAATACATGAGCCTGATGTGATCAAACACTCCAAACTTAGACATCGGTGAATAAATAAGCTATAAGACATTGCTTTATGTATTTCTATAAATGATGAACCACTAATTCAGTAGCGTGGCTACCATATTTGTTAAAATTATTTTCACAGTCGTGGCAAGCACTTTACATCTGTGCTTACAAAGAAGCTCCAATCCACTACCTTCTGGTTTTTCCTTGGAGTCATAAAAGCAAACATGAGCTACCCCACTTGTTCCCAAGGTTTTTCATCCATGGTAACAAAACGCCATAACTCTGACTTTGTAACCCATAGTACAGGAGGAAAAACTCTTTCCCATATACAGAAGAGAAAACCAGAATAATAAGCAGTTCATCTTCATCATTTTTAGTTGTAAGCTGTTGGTCTAAAAGATTCACTATTTTACTATATTTATATCTTTATATCTTTGTAACAATATTGAATAGACTAAAGGCAACACAGATAACACTTTAGGAACAATTACATTTATTTCCTACATCTCAGATTCACTGGGGAAAATGTATTACCTGACGCTGGAAATTGAGTAACCGAAGTGCTTTTAGTTCCACGGTTGCTTTGGTTCTTAAATCTGGTGGCAAAGAGCCAGGCAGATTTTCCAGTTCTTGTATCCTATGAGCTATGCGGGCCTGAAGTCTAAAGGAAACAATAAAATGGGGAAAAGGGGGCAGGGGAAAAACACATTACAATTTAATCTTAAATGATAAACAATGACATTAGGTTTAAGTCCGGGGCAAAACATATTCCAGATACTGATAGTTGATCTCTAACACCCAACTAGAATTTTTGATGTTAAGCAGAGAAAAGCTACCTTTGCATTAATGCAGACAGGTATATGTTACTTAACAATGTGGCTTCCTCCATAACCTCTATCTAACACTAGGGAAAGAAGGTTCACCCTGCATCTAGTGGGGAAGTCAAATGTCCTTGCTCACTCTTAGCAGAGAGAGAATATAAGAGACAGAACCAATTGACAAGCTTTCTAACTCCCAGCCAGACAGAATGCAGAGCTGAGAGCACAGACTTTTTTCTTCCGAACTTCTAGTTCTGTCCTAAGGCAACCAGACCATTTGTCTTCTTTGCCAAGATGCTGATGACGACAGCCATTAAAGCGCAGTGAGCAAGAACAGTTTTAGGTGCTGATGCCACAGAAATCAGCCAACCCTAAACATTCAGAAAGCGCTCTGCCAGCCACAACCACTTCCTCTGTGAGCAGAGCTTGCTTGAGAAAAGAAAATACAAATGAGGCTGTTTTAAAAAAATCAGGGCCAGCAGTAAATAGTACTCAAAAACCAAGAGTTTCTAGAAAAGGATGTTGAGGATTCTCGTTTTACACACCATCAAAAATATAACTGCATGTACTTCTTCATAATAAAGGCAGAGTAGAAAATAAAAGACCTCTGACTTTAGCCATTCACTTGGGATACTATTACTGTTAGATATATAAACTGCTGGTTTTAGAGTTCACCTGAATCCTATTCTGACAAAATAATTATATGCCATTTAAGACTATTTTTAGAACTACATCCCCTAAATCTGAGGCAAACTGTACTGAACTAGATTTCAACAAAGAAAGAATAATAATAAGTAATAAGTTAAAGTAGGCTAATATTAACAGCACTAAGTGCCTTTAATGTACAATGTTATTTAATTGTCTCTCTCTTACACACACAGACACGCCTCTGTAAGGTAAAAGTTATAATGGTCCCATTTTGCTGATGAGGAAAACTGAAGACACCTGGAGATACCACAGAGCTAGTAAAGAAGGGGGCCAAGATTGGAACCTCAATTTGCCTGATACCAAAACCACTGCAATAAAATGATAGATAATTAAGATACACTTTCCGAGAACCTTCCTGGACCTCAACTATAAAAGCTGAAAATTAAGAATTCTGTTAAAAATTATGCACAGCCATAAAAAAGAACCAAATCATGTCCTTTGCAGCAACATGGATGCAGCTGGAGGCCATTATCCTAAGCAAATTAATGCCGGAACAGAAAACCAAATACCGCATGTTCTCACTTTTAAGTGGCAGCTAAACACTGGGTATTCATGGACATAAAGATGGCAACAATACACACTGGGGACTACTAGACGGGGGAGGGAGGGAGCGCAGGAAGGGATGAAAAACTTTTAGGTACTATGCTCATTAGCTGAATGATGGGATCAACTGCACCCCAAACCTCAGCATCATGCAACATACCCATGTTAAGAAACCTATTCATGAATCCCCTCAATCTAAAATAAAAGTCGAAATTGTCTTAAAAAATGAATATTACAGTTTTTTCCAAACATGATGATGTTGCCAGAGTACAGAGCTGGGAGGACAGACTTTTTTCTTTCTAACTTCTGGTTCTGTCCTAAGGCAACCAGACCATTTGTCTTCCTTGCCAAGATGCTGATGACGACAGCCATCATTTTCATTAACGTGAAAAAGTGAAACCTCCTGGACCTAAATGCTGTAGAAGATCTAATACTTCATATAGCCCAAATATCAAAATGAGTGATTTTTTAAAAAACCTACAGTTGCTTAGTTTGGAAGGGAAATAAAATGTCATCATTTTTAAAAATTTAAAAATGGTGGTAAGGAAAACTATTTTTCAGGGACTTCACTAAAAATAGTATCTAAGACTGATTCTTGTTTTATTTGCTATACGCACGTTATTCGTTCTAATTTATTAAATGATTTGTCATCATAATGTGTTAATATTATCACTGCTACCGTGCTGTCGTTATTGTTTTTTCTTTGTTTGTTTGAGATGGAGTCTCGCTCTGTCGGCCAGGCTGGAGTGCAGTGGCACTATCTCTGCTCACTGCAACCTCCGCCTCCCAGGTTCAAGCGATTCTCCTGCCTCTCAGCCTCCCATGTAGCTGGGGCTATAGGCACGTGCCACCACGCCCAGCTAATTTTTGTATTTTTAGTAGAGACGGGGTTTTGCCATGTTGGCCAGGCTGGTCTCAAACTCCTGACCTCAGGTGATCCGCAGGCATCGGCCTCCCGAAGTGCTGGGATTACAGGCATGAGCCACCATGCCTGGCCCGTGCTATTAACTATGCATACCAACACAAACAATAGCATTTTTAAGTGGTTTAATCATTCAAAAGACTGAAAGTTTTGTATTTCATGCAACAATAATAAACTCATCATTTTACTCTTTTGGCAAAATTGTTCAAATTCTCCCAACTTTCTTCCACATTCCTTGTACTAGTGATACTCGTGAGATTATTACCGTGGTTTTTAATTTTCACTATATGAAACAGACATCTACTTCATTTACTCATTTTCTACAACATCTATGTAGCCCCAAATCTCTGGATACAGCAACAGATGATGCATCTTAACAATTAAGATGTAAAGAAAAAAATCCACTATTGATTTTTTTTGAAATATATAATTTAAAGGGAAAAAATAAAACTGAGACAACTTTACTTTCACAGGTTAAGGCCATACCAAAGGAAAATTAAGTATTATAGTGGCGTGAGCCCATGGCCAATGATTTGGTTATTCCGCATCCTTGGTTCTAGATTCCTTGCAGATCTTTCTTATTTGAATATCCTAGAACTCAAACTATCCCTTGGTATTCTGATTTACTCTCTTTGACAAAGTGGGTCAGATGCCAAATTAGAGGAATTCCTACTTAATCTTCCAAACAACCATGGAACTAGGACTAAATAAGTAATCGTCAGATAACTGGGGTGATAGGGTAGAGATTACATCACATTGAACTGGGAGGTGGGAAGCAGGGAAGTGGAGCGGAAATGAGGAGATGGGGGGTGGGAACCCCGGGGAGATGGGGCACTGTGTGACTTAGGCACTGGAGAGAGAGAGTGGGAGCGAGGGGGGTGCACCTCTCCCTGAAATGACTCCTTCTCCAAGGAGCCCAGTTATTTGTCAGTGAATCTGATTCCCTGGCACAAAAGAATCCCTTTTCTGGAAGGGAGGCAAGAAGTACAAAGCGCAAACTCTAGGAGAAGAGGAAAGGTAGACTCCATAGTAAAATTATATGCATTTGATTCAGCACATGGTGGGGAAGAAGCAAAGGTACAGGAGGGGCTTCTTTAACACAGAAGATTATATCTTTGTTGATGTTGTTGTTGTTAATAGAAATCTTCATTTTAAATAATGTTCCTCTCCAGACAATTTCATCTCCCCATCAGTGAGATTCAGCAGGTAGTCCGATAAAGAGATTCAGGATTCTAAACTTCCCCAAACAACAACAAGATGTAATACTGCATAACTGCAGGGGACTCATTTAGCGTCCTCACGAGTACAGAAAATTGATGCAGAATTAGGTCACACAGGTTTTTCATACAGATTGAACAGTAAATCACGAGGGGTTACTGTTCTGGCAAGAAAAAGAGTTGCATTAAATGCAACAGATACTTGTTCAGGTCCAGAGGAGAAGTTTATGATTCCTGTAGGAGAGTTATCTGAACAGAAAATGACACTGGTACATTTTGTTCCTTCAAGGAGCTGAGTGACACTTTAAAAAGAGAGCGTGTGTGACTTTTTGTAACTCTGCTGGTAAAGCAGCTACTGGTAATTTTTGAGAAGGAATTTTCAGGATTGCAATGGCGACAAGGGCAGGTCAAAAAAAAAAAAAAATCACAGGTAAGCAGCCTATGCCTGCTTCCTGACACAAAGAGGATATACCGCTCTTTTCATACTAAAGTCTGACTTTATTCCGAAGAGGGCTGATATAATTCAGACATGTTCTTCCCAAATAAACCCCTTCAAGTGTGAAATACATCTTCCAGGCAAACATGTGTGGAATTAGTTTACATGCCAATGTGATGATTCCTGAGGTACTTTTGATCAGACATCTAACTCTAAATAGAAGAAAGCGAAGTTAGGCACAATGAGAAGGCATCAAAAGTGTGCCAAAAAGAAAAAAAAGAAAAAAAAAAAGCAGTACAGGGAAACATCTCT
This sequence comes from Homo sapiens, assembly GCF_000001405.40. Classification (NCBI taxonomy): domain Eukaryota; kingdom Metazoa; phylum Chordata; class Mammalia; order Primates; family Hominidae; genus Homo; species Homo sapiens. The sequence goes on along the minus strand of NC_000009.12, from coordinate 2,050,301 downwards.
CTGACACTTACTATGGAAGTAATAAAGTTCCATTATAAGAGAAAGATGGTCAAAAAGAAAGGATCCAATTTAAGTGGGAAAAATGTTTGAACTAGAGAGCTTGTACAGAGCTGCAGCAAAGTGCTCATAGGCAGACATTTATTTATGCTATGAATGAAAAAGAAGGTCAATTTGTCAACGTTCTGATTTTATGATGAACAAGGAAAAGCAGCCAACTGACTTAAACGTTAAAAAAATTTAAGATGCTGAAAACTTCCTGTCAAATTTCATAGACAAGGTAAATGATATTACAAGACCCAAAGAAATTAACATCTGTTCAAGAATTTCTGACAGATGATTTTTGCTGAAACTAAGTTTATCAAATTGTAAAAGAGGTTTTTTAGACCCCTCTCTAATCTTTGATCGGATGATAAAGATGAACTGGATCCTAACAGTTATCAATGCTAAAGGCTGGTAAGCCATTCTGTCACAAAGGGTCAAAAGAAGAAAAAAAATGGTTCATTTGTTGTCTTTTGCAAGTGCCTAAGGGACTTCATTTAACCCTTTTAAGGGATAAATTTAATCTCTGCAGTTGAACAACTTACCTTCAAATAGGCAGAAGAGAGCTATTGCTCTGTAACCAAAGAATACAAAACATGCCCCATAATGCTGTCACCACCAAACTGTGCTTCTTCTCCAGGTGGCCATGAGAAAATTCAGACCAAAGGACCCATGACCTTTCTGGATTCAGGGTTGTCCAGATCAGTCGTTTCAAAAGCCACATGGCTTTACAAAAGAGTAGGCATTTATAAAGCAATAATAATACTATGAAAAATTGCCATTCTCCACATTTTGTAATGCATGTAATTTAAAAGATACTGACAGCATTTTTTATTGACATAGGAGGGCAGAACAAAAGCTTTTTACACATTGGAATAGGCCAAATAGTACTACTTAATACTGTGCACTTTGGAAGACCATCCACTAAGGTAATCTCCAAAAAAGTTCCTAAAATAAACTTATTACAAGAAAGTCCTGCAATGAAAATTCCAGAAAAAATGATTAAGAACATTTAGGAGTTAGCAAAATAAAAAGTTAAAACACACTTGTGCACACACACATACCAGGCTGAATAAGGGAAAGAAGTCTAGACATATGTAAAAATTTCTAGCTATAGAAAGCATCTCTCTTCTAAGGGTAGTTCACATAGTTTAACAAAGGTACTGGTAATTCAAATGGAAAAAAAAAATGTTTTAACTAGGGAGCTTGTACAGAGCTTTTTCCTTTCCTAGGGTAGGAAAAAAAATATCAGCTCTTAGGAAGTCAGAATTTTAGAGCATCCACATTGTATTTCTCTATTCTATTACTGACTTTTTCCAATACTTTTAGCTTTTTAAAAACTCAACAGTAACATACAGAATGTACTGCACATTAGTCTATTGCACATGAATAGAGGAATATGCTAGTATTTGACTTTATAACACACAGCAATTATTCACCCAGCAGAATCTGCCTATCAGCACTGAAATATCAATTGACAATGAGTATCTAGCTCTCTGGGAATACATGAAATGGTGGAAATAGCAATATAAAATCTCTTAACAGATGATTATTAATAGTGATGAGAATAAAGTTATATTCTTCATCCAAAAAAATAAACACATCTAATGGCAAGTTATTCTGATTTCTTTCAGATTACCTCTCTAGGCTGGTAACTTAGTATTTTAGTCTGATAAGAAATGAGTGATGTGCTTTTCAATAAAGATTAAGGTAACCTTTTAAAAGGAAGCCCAGACACTGTTTACCAACATTCTCTATAATTTTTAAACTCTAATTTTCCTTAAAATTAAAGTCTTTGGGAAATAATAATAGGTATTATTTATTGAATGTTTCAGTATCATTTTATCTTCCCAACACTATGAGAGGTATCTTCTTTTAGCCTAGGAGGAAACTGAGTCACAGAAAAGAGACATAACTTCGCCACGGTAAGAAGTTACTGATGACACAGTATGCTTTCTGGCAGACTCCAGAATCCACAACCTTAGCTTCATTTTATCTTGACTTAATACTTGCCGGACTCCCTTTTGGGTTGACATTAACCATTTACATCAGGGGTCTCGTAAACACAGCCTGCAGGCCAAATTCTGCCTCCAGCCTGTTTTTGTAAAGTTTACCGAAAGGCAGCCAGCCCATTATTGTCTGCAGCTGTTTTCACACTGCAAGGGTAGAGGTGAGTTGTGACAGAGACGGTATGGCCCCAGAGTGCATAAAACATTGACTATCTGGCTCTTTACAGGAAGAGTTTACCAAAACCCCTGATTCTGCTAAATGGCTGAATCAGGTAAAAATTAAGCTTCTGGACTAATGATTTAAGTATAGACCTTGTATAAAGACACTCGCACAGGGTATACCCATAAGGCTGGATCACTGCATAGACACACGTGAATTAAAACAAAGATTATACCAAGCTACCGAAGGATGCTTTAGTAGAAACGTACAGTTAACATGAAAATCAGGCCAGCGCAACACACTCAGCGTCCCAGCCCCTCCGTCATCACCGAACCGCACAAGCACAAACACGGACAGTGTATTCCACAGTCGCAGTGTGAGATGATCACTCTCTCGGGTCCACAGGAAGTCCCCGTCGGCTTTTGATCTTCAAAACCCCGGTGCCTCCCCTCAGCACCGGGAAGGCCCCAGGAGTGGATGAAAGTTTTCCGACCGCACGGGTGAAAATCACAGTTTGGCCAACCAAGGAGGCAGGCGCCTCACCCCCCTCGGCTTGGGCGGCAGGTGCTAGCACACCGCAGGGGGCCCCTTGCTGGCGGGGTGCGTTACCTGTATTCCCGCTCTTGCAGAATTTCCACGGGGTCCAGGCCTTGCGGTTTCTGGATGGGGCTGATGCGGCTCTGCTTCTGCTGCAGCTGGAGGACGGGCGAGGGCTGCCCCGGGGCCGGCTGCGGCACTGAGGGCCCGGGCACTGCGGCCGCGGGCGGCTGCGCGGCTGCGGGGGGCGCGGGCGAGGGCCGGCCGCCGGGCGCGGGCACCGGCAGCTTCTGCGGGGTGCTCGGGCCGCTCAGCTCCGGCCCCGGGCCTGCGGGACAAGAGCGACATGGGCAGCTCGGGCGGGACGGCGCCCCGCGGGCCACACCCGGCCTGCCCGCCGCCCCCCGGGGCCCAGTGCTGGGGACCATTAAGTGTCTTAAACACCTGAGGGAAGAGAAGGAAAAAAAAAAAAAGGAGGGCAAGAAGGAAGAGGAGGGAGGGAGAGGAGGGCAAGACAGGGAACGGGGTAAAAGGAAAAAGAAAACGGAGAAGGAAAAAGACACAGAAAGAAAAAAGAATCTGGCATCTATCCCCATCGGGAAATGGCATTCACTAACGAACACGGGTGCAAATGATCCCAAAATGACGGTGACTTAATACAATTGATTAAGGAAACTACTGCCAGCTTTTAATGTAGCTCTGCAATGGGTTTCTTTCTTTTTCTTTTTTTAATTACAGGTGCATTGAGAGTTCAGAAAAGAAAGGGAGTCACCCAACAGTCAGATGCAATTTGGGTATGGTCCTAAAATCACATCTTGCAAATTGCACCTCAAGCCCTTTTAGGACAGACCTCTATCCCAATCTGAAGCCCTTTTAGGACAGACCTCTATCGCAATCTGGAAGAGCCCTGCTGTCAGAACCCATGCTTTACAAACAGAGCAACGAGTTTATCAGTCTTCTGATGTGAACTACAAGGAGCACACACTTTTTCTTTTAAGGCCTATAAAGCATATTTCAGGTTTAATCAGTGAAGTCTGGGAACTTAAATTTTTTCTTACTACATATTAGAAAACACTTCTTAAAACATTCATTGTTAGCCAAAAAAAATCTGCTCATTCCACCTAATAAAAATTGGCAAATATTAGGATTCAAGGGAGCATTATCCCATGTTACCAGAATAAAACAATATGTAATCTGAAAGCTTGTCAAAGTGCATTGATTAAGTTAATTTAAAATAATTTTCCGCATTGAACTTCAGGAGTTTAAGTTAATTACTAGGTACAGACTTAAATTTTTAAGTGTTCCATTTCTTCTCCTAGATGAATTTTCAGTTGCCTTAAAATTATAATTTTAGTGATGCTACCAGATGAGTTAAATTTTTTTAAAAGAATCTCAGTAAGCAGATGTTAAAGTCCAGAGCATTTTTCCAATTTTTTCTAAATCCTTTCTAAGAAAAAATAGCTATTAAATGGTAACAAAAATAATAGTCTACATACTTCAGAGCGATTTAATAATTAACCATACAACGACATACATTATGAAAAACTGAACACATTTATTCAATTTCCAACAATCACCAATTAGAAATGGGCTTAAATGACAATACAAAGAAAGCTATAAGCAAACATTTTGACAGGGGGATGTGAAGAATTAGAACAAACTGCTTAGGAAACTACAGTGTGTGCCTGTGTTTGTGTCGTGTGTGTGTGTGTGTGTGTGTGTGTGTGTGTCTGTGATGTTATCGTTCTTTTCCCCTCCTTCTAAAATTAGGTAAAACATTTCCTAAAGATACAGAGCAAGGTAAGATTTCTTCTTCAGGTAATTTCCAGCAGTGGTTCTCGGGGTTGATGAGAAAATCTTAGGAGGAAAATGCACTTCATTTTATTTTTAATTTTAGGTATTGTAGATGTACCTCCATAATTAAGAAGTTTTTTCATCTAAATACTTTTTTTCCTGTATAAAAGGTCCTTTATGTAATGCATACCTTTTATAATACGATACATTTAGAGTTCCTTTCATCCATATATAAGAAACCAATTTGTAAATATTAAGTCTCAGGGTTACTATGCATTGGAGTAAGTTATCAGGGGAAGTTTTAGAATATTTTTCCCTGGAGAGCTTTAAAACAAGGTACATTTTTCATTTGGGTTGCTCTAGGTGTGATCCAGTCAAGTCAGAGGAGATACAGATTTCTAACATTCATTTTAATTCCCTATGATTCTATGACTCTCCTTAAGAAGCTCAAGAAGCTGGTAGAATTAAACATATTTGAAGCCTTGCTATAAGCATGCTAAATCAGGAATTTAATACATTTAGGTCCTCTAAAAGCAACCATCTTTAGGTCTTACTGATAATATCGGAAGAATTACTTTAAATTTAGTTCTCAAAGTGTTTTTCCTCCCAGTTCAAATAATTCATCAACAAAAGCCGTAACACTGCAATCATGTTATCATTTCACTTGTACTGGCACTGTCTTCTTTAGCATTATTGCCTATAAATACCCATGCAGAAGATTATGAAGACTCCTTGAGGTATAGTCAAGTCACTATTTTAAAAACTACATTTAATCAAAAAGAGGTACCCAAAGCATATCTTTCATCTCTGGTCCAGAATCTAGTCTGTGACTCCAAACTAGATCTGATATATGCATGGACCGCCTTCTTCAGTCACTAAATAGAAAGATATTCTAATTTTGTTGATTCACCTGTAACACTGAAAGACAGAGAGAGATTCAAACATCTACTTACATATTCCAGTCTCCAATTTAAAAGTACTGCAACTTGCTGTGCACTAAACAGGTACCTTTAAACACCCTGTATCTTCCCAGAAAAAATGTTCTTTCACCTCAGCTGTTATCACCTGCTAGTTGTGTGAGCCTGAGCAAGTTACTCAACCAATCTGTGGCTCAGTGTCCTCATCTATAGAATGGGGAGAGTAACAATAGCCACCTCATAGGGCAGCGGTGAAGATTCAGTGAGATAACAGTGTCTACCTGTTCAACCCTCGGCTTTTGTCGTTTTATTGCCAAGGACAGGGAGATAAAGAAGCCTAATTGACTCAGCTTTATAGAAAAACCACATGGCAAAAGAAAGGTCTTTCAGGAAATTCGGTACCATATTAGCTGGCAACTTTGGGAGTACTCTTTTTCTATAGCAATTTCTAAGTGTTTCAACAGTTTAACACAACTCCTCAGCACAGATACTCAGATGAGTCCGCCTGCCATGTGCTCCCTGGAGTCTGCTACCAGAGCTACTTAGAGCAAACTCCACTTCCTAGCTAAACACCACAAGTTCATTTACCGTGTGGGTCTATTTCCTCTTCCCTCCGACAGATTGTATAAAAATGACTACTTAACAGAGGCCGGGGAACTGAACACAGCTTGCTGCAATTAGCCTTGCCCAAAGTCTACCTACCCATTCATTAGGTTTTATGCCTGTCTGTCCCTCAGGCGGCTTACGGGTTCGTTTGCCTGGCTGGCTTTGCTCTCTATCGACAGAAATCGTCTCCTCTACACTAGACACCGGTGGCCTGCTACTTGACAAGACTTTTCCCTGGTATCTTCAAATGGAAGACAAATCACATTCTTTAGCTTATCTCCCACTCCCTCTCCAACGTAAACAATTTAGGCTTCATTGTCAGAGGTACAAAATGCCATCTGCTTTCCCTTCAGTCCTCATTTTAGGAGTCAAAGTAGAAACAAAGTAGAAACTCTGGCCCTCCAGAAGGGAGTCCCAGCGCAGCTAAGCGGGGAGGGGGCAGTCTTTATTGAATGCATCCCTAGGCGTGATTTGATGCAATAGGGTAACAATGTATTAAAATACCCAAGTCTCACAGGCACAGAACTTCAAAGCATTCAGTGCTCCCACTTAGTCTTCCGGCATACAGGACATTCATGCAAATAAAAGATCTATGCATTCAGTAAGAATTTAAGGGGTTTCCACAGGTTGGAAAAAACAAACGCAATAAAACATTTAAATTGAGCATATAAAATTTCAGATATCAAAAAAAACACTTTATTTTCTACCATAAGGTCTCTCCCTCACCCCTCAAAAACCCCAAATTTTTTCAGTTCCCATTTTTCTTTTTGTTTGAATCTCTGAAAGGAAAAGTGAATCAAAATGAAAAGAAAAATGATGGGTTAGATTTGAGCGGTGCCCACAGCAGGCAAGGGCACATTCCATCGTAAGAGTGGCTGACATTTTGTAGGGGAAACCACTGCAGAGTTATGTGTTCCATGGGCAATGCCTCGACTCCAATCATAATTCTTTGGTGGTGGCTGGGATGATGTCACTTTTGGTGAATTATAAGTTTGGAGCAGCTTTGAGGCAGGCCAACCCAGCCAAAAAGATTCTCTTCACACATGAATAACACCAGGAAATGGAACAGAAGCAAAATGGGAACACAACTACCTCTACGTAAGTGAATAATATCCTGAAATATTAGCAGGGGTGTTTAAAAGTAATTTATTTTATAAAAAGGAGATAAACAATAAATAGACTAATATGAACTTTAACAAGAAAATCATGCCTTATTTTATCTTTTCTAAAAGCCAATCTAAAAAAAAAATTATTTTTGGCAAGTAAAGTTATCTGTTTCTCTAATGAAACCTGAGATGTGGGGACAAGTTCAGCAATGCTGTCAAATGGCAGTGCCCTCTCAGTGACAGAAATGGGCTCATTCTATTTGAAGGAGATATCTTCTTTCCTCCTTCATTCACGTCTCCTTTCCACTCTTCCATAAAACCCTACCTGCCCAAATATTGTCATTTCTAATGAAGCTCCGACTATTGAAAATTTAAAAAGACATGAGCAGTGAGTAATAAAGTGAATTCCCTTTAATGACAGGCACCTGATGACGAAAGATGTAGGTACCGGAGCCAGGTTAAAAAAAAAAAAAAAATAGAGCCCTCTCCTGAAAATGATCCAGAAAAGGCACTCAGGATTGGGTTGATTAGGACATGAAGCATTTATTGTGTACAGGTATCCAGATAAATGGAACTTCATCCTTTAAATTTTACTACTGTGTTCAGTTACATTATTTTAACCTTGGATGAAAAAGGTTTCTCAAACAAATCATTCTGCTTCCTACATTCTTAACTGATATCTTCGAATCTTTTATTACTGAGTCTAGCTCGTTCTTAAAAATACCAATGCTTGGTGATGTCTGTGACAAGATGATATCCCAGGACCAACTGTGAGGTATAGCAGATCATACCCAGAACACATCATCCCAGACTACTACCTTTTGGGAGTTCAAGTTCTGATCCCTCCTCTCCATCAGCCTTTCATGTAGCTGGTAGTTACCAGCTGGCCTCTACTTGAAATTCTCCTAGTTAATACTCTTCACATACTGAGACATGGGATATAAAGATTACCAATTTTGTTGATATTGTGTCTCAGAGTAAGAGGGAAAAGGATCTAAGTAAGGTGTGCAGATACTGTCTCTTTACACACAGAAGTACAATGCTTGCATCTTGGTACACAGACTTTGTGATAGGTTTTTTTCCTTGTCATGAGCCTTTTTGCCATGAAGGAGCCAGTATGGGAAAGTGGTTAAGAACATGAGATCTTAAGTCAAATTCCTGGGGTCTGAATCCCGACTCTCCATCATTAGTTGTGTGACACATGCAAAGGACTTATCACTGAGAATGGCACATGAGTAGGCCAGCAGGCACTCAGGGAGGATAAGCCACACACACATATACATACGTGCTTTTTTCTTCTATCTGGCTGCATTCTCAAGAGCTGGAGTTTTGCAGTTTTAAAACCTCTAAATACTTTTAGGATTCAAACTGCCATTTTCTGCATAGTTTCTTGTATAACCTTTCCTGTTCCCAAATCTCAGTTCTCTATGATCCTCCACCTACCAAATGCCTCCATGGTAGCCACACAGAAATTCTGGAGATGAAATGATACTTTCTTGCCCTTTTAAAACCCACTGCCATGGTCTGAAAGTTTATGGTCCCCTCAAAATTCATATGTTAAAATCCTAATTCCCAGGGAGATGGTATTAGAAGGTGGGGTCTTTGGGAGGTGACTATTTCATGAGAGTAGAGTCCTCATAATTGGGATTCATGCCCTTGTAAAAGAGGCTCCAGAGAGCTGCCTTGTCTCTTCTGCCATGTGAGGACACAGTGAGAAGGAAGCCATCTATGAATCAGGAAGCAGGCCCTCACCAGACACTGAATCTGCTGGTGTTTTGAGGTTGGAATTCCCAGCATTCAGAGCTGTAAGAAATAAATTTGCTGTTTTTAAGCCACCCAGTCAATGACCTTTCATTACAGCAGCTCAGACTTACTAAGACATCCATTCTTAAGGCTATAACAATTAATAAGATGAGGATATCTCTTAGGTAGGCCTACTCTTGGAGCTGCCTCTACCAGAAAATAAACGTATACAAACTCAATAGGCAGAATATTAATGAAAAAATACTAATCTGAACTCTCTCCCATGGTATAAGGCCCAAAACCCAGGAACAGTACCAATATCCCAAACTAGCTGTTTGCAACAACCTGCATGTCAGAACTTGCCTAAATGAATGGAAACCACTCAGAGGAAATGGTATCAACGTCAAGGAAGTACCTCATTCCCTAGAATCCAAAGTTTTCATTAGAGTAGACCCATACAATCTCTGCTTTTCCAGTTCTTTAACAAAACGCTTCCTAGAGAAAACAACCTTCATGGAAGATCACTTCACAGTCCCCTGCACCTCTGAAGTCTATCAATGGGATCAAGACAGAAGACCAAGAGGCCATGCAAAGGATTGTATCATTTCTACCCATTGTATAATGTCATAGCTTCAGACTTCATCCCAAGGTGTATAAGAAATAGGCCATGTTGAATCTGTTAGTCTATTATGAACAAATGCTATTGATGTTTCTGTCATGCAGTGCCTCTTACAATAATGATGATGATAATAATTTAAAAAATAATCTCACCTGGGAAATCAACTCTATACTCTCATGCTAGAAATGGCTTTTTCTGAGAAACTGGTAAGGAACTTCCTTCCAAAGGGCGAGACTTAGATACAGGACTTTGTCTCCTTTTGGCTCTGATTGTCAAGAAACTCAAGTCATCTTTGAAGCAAATACAGCAACTATGAGAACTTTTGCAGCCCTACTTTCTTGCCTCAATTTCTTACTTTTTTTTCTATTTTCCCTTGTTGCTGATTTTGCTACTCATAATTATTTTACAACAGGCATGCTTCTTGTAAGCCTCTCCAGATGTTCTTCATAACAAAAAGGGATAGAAATAAACAAATCAACAAATTATAAAATGGCTCTAGTGGGGCTGATCTGAGCAGTGAGTTCTGGGGATGAAATGCACTAAGTCCAGAGGTTCTTAACCTTGTGTGTGTGGATGGGCTTCCAAGAAACCTTGAACCGCTTCAAAGAGAACGCAAAATCACAGGTGCTTTTTCCCTGGGTCTCCAGCTTGCACAACCACCTTTTAAGGTTAAGAAACACTGCCCTAGGTCTCAACAGCAGGGGAAGACCAAGAATCTTGGCCATCTAAGTGGAGCAAGGATAGAGAGCCAGTGAGGTATAACAAAAGGCTACGTCAGCCCCGGGCTTTTAACAACCCGGTGTTTTGGTGAGCAGTCTTTGTTATCCGAGTTGGACCATGGCATTATTCATTTGGTTGCGTATTAACCTACCAGATGGTCTGTTGTAGTTAACAAGGGCCGGCTGCTGTTGTTGCTGCGTCTGTGGTTGCGGCGGCTGCTGCTGCGGCTGCTGTTGCTGCTGCTGCTGCTGCTGCTGCTGCTGCTGCTGCTGCTGTTGCTGCTGCTGTTGTTGCTGCAAGCCAGGCAACGTCCTTTTCCCCTGGACTGCAAGCTGCAGCGTTTCGGGGAGGGGCTGGCCTCGGGCCAGCATTTTATAAGCTAAAATCTGAGCTCGAAGCTGATGCAGCTGGACAGGACTGAAAGGTGAGGGACCTCTGTTGGGCTGGCTCATGGCCTGCGGATCACCTGGGATGAGGGCCCCCGGCTGGCTTGGTGGCATCTGAGGTGGAGTTGGGCCTCCTCCAGACATAGGGCTGGAGACGTGCTCTGGGGCTCCTAATGGAGATGGGTGTGGTGACATATAACCTAAAATAAAACACAAAAGGAAATCACAGGCTGCCCCTGACAACCCTGAAAGAGAGATATCCCTGAATACTCTAATAATTGTCCACAGCAACACTGTCTGACAGAAATTTGAATGACATATCATTTATTAATTATATGGAGTTTAAGATCTTTACATATCAATATGTGCTTTATATATATGTAAAATTTAAAATTTTCTGGTAGCCACTTTAAAGTGTTAAAAAAAAAAAAAGCAGGTAAAGTTAATTTAAATGTATTTTACTTAAACCAACATACCCAAAACATCATTTTAAAATGTAAAAACTGTTGATGAGACATTCTACATTCTTTTTTTCATATTAAGTCTTTGAAATCCACTAAATATTTTACACTTAAAGGACATCTCAATTCGAACTAACCACACTTCAAGTGATCAATAGCTACATGTGTCCTAGAAGGTAAACCGTTAGTGGTTGTTGTTCACCACTAACCAAGGGACAGTACTGAATGGTAAAAGTAGCTCCAACTGCGAGAACATAACCTGATATATCTCAATGGGGAATAAAGAATTTCTTAGGTGAAGAGCGAACACTTGGTTTATTATTATGCATGTTATGAATAACTTGCAATTATTGAGTGCCTACATGTTGTAGGTACTATGCAAGGAGTTGACTTGCACTCAACTGTCACAGTTGGGTTCTCCCTAGTAGCAGAGTCTTATTTAAGGATTGAGTACTAGTAATTTACTGGGAAGGTAAGGGGACACTAATAGGGGTATGAAAAGGTAATATAAGGAAGGGAAGGCAGCCAGTAAAGGGGGGGTATTTTCAAGCCAGCTGCTGCAGTGGGTACCTGAAGATTAATTCAGTGCAGAAACTCTAGAATATATAGTAAATAACTTGCCTCCAAATTATTTCAGGAAAGGGGTAAAGAAGCTGGGGTACTTATACTCCTGCAATCAGCAGTCACTGGTTAAGCCACTGGTTATGACTAATGCCCTAAAGATTATTATTCTCCAGGGACTTTGCCATTATGTGGGAAAGGTAGGTGTCAGTAGACGGAAGTGAACCAAGACAGTGGTTCTGGGCACAGGAAATCAGGCTGGTGGGGGTATAGAAATGGTAAGGGGAATCAAGAAGATATGGGTAGAACATACATTATTTCTTCAATCCTTACAACAACCTAAAAGATATATACTGTTACCACATTTTTTAAAATGAGGAAAATGAGGCTCAGAGAGTAAACCAGTTACCCAAAGTCACACAATTAACTTTTGGGAGCTTTAATATTTAAACAAAGGTCTGTCTGATTCTAATGCATATGCCCTTTCCATGATCTAATACAAATTTGGTTATATGAAAATAAGTTAGGGACTTGAAAGTTTCAAAAACCTTCTAGAACCACTTGTGATATAACATAAAAATGAGAGTAAACTGTTTGGTTTATAAGAGATCTAAATGGGAAATTGAAGAACACTTTTCTGGGGAAGAAAAATCAAAATGCACAAAAAACCTCAAGGGACTTATTTCAGGAGATGACCTGCATAGCTTGGCCATAGAATTCCTAGAAAGACATATGACTGAACATTGTTGGAGGGAGCTCCAAGATGAAGGAAAGAACAAAGTGGCCTAAAGCAATCCAAAAGGTGTCCTTGAGCTGAAACAAAGTGCCAATTAATCAAGTCAAAGGTGTCCCAGAATATGGCATTACATACATAGATGAAAAGTCTCTGCCCTTTAATAAATGTAATCGTGTCACAGTTCTCACAAAGGTCATCACATAAGTGTTTATTAAATTCCTGCTGCATGCCCGAACCTAAGAAAAATTTGAACTGAAAGAGCTCTGTGCATCTGCAGAATCACAGAGGCCGGAGAATATATGACCGCCACCAACTGGGGATTCACCATCATAATTCACAAGACCACAGAAAATAAAAGATTCAGTTACTTTTATCTCCAATTGTCATTTGGAGAGGGAGGCAGATTTAGCGTGATCCCCTAAACCAAGAATGGGTTTTGCTCCACCAACTGATGAGAAGTAGAACTCTATTCAGGAGAATCCTGCCCTAAAGGTAAATAGAAGAATTGCTAAATTTCATTCCACAAATCCCTACTCCGTGAGGAAGCACAAACACCATGCAGTGATTACAGTTTTAGTTGGTTATATAAATTAGCCAAGAAAATTCCCTTGAAAGCTTGCAAGACTAGCAGAAATTTAAATCCTGACATGTTGTTATTATAACAATAAACACTTAGAGAATATCAATAACAGACACTTAACTTCAGCATACATTCTTCTTTAAGAAGGCTTACATTAACCCCCTAGTTGTAACGCTAGTACAAAATGGCAGTCTGTTCATTATGACGTCTTTCTGGCCAGCACTGAGTCTACCATAAGAGGAAAAATCTTTCCACCAAAGCTACTAACATTTTCACAGTAGAAGAGATACGACCAGGGCTTAAAATTAGTCATATGTTTCCTGATTTCCGGTCTTTCCTATTTCCTAAGGTCATCAATTACAATCTCACTCATGGCAAATCATAAGATGCCTAATACAATGAACCAAAATATTAGGCAACCTAGTCTAAATTCAACTGTATAACACTATTTCTTAAATCACTCTTTTAAACTATGAACAAGGCAACATTATGAAGGTGAGACAGTTACATTAAACATAAGAATTCAAACTGAAAAAAAGAACCTGGTCACTGGAAAATCAATACAAAAAAATTCCTACCTCAAATTTGATCAGAAAATTGAGAGGGAAATAAAAATCATTTCTGAGTTAGTCAATACAACAAAATTTTACCTCAAATTTGATCAGAAGAAAATGAAAGTGAGAAGAATCATTTCCCAGAATTTGTAGGGGATGTGAATAGAATCATTCTGTCACCGTATGGTATTAAAAATAGAGATTTTTATTTCTACATGAATAGCATCCCATAAAACTTGAGGAAAAACAGAATCTAAGTGATACAACATCACATATTTTGGTAATTATCTTTAGTTGAGAAAACAGAGTGAAGAAATTGCCTGAGAGTGAATATACATTGGTCTGTAGGATGACAGTGTTGATGCAGATTCTGCTCTTTTTGGAATCTTCTTTGATTTGCTCATTCGAAAGTAGTCAAAAAGTGGCAGTTTTCTTTCCCTAGTCTTCAAGGGCTATTATCTCCCCAGTTTCACCTTGCCTCAGAGAGATGCAATAACCTCTCTCCTATTAATAATCTTGAACTTCTAAGTGCCAATTCTACATGAATTTTCTCTACACGCACACATACAAACACACACACACACACACACACACACTATTTAAATATATACCTGCTTTTGAAGGGTTTCTATCCAATGGACTAAAAATAAACAATGTTATCATTGGGACCATAAGGTACACAATTCAGTATTTATTGAAGGAAATGGCTTTCCTTCTTGACCAATACCCTAAAATAACCTAATAGGTTGCTAGGTAGTTAAAAGCTCGCAGCCTTCCAATCAATACCACATCTCTCTGTTCCTGTGTTTTTATATTAATAAATGGCTTTTCACAGTGAGTTTTTTAAAGACACGTGCTATTACCAAGTCTAAATTCTTTTTAGATCATTATATAAAATAGGACTGCATTATACTAATATTGCTTTATTCAAAAATATACCCTTAAATAACTCATTCCTCAGCCTACAATGCACTTCACTATTTTAGAGAATATTACATGTTAATTCTGATTCCCTTTAATGCAGACCTTTGCATTTAAAGTTATTATACTTCATTGAAATTATATAAAAGTTGAGATCATTTTAAACTGTTGACTCTTTAATACACAAACTTCCACACCTAATTGAACAAAATTTACTAATATCTATCTAGCCATGTGCTAGCTAGATATCATCCTAAGTGTTGTGGATTCCAAGATAAATAAGACATCATTCTTAAGTTGAAGAGGGGAGCCAAGTGATCACAGAAATAAAAGTAAAAATGCTCTCAATTATGATTTGTGCATTTAAAGTGGTTTTAGTTTTCAGGTTTTCCTAGGACTCCACTATTAGAGCTACTGCAACAACAGGAGCAGAAAAAGTAAGCACCTGGCTTCAAGAATCACTAAACGTTACTCATCTATACCTCCCAGGTATTAAAAATAAAGGTTTAAGGCCAGGCATGGTGGCTCATGCCTGTAATCCCAGCACTGTGGGAGGCTGAGGAGGGTGGATCACCTGAGGTCAGGAGTTCAAAGACCAGCCTGGGCAACATGGTGAAACCCTGTCTCTATTAAAAATACAAAAATTAGCTGGGTGTGGTGGCACACGCCTGTAGTCCCAGCTACTCAGGAGGCTGAGGCAGGAGAATCGCTTGAACCCGGGAGGTAGAGGTTGCAGTGAGCTGAGATCATGCCACTGCACTCCAGCCTGGGCAACAGAGGGAGACTGTGCCTCAAAAATATAAATAAATAAATAAATAAATAAATAAATAAATAAATAAATAAAGGCTTATATTAGCTCCATGAACATACTTGGCCCCTTCAAATGTAAATGATAAGCCTGGAAATATTGTCTTACTTCATTCATAACCGTGAATGAGTCAAATCTGTTCTTCTTGTACTGCAAAAATTCCCAGTGCTTTTAGGCTGCTCTTCTGACATGGTCAAGATTCTATGAGTTATCTGCAACAATTATGCCTGCCTGCCACCAAAATTCAGATAAGAGTCTGGGATGTTCAAAAGCCTGTTCAAATACTAGTGGGGAGGCACTCCTATGCCTCCATGACTTGCCTATTTATATTTCAAAAAGAAAACAACTGTGCATAGACTTCTCTAAATCCTCACAGCCAAAAGTCTTCCCTCGAGTGGATGGATAGCTGATCATGGATAGAGGAAACACACACATTAATTACACAGGATTATATATAGCAACGCATAAACCATAAACCTTGAATTGGAATAACTACATATTAATTTTAATTAGTGCTAGATTAACTCATGTCCGTCATATGTTGAAATGACCACATAATGACTCTGAAATCAGGCTACATTGTATTAAAAGGCTTTGAGGTACGTGAATAGTTTTCACCAGTGAAGAAAAGAAAGAGGACTTGTTACGTATGAAGAAGAAAAGAAATATGCCATATACTGATTTAGCCATTGTTGTGAGTTGAATTGTGTTCCCCCTCCTCCAAATATGTTGAAGTCCTAACCCCCAGTACCTGGGAATGTGCCTTACTTTGAAATAGTTTTTTTTTTTTTTTTTTTTTTTTGAGACGCAGTCTTGCTCTGTCGCCAGGCTAGAGAGCAATGGTGCGATCTCGGCTCACTGCAACCTCTGCCCCCGGGTTCAAGCGATTCTCATGCCTCAGCCTCCCAAGTAGCTGAGACTACAGGCATGTGCCACCACGCCCAGCTGATTTTTGTATGTTTACTAGAGACGGGGTTTCACCATGTTGACCAGGATGGTCTCGATCTCTTGATCTCGTGATCCGCCCGTCTCAGCCTCCCAAAGCGCTGGGATTACAGGCTTCAGCCACCAGGCCCGGCCTGAAACAGTATTTTTGTAGATGTAATCACATTAAGATGAGGCCATACTGCATTAGGGAAGACCCTAATCCAATGAATGGCCCCCATAAAAAGAAGACAATCTGGACACAGACAGACACACAGGAAAAATTTCATGTGGATACTAAGGCAGAGATTGCAGTGATGCATCTGCAAGTCCAGGAATGCCAAGGATTGCTGGCAACCACCAGAAACTAGGAAGCAGCAAGGAAGGATACTTCTCTAAAGCCTTCAGAGAGAGCATGGCCCTGCTGATGCTTTGATTTCAGACTTTGCCTCCAGAATTATATAAGAGAATACATTTCTGTTTGTGGTAATTTGCTATGGCAGGCCCAGCCACCCACCAGAAATGACACATAATTTCACTGCCAGATAAAGCTGCCTTATAGACAATGGATAAGCATGCAATTCAAGGGACACAGGTGGTTCACCTTACCTTCACATCTACACTGTTGCTGGGAAGCAGGCCTAGATTCTCTTTCTGGCCCTGTCACCGATTGGACATGTAAACTTAGCAAAACAAAGTAAATTGTCCAGCTTTATCTTCTCTATCTATAAAACTGGGATAACCTAATTTACCCTAAAAGATCACGATAAAGATTCTAGATAAAGTACATAGAGCTCTTTGCAGACTGCTTGGACACATGGTGGCTAGTAAAATTACTAGGACTTCGGAAATAAAATTTCCCATATAAATCATCAGGTTGTATTGGTGAGGACGGAGGTAGATTTCCATAAGGAAAAGAAACCTACTAGGTTCAACCTTCCTTAGACACATTCTTTGGAATTCATAATTAAAATATCCAACAGGAAAGACTGAAAGACTATGCTGGGGAACCAGTATCAGGTGTGCAGCGGACACAAACCTTGGCTGTGTTGATCCATTGGACTCTGGGGAGGGCCCATGCCTGGGTGAGGTGGTCGCATACCAGTGCCCTTCATGGATCCACAATGGATGTCTTCTACAATCCCCTTGTCATGTATACCATCGATGGGCTGAAACATTTAAAGGACATTAGTTAGACACCTCTATAAGGTAAAATATTTCTATTTGGAGTTTTCAGACCCCTTCCTAAGTTCTTTAAAAGTGTGGCACTATCATCTACTACCCATTCTAGAGTTAAAAAAAGAGACTAGACCAAAAGGATCAGCAAACTATCTGTAAGTCAAATGTTAAGTCTTTAAACAGTGGAGGGTTGTTTTTTTGTTTGTTTGTTTGTTTGTTTGTTTTTTGTAATATCAGAACAGGCAATGAAAATGAAGTCCTGGTCACAAGGTAGACAAATATAGGCTATTTTTCCATACCCTGGTAAGTAATCTTGAAACCTGTTATATGTTGAAGTTAGTCTGAAGTCTGAAGGAAGGCTGTTTGACACATCTGTGATGATCCAGTTTTTGGTAATTTTTCTTCATTGGAAGGGAAGGAACCATGGAAAGTTTGAAAGTTGAAACCACAGGGTTCCATGGCAGTTGGAAAGAGAGGAACAGACAGGACAGAGCCGTGAATGGGGGGTGAATACTGAAAAGGAAAGTGTGTGCAATAGATAAAGCTGTACTACAGAGGGAGGAGGAACGGAAAAGGTTAAAGGCACAGTTTGGAAATAAACGAACACAGGGGCTGGACCCAAAACTTGAGGCATAATACGTGACAGACATGCAATAAACAGCTATTGAATCGACATTAATCCAATCCAGAATTGGGCAATGAAGCATGTGTTTGAAAAAGGAAAAGTCTATTCCTCCCCAAACTGTAATAGCAATTTTCAAAACAGCCTGAAAGAAATATTTCCAGGAGTTTATAGAAACCAAATGACTTCAAGCAAGAAAGTATGAGTGTTTGCAGTTTTGGAGAAAAGAAAGTTAATTTCTGCAGAGTCAAAAGTATGCACTTGAAAAGAGGAAAAAATGTATCATAAAGAGGATGTTTGGAAGAAAAATGGGAAGAATCTGGTATAAAGAGTGTCACTGAGTCTGTTAAATAGTAATAATAGAGAGGAAATCAAAGCAACACAGCAGATGTATTTAGGCCACTTGTTTATTTATTTCCAGTAATGTTGAAAAGCAAAAAGCTGAAGCCTCAGAGGAAGAAGGAAGAATAAGAGAAGAAATAAAACTGCCTATAAAAAGCATAGAAAAAAGTGAAGGCATCTGGTCAGCAGGTGTGAGCTCTAAACCCTCACCCGTGTCCTCACGCAGGGAACTATCTGAGGGGCTGGGGCCAAGGAGAAGCAGGATGGCAAAAAATGCAAAACTCACAGAATGCGAGCAAAGCAAAACAAAAAGAGGGAGTATTTAAGAGGGTAGAGAGAATATGAGAAAGTGTAATAAAAATGCTAGGACATAAAATGAAGGGATCAGAAGAGATAACAATTAATAAAAACAATCCAGGAGAAAAACATAACACTGACCCAACACTCACACATTGAATTTTTAACTGCTAAAGAACAATAAAGTTTAGCTAAGTATTTCCCTCACATTTTATCTTTCATTTTGAAGGTGAGACACCTTCAAATTATTCTGAAATTATGTAAGCCACTTAGAGGAAGGTTTACAAGTCATTGATCAGATCCAGAATATAGCTCCCAAATTCATTTAATCTAAACAGAAAACAATTTCAGGACTTGGATGTCAATATGTTCAATAGGTCCCCTGAAAAATATGACATGGAAAACGAGCAGCTTTATTTCTCTAGATCTCTGACAAGCTAACAAATGTATCTGTTAAAAAGAGGAGACAGAAAACTAGAGAATGTCATAGGGATATCCATAATACATTGTTAAATGAAAAAAGAAAGTTACAGAGTAATTAACAGAGACAACATGATTCTATAATAGCAAAAGAAAAGTAACCAAAAAAAAACACCAATATATACATATCTGTGCTTACACAGTATTTGTAATGAACATACAGAAAAGCAAGATAGAAAAAGCATGTACAACAAGCTGTTACTTGGGGTGAAGGTAAGATTATCTGTTTATCTCAGTATTGTTTTCCTTTTCAAAATAACCATATATTACTTTCCTAATTTGAAAAATCATCAAATTACAACACTTTTAACAAAAGGATCTTCCCTTTTGGGCTCTGATGCCCTACCCTAAAACTGACCTAAAGTCCTACGTAACTGGAGGAAAGACTTGCTCTTTTCTGTGGTAATCTTTTTGTTTTAAGCCAGGATCTTCCACGGCTTGTCTACTGTAATGGTTCATTTTATGTGTCAACTTGACTGGGCCTCAGGTGCCTAGATATTTGATTAAACATTATTTCTGGGTATGTCTGTCAGGGTATTCCTGGATGAGATTATCATTTGAATTGTTAGACTGAATAAATCAGATTGCCTCCAGCAATGTCGGTGGGCCTCACCCAAAATCCATGGAGGGCCTGAATAAGAAAAAAAAAAAAAAAAAAAGCTAGAGGAAAGGAGAAGCTTTCTCTCTGCCTGACTGCTTAAGCTGGGTCTTCTCCTGCCCTCAGACTTGAACTTACTCCACTGACTCTTCTGGCTCTTTGGACTCAGACTGGAACTCACATCATCAGTTCTCCTGGTTCTCCTGGTTCTCACATCACTGGAACTCACATCATCAGTTCTCCTGGAACTCCTGGTTCTCAGGCTCAGGTCTGAGCCTGTAGACTCAGACCGGAACTATACCACAGGTTCTGCTGGGTATCCAGATTGGTGACTGCAGATAATAGAACTCTCAGCTTCCATAACTGTGTGAGCCAATTCCTCATAATAAGTCTCTTTTTACATATATCTCTATCTCCTATTGGTTCCGTTTCTCTGGAGAATCCTAATGAATACACCTACTTAATGTCAAGAAGCAGCCCTGCCACCCTATCCACCTGTGATATCATCCCAAGGAGTGTAAAACCTCTACGTGTCTCATTAGGCAAAACCTTCAGGTAGTATGTAATGTCCTCATAGATTTTTCTTGGCTATTGCTTACTTTCAAAGCAAACTGTCACAGAGGATCTTGTTTACTTTCTCAAAAGGCTGTCTCTCTTCTTTGCATCTCCTGTGAAGGCATAATGCCAAGTTGTACAGATATGATCATCCCCACAGCAACAATCCAAGCCTCATAAATAAAGGATAATTACAACCTTAGTCCAGAAATAAACAGCTGGACGTGAGCTCTGCAAAAATCAGAACCTTCTTCCAAAACCAGAATAAAAGTGCTTCACAGAGAGACAGCAATGTGCATTTTAAGGATTCCCTAGAAACTATTTAATTTCAATAAAGCCCTTTCCAAAAAATCCTTTAGATAAGGACTTTTTCCTTCTACTCTTTGGGATCTAATTTTTGTTAATAAATGTCAGCCTTTTTAGGAAAGAATAATTTTCAGTATGTTCATTAGTGGATAAGTTACTTAACACAGATAGGAAAAAATAAGACTTATAGACTAATGTACTAATTCACCAAGACAAAAATACCTTCAACCCACAAATCACAGGATCTACTTATCAGAACTGCATAGTCTATGTCAGTATTTTAAAAAGCCAACATCTGATCTTCATAACTGATGCAACATCTGTAGCAATAAAAGTACCTCACAATATGCGTTTTTAATAATATATGAGATATACAAGACAAAGATCTTGCATGATTTTCTTGTTAACAACAGTAGAAAGGGGGATGGGGTTATCAGAAATATTAGCCATCCACTTATCAGAAGTTGAGTTTGAATGGGAGAACAAACTCTTACCTTATGCATTTGATGCATGCCTTCCTGTGGGAAGTCTGTGGACCCCATCGTCGGCATAGGATGGGAGACACTTGGAGGTCCAGGACTTGGCCCCATCATGCTGTGGACGGAACCTGGGGATGGTCCTGGTCCTGGACTAGGCCCAAGAATTGGCCCAGGGGAAGGCCCAGGCCCCGGCGAAGGCCCTGGGTGGGGCATCGCACCAGGGTCTGTGGGCGTGGACATCTACCTCTCCTGTCTCTGCCAGTCAGTAGAGTAATGCTAAGTTGAAAAGCAGAAAAAAGGAAGGCATGTTTTAAACATGATGTTAAGACCAGAATAAAACAATTGTTAGCATTTGATGGTGCCATTTCTGTAACAAACATCAAACAGAGCTGCCCTGTCTAGTCCAGATGTTTGAGTGAGTGTGATATACATCCGTCTGCCCTAGTCTTTATGAAGACCACTTGTTTAAAAAAAACACACACACTAAATGATTCCCCAGAAAAATATAAATCATCTAAGATACAAAAGGACTCACTGGAGAAACTCAAATTTAACACATAAGCAGAATTCTAAACAAGTTTGAAATTTATTACTGAAGTCAACAGATGCTCTCCATTACTTACTACCTTGGACACCTTACAAGACATTAACCCCCACAAAGCCATTAAAATACAGAACCCTTTAAAAAGTATCCAACCAAGACTCATTTTCATAAGTGAGTGGGCATTCAAAACTTCAAGATAGTTAAACCGGGAAAAATACAATCTTCTAATTTGAGAATGAAAGAGAAGTCCCAATCATGAAAAAAGCAAAGGCTATAGGAATCAGACAAATATGGGTTCAAATACTCATATATGTAATTACTAGCTACGTTATTTAATGTTTCTTCTTTTGAGATTTCAATGCAATGACATGTGTGAAAAACACAGCTGTAGTCTCAGCACAACAAACGGCCACCCTTATTTAGCATTACTTTCCCCACCAACTCCACCCTACCAGAAGTGATCAGGAGGGACAGTTTAAGACGTGATCCTCTTGCCAGCTAATTAATTGAAGCAGAGACCCCCTCAGACAGTTAAAACCAGGGATTTGTCCCAGACCTGGCTCTGGTCAAGAATCCTTGAGAGAAGTCATCCATGACTACTGGATCAGAGCTCACCACAGATGAGGTGTGGAAATTCTGGTTCTACAATTTCAGCAGAACTATATTCCACCACCCACACTCCAAGGCTTCTTGGCATCCCCATTGGAAATGCCTCATAGAGTGGGTACAACTGCATCTTGGCTATGAGCCAGAATGAGCAAATAAGCTGTTTTCCACATTCTGATAGAGATCAATGATGCCGGCAAGATAGCTGAATTCCACTAGCAACAGTAATTGTTCTATATTATGATGTTACCTTGGAGGCACACATCTGTACATGGAGAAACTTTTTGCTGTCAGCCTCACAAAATACAGAATGACATACCCTAAGTGATTTGCTTACCCATTGTTTAGTGGCAGAGATGGAATGAGACCGTGGTGGCCTAGTCACCATAGCAGGGCTCTTTACCCACAGTGGAATGGCGGGCTGGAGGGGCAGTACACAAAACACATTCTTTCCACTCCTAGCGACCCATCACTTGCACTGAATCTCTAGAGTATGAGGGCCATGAAGGCAGGCCATGCTCAGTTTCCCTTCCACGTTCCCAGCACCTCAACCAGCATATAGTCATAGCTCAAAAATTATCTGATGAATCAACTGCAGAGTAAATTTCAAGGGCCAACTATTAATAAAATCAACTTTTTAATTTTAACTTTATTTTAATTTTTCATATTTTTAGAGACAGGGCCTCTCTCTATTGCCCAGGCTGGAGGACAGTAGAGATCATGGCTCACTGAAGCCTCAAACTCCTAGGCTCAAGTGATCCTCCCCAACCAGCCTCCCAAGTAGCTAGGACTACAGGCGGCGCCACCGTGCCAAGCTAATTTTTTTTATCTTTTGTAAAGACAGAGTCTCACTATATTGCCCAGGCTGGTCTTGAACTCCTGGCCTCAAGTGATCGTCCCACCTCAGCCTCCCAAACCGCTGGGATTACAGGTGTGAGCCACTGTAGCCAGCTTCAGTTAATTTTATAAATAAAAACCACAGAGTCATCAGTGTTTGAGTTGTGTTCCCATAAAGAAATCCTTAAAGTGTAGGCAAGAATTTAGGCCATTTTGACAAGTAAATTAGAGCTGAAACAGGAAGCAGTCAAAGGCTACTTCAGAGTGATCATAAGCAGGGGATCAAAACAGGACTAAGGGAACCCAGTACAAGTGGCTTCTAAACAACAGGGGAGCCTCAACAGTGAATTACAGCCTTGAATTCACTAGAGAGCCCAATGTTATTATTTATTCTTTGTGATGAACAAAGCAGACGGAACTTTTTTTTCTTTTTGCTTTCCACCACCTCACACAGGTTCAGTCAGCATTTTAAATTTAGGAAGCTGACGTCGATTCAGGGCTACTACAAGATACAATGCTCTTTCATGTATATGAGCACACTAATACACCCTTTTATTTTTTAGTGAATAAAAGGAAATTGCTTACTTCCTGTTATGGTTTACACTGAAATCAGCTTCAATAGGTATTAAAGTAATATACCACGAGTTTGAACAATGAAGATACAAACACTGAAGTTAGGCTGATATTCCTACGTTTAATATAATTGATGTATATTAAACATGAAATTCTAATATACATTAGCCCATAATGCTACTTTCCACATGCATTATCATTTCCACCTGGGAATCTCAGAGAATGTTGTAATTACTCATACATAGTCCCATAAAAATGCTCCTCGTTTTTTTTGCTAAAGGAAACTATTAAAAACGTCTTAGAGGGAAAACATGTTGGAAGGGAAGTGGAAAATTACGGGCATATAATTGGAATGTTAATATAGGAACGTGTTATATAGGAAACTATTTAATAAGAAGAGAACCTCAGATGCCTGGACTTCAATGCATGTGTGTGGCTCAGACTAACAGTACAGTTTAACAAATGAAGAAATGTACCCTGTGCCATATAACTAATGAATGGCAGAGATCTGGACTCTCATAGAACGTGACGTGATATTCACTGATGTCTCACTGGGAGCTGAGAGACCTGGGTTCTGGTCTCAGGGTCACCACCAACTCTAGGGCCCTGGGAAAAGTGCCTTTCGTCTGGGGTCCTGACTTCCTCTAGGCTCAGGATAGGAGTATCTCAAAGGTCCCTTCCAGCTGTCCATCCGTGACTTGATGCCTGCTGCCTCCAGAGCATCTTGAAGACTTCATCCAAACCTGTGTGTTGGAAAGTCCATTAATGGACTTCCAAGGCAAAATCAGGGCTGCCCTAGGATCTGCTGTGGCTACCATCACCCAAGTAAACCCAAGGGGAGGACTCTCTAAGATGAGGCCTATAATCCTGGCCTCTTATTCTTCCTCTACATTTCGGGTGGCAATTTTATTTTACAGTTCAAGTATGTAATTAAACTTTCCCACAGTATGAAGAAACCTGGGGAAATAAATTAGAAAGAGGTGCTAGTCTCAAGCAGCACATCATTACTAAGTTAGTATGGTTAAGGTTTAAAGTCCAGTATTGGCCAACTCCACTTCTCCCTCACCAGCCCTGCCAGTATCCCCTGGACTCTCTACCCCTTTCTTCTCCAAAGCACTAATGAGACAATAGAGATAGGGTGGTGACGACAGCAGTAAGCATAGTAGGGTGGGCTGGAGGAGAGGGCCCAGATGGACTTCACAGGGCAGTGGTAGGTCTGCTCACATAATAACACACAAAATCTATTTTTATTTTGTGTTAGGAGAAGGAGGGAGTTTCCCGTTGTCACAGAAAAGAACGACCTGTTCCACAACTATGTGTCTGTGGCTAAAAACATAATGACAAAAATGTATCTGGGGAGAGGGGGGCACAGCAACCTCCCCATACACATGCATTGCTGGTCCCCACCCTCCCCCAGACCAGGACTCCCCGAGGGCCAAACCACTATGTTCTTAGGCAAGAATTTCTCAGCAGTATACTCTGTCTTGATTTCGTCCTTACTTCCCACTTTCCTACATTCACAACTAGAGAGTGTGTGTTTTTAAAAAGAAGAGGCCCCAGAGGAGCTTGCCAGAGCTCCAAACACCACAGTCATCCTCCCTCAGCCCAAATCTCCTCTGCCCTTAGCTGAAAGGCTCAGCACAGCCATCTGCATATTAAAAGGAGTTCAACTTCATGGAATTTTAAGGGTCACCACTCCAACCATGACAAAACTTGTGTCTTACAGTCTAATTGTAACCAACAGAAACACCAAAGACCCCCACATGTGGAGTAATATTTGAACACACCTACATGTGTTTCCTAATAATTCTGGTGATTTGAAGAGACATTTTGCCACAACGCCATTGAAAAGATGAGGGCAATAAGGCAGAAGGGGAAAACATGGCTTGCCCAAAGTAACATCTGCAACAGGAGAGAAACCGCAGGCAGAATCTTTTATCCCTTGACTCCCAGCCCAACACTGAGCTATGACACGGATCTAGCAAGCCATGTTTCCACCAGAGTTTTCACCAGGCCAGAGCAATGTGCAGGGGTAGAAAGTAGAAGCCAAAGAAAAAAAGGTCAGAAACAGTGGAAGGGATATCTTGCAAGGACTAGGCTTTGGTTGTGATAATATATTAACTTACCACAGGCTAGAGAAGTAAAGAGAAGCCCTGGAATGTGAAAAGAAGACCATGTCATCAACTGAAAAGGTCGATGATGTTTTAGTTACCATACCGAGTATCTACTAGGTACAAGGCATGCAGGCGGTACAAAAATGAATAGAAGGCTTACCCCACAACTCTGGAAGTCTGATACGGAAATCAGACTTGTGCGTAAGTAGCAACAAGATAAAAATATTGAAAGATCCTGCAGGACACGGAGGGGTACAGCCAAACTATCCAACACAGTCATAGAATGGGAGACATTACCTTTAGCTCAGAGGTTACAGGAGAGAAAGGAATTAGGTAAAGTGTAATGGAGAAGGTAGCATTTCAGCAAGGCCTTCAAGTTTAAAAAAAAGAAAAAAAGTTCCCTAGAAACTTTTGGTTTCTAGTCGCAGAGTTTGGGGCAGCACACCAACCTTGACAATATCTCTTAAATTGCTCTTCACCAAACTTCATAAGAAAGCACAAGGAAATCTTGGATCTCCAGCCTGTCTTTTTTCACAGCTCACTTTACAGAAAAACTTGGAGGTCCAGGTTAAAGGTGGAATATCAGAAATAAAAGTTAGGCCCAGTCCACATCTCCAAGAATATCCCAGTCTTATTAAAGTGTTCTGGCTGTTACAGGAGAACTGCAAGGTTCAGGAGATAGTTAAGATAAGAGTTCTTTTTATGTCTGTTTGCTGATTCAGAACATCTCCCCTGACCTGAAGGGCTGCCTCTTGTTTTGTATGTGGCTTTCTCTGTAAATGAATTGATAATTCACCCACAAGAAGTAGCAACATCTTCAGAACTGGGCCTCAAGCACTGTTATTCTTAATGGGGAAGCAGTGCGGGGTGGGTAAGGAGAACAGCAATGCAGATAAAGGAAATAAATCTACCCGAAGTTTCCTTTTTACAGGCCAAGGTTGTCGGGATAAGCGGTGAAACATTACCAAGGCCCACACTGCTTCTTGGTCTGAGCTGTGCAACTTTAAACAATGCATAATGTGATCTGTCAGATACAAATCACACCGGGTTCTAAAGTTAACCTTATAAGTTGCTCCATCAAGACCCTAGAAAATCACTGAGAACATTTCTTCAGCATTCTTGGGGTTATTCACAACACTTTCCCATTCGTTTCAAAGTCAAATATGTTTTTTAAAAGTTGTTAGATTAAAACTTTGCTCTGTTCCTTGGGCTTCTGTGAACTCTCCTTCATCTTTCAATCAGGGCAACAAATTAGGATGTGGGTGAGCTGCTACCCTCACTTTAAATAAACTGCCTTGGGAATGGTCCTTGCCCAGAGTCAGACCTGGCAAAGGCTGTGAGGCAGCTCTGTGCACAACAAAAGATAACAACAAACTCGGCAGCAGCTAATTAGTCCCCCATGAACCTCAGACACTGCCTTAATAGGATCCTGGCTCTTAACATTACCACCCTTATAGATACCATGAGTTGCCATCTCAAAAGAGTCTACCAGCGATGCAATTTCATGGCCTCTTCCATGAGGACTGACAGTGATCCCACAAAGGAAAAATTGTTTTAAAAAGGGAATTTACGAGAAAACCTAAGTGTTAGAAACCCTTTAGAGCAAAGCATCCTCTACTCTGAGACTCATGTCCATTAGTAGTTATAAAGGTAATCACAGATGAAAATCACTTTTAAAATTCAGTGGAACCCAAAGGGCTGGGCAAACTGGTCAAAACAAAAGCTAACAAACTGAACAAAAAAAAGTTAGTTTCAAATCATGACACCCTGAAAGGTAATATGTCACGTATATTTACACATATGCCTGTCTCTCCTAGGTTAGGCCCTTTTGCAAAGCAACCTCATTCTGGATGTTGATAAGAATCAACAACAGCCACTTCCTTTTCTGACTGCCAAGATAAGTTTATTTATACTTTAAACATATAAAAAGAAGAGTCTGAAATACATACTTTAAAAACCTGTGGTTAAAATGGCACATTTTTACTGAAGAGTAAAACTCAACCATCATATGCTGAATGAACTAAAGTTCTATCATAGGCACTCATTAATGTCAACTGGCCCTGACTTTCACAGTAGCAACAACAATTCAACAATGAACTCCAAGTTCATTGCAGTTAAAATGGATAATAGCCATTAATGATGTTACTATGCCTTTTAAAAAATCAACAAATGAGTTCATTTAACCTCTCTGAGTTTCAAGCTCCTTACCTACAAAATAGGCATAACAGTAGCTGACTACAACTTCAATTTTGATACGAATCAAATAAAATATGAGATATGAAGACACCTTGTGAGCTACTATATGCTCGCATTATTGCCAGGATCCTTCTAACAGCTTCAATTCCCACTCTGGACTTGAATCCACAATTTGCCAGATTAATCTAAAATATTGCTTTGTTCATGTATTCCCTTGTTCAAAACTTCTGAGACAAGCCTCCAATACAGATTGGATAAAATATTCATGCTTTAACCTGCAAGTCAAGTCTTTCCACAATCTCCGACTTTATCTTCTGAAAATTCTCCCCAACTGGAACTTCTTGCTCCAGGCAACCGGTCAAAACAGGTACATTGGTCTTTCCACGTTCCTTCAGGCCGGGTCTCTGTGATCTCGCCGGGTCTCTGTGATCTCGGGGCTTTCTTCTGATCTGGGATGCTCAGATGCCACCACCCCCACCTCTGCCCTCCCCCTACAGCAACCTTATCCCATCTCAAAGACCTTATCTACCCCATCAGCTCAAGAAAGCTCACCCTGATCTCTCTCTCTGTATCACATGGCCCATGCAGTTTACCATTTGTTACTTGTATTCAATATGCTATTATAAATACAATATTAAATGTTCAGGTACATTCTTTAAGACACATAAATTATCAATTACAGATCATCTATTTTTTACAGAATTTTGGACTCTGCTTAATGGTCTTTTAGTATAGCACAACAGCAAGCCACAAAATAATTGTGACTATTTGCAAAGCCATTTATTACATGTCCAGTTCAACAAAGCACAGGGGGGAAGATGGGAGAGGGCTTTCCTTCTGGACATCCAATATCCATGTGTGATAAAGCATCTCCCAGTGGGATGGTAAAAACTGAAATATACCACATCAAGTAGGTAAAGAAATATATAATCATCCTGAACCAGAAAAATACAGTTTAAGTGCAAACTGATACAGAATTTCCCTTGGATAACCTGTAAGCCAACATATGACGTTCCTTTTTGGTTAGAGATTTTTATCATTTTTAAGTAATTTTGAATTCCAAATTCTGAGTTTAGTTGTTTTTGTTTTTTTTAAAGGAGGGAGTTTCAATTATATTTAATGGTTTTCAAACTTTAAATATTATTTCAACTTCTGTGGGTCCCATTCATCAACTTACAAAAGGGCCAGCCCATATTTAAATTAGGCCAGTTTCTAAAAAGTTTCTAAAATATTACTGCTTGCATAGATGTAGATGACATACTGGCATAAGATTGATGCTTAAATTGATACTAATCCACCTAAAAATACTATAGAATATTGTGGTTTTAAAAACTGTTGTAAATCTTACAGGTATACGGCCAGATTACAATTGTTCAAATATTCTGGAAGTCGTAGCTATCTAATAAAATATCCTAATTCATACTAGGCTTCAATTATATAATAATGTATTACAAACCCAGAAGTCCAGAAGGACATTATGTCAGAGTTTCAGGCCAAAATCTTGTATTCCATATCTAAACCATCACTCCAAATGTGTAAATTAATGAGGTGTTTATATCAAACATTCAAAAGACCAGCTATTTTGTTCCTGAATTTCATTGGCTCTATTGTATGTTTTTCTGAGGTACAATTATTCAAGCATCTTTGACGATATATTTATAACTTTTACTACTTAAAAGCTCTCTTTAACATATCCTACACTTTCAAGGAAAAGTGCTATATTAACATGGGTAATAATAAACTCATAATAAACAGTAAGAAAGCTGCAGTTTTGCCAGCCCAGGTTGCAAGATCCCATTTAACTTAATGATAAATATCTTACGTAAATAAATATGCTCTCTTTCATAATGACTCTGGCAGAACATAGTTTTAGACTCCTATAGTCCCTAGTAAGTATAAAGTCATAAGTTTCTATATAGAAAAAATAATCACTCCAGGCCTTCCTAAATATGCTATCAAATAAATTACCACCATGTGTATTTTCTATTCACT
The DNA here is from genome assembly GCF_000001405.40 of Homo sapiens. Taxonomy (NCBI): domain Eukaryota; kingdom Metazoa; phylum Chordata; class Mammalia; order Primates; family Hominidae; genus Homo; species Homo sapiens. The sequence goes on along the minus strand of NC_000009.12, from coordinate 2,020,400 downwards.
ACTTAGCGAATGACCCATGGCTTTATTAACCGGCTAAAGGTTAGAGTCCCCTAATAAGAACGCTTCCAAAAATGACAGAAAATTCACATCCTCTATTGGCCAAAGACATCTCCAAAACACAATATTTAAGGGGGAAAAAAAAACAATTTAGAAGATAATTCTTTTACATTAAAAAGGAGAAATCAGAAATAGCCCCTAAATGTGGCTTTCATACTAGGGAAATTTTCTCATCTGTTCACAAGAAATACAGCAGAAAAGAAATGTAACTCATATAGTTTTCTAAGGTAACTCAAGTTAACCAAAGAATTTGTCCCTATCGTCCCTTAAATCATCTTGACCAGAAACAGAATCAAATCTTAAAGTGGTTAAATCAGGTCCTACCAACACTCCTTCCACTTGCAAATGCTGGGAAACAGTCCTTAGTATTACATATGTGATAATTCAGTTGTCCTCATGGCACCATGTCAAGATGTCATAAATAGTGATTTATTATTTCTCTGGGGTATCAAAAAGCTGCTGACCTAGAAGAGTTTGACAAAGGCCTTGTTTACAAAGGAAGATTTCTAAAGGAGAAAAAAAAAAAACAAGAAAACACTGGAGGACAGCACCACTTTTATAATTTATAAAACTCTTCTTTTTATGCTCTTGCTGTAATACATAATAATAAATGTCAAAATATTACAACAATATAAGGAGCATCACAATTACCTTTTAGAAAAGGATGTGATATGCTTTTATACTGGCCTGTAGAATGATTTATCTTAAACTTAATAAAAGAAAAAAATTTTAAATACTTATCTGCACAAGTGTCACTTTCTAGTTATACCATGTCAGGAATACTTTAAATAGAATTCAAGCATTAACAATATAATACAAGCCGAGGCACTTTTTTTTTTTTTTTTTTGTCAATTCTAAGCCTCAGGTGTTGGTCAAAGCACTTTTCAAGAAACTTGACGAGAAATGCTCAAAAACCACTTTACAAACGAACAAAAGAAAAGATCTAAGGCTGCTTTGAACATGCTCTTGTGGTGAATATTTTCTGTGAAACACCACAGTGCACCTAGTCCTGATGCTGGGCTGTTACTGATATAAGTCATAAGAGAAAGGCTGCATTGAAGGAAGCCCTCCCTCCCCTCACCCTCTTCAAGGGTTCTGATACCCCACATTCCTCATTCATTTGAAATGTTCTTTACAAAAATGGCATCTCTCTGATGCCCCCAAGGTAGACGGACCTCTGATCTACTGGGTTGTTTTTTTTTTTCCCCTCAGTCTACCGCAATAAGTATCTTTTGGACCTAACAGGTGTCTCTAAATCCCCTCTTTACAATAGCAAACATTTGCATTGTAAAGAAGCATTTGAGGAAAAAAAGAAAGAAAGTCCAAGAGAATAAAAGAGCAATTAGATTCCTCAAAGAAAAAGTGTGTCTCATTTTGCATAACAATGCAGCAACTAGGATTCAAATCTGCCACGCCTCTTAACACTTCACCAGTGTGCTAGAGGTAGCCTGGAAGCCTAAAACTCCAATGCTGGCCAACAAGCTTCTGGTTGTGGCCCCCCTGATAACAGATGGAAAATACTACTGAAAATATTTGAATGTGAATATGTAAGTATACACACACATAACATTGGGTATGGCTTTTTAAATTATTATTAGGGTTCTCAATGGTTTCTGAGTCTTTGGTGGTTGGATAGAAATTTTCTGCTACTCAACGCCCAAGCAACAATCTCATTATTTATGCAAGCATTCTGTTCAGACAAGCAAGGCACACAACCAGGTGTAAATTTTAAGTCCTTTGAAATGGAAGTTTGAAATTCGATATTGGTAACGCAGAAATGTTAAAAATAACCGCTCAGTGCAGTCAACAAACTGTGTATCCTTAATGTCTTCCTTGAGCTCTAACAGTACACATACAAAGTCATACATGCCTACATAATGACCAGAAAGGAGACAATGATGACACCTCTCCAAAAGATTACTAGCCCAGGTCGCTTTGCTTTTTCCAAAGCACCAACCTCCATCAGGTTAGGGAGGAGGAAAAAAAAGAGACAACCTTGCAAAACTCACCCAAAAGTTATATAAACAAAGGAGGGGAGAAGCCCAGTCTAGGCTTTGCACCCATGTGCCACTAAAATTACATAACACCCGGTGCAGACATTGAATAAGGAATGGATTCTGCACAACACCCCCACTCCCTCGATTCCCAAGCCTTCCTCATTCCCTTAAAAAATCCAAACGCCTAGCAAGAGCTAGTGGACGACTTTGAATATTTATTTTATTGCTGGAGTAAAACCTGCGAGAGTTGGAGGTACGTTTAGGCCCGAAGTTTGAATGTGCAACAGCCCCGGGCGCAGCGACTCACACTCTCCGGACCCGGAGGAGAAAGAACTGACAAGCAACAGCGGCCAGCAAGGCCTTCTTCCCCCTCATGGTGCCTCCCGCTGGAAAGTTTTCCACGCAATCGATCGGAGGACAAGGAGCCCATTTCCCCCGCCTGCCTGACTTTGCAGGAAAGGCGAGCCGGGAGACCGGAGGGGGCTGGCAGGGAAAGAACTGGAAAGCTCCGCACACAGCCGGCGGCAGGGCTGCGCAGGCTCCTTACCTGGAGGACGCGGAACAAAAAGGGGCGCGGGGTTCGCGGAGCTTGGGGTGGCGGCGCGGCCGGCGGACGGGAACCGGTCTCCGAGCCGCGGCTCTAGGCCCGCGCCACAGCCCGCGGCCCGGCCCCCGCCGCTGCCGCTTCCTCCCTCGCGCGCGTCATGTCACGGCAATCAAACATGTCTGTGTGCTGTGTGCGCTTCGCTGCTGTGACTTCCTGATTCTCCGCCGCTCGCGCGCGCACACACACACACTCACAACCACACGCACACGCCACCCCCACCAGCCCTCGCCACCAAACCTCGCCTTGTCCTCCCCGGGCTCCAGGGGAGGGTGCGGGCAGGAGCAGCTGCCCGAGCCGCTGCTCCCGACGCACTGGCTCCTGCGCGCACAACACACACTCACACTCACACTCACGCGCAGACACACTCGCGCCGGCCGGGAGGGCGCGGAGGCTGGAGCCGCGGGAGCTCGCAGCCCCCTCCCACCCCTCCACCCTACTTAGCCGCCCTGCCAAACTTTTTTTTTCCTGCCTGATCCACGTCCAACTTCCCTCCACCCCACCCCCCAAGCAGCCCAGCCAGCCCCGCGCTCACCACCATCCGCAGCAAACGGCAACCCGGATAAAAATAATAATGCAATCCAGGCGGCAGAGGCGGAGGCGGAGGCGAGCGATCAGACACTGGCAGGAGGCGATTTCCCCGCGTGTACCGGAAACCGGCCCAAGTGCCCCGGCCAAGGCGCGGGTGTCCGCCGGAGCCCGCACTGCCGCGCCCCGCCCTCCGCCGTGTAACTGCACCCAGGCTGCGAGGCCTGGTGCGGGGCACCGGGAGCACTGTGCTCCGTGTGCGCCCTGCGGCCGGAGGGCGCCGAGGGGCTGGCGCGCCGGACCGGTTATTTAGGGAAGTGCATCGCGACACCTTTGCAGATGGCATGGCCGTGTTTTGCAACGCAAACGGGAGGAAGGGAAGACGGCCGGGTGGAGGGGGAGAGCAAAGGAAGGGGTAAACCAGGTTGGGATGGGAATAAAGCAAACTCCTGAGCAGGGAGCGAGAAGGAAGGAGTGCGTGTCATCGTTGGGAGGAGGCTCCTACCCGGTCTCCCCGCCTCCCGCCCTCGCCACCCCCCTATTCCCTCCCCACCGCAGCCCTTCCCCTTCCCGGGCGAACCACACCGCCGCTGCCCGGTGGTGCGCGGGTCCTGTTTGTGACAGTCAGGCAGACAGGATTATCCGGATCATGGCCTCCCGGGCCCGCAGCCGCCGCCGTGGCTCTCCTGGGTCCCGGCGCGCCCCTAGCACCCGGACGATCGCAGGCGCCCCACGCCCGCAGCTCCCGCGGCGCAAGCAAGGGGAAGACGCGAAGCAAAAGAACACGGACCCGGGGAGAGGGAGGGCAGGGTAACGGAGGCTGGCGGGCACCTCCGACCTCCTTGGGGGCCTCCTCCCTTCCCTCCAGCAGTGCGGCCCGGGCCGGACATCCCGAACTTTAACACCCGAGCCTGCGCTGCCGCCAGGTACCAGAGGCAGGGACGTCCGCAGCGCCCGGGGCGCAGCCCCCTGGCAGCCCCTTTGCCTAAAGGCCTGCCTACCAATCAGCCTCCCCATCCACGCCGGAGGAAACGCGGAAAGTGGAGGTGACACCTCCGATCAGGCACGCACCGGCCCCGCGGCAGTGGCCGCTACCTCCTTCGCGCGTCAGCTCAGGCTTCTCCCGCTGCGATCCGCTCACGTCTCCGCAGCCGGAGCCCTTTGAACAAGTCCCTGGGAAGCGGGTGGCAACAGCGTCCGTTGGCGCCCCGCCGCCAGCCTGGGCTCCCCGCCCTCCTTTCCCGTTCCCCTTCCAACTCTTCCGGGGAGGGTTGCCCGGGATGAACAGTAGCGTTTCCATCCTCCTCCCCTGTCCCCCAGGCCTTCCCCCTCCTGCGGCCACCCCCCTCCCCGCCGCCTCACTTTTAAGGGGATGGGGGGATTGCAACCTGGCCCAATGTGTGTGTTGCAACCTTGAGTTGGCAGCGCCTCTGACTGCCCACTCAGGATCAAGGCTGTGGCTTGTTGGGATTTTTTTCCTCCTTTGCCCCCTTGAAGTAGTAATTATTACTGTTATTATTAGAACAGCAAGGTTCGGTTGAAACTTTCTCGTTTCTTCCACCGCCGCCTGGGAGCTGTCGTTAGAGCATTCCACCTGAGGCCCGCGGGGAGGAGGCGGGCTTTTTTTTGTCGCGGCGGTTGGCCCGCCTGTTTGTTTTGGTCTCCTTGCATGCACAATAAATAATAATTAGGATAATAATGGATAATCCCGGGCGAAGGCGGCGTGGTGCCGGAGGGGTCTGAGCGGCGGCTGCAGCGGGGCGGCCGAAGGGAGGGGAAAGAGGAGAAAAGAGTTGTAAGTTATATTTACCTTGCTCGCGAGGAGTGTGCTGGCTGAATCTCTTCCCTCTCTGAGTCACCCAGAGTACAGAAACAGAGGGAGAGAGGACTAGATTATGAATATGACTTCATTGATGACAGCCGTCCCCTCCTCTTCCTAAACTCGGGCTCCGCCCAGCGTCCCACCCTCGCCTCCTCCGCGGGCGCCGGAAGACGCGCCGCAGTTGGCCCCGCGCGCCGCTCCTCCCTGCCCGTCCGGGCGCGGGTTGGCGGGACGCGCCTGTCACTCGCTCAGCTCAGCGACTCCGGGAGCGCGGGGGGAGGAGGGGGCGGTGTGCAAGAATGTGGATCTAGACAGCTCTACTGTATGCGTGGATCCGTGTGTGACTGCAAGGCGCCGGCTCTCGGGCCGCGTTTGTGCCTGGAGCAGAGAAACTGCGCGGGATGCAGAAAGCCCCAAGCCCTGCTGGAGCTGGGCGCCCGCTGTCCCTTCCCTGGCAGTCCTCTTCCTCGGGCGCCGCGGGGCTCCTCCAGGGAGACTGCGGAAGGGGAGGAGGCGAAGCGAAAACGGAGGGCAGCCGTAGTAATAGCGCGTAGTAGTTCGGGGGTATGTGGAGAAGGTGCTGGAATTTAACTGTGCCTCCGCCTGCCAGTGCGAGCCTGCAGAGAGAGAGGGAGGGGACGGGGGACGGGCTCCGAGTGGCACCAAAGCTGTTTGTGGCACAGTGTGGACTGTGGAAAAAACGGGCATTGTCGTGCCGGCTGAAACTTTTTCTCCCCCTTCCCTAAGGCTGTCATTATAAATCTGCCCCCTATTCCAGGTAAAAAAATAAAAAATAGAAAAGGGAGGCGGGCACAAAGAACGTTCCTGCCAAATCTGTCTCTTCCCTGAAGGACTGCAAGCTTCCAAATGCCAACGAGGGAGAAACAGCTGAGAGGCTGAACGCCTTATAAATAAGTAAACCCACCCTAACCTCTCTGTTTACTTCGTGGACTAGGTACAGCACTATAACCTTCCCTCACCTGCCATCTTCGCTAAAATATATACAAAAATATGGAAAAACAAACCCTGGGGGCGGGGCTGGCGGGTTAGGGGGCGGCTGAAGCATGGAATCTGGTTTTGATTTAAAAAGGGGAATAAATCTCTTATTTTCTACAGACCGTAGTCTCTTCCCTCTCACCCCGCATTTGAGACCAATTAAGGCTGCAAATTGTAATTTGCTGGCAAGTCGCGGTTTTGAGACCTCTTTGCTCCAATTTTCCTTGAAATACAGTACTTTGGCCGGACCAATAGGTCGGTGTTTGGTGAGACAATTTTATTTTTAGTTTTATGAAGTGTGAAAGAATGTTAGGAGACTTTAAATCAGGGGCCTATTATTTTAGACTCAGATTAATGTAGATGCTTGACTCTTAAAACTGTTCCTATGCAGTAGTGTTATGAAAAGTATGATTTATCCCTTATTTCGTAATGTAATGGCTTAAATTAGTCATTCAAAGTGCACTGTGACTATCTGGTTGAGGATTCTTCCCCCTAGAGTAAAATCCTATTTTAAGACCATTTTACTGTTGCAAAATTGACTCCATTTGAGCAACTGGGTCTGAAATGCAGTTCTAGGATGCTTAAAACTTCAGGCTGGATAAGTTGAAGACAAGAAGTAATGGAAAGAACGCCAAATACTGCCATGTAGTCATTAAGAAGCAAGAATTCTTTATATCACTGGTCCACTGCTGGCTGAAGCAGAGCCCACTAGGGCAGCATTTTCATGATGGCTGGGAGTGTTGGTGATCACCCACCCTATAGCTTTCTAAGGTCTTGCTACTTGCTTGTTAACTTTAGCTTCATCATTTTCTGTCTATCTTGAAGTGAACCTCAAGACAACGAAAGATAACACAGCTAAGAGAAATAGAATATAGTGTGCCCTGAAGGATCCATTGTAAGAACTTGTTTTTCTGCCTGAGGATATGCCGGTATAACTATTAACTGAGAAATATATAGGGAGAAATTTTAAACAAGACTAGTAGTATAGTAAAAGTGTAACATAAATACTAACTTCTAACTGCCTAATAAGTCGCAACTAATAATATAGCCAGATAACCTACCTGTCTCTAATAAAGAGATTTAACCTAATAGCAATGCTTATTACATTGAGAGTATTAGGTTTTAATTTTTTTGGGGTCTAATTTGTTTCTCTGGCATGCCGGCCTCACATGCCAATTTTCAGAAATTGATAACTTCACTTTTATTCCCTTGTGAATAAATGCCCTTTATCCCCTTAAGATTCTACTTCCACTTGCCATGCAAATCCTCAAAAAAACAAAAACAAAAACAAATCAATTAGTAAGTCCCTGGAGAAAGAAACTGTCCATTCCTTCTGGCATTTTGTCACAGGGAAAGTAAAGAAGAAAACATTCCCTTTGTTATATGTGTATATTCTTCAGCTCATATAAAATTTTGATGTTGTCCTTGGAGGCGTTGGTATCCACGCATTGTATACACACAGCTATGGGAATTAAAATACATCGTTGGGAACAGAGATTAAATATAGATATTGCATCTCCCTCTCCCTTCGCATTGGTCTAAGAAAGCACCACCTTCCCCCATCACCCTTCAAGTTGTTCCTCTAAAAATTCGTCTTGTTTGTAGTTTGTACCCTAGCAGTTACGAATTTTATAAAATAAGGCCTCAACACAGGAGAAATGAAAAGGCAGCGTCATTCACTTGGTACAAAAAGAAGATTGTAGAACATATAGCATGAGTTTCACCTCTGAGGTAAAACGAAATTTAACAATTGAAGTTAAGGAGGAAAATGATGGGTTTTTTTTGTTTTGTTTTGCAGAAAATCATACAAAAGCAAATGTGGTTGGAGGGTAAAAGGACTCCAGGAGGCTGCACAGGGTGCTACGTTCACACGCAGCTTTTCTTTTTGGACTTTGATGAGTCATAATGTGTTCTCTGAACTTGCTTTTCTCTTTCTAGTTTGGTATCAAAAGATAGAAGTCACTTTTTCATGTCTGTATGGCCACATTCACTTGTTATGTAAGTCTGCTTTGGTTACATTCTGTATAGAGTAGATACTGGGTTTAAAACTTGGTATCTGGATACAACACCCTCATAAAGAAAAATTCCATGCACAACGTTAGGAAGCTTCTAGTCCCAACAGACAAACTGTTAATGCTGCCTGAAATGTTGCCTAGCTTCAAACACGAGCAGGTAAGACCGTTTAGGCAGTGAGTATTTCATCTTCAGTAATGGAAACCAAGATTTGACAAATTGAATCAGCTGACATTTAATTTAAAGAATAGTTTAGAATTAACAAGTAAATTTATTACAGAAATAAACACTCCTCTCTCTCCTTTTTTCTTTTTTTCCTTTTTGAGTCAGAGTCTCGCTCTATTGCCCAGGCTGGAGTGCAGTGGCGGGATCTTGGCTCACTGCAACCGCCGCCTCCCAGGTTCAAGGGATTCTCGAACCTCAGCTTCTCGATTAGCTGGGATTACAGGTGCCCGCCACCATATCCAGCTAATTTTTGTATTTTTTGTAGAGACAGGGTTTCACCATGTTGGCCAGGCTGATCTGGAACTCCTGAACTCAAGTGATCCACCCGCCTCTGCCTCCCAAAGTGCTAGGATTACAGGGGTGAGTCACCACACCCCGCTCTCTCTTTTTTTTCTAATGGGCATGTTCAATAAATTATGTTTTTCACAATCATTCCCCCAAAATACCACCCCCAATTCTCTTTATGATTATATCGTTCTTTAGCTTAAAATCCTTTGTCTATTCCCAATCCATTTTACGGTAAGTTTCAAACTTCTTGGCATGTTATCCTAGGCTGTGCATAGACAGGTCTCTACCAGCGTTGTTGACCCTGCCGCCAAAAATGCCTGGGCTCAGGGAAAACCTGTCTACCGTTTGGTTCCTAAGTGACCACATTGGACATTCTCCCCTCTGACTGAAGTGCAGATCCTCAACCCACATCCTCAAAACTCAACTATGACCCAGAATCCTTCTAGTGGTCTTCCCTGTTCTCCCCAGGCAGAGGAAGCTGCTTGTCCTACTCTGCTCCCATAGCAACCGGTGTGCGCCTCCATTATAGCACTTATCACTTTGATGCAATTATTTGTTTGGTGTTGTCCTCTAGATGGTTAGTGCCTGGAGGGTGTTTCGATTCATCTTTGAAACCTCAGCAATTACCCTGATACCTAGCACATTGTATTTAAAAAAAGAAAAGAAAAAAAAACTTTGTTGAAGGAAAGGATGAGAGATAGATAATAAAATTACCTGACATAGAAAATTTAGCCGGTCTTCACTATTAGTAATTATCATGTTAATGAACAACATCAGTAAGTGTTCCGAATCTTTACAGTATCTGCCAAGGCTTGAAAACGCTTGGAAAATGTGTTTGGTTTTTGTTTGGTTTTGTTTTGTTTTGTTTTGGGGAGGGGGGATGTGGGAAGATGAGGAGAAGCTACAGCTCTTGTAGTCATAGAAAGAGCACCGACAAGAGGTTTTGTTTGTTTTTAAATTAGGCTAGGAGTAACATGAATGCATACATGGCAATTGTTTAATACAGTAGTCACAATTATAATTGCAGCTCCTTTTTATTTCTCTTTTAAATTACATGCCTGAAGTTGTACAGAGACTTGTACATATGTTGTTTAATCCATTTAACCCTACGAGATCTATGACTTCATCTCCATTTTACAGGTGAGGAAACTGAGAATCAGGAAGTAATTTGCCTAAGGCAGGGATCTCCAAAGCGGAGTGACCAAGACAATTTACTGTGAAATAGGAAGAACAGAAGAAAATCTGTTTCTTTTTTCTTTAATAATTGAAAAAAGTAATGATGCAAGGACAAAAAAGAGCTTTATGTATATTTATTATACTCATTGACCCTTGACCCTAGAGTGTTTTACATGGTCCCTAAGTAAACTGGTCATGTGTCATGTAGTGTAGCTGAAGAGTACTGAAAAACAAAAAGCGCCACAGGCAGAGGGGTGATACTGGCACCTTCTGGTTCTTTCATTGTCATTGACATCTTTTTAAGCATTGATATTGCCTTAATTTTACAGGTTCCACGTTAAATAAATTCTTAAGATTATATCATCTAGTTTTTTTTTTTGTTTGTCTTTGTTTTTGTTTTTGTTTTTTGAGACAGATCTCGCTCTGTTGCCCAGGCTGGAGTGCAGTGGCTTGATCTCTGCTCACTGCAAGCTCCGCCTCCCGGGTTCACGCCATTCTCCCGCCTCAGCCTCCCGAGTACCTGGGACTACAGGCGCCCGCCACCACGCCCGGCTAATTTTTTGTATTTTTAGTAGAGACGGGGTTTCACCGTGTTAGCCAGGTTGGTCTCGATCTCCTGACCTCGTGATCCGCCCACCTCAGCCTCTCAAAGTGCTGGGATTACAGGCGTGAGCCACCGTGCCCGGCCTATATCAATCAACTCTCTTATTTGGGGAGCACGTGGCTTAAAAAACAATTTCTGTGAGGAAATAGAAAATTGAGATAATACCAATAATATAAGCACAGGTGAAAATCAGGATCAAATTTGCCAGTTTAACCTCTGAGAACTCTTTTCCAGCCAAATTGAGGACTAAAACAATGACAGCCTAATGAGATCTAACAAGAAATAGGTCAGGCCGGGCGCTGTGGCTCACGCCTGTAATCCCAGCACTTTGGGAGGCCGAGGCGGGCGGATTACCTGAGGTAAGGAGTTCGAGATCAGCCTGGGCAATACGGTGAAACCCTGTCTCTACCAAAAATACAAAATCAGCCGGGCGTGGTGACACACGTCTGTAATTCCAGCTACTCGGGAGGCTGAGGCAGGAGAATCGCTTGAGCCTGAGAGGCAGAGGATGCGGTGAGCCAAGATCACGCCATTGCACTCCAGCCTGGGCAACAAGAGTAAATCTCCATCTCCCCCCAAAAAAAAAGAAGAGAAAAAAAAGAAATAGGTCAAAAACATTCATAATTTTCCAGGACTATTTGAAATTTGGATTTATATTAACTTTCATAAATGATTAATTCTGTTCTAAGCATGTATGTTTCCTTGAGATACTATTGATTGTATGATAGCATGCTTAGCAAGATAATTGAAAATTTTCTATTCATCTTATTCTTTTACAATTTTTATTTTGTGTATGTTTTATAATGCACATAATATATTAATAATGAATACATGTGTTATGAGTAAATATACATAAATCATGCTCTATCTTTTTTTTTTTTTTTTTTTTTTTTTTTTTTGCTTTTTAACTGTAAGGGGTATGTGATTAAACAACTTGGAGATGACTAAATGATGAAGTCAGAATTTTTAACTAAGCTTGGTAGAACTCCACACTCAAGAGTAATCTGTGTTGCTCATGTAAAAACTGCCCCAAAATTTGTCATCAGTACAGGGTTCTTAATCCGTGATGGAGGGTTGATGGGGGTGGAATACAAATGATCTTTGGAACATCTAAGAATCCCCTGAAACTGTGTTCAAAATCCTAGGATCGTGTTAATGTATGCTTTCTGCAGACAGAGTCTGTACATTTCATCAGATTCTCAAGGGGATCTTCCCGGAAAGGGGTAAGAGTCATTGACCCAGAGGTATCAGCAGCCTCAATAACCTAGGATAATTTTCTGGTAAGAAATTAATCCTCTCCATAACTTTTATAAAACTAAGTGTGCACATTTTGTATATCCAAACATATCTACCCTTTAAAATCCTAATTCAGTGTTTCTTTAGGTAAACCAAATGCATTCTAACTGCCCAAAGAAGGACTCCATTTATCTCCAGAGATGGGCTTTCTGAGGATAAGTTTATTCTAAAGCATTTCCTCAATAATACTGCATTATATATTGTTGACTAGACTAGAAAGAATTTTTTGTGTTGTCATCAATATATCTTTGAGGTTTTGACACATCTTTGGGCAGTTGTACATGAGGAATCAGAACATGAATTCAGGTTCTCAAATTTTCTGTCGTAAATTGTTCAGATATTTTCACTTTTGTTTGGCCATTGTACCTGCTACCCTTTGTTCTGTGCTGTGCTTCTCTGATTGATAATGTGCTTCGGTACCAATGTAACACTGTAGCTTACCTCTAAGCCCCTCAGCTAAATCCATATATTCATCTCCCATGCTGTTATATGATATTTTATTATAGTATTTTACTTTTTGACCACCTTCAGCTGTTATTGGGCTTATCTTTTCAGTTACTATTCATTGCTTTTTGTTGGTGTGTGACCCTTTTCCAGCTTGGCTTATGTTATGTCACCCACCAGATTCTTACTTCAAGTTCAGTACACAAAAGCACAATTCACTATTGTCTTTTTTCAGTCCTGTTTTCTACACTTGAAGTTCTATGTAAATTCAAGAGATGAGTAGAAAATAAGCCAGGAATATATCAAAGCAGATACAGCTATTGAAATTATATTAGATGACTCTTTAAAAACCCAAAATAAATATTCTGCTTTGGAGAAAAATAAAGTTAGTTTCTCCACAGGTAGGGACAAAATACATTCCACAACGGTATGACTTTATTTTAGTTTTCAATGGTGTTACCAGCCAGAAAGTAATGAATATATAAAACAAATATAAGAAGTTTCAGGAAAGGGTTGCAAGCATCTGGATTCTGCATGGGGCAAGGTTTAATGCTAGGCAGGAAACTTTTATCTCCCCTCCAGATAAACTCAACTGAACAGTCACTGACTTCAGTGAGTGTTGGGCATAAAGGAAAAGCTCACATTTGATCTGGAACTGTGCATATTCAATTGCTTATCTTAACCAGAGACATTGTGATACCTGTTGGAATTTTATTATTAAGACTATTTGGAACCTTTCAATAGCAGACTTTCCTTAAATATGGGGAAAACAAGGAATTCTCTGATCAGATTAAAAACATTACAATATACAACTTTGTGGTGGTTGTTTAATACTTAGGACTTAGGGTTGGAGGGTATATTTGAATCTTAAAGAGGTTGACCTCACCTTTACCTATATTTTATTAAAATACTTTAAAAATATATCCACTTATCAGGGGTAGATTTTATGATGACATTTATCAACTGACATTACCTGTAGCCACAGTTACCTAATATTCTGCAGTTCTCTTGGCCCATATCAATGTCAATTATGTTCCCAAGAACTTAAGACCAGAATGTTGAGCTATTATTTCTAATGCTAACATCATAAATAACTACTTACTAATTGAGGAAAATAATAGTGAAAGCATAATTTAATGTTCTAAATAAATGACTATTCTTTTAAACAGCCTTCAAATGCTATCATCACTGGTCTTTAAGCTATTGCAGACTATGTATCAGTCTTACTTAAAATGGTACCATTGAAAGTTCTTATAATAACCACTGGTTTAAAAAATACATATCAATCTCAGAACCTCTGGTTCCATGCATAAAGTAAACATAATACACTGGAACACATGTTTGAATGGATTACCCAAGATCACCCACTAAGATTAGAATGGTGGTGTCCACATTCCCAGTCAGTAAACCATTTACTATATAACAGTTTTCCTTAAAAGAAGAAGAAAAATGTCTCCAAGATCATGTTCTGCAACTCACTGATAGCCGTCAGTGACCAACTAAAGAAATGGGCTCAGCACCATCCATTGCATGCTAATGTGCAAACTTTTATTAACTGCTCAAAGTAAGAAATGTATTATGTATCATGACCTGTTATACACATACTTATACAGTGAATTGTATCAGTCAGGGTCCAACCAGGAAAACAGAAGGAATTTAATTCAGGGAATTGGTTACATAGATGATGAAAGAGCTAAGAACTTAAATAAAGAATTGAGTAGCAACAGTAAGGTGTCAGTCATCCCCTCTAGGCTTTGAGAAACCAAGAGATAATTAAAGAAGCCCAGAGACCAGAGTCTCCTGGTGAAACCTGAAACCATGATGATTCTCAGAGCGATGGAGATCCAACTGTTGGTAGAGATGCAGCTAGAGGCAGAAAGAGAAGAGAACACTCTGCTTGACAAGCTCCAAGACGGTTATCTTCTACCTTAATATGTCCTCAGAGTTCAGGACAAAGGGCGCGCTCAATAAATATTTATTAATGATGATGGTGCCCATTGTCAGCACAGCTGTTCTGCTTTCTATGATAATGAGAAAGCATTAGGGAGAAAATTCACTCCAGTCCTCCTTAAATGCTGCCAAAAGTCCCGCAAGATTCACATACATCCTACTCAATACCATAGACATAATCAGTGTTGGAAGGAAGGAAAGGAGGAAGGGAGGAAGGGAGGGAGGAAGGGAGGGAGGGAGGGAGGAAGGGAGGGAGGGAGGGAGGGAGGAAGGAAGGAACGAAGGAAGGAGAAAAAAGGAAAGAAAAGAGGAAAGAAGGAAAGAAAAGAGGGAGGGTAGGAGAGAGGGAGGGAGGGAAAGAAAAGAGAAGGGAAGGGAAGGAGAAAGAAGAAGAAAGGAAAAGGAAAGAAAGGAATGAAAAGAATCAAGGCTTATTTTGCATTTTCACATAATATATTTTATTTATGATATAGCAGAGATAAATGTGAAGCATTCTCTTATGAAATGTCTTGAGACAGACAGCTTTAACAGTGAGTACCAGACGAGTCCAAATTGGGACCCAGGCTTTGTAAATCTAGCCAATGCATTTTAGTCATATCATAAGCAGTGTAACATGATGACTGAAAGCTTGGGCTCCCAGGTGGTGTTGCCTAGGATAAAATTTCAACTCCACCAACTACTAGTTGCATGATTACGGGCAAATTACTCAATTTTTCTGTGCCCCAGTTTACCCATCTGTGAATGAAGGCAATAGCAGTTTTGTTCTGGAAGATGTTTAACAAACGGCTCTCACCCTAAAGTCTCGGATTTGTAGCATATTTTAATTTCCATGATGTAAGTACTGCCACAATGACTGATTTCAAGCTACCAATAACAGGCTCACAAAATTCCTGAAAGTGTAACAATCGGCTCTTACGGATATCTTCCTTACAGGGTTGCTGTGAATATTACATGAGTTTGTACATACAAAGCACTTAGGACTGGCCTTGGCACATCATACACTTAGTCTGATAAATATTCACTATTTTTGTTATACCATTTTAGCTTGCTTTCTTCTATGGAAATGGAGGATAGAAATAGTATTATTGAAAAAAGCAGTTGCCTTGCTTTTAGTTCATTTCAGCCCCTTCCTAATCACATGCTTTTTGTTCACTACTGCCAAGCAGCCCCATTGACTTATTTGAATTTTCTTTCCTTTTCCTTAATTCTTTTTTTTTTTTTTTTTGTTTTGTTTTGTTTTTTTGGAGCATTCTAAGAATCAGAGGACTGGCTTAAAGCCACATACCAGGAAAAAAAAAAAAGGAGTTATAGAAAGTAAGGATAATCCCAACTGAATAATTTTCCCTGAATAATCATTTTAGGAAAGACTTAAGTACTACCTCAAATAACTAGATATAAAAATTTGTTTGGATACAATTACCTTTTTCCCCATTTTGAGGAAGACTATGAATTGTACTCCACCTAGCCTCTTTTCAAAATAATTTTATTCCCTGGTGTTCTTCTGACACAAAATAAATAAGAATTTTCATTAAAAAGAATCTCAAAATATATTAATCTGGACAATGTGACTTTCTGCTTTTTGGTTTCTGTGGGCATATCCATGACTTCCATTTACAAAATATCTGCTTATGAATATTATAATTTGCTGGGTGTATCCCCAGAACTAACACTTAGGCAATAAACGTTGGATACCTATGGAAAACATGGTGTTTTTCAATAAAATGTTGGCCAGTCAATAGCTCTGTTCATCAGCTAAAAACCCCAGACCCCAGCATGTTTCTGTAGAATATCTTGTTCTTTCTTGCTCAGATGTTTTGTCACTCCTTTGTTTTACAACTTTTGAATTCACCATTTCCTTCTCCCACTCATAAAATGGTTTGTAGCTTTGCTTTTGTGAACTTCCTGCTCTTCTCAGCCACTTTCTTTGTTGTTCCTTTCCTCATGTTGCTATTTGTTACTTCTGTTCAACAGCTAGGGAGTCTTTTAATTACCAAGTGCCTCCTTTTATCATTGGAGGAATGGAAGAGGCATTGAAAAGTTGAGTCTACAATCCCATGCAAGCCGCCTGCTTGAATCCTCCCTCTCTAGAGAAAACAGAAGTCTCTTCCAATCTTCTCCCTCCCATGTCTCCCCTTCCCCTACAACAACCCTGGCAATCACCTTTCCACTTTCCATCTCTGTGATTTTGACTACTCTAGGTATCATATAAGTGGAATCATGGAGTGTTTGTCTTTCTGTGAGTGGATGATTTCACTGAGCATAATCCCCTCAAGTTTCTTGCATATTGTAGCATATGACAGGATTTTCTTCCTTTTTAAGGCTGAATAACATTCCATTTTATGTATATACAACCTTGTGCTTACCTCTTCATCTGTTAATAAATACTTGGGTTGCTTTCATTTTTTGGCAATTGCACATGATGCTGCTGCTATGAACACAGGTTTACAGATACCTGTTCTGGTTCCTGCTCTCAATTCTTTTGGGTATAAACCTGGAAGCGAAATCTTTGGATCATATCATAATTCTATTTTCAGTGTTTTCAGGAACTGCCATACTGTTTTTCATAATGGCCATACCACTGTATATTCCTACCTCCAGCACCCAAGGGTTCCCAATTTCACCACATCCTTTCAGCACTTGTTATTTTCTGGTTTCTGGTTTTTATTTTTTTAATTGATAGTAGCCATTCTAATGGGTATGAGATGGTATCATCTACCATTTTTATATTACTGATCTTTGTTAAAAACTGGAATGTTTTTAAGCAGAAAGCTAAATGTCAAATTTCTATCTTTCACCATGTTGATCCTATGCTCATAATTTTCAAAATCCCTTGAATTTTGGTTGTTACTGCCATTTTCATTTTTATGCTAAGGCACATGACTTGGTTTCCAAGACCAAATCAGAGACTGTAAAATCTACTTGAATTCTGTGATGTGCTTGTTAATAACATCTCTCCACTTTTTCCATGGTAAATGCCATCCTGCAGGACTGTCTAGGCTTGGTAAAACTTCTCCAGCTGGAGGGCAGTAGGCCGCTTCTTCCTGCACAATTAAGCTGCTTATGGTTGACCTTTCTATTTCCTTTTTGTCAGCTTTATTGAGGTATAATATATACTTAAGTGTAAAATTTGATGAGTTCTGACAAATCTGTGGAGTACTGAAACCACCACCAAGGTCGTGATACAGAATGTTTTAAGGGGTTATTATTTGACTTCTCTGCCTTAATTAATTCAACAAAACAGAAACCTGGTATATATACACGATTATTAACAGTAGTATAAACTACTGTTCACAGGTAATAAACAATATCACTCCCATATCTTTATCCTTGTCCTGTTATTGCTAAAAGATTCTTTAGAACACAAAAGGAAGATAGAAAAGGTGTGGAGAGGAGCCCGTAGGAGAGGACAGGAGAGAAGGGAAGAGAGAAGGAAATAGTATGTTTATTCTAAGTTAACATATTTAAATAAGAATAACACTAGACTATTATTATGATTTTGTTTTTTCCTCCTCCTGTAGTAAATGGCTATATCCCTGTGGTCTGAATAATTTATCTTTCACAAGACAGTTGTTTTTTTTTTTTTTGGCCTAACATCATGCCTATAGACTCACAAGTAGGTTAGTTACTTGCTTGCTTTCTTCCTTCTTTTCTTTTTGTTTCTTTTCAGAGATGCCACTCTATGAAATGTGGTTATTTACTTATTCTTGATTAACAATTTACTTTGAAATGTCATTTCTCAATGGAGGAGCATTTATATCGGTCACATCAAATTCACTTATTTTCTATAAGTTTTACTTTTTATTCA
This sequence comes from Homo sapiens, assembly GCF_000001405.40. Taxonomy (NCBI): domain Eukaryota; kingdom Metazoa; phylum Chordata; class Mammalia; order Primates; family Hominidae; genus Homo; species Homo sapiens. The sequence continues at coordinate 2,002,595 of NC_000009.12, read as the reverse complement.
ACAAATACATGATTGAGCATTTACTCTGCACAGGATATTCCATTATTCTTTCAGGAATTTTATTTTACATCCAACAAACTCTTTACTTAGCATTTACTATGTATCAGGCAAGTCTTTCTCTTATCTTGCTTAGAGCTAAATTAGAAACTAAGTTTTTTCCTTTTCCTGAACTATCTAGGATGGCTTTTTCTATATTCAGGCCACAACTTTATGTAGCATTTGTTAACATTTTCCCTCTACACAAATAGCATTGTGTTCTTTAGTTCAAGCAAGGCTTGGAATTTGTCAGACTTTTTCCAGTTTTCTTCAGAGCTTATTATTTGCCTTTATGTATTTCGGAATTTTGCTTTCATTGTTTTAATTAGAGGTCTGTTAAGTTACCTTGGACTCTATATTTAAACACTTCTATCCCAAATCTCTTTGTCTACATATAACTCAATCACATCCTGCACATCCTGGCATTTCTGAAGTTTCCATCTTGGGATCTGATTCTAACACTAAAATGATGCCTTATCCATTCTGATGCTTGAGTCTCCAATATCCAGTTTCCCCTGAAATCCCAATAGTTCTTTGTGTGTAATAGGCGACCAGTATTGACTTATCTTATAGAATTTTAAAAGTCAAAAGAACTTTATGGATCAAAAACATAGGGGTAAATTTTCATGATCTTGTATTTGGCAATGGTTTCTTACGTATGACACAAAAAGCACAAGCAACAAAAGAAAAAAGGAATAAATGGAACTTCATCAAAATTAAACGTTTTTGTGCTTCAAAGGACACTATCAAGAAAGTGAAAAGAGAGTGCACAGAATAGGAGACAATACTTGCAAATCATATATCTGATAAGAGCCTAGTATCCAGAATATAAAAGAATGCTTACTACTCAACAACAAAAAGATAAAAACAACCCACTTAAAAAATAGGCAAAGAAATTGAATAGACATTTTTCCAAAGAAGGTATATAAGATGATAGTGGTGATGATGGTATCAAGGCTTTTCAAATGAAGCAACTGAGCAAGAGCCTTAGTGGACTGATTGATCCATTGTTTAAAAATTTTTTGAGTGCCCCTTTTGTGACTGGCACTGTGCTAGGCTAGGAATTCAGTGATAGACAAAAACAGATGCTGTTCATCTTTCATGAAACGATTTTGGGATGGAGATAGACACTAACCAAGTCATCAACCAACTGCAGACTGAGGTGAATTCTATGAAGTAAAGAAATACTTTCTATGAAAATGCAGAGTAAAGAAACTTAGTCTAGACTAAGGTTCAGAGAAGGCTTGCTTCTCGGAGCAATTTTTTTTTCTTTTTTTTTTTTTTTTTTTTTTTTGAGACGGAGTCTCGCTCTGTCGCCCAGGCTGGAGTGCAGTGGCGGGATCTCGGCTCGCTGCAAGCTCCGCCTCCCGGGTTCACGCCATTCTCCTGCCTCAGCCTCCCAAGTAGCTGGGACTACAGGCGCCCGCCACTACGCCCGGCTAATTTTTTGTATTTTTAGTAGAGACGGGGTTTCACCGTTTTAGCCGGGATGGTCTCGATCTCCTGACCTCGTGATCCGCCCGCCTCGGCCTCCCAAAGTGCTGGGATTACAGGCGTGAGCCACCGCGCCCGGCCTCTCGGAGCAATTTTTGAGCTGAGATCTGTGGAATGGGTAGGAGAGGTGGGCAAGCAATCTGAGAAGAGAGATCAGCATGTGCAAAGCCTATGGCAGAGGAAATATGACATTCAAGGGCATTCAAGGACATGCAATATAAGGTAGTTGTGGTTGGAGCAAGCTGCACAAAGAGGAGATGAGGCTGGAGAGACAAGCAGGGCCTGGTAGGGCCTCCTACATAGGCCCTGATAAGGATATTGCTCTTTATCCTATGGGTGATAGGAGTAGGGATGGATAATGGTTATCTTTATCCTAGCAGTCAAGAATGGACTGGAAGGGGCAAGAGTGGATGGGGAGTGAAGTAGAAGTTAGGAAGCGTTTGCAGGAATAGATGATGGTGTTTTTGAGAGGTGGTGATAGAGATGGGGAGAACTTGAGCTAGACCTCTAGAACAGGAGTACAGTTAAAAAAGGAAAGGGGAAGTCTGGCCCAGGCAGACCAACACCATGCACAGAGACATGGAGGCATTAAAGCATGAAGCAGAAGTTGAGTTTGGTGAACCCTTAGGTCACTATGGCAGGATCCATGGAAAGGCCATGGGAAGGTGTTGGAGCAGTCTATAGGAATCAGATCACCGTGGAGCTCATTGGCAAGTTCGGACTTTATCTTGGTGGACATGGGAAATTGTAAAGCCATTTAAAAAGGGAAATGTGACTACCAGATTCACATTTTACAAAGATTATTCCAGGGGTGGCAGAGAATAGATTTAAGAAGAGTAAATAGAAGGTAATCTTGAGTATTAAACCAGGAAGCTGGATAGCGGTCAGTTGCAACTGCTCAACCTGAGAACTAATGAGGATCCGGACCACACAGTATCATGAGGATGGGAGAATGAGATGCATGTAATACTACTTCTGAGACAGGACCAATTGGTAGTCACAATAGTCGTGATTTGCTAAGCCCATGGCACATGTATAACCCCAGTACCTTCTCACCTACTGTCTCATGGGTCCTTGCCTGCTTAGTGGCTATGGCACTAAACAAATAAAAAGACGCCATTGGAACAGAGTCTCTGACAACATTCTGCTTCCAGAAGTTCCCCTCATTTTGTTGTGACACTGTCACCTATCTAAACTACCAGTTCTTTAAGGAGAGGGATGATGTTTTATTTCCAATTTCATGTCCCACCTCTGTTGCCACGTTTGCCTCAAAGAAGAGGTTCAATAAATACTTGAATAAAGTATATGACTTTAAAAGGCTTATTTCTCAGTGTACCTGCCACACTGCTAACATCAAGGGGTAAAAATAAACACATGTTAGAGAATTAGGAAACTCTGAAGACCTCACTGCCTAACTTGCTGATGCCTTAGCTGTTTTTTAAGACAAAACATTGCCCTCATTCTGCTCATGCGCATAAAAATCTGTCATTCTTATCACCAAGGTGTGTCGGTTTTAACTGATGTTTCACTGTCAGATCTGTTGTAATGTGCACAGTGGGGTAAACCAATATGTGATTTAAATGAATTGAAAAGCTATCTCAAGCTCAAAACACCTATGAAGAGACTGTCACATCAACATTCAAGAAAAATGGGTCCAAAAGTTTATTTGAACTTGTCTTTCAAGTTGTGTCAACTCCATCTCAAGGGTTCTACAATAAAATAAAGGATGTCCTTTTTTCTCACAATGTACGTGGCTTATCTGATATAAATTCTGTTCATCAGACCTCTCATCTTCAATGATGTAAACAGATCCCATTGGAAAATCTGGTTCTGAGACTGCTTGCTCAGAAAATTTTAGTCTCAGAGAACTTTTAGTCAAGACATAATTCCCAAAAGGCAAGGCTTTGAAGATATTGAGGATAGGGATAAAGCAATTAGGCTAGTAATTCAGAGATTAGAACTTACATTACCAGTGTTTAAAGCTTAATAAAGGCTTTAACAACGAATAGTTAGATAAGTCTCAGAAAGGAATCAGAGCAAAAGAAAAAAGTTTATTTGATGTGTGAACACTAAATAGTCTCTAATACACATTGGTATGCGTATAAAATTTATACATGCATATCAGCCAGTTTGGTCTGCTAATTATGATACAAAAATATGGAAGAAAGGTCGTAAAATTTCTTTTAGAATTAATTTGTTCAATCCAAGAGATACATGCTAACATTGTCACATGGCAAAACCTCCTAGATCTGTAGGATTATTATTTCTCTTCATTATCTAAGGCTACTTTCAAACTAGTTAGCCTTCCTGTTGCTGATTTGGGAGATAGAAATGGGAGAATATGGTAGGGATAAGTGTCCAGAGAGGAGTAGGAAGAGAAAAGACTCAGGTAATGTATTGGACGACATGTAATACTGTGTCCTGGGCTGTGTTACTAAGGAATCTTGTCTTCTGTCTTCCAATTAGTAGCAGCGAGAACTCAGCCACCAACAGGAGCTCTGCGGGTGGTGGAGACAGTGGGGTCAGGGTATCTGTTCTCCTGGTTGAGCTTCCAGGCAGCATGCCTCCTCCCGAGGCCACAGTTTTTCTGGAGGCAGGGGATGGGGTGTCATTTTGTATCATCACTTGCCCTGGGTTCTGATACCTGCTCCTTTCTCACTCTCTCATGCCTACAGCTGCTGATGGTTCTCCACCATTGATATCCTTGAAATGCTTGCAGTGGTGAACAACTACTCTGTTAATTTCCCTGAACTCTGCCCACACCTTTGTAAATGTCCCTTCATTAACATGCCTCAAACCCTTTTGAATGTACCAGCTGCTTTTTGCTTGGAACTCTGACTGACGCAATTGTCTTCTAACATAAATGGAGCATTAAGCTCTAACAAGGTGATCTTGGAAAATCCCAAGGAGATAAGGTAACAATTTTTACTGACCTCTTTCTTTGGCCTTAGTAATAAAATAAAAATGAATGCTTAAAATATAATCTGTGGTTAATTATTGATGGAATAATGTTATCCTCATTACTGCCTGCTCTTTTCTGGTAAGCCCAGCTCCTCAATTAACTAGAAACAAAATTATGAAACAACTTTACGAATTAAGTATTGAACATGTTACATTTGAGATCCCTGATGGACAGTCTAGTGGTAATACTCTGTAAATGTTAAAGATGAAATTGTTTGTCCCTGAGGCAGTGAGTTCTACATCGCAGGCAATGTCCAAGCACCAGCTGGAAAAGCAATGAATCACTTGTTGAGCTTGCTGATTTTAAGGTCTTTTCCAATATGTACTTTTATGATTTTAAGTTATAATATTTTATCATCATAATATTTATGATGAAAATGTTGGCTATTCAGTTGCATATTTTAGTAAAATGGTACATGAACAATACACACACAGATATTTAAGCACAAAAATCTTAAAGAATATTCCTATCTTCAATATGACATGGTGGAAACTGGTCTCTGGAGAGAAATAAAACTCTGACTCAGTGCCAGTTCTCAACAAAAAGCTGTATGTCCTGTGGAAGTTACCTAACATCTCTGAGTCTCGGTTTTCTCACATTTTTCTCATAGAGCAATGGTGAAAATTCAATAAGCTAACATCTAGGACAAATTTAGATACTCAATAAAGGTTTCACATTCACCATTAAACTGTTCTTCCTGTTACGTTAATTAATAGTGCAAAGATAAATAAGAGCGTGTTTAAGAATTATTTTCTAAATTGAAAAACCACAAAGTAATGATCAATGCTTCTACTTTAGCATCTCACAACACGACATGACCTGGCAAATACATTGTTTAAGAAGGAGTCTTTCCCAAGAGAGCTGATATTTTAAAATACGAGAAACAAATTCTCTTTATATAGTGCTGCTATCCATCTTATAGCCATTTTGTACTTAAAGCATCAAAACACTATAAGCCAGGCATTATTATCTCTATTTATAAAGGAAGGAATTTATAAGGGCAGATAACCTCACTCATTATCCTATAGGAAGTAGTCTTTCCACTAACTCATCTGGACATTTTACTCTGGTTGGGAAAACAAGAAGAAAAATTAAAAAAATTAAAAAAATCAAATTACATATGGCAGCATAGACATGCTACATGAGTGAAGCCAACTCATTTCTAAGTACAATTAAGAATTTGTGGGGCAGGAAAATCTCCCTGCCCCACAAATTCTTGGGTGGAGTATTCTGGCAATAAGATAAACATGCAGTCTCTAGGTTCAGCAGAAACGTAACCAAATCCTGGCTCTTTCATGTCCAAGTCGTGTCACTTTGGACAAACTCTTCAGCTTTCTATGCCTCAACTCCCTCATCTGCCGAACGGAGGCTAAAATAGAACCTACCCATTGGGTTATTATGAGGTTTAAATGAAATAATCTAGTTAAAGTGCTTATTAAAGCCCCTACTGCAGAGAAAAACTTTAATAAATAGAACTGTTATTATTACAAGACAAAGCAACAGAGTCCCACTGGAGAGCTAGTTTGCTGAGAGCCACAGCGCTCGTTATTGACAAAGAAGAGACTGGAGCCTAGTTCCTGTCCAGCATCCTTTAGTTATGAATGAACCATCGCTTAATTAGGTTTTGAAACATAGGTGATAAGAACTTCAGCTAAAAGAAAGAATGAGGGCTAGATAATGTGCTATCTATCTGCAATCTACGGACGTTGCTTTTCTCAGAAGCAGACACGTCACAAGTACCTGTGCAGAAAACATAAATAAATCACATTCCTTCCAAATGTTCTTGCCTTCCTCCTGTGTGGGAGACTGCCTCACAGTTAAACACCTTATAACATGGCTCACTTGTGATTTCAGTGACCAAATTCCCTTCGACAGGTATTAAAAAGGCACAGGCTAAGAACACATTTGGCTCTTACCGTGACTAATGCCACAGTGAGGCCTCAGTGTAGACAGTTCTGGCAGGACAGAAATGGATGCGGAGATTAAAGAACCAAAGTAAAGGCTGCCATCATCTTCGAGACTAGCCTGTGCTCAGTTTTATACACACTCCTTAACTATTTTGAGTCACCAGGGAATTATCACTCTCAGCCTCAATTAAGAAAGCACTTTTCTAGTCAGATGTTGTAACGAGGAGAACAGTAGCCTTACAACCAGTTACCATAACATCCTTGGCTAATAGGACAGGCTCTTTAACAATGCATTAAGGCTGAATGAATTTGGGCAATCAAGAATAAAATAATAGTGAAACTTTAAAGAAGAGTGTGCTTAAGATTATTCTTCAGGCTTTTCTCTGATTAGTTTTCTTCTGTTAGAAGTATTTGTTGTTCATTGCCTTTTAAAAATCATTTCACATGGATCCTAGTCAACTGCAGTGAGCACAAGTTGACCCAAAATCATTATTAGGCTCTTGCGGCGCCATCTTCCTGACTTTTCTTGGAATAAAAGTAGAGCCTCCCTGGGTTTAGAAACTGCTTTTCTGGTTAATGAGGACTGAACAGTTTTTATTCCTAATTACGGTAGTCCCTTTTATAATGTCATGTTTCTAGAAGCGATTGGAACATTTGCATCTTTAAACGCCAAGCCGGCAAAAACAGTTGTAGCATATATTAAACTCTGAGTAATTATAATATTCTATTTAATTCTTTCAGACTGGGAGAGAGACTTCCACATGAACTGTCTGCAGATTCCCAGAGAGTAACAGGAGAACTTTCCAGTACAATGTTCATGAGAAAGCTGCAGTTCTGAGGACCTGCATATTAACATAAGTGATGCAAGAGCCTAGGAGATGCCTTTCTCAGCTCTATCAGCTTGAGGAATCTATTCATTCCTCCTCTTTCTTAAAGAATAAGGCGGCCTCCTGCTGCTTCTCTGTTAAACATAAGGAATTTAAAACTCACCAGTTTAGAGGGCCTTGCTTAGATTATATGTCTGGATTTTAGCCAATGTATATGGTGTTGATATGGAATTCTCAAAGAATATTAGCCAGCAACATTCCTCTGCTGATTAATCCTTTTTGGGTGATTCTGCATACTCAGTTTGTATCCTTCTAGTTGGTTCCTCTCTGTTTTTACTTTATCCCAGTTACTTAACTTCACCTTTAAAACCAGGAGGAGTTTGGTAGTCACTTTTCCCCTTTAGCAAATATGATGGGTAGTAGCTGCCATCTCAACAATGGTGACAAAAGACAGAAGGAAACGATATATCCTCCCTTCACCTTGAGTCACTTTCCATGCTAATTCAGGCAAGACTCACTTTTAGGAAGAGGCCAGCACGGTATGACACTTTAGCTTCATGGCCAGCATTGCTACCTGTGTCATCTTTGAATCTCGACTTCCACATCTGTAAAATGGATAAGTCTCTGTAAAGATCAAGAGACAACACATACAAAGCACCAAGCTTGGTACACAAGGAAATGCGTGTGACACGTTAGTTGCCTTTCCCTTTCATTTTAAGGTGGTCAGATAGATCACTTAAAAGTCTGCTTAGGAAAGAAAATTTGCAATGGAAACCTCAAAAACTGTTAACCAGTGAAATGTTCTTTGGTAAGTAATTACAGAAAACTGGATAACATTCTAAATATGAAACTTGTTTCATGTAATTAACCTGAGGCCTTTTAGGCAACAGGTGACAAGAATAGCCTATATAAGGAATGTATGATCCAGCAAGAGATTAGCATCGGCCTACTTACCACCAGGGGACAATATCAGGCTATAATTATTGTGTAAATGCTACTTACGAAATACTGGCCTCAGTGACGTCAGACCCCAAAGGAGGTATGCGGTAGTTTTTTTCTAGTAGCATCCAAAGAGGGGGCATAGGGTGGTGGAAAGAATATTGGCCTTTGACTCCACGTCCTGTTACCTACTTGCTAATTAAACATCTCTGAAACTGAGTTTTTTGTGTGTGTGTGTTTAATCTGTAAAACGTGAAAGGGAATTTTTAATTGCCTTTCAGGTTGACTGGAAGCCGAGATTATCAAACTTCTATGTGTGCACAAAGCACCTGAAGACCTTGTTGTAATGCAATCTGGTTCAGGAGGCTTGCAGCGGAGCCTGAGATTCTGCATTTCCAATAACTCCCAGGAAATGCTAGTGCTGCTGGTTTGAGGACCACATTTGAGAAACAAAGATTTAGAGGATTATATGAGATATTATACATGTAAAAAGGACCTGTAGACTCTTGGGTACAACAGATAGAAGGGAATGCCATTAATAGCAGTATTCACATACGGTATTCGACTTAGAATGAAAGGATGTGAAAGTCAGTAGAGTTACATATTTTCTCTAATATGTATTTTCTCTCATATGTAACACTACTGACTTTCACATCCTTTCATTCTTCTTTTCAGTGCTTCTAGCAGTACCTGTTCAATAATTAATTTATTTTATTTTATCCCAGTTACTTTAACTTCACCCTTAAAACCAGGAGGAGTTTGGTAATCACTATTCCCCTTTAGCAAATATGATGGGTAGTAGCTGCCATCTCAACAATGGTGACAAAAGACAGAAGGAAATGATATATCCTCCCTTCACCTTGAGTCACTTTCCATGCTCTTCTTTTCAGTGCTTCTAGCAGTACCTGTTCAATAATTAATTTTTTAGTGCAGTTAAGATGGGGCCTATGGAATATACCATGCTTTGTACAACATAGATATTGGAAAGAAGAAAAGGCGGGATAAAGGGAAGGAGGAAGGAAGGGTGAGAGGATAAAAATGCACAGTGTTTAATGGTACAGATGGATGTCTCCTCTTAGAGAAAAGGGAATGTGATAGAAGAAATGAAGACAGCCCATTAACATATTACATTGAATATTTGAGGACAGTCATAAATAAAGACAGATTAAAGATATTTACATCGATGATGGGGGAATTTAGGGATGGTATTGTGGATAGATATGGCTTGATAAATTCCAGAAACTATCTGTGATGTCTCATCTGTCTCTATCAGGGGTCCCCAGTCCCCAGGTCACGAACCAGTACTGGTCGGTGGCCTGTTAGGAACCAGGCTGCACATCAGGAGGGGAGCTGCAGGTGAGCAAGCATTACCACCTGAGCACCACTTCCTGTAGGATCAGCAGCGGCATTAGATTCCCATAGGAGTGCAAACCCTATTGTGAACTGCACATGTGAGGGATCTAGGTTGTTCACTCCTTATGAGAATCTAACCAATGCTGGATGATCTGAGGTGGAACAGTTTCATCCCGAAACCATCCCCACCCTGCCATCCCGGTCCATGGAAAAACTGTCTTCCACAAAACTCGTTGGTCCCTGGTGCCAAACGGGTTGGGGACTGCTGGTATGCTATATCTACTCAAAGACCCCTGGAAGAGATACAAAAATATGGAGAAAGTATTTTTGTCAAAAACATTACTTTTAGATCTGAATCCAAGACCACGGACCTTATCTACGAGTGAACAGCAGTTACTGAGCACTCACTGTGTGCACAACATGATACCAAGTACCCTTCCTTTTTCCATGGAACTCAACTTCATGATTGTGCCACTGCACAGGCAAGTGGTACCAGGATCCAAGAGCAGGGCTACATTGTCTTCTCATCATTTTTGGCAAGCTGGCTTTACCTTCTAAGTTTCAAAAAGACTTCAGAGGTAATCCTCAGTCACTTTCTACTAATATTTACACTAACCGAAAAAAGACAAGCATTTAAAGATAAATTCCCCTCAGGATCCTTTATTCAAATGATACCTCACCACATCACCCAGTCTCAAATTGCACCCTCTTTCACCCTGTCCTGACATGAGCCCTCACTCCTGCTCATGTTCTCCCTAGCACTTGTCAGAAACTCTGAAGTTTTCTTACTTATTTTGTAATCATCTGTCTTCCCCAGTCAGACACAAACTCAGAGAGCAGGGAATTTTTTTTGCCCTGTTCACCACTGTATCCCAGCAATTGGAATTGCATCTGCGCATAGCAGGTGCTTAGTAAATATCTGTTAAAGGAATAAATAGATAGGATTTATAGTAGATAAATGCTTTAGCAACATTTTATTAAAGACCTTTAGAGAAGGGACTGTGTGGTTTCGTTTTTCCAGAGCGCATCCCTGGAATTCTGGAAATCAGTTAACTACTTTTCTCTCAAATAAATAACTTTCTGTTTTCAGTAAAGATGGGAATCAATATAATATATGGCCCAAGACTTAATTAATGTTTATTTAGCAGTGAACATGAATAGGACACATTTTTTTTTCTGTGCCTCTTCCAAAAGCAAGGTGCTCATGGAGCCATGCAAGGGGCTCTCTGGAGACTTACTTACCAGAGAGCTTCCTGGAGTATACAAAGCGACTGCTGAGTATCTAAGGGATCTCTTTTTCTCTTGTCTTGGTGACCAGACAACCACAGGAATAAAACTGGGAAAGATGGCTAATCTTTCTGCAGGCATTCAGGGAGAGAGAGCACCTCTGATGGTCCTCATCTCCCACAAACACCCTGGGTAACCTTCAGCATCTCCAAAGGCAGAGAAGTGTGGTAAGAAATGCCAATCCCTAACTCGAGATTTCCCAGGGCTGTGTCAGGTGAATCCCAATCAAGCCTCAATTGAGACAGTGCTTCCCTCCTTCAGTAGACCACCTATTTTTTGATGTGTTAGAGCTAAGGGCATTCAGTTTCATCCCAGGGTCATTTGGAAGCTACTGAGATGACCACGGTTCCCTGTGTTAACCCTTCAAGGGTAGCACTGATGGTATCTAACAGAGCAGAGTGTCACAGTGACCCGACCTTGGAAAGGGTTTGGTGAGAGCTGAGCTCCAGTTTGTGAATCCTATTTTCAGTCTTCATGCAGTTTTAAGATTTAGCTCAATTTCCAGACCATCCCCTACCCAGGCTTGAAAGTGGCTTTATTTCACACTTTGCGGTAGGAGGTAAGTGGGTTTCTATGTGAAAGTGATGGTGCCAAAGACATTTATGAACATTAAAAAATGTCTGAACATGGCTTAAAGCCACTCAGCCTATTTCTCATCCTGCGCCGTGCCTTGTGGAGCGTATGCAAGTTCAGAGCTCTCTTTGAAATCAGTGGCAGTTATGAGCTTGGAGCAACTCTGTGGGGCACTGAGCAATATAATAAATGAACCCCTTTGAAGACCAACCATTGTAGCTGGGCTCTTTTTTTGCTATCCAGCACTGATTTCTCTGGGTGTTCTGTGGGGCGGCAGGGAGTGGCCCACCAACACAACATTGTCTGGTTTTCAACTTCGGTCCTGAAAGGTGGGAGGGGTTTAGGAAAGTAAGTGCTTCTATTTCCTTAAAGAATTGGCCTAAACCCTTTTGCTGTTAACACCTGGGATAAGCCATCCCATGCCCACGTACCTTCAGTTAAAACAAAACAAAGGCTTCCTTTCATCTGCGTGTGCTTACTGGTTTATGCAGCAACAAAACCAGCAACAATAACAATAAGAAAAACAAAACAAGTCTGCCAGGAAATAAAGCAGACTTATTTGTATATCAGGGGTTTTTCCAATTATTTATTTAGTTAAAAGCAGAGAATGCAATCTGGGATATTTTGCTTGTTTCTCCTGTGACATTGCAGGCCAAGCTGATAATCTGATACCAAGATGAAATTTCCTGAATATTCTTAAAAGGGAATTAAAGCTTTTTTTAAATTGACTTTTGACTAAATATTCCTAAATGGCTGCTATCCATATTTCAAATAGCTCAATAAGTTAAGTATGTTCAAGTTGCCTTTGAACACAGTTAAGAAGACTGAATCATTTGGCCCTATTTTTCTTTCTTTTTTCTTTTTTTTTTTTTTTTTTTTGAGACGGAATCTCTCTCTGTTGCCCAGGCTGGAGTGCAGTGGTGTGATCTCAGCTCACTGCAGCCTCTGCCTCCTGGGTTCAAGTGATTCTCCTACCTCAGCCTCCCAAGCAGCTGGGACTATAGGCATGCACCACCATGCCCAGCTAATCTTTGTATTTTTAGTAAAGATGGGTTTTTACCATGTTGGCCAGGATGGTCTTGATCTCTTGACCTTGTGACCCGCCCGCCTTGGCCTCCCAAAGTGCTGGGATTGCAGGCATCAGGCGTGAGCCACCGCGCCTGGCCATTTGGCCTTATTTTTCAAGTACAAATGTGAATGATTGCTTGAATGCTACTGCCTGCACTGGATGCAGATTCAACTATTTTTGCAGAACCTCTTCTTTATTTCTCACAATCACACTGTGAGATCAATATTGTTAACCCTACTTAGCAGATAAAAGAACTGAGGCCAGAGAGTTCCAATGGCAAAGAGCTGGTGGCAGAGTTGGTGTCTACACCTAGGTTCGTTGACCCTCAAATCCAGCCCTCATTCCCCTGCAAAATTTGGCTACTTCTCAAGCTACAATAATCTGTCCCTCTCTCCAATTAAAGTAACATGTTATTTATTCACAGTGAGAAGTATTTGAGCAAATACTGAGTCAGGGCCGAGTCCCTGTAGGGGCCTGATCAAGAGTGATTGTAAGAAATGTCAATATCAAGTGAAATGGACTTCAAGGAAACTTTCATTTCCATATACAAATGTGGTATAAGAAAGTTCATTTTACTATCTTTGAAACTATTTCTAGGACAAAAATAGACAGAATAATCTTTATAGTTATTGACTGGTTTAAGATCTTTTGTTTACTTTGTTATATTCAGCCTCATTCCCAAACCATGCCAGGTGAATATCAGATGAAAAATAAGTGAAGTGTAGTTAAAGAACAAATGGAAAATAATATTAAGTGGAAACCAGAGGGAAACTAATACATGCAAAGGCACACCACACTGAAGATGAAGGCAAAACACAAAAATAAAACAAAAAATATCAGTTGTAAGATAATAATAATAACTAATATGTATTAAGGACTTATGATTTTCCAGACATAATGCTAAACAGTTTTACACTGATTGTGTCATTTAATTCTCACTGCATCCATATGGAGCAGGTACTGTTATTTTTGCTAATTTATAGATGAAGAAACTGAAGCATAGAGAAGTTAACAGGCTCAAGATCAACCAACTAATAGATGATGGATGCTGAATTTGAAACCATGCATTCTGGCTTCAAGACCATACAAACAAGCAAACACATTGCCATTGCTCACGCAAAACCAATTGTTTCCTGGCATTTGGGTCTAAAAGAAATGGCTCTGGGCCGGACACGGTGGCTCATGCCTGTAATCCCAGCACTTTGGAGGCCGAGGTGGGTGGATCATGAGATCGAGACCATCCTGGCTAACATGGTGAAACCCCGTCTCTACTAAAAATACAAAACATTAGCCAGGCGTGGTGGCACGCACCTGTAGTCCCAGCTACTCAGGAGGCTGAGGCAGGAGAATCACTTGAACCCGGGAAGCAGAGGTTGCAGTGAGCTGAGATCACACCACTGCACTCCAGCCTGGGCGACAGAGCAAGACTCCGTCTCAAAAAAAAAAAAAAAAAAGAAATGGCTCTTTGTGCCCTCATGAATGGAACATAAATGGTACCGAGGCCAGTGCCTGTCCTTTTGAACAGGCTCCATGATGCTAACAAGGCTGAGAGGGCTATGGCTGTTTCTTGTTGGGCCCCTCAATGTGAGCCAAGGCCCCATGCCAAAATGCAATTCAGTAAAAGTGAGTAATAGTAAAAGGGGCCAAAACAATATGGCTCAAGTATTTAGTTTGATGGTTTACCTTGATCTTGAGATATAATCTAAACTATCTGGAGAGATGGATGGACTTCATGTCCTTCAGGCAATCCTCCATGGAGCCTCCTTAGCTGTAAACATTCCTTGAGCACTGCTGTGCTGAAGGAAAAAGAAAAATCATAACCATATAGGATGGAGATCATAAATCTGGAGTGAAACTAATCTCAGTTGTGCCTTCAATGTCACTCAGCAGTCCTATTACATGTGCTTCTCCCATTTCCCTCAGCTGCTGTTCTAAACTTTCTCCACTCTTCAAAACTCTCAATCTTCTCTTTTTTGGGATGACCCTGCTTCTAATTTAGGGACTCTCAGCTATCAGGAGCAGCTTCTTTCATTTCCCTGTCCATTCACCCATAAGCCCACCTGTGTCTGCATCCAGTTTTTCTTTGTCCTCATTTCTAGCAAAACACAATTTTCCTATCAAAGACCAGCCCATCCACTGGTGCGATGGAAATTATTCTACCTTGTCTCCTTAGGAAATTTGCATTATCAGTGTTCTTTTCTTAACTTCTGTGTCCCATTGGTTATTCTCCATTAGCTAAGAATATGTTCATCCTTTTCATTAAGGAAGAAACCCCTTTAGTAACCCATTTATTTAGCACCCTCATGCCTCTTCCTTTGATAACTAATTTTTTTAGAAAGTGCAACCTAAATTTGCTATCTATGATTCCACATCATCCACTCACTCTGATCCATTCTAACCTGGCTCTACCCGTATCACTGCAGAGACAGTCTTGCTTCACCTTCTAACCCAATGGAATAAGTGTTGTTATTATTCTGACTCTTCTTCCATTCTTGGAGCTCTGGCTTTGTCTATTTTCTCTTTCACCTGGCTTACCTCCTTCCTCACTGGCTGCTCCTCATCCAGTGCCTTGGTTGGTTTCTGTTTGTTTGCCCTCCTTTTAAATGTCAGTGTCTTACTGTCCGTCTTTATTCACTTTTGGGGGGATCTTGTCCCTACCACAGTTTAACATCTAAAACTCTACCCTAAAGAGAAGTCAAATTATCTCTGTTTGCAGATAACGTGATCGTATATTTGGAAAAACCTAAACATTCCATTGAAGAAATATTAGAGCTGATAAATTCAGTAAAGTTGCAGTATACAAAATCAGCAGACAAAAATCAGTAACATTTCTATATGCCAACAGCAAACAATCTGAAAAAAAATCAAGAAAGAAAAAGTAAATCAAGAAAGCATTTGTAGCATTTACAATAGCTACAAATAAAATTAAATTCCTAGGAATTAACCAAAGAAGTGAAAGTTCTCTACAATGAAAACTATAAGACACCAATGAAAGAAATTAAAAAGGACACACAAAAAATGGAAAGATACTTCATTTTCATGAATTGGAAGAGTCAATATTGTCAAAATGTCCATACTGTCCAAAGAATCTACAGATTCAATGCAATTCCTGTCAAAATACTCATGACATTCTTCACAGAAAAAGAAAAAACAACCTTAAAATTTATATGGAACCACAAAAGACCCAGAATAGCCAAAGCTATCTTCAGCAAAAGGAGCAAGATTGGAGGAATAACATTACCTGACTTCAAATTACTCTACAGAGCTATAGTAACCAAAACAGCATGGTACTGACATAAAAACAGTCACCTAGATCAGTGGAACAGACTGGAGAACTCAGAAACAAATTCATATATCTACAGTGAACTTCTTTTTGACAAAGGCGGCAAGAACATACAGGGGGAAAGGACAGTCTCTTCAATAAATGATGCTGGGAAAACTGGATATCCATATTCAGAAGAATAAAACTAGACCCCTATGTCTTACCATATTAAAAAAATCAAATCAAAATCCATTAAAGATTTAAATCTAAGGCCTCAAACTATGAATCTAATGAAAGAAAACATTGGGGAATCTCTCCTGGACATTGGTCTAGGCAAAGATTTATTGAGTAATACCTCATGGGCATTGGCAACCAAAGCAAAAATGGACAAATCAAGTTAAAAAGCTTCTGCACAGCAAAGGATACAATCAACAAAGTGAAGAGACAGCCCACAATAAATCAAAACTACAATGAGCTATCATCTCATTCCAGTTAAAATGGCTTTTATCCAAAAGTCAGATAATAACAAATGCTAGTGATGATGTGGAGAAAGGCGAATCCTTGTATATATTGTTGATGAGAATGTAAATTAGTACAACCATTATGGAGAATGGTTTGGAGGTTCATCAAAAAACTAAAAATAGAGCTACCATATGATCCAGCAATCCCATTGCTAGGTATATACCCCAAAAGAAAATAAATGAGTATATTGGAGGGATATCTGCATTCCCACATTTATAGCAGCACTATTCACAATAACCAAAATTCGGAAGCAACCTAAGTGTCCATCAACAGGCAAATAGATAAAGAAAATGTGGTACATATACACAATAGAGCACTATTACACCATAAAAAAGAATGAAATCTTGTCATTTGCAACAGCATAGATGGAACCAGAGATCCTTATGTTAAGTGAAATAAACCAGGCACAGAAAGACAAACATCACACGTTCTCACTTATTTGTGGGAGTTAAAAATTAAAATAATTGAACTCATAGAGATAGAGAGCAGAATGATGGTTTACTAGAGGCTGGGAAGGGTAGTGGCGGACTTGGGGTTGGGGAGTGGGATGGTTAATGGGTAGCAAAAAATAGAAGAATGAGTGAGATCTAGTACTTGATAGCACAGTAGGGTGATCATAGTCAATACTAATTTAACTGTACATTTAAAAATAACTAAAAGAGTGGCCAGGCGCGGTGGCTCACGCCTGCACTCCCAGCACTTTGGGAGGCCGAGGTGGGTGGATCATGAGGTCAGGAGATCGAGACCATCCTGGCTAACACGGTGAAACCCCATCTCTAACAAAAATACAAAAAAACATTAGCCGGGCATGGTGGTGGGTGCCTGTAGTCCCAGCTACTCGGGAGGCTGAGGTAGGAGAATGACGTGAACCCGGGAGGCAGAGCTTGCAGTGAGCTGAGATCGTGCCACTGCACTCCAGCCTGGGCGACAGAGCAAGACTCCATCTCAAAAAAAAAAAAAAAACAAAAAAAAAAAAACAAAAAAAAAAACTAAAAGAGTGTAATTGGATTGTTTGTAACACAAAGGATAAATGCTTGAGGTGATGGATACTCCATTTACCATGATGTGATTATTATGCATCATATGCCTATATAAAATTATTTTATTTTATGTACCCCAGAAATATACATACCCACTGTATACCCACAAAAATTAAAATTAAAAAGAAAAAAAATGGGAAGAAAAAACGGAGTATAGTAAAATAAATAAATAAATCTCTTTCCTAAGCTCTAGTCCCTTCCACACCAACTGTTTTCTGAATAGTTCCATTTCGATATCCTACAGGCTTTGCAAACTCAGTATGTCCAGAATTGAACTCGTTAATCTCCGCTTAGTTGTCTATTCCCAGTTACTCTACAAAACCTATTCTTCTTTCTGTGGTCTTTACATTATATTTATTTATTTATTATTTATTTTTTTGAGACAGAGTCTTGCTCTGTTGCCCAGACTGGAGTACAGTGGCATGATCTCAGCTCACTGTAACCTCTGCCTCTCAGGTTCAAGAGATTCTCCTGCCTCAGCCTCCTGAGTAGCTAGGACTACAGGTATGTGCCACCTCTTTACATTATATTTATACTCTTTATATTAGTGAAGGTTTCGACTCTCTACCCCGTTTCCCAAGCCAAACGTTTGGGAGCCTTTGATTCCTTTCTCACCTTCTAAACAATATATCCTATTTATTCTTCTTGCATCTCTCCTTTATTTTATGGGCTATGAGGTCACCTGATGAAGTCCGTGAACTTCCTTAACTACTGCAATACAATGCATGACATTTGCCTGGCCTCCAAGAATTTTCTTCTCCAATTCTCCTTTCACTGTGGCCCTGGAACTCGAAGAAAAATTTGATGTTACTCCCTTGATTACAATTGATCTTTAGCATCTTGTAACTCAGCACACAATTTAAAACTTTTTGTCTACCTGGAAAACACCTATTCATGTTTCTTCTTCCTCTGGGGAGATTTCCAGGACGGATTTAGACATGTTATCCTAATCTGCCATTCAACTTTGGGGATCATCCAACTCTCGTATTTTCATGTTTGCAAGTCTGATTCTCCGGTTGTTTAAATGACTTGAGAGCAAGTCCTTGCCTTCTTAACTTTGTATCCATGGCATGTAGTATAGTTTTAGTGAATGAAGAAAATGTATGTGTGTGTGTGTGTGTGTGTGTGTGTGTATGTGCGTGTGTATTTTTATGTACATAATTGCAATGCAATGACTAGTAAAAAAAAATTGCCTGGGGAATCTCAAAGCATGCCCTGCCAAAATTAAAATCAGAATGCCTACTTGATTACATATATAACTTTTGAGACGCACTTAGGGATGTATCCTGACTACAGTTTATGCCACAGTAAG
This sequence comes from Homo sapiens, assembly GCF_000001405.40. NCBI lineage: Eukaryota > Metazoa > Chordata > Mammalia > Primates > Hominidae > Homo > Homo sapiens. The sequence goes on along the minus strand of NC_000009.12, from coordinate 1,984,012 downwards.
AATGTGTTCCACCACCGAAACATGCACACACTTTTAAGAGCTCTGTATTATGGTGGTGATTCTGCTTAATGTTTTTGACCAACAGACTCCAACAATCCCCATGAATTAGCTGCAGTATACGTTGGGAAAGAGATTAGGTGAGGTCCGTGTAATACTCTGCTGAGGCGCTCTTCTTCAAGGGAGACCAGTTTCAGTATTTCTAACAATAGACCCCTCAGCTCCCACAGATTTTTCAGACGTTCATCTGAGTCCATCAAATGCTGAGGCTGAAGAGACACAAGCCCCTTTCCACGATTATAGCTGTCACCACTGGCCTGTGTGTAGGGTCGGGGAAGACCGGTGGCATTTTCTTTTTTAGAGAGATGTTTTTTACACTTGTTCTCTGAACTTTCTCTTTAATTTCTCTCACCCCAACAAGAGACCAAAATTAATTATTTCCTCATAGTAAGTCTTTCTCCCTCTCAATGGCAATACTAAATACAAATTGGAAGTATTATACATTGAGTAATGAAAAAATGTTAGGATTTACTAGAAAAGCTAAGAGATCATTTGAATTTAATAGTTGCTGTTGTTACCCAGTGCTGTGGAGGGAGATGATTTGGCATGGACTCCCATTTGCAAGCTGGGTAACCTGAGGCAAATCTCTTACCCTCTGTCTCTCATCCTTTGTTTCCTGTTTGACACTGAGGTTTGTTTTTCAGGGGGAAAAGAACCTCTAACTTAATCTGCCTATTTAAGGTCTTTTGTTTCAGTCCCTGTGAAAATTCAACCCCCAAGTAATTTGTTACTTCAGTCAGTATACAATTAACACACTATTGGAGGTTTATTAGCTGATAACTTCATCATTGCCACAGTTTTTCAAATTGATTTAATAATGGATGAAGCTAGGCCTAGAAGATGCTTTATGCATTTGACTTCTATCCTGGCTTAGGGCCTCATTAAAATTTGAATTTTGATGGTTAGCTTGTATTTTAACCAATAAACTAATTATCCCTCTACTTTTTAATCCTTAAAAGAAAATCAAATTTTTAATTAAAACAGAATCAGAAGAAGTCATAGTTTAGAAGGATGCAAATAACAGGAAAAGAGGGAAAAAGGCAGATTGTCAATGACTCTTAGAGAAATGTGTGCTATGGCAACTGGTATTTATTGGTCAAGACCAAAGTAATTTACAATTTACAATTTTTTTAAAAAAGATGTTCATATTTTTGCTTATTAGTGCTGTGAAGAATCAGTACTACAAATGGCACGATTAAACAAGGGATTCCTTTTTTTTACCTGCTTCACAAAATTGTTATAAGAATTAAATGTGGTAACATATATGAAAGCAATTTGCCGATTACAAAGTTCTCCATAAATGTGTAGTATTGCCACAGCAGCCATTTCTTAGAGACTATCAACTTTTAGGTCACTAATTTCTATGTGGCTTCATGGGCTTTAATTCAATGAGTTTCAGGAAAAAATAGGCCTTGATCAGTGCTGCAGAATGTGCCCCCATAAGAATACCAAATATACTGCCTGCAGAGTATTTTATTTGCTTTAAGGCCAAAGATCTTTTTCTTATTTTAAAAAATACATAAGACTTTCTGTTTATGAAACAATAAGTGGCAATGACAACTCTCAAGACTGAAAGCACTATTGTCTCATTTTAAGAACCACCTTCTTATTAGGAGAGGATGTTGTTGGCAGGAATGAATAATTAGGTAACTGTTTGTGGGCACATTTTCTTCAAGTCCCAAGGGGAACGTACAATTGTAACATCTCCTTGGATTATTTCACAAACATATGGCAAATGAAGCACCTGAGCCAGATGTACAAGCATATTATAGTATGTCTGTTTTAACTTAAAACTGTGAAATACATCAGATGGTGAAGTTATTTTGGTTGTGAACATCCATCATGGAAACAGTATGGAAGCATCTTTTCTTTGTTGTCCATTTTACTTGGACTGGAAATAATCAAGAACAAAACAGTTTGGAAATCCTCATTTGCAGTACAAGATTCCAGGTAAATTCAAGACCTAATGAAGTACATGGTCTGGGTTTAGCTGGGCCTCAGACATCCCCACATAGTTTGTTAATGCCTATCACCAATATTCACTGCTGGCAGGCCTGGAGTCTCAGATTACCCATGATTACTTTCAGTTCTTTTTTTCCCCTTCATCTTGTGTTTTTACTCCTCTGGACATGCATATGTGTTATTTAGTAGGTATTTTTTAAATAATGAGAATATATTTTCTACTGATTCAGTAGGGAGTTTTTGCTGTTTTTATTTTTAACCCTATTTTATTATTACAACATTGGTTGTTTATTTTACTAAACAGTCATCATCTGGTATTGGCTTCTTGGAATCATAGTAATCTAAGCAGAAATGCCCATCCCATTTGCTAGTGGGAACACTGTATTTTAAAATGAATGGTATACTTTTTAATCTGATTTACTCATGTTTCAGAATTAGAAGCTATAGATGCCACAGAACCCGCAAGTGTACAGTAAGAAAATAAGAATACACAGCCATGGGCAACTATATTTTCCCTTCAATGCATATGCGCTAATTCCATTAGCATTAATGAGTTCCCTGCACATGTACTTAAGAGAATGTGGACCAAGTCACAACGTAATCTATTTCTTTATCCAGGTTAAAGAAAGTGGCAGGGCGGCGGGACTTGCATTGTACTCCTGAGCTTTTCCTGAGAATTAGAATTATACAGGGCTGAGAGCATGCAAACAGTATGGTGGCAGTGACACCAGGGAAAAGGCACTTACTTTTTACAGCCAGTATGGCATACAGCAGAGATTTGGGGGTTGAATTACTATGGTTGGCAAATGTTGAAGCTGACAATAGAGGTCCACAGAGTCCTGGATATTCTGGCTTTGTGTTGCATCAAAATAAGGAAACAAAATATTTATGAACTTAATTCTGCCTCTCATTTTCCCGCCCTTGAAATGGCAATTCTCTGCATGATGATATGTATAGATGTGCAGTTCAGATGTGTTCCTAGCCAACACAGCATTGCCTAATGCGGTGCACCTGTGTTTTCTTGGTCACCCTGTTGTCACCAGGGTATGTTAAAGCACTCTCTCCAAAATAATTGAGTAGGAGGCAGGGCAGGGAGTGTCAGGGAAGGGGGCAGGATCTCTCCTCTCCCTTTATTTCTAATGTCTTCTCATTTGGAAAGCCTTGGAAAGTAGATGTAATTTCAAGTGACAATGTCAGGTTTATCCCAGTTCAGAGATGTTGATAAATCCTGGTATGGGACTGTGGTGACCCTGTGTGCCCTCATACGCTACCTGTCTCACAGGGATGTAGCTATATTTATAAAACACACATCTAATATTGCAGAACTGCTGAGGTCAGGGCATCTGAACCACACAGTATCAGGCATACAACCACACAAAACTTTGCATCACACAGAGGCCCCCTTTGTAAAGCTGCTAACCCAAGAACCTCTCTCCCAGATCAGTAAGGCCTCCAGTGTATTAATGACCCTTAACCTGAGCAAGCTCAGCACTCTGATGAGTCTGAGAAATGGACTTGTAGCATTGGGAGAAGCCACAGAAAGCTAAACAAAATGACTAGCAATGAAGGCAGACAACAAAACAAAGACACTGAATTTGTGCCCTTACCTTCATTTTCCCCCTGAAGATTTAAACTTCTGATGGTAAAAGCAATAATATTCTGACCTTAGAGGGCTGAGGTTCTGTGGCCAGTGGTTGTTTAAAGGATCATTCCTCAGCGGCACTGTATCACCAGCCCTAGCAGCGGCGGCGGTGGCGACAACAACCACAAAAACTGGAGTTCAGTCATATTGGCATCAGATTCTGGAAAGGGGAGGGCAGGGAGAGAGGGAGTCTATTGGCCTAAAAAGCTGAAACATCTGCTGGAGTTATTAACAGCTTTTTGGCTGAGTTCAGCAGCAGGGCACCTTGTGGTTGATAGATTCTTCTCTCAGCAATTCAAAACAATGCAGTTAAAGCAAATTCCTCATTTTCAGAGCCCAGCTTAATGAGGCATACAGTATTTTAAAAATAGTCACACTTAAAATGGTCAATAGCAGTGACTGCAATCAGTGGTTACCTTCAACACTCTATTGCGTTGTTAACTTTGCCAGGGTGATTGCATAACACGGATTTTTCAAAAGACCATGTAGCTCACTGTTTACTCACTTTGTAGGAATTTACATTATTTATGAAGTTTATGCAGATCATTCTAGGGTGTAAATATTGGCAAACTTGATCAAAACCACTTAGAGGCCTCATGGCTATCCTTTCCCAAAAGTGTGCATTAAGCCACTGTAGGCTCAGAGGTCCAATTCCTAGGAAAGTTTCCAAGGGGCCAAATTTTGAAGACAAAATGAAAGGAAACATATGAACAGCGTGAGCTGGAAAAAGCACAGAGTTGGAAGTCAGGGTCGAAGGTTCTAGCTCTAGTCCTGATACTAACTGGCTGTGTGAGTCCTTGTGGGAGTCACTCAATCTTTCTGCTTCAATTTCTTTCTGTATAAAATTATGGGGCCAATTAAAGGGAATGTCTCCAGATGTTTCCATCCAGCTCTGCCATCTTGGGAACTATGGAGTTCAAATCCAATTTTAAAGTATTCTCCTTATGATAGCCATGAATTGTAACCACACTGAAGACTGTTCACCAATATCTGACAGTGTGTGTGGTATTTGGGTAGGGGCATCAGAAAAACAAACTGCAAAGTTAAATAGCTCTGTCAGTCACTTCAAGTGAACGCACCATATGCTGCAACAGACGTGGGCAAAGTACAACCAGCCCCAGCTGGATTTGCTAGCCTGTTAGTTTATCTGGCCAGATGACAGTGTCCAGCCCCAAAAAGGGTCATGCGCAGCTTTGCATCCTACTGATCCAGCATGCTAACTTTGGCAGAAGGAAGAGGGTGGCAAGGGAGAGGGAAGGCAGACCAGTGGTGAGTCAACATCTGTGACAGAGCTGAAGCGAGCCTCACTCCTCTTTCATCACTTGCCTAGGACGTGGAAAGAGAGGAGAGAGAGTTTGCCAAGTTATTGTTTCCTCAGGCAAATAAATGATCTGATCCCCAGTTGCAGAGGAAAATCACAGAACGGTGCCCTCCTTTCTGCATTCTGGTCCAAGGATCTCTAAGGACAGAGAAAGAATTCTTCTCTATTAAACATTTTTTTCTGGTTAGTTCTAAGATACAGTTAAATCCTCATAGGGTCTTATGAATGTGATGGTGTTTCTAGTCTCTATCACCAGTTTCTACCATTAAAGCTAAGGGTGCATTGTCCAAGGTCAAATTGATTTGTCTGCTCCTCTACCTCAGTAAGAATCTCAGGTTTTGCTGAAACCTGCTGGGAGCATTGTACAAGTTAAATGAATAAAAACAAATCAAAGCCTTTCCACACTGCCTGAAGGGCTCATATGGTGTGGCCCTTGATTCCTGAATAAACTTAAAGGGAAATCATCACAATATCAAGAGCCCTTGTCCTGCAGATGAAGAAGGAGATTGTCCTCCACTTCCTTGCTGCAGAAGCCGCTTGGTTGGTACCTGGTTTGACTTTTAGATGAAACCCTGTATCTATAGAAGAAAGCCTCAGACCACTCAGCTGGGAGATGCTTCTGATGGCAGCTTGGGCCTTTGTTGTCACTGAAAACAGAACTGATGTCATGACTTGTCCTCCATGAATGCCAGCCAAGGTGTTGTTCTGAGGTTGCTGTTGCCAGCAGAGACTCATCCATTGCTGAGCAATTAAATCCTGAACCCTGTTTAACCAGATCCAAATAGCTTTCAAGAAGCCTCAGTTTTGGTGGCTATCAATCCCAGGGCTGATCACTGGCCTCTCACAGGGGCATCTTCTGTGGACCTGTGGTTCTGTGGCAAAGGTGGTGGTCTATGTGCCTGTCTTATATGGACACTGAAATCTTGTGTAAAGTAAGGGAGCTCCCAGTGTGTCTGCAATGGGAGGAATACTGACCCAGGAAGTTCTGCATGTGCAGAGTATATCTTCCACAAACTCCCAGGTGAAGCTGTACCTAGACTCTCCTTCAGCACAGATACAGATGAGATGGGAAAGTCCCAATTTCTCCTGAAAAGATAGTGACCTGGGTTTCAGAGGAAATGAACCGCCCAGCTCCCAAATCCATTGCTGCTGAACTTGGGATTGCAGATTGGTCTAAAGGCCCACATATCTCATGCAACCTGTTTAGCAGTCTCTTATTGAAGCCTGAGGGCTCAAGCTGCTGCTGAAGATTGTCTGCAGCTCCCACACCATGGGACACGGAGTGAATAGTCACAGCCACAGCCACAACCACACAATGACCTTAAACTGGCCTTTTATCAGTTCTTTTTTTTTTTTTTTTTTTTTTTTTGAGACGGAGTTTCACTATTGTTGCCCAGGCTGGAGTGCAATGGTGTGATCTTGGCTCACCGCAACCTCTGCCTCCCGGGTTCAAGCTATTCTCCTGCCTCAGCCTCCTGAGTAGCAGAGATTACACAGGTATATGCCACCACACCCAGCTAATTTTGTATTTTTAGTAGAGATGGGGTTTCTGCATGTTGGTCAGGCTAGTCTCGAACTGCCAACCTCAGGTGATCCGTCCGCCTCGGCCTCCCAAAGTGCTGGGATTACGGGCATGAGCCACCACGTCTGGCCTTATCAGTCCTTAAAGAGAATACTGAAATAGGTTGATTGGAAAAAATATCAATTTAGTGTTTTACACACACACACACACACATACACACACTTACTCCAACAGATCTGTGTCAAAAGGCAAGTGTAGACATGCCCCTTCATCTGTGTCACCTAGAGCATGGATGTTGATTTTCTAGAAATACATGCATTTTAAACACAACATCACCTGTCAAGTCAGGGCATGCATGAGACCCAACAGCAAATCTTTTTTTTTTTTGTATTGCTGAATAAAAAGCAATAGTATCTTATTTGAACTTTGCCATATTTGACAATTACCATATTAAAATATAATTCTAATTCTAATGCTTCAAATACATGTGTTTAGTAAAATTAAGAAGTAGAAATTAGGAAACCTGTGGGCTATCTTTATTTCAGCCAAGAGGCTAGTAGTTAATTTTGAGTGAGTTGCTCCACCTCTGTGTAATAATCTGCCTTTTTCCAAAGTAAAGTAAAACTCAGTATTGTTATCACTTACTGTTATAAGACATCATACTTTTTTCAGAGTTAATGTGAAAGTGCTGGGGTTTAACAATAATTGAATTACCACCTAATATCTTATAATCATTAGAATTATTACTTTATAATCTGAAATGAGTCTCATAATAATTCATTACTTAAAGAAAGAATATTTCTTAGGGCTGCTACATAGATGAAAGATAAAGGAGATAATGCAATCTTGGTATTGCACAGCAAAGAAACGATATCCTTGTAGCATTCCAGGGGGACTTTAGGGGTCACCTGCTGTAATCTCATTGTTAAATAGGGAAGATAGTCTTAGAGAGGCTAAGCCACTTGTCTAAGATTACACAGTGAAGTTGTTCTGCAACATATTCTATTTCTCAGTGTAGTTTTAATGATAAAACTACACTCTCTTATAAGACATGTTATCAAAGATATAGTAAGTAATTAAGATAGGACTCTAAGGCAGTGTCTACCTTTTGTCTCTCTTTTACATACTCCCCCTGCCAGTACCGTTAGCAAAGAGAAGAGTGTCTACGGCTGTCCAAAAAGAGTAGAAAATTTTGCTCTCAAAATCGTCTATATTGATATCCAATGTTAATCTTTATCAATTCACCGATGAATAAGTAAATATTTTGATCTTCTGAAATATACAAGGATAAACAGTAGTTTCAACCATAGGAAGGGGCTCTGGGGAAAAGATACCAATATTGTTGAGTATTCCAGACACTTTGCTAAGAGCTTTTTAAAATATGCAGTTGAGGCCAGGCGCGGTGGATTACACCTGTAATTCCAGCACTTTGGGAGGCCAAGGGGGGGTGCTGATCACCTGAGTTCAGGAGTTCAAGACCAGCCTGGCCAACGTGGTGAAACCCCATCTCTATTAAAAATACGAAAATTAGCCAGGCGCGGTGGTGGCACCTGTAATCCCAGCTACTTGGGAGGCTGAGGCAGGAGAATCTCTTGAACCTGGGAGGCGGAAGTTGCAGTAAACCGAGATCGTGCCACTGCACTCCAGCCTGGGCAACAGAGTGAGACTCCATCTAAAAAAAAAATGCAGTTGATTTTAATTATCTAAATCCTATAAGGTAGGTACTTTTTTACATATAAAGAAACTGAGACCCAGAGAGGGGTAGTACACTGCCTAACATTACATTATTACTACATGGTAGAGAGAAACTTTAATCCCAGGTTTGCCTAACTTGGCCTCTTCATTTACCCATATGTGCAATACATATGCAGAAGGATATACGTTCAAAGAAATATACATAGTAAGTGTTGGGCATTACAGATAATGCCTGTCATGAGAGCTCCAAGGAGCTATCACTTGATATCCCTGGGAATGAGACAAAGGTAACTCATGTCAGATTAGAGTGGTCAAGTATTATGTTTCGCTGAAAATGTGTGAAGAGCCAAGTCTTGAGGAATGGGTAGGATTTGATAGGAAAATATGATAGGGAGGAATATTTTACTTTGAGAAAATAGATTCTATCAGGGAGTGCAAAGTAAAGAAGCATGAGTACATCATCTTAGTTAAAAACAAAGGTTCCCTTTGGGAAGTCATAAAACAAGACCAGGAAGGAAGCTTGGATTTGGACTCCGAAGAATTGAACGCCAGAGTAAAGAGTTTGGCAATAGCAGACATGTTCCTTGGATATAAATTAGAAGAGAATCAGAGAAAGGAGGCAGAGAGAATGTCTCAGATTTTACTATGATAGTCCAGGCATGAAGTGGTCATAGTGATGGTGGTAATACAATAAAAATAAACTTAAAGGAACTTTCAGGGCAAAATAAGCACTGTTACCAGGAGATGTGGGAATTGATTGTAAATTAATGGAAGTATCTGGGATAATAAAAGTTTTCCAAATTGTTATGCTTGGATTCATGTGTTGAACATTCTATTGTTTAACACCTACTATATATGCGGTGCTATTCTGTTCTCCAGAGATAGAGCAAGTGAACCAGACAGCCACTCTGTGCTATTAGAGACCTTACATTCTAGTGGATGATCTGGGGACTGAGGCTTAGGATGATAGAAATGGGGACCTCATGAGGAATGAGTGGTTTTTGTCAAGAAGATAATGAGTTGGAGGTGAGATCAGAGCAGCTCAGGTTAAAATGTAGATTAGGCGGGTGATGGAAAAGAAAAATATCTTAGTAGAAAGATCGGGGTTGGGAAAATAAATTAGAAAGCCCTGTAGAGGGAGTAAACCAAGTATCAAATCATTCCCAAGTTATAAACTGCTGCCTTCACAATCCCCTGTACATGCCCTCTCCATCTGCCTTTCTCATTAGACTTATCCCATCGCCTGAACCCAGATTTCTTTAGTGCACTTTTTTAAATGTCACTAAATTTTTGCCTATCAAGGAAACATAAAATGTGAATAATCCTATTTGCTTATAACAGAGGAAGATATCCAACTATGTCTGATTGCTTTAGGAGACTTACAAAATATTTTCATTCCATGTAATTCTTTAGGGCAGTGCTTCTCAAAATTTAACATGCATACAAGTAATCTGAAGATCATGTTAAAATGCACCTACTGATTCAGTATGTCTGGGATGGGGCCCTCAATTCTGCATGCCTAAGCTTCCAGGTGCTGCTGCTGCTCGTGGTCCTCAGACCTAACTTTGATGCTTTGGCATCATTATGTTATTAAATCTCATAATCTCATACTGTCCTCTGCCACAGATGATATTGAAAACAACTGTTGTTATCTTGTAGGTATAAACATATTCAAGTAAAGATGATGAAACCAAATGAATTTAAACTCTGTGGAAGAAAAGGCATATAGATTTTTTTTTTTTTTTTTTTTGAGACGGAGTGTCGCTCAGTCACTCAGGCTGGAGTGCAGTGGCGCCATCTCAGCTCACTGCAAGCTCTGCCTCCCGGGTTCACACCATTCTCCTGCCTCAGCCTCCCGAGTAGCTGGGACTACAGGCGTCCACCACCATGCCTGGCTAATTTTTTTGTATTTTTAGTAGAGATGGGGTTTCACTGTATTAGCCAGGATGGTCTCGATCTCCTGACCTTGTGATCCGCCCGCCTCAGCCTCCCAAAGTGCTGGGATTACAGGCATGAGCCACCGTGCCCAGCAGATTTTTTTTTTATATAGCCAAGAGTATGAAATTAATGGCCAAAAAGAAGAGCAAACATATTATGGGGAGTGACTTCCAGACTGGGGGCTGTGAAGAAGTCTCATGGAAAAGGATACATTTCAGCAGGTTGGGATTATGGTAGGCAAAGAAGAAGAGAAAAATAATTCACATTTAGAAGATGGCATCAGTGCCATATTATTCTGATAACTATAGATTTGTAGCACACTTTAGCATCTTAATGAAAAGGCCCTCTCATTACTCTGATCTCTCAAACTTTTCTGCTTTTTTCTTTGTCATTTTGTTTTGATTTCATGTGAACCCTAAGTCATCAACAAGTTTCAAAAAATATATCGAGATTGGTTGGATTTAATTAAGTTTAGGGACTATCTGAAGAAGCTTTGATATTTCTCTAATATTACATCTTCCTGTTGTTATGTGTATTAGTCTGTTCTCACACTGCTAATAAAGACTTAACCAAGACTGGGTAATTTATAAAGGAAAGAAGTTTAATGGACTTACAGTTCTCCGTGGCTGGGGAGGCCTCAAAATCATGATGGAAGGCAAAGAAGAAGCAAAGGCATGTCTTACATGGCAGCAGGCAAGAGAGCATGTGCAGGGGAACTCCCCTTTGTAAAACCATCAGATCTCATGAGACTTGTTCAATATCATGAGAACAGCATAGTAAAGACCCGCCCCCATGATTTAATTACCTCCCACTAGGTCCCTTTCACATCATGTGGGAATTATGGGAGCTACAGTTCAAGATAAGTTTTGGGTGGGAACACAGCCAAACCATGTCATTCTGCCCCTGGCCCCTCCCAATTCTCATGTCCTCACATTTCAAAACCAATCCTGCCTTCCCAATAGTTCCCCAAAATCTTAACTCATTTCAGCATTAACTAAAAGTCCACAGTCCAAAGTCTCATCTGAGACAAGGCAAGCCACTTCCACCTATAAGCCTATAAAATCAAAAGCAAGTTAGTTACTTCCTAGATACAATGGGAGTATAGGCATGGGGCAAATATACTCATTCCAAATGAGAGAAATTGGCCAAAATGAAGGAGATGCAGGCCCCATGCAAGTCCAAAATCCAACAAGGCAGTAACTAAACCTTAAAGTTCTGAAATAATCTCCTTTGACTCCATGTCTCACATTCAGGTCACGCTGATGCAAGAGGTAGGTTCCACAGCCTTGGGTAAGTCTTTCCCTACAGCTTTGCAGGTTACAGCCCCCCTCCTGGCTGCTTTCATGGGCTGGTGTTGTCTGTGGCTTTTCCAAGCACATGGTGCAAGCTGTCAGTGGATCTATCATTCTAGGGTCTGGAGGACAGTGGCCCTCCTCTCACAGCTCCATTAGGCAGTGCCTCAGTGGAAACTCTGTGTGGGGACTCTGACTCCACATTTCCCTTTTGCACTGCCCTAACAGAGGTTCTCCATGAAGACCCCACTTCTGTAGCAAACTTCTGCCTGGACATCCAGGCGTTTCCATGCATCCTCTGAAATCTAGGTGGAGGTTCCCAAACCTCAATTCTTGACTTCTATGCACACGCAGACTCAAGACCATGTGGAAGCTGCCAAGGCTTGGGGCTTGCGTGCTCTGAAGCCATGGCCTGAGCTGTACCTTGGCCCCTTTTAGCCATGGCTGGTGCAGCTGGGAGCAGAGCACCAAGTCCCTAAACTGCACACAGCAGGGGGGCCCTTCCCTATGCTCAGCCCATGAACCCATTTTTTCTCCTAGGCCTCTGGGCCTGTGATGGGAGGGGCTGCCTACAAGGTCTCTGGCATGGAGACATTTTCCCCATTGTCTTGGTGATTAACATTGGGGTCCTTGTTACCTATGCAAATTTCTGCAGCAGGCTTGAATTTCTCCCCAGAAAATGGTTTTTTCTTTTCTATTGCATTGTCAGGCTGCATGTTTTCCAAACTTTTATGCTCTGCTTCCTCCTGAATGCTTTGCTGCTTAGAAGTTTCCTCCACCAAATAGCCTAAATCATCTCTCTCAAGTTCGAAGTTTCACAGATCTCTAGGGCAGGGGCAAAATGCTGCCAGTCTGTTTGTATAGCAAGAGTGACCTTTATTCTAGTTCCCAACAAGTTCCTCATCTCCAACTGAGACCACCTCAGCCTGAACCTTATTGTCCATATCACTATCAGCATTTTGGTCAAAGCCATTCAATAAGTCTCTAGGAAGTTCTAAACTTTCCCACATCTTCTTGTCTTCTGAGTGCTCCAAATCTCTAGGAAGTTCCAAACTTTCCCACATTTTCCTGTCTTCTTCTGAGCCCTCCAAATTGTTCCAACCTCTGCCTGTTACCCAGTTCCAAAGTCACTTCCACCTTTTCCGGTATCTTTACAGCAGTGCCTCACTCTCTGTGGTATCAATTTACTGAACTAGTCCGTTCTCATGCTGCTATAAAGAACTACCCAAGACTTTGTAATTTATAATGGAAAGAGGTTTAATGGACTCACAGTTCCACATGGCTGGGGAGGCCTCACGATTGTGGTGGAAGGCAAAGAAGAAGCAAAGGCATGTTTCCCAGGAAAAAGTTAAAAGCTTTTCTTCTAAGGAGGTAAATGGAAAAAATAACTATGTAGATATTTGATATAGAGGCTAGGAATTTTGTTTGCTTGATTTTTGTGGATGGAACTGAGGAAGCAAAGTAAGTTGACTTATTCTTAATCTCCAATTTACTTTTAGTCTCTGTTCCTTGACTGAACCATAGGATTTGCCTAAAGTTCTGTGAATTTATCTTGTTCTTCATTTATCTTCTAAATATTTACATTTCTCTCCAAAAAGTTGTTCAATTGTATTTTAACACTTTCCATCTTAATTATCCTACTCCATAGGGAAAACCAGAATTTCACTGAAGTAGACAACTTAGAATTGGAAACCATTTTGCATCATTTTGTCTAATCTACTCTCTCAAAGTGAAAATTCCTTTTCAGCATCTCTGACATATTTCTAGTGGTGCTACATTGCTACTTCAGAAGGAAGGCAATCATTCTGCGGACTACAGCACAACCATACCTATTTGCATGCCTGTATTAGGTCAGCTGGGATGGGATTCACTGTAAGTAATAGAAACCTCCAAATCAAAATTGTTTAAACACAGATAAAAATGTATTATTTCATCTAAGAAGTAATGAAGTAGGCAAGCTACAGAGCTTGCAAGTTCAGTCTTTCAACACAATGTTTTTTATCTTTCTACTCAGTTATCCTCAGTGTATGAGCTAAGCTCCCCTCGTCACAAGATGGCTGCCATTATTCCAGGCATCACATGTAATCTTTGGACATCCAGCAGAAGGAAACAGGCCATCTCCTGTATAACTCTTTTTTATCAGTGAAGAGACCTTTCCCAGAAACCCTCAGGAGATTTCCCCATCAGTATGGAATACTGGCAATGAACATGGGCTCTGAAACTATGCTGCCTAGGTTTGTATCCTGGCTCAATTTCCTTCCTTGGGTAAGTATTTTTGTCTCTCCGGCTCTTAATTTCCTCAGCTGTATAACTAAGATAGTCATAGAACCTACCTGAAAGGGTTGTTGTTAAGATTAGCATTAATACATGCAAAGCACTTGGAAAAGTGCCTGTCCTATAGTAAGTGCTCAGTAAATGTTTGTTAACATTATGCATTCAATAGTTCTGAGTTACATGTCCACCTCTTAGTTGGTCACTGGCAAAGAGAATGAGGTTAATGATTGGCTTTGATGAGTCAATAGTTATCCTTGAAATGGGGAATAAAGACGTGAGTCTAGATACAGATACATGAATAAAATCTGGGTGCTGTTAACAAGGGAGGCAGAAGTGGGTGGATGGCCCTTGGGGAGGTGAGCAACAATGTCCAACACACAATGCACAACTTGCCATTTGCTTTCATTTGGTTCATTGTCAGTTTGCAGAGAGTAAGTAATGTCAGGAGAAGAAACTCGAGGCAAAGATTATGTTTAACATATATTATTGAGATATTGATAACACACAGACTCAGTCGATTCATGCTTGAATTCTATTAAGTGATATCTGAAAACATATTTAAAATACCTAACAATGGATTACAATATCATCTAAAATACCAGTTTAAAAGAACTTCCATATCTTCATCAATTTGCAAAGATTTTTCTGCCTACCTTTCTCACTTACTTCTGATTAACAACCAGGTGACATGTAAAGAATAGGCATTATCGCCATGTTGCAGATGATGAAATTGAGACCCTTAAAAATCTAGTTAGAAGCTTGAGTATAGAGTAAAAAGCAGCAGAGTTCAAGCTCAAATTCAGGCTACCCATTTCCTAGTAAAAAGTCTTTTTTCTCTATCACAGTGCCATTCCTATAAAATAAAGACATTCTGAAATCTTTTCTTCAGCCATCATTAGCAGTGGCTCACTCCAATCCTGCAGCCAAGAATATGATGTGCCAAGTATATGCCAGTATACGTGAGCACACAGCTGACCATAGCACTCTCAGCAGCATTCATTCTCAGAGAAGTGAACACATGCATTTATGTGTCAATATTCTGTGGAAGGGTTATCTGGTGGCTTTCATTATTATGAACATTCTTTCTTCAAGTGCCCAGTGTTAATTGCTAACTCCTATTGTTTTTTTAACCAAAATTGGCAATGGACTTTTGGGAAACGTGACCACACAGAATATGATGTATGAGAAACCTTTTCACAAAAAGAACTGAGCACTTAAGAAAACAGTTTCATCTTAGAAAGGTAAAAAATTGTTGGATAAATTTCTATAAAAACTATGTAAAATTGCCAGAAACTTACATTTCTTATTTTAGGAAAACCTTCATAATCAATGGAATAGGGTAGTAAGTGACCCTTTAAAAACTTTAACATTGTGATAGATAGTATTCGGTGTGCTTTATAAGACAGTTACAATCATTGTTATTTACATCACGATATGCTCTATGTTTTTGCCAGAGGTTCCAGCTGGGGCCCCTGCCCTCTGGACATCTGGTTAAATGCTTCTGCACTCCATTTCCATGGCCTGTGACAGCCAGAGGCCCTTCCTATAATTTTGAGGTGTTTCTAGGGCTTATGCATTTATGATTCTCTTTGTCTCTATACTCCAAGATCCTGGCAAAATACTTAAGGTCTGCTCCAAATGAGTCAGGTATTAGGCCCCAGTCTCTTTGCTGGTTTCTTAAAAAACAAAACAAAAAATACACTCACTTTAAACATTTTATGAGTTAAATAACCCTGTGGAGGATTCAGAGGTTCACAGTGTAGAGTCTCATTGAGACTCATATAGACTCCCACTGTCTTTTCGATTCCTATCTGGAATAAATGGAATATTACTCCTTCTTTCTCAAATACAACAGATCTCCTAAGCTCCAGTTGCCACATTCTCGCTTTCTCTACCTGAGTGCTTGTCAGGGTATTTTCTCTTAACAATATTCTCTTCCTAGAAGGAAGTCTGGTGTCAACTGTCAGCATCAAACATCATTTTCCCATTTCTTTACATTTGTAACTTACCTTGTCCATGTCTGAGCCATTGTTAAGTATAAATAAAAGATATTATTAAGAGATTACTTGTCCTGGCTTTTCTTCCATTCTTTTCCCAGATGAAATCATAACTTAGACCAAGGATTGGCAAACAGCCTTTGGGCCAAATCTGATCATGCCCAAATGGTCACCGTTTTAAGGACTGCTTTTGCCCTCACCACAGTCGTGGTGTTGAATAGCTGCGGCAGAGACCATATGGCCAACAACACTATAAATATTTACTGTTTGGCTCTTTACAGAAAAAGTTTGCTGACCCCTAATTTTGGCAACTGTCTCGAAAATACTTTACCTGTACCTGAGGCTTTATTGATCACAACATTTTTGCACACCTTATTTATCTTAGTCACCTAACACCTCTAAAATACCTATTCTCCTCATTTCACAGGTGTGAACATTGGAAGTTGACTAGCCCAAGATCACAGGGGTTGTGAATGACAGAGTTGGGATTAGTAAAATGATCTGTATGTACACCCCCAATGGTGCCCTTTGGAGAGGAGATGGGAACTGATCTTCAGCTGATGGAGGAGACACCTATTTATCTTTTAGCTCATTTAGTTGAGGAGGGGTCATTTTTGTCTGGTCCTATTTCATTTACTCCTGAATTCTTGAGATAAATTTGCCAGCTCAGTTCCCTTCCACTAATCTGGCAGGCGGTAGGAGATGCGAAAATGGAAATGAAATAACTGTTGATTCATTCTTCTTATTTTTCCACTCATCTGGAGTTGAATTAGAAGGCACAGAACTGTCCCAGAGTCAAAAGCTAGGCACAGATGCATAGGCACCTCAGAGCCCAGCTGGGGCTCTGGCTTGGTTTTGTCTCTGGTTGAGATCTTCAGCTTGGCGTTCTCACTCAGAATTCAGCGCTCTTTCCACTATATTAAGCAGACTGTTGAATAATGATAGCACAAATGAATGATTATGATTCCAGGAGGAAAACACAAAGGTAGGAAAAGACAAAAGGCGAGTGGGAAATTAGTGTTGGTTTCCAATTCATCGATTCTTCCCCTCGTTGTAAGTGCCTGCTGCTCCCCCCATCAGTAGGTGGGAGAGTGTAAGTCCTCGAATCTAGCGGATGTAGGGACAGGTTTGAGATGAAAGTGCTATGTCAACATTTTTGAGACTAGGTTATAAGATGCTGGCAGCTCGCATTTGGGTATTTTTGAAGGCTCAACCTGAGACACTTCCTCTCAGAAACTACCTGCCATGCTGTGAGAAAATAAAGCTGCAGAGAGAGGACACACGCAGGTGCTCATCTCCCAGCCAACAGCCAGCATCTATATCCAGCCATGTGAAAGTGCCATATTGGATGGCCAGTCCAACAGAGCCTCCAAGGACTGCATGAGAAAGTGCAAGCGAGAAGCATCCAGGCAGCCCATAAAACTTTGAAAGTTAATACATTGTTATTCCAAGTCACCACATATTGGCATAGAGTTTTATGCATCTATAAATAACCAAATAAAAGTTTAGAGATAAAAAGATAATTTTGTTATATATAAGCAACATGAAAATATATTATGAAGTTATTCCAACCCACCAAGTAACTCGCTGTCTAATTACATACAGAAAAGAGAACTCCTCAAAGTTAATGTGACAAAACAAGCTTCCTTTTTTCTTCTTTACTTTTTTTGGGGAAGGGCTAACAGTTGGAGTAGGGGTGGAGGTGAGATGTGGGCAAGTGGAAGAGGTTCTTTTAGCATAATAATGCCTCAAAGTTATACACATTGTTAGCAAGAGAGTTTCCTCATGTAGATGCTTCAGGCATAAGAATCTTATCTTGCTCCTGGGAAAAACTGAAGATGAACAGAATGAAAATTTCAAAATACATTTCCAGGATAGAACCAGGAATGAGGAGAGCTCCAAAGCTTTGATCGAAAAATGTCCCTGGTTAGGGGAAGGGAAAAGGGATAGAAAAGAGAGAAAGAGTGTTGAGGAGACTCCAGGAACTCATGGATTTCCATCTAAAACTTTATATGGCCTGAAAGGCAGTCCTATGAGAAGAGGGAAAAAATGTTTTGCTCTACCTGCTGTAATTCAGGTGTACTTCCAAGTGGAAAATAAAACAAGACTGTCTAGCATCTCACAGTGAGCTATGTCCACACTTTAAGGCCTTGTTAGTGTCTAGATTTCAATGAGCTAGTGTGCTTCACAGGAAGAAGGAGGAGACCGTCTTATAGAATGAGGGGTGCCTGAATGCATCTCCCTTCAACTTTAGAAGGAACAGAGATGTCCCATCATTATGTTGCTTCAGTTTTGAAAGGAGTGTGTTTGTGTGCATATGCATGTGTGTGTGTTCAAGAACAAGGTCAGTTCTCTGGAACACAGGTAAAATAGTCAGTTTCAGTCTCCTCTTCTTCAGCATTTCGCATGCCCACCCCAAGCTTGCTGCTTTACTTTTTTTCTCCCTCCGTCTTGGTGCTGAGTATGCCATTGACCCATCTAGATTTACCTTGCACTCATTTCTACCTGGCTCTGCACAGGGGAAGCTGACTTACAAGAACTTCATCAATGAGTTCCTTTGCTCTACGTCTTTGGTTGCGTTCAGCCAGTGGGGAGCCCTGGAGATAGACTAAAGAGGGGTGGATAAGAGTGAGATCAAGGTATTCATTCCCTTGGCTCTCTACCTAGGTGATAACCTTGGGCCAGTTGTGTCCCGTTTCTAAAAGTCTTAGCTCCTCTTATCGCAAATGTCTCTGAGTGATGCTATCATTTTATGTTCCAGTAATGGCTTCTTCCCTTCCCCTCTTGGCCCTAAGATTGGTAACAGCTGTGCTTTTATTAGCTCAGGGTACTGCACTAACCCTATGGCTTCCCCACACCTCTGTAAATTGTCCCTTTATTAAATTCTCCTGGAATAATCCTAATTGGAGCGTGCCATCTATTTCCTGCTGGGAACCTGACTGATACACTATTCTACACTAGGGTGTAGAATTGGTCTTTTACATCTTATTAAAAAAAATTTAGTTCCACATTTTTCTCTACCTGGACAACTTGTGATTTTAACTCCAACGATGGCATTAAAAGAATTTTGTCGCCAGGAACTTTATGGATAAACAATCAGATGGAGTTTTTGTTGGTGGGGGAGGAAAAGGCAAGGAAATTAGAAATGCTCCTCATCAATCACATCCGAAGAGAGCGGAACACTTCTAACATTAGTTTCATATAATACCCTGCACCTTACTTTCATTAAGGCATGAGTTAAGCCAATTAATGTCTAGGTGATGGTGGAGGGCCAGTTGCCCTCCTCCTGATGAGATTAGGACACAGGATGAATACATGGAGACATTATGACAGGAGGCGGCTAGGAGTGGTGGAGGAGACACACCAGCGACAAGCCTTTCCTACTCCATGATTGTGTTAAGAATAATCATGACTATATACACAGCTTCTTGAAGTGGAAAATACATATTTTCAACATTATTTCTGCCTTCTCTATAGTGAATTTGCTAGCTTTGGAACCACTGGGTTCTAACAAAATTTGGATAATGTTGGCGATGCTGTTAAAGATCTTCTGAATAATGCCTGAGTTTTTAATGGAAGACTTTGGCCATAAATAGGAAAAAGATAAGTCGGACGACTTTGTGTTACTCATCGTCCCTCCAAATCTTTGAGTGCCCCTTTATTGCTTAGGAAGCAATGTCCAGAGCTTAGCCTGGCATTCAATGTTGCACGGCCTGGATTAAGGTTTCCTTTTCAGCCTCAGTTTGATAGCTAGTGCCTCTCTCCTCTCCGCTCTCATTATTTCTCTATACAGCTTAGTCTTTGGCTGAATCAATCAACTTCTTGATTTCCAAGCATTCTGTAGGAGGTCCCACCCCGGGGTCTTTGCTCAGCTGTTCTGCTAGTTGAAAGTCTTCTCCTTTACATGGAAAGACCCTCCCACTGGATGACGAGCTCCTAGAGGAAAAGGCATTTGCTTTCCCCATTTTGTGTACCTCTCCATCATAGCACAGTACCTTGCACATTCTAAGTATCCCCAAAAGAATTTGTGAAGTAAATTAAAGTAGCTGATCCAAATGGCAACTTTTCAGGAACTGTTTCTAATTTTCTTTGCTTGAGAAAAACAGGCTAAGTTAAGGCTCAGAAATAAGGGAGATAGACTGTAAGGATTCCATATTATCCTAATCTTCAACTCTTCCTTTCAAAGCAACACCTTATCTACCAATCTATTCATCTCCATCTCTCTATGAGATCACATTTATGCATGATAAGAACAGGGATTCATTCTAGATTAAAAAGCAATCTTTGGTATTGCCATTTGCTGGTGGTAAGTGCTCAATAAATGCAGACCCTGTTGAGGATGGTTAATGCATAAGCTTTTTAGGGCACTGTAGGAAAGCAGACGGGTACTTTTCATGATTTCTCTGTACTTATCTGGGCAAAGAAGTAGGACAAATGTGTCCAGAAGAAAGCCACGAATTGAAGAGGTAGAGTTGAAGATTAAACATTTTTTTTTTTTTGGATTAGAAAAATCTACTATTCTGGGGTTAGATATTCCAGAGAGATTCCTTCAGCAAGCAGTTAAGATTAGATGTGGCCCAGTGGCTAGTGAAGTTCCACGGGAGTCCACAGGAAGGCCATGGATAAGCAGCGTGGAAAATGTTACTTCCAAATTTTATAGTTATTCCCCAAAGAGGGGCTCCAGCTCTAACATTTACCCTGTACCTTATAATAGCATTTGGGGAATCATGAAAAGCTTTTGGTGTCACTGTTTTAATTAAGAGTGAAAGTTCTACATGGGCCAGACATGCTGAGGCTCTGTCAGTAGTGGTCACTGGGGAGAAATGGAACGTCAGATAAATGTGGGCTTTTAGCTACTTATCACGGGGTCCTAGAACCCCTTGTTTAAAGCATGTTTTGAAAGAATACCTTCTCTAGCAAGAAAGTTGGCACAGTAAAATCGTGTTCTATCTACAGCTATATAATCTATATCTATATATATGTATCTATTACTTCTATGTTCATTGAAATTCTAGGAGACATAAAACAATTAAAGTGTATATTTTTTGATAAACATGGTGGTGAAATTGTATATACGATAAGCTAGACTTAAATCTTAAAATACGACTTATGATGGCACCTGTCACATCTGGATATTTAATTTCTAAGCTTCATCCTTGGCTACTTTGCTTATATGATATAATCGATATTGCAATCAGTGAGGTAATACAATGTACATATGATTATCCATTCTTTCAAGATTGTACAACCTACTGCCTTATTGACAAACTTTGAAAGTATACTTTTTTCAGGTTACTCTTTACTTCTCCCTACCTTTTGTGATAAACAAAACAGCCCTTTTTTCAAAACCCTAATTTATTATAAGACAGATTGCTGAGTGAGCAGATTCTGTAACCTAACTACATTCTTTCAGCTTTGGAGGGGATCCAGGGATATTTACTTTAAGTACAGTGCAATCTTACTATAATAAAATACTGTATGTGAAACATTTCCCAATAACTGCTTACATTAGGATGTTATGTAGTTAGCCATTACTGCCCTACCCAGGGTACACTATATCAGAGAAAACACTAAACTTTAACTATTTCCTCCTTTGGGAATCTGAGATCACTTTGCACAGATTAATATGTGAAATATTCTATGCTCTGTAAACATTATACTTGAATGCTGATTTTTGTATGATGCTCTTTGTAGCTAGCTATGTCCACAGAATCATGGATCCACAAATACAAGCATGTGATGAGTTCACATATATTTAGAGAACACTTCAGCATGCTAAGAACAAAACAAAACAAGCAAAAAAATACCCCAAACCAAAAAAACAAAACAAAGTAATTTATGTACAACTTCACATGGCCTACCAGTACCACATGCAGGAAATACCCCTAGAGCTGCGGACACTAGTGTGTTAATGTCTTTGATTACTTTCATATGGTATACTTGGAATTGTTAAAACACAGCTGCCACACATCAGAAGGTACTAGAAACAATCTGTTGGACAATACAGAAAAATGGCACTAAATGAACTTCAGAAATACCCCATGCTGGTTACTAGGGGAGGATTTACGTAAAAAAGGAAAAACAGCAGAAATTGTAAAAGTGCCAAGAACATCAGGAAATATCCCCAGAAGTCACTGGTCTTTTGTGCTCTTGAATGTCCTTTCAAACTGGAATAGTCACTCTGCTGTATTCCTAATGGAAAAAAGAAAAAGAAACCTCCTATTATTGATTAATATAATTTTGTTCCCTCCCTTGAGATAGTTTTGTTTGTTAAGAGCAAAATTTGACAGTTTGGAAGATTAATTATTATATAAAGACAGAAAAAATATCACCTAGCTGGAGCAAATCTCAAGGGGTGAATTGGTTTATGTCCCAGCTTTTAAGTACAGTGACACCTCATCTAGCACAGACAGTGCCTGTGCTATTCGTAAAGCTTTTCAATGAAGATGATTCAACAGTGTGTCTTAGAAGCACATTCGGTGTCAAACTAGCCACCTAAAAGGATTTGGAAAACATTAGCCATAATACCAGTGGGTATGCATAGTTTCTAAAATACTCAAGAGGGACGTGAATTCTAACTTGAAACAGCCCCCTGTTACAAACATTTTTTAGCAGGCACAATTTTGAGGATCAGAGTTTCCATAAAATATACAGAGTATTTTAGTGTTGCTAAAGTAGTAAAAAAGTTACCATCTATATTGCTGATAGGTCACAGGTTCTCATCAATAGTGTGTTGTTTTAACAGCACCAAGTTAGAAAAGGCAAAGTCAGAATGATAGAGACATACGATGTTCTAGCAAAATGAATGTTAAGGTATTGATATGTGAAAAGTGATAGTGTACAGAGATGTTAGAGACTTGAATTTGAAAACGATCTGTCAACACTGTAAACAAATCAAGATTACATACTAAATGTGAGGCAGAAGTTCTCCTGGTTCTCATTTACCTGGGAAATGAATAAGATAAAAAGTGCCGAGATACCATTTTTTATGTTGACCTATAATGAATAATTCTCCCAATTGCAGAGAAATTGACAATGAATGTTTGAAATTAATCAATTCACTAAATTCTTAAGGAGTACTTATTATGTGCCAGGCGTTAATATGCTAGGGAATACAACTGAGAACAAGATAAACAAATGTCCTGGGTATTTTGGTACTTACATTTTGTCAGACATAGATAGGCAATAGACGAGTAACTAAAAAAATCCCAAGTAATTTGAGCTAATGATAAGTGTCATTAAAAACATAAAACTATATAATGCGAGAGAGTGACTACAGTCAGAGAAAACCTCTCTGAAAAAGAGGCATTGAAGCTGAGATCTGAATGGTAAGAAGGAGCCAACCTTATAAAGCTTTGAGGAACATGATTCCACAGACAGAACCATAAGTGCAATGACCTCTAAGTAAGAGCAAGCTTGGCATGTGCAGGGGACAAATAAGGCCAGTGAGGCCTGAGCAGATGGGCAAGGAATCATGTACTTTTATTTAAGCAGTCTGTATATATTTTTAGATTTTACAGTTCGCGCCAAAAAATTTGAGCACTTTTAGAATATTGCAAACCATACTTGATTATAAGTTTTAGTTTTTACCTATTGTTCCAATAGTCAGAGAAAACATCTGTTTTATTCAGAAGTAAGACTATATAATCATTCATGTTTTGCTGGCTGTTGTCATGGAGTGCACATGCTGGATCCCAGTCCTGTACAAAATCACCACCTCTCCACCCCAGACATCTCTGGAAGTCCCAGGGGTAGCTCACATATGCTCACAAATAAATCCATCTCTTGCCATGTGGCTTTATGATTTCCCTTCTCATTCAGGCCAGACTGTTTCTACGTGTACTGCCCCATGTGCTGATTCCACCAAGTCCCCAGGCCTGGGATCGCCTCTGCCGAGGGTGTGACTCATTCCACTGTCTCGGAAAAAAGCTCTAGCACCTTCAAAGGGCACCAAAGACCTGCATCTCCACAAGCCCTTGAAGTGTCCAAATCGTAAAGGGTTTCTGAACAGTGGGAGAGAGTGCCCCCTTTTGTGACAGTGTTCTGTAGATGGGCTCAAAAGCATGGCTGCTCGTGACGACTATTTCACAGTTTAGTGACAGTCCTTGTGGGTCTTATTGACAATGCCACCCTGAGCCCCTCTATCCAGCCCTTAGGGTGCACACATCAGTGTGTGTGGTGCTCTAGGCAGAAAACAAAATGCGATGGGGTTCACCATCCTGCTCTCAGACTCATTCTTCTCCTTTAACAGGTAGGGTGCTTGGTGTTTAAGACTCTGCTCTCCTAAATAGATCTCTGTCTTCGAAGTCATGCAAATATAAATTTGACAAGCCCATTCTTTCCAATTTCTTCATATGTTCAGCCATGGCTGATTTTCGGTAGTGGACATGGCTTTCTCTCAGTGTGCTACCCCATGTGTCCATGTCAGCTCTCTCAAAGTCTCCATCTCCTTCTGGGTTCACCTGCCAGGATCATTGTTGTAGATATGTGGAGCCCAGCAATGTGTGAGGCTGCCCCTTGCTCATGTCCTTGGAGCAGCTTATGGCAACCAAGACACCAGTGGGTTTCCTAGCCATGATGGGATGACCTCCATTAATTCCAGGATCTTTTTCAGGCCGGCAATGACTTTTTTTCCAGGCATGGATATGATACTTCCTGGTTCTAAAAAGTTCTTTTCCAGGCCTTTTGTGTCCTTTACAGCAGCAGCTGTTTGGGGCTGCAAAACAATGCTATGCATATACTGCTGGGCCAGATGGAAGGGCTAATTCCCCAGGCTACTGCTCCAGCCCCACATTCTTTATGTTGCAGCTCAAGCTAAGCCTATGGCTCATACCTCCAAGAACACATTCTTCCTTGTTTACCCCTATTTCTTAACATTGGAATCATTCAATGAACTCCCACCTTTATAACATGTTACATTGGGCTGGACTACCCCCATGAAGTTGTGCATTTTGTGCAATGCACAAATGCACTGAGGAATTGAAGATCAGATGTTCCCTGCTTGCCAATCTGTACTCAGAGTAAGGGGCTGTCAGCCTGAGAAAGGTGTGTTTCCCTGCAATTTGGCCATGCAGAGGGGGTGTCTTTTTTGTCATTTTCACAATGACAGTTTGTTTGTCTTGACAGGTGTTGGAGGAGTGGTTTATTTCTCCATCCTACTTATCCTCTGAGAGCCAGCCTAGGATTTCCATTGTCTCTGTCCTCCCAAAAACCTCATTAATTCATGGGGTGAAGACAGACCATCCCTCTATTTTTTCCCACTCATATCTCCTAATAGAGCTTACCATTCAAACTCCCAGTGTGCCTCATGCTTCTAGTACCCTACGTGTTACCCAAATTCTCCAATGAAAGAGATCTTCACATTGGCATCTCAACTCACTAGAAAGTGGGCATTCTCAGGTCATGATAACTAGCGTGGTGAGCGTTTTCACATGTCTTCAGGGACTCCACTGAAGTTGCACAATGGCTTTCCTCTTCTTTGGAGAAGTAACCCAATGACCAGCACAACTCTTGAGCATCAGTCACTGCTTCTGTGGCATCAACTGACTAGCAGTTTGGCAATTAGGGTGCAAATGTGCTCTTGGCTTTGCTTTAAGGATCTGCATCAGGAATTTTCCAACATGAGAGGAAAAGAATGCAACCCTTTTTTTTTTGTAAGCTCTTGTCACTACCTACTAATGCAAAACTCTAGGCCTCTGCAAATTCTCCCCCTTCCCTGAAGTTTCTCAGAATCCTTAAGTAGTACATTCGATGAATACAGAAACAAGTCAGGTTAGTTACTATGCATCATTTTTGCTTTTGTTCTTCGGATTCAGCTCCCTCTGCCCTGTGCTTGGTGTGTGGAACCACAGCTGATGTCTATTTCTAACTCCCACTAGATATGGATGCATCTGCCCAGCCACCTTTCCAAGAAGACTGCAGTGTCTGATGGGCCCAGCTGCTGCTTTGGCGGGCTCCTGTCCCCCCAGCTCCCATGCCACCAATGCCCAGGCACCCATGAGATGCCACAGCTGTTCAGAATCCCATTGTGAAACAGGGGCCATGCTTATCTTCTCCTTAGCCTTCTTTTACTGCAGAGGGTTCTCAAAGCAATACTGCATGTGCTTTAAAATCATAGAATGCATCTCCTGAGTAGCTATATCTATTTTTACTTATAGCACCTCAAATCTACTCAGGACTCAGACATAGGGTGGGGGACTAGGCTAGGAGCTAATCCAAGTGACAGATGCTCTGATGTATTAATAATCACCCCTCCCTGGCTCCGTTCCTGACCGAGCTTGTGCTTGGTTCTCTTTTCCATTAGGATGATATCTGCTTGGGAAACTCCTTAGCTCATCACACAAATCCACCTATGGCAGGCCTATCTTGCCAGGTTACCAGATTCACAAAACTCCTTCCTTTCCCATCCTGTATGTAGACTTTCCAAGGGTGATTAGGTCATAATTTATTTCTATTTGCTGTCACTCTGTTCAGTTGTTTTATGAGATAATTTGAAACATTCAACCACTTTGGTAATGTCTTGTGACAAAATACACTAAGGAGAGATTCAATCAGTAATTCTTTTCCACACCCTATTAATGTAGCAATGTTTCAAAAGGTTGTAATTAGGATTAATTTGCTTGGCAGTTCCTGAGGTCATCATGAATCAAATATGTGGAGTAAAGCATACTTCTTCATTTGTATTCAAGAATATATGTACTGGTTGAGACAGTAAAACATCTGAATTTAAATAGAAGTCGAAATTGTTTCAAAAAAGCTTAACCTCCATCATTAGATGAATGTACTGCTATTCTTGGTTGGGTATTTTGTACAGGTGTGTACATGTGGGTTTACAATTACAAGCTTCAGAGGCCTCCTCTCCCCATCCTGAGAAATGCAATGCGAGATTTTCTCAGAAGAAGGTTAGCAGTAAGACTGTTAAATAGAGGAGGTGATACGTAAAGGTTTCAATGCTTATGCTACTGATGAGCAAATTGAATGGATTGATAAGTAGGTAACTCAATATTAGTGCAATGGTTCCCAATTTTTTAAAGTATCTTTTAACCAAACCTAACATTGTTGCATATTTGAGCAAATTTTAAAGTTTTACTTTCAATTTGCATAGCATATGCCCAAGTGGCATGTTGGTAAATATTTAACAACTGGCTCTCTGGGAAGGCAGGAAGCGGAAGGGGGAAACACCTTGATTTGTAGTGTTTGCCTATTTCATTGGTGTAAATACACCTATCATCTGTGATTTCAAGCTGCCAATGTGATGCCACTGTGCAGGGTGTTGGGAAGAAACATGCAGTAGCACATTATTATATAGTATTTAAATCATACAAATATAGTAGATAAAGTAACCTCAGAAGCAGAGATAAAAGTAAAGTGTGGTAAACTACAAGGAAGTGATGAGTTCTGAGTATTTGTTACTTTTATTGCTAGTATAAGTTGTGACCTGATATGATTTAATTTTTTTGATTCTTAATTGACACATAATAATGGTCAATATTTGTGGGATACAGTGTAATATTTTGATACATGTATACAATGTGTAATAATCAAATCAGGGTAATTAGCATATCCATTCTCAAACACTGATCGTTTCGTTGCAGAAAGAACATTCAAAATCCTCTCTTCCAGTTATTTGAAAATATATAATAGATTATTGTTAACTATATTCACACTACAATGCAATAGAACACCAAAACTTATCTTCCCTGTCTAACCATAAAATACTACCCATTGACCAACCTCTCTCCATCTCCTCTTGCCCCTACCTTCCCCAGCCTCTGCCAACCACTATTCTACTCCCTACTTCTATAACTTTTTAAATATTCCACGAGTGAGATCTCGCAGTATCTGTCCTTCTGCATCTGGCTTATTTCACTAATGTAATGTCCTCCAGCTTCATCCATGTTGTCACAAATGATAGGATTTTATTGATTTATCATTGCTGAATAGTATTGCATTGTATATACATATACCACATTTTAAAATCCATTCATCCATTGATGGACATTTCGTTTGTTTCCATATATTGGCTATTGTGAATAGTGCTGCAATAAACATGGACGTGCAGATATCTCTTTGACATACTGATTTCATTTTCTTTAGATATATACCCAGTAGTGGGATTGCTGGATCATATGGTAGTTCTATTTTTAATTTTTTGAAGAACCTCCAAACTGTTGATCATAATGGCTGTACTAATTTACCTTCCCACCAATAGTGAATAAGAGTTCCCCCTCCTCCACATCCTTGCCAGCATTTGTTATATTTTGTCTTTTTGATAATAGCCATTCTAACTGGGGTGGGTTGGTATCTCATTGTGGTTTTGATTTGTATTCCATGATGGTTAGTGATATTGAACATTTTTTCATGAACCTGTCGGCATTTGTATGTCTTCTTTATAGAAGTGTCTATTCAGGTCTTTTGCTCATTTTTCAATCAAATTTTTTTAAATTTATTTTTCAGTTTTTGCTATTGAGTTGTTTGAGTTCCATATATATTCTGGAAATTAACCCTTTGTCAGATCTGTAGTTTGCAAATATCTCCCATTCTATAGGTTGCCTCTTTGCTGTGTTGATTGTTTCCTTTGCTATGCAGAAGCTTTTAAATTTGATATAGTCTCATTTGTGTAATTTTGCTTTTTTTTGCAAAAACAAAAGCAAAATTTTGAGGTCCTATCCAAAAAAATCCTTGCCTAGACCAATGCCATGCAGCATTTTCCCTATGTTTTCTTCTAATAGTTTCATAGTTTTGGGTCTTACATTTAAGTCTTTAATTCATTTTGAGTTTTTTTTTATATGTTGAGAGATAAGGGTCGAGTTTCATTCTTCTGCATGTGGATATCCCATTTTCCCAACACCGTTTATTGAAGACAGTGTCCTTTCCTCAATGTTTGTTCTTGGTGCCTTTGTCAAAGATCAGTTGGCTATAAATGTGTGGATTTATTTCTGGCTTCTCTTTTCTGTTCCATTGGTCTGTTTGCCTGTTTTTATTGCAGTATCATGTTGCTTTAGTTACCATAGCTTTGTGATATATTTTGAAGTCAGGTAGTGGGATGCTTCCAGCTTTGTTCTTTTTGCTAAAGATTGCTTGCTTTCGCTCTTTGGGGTCTTTTGGTGGTTCCATACAAATTTGAGAAATTTTTCTATTTCTGTGAAGAATGCCACTGGTATTTGGGTAGGTATTGCATTGATCTATAGATTGCTTTGGGTAGCATAAACACTTTAACAATATTAATTATTCAAATCTATGAAATTTACATCTTTCCATCTGTTTGTATTTTCTTCAATTTATCAATGTTTTATAATTTTCATTGTAGAAATCTCTCACCTCCTTTGTAAAATTTATTCCTAGGTATTTAATTTTTTGTAGCTATTGTAAATGGGATAGTATTCTTGATTAATTTTTTTCAGATAGTTCACTTTTAGTATATAGAAACACCATTGGTTTTCTGTAGGTTGATTTTGTATCCTAGAATTTTACTGAATTCATTTACTAGTTGTAATAGTTTTTTGGTGGAGTCTTTAGGGTTTTTCATGTAAAAGATTATGTCATCTACAAAGAGGGACTGTTTGACTTCCTTCTTTCCAATTTAAACACCATTTATTGCAATCTTTTGCTCAATTGCTCTGGCTAGGACTTCTAGTACTACGTTGAATAGAAGTGGTGAAAGTGGGCAACTTTTTTCTTGTTTCAGATCTTTGAAGAAAAGCTTTCAACTTTTCCCCATTCAATATAATGTTAGTTGTGGGTTTGTCATATATGGCCTTTATTATGTTGAGGTAGGTTCCTTCTATTTAATTTTAATGATGGTGGTGTTATCAAGCAGTTCACAAAGTTCCTGAAGTTTAATAATCAACTCTCACGAGCTTGTGTAAGCCAACTCCAGGACACCACTGCTCATGCCCAATCTCAGGACAGGTAAGATACCACTTTGGAAACTGAGTTAGACTTCAGATCCTAGAGGGCAACAGAGAACGTCTTCTATGTCTTTCCACTATTAACACTGGCAAACACAGGTACTCCATAATTTAAGGACTGTGTTGGAGGGACCTTTTGGTATGGTAGAATCTTCATTAATTAGGATCCTTAAAAACAACCTCACAGTTAACTAGGCTTTATTTTTTAGAAAGAATAACTTGGCTTGATTTAGTGTTGATTTAGTGTTTACCCAAAAAGATTTCTAAGTCAATATGCTCCTTCATTAAAAAAAAAAAATCTGTATTGTAAAAAAGCCTTGGAGGTAAACATTATCCATCTTCTATGTACCATAAAAAGACAAACAAACAAAAATACAAATGAAGGTAAAAGAGCAAGCCTCATTAAAGGAAAATGCCTGGATCTCATGTTCTACAGCAGCAACCCTGCCTTGTCCTGGCTGGGCTGGGAATGGTCCTGTTCTTCAGTGGCCTTTCTTGAGTTTGCCTGCAGACATGATGGGGCTGGCACCAGGGGCTCTACACAAACTGATGTGCAAGTGCTCAGCCTTGGCAATCACATCTCTTCCCTCAGGAATTTGAAGTATGGGAAAGAAAGAAACTGTCCGGTTCGTGATAGGAGCTGAAATTGAAACAAGGTCATGAGGCAGCTGGGCCATGGAAGTTATAAGTGGAAAGCAGGAACAAGAAGAAAACAAGAGGAATATGCAGGTGCATCATAAGAGGGGAAAATGAGCAGCTGCTTCCCAGCCAGGCTAAATCCTTGTCGGCTGGCCAGGTCCAGAACCCATATAATCCTTTTAATAAACCAAGGTAAAAATTAAGAACAAATGAAAGAATATGTTACATAGTGTGCATTGCATTATGAGTAGAATAATAATTGTTTATGAAGAGGTACTGAATTTAGTCCTAACATTAAGTTTTTGGTGGGGTTTATTATGTAGATCCTTATAAACACTGAACAGAAGAATGGACAAATGTTTTCAATGAGAACTTTATAAATGAGACAGAACAATGCTTTCCATAGCCATTTTTGGATTAAGCCTTAATTGTAATAGTTTCATATGGTTAAATAATTCAGAGAAGACATTTTATTGAGATTTAAGTATTCATGGCTCCGTTATGTAGTTTTGAAAAAATTTGACCTAAAATAAAAGTTAGAGAATCTTTGAGTATCCTTCAAACATTAGTAATCAAGGGCAGATGTGTGACAAAATTATAATAAGTCAGATTTCTGATTTTCTACATCTTCTACAGCTCCAGCTAGCATTCTGTGCAGTTACTGTTGATTTTCCTAGTGATAACCCAGGCAAGGTACTACCTTCAAAGAAAACTGCAAAATAGTAACATTCTCATACATTTCTGTAATACGCAAGGGCCTTTGTTTACTGTCTCATATGGAACCTCTTAATTCAGAGCTAGACAGGTGTTACAATCCCCATTTTTCAAATGAGAAAACAGGGTCATCGAGAGTGAGTGTCCAACCTTTTATTACACAACCGGAGAATATGGAAGCTGGGACTTAAACAGAAATAATAAAAATGTTGGTTAAGATTTACTGAGCTCTCACCATCTGCCAGATACTGAAATAAACATGTATTATCCCCATTTTATACATGAGAAAACTGAGAACACTCCTAACCGAAGTTGCTATCAATAATGAGGTAAAGTGAAAAATGCTGAATTTGAAATGTATAGGTGGTTTGGGGAGCTTTGAGCGAGTTAGCAGCTGACAGTGGGGGCAAGGTTGAAGAGTAAGGGAAGCTATCTGTACAGTGCCCACGGGTAGAAGATCAAGAGAAGTCAGTTCAGGTAAGGACGGGAAGTCATAGGAATACATTAACCAGAGGCAGGGCAATTAGGAAAAACCTGACAATGGGAAACTGCTATAAGAGGGAATTTCTCTGGACTGAAAAACTAATTCAGAAAAAGGAGAATTGCTAAAATGGTACTGGATAAAAGACAGGGAGGAAAAATTCAGCAAACCGGCTATGATGAGGCTAATACATGGATGATGCCTTTGTTAAAAAATGGAGAAGTAATCCTGATTTTCCAGAAAAGACAGGCTCTCCCCTAGGGCTGTCAAGAAATGAACCAGATTCCAGGCCAAGTAGAGGACAAGGAGGAAGAATTCATTATGGAATCTGACAGATATATTGAGGAACAATGAATATTCACCTTGGCTATCAAATTTTCCATTTGTTTACAGCTTACACCCTCGAGACCTCCTTACACTACAGGATTTCAGCCTCAGGCTCTAAATAATTGTAATTGTGGAAAATTCCCTTGCATAGCGGTATTGCAGTGCCTTCTCTTTTGGGATACCTGAACTGTTTTCATACTCCTCTAAATCAAAAACACAATGATAAGATTGCTTTCTGAAGCGCTTGGGCAAGCAAGCATTTATTGTAATTGAAGACGTCCTGGGGCTTCACAAAGGGAGAGTTTGGAATCACTTTGTAATGTCTCTGAAACCCACCCATATCCTTCCACCCCCCACTGCTATGATCTTTAAGCCCGTTAGACCCACATATTCTTTGGTCTGAGTTACTTCGATGGCCATTATACACAGAGTTCTGCAGGATTCCTGCCTCCTCCCTCTTCTTGTTGGCTCTGCTGTGTCTCCTTCTTCCTCAGGGCCTCAGTCACATGGAAGGATTCCTACAATCATATTCCCAGCCCAGATCTCCTGCCTGACCTCCAGGTGCACTTCACATCTGTCCACTGACCACATTTGCTTGCATAACCCATTGGCACCTGAAACAGAATCAATATGCCTAAAAGAGGACTATCATTTTCCCCTCACCAAACCAGGTACTCAAATGTCTGAGATCTGTGCCACTGCCTTTTCATTAGCCTAAGCCAGAGATCTTGAGCGTCTGCTTCCAGTCTTTCCTCTCCCTCACTGGTACAACCACCTGGTATAACTGGACTTTATCTCTCCAGGCCAGTCCTGTTCACACTAATGCACTCTAATGGCAATGAGAATGAGCTTTCTAAAATGCAGATCTGATCACGCCATTCCTCCAGTGTAAACATCTCTTAATGGCTTCCTACGCTTTCAGGATAAAATAACCCCTTCAAGTGATACTAGAGGTCTTTGCCCATTCCGCTCCTACCACTCCCTCTCACAGTTTAACTTCCTTTCACAGTGCCATACCCTCAGTTTCTTCTGTGTGTGTTGCTGTTTTCTGCTCCTACTGTTCCTGTCATGTATCACCTTTGACTTCTTTAACTCATTTTATCTTTCAAGTCCCAGCCTAGATGTTGCCTCCTCCTGAAGCCTTCCTTGACTGTAGAGTCTGGGTTAGACATTCCTCCTATGATGACATCCCCGTGAAGACAGAGTCTTTTTTCTCCTCCTACACTAGGCTGTAAACTTCTTAAGGGCAGGTACCTGTTTATTCCCAATTGTATCATAGTGCTTAGTACAGTATCTGACACAGGGTTGATATTCGTACTGTTTACACTAGGCACAGTATGTATCCAAAATACCGACCAATAGGTTGAATAATAATGACATCCATATAAATTCAATGAGTAAACGAAGACTTATTTTAGGTTTCCCAAACGAATTCAACTAATATGACGGCAGTTGAGAATTGTTGCATATCTTCTTGTAATCTCTTGTCCCAGAGGCATTTTAATGGAAATTTGAGTCATTCTTTTCAAATTCACTTCCATTTACTTTAAAAATGACTTCAACACCTGTCTCATTCTCTCTTTCCCTACCGTTTTTAGGAGATTTCACATTTATCTTAATAACTTCATTTTCACTCAGCCTCAACCACACCAGCTGGCCATATCAGAGACAACACAGTTACACAAACCTTTGCCTGTTTGAGATCTGAAACTCTGACCTTCCCCCTTGGAAACTCCACATCCCTTTCTTCCATTGTCTCATCACCAGAGTTCATATGTCAAGTGCCTCTGGCTCCTTGAAGGTGTAGATCTGGGGGATCCAGATCACCTGTTGTGTCCTTTTAGCCACCCCCACCCCCGGCCCCCCCAGCATAAACCTCATGGCCAGCCATTTCAATGATGTGTTTGCTCTCATATCTAAATCCCTCATTCTCTTTGCATTTAACCATTCATCAGTTATGAACGACTTCCAAGAGGGCTTTCTCTTCTCACATTCTTTCACTGCTGAAAGCTGCTGAAGGAAATAATAAAAATGCGCTGATTAGGTCAGTTAAGGTTTTGTGCAAGCTCACCAGCTGAACCTTAGCAGAACCGAATACAATAAAAAAAGACTTTCTTTTATTCATCCTGTTGTTTACACCCTACGACCCTCCGCACTGTTTCAAACCTTCTCCCCTCCTTAAATCCCTGGCAGAGGACTTTCCTTACTTCATTAGAAAATCTTTCTCACAGTACCATTGGAGTCATTGGGCTAGATTTTCACCTATTCACCTTCTATTCTAAAATCCTGCTATTAGAAGAAGCAATGCCCTGGGAAGGGAGGTTCCAGGCGGCAGGTTTCCACCTGCTTTGTTTGCTGAAGCCAACAAACAGAAAGAGCACTGCTTTCCTGGAAATGAGAAAAAAGGGCAGAGATGGAGAGTGAAAACAAGGAAAATAGGGAGAGAATTCAAAGTGGAAAAATGTTGAATTCAGAGAGTGGCCATCAAATGCGCTCACTTTCTCCAAAGCAGTTTGTTTACTAGAAAGATCCATGGAGTGGGCCATTTCATTTCTTTTGGCCTCCATTTCCTTCTCATCCAAATGAAAGAGTTGAATGTAATATGTCCTCTAGCACTGATGTCCGAAGATTCAACGAGGCTTTCTGAGTGCCACAAAGGCCCTCAATCATGCTGTGCGGGTAGTGACACAAAAATGTTGGGAAATGTATAGGGGAATTTGTGTTGATACAATGACAGGGAGCTCCCTTGGCATTTAGCGAATGAGAACTGATGTATTAAGCCATTCTTGCATTGCTATAAAGAAATACTGGAGACTCAGTAATTTATAAAGAAAAGAGATTTAATTGGCTCATGGTTCTGCAGTCTGCACAAGCATAGCCCCACCATCTGCTTGGCTTCTGGGGAGGGCCTTAGGAAGCTTGCAATCATTGTGGAAGGTGAAGGGGGAGCAGCCTGTCACATGGTGAAAGCAAGAGTAAGAGAAAGGGAGAGAGTAAATGACCAGATCTCAGGAGAATTCACCGTCACGAAGACAGCACCAAGCTGTGACGGATCCGGCCTTGTGATCCAAACACCTCCTCCCAGGTCCAGCAATGGGGATTACAGTTCAACATGAGATTTGGGTGGGAACAGATCTCTAAACTATATCAACTGACATTGTGCAGAATCAAATTCCACAATAAAGCATTGTCCCACCCAGAATGCTGATGGGACTCCCTCCATACCACACTGCTGCAACCACACTGCAGAAGTTCTGAAAACAGGAACCATTTATTTTACTCTTTAAATCCCAAGGCAGTGATTCCCAGGACCAGCTAAGTTTATAGTAGGTGCTCAATATACTTGTGAAATAAATTCTGTGTCCCCACAAAGCTGTATGTAATGTGAATTTTTGTAACTCTATGATGATTTTCCATCGACATACATTTTAATCTCAGAGGCGCTTTATCTTCACTTCTGATTGACTTTTAATTGGCAGTGACTCCTAACACTGAGAGAGCTCAGTTATTAAAATGGAACCCTGCAGGGAATCCATTTGTAAAGCGATAAATCCTTTTATAGTGTGAATAATCACCCATTAATTGATCTGGTTTGTAAATTTGAATTTTCGTATGCTGCAATTTTTTTTTTCTTAAATGTGGGCACAGCCATGGTCTCCTCATTATAATATTATAGTTCAAGAAGGGTCTAACATATATGACAGTTTTGCTATTTTACAATTGAGTCCTTTTTAGTAACTTCTAGGCTTTCCCTTCTATTACTTCCTTTTACAGGACATTTTGAACAATTCTATTCAAATAATGATTTATTGCTTGCAAAACTATTGGTCTCATCACTTAGTTTTAAATCACAATAGAGGAACTATTTGTCTCTGGGGATCTCTGGGCCACTAACAGATTTTAAAATTATATGCACTCCTGAAGAGTTTTCTTTCTGTAGTCTACCTTTCAGCATTTATGAAACTGAGCCACAGAGTGGTCAGTGGAACATTGCTAAGTGTCTGTGGCTGAGATGACAGCAGAATTCTGATCACCTCACCTCTCATTAAAGACCTGCCTCTTGACTAAAGAGTATTTTCTTCGTTTTATAGAAATGTATTTAGAATGCTTCCTGTGACTGACAAGAAACCATTATGAGAAATGGTCACTTGAGTGAGTCGCCTGGGAGCATGTTACAGGTGTCTGTCTCTATGGCTGATGCTGACAAATTCCATCCCTACCTATTTTCTGGAAACGAACTCTGTTACATTAGGTTTCCATCGGTAAACCCACGCTTGATAATACTCCGTCCTGCTGCTTTGGGTATTATAACAGTTCATGCAGAAAGTACTGGATTAGCCTCATCACAGATGATGATGGGGGATAGAAATGTGCATGGAATATTATTACCAATAATTATGGAGGGAACATTTAGCCTGTTGTTCAACTCACAATGCCCATAGTGTAGGTTATAACAAAAGGAATCGCAAATGGTCTGAAGATACCTGTTTCTGAAGCAATAGTACCATAGGGGTCTTGAGTAATGTTAGTTAATGTTTAGCATAACTACGGGAGGGTGTTTCTATTTAAGGTTGCTATGGTACATTTTTTTTCCACTTCCATTTCAGCTTTTTCCCCGCCCCTTTCAGATTGACAGGGGCATCATTCTCTATAATATATTTTCCTTCTATTATTCTGTCCTTGGACTTATTAATCCATCATTTTCTTTGGCCCTGCTTTTCAAATGTTAGATATGAGCTGTGATATTTGTCTTGGCTAGCAAAATAAACGGGATGTGAAGATTCACTCAGAATGCATCTTTCTTATGTTCTTTTATGTCTCCAAGAGAAACCTCAGAGACATGCTTCCTCCTGACTTCATTCCCCTCTGACTAACCCCCTCCCATTTCATGTTTCCCCTTTATCTATAGATAACATAGCATGATCCTGAAAGCTGGTTAATTATTTCTCTGTCCAGATGGGTGGGGGAAGCCAGGAAGGGAACACAGAGGTTTATCAGAAAAACATAAGTGGTGCTGCATCAGCACAGAAGCCTCTCTACCTAAAGAGAGTGGGTTACAAGCTAGAAAGAGACAATAACATTAAAAGCAATATTTCTGTCATGAGGCCTTCTCAGAGCTGTGAAACTAACCTGCTTGTATTTTTTTCTACAGCCCATAAAAGGGCTCACAGCCAGAAAATACAAATCCCATAGGCTGCTATTATGCTGATGACAGTGAAGAAAGGAGGAAAATTGTTTCATTGCTGAATTGCAGATATAATTATGACATTTTATATATTTTGCAGTCTGTACCAAAGAGTTGTATTAATATCTACTATACCCTATAGCAGGAGAGAAGTTAGCACCTTAATGCTGGGGATTCAGACTCTGATTTTGCTGAGATTGAATCCCCCTGGCTATTTACTAATATAAATTTTGTGGTTAAAGGAAAACTCAGAAGCAGGTGATAATGGCTGCATCTTTCGCGGGACCAGCTGATTCATACAAATCATTTGTACAGTGCAGGGAGTGAAGCTAATTGCACTTGCACAATGTGTCTTTCATTGCCAAGATCTGCAGCAAAAGTCTAACTGCTTACTTCAGCCAAAGACGGATACAATGGGGCGTTGAGAAAAATTTAAATACGTAGCCATAGTTCACAGGAGAAATGTTTGGGAATTGATTTGCGGGGCTTGCAAATCAATACAATTATGACGAAGAAGCTGAAACTCCTGTTAGTGAAGTAACCTGGCAGTCAAGTATTTGTGGATTGAAGGGATGATTAAAAAGAGAGAGAAAAAAGTCCATCATTACTTTCAAATGTAGCTCAGGCCACAAAGCAGGGGTTGGTGATCCAGTCCACACTTTGTATTAAGAATTAAGTATTTCTGGTGAACAGTGAGCCAATAAGTAAACAAACAACATTTTGGGAGATGCAGAATAGACAGGGAAATAAAATGTATAGTAATGAAATATTCATAACCTTGCATTTTATGGACCTCAAACACTAGTTCCGTGATTTACCCTATTTCTGTATGCAGTAGTATGCGATCTGGCGAACAATAATAAAGATGGCATTAGAATGCTACTGCCTCAGTGTCATGGAGAAGGGAGGATTAATCAGTACTGTACGATAGCTGTAAACTTGAGTAAATAGAAGCACATATAGGTAGTTGCTTTCCTGCACACTTTATGTTTGGCCCATGGAAATGGGGGAGATGAGAAATAAAGTAATTATGAAAATGATGAGCATCAGCACCCAGCTTCACATAAATAAACACATCATTCTCTCAGGTCCTGGTTGCTCAGGGGTGCTGGTTCACACCAGCTGCTCCCAAGAGAATGTAGTGGTCATTATTTCACATCAAGAGTCATCTTTGCAGAGCTCTTGGCCCACTTTACCCCTAAATTCAAAATACTGTACTCTGTACCTAGTAGTCTCCTTACATAGGAAATAGTGGCCCAGTGTCTGTCTGGCTTTTGGCCTCACCCACTGTCAGAGGTCTGATCAGAAGGGACATGGAAATGCTGAATAAAACCTGGGAGGAAAAGACAGTCATACCATCTTGCTTCAAAGAATATCTCATGCATTCCTGCTTCATACCTGTCCCTTCATTTTTGAGCCAACCTCAAATTGCTGGTATTTACTATTTGTCCCAGATTTCATAGGCATAGTTGGCCTTTAGCCTGACCAGCGCTTCTGCCATGGTGTCTTCCTCCTTAGCAGGTCTGGTTTTGCTCCCATTTTGACTGAGGAGCTGTATATCACACTTGTTTGGTGCTGATAGTGCCCTTTGCTGAGATGAAACTATAGTAACAGGGCAATGCTCCATGAAAACTACTACATTATCTTTGCAATTTTCCTGTGTCTTGCAGACTTGTAAGTACTCTGCCAATCACTGGGTTCCTATTCTCCACACCCCCACTCCTTTTATAAATGAACAAAATTGCTTAACCATTAACATGCCTCTGAAGTATAAGCCTAGTACTCAGAATTGATCAGCTAAACTTCCCATGGGGCAAGCTTAAATGATTTTCATTAAAATTCTAGCATTGATCTTTTGATATTTACCTTGTCATGGTAAGTCACCATCTCTTCCATTTTCCTTAACAAGACAACACAGTAAGCCAAATATTCTTCAGTTATGTATTAATATTTTGAGGAGTATGACTTAGCATGCCTTTATTTCTTAACTAGACTTATGAGATACACTTACTGCTTCAGGACTGAAAGCGCACTTAAAAACCTTTCAAATGTGCAAATTATCTATTCCAGAGAGAACCAGAAATTATACCCCTATGGGTGACAAATATGCATAATCAATAGATTAACTGTAAGCCTTGGGGAATAAGTTGTTTTATGACCCTTGCTAATTCTCTATTTTCATCACTCAAAACTGGAAGTATAGTGATGAGCACAGAGTAGCAATAATAGGTTCTCGGTAAATGTTGAAGTGGATGAATGAATTCCATGGTCTTGGTGAATTTTTTTTTACCCCAAGACATGATGAGGTTGGATGTCGTGTTCTTACAGAGAAATCAATCCAAGATGGGATATATTATCAAGAGTGAGTTAAAGGACACTTAAATTAATTAAAACAAAGTATTTAATTGGCTTTTCCATATGCATACCTTGTCCCAGGATATATTTCCTTTTTCTATTCTTGTGTCTTCCTCTTCAAAGTTCTGGTAGATATTTTTACTTGGAATCTTCAAGTATACTCTTCTCTACCATCTATCATGGAAAATAGGGTTGCAGGCAGAACCGGGGCAGCATTTGCTCAATTCTAATTTCTGAATTTTCCTATATCATATGTGTGTGTGTGTATATATATATATTATATATATACACATATATATTATATATATACATATATATTATATATATATTATATACACATATATAATATACATACATATATATTATATATACATATATAATATATATACATACATATATATTATATATACATATATATAATATATATACATACATATATATTATATATACATATATATTATATATATACATATATATTACATATATTTTATATATACATGTATATCTGATGTGACACAAAAGAATAAGCAAGGCAGTAAACTGA
Organism: Homo sapiens; assembly: GCF_000001405.40. Taxonomy (NCBI): domain Eukaryota; kingdom Metazoa; phylum Chordata; class Mammalia; order Primates; family Hominidae; genus Homo; species Homo sapiens. Next base: position 1,944,157 of record NC_000009.12, on the reverse strand, counting down.
AGTTCTGTGAAGCAATTGCCTGATTTTATTCTAAGCTTTAAAAGAAGATAAACTTATAATATTTTGGTCCAGAGGATTCCAATGAATTGACAGCGTTCAATGATTAAAAATGGTGAAGGGTAAATAAATCATTAAAAGTAATGACAGAAAACATCGCCTACCTTGGGAAACAAATGATGTGAGTCATCTCGTTACTTATGAAAAGCAACCCATTAGTGAATCATGAGTATCATCTGAGACACAGACTCTTCATTTGGGCTGCAGAATTGGTTCTAAACTCATCAAATTAGACGGATGCTCCCAGCCACACAATTCTGTCAACTTGTTCATTCAGGGCTTTTATGCTCCCTGTGAATATTGTCTAAAACAGTCCTTAAAAGGGCCGTACAGGTACTTTATTTCCAGAACGGTAATAATAGTAGGTCCCTAAATGAAGTTTTAGAGATACTAAGTTGCAAACTCTACCCTTTTCTTTTCTTTCACCTCCCACTGGCAACCTTATAAATGTTTCACTCCATAACATTTTGGTCTAAGTTGGATAAAACATACCTTCCTAGGGTTCTCTATTTGCTAATAGAAAAGGAGCCGAGTGTTGCCACTGAACTTGCTGGGAAGTGCTTTGACTTCAGGTGAGCTCACAATCAGCTTAGCACCGCAGTGCTGTGATTTGGGTCATAATTAAAAGATTTTACTATAGAAAATGACCGTGCTGTTTGCACATTCCTTTCATGTCCTTCAGGAAGAATGACATCAAGCACTTACTTGCCTTTTATATACTTTTTTTAAGGTAGCATAGTGAAATAGGAAAAGCCAAGGTTGTAAAAAATAGACCTAGCTCCAAATCCTGGCATTGGCAATTAGGAACTTTGTGAACTGGGCAAATTACTTAACATCGTTGAGCTCTGGTTTCTTCAAGTGTGCAATGCACCAATAACACCAGCCTTGCAAGATTCTTATATGGATTAAATTAAATTAAATATTTAAAGCATTTGGTATTTTGTAGGCATTTATTAAATGTTGTTTATCATCGTTATACCTTCTATTATCTCTTTCTAAATTTCTATTTCCTCCAATAGTATGCTCCTCTGTGAAATTGTGTGATTATGTCAGGTTCTAAACAATTTGATAAAAGCTTATAAGAGTTAATGAGCTCAGTGAGCTCATTTTTTTTTTTTTTTTTTTTTTTTGAGACAGAGTCTTGCTCCGTTACCTAGGGTGGAGTGCAGTGGCGCTATCTCTTCTCACTGCAACTTCCATCTCCTGGGTTCAAGCTATCCTCCTGCCTCAGCCTTCCAAGTAGCTGGGAATCACAGGCGCCCACCACCACGGCCGGCGAATTTTTGTATTTTTAATAGAGATGGGGTTTCGCCATATTAGTCAGGCTGGTCTCAAACTTCTGACCTCAGGGGATCCACCCACCTTGGCCTCCCAAAGTGTTGGGATTACAGGCGTGAGCCACCGCATCCAGCCTCATTTTTCTTTCAATCATGGAATGCTGAAAGGATTCCCCCTCCATGAAGAATTTCCTATTTTTCTATGGGAAATTCTCCCCATGAGCTATTCTAGCACTTTGCTTTCATATCTGTTTTATTAATAATTTAAGTATACATTGTGTTATAGTCTGTGGATTACATGACTGTCTCTGATATATTAGAAGTTCCTTGAGGAAGGCCCAAATTTATTTTTGCCATAGACAATAACACCATGTTTGGGGTCCCCAATATATATATTGACTTGGATAAAGAATGCAATAAGGTACTCTCAAGGACTTGGAAAAGGAAAGAAAATTCATTGTAATTCACTCTCCAGTTTTGCTCTGCAATGGCACGTAGCTCATTTGGAGAATTGACCCAAAGATACATTATTCATTGTGCATTCAAGAAAGAGAAAATAATTCCTATCCTTCTTTTTACATCAGGAGGCACTTAAAAGAAATTATCTGAATTATGGTACTTGCCCACCTCCCTAAGGATGCCAGAGGGAATGCGCTTTCCAATTCCTCCTTTTCCACCCTAAATGCCACCTTCAGTGTCACCAAGAAAAAAGAAAAGCCAACCAGGGGTTCTACATCTAATTATACTTTTTACTAGATTCATACACGGTCTTTGAAGGGATGGCAAGGAAAAGCAATGGATGTCACAAACTATGATGAAGATATGATATGGTCAGAATTTATTATTCCTGAGACCTTTTTAAAAGACAATGTGACACTGTAGCAATACTCTTTGTAGGGGAAGAAAATGATTGCAGTTTTTGCTTCTGGTAGAACTGAGAATCAAGGCTCTCTTACTATTAATTTTTCCTTATCTCCTTCCTTATAGGTATAGGATCAGACTCTAGGTATAGCAAGCTTCTAACATTGTGGGAGCTTTGGGCAACTAGTTCATTCATTTGACACACCTTTAACCAACAAATAGGGTCCTCATAGCAGAGTTCCTAACAGCACCAGCCCTCGTGCCCTGGCCTCTGGTCTAAGTTTTGCCTCCGCCACTTACTAGCTGGATTACCTGGGGGAAAATTTTCTCACTTGTGCCTAGTTTTCTCATTTGTAGAATGAGTCAGAAAGTTGACAGAACACACTTCACAGGGTTGTTGTGAGGATTGAGTGTGTTATGAGAGGCAAAGGATATTGATCAATGTCCTGGCACATAGCAAACACAACACATTTAGCTAAAAAGCAATACAAAAAACTCATTTGCAGCTACCTCCTATGTGCTAGATACATATAGCTATGTGATGGGCATTACATGAATGGGATGGTTGCTGCTCTTGAAGAAGACGTATTCTAGCAGGAAGAACAATATGTAGCAAACAATTATGATGTAGTATGGCGTGTATTTACAGAGTGTTGAACAATCATTTTTGGGGGGATAAAAGTTTGGGGCAGCGAGGGTGATAAATGTGATGGGTGTCTAAAGAGTGGTCAGTGTTTTCCATGCACTGAATGGGGCAGAGGACAAGCCTGGATGGATGAAGGGATGAAGCATATTCTGAAATTCCGTCAGAGCAGCTGCTGTAACACGGCTTGAGTGGAGAAGGTATATGGCTAGGGCGGCAGTGGAGGATGAGGCTGGAAAGGTTGGGAGGGGGATAGACAGTGAGGCCCATGTATGTCATGCGAGAGTTTATTCTTCTTTTTTTTTTTTTTTTTTTTTTTTTTTTTTTTTTCTGAGACGGAGTCTGGCTCTGTCGCCCAGGCTGGAGTGCAGTGGCGGGATCTCGGCTCCCTGCAAGCTCCGCCTCCCGGGTTCACGCCATTCTCCTGCCTCAGCCTCCCAAGTAGCTGGGACTACAGGCGCCCGCCACCACGCCCGGCTAATTTTTTGTATTTTTTAGTAGAGACGGGGTTTCACCGTTTTAGCCAGGATGGTCTCGATCTCCTGACCTCGTGATCCGCCCGCCTCGGCCTCCCAAAGTGCTGGGATCACAGGCGTGAGCCACCGCGCCCGGCCGAGAGTTTATTCTTTATTCCAAAAGTGACGGACTTCCCCAAGAGGCTTCAAAGCTGGGGGGGGTGTTACGATCATATAATTGAGCACTCAGTGCTTATTACATTCATGTTGCATTTAAGCACTCAGGGAGAAATCATAACTAAATGTTATAACTAACACAAACATGGTGAGTTTGCAATCAAATTCCCTTTGCACTAATGAGAACTACTCTGTTGCCTTGTGCCTGTCTCTTTAACTCCCTGAATTTCATTTTCATCAAGGTTGTTAGGAGGTTTGAATGAGATAATATACGTATAGCACTTTGAGAAAGGTAAAAGAACATGGAAACATGCTGTCGTTATTGGTAAGTCCGCTTTAAAGACTGGAGAAACAAAGAAGGCATCAATTGAATTGAATTGAATGGCACGGCCTCTCCTACCGGTCTACCCATAGAGGGCAGCATCCTTCAAAGGACTGATGGGGCCAGGGCTGCACACCTGCCAGCAGAAGAGAAAATGAGGGCAGCTGGGGAGGCAAGATTTTTTCTCACATGAGTTTCTTCGTCTTAAGTTGGAGATGACACCTACCTTGTAGATGCTGCGACTGGGATTGGAGGTGATCTATATGGGAGGCAGTATACGACAATGGTGAAGGGAGTCTTTAGAGTCAAACACATAGGTTTGACCCCTAACTTATTCATCGAATGTCCTTGAGCAGGTTAGCTCATTTAAGTCTCAATTGGCTTATCTGTAAAATGGAGAAAATAATAAGGCCTATTTTATAGAACTGTTGTCAAGATTAAATGTGATAACAAAGTGAAGTGTTTAGCGTAGTGCCTAGTTCACAATAACTATCCACTACATTTATTTGCCATCTCTATGTAGAAAATTTAAAAACCATGATTAAAATTGCTTTCTAATTAGATACTACCATCCTCAGCTAGTAAAAGGCTTACTTGGATTTTAAACTAAAATATATGCAGCTTCAAAGCTTCCATTTTTTCCCCTATATCATGCTGCCGGTCCTGATATGTCATAGATCCCAACACAAAAGCTCAGCTCTGGTATAAAAATGAGGAATTGAAAGTGAGTACAGATGATATTTCTAGATTGTCAAGTTTTGCAAAATGTGTAAAAGAAAACAAGCAGTATCAAGACCTGAAGGTGAGTTGCATATTTAAGATTCTTTCTTTTTAATAATCTAAGCTGTTATTAGCAGTGGATGAGAAAACATTAATTTAAAAAATCTGTATATGATTTCTTTCCTTGATGCATTTTTTACTCCTAATGCAATGTACATAGTATAAATAAGTAATGTAATCAAGTTTATCTTTGGAAGAAAAAGTTAATAATCCTACTAGAGAGTTGGAAATAAATGATGCTCTTATTGCATTTATTACAAATCACACAAAGCAAATCACCCCAACCTGAAACTGTGTATTGCTGGAATATGTTGAATCCCTTTGTCACCCTCCTTACGTTCCCAGTTGCCTCTGGATCCAGGCAGAGAAACTGCATGGAACCGTTCAAGGGCCAGCAGGAACCCCTATGTCCACCTTGTGACTTCCAAAGACACCAGGCCCCAGGCATTCGTGGACTTGCATTTAGGGAGGTGGAGATCTCAGGAGGCTGTGCTCAGCATTCAGGGGCCAGAATGGACTGTACTACTCAGAATAGTGACAACAAATGCTTGACAAACAGATCCACATAAAGTGATGATAAAAGGAAGCACACTGGGTTTGTGAGACTTCAAAGTGAGTGAACTGTATGTGAGAAAGGGGAACAGAGACAGTCAGACACCAAGCAGATAGTGGACAGAAATACATTACAGGAATGAGCAGAGAGGAAAGGAGGCAAGGTGGATCCCCGGGGTGGGGGTGGGGAGGGGCCTCACCTGGGTCCTGCTGTTTGGAGAGTTTCTGTAGGTCATGATCAGATTCATGTGAAATGTAGCATAGGGAACTCTGATGACACATTCACAGTCTTTACTCCCTGGACATGTTATCATATTATATGCCTCTTGCTTTCCACATGATGGCTCTAAGATTGATAATCTAGGGAACCTGGAGGGCCCCTTTATCTCTGAGGTCAGTGTCCAAGTGGCTTGTCACCACTTCTCATTCTGAATGAAGGCTAAGCTCTTCCCATGGGCTTCCCGTGGGCTCTGAGTTTCTTTTCCTCCTGTCTTCTCTTTTCACTCATTATCTTGCCTTCCTGTGTACGTTCAATATCTGCTACTCTATTGGTATTTTCTCCTTAGCCTTTAAACACAAGCAAGTCTCTCCAACAAAAACAAGACAAACAAAACCAAAACACCTTCCTTGAAGTCCACCCCACACACTCCTACACACTCCCTTTCTGAGAAGTCTTCTGAGACACACACTTCCCTGTCCCCTGGAGACCTCCCTTGCCTCCAGTGGAGGTAATGGCCTCTGCCTGTGTCCCTCAGCACTCTGTGCATGTGTTCTTCTACCACAGCACTTTCACATGCCATCATCATGGGTTGTCTTCTTCCCTCTCCCTCAGTGGCCCATGTGTGACTTCAGGAATGGGGATCTATCTTTCTTCTCTATTCCTGTTGCTAGCTCACTGGAGCTAGGAACAAGTTTAATGTGCTAAAAGTTTTGTTGCACCCTGTTGTATTAGTCAGGATTTTCAAGAGAAATGGAACCAACAGAAGATAGATGATGATTGACAAGGGGAGGGGGAAAGAGATTTAGTATGAGAAAATGGATCACATGATTATGGAAGCTTAGCAGTCCCAAGATCTGCAGTTGGCAAGCTGGAGATCCAGGAGAAATGATATATAGTTCTGGTCCAAGTCCAATTTCAAAGGTGGAAGAAGACCAACGTCCTCCGTCCAAAGACAGTCAGGCAGAGACAGAATTCTTTTCTACTCAGCTTTTGTTCCATTCAGGCCTTCAACGGATGGGATGAGATCCATCCAAATTGGGGAGGGCAATCTGTTTTTTCAGCCTATTGATTCAAATGTTAATCTCATGCAGAAACGGCATCATGGACACACTCAGAATAAAGTTTAGCCAAATATCTGGGCACCACATGGCCCAGTCAAGTGGATACATAAGGTTAACCATCATGCTTGTACATCATATTTTTTGATTTTCATTGCAGTTTCTATCTCTTTTGGCAACATGTTAGCTCCATAGCCTTCAGAGGTCCCTCCCTTATCCAATTTCCTTCAATCCTTAATGCCTACACTATATAATATATATAGTACATATATATAGTATAATATATAGTATATATATAGTAAAATATATAGTATATATACTATATATAATATATATAGTATATACTATATATTATATACTATATATACTATATATGGTATATACTATATATAGTATATACCATATATAGTATATATAGTATATACCATATATAGTATATAATATATAGTATATAATACTATGTATAGTATATATAGTATATATATTATATATTATATACTTATATAATAATATTTAATATTATATTTATTATATATAATTAAATATACAATAATTATATATTATAAATATATGTAATATTTGTTATATATATTTATATTATAATTATAAATATATACTATATTATATATAGTATATATAGTATATATTATATATAGTATAAATAGTATTATATATTATATATATATAATACTATATACTATATACTATATATACAATAAATAATATATATACACTATATATACACTATATATATACACTATATATACTATATATACACCATATATAGTATATAATATATATAGTGTATATATATTATATAGTATATATATATAAAGTATATATAGTATATAGTATATATATATATATAAAATATATAGTGTAATTATAGCTCTCTTCTATTGTTCTGTGGTCCATGACCAAGCATAATACTTTTCAAAAATTGTAAGTTCATGCAAGGCAGCAGCCAGGCTGGGGGAGGGACGCCTGCCATTGCTGAGGCTTGCTTGAGTAGGTAAACAAAGCGGCCTGGAAGCTTGAACTGGGTGGAGCCCACTGCAGCTCAAGGAGGCCTGCTTGCCTCTGTAGACTCCACCTCTGGGGGCAGGGCATAGCCAAACAAAAGGCAGCAGAAACCTCTGCAGACTTAAATGTCCCTGTCTGACAGCTTTGAAGAGCATAGTGGTCCTCCCAGCACAGAGTTTGAGATCTGAGAATGGACAGATTGCCTCCTCAAGTGGGTCCCTGACCCCCGAGTAGCCTAACTGGGAGGCACCCCCTAGTAGGGTCAGACTGACACCTCACACAGAGGGGTACCCCTCTGAGACAAAACTTCCAGAGGAACAATCAGGCAGCAACATTTGCTGTTCAGCAATGTTCGCTGTTCTGCAGCCTCCGCTGCTGATACCCAGGCAAAAAGTGTCTGGAATGGACCTCCAGCAAACTCCAACAAACCTGCAGCTGAGGGTCCTGACTGTTAGAAGGAAAACTAACAAACAAAAAGGACATCCACACCAAAACCCCATCTGTACGTCACCATCATCAAAGACCAATGGTAGATAAAACCACAAAGATGGGGAAAAAACAGAGCAGAAAAGCTGAAAATTCTAAAAATCAGAGTGCCTGTCTTCCTCCAAAGGAACGCAGCTCCTCAGCAGCGATGGAACAAAGCTGGACGGAGAATGACTTTGACGAACTGAGAGAAGAAGGCTTCAGGCAATCAAACTTCTCCTAGCTAAAGGAGGAAGTTTGAACCCATCGCAAAGAAGTTAAAAACCTTGAAAAAAGATTAGATGAATGGCTAACTAGAATAACCAATGTAGAGAAGTCCTTAAATGACCTGATGGAGCTGAAAACCGTAGCACGAGAACTACATGATGAATGCACAAGATTCAGTAGCTGATGCGATCACCTGGAAGAAAGGGTATCAGTGATTGAAGATCAAATGAATGAAATGAAGCGAGAAGAGAAGTTTAGAGAAAAAAGAATAAAAAGAAATGAACAAAGCCTCCAAGAAATATAGGACTATGTGAAAAGACCAAATCTACGTCTGATTGGTGTACCTGAAAGTGACGGGGAGAATGGAACCAAGTTGGAAAACACTCTGCAGGATATTATCCAGGAGAACTTCCCCAACCTAGCAAGGCAGGCCAACATTTAAATTCAGGAAATACAGAGAATGACACAAAGATACTCCTCGAGAAGAGCAACTCCAAGACACGTAATTGTCAGATTCACCAAAGTTGAAATGAAGGAAAAAATGTTAAAGGCAGCCAGAGAAAAAGGTCGGGTTACCCACAAAGGGAATTCCGCCCATCAGACTAACAGCTGATCTCTCGGCAGAAACTCTACAAGCCAGAAGAGAGTGCATGCCAATATTCAACATTCTTAAAGAAAAGAATTTTCAACCCAGAATTTCATATCCAGCCAAACTAAGCTTCATAAGTGAAGGAGAAATAAAATCCTTTACAGACAAGCAAATGCTGAGAGATTTTGTCACCACCAGGCCTGCCCTACAAGACCTCCTGAAGGAAGCACTAAACATGGAAAGGAACAACTGGTACCAGCCACTGCAAAAATATGCCAAATTGTAAAGACCATCAAGGCTAGGAAGAAACTGCATCAACTAATGAGCAAAATAACTAGCTAACATCATAATGACAGGATCAAATTCACACATAACAATATTAACCTTAAATGCAAATGGGCTAAATGCTCCAATTAAAAGACACAGACTGGCAAATTGGATAAAGAGTCAAGACCCATCAGTGTGCTGTATTCAGGAAACCCATCTCATGGGGAGAGACACACAAAGGCTCAAAATAAAGGGATGGAGGAAGATCTACCAAGCAAATGGAAAACAAAAAAAGGCAGGGGTTGCAATCCTAGTCTCTGATAAAACAGACGTTAAACCAACAAAGATCAAAAGAGACAAAGAAGGCCATTACATAATGGTAAAGGGATCAATTCAACAAGAAGAGCTAACTATCCTAAATATATATGCACCCAATACAGGAGCACCCAGATTCATAAAGCAAGTCCTGAGTGACCTACAAAGAGACTTAGACTCCCACACAATAATAATGGGAGATTTTAACACCCCACTGTCAACATTAGACAGATGAACGAGATAGAAAGTTAACAAGGATATCCAGGAATTGAACTCAGCTCTGCACCAAGCAGACCTAATAGACATCGACAGAACTCTCCACCCCAAATCAACAGAATATACATTCTTCCCAGCACCACACCACACTTATTCCAAAATTGACCACATAGTTGTAAGTAAAGCACTCCTCAGCAAATATAAAAGAACAGAAATTATAACAAACTGTCTCTCAGACCACAGTGCTCAGGATTAAGAAACTCACTCAAAACCACTCAACTACATGGAAACTGTACAACCTGCTTCTGAATGACTACTGGGTACATAACAAAATGAAGGCAGAAATAAAGATGTTCTTTGAAACCAACGAGAACAAAGACACAACATACCAGAATCTCTGGGACACATTTAAAGCAGTGTGTGGGGGGAAATTTATAGCACTAAATGCCCACAAGAGAAAGCAGGAAAGATCTAAAATTGACACCCTAACATCACAATTAAAACAACTAGAGAAGCAAGAGCAAGCACATTCAAAAGCTAGCAGAAGGCAAGAAATAACTAAGATCAGAGCAGAACTGAAGGAGATAGAAACACAAAAAAGCCTTCAAAAAATCAATGAATCCAGGAGCTGGTTTTTTGAAAAGATCAACAAAATTGATAGACAACTAGCAAGACTAATAAAGAAGAAAAGAGAGAAGAATCAAATAGACACAATAAAAAATGATAAAGGGGATATCACCACTGATACCACAGAAATACAAACTACCATCAGAAAATACTATAACCACCACTATGCAAATAAACTAGGAAATCTAGAAGAAATGGATAAATTCCTTGACACATACACCCTCCCATGACTAAACCAGGAAGAAGTTGAATCTCTGAATAGACCAATAAGAGACTCTGAAATTGAGGCAATAATTAATAGCCTACCAAACAAAAAAAGTCCAGGACCAGACGGATTCACAGCCGAATTCTACCAGAGATACAAGGAGGAGCTGGTACCATTCCTTCTGAAACGATTCCAATCAATAGAAAAAGAGGGAATCCTCCCTAACTCATTTTATGAGGCCAGCATCATCCTGATACCAAAGCCTGGCAGAGACACAACAAAAAAAGAGAATTTTAGACCAATATGCCAGATGAACATCGATGTAAAAATCCTCGATAAAATACTGGCAAACTGAATCCAGCAGCACATCAAAAAGCTTATCCACCATGATCAAGTGCGCTTCATCCCTGGGATGCAAGGCTGGTTCAACATACAAAAATCAATAAATGTAATCCAGCATATAAACAGAAGCAAAGACAAAAACCACATGATTATCTCAATAGATGCAGAAAAGGCCTTTGACAAAATTCAACAGCCCTTCATGCTAAAAACTCTCAAAAAATTAGGTATTGATGGGACGTATCTCAAAATAATAAGAGCTATTTATGACAAACCCACAGCCAATATCATACTGAATGGGCAAAAACTGGAAGCATTCCCTTAGAAAACTGGCACAAGACAGGGATGCCCTCTCTCACCACTCCTATTCAACATAGTGTTGGAAGTTCTGGCCAGGGCAATCAGGCAGGAGATGGAAGTAAAGGGTATTCAATTAGGAAAGGAGGGAGTCAAATTGTCCCTGTTTGCAGATAACATGATTGTATATCTAGAAAACCCCATTGTCTCAGCCCAAAATCTCTTTAAGCTGATAAGCAACTTCAGCAAACTCTCAGGATACAAAATCAATGAGCAAAAATCATTCTTATACACCAATAACAAACAGAGAGCCAAATCATGAGTGAACGCTCATTCACAATTGCTTCAAAGAGAATAAAATACCTAGGAATCCAACTTACAAGGGATGTGAAGGAGCACTCTCTTCAAGGAGAACTAGAAACCACTGCTCAACGAAATAAAAGAGGATACAAACAAATGGAAGAACATTCCATGTTCATGGGTAAGAAGAATCAATATTGTGAAAATGGCCATACTGCCCAAGGTAATTTATAGATTCAATGCCATCCCCATCAAGCTACCAATGACTTCCTTCACGGAATGGGAAAAAACTGCTTTAAAGTTCATATGGAATCAAAAAAGAGCCCGCATTGCCAAGACAATCCTAAGCCAAAAGAACAAAGCTGGAGGCATCACGCTACCTGACTTCAAACTATACTACAAGGCTACAGCAACCAAAACAGCATGGTACTGCTACCAAAACAGAGATATAGAACAGAACCCTCAGAAATAATACCACACATCTACAACCATCTGATCTTTGACAAACCTGACAAAAACAAGAAATGGGGAAAGGATTCTCTATTTAATAAATGGTGCTGGGAAAACTGGCTAGCCATATGGAGAAAGCTGAAACTGCATCCCTTCCTTACACCTTATACAAAAATTAATTCAAGGTGGATTAAAGACTTAAATGTTAGACCTAAAGCCATAAAAACCCTAGAAGAAAACCTAGGCAATACCATTCAGGACGTAGGCATGGGCAAGGACTTCATGTCTAAAACACCAAAAGCAATGGCAACAAAAGCCAAAATTGACAAATGGGATCTAATTAAACTAAAGAGCTTCTGCACAGCAAAAAAACTACCATCAGAGTGAACAGGCAACCTACAGAATGGGAGAAAACTTTTGCAATCTACTCATCTGACAAAGGGCTAATATCCAGAATCTACAATGAACTCAAACACATTTACAAGAAAAAAACAAACAACCCCTTCAAAAAGTGGGCGAAGGATATGAACAGACACTTCTCAAAAGAAGACATTTATGCAGCCAAAAGACAGATGAAAAAATGCTCATCTTCACTGGCCATCAGAGAAATGCAAATCAAAACCACAATGAGATACCATCTCACACCAGTTAGAATGGCAATCATTAAAAAGTCAGGAAACAACAGGTGCTAGAGAGGATGTGGAGAAATAGGAACACTTTTACACTGCTGGTGGGACTGTAAACTAGTGCAACCATTGTGGAAGTCAGTGTGGCGACTCCTCAGGCATCTAGAACTAGAAATACCATTTGACCCAGCCATCCCACTACTGGGTATATACCCAAAGGACTATAAATCATGCTGCTATAAAGACACATGCACACGTATGTTTATTGTGGCACTATTCACATAGCAAAGACTTGGAACCAACCCAAATGTCCACCAATGATAGACTGGATTAAGAAAATGTGGCACATATACAGGATGGAATACTATGCAGCCATAAAAAAGGATGAGTTCATGTCCTTTGTAGGGACATGGATGAAGCTGGAAACCATTATTCTCAGCAAACTATCACAAGGACAAAAAAACCAGACACTGCATGTTCTCACTCATAGGTGGGAATTGAACAATGAGAACACTTGGACACAGGAAGGGGAACATCACACACCGGGGCCTGTTGTGGGGTGGGGGGAGGGGGGAGGGATAGCATTAGGAGATATACCTAATATAAATGACAAGTTAATGGGTGCAGCACACCAACATGGCACATGTATACATATGTAACAAACCTGCACGTTATACACATGTACCCTAGAACTTAAAGTATAATAAAATATATATATATAAAAATAAATAAAAATAAAATTGTAAGTTCAGTGAGGGTAATTAATTACCATGTGTCATGCTGTTACCATACCGTTTATAGTTCTTGTTTTGGATCTGGAACACAGGAGGCACTCCAAATATACATATTCAATTGTATTAAATTGAAATATAATATATATGATGAATTAGTCATCAAGCATTAATGTTATTCTGTCAGACTGCTAGTTATCTATCCAATATCCATTCTCCTTCTTTTCATGAGAGATAGAACCTCCATAATTTGTGGGTACGACAATGTGTTCTAACCCCATATCAAGAACTATGAAAGATGCTGTAAAAGGGATATGGTAATTAATTACCCAATAAGACTACATTTCCAGTAAAGGATTCTTCTTGTTCATGGAGCACGGAACAATAGAAGAGGGTGGTCTTAGGTCACGTCATGCAGACAATAAGCAGTGAAGGAAGTTGGAGAAGGGAAGAACTTCTGTAACTGTGATGTTAATGTATTTCTTGCAGCTAGCGGTGATCACGTGATGTGGTTTGGCTGTGTCCCCACCCAGATCTCATCTTGAATTGTAGCTCCCATAATCCCCACATGCAACTGGAGGCACCCAGTGGAAGGTAATTGAATCATGCGGGTGGGTTTTCCCGTGCTGTTCTCATGACAGTGAATAAGTCTCATGAGATCTGATGGTTTTATAAAGGGCAGTTCCCCTGCACACGCTCTCTTGCCTGCCGCTGTGTAACACGTGGCTTTGTTTCTCTTGCACCTTCTGCCATGGTTGTGTGGCCTTCCCAGCCATGTGGAACTGTGAGTCCATTAAGCCTCTTTTTCTTTATAAATTACCCAGTCTCAGATATGTCTTTATAGCACCATGAGAACAAACTAATATATCACGTAGCTAGATTCTGGCCATTGGGAGATAAGCAGAACCGCTGTATGAAATTTCCAGGGAAGCCTTCTAAATGGAGCTGACTCAACTGAAAACTGTGTGAGTTTCCCTTTCCCTTTTCCTTTTTGTGGTTTCCAGGATCCCAGACAAGATGCCGGAGCAGCAGCAGCCAGCTTGAGGATAGAGGCTCTGTGCTAAGAATGGTAAATCAGGGAGATGGAAGGTGTCTTGATTCTGGATCTCTTTGTAGTGCTGCCCTACCAGCCCTGGACTGCTCATTTCTGGATTTCTACATGAGAAAATAGAACTTTCACTGGGGCCTGTTGGGGGAGGGTGGGGTGTGAGCATCAAGACAAATAGCTGAAGCATTCTGGGCTTAACACCTAGGTGATGGGTTGATAAGTGCAGCAAAACACCGTAGCACACGTTTACCAATGTCACAAACTAGCACATCCTGCACATGCACCCCAGAACTTAAAATAAAATAAAATAACTTTGTGTGTTTTCTTTCAGGTTTTAAAAAAAATTTATGTAGCAGAATATAATCCTAGCTGAAACATACAAATTAACACTTGCAAAAGAACAGAGGAAAAGTACCATCTAAAATAAATGCAAATATTCTTTCAGGTTTTTTTTAAAGGCATCTTTACTGATATGCAAGGCGTGTGTGTACTACTATCATCAGATGTATGTGGTATTACTAATATAAAATATATTCTGTTTTTATTCATTTTCTTTTTCATCATGACAAATCCTTCAGTGATGTGGGCTTTAGTTTGTCTTCCCATGCAAGGACGATTTTCCTGTAAATTAGAGCAAAAAGAAAAAAGCCTTGTAAATCATCTCTCTCGCTTAACTTGCCCATTGTCCTCCTCTGCAGGAAACCTACAGGTTGCAGAAGAAAATGGCTGGTGGAAATGCAGCAGGAAGAATAACATGGTTCTGAAACCAGGTAAGAATCAGTGAAATTAGTGTAACAGCAGATCTTACCAGCTTTTTTTTTTTTTTCTACTTCACAAACTTAAAATTGGGGAAACTGTTGAGAGGAGTCTTTGTTTTAAATGAGTGCAAGACAAGGACATATCTTTCTAAGGATCACATTAAATGAGGTGGAAAGAGAAGGAGACTCGGATGATAAATCAAAAATCCCACCCCTTCTGTCTACCTCTCCCACCGCCCTCCATTACAACACATCAAGCCAACATGAGGGATTATTTTCCATTCCTAGGGTGTGGTACATTTAGAGAAAAGCCCCCCTTTAGGGCTTTGATAATTTTAGAAAGACGTTCAGAATATGGACATCAAAGTAATGTCTTGTGTTTCTCATGTTCTGCATTTTTCCCTCAAGAAGGGCCAGAATTAATGAACCAAATCCATGTTTTTGTGATAACACAAATTCCAAAGTGCAAACCAGTAGAATTTAGAAAGCAAAAAATCCCATTTTATAATAAGACAACATGATACAGACCACAGGTGGACTGTATCATGAATAGCAACAATGGAGAGGGCAGCAGTGTGTTAGCAGGAGGAAGAAATGATGACAGCAATACCTGGGAGGTCCATGTCGGGATTCCTTACTCAGGAGGCTGGCAAGGAGGTTCTGGACATTGTCTGGAAGCTTCTCTGGGCTGGGGGCTAGGAGTCTTGGTTTCTCTCCATGGGGGCCTCATCACAGGCTGCTTGGACTTCCTCTGAGCACCCAGATTGGGTCTAAGGGTCAGTGTCTAGAGAGAGCTGGCAGAAGTGCGTGGCATTCTAATGCTCTAGCCTGGGAAGTCACACGGCCCCTGGCACCCGGCTGTACAGGTCCCCTAGAGGTCTAGGGTGAGAGACAGCAGTGGCAGCATTTTCAGAGATGTCTCTGGGACTAGGGGTGGGGAGCTGGAAGGGATAGAGAGAGGGAGACTTCTAGAGACCCAAGAGATGAGGCCATTTCTACTGCACTTTGTATTAATATTTAAAGCAGTCCTGAAGGTTTGCCCTGAGTCAACAGGAGAGAGTACTGGTCCCATCCTTCTGTGGAAATAATGTTGAGGTCACGCTGTAAGAAGGGTATGTGGGATGGGACATGCTGTTGTTGCTATCTTGGGAAAATATAGACTGCTCCAGTGGGAAAAACAAATAAATTTCTATGAGGGAGAAGCATTTTTTCAGTCAGCTACTTAGCCTGGAAGCTTATTGACCACGTGTTAGCTCTTAAAACACCTGTGGAGGCCCCAGAGGGTGAGTTTTCACCCCCACCACATATGAGCATCCTGGGCTGTCCAGAAGTCACTGCGTTCATGAAAGTTTCAGAAATTAAGAGTCAAGCACTAATTTTCAGGCACCACTCCTTTCAATAAACACTCCGTAGCTCATTTTGCATTTACGAAGAATTAGGTTGTTTGGGGGAGACTGCTGTCTCCTATACCCTGTCCACTGAGAGGCAGGCATCCCAAATTCAGGTTTCCATGGCAATGGGCTTCCACGTCAGTGCCTCCCTGTCAGGGCTAATCTCCGGCCTGGTGGGGAGTAGGTGATGTGTGCTAGGATCAGGCCTCTGGACAGCCATTGTCACTCCTCCTGCCACAGTGACATACATTCTTACCGTAGTAAATAACAGTAACCTAAGTTTTCCTAGCCTGTGAGAATAAATGAGGTCACATTAACAGCAATAAATCACATTTCGATTGTCAATACCTTCACCCAGCGTACAGATAACACGAATGTTATCTCACCTATGTCTAACAATCAGTTGCCTTTTTATTTTTCACTCCAGGCTGTCCTGGTTGACGTTTCCTGCCCATAAGGCCATCGAAAGGTGGGCATCTCCTCACGTGGCTGCTGCTAGTGACGGACCTAGTATGGCCCTGGGAGTTAAAGCGGTGCTGTGGCCTCTGCAGTCCTCAGCACTCCTTCTGGCACTACAGGCATGCTGTGTTTACAGCAGAGATGGAGAGGTTTTCTGCCCTATCTCCACCCTGCCCAGCCCCTAGCTCTGGGCTTTAGTTTGTTATCTGGGTACCAGAGAGCATAGCTTGAGCCCCTGCGTCTCACAGAGTCCCTTATGACAACAGCCTCCTCAGACTCTGCAAACAACCTCTCTCTCCACAGGGCTCAGATGAGAATCCAGGGAAACCAACTTCTTAAAAATAGATGCCAGTAGGCTGCCTACCCTGCCAAGTCATTGGACATTTCCAGACATGCCTGATTCCCAGCAGAGAACACAAATTAGGCTCTCGAATCCCTGCTACATTACTAAACGTGCATAGCACGCCCTAATGCTTTCCCCTGAATCAACTCTGTTCGGTAGGTAGGACAGATGATAGTATTATAGTTTCCATCTTTCATACAGAGAAATTAATTCTTAGTGAGAAAAAGCTAGAAGCCTGAAGTGAGATAATAATTAAGATTCTGATTGATCACATGAATGGAGGGCTTTGAATAGCAAATCTGGCACTCTCCTGGGGTACTTCACGGTAACAGGTCACCAAGCTTGGCCCAGATGCTCTAGACAGAGGCATTTTCCTCTCTGTGCTCATGGCATGTTGGTTTGTTGCAGAGTTTGCTGTATTTTGTGACACCACTTTAAACGTCAGTCTTCTCCACTAAACATCTCTCATGCCAGCAAAGTGCCTGGCATGGAGAAGGGACCTGATAAACATTTATCGGTGGTATGAATATGAATTTTTAAAAAAAATCTCTTAATGTTTCTCTAATGAAGGTGGAATCCTCCCACCCCAGAGAACATTTGGAAGTGGAGGAGCATTTTTCGTTGTCACAATACCAAGGAGTGATGCTCCAAGCCTTTTATAACCGGGGCCAGGGATACGGGATATCTTGCAATCTGTCAGACAGTCCTGCACAAAGAAGTGCTCTGTCCAAAATGCCAATCGCTCCTCCTTTGAGAATAACTACAAGGAAGTCCAAATGTTAGGAAAGTCCCAAGCACTCCTAAGCCTTCGAGTCTAGCCTAGGAATAACTTAGCTATCTGTGACCTTGCTATTTGAGTTTTGAGACAAAATAGGGGTTATGCTATATACCCACCTCATGCTATGGTTTAATGAGAACATATGTAAGAGGCCTAACAGAGTGGTTGCATGTGGCAGGAAGACAAGTGATTTGAGCTCCTTTTCCCCTTACTTCAGGTAATAGGAACAATCATTTGTCTATGTATCAGTTTGGCCTATGGTTTAATTCAACTGAAAGATATTTTGAAAGCAGGCCTAGTGTTCTACGATCTGCCCTTGGAAATATAAAAAGTAGTATGGTAGTATATTTCCCAATTGTTATGAGGATTCGAGTTTCTAAAGATCAGTGCCTGGCACTGAGTAGTCTCTTTATAAATAGTTGACTTGATGATAGGTGGCAGAAATCGAAGAAAAGCAGTGCTCTTGCTTAAATATTAAGGTAGCATAAAATCAAATCATATTCTCCCTCTTTAGCAAAATTGAGTGAGATTTCTTTAGTAAGTTCTGCTTATCCACTATTTCCTGCAAATTAAACAGACTTCCCACAGAAGACAACAATTCTTGACTTCACTCTGTTCCCACCATTGCAGAGTAATGCATGCTTGGGGCAAAAACACATATGACTCACCTGTTTTATAGTGTCTCTTCGTACCCTTTCAATTCCCACTGGTGAACGAATTTACTTTCTACCTGCTTCTTATTAGAGAAAATATGTCATAGAAACATTACAAAATGTTGATAAGAATAGAAAACCATAATCCTAACCCTATTGCAACTGTTTAAAAAATTGCCTTCCAATGCTTTTCTATAAGAATGTCTTTTTGCTGGGCGCGGAGGCTCACGCCTATAATCCCAGCACTTTGGGAGGCCGAGGCGGGTGGATCACGAGGTCAGGAGTTCAAGACCAGTCTGGCCAAGATGGTGAAACCCCGTCTCTACTAAAAATACAAAAATTAGCCGGGCATGGTGGTGGGCGCCTGTAATCCCAGCTACTCGGGAGGCTGAGGCAGGAGAATTGCTTGAACCCAGGAGACAGAGGTTGCAGTGAGCCGAGATCGTGCCATTGTACTCCAGCCTCTGTGACACAGCGAGACTCTGTCGCAAAAAAAAAAAAAAAGTCTATTTATGGAGTAGCTATCATAATGCACATACTATTTTGATTTCTACTATATCCAATTTGTATTATATATTTTCCACGTTTCCACGTAATTGTAATGTTTAATGACTGCAAAATATTCCATTGCTTTAATATGCCATCCCATCTTGTTGGATATTGAGATTGTTCTTACTAGGTAGGGCAGCAATAAATATTTTTTTTACAAACAATTTTTAGCACTGCTTCAATATTTCATAGAATAAATCTCTAGTACTTTAAATACAGAGTCAAAGCAGAATGAATATTATGACTCTTGTTCTGTATTTTCTTACACATTTCCAAAAAGGCGATACCAATTTCCAATGCCAATAGAAGTATATAAGAATCCAGTTGCACTGCAGCCTTGAAGCATATAATTATTTTTTAAAAATTAGCAGGTTTAAAATAATACCAGTGAACCTTACTTTATATTTATTTGATTATTATCAAGCATAATTATTTTCCATATGCTTTATTTTCTCTTCATATTTCCTTCCGTGAATGTTTACATAATCCAACTTCTCCCTAACCAGAATCGAATATAGTAGAAGAAAAAGAATACTGGGTTAGTTTTGGGGCTTCTAGCAGCATGGTCTTCTAACTTAATCTCTTTTTGCCCAACACACCTCATCTGTGTCTGAAGGAAGTTGGCTAATCGCTGATTCTTTCTAGCTCTAAACTTAAATTATTCTAAATACCCTACATGAAACAGGCCAAACTTAACCATATACAGTATTACAAAGTATCATATCTGTAATTGGCATAGGTAAATATCTAGAGTTTAAAACTTGGGCAGGTGGAATTCTTAATAGATTTCAGGGAATCTCATAATTTCTGAGAAGTATGTGAAGGTTAATAGAGAAACTCTTAATTCATTTATTCAACAGGTATTTAGAGAGGACCTATAATGTACTGGCCTCCATAACAGACGCTTGGCATGCAAAGATAAAGCAGATATAGTTGTAGGGGAGCTTTGGTCAAATGCAAGAGATGGATGGACAGGAGAATTACAAGGAAGTGTGGTAGGGGCTACAGTGAGCAGCACGGGGAGCAGTTGCTTAAGAGGGCTTCACAGAAAAGGGGCTTTGAACCAGGACTTGAAAAATGAGTAAGATTTTGCCAAGAAGAGGCTAGAGGAGTGAGTAGAGGTAGAGAGGAAAGTCTTGGCCTGCAGGGAAGGGCATGTGAAACGCATGAATCTATGCAAAACAACTTACTAATAATAGTGAGAAGTTAGTTTTCTGGGATATATGGTGCATTGTGCAGAAATAGAGCTGGACAGTAAATGGGGGTTAGATTTTATGCCAAGCAAAGGAGTCTGTTTTTTATCTTCTGGGAAGCTTGGATGCTTGGATATAGCCGGAAGCCAGGGGAGATTTCTAAGCAAGGGAGCGATATGGCTAGTTTTTTTTTTTTTTTTTTTTTTTTTTTTTTTTTTTTTAAGATCACTTCTGGAAATCCACAAGTGCCATTAGAATTTACTCATCTCAAAGCTTGGATTAATTGTGCGAACTTGGGGGCTCTGTTTTGAGGCCTTAACCATTTTCATTCAATACATGGTTGAGTGTTCTTCTTCTATTTGCCTATGACTATCAGGCATCTGAAAAGCTGGGAAACAGAAGATGAATTTATTTTTAAACAGTATTTAGCTATATTTTCAAATAATATGCAGAATCTTTTCCTTCAAACTCCAGACATCTATTCAGATGAAGCACTTCTATATTTAAAACAATGGGTTCAGTTGTGGATTTGTCAAAAAAGTGTAAGGAATGTGTGTCCCAGGTTGGATAATAAATTACACGGTCATGTTATCTAATCTGGAATGCCACAGATCTTGTGGCAGAGGGAAAGAGACCATGGTAGAGCTATGTATGGCTCATAGCTTCTGTTCAGACAAAGCATACATCAATTCCACTCATATTTCATTGGGCAAAGCAAGTCACACACTCGAGATCAACATGCCCCCTCCTGAGGGGAAAATGAAAGTCACATGGACCAGCAACCTATATATAGAGTCTGTATGCTTATGCAATATATACAGTAGTATCTACATCTAGATGTCCATCTCAATTATTAAGAAAGGTTTTTTTAAATTATACTTTAAGTTCTAGGGTACATGTGCACAAAGTGCAGGTTTGTTACATATGTATACATGTGCCATGTTGGTGTGCTGCACCCATTAACTTGTCATTTACATTAGGTATATCTCCTAATGCTATCCCTCCCCCCACCCCACTACAGGCCCTGATGTATGATGTTCCCCTTCCTGTGTCCACGTGTTCTCATTGTTCAATTCCCACCTATAAGTGAGAACATGTGGTGTTTGGTTTTTTTGTCCTTGCGATAGTTTGCTGAGAATGATGGTTTCCAGCTTCAACCATGTCCCCACAAAGGAAATGAACTCATCCTTTTTTATGGCTGCATAGTATTCCATGGTGTATATGTGCCACATGTTCTTAATCCAGTCTATCATTGGTGGACATTTGGGTTGGTTCCAAGTCTTTGCTATTGTGAATAGTGCCGCAATAAACATACTTGTGCAAATTATTAAGAAAGGTTTTAACTAGTTTTTCAGTGATAAAATCAAGGCCAGTCCTTTTTCATTTGTTCTTGGCCACATCCCTCAACTTGCCAGCCCTGCCCTGTGTTGCAGAGTGCTGACCCTTGCAAAATATGTTTCCTGAGCTTCCTTGATTTTTTCTTAGGTTTCTTCAATGGTAGGTTCTGGCGGGAGATTGAAGGATGTGAGGAAGGAAGAAGCCAGAGTATTCCTCCTTTCTCTCTCTGTGTCTGTTAGCATCTCTGGCTGTGGCTGTCGCCCCTCCATTGCTCCAGCAGCTATCTGGCCAGCCTCCTTGTTGGACCCAGCTGCCTGTGAACAGCCCCCTCTTGTGGGCTCCTCTCTTTGTCCATCCAGCCCTGAGAATGAGAGTGCCATCTTTCAGTGTCTAATCTCCAGTTGCTACACCGTTTGCTACTTCAGTTCTTTCTATGCCTTTAATAGTTCATCACATTCACTTCCCTCTATTGAATGACCTGGAATGGGTTCTATTTACCTGACTGGACTCTGCAAAATACTCTATTCTGTTCTTGAAATTAGTCACCTTACTCAAACTTGTCCACCACCTTAAGTAACCTTTACTCCAATTGTCCATTCACCAGGGTTGGCTGTGACTACTTTAGAAAGTGTGGTTAAGCTCCTTTAAAACACCTTATATCACAAGACCATGCTACTACCTTTTGTTCTAGGCCCAACAAATATATCATAAGGTGGCACAAATAAATATTTTTAAAACATTTACAAATATTTACAAGTTCTTATCTTTAAAAACATGGCAGGCCGGGTGCGGTGGCTCACGCCTGTAATCCCAGCACTTTGGGAGGCCGAGGCGGGTGGATCACAAGGTCAGGAGATAGTGACCATCTTGGCCAACATAGTAAAACCCCTTCTCTACTAAAAATACAAAAAAATTAGCTGGGTGTGGTGGCGGGCGCCTGTAGTCCCAGCTACTTGGGAGGCTGAGGCAGGAGAATGGCGTGAACCCAGGAGACGGAGCTTGCAGTGAGCCAAGATCCCACCACTGCACTCCAGCCTGGGCGACAGAGCAAGACTCCATCTCAAAAAAACAAAAAACATGGCTGAGCAGGACTAGGGTGGCAGTGGAATTATCTGAGAACAAATGAGCAAATTATTGACCCAGGTTCCACTCCTCAAAAAACAAGATAGGCTGGCACAGTGGCTCATGCCTGTAATTCCAGCACTTTGGGAGGCTGTGGCTAGAGGAGTGCTTGAGCCCAAGAGTTCAAGACCAGGCTGGGCAACATCTATACAAAAAATGTTTAAAAAATAGCTAGGTGTGGTGGCATGTGCCTGTAGTCCCACCTACTTGAGAGGCTGAGGTGGGAGGATCACCTGAGCTGAGGAGTTGGAGGCTGCAGGGATCTATGATGTCACCTACTCCAGCCTGGGTGACAGAGTGCGACTCTGTCTCAAAACAACAACAACAATGACAACAAACAAGATAAGCTTTTCCTTTGTGTGTGATTAAGATACCTACATATAGATATTGACATTTACCTCGCACACAGGTATATACATGCACACATATGACATTTATATATTCATAGATATATAAGATTTAATTATATTTAAAAGACTATGGATATACTGGTAGTCTTTAAAGAGTTTATTTAAAGATATTTAGAATATAATGATCACAGCCAGAGGATGACTTATTTAAAAGCTCCTACGTTCTATACTAATTTTCTATTGATATCTTTGATACAATATTTGGAAGCAAATTTTAAATATGGGAGGGAGTAGCTAGAGACACTGTAGGAAAAAGATTTGATATCATCCGGAAAGAATTTTTGCAAATAAGTACTGAATGAATGGGCAAATGACAGCCTTAGAGACAGTGAAGTCACATTTTGCTTCCTCTTGAATTAACAAGGGGATTTTGCTTCAATGTGTACAAGGGAGAGGAGCAGGAAAGATTGGTTTCTGGGGAACAGTTTACTCATCCTGAGGCAGTCTGCTGCTGGTCTGACCCCAGCAGGCACAGCGGCGGCTGTAGAGGCAGCACTATAGTAGTACTGCTAAATGTTTTCTAACCTTCTGAAGGGACCTCTGAGGAGCCTCTCTCCAGGGACTGTCACACTGGACAGAGCAGGATTGAACATGGGAGTTGGGCAGTCACCAGGGTTTTTTGAGTCAAAATGACAGCAGGTTCCTCTGAGGGACATTTCCTGAGGAATGGAGTGGCACTGGGCTCTTAATGTGCCTAAATGTGGACTTCAGAGACAGACTGACCTAAATTAAAATCCCAGCTTGGCCACTTACTAGCTACATGAGCTTGAGCATATTTTATAATTTCTTTGACTCTCAATCTCTGCCTTCATTAAAGTGAGGACTATATCATATCTTCTTGGGCAGGGATGCACACGCACACACACACACACACACAGACCCAGCCACCCGCCATGCTTGGTTCATAAAAAGCACTTATTTGATGTGTTATTTTTAGTATTGACAATAATAAGTTATTCATATGCTGTATTTCTAAGATGCATGCAGCCAGTTTATGACATAATTATATTTCTCTGCTTCTCTACCCTGCTGCAAGGACCTCTAATCCAGTTTTGTCACCACGCAAACTAAGAGCCTGAAGCCCAAAGAGGGTCAAGAACTTGCCCCAAATTAGACAGCTAGTGAGTAGTAAACGCGGCCCTTCCGATTCAATCAGGAATCGCAACAACGTCTCTCCTTGGTGTGCACACTCTCCCTGCCCACCCCTTCTCAGGGACCTTCCCAAAAATGGCGGCGTAATGTATCCAGAAAGAGTCCTACTGGCACCAGATCTCCTCCCCTTTCCTTATTTGAATCCACCTCCCTGCATCATTCTATCTCTTTTTTTTTTTCAACCAGAGACTTAATTTTTTCTCCTCTGAATTTTATTCTTTACTTGCCTTCCCTTAAATGTGCTGACATTCTGTGCCTCATTAGTTAGTTTTTTAATTCATTCAACAAACATTTAATCTAACACTTTTAAGGTGTCAGACGCTGGAGAGCTAATGCTTAAAATTACTCCAGGGGCTCACAATCTATGGAGGAAATGAACTTATAAGCAGAAATTGCAATACTTTGTGATTAGGAGGGGAACACAGGACCTTGGGACCCCAAGACCCTCCCACCAACAGGAGGCGGTCTAGCATGGCAGTTGACAGCATGGGCTGTAAAGCGAAATCCTGGGGATTTGAATCTCAGCTCCTCCATCCATGTGTGCCCGTAGGGAAATTGTATAGACTCAAGGAGCTTTGATTTCCTCTCCTATAAAGTAGGAAATGTAATAGTACCTGCCCCAGAGGGAATGTGAGGCTTAAATGAGAAAACTTTTAAACTTTAAATATTTAAATATATTTACAAGTTGTCATCTCCCTTTAGATATAGAGCTGAGCGGGAGAAGGGCAGGAAATCTATCTGAGAGCACATAGTAAGCATTCAACCAAAGCGATTTCTTTTTGCCTTAGGAGGGAGAGTAAACAGAGATTACTCATCATTGAATAGCTGGAGTTTAGGTTATTCATGAAAAAGGATCAGGATCTCTCCTATTCCTGCAGCCAAAGCAAAAATTTCATAGTTATACTCCAAATGTGAATGATCAGCGTGATCACAAGTAGCTGAGGAACTGACCCTGAGGGTGGTTGATGACTGACTTTTTATAGCGGATGGGCTGCCAGAGCTGACAAACAAAGCTTAGGCAAATGCTGGATCTCACAACCTGTGTGGTCCAGCTGTGGGCTGAACAAAGAGTGGCATATGTGATGGGAGAGCTTTGAATAGAGCCCGAGATTGCATGTTTCTGTGTGCAGGAAAATGGTTTACTCAGTGAATACTCTTTCTTTTCCAGCATCCTTTCCTACTTGGAGCTTAGGGCCGAAACCATGAGGCGATTTCTCTACTTTGCTGGCTGTGTTTCCTGAGCAAGGTGAGCATATCATTTTCCATTCAGCTCTCAGCTAATAGAGAAGTTCCTCAGGCAAAAACACAAACACACGAACACAAAAAAATCAGGATAGATGGAACAAAACACAAATGTCTTCTGCCTTTCTCCAGTGTTTGGAAAAATAAACTTGCTGGAAAGGGGACATTGAATTAATTCCTCAACAGGCAGGCACACTTGTGGGTTTCAGCTATGGGGACTCTGAAAGCTGTGTCAGTTGGTGTGAATTCTACATTTCTTTGTGTGTATGTGTGTGTGTTTATGTGCATGAATGAGTGTGTGTGTGTGTGTGTGTGTGTGTGTCTGTATGTTGGTGGGGGTGGGGGACTGGTTTAAAGGGGACTGCTGTAGCTCAGACAGGGCGGGAACTCATTTTCATTTGGAATCAAATGCTTTCAGAGCCAGATAAAACGAAAAACTTTATTCAGCATTTTCTGAAAGAAGCCACCCAAGGTCTCCTTTTTCAGTATCTGGGACCACAAATGCCAACTAAGTCACACGGGCTATGTCTGTGCACACACATATGTAATTTTTAATATCCTCACATGACTAAAATGGATTTGTCCCATTCAGTGGGAAGCCACAACATTTATTACATCTCTTTCTCAAATAAAGCTCAAAGCGAGCATTTCATCTTTCCTCATGTAATCATCATAAGGTAGCAAATGAAATTTTCCAAACCTAAAAGCATGTTGCTAAGAGCTCCAGGGCACTGCATGTCACTTCTTACTTTGATGTGTTCATGGAAGGGGGTGGGGGATGACAAAAAAAAAAGGAGAAACGAAAGAAAAGAGAAAGAAAGAGGCACCACATCTTCCTGGAGAATTCAGAAAGCAATTTTTTTCTTTTTTTTTTTTTTAACTCTTTATGCAGTGACAAGATGGAGCTGATTAAAAGAAGACAAGGGAAGTCTCAGTGCCAGACCACTTCAGAAATGAAGCATTCCAGAAAGGCATGTACGAACTCCTGTCAGGAACAGGAATGATTTCATGGCCCCTTTTGCATATTAATGAACTACAAGTAACCTCAGTTTAGCGGTGCAGATGCAACATTTCAGGAGCGGTGCCAGAATTCAGCGATAAATGCCAGCTCCAGGGGAAATACATTTCATGATAGAATTAGGAGAGCAGCCATCTGAGACGTCCACAGAAATCGCCACCCCCCTCGAAATGGAAGGCGGTGTCTGGGGAGCAGGGCACTGGTGGCCGTGGATGTGGGGTATCGGGTCATTTTTCTAAAACCGGTTCCCAGGCATGCTCTCAATCTTCTACTCTTCTGACACTGCATATTTCCTCAAGCAACAAAATCATTTGCCAAAAGGTCAAGCTTAGGTGAATCGATCAATTTGGCTGCCTATTTTTCTGGTGTAACTTAAAAAAAATGTTTAATCATATAGTCCTCCTTGTTTTAGAAGCAAAATACCTCTTTTTGCTTCTTCCCCACCCTGCTCCCCCAACTGCCTGTCAGGCATTTTGTTTCCCCCAACTTCTTGCAACCTGTGGTTGTATTTTCTGGCAGAAGGCAAGCTCTCAGCAGTCCTCTTTTCTTCCAGTGCTCCTCCAGAATTTGCTTGATTCTCGCCCCCTTGCTCGCTCATTCCCCTTTGCCCCATACGCGTAGTGCAACCGTCACTGTCGTCTGTGCTCACCATCTGTTTCTAAAATTCCTATGATACAGAAATCACATGACAGTTTGAGGTGCAGCCATTTCAATGTTGCAAGCTTTCGCTTGGCAGGGTTTGGAAGCGATGGCTGTGTGGTTTTGCTGCATGGGGTGACCACCTCACGTGGTGTGACAGCAAGCCATCTTGAAGGACCTTCGAAAGCTGCTGCCGACAGGATCAGATGTTTCTGTGAGACTGAGAATGGAGAATAAAGCCACAGGCTTTATTTTCAGCTGAGACCCAGGCTAGATTGCAGCCAAGGAGAAGAGAAAACACGTACAGAGCAATGCTCTGCACTGCATTGTAAAAAAATAATACACACCTAGAATTGACTTAGCTGCTCTCTCAGTCAACTCTTGCCAGAATAATGCTGCATGGCAAAACACTCTGAGATTCAGCAGCTTCACACAATTATTCAATCTCACCCATAAGTCTGCAGGTCAGGTGGGGGTTGGCTGACCCAGGTTTGGTCTATCCGGGTTTGCCTCCGAGCTGCAGATTAGGTCCACGTCTGCTCTATGAGAGCTATGTGGGCTCTCATTCTCTTGGGCAAGTGGGCTACCTGGCTTGAGTTCTTATGGAGACGGCAGAAGTGCACGAAGGTAAATCTAACAGTGCTTATATCACATCTGCTAATATTCCATTGGCCAATGCAAGTCATATGAACAAGCTGGAAGCCAAGAGCAGGGAAGAGTAAGTCACATGCTTAAGCTCAGGTTCAATGGGGGGCCAGGAAATATAACCCCCTCATGAAGGTAGGGAAGGAATGAAAAATAATTAAGTGATAGCATAAAATCTATCACACTTGCTGTGATGGACGTATTGGTGCCCACCCAAATATTCATTCCTTCTTTTGGTAATTACTTTCATTTTCATTTTGGTATCCACGATTCCTTAGCAATTGTACCTTTTGGGAAAACTAATGCTTTACTCAGTTCTATAGATTGGGAAGGTGATCAGGCTTAGGTTACCAGCATAATCCTACCCTCTGGGCATAATTACTAGTTTAAGGATAAACATGCAATCCAATTGGGGACAATGAGAATAGAGGAGACATTTGCTAGGAACTCGTAGAAAACGGGCTTTCTTCTTACTCAGTGAGAACTACTAGAAAAGATGCCTTGAACTGTGTAGTGTGTAGCTGTGCCTTTTGCAACTGCTGAGGTGTGAGGGTGTGAGGATGAAGGTGGTGCACAGGGAGGACTTATGATTGAGACTGTAGGAAAATCAGTTCATTTCCTGATCAATCCTAACCTGAAGCTCACCCTATTTCTGGGATTTTTAATTAGGTCAGCTAATAAATTACCTTTATTGTTTATTGGGTTTAAATTACTTGCAATTAATACTATTTTAGACTTTTAAGATGTTGGGGTGTGTGTGTGTGCATGTGTGTGTGGTATGGTGTGAGATTTAATTCTTTTGTACCTCAGGTTCCTAAGATTGCTAGTCTGCAATATGGGGATAATTGTTGTTGTACTATAGTAATGCGATAATACATCAAGGTCCTAGCACACAGCAGACCAGCCATCTTGCACATTTCTTCCGGCTGTTCTCCAGAGGAGGGAATAAGCACAATGCTTGTGGAGCTGCCTCAAACAAGAGAGGATTTCTTTTTTCTAATTTTCCCCAAACCCGTGGGCTAGCCAAAGCCCTCATAGAAGACACTTAACAAATAAGACGCTTAACAAATAGTAGTTTTTCCTTTTCTCTTTTATAGTCGTTACTTATTTGGAGGGCTAAAAGATAAAAGCAAATGAATTTTCTGTTCAGCAATAGAACTCTTAAGGAACATTGTTAATTGTGATTGTTTCTCTCTTAAAAAGCAGTTAATTTCTCCCTTATACGGTAGTCATTTTTTTTTCTCTCTTCCTTTCCTGAAGCTCATTTTCTTTCTCTTTTTATTCTTCATTTTCTATGTTTTTATCCTTTCCAAGAGCCTCTTCTCTTTGTCTTCTTTCCTTTCTTCTCCCAAGTCTCTGCCTACTTTTGCTTTCCTCTCTCACTTTTGAAAAGGACTTCTGAGGACTTGGCCTTTTTGACCTCAGAGTCTCTTTTTGTAAAAGCTGATATGCTGGCTTGGCGTGGTGGCTCACCCCTGCAATCCTATCACTTTAGGAGGCCGAGGCAGGTGGATCACGAGGTCAGGAGATCGGGATCATCCTGGCTAACACGGTGAAACCCCGTCTCTACTAAAAATACAGAAAATTAGCCGGGCGCGGTGGCGGGCGCCTGTAGTCCCAGCTACTCGGGAGGCTGAGGCAGGAGAATGGCGTGAACCCGGGAGGCGGAGCTTGCAGTGAGCCGAGATCAGCCCACTGCACTCCAGCTTGGGCGACAGAGCGAGACTCCGTCTCAAACAAACAAACAAACAAACAAAGAAAAAGCTGATATGCCATCTTCAAAAGCAGAGCCTCTGGAGTGAAATGTATCTGAACACACAGCCTGGCTCTGTGACTCTGCACTTACTATGTTCTCTGGACCTCGCCTTTCCCCTCTGTAGAATTGGTCTAATTTACCTACTTTGGGGTTTTTGTGGAAAACTGAATGAAATCATGCGTGTCAAGTACCTGAGACTGTATAAATCAATCAGTAAACTGTAGCTGCTTCTCTTTTCAGCTTCTTCAAATAAGGTCATAGTTGTAAAATGCTTGGCATAGAGTAGGCACCAAACATTTAGCATACATCATTCATGTTTTATTTAAATAGAACAGCTGCTGACACCATCATTTTCCTGTCTTAGCCTTTTTCCCTGTAAACAAGTCTTTACCTAATTGTTTGAGTAGCTGAAACATCCCTTGTCCAAACATGGACAGAGAACATAAGAGTGAACTGTTTAGTTCATGGCTACTGAGAGAATTCTGGGAACGCTTCCTGCATGCCCTTAGGCAGATGGTCGGCCCACATATATTTCAACAACACAAATTAATGTAAAACATATTCATGTATGTATTAATTAATGCTAATGTATTCATAAGCAATTCAGATAATAGGCAGTCCATTCTGACACCTCCCTCCTAATTCATTCACCCTAAAGAGACCGACTCTTGCTTAATTTTTGGCTCAAACAAGTTGAACTACTGTGATTTCAGGAGCTTCCTTTCTTCCCCACTCCCTGTGGCCACCTGCCGCTGCCGAAGAATTCCTCTAGCGGGTGGAAAAAGCCTTCCAGACTGTAATTAGATGGAGGGAGAAATTGTGTCTGTGCAAATACTTAAGTAGTATGAAGAGTATGAATTGAATTTCTGTCTCAGGGAAATCAGATAAAAGGTGGGTATAGGAGGTAAGTATCAGTACTTGAAGAGAAGGCTGAGGATGAAGGAGAAGTCAACTGGGGGTGAAAAAGTCATGAAGATTTAGAGAATTGCCCAGAGTCAGATCTTTGTGTCTTAAAGTGGAAGCTGTGTTCTGAGGAATGTTCTTTGTGGAGTGCCATGATACACTTTAAGCAAGTTTGAATTTAAGGTTGTTTTTGTTGCTGCTGTTTTAAAAAACTGAGTTGCTTTCAAGAGATGAAGATTTTTCCCAGGGAATTCTTTAATGTTGGAGCTTGAGGACAGAGTTTAGATACTAATGAGGTCTCTGCCTTCAAGGGATTTATAATCAAATTTGGAGAACTATGGAATGAGATAAGACAACTGTCAATACAAATATATAGAACATCCTGCTTATCATTGGCCCTCCCCTCACATACACATCCTGTTGGCTTCACGTCTGCTGGATGTGTGGGTCTTTTGGGATTGGGCTGTCAGAACTGCTGTTACTAGGAGGTAAGCAGTTAGAAAGTTCTTCCTGAACCTGGAGGAGTTGGCACTCTGTGTTGTTCCTCCCTGTTGTATATTTTTGTTCAAACTAGAAGGTTTTTATTCCAGTAAAAAAAAAAAATTGTAACCCATGTATGAAAACAAGTCATTGATACAAAAGATGAAAAAGAACATAGACCAGATCTGGACTGGATATTAAGAGAATGGGCCAATGAGAAAAGCAAAGTAAGCCCCTATCCTCCCCCATGCTGGACCATTTTCAAACTCCTTTCAGAGGCATCCTCACAACCATCCTGTGAAGGCCTGAAGGCAAGTGGTAGAGACCAGGTTTATACTTGGATTGTTTCTGCTTCTGTAAATGAGAGAGCTTGGAGGAAATGATTGTTGTGTTAGCAACCTCCAACAAGGCCCCTGATGTTCCCTGCCACCTTGTATTCATGTTCCTGGGTAATTTATCCCCTTGAGTGTATACTGGATCTAGTGATTCCTAATGAGTAGAATACAGCAGAAGTGATGGGAT
This sequence comes from Homo sapiens, assembly GCF_000001405.40. Lineage (NCBI taxonomy): Eukaryota > Metazoa > Chordata > Mammalia > Primates > Hominidae > Homo > Homo sapiens. The sequence continues at coordinate 1,912,678 of NC_000009.12, read as the reverse complement.
GTCACTTCTGAGATTAGGTTATAAAAAGACTGTGGCTTCTGTTTTAGGAACTCTCTCATTCTTTCTGTCTCTTGGATATTCTTACTCTGGGGAAAGGAAGCTACCCATTTTGTGAAGAACCAAAAGCCAGAGAAGATTTGAGGCTGGCCAAAAGCCACATGAGAGAGCCCAGAAGCAGATCTTCCCCTATTGGGGCGATGAGGTACCTGCCACCTTGATTGCAGCCTTTTGTGAGATCCTGAGCCAGGGCCACTCAACTAAGCCACTTCTGGATTTCTCACCCACAGAAACCATGAGATAATAAATGCTTATGGATTTCAGGTGCTGAGCTTTGGGGTAATATGTTATGCAGTAATGAATAATTAATACAGTTGACCTTTGGTCTTTTAAAGTTACGTTTTTTTTTTTTTTTTTTTTTTGCATGCAAAACTAAAATATGCTTTTGGTTAAAGCAGAAAACAAAAAACAAAACAAAAACACCCAAAGTTTAACCAAGAGTTTACCATTATTCTCCACAGGGTAGATGGAGTAAGTTATTTAAAACATGAATCACATCATGTCACTCCCCTGTTCAAAAACATCCAGTGAGATCTCATTATGTTTGGACTATAATCCAAAGCTCCTCCTGTGGCCTCCAAGGCCCACGTGACATCCATGCTGTCCCTAAGACCCCAGAGAGTATGCTCTTCCTCTCACTCATTGAGCTCCAGTAAGGGAAGCCTCTTGTGTATCCCACACTCTCGCCTGAGTCCTGTACTTGCTTTATTTTTTTCTTCTGAACTGCTCTTCTTCCAGATGGTCTTATTGCCGACTGCCTCACCACGTTCATTTCTTCAACGATGCCTCCTCAGGTTTCTGTTCAAATGTCAATTTGTAAAGATGCTTCTGGGAATATCCCGTCTAAAATAGCCCCTTTCACCTACTATCCCAATGGTATAAGTGTATCATGTTACTACCTGTTACTTTTTGTCCAATTGTCTGTCTCTCTCTGAGAATGCTGGTTCTATAAATGCAGGGATTTTGTTTGGTTCACTGCTATAGCCTAAGCTCAATAAATATTTATTAAATAAATACTGTATTTGCTTTCATTCCTTATTCTCTCTCTTTTTCTTTTTTCTTGCCTCTACTTAGTTTTTCAGATTTTTAGATATTTTGGTTTTACAAGCAGAAAATAAAACATAATTTAAAAAGACAACACTCTATCATATTCAGATTTTTTAAACTTTCAAAACACAATTTCTGTGTAATATATTTTCATATGAATGTATCATCTGAGTAGTGGGGCATGAAAATCTAGCCAAACTTCCTGTGTTTCAGTTTCCTCATCTTGAATATGGAAAGGCCTTAAAGAGCATTGAATAAAATAATGCAGGTAACTTACTTTACACAGTAGTACAAAGTGAGGAATCAATAAATGTCAGAGACACAGGAATCCCATCTCAGAGGCTTCAGTGAGTGTGTTGTAAGTAATGAAAGTGCTTATTGTAAGTTTCCTTGACGGGGTGAGTTTACAAAAAGAAACATGCAGGAAAAACCCTTGTTTACCCATTCATCTCCTCATATCTTCTTTTCCTTTGTTTTTTTTTTTTTTTTTTGGTTCTCATATTCCTCTCATGGAATAATGTTTTCTCTTTTTCCAGGCACACTTGCCTGCCTTCTATGTAAATCAACCTATTTATTTTACTTCTTTAAATACAAACCCCTCCCCCTCTCCCCCTTTTTGAACTCAGTAACACATCCTGAGGGGGCATATTCGAGGACAGGAAAGTCAAGGGAGAGACTTCACCAGAATTTTCCTGGGATAGAGGTGGGGTTATTGGTGGTAGGAGACAGAAAAGGCAGTGAACATTTACATATTTGTGTATTTTTTTCTATCATGGATTCATGGTAATATACTAGGCACTTAGTTTCAGAGCTTTTTCTATTCTAAATATTGCAATACTGAACATCTTTGTATGTTTTTCTAAATTCTGAGTATTTCTCTAGGATAGTATATTAGTTAGAGTTCATACAAGAAACTGAAAGCACACTTAAATGGGGTAACTGAGGACTATTTAGGAAAGTGTGAGCATCACTGAGGCAGACCAGTAAACCAAAGGGGCAAAGTGAGGAAGCAGTGACAGGAAATGAGAGAGACAAGTGGAGCTGAAGCCATGGCAGTTGCTACAGCTGCAGGAGGTCGCTTCCCAATAGGAATCATGGCCTGTGCTAAGGGAATTCAGCCATTTCTAACACGTGGCCTCACTAGGAGGAGCCAGGGAACTATATACTCCCACTTCTCTCTTATCCTGTCTACTGATTCTGCTGGAGCCTTCCATTGGCCCAACTTAACCAGAAGTTAGAAGACTAGGGAGCCCCAATTCAGGGAGAAAGAAGGGTGGAGGATGGATCTGGAGGACCAAATGGAGAATATCCACCACAGAAGGATTTCTACAAGTGCAGTTTCTAGGACAAAGGGTGTGATTAGGCTTAACACGTTTAATATATATTGCCTTCAATCTTATTCTTTATAAAAAGGACAGTCCTATTTAGAAGAAACTAGCAGAAGATTTTTACACCCATAGGTGCCAATAGAACAATAAAGATATTCTGCCCTGAAAAGCAAAAACAAGCTTCCTTTCTGAAGAGTCCATCATGTACTGTTTTCTTTCAGTGAATGGAAAATGTTAACAGTAAGAGGAGTTTCTAGGCAGAAATTCAAAAGAAGGTGGCAGAAGTTTTTTTATACCAATATGCAGCTGTAGGGCCATATAGATATCTAGCACTGAAAAGTAAAAAAAAAAAACAAAAAAAAACCAACTTATTTTCTGAGCAGTTTCTCATGCACTTCTTTCTTTCAATGAATCAAAGATTTTAACACCAAGAGGTGTTTGTAGGTAAATAGAAGAAGACTGTAGAAGTTTCTTTCCCCATGTGCACATATAGGGCCAAACAGATATCCGGTTATGAAATGTTAAAACAACCTTCCTTTCTGAACAGTTCATCATGTACTGTTTTCTTTCAGTGAAAAAATCAAAGACAAAAACAAACAAACAACCAGTCTTAACACCTAGGGTAGAAACTGCTTTGTGTTTAACAAAATTTATTTGTTCCACCCTCTGGCACACAGAATGGACTACATCTCCCAGTCTCTCTTGCCGTGAGGTATAGTCATGTGACTGAGTTCTGGCCAGTGGGTTGTGGATAAAAATGATTCAGGCCTGTTCTAGACCTAGACTATAAAAACTTCCCTGGGCAATTCCCTATGTTCCTGTCCCGGTTGAATTAAAAAAAAAAAAAAAACAACCACTGTGTCCTTGGCAATCATGTGTTGAATATGACAGTACACAGGATGACAGATACTTGGGTCCTGCTATTTAGAGGTGGGCCACCGGGGACACATGCAATTGGCTGTGACATTAGTGAGCACTAAACTTGTATCTTGTTAATTGTAGCAGACACTTCCAGTACCATATGTCACATTCTTACATCCCCTCAGCTTGCGTCTGATTTCAGCTGTAGCTGAGGTGAAGAATTCTGTAATAACTTGGACAGATTTGGTGTTGACAGTGTCCCACTTCTAGTATGCCATGTGCATCCCCTACTTTTTGCCTCATGGTCTTCTCTACCTTGCAGAAATAGGCTTGGCCTGCTCACAAGCAAATGCATCACGGACAAGCAAGAACATTATCATCTCCAGGGGCAGCACTCAACCAGTGGGGATAGGAGTGAGTGGGTAAATGCTCCAATCTCTACCATTCAGGTACACAATTCTTGAAGGCATTCTATGTACTCCTCAGGAATCTCTGCAGAGTTGAACCCACAGCAGTGACCTCTGTAGCACACTTTATACCATGTCTCCCTTCTTCCCTGTCTTTGTCTCCTTATTCCTTCATTCTTGCCTTCTGAGCTCACCTCCCAAATGAATTACCAGCACTCAGGTCCTTAACAGCCTCTGCTTCTGGGGGAACTCACTGACAGCCATTGATATTTTATCTATTACAACCTCTGGAGTTGTCTTTTTTTTTTTTCAATTTTTATTTTAAGTTCAGGGGTACATGTGCAGGATGTGCAGGTTTGTTACACAGGTAAACGTGGGCCATGGTGGTTGTCTGCACAGATCATCCCATCACCTAGGTATTAAGCCCAGCAACCATTAGCTATTCTACCTGATGCTTTCCCTCCTCCCACCCTCCACCCTCTGACAGGCTCCAAAGAGTTGTCTTCAGAAGCAAAGTAAGTGATACCAAATGGGATACTAATTTATAACAAAATTTTAAACATGGGCCATCGATATATCAATGTGGTATATAAACACAATGAAATATTATTCAGCCTTTAAAAGGAAGGAAATTCTGGCATATGCTACAACATGGATGAACCTGGAAGACATAAAGTTAAGTGAACTAAGCCAGACACTAAAGGACAAATATTGTATGATTCCACTGACATGAGATACCCAAAGTCATCAAATTGATAGAGACAGAATGTAGAATGATGGTGGTTTCCAGGGGATTAGAGGGAGGCGGAAATGGGGAATTATTGTTTAATGGGTGCAGAATTTCATTTGGGGTGATAAAGAGTTCTGTGGATAGATGGACGGTGGTGGTTGTACAACAATATGAATATATTTAAAAATAAATAAGATAAATTTTATGTTATGAATACTTTACTGCAATAATAATAAATAAAAGGAGATAACTTTAGGATGGAATTGAGCAGTTTTCAAGCATGATAAAAGGGATTAGAAAGTCTAGGAATTTGGGGCACCAAAAGGTTGGAGAAGCTGTTTTCTTTAGGCCACAAATAGAAAGAGATAAGCATGAAACAAATTTATACATCAAAGGCCCAATAAGACTCAGTCTTGTGGCAAAAATCAGGTGGAAGATGTGGCCTTCCTGCCGCTACCATAATCCCAGATAGCACAAGAAAGTCACCACTGATGTGAGAGAGGCATAGTGGGGTTGATAAAACACAGAAATAATTTAGTTCTGAAAATAACATTTAGGAAATAACCTTGGTTGTGGTTACTGGTACACAAAACTGGATGAAAGCATATATACCAGAAGCTGACTATGTTTTTTATGGCACAGTGATTGCCAACAAAACCATAAGTCTGCACAGAAAAAAAACTTAACTATTTGAGACTTAAAACATACTTCAGGACCCTGAATTTATATCAGCTTGAATTTTGCTGTTTAAACTGTATATGTATAGCCTCCAAGGAGGGTTTTCTTCTCAATAGTGACTTTGAAAATGGTCTGGCAGAAGAATGAACAATAAAGAATTTCTCAGAAGAGCCAGATTCTAGGAGCAATGGCTGAAACAGCTTCTCCCAGAGGGCAGAACCACGGTGGAATCAAGGACTGAGCATCCTGCCGGGGAACCAGAACCTCACAATGACAACCCAGCAGGAGTATATTATTGCCAGATATCAGTCTGCAGTGTGTGTCTCTATTCATCCACCGTCTATGTGGAGTATTTATTGCTGTTACCCTTTCCCTGGCCCACTGAATGGGTTTGTTGGGATGAGAGGCAAAGGAATATAACTTGTCTTTCTAATTCAAAGGTCCCTGGACCATGAGGAGCCACATCTGGAAGGATGGCATGGGCTGTGCATTTTATGGAGACACAGGGCTTTGAAATGGATGCTGTGGTTGGTTGCTTTGAAATGGATGCTGTGGTTGGTTGCTTTGAAATGGATGCTGTGGTTGGTTGGGACATTGAGCGGTCTCTCCAAGTCATCTCTGGGGAAGGGTAAGGGTGTTCTATGCATGGGAATGGGAGTAAATTGCTCCAAATGGAACAGAGGAGCAGATTAGGGCCAAGACCTTCCATGTGTTCACCAGCCCTGTTTTTTCTTCACATGGGTCACACAACTAGCCTACATTTTCCAGTTTTCCTTACAGCTGAGTGTGGCCAAGTGACTGAGATTTGGCCCATGGGAATGTGGGTAAAAGTGATACAGATGACTTCCATGCACTCCTCCCAGAGGAGCATCTTTTTTTCCTTCTGGAAAACAGGATAAGCAAAACTCCCAGGGAAAACTTGGGAGTGGCTTATTGAAGATTGCAGAGCCACAAAATGGAGCAGCTCTGAGTGTCTGAATCAGACTTAAAGAAAAAAGACATACAATCAGGAGCAACTTCAGTGGACTGTGATATGAGCAATAAACAACTTATGTTGTGACAAACTACTGACATTTTTTCCTGTACCAGGAGCTATAGTTACCTCCACGGATACACTATTATGAAAATTTGTGCCAATTATAGATCATTTGGTAAATTCAGAAAGTAAAAGGAAAAAAATCTGCTTTTTCACTCTCCTGAGGTAATCACTTTTAATATTTTAGAAGGTTTTCTCACTGCCATTTTCTCTATGCATTTATTTTTGCATAAGAACATTAATAGGTCTTAGCTAGAAGATATTATGAAGAGAGTTTTGGTGACAGAAAATATATGCCAGTCAAAATCTCCAATTGCTCAAGTCCTTCAACATGTATTTTAAAAGGCGAAAGATTTATTCGATCTGAAGAGAAACCAGTGAATTCAACATGTATTTTAAAAATATAAACTCTATAGTTGATTCAGATAATTAGCAATAAAAATTGACTTTACAGTATTTTTCTTATTTTATTCACATACACAAATCTTATAAAAGAAGTAACTCTCTGTTATTTTACAATATACATTGTTATATTATCAATGTATAATACAGTGTGTGGCAAATAAAGGCACCTAATAACTATCTATTGAATAAATTGATATATGAATGAAGGGATTAATGAATGAATGACTGAATGCAATTCTGCGTTAGTGTAACAGGAAAAAAAAGTTGTCAATTAATCATCCAAGCAATGTATAAATTATGTAAATCATTTAGCCATTTTGGATGGGCTCCACCAATTGTTTTAAGCATACATAAAACATGCTAAGATATGCCCTCTGGGCCGGAAGTGGTGGCTTATACCTGTAATCCTAGCACTTTGGGAGGCCGAGGCAGGCAGATCACGAGGTCAGGAGATTGAGACCATCCTGGCCAACATGGTGAAATCTCATCTCTACTAAAAATACAAAAATTAGCTGGGCATGGCAGCACATGCTTGTAATCCCAGCTACTTGGGAGGCTGAGGCAGGGGAACCTCTTGAACTGGGGAGGCAGAGGTTGCAGTGAGCTGAGATCGTGCCACTGCACTCCAGCTTGGTGACAGAATGAGACTCCATCTCAAAACAAAACAAAACAAAACAAAACAAAAAGAGATGCCCTCTGTAGGGTGAAGGGATGAATATGGCTGTATTATCCATTTTCACACTGCTGATAAAGACATATCCAAGACTGAGAAGAAAAAGAAGTTTAATGGACTGACAGTTCCATGTGTCTAGGGAGGCCTCACGATCATGGTGGAAGGCAAAAGGCACTTCTTACATGGCAGTAGCAAGAGAGAGAATGAGAGCCAAGTGAAGCGGGTTTCTCCTTATCAAACCATTAGATCTCATGAGACTTATTCACTACCATGAGAACAATATGGGAGAAACCACCCCCATGATTCAACTATCTCCCATTGGATTCCTCCCACAACACATGGGAATTATGGGAATACAGTTCAAGATGAGATTTGGGTGGGGACACAGAGCCAAACCATATCATTCCATCCCTGACCCCTCCCAAATTTCATGTCCTCACATTTCAAAACCAATCATGCATTTCCAACAGTCTCCCAAAGCCTTAACTCATTTCAGCATTAATTCAAAAGTCCACAGTCCAAAGTCTCATCTGAGACAAGTCAAGTCCCTTCTACCTATGAGCCTGTAAAATCAAAAGCAAGTTAGTTACTTCCTAGATACAATGGCAGTACAGGCATTGGGTAAATACAAATGGGATAAATTGGCTGAAACAAAGGGGCTACAGGCCCCAAGCAAGTCTAAAATCCAGCAGGGCAGTGAAATCTTAAAGCTCCAAAATGATCTCCTTTGACTCCACGTCTCACATCCAGGATGCATTGATGCAAGAGGTGGGCTCCCACAGCCTTGGGCAGCTCCCTGTGTCTTTGCAGGGTATAGCCCTCCTCTTGGCTGTTTCATGGGCTGGTGCTGAGTGCCTGTGGCTCTCCCAGGTGCATGGTGCAAGCTGTCAGTGAATCTACAATTCTGGGGTCTGGAGGACAGTGGCCCTTTTCTCACATCTCCACTAGGCAGTGCCCCAGTAGGGACTCTGTGTGGGGGCCCCAAATCCACATTTCCCTTTCACACTGTCCTAGCAGAGGTTCTCCATTATGGCCCCACCCCTGCAGCAAACTTCTGCCTGAGCATCCAGGCATTTCCATACATCCTCTGAAATCTAGGCAGAGGTTTCCAAACCTCTATTCTTGACTTCTGTGTACCCACAGGCTCAACACCATGTGGAAGCTGCCAAGGCTTGGGGCTTCCACCCTCTGAAGCAACAACCTGAGCTGTACCTTGGCCCCTTTCAGTTGCAGCTGGAGTGGCTAGGATGCAGGGCACCAAATCCCTAAACTGCACTCAGCAGAGGGACCCTTGGCCAGGCCCATTAAACCATTTTTTCCTCCTAAACTTCCAGGGCTGTGATGGGAGGGGCTTCAGCAAAGGTCTCCGACATGCCCTGGAGACATTTTCCCCATTGTCTCGGTGATTAATATTCAGCTCCTCATTACTGATGCAAATTTCTGCAGCCAGCCTTAATTTCTCCTCAGAAAATGGAATTTTCTATTTCATTGTCAGCCTGCAAATTTTCCAAACTTTTACGTTCTGTTTCCCTTTTAAAACTGAAAGCCTTTAACAGCACCCAAGTCACCTCTTGAATGCACTGTTGCTTAGAAATTTCTTCATCAGATACCCTAAATCATCTCTTTCAAGTTTAAAGTTCCAAAAATCTCTAGGGCAGAGGCAAAATGCCACCAGTCTCTTTGCTAAAACATAACAAGAGTCATCTTTGGTCCATTTCCCAGCAAGTTCCTCAATTCCATCTGAGACCACCTCAGCCTGGATTTCGTTGTCCATATCACTATCAGCATTTTGGGCAAAGCCATTCAACAAGTCTCTAGGAAGCTCCAAACTTGCCCACATTTTTCCGTCTTATTCTAAACCCTCCAAACTGTTCCAGCCTCTGCCTGTTACCCAGTTTCAAAGTCACTTTCACATTTTTGGGTATCTTTTCAGCAGCACCCCACTCCTGGTACCAATTTACTGTATTAGTATGTTTTCATGTTGCTGATAAAGACGTACCCGATACTGGGCAGAAAAAGAGGTTTAATGGACTTGCAGTTCCACATGGCTAGGGAGGCAGCACAATAATGGCAAAAGGTGAAAGGCACTTCTTACATGGCAGTGACAAGAGAGAAAATGGGAGCCAAGTGAAACAGGTTTCCCCTTATCAAACCATTAGATCTTATGAGACTTACTACCATGAGAACAGTATGGGAGAAACCTCTCCTCCATGACTCAATTGTCTCCCATGGGGTCCCTACCACAACACATGGAAATTATGGCGGTACAATTCAAGATGAGATTTGGGTGGGGACACAGAGCCAAACCATATCTTATGAAAATATTTCTTCTAATTGAGAAAAGAGCAGAAAAAGAAATAAAGACTAGCTGAACGAGAACAATACCTAAATACAGGGTCAAACATTTCCCCAGGCTATAGTATCCACTTGACATATACAAATATAATCCAACTGGATTCTTGAATTAATTTAATTAATTTCTAAAAAAAATTTCAACTTTTATTTTAGATTCAGGGGTACATGTGTAGCTTCATTACCTGAGTATACTGTGTGATGCAGAGGTTTAGGGTATGATTGATTCTGTCATGCAGGTACTAAGCACAGTACCCACCAGCTAGTTTTTCAACCCTTGCCCTCTCCCTCATTCCCTTCTGTAGTAGTCCCAAGTAGTCTCTTGTTACCATCTTTATGTCCATGTATATCCATTGCTTAGCTTCTGCTTATGGGTGAAAATATGCAGTGCTTGGTTTTCAGTTCCTGAATTAATTCACTTAGGAAAATGACCTCCGCTGCATCCATTTTGTTGCAAAGGGCAGGATTTCATTCTTTTTTTATGGCTGTGTAATATTCCATGGTGTATACATACCACCACTGATGGGCACATAGATTGATTCCATGTCTTTGCTATTGTGAATAGTGCAGAGATAAACATATGAATGTGTGTGTCTTTTTGGTAGAATACTTCATTTTGTTTTGAATATATACTTGGTAATAGGATCACTGGGTTGGATGTCAGGTCTGTTTTAAGTTCTAAACTGCGTTCCACAGTAGCTGAACTAATTTATATCCCCACCAACAGTGTATAAGCATTCCCTTTTCTCTTCAGTCTTGACGGCATCTGTTGTATTTTAACTCTTTAATAATAGCCATTCTGACTGATGTGAGATGGTACCTCATTGTGCTTTTAATTTGTATTTGTCCAATGATTAGTGATGTTGAGCATTTTTTCATGTTTGTTGGCAGCTTACATGTCTTCTTTTGAGGAGTATTTGCTCATGTCTTTTGCCTGTTTTTTTAATGGGTTGTTTCTTCCTTGCTCATTTGTGTGAGCTCCTTATAGATTCTGGATATTAGCTCTTTGTCATATGCATCGTTTGCAAATATTTTCTCCTATTCTGCAGGTTGTCTATTTACACTGTTGATACTGTCTTTGGCTGTGTAGAATCTCTTTAGTTTAGTTAGGTCCCACTTATCAGTTGTTCTTTTTGCTTAGGATTTGTTTGGCTATTTGGGCTCTATTTTGGTTTCATATGGATTTTAGGATAGTTTTTTTCTAGTTTGGTGAAAAATGACATTGGTTATTTGCCCCATAGGAATAGTGTTGACTCTGTAGATTGCTTTGGGCAGTATGGCCATTTTAATGGTATTGACTGTTCCAATCCATGAGCATAGAATGTTTTCCCATTTGTTTGTGTCAGCAGTGTTTTGTAATTCTTACAGACATCTTTCACCTCCTTGGTTAGATGTATTTGTAGGTATTTTTTTCCTTCAGCTATTGTAAATGGTCTCGTGTTCTTGATTTGGCTGTCACCTTGAATGTGATTGGTATATAGAAATACTACCAATTTTTATACATTATTTGTACCCTGAAACTTTACTGAAGTTGTTTATCAGTTCCAGGAGCCTTTTGGCAGAGTCTTTAGGGTTCTCTAATTATAGAATTATATCATCAGTGAAAAGAGATAGTTTGCTTTCTTCTTTTCCTATTTGGCTGCCTTTTATTTCTTTTTCTTACCTGATTGCTCTGGCTAGCACTTTCAGTACTCTGTTGAATAGGAGTGGTGAGAATGAGAATCCTTGTCTTGTTCCTATTCTTAGGCAGAACGCTTCCAGCTTTTGCCTGTTCAATATAATGTTGGTTGCGGGTTTGTCATAGATGGCTTATTATTTTGAGGTATGTTCCCTTGATGCCTAATTTCTTGAGGTTTTTTTTTTATCATAAAGAGATGTTGGATTTTATTGAAAGCTTTCCCTGCATCTATTGAAATGATCATATGGTTCTTGCTTTTAATTCTATTTATGTGGTGAATCATATTTATTGATTTGCATATGTTGAACCAACCTTGCCTCACAAGAGTGAAGCCTACTTGACTGTGGTCAATTAACTTTTTGATCTGCTGTTGGATTTGGTTTGCTAGTATTTGGTTGAAGATTTTTGTGTCTATGCTCATCAGGGATATTGGTCTGTGATTTTCTTTGTTCACTAAGCCTCTGCCAGGTTTTGATATCAGGGTGATGCTGGTTTCTTAGAATGAGTTAGGGAGGAGTTCCTCCTCCTCAATATTGTGGAATAGTTTCAGTAGAATTGGTACCAGGTCTTCTTTATATCTGGTAGAATTCAGCTATGAATCCATCTGGCCCATGGCTTTTTTTGGTTGGTAGGTTTTTTTTTTTTAATTACTGATTCAATTTCAGAACTGGATATTGGTCTGTTCAGGGTTTTGAATTCTTCCTGATTCAATCTTGCGTGAGTGAGTGTTTCTAGGAGTTTATTCATCTCCTCTAGATTTTCTGGTTTGTGTGCACAGAGGTATTCATAATAGTCTCTGAGGATCTTTTGTAGTTCTGTGGGATTTCTGTAATGTCACCTTTGTCATTTCTGACTGTGCTTATTTGAATCTTCTCCTTTTTGTTATTTGTCAAATCTACCTAGCGGTCTATTGATCTTGTTTATCCTTTCAAAAAATCAACTTTTGGTTTTATTGATTCTTTGTATGGATTTTTGGGTCTCAATTTTGTTCAGATCTGCTCTGACTTTAGTGATTTATTTTCTTTTGACAGCTTCGGAGTTAGTTTGTTCTTGTTTTTCTAGTTCCTCTAGGTGTGATGTTAGATCATTAATTTGAGATCTAACTTTTTTTTTTTTTTTTTTTTTTGAGACAGAGTCTTGCTCTGTCGCCCAGACTGGAGTGCAGTGGTGCGATCTCGGCTCACTGCAAGCTCCGCCTCCCAGGTTCACACCATTCTACTGGCTCAGCCTCCCAAGTAGCTGGGACTACAGGCATCTGCCAACTCGCCCGGCTAATTTTCTGTGTTTTTAGCAAAGACGGGGTTTCACCATGTTAGCAAGGATGGTCTGATCTCCTGACCTCGTGATCTGCCCGCCTTGGACTCCCAAAGTGCTGGGATTACAGGCAGGAGCCACCGCGCCTGGCTGAGATCTTTCTAACTTTTTGAGAGAGTTGTTTAGTGCTATAAACTTCCCTCTTAACACTGCTTTTGCTGTATCTAGATATTTTGGTATTTTGTATCTCCTTTCATTTATTTCAAATACCTTTTGACTTCTGCCTTAATTTCATCATTTACCCAGAAGTCATCCAGGAGCAAGTCTTTTAATTTTTATTTAATTGTATGGTTTTGAGAGAACTTCTCAATTTTGATTTCTATTTTTATTTCTCTGTGGTCTGAGAGAATGGTTGGTATGATTTAAATTTGTTTTGAATTTATTGAGGCTTGTTTAATGACCAAGCATGTGGTCATTCTTGGAGTATATTCCATATGCAAAGAAGAATGTACATTCTGTGGTTGATGAGTGGGGTATTCTGTAGATGTCTGCTAGGTCCAACTGGTCAAACGTCAAATTAAAGTCCAGGGATTTGTGAATCTATAGCCTAAACAGGAAAGTATGGCCTTCAAGCCTTTTCATAACTTGAATTCTCTATTTTAGAATTCCTAGTATGAATTCATTTCTCTATTAACTAGATTTTTTACTTAAATAATTTTTCTTTTTAAAAGGAAGTCCCTGAAACAGGTCATTTTTCTTTAAAGACAGAGACAATTTGGGGGAAATTTTTTAGGACATTACCTTTTAAAAACTGTTCATGATACTACTCATGAATTCTTGTATATAATGTTTCAGAGAAATGTGAGGTCAGCTTGTAATCTTTCTCCTTTGATGATTCCTGTCTTTAATTTTTCTTATGCTTAAAAAGTTTTTGTTCCTTATATTTACCATTCAGAAATTTTGCCAGAGTTTGTCTCAGTGTGGGTTGGTGGTTCTACTAAAATATGATGTGGTGAGCTCTTTCAATTTGCACATTTGTGTCTTTCTCAATTCAGGTAGATTCCTTCAATTATCTTAATCACAGATTACTTGTGTATGACTGCCTCACCCCAGGGGCCTCCTAAATTCAGAGATTATGTCTTAGTTATATTTATTTATTTAGCACTTAGCACAGAGTAGACATACAATGATGGTTTATTGAAGTAAATGAAGGCTAGAATTGTCTGGAAAAATCTCTAGTAAAAGAGCTATCCATCCACTGAGAGAATAATGTTTTATTGCATTCAACTTCCACTTCATTTCTTAAATCTGCATAAACTACAGTTGTATATTTCTTTAACTGATGACACTTTGTCCACATGATTTGCATGAGCCAATGAGACATTAGTAAGTGTAATGCTAACAATAACTTGAAGAGTACTTGTACACTAAGACTTTCTCTTTTTAGTTGTCTTGGGAACCCTGACACTGCCATGTGAAGAAGGTAAGTTAGCCGCACAAAAAAATGATGAGCCACTTCAACTTAGACACCACCACCCCCCCCTCCCTTTCAGATCAACTGGTCTACCACCTGCCAGACACATGGGTAAGACTCTCTTAGACCATCCAGGTCCAATTACAACTCAACTAGCCAAGAAACACTTCCCATTGGTCCATACAATTGTAAGAAATATTTGTTGTTTTAGGCCCCCGAATTTTGGAGTGATTTGTTGTGCAGTGAAAGCTAATTGATATAGGAAGCCATTGAATCATTCTAATTTATGAGGATGGCATTAGCTCATAAACATTTTCAAAAGATAACTTTGGCTGCTCTGTGGAAATGTATTTTTGAGAGGCCAAAGAGTGGAAACAGAAGGCAGTTAGGAAGCTATTGCAATAAACCAATTGAGAGATTTAGTGGATCAGTTCCAGAGTGATGGTGGATGTCCCTAGGGTGAGAGAAGTGAGTACACTTAAGATACGGTTTGAGGAAGAATTGGTTTTGAGGGATTTTTTTTTTTGTTTCTCTGTTTGTTTGTTTGTTTCAAGAGAAAAACAGTTAATAACCCTGGAATGAGAACCAGGCTGGTAACAGACTTGTTGATAGGTATACAAGTTTATAGAAGACAGCAACTATTGCCTTCCAATTTTGTGTGAAAATGATTTTGAACCTAGAATTCTGTACTTGAATCTATAATTCTGTACTATCAACCAAATGTGAGGACAAAATACAAAGATTTTTCAACATGCAAATATAGAATGTTTACCTTCCAGGCATACTTTTCAAGAACTTAGTTGAGGAATTAAAAGTTCTTAAAGTAAACAAACAAACAAAAAGAAGATGTAAGCCATAAAAAATGATGGAACTAATTAAAGAATCTGTTCCAAACATTTTCTGCTGGTGCTCAGCCACACACTGATCTTCTGTACTTTTACTGCTGGGGCCAGGAGCCTGAAAACTACCTTTCTGAGACTCCATTGCCAGCTGGATTCTGGTTTGTTTCATGCAGTGGGAGGATTTTGAATGAAATCAGAAGGTAGAGAGGAGGTAAAACACCTTCTGATTTTGGCAGTGGCTTCAGAGGCATTAGCGCAACTGTACTAGCCACATTGGCAGGACTTCCAACAGCATCCGTGGAAATATGTGTTCCCACAGCATCAAGGGGATTAGAGGCTTACGAGCTTCTTGGTGGAAAAGGGAAGCATGAGCTCACAAGTTCCTGCAAGGGTGGTGGTGGCTCTTGCAGTTATTGCCCCTGGGGAATACCACTGACCACCCTTTGCTCCTCATATCCTTCTAATACTTTTGTGATAAATTACCTGGATGGAATCCCTTCATGCTTTAATTATCTAGAGTGGTTTCTGTTTTCTTGACTGGGTACTGAATGATATGGAGTCCAGTGAAATGAAATCACAGGCTGACAGACATTTCAATAATCCTTGAAAGCAACTCAGCTATTTTATATGGGAATTAAATGAGCTCCAAGAATATCTTCAAGAAGAATGCAATGATTTCTAAGCATTAGAAAAGGAAGGCTATGAAATATAGCAAAGAAATCAAGCAACTCTTTTCTGAAAAAGAAAATATTATTACTAACTCCAGGAAAAACAAAAATCTATATAGAAAGGTAATGGTCAAACTATGAAGCAAACTAAAATGTGGCATGATTTTGAGGCCCTGATACAGCAGAAGAGATTTGATTCATCCTAGATTCTAGGATCATTCATCTTTGTATGGTACAATAGTTACCTCTTTAGATACGCATAGAAAGCAAATGTAATCCTAGAATATAATTGGTTTTATGTGAACAATTAATACACAGTAGTGGTTGTTTATTTTATCTCTAAAAATCAGTTAATTAGAAACGTAAAAGAATATATATATAAATGTAAAACAATATAAAATTATGGTTTTAGAACATAATGTAAATGTGAACATTCAGGGACAGGAATTGGAGTTTGGAAAGACAGAGAAGAATTGGGCAGGAACAGTCTCAAGTACAGAAGCAAGCAAAACCGTAGCATATTGATAAAATAAAACACAAGATGTTCTAGTAGATTATTTAATACTACAAAGCACTATAAGAAGTAATAAGAGTAAAATGCTATAAAATTCTGAAGTAGAAAGAGGGTAGTTGAAGTGAACCAAATCCTTATCTCTCTTAGTGAGAAGTCAGTGAATGATTTCTGAAATCAAGAAATCAAGGCCAACAGTTATTGGCATATCATTTAGGGTTAAGTATTTAAGAGAATGATCTTCTAGGTAGCAGAATTAGGGTTGTGCAGGGGTGGAATGGTAGAACTATTTTATACTATTTTAATGTTCAAGTATTACTTTGATAAAAGAACATTTAAAAGGAATACTTTGTATTAGAAAATAAGGGTGGCCTGATAATGTTCCTGTTTACAAATGTCATAACCTAGCTTCATTTTCATCTGTAGAATGAAGAAGTTAGAATGGATAATTTGAGATGCCTCCAGCTGTAAAATACTGAGTATCTTTGAAGAATGGAATGCATTCCTCTAGAAAGAGACTTTTGAAGGTTCCTTTACATTCCTGCATTTTTTCCCCTGAAGGTCAGACCTAGGGACAGCCATTCAAAATATTGTGTTTTAATCATAAGCAGGCAAGAAGATTATATGGTTAATGCAGCAGATATTTATCAAAGACTGCTGAGAATACTAGGCTAGGCTCCATGGTTGTCAACTTGTTAAATTAGAAAAAATTCAAGTAAGCATTATAGTGATTCATACCATGTAACTGGAGATAGACAAAGCCCAAATACATACTTTAAAAAGTTCATATATTGCCATGGCCATAGTAAAACAAAACAAAGTATCTTGAGTTTCTTGAAGTTCAGGGTAACAGAGAGAAACATTTTTCCTCCTAAAATGCCTAGACAGAAAGCACTAATGAGGTTTAATTGTGTATTTTGTTAAAAAGTAATGCACGTATAAAATACTAAAAAGGGCTGATGTCCACAACCCAATCACTTCTCATTTTTTCAGGTTCGTTAGACATAAAGTGTGTCCCAAAATTAAAATTCACACTCTATTTTTTCATGCCTTTTATAGATAGATTATTCTGCTAGAGGCTTGCCAAGCTATCTGGAGTCATTTAGCTCATTGGCAGAGCAGCTTTGTCCATTCATTGAATCCTGCAGGCGAGGAACCTATTCCCTTTTCTTTCATCTGCCACATTTACTTTATATTGGTGAGTAATATCCATCACTTCCAAAGTGAAAGCCACCCCCTCTTCAATCTGTAGGTCATCATTATGTCTCACTTTATAGGGTTAGGCCTTTGCCATCATAGGTCCTTGTGTGATATAACATGGAGGAACAGCAAAATCTATAAAAGGATTTCCATCAACTTAGGTGCAGTCAGCTTGGGCCAGAAGGCATTCACTGACCAGATGGCCCATTGAATGCTCACTTGCATTATCCCAGAAAGCTCCAAAACTTCGAACACGTTAGTTATTTTTGAATTAAAATATGGTAGGTGGTTATACCTATTATCTGATCCCTTTAAGAATAACAATTTTGGCTGGGCATGGTGGCTCATGCCTGTAATCCCAGCACTTTGGGAGGCCGAGGCGGGTGAATCACAAGATCAGGAGTTCAAGACCAGCCTGGCCAAGATACGGTGAAACCTCGTCTCTACTAAAAATACAAAAAAAATTTAGCCAGGAACAGTGGCACGTGCCTATAATCCCAGCTACTCAGGAGGCTGAGGCAGGAGAATGGCTTGAACTCCAAGGGCAGAGGTTGCAGTGAGCGGAGACTGCACCCCTATGCTCTAGCCTGGGTGACAGAGTGAGACTCTGTCTCAAAAAAAAAAAAAAAAAAAAAAAAGAATAACAATTTTGTTTCTGCAAGGGACTCTTGCTATAGTCTCGTTTGCTTTTCATGCTGAGAATTTATTTTTTTTCCATGCTGGGAAAATCACTTTGTCTTTAAGCACATGTTATCCTCTTAATATACACACGTATATGTACATATGTTTGTATGTCTACATGTGATGTTGCTCTGCAAATTCAGGGCAGTGTTTGTCTCAAGTTTATTGTACTTCTGGGTCATAGGTATCTCATGCAAGGTCTCCTTTTCAATACCTTCTTGTCTTTACGCTGGGAAGAAAATGAATTCCAATATATGTCTATACTCAAAGATTAACTGACTCCTAGACTTGGCTTAATTTTTTTATTTACCCACATAAAGCAAGATAAGTTAGTAAATTGTAGGAATTCCTTTGCCAACAAAGCTTGCTTAGATGTCATATCTACTGTTTGGGGTTGGTGCTTTTCCTATAACAAGATTGCTATAGAAAATGTTGCTGTTAGCTTTGCAGGTGAACCCTGCAGGGGCAACTTAGGGAATAGGTGCTTAACTCCATAGGTTCTCTCAGTGAAGGCTTTCTGCTGCAGATCCCTCCTGAGGCCTCTTGGTACACCCTTACCTCCTACATTAACCATACATCTCAATTTTCTTTCCCTTTCACAGACCCCCTGCCATTGTTTCAGGTCCTTACCCAGAGGCCATCAGCATCAATAGATTCTTGTTGTTTAGTGATCATGCAGTCAGTTGAAGTCTCTGTGTCCTCAGTGGATGACCAGCATAAATAACAATACTTGAGAATGATAACTCTGCAAACATCTTCAGCTAAAGATGGGACTCCCTCACCTTAAAGCAAGATCAGGTGCCAAGATCTGTAGTTCCCAAATGATACAAATTAGTCATCACCTTCCTTATCCACACATTTTGCAATGGGAGTAAAAACACTACCTTGGCAGGAATGAATGGCTGGGGTTTTTATTAGGGAAGCCTGGTCCAATTAGATGTTCAGCCACCTCAGGACTCATCTGCAAACCTCTTGGGGATTTGAGGAATTATGTTGCAGGAAGTGCCAAAACCAAGTGCTCTTACCAGGCAGCAGTTTCCTTCCTTCTCTTCTGGCATTATAGAATGCACGAGAAGGGACTTTTTAGATCTCAGAGAGTTGAGCACTCTTTTTTGGCAAAGGAGAGGACTAAGGCGAAGAGATGGCCAGAGGTTCTGCCCCACTGTAGTCACTGCACTAGAACTCAGCTCAGCATTATTACTCCCTGACTGCAGTCCTATCTATGTACCACCTTGTTTTTTTCATTGCTGTTTCCCATCCCTCGGTGACTAGAGCAATGAATAACTCAAGTTCAAATGTTTACCCATCCTCTATTTTTCACAATGTATGGTGGGACAGGTGGCTTCAGCAAAAGAATCTCAAGCTGCTGTCTTTTGTATGTTCAGATGTCTTTCAATTTTGCCCCTTCAAATTGAAATCAAAAATGTCATCTGCCTTCAGGGGGTTCCAAGTTGAAATAAAAAATGTTATCTGCCTTCAAGGGGTTCCAGATTGAAATAAAAAATGTCATCTCCCTTCAGGGGGTTCTTGATGGACATCTTTCCTTTCTGTGGAGTTTGGAAGAAAACAGGTTGATTATTTAATTGAAGTCAAGAGGATGAAATAGATGCCCATTCAAGCTCTAGCCTAATCATACCATTTGCTAATGTATCCTTCTGACATGAGAGCATGGCTTTAATTAAGGCAGAAATCATAGCCTCTTGAAAGACTTGAGCAAGGAAATGTAAGAGCCCTAGGATCCAGCTCTATTAACTTGGTTCCGCATATTCCATATTTACTAAAGATAGAACTGCACCAGGAAGACAACTGGTGAGGATTGGACATAGCCACATGAGGATGCCTCACACGGTGGTGTACCATGTTAAGTTTGCCACAGTGCAGGACCAGTTCTCAGTCTCACAGGTCTATAAAACTGGGTTTTCAGCCACTGAAAGTAGGTGCATTTTCAGAGGCAGATTCATCCTAACCAATCTGGCAGATACTGGTGTATAAAACCAGAAAATTCTAATCCTGTTTAATTAACTTATATTTGGAACTATCCCTGTCTTGTGGTCTGAAATATTTATGTTGGCATGTCTTCTCTCTATTTGAAGATTTCCACAGACAACCATATTATCAATAATTTGGCTCTTGAGCATCAAATCAGAAAAAGGGATGGTAGATGATCTTTAAATGACATCAGACTACATTAGTTTGATGTCTTCATCTCCATATAGGAATATGCCAGTAAAATAGTAATATTGAAGGTCCACTAGACAAGACTTCTCTCCCCTGATCAAATCTGCTTGTGCAATTCAATTCTTGTCATTGTAACTCTGTTTATGCCTCCTTTCCAGATCATCTTTTCTCCTGATTGACACCATTTCTAAGGATTTGTTGTTATCCTTGTTCTCCCAACTGTTTCGTCTTACTGGCTTAGAACCATTCTCTCTACGAGATGCCTTTGGCTCCCATCCATTTAGTGTGGACTTTGTACTCTATCTCATACAATTTCATTACTTCCAAAATTTTGAGGTATAACTCACCATTGCCAACTCCTTCTCCAACACAGATACCAACAACAGTGTTCACATGTAGAAGTTTGTTCCTTGTGATTTGGCGAATGGTTGCAGTCTAGCAAACCACTGTTTCATTAACAGCAATGTTCCAAAGCAGTAATCCAAACCTTAATGTCTGTATTATCGGTGCTACTAAGGATCTCCATCACTTTTGCTGTGGTAATTAAGTAGTATAAGATTTTCTTCAGCACTTTGGGGACTGAGTTAAGAGACAACAGAAAGTAGCTTTGTGCAGGCCATTCAATAGGAAATTAATTAGGGAAATACACAGCCATGGTCTATGCCGGGAGAGAGGGATGACAGTTTCTTCCTCCCACGGACAAAGCCAAGCACTCCATATTTGTTCCTGTAGTGATGAGATCACTTCTTACTAAGTGTCTTTTCTTGATTATCTTTCTTAGCTGCTTATCTTCCAAGAATACACTCTCCAGAATAGTGTGCACTTGTTTGTGAGGGGAAGGATGTTTGTAAAAGGAAAAAAAAAAAAAAAAAGAAAGCACAGTGAGTCAGTCCTCACACACAGCATCTAACCATCACCAACACTTAGAATTTTCTCCAAATACTTGTGATTTAACTTAATTGAAACAGCTGTTTTACAGGGTTCCCGTCCAGGGATGTTGGTGTTGCTTTGTGGCAGGAAAGGATAATGAAAGTGAGACAGAACTTTTGGCTGTGGGAGATGCTTTTGGTTAAGTGGGAGGCAAAATGAGATAAAACTAAGTCTAGTGAATTGAAAGTTAAGTTGGGAATAAGACAACTGAAATTATAGAGCTGGGCATTGGGAGATTTCTATATTTGCCATCCTCAGCCTCAGTTGCCATTTTTTAAACGTGCACACATATTAGTCCTTTCCATGAGGCTTCTCCCTGCCATACTTAGGAAACCACAGGGCAAATCACTGTCCTTCCTTGAGCCTTGGTTTACCCATCTAGAAGTGCTTGGGATGTTTAACGTTATATTTAGTGTTTTGAATATTCAAATAGTTTCTCCTCCACAAGTAGAGTTCCAACACGCAATTCTCAAACCCTTTTACACCCACTTCAGCAGAAAATCTAGTCCATCTCTGTGTTACCCAGTAATGTTTTTGGCTGCAAGTAACAGAAACTCTGACTAACAGTGACTTAAATATATAAATGTTTATTTTTCTTGCATAATGTGAATTCTGGGGGTAGGCAGCTGCTGGCTTCAGTTCAGTGGCTCAATTATGTCAGGACTGCTGCTTCTGCAGTTTTCTTATCTGTTCGCCTTTGGGGGTGAGTTGGCCACCATAGCTACCGGCAGCAAATTCTCTTTTAAGGCTGCTATAAAAGGGCCGAGGGAGGGAGGATGTGATAGCAGCTGTGAATGCTTTTTTTTTTTTTTTTTTTTTAGAAGAACAAAAACTTTCTCCCAACATCCCTAGCAGACTCATGCTCAGGTCTGATTGATCAGAATTCTGTCACCTGGCCAGTCCTAGTTCATGGGAAGATGAACACAGCAAAACTCTGCCATAATATATTTAGTGAGGTCTAAAATGTTAATTGCACAGGATGTAGGGTTGCATTGATTTGAGTTGAACAAAAATTATATTTTTAAGTCCATATGTACTGTTATGTAACAATACTAAAACACTTATTCAGCTGGCCATCCACTAAACTGAGAAAGTCTCAAAGTCACTTCCTAGTTACACACCCTTCCTTCTGAAGAAGAAAAAAACTTCAGCCCACAGACGGGAGCTGGGCAGAGCATGGGAGCCATCCCTTGCTTGTGAATGTGTTATTGTGGGGTGCGTTGTGGGACCACAGGATTTTATTCCACAGAGTTTAGCTTTACTGTGGAAACAAGCTAAGGAAGAAAGGAAGGGATACTAGGTTATCTTGTTCACAGTGTCTGCTGAAATTCTCCCTTAAGTCTTCCCCTTCTCCCGGCCAACCCTATTCCAGGCATTCCTGTTGTTTCTTTTGTCTTGTTGTGTTTAAATAAGAAACCCAACTACAGAACTATAGACCTAACTTTATAAAGATGAAGGTGCCACAACTGACATCAGAAATAGATTGTTTTGGGGTATGACTTCATGGTGTGAGGCCATGAGCCAGCTTTTCAGAGGTGCCTTTGTGAGGGTTTTGCATTCTTTGCTACTCTTTGAGTCCACCCAATAAGAAAATTTGCGTTATCACCCTATGGAATATTAATCAGAGTGAAAATGAATGAACTATAGCCACATACAACACATGGATAATCTTTTTAAATAATTTGGAATCACAAAAGCAAGTCCCAGAGGACAGCTTGTACAGTAAAGCCCTCTTGCCCTTTTTATAGAATTCAGAAACCAAATACACTTAAATGACAAATTGTGTGTCTCTGTGTGTGTGTGTGTGTGTAATGAATCGTAATAAAGGAAGACAATGATAAATAATAAGTGCAAATTTTGGGACATGTCAATTCTAAAGGGAAGGCAGGAGAATGGGATGAGAGGAACCTGTGGGTAAATGTAAGTTACTAATTATACTAGTTTACTAGGGCTGCCATTTAAAAAAAAAACGCCTCAGAGTGTGGCTTAAACAGCAGAAATGTATTGTCTCACAGCTCTGGAAGCTAGAAATACAAAATCAAGGTTGGTTCCTGCGAGGGCTGTGAGGGAAGGATCTGTTCCAGGCTCCTCTCCTTGGCTTGTAGATGGCTGTCTTGTCCCTGCATCTCTTCACATCATTTTGCTTCAATGAAATTCTGTCTCTGTTCAAATTTCCCCTTTTTATAGAGAAACCCATCATATTGCATTACAGCCCACCCTAATGACCTCCTCTTAGCTAATTATACCTGCAATGCTTTTATTTCCAAATAAGGTCACATTCAGAGGTACTGGGGGTTAGGACTTCAACATCTGAATTTTAGGAATACACAGTTCAACCCCTAAGGTGGCTATTAGGTTATAATCCCTGCTTGGGATAAAGGATTATGGGTTTTCATTATATTGTTAAAATAATTAAAAGAGGATTATGCTTGAACTAACAGTTGTCATGAACCAAAGACTACAATTAATCCAATTCCATGGACCTGAGTTCCATAAAGAGGAAAACAAGAAAGAAAACCAACTCAGATGCCCATTCTTGATGGTAAGTCCTAGGCTTCAGCTGTGACTGGATTCTGAGCTTTAAACTCTGCTAAGAGTCAGTCTCTTGCCACCTCCTATCTCTGCTTTCTGCCTTAATTCTCAGGCACCATGTGGTTGGCCTGTGGTGGTGCTTGTCTGGACAAAACTGTGGATTGTCTCTCCAGGAGACAACTGTACTCCCTGGGGTTTGACTCCCTCAAATGATTGCTCCGGGTGCTCAACACTCTGCTGATTCACTCCTCCCTCATTTTCCCAAGGTAAGAGCGCTGCCCTTGGAGCACTGTGTATTCCCTATCCATTACACTGTACAGGTAACATTCAGGGCTTCCACCTGGCAGACAGAGACTCAGGCCCCACGCTTCCTCTTGCCAACCTGGTACTGGGGTATGCCCTCGTGGTCATTGCGTTTCTGGTACCCCATTGCCCTTCTTACTATTGGGTCTTCGTCAAAATCGCTTATTCTGTCTAGACAGGTTTCCATCACTTTTCGGGAAAGGGGTGAGGATTTTGATAGATTTTTCCAAGAAGGCCCCAGAATCTCTAGGCAATATGTGTCACCCTCCCTAGAGCTCTGCATAGCAAGGGATATTGATTGGGACAGGCAGTCTTGGAAGGCACATAAGAAACAAGGGATCTGTTACACATTTTCTCCAGGGCTCTGGGTATCTGCTTGCCTTACATTTATGAAACAAGCAACTTTTTTCTTAATAAAGAGAAATTTTTTAAAGTGATAGTCTGTCTCCAGTCCTATTCAGGGAAGTGGTTGGTATAATTTTTTTTTTTAAAGTTTTTCACCTCATCAAGTTCCCTAAAAGACACATCAAATTAATAGACTAGGAAAATAATCTCAAAGTTCCTCTCTTGCTTTATAGTTTTTATTCTATGATCTCTCCTGGAGCTAGGGAGAGTTTTTAACTATTTGGTGATCTTCATATGAAATACGCCACTTAAATAAATATAATACTCTTCAACATTTTTCTCTGAGTTTTTAGGCTACCTGGGATTTAAAAATTGCTAAAAACTCTAAGCCAGCCTCCAAGATGGATCCCAATGAGCCCTTCTTCCTAGCATTCACACCCTCGTGTAGTCTCCTCCCATATTGTACCAGAGTTGGTCTGGGTGACCAATAACATACAGCAGAAGTGATTAGACTTGCAAGGACAGGTCATAAAGGGCTTTATGGATGCTATCTTTTTCTCTCTTGGACCACTCACTCAGGGGGAAGCCAGCTGCCATGTCATGAAAACATTCAAGCAGCTCTCCGGAGAAGTCCACTTGGCAAGGAACAGAGGTCTCCTGCCAAAATCAGAAAGGAATTGAGACTCCCTGCAAACAGTCATCTGAATGAGCCCTCTTGGAAGTGGGTTGTCCAGCCCCAGTCAATCCTTCAGATGATGCAGATCCAGCTATAAAGACTCTGAGCCTCAACTATCAGCTAAGCCACTCCAGGTGCCTGACCCACAGGAACTGTGAGATGATAAATGTCTGATATTTCAAGCTGCTTAATTTTGGGGGTAATTTGTTATACAGCAATGGGTAACTAATACAAGTCCTAAAACTAAATGAAAGAGCTGTGCAGGAATAAGATACACAAATTGGAGTTACATTCTCGACCAGGAATGGGTAAGGCTGGCTTAGTCTCTGCTCTGGTTCAGCTGGAGGATAATTGTCTAACTTGAGGAAAAGTTTGTCCTGTGATAGTGACAGTCCCTGGTGAGGTGTTTTTGCCTCATTTATCCTTGTATTGCTAGCTCCATCACATCACTTGACCTGAAAGAGGGCCTTGATGAATTCTGGTTGAATGATTGACTGAAGAAATAATGAACACCTCTGTTTCTTCACTTAGAAAAAGGTGAAGGCTTATTGTTGTTCCATAACCTTCTTCCAAATTTGATCAAATTAAGTTAGGGGATATATAATAAGAGGGGCTGGAGCATTTTGATCTAGCAGACAAGAATGCTTGGAGATGCCATCATCCTCATGGATGATTTATGGAATGGTGGACTATCAGGATCTCACTCTTAAGTAACAGGGAACACATTAAATATACTTTGGAAAAATTAGCTAATGAAATATCATGTAGCCATTTGAAACAATGTTGCAGAACTATATTTTGTGACTTGAGATGTTTATAATATTTTGATCAGAACAGAGTCTGCCACATTAAGTAGGATCTTACTAAATATTTGTTGAATACGTAGATGAATGGAGGTTTAGAAGAGTATAGGCTACTTTTCATATAAAAATACTAATATATTCAAAGAGAAAACCACACTTGGTATAATATTTTTCATGTCAATACTCTGGTTGTGGAAGCTGTTGGGGTGGCAGTGGCATAAGGAGCTGAGTCCTTGAATGGTATGTCTGGGTAAAAATTTATGGTAAGTAGTTTTTTCTAAATAACCTAGATTATTTTTCTAAAGAACTGGATTATTTTTTGTTTGGCTGAACAATGAAATAATGGGCATAAGCAAACTTGAGGCTGAGTTGAATTGCTGTCCATAATAAAAGAGATGGCCTTGTATGGCAAAGGAGGAAGTAGTTAAAATATATTTGAGCTACTTTTAATGTCCCCTTTGTGAGGGATTATACATAGGAAAAAATCCCAGTCGGAGGAGTCAAATCCTTGCATTACAGACTGTCTGCAGTCATTAATTAATGGAGTAATGCTAGTTAAGATTCATCTCTCTGGGCCTCAGTTTCCTTATTTGTAGAATGGGAGCATGCAAGTTTGGAGACTGAAGTGAATCTTGGTATTTGTGGAACAGACCAACAGAATGATCGATGAGCAAAAAATATACACTGGAAATAATTGTTAAAGTTGGTATTGTTTTCCATTTCAAATTTTAGAGTTTTAGTGACGGGATAGGGTAGATTATCTCTGCTAATTTTTGTGTTTGTATGTGCAAAGATGATAAGCATTCACTTAGAGTCTCCAATTCAAGCAATTCTCCATTTTAGAAGGAGACTATAGAGTTGCTTGTATACTTTCTGAGCAAGAAGAAGAAATCTTTTTTATTTCTATCATCATTCTTAAGTGAGAAAAATGTCAGCATTTTTAGGATTGTCATAGCTTCCTGATATGTCATAGAAAAAGAGGGAAGATTACAAAGGAGCAACTTAGCACTTATCTTGCTGTCTCTTCCAAAGTAATGCTTCTCACATTAAAAAGAGGTAGTTTCAGAAGATATAAGTAAAATCTACTTTTAAAAATGTACATACTCCATCTGATAACACTTGTATTTTCTAGACACACCTACAAGAAATATAGTCTCATTTTTTATATTATTTCTTGACCAATCACATTATTACCCAGGTTGACCATTTCTTGATCTAAATGTTTTGGTTGCTGGTAATTCCCAAATCAAATGGATCCATAAAAAGAATAATTTGAGATGATTAAAGATATTAAAAGAATTCAATGCCGACTTTTAAGATGATTTTAAAAGTTTCACAAATTTTTTTTTAAATTATATCATCCTTGAACAGGGACTTTACCTGTTTTGCTCACTGTTAACCTGTTAACCCAACAAATACTTATGAATGAGCAAATGAATGAATGGCAAATCTGATAAGGACAATGCTAATTCAGATTTAGAATGTTTTATATATATAAAATATATTAATACAATGTTTGTAATTACATATTATATACTTTATTTTTACACATATTATTTTGTATAGATATATAAATTATATAGTGTATATATAATTTAACAATGAGCAAAACAGGTGTATAAATTATATATTGCATTGAGCAAAAGAGGTGTATTAATTATATATACACAATATATAATTTATATACCTCTTTTGCTCGCTGTTAAATATGCAATATATTTTATGTAAATTATATACACGGTATATATTTGCATATGCAAATTAATACTGTGTATATAATTTACATAAAATATATTGCATATTTAACAAAGCTTTCCTAGTATGCTTGCTAAAAGCTCACTCACAGTGCCTTTTAGTGCACATTCACACATTACACGCATTATCACACACCCCTTCAGCAATCCTTCATATGCTCCTGGCTTCATCTGCTTCCAATTCCAGATGTCTCTGAGATGACCAGCTTTGTGGGTTCCAAGCAACTTCACACACTCACTACCTGGAAGCCTCTTGGTCCCAGCCCCAGTGCTTCTCTGTTGACATTGAGGTGTGGACCCCTGCAGTACTGTGCTTGACACCTAGGCACATATAAGTGGAATAGTGGAGGAGTTACATGCCTGTCTTAATTTGCTCAAGCTGCTGTAACAAAATACCACAGACTGGGTAGCTTATAAACAACAGAAATTATTTTCTCACAGTTCTGGAGGCTGGGAAGTCCAAAATCAAGGTGCTGATAGGTCTGGTGTCTGGTAAGAACCAGCTTTCTGGTTCATAAATGGTGCCTTCCAGCTATGTCTTCACATGGTGGAAGTGGAAAGACAGGTCTCTGAGGCCTTTTTTATAAGACACAAATCCCCTTATGAGCCCTCATAACCTAATCGCCTCCCAAAGTCTCCACCTGCTGAAAGCATTACATTAGGGATTAGGTTTTAACACATGAATCTGGGGGAAAACACAAACATTCAGACCACAGCAACATTTTGGGGCGAGGTTTGATCTGTGAGTGATGGAAAGTGGTGGATATTTCCCCTTCTTTCCCTCTAGTAAGGTGGATGCTGCTGAGATGTTTATTCCACCTCCTAGAGGATGCTCCAGTGAGGGTGCGCCCTCAGACATACTTAGAGGTGACCAGCCCAGCTCAACGTTGGCTCATACTGGCTCTGCCTCCTTCCCTGCTCCACTCCCCATGCCCCTCACCCTGGCTCCTGGGCATGGATTTCCTAGTATATTATTGGCCCAAGCCTTTGGCTCAGGATCTACTTTCTGGAAAAGCCAGGCTGAGGTAATTCCTAATGTTTGATTTTGGGTACAGGTTCTACATCCAGTTTTTCTTTTTCACTCCCATATGTACACAACTTAACCACCACTCCATTCCTTCTTGAAAGGAAGCAACTGTTCTAGAAATAATGAAATAATCAACCTATGGCAGGGTAATTTTCTGGGATGTTAATTTGTGTGTGTGTGTTTTTCACACCATCAACCCAAATCTGCACACAAAATTTTCTACCAAAAGTAGAAGGTACTTTTCTCTCACTTATTTTCAAAAGTCAAAATGTTTTGAAGAGTTTCTAAGCACTCTTAGGGCAGTTGGAAAAGAAAGGAAGTCTTTGAGAATACTTGGCAGAGGAGAGGGCAAACTTTGCTGAGATACTAAAGAGAGAGGGCAGAGGTCAGGCTAAGAGACAACTGTGGGAGTGACATGAGAGGAGTGTGGGACTCATGCCCTCTTTGTGGCCAACCTCAGAGCAAACTATGATGTGCTTTGGAAGGCTGGTCCCCAGGCAGTGGGGTGCCAGCCTCAGTAAAGACTCCGAGACATCATGTATGTATGGCAACTGAGACCTAATGCTTCAAGGGAATAAACGCTGGTACAGTGCGCAGTCTGGTGGTACCTAGCATGGACCCATATCAGGAAGAATCTTCCTGATGTCTTGGCCTGAGGTAATACCCCAAGAACTTATCCCAATCCTGAGGTCAGTTCCAATATTGGCAGGACTAATTGCTTGCCACACTGTGTGGATTCAAGAAAACAAAGAAATGGACATTCATCACACATCCTGTTTTTGTGGACTGGGATTCACACCTGTAACAAGCCTTTTTTTTTCTGTAGTTCATTAAATTTTTCCGTGGTCTAGCTGCCCCAGATCTATACAAAGGCACCCCCATGGCCTTGCTTAGATTTTTTCTTCTCGCTTTCCCTAAGGAGGAGGGGGCATTTAGGGAGGTGTTATTCAGCTCATCACCACAGCCTCAAAGAACGCTACTTGAGCTGTTGAACTGTTTGTATTCTGATTGTAAGGATTAAAGGTCAGTAAAGGCATGAAAAGAATTAGCCAAAGCTAGTGACAACCTGGTGAGGCAATAGCACTGTTGGACTTAATGTTATGTTACTGCCATTGACTGCTGCAGGTGAGTCTACAGAAGCTATCCTGTTGAAGGTCATTCTGGTCAGAAGAACTGGCATTTGGATGATTTTGTTTATAATGAATTATTTCTCAGAAAATGGCTTTATGCCACTACTTGCTACTATTTTGATGAACAAAAGCCTGGAATGATAAAGGGCAGTATGTATGGTGTAGTGTGTGCACATGTGCATGCATTCTGGCTCGTCATAAACAAAAGCCAGTTATTTCTCAAGGGACATAGGCTATCCTAAGTGCACTGCTGAAAGAGGCTTATATTTCTAAAGATAGTGGGTCACATGATGAAATGATGAAACTGAATTTGCTGGCTTTTCAGGCTCTAGTTGTTTATCACGAAACCTAGGAAAGTGCATTGCTATAGCTTGTGTTAAAATTCCAAATGATAAAGGCAATTGGCAAATGCAACTTGGACACCCACTCCTTCTCCTTGGCAGGGATAACCTTTCTTTGACAAAAATATTATTGCTCTTGAAACCTATGCTAGCATGGGTGGAAAGTCATTGCTGACCATTGACTCTGGAGGGGAGGAACCTGAAGATGCTGATTAACTTTTAACAAGCATCTATATTGCGCCAGGCACTATGTCAGGAATTTTGCATATGCTACGTTACTTCATCTTTATTACAACTCAGAGAGAGAGGGCATATTCATATCTCTTTGGGTAGATGAAGGAACAAAGACTACAAAGTTACCCAGCTGGTAAGTCAGTACTGTATAAGTCAGCTATTTCTACATAACCAGCAGCTACAAAATCACAGTGGCATAAACAATAAACATTTTATTTCTTAGTTCTCTGTGAGGGGTCTGGGGTGGCTTTGCTCCATGTATCTCATTCTGAATCCCAGGCTGGAGGTGTGTGCTACCAAAACTACTTATTCTCATGGGAATGGCAGAAACATAAGCAGGTAAACCCAATCACACAAGCACGTTGCAAGCCTCTGCTTGCCTCATGGCCACTAAAATCTCATTGGACAAAGTAAGTCATGTGGCCAAGGCTGAGGGAGCAGGGAAGTACATGCCTCCTATCACTGGGCCATGACAAAGGAATGGGTATATGATATTTCTATGGGAAAGAGAAGACTTGGAACCAGTAATTCAATTACCATAGTGAATGCCAGAGATTGTATTCTAACATAGGTGTGTCTCAAATTCTCAAGCCCAAGTTCTTTTGGCCATGCCAAATATGGTGAGGAGGCATTTCAGTCCAATGCAACTTCTCATGGTACAGCAGGAGAATGACGTGTGAGGCTGTGGGAGGGATTGAAAGACTGTGTGTGCAGTGCCCCAGGGCTCAGTCTTAAAACCTCTCTCCTCCCCTCTCCTCCCCTCCCCTCCCCTCTCCTCCCCTCCCCTCCCCTACCCTCTCTCCTCCTCTCACTTTCCTGGTGATTTCATCTAGTCCCATGGCTTTTAAAAGCCATCTGTGTGTGGATGGCTCTGATTGTTTATATCTCCAGCCTGGACTGCTTCCCTGCACTTCACATATCCTCAACATCTCCACTCAGCTGTCCAATAGGCATCCCCAACTTAAGACGGCCAACCCTGAACTCCTAATCATCTTCCCCAAAATCTGCTTCCCTCACCAAGATGCTTTATCTCATCTCAATAAATGACAACTGTGTCCTTTCATTTGCTCAGACTGAAATCCTTGACTCCAGTCTTCTTCTCATAACCTGTATCTGGCCCACCAGCAATTGCCGTCAGCCCTATCTTAATAATATTTCCAGAATCTACACACTTCACATCATCTTCACCACTATTACTTTGGCCCAAGTTCCCATTATTTGCTGTCTGGAATATATTAATAGCCTCTTAACTAGACTTACTGCATCTGTTTTTTCCTGTTTTCAATAGCAACAGCAAATACCTATTTTAATAGCAAATACCTATTTTCAGTAGCAATCAGAGTAGTCTTTGAAAATGTAAGTCAGATCTTGTTATTCTTCTATTTAAATTTTCCCTGGCCTCACAGCTCACTGACAGGATAGGACAAAGTTTTTATTATGGCCTAGAGGTTGCTACCCACTTCTCTCTGGCCTCGTCTCCCATTGGGCTCTCCCTCCTTCTCTCCTTTCCAGGCACATTGGCCTCCGGGCTATCTTCTAACACACAGGTTTGCTCCCACCCAAAGCCTTGATGAAAGTTCCTCTCAATGCTTATAAAGCTCTTCCCTCAAATATCTAAGTGACTTTGCTTAAATGTTCCTTGTTAGTGAGGCCTTCCCTATTTACTATCACAACATCCATCCTTCCTGAAATCCTGGCACTCCCTATTCCCTGTCTCTTCTTTACTGTTTTCTTAGCACTTATCACCCTCAATTGCATATTTTTTCTTCACAACTTGTCTGTCTTCTAGAATGAAAGCTCAGTGAAGGCAGGACCTTTTGCCCGTTTGATGTACTGCTGAATCCCTCATACTTAGAATAATGCCCAACACATAATAGGTGCCCTGCAAATACTCACTAAATGGATCCTTGATTGTGATGGTGGCAGAACTGATTATCACTCCACTAGTGGTTGAGCACTGGCGGTTGTTAATTAAATGGATTTCAAAGCAGGGAGATACTTCTAGAGTTTAGCAAATTGAGGCATGCATGCTGTTTGCTGTTGGTTAAAGGGAAATGCCGTAGACACTGCAGTACGTTGTTCAAATTCCCCTTCAGGATCAAGACACTCATTTCTCTAGCCACCAGCAGGGTTGGATGCTAACTGCTGACAGCTGAGTCCTTTTCAAGGAATTTCCCTTGTTCAAGGGAGCTAAATTACCCAAGTTGACACCTTCTCCCTCAGGGCACCAGCATTTGATAATCAGCTGATCAGGGGTATAAGCACCTGGCCTTTGTGCCACACTAGAGACAAGTCTGAAGGGTCACCTCAGCTTCAGAGCTCCTTATGGAGTCCACAGTGCAATTCTGCTTCTCTCTCTGTACTGTCCTACCTCAGTTACTGCCCAATAAACCTAATTCAAAACTCCATCTCAGAGTACGGTTTCAGGAAACCCAACTCAAGACAGGCAGTGATTTCCTTATGTTTTCGGTTAGTCATTCAGGCAATGTTCATTAAATATTTACTATATGCCTGGCATTGAGAAAGGATCTAGGGATGCAATGGTGAATATGGTAGACCTTGGCCTGTGTCTGCTTATTGTCTGGTAGTTGAAAAACTTGGGAAAATGCAATTATAGGGCTATATGATAAGGATATGAAGGGGGTAGTCTTGGGATGCAGATATTACCCATTACTGCAAATGGTAAAGTCAGATTGAAGCAGAAAATGTACAGGCATGAGGAGGAGTATGATATGTGGCTAGAGAGATAGCTAGGAGTCTACTCAAAAATGAACTTGTGAGTCATAATCGGAGGACAAGGGGAAATCTCAAAAGTGATGAGACATTTCAAATAAGACATAATCAGATTGCTTTTTTAGAAATTATCTTGGTGATAGTCACTGTACAGCCTAGATTAGTAAGATCTACTGATAACAAAATTCTTATGGGTTCTAGGTTACGCCCCCACAAAGCCATCTGTCAGATTGTTCTTTCATTCGACAAACACTCCACTTTCTCTTTGAGCGCATTCTTTTTCTTTCATTCTGGGACTTAGGTCCTTGTTGATCTGATTGTATTTTCCTTCAAGCTAATATTATGGAGAAATCTGTCTGGAGCATGTGACTAGAGAGGGAGCTGGGGGTTGTGTCTTAGTGAGAGAGGTGGAAGTAAGCAGTAATTACACTGTATGATTTGTATCAGTTCATCTCCCAGATTTTCTGGGATCTTAATCCACATTTTATGGATCAGTCACTTAATACTGTTACTCTATTGTAGTAATTTGGGTGTGTGCTCTATTGCCCTTATTCAATTCTAGGTTATTTGAGGGCAAGACTCGTGTCCTATATGTCTCTTACTTCACTATGCACTGTGGGAAATCAAGTCTTGAATTTTGGTTGGTAGAATGAATGAGTGTATCCCGCTGGTGGCAACGGGAGGGGGACACTTGGAAAGTATTAACAGGAATAGCAAAGAAGCAACAAACAATGGCCAACAGCACTCTTAACACTGGTTTTCTGTTTACAATTCATCCAGAAAGTCTGTGATAGGATATCAAATGGTACATATTAATTATAGCTTTCTTACTTCTGCTTTCTATCATGGGTGGGGATTTTTTAGATAGTTGAAGAGAAAGAGAGAAGTAATTTTTGGGAAATGGCAAGCAACAGCAGTAATGAGTGGAACTTTGGGGAGAAAAATAGCTGACGAGGATCATTAGGATTTTTTTGTATCATAAAATGTAATATGCTTCTTTGGTGCCTCAGAGATTTCAGTAAATATTTAAATTACTTGTCAATGCTTATATGAATGCCAGTTTTTATTTTTTGTAGGATACTCATGCTGAGATGGCATTAAGAAGCCTCAGTTTTAGTTACATGTAATACTAGAAAACAGATTTCTATGAGGCTGTTTAGAAAGTCCTCTTTAGTTGCAGTGGACTGAGATCACGCTACTGCACTCCAGCCTGGTGACAAGAGAGAAATTCTGTCTCAAAAAAAAAAAAAAAAAAAAAAGAAGGCCTGGTGTGGTGGCTTATGCCTGTAATCCCAGCAGTTTGGGAAGCCGAGGCAGGCGGATCACCTGAGGTCGGGAGTTCAAGACCAGCCTGACCAACCTGGAGAAACCCCATGTCTACCAAAAAAATACAAAATTAGCCAGGCATGGTGGTGCATGCCTGTAATCCCAACTACTTGGGAGGCTGAGGCAGGAGAATCGCTTGAACCCAGGAGGTAGAGGTTGCAGTGAGCCGAGATCGCACTATTGCACTCCAGCCTGGACAACAAGAATGAAACTCCATCTCAAAAAAAAAAAAAAAAGTCCTTATTAACGCAAAGAATGTCCACAGACTTGTCTTGGGGAATTGTCTGCCATATGCACAAACTTCCTGAGTCTTGTAGATAACATCAGTGACAACAGAGGGCACCAAAATTGGTCATTTGAATCCTCTGGGAGACGTGTCTGGTCTGATCACCAAAACATCCAGTGAGCCAGAACATTTCTCTCTCCCATAGGGACCCTTTGACCTCCTTCTCCTTCTCCCATCCTTTTGTAGATTCAGCCCCACTCCAGGTTCTAGGAGAAACTACAATCTTGGGCTTCTGCCCAATATGCTGGACTATTGAGTCATTTGGGCCACTTATTTGCCTCAGACCTTCTATCTTAATTCTTAAGATAAAATTTCTGCCTCGTCCCTAGATTCTCCCTATGCCCCAAGCTACACTTGGGAACTCTGCCTTGTTCTCTGTGCCTGAGATCCCACCTTGGCGACCTGTCAGGGCTCTCTCCTTGTTTTTTTGCCTGGCTTTTATTCACCTCTGGAGTTTTGTCTTGACCCTAGATTAATGCCTTGGTCCCTCAGTTCCCACCTGGCCAATATCCCTAATGCAGGTCCCTGATTCTGAAGAGAGCCTGCTCCAGGATTGTCCACCACTGAAGTGGAGTGTACAAGGGCTTTGGAGGAAGGCAGTCTTGCATTCAAATCTAGGAATGACCGTTCACTACTTCTGTGACCTTGGGCAAGATTCTTAGCCTCTCACAACTACAGTTTCTTTATCAGAAAAAAGTGGGACTATCAGTATCATATCTAAGAGTTGTGATGATAAAATGAAATAACTAGTAAAGCATTTAAGGGCTCAATAATGCCACCAGCACTGCTGCTGATTTCATTTTCAGCCCGCCCCTGTGAGCACAGTTCTATTCCCAATATTACTGGTGATCACCTGGACCACCTGTTATAGGCCTTGGCCCTTCCCAGATCATCATGTTCCATTGTGGTTCTCGCGGTTATGCCTCAAACACGTTAAAATATGACAAATAATGTACCTTCATGGAAATCCTGGGTTTGTGTGCTTAGGTACTGAGCATTGTTTCACAGACAGAAAAAGGACAGATAACTATTTCCCCACTATTGTTGATACTCTTTAGTCCCTTTGGTTTGTATTTGTGTTAGGTCCTGCCCCAAGCGGTGTCTCTAACTTACTTTCACAAGTAGTCCAATATGCAGTCAAATATTTACTGCATATCAACCAAGCCAGGCACAAAGGGGGTTACCAGGGCTTATATGATAAGTACTAACACTCAGCATCTATTATTCAGCAGCCATTGTCTCCTTCACATCCTGTATATAATCAAATTCTCACAAAGCCCAGTGAGACAAATATTATCCCCACTTTATTGATGAGTAAATTACAAGTTTCATCAGAAACAGAATATGAGATTTTAGTACATATAAGTTAGCTGGGACATCTAACCAAAGAGGTACAACAGTAACTAAGTCTTGCCCTGCTAATTAATTGGCTCAGTTTTGTTTTGTCAAAATATATTTGCAGAAGAAAATATCTAAGCAGGATCGGAGATGGTGTTTCCTAAGCCCTTCAAGTTAAGGATACAGAAACCACACCAAGAGAGGTTATATGACCAGCTGACTGACGTGGTAATAGGGAAGGAAGATTGAAATTTGGGCATCCTGTTCTTAGATTGAGATTTTAGAAAGAGAATAGAGAAGGCCTATAATGTGAAAACACCAAGTTAAAGTAAAATTCTTTTCCAGAATTATATATTCATAGTTTTTCCATTCTGTCCCTGGGTCTGCTTTTCTTCGCATCCATTTCTATTTTTACTCCTGACCAAGTGCTATTATGCCTCTCCTGCCGTGTGAGGGGCTGGGCAGAATGAGAGAAACACATGTGGCCTGTTAGGAGTCCACGTTGCTGCTCTTTGCCCTCAGAAAACTATCTTAGGAGGTTTTGGGGCTTTTCCCCATTGCTGCTGTTATTACTAAAGCTTTGCTAGCAAGTTTCTATCATTCTGGAGTTTCTGTTTTCAGATCTCACTATGAGAATCATAGTCTGGCGCTCAGAAGGCAGGGAGGATGGGGGCGGGGGGCAAGAACAGAGAGTGCAGTGGAAGCAACAGTCTGCAAGCTCACTGGGGCCCAAGGCATGCTGGCTCACTCAGCTGACCATGATCCTTTCCACCCAGCCACCAGCTGGCCAGCAGAGAAGACCAATGGGGACTTCCCAGCAACCACAAAGTTCCCAAAGTTCACCCTCGGCCTCCTGCCCTCCCATTATCACAACAGGAAAGAGCCTTGACAAGGTGCCAGAAATTATTTCTCACCCATAGGCTCACTTTCCCAGGTATTTACATCTTTTAAGACTTTCATTCTTGCTTGTGGAAAGGGAGATTTTGTTTAAGGTGGCTAGATGCTAGTCATTAGCTGGGGGCATGGCTTTGGTGTTAAGGAGTCTCAGAAAGGAAGCTCTGGAAGTTGTTAGACCTGGAGAGATACTGGATTTTGTATATTTGGAGAGTTAGCTCTTCCTCGCAGTTTCCCTTCTGTTACGGGCTGCATTACGTTCCTGTACCCATTCACATGTTGCAGTCCTAACCTCCGGTACCTTATAGAAGGTGAGCATATTTGGAGATGAGGTCTTCAAAGAGATGATTAGGTTAAAATGAGGGCTTTGAGGTGGGCCCTAATCGTATATGACTGGTATCCATACAAGATGAGGAAATTTCGACCTAGAGAGAGACATACACACCAGACATGTGTGTGCATAGCAGAAGACCATGTGAGGACACAGTGAGAAGACAGCCATCTGCAAGCCAAGGACAGACGCCTCAGAGAAAACCAAACCTGCTGACATCTTGATCTCAGACATTTCGCCTCCAGAATTGTGAGAAAATAAGTTTCTGTTGTTTAAGCCACCTCATCTGTGGTGTTTTGTTGTGGAAGCCCTGGAAACTAACACACCTTCCCTTCTGCTGCCAGAGTCTCAGAAACCAAGATATCAGGTCCATCCTCATGTATTATCTCCCCTGTTGGATTTCCCATTCCTTCATGGAAAAATTCTGATTGTCTAAACTTTTTGCAGTTCCTTTAGGTCCTTGCTGCACCTGAGACAGCAGAGGAAGAAGCTAACAGAAGGCAATATCTTTTTTTTTTTTTTTTTTGAGGCAGGGTCTTGCTCTGTTGCCCAGGCTGGAGGGCAGTGGTGCAATCTCCACTCACTGCAACCTCCACCTCCAGGGTTCAAGCAATTCTCCCACCTCAGCGTTCCAAGTAGCTGGGACTATACAGGCACACACCACCACACCCGGCTAATTTTTGTATTTTTTGATAGAGATGGGGTTCTACCATGTTGGCCAGGCTGGCCTGGAGCTCCTGAACTCAAGGGATCCGCCCCCGTCGGCCTCCCAAAGTGCTGGGATTACAGGCATGAGCCACCACACCTGGCCAAGAAAGCAGTATCTGAAAGGTCTCCTGGAGGTAGCAGGGAATGCAGTAACACAGCACTCTCCGGATTGGTTAGCTTCTGAAGAGAATATCCTGGGCCTTGATGTTTTCAAGCATCAATATCCCTAAGCTGGTGTGTGTGAGAGAAGGACACGGATTATCCTGGAATGATACATAGTGTAGAAGAACAGAGAACTCTGATGCTGATTACAGAATAAAAAAGTGAGACGAGAGAAAAACCCCAAACTTGGGTTGACTGTGTATAAGAAATACTAATTACAGTCATTTCTGTGAACTGCTTACCATTGATAGCTAATTATCATGCAGCATAATAACAATTATGTATATCATTAAATATGTATCAGATTCGTTTTATTTGATTACAATAATAAACTCCAGAAACATACAATGTCAGGCCTAGAAGACGACCTTGGGGATCAATGTCTAGGTCTTTCCCTTCATGTTTGCAGACGCTGAGGCTAGTCTGTGGCAGATGTTTTTGGCAATGCTGGGATGAGAACATGTTTGTGGCATTCCAAGTACACTCCCCATGGGAAACCAGCATGAGGTTAGAGCCAGAAATCAACAAGAATTGCATCCTTCCTGACTTGTATTGAAGTGGTACCTAGCCCTGTCGCAGTTCCTGGCAGTGATTGAACTTATCCCGTGTATTTGTTTGTCCTGTTTTCAGGCTGTAGTATTAGAGTAGTTGCTCAATAACTAGTTCTCAGATGGAATCAATGAATGAATGACTCCTCAAGGGAAAGACTCTGATAGAAGGATCACATTTTAGATGTGTTGACCAGCCCTAAAGGCCAGTGCTGAGGTCTGACACCACAGTTTTCTTTCTGCTTTCCTTATTTGATCATAAGAATCATCTGAGAAACTTTAAAAATATACACATTCCCAGGCCATTCCCCTGGAAGCTCAGCTTTGGTCAACCTGGGTAGAGTTCCAGGAATTTTTTTTTTTTAAACACTCCAGGAATTTGTTATGTTCAATGTATTTAGAAAACACTGATAACTATAGTTGTATCATATTGAGAGCACGTCGATCAACTCACAACCTAAAAGAAACAGAGAAAACCTTAATTCGAGCATTTCCAGGAAGAAAATGTCATGTTTAGTCACCATTGGATTGTTTAAAGAATCCACTGGTGTTGACACGACGCGTAGCATCTGAGGAAAATGAGCATGCATGCTTTTAGCAAATTATGTCATGCCAGGCACAGCACTAGGTGCCAGGGGGGACAGTGGCATGGGACAGATGAAATCCTTGCATATAAGAGAGCCCACTGCCCAGTGGAGAGACACAGGAGAGACTGGGCAATTCTTCCCATTCACTTATTAAGTTATAATTTACATAGAGTAAAATTCACCCTTTTAAGTAAGTGTACAGTTCTCTGAGCTTTAAAAACACAGTTTTATCCCCTTCAAAAGTTCTCTGTGTCCCTTTGTAGTCAAGCTCCAGGGAGACCAGCTGTCCCAATTTGTCTAGGACTGAGGGGTTTCTGGGATGGAGACATTTTGAGCTAAAACTGGGACAGTTCTAAGCAAATGAAGGTGATTTGGTCATCCTATTAAGTCAGCCTCTCCTTCTGCTTGCAGCCCTCGAAACTGTTCATCTGTTTTTGGTCCCTATAGTTTTACCTTTCCAGTTTGGAATCATACGGTATGTAGTCTTTCGAGTCTGACTTCTTTCACGTAGAATAACGAATTAGATAATTTTTTCACGGTGTTGTATATATAAGTAATTTGTTCCTTTTTATTGCTGAGTAGTATTCTACCACATGGATGTATTACAGTTGTTTATCCATTCCCCAGGCAATTTTAACTGAGTGTAAAATCTGTGTTAGGGTTTGAGTGACCTCTGCCACAGGATTAGGGGTGTGCTGCCCCTGCTACCTGCCTGAGT
The DNA here is from genome assembly GCF_000001405.40 of Homo sapiens. NCBI lineage: Eukaryota > Metazoa > Chordata > Mammalia > Primates > Hominidae > Homo > Homo sapiens. Next base: position 1,872,912 of record NC_000009.12, on the reverse strand, counting down.
CTTGTAGGACTACTCTCTGTGGTCCCGTGAAAATGAGCCTTGTCCGCATGAACTTCCACTACCATCTCTCCATCCTGCAACTTAACATGTGAGTGCAAGACAAAGGAGGAGGGTGGTGAGCAGAGACTGGAGGTGACACAGCTGTGGCAGGGCTTACTCTGAAGGATTCTAAAGTACTGCATACACCTATGCAGGATTCATTTCACCCTGGAAATATAGCCCTGAAATAGAGCATGAGCATCAGAGAGAGGAAGTCAGTTGCCACCTTGCAGGATCACAGCAAGCGAAAGAGGAGGAGAAGAAGAAAATGTACATCTGAAGCATTAGAGAAATGCCTCCTCTCATTAAAATGTGCCTAGGTTCAGCAGATCAGACCCAGGTCTATTAAACATCCAGGGAAAGTATTCCTCGCCATCAACTAAATAAAACTCATTTCATTTCCTTGAGAAGGTAGGAGCTGAAGTCACTTCCAGTTAATAAAAAACTTAAGGTGGGCAAAATAAAATAATCTCACCTTGACTCAGGAGGATATCTTTAAACAGTAACAGCAAATCCAACTCTTTCCCCCTTTCTTTGCCTTTTCCAAGAATAGACTGCAAAACCCAGCCATGTTTGAAAAGAATATGCATCTGCAGCTCTCACTGCAGTCTATAAAGCTCCTGACATTTTCTCCAGGTCAGAGACACTGCATGCAAATACCTGTCTATCTATTCACATTCTGCCACTCAGGCAGTGAGGCAAAAAATCTGGACTCAATCCCTGCCTTGGGATAATTGCTTAGCAAACAGGATGCACATAATCCATTTTCATTATTAATACTCCAGTTAGGAGCCAGGCTCTATGTTTGGTTTCTCATAACGAGAGCTGCCTTACAATGGAGGTGATGCAATCTACCATTCAGCTCACAGCATCGAGAGGAGGCAAAGAAACGCCTCCTGTGGCAGATTTAGATTCCAGGCATTTCTGCTCCCCATAAAGCAGTAGGCTAGATGGGCCCACTATTGAAGAGCAGGACGTGCTGATTTTCCTGCCTGGGTGATTCTGTAAAAATGTCTTGCCTTCTCATTTGTTTATTGTATATTATATGTTCTTCATCTGGGTCCGATAGCTCCTTCGAAGGCATCTGCCCCATACGATTGCACACCCAGGGAGTGAAACTGCTGGCATGAAGTACAACAGAGTTTGAAAGTGATTGTCAAGCAGGGCTAATTCAGATGTAACCAGCACAACCCTCATGGCTGGCTCAACCACACAGCGGAAACCTGGTTAGTTTTTAAAGGTTATTTTTTTTTTTTTAAATGCTTGAACTAGAGATGTTTCCTGAAGAGAGTTAAAGGACTTCTTGGTGAAATCTGTTCTCCTTCTCCTGCAGCATTCATTCCATCTCAGTGGAAGGTGATTTGCTATTAAAAGTAAAGATAATCCATTATCACCCTGAGTCTTGAACTGCCAGGGGGAAGCCTGTAGCTGACTGGGAGGAAAGGCTGATAACTTGCATTTAAAGAAAAAAAAATATCAATTGCCAGTTGGTGTCTTGCCATCAGTGAGAAATACGGCATAAATTTGTCCACAGTCAGAGGGACTGAGTCCCTTGGAGAATTTGCAGTGGGATTTGAAGCCTTCCTATTTACCTCTAGGTGATTAGTTAGAGCCCAGTTTGGATCTGCAGTGACTGAGATGGTTATTTTTATCAAGCTCTTTGGTGACAGGTGTCTGTATTACAAGAAACAAATTGGCACTAATTGGGCACTCCCATTGGCATCTTGGCAGCAGAGAGCAACCACGGCTTGATTTAGGGAAACTGCACATTTACAGGCAGGGGACACCTGTGCTGGACATACCCAGTCTGTTTTGTTGCTGCTGTTTATTTGTTTTTGTTTGTTTCAAGAATTTGAGATATGCTAATTTTAAGTGTGGCAGTTGTCACCAGCATTCTCTCCTACCCCATCACACAAACACATATCCATGAGAGAATTCTTCAAAATAGCGTGCTGATCAAAGGCCTGTCAATCTGTTTATCTGGGATCATCAATGAGAGGCACTGGCCAGTGACTCCACAAGGATCAAGACAAAAGTTCTCAGGGTCAAGGTCATTGTGTTTTTTGTTCACCAGTGTATCTGGCATCCACTTTGGCATGTTGCAGATGCTGAATAATTGTTAAATGAAGACATATTTGTTTAATTAATAGATGAATGCTCCCTCTTTCTCTTTTCTCTCTCTCTCTCAATGTGTTACAACTGCCCATGAATGGCAATTCTTTCCAGTTGAATCCTAGATATTCGAAGTTGTACTGAACCTTAGCAATGGTCTGAAGAAACTACCATCATTGTTCAGATGAGAAACATTAGGGGCTTGGCGAGATGCGTGACTGAGCTGACAGCAGGATCTGTTTTCTGAGCCCTGGTGTGTTGCCATCTCAATGCTTCTTCTGAGAAAGAGATTTCAGAACACAGAACATCGCTGTGAATGAACAGCACAATGGCTCATGAATAGAGAAACCTGATTTCTATATTGGGATCCTCTCCTGATTATGTGGCCTCAAGAAAATCACTTCACATTATTGTGTTTCTGTGGTTTATGGTCTATTTGGGGAGATAGACAAGTAACCAGGCAATCACAATAAAGAATGCAACATTGGAATAATAAAGGAACAACTTGGAAGACACAAGCCAAAAAATACTAGCACAATATGGGGGCAGATTACTTTTCAGCTCTAAATAACTAGTACGTTGGACTAGAACATGTAAGGCTCACAAGAGGTGGCCCTTGATTTATTAAGTCTTAAGGGCCCATGCGGCGATTTCAGAAGTGACTCGCCCAGCATACTGTAGTGATCCACCAGGGGGGAGTAGAGGTCAATTTGTTCTGTACCAGAGGAGGTGAAGTGATTTGTGTTTTGTAATTAAGGGGAGGTAGGAGAGAGGAAGCAAGACTTAGGCTAATGCAAATTCAAGGTGTCCTATTCTTACAGCATCTTCCATACCAGTGGCACCTACGTAGAATGACTCAAGTTTTGAGCTCTCACTGTGAACCGGAAGCAACTCCTTGCAATTTCACACCATTGTGGTAGTTTTCCAGAAATATAAGTCTAGGGAGAAAGGATGATACAGGATGGCTTCTTGGCTACAGAAAAATTAAATGTCCATTTATCCATAGCAAGGAACACATAAATAGATGGTTTTCTTTAGCTATTCAGAAACTGGACCATTCAGACTTTTGCTGCAGCAACTAGCCCAACTGATGAAGTTGGTTTCCGTTATCTTTTTCTAATGCAGATGTTTATAAACTTTCAAAAAATGGACAGAATGAAAAAAGATGTAGTTTAATCAGACAAATGTATAATAATTTCTTTATTTTTATTTTATTTTTTGAGACAGAGTCTTACTCTGTTGCCCAGGCTGGAGTCCAGTGGCACAATCTCGGCTCACTGTAACTTCCGCCTCCCAGGTTCAAGCAATTCTCCTGCCTCAGCCTCCTGAGTGAGTAGCTGGGGTTACAGGTATGTGCTACCATCCGCCGGGCTAATTTTTTGTATTTTTAGTAGAAATGGGTTTTTACCATTTTGGCCAGGCTGGTCTTGACCTCCTGACATCACATGATCTGCTCACCTCGGCCTCCCAAAGTACTGGGATTACAGGTTTCTGTCACCATGCCCAGCCTAATAATTGCTTCATAGTAGTCTTTTTTTAAAAAACTTGACATCATAATTATATGTATTTATGGCATACTGAGTGATATTTCAATACATATATACAATGTATAATGATCAAATCAGAACAATTAGCATATGCATCACCTCAAACATTTATCATTTTTTTCTGTTGGGAACATTCAAAATCCTCTATTCTAGCTATATGTAAATATATAATAAATCGTTGTTAACTATAGTCACCCTACAGTACTATGGAGCACTAGAACTTATTCCTCCTATCTAGCTGCAATTTTGTATTCATTAACCAACCACTTCTTACCCTCTTCTCCTCCCTCCTCTTTCCAGCCCCTAATAATCACAATTATACTCTCTACTTCTATGAGCTCAACTTTTTTAGCTACCACATATGAGTGAGAAAATGTAGTATTTATCTTTCTGTGCCTGATTTACTACACTTAACATAATGCCCTACAGACTCATTCATGTTGCCTCAAATGACAGGATTTTATTCTTTTTTAATGGCTGAATAGTATTCCACTGTGTGTACAGACCACGTTTTACTTAACCATTCATCTGTTTTTGGACACCTAGGTTGATTACATAGCTTGGCTACTGTGACTAGTGCTTCAATAAATATCAAGGGGGACAGATAGCTCTTTGATATGTCAATTTCCTTTTCTTTGGCTAAGTACCTAGTAGTGGGATTGCTGGATCATATGATAGTTCTATCTTTAGTTTTTTTCAGGAACCTCCATACTATTGACCAAAATAGCTGTACTAATTTGTATTGACACCAACAATGTGTAAGAGTTCTCCTTTCTCTGCATCCTTGCCAGAATTTGTTATTTTTTTGTCTTTTTAAATAATAGCCTTTCTAACTGGGTTGAGATGGTATCTCGTTGTGGTTTTGATTCACATTTCCCTGATTAGTGATGTTGAGCATTTTTAATATACTTTTTGGCCATTTGAGAGATATTTTCACCTGAGAAATATTTATTCAGATTCTTTGCCCATTTTAAACCAGATTATTTTTCTTGCTATTGAATTGTTTGAGTTCCTTTAATATTCTGGATATTAATCCCTCATCAGGTTAATAGCTTACAAATATTTTCTCCCATTCTACAGGTTGTCTCTCAGTGTGTTAATTGTTTCCTTTGTTGTGCTTAAGGTTTTTTAGTCTGAAATAATCCAATTTGTCTATTTTTGCTTTTTTGCCTGTGTTTTTGAAGTTGTACCTATAAAATCTTTGCCCAATGTCATGAAGCATTTCTCTCATATTTTCTTCCAGTAGTTTTATTGTTTTAAGCCTTACATTTAAGTCTTAAATCCATTTTTAGTTAATTTCTGTTATGGCGATAAATAAGGGTATAGTCTCACTCTTTTGCATGTGGATATCCAGTTTTCTCAGCACCATTTATTGAAAAGCCTGCCATTCCCCAGTGTGTGTTCACGGTGCCTTTATCAATCAGTTGGCTATAAATGTATAAATTTCTTTCTGGCTTTTCTATTCTGTTCCATCAGTCTATGTGTCTGTTTTCATGCCAGTACCATGTGTTTTGGTTATTTTAGCTTTGTAGAATATTTTGAAATCTAGTATTTCTGGTATAATACTTCCGACTTTTTCTTTATGCTCAGGATTGGCTATTTGGAGTCTTTTGTGGTTCAATATGAATTTCAGGATTGTTTTTCCTATTTCTGTGAAGAATGTCATTGGTATTTTGAAAGAGATCGCATTAAATCTGTAGATTACTTTGGGCAGTACGGTCATTTCATAATATCAGTTCTTCCTATTAATGAACATGAGATTTTTATTTTGTTGTAGTTATTGCTTTCTTTGTTCCATTTTCAGCTAGTTATTGGTATATAAAAATGCTACTGATTTTTGTATTTTGAAATTTTACTGAATTCCTCTTTCAGTTCTAAGAGTGTTTTGGTGAGGTCTTTAGGTTTTTCTATATATAAGATTATGTCATCTACAAAGAGGTACAGTTTGACCTACTCTTTTCCAATGTGAATGCCCTTTCTTTCTCTTGCTTAATTTCTCTGGCTAGGACATCCAGTACTATGTTGAATGCGAGTGGTAGAAGTGGACATTCTTGTCTTGTTCCAGTTCTTAGAGGAAAACTTTATTTTCCTCATTCAATATGATGTTAGCTGTTTTATATGGTCTTTATTTTGTTGAGGTATGTTTTTTCTACCTAAGTTTTTGAGAGTTTTCATCATGAGGAAATGTGTAATTTTATCCAATGCCTTTTCTGCATCTATTGAGATGATCATATGTTTTTTGTCCTTCATTCTCTTGATGTGATGTATCACATTTATTGATTTGTGTATGTTGAACCATCATTGCATCCCTGGGATAAATCCCACTTGATCATGTGTATAATCTTTTAAATGTCCTGTTAGATTTAGTTTGCTAGTATTTTGTTTGAATTTTTTCATCTATGTTCACTAGAGTTTTCTTTTTTTGTTGTTGCTGTGTCCTTGTCTGGTTTTGGTATCAGGATTATGCTGGCCTCATAGGATAAGTTAGGAAAAATTACCCCTCTCAACTTTATTAGAACAGTTTGAGAAGAATTGGTGTTAGTTTTTCTTTTTAATTTCCCATACTACATGGATGTAAATGTTAGTTTTTCTTTAAATATTTGGTAGTATTTAGCAGTGAAGCCATCCGGTCCTGGGCTTTTCTTTTTTGGGAGACTTTTTATTGCTGATTCAATTTTGTTACTCATGATTGCTCTGTTTCCCTTTTCTATTTCTTCTGGGTTCAGTGTTGGTGGGTTATATGTGTTCAGGAATTTATCCATTTCCTCTAGGCTTTTCAATTTGTTGGCATATTGCCTCTAATGATCCTTTACATCTCTGTGAAATCAGTTGTGATGTCTCCTTTTTTGTTTCTGATTTTATTTAGATTTTCTTTCTTTTTTTCTTAATCTAGTTAATGGTTTATTGATTTTATTTATCTTTCAAAAAATAACTTTTCATTTTATTCATCTTATGCATATTTTTTTCAGTCTGTATTTTCTTTAGTTTTGCTCTAATCTTTATTATTTTTTTTCTTCTACTAATTTTGGGTTTGGTTTGTTCTTGCTTTTCTAGTTCCTTGAGATGTATTTTTAGGTTGTTTATCTTAAATCTGTCTAGTTTTTGATGTAGGTATTTATTTCCATAAAATTCTCTGTTAGTACTGCTTTTGCTGTATCCCATAGATTTTGCTATGCTATAATTTTACTTTTAGTTGATTCAAGAAACCATTTTCTTTCTTAATTTATTTAATCGACCCAGCGGTTGTTCAAGAGCATGTTACTTAATTTTTACGTACAGTTTCCAAAGTTACTCTTGTTATTGACTTCTAGTTTTATTCCATTTTGGTCTGAAAAGATACTTGATATTGCTTTGATTTTTTTAATGGTCATACTCCTCATAGCAGTATTTATTACAGTGAATGCACACAAAGAAAAATCAGCAAAGGGAAGAGTGCATGATGGGGTGAAATCCCAAGAAAACAGGTACAGACTTCTAAGAGTCCTCTCCCAGTGGAGTCACACAGGGTGTACTTATTTTTTTTGCAGCAACAAATTGTAACATATGTGAAATTTTGTGTTACTGGAGATCATTAGTGACTCAAAACCTAGGTTTTTATGGGGGTGTGGTTACATAGACATTTTCTGCCTAGTATGCACTGAAATTCCAAACTCCCAGAAGGAAAGCAAATATTCAGCATAAACCGTATTATTTAGGTACGGTGAGCCACTCTTACCAGTTAGAGTGGCAGGAACTGTTCTGAAATCTAAGTTCCCAAATGCCAGCTAAGAGGCATCTTTTAAGCAGGTCTTTTGAAGGATAGTAGTCAGACCTGCTATGTTAACTCTTTTCTGCACACTACTTCTCAAGCTTAATAATTCTAGAAGTTATGTCATTCATATTACAGATATTATTAACGGCACTTTTTTTCTTGTTGGCAGAGATTAAGATGAGTTTATAATGTAAAGTTTAAAAAAATAGGTAAACAGAAAGAAAAAAAGTCATATAATCATGCCATCAAGAAATGACCATTTAAAAAAGTCTGGTATACATCCTTTCAAATATTTTTCTATGCATATTTTTGAAAATGTATGCACTTTAAAAAAATTTTCCTTTTTAAATTATACTTTAAGTTCTAGGGTGCATGCGCACAACGTGCAGGTTTGTTACATAGGGATACATGTGCCATGGTGGTTTTGCTGCACCCATCAACTCGTCATTTGCATTAGGTATTTTTCCTACTGCTATCCTTCCCCTAGCCCCCCACCCCCTGACAGGCCCCAGCATATGATGTTCCCCACCCTTTGTCCATGTGTTCTCGTCATTCAACTCTCGCCTATGAGTGAGACCATTCAGTGTTTGGTTTTCTGTCCTTGTGATAGTTTGCTGAGAATGATGGTTTCCAGCTTCATCCATGTCCCTGCAAAGGACATGAACTCATCCTTTTTTATGGCTGCGTAGTATTCCATGGTGTATATGTGCCACATTTTCTTTATCCAGTGTATCATTGATGGACATTTGGGTTGGTTCCAAGTTTTTGCAATCGTGAAGAGTGCCGCAATAAACGTATGTGTGCATGTGTCTTTATAGTAGCATGATTTATAATCCTTTGAGTATATACCCAGTAATGGGATCACTGGTTCAAATGGTATTTCTAGTTCTAGATCTTTGAGGAATCACCACACTGTCTTCCACAATGGTTGAACTAATTTTCACTCCCACCAACAGTGCAAAAGCATTCCTATTTCTCGACATCCTCTCCAGCATCTGTTGTTTCCTGACTTTTTAATGACCGCCATTCTAACTGGTGTGAGATTTATCTCATTGTGGTTTTGATTTGCATTTCTCTAATGACCAGTGATGATGAGCATTTTTTGATATGTCTGTTGGCTGCATAAATGTCTTCTTTTGAGAAGTGTCTGTTCATATCCTTTGCCCACTTTTTGATGGGGTTGTTTTTTTTCTTGTAAATTTGTTTAAGTTCTTTGCAGATTCTGGATATTAGCCCTTTGTCAGATGGGTAGATTGCAAAGATTTTCTCCCATTCTGTAGATTGCCTGTTCACTCTGATGATAGTTTTTGCTGTGCAGAAGCTCTTTAGTTTAATTAGATCCCATCTGTCGTTTTGGCTTTTGTTGCCATTGCTTTTGGTGTTTTAGACATGAAGTCTTTGCCCATGCCTATGTCCTGAATGGTACTGCCTGTTTTCTTCTAGAGTTTTTAGGGTATTAGGTCTTACACTTAAGTCTTTAATCCATCTTTAGTTAATTTTTGTATACAACGTAAAGAAGGGATCCAGTTTCAGCTTCTACCTATGGCTAGCCAGTTTCCCCAGCACCGTTTATTAAATAGGGAATCCTTTCCCCATTGCTTGTTTTTGTCAGGTTTGTCAAAGATCAGATGGTTGTAGATGTGTGGTGTTATTTCTGAGGCCTCTGTTCTGTTCCATCAGTCTATATCTCTGTTTTGGTACTAGTACCATGCTGTTTTGGTTACTGTAGCCTTGTAGTATAGTTTGAAGCCAGGTAGCGTGATGCCTCCAGCTTTGTTCTTTTTGCTTAGGATTGACTTGGCGATGCGGGCTCTTTTTTGGTTCCATATGAACTTTAAAGTAGTTTTTTTCCCATTTTGTGAAGAAAGTCATTGGTAGCTTGATGGGGATAGCACTGAATCTATAAATTACCTTGGGCAGTATGCCCATTTTCACAATATTGATTCTTCCTATCCATGAGCATGGAATGTTCTTCCTTTTGTTTGTGTCCTCTTTTATTTCATTGAGCAGTGGTTTGTAGTTCTCCTTGAAGAGGTCCTTCACATACCTTGTAAGTTGGATTCTTTTTATTCTCTTTGTAGTAATTGTGAATGGGAGTTCACTCATGATTGTGCTGTTTGTCTATTATTGGTGTATAGGAATGCTTGTGATTTTTGCACATTGATTTTGTATCCTGAGACTTTGCTGAAGTTGTTTTTCAGCTTAAGGAGATTTTGGGCTGAGATGATGGGGTTTTCTAAATATACAATCATGTCATCTGCAAACAGAGACAATTTGACTTCCTCTTTTCCTAATTGGATATCCTTTATTTCTTTCTCTTGCCTGATTGCCCTAGCCAGAACTTCCAACACTATGTTGAATAGAAGTGGTGAGCGAAGGCATCCTTGTCTTGTGCTGGTTTTCAAAGGCAATGCTTCTTGTTTTTGCCCATTCAGTATGATATTGGCTGTGGGTTTGTTATAAATAGCTCTTATTTTGAGACATGTTCCATCAATACCTAGTTTATTGAGAGTTTTTAGCATGAAGGGCTGTTGAATTTTGTTGAAGGCCTTTTTTGCATCTATTGACATAATCATGTGGTTTTTGTTGTTGGTTCTGTTTATGTGAGGATTACGTTTATTGATTTGCATACGTTGAATCAGCCTTGCATCGCAGGGATGAAACCAAGCTGATCATGGTGGATAAGTTTTTTGATATGCTACTGAATTTGGTTTGCCAGTATTTTATTGAGGATTTTCGCATCGATGTTCATCAGGGATATTGGTCTAAAATTCTCTTTTTTTGTTGTGTCTCTGCCAGGCTTTGGTATCAGTATGATGCTAGCCTCATAAAATGAGTTAGGGAGGATTCCTTCTTTTTCTACTGATTGAAATAGTTTCAAGAAGGAATGGTACCAGCTCCTCTTTGTACCTCTAGTAGAATTCGGCTGTGAATTGGACTTTTTGGTCTTGGACTTTTTTTGGTTGGTGGGATATTAATTATTGCCTCAAATTCAGAATCTGTTATTGGTCTACTCAGAGATTCAACTTCTTCCTGGTTTAGTCTTGGGAGGGTGTATGTGCCCAGGAATTTATCCATTTCTTCTAGATTTTCTAGTTTATTTGTGCAGAGGTGTTTATAGTATTCTCTGATGGTAGTTTGTATTTCTGTGGGATTGGTGGTGATATCCCCTTTATCATTTTTTATTACATCTATTTGATTCTTCTCTCTTTTTTTCCTTATTAGTCTTGCTAGTGGTCTATCTATTTTGCTGATCTTTTCAAAAAACCACATCCTGGATTCATGGTTTTTTTAAGGTTTTTTGTGTCTCTATCTCCTTCAGTTCTGCTCTGATCTTAGTTATTTCTTGCCTTCTGCTAGCTTTTGAATTTGTTTGCTCTTGCTTCTCTAGTTCTTTTAATTGTGATGTTAGGGTGTCAATTTTAGATGTTTCCTGCTTTCTCTTGTGGGCATTTAGTGCTGTAAATTTCCCTCTATACACTGCTTTAGCCAAGTCCCAGAGATTCTGGTACATTGTGTCTTTGTTCTCATTGGTTTCAAAGAACATCTTTATTTCTGCGTTCATTTCGTTATTTACCAGTAGTCATTGAGAAGCAGGTTGTTCAGTTTCCATGTAGTTGTGTGGTTTTGAATGAGTTTCTTAATCCTGAGTTCTAATTTGATTGCGCTGTGGTCTGAGAGACAGTTTGTTATGATTTCTGTTCTCTTACATTTGATGATGAATGTTTTACTACCAATTATGTGGTCAATTTTAGAATAAGTGCTGAGAAGAATGTATATTCTGTTGATTTGGGGTGGAGAGTTCTGTAGATTTCTATTAGGTTTGCTTGGTCCAGAGCTGAGTTCAAGTCCTGGATATCCTTGTTAACCTGTCTCATTGATCTGTCTAATATTGACAGTAGGGTGTTAAAGTCTGTCATTATTACTGTGTAGAAGTCTAATTCTCTTTGTAGGTCTCTAAGGACTTGCTTTGTGAATCTTGGTGCTCCTGTATTAAGTGCATATATATTTAGGATAGCTAGCTGTTCTTGTTGAATTGAACCCTTTACCATTATGTAGTGGCCTTGTCTCTTTTGATCTTTGTTGGTTTAAAGTCTGTTTTATCAGAGGCTAGGACTGCAACCTCTGCTTTTTTTTGCTTTCCATCTGCTTGGTAGATCTTCCTCCATCCCTTTGTTTTGAGCCTCTGTGCGTCTTTGCATGTGAGATGGGTCTCCTGAATACAGCACGCTGATGGGTCTTGACTCTTAATCCAATTTGCCAGTCTGTGTCTTTTAACTGGGGTATTTTAGCCCATTTATATTTAACGTTAAGACTGTTATGTTGGAATTTGATCCTGTAATCATGATGATAGCTGGTTATTTTGCCCGTTAATTGATGCAATTTCTTCATAGCGTCGATGGTCTTTACCACTTGGCATGTTTTTGCAGTGGCTGGTACCGGTTGTTCTTTCCATGTTTCGTGCTTCCTTCAGGACCTCTTGTAAGGCAGGCCTGGTGGTGACAAAATCTCTCAGCATTTGCTTGTCTGTAAAGGATTTCCTCTTTCACTTATGAAGCTTAGTTTGGCTGGATATTGCTTTGATTTTTAAAAATTTGTTGAGATTTATTTTGTTGCCTAACATATGGTTTTGCCTTGAGAATGTTCCATGTCCTGGTGAGAAGAATGTGTGTTCTGCAGCTGTTGGATAAAATATTCGTTAGGTTCATCTATTCTATATTGCGGGTTCAGTCCAATGTTTGTTAATTTTCTATCTAGATTACTGGTCCAATCCTGAAAGTGGGATGTTGAAGTTCTCAACTACTATTGTACTGGGGTCTATCTTTCCCTTTAGCTTTAGTAATATTTGTTTTATATATCTGGATGTTCTGGTGTTGGGTACATGCATATTTACAATTGTTATATCCTCTTGATGAATTGATACATTTATCATTACATAATAACCTTCTTTGTCTCTTTTTGTCTTTTTTTGACTTAAGGTCTATTTTATCTGATGTAAGTATAGATATTCCTGTTTACTTGTGGTTTTCATTTGTATAGAATATCTTTTTCCATCCCCTCACTTTTAGTCTATATGTGTTTTTACAGGTAAAGTGAGTTTGTGGAGGCAGAATACAGTTTGGTCTTTTTTTTATACATTTAGACAGTCTATATCTTCTAATTCTGAATTTAAATGGTTTACAATCAAGGTTGTTATTGATATGTGAGGATTTACTCCTGTCTTTTTGTTAAGTGTTTTCTTATTGTCTTATATATCCTTTGTTTCTTTTTTCCTCTCTTACTGTTTATCTTTGCAGTTTGGTGATCTTTAGTAGTAATAATATTTGATTCCTTTCTCTTTTGTATTTGTACATCTGCTCTACCACTGAGTTTTATACTTTTGTGTTTTTTCATGAGGGTAGATATTATTCTTTCATTTCTAGATGTAGGAATCGCTTAAGCATTTCTTATACGGCTAGTTTAGTGGTGATGAATTCCCTCAGTTTTTGTTTCACTAAAAAAGATTGATTTCTCCTTGATTTCTGAAGGATAGCTTTACTGGGTCTAGTATTCTTGTCTGGTACTTTACTTCTTTTGGCTCTTTATCATTCCATTGTTTCCTGGACTATAATGTTTCTTCTGAGAACTCTGCTGTTAGTGTGATGGGGATTTCCTTATATGTCACTTGATGCTTTTCTCTTGTCGTTTTCAAAATTCTCTTTTTATCTTTTTTTTTTTTTTCTTTGAAACACAGTCTCACTTTGCCGCCCAGGCTGGAGTGCAGTGGTGTGATCTCGGCTCACTGCAACCTCCACCTCCTGGCTTCAATCAATTCTCCTGTCTCAGCCTCCCAAGTAGCTGGGATTACAGGTGCATGCTACCACGCCTGGCTGATTTTTGTATTTTTTAGTAGAGACAGGGTTTCGCCAGGTTGGTCAGGCTGGTCTTGAACTCCTGACCTCAGGTGATCCACCTGCCTCGGCCTCCCAAAGTGCTGCGATTACAGGCATGAGCCACTGCGACTGGTCCTTTTTATTTTTTAACAGTTTGATTATAATGTGTCTTGGAGAGGATTGTGTTTTTTTGTGACTCTTTCAGCTTTCTATATCCAGATGTCTGTATCTTTTCCAAGACTTGGAAAATATTCAGCTATTATTTTATTAAATAAGTTACCTATGCCTTTTTCTATTCCTTCTCTTTCTGAAATTCCCGTTGTGTGAACATTGGTTTGCTTAATGGCATTCCATAGGCCTTCCTCATTCTTTTAAAATCTTTTTTCTATTTATTATTACTATTATTTTTTGGTCTGACTGGTTTATTCCAAAAAACCAGTTTTAAAGTTCAGAAATTCTTTCTTCTGCTTGATCTAATCTATTGTTGAAGTTCTCTAATATATGTGTGTGTGTGTGTGTGTGTGTGTGTGTATGTATATATATATATATATTCTTTGGTTTCAAGATTTGTTTCATTATTAAAAATGATATTTATTTATTTCTGTGTTGAATTTCTTATTCAGATCATGAATTGTTTTTCTGATTTTGTTGAATTGTCTGTGTTCTCTTATATCTCAGTTTGTTCTCACTCATAGGTGGGAATTGAACAATGAGAACACTTGGACACAGGAAGGGGAACATCACACACTGGGGCCTGTTGTGGGGTGTAGGGAAGGGGGAGGGACAGCATTAGGAGATATACCTAATGTAAATGACAAGTTAATGGTTGCAGCACACCAATATGGCACATATATACATATGTAATAAACCTGCACGTTGTGCACGTGTACCCTAGAACTTAAAGTATAATAATCATAAAAAAAAGATCATTATCTTGGATCCCTTTTTAGACATTTCATAGATTTCCTTTTTTGGAAGATCTGCTATTGGAGAATTATTGTGTTTTTAGAAGTGTCATATTTTCTTGCTTTTTCTTGTTTCTGCTGTTCCTATGTTAATATATGTGCATCTGGTGAGACAGTTGCTTCTTTCAATTGTATGAGATAGTTCTACAGGGAGACTTTTTCCTGTAGATGTGTCCTATAGTGTTGGTTGGGTAGAGTGCTTTGGCTTTGGTTCTGAGTGGGCACAGTAGTGTATTCTCTATATGATTTTTTTGGCTGTAATAAATGTCACTGGTATCTGTGAGTGCCTCAACGGCTTAGGCTGCAGTTGTTCTTGGAAGCTGTGGTGCAGCTTTGCTGGGGTGGAGAAACTGAGCAGCTAGTATTGGGATGGGGTGCGTGTACAGGTAGTGGCTCTGCCACTGGAGGAATGGGGTTGCCAGCAGCAGCAGTGGGCCTCAAGCAGGCTAGCCCTCAAGCCCTTGAGTGGCACATGCGCATGTGCAGCAGCTCTGCTGCTGGAGGGGGCAAGGTTGCAAGTGGGCAGGTTTTAGGCTGTGGGGAGTGCATATGTTGGCTCCCTTTGCCCTAAGTGCAGCCTCCTACTGTGCTGGATGGCCTGTGTCTGGTGTGTAGGGCCCTGTGTGAGCTCATGCTGCGTCATGGCTGCACTGCTGTGTTCAGCTGGTGTTATGTTGCTGCAGTCCTCTGGGTGAGGTGTCAGTGAACCCTAGGGATGTAAAGATACAGGGGTTATTCAGCTCCAGGGCAGGATGTACTCTGCTGGTGACCTCTCTCTCAAAATTGCATCATGGTGCAGTAGGCTGGATCCCAGCGAGTGAGGAGCATGCAGTATAAATTTTCTTTTCTGGAAGAGTGCAGTCACATAGATTCCATGCAGTTCCCTCTACTGGGCTTAGGACCCTAAGAGGGCTGTGGGGCTCTCTTGTAGCTAGTATTGTGGGCATCTGTGGTGGCAAAGTGGACTTTGAGAATCTCCTGTTAACCTTTTCCTAACAATGGTGAATCCCTCTTGGCTCTAAGTCAATCCCAGCTGGGTGCTTTGCTTCCCCCTCTATGCTGCCATCCCAAGTTTCTGTGCCTCAGAGGATTTTCGTCACTTTCTTGCTAAATTCCAGCAAGAATTCCTTAGACAGTCTATTCAATATATAGTTGTCTATTTGCTGCTCTGTTCCTTTCTTGTGTAGGAGGAGAGTGCTGGGCTGGGTAGTCAGCCATCTTGATCATAGTACTTTCTTTGGGAAGCATTACGGAAAAGTTCTAGTTTGGCCTACCTGAAGCCACAGAGGAGACAAACATGTTTAAAGATGGCAATTTCTGCCTGTGGCAAGCAGTTCCAGTCCAGGATTGGCAAATCTATCTTCCAATTTAAGGGTGTTAGGAAAGGCTAGAAAAGATTCTGCTAGACTTGGCTAAATTCACACACATTAAAGAAAGAAATAAAACCCTAGCAACTCACTCCAGCCTAGTAATGTTCTCACCATTAGAAAGACCTTCTTATTACTGTGTATGCCCTGATTCTTATTGCAGGTTGTGGCTATTGAGTAGTTATGGCATTATAGAGTGGCTCTGAAATGGAAGGTCACTTCATTATGTTAAGCTGAAAGGGGAGATATTACCTATGTGTAAACTACAGCCTAATAATAAGAAGAACATTCAATATTTGTATAGTGTGTTTATGTACCAGGCATTGTTTCTATATTAACTCATTAAACCCTTACAACTTTAATGATTGGATTCTTTCATGATCTCTGTTTTACAAGTGAAGAAACTGAGGCACAAAGCAATTAAGTAACTTGCCCAAATTTGCACAACACGTAAAAAGCCAAAATTCCAACTGAGATATCTAGCTCTAGAGACCATGGTTTTGGTGACCAATATTATAAGCTGTTATATGAAAAATATGCACAAGTTATTCTCATATAAGAAAACCAGCCAAGGAAGGAGGCTGAGTGGTCCATTTGACCTTGACAATAAAAATGACAAGAATCTGTCGTCCTGTGTGGCAAAAGCTAGAATGTGTTCACCATGGGGAGATGGACAGGTGCTTAGAGGGAAGTAGGCAGTTTGGTACTCTCCTTGAAGACAGTGCAGTTACTGGGGACCAGCAACTTGTATTTCAGGACCTGGTCTACTATGTTTCTTTGTGTGTTTCTATTTCCTTTATTTCTTATTCCATCTTAACAATTTGGAGGAGTTTTTAAATAGTCGCCTCTTTCATCTGGACTAATGGAAAGCAAGAAAAGCAGGATTTTTTTTTCACCTTCATGTAGGCTCCTGGGGTTTTACATCAGTCATCATGGATGCTCCACCTCATCCGCTAGCCTTATCTGAGTGTACCTGCTACCAGAGAAGATGGCGTCTGGCATTCCATCACAGCTTCCCAGTACAGATACCTGCTGCTCCCTTCTTCTCTGATAGGGTCCTCTGTTGACATCAAAGGAGCTTGCTCCACAAAACGAGGTACAATCTGGATGGCCAGGGAATTTAATTCCTCCAGGCTAGCTCTGGGCCCACGGGGATGAGAGTCACTGGGAAAATGCCCCAGCCTCTTTTGACTTGTGAGTGAATTTGGAGGTGTATTTCACAGTTTTCTAGAGGATATCCAGTAGGACGGGGACCAATGTAACTGCAGCAGTAACTTCCTCATTAACACATCCTTTATTGGCTTCTCTCCATTCTGTATCTCACTTCCTAATCCCTCATGTATGTTTTCTGGGATTGCCTCCAAATAAACTAACAGCACTCAAGTTCTTGCCCCAGGCTCTGCTTTTGAGGGAAACTAAACTAGAACTTAGAAAATGGGGCACATGTACCCCTGGAGTTGAATGTGGTGGCAGCAGGAAGGTTCGATATGGAGGGCTCCCAGGGAAAACAGAGGGAGGAGACTCTAAATCAGATGAGAATCCCCTCTACACTGAGCACTCTCCATCTAGACCTCAGCAATTTTAGAAATCACTGAGTTTTCCTTCACTAAACAGAATAATTCCTTCCCTTCAACCCCGACGTACTTTTTTTTTGGTTTTATTAAAGGAATCCATTCCAAGACTGAGGGATTCCACAACTTGCTTGATATTTTAGTCAAACGAATAACAGAAAAGACCAGCTTCCTGAACATAGACAGCAGCTCTTGCATCATGGAACAGTAAGCCCAGAAAAGAGAATGATACGATTGATAAACCACAGGATCAAAAACTTCCCCAAAGTTCCAGTTCCCTGTGGTTTGGAAACTAAATGAAACACCTTCCTCCAACACTGTGGAATCAGAAAGAACCCTGGAGCCAGCTCCCAAGAAATAGAAGTGACAGAACTTTATGGTCTGCCCCTTTCCTTTGTACTGGTCTCTACAGTAGGGGACCAAAAGCCTTGTTAATGCCTGGCTTTCAGAAGTGAGAGGCCTATTTGAAAGTGTCAGGGCAGGGAGGAAGCTAGTGGTAGCCCACTGGGCTTTCAGGGGAGCCACTTTCCCAATTTTCTTTGGGAGATCCTAGTCAAGTAAAATATAACATCTTTATAAATTATCCAGACTCTGTGTTTGTAAAGTATCTGTGACTCAGTTATTTAGTTGAAAAGCTTTAATATCCAGAACACAGGGAATTTTCTATATTGTCAATCCACACTTCATTGTTTTGTTCGGTTCTGGCAACCTCACTGGGATGGGACTTTGACACACTGGAGAGTGTTCAAGAGACTAGCAACCATGATGCATGTGGTATATTGCAATATGTTGAGTGTTTTCCTCATGAATAATAATTGCATTCTTTCCTCATTCAAGTTTAGACACAATTGAGAAATACAAACAGAGGAGTAAAAACTATTATTTTTATTGCTGGCAATACCGGATTCATGGATATGACTTGGACCTGCAGCACCTACATTTTGGGAGCTATACTTGCAAGGATGGAACCTAGAGGAGACACACTGACCCAGCCCCTCTGAAGGCCTGTGGTCTGCCTTGTATCTGTTTAACATCAAGAGCAATGACAGAGAAGGTTCTCTAACCACGTCTCTAGAAGGCAGCACCAGGCCCTGGCCAGGTATCACCATATGGAACCAGGAATAGAAGTGAACACATTCATCTCTCTAGCAGGTTAGCCAAAAAGATGCCTGATCAAAGGCTCAGCCTCACATGTTCAGGACTTTATTAATACACCTAGTTAGATAAGGTGCTCCTCAGCCTTTGAGAAGAATAATGACAGGGGACCAGGAACAAGGAAAACATTCCTTCTCAATACCTCTGGAAGGTGAAAATTCCTATTTTGGGCCAGGACAGAAATGTGGCAGAAGGAGAAAATGATATTCCTAATAGAATGTGTGTATTTGGGGAAAGAGAAGACTTAGAAGAAGTCACAAGATTTATATTTAAGTATCTGAAGGCCTGTCATAGAAAACAGGGCAGTATCTCGGGTGATGGGTACACCAAAATCTCACAAATCACCACTAAAGAACTTACTCATGTAACCAAATACCACCTGTTCCCCAAAAACCTGTGGAACTAAAAAAATTAAAAAAACTAAAAAAAAGAGGGCAGAGTGGATCTGTGGCAGTCCATTTCACATTGCTGTAAAGGAATATTTGGGGCTGGTAATCTATACAGAATAGAGGTTTACTCAGCTCACAGTTATGCAGGCTGTAGAAGAAGCATAGTGCTGGCATTTGCTTCTGGTTAGGACCTCAGGAAGCTTTCACTTGTGGCTAAAGGTGAAGGAGGATCAGGCATGTCTCATGGTGAGAGAGGAGTAATAGAGAGAGGAAGAAGATTTGGGGCTCTTCTACAACCAGATAGTGCATGAACTCATAGAGTGAGAACTCACTCATTACCACTAGCACAGCACCAAGCCATTCATGAGGGATCTGCCCCCATGACCCAAGCACCTCTCACTAGGCCCACCTCTAACATTTCAACATGAGATTTGCAGAGGACAAAATATCCAAACCATATCATTCTTCTCCTGGCCCCACAAATTTCATGTTCTCACACTGCAAAATACAATCATCCTCCCCAATAGTCTCCAGAAGTCTTAATTTATTCCAGCATTACTAAAAGTCCAAAGTCTCATCTGAGACTCAAGGCAATTTCCTTTCACTTATGAATCTGTAAGATCAAAAACAAGTTATTCACTTCTAAGATACAATGGTGGTACAGGCATTGGGTAAAGGGATAAGTTGGCCAAAAGAAGGGGGCAACAGGCTCAAGACACGAGTGTAAAATCCAGCAGGGCAGACATTAAATCTTAAAGCTCCAACATAATCTTTGACTCCATGTCCCACATGCTGGGCAAACTATTGTGATGGGTGGGCTCTCAAAACCCTGGGCAGCTCCATGTCTGTAGCTTTTCAGGGTGCAGCCTTTGTGGCTGCTCTCACAGTTTGGAGTTGAGTCCCTGTGGCTTTTCCAAGATCAGAGTGCAAGATGTCAGTGGCTCTACTATTTTTGGGTTTGGAGTGTGGCAGCCCTTTCCCACAGCTCAATTAGGCAGTGCTCTGGTGGGTACTCTGTATTGAAGCTCCAACCCCACATTTCTTCTTGGCACTGCCCTAGTAAATTTTCTCTATAGGGGCTTCACCCCTGTAGCAGGCTTCTCCTTGGGCACCCAGGCTTTCCTATACATCCTCTGAAATCTAGGTGGAAGCGACCAAGCTTCTTTCACTCTTGCATTCTGTGCATTTGCAAACTTAGCACCATGTGGAAGCTGTGAAGGCTTATGGTTTGCACCCTCTGAAGAGGCAGTCTGAGCTGTATCTGGGGCCCTTTGAACTAAAGCTAAGGCTAGAGAAGGGGGAATATGAGAAGTAGTATCCTGAGGCTGAGCAGAGCAGTGGGGCTTTGGCCCTGGCCCTCAAAATCATTCTTTCCTCCTAGGCCTCTGGGCTTGTGATGGGGCCATTCAGATCTCTCAAGTGTCTTCAAGACCCTTTTTTCATTGTTTTGATTATTAGCACTTGGCTCTCTTTGCATCATGCAAATCTCTCCAGCATGCAGTTGCTTCCCAGGCAACTTAAATTCTTCTCCTGAAAATCCTTTTTCCTTTTGTACCACAATGCCAGGCTGCAAATTTTCATGCTCTGCTTCCCTTTTAAGTTTCAACTTTAAGTCATTTTTTTTGCTTCTAATCTGATCATAAGCTGTTAGAAGTAGCTATGCCTGAACACTTTGCTGCTTGGAAATTTCCTCCAGATACCCCAGGTTATCCTAAGGTATTCCTCCAGATATCCTATGTTGTCACTCTCGAGTTCAACCTTCCACAAAGCTCTAAGACGTGGATACAATGCAGCCACATTCTTTGCTTAGGTGTAACAAGGGTGACCTTTACTCTGATTCCCAATAACTTTCTCATCTCCACGAAAGACCTCATCAGCCTGGTCTTCACTGTCCATATTTTTATCAGCATTTTGGTCACAATCACTTAACCAGTCTCTAGCAAGTTCCAAACTTTCCTTCTCCCTCCTATCTTCTTCTAAGCCCTCCAAACTCTTTGAATATCTACCTGTTACCCATTCCAATGCCACTTGTACATTTTCAGTTGTCTTTATAGCAGTGGCCCACTCCTCAATACCAACTTTTTTTTTTTTTTTTTTAGACGGAGTCTTGCTCTGTCACCAGGCTGGAGTGCAGTGGCGCGATCTCGGCTCACTGCAACCTCCGCTTCCTGGGTTCAAGAGATTCTCCTGCCTCAGCCTCCCAAGTAGCTGGAATTATAGGCACACACCACCACACCCAGCTAACTTCTGTATTTTTAGTAGAGATGGAGTTTCACCAAGTTGGGGTTTCACCATGTTGGCCAGGATGGTCTCGATCTCTTGACCTTGTGATCCACCTGCCTCGGCCTCCCAAAGTGCTGGGATTACAGGTGTAAGCCACCATGCCCAGCCTCAATACCAACTTTCTGTGGTAGTCTGTTTTGTGTAGCTGTAAAGGAATACCTGAAGCTGGATAATTTATAAAGAAAAGAGGTTTATTTTGGATTACAGCTTTGCAGGTTGTATAAGCAGCACAGTGCTGGCATCTGCTTCTGGTCAGAACATCAGGAAGCTTTTATTCATGGCTGATGGCAAAGGGGGAGCAGGCATGTCACATGGCGAGAGAGGGAGAAGGGAGAGAGGGAAGCAGTTCCAGGCTCTTTTAAACAATCAGATCTCATGTGAACTCACAGAGTGAGAACTCACTCATTACTGCAAGGACAGCACTAAGCCATTCATGAGGAATCTTCCCCGATGGCTCAAACACAGGGCACTAGGCCCCGCCTCCAACATTGGAGGTCACATTTCTACATGAGATTTGGAGGGGACAAAACATCCTAACCATATCAGGGTCCAATTGCTGAAGTGCAAAAGCAAATAAAAAAGGAAACATTTTGTTAATTCTCATTATTAATTTTCATTTCCCCCAACAAGAAAAAGCTACCTTAGTAACTGAAAGTTTGCAAGCAAAGATTAGAGGTATTTGTAGAAGACATCTAAGTATTTGTTTGGAGTCTGGGAAATTTTTCTATGATCTTTGTAAACTCTGAGATTCTTCGATTCTATGAAGATTTAACACAGGTTAATACATATTTGTCTTTTGAGCAGAATAAAGATTGTTCTAAATGCAGACAACCTTTAAACATATATATGATAAAAACATGGGAAAAATAACTGCAGGGTAGCCTAGATAATAGAAAATGGCTTCTCCTATTTTTCTACCAAGTTTTTATATATATAGATAAGCTAGCCAATGAAATAATAAGAACTTTACATCCCTGCAAGTTTTTCTCTAGGTACTTGCTCCCAGGCAAGAAAAAGAAGACAGGTAAGAATTCAGGGTGTTATGCAAAACGAGTAAGTCCTAGAGATTCTACTATAGTGTAGAGTGCCTATAGTTAACAAGTATAGGCACTATTGTACCTATACTTAAAAGTTGCTAAAAGGGTAGATATTATGTTAAGTATTCTTATCACACACACATATACACAAAAGATCATATACACACACACACATATACAAAAAGATCTTTGGTAGAAAAGACTCAGAAATTAAAAAAAAAAAAAAAAATCCTGGGGAATATACATTCTGACAATCAGCCTAAATACGAGCGTAAAATATATGTGAACAGTGACATCATTTTCATTTCACTCATCCACTCTGTCCAGAAAAACACCAAAATGGTTCACTCTATTCTTTAACACATCTGCTTTCTCTAATAAAGAGGTTTGGGAATAATTGGTCAAAGCCCATATTCATATTGGGAGACACCAGGAAAAGCCCCTGCTTAAAACTGCTTATCTTATCCACTGCCAACAAATTCTTCCTTGAGAACTTATTCTTATCAGAATGAAAATGTCACTGGAAGGAAAAAAAATTGGAAACTCAAGGGAGCTCTGTTTGCAGGGCTTCTTATAAAACGGCCCTTAAAGATAGCCTTGTAAGGGGATCAAAGACATATATATTGCTATTTTGCTAAAATTAAGCTCTAGTGAATGAATTAGGCCACAGAAGCTAAAATCCAGAAGCATTTGCTCAGGGACAAAACATAAATTATTCTATTGTCACCCTACTTCCCTTCCTGTTGTGGATATCCAGTTTATCTTCTGGCATATCTAAGCAATACTTGTCACTTATAAATTCCTCTTCCTTTTCTCTATTTTTGTCTCACCTTATATGTTTTTGGCTATGAGCTCACTGAAGCAGGGACCAAGTCTTATGTTTCTATGCTTCTGAGAAGCTGAGTAGCCTAGTGGAAAGATCAAGAACTTTCAAGTTGGACTGAACTTGTTTTGAATCTCACTTAGTCGTTTGGAAGCTCAATTTCCTTCTCTGCAAAAGCTTCTGGCAAACCACTGTATCTAGATCTGTGATCCAGTGTTTAGCACAATGCTGGGAGTCCACTAGATTCTTCAGAGGTGTTTGTTGAATGATTGGCAACTCACTTGGGAGTATCCAGGATTGGCCTGAGGTGTTGGGAAAGGGACGAGGAGAAGACAGCGAAAAGCAGTTGTGTGGCAAAGGACATGATGACTCCTGCATTGGCTTTGATTGCCAACTTACTTAATGTGGCCCTGAAGTTCATACTGAGTTGGAAATTTTGATTCTTATTTCCTACCCGGAGACAGCCAAGTGAAACAGCTACTATGTGCTTATACATGGGAAGGAAGCTTTCTTGTCCTTCTCCAGTGAGCTAGCTTCTGTTCAATAGGTTAACAGCTTCAAATGTCTTTTTACTGTCTGTACAATAAATGGTTGGCTGGTATCAGAACTTGAATTGAGCGTAAAATTCACCCCAAAAAAACTTCTGTCAGTCCAGACCTGACTTAAATTATAACATTCTTGATGGCAAACAACTTACTTTGCCCCATGTCTAGCTCAATGCATTTTACTTCAAGAAATAGAAAAAAAATCAACTCCAAATGCCTTAAACAATGGGGAACCTTTATTGTCTCACGTAAGAGTCCAATGATATGGAAGCTTTGGGATTGACAGCTTCAACAGCTCAACAACATTGTCAGACTCAAGTGCTTCCTTCTTTCTCCTTGGCCATTGCCAGCATGTTGGCTTGTCCTTAGGCTGATGGTTTTTTTTTTTTTTTTTGAGATGAAGTCTCACTCTGTCACACAGCCTGGAGTGCAATGGCACGCGATCTTGGCTCACTGCAACTCCCAGCTCCCGGGTTCAAGCGATTCTCCTGCCTCAGCCTCTTGAGTAGCTGGGATTGCAGGCATGAGCCACCACACCCAGCTTATTTTTATATTTTTAGCAGAGACGGGGTTTCACCATGTTGGCCAGGCTGTTCTCAAACTCCTGACCTTGGGTGATCTGCCCACCTTGGCCTCCCAAAGTGCTGGGATTACAGGCGTGAGCCACCATGCCCAGCCAGGCCGATTGTTCTTATAGTTTCAGTAAGGCCATGTGTGCTTTTACCAAGTGCTATGCTGACCAACCACAACTCATGAGCAATCAAAATGCAATTGCTTTGTCTTCCCAACCCCTTGCCCCTTAGAACCTTATTCAATGCAGGTAATTTCTGTCAGTCTCTAGATGAAGCCTCCAAAAGGTTCATAAATTTCTACTTGCTCTTAGTTAATAGACAAGCCTACAATCGCATTAAGCTGCAAACACAATCTTGATTCGATACTATGAATGTTGAATAGAGGATATTATCCAAAACTCTGAACTTGATTTAACATAAGATTTTCTCCTCCTGCTGTCCCCCACCTTATGTTAGCTTCAGGCTGGAAGCTCACAGTGAGAAAAGTCAAGAGTGGTGTGGGATGTGGTGGCAGTGGTCCATAGTCGGCCCTGTGGGGAGGGGATTTTATCACTGGCATTGTTTAGAATTGTCACTGCAGAGTGATCATGAAAAACAGACTGAGACTGATTTTAGTTAGTATTACTACTGTTCCAAAATTCTCCAAAATGTTGTGGGCCTTGTTTTCCTGCTTCCTTAGTGTGCCGCTCCTGTGGGCCCTCTTATGGTTCACTTCTGGGAGAAGGGTGTGTTGACCACCCTCCCTGCTTGCTAGCCAGGGAGTGGCTCACAGAAGAGTGCTGGGGGATAGGAAAGCTCTGATATCTATTTATCTGTTTGCATATGTATCTATTACTTTTATTTATTTCTTAGTGTTGTTTAAAACTAACCCAGGGCACTCTTGTGGGCTCACAGGACACTTCCATCCATGGGGCCACTCACCTGCAGTTTTTTTTTTTAAATTATTATACTTTAAGTTCTGGGGTACATGTACACAACATGCAGGTTACATAGGTATACATGTGCCATGTTGGTTTGCTGCACCCATCGTCGTCATTTACATTAGGTATTTCTCTTAATGCTCTCCCCCAGCCCCCTAACCCCTGAAAGGCCCTGGTGTGTAATGTTCCCCTCCCTGTGTCCATGTGTTCTCATTGCTTAACTCCCACTTATAAGTGAGAACATGCGGTGTTTGGTTTTCTCTTCTTGTGTTACTTTGCTGAGAATGATGGTTTCCCTTTTCACCCATATCCCTGCAAAGGACATGAACTCATCCTTTTTTATGGCTGCATAGTATTCCATGGTGTATATGTGCCACATTTTCTTTATCCAGTCTATCATTGATGGGCATTTGGGTTGGTTCCAAGACTTTGCTATTGTGAACAGTGCTGTAATAAGCATACATATGCATGTGTCTTCATAGTAGAATGATTTATAACCCTTTGGGTATATACCCAGTAATTGGATTGCTGTTTTCTTAATGTGGGTAGATGTATCTCTTTTTGGATGGTCAGTCACAACTCCTTCCTTAGCCCCAGGAATCTAAGGTTCATTTTTAGGGTGTTTCTGTTGGAGTCCCTGTGACCCTCAAGGTGCCCTGTGATGAGCCAGTGCTGTCTCTCCTCTGCATGGTTCATGACTAGTATTTGAGAATCATGTGTCATTCATTCTGGCAAACTGGGAATACAGGCCAGTCTCAAAGTATCAGCTCTGTCCTGGCTGCGCTGGACCTGTTAGCCCTTCTCACATCCTCTAGAGCTGGGGTCCCCAACCCCTGGGCCACAGACTGTCCCCGGCCTGTTGGGAACTGGGCTGCACAGCAGGAGGTGAGCGAAGGGCCAGCGAGCATTACTGCCTGAGCTCCACCACCTGTCAGATCAGTGGTGGCACTGGATTCTCATAGGAGTGTGAACCCTATTGTGAATTGTGCATGTAAGGGATCTAGGTTGTGTGCTCCTTATGAGAATTCTAATGCCTGATGATCTGAGGTGGAACAGTTTCATTTCGAAACCAGGCCCTCAAACCATCCTGGTTCATGATAAAAATTGTCTTCCATGAAACAGTTCCCCTGGTGCTAAAAAGGCTGGGGACCACTGCTGTAGAGGCAAGAGGCAAACCTAACTCTACAACTTCTTCCAAATTCAGGGACAGTGCAGGAAGCCCAGCCTCTCCAGGCTTAAGATGCAGCAGTCAATACTCCTCCCTGTTTCCTCTGGAGGAAGAGAGGACTACAGCATGGTAACAATTCTCTCTAATGAAATACCATCTCCAAAATACTCCTTTCCCTTCACATCTTACCGCTAGAGCTGTGGAGCTGGTTTTTCACTAGGTCCTGTGGAAATGCCACATAAAGGATTTTCAGCTCACCTTTACTGCATATCTGCTCTGTATCCTCCTGGTATCTCGGTCACAGATGAGGCAGGGATAGTCTTATTTTAACAACCAGTTACACAGACATGACAATATCCAACAGAAGAACAAGAGACAGTTTTCCTTTTGACTGGAAAATTCTGTCTAGTTATCTAAGAAAACTTTCTCTCATGTCCTTTTTGTCAGGACTGGGTCCCAAAATAAATACCTTGCCAGGAGAATGGTGGTAACAAGAGTGCCTTAGACTAGTCAATATTTATTCTTGAGCCAGAGATAAGGTTACCTTCTGGAGCACATGGTCATGGTGGAGAAGTGTGATGCATGACCAAATTCGGAGGACAGGTACCCAGTGACATCTGCTAATTGAGCATGCAGTATCTGTCAAATGATAAAGACTTTGGAAAGCTCAGAGTCAAGGATGTCTGCCAATAAATTCAATCTACCCTAAAAATCATTAGGCTTTTGGAGGTGAATGACAGGGTTGGAGAAAGTAGGTATGGGACTGCACAGATGGCTCCAATCAGAATGAAGATAGGCTGGCGGTGAAAGGTGCTCGTGAAATAGAATCTTTGGGGCTGTCAGAATTCTTATGGTTTCCTTCCTGCCTGTGAACAGCCATCAGTGAAGATCCATCTCACTGTGGGCTTTTCCTCCTTGGGGGATTCTTCCCCTGCTGGAGTTTGGTCAGGCATTAAAGACCTCATTTTGGCCAGCTGGAGTGTGCTTTTTCCTTGGTTGCTCTGTGGACAACCCAAGGCCTTTCAGATGAGCTTATTGGACTCTTGCTCTGTTTCATGTGTGGGGAGGGCTTGGGGGAGTGCAGTCTGCTACCCAACATGCCTTGGGCCCTTCTGCCAGGCCCCTTTTCTGTCCTGACCTGTGAGATCTTGCAGTCTGCTTCCCACTGTCAATCAGGCTGAATCGTGTCAAATTATGCAGTGCTACACTCAGCCACAAGAGCCGGGTTGAGACCTACAAATTCATTTACACATGCAACTTAAGCCAAGATATTTTTCTCAGGTCTGCAGTGTTGTTGAAAAGAAATGGGGTACCAAGGGCCAAACAAGTGGAATTGGAGGTTAAAACTATGCCCTTTTCTACAAACCTTGTAGTTCTAGGCCATTGTGCTGCACTGTTTCACTCTGAATTCCTTTGTCCCCTAGATAACAGTTTCTAAAGTACTCCCACCTCCCTTCCAGGAATGTGGAATATAAAGTTTTATAGGATGATTTATATTTGTTTTATTTTGAACATAACATACATTATCTCAATATCTCCTTTCCATAGCTTTATCAGTAATTCAGATAAAATACTGATAAATCAGATTATCAGTAATTCTAGACTTTGTCAAGTTCTTTGCTGAATTAATTATAGTTTTATTTTAAGGCACCATTTGGAAGGGCAAGAGATGCATTTCGGACACATAAGGAAGACCTGAAGAAACACTCAACATAGTATACATGTGTGCATGTGTGCCAATATGTGCTTATATGTATAAAATATATGCAGAGATACACAAATATTTCATAATTATAGATATATGCCATATTAATTCAGGTTGAACAGTAATAGTAGGAGGGTAATGCTTGCTCAGGTGTTGAAAAATTTTCACAGTGCATTCCTTGAGCCTATTTGCTATGAGCCCTGATGATATCACTTTTTTCTTGGAAAGGCAGGGGAGCGCTGAGAAGTGGAAGGAGGTAAATACAGGATTTGATGACTAGAAGAGCTTGCTGCCTACTGATTTATACCTGGAATCTTAAAGTACTTAAAGTTGGGTGTCCTTATCTTGGCTGTCCCTCTGCCAAATCCAACATTTTTTTCTTTTTTGGAGGGCAGGTCAGATATAATTCCGCCTTTGTAGCACCGCAAAGTGTATTCCTTTGAGGAAATTAATTGTGGAGCTAATTACGGTGCATTCTTAGTTCTGGTTTTCTGCGTGGTTGAAGGATCCTGTTCCTAAAGAGTTCACAGACTCTTGGAGTTTTCACACTTGCTCTAAACACTGTGTAATTTACATGTTCCTGTAGCCAATATTAATGACAGTTAATATATACCTGGTGCTTATGTGCTTTTCTACTGTTCTATGTGATTTTAATCTATTAACTCATAATGTACAAGTAATCATTGTCTCCACTTTACAGCTGAGGGAACAGAGGCATAGAAGCTTAAGTGATTTTCTCAAGATCCCACAGCTGGTAAGACATGGACCCAGAATTTGGGCTCAGGCTGTCTGGTTTGAGGTCCAAGCTTACGGCCACTCTGCCATCCTGTTTTATCTTTGCCTTCTAGGGAATACAGGCAAGATGTTTCCTAGAAATGGAGACAGTGTTCATGCTTAACAAGAAGCTATGGAATTAGAGAGAAGACAGCATACGGCGTTCAGCTTACATTCACTGTGTTCCTCCTCTGTATCCTACCAGTGGCTCAGGTGTAACTGAGGCATGTGTAGTCTAATCTTAGCATTCTGTTAAATAGACATAACCATATATAACAGAAGAAGAGAAACACTCTAAGATTCTGGAGACCCCTTCCTAGTCACCCAGAGGTACCTGGTGAGTTGTACATAGAGTAGTTATTCTAAAATGGCATCACTGGGTGTCTTACTCTGTTCAGATTGCTATCACAAATTGCTGCAGACTGGGAGGTTTAAACAACAGAAATGTATTTCTCACAGTTCTGGGGTCTGGGAAGTCTGAGATGAGCATGCAGGTTCTGGTGAAGTTCCGCTTCCTGGTTTGCAGTTGGCTGTCATCTTGCTGTATCCTCCACATGGTGAAGAGCAGAGAGAGAGGAAGCAAGTTCCCTCATGTCTGTTTGTAAGGGCACTAATCCCATCATGAGGGCTCCATGCTCATGGTCTCATCTAACCCAAATCACCTCCCCAAAACCCCACCTCCAAATATCATCACATTGGAGGGTAGAGCTTCAACATATGGTTTTGGGGGGAACATGGACATTCAGACCATAGCACCTGGCTTGAGCTGCTTAGCTAAGCTATGGTTCTTGTTATTGAGGTCTACTCATATGATAAGCACATCTCTATAGTAGCTGTTGTCTGCGTGTACATGGGGAGCAGGTGGAGGAGGAGGATAGTAAGGTAGAGGATTAGTGTCAGAGACATTTAAAAAGAATACAATCAGGAATCAGGGAGGCCTTTCTATTCTGATCCCTTCCTCTGCTCCCAAAGCCTTCCTATTAGTCAGCCAAACGTACTTCCCTATGTCCTCTGAGTGTGCACTGCCCTTCTCCTGAGTATTCACATGCTCCCTCAACTGGTCATCTCTCTCCCTTCCTCTGTATCTGAGGAAATCATCCACAATCTTTAGGACCTACTTAGAATTCCATCTCATGTACATCATCTTTCCCGAGCACTCCCCTTACTAAAACTGTTCACAATGGATGGGCCTCAGCAGAACAGGGTCAATGTTCACATCTGGGCATTGGTGATGAGGCATAAAGACTTACTGGCAATCCAGAGGGCAGTGTCTACATTAGACTATGGGCTGCAAGAGTTGTCCTGGAGCTGAGCTTGAAATCTGGTGATGTCAAGTGATACCCATGTTAGGGCCAGAGAGTCAAACAAGCAATGTGAACAAGACCAGCAGGACATCAGAAGCAACCGTTCAAGTCGAGTTATGCCCCGGTTATAGGTCTTACCTTGGGGACACCAGATACATAATCTCTCTCCTTCAAATTTCGCTAGTATACATGTTTACCATCATTATTCACATGCTATTTGATCATTTATACCTTTGTGCTGCTAGTAAATGTTTTCTTTGTGCATTTTGAGAATATCATATATATATACACACACACACACATATGAGCAATGTAGATATACATGTGGAAAATATATATGTATATATAACAACATATACATTATATATAGTCCTCAAAGAGAAATATGTATATATGCAAAATATCTATATATGTGCACACATCTTTCTAGTGCATGTGACTGTGCTATATACATCTGCTGGCCACACCAGAAATATCCATTGGATGAATGAATCACCACAGTCCTGTCTGTTATGGGTTGGATTGTGTCCCTCACAAAAAGGTGTATTGGCATCCTAACCCTCCAGTACCTCAGGATGTGCTCTTATTTGTAGATAGGGCATTTAGAGAGGTAATTAAGTTACAATGAGGTTCTTGTGGAGGGCTACAATCCAATAGGACTGGTGTCCTTTTACAAAAACGAGAAATGTGGACACAGAGACAGACATACCTAGAGGGAAGATGATGTGAAGAGACCTAGGGAGAAAACGAACATCTACAAGCCAAAGAGAGAGGCCTGCCTGGGACAGATCTTCCCCTCACGGTGCTCAGAAAGTAACAATCTTGCCAGGACCTTAATTTTGGGCTTCTAGCCTTCAAACTGTGAGACAATACATTTCTGTTGCTTAAGCAATCCAGTTTATGGTACTTTTTAAATGGTAGCCCTAGCAAAGGAATACATGATCTATTACATATAGAGCACCAATTCTGTGTGAGGCTCTGCTCTAATCACTTTACAATATTAACTCCTCTAGGCTAATAAAATCTTCAGGAGATAGGCTCAGTAATATTATTATGTTAGAAGAAGAAACTGAGATGCAGATAAGTGAAGTAAATTGCCCCAGATGCCTCAGAGAGTAAGTGGTAGAGTCAGGGTTAGAAACTAGGCAGTCTGGCTCAAAATACGTACTCTGAATTACCATACTACCCCAATCAATGCCCTTTAACTTAAAGATTGCAAACTGGTGGGCTCAGGTCATATTCACTCCATATGTGTTGTATTTGACCTTGAGATAGAATGCAACCACATCTATCACACCACATGCTCTTGTGTGGGGTGACCTTGTCACTCCCCATCAAAAGACTGAGTCAATTTCTCCGCCTCCATGAGACTAAGTGGGCACTGTGACTGCTTTGTCCAATAGAATAGGATGACAGTGATGCTGTGGCTGATCCAAGCATGGCCCTTAACTGGCTTGGGAGCTTCTACTTTCTATTTCTTGGATGCCAGTTGCCATATAAAATGTACAACTTCTTGAGACCACCATGCTGTCTCCACATTCTGGAGGGCTGACCTCCAGAGATCCACCCACCTCGGCCTCCGAAAGTGCTGCGATGACAGGCGTGAGCCACCAGGTCCAGCCCCAGCAATGATCTTGACTTTGGACATAGCAAGCAGTGTAGAAGCAGGGACGTCCTTGGGTTTGTCTTTTCTTTCTTCCAGCTGGGCTCTGTCTGCCCAGGAGGGCTGCTTGGCTGTGCCTTCTGTGGGTCACGAGAGCTCCTGGTTGGAGCTCTTCTGCTGTGGACCAAGCCCTCTCCCCAGCTGTCACCTGTGCCTGCATCTCAGCGTCTGTCCTCTCTTTCCCTAATGCCGCCCCTCCCCCAACCCCAGCATTTGACACCCACGTCCATAGAAACCCTACTATGGAACGTGGAGAGACCCTGGAGGATGAAACACCATGCAGACACAGGGATAGGGGGTTGGAATGGGGGTGGCAAGGAGCATAGGTATAGAGGTGCTGGGTATGTGGGGAAGGATCCAGCTTGGAAGTGGATCCACCAGCGCCAGCTGCCCCAGTTGATGCCAGGTAGATTAGATGTGAATCACTAGGCCAAACTCTACTCTAATTCCTGAACAAAAAGTCAAGAGCAGAATAAAATTTTTTTTTATGCCAGCAGTTTTGGGGTTGTTACTGCATAGATAACTAACGTAAATCTTGACAATGTTTTAGAATAATTTAATTTGTTGCTAATAGTTATAAACTGGGAGAGGACACACACACACACACACACACACACACACACACACACACACACACACACACTCCCCTCCACACAAGGATTTTCAGCTTCTCCTGAAGAATGAAAGAGTTGGCTCTTCCTGCTTAGCCACAGTGGCGTGAGATGGAGTGCAGCCACTCTTTAGATGAGTCAATGGGGCACGTGCACTCTCTAGAGTTCCCAGAGTTGCCAATGGACCCACTTTCCTTGTTTACATGACCTGCCTGTCCCATCTAGGCATTTGGATTTGTGATGTAGCTTCAGCTCTTTCATTAAAGCCTTCACTCAGTTTGCAACTAGTTAGCAGCATTCCCAGGTTCGTCTGCATAGTCACAGCTGTGCCAGGTGTGGTAGCTTAGGAGCCTCTGGCCCTGCTTCCCTTCCTCCATTTCCTCTGCACGCCATGTCCAGATTCTGGAGGGCTGGGCGGGCAGCCAGGGCATCGCACCTTCTGAAGTTTTTCTTGTTTGCTCGTTCACGACTGCAGGAGGGGTGCTTCTCCAAAATTGAAACTTCATACTGTGCCATTCCTTCATCTCATTTCCAGGCCCCCTGCTGCGTGACCGTGTGACACATAGTCATTCTGTGAGAATTGAGAAGGATATTGGCAGTTTGGGAGCTGTTGTTCCTGCTTATGTATGCAAAGAACATAATTGCTAAGTGCATCATCTGCTGTAATTTACACATCCACATATAGCACTGAGCAGGCCATTCTCTTCTTCCACGGGCACCCAGGGTTGAAGTTGCAGACACATTCCAGCCTAGAGAGAAGCTGGCTGTTTTTCAAGGCTTGAGGCAGCCCAATGGAAGATTTGAACAGTGTGATTTCTAAGACCTCCAAAATGGGACTGGCAGAATTTCTTCTTAGGTTATTTAGACTTTTCATAGGGAAGATGAAGGGGCCGTATCTGCAGCATCTCACTCCTTTAATCGCTCTTTTTAAAAGAGTTTCAGGCCCCTTGTAGGAGTCAGTTGTAATACTAGATCTAGGATTTATAGCTTTGTGCAAGAGATGGTATTAAATAAGGGAATTGACCCTGCTCTCAAGGTACAAACCTTGGAGCAGAACAGCTAAATATCTCTTCAGGTGATTTCACTGTGGAGAAAGGACTTCCCAGAGGCAGATTTGCTCACACGTGTCAAGTTTAACCAAACCTTAAAGGGGCATTACCGTGACTTTCTTCCACTCTGGGGTTTGCACTTGTTTCTAAGGTGTATAGGAAGCTTCACTGGTGGGTTATGAAGGGCGAAGGACCTCTTAGCAGGACACTCAGCTGAGGTCCAGCATTCGCCTAATCCACTTTAACAGCGCCGAGGTGGCCCTGCTTGAACCACAGAGTTAAGTTTCTTCCAAAAGCTACAGGTAGGACCGGCACTGCACCCAAAGTTGTGAAGGGTACAAAGTAATAGAAGCTATCAGTTCTGCTCTCTACAAGATTATATTTTAGGCTTACATTTTGGAAAAGGAGACAGCACTAATACATATGAAACAATTATTTTAGAGGACTGAGGAAGAGAATGTCAAGAAACCCCCATCCAGGCATTACAATAGACTCTGGGATCAGACTGCCTGGGGCTGAATCCTGGCTCAGCCACTGACAAGCAGCATGGTCTGGGGCATTTTATATAACTCTTCTGCCTCAGTTTTCTCATTTGTAAAATGAGTATAATAAGAGTATATCTGTGGCTGGGTACGGTGGCTCACATGTGTAATCCCAGCACTTTGAGAGGCCGAGGTGGGCGGATCACCTGAGGTCAGGAGTTTGAGACCAGCCTGGCCAACATGGCAAAACCCCCGCCTCTACTGAAAATACAAAAATTAGCTGGGACTGGTGGCACACGCCTGTAATCCCAGCTACTTGGGAGGCGAATCTCTTGAACTTGGGAGGCAGAGGTTGCGGTGAGCCGAGATCACGCCACTGCACTCCAGCCTGGGCAATAGAGACAGTGTAATTAAAAAAAAAAAAAAGTACATTTGTCAGTGTCACTGTAGAAGTTAAAGGACTTAAATGGGAATGACTAAAAACAGTGCCTGGCACTTGGTGAGAATGCAATGAAAGTTAGCACTCAGTATTTTGTCTGTAATTTTGTATCACATGAATGTTCTTTCTAGTCCTTGAAGTTTCCTCACTAGATGTCAGAATAGCACCCCTTGTTACCAGGCCCCCGATAGCTACTAAGTTATTTTCCTAGTTGTAAAGGGCAATGGGGTAGACTTGGCCTTTGAACTCGACGGCACTGCAACACCATTTCAGCCATTTTACTTAGGGGCAAAAGGTGAATCCTTTCCATGCCTCAATTTCTTCATCTGGAATGAGGACAAAAGTAGCTACCTCAAAGGATTTTTATGAATTGAATTATACCTCCCTCAGAAATAAGTCCTAATCCCCAGTCATAGTGAATATGACCTTACTTGGAAATAGGGTGTTTGTAGATGGAATTAAGCTAAGATGAGGTCATTAGGGTGGGCCTAATCCAATACTACTGGTATCCTCGTAAGAGGGAAATTTGGACACAGACATACACACAGAGGAGACTATCATGTGAGGAGGACGCAGACACAGAGGGAAGGCAAGTGTGAGGACGAAGGCAGCAATTGGAGTTATGCTGCCACAGGTCAAGGAATGGAATTCCTGCACCCAGCAGAAGCTAGAAGAGGCAAGGAAGGATCCTCTCCTAGGGCGAACAGAGAGAACACGGACCTGGCAACACCTTGATTTTGAACTTTTGGTCTCCAGAACTGTAAGAGACTAAGTTTCTCTTGTTGCTGAGCTACTCAGCTTGTGGTACTTGTCACTACCACCCTAGGAAACTAATACAAAGATTATGTATACAGTGCACTCATAACTGTGTGTACCATAGAGCTGGTGTTCAAAAGCAGCTATTCTGAAGGCTACAGAGCAGCGACTACTATGCCCTGTATCTGCTATTGGGAGGTAGCTTAATGGGCCAAGGGAGAAGAGAGGACTGAATTCTTTGGGATACACATGGATCCTCTAGATGCAAGTTTTCAATGGACAGCTATTCTACTTATTCAGAGCCTGTGGTGTCTCACGTGAGGGAAAGTGAAGCCCATGTGGGCCTTCGACCACTAGAGGGCATTTGAAGGACATCAGATCAATAGGACCTGACCTCCTGTGGTCAACCAAAGGCCACACGTTCTGTATGATCCACTGTGCAAAAGTAGGAAATAAATGACTCAAGCAATAAATTATTGGTTTCTTTTGTCCAGGAGCTAGTCAGGTGGTTGAGTTAGGGATTCTGAGTAGGTAGAGTATAAATATCTCAGGGTGTGTCTTATCTTATTTGGCCATAATGATAGCTATTTCCTCATCTGTGTAGGAATAGGTAGGACAAAGAACTCTAGACATACAGAAATAATCTCAAAACAACCAAAGAGAACAATAAGCAAAAGATTTAAACCCAGTTATATGCTCAATTAATAAAATCAAACAAGGCTATTAAACTAGGAAGCCTGAAAATGGACACCCACCACAGGCACTTTGGAAAGGTTCAAAGTGGAACTCTTAGACTAGATCCTTCTAATTCCAAATCTGGTAAGGGATTAGGAACTGAAGGCAAAGGTGAGGTTGGGATTAGAGATTACTTCTGTCTCTTTCTCAGTGACTGACATCCTGGCTGACCCTGGACAACTCACTTAATCTGTCTGGGCCATTGTTTCGCAGTGTATAAAACAAGGATAATACCAGTCATCAGATCAATTTTTCAGAGTCCATTCAAGTCCCGTAATGAAAAGTGCATTATAAAACACAGATTGTAATTATATCTAAGAGTGCTTTTTACTCTGAAACAGCCAGAGGGCTTTTCTGTCTTTGAAGCTTCAATTACAAAAGTTAGAATCTTATGCATTTGTCAGAGGTGTATAAAAATTTATTCACAATAGGAATCATATAACAGCAGGCTAATGGTGCTCCAGTTCTAAAAGTGGGGCATTACTGACATAAACAAGTTACCTGGAATCTGGAGACTTAGAGTCTAGTCCTCGTTTTTTTACTAATTAACCCTGGGGCCTTGGGCAAGTGATGTCACCCTGTGCCTTAGCCAAAAAATGATGTGGGTGGACTAGAAAATTATTCTCCAAACTTTAGTCATTCCCTTCCTGGTTTTTGCCATATCTAAGAACCATATATATTATTTTTATCCAACATTTATATTTAAATATTTAAGTTAATAAATCATTTACATGGCGATGAGTATTTCCTATGATAGCCTGGTCCTAACAACCTAAACAATAATATTCATAACATTTCAGGTTTTCATTAAAGGAAAATGAAAAGGGAAAAGTATAATTATTAGGAAATATATAATTATTAGAAAAGAAGTACTCATTACTTATACACCACCTAAAAGTCATCTCAAGTACCATGATTAGCACATGTACCAATTTGGGGGAAAAATGGCCTAGATTATCGTGAAGAGTTATTCCAAAGCTATAAGCCTATGAAAGAAATTCAAGTAGGTATGAAAGAAACAGAAGAGCAGCTGATGATTCTTGATAAAATTTGGATTTATGGCATGGCAGAGATGCTATAATTTTTTTAGATTAATAGTGTTTTCCCTTGTAGATAGATGCATTAATGCCTGACACTGTTAAGCCAGAAAAAGACTGGCAAAAGCAGCATGTAATGGATATTGATGGGGGAATGTTGGGAGAAAATGTCCTTTAAAAAAATTAACTTAAACGACAGATACTCAAGGCAGGAGAGGAACTCATTCCACAAAGCCAGGATTTGTGTTGATTGTCACCCAGAATGTTATAGAAAATAAGGATATATTTAGAAAGAAAGTGTTTAAGTCAAAATATTTCATTACTTCTATTTAGTGGATGGGTAGATAGTCCTCTATTTGTTTGTTCATTTAACTAGTTATGGTTTTGAACCATTGACAATGTTCCAGGCCCTGTTCTAGGTACTGGTGATACATTTATGAATAAAATCCTCATTCTTAAAGCCCTCACTCTGTCCGTTTTAGGCGGTGATATCAAGGATGACCTCAGGAGACCACCCTGCTATAGTGGGGAGACCTCTGGACCTGCAGATAAAAGATCTGTGTTCAAGAATCACCTGTGTATTCACAGTCATGAGATCTATACCAAGTCATTTTACTTTTCCAAATCTTCATTTTCTCACCTTAAAGTGGGGCTAACGATATTTCACAGATATGGTTAAATTGACAAGATGTACATGAAATGGTCTGGCATGACACAAATAGCAAATGCTACTAGACTGTTAGTTAAATTTAAATCTGAGAATCATAGCATTAGAGAAGAATTCATACATAATCTTGCCTCTCCCTTCTCAGAAAGAGAAGAGCTAGAAGCCACAAGAAATTTAAACTGAGGGACACACTATGGAGATTTGGGTTATTGCCCTCTTGTTCCAAAGGGAGATTTTTATTGTTTGACCATACAATTTAATTTCAAATAAGGTGATTCTACACTCAGATGGAGCTAGAATCCAGTGTAACAGTATATAGCTATCTAAAGATATTCCCAAGTCAATCTATAAATGGTTTAGCAATAATTACTCATGTTGGCTAACCATTCCCACTACTCTAGCTTTAGGGTGAGAAAATTCTACATTATCTTTTATTAGAGTTTTTCAGATGCCTGATGTTTGTCACCTTTGTTATGTTTTTGAATACATGGTGTAAGGAGGACAATGTTTGAACAGTTACATTCCCACATTTCTATTGCAAGTATGAATATAGCTGACACAACCTAAAGCCTGGGCAAGAAAGGACCCCACCCTGGGCTTGTGTTTTGGAGAGCCCTTCTCTGGCTTTCCTCTAGTCACATTTCTCACCTTGGGGCAAGGAGTCCAGGAGCAAAGAGGAAATGCCTACCAGAGTTCTAGCCTCTCCTTTTAGCCTACACTGTGAGAACCTGAGACCTTGGAGTTCCCTGTCTACATGGCTTCAGCATTTGAGGTCCTCTTGCTAGCTGCACTTTCTTCATCAGGTTTCTCTTCCTTAGGGTAGACAATGCTGCTGGCATGCAAAAGCCTAGGCATGAGGGGTAACCAAGGAGAGGGGTGGGTAGAGGGCGTAGGTGTGATGGCAGGCAGAGCTTGGAAATTCCAGTTAGAATGCCTATACATACACGCAAAAGGCCATTCACAGTGTAGGACAGAACAGGGTGGAGGGTGCACAGGTGCACAGTGAAGAGTAGAGCAGGGTGGAAGAAACGTGGGGTCAGGCTGTGTGGTTTTATTTCTATTCTTTTCCCAGGCCTTGAAAATACTACTGGTGGACCCAATTTTACTCTTTTTTTGGGGGAGGGTAAGGTGGAGTCTTGCTCTATTGCCCAGACTAGAGTGCAGTGGTGCCATCTCGGCTCACTGCAACCACTGCCTCCTGGGTTCAAGTGATTCTCCTGCTTCAGCCTCCCGAGTAGCTGGGATTACAGGCATCCACCACCATGCTTGGCTAACTTTTGTATTTTTAGTAGAGACGGGGTTTCACCATGTTGGCCAGGCTGGTCTCAAACTCCTGACCTTAGGTGATCTGCCTGCCTCAGCCTCCCAAAGTGCTGGGATTACAGGTGTCAGCCACAGCACCTGGCCCCAATTTTACTCTTGATGAATGTCTGGTTGCTTTTTTTCCGTTATTTCCTGATGGTTTCCTTTTGGCCATTCACTACTCTCCAGCCCATCTATTGAGGGCTGATCTGGGGCAGAGAGTAGAGGTTATACTCAGATCAGATCATTCTTCTATTTGTTCAGTAACTAATGATCTTTGCAACTTGTGAGGCAGCCCTGATAAAAACGTTTCCTAGAATCACAACATCTTAAAATCTGAAGGGACCTCAGGGGTCATTTCTCAAGTCCATGATAGTAAGAAAAATGAAGGCTGGAAGATACAAAGACAGATGGCTAAATAAATACACAATTTGTCTAAAATTATATCTTAGCCTGTTTTGACAATCTTGTTAGCCTTCAAGGTACATAATCATCAGCCAATGGTACTGAAACATGATTTGTTCTTAGACTAAGGGTACTTGTAGTTATATATCTTTAGAGTTGTATTTGCAGTCACTATATAATAAAGGAGCTTATGACTATTTTGTAACTTGCAAACTTCTGATAGAGATATTATAATTCTTAGTCAATTTCATATGACTGTAAAACACTTCCCACAGCCTATTTATTCATTAATTAACAATTTTTTTGAGTATTGACAACCACCCATTTCTCCTAAAAATCCTGTCCTGTGTCTGATTTCCTCTGTGTTCTGTTCTTTGCCCAGGCTAGTACGACATGCTCCTCAAGGATATAACCGTCAATGGCCAATAAAGACTTAATAGCTCCCATCTCAGGCAGCATTATTATACCTAACTGCAGTATCTGAACTTTTGAGCATTTCTGAGTTTTTAGACAGAAAGGAAGGTCTAGAAAGGGAGATTAAAAATAACCCCAAAGCTTTTGGAATTGTTACAGATATAGAAGCAGCTTGAAGGAAAATGTTGGGTGGCCAAGAAAATCAATCCTTTCTCAGCAGAAAACAAAGCCAGGAAAGACAGAGATCCAGCGGCACGGTTGTGGGATCAGTCAGCCATGCAGAACAAAGGGGCGCTCTGATTGGAGGGTGTTGCCTGCAGAAAAAAAGGAGTACTCTGATTGCAGTATGGTGACTGTGAAACCCAGGAGTTGTAGAAAATTAGATCAAGGCAAACAGACAACTTCTGCAAGAGAAACCGACGCAACATTAGGGGCTACAGTCAGTGCAGATATCGCACAGAAATTATATTCAGCGACGAGGACATTGTGCAGTGCATGAGGTCTCTGTGGGTACAGAAGCAAAGAGCCAGAGATGAAGAGAAGATGAAAGAATTGTGCGGCGCAAAGGAAGAATGAGGTGCCCTGTCTCAGTACTGGAGTCCTTTAAAGCATAGGTCAGTTCCACTCTGTATGTAAGGAGGAACGATTTGCATCCCAATATAGGGACCTAGAATATGAGTTCTGAAACTTTTCTCTCTGTGATATACACGATAGATGATTCTGGGGCCCTGCCACCACTTCCTTCTTACTTCTTCAAAAAGCATGTTAGAATGCACGGAATAGTAATGTTAGTATCAACACAGCAGGAAGAATTCTCTCCTCTTGTGGGGCAGCACTTATTACAGCTAGGAGGAACACAGGCAGCATTTGATAAAGCAACTCAAGGCTGAGTAAGACTCAGAGACTCTTTAAGCATAATATAGAGAAGGCCTATGTTGAGAATGTGGAATGCTTGCTCTACACAAAGATCCGATCTGCTACCCACCCAGCCTCTGTCACACACATACACACACACCTTCAATGAAAGTATGTACAAGGACATGTCTGATGATCCATGCTTGTTGCAGGGGAGAATAAAGGAATACAAAAATCTGAGTGTTTGTGGGGATATGGCAAGAAGAGAACAGAGAACTATGCAAAGTGAAGGGCTCTTGGCTATAGTGATTATGAGAGGGGTAGCCATGTGAATGGGGGCTGTGGGCCCACAAAATCCAGAGTGAAACATCTATGCCTACTGAGTAGGTGAGCAGGGACAAAATGCACTACATTGTAGACTCTCCATAAATTAGAAGATAGGACCCAAAGCAAGAGATTTTATAACATTCCCCTGCCTTATCAGGGTGTGCTTGATTTGCTAATAGTAAGCTTTCTTACTATTAGTTTTACTATTAGTAAATTACTATTACTAATAGTAAGCAAAGGCAGTTTGCTGTCCCTCCTCTCGAATATGATAGCATAATGATGGATTATATAAAAATGATCATGAATCTAATTTGCTTTTGTATTTGGAAAAGTAAATCATAACCTATGCACTTTTTGTTGTTAATACATTATCTATTGCCAACCTC
Source organism: Homo sapiens (assembly GCF_000001405.40). NCBI lineage: Eukaryota > Metazoa > Chordata > Mammalia > Primates > Hominidae > Homo > Homo sapiens. The sequence goes on along the minus strand of NC_000009.12, from coordinate 1,831,884 downwards.
ATAACTTGTGAGTACCCTTCTCTGTGTCACATTACTGAGTCTGGCAGAATCAAGATAGAGTAATTTGATTTGAATGATATTAGGACAAAGAAACAATGATCAGAAGCTATCAAACATTTTTGTGGATTTGGTATCATGGAAAACTGTGGGTCTGCACCTCTTAGTGAATATGCCTAAATTAGAATGCTGTCCATTATCTGAGTAGTTATCAGGAAAAAAAAAAGTTATATGGACACTCCTTTTCATGATCCAATGCTTTTCAAAGGGGCCAAATCTCTTTTCTGATTTTTGAAAGGTTAGTCCTGGCATTGAAAACTGAACCAGAGCAGTAAAAAGTTGTAATAACTAAAGGCTGAGTAAGACAAAAACTGAAAAGATTTAAAGTAATGACAAAAACTGCAATTACATTTACACCAACCTAATAGATAGAATTTTAGTAAACAGTTAATAATTTCTGCTTTATGAAATGCATTTTTGAGAATGAATGAGTTTCTGACCAGTTTTGTGCTGATAGATTGCCTTGGTGTAATTAGATGATGCTTGACTGCTTCACTCCTAGTTAGGTGCTAACAAATAAAGTCACTCTTGTTTCAAGCAGAATAATGACATGCTGGCCATTCTTACATGTGCAAATATTATATTCTTTTATAAATTAAAGTAATTGGGAAGTGACATATGTCATCATTCTAAGTGGTTTTATTGATGTTACACATAGATTTTAGGGTACAAGCTAAGACCTACCGGACCACTTTGTAAAAATAAACTGGTTCTACCATATGTTTGCACCTAAAAGGTATGGGCTTACTCAAGGATAACAAGGTTATTACTAACTTCTTCCCACTGTTATTTTCTCATAGTACCTTCCCACTATTATTACCGCCTGGAATCTACCTATGAATAAAGACATCATTCATAATTTGAATGTTTTTGCTGGGAATACAATTTGCAGATACTTTAAATTTCGCTACAATACAAAATATGCACTATCTCATGCTGTTTGTGCCTCAAATCCTCTTCTGAGTCAAACATGAAGACAAACTGGGTAGAAATTGTAGATAATATCATTTGCACAGCGTCTCCTTTCCCTTTATGTGGTAGCTATGAGAATGAGACGCTCCAATTTCCAACTACAGTAAGCATAACTGACTTCTGGGACTCCAGCTGCTGTGTGCAGAGGTCTTGCTTCCTACTGCTGCTCCCAGTTAATGATTGAGTGCAGAAAGAATACCAAGGCAGGCCTGTTCTGAAAGACACAAGACTCTTCTGATGGTCAGCCTTGGTTTGAGGAGTCTCTATTGGCCTTGCACAACCATTCTTAGTCTGCATAGTGATCTAGGACACTTTCACCCAAAGTTTCTTCTTTCTCTCCTTCGCTTGGGGTCAGACTTACCTCACAGTCTAATGGCTCTCCAGCCCTTTTCTGACTTCTCCCTATTTACTTTCGCTTTGGTAATAAAATCTCTGTATGTTTAACCCAAAATTGGCATCTCTTTTGGAGGACTAGGAGTAACCCAGGTGAGGAAACCTATGTGTGCTTTGTAATAAATAATCCTGGAGCTCAAATGCTTGGAAATGATGTGGAATCTGCAAGCTGAATAGCCAGTGAAAGATGTGTTACACATAATCTTTATGCATTAACAAGTGAAAATTAATAAGAATTTGCATGTGTGATATCTTGCTTGAGCAGAAGTGAAGGTGTTGTGATATCAGAGCCCTCAATAAAGAATAATGCAGGTGTTATTTATAGGAAATATGAATGTTATTGGATCTAAATAACTACTTACATCATTCATGTTGAGGACAAAATAGCTAGCAAAACACAAAGTATGAGTCAATGGTCCCAGGGACTTTAAGGGCAGGGTATATCCAGGTCATAGCATGCCAACAGGAGGGTAAATAAGAGGAGTGTGAAAAGGCTGGTACATCCGAATCCAAGGAGCTGCTAGCTGAAGCGTGGGTGATCGTGCAACTGCATCTGTAGCCAACATTGCCTGGGCAGTAGCTGTACTGCAGGAACTATTTTTTAAAATAAACTTTTTTATTTTAGAATAGATTTAGATTTATAGAACTATTGCAAAGATAGTACAGAGAGTTCATTTGTACCTCACATCCAGTGTCCCCTGTTATCTTACATTAACATGGTACATTTGTCATTGAACCAATACTGATATACTATTATTACCTAAAGTCCATGCTTTATTCAGAATTTCTGAGTTTTTACATAATGTCAATTTTCTGTTCCAAGATCTCATCCAGGATTAAATTTAGTCTTCATGTTTCCTTAGGCTCTTGGCTGTGACAGTTTCTCAGACTTTTTTTTTTTTTTCTGGTGACCTTGACAGCTTTGAGGATTACTGGTTAGGGACTTTGTAGAATGTCCCTCAACTAGGATCTGTTTGTTTTTGTCATTATCAGAATGGGGTAATAGGGTAATATGCTTTTGGAAAGAAGATCCAGAGGCCAGTCTCATCACATTACATCCACGGGAGATATATTTATATGACTGATCACTGTTCATGTTGACTTGATCGCCTGGCTGAGGTGGCAGTTTTCAGCTTTCTCCACTGTAAAGTTATTTTTTTAAAGTTTTCTTTCTTTTATATAGTACTGTTTGAAAGAAAGACACTATGCACAATCCATAAACAGCGGAGAGTGAAATATTTCCATAATTTATTTGAAATTTTTCTGCATAGCAAATGTCTCTACTCCCCTATTTATTTTTTCATTCATTCAATTATTTATTTTAAATAAATAAATATGGACTCTTATTTATTTGTTATATTTATTTTATACTTTGGGTTGTAATTGAATATTACTTTATTTGTTTTGTTGCTCAGATTTTTGCAGCTTTGACCATTGGTAGCTCTTTAATCGGCTCCTGTTCTCTTTGGCATATCCCCACAGTTGTGTGTGTGTGTGTGTGTGTGTGTTTTCTTTTTAGCACATTCTTACACTCTGACACTATAAAATGATTCAGGCTTATCTTATATATGTCCTGCCCCAGTCCTAGACTTAGCAATTTCTTCACAGAATCCCAACTCCTTTTATTGGAGAATGGTATTAGAAACCACGGTCTGGATGCTAGACAGTATGACCTCACTAAAGTTCTGATAGCTCCACTCTAGCACTCCAGTGTGAGCCAGCATATCAGGATGCTGCATTAGATAATGCTTTACATTATTCTCACAGATCAGAGAATCCATATCAAAATTCAGAAGACAATGATATTTCAGAGGCTGTGAACCCCACCTAGAAGAAACGTGCTCCAGCTTTTGAAACACTCATGTCTTCTGCAGACACCTGGCTCCATTACACTGCACATAAGCTGATGCTCCTGCAGAAGCACTATGTGATATTTACGAAAAGGAGTCAATGGTATAAAGAGCTGACGTCAAAGAATTTGTCAAGAAACTAGACAATAGGGCGTCAGGTGTTTGGCCCCTTTAAGCTTCATGTCTCAGTCTTCAGCAGAGGAAAGAAATAGTGGTTAAGTCTGTGGCTCTATAGCCATCTCAGCCTCATTTTAAAGCCCAACTTCTTCCTTTGCCAATTCTAAGGACCTCTCTGTGCTTCAGTCTCCTTGTTTGCACATTAGGACAATACCTACTTTATATCTGTGGTTCTGAGGATGAAATGGCTTAATATATGTAAATGGATTAAAACATTCACCGACATGTAAGTACTGCATAAGGGTTTATTATTGAAATTCCAACATCTGCCTCTGTATGTATCTATAGCTTTATTATCAGCACTTTTTAATGATAACCCAGAACAAACAAGAGACAGAAATGAAAAGTTTCATCTAATGTTTAAGATGGTATGAAAGTGTTAGTGTTTTTAGAAAGATTTTAAAATATAAGAATTCCTCCAAGGATGATAACAAGCCAGTACTTATAGGGTTGACAGTGAATTGTCTAGAAAAATGTGGTGTTTCAGAAGAACTTTCCCCAGGGTTTAGATAGCCAAGTCGTCATTGTACTCTAGGTTTAATAAGAAAAAATAAATATATATATATATATATTTTTTTTGAGATGGAGTCTCACTCTGTTGCCAGGCTGGAGTGCAGTGGCATGATCTTAGCTCACTGCAAACTCCGCCTCCTGGGTTCAAGTGATTCTCCTGCCTCAGCCTCCCAAGTAGCTGGGATTACAGGCATGCACCACCACGCCCGGCTAATTTAGTACTTTTAGTAGAGACAGGGTTTCTCCATGTTGGTCAGGCTGGTCTTGAACTCCCGACCTCAGGTGATTTGCCCACCTTGGCCTCCCAAACTGCTGGGATTACAGGTGTGAGCTACCATGCTCAGCCAAGAAAATAGTTCATATGGAATTGCTTAAGTTTACTGTGACCAATGGTAAAATCTTAGGGCAATAGAGAGAGAGTCAAGAAGGCTAGGAGAGGACCAATAGTAATGACTGACTAGGAATAGAGAGGAAGAAGAAGAAAATCAGTATTTTCCTTCCAGTAAATAAAGTTTTAAAATGTTTGCATTTGTTATGTGTGTGGTGAGGGGGGTGGGGTGGGTTGTGGGTGTGAGTGTGTATATTAGCCTGCTTGACATAACACAGTACTACAGACTGGATAGCCTAAAAAACAGAAATTGATTTTCTTACAGTTCTGGAGCCTGGAAGTCGAAGATCAAGGTGCTGTCAGGGGTGGTTCTGTGAGGCCTCCTTCCTGTCTCGCTATGTCCTCTCACGGGCCTTACCCTGGCATGTGTAGAAAGAGAGATCTCTGGTGTCTCTTCCTCTTATGATAAGGACACCAGTCCTATCAAATTAGAGTTCAATCTTTTTGACTTCATTTAATCTTAATTACTTTCTTAAAGACCCTATCTCCAAACACAATCATACTGGGGGTTAGAACCTTAACATATGAATTGAGGCGACACAGTTTAATTCAAAACAGTGTGTGCGTGCATGTGTGTGTGTGTTGGGGGTGTTGGTGTGTATAAGATTCGATTGCTCTTGGCATTTGAGCAGAATTTTTCTGTCAATTGTTATAATGTATATTTCCTTAAAAGGCAAATTGATTCCGGATTAACCTTTCAGAATTAGCTTTTTTAGTATGGATTAGGAGAAAATTGCATAAGAAGAGAAAATCCTAAAAGAACAAGCAGGAAAAGAGAAATATCTTAAACTGGCCTCTCTATGACTTAAAACCTCATGAAATATGAAGTTGGCATGATGATCTCTGGAATGTCTGAATTCAAACCCTGAGTATTCTTCATGTAATCCCTTTGGAAATATGTCTGCACAGACAAAGTTTAATCATAGATATAGTCAAACAAGAAATGCACTACTTACCAAGGCTGTCCTGGCCAATGAATAAAAATAAGAAAATTGGATTCAAAAGAATTAATTTCACCTTGTGTTGCTGGTCCATTTTTGTTAAGATTATATAAACATTCATTTTTGGAGGGATGGACCAAATACATTTAGCAGAATCTCAGGAGATTTGGAGACGCTTAAAGACTGACATTAGAACCGGACCCAGGAAATCATAAACATTTTAAAAGGCTTCAAGGCGCATTTTCATCTCTTTCTAAGGCTATGCTAAAAAAAGATAAGCTTTTAATCAAAGTTTTCTATTAAGTCCATTTACCACCAAAGGGCAATACAGGCAGGCTAGAGGTCACAGTCACTTGAATTTCATTTGATATATTTGGATTTATCAAGTTACTCATTAAGAGAGTATGTGGAGCGCTTACTATGTTCAAGGAACAGCACTAGACGTCGTGAAGATAAGAGGTTTTGTAACACTGTCTTATACTTCAATGTAGTACAATCTATTTGGGGCTAGAGGTACATGTTTACAAAAAAAAATAACAAAAATAACAAAGTAGCTAACATTTATCTAGCACCTCTTATGTGCTAGACATTTTCCATATATGATTTTACTTAATCTACTCCTTAGGCAACTTTAGGAGGTGGGGACTACTATCACACTCATTTAACAGCTGTAGAAACAAAGATCAGAGAAATTCCAGGATACCCCAAAGTCACATAGCAAGAAGCAAAGAAGCTAGGATTTGAACCTGTTGCTTCTAATGCAAAAGCCTGATCCTTCAACCAACAGGCTATGTGAAAAGTGCTTGGAGTCCATTGCAAACTGCAAAGGAATTGGATTTTAGGGAAGGGTGGGGTCAGGTTGCTGAATAGAGAAAGGCATTGGGTTGGACATAGAAATGCTGAACATATTCTCAGTAGGCAGAAATGGGTATGGGGAAAGACAGTCAACAATGCACAAAGGTGGGAAATAGCAAGGCAGATTCGGGAGATGAGATAGAGTGGCTCATCCATTCATGCTAGTAGGGTGAGTTGGGGTCACTTACTCAGAGTGCAGGAAGCTAAGCTAATGAGTTTGAAAATTATCATAGAGGTGTTAATGAACTAAAGGTTTTAAATGGGTGAGTGTATGAAGAAGAAATCCTTTAGAGTCATATTCTAATAGGCAAAAGGGATTAAAGATGAGGATAAATGGAAGGTTTGCTGAGTGGTTCTCAAGCCTAGCTGCATATTAGAATCACCTGGGGAGTTTAAAAAAATGCCAGTGTCAGGGTCCCATCTGTGCCCAATTTAATCAGAATCTCTGAGGTGGGGACCAGATATGTTTTTAAAGCTCCCCCAGGTGATTCTAATGTGCAACCAGGGTTGAGAATCACTGAGTTAGATTATTGCAATCATGCAGCATATAATAAGTTTTTGAGCTAGGATGATAGCAGGGGAAATGATCAAATGGAGCAGGCACTATGTCAGTAAAGGAAGAAGTAATCACTATAATATTTGGGGAGAAATTATTACAGGTAGAGAGGAAAAAGGAGAAACAGAGATGTTAAATGGGTAGCTCTGATGAAATTTTGAAACATTCAATTCAGGAGAAATAATCCTAGGCTGGTAAAATTTTCCATCTTAAGTACATTAAGATCCAGTCAAGAGTGGAAAGTTTCAGAGAGTAAGATGTTCAGGACAAGCTCAAAGGAGAAAGGTTAGACTGAGAGATATATATATGGTGAATTATCTGCACATGGGATATATTTGAAATCATGAGAAGAGACAAGATCTTGGAGAAGGACCACACAAAAAGAAGACGGTAGGGCCCTGGGAGGTGCTCACATTTAGGGGCAGCAGGGGAAAGAGGGAAATTGAAAAGAGAGACTCAAAAGACCGATTCCTCCTCTGGAGAAGCTGAACCAGATTACTGAGAAAAACAAAGGAGTTTGGAAAGGGGTGGTGGCCAAAAGTAGAAAACGCTACAAAATGGGGATAATACAACCTACCTAGCCCAGTGTCCTCAATATGCAAAACAATAATATTGTTGCAGCAGCTGCAGCTGTTTGTGTCTTCCTACCTGGGGCTCTCGAGCACACAATTTTGCTTGCTGTGAATGCAATCTGGTCTCTTCGCTTGATGAGAAAAGAAAGCACTTTAAGTATGTGTCTCCATGGAGGAGCTTATTAAATAGGCTGAAGGTTTCCAGGATAGGTTGGAAGAAATCATACAGAAAGGAAGCCAGTAAGGGGGAGTTTTTCAAGAGGCAGAAGAGAATTAAAATTGGTATCAACGAGTTAGCAAGTGAAAAATAGTGACACGGAGAAGAAACTGAAGGAGAGGAGAGATGGCATTTTTAGAGATAGACAATAGATTTGAAACTTGGTGATTTTAAGCCTCCTGAAACAGTTACATCTCACCTCCATCACACAATGGTAAGGAGGATTCAGCTTCTAGGTGGGTTGAGGAATTCTGAAGAGAATATCATCCAAATGCATAAAAGGTGCATTGCAGAATCGACAGCCAATAGGTTAGTTGTCAAGCTCTAAAAACATCCAAGACTGGCTTTTTAGTTGTTTTTATATTCTTCAAAAAGTAAAAAAGAGAAAGCTGCTGTCACAAGGAGGTAACATGAATTCCCTAAGGGCATGTTGAAAAATTAAAGTTTATTTCCCTTTTTGATAAGTTACTTGACCTGCAGACCAGAAGAGTGACAGAGAGAAAGTGTATTTGACGATACCGTTCATGATGTTCTTGTGACCGACATGGGAAATGTCAGATCATAAGACATTAGGTGGATTCATAGCTGTTTAAATGCTTATGAAAAATCACTGGGACAGCAATAAAACACCTGGGTTCTTTTCCTAACTCCATCACTTAGTAACCTTTTACCCTAAGGGAGGTTACATGTTCTTTCTGCACTTTGGATTCTAAAGTGGATCTAATAACAGCTGACTTTGTTAGCACATGGGGATGAATAAGCATCAAACAAGTCAATATATGGGAATCGGTTTTGCAATCAGAAAAGTTTAAGACCTTCAGGGAACTATTGTTATTGATGCCTGTGGTAGGCAGAATACCAAAAGATGTCCTCATCCTAATCACCAGAACTTATGAATACGTTATGTTACACAGCAAGAGGGGAGTTAAGGCTGCAGATGGACTTTGAAGCAGGTTATCCTTGACTATCCCAGACCCAATGTAATCACAAGGTTCTTTAAATAAGGAAGAGGGAAGAAGAAGAATCAGAACCACAGAGATAGCATAATGATTCCATTGCTGGCCTTGAAAATGGAAGAGGCCACAAGCCAAGGAATCCAAGCAGCTGGAAAAGACAAGAAAACTTGAATATCTCTTAACCATCCAGAAAGAATGTAGCCTTGCCAACACTTTTATTTTAGCCTCGGTGAGATGCATTTTTAACTTCTGATCTCCAGAATAATAAGATAAATTTCAAAGACGCTCCTCAAGAAGAGCAACCCCAAGACACATAATCGTCAGATTCACCAAGGTTGAAATGAAGGAAAAATTGGTAAGGGAAACCAGAGAGAAAGGTCGGGTTACCCACAAAGGGAAGCCCATCAGACTAACAGTGGATCTCTCTGCAGAAACCCTACAAGCCAGAAGAGAGTGGGGGACAATATTCAACAATCTTAAGGAAAAGAATTATCAGCCCAGAATTTTGTATCCAGCCAAACTAAGCTTCATAGTGAAGGACAAATAAAATCCTTTACAGACAAGCAAATGCTGATAGATTTTTGTCATCACCAGGTCTGCTTTACAAGACCTCCTGAAGGAAGCACTAAACATGGAAAGGGAAAACCGGTACCAGCCACTGCAAAAACATAACAAATTTAAAGACCATCGACACTATGAAGAAACTGCATCAACTAACAGGCAAAATAATCAGCTAGCATCATAATGACAGGATCAAATTCACACATAACAATATTGACCTTAAATGTAAATGGGCTACATGCCCCAGTTAAAAGACACACACTGGCAAATTGGATAGAGTCAAGACCCATCGGTGTGCTGTATTCAGGAGACCCATCTCACATGCAAAGACACACATAGGCTCAAAATAAAGGGATGGAGGAATATTTACCAAGCAAATGGACAGAAAAAAAAAAAAGCAGAGTTGCAATCCTAATCTCAGATAAAATAGACTTTAAACCAACAAAGATCAAAAAAGACAAAGAAGGACATTACATAATGGTAAAGGGATCAATGCAAGAAGAAGAGCTAACTATCCTAAATATATATACACCCAATACAGGAGCACCCAGATTCATAAAGCAAGTTCTTAGAGACCTACAAAGAGTCTCCCACACAATAATAGTGGGAGACTAACACCCCACTGTCGATATTAGACAGAACAATGAGACAGAAAATTAACAAGGATATCCAGGACTTGAACTCAGTGCTGGACCAAGCAGACCTAATAGACATCTACAGAACTCTCCACCCCAAATCAACAGAATATACATTCTTCTCAGCATCACATCACATTTACTCTAAAACTGACCACATAATTGGAAGTAAAACACTCCTTAGCAAATGCAAAAGAGTTTTCTATATTTAGAAAACCCCACTGTCTCTGCCCAAAATCTCCGTAAGCTGATAAACAATTTCAGCAAAGTCTCACGGTACAAAAATCAATGTGCAAAAATCACAAGAATTCATATACACCAATAATAGACAGAGAGCCAAATCATGAATGAACTCCCATTCACAATTCCTACAAACAGAATAAAATACCTAGGAATACAACTTACAAAAGATGTGGAGGACCTCTTTAAGGAGAACTACAAACCACTGCTCGAGGAAATCAGAGAGGACACAAACAAATGGAAAAACATTGCACGCTCATGGATAGGAAGAATCGATATCGTGAAAATGGCCATACTGCCCAAAGTAATTTACAGATAAAATGCTATCCCCAAAAAGCTACCATTGACTTTCCTCACAGAATTAGAAAAAACTACTTCAAATTTCACATGGAGCCAAAAAGAGCCTGCATAGCCAAGACGATCCTAAGCAAAAAGAACAAAGCAGGAGGCATCACGCTACCTGATTTCAATCTACACTACAAGGCTACAGTAACCAAAACAGCATGGTACTTGTACCAAAATGGATATGTAGACCAATGGAACAGAACAGAGGCCTCAGAATCAATGCCACACATCTACAACTATCCGATCTTTGACAAACCTGAAAAAAACAAGCAATGGGGAAAGGATTCCCTACTTAATAAATGGTACTGGGAAAACTTGCTAGCCATATGCCGAAAGCTGAAACTAGACCCCATTCTTCCACCTTATATAAAAATTAACCCAAGATGGGTCAAAGACTTAAGTGTAAGACCTAAAACCATAAAAACCCTAGAAGAAAACCTGGGCAATACCATTCAGGACATAGGCATGGGCAAAGACTTCATGACTGAAACACCAAAAGCAATGGCAACAAAAGCCAAAATTGACAAATGGGATCTAATTAAACTAAAGGGCTTCTGCACAGCAAAAGAAACTATCATCAGAGTGAACAGGCAACCTACAACATGGGAGAAAATTTTTGCAATCTACCCATCTGACAAAGGGCTAATATCCAGAATCTACAAAGAACCTAAATCAATTTACAAGAAAAAAACAAAGAACCCCATCAAAAAGTGGGCAAAGGGTATGAACATACACTTTTCAAAAGAAGACATTTATGTGGCCAACAAACACATGATTAGAGAAATGCAAATAAAAACCACAATGAGATGCCATCTCACACCAGTTAGAATGGCGATCATTAAGAAGTCAGGAAACAGCAGATGCTGGAAAGGATGTGGAGACATAGGAACGCTTTTACACTGTTGGTGGGACTGTAAACTAGTGCAACCATTGTGGAAGACAGTGTGGCAATTCCTCAAGGATCTAGAACCGGAACTACCATTTGACCCAGCAATCCCATTACTGGGTATATACCCAAAGGATTATAAATCATTCTACTATAAAGACACATGCACACATATGTTTGTTGCAGCACTGTTCACAATAGCAAAGACTTGGAGCCAACCGAAATGCCCATCAGTGATAGACTGGATAAACAAGATGTGGCACATATACACCATGGAATACTATGCAGCCAAAAAAGGATGAGTTCATGTCCTTTGCAAGGACATGGATGAAGCTAAAAACCATCATTCTCAGCAAACTGACACAACAACAGAAAACCAAACATTGCATGTTCTCACTCATAAGTGGGAGTTGAACAATGAGAATACATGGACACAGGGAGGGGAACATTAAACAGTGGGACCTGTCAGGGGGTGGGGGGCTGGGAGAGGGATAGCATTAGGAGAAATACCTAATGTAGATGACAGGTGGATGGGTGCAGCCCATCACCTGTCATGCACGATGACACCTGTATACCTATGTAATAAACCTGCACATTCTGCACATGTATCCCAAAACTTAAAGTATAATAATAAATAATAAAATAATAAAAATAAGATAAATTTGTGTTGTGCTAAGCCACCAAGTTTATGGTACTATGGTACTTTGTTTCAGCTGCAATAGGAAACTAACAGTACCTTTGGGCAAACTTTTCTCTAATGAGCATCAGAATTGTATGCTCTTTAACCTATACAAAACTCCTATTAATGATTTATATGAAGCCATAGAAGGCATGCTTATATAATTTTTATATAATACAAAGCTGGAGAGAATGCATATATATTGCTTCAGCTAATAATTCTAAAAGATATTTATGGATCAATTCAAAGGGAAATGTAAACTTTTACTTTTAGATTCCAGATAAAAATTGCGTAAGTACAGAATGAAGAAGCCAAAAATTGTGCAAACAACATATGAATTTTAATTTATTATAAGGTTATAATGATTACAAAGTTATAATGATTCACCAGAGACTGATAAACAGCTAATGTAATTCAAAGTTGCATCGATAGATTCTGGGTGAAGAAAAAATAAGTGTTTTTTTCTTTTTTTTTTTTTTGCCTTAATAGGTGAGTCATATATGGAGTACAGTTTTCTTCTTTGGATACCTCATAATTGATGACTAATTGCCTACTTTTAAAGTAAAGGTACCAAGAAGGTAAAGCAGTCAGAACCAATGCCAGGGCTTGATCAGTGACATAAAAATCACCTATTTAAAAATAGAGACTTCTGGTCTCCAACCTAGAGCTACTAAATCAGAGTCTCCGGAGATGGGACCAAGAATATGTATTTTGTATTTTTAACAAGGGTCCCAGGTGATTCTGATGCACAGGACATGCCTGAGTTATGGCACCCAGGTAGGATAAGGAAATGGTGAAGTTTCTGAGATAAAAGGTGGTATAGTTTGTGGAATCACAGATTTAGAGAAGGCATGATGATTGTGTTCAAATATTTGAAGGACTGTCATATGACTACCCTTTGGAATTATACAGAATAAATAAAACAGTAGAAGTTAGAAGCCAACAGAAACTTCCCAGCAATCAATTTTCTATCTCTATCTGTCCATCGATCATTCAATCAATCAATAGATAGATAGATATGATATACACACACACTGTCTTCCACTCAATATTCATGAGGGATTGGTTCCAGTACCCCCACAGATAGCAAAATCTGGGGATGCTCAAGTCCCTGATATAAAATGGCACTGTATTTGCGTATAACCTATGAATATCTTCCCGTAGACTTGAATTCATCTATAGATTACTTATAATACCTGATACATGTAAATGCTATGTAAACAGTTGTTATACTGTATTGATTAGGGAATAATGACAAGAAAAGCCAATACATGTTCAGTACAGATGCAACCAACTGTTTTATTTTAAAATCTTTTCAATTCGCACTTAGTTGAATCCATGGATGCAGATTCCACAAATACAGAGGGCCCACTGTATATCACAAGTTACCCCAGGCTACATGAGCCAGAGGGTTAAAAATGAGTTCCATGTAGCTGTAACAAAATAATATATCTATGGATACATCCCACTCTGATGTGTGGGGACATCAACCCTTCCTCCTCCAAATGCTCTGGAAGTCAGTGAGTATTTCATGTGTCCTTGAGAACTAGCTCCCATGTCTATTATTTTCTGTTTCTGGCTGACTACTGCTAATGTCACCAAAGATGCTACTGTACCCTCATGATCCAAAGCACAACCCACCATGAAGTCACTGCCACAAAGACTCATCCTCTTCAGCTTCTGAGTATGGATTTTCTTACTACTCAGCCTGTTGGGTCCACTTGGGGCTAAATGTGATTTAGCAATCACTCCAATTAGGAAAAGTTCATGTCACCTTGTGCTGCCCTGTGTTACACAGACTTTTACTCTCAATATTTTATAGATACTTTGGCAAAATGACCCTTTTTTGTTGTTTGACTCCCACCATCCCTCCCTCCCTTCCTTCCTTTCACTTCCACTTCATTCCTTCTCCCCAGGAATTAAACAAGTAACTAAAATTATCTCCAGTGAATTTAAGGTGAAAATGGGACATTTACTGTACAGGTGCAGGAGTATTTCAAATGGGAAATTTATTATATAGATGCAGGGGTATTTCAATTCTTACAAAGGATTACAACCAGGAATTGCAATAGCATCAGGAATCAAGACAGCAACTCTCTCAATTTCTAGAGCTACAGATCTCTCTCTTGGAAGTTCGCTACATGCTTCATTCTCTAAGACCATATTTCCTTACTTCTTTATGTGCAGTTTAGAGAAAGGCTGCCTCAGCTGACATTGACTTTCTGATTATTCAGTGAATATTAACCAGAGTCTTTGGGTGCTACTTTAAATTTCCCAGGAGAGAGAATCGAACTGGCACATTTGGGGTTAGGTGTCTGTCCCTGGTCCCATCTGCTGTGGCCATAGATCATGTGGCCCATTGCCTTATTCGCAAGCATGGAAATGGAATTTCTAGGAAGTAGTGTGAGCAGCGTTTGGGTGAAGAATGTTTCTAGGAGAAGACATGAGATGGGGAGACAACACAATAGGTGTTTACTTCACTAACCTTGAACCAAATTTACTCCTACTTTCTTCCCTTTGGATGAGTTTCTCTTGGGAGGCTCCTCAGACATTCAAGTGAGCAGTTTTCTAACGGACTACCCAAGCAGTCTCTCCAAGACATGTTCAGCCACACCTGGATCCCAGCATAAACATAGCTTTCATTCTCAATCTAAGATCTCCTTTATAAATAATTATAAGGAACTGAGCTTCCTACTCTAGGCACTATTAAAAGTAAGAAGAGGCTGGGCGTGGTGGCTCATGCTTGTAATCCCAGCACTTTGGGAGGCCGAGGCAGGTGGATCACGAGGTCAGGAGTTCAAAACCAGCCTGGCCAACATGGTGAAACCTCGCCTCTACTAAAAATACAAAAATTAGCTGGGCATGGTGGCATGTGCCTGTAATCCCAGCTACTCCGGAGGCTGAGGCAGGAGAATTGCTTGAATTGGGACCCAGGAGGCAAGGTGGAGGTTGCAGTGAGCCGACATCAAGCCACTGCCCTCTAGCCTGGGTGACAAAGGGAGACTCTGTCTCCAAAAAAAAAAAAAAAAAAAAAAAAAAAGTAAGAAGAATCACCTGCAAGAAAATGTAGAAAAGATGCATCCTTGGCCTGATAGGTTAGACAAGATAGTATATTTAAACTCCTCGGTAACCTAAGTTTACAGGTAATGCAAGTTGATTTACCAGCCAACTAACAGTTGAATTTCCACACTCTCATCCAAGTTGTCTGAAAGTTTGAGTACCTACAAAATAAAGCTACTCTCAGAATGTAATAGTTTAACAAATATTCCTAACATGACTACAGATTTATTTACTTTGCTAGAAGAAGAAGGAACACGTAGGGTTAACAGTTGTAAATCAGGAATTTATCAGTTTTAAAGCTTTTCATGTGCTATTTTATTTTACAAGATGTTGTGAGAATTTTAAGAGTGATTTTTCAGGTCATCAAACTAATTACTTTTAGTAGTTCTTAAAGAACAAGCGTCGTAAGAAAAATTAGCTAGGATACTATAGTCAAGGGACTGGCCACCTCAAATACAAATCGGATGCCCAGGAAAGTATTTGGGGCAGTTGATGCTGTGTTTGCTAAGAAGGCACTATTGAGATTTCAGATCCATTTGGTAACTTTATTCTTGTTTTTGGCAACTCCATTTTAGTTGTGTTTTATGCTGAAGATAGAAGTCTTGACTCTTGATTTTGAAGTTTTCTAAATAAATGAACTGTATCTTCAATGTGTCAAGTTTCTTCTGTTTTTGTTTCTTTTCTCCAGTTTCATGGATTCTGAGCCCCTCCTGCTCACAGACTGAAAGCAAGTAGTACCAAGTAGCTCATGAACTGTTGGGCAGGTCTCTCAGCTGCTTGCTCATGCTGGAGATTTCTGAGTTCTCACCTCACTGCACTTTAATCCCATAGAGCACTCAGAATAGTATAGCGGTCACCTTTCTTGCTATGAAAATCATTATAGCAAAACATATGACTTCCTCACAGAATTTACTCTCTTTTCTCCCCCAGTGGAAAAAAATTAATTATCTAACAACTAAATGAATAAACAAAGAGGCATCATAATATACTAGAAAGAGCATGGGTGTTCAAAACAGATGGACATCAGTTTGAATACTAACTTGATTCCTTGCTCTTTTGGCCTTGTTAAAATGGGATTAACATTGACCTTATGGGGGTGTTGGAAAATTAAATGGTAAATGTGTAAGCATAATGCATGCTTGATAAATGTTATTTCTCTTCCTCTTCCATTGCCTCAAATGTTGTAGAGAAGGCTAAATGAGTCTTGATATCAGATGGCAGATGAGGAGACCCAGGGGACCTGAATGGAGAAAGTAGGAAGGAAAATGAGTGACCACCAAGTCTGGGAACAGGAGTGAGAACAAAGAGCCAGGGATTCTTCCATTTCTCTTCACCTCCCTTGAAATTTTAATCAGGTGTTTGCCTTAGCAAGTGTGTAGTCCATGATTCTTATTTCGATTTTTATTACTTAAAAAAAATCAAAGTAAACATATGCCTAATTTTTACACGAAATGGTATAGATAGCTTATAACAGAAAACAAAACAAAAAAGCAGAAAACACTTGTCCACCATCCCACCCCTGCCCAGTCAAAATCTCTTTTCTAGGAGACAAGCCTTATTGGTTTTAATTCTATTATTTTTTCTGCTTTAGACATTTTATGAATTTTCTATGATAAATAAGGATTTAACTTACATCACCTATTTAGTGGAAGAGGGGTGAGGTAGAGAGAGAAGGAGAATAAGAATATATAGAATCTATATCTAGGGTAGCCATTTCAGTTAGAAGACACGTGTATCTGTCTTTAGGTCTGAAAATTTTTATTTTACTATGTCTATGTAAATGTCCTCCTCTTCATTTTTTTAGTTCTCTTCCTTTCTAGAAATTCATTTAATCTCCTCTTTAATTCTCTTTCTCTTTTTACAATTTATTCTAGGAGAGCATCTTGCCTTAATCTCCCATCTTTCTTTTGAATCTGTTTTTTTGGTAATTATATTTTTTAAATTTCTGAGAACTATTTTTTCTTCTCTGGTTGTTTCATATTTTCATAGCCTCCTGTTCTTGGTTTATGGATGCAATATTTTCTCAAATCTCTCAGAAAAAAATAGAGGGATTTTTTTAAAAGTTCCCTTTTGTTCCTATCTCTGTTTTGTTTCAATTTTTATATTTGTTCAATTTGGTCTTTTCATTCATGCTGAAAGTGTTGATGAAATATCTGGGAGTCCTTGGTTGTTGATTTATATTGTGAATGAAGGATTTATATTGTGGATATGGTAGTGGGGCTGCGAGACTGAGAACATTTGCTGGTGTGATGAGCAGGGAGCCAGACATTAATCTGGGTGGGGTTTGGTCCACAGAAGCCAAGATTAAGTGTTTATTTGGAATTCCAGCAACTACACTACCTTTCCTAATTCTTCACTAGATAGTTTGCAGTCTTTTCCATTTCTCCAAAAAGACAACTTCTCGGGGTTTGTTTTTGTTTTGGGGTAAATACCTAGTTGGCTGCTGGCCATGCCAATGGAGAAGAAGAGGGTATATTTTGTGCCAAGGCCCATTGTCTTCGGCCTGCTCGCTCTTTCTTCCTCTCATTCCATATCTGCTGCTGCCAGGTCTGCAGTCTCATGGAGATTCTTCCGAGAAGTAACATTTCTTCTATGTTGGGTAGCTTTGCAAAACTCTTGGACTGAAGCTTTCTCTACTTCTTTCAGTCAGTCATTTTTTCATTTGCTTTTCGTATCTGAAACATTTGTTGAAATATATTGTCTGATGATGGCCCTTTATTATACTGTATGAGCTTATCTGAAATGCAAATCTATCGTTATAATTTACATGGGGTGCCAGGAGAGAGGGGAGACAAATGAGTCGATAGAGTGAGCCATTATGACATGGAAGTCACAGAAACCCATTAAAATCCCCTGCCCCCTCATATTATCCAGAATGTTGATATTTTTAGAATACCCTCAAGAAGCTAATCTAGAAAAACTGTCTCTCTCTCATCCATGCTGCCCTGGATCAACATCTTAACCTTCTAGCTCTTTTTTCTTCCACAAACCACTACATAAATGCACAATGTGTGTCCTCTGACAACCACCCTACATCCTACTCCCCACCATGGGACACCACTTGGGAAGCAGCAATTTTTATCTGAGTTTACATTTCTCTCAAGAACATTTTTTTTCTTCTGAAAGCATGGGGAAGAGAGAAAGCATTTATTGTCCTATATTGTGTCTGAATCCTGTGTTTTAGGGGATGGGTAAGGGGGAAGGCTGTTAATCACTACTTTAATGGCTGTTAACCCATCAAAAATGAAAGAATAAATTTTCCTGAAGAAATAAAACAGTAAGGTCAAGTCTTTCTTTACAGAGAAATAAAGTCAGGTAGTTGGGCTATAAAAGATGAAGAGAAGAGATCAACCTGCTTGAGGAATTGTTTATCATATAGGAATAAGTATTTTCTGAATCCATAAAATTAAGCCATGAACACAACTTTTAATAGAGAAGGGGACTAAATAAAGCCTTTGTTTACATTTCTTGAATAGCATTGTATTCTGTTAACTCAAACTGCTGAAATGACTTTTGAATTTTACTCAAAGTCATGGAGATATATATCCACTTTGGTTGTCTTCCCCATCACAGTCATAAATACAAACAGTGAAGCCTTGTAAATCTGCCATTTCATAGCAAAAACAACACCATGACAATTTAATTAATGATTTCCTCACGCCACTTTTATTATACAAAGAAAGGTTTCTCTTTCTGACTGAGAAAGACATCCTTCATGGATTATTTTTCAGAAGAGTAAAAATGTGTATCTTGACAATATGGAACATCAAACCAGAGAATAGAAATAAGACAAAGAAATAAGCCGTGTCCCTGTGAATGCTTTTTATGGTTACTTTCTTTCTCCTACTTTCTTACTTTTTTATACTCTTTCTAAATATAGTTTATAAGTGAATGCTTTATGGGAGCTTTGGTGCCAAGTATTTGGTGGACCTCACCGGATCACTCTAATCAAAGTCTCTATTCCTTACTAGTTTGTTCTAGTCAAATAATTCTAGTCACTGTCCCTGGGTCATGCCCTAACCCTTCCTACTCTCCTGCTATCATGTGTATTGTTGTACTTGCCTGAAAAGTTGCCTTTCCACTGACATGTCTAAAAGTTCCACTATCCTTCAAGGATTCAGATTTCATCTCTTTTATAGAGCCTTTGGTGACCTCTTTCCCCAACGCATTCTCTCCCTTCTCCAAATTTCTATCACTTGCATCGCCGGTTTTGTCTTATGGATCTTGCATGTACATTACAGCTCTAGCATCTCTCCTATTGCAGCAGGATTACTCGACTCTCAGCTTTTGTGGATCAATGCCCATTAGGTGTTTCTCAAAACGAGGACTGATTTTAAAATAATTAAAAAATATTTACTTTTAAAACCCAATATTTTAAAAATTAAAAATAACTGTTATTTCATACCTAAGAGAGAGAAAGTGCTGAAATACTTCAGCAATATGCTCATATCCAGCTAAGTGACAAATAGCTCAATTCATAGGTCAGTTTTCTCCCCCAGTCATCTTTTTCCTTATTTTCTATTACTGCTTAAAGTTAAAAACTCTAGCTCACGGTAGATGATTTTCATCGATAGTTATGGACATTAAACTTGAACATAGGC
This sequence comes from Homo sapiens, assembly GCF_000001405.40. NCBI lineage: Eukaryota > Metazoa > Chordata > Mammalia > Primates > Hominidae > Homo > Homo sapiens. The sequence goes on along the minus strand of NC_000009.12, from coordinate 1,812,430 downwards.
CAGAAATTAGGGATAGATTCCTCACTAATGTGTAATTACAGCACTCCTGTATACCTTAAGTTGATAAGCACACCTACAACAAAGCTGGAAAGTTGAGTGATTTATATGGGGAGAGGGGGTGAAGGATTCCTAATGCACCATTTTGTTTCACTTGGTTCAGCTAAGTTTTTCTTCATATTCTATAGCAGTTTATAGATATAGCTTTAAAAGATACTCCGTAATAGCTTATAGATTCTTTATCCTCAGACAATTAAAGGAAATAATTCAGTGTTGGGAAAGAGTCAAAATCATGGTGATTGAACTATCTTCATCACAATTATGACTTCTTCAGCAGTCTAATATGCTAAATTGAAATCTAGGTAAGTTCAGAATATAATAGTAATTGTTAGAATAGCTAATATTTATTGCGTGAGAACTATTAGGCAGCATAAGCACTTTTATAAATTTTCCTATGGAATTTTTAGGACAATTCTTTGAGGTAGGAGTTATTTATAACGCTTTTTACTGATAATGAAATTGAGTCCTAGAGAGATTAAGTGGCTTGTCTAAAGTCATATAGCTTGTGAATGGTCCTGTGAAGCTCTGAACCCAGGCAATCCGATTCCATCTCCTTAAGATTTAACTGCTATGCTTTCATTCTGGATTACACAATTTAAGCAAGCCACTCACAGAGACAATTGTGGCCAGAAATATCAACTTCTGAAAAATATTTTAATCTCATTCGTCGTCTAATAAAAATTCATGCAAGCATTGCTTTTCTTGACGGAAAGTGTACTAGTGTATGGAAAAGCAGCATTTTACACGGCTGCCATTTTCTTTGCCAAAAAACAAACCCGAAAAGACTGCAACTTGGTTGCATTTAAAAAGTCACTATTTTCCTCAAAACCAAAAAAATATTACAAGTAATATGGGTGGTCACCACCTGCATTCTGTGATAAAGTACTCTGTGATTAGGCATTGAGGGGCAAACATTTTTCTTTGTCTAGTGATGCCCTCCCTTTCTACATGCATAACTGGTATAACATTTAGCGTTTCTTCCACGACAATCTATGTATGGTACATAAAGTGAACACTCAGTAAACAAACAAACCAAAACTGTTCTGTGCCACAAATTTTCAATTAATGAAAAAACAAACTCATCCAACAGATTTCTCTTTTTCTTTGAAAGCTCCTTGGATTTTTAGTTTTACGGTTTTTTTTCAACTTCTATTTCAGGTTCAAGGGTTACGTGAGCAGGTTTGTTACACAGGTAAACTGTATGTTACAGGGGTTGGGTGTACAGAAAATTTTGTCACCCAGGTAATCAGCATAATACCTGATAGCTACTTTTTCAATCCTCACCCTCCTCCCGCTCTCCACCCTCAAGTTGGCCCCAGTGTCTACTGTTCTCTTCTTTGTGACCATGTGTACTCAGTGTTTAGCTTCCACTTATACATGAGAAAATGCAGTATTTGGTTTTCTGTTTCTGCATTAATTTGCATACTAGTCCTACTGAAGTTATTCCAAAAAAAATCAAGGAGGAACTCCTCCTTCACTCTTTCTATGAGGTCAGCATCAACCTGATACCAAAACCTGGCAAAGACTCAATGAAAAAAGAAAACTACGGGCCGATATCCCTGATGAACACAGATGCAAAAATTCTTAATGAAATACTAGCAAACCAAATCCAGTAGCATATCAAAAAGTTAATTCACCACAATCAAGTAGGCTTTATTCCTGAAATGCAAGGCTGGTTGCTTTTTAATATAGTATGACACTGTAACATGTTATCCAAATGTTATAGATGAATTTTACCAATAGCCTGTTGTGTACGGTGGTTTAAAAAATATGTCCACAATTTGTTTTGACATCCCTTTCTTCACAGGGTCAACCTTAATTCTTATTCTGGTGAATATGAACTGGATTTAGTAGTTCACCTGAAACAAATGGCTTAGGCAGAAATGGTGTGAAGATTCTGAAACTAGGTTATAAAAGGCATTATGGCTTCTTCTTTCTCTCCATCTCTCTGTCTCTCTCCAATCATTCACTCTGGTGAAATTTATCTGCCATTGATTTAGAACACTCAAGCAGCCCCATGGAAAGGTCTATGTGTCAAGGAACTGAGTTCTTCCAATAAGCATAAAGGAAGTGAGAGCTCCTGCAGACAACTGTGCAAGTCAGCCATCTTGGAAGCATATCCTCTAGCTCCAGTCAAGCCTCAAGGTGACTGCAGCCCTGGCAATATATCTCGACTACAATTTCTTTAGAGACCCTGCGCTAGAACCATTCAGATAAGTTGGTACTAAATTCCTTGCCCATAGAAATTATGAGATAATAAATATAAATCGGTTTAAGCTACTAGGTTTCGTAGTAATTTATTACATTGCAACAGATAACTAATAAACTTTCTTTTTTCCTGCTGTACACACTATTTGTCATTAACTTTGTGACTGGTTTTATATTTCCTCTGCAATAATTTGAATTATACCTATTTTTCTTGATGCAACTTTGAATACATTTTATTTCATCTCTTCCTTTGGTAGCGAAATTCATCATGTCTAACTGGAAGGTATACATTTGCATTTGTACTAGAAAAACTCAGTTGGCTTATTAGCATGGTCACTGTGCTCTGGTAAAAAAATGACAAGAAATTCTGATAATTTCTTGCCACTTTTGGAAACAATTACAATAATGAATTAAAGATTAAGAGAAAATGGATCTTCAGTTCATTAAAAACCAATGTTTAGATAAAAATCTTGTATTTTCTGTTTGTACTTTATTTTTAATACTTTTACAAAATAATACTTGCAGATTCACTTATTGTTCATTCAGATTCATCCTCTATATTTGCACAGACACTCTATTAACTACTTCATAATTTTTTTTTTTTTTTTTTTTGAGACGGAGTCTCGCTCTGTCGCCCAGGCTGGAGTGCAGTGGCGGGATCTCGGCTCCCTGCAAGCTCCGCCTCCCGGGTTCACGCCATTCTCCTGCCTCAGCCTCCCAAGTAGCTGGGACTACAGGCGCCCGCCACTACGCCCGGCTAATTTTTTGTATTTTTTAGTAGAGACGGGGTTTCACCGTTTTAGCCGGGATGGTCTCGATCTCCTGACCTCGTGATCCGCCCGCCTCGGCCTCCCAAAGTGCTGGGATTACAGGCGTGAGCCACCGCGCCCGGCCAATTTTTTTCTTGATGTTAAGATTTACTTTAAAATTCCTGGCGCTCTCTCTCTCTCTATATATGTATATATAAAAATATATATGTATAAATATATACATACGAATATATACTATATGTATATATAAATAATATTTAATATCTATATAATTATACATATATTTACATATATACATATATGTTACATATATATATTTTTGAGACAGAATCTCACTCTGTCACCCAGGGTGGAGTGTAGTGGCGTGATCTTGGCTCACTGCAACCTCCACCTCCTGGGTTCAAGCAATACTTGGTTCTTAGCCTCCTGAGTAGCTGGGATTACAGACATGTGCCACCATGCCCAGCTAATTTTTGTATTTTCAGTAGAAATGGGGTTTTGCCATGATGGCCAGGCTGGTCTTGAACTTCTGGCCTCAGGTGATCCACCCACCTCAGCCTCCCAAAGTGCTGGGATTACAGGCATTAGCCACAGTGCCCAGCCCCCAGCAACATTCTTCAGATTATATGAATTCTGCTAAGCAGTTTGGACATTTTGTAAAATGGATTGTAATATATCAAAACAGTAATACAAACTTGCAATCTGACACACATAAATAATAAGACAAATATTATATAACTGCATGACAATGATTCCTTGAAAAATCAATAAAAATCTATAATAATATTGGTTTTTTCAAAAGGAGTTACAAATTACCTATATCACAAATGAAAGAAGAGACATCACTAGAAATCTCTTGATGTTAAAATGATAAAAAGGGAAAATTTTGAACAACTTTAGAGAAGAAGTTCAACAACATGGATAAAATAGAAAAGTTTTTCAAAAGACTCAAACTACCAAAGTCAACCTAAGAAGACATACGTAACATGATTAGCCCTTTACCTAGTGAAGAAATTGAATTTGTAGGTAAAAACTGCCCCACAAAAACTCCAAGCACAGATAATTTCAGTGGTGAATTACACCAAATATTTAATAAAGAAATAATACTAATTCTACACAAATTCTTCCAGACTTAAAAGAGAAGTAAATACTTCCAAACTCATTTTATGATGCCAGAATTACTTTCATTTAAAATTAGAAAAATAAATTATAAGAAAAGACCAAGGAATACCTCATGAACATAGATGCAAAATCCTCAACAAAATTTTAGCAAATCAAATTTAGTGACATATAAAAATATAATTTTGAAATAACAGTCAAAAAACAATCAATGTTACCCATCATATAAAAAAACTAAAAAAAAAAGAACCATTAGATCATCTCATTAAATGCAGGAAAGCTTTCCTCAAAATTCAACACCCATCCATGACAGAAACTAGGAATACAAAGTAATTTTATTTAAACTGATAAAGGGAAGCTACAAAAACTTATAGCTTAAAATTATACTTAATGGTAAAGGACTAAAATGCCCTCCTCCTATGATGGAAACAAGGCAAGGATTTCCTCTTACCACCTTCTATTCATCATTGGACTTGAGGTTCCAGCTAATTCAGTAAGGTGAAAAAAAAAAAAGGAAAAGAAAGAAAAGAAAAGGCATATACAATTTGTAAAATAAAAAGTAAAACTGTTAATAGAAATATAATGCAATTATCTGTTTAGAAAATTTTAACAATTCTACCCAAGAGCTACTAAAACTAATAAGTTTTATAAGCATATTTCACACAGAATATAAGGTAAATATAGAAAATTTAATTTTGTTACTATATACTAAAAATGAACAATTGGAAATGGAAATTAATAAAATACACTTATAATAGTAACAAAACTGTAAAAAAGTTAGAAATAGGAATTTGTACAAGACCTATACATTGAAAACCACAAAACATTGCAGATAGAATTTAAAGAACACCTAAATAATTGGAGAGATATACCATGTTCATCAATTAGGAGACTAATATTGTTAAGATTTTAATTCTCTCTAGAATGATCTACACATTCAATGCAATCCCAATACAAATTTCAGCAGGGATTTTTTTTTGTAGTGATCGACCAGCTGATTCTAAAATGTATATAAATTCAAAGGACCAGGAATGGACAAAACAAATTAGAAAAAAAATTAAGTTGGAGGACTTACACTATCCGATTCTAAGACTTTATTATAAAGCTACAATAATCCAGTCAGTGATTATTGTTGGCATAGGGATAGACATACAGAACAATGTAACAAAATAGAGAATTCAGAAAAAGACCCACCTATATTTGGCCAATTCTTTTTTAACAAAGATATCAAAGGAAGAGTCTTTTCAACAAATGGCGCTAGAATTTAATGTTCATATTTTTGTAAAAATGAACCTCAAACATTATCTTACAATACATACAAAAATTAAGTCAGAATAGATATTAGATCATAATGCAAGAGATAAAACTGTAAAACTTCCAGATAAAAACATAGAAAAAAAACTTTGAGAACTTGAATTGAACAAATAATTCTTGTCATAAAATTCACAAAAAATAGAAAAATAATTGATAAATTGAACTTTATAAAAAATTTAAAAATGTTTATTATTTAAGAAATACTGCTAAGAAAATTAATAGACAAGCCACAGGCTTGGAGAAAACATATGCAAAACATGTATCTGAGAAAAAAAAACCTTTTGTTCGGACTCTATAAAGAACACCTCATACTAAATACCAAGAAGAAGGACAATCAATTAATAAATGGGCAAGATATTTGAACAGAAACTTCACTGAAGAAGATACTCAAAGGGCAAATAAGCACACGATATAACTTTAGCTTAATTAGTCATTAGGGTAGTAGAAATAAAATCACAATAATACAGCTCTACATATCCGCTATTATGGCTAAAATAAAAAAGGCAGACAATATCATATATTGGCAAGTATTAGGAACAACTGGAATCTTCATTGCTGATAGGAATACAAAATATTAGAGCTACTATTGAAAACAGGTGGAAAATTTCTTATACAGTAAGCATAAATTCATATAGCTCAGCAATAACACTTTCAGATATTTACCAAAGAGAAATAAAAACTACCATCGGAGTGAACAGGCAACCTACAGAATGGGAGAAAATTTTTGCAATCTACTCATCTGACAAAGGACTAATATCCAGAATCTACAAAGAACTCAAACAAATTTACAAGAAAAAAACAAACAACCCCATCAACAAGTGGGTGAAGGATATGAACAGACACTTCTCAAAAGAAGATATTTATGCAGCCAAAAGACATATGAAAAAATGCTCATCATCACTCGTCATCAGAGAAATTCAAATCAAAACCACAATGAGATACCATCTCACAGCAGTTAGAATGGCAATCATTAAAAAGTCAGGAAACCACAGGTGCTGGAGAGGATGTGGAGAAATCGGAATGCTTTTACACTGCTGGTGGGACTGTAAACTTGTTCAACCATTGGGGAAGACAGTGTGGTGATTCTTCAGGGATCTAGAACTAGAAATGTCATTTGACCCAGCCATCCCATTACTGGGTATATACCCAAAGGATTATAAATCATGCTGCTATAAAGCCACATGCACACGTATGTTTATTGAGGCACTATTCACAATAGCAAAGACTTGGAACCAACCCAAATGTCCAACAATGATAGACTGGATTAAGAAACTGTGGCACATATACACCATGGAATACTATGCAGCCATAAAAAAGGATGATTTCATGTCCTTTGTAGGGACATGGATGAAGCTGGAAACCATCATTCTCAGCAAACTATCACAAGGACAAGAAACCAAACACCGCATGTTCTCACTCATAGGTGGGAATTGAACAATGAGAACACTTGGACACAGGAAGGGGAACATCACACACCGGGGCCTGTTGTGGGATGGGGGGAAGGGATAGCATTAGGAGATATACTTAATGTAAATGACGAGTTAATGGGTGCAGCACACCAACATGGCACATGTATACATATGTAACAAACCTGCACGTTGTGCACATGTACCCTAGAACTTAAATATATATTATATATATTATATAATTATATAAATATATATAATATATATTTATATAATTTAATATATGTCTTATACATGTCTTATATATATTATATAATTATATAAATATATATAATTATAATTATATATTACAATTATAAAATTTATAACATATTATATTATATGATATATAATATATTATAACATATTATATTATATGATATATAATAATATATATAATATATATTATATTAAATATTATATTTTATATATAAATTATATAAAATATAATTTATATATTTATATTATATAAAATATATGTATTTTATATATTTATATTATATAAAATATATGTATTTTATATATTTATATTATATAAAATATATGTATTTTATATATAATATATATATATTTTTATACATTTTATATATATTATATATATTACATTTTATATATATAATATAATATATATTATATATATAATATATTATATATATTATATATATAATATATTATATATATTATATCATATATATTTTATATATATATATATATATATATATATATATATGTCCACACAAGATTTGTACATGACTGTTCATTATAGCTTTATTCATAGTAGCCCCAATCTTTGGTCAATGTGAATATACTTAACCTAAACAAATGCTTTAAATGCTTATTCTTCTGTCATTGCCTTAAGAAGAGGTTCTCCTGCATAGCCTCCCTTCATCCTGGGCTCTAGCAATATGTACACATCAGCCCCAGTGAAGCTGAGCATGAGAATAAATCCTTATGATTTTGACTTACGACTTATGACTGAGTTTTGGGATAATTTGTTATGAAACATTATGGTAGTATTTTCCTATTCCTCTTATTTTTTTAAATTAATTATTTTCCTTGTCTTTTCCGGGAATTTTTTTTTAAGAGACAGAGTCTCACTATTTTCCAAGGTTGGCCTCAATCTCCCGGGCTCCAGTGAACCTTTCACCTCAGCTTCTTGAGTAGCTAGTGCTACGAGTGTGCACCACCATGCCCAGCTTCTAGGGACTTTTAGTGGAAGCTGTCTTCCAGTCCTGTTACTGTAATTGTCACCTTTAGGGAGAAGCATACTAAATCTGCTTTCAGGCCTGGCCTTTCTTCTGAGCTTCAGGCTCTCACATGATCTTTATAGAATAAGTATCTGCTTGATAGAAGAAGGAAGGGAGAAATGAAATCACATTAATTAGTTGCTACTAGAAATTTGTATATCTTTTAAATAATCGGTGTTTAATAAATGTTTTTGATCAGTTAATGGAAATGGCTACAATTTTAATTGTAGGGAACATTACATGTAAAAACTTAGCTCCAGTTAGAAACATTCTGGCCTTGTTTTCCTATTGTACTTTGTCACTTGAAAAGGCTCACTTAAAGAAAAAAGTTCTAAGATTCTAATTAATATCTTCCTAAATATTTTTGCTCTAGTTAAGAATTTTTTCAAGAATATAAGTGCTTATATGGCTGTAATCTGAAGCTGACATTTACATAAAATATTTAGTTTCTCCCTTCACTATAGTAGAAAGAAGCACGGATGCATCGGTGGTGGTTTATTGAGATAACTTTTTAAATAGTTTGGTGTTGGTTTTGAGGGTGTATTAGGGTAATCTATCAATATAATCTATCATGACAATGGAGTCAATGAACAAGGGAGGGAATGACTGCTGAAGGGTCAGGTATTTGAAAAGTAAGGCACGTAAACAAATTATTTTGGAGATGTAGAAGACAAACTACATTCTGAAATACTTGTGAAGGTGATTGAGATAAGATGCTTTTATTCCTTGTTTAAATTTTGTCAAAATAGACTTTATGTTTTAGAATAGTTATAGATCAACAGAAAGTTTGAGAAGATAGAACAGACAGTTCCCATATAACCCTTCACTCAATTTCCCCTATTATTATCATCTTATGTTAGTATGGTATATTTGTTACAATTAATTAACCAACATTGAAACATTATTGTTAATTAATGTCTATAATTTATCAAGATTTTCCTACTTTTTACCTAATGTCTTTTTTTCTTTTCCAGAATGAAAAGACATCACATTTTCTTGTCATGCCTCCTATTGGCTGTGATAGTTTCTCAAACTTTTCTTGTTTTGATGACCTTAATAGTTTTGAGGAGTACTAGACAAGCATTTTGTAGGATGCCTCTCTACTGGAATTTTTGTGATGTTTTCTTCATATCTAGACTGGAGCTATGGGTTTGGAGGAGGAAGACCACAGAGTTAAAGTGACACTCTCATCTCGTCATAACAAGGGTACATACTATCAACATGATTTATCATTGTTGATATTGACCTTAGTCACCTGATGAGGTAGCATACATCAGGTTTCTCCTCTATAAAGTTAGTCTTCCTCTCCTTTCCATAGTGTGCTCTTTGAAAGAAAGTCACTATGCACAGCCCACAATTAAGCAGTGGGGATGAATCCATCCCCTTTTGGAGGAAAAAATATCTACATAAGTTATTTTGAAATTTCATATGAGTACTTGTCTCTTCTTCCACTTATGTATTTAATTCAATTATTCATTTATGTCTGTATGGACTCATGGATATTTATTTTATACTTTGGGTAATAACCCAACACGACTTAATTTTGTTGCTCAAATTGTTCTAGCTTTGGTCATTAATAACACTTTCAATTGGACTAAACTGTCCTGTGTCCCTTTGACAAAAATTCATCAATATTTGTTATCACTTTCTTACTTTTTGTCACTGTAAGATGTGCCACATACGTCTTGTGTACGTTCCACTTCAGTCCTAGAATCAGCCACTTCTCTAAAGAGCCTTGGTTTCTTCTATTGGAGAGTGGTATTAGAAACCAAGATCTGGGTGCTAAGTGTGCTCATTGCTACTAGGATATTGTTGCCTCTAGTGTCTCTCAGCTGATGGAGCAAGGGAATACCTGTATATGTATACTAACCCACGTGTACATACATATGTAACTTATTTTATATGCAATCATCTTTATATTAAGTTAATCGGAAGTGCATAGTAATGTCTTCAACTGCAATCCATTACCACAGTGATCATTCTAGCCTCCTCACCTAACTGTAAATTCCCACTCTAACAGTGAGAAACCTGGCTTCAACCATCTGCCACACATTTAGTTAATTTTTTAGTTTCACTATACATATATGGCAGTATCAGAATTGTTAAGCCACACCTTCATGGAAATTTCATGGGAAATTCTATTAACTAGAGTAGGTGCTTACATGCAGTTCCTTTTGTCCTTAGTCTTAGTCTTAGTCTTGGACTCCATTCATTTTCCAAGTTGCTTACATCAGCGACTTTTCCCTCACCTACTTCTATGAGATTGTGTCATGTATTTTTAATACAGTTCTTTCGTCACAGTCTGCATTTCTTCCTGTGATATCCCAACCTCCTAAATGATTTTAAAAATTTGTTTATGTTCCAGTTTATACTATAAAGTTCTATGGGTATTAACAGCTGCATAATGTAAGGCATCCACCATTACAGTAGCACATAGAACAGGTTCGCTACCCTAAGAAGTCTGCTGTGTGTCACCTACTCAAATCCTCCACTCTTCTCCCCAGACTCCTAGAAACCACTGATCTTTTTACTGTCTTTATAATTTTGCCATTTTCAGAAAGTCATGTAATCAGAATCATAAAATATATCACCTTTTCAGCCTGGCTTCCTTCACTTAGCAATATGCAGTATGCTACAAACCAAGGAACACAAAGGGTTGCTGGAGCCCACCAGAACCTTTCAGAAGCTGGAAGAGGCAGCAAAGATTTTCCCCTGGGACCTTCAGAGAGCGCTCGGTCCTGCCAAATGCCTGGTTTCAGACCTCTAGCCTCAACAACTGTGAGAGAATAAATTTGTCTGTAGTACTTTCTTACAGCAGCACCAAGAAATGAATATAAAACTCATAAATACACAATTATCTTGGCCAGAAGTCTGACACGGGTAGAGAAGGAAGGCTTCACAAGAGAAGAAGAGAATGAAGAAAGACACAGAGAGAGCTGTCGATGCCAGCAGCAAAGAAGAGCTATGCCTTCATATTGGTTAGGGTTCTCCAGAGAAAGAGGAGCCAATAGTATGGATAGATGGATGGATAGACAGACAGACAGACAGACAGATAGATTTACTGTAAGAAATTGGCTTGTGCAATTATGGTGATTGACAAGTCTCAAGATATACAGTTGGCAAGCCGGAGATCCAGGAAAGCCAATGGCATGATGCAGTTCCAGTCTGTCATGTTCAGGGGTTTCAGGTGGTCCGAGGTAACTAGGTTCCGCAGGGGCAACTCCTCCCATTTGATCCAATTCAGATGAAAGGTAAGTCCCAGACCGTGATGCTCAAGCAGTTTGTTCTGGTAGTGCTCTCACAAGATAAATAGCTGAAGTAGGCTAGGGTTCTGGGCCAGAAACAGTCAGGAACTGACTGGCCAAGAGGGTCTCTGTCATGAAGATAATTCTCAGAGTTTAAGGGATCCTTTCTCCTTCTTTTACTTATATTCAGTCTGGGTCACTTACCAGGTGTTTCTTTCATGAAGGGAGTCTAAACTATTCTTGAAAAGGTAAGCTTTAAGGTTTATGAAATTCACTTCTGTGTCAAGGTAGTCTTGTCTTCTGGGAATCCCTTTGGCCTGGGTTGCAAATCCCCAGGGCAGGCTGCACTATCCTGCTAAGTGACACAGAGTGTAGGCCCAATGAGATGACTGAGTGAGCTTCACAGCTGTAATTAAAGCCATGATTTGTTTCTTACAGTATACCACACTGGCTGACTTTGAAGGCCCAAGAACAAGGAGAGCAAATAGTGGTATTTCCACTCTAAAAGACAACAGTTTTTAGAACCAGGAAGAGCTTCTGTTTCAGTTTGAGTCTGAAAGCAGGAAAAAAAATAATGTCCAGCTCATAGGGAGTCAGTGAGGAGAAGTTGCCCGTTACTCGCCAGAGGGTCTGCCTTTTTGTTCTATGTAGTCCTTCAACTTATTGGATGAAGCCTACCCACATTAAGAAAGGCAACCAGTTTTACTCAGTCTACCAGTTCAATGTTAATTTCATCCAGGGACACCCACACAGACACACTCAGAATAGTATTTGACCAAATGTCTGGGCAACCCGTGGCTCAGTCAGATTGACACATAAAATGAACCATCTCAGCCCCACCTCCTGGCAGGGCTAGCATGGAGACAGCAAGTCCCTGCGGAGCAAAGCCCAGTGGTAAATGAAGGCAGATGGGACACTTACCCAAGGGACTTATAAGCAACCATAGCCAGGAAGGCACAGATTGCTGTCAGCCTGAAGGAGCCATGTGGATCTGCTTCGTATGGTTTGACCACAACCAGAGAAAACTAAGAACGAGGCAAAGGAGGATGTCCCACTTCTTTTCTGCAAAGTTTTAGCCATGCATGAACCTCTGAAATCTTGACATGACCCTAATTGAAGTTAAGTTTCTCACAACCCCAACACAAGAGAACTCAAATAGTTAAATTCAAATAATATAAAGGGATGAAATGGTTATCACACACTTGTGTTACCTGGGATTTTTACTGTCTATGTACAGCAACCCCTGGCAAAATAAAATGGGACAGAACAACCCAAAATACACCTGAGATCAATTAAAATCCTGTCACATAGAACCTGCTTTAGTGAATGTTAGCTTACAACTGGACAGCAAGCCACTTAATTCTTAAAACTCGCAAGTTTCCCTGCACAACCCACAGCTCTGATTCCACACGGGAATACTGGAAAGTGTGTCCAGCTCTACTATCTGATGCTATGGAGGGATTCACTATGCTCTGTGAAGCTTCTGCTGCCATTGCCAAAGCCACCCAAGAAGAAGGTCCTTCAGCAATAGAGAGGGAAGCTTTCAGAACATGCACATCTGATGCCTCAACTCCCAAGCACTAAATGCACCAGACTCACTATCATGATGAAGGCTTTTCATCATGATCTCCCAGGAAACCAAGTTATCCTAAATGTTAAATCAGGGCCACATAATGGAATTACCTCAGAGCTCAAGCATGTAAAAATGCTGAGGCCAGCAGGTTAGGATCTAAGACTCAGTGCTAGACTGATTGGGTCACAGAGAGCATCACCAGGGCTAAAAGCTTGAGGATGTGGTGCCTTTTGGGAACTCTGTAGGCAGAAAGGAAACTCTTAGTGAGTGGCTGCTTATCCTTGCTGGATAGTTTTCCTTCCAGTGGTGTGGGGGCCCTGGAACAATGTAGACTTTGGTGCCAGGAAGGCTGGGGTTTGAATCCCAGCCTTAACACTTACCGAGACCTTAGGCACATCACTTAACATCTCAGTTCTTAAAAATTAGTAGTTTTCTTACCCATATTTTCATCTTCAGCTTGGTTCAGGGCTTACATTTCTAACTGTGACTTTATACTTTGGCAAGAGAAAGCCATTTTAGGGGGAAATTTTCCAAAAATGACACAGCTGTCTAGCCAATCAGCAATTACTAAACTGATCATGGTTTAAACAGCAAATGGCTCTTTAGGAAAAACATTACTGAAGTTGTTGCTTAATGAGTTAACACATGGATGAATAAAGAAGAGGAGGAGAGGGATGGACAAGAGCAAGCATAGGAGAAAGAAAGCATTAGAGGCACTTACTGCCTCTTCTCAAGTGAGATTCTTAAATGCAGAGTATCAATTGCCTGTGGCTTCTGAGGACATCAATTGTGGTCACTTCTAATTTGAAACACTCTTGAAAGGCCATTGCAATATTATCCTCTGTCACTGCAGTGGCTGGGGTTACCTGGGGAAATCACACCTTTGCAGTGCATGTGAGGGGAAACCAGGGAAACAGACATAACGAGCGGCAGTTCTCGGCCCATCAGCTAGGCTAGCAGAAGGTTCAGTTTTTCAGAACAAGCCTCCCTGGGCTTTAGTGACCACGTGATGTGGCCACCTCAGGCAGTAAAGCACATTTTCTCTCGTGTTAGGAGACTCTTCTGATGCTAGATCTTCATGGCACTGAAGAGGAGGTCCCCACGGTATCACCCAGGTCAGCTGACATGCATACGAGTGCTCCTGTGTTCTCTGACTTAGGGATCACAGTCAGAAGAGACCTCAGAGAGCATCTGATCTGCCTGGCCCCTTCACATTACGGATGAGGAACTGCAGGCTTGAGGAGAGAAGGTGATTTTTCTTAAGGAAATTCATAAGACTTCCTTTCGCTTTCCCCTTTTGTCCTTGACAGGCTGGATCTAGCTTCAGTCTTGCCACTGTGCGTAACCCTCAGTACTCAGATGGCCTCAAGGGGACAACATGGCGCCTAATTTGGATGTAAATGTCAGAGTCAGGTGGAGCCCAAGGTGCCTCTTGGTTTACTCATTTATTCCTTTTCCTTTGAGGAAACGTATCCTTTGGGGTTCTTCAACACCTTCTCATTCCCTAAACTTGGATGAAGAGGAAAACAATAAAGACCTGGCTGCTTGGTATTATAAAGAGCTTTCACACACATTATGAGTTCAGATCTTCATGAGGACACAATGTGGTAGGTAGGACAAGTAGATTTCCATTTTACAGACAGATACAGTTCTGGAGGGCAGGGTACAGTCAGACCTATCATTTTCAATCCCAGATAAATCATCTGCTAGTATTCCTTGCTTTCTTACATATCCTGGGAAATCCATTGCATCACTTAGAAGCAATCTGAAGGTCTTTTTTGTTCATTCTCTAAAACTTACCTAGAGCTAGCCAACCCTTGCCTTCTCTGTTATTACAGAGCAGATAGTGAATCCCAACTAAAAGTCATGCCTCAAGGATATACTGCTTTTCCATCGTACATCGCACACATTTTTGATCGGCACTGACTATTGTAAATCCTTTCTGAAGTATTTTTATATATTACTTTTGTCAATAGGATTGAAAAAAGTGAAAAAAAGGCAACTTGAATGTAAGAACAATTGCCTTCTGTATTTGTTCCTGTCAAATTCAGAAAGCTTTTCATAGGAAAGTATCTGTAATTAAGTGATGCTGGCAGGAAAAAAAAAATATTGGATTGCAATTTACTACCACCACTACTTGCTGCTTGCTCATATTTATATAGCACTTTAAATGAACACTTTCTTTTTTTCTATTACTCCCGTTTTATAGATGAGGAAATTGAGCTTCAATGAGTTTAGGCAAAATGCCCTTCCTGTGTATCCCTATGAGTGCCTTGCACAGGTACTCCAGAAGTATTTGCTGAATTGAAGAGCATTCACTTCTACATCATTTTTGCACTTAATATTTGAATTAATGGCTGAACCAGTTTTTTTTTTTTTTTTCTCAGAGAAGTGCACACCATGGAAAATGTGCCTCTGGGAATGCAAATAGCCCACTCGATGTATTAGGCAACCATAAACAAATGGAGATTTGCACAGATGTAATTAAGACTAGAAAATACAAACCTACGTGCAGAACCATGATTTACAGTCAAATTCACCTGCCTTGAAAGCTCATATTAGATTGCTCCTTGTTTGATTACCAAGCTGGTGTTTCAATGCAAAGCATATGCTTGTGGATCTCCAGGCTTACCGGACCTATGAATTAGCTAATAACTTTGAAATGAACCTTTTAAAGGAGGATTGGTTTATGCCTCAGCAATGCAAACATGTGCAAGTGAAAATATATGCATCTCAACTGGTTATTTTTGTAGGGAGGACAAATGTGTAAAAATATGTTTACCAGGAAAAAAATTACGGTTTTGACTTTTTGCCAAATGTTATACAAATAATTAGTGATGTTGTTAAGTGCTCAGCAGCTCTCCCAAGTCTTATTTTTTGGCATTAAATATGCTCATTCTCCCGTGTATGGGCACCTATGGTATTTTAAAGTGTTCATAGAACACGGCTGCTAGCTTGACTTATAAAATGGGCTGCTGCTGTTTTTATCCCTTTCATCATATATCTGAGAACCTAAAAAGGGATGGATGAGTCTTTTGTAAAAACATTCAACTTAACTTTTCAAAATTGTAAGTTCAATATCCTAAAGCTTGTTCATTTTGTCCACATTCTCCTATTCACCTTTCATCTTCTTCTCTCTAGTATTTTTATATTTAGAGGGTAACATTTCTAATACCAAATCAGAAAGCAGGAGTTAAAGGGCCGGAACACCAGAGCTTAGCTTTTCTCTCCCACCCAACCCCACCCTCCAACCTCTTGACAGCTGAAAATGTCTAAAAGAACGTTTCTTCAACTCCATTTTCCAGACTCAATCAAGGGATGCTACTGATATGAATACACTGTTCCCTCAACAGTAAACCTTGGGCCTTACTACTACATAAACTCATAATGTTTGTCAATATTGTTGGCTGCCTTGACCAAAATGCAGCAGCTGTAGGATGTCAATAATGTAGAATCCCCTCCTAAGTGCTGAACTGCTTGCCATGGTCAGTGGTATCACCAGGATGGAGCTCCACACCAAGATCTTTCCACTGGAGGGGGAGCCTGGCTACAAGAGGGCCTGGGAGGAATAACCTGATGAGTGCCAGAAGGAATGTCTTGTGTTGGAGCCAAATAGCAGAATTGTGTCTGATAGTTCTTATAACCAGAAAAATAAGTTATGCTGGGGGAGAAAAACTCCTGCTCAAGACAAAAGGTCTATGTTGAGCCAGAGTAGCAAGTCAAAAATGAGCACAGTTGTGCTGGAGGTAAAAATCCAAAGTGAGTTGATGAATATGTCAGAGGAGCAGGAGGCAAGAGCGGCAAGAGTAAGGAACCATCAAAATGAGAGGCAATCTGGAAACGTCCCAGAACAGGGCACCATGGCAGAGCAAATAAGTAGAGTAGATCACACACCTTCTGAAGAGTCCCCCATTTTACACATCTAGAATCTGACTTGGCACAAGCAGGTCAACCCCCTGCGTGAAGTCCACACAATTGACCAACGGCCCCAGAAAGAGTGAATTGGGTTTTATGTTCTCATGGTGAAGATTCCAAAGTCATAATTCTAGATAGACAAACATTTCATGGACTTCTTCAGCAACGCTCACCCCTAAGAAGACTGGGAAAATAATAAACACAGAATCATCAAGGGAAAAAGAAAAAGAGAAGCAAAGAAGCCTGGATGATAAACAAGATAAGACATGCACCCTTAGAGAGAAATATATTGATTGTATTGATAGAAATCAAGAAATGTGTGTGATCCAAGAGAAAACTCTTCACAACAGAATCTTAAAAAATAGCCATGCAAATAAGGGCCCATTATTTCCCCCTCTGCATGGAATTACTGGCTTTGAGTTTTAACATGGGAGGAAAAGCCAGATGGCGGCAGACGGGCTTATTATAGAAAGTCCACTTGTACTGAAGTTTTCTCAGCATTCTCCATCGTGGCTGAATGAGGTTTTGTTTTGTTTCCTTCTTAAGTGTAGGGCAGGCAAGTACCAAAATTTGTATGAAGTCTGAAACCTTTTCATGAAAATGTTCTATTCAATACCTCCGATACATGATATATGATGCTACCACAGGAAAACTAGTGTTGCTACAGACGTTAATCATAATTATGAAAATTTTTAATTTAAATGTAGGTCTGAACACACAAAATACAGTGCATGGCCATCTGTTAGTTTTCCATCTGGGCTCATTTGCAAAATACATTCTGTTTCACTCCCCCCTCCCCCCTCTATTTATAATCTTCCCTGGAAAACAAATATGCCTAATCTATGGCATGCCAGAGCTGAAGTTAGCTATTTACAAGTGGCTTTTAATAGACATGGTTACACAGTTGAAAGCAGCAACAGAAACTTCTTCAAGTTTTTCTTTTTTTAATTGCTGGTAGGCCACTTCCTTAGACTTTTGTTAGTAGACTTGCTTTGAGAATCTTCATGTAAAGATTACTTTACAGCTTGTCTGTAAAGAATAAAGAAAATTGGAATATTGCTATATTTCTTTCTTGATATGATGGTAAGGATAATGTCTAAAACTCTAGAGCTGTCAAAGCAGCATTATTTACAATAGTCAAAGGGTGGGAACAAGACAAATGCCCATTAACTGAGGAATGGATTAAAAAATGTGGATATCCATAAGGTGAATATTATTCAGTTATTAAAATGAAGTGCTGATACATGCTACTACATGGATAAACCTTGAAAACATTAAGCTAAGTGAAAGAAGCCAGACATAAAAGGTTACATATTGTATTATCCCATTAATATGAAATGTCAAAATGAGGCAAATCTGTAGAGGCAGAAAGCAGATTAGTGGTTGCCTAGGGTTAGAGGGCGAGGTTGGGGGAAATGAAGAGGGACTCCTATTAGGTCACTTTTTGGGAAGATGAAAACGTCCTAAAATTAGATTATTATGATGGTTGTGCAATTCTATGAATATAGTAAAAAATATTGAATTGTATACTTAAAAGAGGTGAACTTTATGAAGTATGTAAATTATATTCTAATAAAGGTGTTAAAAAACTATAGAGCTAGGCCAGGCATGGTGGCTCATGCCTGTAATCCCAGCACTTTGGGAGGCCGAGGCGGGCGGCTCACTTGAGGTCAGGAGTTTGGCTAACATGGTGAAACCCTGTGTCTACTAAAAATACAACAAACTAGCTGGCCATGGTGGCACGTGCCTGTAATCTCAGCTACTCGGGAGGCTGAGGCAAGAGAGTCACTTGAACCTGGAAGGTGGAGGTTGCAGTGAGCCGAGATTGCATCCTTGCACTCCAGCCTGGCGACAGAGCGGGACTCCGCCTCAAAACAAAAACAAAAACAAAAACAAAAACAAGCTGTAGAGCTAGAAGGAGATGATTATTACCCAGTTGGTTAGTGTTAAGGTTTCTGGGCCTGGATTCAAGGGTTCTCCCTGACACATAATTCTGAGTGGCATTAACTAATTCTCCTAGTGCTATGAACAGAGTGGATTGAAGAGGAGAGATCCAAATGGAAAGACCAGGTAGGAAGCTAGTACAATGGTACCAAGTAAGGCTAAGAAGGGCCTTTAAAAATGACAGTCGCAGTGAGGATAGAGCAGCTTCTAGAGTGCAGTAGATCTTTCAGAGGTGGAATAGTTATGACTTTGTGTCTGACTGATTATGGGGGAAGCAGGGGGAGGTAGACATAAATGGGTAAGATGGTAGTGACCAGGAAGTCTAGAGCAAGTAGAAAACTGAAAAAATAAAAAGCAGATGAATCTAGATCTTAATATGAGTTTGTGCCATCAGTTGAACACAAAATGGAGACACCGAACAGGAAACTGGTATGACATAACCCAAATTTGTCAGAAAGCCTAGGGCCAAAGATAAAGAAGGGACTCATCTGTTGAGCACGGGCAGTGAGAGCACTGAATGGATGTGGTAGCTGCAGAGACAGTACAGAAACAAGCAGAGGCCAAAAACAGAATGCTGGAACTCCTACATATAAGGGGAGGAAGAAAAGAGAGAAAAAGGGGGAGGGAAGGTAAAATTCCAAAATAAAGATGGGAAACCAGGACAAGTTAGCAAAAACAAGGGAACAGATCTAACTTAAGCCAACTGAAGGCTATCAGATAGATTTTGAAATTTATCAACCAAGGCCTCATCCTTTGTGGGAGTTTTTAGTTTACTTAGGCAGCAAGTAGAAAATTCAGGAACTGAAATCAAATAAAAGCTCTGACTCCAGAGATCAGGCAACACGAGGAAAAATCTACAAGAATTAAACTGATGAGATGAGAAAAATGAATGGCATTAAAATACGGACGAAAGCAGCTGGAAATTTTGAGAACGAGGCTATCCTGACAAAATATGTTGTAAGAAGGAAAATATAGTCTCCAGATGATCCGCTGTCACAATGGGGGTGAAAATACACAAGTAGGCTTTTCTTGCATTTCTGCTATAGTGGAGTGGCAAGGCCAAATATTAAGCTGAGCCTCAGTAGATTAATACATTTTGCTTATTTTCAAAATGTTAACCAGATTCTGTACTTCCCAATCTTGAAAAGTTTAGGCTGAAAATAAGGGCAAATGGAGACCTCTGATAATAAAATCTAGTTGCTTGAATTCCCACTAGGAAACTATAAAACAAGGAATCCACAAGGTGGGTACCTCCCCAGGACACTGCTATTCTAAAAAAACAAATATTGCACATTTGTTTATTTATCAGGTCCATGGGTCATTGCTGGGAATGCAGAGAAAAGCAGGAAGAAGTCCCTGCTTGCCCTTAAGGAGTTCACAGTTAAGTCACAGAGACAGACAGCTAGGCTAGCTGTTTCCAAATTATGTGATCCATACTATGACAGAGGCCTGGCACATCCATCCCTCCAAGGGGCTGGCAAAGTGGAGCAGAGGAGGATTTTTACAGTGGAGGTCATGTCTGGACGGAATCTTGAGGGATAATAGTACTTGTGTAGGAGACTGGGGGTGGAGTGGGCACAGGGATTATTTCTCCCAGTGGGCAGAGCACAAGCCAAACACAAGACCCAGGGTACAAACCAGCATGCACAATTGGGGAACTAATGTACAAGGAGTAGTTGGTTATGGCAATAGCACAAGCTGATTATGACTAACGGCTGACTTGATACTGCAAAGAAGGAGATATTCCTGGAGATGTCTGCAGGGACAGATCATGGATGCCATTCTTCTTCCAACCTGACTTTCTTTTAGTATCCCTCAAAATAGACCCTGAAACAAGGACTTGGGTTAGGTAGTTTATGAATCACAAATGAGAAAAGGAAAGAAGGGAGAGAAGTCAATGAAGGCTGAATGAAGAGTGGTTTACTAATGTGAGCACCTGGGGCTCCCTCCATCCCACTGGAATCACCTGGGAAAGCAAGGAGCAAGCTTCATGGCTGGGGCATTTAATGCACAACTCCCATCTCCCATGGGTTATGGGTTGAGGCTCCTTCTAGGAGTGTTAATCCTTTCCCCTGCAAGCACACATTTTTATACTTTTATAAAGAACATGCTGCCTACTGCTGCTGAGCGCCCTCCCTTTGCTCAGGCAGAGAAACAGAGAGAAAAGGAGCTTAATACGGGAAGCAGACTGTGTGCAAGAAACTGTCTCTCACCAGTGTGGGTGAACTCAGGTGGGAAGGGCACAGGAGGCAGAACTTCAGCCGCGCCTGCTAAACAACCTAAAGTAGGCTGTTTCCTCCTTTCAGTCATGCGTAGTCGTATCCATCTCCACAGCTTTGCTCAGGACATTCATTCTTCCTCAACCCTAAACTTTGAACACCCTTTAATCCTCCTTCAACTCTGAAGCTTGCCTCAACACCCAATCAGAGGACCTTCCTCTCCTGTGAACACAGAATGTGTGTTGATACAGCAGTATATAATACTTACCATACAATGCCTTTTGGCTTTGTATTCTCTGAAAATCTATATTGGTCTGTTCTTGCATTGCTATAAAGAAATACCTGAGACTGGGTAGTTTATAAAGAAAAGAGGCCTAATTGGCTCATAGTTCTAAAAGCTTTATAGGAAGCATGATGCTGGCATCTGCTCAGCTTCTGATGAAGCTTCAGGGAGCTTTCAACCATGGCAGAAGGCAAAGGGGGAACAGGCACATCATATGGTGAAAGCAGTAGCAAGCAAGAGAGAGAGGAGGAGGGGAGGTGCCATACACTTTTAAACAAACAGATCTCAAGAGAACCTACTCTCTTGAAGACAGCACCAAGCCATGAGGGATTCCCACCATGACCCCACCACATCCCACTAGGCCCCAACTCCAGCACTGGGGATTACAATTCAACATGAGATTTGGTCAGGGACAAACATCCAAACTATATCACCATCCATTTATGTTGTTGGTTCCCCAAGGGAATGGATTGTGTCTTATCATCTTTGCATCACCCAGGGTGCCCAGAACATATTATTACTACTTTGATTGGCAAAATCTGCAATTACTTTTGCACCAGTGTAATAGTATTGATTAACTGCTTAGTCAAAAGGCAACTCCTACCTTGATGAGCCTTTGGAAAACAAAGCCCTTCCAATAATTCAGCCAATCCAATGCTACCTCAAAATGCATATTCCTAATACTGAGATGGTAAGCCGACCCATTTTTCAAGGTAGAGAAATGTGTTGTATTATAATGTAAACCAAATTAGCTCTATAAAGAATTTTGACTTTTTGATAACCTTCTGTTGAAAATAAATGAGCTGGTAGGAGTCAGAAAGTAGTTGTTACATTTGGAGCTAAACTGAAGAATCAGAACAGATACAAGACATAAAAAAGAGATGGCATACTGGCTTTAAATGCATATAATGTGAAACTTTGATGTCTGCTTCTTAACAATTTATTTAAAATGTTTTGGCCTTTGCACCACTTTAATTTTGGATACCTTCATTCCCTATGGATGTTGTGAAGTGTTGTATATATATATTTTAAATCCAGATTTGCCTATTTATTTTGGTATGTATTTTCTGACAGGTCAACTAGCATGGAAATCCTGGGCCTTGGGAGGTCTGAGTCTCATTTTTATATTTACCCAGAGAACATGCTGTTTCTCACTAAAGACAGTTGAACTATATGGGCCAGTTTCTCTTGTCAGCTTCTTGTAAGCTTTGAACTGGAAGAAGAAATACACAGCAGGGTAATCGAGCCCTTTGAAATTTGGGACAACTAGGAAAGATGCACTGTGGTATTGATTTGTAATAAGCTTTGTTCAAATGACATCCATCTGTACATGATAAGGATTCTTTTTGGATTAAGATGCCCAGTGGTTATAAATGAAAAGCCGTTATCTTTTTTTGGAGGGCGGGGATAGTGATGGTGGTGTGAGTATGTGATTTTCAGTTATTTCCTTTGTGGGATTTTTTTGGCATTTGAAAAAAAAAAGCATGTTCTTTCATTAGTGGCACATAAGGTAGTGTAAAGGATGTGCCAATATAGAACTTAATACATCACACAGTTTTCCTCGCATGGAGCTGAAGAAGCTGAAGGAGCTGCTCTCCTGGGCTCTTTCTACCGATGCTCACTGTTTATCGAGCCCTCACAATATGCTGGGCAAGGTCCTAGTGCTTTACAGCTCAACATTCATCTCATTTTATCCTCACCAGGACTCTAGAAGCTGTACATCCGTCAGTCTTGTTTTACAGATGAGGACACAGGACCAGGAAGGTGAGATAACCTGGCCAACGCTCAGTGCTAGTAAACGGTAGCACTCAGATAAGGATTGAGATCTGTTTTTCTTCATAGGCCAAGTACTAGACTCTAGACTACACTGCACACCTCCAGCTGAAAACCTCTCCTGGCCAGACTGGGTGGCTAGCCTGCTGGGTGTTTACAGACTATAACTCCTCATTAGTGTAAAACAAGTGAGTCCAGTCATTTCAGAAATAATTGTTTAAAGTAGTTTGAATTTAAACCTAATCTCTTTTCAAAGTGCTTAATTCTAAAAATCCACTTACTCTGACTCCAACCAAGCTGCCCCTGGAAATCAGTGGAATTGGGATGTTTTCGGGTTAGTCTCAATTAGGTATGTTATTCCAATTAGGATTGTCGGGGTCTCAGTGTTCTGGAGCGTCAACTATCTTAAATTTGAATTGTTTACATCTTGATACCTGCCTATATTCAGTATTGAAATTTTGACATAATGGTGCTTTTCTTTAGAAAGCATTTAGGCCAGCTCACTCCCCTATTTAAAATCCTTTTGTGTATCTTACCATTTTAATTCTTTTCCCAGATTACCTGTGAGGTTGAGTATCTTATGTTTATCAGTCATTTGCATTTCATCCAGAGTGAGCTAGGACCTCAATCTAATTGCAGAGCCTCCTAAAGAAGTCTTTAAATGAAATGCATCTCCTACCCCATTCCATCCCCCATTATTGTATAGATACCTGGATGAAAATGTGATTAGAGGATTAGGAGAACAGGGGAGCAGGGTGAGGGAGGTTCTCAGGTCTAATTTCCACTCCTTTCCAAGGAGTATGACATCCTCCTTTGTTATAAGTTGAATTGTGTCTCTTCAAAAGATATTGAAACTATAACCCTCAGTACCTGTGAGTGTGACTTTATTTGCAAATAGGGTCTTTGTAGATGATCAGCTAAGATGAAGTCATTAGGTTGGGCCATGATCCAATATGATCCTATGAGGCCATTAGGTTGGGCTATGATCCAATATGTAGGTGATCAGTTAAGATGAGGCCATTATGTTGGGCCATGATCCAATATGAATATTCCTAGTAAAAAGGGAATTTTACACAAGAAACAGAGACACAAGGAGAATGCCAAGGAAAGAGTGGAGTTTTGCTGCCGCAAGCCCATCAGTGCCAAAGATTTTCAGCAAGTCGCCACAATCCAGGAGAGAGGCACAGAACGGATTCTTTCTAACGTTCTCATGAGACACCAACCCTGCTGACAACTTCATCTTGGACATCTAGCCTCCAGAACTACCAGATAATACATTTCTATTTTTTAAGTCACCCAGTTTGTGATACTTTGTTATGCTGTGCCCAGAAACTAATACATCCTTTTTCCCAGGAATAGGCTTGCTCCTCCGCCCTCTCTTTTCCTCACAAGACATGCATTTTCTTAGCACCCCCTTCAGTCTATAAAAGGACCAGGACTTTTTCCTATAGTCATCCTACCGGAATAGGCTCAAGCCCAAAGGATGGAGGTACATCAGACAGGTATCGTGGTCTGTCCAGAGGGACATCATGTGCAGGGTAAAGACAGCTGCCAACTCTCTCTTTTTAATGATATCACAAAAATATCAGAAGAATGGCAGATATCAGAAGAATGGCAATGTCATGCTTTAGCTCTGGGATGGTAATTAATCATCCCAATTTTCTCTATTATGCCACTTCTTTTATTTAAGCATGTCATTTTAGAGAATCTGAGATTTTGAGGAAGACAGGAGCTAATTTATAGAGGACACTGTATGTGAGAATACTTAGTTAATATTTAACTATACGAAATATGAAAGCATAATGAAGATACTCCCACCCTAGCGCTATGCGAATGCACTTCTTATCATCTCTGTTTGGATTTGGTGCACAGACAAGCCTGCAGCTGGAGGCCTCCACATCCCTGCAGAAGGGCGAGCCTTGCTTTGTGGACCTGTACTTTTCTTCACCTCCCTTAGACTGTCAAAGATAACTGATTGATGTTAATTATTTTCTTAGTTATTTGTAAAGTAATAAAATTCTTTTTTTCTACTAGCTTTTTAAAAGCATTTGGAAATGTCTACATGAAAGACTCTGAGGAGAGTCACAGCTAACAGGAGTGGGAAGGAGTCTAGTTTCCTGAGAAACTTCACTCTTGTTTCAGTCCCTAATAACTGGTTTCAGAATCTTGGGGTTTTCAAGAGAGAGAGAAAGAGAGGGATATGTCAGACCTGGAGGCAGCTCATCCTTGGTGTCCAACACACTTTGTTCATAGGAGTTCTGATTCCCTTTTCTCTGTTTCCTATGGTGGCAGGATCTCTAGTCACAAGAACTATTAATATTTGTACAATAACTGAAAGAGGCTCTCACCCTCAACCACAAAGGGGTAAGGGGCAGTATCCACCAACCTGCAGAGTGAGCTAAAAATTCACAGCTGTGTGGGCACTGACTGTTTCTTTTTAAAGACTTTGGTGGAAAGTTGCTTCCTATATTTTAGGCAGAGAATCTGATCTAAACAAAGCAGTTAAATCTTCCTTTCCATCCTAAGGGAAAGGTTTTCCAAAAGATTAATCTTTCCCTGATGCTGTATGATGTTTTCATTTGTCTTTCCAACAAATATTTATGGAGGGCCTGCTAGGTGCTAGGCTCTGCAGTATTAAAGCGAGTGAAGCAGAGCTTCTGCCCTCACAGAGTTTACATTCTAGTGGGGGAGGTCAACTTGATATATACGTATGCCATGAGTGATAAAAAAAAATACAAACGAGTTAAAGGGCATAAAGAGAGCCAGAGTCAGGAGTGGGGTTGCTCCTTTGAATAGGGTGGCCAGGGGAAGCCTCTGATAGATTATGTCAGAGCAGAGCCCAGAAGGAGTGAGCGAGAAGACCACAGTGATGGATGGATGAACATTCAAGCAGAGGGAAGGCGAAATAGAGGAGCTGGTTGACTTCTTCGGGGAACAGCAAAATAGTGGTCTAAAACAAATAATAAACTGGTGGGGGAATATGGATGTCTGGGTCTCATGCTTTGTAGGGAAAAAACTCACAGGTAAATTTATACCCCAGCTCTCCCTTGAGGGATCAGGCTGAGTGGGAAGCAGGAAATACTGCGCCTGAACTCAATCCTGCTTCTTGGCTTCTGGTACTTCCCTGCCCTGCTCTGCTTCCTTGGTGGTCTCCCCTTCATCATTTGACCAAGAAACCCACCTCAGGTCTGCTTCTGAGATACCAGCCATTGGAGAATTCCACACAAATGAGTTTATCATTTGACTTATGGTTTCTAAGGATTACACTGGAAGATGAAAGGGTGGAAGTAGGGAGACCCACTGATGCTTGGCAATAGTTCAGGATGGTAGTGATGAATATGTGAGAAGTGACTGGAGCCTGAAACTATTTTGAAGATATGGTTAACAGGACTGGATGATGGAGATATGAGAAAAAGAATAGAATCAGGGATGATTCCAAAGTTTTGGGCCTAAAAAACTGGGTGGAGTTGCCACACACTGAGAAGGGGGAAGACAGTGGGGAGGCAGGTTTGGGGAGAGACATCAGACGTTCAGTTTTCTTGCATTTGAGATACTGATTGGATATCCAAGTGGAGATGTCAAGCAGGCAATGTGTCTCCCAGACTGGAATTCAGGGATGGGGCCTAGGGTAGAACGTTACATGTGGGAGTACTCAGCAGTCATGACAGGGGAGAGATTCTAGACAGAGAAGAGGTCTCAGGAGTGAGTCATAGAAAATCCCAAACTTGCAGGCTGGGGAGGCGAGGAGAGACCAGCAAAGGAACTTGCAGGCTGGGGAGGTGAGGAGAGACCAGCAAAGGAGCATCAGAAGGAGGGGCCAGCCTGACAGATGGGAACCTCTGAGAACAGGGCCTTAGAAACCAAGGAAAAAGAGGGCACCTTGTAGGAGGGAGAGACCAGGTGTACAGCGCTCAGGAGACTGAAGCAAACAGGCCTAAGAACTTCCCTTTGGATTTGGCAGCAAAGAGGCCTTGAACTGTCTTGACAAGAGCTGTTTGGGAGAGATGGACACAAAGTCCCAAAGGGAAGGGCTCAAGAGACAATAGGAGATGAGTATGTAAAGACACTGAACACAGGTAACTCTTCTGAGAAGTTTTGTTATACAGAAGAATAGAAAAATGGGCAGAACTTTGGGAGGAATGTGGGGCCAAAAGGGGATTTTTGAAAGATGCAGATATGACAGGATGTTTTGAATTTATGCAGATGATCTCACAGAAAGGATAGAATCAAGATGCAGGAGAGAAGAGGCAATTGCTGGAGTCATGTCCTTGAGCCGCTGAAAGGAGATGGGATGGGTTGACGTTAGTTAGGTATGTGTACAGTTTACCCTTACTCACAGGACAGCTGTCAGGCAATAGAGATACAGGGACGGATAGATCACAGGTGAGGTGGTTAAATCTTTCCTGATTGCTTGTATTTTCTTTGATAGCTAGAACTCATGGTCATAAGTGGGGCCATTAGATGTTGAGCCATTAGATGTGCATTTTTGTACTCTCGATGATTTTGGCAATGATTCTTCCAGCCATTAAAACATAACCGGTGTCTACAAAGAGCTAGACCTACACACAAGTTAATGCCCTTCCCCAAATTTCTGAATCCCTGGCCAAAGTTTATCCATAGGGGTTATTAATAAATCATGCAGCTAATTCATCAACTAAATGTAGATGACTTTAAGACAGACTAAATTTGTTCTGAAGGGCTGACTATTATTATTATTATTTATAAGCAATGTTCACTAGCAGAATATAGTTTTTAGTTTTAAATTTCCTGGTTTCTGCCTGCACAAATTAAAGAAGATGGAACTTCAACCCTCCTTTTCTAGTCTGCTGCTTTTTGACACTCTGACCAACACTTAGTACTACTTAAACATTTTTCTCTTTTTATTATAAAAATGTCAGCTTGCAGATTAATGTAAACTTGGCCTTTTTGTGTAATTTATCCTTCGAGGCTGAAGGAAAATCTTCAGGGAGAGTATAAAACCAATCAGGCATCCATTTAGAAAAAATGCTGTGATTATTTTTTATATGCAGTTTTATATCATTTCACTTTTTCAATATGTCTATTTCACATAATTTATTACTCGACACTTTTTATTTTCAATCATTTTTGGTTGCATATAAATAAACATGCATTAATGTCAAGAGAATTAGCATTCTATTGTAAACCATATACAAGCTAAAAAACTGGCTTCGGTGAAGTTGCCACCTTATTTGGGACATACATATACATTTGATGGTTCGTGTCTAGAGAATTAAACATTGGCACTTTTTAAAAAATTCTTGCTAAATAGAAGCACTTCTTAAATGGAGACAGTGATTTCCAGAGCAACGTTATGCAGGTGAGAATTAGGCTTTTTAATGTTGTTCTGTTTGGAAGTTAATCTTAAAATAATTTAAATAGTAGCTTAAATGATGACTGTTTATGCTTCCCCAGAAGAAATCCTGGTCGACAGTATGACCACATGTGTTCATACACATTTAAATATGATTATATTATTTACTATTTCTTAATATAATATTTAAAATATTTTATTGGAATACTTAAAAATTAAATAAAAATTTCTTCACTAGTCATCAAGACATATCAAGTTTGAGCTCTTCTATGTAAATCTATGAAAAACCAGGTTTTTCCACTAGCTTTGAAATGAAGTTCATTGAATCAGGTCCTATCCTGTTAGTGGGGAGAGAAAGAAGACAGGTCTGGGAGCCAAGACGGCCGAATAGGAACAGCTCCAGTCTACAGCTCCCAGCATGAGTGATGCAGAAGACGGGTGATTTCTGCATTTCCAACTGAGGAACGTAGCTCCTCACCAGCAATGGAACAAAGCTGGATGGAGAATAACTTTGACGAGTTGAGAGAAGAAGGCTTCAGACGATCAAACTAATCCGAGCTAAAGGAGGAAGTTCGAACCCATGGCAAAGAAGTTAAAAACTTTGAAAAAAAATTAGATGAATGGCTAGCTAGAATAACCAATGCAGAGAAGTCCTTAAAGGACCTGATGGAGCTGAAAACCAAGGCATGAGAACTATGTGACGAATGCACAAGCCTCAGTAGCCAATTCGATCAACTGGAAGAAAGGGTATCAGTGATGGAAGATCAAGTGAATGAAATGAAGAAGAGAAGTTTAGAGAAAAAAGAATAAAAAGAAATGAACAAAGCCTCCAAGAAATATGGGACTATGTGAAAAGACCAAATCTACATCTGATTGGTGTACCTGAAAGTGACGGGGAGAATGGAACCAAGTTGGAAAACACTCTGGAGGATATTATCCAGGAGAACTTCCCCAATCTAGCAAGGTAGGCCAACATTCAGATTCAGGAAATACAGAGAATGCCACAAAGATACTCCTCGAGAAGAGCAACTCCAAAACACATAATTGTCAGATTCACCAAAGTAGAAATGAAGGAAAAAGTGTTAAGGGCAGCCAGAGAGAAAGGTCGGGTTACCCACAAAGGGAAGCCCATCAGACTAAGAGCGGATCTCCTGGCAGAAACTGTACAAGCCAGAAGAGAGTGGGGGCCAATATTCAACATTCTTAAAGAAAAGAATTTTCAACCCAGAATTTCATGTCCAGCCAAACTAAGCTTCATAAGTGAAGGAGAAATAAAATCCTTTACAGACAAGCAAATGCTGAGAGATTTTGTCACCACCAGGCATGCCCTAAAAGAGTTCCTGAAGGAAGCACTAAACATGGAAAGGAACAACTGGTACCAGCCACTGCAAAAACATGCCAAATTGTAAAGACCATCGAGGCTAGGAAGAAACTGCATCAACTAATGAGCAAAATAACCAGCTAACATCGTAATGACAGGATCAAATTCACACATAACAATATTAACCTTAAAGGTAAATGGGCTAAATGCTCCAATTAAAAGACACAGACTGGCAAATTGGATAAAGAGTCAAGACCCATCAGTGTGCTGTATTCAGGAAACCCATCTCATGGGCAGAGACATGCATAGGATCAAAATAAAAGGATGGAGGAAGATCTACCAAGCAAATGGAAAACAAAAAAAAGCAGGGGTTGCAATCCTAGTCTCTGATAAAACAGACTTTCAACCAACAAAGATCAAAAGAGACAAAGAAGGCCATTACGTAATGGTAAAGGGATAAATTCAACAAGAAGAGCTAACTATCCTAAATATATATGCACCCAATACAGGTGCACCCAGATTCATAAAGCAAGTCCTTAGAGACCTACAAAGAGACTTAGACTCCCACACAATAATAATGGGAGACTTTAACACCCCACTGTCAACATTAGACAGATCAGCGAGACAGAAAGTTAACAAGGATATCCAGGAATTGAACTCAGCTCTGCACCAAGTGGACCTAATAGACATCGACAGAACTCTCCACCCCAAATCAACAGAATATACATTCTTTTCAGCACCACACCACACCTATTCCAAAATTGACCACATAGTTGGAAGTAAAGCACTCCTCAGCAAATGTAAAAGAACAGAAATAATAACAAACTGTCTCACAGACCACAGTGGAATCAAACTAGAACTCAGGATTAAGAAACTCACTCAAAACCACTCAACTTCATGGAAACTGAACAACCTGCTCCTGAATGACTACTGGGCACATAACGAAATGAAGGCAGAAATAAAGATGTTCTTTGAAACCAACGAGAACAAAGACACAACATACCAGAATCTCTGGGACACATTCAAAGCAGTGTGTAGAGGGAAATTTATAGCACTAAATGCCCACAAGAGAAAGCAGGAAAGATATAAAATTGACACCCTAACATCACAATGAAAAGAACTAGAGAAGCAAGAGCAAACACATTCAAAAGCTAGCAGGAGGCAAGAAATAACTAAGATCAGAGCAGAACTGAAGGAAATAGAGACACAAAACACCCTTCAAAAAATTAATGAATCCAGGAGCTGGTTTTCAGAAAAGATCAACAAAATTGTTAGACAGCTAGCAAGACTAATAATAAAGAAGAAAAGAGAGATCAAGTAGATGCAATAAAAAATGATAAAGGGGATATCACCACTGATCCCACAGAAATACAAACTACCATCAGAGAATACTACAAACACCTTTACACAAATAAACTAGAAAATCTAGAAGAAACGGATCAATTCCTGGACACATACACCCTCCCAAGACTAAACCAGGAACAAGTTGAATCTCTGAATAGATCAATAACAGGCTCTGAAATTCAGGCAATAATTAATAGCTTACCAACCAAAAAAAGTCCAGGACCAGAAGGATTCACAGCCAAATTCTACCAGAGGTACAAGGAGGAGCTGGTACCATTCCTTCTGAAACTATTCCAATCAATAGAAAAAGAGGGAGTCCTCCCTAAGTCATTTTATGAGGCCAGCATCATCCTGATACCAAAGCCTGGCAGAGACACAACCAAAAAAGAGAATTTTAGACCAATATCCCTGATGAACATTGATGCAAAAATCTTCAATAAAATACTGGCAAACCGAATCCAGCAGCATATCAAAAAGCTCATCCAGCATGATCAAGTGGGCTTCATCCCTGGGATGCAAGGCTGGTTCAACATACGAAAATCAATAAATGTAATCCAGCATGTAAACAGAACCAAAGACAAAAACTACATGATTATCTCAAAAGATACAGAAAAGGCCTTTGACAAAATTCAACAACCCTTCATTCTAAAAATTCTCAGTAAATTAGGTATTGATGGGACGTATCTCAAAATAATAAGAGCTATCTTTGACAAACCCACAGCCAATATCATACTGAATGGGCAAAAACTGGAAGCATTCCCTTTGAAAACTGGCACAAGACAGGGATGCTCTCTCTCACCACTCCTATTCAACATAGTGTTGGAAGTTCTGGCCAGGGCAATCAGGCAGGAGAAGGAAATAAAGGGTATTCAACTAGGAAAAGAGGAAGTCAAATTGTCCCTGTTTGCAGATGACATGATTGTATATCTAGAAAACCCCATTGTCTCAGCCCAAAATCTCCTTAAGCTGATAGACAACTTCAGCAAAGTCGCAGGATACAAAATCAATGTGCAAAAATTACAAGCATTCTTATACACCAATAACAGACAAACAGAGAGCCAAATCATGAGTGAACTCCCATTCACAATTGCTTCAAAGGGAATAAAATACCTAGGAATCTGACTTACAAGGGACATGAAGGACCTCTTCAAGGAGAACTACAAACCACTGCTCAATGAAATAAAAGAGGATACAAACAAATGGAAGAATATTCCATGCTCATGGGTAGGAAGAATCAATATTGTGAAAATGGCCATACTGCCCAAGGTCATTTATAGATTCAATGCCATCCCCATCAAGCTACCAATGACTTTCTTCACAGAATGGGAAAAAACTACCTTAAAGTTCATATGGAACCCAAAAAGAGCCCACATTGCCAAGTCAATCCTAATCCAAAAGAACAAAGCCGGAGGCATCACGCTACCTGACTTCAAACTATACTACAAGGCTACAGTAACCAAATCAGCATGGTACTGGTACCAAAACAGAGATACAGACCAATGGAACAGAACAGAGCCCTCAGAAATAATGCCACATATCTACAACTATCTGATCTTTGACAAACCTGAGAAAAACAAACAATGGGGAAAGGATTCCCTATTGAATAAATGGTGCTGGGAAAACTGGCTAGCCATATGGAGAAAGCTGAAACTGCATCCCTTCCTTACACCTTACACAAAAATTAATTCAAGATGGATTAAAGACTTAAATGTTAGACCTAAAACCATAAAAACTGTAGAAGGAAACCTAGGCATTACCATTCAGGACATAGGCATGGGCAAGGACTTCATGTCTAAAACACCAAAAGCAATGGCAACAAAAGCCAACATTGACAAATGGGATCTAATTAAACTAAAGAGCTTCTGCACAGCAAAAGAAACTACCATCAGAGTGAACAGGCAACCTACAGAATGGGAGAACATTTTTGCAATCTACTCATCTGAAAAAGGGCTAATATCCAGAATCTACAATGAACTCAAACACATTTACAAGAAAAAAACAAACAACCCCATCAACAAGTGGACAAAGGATATGAACAGACACTTCTCAAAAGAAGACATTTATGCAGCCAAAAGACACATGAAAAAATGCTCATCAGCACTGGCCATCAGAGAAATGCAAATCAAAACTACAATGAGATACCATCTCCCACCAGTTAGAATGGCAATCATTAAAAAGTCAGGAAACAACAGGTGCTGGAGAGGATGTGGAGAAATAGGAACACTTTTACACTGTTGGTGGGACTGTAAACTAGTTCAACCATTGTGGAAGTCAGTGTTGCGATTCCTCAGGGATCTAGAACTGCAAATACCATTTGACCCAGCCATCCCACTACTGGGTATATACCCAAAGGATTATAAAACATGCTGCTATAAAGACACATGAACATGTATGTTTATTGAGGCACTATTCACAATAGCAAAGACTTGGAGCCAACCCAAATATCCAACAATGATAGACTGGATTAAGAAACTGTGGCACATATACACCATGGAATACCATGCAGCCATAAAAAATGATGAATTCATGTCCTTTGTAGGGACATGGATGAAGCTGGAAACCATCAGTCTCAGCAAACTATCACAAGGACAAAAAGCCAAACACCACATGTTCTCACTCATAGGTGGGAATTGAACAACGAGAACACATGGACACAGAAAGGGGAACATCACACACCGGGGCGTGTTGTGGGGTGGGGGGAGTGGGGAGGGATAGCATTAGGAGATATATATACCTAATGTTAAATGACGAGTTACTGGGTGCAGCACACCAACATAGCACATGTATACATACATAACAAACATGCACGTTGTGCACATGTACCCTAAAACTTAAATTAAAAAAAAAAAAGAGGCCGGGCGCGGTGGCTCACGCCTGTAATCCCAGCACTTTGGGAGGCCGAGGTGGGCGGATCACGAGGTCAGGAGATCGAGACCATCCTGGCTAAAACGGTGAAACCCCGTCTCTACTAAAAATACAAAAAATTAGCCGGGCGTAGTGGCGGGCGCCTGTAGTCCCAGCTACTTGGGAGGCTGAGGCAGGAGAATGGCGGGAACCCGGGAGGCGGAGCTTGCAGTGAGCCGAGATCCCGCCACTGCACTCCAGCCTGGGCGACAGAGCGAGACTCCGTCTCAAAAAAAAAAAAAAAAAGAAAGAAGACATATAATTCTGGGGGAAATTTATTGGAAAACATGATTTATAATATTTAAATACAAATTAGAGGAATGCTCAAAAGAAACTGCAAATGAAATAAATTTAAAAGCAAAATAAATCTATATAAGTAATTGGTACATTTTCTTCTCTTTGCTTTACCATGCTTTAGGTTAGATAATTATTATATAATTAAAATTTTAATAGTGAAATCAATGACAAACATTACCAACACCTAGTACTAAATGAATACATAGCATTTAAATATTCATTTTTTCAAAGTATGCAAATTTTAGCTACACGACAAGGAGGCTCTTAATGTCATTTTCGTAAGTAAGGCATGTCTGTCTGAGGCCCCAGGATAAATGAGGCTGATTGACTTGACTCCCTGTGTTTCCATGAATGCATTTGTGATCACTGGCCTTACCACCCAGAGGTCACTACGAATGTTAGCCTTCCCTTGCTGAAAGACATTTTTAAGGACTTCATTTGAAACAGTTGCCTTGCAAGGGGATTCCAATAATCCTTAACACTCATGACCACCACTTCTCTTTGCTTCCAGACTCATAACCTGAGACAAATCCTGACAGATTCCAGACAGATGGTTATAAAGCCTGACTCTGGAAGAGGTATCATATCCACTGAAAGAAGAATGTTGCCTATTTCTTTTGGCAGAACTTAGGGAATGTACAGATAAATGGATTTTAAGAGTACAAGAGAAGGGGAAAAGAAATAATGTATCAATGTGGGTGCACTTAGTGGAGATTTTGCATTCAGTGTGTTATCTCAGGAAGCTAGTATTCAATCCTTTGCTTAATTATTTAAGTGAAATAAAATTGAATATTAGCCTTCTTCCTGTGAGGTTTGAATTGTTAGAACTTCTTGGTAGGATGTAGAGAAGAGGTCCGACGTCTATGAAGATCAGAACGATAAAGCTGATTTATCATATCAGTTCTCACACACAGCCCACCATTACTGTGCTCTCTGGAGGGTTAGAGGACATACTTTTCACTACGGTATTAAGAAATGCAGTGAGAAGGGTAGCAACAGGATCCTTGAAAGATTTGTGTGGTTTTCCTCTGTGAACCAGGAATTATGGTGAGAGATACAGTCCCTGAAAAAGGCTCCTTGATTTCAATGGCGGATCATGGCAACCAGCAGTGGGAGATGGCTAAGTAGCAGGGCTTAAGTGCCTATGAGATGGTCAACATTTGTGCAACAGATAACAGGTCTACAACCATATTCAGAATGGTCTGATGCAGCCTTTAGAAATCTTTTGCAGTGGTCACAATGTCTCTATGACTAAAGAAGACAAACAGTCTTAGAAAGATATACATAATTTATGTAAGCAGCAGGAAAAAAAAATCTCCTCTAGTCCTAATAATGATCTGACTTCAGACACCAAAGAAGAAAATCACAACTCCATTCAAGTCCCAAACTAGAGGCAGTACAGACAGAGCTTTTTGAATAAAGGGTAAGCCTGGGATCCTTGAAGAAAAACTGTACAAGACTGCCGCGAGTATGACCTATGTATCTCCCTCCAAGCATTTCCCCAAAGTGGCTATTTATCAGGGTGGTGGCTCTATACCGGATAAATAGAAATACCTAGACTTTTCAGAGATCACAGTGTACTGCTTATAAACTAATGCAAACACTCATATTTGTGGATCTGATATATCAGGGGCTTAGGAAAGTCAGTTGATAAATAAAGTTTAAGCCTGAGTCAATTTTGAGTAAGACCAGGGAATCTACAACCCGACTCTGTAGCTATTTTCCCATTTACTAAATGCATAGAAGGAAGAGGCAGGTATACTCTGCAACCGGCACAGTATACACATTGAATACTCTGGTTACCACCTCAGCCATGCAATGAGGGCTATTATGGTAGGAAAGGCCAAGTGGAACCACCTGGAATGCATTTTCTAGCAAAACAATAAATAAAAAATGTTAATGCTTTCTTGAAGGAGATGCAGAGATTAGTTCCACTACCAAAGATTTGCAGGGTGATGATTGCTATTACATTCTCTTTTGTCTCCTTATTTAGCTCGTGCAAAAGATGGAATGCTCTTGGAGAATAAAAGTATATTATCACAAACTTAATCAGGCAGTGACTCCAATTGCATTTACAATTCCAACTGTGGCCTATTTACTGGGGCACATCCAGTATAAACCTTGCAAACTGATAAGCAGATATTGATTTGGCATATGCTTTCTTCTCTATACTAGTAGGCAGAATCACCAGAAGCAGTTTGCTTTCACTTGGAAGAGACAGCATTATACCATTATTGACTTTCCTCAGGGGTATGTCAACTTTCTGGCCCTCCCACAGAAACCAGTCTTTTTCTACTCAAAGTGTGATCTGCAGATCAGCTGTGTTACCGTCACCTGGCAGATTGTTAGAAATGCAGAAACTCAGTTCTTATTGCAGACCTACTGAATTTTTCTATGCACATTAAAGTTTGAGAAGGACTGATCTTGTCTAAAGTGACTTTGATCACATCACCATCTCATATAGAGTGTCACACTGGTCCACTAAATAGATAACAAGGCTGGTTAAACCTGGAAGTAACAAATACTCAAAGTGAATTTGTGAAGTATTATATAAATATTAGAGGGTGGTAAAAAAGATCCTATGAAAATTCAGGGGCCTGCTACCTCAGTGAGGTTTCTAGGAGTCCAGGAATCTGAGGAATGTTGAGAGATCCTGTTTAAAGAGAAAGACAAATCATTGTACTTTGTACCTCCTACTGCTAAGATAGAATTAGAATAATTAGTGAAGATCTTCTGCTATTCTACTCATTTACTGAGTGTTTACCCAGTTGCCAGTTGTGACTAGAGCCCAGAGCAAGAGGAAGTTTTGTGGCAGGTCCAGTGAAAGCTGATTTTCCATTTTAGCCATATGACCATCAGATTCAATTGTAATATAATTTTCTATGATTCATGTGGTTTTGACACGGTGTCTTTGGTAATCCTAATGAGAAAAATTACAAAGTGTAACTCTAGAATTTGGAAAGAAATCCATGTCCTGTTTTGCAAAGAATTATTCTCATTTTGGAAGCACAGTAATGGCTTTCTGCTAAGCCCTAAAGAATACTGTACAACTGACCTTACAACACCAAGTAACTATGCCACCTGAGTTACACCTTGTGAACTTGGTATGGTATACTCTACCAAGACATAAATTTGGGCATGTGTAACAAACTTTCAACATCAAATGGAAGTGCTATATATGAAACTGGATTTTAGCAGGAAATGAATTCACAAGTAAGTTCATGTACAGGCAGCTGACTCTTATGGTACCTACTATTATTGCACAGTCACTTCTTCCTTAATCCATACACAGAATTTCACATCAACAGTTGTAAGAGAGAACAAACTTAGGCCTGTTTTACACAGATAATTCCACATAAAATGCTGTTACAACTCCAAATTGGACCACTTCAGTTTTATGGGGATATTCTGAGATGACCCTGAAAGATAATGATGGAAAGGAAATACTTTCAGCAGAACTTTTAGTAGTGCATATACTTGTTATTTTTACCTAGATGGATAGATATACAAATGTAAAAATTTATGGCAATTTATGGGCACTGACTAATGGTTTGGCCAGATGGTCAAAGGGAGTGCATTTGAGGAGCACCGACATGGAAAACTAAGGAAGAAGTACATAGATGGAATAATCTCAGAATCGACATAAGGCATGAGAACATTTGTACCCATGCGAATGCTCACAAAAAGCTTTCCTTCAAAAGGAGTCTCCTGTTAATCAAGTGGACAAGATAGATTTTCCTGTGGGTTCCAGTAAAGTCTCTTTCTCTAGCCATGGGTTTATGAACAAAGTGGCCTTGGCAGGAAGCATGGAAGTTAAAGTTAATGAATGGGCTTAACAACATGGATTAACAGTCACTGTTGAGTGCCCAAAATGTCAACAGCAGAGACAACATGAGTGCTCGATATAGTGTCATTCCTAGGGGAGACTAGACTAGCCAATCCTTTGGTGTCGAGTAATTTAATTAAAATGCACTATCATAAATAAATCTGCAATTTTTACTTACTAGAATAAACACTTACTCTACAAGTTATTTGCTTACTCTCCATGCAGTGATTTTACCAGAAACTTCATCTGTAGAATTACTGAATATCTTTTGCATCATCAAGGTATTACACTTGACATTACTTCTGGCCAAGAAACTCACTTTATAGCAAAATAGTAGATACACAACTATGATAGCAACTGATTCTGTCTAGCCTGTAACCCCAATGTAACTGATCTAGTAGAAGAGTGGAACAACCTACTGATGACCCTGCTATGGTGCATGCACAGTTGTGAATCTGGGAAAATGTAATATGACTCCATACGTTTTCTTGAGTCAGCAACCAGTAATGGCACAGTTTTTCCTATAGCTAATATATACAATTCTTAGAACAAAGGGGTAAAAGTGCCCTTATCTGTTATCTTCTAATAACCTACCCCAAAATCATTTGCTTCCTGTTGTTGTAGCTTTGGGCTCTCTAACTCAAAGATATAAATTCCCAAGGAAGGCGTGTTTCCACTAGTGGCACAGTAATAATTGCAATCAACTGGAAGTTGAGGATACTCCCTGGGCACCTTGGGCTTCTTATACCAATTAGCCATAATGCTATATACCTAATGCTTAAGGAAAAGCAGCATGTGGTGCTAGCTGGAGATATCAATTTTGCTGGGTTGTCAGGGAAAAATGGGGGCAGTTTCCTAACGTTGTACAGCAGGGCAGAAAGGAGTAGTCTGAAATCAGAATATTCTCTTGTGAGACTCTTAGAACTTACTGGTTATAGAATAAAAGTTATTGGGAGACTATAGCAATGCAATGCTGGGAGGACCACTAATGGCTCTATAATTGAAGGTTTGTGCTATGGTTTGAATGTTCGTGTCCCTCCAAAATTCATGTTGAAATTTAATCCCCAAAGCATTACTATTAAGAGGTGGAGTATTTAAGAGGAGGTTATGTCATGAGGGCTCTGCACTCATGAACAGGTGTAGTGACCTTATGAAAAGGCTTAAGGGAATCTGTTTGCCTCTTTTGCCTTTCCACCTAACAACACAGCAACAATATGCCACTTTGGAAGCAGAGAACAAGCCTTTATCAGACACCAAATCTGCTGGCACCTTGATCTTGGACTTCCCAGACTCCAGGACTGTGAGAAATAAATTTGTATCATAAATTACCCATTCTAAGTTATTTCTTTATAGTAGCCCAAATGCACTGAGACAGAAAATGGTACCAAAAACTTGAGTGCTGTTGTAACAAATACCTAAACATGTCGAAGCTGCTTTAGAACTGGGTAATGGGCAGAGGCTGAAAGTATTTCGAAGAGCAGGCTACAAAAATCCCATATCGCCATGAACGGATCATAAAGGGGCATTCTGGTCAGTGCTCAGAAGAAGAGAGCTGTAGACAGAGCCTCAATCTTCTTGGAGATTACTTAAGTGATTATGATTAGAATGTTGGTAGAAATATGGATAACAAAGGCCATTTCAATGAGGTCTCACATAAAAATAAGGAACATGCTATTACAAACTGGAAGACAGGCTGTCTTTGTTATGAAGAGGCAAAGAACTTGGCTGAATTGTGTTTATGTCCTAGATACTTGTGCAAGCAGAACTTAAAAGAAATCTATTAGTTGGTGCAAAAGTAATTGTGGTTTTTGCCATTAAAACTAATGGCAACATATAATTGGATATTTGGCAGAAGAAATCTCTCAGCAAAGTGTTAAAGGTGAAGCATAGCTTCTTGTGACTGCTTACAGAAAAAAAAATAAAGAGAGAAACAAAGATGAAATTTATAATTGAAGGGAAGCAGAACTTAAAGATTTAAAAATTTTCATTCTGGCCATGTTAAGAATGAAAAAGCATGCCCAGGAGAGAACACCAAAGTTATAGCCAAGTAAGTGTTTGATAAAAAGACTAGTAAGGACAGAAGAAGGTCAGATATTATTCGTCAAGACAATGGAAGAATGACCCCAAAGACATTTTTGGAGATCTTCAAGGCAGCCATTTTCATCATAAACCCAGAGTGCTAGGACCTTGAGGACAGAACATTTTCAGGGAGGGGCCCAGCATGCCCATAGGACCTCAGAGATTACTGCCCAGAACTACCTCAGGTTTCTGCTTCACACATTCTGGAGCCATGTACTTTGGCTGCCCCAGGTGTGACTCCAGTGGGCCCAGGTGCAGTGCATCCTGCCATCGCCTCCCCTCTGGAAGGTGGAGGCCATAAACTTCCATGGCAGGCATGTAGTGCTAACTCTGTAGGTGTGCAGAGTGCAGGAGTTGTGGGGTTGGGGCCACCACAGAGAGCCTTCACTAGGCCAATGCCTACTGTAGTCTTGAGTGTGGGGTCGCCACAGAGAATACCCGCTAGGGCAATGCCCAGAGGAGCTGTGAGGTCAGGGCCACTACAGAAACCCCCCATTAGGGCAACAACTAGTGCAGCCATGTGGACAGGACCAACATGCAGACATCAAACTAGGAGAGCCACTAACATTGTAACTCCACCCCAGGAGAGCTGCAGGCATGTGACTACAACTCATGAGAGTTATTGCGTGGGCTACACCCAGAAAAGCCATAGGGCAGGGCTGCTCAGAGCCTTGGGGGCCCAGCCTCTGCCTCAGTGTGTTCAGAAGGTGGAACATGGACTCAAAAAGATTATTCTCATGCCTCAAGATTTAGTAGTTTTTGCCTTGTTGGCTTTTGGACTTATGTGGGAACTGTTACCCCTTTCTTCTTGCCTATTTCACCCTTTTGGAATGAAAATACCTATCCTATGTTTGTCCCAACTATTGTATTTTGAAAGCACATAACTTTTTCGATTTCACAGGCTTACAGCTGGAGGGGGAATTTGTTGCAGGATGAATCATACCTTAAGTATCACCCATATCTGATTTAGATGTTATTCAGGTGAGATTTTGGACTTTAACCTTAAAATTGATGCTGGAATGAGCTAAGGCCTTGGGTCTGTTGGGATGTAATGAATGTATTTTGTATGTGAGAAGGACATACATGGGGGGATGGGGCAGGAACAAAATCCTATAATTTGAACGTCTGTGTCCCTTCAAAGTTCAAGTTGAAACTTAATCCCTAATGCAATAGTATTAAAAAAGTGGTGCCTTTAGGAGGTGACTCAGTCCTGAGCTCAGAGCCCTCGTGAGTGGGAATTAGTGCCCTTATAAAATGGCTTGAGGAAGTGTGTTTACCTCTTTCAACCCTCTGCTTTTCCACTATATGAAGACACAGTAGCAAGGGACCATTTTGGAAGGAGAGAACAAGCCTTCACCAGACACTGAATCTGTTGGTGCCCTGATTTTGGACTTCCCAGCCCCTAGAACTGTGAGAAATAAATTTCTGTTCTTTATAAATTACTGCATCTAAGATACTTTGTTATAGCAGCCTGAACAGACAGAGACAGCTTGGGACAGAATTAGTTATCCTAGCCGGGGTAAGCAGAACATGACAAACCAGGAAGAACAAATATAACCAGCATGGTTTCATGACCAGTTTCAGAAATGAGGACTGTCCTAGCTATACATATTTTGTTTCTAGTTTTATTATGTATATTTTATATATTAATCAATAATTTATTTCTCCTTGCTTAAATTACAGAATATCAAAAGAGGACTCATTGAGAAAAGAAATGAGAATTACTCAGAGAAAATATAGAATAACTTAAGAAGTTTTTGTTTTTCATTTTGGGAAACAGAAGGTGAAAATATAGAATAACTTCAGAAATTTTTGTTTTTCATTTTGGGAAACAGAGTGAGCACA
Source organism: Homo sapiens (assembly GCF_000001405.40). Classification (NCBI taxonomy): domain Eukaryota; kingdom Metazoa; phylum Chordata; class Mammalia; order Primates; family Hominidae; genus Homo; species Homo sapiens. The sequence continues at coordinate 1,770,370 of NC_000009.12, read as the reverse complement.
TCTTTGATTATACAAGGTATAGGTGTATATGTTAGCCATAAGCCTTTGTTTTTGTTATTTGAAAATTTATATATGGGTAGAGAAATGTGTATAATTCCTAAGTTGATAAAGGGGTGCACAGCATCAGACTATTTTCAACTATACAACACCCTCGATACCTTCTGTATTTTCTTTTGAATTGCAGAGAAGAAGTCTGGCTCTGTATTTCACAGAATTACTTTCCTTACATGATTCTAGCAATTGTGAAAGATTTGAAAGTGGAAGAGAAAGGTAAGTCATTATTTCCGCAACAGCAATAGACAGCCAAAATGATCTGCAACAGCTTCCCTTGACTTTGAGGAATTTTTCTAAAATTAGGCATTTATGGGACTTTCCATGGATTCCAGTCAGACTTTTAAGAATCATCACTGAAGTACTGCAGATATCTGAAATCACCAGAACTGGCTTCTATTGGGCCCCTAAAGTCATGAGAATCACATATCAGTGCTGCAGGCAGTTGAGATTATTGTTGGCAGCTTCTCTATGATCCTTATACTTCCTGATCTCTCCCAAGGAGATTTTCCTGATGTGTACTCCCTAGCTATTCCCATCATGGTGTAGGTTTCTAATTTCTTATAATAATTCTCTTTCCATTTGAAATCCCCAGAGTGAGGCAGTCAATTATCAGGATATATCAACTATTTAGAAGCAAGAAAAGACCTGTTAATTAACTTAAATAGATAAAATAAAGACCAAGTACATTTTATTTATAGGAAGAGTTATCAGGCTCTTACTTAGAGTCTATCTATGTTTTTACAGATAACCCTAATAAGCTTGGTCATCTGTATCCCCAAGAGACAAACAGAGGCAGCAAATTGGAAAGAAGGAAGCCACTATCTGAAGCAGAGATTCCGATAGCACCAGTGACTGGACACCATTAGCAGGGTAGTTTTACTGACTCTTTTACATAATAGTGAATATAATAACTCAAAACATTTAGAAGTCTGGGGTCATTTAGTGGAGGAGTCAACATTTTATATAACAAAAGCCCCTAAAGGTATTATTGCCATATCAATCAACAATCATGATAACCTTCAAAATGAAGAAAAAATTATACCATATTCAGAATAATTTATTTAAGAAACTAGGGAGTTGTGTGTAATCCGTTTAGGAAAATATCTTTTTCTATCAAAACTTCAAATATTCTGAATCAAAATCTTGTGGGTGGGAGAGTCCAGAAAGGTACATTTGCTGGTTCACCCCTTCCCCCCGCAACTCTAATATACAGCCACAGCCAGGGTTGAGAACTACTGATCCAGTCAACGATCTCTCCAGAAAATGACGCCTGGGAATAAAAACAAATCTCTAATTTCTATTCTCACCTGTCACCTCCAGCTGTCAAACATCATCTAAGCTACTCCACTATAGCCACAGTGGCTTTTCTGTTAGATAACTGCTATCTTGTTGCCCCACACATCTGGATCCAGTTTCTCCCACATCTTGACACCAACTCCTATAGAAAGCATTCATTAGACAATCAGATAACTTTAAGATAATTATGCTATGCCTCAACTCTCTCCAATTTATACATTCTTGTCTTTTTATCACTCTGTAAACATATTCACGGGAAGTCTCTGAGATCTTTTCAGTGGTTTCCTGTTCATCACTACGCTTCCTGTCTGATTCCCCATCCCTCTGTGTAACCAGCTGGGTTCCTAATTCCTGATTTATCTGCCGTATTGGATTTATCTCTAAATTACAAATACCAGCCCAGGGTTTGCCACATACTTGGTTCTCTACAAACATTTGCTGAACAGAGTCTTGGTATCTGAGCCACAGTTACCTGCAGACTCCTAATTCTAATTTAAACTTTCTGCCTCCTAGACCTTTGACATATGGTACTAAAAATTACCAGCTGGAGCCCAAACTCAAACATGTAGGCATTTTACTGCATCAGGATTGGAGGACCAGAAGGGCAGGAACTAACTGGTGAATCACAGCCTGAAGAGAATATTGAAGAGGAAAGTAAGTGTTATCCTGTGAATCAAGTTGATGATGAGGGAAGATAGAAAATGGGGGAAATGGCAAAGGAAAGGAGCTTAAAAAAAAAGAGGCCCCAAGACTATGCTATGTATTCCTGAGTCAAATTTGAACAGCTAAGATTAGGACCATTTTGATATTTTGAAAGCTGTAGTAGCCAGTGTCCAAGATGACCCTCAGTGATCCCCATCTCCTGGTATTCACGCCTTTGTGTAATCCACTCCCACATTGTACCAGGGCTGGTCTGTGCAGTCAATAGCATAAGGCGAAAGTGTAAAATGTGATCTGAGGCTATGTCTTAAAAGCCAGTGTGGCTTCTGCCTTGTTCTCTTTTGTGGGTCACTTTCTCTGAGGGATGCCAAGTGCCCTGATGTAAGGATACTCAGGTGGCCAATGGAAAGGCCCATATGAAGAGAAATGGAGGTCTCTAGCCAACAGCCAGCAAAGAACAGAGGACTACCAATGGCCACAGGATTGAACCCCAGTAGAGCCTTGAGATGACTACAGCCCCGGCTGACCACTTAACTACAACCTGTGAGAGACGCTGATCCAGAACCATCCAGTTAAGCCATCTCTGGATTCCTGACCTTCAGAAACTGAGTGAGATAAATGTTTGTTGTATTAAGTTGTTAAATTTTGAGAAAATTTGTTTCACAGGAATAGAGAACTAAAACAAAAGTCTGAACTGGAGGTTGCAAATTGAGGACTGGAGGAAACTTCTGGTATGCTGACAAGATTTTGTTTCATAGGGTAGAAAGAGTGTTTTTAAAAATTCAATTAATTGTCAACAGTTACATTTGGAAGATTTTTTTAAATCGCAGTTTCTTACTTTCTTTAAAAAAGAAAAAGGTAACACAGCCTTATTCTTATGACTCTGTTGCCTTGGATGTGGTCTATTCCATTTGTTTAAATACCACTAGGCGTTCGATTGTGCTACCCTTGGTCCAGATTTATCTAACAAGAAATGATTTTATTCATCTTATAATTTCTTTGTTTTATCAGGAACTCTCTGTCTGCATATAGGAGTATTTATTTATTTTTATTTTTTATTTATTTAAGATTTCACTAAATCAAAGAGTTCTGCTATAAAATTGCCTGGTCATTAGAAACACCTGGGAAACCCTAAAATGTAAAGATCTCCAATCATGGATTATTGCAAATGTGGTTATTTTATGATTATATTTCTATATTTGAAAAGAAAGGTCAAACTCTCTCTCCCCTCCTCCTGGAGATGGAGCAAGACTATAAAAATTAGTGTGGAATGGGGGTTTGGTACAAGGAACACATGATTCACAATGGCTGATCACACAGAGTAGATCTTTTGAAACAGGTCCTTAGGAGGTATGGGGGGAGTAGAGCATTAAAATCGGAAGACAAAATAGCAATGCCAAGTCAAGGGGGACAGGAATGGGATTAAGGATAAGAAATGGAGCCAAGAGGACAAAGGATTGAGAATAGGCGACCAGGAAGAAGCAGAAGGAGTCTAGGATGACTGCAGTGAAAAGCTCTGGGGTTTCTGCAGTTCTCTCTTCTTAATCCATGGATACTGAGGCATGATAATGATGTACCAATGGATCTTTAGGAACTCTGACAAATAAAGGACTGCTTTGAAAATTTATCATAAAGACTATCCACATGATATGACTGGTTTCTGGCAATCCAGCTCTTCTAGGTACAGAAAATCCCATGGATTACTTCCAATTATTTTGTTTCCTCCTTTGAAATGTTCTGATATTTCAATGCACTAGGGCAGTGGTGAGCAGGCTTCCTTGGGAGAAAGGGAAAAATATCAAGGCCAGGTGACACAATGGTCTCTTGGGACAATGACCTGATAGGTTTAAGTGAAAAATGACACTTAAACATTTGTGCATATTTAGTTGAAAGGAATTATGTTCACATGCAGATCATATATTTGGCTCATTTCATAAACACACGTTTTATGCCATGCATTTGAGAAATGTGAAGGCAAGCCAAGTTTTGTACAGCCCACATCATTTTACACATTTGGTAAGGTTAATAGTAAAATTCTAAGCAACTGATTTAGGTGCTTTTTAAAATTTGAAGATCCTACAGCTGATTATAGAATTTGAGGAAGTGGGACAGCCTCGGCAAATTTCTTCCTTTCTTTAGTTACCAGAGAAGAGTAGAGGTAAGAATTGCTAGGCAGGAAAGAATGGCTTTGCTAGTCTCCACAGTTCTTTTTCCCCACCATGTTCCTTCAGGCAAAAGTTAGCCTATATTTCTAAGTGTCTGGATATAAACATGCCTGTATTAAAATATTTTCCTTGTTTATAATTTTATGATTTATCTATATATCTTTATTTTTGGCTACTGTGGCTTTTTACAGCTTTCTAATTTATATAGCCATTTGTTTAGGCTGTCAAAACATTTTTAATTTTAATTACTGTGTATCATGCCTGAGGGTGTAAAACTGTCAGATAAATCTGAGACTCTGCATAAACATGTGGGGAACTGCATGTGTTATCGCTCAACAATTGCTAGTGGGCAGTTAGCAAATGCCTTTCCAGAGGGTTCGCTGGCTGGCTTCTTTCTCCCCTTCATGGAGACACAGGATGATGTTGTCAGATGGGGTGCTGGACATCTCGTCACACATCACGTGTCATTGACCTCGGCACCAAAAGCTCAAGACTGTGATAGACCAGTTGTTGGCTGGGGAGCCCTGCAGATGGATTATAGGAGAGCACTTAATGTTCAAGCTTATCACACTGAGGAGCTGGATAATCAACCTGGCACTTCATTTTTAAAAAGAAAAATAACTGGAGAAGAGGAGCCAAACTTAAAAAATAGGGTAGTATATTTGGTTGGCAAAATGTGATCAGAGATCTTGTTTCTTTTTCTTAAAGTCTCAGTAGTAGTATTGATATATGCATCCATCCGTCAATTTATTATACATCTAATAGTTTTGTATTTGGGATCAGAAGATTGAGCTTAAGCTCAAGACTTGGTGTTGTCATTTACTAGCTATGGTAACCTTGGACAAATTCTTTCTTTTCTTTTTTTAAATTATACTTTAAGTTCTGGGATACATGTGCAAAATGTGCAGGTTTGTTACATAGGTATATATACGCCATGGTGGTCTGCTGCACCCATCAACCCATCATCTACATTAGGTATTTCTCCTAATGCTATCCCTTCCCTTGCCCCCAACCCCTGACAGGCCCCGGTGTGATGTTCCCTTCCCTGTGTCCATATGTTCTCATTGTTCAATTCCCACTTATGAGTGAGAACATGCAGTGTTTGGTTTTCTGTTTCTGTGTTAGTTTGCTGAGAATGATGGTTTCCAGCTACATCCATGTCCCTGCAAAGGACATGAACTCATCCTTTCTTACGGCTGCATAGTATTCCACGGTGTATATGTGTCATATTTTCTTTATCCAGTCTATCATTGATGGGCATTTGGGTTAGTTGCAAGTCTTCGCTATTGTGAACACCGCTGAAATAAACATACATGTGCATGTATCTTTATAGTATAATGATTTACAATCCTTTGGGTATATACCCAGTAATGGGATCGCTGGGTCAAATGGTATTTCTGGTTCTAGATCCTTGAGGAATCGCTACACTGTCTTCCACAATGGCTAAACTAATTTACACTCCCACCAACAGTGTGAAAGCATTCCTATTTCTCCACATCCTCTCCAGCATCTGTTGTTTCCTGACTTTTTAATGATCGCCATTCTAACTGGTGTGAGATGGTATCTTATTGTGGTTTTGAGTTGCATTACTCTAATGATCAGTGATGATGAGCTTTTTTTATACGTTTGTTGACTGCATAAAATAAATGGTGTTGGGAAAACTGGCTAGCCATATGCAGAAGACTGAAATTAGACCCCTTCCTTACACCTTATACAAAAATTAACTCAAGATGGATTAAAGATTTAAATGTTAGACCTAAAACCATAAAAACCCTAGAAGAAAACCTAGGCAATACCATTCAGGACACAGGCATGGGCAAAGACTTCATGACCAAAACACCAAAAGCAATGGCAGCAAGAGCCAAAATTGACAAATGGGATCTAATTAAACTAAAGAGCTTCTGCACAGCAAAAGAAACTATCAGCAGAGTGAACAGGCAACCTACAGAATGGGAGAAAACTTTTGCAATCTACCCATCTGACAAATGGCTAATATCCAGAATCTACAAGGAACTTAAACAAATTTACAAGAAAAAAACAAACAACCCATCAAAAAGTTGGCAAAAGATATGAACAAACATTTTTCAAAAGAAGGCCAAATTTTTTAATTGTAGGTTTATACTCTAGTCAGCTGAAAAGCTTTTAGAGGTAATCTAGCACTTCATCCAATATGAAGTCTAGATTTACCATGAGATATGGATCTGGACTATATCTGTGTTTATCTTACGACAATGTAATATAATTTCTTTTCTTTTTCTTTTTCTTTTTTTTTTTTTCAGACAGGGTCTCACACTGCTGCCCAGGCTGGAGTGCAGCTCACTGCAACCTCCACTTCCTGGGCTCAACCTATCCTCCAGCCTCAGCCTCCAAAGTGGCTGGGACCACAGATGCATGCCACCACTCCCAGTAAATTTGTTTTTCTTAGAGATGGGGGTTTGCCATGTTGCCCAGGCTGGTCTTGAACTTGTGAACTCAAAGCAATCTGCCTGCCTCAGCCTCCCAAAGTGCTGTGATGACAGGAATGAGCCACCGTGCCTAGCCTATAATTACATCTCTCTTATGATTCTTTTAATGTCAATTTTAGGGGAGACTCAATGCCCAGAGAAGGTTGCCCCCACCCTCTGCCTATTATTCATAGTCCCAGTCACTGAGTTCAAGAACCAAGAGGGCATGGGGCAATGAGAATGATGATAGGGATTCCCTTCTGCAGTCTGCTTTTGCTGGTCTTTTCTGTCTTTTACCCCTGACGTGCCTGAGGCACATTAGTAAGGCAATCTGCTTCAGTATGCATTTCAACCAATTGAACTGTTAGTTGTGACATTGTGTTTTCCAAAGGAGTTATTGTTTCTAGCATATGATCTCAACCAGGTAGGAGGATTTGTAATATGGTGTTTAAATAATTATTGGTGTGGAATCTTTCAGACAAAAAGCCATTGTAGAAAAGTGAAGAGTCTTATAATTTTGCTTGGTAACTTACAGAAAATGTATGGACTGCATAAGTCACATGCATCAAAAAAATAGTCTTCTTCCATTTAGACTTTGATGGAAAAGTGCTTAGCTCAAGGAAGAATTTTTTCTAAAAAAACACCATTTTATCATCTTCGATATAGGAAAGTATTGCTGACCTAGCACATCAAGACTCTGCTCTTTCTCCTTGGAAAAGTAATTCTTTTCCTCTCCTAATTTTCCAACATAAAATATCTCTCTTTTCCAGCCTGAGATTTGATATTCCCCTGTCATAGTGATTTGCTTCTTTTGGAGAACTTCATTCACTTGGGGTTTATTAGCAGTATTTGTTGAGTGTCTGCTATGCACCAGACAAGGAGCAGGGGATTTAAGAGGGAGTAAAAATAGACAATGTCCCAGCTTTGAGAGAATGTACAATTTAATAGGGGAGACAAATGTTCACCAAAATTTGCAGTAGTAAACTTCCAAGTAAAACTGAGATGTGTCCTGAAGAAAAGGAGCACAGTTCTATGAGAACATAAACCAAAGGACTCTGACCTCAGTTGGGGTCTGAAGGCCCTTCCCAGAGGAAGTTACACCGAGCTGAGATATGAAACAAGAAGTCAGAAGTGAGCTGTACTTTTGGAAGGATAGTGTTGAAAATTACTCACCTCCGTTAACAATATAGATGAGTGTAGGTTTGAAGAAAATCTGACTGTTTTTATCTCCCTGAATACCAACCACATAGTAGGAGCCAACAGCCAACTATGCCTCTGGTAATAAACATATAAATGCAGAATGAGTGTTTTTCTTTCCATTTTGCTTCCTTTCTTTCACTTCTGTTAATTCCACGTTGAAATGTTAAGAACGTCAATATTAATGTTGAAATATTATCATAGAAGCATGCTAATAAATTAATACAGAAAATATTAATTTCCATATTAGGAAATCAACTTGAGAAACATAACATCCATAATGCTAGTGATATTCAAGATTAATTTGCCTTGACCATGAAGAGGCAAACATGAAAGGAACTGTACCTGCCTGTCATTCAATTATTTGCATCAGCATAGGGGATAAAAGGAAGGCAGCTACACACCCATGCTCATAGCAGTGAGATTATTCACAATAGACAAGAAGTGGAAGCAACCCAAATGTCTATCAATGGATGAATGTATAAATAAAATGCAGTATAAACGTACAATGGCATATTATTCAGTCTTAAGAGGGAAGGAAATCCAGTCACATATTATGACGTGGATGAACCTTGAGAATATTATGCTAAATGAAATAGGCCAGTCACAAAAGAATAAACACTATAAGATACCATTCAGTGAGGTATCAAGAGTAGTCAGATTTATGGAAGCAAAGAGAACGGTGGTTACCAGGAACTGCAGGGAGGAGGGAACAAGGCATTCATGTTGAGTGGGTTTACAGTTTCCGTTTTACTAGATGAAAAAGTGAAAATGCTCTAATACTACTGAACTACACATTTGGAAATGGTTATAATGGTAAATGTTGTTATGTTGTTGTTTTTAAAATCTCAAAAGAAGAAAAAAGGAAGGCAAATAATATTGCACTAGTGTGTGTTCCAGGTACTTTATATGGACAGTGTCACTTAATCCTCTCTGTGCCATCACTGGGCAGGTGAGAAAAAAAACAGGTAAGTTCAATAGTTTCCCAGGTTATAGGATTCAGAAGCTGAAGATCTGGAATATAAATCCAAATATGTACCTATTTGTAAATAGAAATGCCATGGGTACAGAGTAGAGATTCATGATAATGAAAACAACAATAAAATTATAATAATGCATGAACATGTACTGTTCGCCACTGTGTTCTACTCACTTTCCTGATGGCTTTACCCACAATCTATTTAATCCTCAAAACTGTTTTTTTTTTATTTTTTTTATACTTTAAGTTTTAGGGTACATGTGCACATTGTGCAGGTTAGTTACATATGTATACATGTGCCATGCTGGTGCGCTGCACCCACTAACTCGTCATCTAGCATTAGGTATATCTCCCAATGCTATCCCTCCCCACTACCCCCACCCCACCACAGTCCCCAGAGTGTGATATTCCCCTTCCTGTGTCCATGTGATCTCATTGTTCAATTCCCACCTATGAGTGAGAACATGCGGTGTTTGGTTTTTTGTTCTTGCGACAGTTTACTGAGAATGATGATTTCCAATTTCATCCATGTCCCTACAAAGGACATGAACTCATCATTTTTTATGGCTGCATAGTATTCCATGGTGTACATGTGCCACATTTTCTTAATCCAGTCTACCATTGATGGACATTTGGGTTGAGAGGATGTGGAGAAATAGGAATGCTTTCACACTGTTGGTGGGACCGTAAACTAGTGCAACCATTGTGGAAGTCAGTGTGGCGACTCCTCAGGGATCTAGAACTAGAAATACCATTTGACCCAGCCATCCCATTACTGGGTATATACCCAAAGCACTATAAATCATGCTGCTATAAAGACACACGCACACGTATGTTTGTTGCGGCATTATTCACAATAGCAAAGACTTGGAACCAACCCTAATCCTCAAAACTTTTAGAAGTATTGTTATAGCAGCCACATTTTGCAGATGACGAAAGTTGAACTAAGTAGCCTGCTCAAGGTCACGCAGTCAGTAAGAGGCAGAGGCTTAAATTCAGGTCACCTAGCCCTAGACATTATGCTTTTACATCACATAACTCGAGAATGAGAATGTCAAATTTTGAATGCTTCTTACCATTTCAAGCCCCCTTTCCCATACATTATCCAGTGTAAAAAAAAATTAAGGCTGATGTGTGAGGTTGGCAAACAGCTATCACTGTCCCTATTTTACAGGAGATAATGCAGGAGAGCCATCTGGGAAGTTGGGAATCTTGTCTCAGGTCACACACTGACTACATGACAAAAGCTTTGAAACCAAGTCTCCTGACTTCTGGCCCATGCCCATTCTTCCCCACTACCTAGGTGAGATCTACCTCAGAAATTCCCCAGACCACCTCGGAGAGGGAGTAAACTTGAGTGTGTCACACACAGCCCTTATTTGGCATTCATTTCTCTGTGTCTGATTGCCAGCAGCCATAGATCAGGTGGGATTTGCGGATGAGGGCCTCTGATGACTCAGCCTTGGGGCAGGCCACAGGGAGTACCTTGCCTGGGGGCTCTCCTGGACTGCTGAGGAAGGCTTGGGCAAGTCTTTGCCCTGCTCCTTCCTGACATGCCCTCAGAGAACAGGATTTTTATTGGACATTTGGTGACAGGTGCACGATGTGAGCAGAAGGGACCTCGGTTTAATGTCTCATGAGACAAGCAGCACGTATTATACAGCTAGTGACTCACTACTAATTTACTGCCCTAGAAGACTGGTGTTTTCTGAAAGAACAGGAGGCAAGAGCAGAAACTGCTTTTTGTCCCAGACTTCTTTCACTGCAGATGTTTGCAGCTGGCACATTCTGCTTTTCTTCCTCTGTGGGTGCACAAGACTAACCCAAATAATCATATTTCGGTCTTAATTACCTTTCTATTACTTAATTAAATGACCTGATATGGATGCCAGAAAAGGCTGGCAAATTTGTTAAAATCTGAACAGAGGGAGAGCTGGGCGGCATTTGAAGCAGTTGAGGCCCCTTTACCTTTGAATTCTCTCAATTGAATAAAGCCATAAATCTTAGGCAACTGATTTTCCCTTCTCTCCAAATTAGAAAATATCTGGCCCGTTAGAAAATATCTGGCCCGTAGTTCTGAAGTTACTTTGGTTCTCTCTGTATCACGTATCTATTGGTGCATAACAAAACACCCCAAAACTTAGTGCCTGAAAACAGCACTCATCTATTATTATTTTGCAAATCTGTGGGTTGGGTGGGTAGTTCACTGATCTGCATGGGACTTACTCATGTGTCTGTGTGCAGCTGTCAGGTTGGCTGGGGGCTGGTGGGTCCATCCAGGGCTGGGTTGGCTCAGCTCTACCTCGTGTTATCTCTCATCCTCCCCTGGACTGCTTGGGTTTTTTTTCTTGTGGCTGCAGGGTTCCAAAAGAGAAACCAAAAATGTGTTGCCCTTTCCCAGGCCTCTGCATCTGTCAAGTCGGCTAGCATCCTATTGGTCCAGGCAAGTCATGTGATTGAGCCAAATGTCACAGTAGGAGCAGACACAGGAAGACACAGGAAGGACATTACCTGGCTATCATTTCAATCAGTCTTCCTCACTCTCCAAAACATAATGATTCCCTGCAACTTCAGGGTGATAGCTTTCCTCAAGCCAGATACGGTTTTCTTTTCTTTCCTAATGTTTACTTAAGAGGATGCCTTGGACATAAAATTTGCTAAAGATTCTTGAAATAAATAAATGAGTGGTTGGACCTGAGGGTGTCACTAACAATGCCCTGGTTTCTCTGTCTCTTTTTTTTTTGGCACGTTTTACTGAAAATTTACATTTAGATAATATAAGTTGGCATATTTGGATTCTAATTTCTTTACTCATCCCCAAGCCTTTCTGATGTTCTTTAGTTGTTTATTTATTAACCTGGCTGGATTATGGCAGTGAAGAATATACACCTCCCTGATTTCACTTCTCAGAAGACACATCTTGGATATACACAAAGTCACCCTGGCATAACAGTGGTTTTAATCAGGATCATCTTTGATGGTCTCTTTTCCTGATTTCTCAGTTTAGCCCTGTAGCTCAACTGGTATGTCACACAGGTGATAGTCTCCAGTAATGTGAATCCAATAACAGTTTTCAGATCCATTAGCCACTCATTTTTTATTTTAAGTTCTGGGATACATGTGCAGAATATGCAGGTTTTTTACACAGGTATACATGTGCCACGGTGGTTTGCTGTACCTATCAACCCATCATCTAGTGGTCTTTGGGTTTCAAGTAATGAACACCTGCCCAAACTGGCTTCCACAACAGGGCAAAACACTAACTTATTTTACCTAACTCATGGGCAGCACCTACAAATGTGTTTTTTGAAGGACTAGGACTAAGAACTGAAAGTTAAAAGAGGCTGAGTGTGCTCCATGGGTCAGGGAGTCACACTTAGTTCAGTAAGCTGTAGTAGGGGGATGGCTCTGATGTCACATAATAAAAACATGGCTAGGCTGGGCACGGTGGCTCACGCCTGTAATCCCAGCACTTTGGGAGGCTGAGGCGAGTGGATCACGAAGTCAGGAGATCGAGAACATCCTGGTTAACCTGGTGAAACCCCATCTGTACTAAAAATACAAAAAATTAGCCAGGCATGGTGGCAGGCGCCTGTAGTCCCAGCTACTCGGGAGGCTGAGGCAGGAGAATGGCATGAATCCAGGAGGTGGAGCTTGCAGTGAGCCGAGATCTTGCCATTGCACTCCAGCCTGGACAACAGAGCAAGACTCTGTCACAAACAAAAAAACAAACAACCCAACCAACCAAACAACCAATCAACCAAACAAAAAAACATGGCTGCCTGGGAGCTGTGGATAGAGCAGTGTCTATCACAGGTGGCTGTAGGTATGGTGGAGAGATTCCTTGAAGAACTCAGAAGATTCTTTAGTTCCAGGGTATAGTAGATGACTCCCCAGATTCCCATCCTCTGGTTGCTCAACCAAACACTAATCCAGGTACTGCTGAGAAGGCATTTAAGCCAATTATATATCTCTCTTAAGATGTGGAGAGTACACGAGTGGGCTTGAGCTAATCAGTCCAGGCCGCTGAAAGCTGCTTTTTCTCTGTTAGCAGAAAGGGAATTCAGAGATTCAAAGCATGAGACAATTCGACATGCCATCCCTGTGTTTAGAGAGAGTAGAAACAATGTGCCAAGAAATGCCTGTGGCCTCCAGAAGCTGAGAATAGCCCTTGGGTGATGGCCAGCAAGGAGATGAGGACCTCAGTTCTACAACTGCAAGATCCGAATTCTGCCAATAACCTGAATGAGATTAGAGTTCTTTCCTTCCAAGAGCCTTCCGATGAGAGCCCAGCTGGCCAAAACCTTCATTTTGGCCCTATGACACCCTAAGCAGAGAAACCAGCTGTGCCATGCTAGACTACTGACCTACAGAAACTGTGAGATGATAAACAGGTGTTGTTTTAAGCTGCTAAATTTGTGATAATTTGTTAAGAAGCAATAAAAAATTATTATACAGGGTGATTACTATTCCCATTTTAGCTCTTTAAAAATGTTAATATCCTCTGAAAAATGACATAAATTGAATTACCACTCTCAGTTTGCTCTAAATTTGTTGGACTGAAAGTCTTCCTTTGTGATTGGAGAGAGAAAAATTGGTTTTTGGGAAAAAGAATACCATAATTGGGACAAAATGAAGTGTGAGAGGGGTTAAGGTTTGAACTGAGGGTAGGTAAGCTGGCTTTTGTGGATTGCAGCTAGGCTTTCAAGGAGACAGCATAAAAGCAATAAGACACTAGGAACCTGGAGACAGAGAGAGAGAGAGAGAGAGAGAGAGAGAGAGAGAGAGAGAGAAAGAGAGAGAGAGAGAGAGAGAGAGAGAGAGAGAATGAATTAATAAAATGATACTGAAAATAAATTTTAAAAGCCTTCAATCAATTCCTCCTGCATATCCTATCTCCTCAATTGCACTCAAACTTGCTGTAACAAATCTGATCTCAAATTTAAAAATCCTCCGTAAAGTAGCATGTCCCTCCAGTTACCACCTTGTTTTTCTGTTATACTTCTCCCCAAGATGTCTGCAAGTGTTATTTTCAAGTCTTCATATCCCATTCATTCTTCAACTCATCTTTATATGGCTTCCTCCCCAAGTGCTCCAATGAAATTTTTCTTCCCAGATCATCAATGATCTTCATGTTGCTGTATCCAGTGAATCTGCTCTGACTTCTTCCTAGTAAATTTTTCAGAATGATGAAATCCAGTAGACCACCATTTTAGTTTTAGAGCATTCTCTTCTTTTGGTTCCTATGATACCCCTCTTTTTTGGTTTTCCTCCTACTTTTCTGGCCACTTTATCTCAGAATCCATTGTAAGTGTCTCTCTCTTATAGCTGATTTGTAAATGCTGACATTTCTTAGGGCCCCATTTTGGAATCCCTCATTTCCTCACACAGCTGAACTCTTTCCTTAGAAATCTTACTTGCTTCAATGACTGTACATATTGTGGCTTCACAGAGATGATGACTTGAGAACTTGTTGAAAAGAAGAGTGCACTGGGCTCAGAATAAGACCAAGGTTCTAATCTTAACTTCTTATGAGAATATCATAACTGATTTGGGATGTCTAAAAGACTGTTTCCTTGCCTGTAAAACGGAGACAGTGGTCCTTGCCTTGTCTGTCTTACAGGATTATCATAGAAATGAAAGATGTGGCAGGGGAACGCTGCTATTATTGTTGTTAGCACAGTTGCAGTCAGAATATTAAAATAATAAAACTACTTGGGTTTTTCAAGGGTAAGCATGGGTGAGAATACCAGGGCCGGAATAAAAGGATGGATGAATGAAGAGAGAGAAGGAGAAAGAGAAAGAGAGAGAGAGCACGAATGAATGAATGAAAATGAAAATCTGGGAACTCACAGAAGCTATGTAGACTGATATATGATACCATTTTATAAATCTCTCAATTTATTATTATTATTGTTATTATACTTTAAGTTTTAGGGTACATGTGCACAATGTGCAGGTTAGTTACGTATGTATACATATGCCATGCTGGTGTGCTGCACCCATTAACTCGTCATTTAGCATTAGGTGTATCTCCTAACGCTATCCTGTCCCCTCCTCCCACCCCACAACAGTCCCCAGAGTGTGATGTTCCCCTTCCTGTGTCCATGTGTTCTCATTGTTCAATTCCCACCTATGAGTGAGAACATGCGGTGTTTGGTTTTTTTGTCCTTGCAATAGTTTACTGAGAATGATGATTTCCAATTTCATCCATATCCCTATAAAGGACATGAACTCATCATTTTTTATGGCTGCATAGTATACCATGGTGTATATGTGCCACATTTTCTTAATCCAGTCTATCATTGTTGGACATTTGGGTTGGTTCCAAGTCTTTGCTATTGTGAATAGTGCCACAATAAACATACGTGTGCATGTGTCTTTATAGCAGCATGATTTATAGTCCTTTGGGTATATACCCAGTAATGGGATGGCTGGGTCAAATGGTATTTCTAGTTCTAGATCCCTGAGGAATCGCAATGCTGACTGCCACAATGGTTGAACTAGTTTACAGTCCCACCAACAGTGTAAAAGCATTCCTATTTCTCCACATCCTCTGTAGCACCTGTTGTTTCCTGACTTAATGATTGCCATTCTAACTGGTGTGAGATGGTATCTCATTGTGGTTTTGATTTGCATTTCTCTGATGGCCAGTGATGGTGAGCATTTTTTCATTTGTTTTTTGGCTGCATAAATGTCTTCTTTTGAGAAGTGTCTGCTCATATCCTTTGTCCACGTTTTGATGGGGTTGTTTTTTTTCTTGTAAATGTGTTTGAGTTCATTGTAGATTCTGGATATTAGCCCTTTGTCAGATGGGTAGGTTGCAAAAATTTTCTCCCATTTTGTGGGTTGTCTGTTCACTCTGATGGTAGTTTCTTTTGCTGTGCAGAAGCTCTTTAGTTTAATTAGATCCCATTTGTCAATTTTGGCTTTTGTTGCCATTGCTTTTGGTGTTTTAGACATGAAGTCCTTGCCCATGCCTATGTCCTGAATGGTAATGCCTAGGTTTTCTTCTAGGGTTTTTATGGTTTTAGGTCTAACGTTTAAGTCTTTAATCCATCTTGAATTACTTTTTGTATAAGTTGTAAGGAAGGGATGCAGTTTCAGCTTTCTCCATATGGCTAGCCAGTTTTCCCAGCACCATTTATTAAATAGGGAATCCTTTCCCCATTGCTTGTTTTTCTCAGGTTAGTCAAAGATCAGATAGTTGTAGATATGCAGTGTTATTTCTGAGAGCTCTGTTCTGTTCCATTGATCTATATCTCTGTTTTGGTACCAGTACCATGCTGTTTTGGTTACTGTAGCCTTGTAGTATAGTTTGAAGTCAGGTAGCGTGATGCCTCCAGCTTTGTTCTTTTGGCTTAGGATTGACTTGGTGATGCGGACTCTTTTTTGGTTCCATATGAACTTTAAAATAGTTTTTTCCAATTCTGTGAAGAAAGTCCTTGGTAGCTTGATGGGGATGGCATTGAATCTATAAATTACCCTGGGCAGTATGGCCATTTTCACAATATTGATTCTTCCTACCCATGAGCATGGAATGTTCTTCCATTTGTTTGTATCCTCTTTTATTTCATTGAGCAGTGGTTTGTAGTTCTCCTTGAAGAGGTCCTTTACATCCCTTGTAAGTTGGATTCCTAGGTATTTTATTCTCTTTGAAGCAATTGTGAATGGGAATTCACTCATGATTTGGCTCTCTGTTTGTCTGTTATTGGTGTGTAAGAATGCTTGTGATTTTTGTACATTGATTTTGCATCCTGAGACTTTGCTGAAGTTACATATCAGCTTAAGGAGTTTTTGGGCTGAGACAATGGGGTTTTCTAGACATACAATCATGTCATCTGCAAACAGGGACAATTTGACTTCCTCTTTTCCTAAATGAATACCCTTTATTTCCTTCTCCTGCCTCATTGCCCTGGCCAGAACTTCCAACACTATGTTGAATAGGAGTGGTGAGAGAGGGCATCCCTGTCTTGTGCCCGTTTTCAAAGGGAATGCTTCCAGTTTTTGACCATTCAGTATGATATTGGCTGTGGGTTTGTCAAAGATAGCTCTTATTGTTTTGAGATACGTCCCATGAATACCTAATTTATTGAGAGTTTTTAGCATGAAGGGTTGTTGAATTTTGTCAAAGGCCTTTTCTGCATCTATTGAGATAATCATGTGGTTTTTGTCTTTGGTTCTGTTTATATGCTGGATTACACTTATTGATTTGTGTATATTGAACCAGCCTTGCATTCCAGGGATGAAGCCCACTTGATCATGGTGGATAAGCTTTTTGATGTGCTGCTGGATTCGGTTTGCCAGTATTTTATTGAGGATTTTTGCATCAATGTTCATCAGGGATATTGGTCTAAAATTCTCTTTTTCGGTTGTGTCTCTGCCAGGCTTTGGTATCAGGATGACGCTGGCCTCATAAAATGAGTTAGGGAGGATTCCCTCTTTTTCTATTGATTGGAATAGTTTCAGAAGGAATGGTACCAGCTCCTCCTTGTACCTCTGGTAGAATTCGGCTGTGAATCCATCTGGTCCTGGACTCTCTCTTTTTGGTTGGTAAGCTATTGATTATTGCCACTATTTCAGAGATTCAACTTCTTCCTGGTTTAGTCTTGGGAGGGTGTATGTGTCGAGGAATTTAGCCATTTCTTATAGATTTTCTAGTTTATTTGTGTAGAGGTGTTTGTAGTCTTCTCTGATGGTAGTTTGTATTTCTGTGGGATCAGTGGTGATATCCCCTTTATCATTTTTTATTGTGTCTATTTGATTCTTCTCTCTTTTCTTCTTTATTAGTCTTACTAGTGGTCTATCAATTTTGTTGATCCTTTCAAAAAACCAGCGCCTGGATTCATTAATTTTTTGAAGGGTTTTTTGTGTCTCCATTTCCTTCAGTTCTGCTCTGATCTTAGTTATTTCTTGCCTTCTGCTAGCTTTTGAATGTGTTTGCTCTTGCTTCTCTAGTTCTTTTCATTGTGATGTTAGGGTGTCAATTTTGGATCTTTCCTGCTTTCTCTTGTGGGCATTTAGTGCTATAAATTTCCCTCTACACACTGCTTTGAATGTGTCCCAGAGAGTCTGGTATGTTGTGTCTTTGTTCTCACTGGTTTCAAAGAACATCTTTATTTCTGCCTTCATTTCATTATGTACCCAGTAGTTATTCAGGAGCAGGTTGTTCAGTTTCCATGTAGTTGAGCGGTTTTGAGTGAGTTTCTTAATCCTGAGTTCTAGTTTGATTGCACCGTGGTTTGAGAGACAGTTTTTTTATAATTTCTGTTCTTTTACATTTGCTGAGGGGTGCTTTACTTCCAACTTTGTGGTCAATTTTGGAATAGGTGTGGTGTGGTGCTGAAAAAAATGTATATTCTGTTGATTTGGGGTGGAGAGTTCTGTAGATGTCTATTAGGTCCACTTGGTGCAGAGCTGAGTTCAATTCCTGGATATCCTTGTTAACTTTCTGTCTCGCTGATCTGTCTAATGTTGACAGTGGGGTGTTAAAGTCTCCCATTATTATTGTGTGGGAGTCTAAGTCTCTTTGTAGGTCTCTAAGGACTTGCTTTATGAATCTGGGTGCACCTGTATTGGGTGCATATATATTTAGGATAGTTAGCTCTTCTTGTTGAATTGATCCCTTTACCATTATGTAATGGCCTTTGTCTCTTTGATCTTTGTTGGTTGAAAGTCTGTTTTATCAGAGACTAGGATTGCAACCCCTGCATTTTTTTTGTTTTCCATTTGCTTGGTAGATCTTCCTCCATGCTTTTATTTTGAGCCTATGTGTGTCTCTGCCCATGAGATGGGTTTCCTGAATACAGCACACTGATGGGTCTTGACTCTTTATCCAATTTGCCAGTCTTTGTCTTTTAATTGGAGCATTTAGTCCCTTTACATTTAAAGTTAATATTGTTATGTGTGAATTTGATCCTGTCATTATGATGTTAGCTGGTTATTTTGCTCATTAGTTGATGCAGTTTCTTCCTAGCCTCAATGGTCTTTACAATTTGGCATGATTTTGCAGTGGCTGGTACCAGTTGTTCCTTTCCATGTTTAGTGCTTCCTTCAGGAACTCTTGTAGGGCATGCCTGGTGGTGACAAAATTTCTCAGCATTTGCTTGTCTGTAAAGGATTTTATTTCTCTTTCACTTATGAAGCTTAGTTTGGCTGGATATGAAAATCTGGGTTGAAAATTCTTTTCTTTAAGAATGTTGAATATTGGCCCCCACTCTCTTCTGGCTTGTAGAGTTTCTGCCAAGAGATCCGCTGTTAGTCTGATGGGCTTCCCTTTGTGGGTAACCCGACCTTTCTCTCTGCCTGCCCTTAACATTTTTTCTTTCATTTCTACTTTGGTGAATCTGACAATTATGTGCCTTGGAGTTGCTCTTCTCGAGGAGTATCTTTGTGGCGTTCTCTGTATTTCCTGAATCTGAATGTTGGCCTGCCTTGCTAGATTGGGGAAGTTCTCCTGGATAATATCCTGCAGAGTGTTTTCCAACTTGGTTCCATTCTCCCCGTCACTTTCAGGTACACCAATCAGACGTAAATTTGGTCTTTTCACATAGTCCCATATTTCTTGGAGGCTTTGTTCGTTTCTTTTTATTCTTTTTTCTCTAAACTTCCCTTCTCACTTCATTTCATTCATTTCATCTTCCATCGCTGATACCCTTACTTCCAGTTGATCGCATCGGCTCCTGAGGCTTCTGCATTCTCCAAGTAGTTCTTGAGCCTTGGCTTTCATCTCCATCAGCTCCTTTAAGCACTTCTCTGTATTGGTTATTCTAGTTATACATTCATCTAAATTTTTTTCAAGGTTTTCAACCTCTTTGCCTTTGGTTAGAATTTCCTCCTGTATCTCGGAGTAGTTTGATCGTCTGAAGCCTTCTTCTCTCAACTCGTCAAAGTCATTCTCTGTCCAGCTTTGTTCCGTTGCTGGTGACAAACTGCCTTCCTTTGGAGCAGGAGAGGCGCTCTGCTTTTTAGAGTTTCCAGTTTTTCTGCTCTGTTTTTCCCCCATCTTTTTGGTTTTATCTACTTTTGGTCTTTGATGATGGTGATGTACAGATGGGTTTTTTGGTGTGGATGTCCTTTCTGTTTGTTAGTTTTCCTTCTAACAGACAGGACCCTCAGCTGCTGGTCTGTTGGAGTTTGCTAGAGGTCCACTCCAGTCCCTGTTTCCCTGGGTATCAGCAGCGGTGGCTGCAGAACTGTGGATTTTCGTGAATCGCGAATGCTGCTGCCTGATCGTTCCTCTGGAAGTTTTGTCTCAGAGGAGTACCCAGCCATGTGAGGTGTCAGTCTGCCCCTACCAGGGGGTGCCTCCCAGTTAGGCTGCTTGGGGGTCAGGGGTCTGGGATCCACTTGAGGAGGCAGTCTGCCCGTTCTCAGATCTCCAGCTACGTGCTGGGAAAACGACTGCTCTCTTCAAAGCTGTCAGACAGGGACATTTAAGTCTGCAGAGGTTACTGCTGTCTTTTTGTTTGTCTGTGCCCTGTCCCCAAAGGTGGAGCCTACAGAGGCAGGCAGGCCTCCTTGAGCTGTGGTGGGTTCCATCCAGCTTGAGCTTCCCAGCTGCTTTGTTTACCTAAGCAAGCCTGGGCAATGGTGGGCACCCCTCCCCCAGCCTCGCTGCCACCTTGCAGTTTGATCTCAGGCTGCTGTGCTAGCAATCAGTGAGACTCCGTGGGCATAGGACCCTCCGAGCCATGTGCGGGATATAAGCTCCTGGTGCGCCATTTTTTAAGCCCGTCAGAAAAGCGCAGTATTAGGGTGGGAGTGACCCGTTTTTCCAGGTGACGTCTGTCATCCTTTTCTTTGACTAGGAAAGGGAACTCCCTGACCCCTTGCGCTTCCCGAGTGAGGCAATGCCTTGCCCTGCTTCAGCTCGTGCATGGTGTGCTGCACCCACTGTCCTGTGCCCACTGTCTAGCACTCCCTAGTGAGATGAACCCGGTACCTCAGATAGAAATGCAGAAATCACCCGTCTTCTGCGTCACTCACACTCGGAGCTGTAGACTGGAGCTGTTCCTGTTCAGCCAGCTTGGCTCTAACCTCAATTCTTTAATAAAGTTATCAATTCAATAAATGCTGAGAGTGATTGCATTTCTAATGGGAGACAGCCAAAGTATAGGAGCTTTGATGAGAGCCAGAGTTAAGTTGTGATGCAGTAACCAGGGGAGCACCTTCAAGATAGCAAGTGAGATTTAACCTTCTTCTTACTCCTCTGAACTTCCAGTAGATACTCAGGTAATACAGACTTAGAACACAATTCTATTCATCCCATAGTCATGCCTCAAGTGTCTGTTACCCACAACGTGCTCAGACTGATGCTATAGGGAATACAGAGGTGAATAATGAGGATTACAAGGAGGAGTAGCAAAAAGAGGAGATTTGTGCTCCAGAGTTCATAAAGTACCATCTCTTTCTCAACCTAGCCTCACAGTCAGCCATAAAGGTAAACAGGGTAAAGATATTTTAACCCTATCTGCAGAAGAGCTCCAGAAGAATGACCACAGCTCCAATGATTAGCCCAGAAGGTAGTAACTGACAGAGCTAGCACTTGACCCCATCTCTAAATCTGTGTCTCTGTTTACTGAACCAGTGTTTCCTCATTGTGGCATTATGTCTTCTGAAGGAGGGCCCCATACTTTAGGAAACACACAAGCAAATCTAAAAAAAAAAAAAACAACAGGTATTTATTTTAACATGTACTAGAAAAATAGATGAAATCAGGATGGCAAAGCCATGGTTTCAATATTGTTTCATAGGATGAGACCAAGGGCAGTAAAAATTGTATTAAATTAAATATTAAAATAATAATGGTACAGATAGGGAAGGTACAATATAAAAGATTAACATTTAAAAAACAATGCACTCTGCCATGCTGAGGATGTTTACATCCAATGATGTGAGTAGGAGAAGCAGACAAATAACTATGATAGCAGATGTGCTCCTTGAGCAATATAATGAAGGGGGAGCCAGGACATCTGGTTTTAATTTCACTTCTGCCCCTCTTTGACGGTGTGGCTTTAGGCAGATCACTCTGAGCTTTGTTTCCATATCATGAAACAAAGGGAACTGGAATTGTCTTTTCAGGGCAGAGTTTGTGTTTGAGTATATTTGCCAAAGGAGAGGTACAAACTACAGCATAATGGATTCTAGGGCCAGAATGCCAGGGCTAGAATTCTGGTTCTACTTATCAACTGTGTAACCCTGGGCAAGGTACTTCTATCTTCTGCATTTTCTTCATTTATAAAACTGAGATAATATTCTTCTCATAGGATTGTTGCAAGGATTAAGTGAGTTAATTAAAGAGAGTGTTTAGAAGAATGCCTAGCATAATTAACACTATAGAAGTGTTTGCTATTATTAGTGCCTTTGGGCCTCAGAAGAGAGATCCAGTATACACATTTGAAAGGACCAGAAGGAGCTTCCTGGAAAAGTGTCACCTAAGATGAACCACATATATCTTTAGTCTAACTGCATGGAGCTTCCCAACCATCTCAGAGAAGAAGAGAGAAATGTGGCTAAAAGGTGAGGGCAACTTGGCTAGAGAACAGAGGAAGAAACCTCTAGCAAGTGAGTCTGTCCAGTTCCTTAGAGAATAAGCAGAACCCTTCTGTAACTAGCATGCCTGGGTCTTCTTTACTTTGGGTCCTGCTTATAATTTAGGGCATCTATCATTGCCTATGGGCCACCAGGCAAGCTCAGGTGATCTGTTAGAGGGTCACAGACCTGTGGTGAACCCCAGAGGGAATCTGCCAGTATTACCAAGGCCTGGACTTGCATTTTAGATTCTCTGTTCTCATGCTCTGAGACCAACTTATTTTCTGTTTCATGATGGTGGCTGTTGAACAGATCATGTGCTACTCTGTTAAATGAAAGTAAACACTTACTCTCTCCACATGCTATTAAACACAGCTATGTTAAAATAATGTGTAGGTTGAGACAAATACGTACCACCACAAGATAATTGGGAGTGAAGTCACTGTGACAGCCTGAGTAACTAAATTAACCCTATTGAAACCTGTTTTCTTGGGCTCAAAGGCTTTTCAGTGGAAGAAGTCAGGTGTTCAAAAAAAGCACTTAGCTTGTGAACACCTTGTAACACTTGCTAAAAAAAACACACCAGTCACTTGAAGAAGCAAGCAAACAATTTGGCGTAGTTCATATAAAAGATGAAATGAGGTCATAAGCATTTTCTATCTTTGATTAAAATTCTGTTAGCTTATAAAAGAGCATTTTTTAAATCTTAGAGTATTTTATGATGAATAGTGTGCTGAAAGTGGCTTGTTTTAACAATTCCCACCCAAAAAATGACAGTAAATAACTAGAAGTTAAAGAAATTCCAATTAAAATAACAGTGTGATTTCTTTATAGTCAACCTCAAATTTGGAAGGTTTAACAAAGTGATAAAAATTCAGTGCTGGGGACATTGGGAGGAAAAAGGCTCTCTCAAACAAGGAAGGTGTACACCTGGATGACTACTTCTCAATAAAAAGCCAAAGATTTCTCCAGTGTATAATGTGTATTTTCTCTGTTCTACTTCCCTTCCCTTATAGGGAAGTAAAATTACCTATTACCTAAGGCAATCAAATTACTATAAATTAAGCTAAAAGGAGGATATGAGCTCCTTTAGGACAGGGATCATTTTGGAATTCTTTTACCCTCTTTTTCCCAGTACCGAGTACAATTGTTAGCATAAAGTGACAATCAACGCATATTCATACATGAATTAATAAATATGAATTGTAGTGGTTTTATGTTAGAAAATACCTAAATGCTTAACAGCAGGAATGGAATAAATAAAATATGGTCCAATCATACAAAAGGAGATGATGCAGCTAAGAAAAAATAGTGCTGTGGAAGAATACTGTGTATGCTATAACACATGAAATTTTTTTGATTAATATTATTGAAATACATAGTCAGTTTTATAAAAATATGTACACTATAATCTTAACTTTTCTATAAAGGTATAAAAACTGGAAGATAAATACTGGAATATTAATACAGTGGTTCTATTTGGTTGCAGTTTTACTAGTATTTTTCTACTTTGTATTTTCTAAAAAATTGTTACAATGAGAATAATGGGAATAATGAGTAAACAAACTGCTTATAAGCAAGAAGAAACAGCTATTTTTCTGAATATCTCTAGAGAGAAGATCCAAGACCAATGGGAGAATGGTTCTGAGACACAAACTTTGATTTAACATAAGGAATCAGAATATTGCAAAAATACTATGTGCCACACTTTGAAATAATTACTCACTTGTCCCTATAGGTATTCAAAGAGAGACTAAATGACTGTATTAGTCAGTTCTCACAGTGCTGATAAAGACATACCCGAGAATGGGTAGTTAATAAAGAAAAAGAGATTTAATTGATTTTCAGTTCCACATGGCTGGGGAGACCTCACAATTGTGGCAGAAGGAGAAAGGCACATCTTACATAGTGGCAGGCAAGAGAGAATGAGAGCCAAGTGAAAGGGGAAATGCCTTATAAAACAATTAGATCTCATGAGACTTATTCAGTACCATGAGAACAGTATGGGGCAACTGTCCCCATGATTAAATTATCTTCTCCTGGGTCCCTCCCACAACACGTGGGAATTATGGGAGCTACAATTCAAGATGAGATTTGGAAGGGGACAGAGCCAAACCATATCAATTACCATCCAGGAAAGACTAATACGTTAGAAAAAAGTCTTGGACTACATCAACTCTAAGTTCTACAGACCCTATAGGCTCAAAGATTTGATGAGTTCTTTAGCAGATAGCCCTGTATAAATTCCATTTGATAAAAGGTACAACAAAGAGTAGGTTCCTTTATCCCACTATCTTCTACTTTCTTCTTGCTGCTTATTTTGCTTGCAAGGTCTCTGTAAGCTGTGCCCCTTAATTTGTTATACTATATACATGATCAGAGTTTCATTCTTTTTTCTCTTGAGGCCTCTGGGTTGTCAAGAATACCCATAGAATATCAGGTAATATTTATGGTTGTCATGCTTATTCTTACAGTGGATTGGTTTTCCACCAGCTGAAAGTCTGCCCTTTATTAATGGTTGTAGGATAGGTGTGGAGAAAGGGAGAAACTAGGAAGAGGATAAAGAGCTGTAGAGTAGAGAAGAGACACTCATTAGATGGTTTTGCTGAGGGTTGTTCATGGCTATGAGTGTCAACAGTTAAGTCACTGCCTTTCTTGAACTGCTACACATTGGCCAATATCTATTCACAGCTTTAAACTTTTGATTGACAGGAAATTACAGGATCTGAATTTAGATCTATTTTATGTAGTTCAAAAGAGCACCGATTAGATTCAAAATATGAATAAACTCTGCACAAAACCAGTTAAGAAGTGTCCCATCTGTGTATACTGATCATTGCTTTTCAAATTATTTAATCATGACAATAGCCCAGGGAATAAGGATCTATTCTGTATACTGTACAAGCAGAACCTCTTACATCTCTCTTCACATTGGATAGTCTTTGGCTCAACTCTCTTCTAGGTTTGATCCACCATGGTAGGATAGTACAGGAAATTTATTTTATATAGATCCAGGTGCTATATGAGGACAGGCTTGAAGGAGATCCCAGAACCTGCCATGGAATAAATCAGAACACAATGCAGGTGTGAAAAACTTATTTAGTCAAGTTTGTAGAGCAGATAAAGTGCTGCTGACAATATGTATTTATTTTGTGATAAAACTCCAAAACTACTTAAGACATACTTGTTCACTTTAAAAAGAAACACAAAATGCAAGGTCCAACCCACCTATCATTCATTTGTCTGATTAATTTTTTGGAATACTTTGAAATGACCATCTGGGCTCTCTTGAGAAGGGTGAAACAGAGGAGGATTAAGATTACAAAACCATCCCAAATTGTATATGCCATGGCAACTGAAGCCATGTTTTCAGGGAAGACTGCTTAAACATCACACTTTTCCCATTGCCAAGAACTCCTGGAAAATCACGAGGTAAGTGGATTAGAGAGAAGGCAATTGGGATGCTTCATCAAGTCTGCTGAAGCTCCTTAGAGTAATATCCCATTCCATTAGCTATTCAATGAAATGGGAATAAGAGAGTGGAGATAGGATGCTGACCAACGAAACAGAAGGTCATTCTGAGGAGATTTCCTCTCTTGCTGCCCATTGCAAAGTGCCACTGTTAACACATTTTCACTTGCAAAAGGCCCATCAGCAAGTCTCCAGGATAGAGAACTAGGATATAGTCTTTCCTGTTGCCTCCAAAGCGTGTGTTCCCAGAATAATATGCCAGCTAATTGGGAGACATGACATAGTGCCTACAGTCCTTCAAGCTTCTCATATACTCCCCAAATCAATCTGTGGGCTTCCTACTATGCCTTCAGCCTCAGACATTCTGAAGATGTAGACAACAAGGGGTGCAAAGAGGGAGAGTATATACAGAATACAGTAGGATGATGTGACCTGCGCTTTGTTAGGAAAGAAAGCAAGCTGTAGGCTTTTGAGAGGAAAAGCAGCTCAAAGAGGTGGTCTTATAGCACCATCTCCACAGATACCCAGAGACAGGATGATGAAAACTGTAATGAGGATGATAAAGGCTGAAAAGCCACAGGAATATCAGACTGATCTATTCCATGGCACAGATGTCTATATAAAGATTTTTAGCTAATAATATTTTAATGCCAAGTCCTTTTCATTGCTTTGGCTGAAACCCAGGAGTGGCTCAAACATATATTTGGCATCTGGGCCATCTCTGGTGTACTAATTTCCTTTTGCTTCTTCATGGAGCCAGCAGTAGAGCTGATTTCAGCTAAGGTGGCTGGTACTAATTGTTAGTTTCCAATTACTAGTTGTTCAAGGTTTATCAAGTATTGTGACTTTAATTAGGGCCCTAAGATGTAAACTGCAATGTCTTTAACAGACACATTCCGATGGGGATAATCTGATGAGCCGGTTGCTGTTGTATAGTAATTGGGAGCCAGAGAGAGATTCACATATGAATAGTAAATTAAGATGCACAGTAGTAGCTGGGATTTAAACCTGGACTGTTAGAGGCCTTAATGACCCCATAAAAGGGAATAAGGTCATTTGTTATTTAAAGGATCATAAGATATTGCATTTCATAAGGATATTGAGCATGTACAAGGTTAAAGCGCTCATGGGTGAGCCAGATTCTCCCTTTATTCCATTTA
This sequence comes from Homo sapiens, assembly GCF_000001405.40. Lineage (NCBI taxonomy): Eukaryota > Metazoa > Chordata > Mammalia > Primates > Hominidae > Homo > Homo sapiens. Next base: position 1,743,411 of record NC_000009.12, on the reverse strand, counting down.
TAAGCAGAACCCGAAGAGTTAGCACTTCTTTGTAATAAAGCTCTAAATTCCAGAGTGACTTGCTGCTCTACCTCCCAAATCCCAAAGGGCAGCTGCTGCTGGGCTGGGCTTTGTAAGATGTTAGTTTCATCCCCAAACTCAGCACAGGCACTGAATCCTCCATTTTAGAACCAATTAAAGTGAACGGTTTTCCAATTTTCTGGGACAGATTGTCACACGTGGCTGAATGGGGAGACTCAAAGGTCTGGAAAGGTGGCACGGAAGGAGACTAATTCTTGGTATTTCTTGGGTACAGCAGGTCCCACTTTAGGTTGAATACAAATTTAAAGGGCTTATCTATACATAGATGAGGAAGCTGATAGTGGAAATAGAAAACTGTCAACCTTAGAAATAAAGAGATAATCCAAAATAGCAGATTACCCAACATAATATGTGTTAGAATTGGGAATATATGGCCTGTATTATATTTGTATCCTTAATTATGTTTCTCCCAGGCTGCTATTAGAATTAGCTTGTGCTCCCCTTACACACAATTAGCAGGAGGGGAAAACTCAGAAATACATTTGAGGATTCTACCCTGATATTAAAATTTGGTTGTGGATAAATCCCTCTGTAGATAATGGAGAAGTTGTGGCAATATCTCTCATGCCTAGTACATATTTTGTTTCATTCCTTTTGTAACAATAAGCACATCTGCAGACACACACATACCTTCACAGAGATCCATGCAATCAGATCTGCTATTATTATCATGCAGTCTACAGTTGTTTTCCTAAGCCAGGATCTAACTGGGCACAGCAGAGGCCTATGGCAGGATAGGCTAGAAAATCAGGAAACGATTTCTCCAGGTAAGTAATTAGAACAACAGGAGCAAATCAGAAGGCTGAACTTTGCTGTTTAAATGGAAATTCACCCAGATCCCCAATATGTGGCAAATTTTATCCATACACTGTTAAAGGATCCAGGTGGTGATTCTTAGGTATGTAACTAACAGTTATTGTGTTGGTTTGATGGGATGAAGGAAATATTTCTGGTACGCCAAGATGACCACATAATCACATTTTAAATATTATTAAAATGATCAATTATAAATTATTTCAAGCATGCGGAAATGTATGGGAATAACAAATGCCCACATATCTACTCCTCAGAGTTTTGAAATTTTAACCTTTTTTTTTTTTCTGATTAAAACTGAAGCTAAAGATGCAGCTGGGGTGGATTACAAAAACACACAGAGCTACCACCTCCACCTCTGTCTGTGGGCACACCTCTTCCACTATGACTTTGTATTTTCTCCTATCAAAGAAAAAGTTTATTTTACCACCCTTTGAATCTGGGCTGGCCTTGTGACTTGATGAAGATAATACAATGTGGCTCTGTGACTTAATTTGGCCAGTGTGTGCCAGTTCTGAGCTCAACACTTAGAGAAACCCTGTCAGCTACATGTGGGCAAGACCAGGCCATTCCACGGGTGGTGAGAGACATGAACCCAGTCACCTTGTTACTCTAGCGCCAGTCAGGCCCCAGCTGATCTGGTGGTTGAATGCAGATGCATGAGTGAGCCCAGATTAAATCAGAGGTGCCTAGCTATTTTCACCTGAACTATCAATCCACATAATCAAGAGCAATAAATAATGCTTGTTTTCAAGCCTGTAAGTTTTGAGGTAGTTTGTTACACAGCAATAGATAACTGATACAATAGTCAAAGCTAAATGCTCACCAAATTGTATTCCCCTTCTTCCTTTCCTACCTCCTTCCCTCTCCAGAAATTTCTACTATTCTGACATTTGGGGTCGATTCTAGTACATATAAGAATACCTTTGCTATATATGCACTTATACAACATCAGTAGTAGATACTGTTCATAATGTTATATAAAGGTGTTTAAATGAAATATAAATTGTACCATACATTACATATCCTATTGCCTCTTGCCTTTTTCTCTCCAATTTGCTTTGATAAATATCCATGTTGGCCAGGTACAGTGGCTCACACCTGTAATCCCAGAACTTTGGGAGGCCGAGGTGGGAGGATCACCTGAGGTCAGGAGTTCGAGACCAGCCTGGCCAACACAGTGAAACTCTGACTCTACTAAAAAAACAAAAATGGCCTGGGTGTGGTGGCAGGCGCTTGTAATCCCAGCTACTCAGGATGTTGAGGCAGGAGAATCACTTGAACCTGAGAGATGGAGGGTGCAGTGAGCCGAGATCATGCCACTGCACTCCAGCCTGGGTGACAGAGCAAGACTCCGTCTCAAAAAAAAAAAAAAAAGAAAAAAAGAAAAATCCACGTTGACACACATTGACACCATTATTGTAACTGCTGTATACTTTTTCAGTGTATAAATATACCACAACTTATTCATTCTCTTACTGATAGACTGATGAGGACCTGAACTAAATGGTCTTCCAAACTTACGATGCTATGATTCAAGTAAATTTGGAGACTTAGAAACATTTTTATGAAGAGCCAATTACAACCAGGGAGTAATATACAGGGGACATGTTCTATTTCTAAAGCTGCATGATGTTTGCTATATTATTCTTTATACCATATATATATATATATGCTTCATAATTTTTATAATAAATTTTATAAAATAAATTAGAAATAGAATAGAAATAATACAAACAAATCCACTTAAAAATGAACCCTTAATCAATGACATTAGTGGAAATGTCATTTGGTCAATGTGTGCCAGTTCTGTGCGTACACCTTAAGAGAAATGCTGTCAGCTACTACGTGGGCAAGACTAGGCTGACCTGCTGGTGGACCCAGTCACCCTGTCACTCCAGTGCCAGTCAGGCCCCAGCTGTATGCAGATACATGAATGAGCTCCATTTCCCATTGAGACCAATGGGAAAATAATGTTCATTCAATAAATGGTACTGGGACAGCTAGCTATCCATATGAAAAAAATAAACTCTACTTCTTCGTTACCCCATACACAAAAATAAATGCAACATAAACTAAAGTCCTTAGTATAAAAAGTGGTCATTTAAAACATTTGCAAGTGAATATTTCTATTCACCTTAGTCACAACTCACTCTCTTCTCCACCTACATCTTATCACATTGACTGTAGGTATTAACAGGTTTTGTCACTCGACCTGAAGTCTGGCTGTGCGCCTTACGTATGGCATGGAGAAGACAAAGACTTTGGGCTACTTGCTGGTAAATTATCTTTATTCCTCTTACCTGTTCACCTAAAATGATCGGCTACTTATCCTGAGTCTAACAAAACCTAGATTTAAAAAATAATAGAACAAATGCAAACAGAGTCCAGCTGTGCTTTATAAATTATAGCTTTACCTGGAAATTCCTTGGCTCTGCATAGGTTTATCCACTAGATCCCAGGATCTTGCAAGTTTAGCTTCCTCTCTACTCTAATCCCTTAAGGATTCTGCCTGCTTTTTCTTATCCAATATTACTTCTCTCACCATGGCTGCCATGCACAGGAGCATGTGCAGTAGACCTCATTTGAACTCTTTTTCTTTTCATTCAGTAAATATTTATTATCTCCTAAGTTCTAGCCACTCTGTTAGTGCTAAGATAAAGCAGTGATGGAACAAAAACAATGGTCCCTTCCCAAAATCTAGATGGTTTCATTTTTTCTCCTATAATTCTCATTTCAGGGCAAATTTAATTTCCAGAAGTCATGAAATAAAATGTTTGTTCCAAAACTTTGCTACCTGTGGGCCAATTTAGAGCAAGTCATATATAATCATCTGAATATAATCCTAATATAATCATCCTAATATAATCATCCTAAGGCTTACTTTATCTGTCAAATGCTGATGTTAATATCTATTCTTGTCTATCTTATTATCTTACTGTGAAGATCCAATGAATTCTTGTTTGTCAACATCAAGGGATACAGAAGTCAAACCACTTCTATTCTTTATGATTTAGAGATTATTTTTTTTGATGTGCTCAGGGGAAGACAGTTGCTATAAACAAACAAAAAGTCCAAGCTATCATATTTGTGGCTTTAAACACTCAATTTGTGCTTTTACGCTAGCTCACCTGCTAAGGTTGGCAGTCATAAAACCAGTAACTTTCCCCTGATATCTAACTTCTTAATTCACTCTAATATCTCTCCTTCTGTGGAATAAAATCAACCAGAATGCTATTAGTTTGGGGATTTTTTTTTCTTTTTCTTTTTTCTTTTTTTCTTTTTTTTTTTTTTGAGACAGGGTCTCACTCTGTTGCTCAGGATAGAGTGCAGTGGCATGATCACGGCTCACTGCAGCCTCAACCTCCTGGGCTCAAGTGATCCTCCCCCTTCAGCCTCCTGAGTAGTTGGGACTACAGGCACGTGCCATGATGCCCAGCAAATTTTTTAAATTTTATTTTGCAGAGATGGGTTTTGCCATGTTGCCCAGGTTGGTCTAGAACTCCTGGGCTCCAGTGATCTCCCCACCTGGGCTTCCCAATGTGCTGGAATTACAGGCTCGTGAGCCACCACATCCAGCCCAGAATGCCATTAGTATAAGCCTTCATTGTTACATGCCAGGCAGGAGAGGCTCTGAAGAGGCCTCCTAATTTGGAGAAGGAGGAGGGGTCTTCTATAGGGATTTAGCAGGAAGGGGTCAGCAAGTTCAGCTAGTTTCCTAAGTTGTGAATAAGAATGGTTCTCAAAAGAGAGAAGTTCTTGTGGATTAGCACCTATTGTTTGGACAACGTGAATTTTATCAAGAGGGGATAGGGAGGAATAGTTAGGGGTTAAGGTCCTATGCCAGAGATGTGGGAAGGAAGGGACATGTAAAGGCCCCAGTAGGACATTCGCAGTACTTCAGTGCCTCTCACATCCTTTTTCTCATTGTTTCATCCTCCATTTATCTTCTGATCAAGATTCCTGAAGCCATCATGCACCAAACACCTCTTAATAATTGATGATATCAAGTAAATGACATCAATTTTGAGGTACAATTTTCTGCCTTGTGAGGTCAGGATTTAGAGAAATAAGTCTGGGAATATTTAATTTAATGTCACTTGCCTATTTTTAAGTACTTTACACAAAAGGCATAGTTTTCCCTTGAAAAAAGTTGTATTAAAGTATTTCTCACGTCAAAAAGCGCATAGAGGATAACCTTCATATCGTGTCCTTGTTAATATCCTTTGAAGGACCGATCCTATCCTGTGGTTGATAAGTAGAAGCTGAAAGTGCAAGGGAGGCATGAGTGCTTCTCCACATCAGCACATCACCATATGCTGAAGCATCTTGTCAAAGTGTCTCTCGTGGGGTAGCATCAGGGATTGTCACAGCAAAGGTGACCACATGTCCCAGTTGGGGAGTCATGGCTGTGCCTGTTGTCACAGCATCTTTATTAGCAGTGCCCTCATTCATACACAAAAGGGTCCTGATTCGGATGCTTCCCAGATGGCCACTCCATGTGGGAATGGCCCAGCTCCTGGGAATGTTGTTAAGCAGATGGTCTTCAGTTGCCTGCCCCTTCAGGGATTGCCTCAGCCACAGAGACCTGCCTCACTCAAAGCCACACCTCTTCCGAAGGCTAGCCCACATCCATGACTTTCAGAGATCATAAGGCCTGGATAGCTCAGGCTGCCTGAAGGGTCCTAGAGTTCTGGCTCTCAAGTGCCCCAGGGGGGTCCCTGAGAACCTGCATTGACACTTACTTTCTCTCTGCCCAGCCCTGCCTTCCTGCATTCCCTTTCACAGATGATGACCCTGGGGCACTCCTTAATAAATACTCTGCACACATTAAACTCTGCTTTAGAATCTGCTTCCCAGGGAAGCCAACCCACAACCAATGATACTGGGAGGGGCTTTTGACGCTGGGCCAAATTGTAGCATCAAAAGAAACGAAGGGTGGATGATCAGGAAGCTAAGAATAATTGCTCCAATGAAAAGCCTCAATCCATTGTCCAGTTTCCAAACCCTGAGACAGCTTTATCACTGGAAACCTGATTAAAGAAGAGTTTGGGTCCCCTGGAAAAAGGACTCTGAAACAACTGGCAGGTGGGAATGCTGAAAATGCCACTAGTCTTTCTCTGAAGGGGCTGATGGCTATTTACTTGAGTAATTGTGAACTGGGGAAAGGGGACTGCATAAATATCCTGAGGATTGTTGGACCCAGAATCCAAATTGACATTGATACTAGAAATCCAAAACATCATCATGACATCCCTATTCAACTGGGGGCACACAGAAGCCAGGTTATACACGTAGTCCTATCCAAGTTTCACCTCACAGTGGTCCCACTGAGTCAAGAAAACCATCCAATAGACACTTCTTTGGCCTGTGCATGTATAACCTAAATAGGCATAAGTGGTAGTCCGCATGGCCTTCATTCACATGGAGTCCGTGGTCTGTGGTACAAAAGTGATCCCAGTGTGGAAGGCCACTCAGAGGCCTCTAAGACAGCAGAGAACACAGAAGGGACTAGACATTGAGGCCAGGAGGGCCAACGCCCCAAATCTAGCACAATATTGCAATAAAAAGTCAAAATATTTCATCTTCCATTCTGTCTTTTGGCACAAAACCTCCTAAAATGGAATTGGAAGCACCATGCATGAGCTGAGCCAGTCAATGTGGCTGACGAGTTCTGCCTTGGGAAATGACTGATGTGCTCTTCCAGACATTGATTTATTGCTTAGGAACAACAGCTATTTACTTTAGCAAAGCTACTTAATATTAGAGTTAAACATCCCAGTCAGCCTATTGGCCTCTTTCTTTTAATAGCTGTTCTCAAGCTAATCAATGACTTTTAATAGCTAGGCTCAGTTATCAGCATAGAAGAATAAGTTCATTGATTTGACATATACTTTCCTTCACTGGGCAACAATTATTGCAATCTGAATTGTGCCACATTAGGCTAGAAACACCATGTAATCTTGCTAGTTACTTAATGCATTCTGGTGATTGGCTTCAAGAAGCTTTATAATCACACTGTTGATTTTTGAGTTAACAATACTTTAGATTCCACTGAGAGCTATGAAGCAGTCTGCATATAAAAGGTTAATAGAATAAGACATCCAATCTATCTCATTTTTTAAGGGTAAATAAATGGAAATTCTACAAGGATATGTAAATCTTAAACACACTTGGTATTCCACTTGAAAACTAGTATATTTCTAAAATAGAAAAATCACCCGATTTTGATATCTGTAGCTCCATTTAAAATGTGGACTATTTGATTTCATAAACATTTCTAAAATTAGAAATCATTAAAACTATTAAAAAGACATGTCTCCATTTCTGATTAAAAATGGGGAAAAATCAAGTCTTGGAATGTCATTAATACTATTAACCTAGGAACTAACCTAGCTGCTTAATTTTAAAGCAACAATATAAAAAAAGTGCAATGATGGCTCCAGACAGCCAGGGCAGCCTCTGGCTGGGCAGAGGTCCTTTGAGGTCCATGCAATGACACGTTTTTATGTGCCAGAATTTAGCCCCAGGAGACATTTGACAGTCCTTTGTTCTGCTGTTAGTACTGTAGAATTTAATATGATTGCTACAATTAAGACCTGTACTCCTTTCCTATCTGAACATTTCTCCTTGTTCCATTCATTCATTCTTTCAATCTTTTATTCAACAATTATTGCACTCCTGCAATGTGCCAGACCGCAAATCAGGCCTCAGTGATACCACAGTGAATAATATAATGATGGAAGCAAAAAAATTTCTTCCTTACACCCAGTTCTATCATTCACAGTTCTTTTCAAATATAAAACTTGATTGCTGCCACAGGGAAATGATTATGAATTCCAAGTCTACCTTGATTATCAATAATAAAGGATATTTGGGGCCAAATTCTCAGCTTGGCTTACATTAAGAGTCTATTGGGCTTTTTACAAAAATCTTATTTGTCCAGATTTTGAAATATTAAAATTTCATATATGAATGTAGAGACTAACTAACACTACAAAGTTCAGCATGCCAGATAGAAATATATTTGGTCGGGATAACATTTTATTAGGAGAAAAGTATGCTTAGTTTTGCCCTCTTGAGATGATAAGGTCTTCACTAAAATGATTGGATGGCATTCTCTTGGCCTAGAAATCCATATGCAATAATACCTAGATAGATTCATGAACTTGGGATTTTGTGGAAATAACAGAAGTACTTAAAAAAATGGACTGACCCCAAACTATGGAATAAAGACTATATACATTTTACTATAATTTACAAAGGTACTAATCTATATAAATGTATAGGGGGGTTCTGATGTAAATTCCAATTTCTTTTTAATGAGAAACCAATGGAAGCATTTTTGCTGATATGTTTTCTGAGATAGTCTCTGTTCTGGTCCAGTCTGAATTCTATTATAGTCCCTGGTATTATACTTCCTGTCAAAGTGTCTATTGTGGGGTAGCATCAAGGATTGTCACAGTAAAGGTGGCCACATGTCCCAGTTGGAGAGTCATGGTTGTGCCTGTTGTCACAGCATCTTTATTAGCAGTGCCCTCATTCATACACAAAAGGGTCCTGATTCAGATGCTTCCCAGATCCCCCTCCATGAGGGACTTGTGGCCCAGCTCCTGGGAATGTTGTGAGCAGGTGGTCTTAAGCTGCCTGCCCCCTCAGGGATTTCTTCAGCTTCAGAAACCTGCCTCACTCAAAGCCACATCCCTATCAAAGGCTAGCCCACATCCAATGACTTTCAGGGATCATAAAAGCCTGGATAGCTCAGGCTGGTCTGTAGAACTTCTACATCAGCATTACTTCCAGGTTCTACTGATGAAATATAATTTACTTTTCATCACATAATATCTCTATTGAGATAGGTTACCACTTTATATCAGAGCCCTTATTTATTTCTATTTGCGGGAAGTTCTTGGTCTTTTCTTCCTCAAAGGTTCAAAGCACCCTGTAAATATCACCTTTGTCCACAGATTTCTGTGGAGAGGTGTAAAGCACCAGCTGTCCACTCTTCCTAGTAATCCAGAAAGACTGCTATGGATCTGCTGGCCTCTGCAGCTGTTTCTCTACCCCAGACATTAACCCTAAATCCACATTCTCTGTTATAATCCCTCTTCTGTGTTTTATGGCTCTGGTAGTACATGTGGAATTATTTTTTACAACTATTTTCTAGTGATTAGCTTTACAAAATATACATATGAATCTCCGTGTTCTCCATCTTTTCTTCTGGAAGTATTTATCATATAGACAGAATTTGAACTATAGAGTAGCATAAGAAAATATGCTAGTTAGGGTAGACTAAACTATTGTTACAATGACAGCAAAACAAATTTAAGATTATATGATCACAGGAATTCACTGGAAGTTTGTTCGTGCTAATATAAAGGTCCAAAGCAGGTGATCCCAGTTGGTGGTGGCTTTCCTCTTTGGCTGTTTTGCATGGCCCTGGGGAAAGGTAGAATCATCTTAAAAAAAGACACAGGCCTGAACACGGAACACCAGGAGCAGCAGCCACAAGGGCTAAGGACCTGCAACTTTTCCGAGTTTCATGGGCAGTGTGGGCCTCAAGGCTCTAGTATGACTCCAAAGGAGTTGGGAGGGGTTTCTGAAAAGTGCCAGACACTGGAGTCTCTGCTACTTGTGATGAGTAAGGCCCAGAGCCTGATTTTGTTTGATTCAGAAAAACAAAGAGAACTTGTTTTGTAGAGTCATACCTGCTACATTTACCTAAAACACGGTTTATTTCATTGTTGTAATATAAAGCTACCAAATTTAGACTTCCTTTTTTTTGAGACTGAGTCTTGCCCTGTTGCCCAGGCTGGAGTGCAGTAGTGCCATCTTGGCCCACTGCAACCTCCCCCTCCCAGGTTCAAGCAATTCTCCTGCCTCAGCCTCCTGAGAAGCTGGGATTACAGGTGCACGCCATCATGCCTGGCTAATATTTGTATTTTTAGTAGAGACAGGGTTTCACCATGTTGGTCAGGCTGGTCTCGAACTCCTGACCTTGTGATCTGACCACCCCGGCCTCCCAAAGAGCTGAGATTACAGGCGTGAGCCACCGTGCCAGCCCAAATTCAGACTTTCTAAGCTTCTGCTAGCTTCCTTTTTGTCTCCAATGATGTGTTGGTCTTTTTACAAAGGATATTGGTGGTGCTCACAACATATGCATATTCTTGGAGATACTGTGTGGTCTTCTCTTTTTGCCCCTTCCCCATGACAGCTGTGGTCACATCCCTTACCCTTCATCCCTTCTACTATGGGTGGCCCTATGCCAGTTTCTCCCTTCCTACTCACTGTTCTCCTTCATTCTATCAAAAGTCTTATTTCCCCTTCTGCAGATATCTAGCTCTTATCCCCTTCACTCCCCTTGCATCTTTCTACTCTCCTATCTGGGCTTTGCTTTCTTCAGGCAAGCTGCCCTTTGTCAAATGCAGCTTCACTCCCAGAGTCACCAAGCTACTAACTGACTAGACTGTTCCATTTACAGTTTATGTAAAGTTACATTGCAATGCATGCTCCGTTTCTGGTTGTGGGAAGAGTCATTTTCTGATTCGATTCTCACTTGAGAAAGAATTGTCAGGATAAATACATAAAAATGATTTTTAAAAATTAGTTACTATGCCATGATGCATTACCCCTTGCCCGTAGGTGGCACTCTTATGTAACCACTCATGGGCAACAGTGTGCAGGTTTCCACATTACTGAATATTAGAAGCTTCATGGTAAAGACTCACGATGGAGACTTCAGATCATAGAAACCAACAGCTCAATAATTTGTTTCCTACATCTGTGGTTTGGTTGGGAGAAAAATACCTTTATAGCTGTAATGATCATTTGGAAGACTCATTCACTGATTTTTCTTTGACCTAAATTCTAATCAGTTTTTGCTATACTGCAATTTCCAGAGATAATTTAGTTTTACTATGTCTGGCTTACAAAATACATCACAGGCAATAAGGCATATTTCCTGATAAATCTTTTTGGTTTTTCTTTCACATTTGCCAAAATTTCTGATTTTTTACTTACAGTCATTTGGTGCATCATGAAACATATCAACAAACTTCAGTATTTTGGAGGTAGGGTGGAATATAAATGTTCAAAAATGTATTAGAATCATTACATAAAAATGTTCTTTTAAAATAAGCATAGTTTGGTTGGTAGTAAAAATCAGTGTGTGATACAGCAACAGCAGCTACTATCAATTGAACATTTATGTGTCAAGTCCTGTGCTCGGCATTTTCTCTGCATTATTTTATTCAATCCTGACAAAAAATCTTGTATATATTTACCCCATTTCTCAGATGAGAAAAAGTGCTTGAGAGATATGAAATGACCTTGTCAGCATCACCCACCTAGAAAAGGCCAAGCTGGGATTCAAACTCAAGCTGTTTTATTCCAAATGTCACACCAATTTTTACTCCACTACTTCCATGAGCTTTTTGTGCTTCCCGGCTATTCTACCCTTTTGAGTTGAATTTTGGATATCTATTAATGAGTAGTCAAGCCTATTTTCTTCTCTGCCTATTTGTTCAAACTGTCTGTGGTGTGTGTTGTGGAGAGGGGGGATGGTAGCATAGCTTTATAATTCAATTTTTTAAAATTCAAGGAAGTTAAAAATAATTTTGAGGCCGGGCACGGTGGCTCACGCCTGTAATCCCAGCAATTTGGGAGGCCGAGGCGGGCGGATCATGAGGTCAGGAGATCGAGACCATCCTGACTAACACAGTGAAACCCCCTCTCTACTAAAAATACAAAAAAAAATTAGCTGGGCGTGGTGGCGGGCGCCTGTAGTCCCAGCTAATCGGGAGGCTGAGGCAGGAGAATGGCATGAACCCAGGAGGTGTAGCTTGAAGTGAGCCTAGATCGCGCCACTGCACTCTAGCCTGGAAGACAGAGCAAGACTCCATCTCAAAAAAAAAATTAATAATAATAACAATTTTGAAAATTTGGGCCATGTCATAAAACTACATAGACCATAATGTTATGTTGGGTTTTCATGGAGAAATGTTCTTATGTATGAAGTTCTAGAAACACAAGAGCAGACCTTGGCAGAGATGTTTCTTGGTTAAGGCTGATTGAAACCACATGGAATGGGGGTTGATCAAATTTTAATAGGACTTTGGGTGGTTCATCAGTAGGGTGATGGTTTTCTCCAGTATGCCCGGGAACAACACAGGTTATACTGTTGTCCCTACTTAAGTATAAATAATGCCTCCTTCTCAAAAATGCTTTGGTCTGTGCTGTGATGTGAATGTCTCTGTCCCAAAATTCATATGTTGACATTTTAACCCTGAAGGTGACAATATTAGGAGGTAGAGTCTTTGGGAGGTGACTAGGTCATGAAGGCAGAGACCTTGTGATTGGGATTAGTGTCCTTATAAAAGACAGTGAACTAGCCCTTCTACAGTGTAAGGTGACAGTGAGAAGATGGTCTTATAACGAAGTGGGTCCTCTGTAGACGTTGAATCTGCAAGGGCCTTGATCTTGGACATTTCAGCCTCCAGAAGAGTGAGAAATAAATTTCTAAAGTGTATAAGCCACCCAGCATTCCATTATAGTTCCTCAAAAAGACTTAAGACAGTTTGGTAATTTTTATCGGCATCCTTTCCATGAGCAACTCCTCCCTGGATAAACAAAGATCATCATTCTTTGGGATCTGGCCCCCAAATGTAGCATGTGGACTTTGCATTTCATTGGAAATCAAAGTCTTGTGCAGACAACAGGAGGAATCTGCAGGGTTGTCAGCTGCTCGCACCTCTGATTGAGTTTGGGAAAACAGATCAGTTCAAAATCACTAGCATCTCAGCGAAAACTGCAGGATGATCAATTCCAAACATCACATATCTCAGCGAGCAGACGTTATCTACACATTTGTTTCTCCACATCCTCTTCTCCACATGTTCCCGTCTCCTCACTCAAATAGCTATTAACAATAACTCCAAGAAGCAGTGGGAACTAATGACAAGTTTCATCCCCTCAGTTTAATAACGCAGTCCTAATTCTCATGTATTCATTATCCCCCGGCACCAAACCATTTCCATTTGCACACCAAAGCAATCCTACATATCTTTAGTGTTAATGTCAGCTTGATCTGCACTGATCACTTTCATTAAGAATACACATTTACTGAGTAATGTGATCCAAAAACAGACGCTTCTCAAATAAACCACTCATTGTATTGACAAAAATACACCAGCATGAAGGTCAAAAGGCCTCGAGTTTTTTGTTTATCAAAGGGAAAAAATAAATAATGACTAGTTCGTTAATTGTATTATTCATTCAACAAACCGACTGGCTATGAGATGGGCACTGTGATAATTGATAGGACCCAAAGATGAATAATAAAACAGGACAGACTCCTAAGGAGGCAACTGTCCGATGGGAATGAGTGTCAGAACCCCATATTTGGAAAGCTGGGAATCCAGGGCATTGAGCCCTGGTTGGGGTCCCAGAGGGCCTGGTCTGTACTATGGAAGGGTCCGCATTCACCCACTGAGCATAGAAGAGAAGCAGATCTGAGAGACAAAGAGGGCAGAGTTAAGAGCTGAGTGGACAGTTCAACTAAAGCAATCATCAAAAGGCACTTGATTACTTCCCCAGGGCTGCTGTAATAAAGTACCGCTGAGAAAGTGGCTTAAACAACAGAAATGTATTGTCTCACAGTTCTGGAATGCTGCAGTCTGGAATCAACGTGTCGTTGGGTTGGTTCCTTCTGAGGGCGTTCAGGGAGAATGTGGTCCAGGTCTCTCCCCTGGCTTCTGGGGGTGTGCTGGCAATCACTGGAGCTCTTGTCTTGTGGAAGAATCATCCTGATCTCTGCCTTTGTCTTCATATGATGACCTCCCTGTGTGTATATCTTTGTGTCCAAATATCTCCTTTTCATAAGGACACCAGTCATATTAGATTACGACCCACCCTAATGACCTTATTTTAATTTAACTAGTTACGTCTGCAATGACTCTATTTCCAAATAAAGTTACATTCTAAGGATTTCAAAATACAAATGTTTGAAGGACACAATTCATAATGGAGCTGGACAAAGAGGCAGAAATATGGTAGCTAATAGGGCAGAAATTGGAGATACCAAGGTAAATCAGGAGGCAGGGCTTGGGCAGGGTCCCCAAGGTACTGGCATGCAGAGTTCTTGTTTGTTTTTTAAATGGACTTGTAGGGTGCACATGTGGAGAGAGGGCTGCTATGGTAAGGAGTCCATTCCAGGAGAGAGATGGATACAGTATTGGGTGTTAAAACAGAAGAGCTAATCTGGGCAGGTGAATGGGCAGGCTTTACACTTGTTTATACCACTTCATTTCTCCTTTTTCCTTTGACACCCCAAAGCTCTGACAATGAAAAAGCATAGTTATCTTCTCTTATTCAACCATCCCCAAGATCCTACATTTTAGAAGCTGCTTTTGGTAATGAAATTTACAATTATTTCAAACACTTTAGGAAACCATTTGCTTTTACTAGTCAGTGTGAAGGGGAGAGTAAATGATATTCAAACATTTATTGCCTACTACGTGAAGGGTATTTCTTTTGTTTTGTTTTGTTTTTCTTTCTTATTTAACCTCATTCAAGTTTCATATGACAGATACTTCTTTTCCTAAAATTTTGTAGTATTTCATCTCCTACATGTTTTAAAGGAAAATGCTTTGTCCTAATATTCTCTAGTATTGGTACATCAGCATGCCCTTTTAATCTTATCTTCAGAGTTTTTCTCAAATCAGCCCACTTTGTTCCAACTTCATTGCCATCGCCATAATAGAGGCCAGTGGTTCTCAGGGTGTGGCCTCCAGATCAGAGGCATCAGCACCACCTGGGAACTTGTTAGACACAAAGATTCTCTGCCCACCCCATGCGCCCATTGCACCTGCATATTCACAAGACCTACAGAATCAAAAACTCTAGGGGTGGGGTCTAGAAATCTGTGTTTTAAGAGCCCTCCAGGTGATTCTGATCAATATTATTTATCACCCGGTCTAATGTATTGGCCTCCTAACTGGTATCCATACTTATACGCTTGTCTGATCTCCATAGAGGAGCCAGAGTGACTCCCTCAAAATTTCAACAAAATCATCTCATCATTAAGATTTGTTTAAAATTTTAAAGCAAAGGCTTTCTACTGCACTTGCGATAGAAATAAATTCTCACCATAACTTACAAGCCCTCTTTCTCTTCCATCTTCCCCTTGCTCACCACACTCCTGGGATACTGGTATTGGAACTGATGGAACATGCTAAGTCAGCTTTGTTTGCTTCTGTACCCTGAACACCTGGTTCATAAGAGACATTTACTATTTACTGCATAAATCATTTAATTGGTAAAGATGTCCATATCTATCCTATCCACTGTGTTTATAATTTTGTTAAGTTCAAATTTGTTCTTTCTTAGGTATTATCTGTTTATATTCTAACAAGTCCTGTACTTCTCTGTTCTTGTCAGATGCCCCCTAATCTTTATCCTTTGGATTATTTTAATTAGCTATTAATAAAGTTTACAAAATATTAACAAAGTACATACTGGTACTATAAAACATGGGCTCATTTCCAGAAGCTCACATGCGAGTAGAGAAGCAGACATGCAAACACCTGTTTTAAAAAACGTACGTCAAATGCATAATGCAGTTTTGAACCATGAAGATAATATTTAAGCTGAGTCTGAAAGGAAAAGAAGAAACTCTCCAAGTAGGGAATTGCATGAGGATATTACTGGTAGAGGAACAGCATATGCAAAGACACTGAGCTATGAAGAAAACAAAGACGGCAAGTTCAGCATGGTTTGGTC
The DNA here is from genome assembly GCF_000001405.40 of Homo sapiens. Lineage (NCBI taxonomy): Eukaryota > Metazoa > Chordata > Mammalia > Primates > Hominidae > Homo > Homo sapiens. Next base: position 1,727,739 of record NC_000009.12, on the reverse strand, counting down.
TTAGGAAAGAGAAGCCACTCATGAGGCTGAGGACTGACAGTAGACCATATATATAGTAACAACCCTATAAGCATAAGGTGGGGGCAGAGTGTTGGATTTTACTCTGTAGATAATAAGAAGCAATCAGAGCTTTTGAATCCTGCAAGGGGGAGGGCCATATTTGAGTTTAGGGTCCCTCTGGTGGTAATGTGGTGGATGGACTAGAGAGGAAGGAGAGTGGCATGAAGCCCATTCAGGAGGCTGTAATTCCTGAACCTACTCTATTTCTTTCCTTTTTCACTTACGTGAAGGACACCCTGGGCCAGTCCTTTGTCACTTTATGCAAGGCGATGCACAACAGTGACTTCCTGTCTCCTTCAGGTGCTCTGCGTGCACTTCAGTCTTACTACTTTTGGAACCATGTGGGCTCTGTGTTAGCCAACATTTCCTTGAGCCCATTGTGCACCCTGTTACCCAGTGAATCTCCTCTGGAGTCACTTTCTCCCTGCCATCTTTCAACTTCCACATTTACAGTAGCCTCATTGACTACAGAATCACATATTCACTACTTCTGCTTTTCAAGACTCTAGTCAGCCTGTTTCTCCGTGCCTATTTCCTGGTATTAGTGAAACCCCAACCTTTTATACCTAGAAAGGACATTGATGAGTATCTATTTTGTAGATATGGAAATTAGTACTTAAGTAAATGAAAGACTTATCCAAAGTTACATACCAGGTTAGTATCAGAGGCAAAACTAGACTCTTTCTATCACAAATTCTTTCCTAAAGGATAATCTTCTAGATACGTGCACATGTGTGGTAAATAATGAAAATCATGATAGTGGTAACCTTGTAGCACTATGCATGGTGACTTATACTTTACAAAGTGATTATTATATTCATTGTTAATTATATTAAACTACATAACCTAAGTATCATAATCATTCCCTATTTACTGGCCAATACAGTCAATTTAGAGAGACTGAATGACTTCCTGAGATTTCTACAGTTTGTGCTGGCTGAGAAAATCCCCAAATCCAAGTAAACTCTGACTCCTAATCCTATGCCTTTTGAATCACACTCTGCAGCCTTGAGTGCATCCTGTGTTATAAATAAGCCTTCATATCTTCCCTTGAGCCCATGACTTTTTGGTATCCTGGGTTTTGTACACCTAAACACTAAGGGATAAGGATTTGTAAGTATCCATTTACTGGTTTACTCAGCACATTGACTTAAGTAGATGAGCAACATCTTGATTAAAAAGAATTGGAAATCAGAGGCTTTTGAATACGTAAGAATTTGATAAATTATAATGAGCCCGTAAAATAAGCAGAAGGGAATAAGAATGAGAAAAATAAAATTAAGATGGAATTCCAAAATATTAGGTAAGGGGAAGTTGCATAAATGCAGTGAAAATTGCAGAGAACATGACCAGAGCCCACAATGCAACCAAAACACAGCCACCATGAAAACCAAGGCACAATGATGCCTGTGTTTAAGCAGATCTAACAGAGATGCATGTACACCATTACCATCTCCCAAACCCAGGCAAGAGAAAGCATTCCTCAGAACTTCAACATGGCTTTATATTTGAAATTCATTATACCATTGAAAAGTGTGTTACTTCGCTGCACCAAAGTCTCTATTTTTGCTAATGACAAATGTACTAATAATAGCAACTGCTATTTGTTGACTGCTTACTGCAGAGGAGCAGGAACTGTGTAGTGTACTTTGCGCACATTAACTCACTGGTACCCGCAATTATTAGTAGTGTTCCCATTTCTTAGGTGAAGAAGTTGAAGCTCAGAGAGGGTAAGCAACTTAAGTTAATAGGTCACACAGTTGATAGGTGATAAGGTCAGGATTTGAACCTGGGACTGTCTGAATCTATAGCCTACACTTTTAGCAACTAAAACCTTTTTTGGGAAGTAGATTTGCATAGGAATTGTTATGCATTTTCCTTGTAAATCAACCCTCTTTCACAAGCATTCTCTCCAAAATGACAGCAGGTAAAGAACACAGTCTGATTCCCACCTACATTCAACAAATAACTGTGTGTAAAAGTAGGCGGCCTTAAAGTAAAGGTGTTATGTTGTGATTTTTTTTTTTTTTTTTTTTTGAGATGGAGTCCTGCTTCTTCACCTAGGCTGGAATGCAATGGCACAATCTCAGCTCACTGCAACCTCTACTTCCCGGTTCAAGCAATTCTCCTGCCTCAGCCTCCTCAGTAGCTGGGATTACAGGCACGTGCCACCATGCCCAGCTAATTTTTGTATTTTTAGTTCATGGCCATGTTGGCCAGGCTGGTCTCAAACTCCTGACCTCAAGTGATCTGCCCGCCTCAACCTCCCAAAGTGTTGGGATTACAGGCGTGAGCCACTGTGCTCAGCCGTGATTTTTTTGTATTATTGTTGTGTATATTTGCTTAAATTACTGTTTTTGTGTGCATATTTTGTGTAGCAAAATTATCATCAGGGTGATGTATTTTATAATAAATATTAACATTATATTAAAATCTAAACTTGATTTCTAAAATTATACAAGTAGATGTATTTGTTTTTCATCATGTCTCACAATAGTGCCAGAATTTGGGGTGCATATTTAGCTTGACCCATGCATGTGGTCTGGCATCATTTCCTATTATTGAGGATGCTTGCTTTGTGAAATAAATGAATGTCACAGGGAAAATGAGAATGATGACATGGGTTATTGATTTCTAAAAGTATCTAAGATGATTTGCAATAAATCATGAATTATATTTTATTCTTCCATTTTAATATTTTAATCATAACTCTTTAATCGTAAGGTGGTACATCTTGCCCAACAATTCCATAACCTTAATTCATTAGAGTGCCCTTCAAGATAGCAGTCAGACAAAATAGTAATTCCCCTCTTAGGAATTGGACCGACTAAAGCACTTATGAATTCGCTAAGAAAACGGAGAAGATTTCAGAAAGCAGCTTTCTATAATTAGTAAATCCCACCACTGAGACCAGTGCCAGCAACCCCATGATCCAGTTCAGAAGTCAGCAAACTGTGGCCCCTGGGCCAAATGGCCCACCACCTGTTTTTGTATATCTTGCAAGCCAATGATGGTATTTACATTTTTAAATGTTTTTTTAAAAATCTGAAGAAGAGGAGTATTGTGTGATGTGTGGAAATTGTATGAAATTCAAGTTTCAGCGCCCATAAAGAAAGTTTTCTTGGAATACAGCACACCCACTTGTTTCCATATTGTTGATGGCTGTTTTTGTGTTACGGCAGCGTAGCTGAGCAGTTTCCACAGAGACTATATGGCCCACGAACTTTAAAATATTCACTATGTGCTCCTTTACAGAAAAAGTTTGCTGGCCCCTGATCAGGAACATTACCCTCACTTCTTCAAAGGGATGTTGGGCACAGAAAAATACATACCCATGCACAGACACTGTTCTCATTCGAAAACCATCATCATTCATTCTCAAATACTTACTGAGCATGTAGTATGAGCCAATCTCTGGGGAAGGCATGTGAGATAAAGGGCTGAGTAACACATAGTCCCTTTGCTTAAGGAGTTTGCTATCTAGAAGATTAAAACATACACAGAAAATGCAAAGGCTGTAAGCTCAGGGCAAACAGAGGTATCAGGGGCGATGTTGTGCTTATAACAGGATCTGGTTAAGAGTCCTAGTGGGATAAAACTTTGACATAATTGTGCAAAAGGAATAACAGGTGTCTCGTTGATTATCACTTCTGTGTAGCCTGAGGGACAGTTATTGAGGAAGTACCCATTTGAGTATTCCATGTTCTTTGAATGACAAAGCTGGAAGGATCTTGAGGCTTTCTGTACACAAACGAATAAAAAACATTTTCTTTATAAAAAGAAAAGAGAAGATCTAGTTGTGCCTAAAGGTGCAGACATTTGTCTAAGTTGAATAAACTGTGAGAGATGATGTCATAATGTCCAGTTAACTGCATATTTAGAATCCTTTATAATGATCTCATCATTATAAATTCCTTCAGTGGTTTGTTACAATAATGACATAAATCTCAGTGAACTCATCTCATGTAACTATGGCTACCTTAAACCCTTTCTTTAGCGCTGCCCTGCATTTTCCATCACTGTTACCCTATTTTCAGAAGCAGCAACGCAAACACAAGCTCTTCTGAAGAAAGGATACATAATGACCTGTTGAAGCCAGGCAGGTTGCCCTCCACATACTTGCCCCATTAACCTGCCTTCCTTAAAAGTTTATCACTGGGTGTTTTATTTCCTATCATTCTGCATTTCTACTCACTCTACGACCATTTGCCTAACAGCTCAGAGAGATCTGAGATTATTGCTGCCACATCTTTTTTACAGATACAAGAAGGGAAAGTAGGAGTAGTTAACATGTCCATGTATTGCACAGATTCAGGCTTTAGAGAACCTTAAGTTTAGGCTACAGATACCAACTGAGCTTTTGGCAAACATTTCCTCTACCTCATCCTGAGAACCTAGAACTATGCCTAACATTGATGACTACATGGAATGACTGCCTACCCTTTTATCAGAATGTTATTTGTTTTTCTTATCATTTTCACATAGATACCTTTTTAAGAAACAGTATTACCATGGCTGGCAACAATATTTATCCGTCAATGACCACATGCCTTGCACTATTAGATGTTATGAAAGATCAAAAGGAATTCATCATTCTTGATGAATGCGTGACCTTTCCAGAAGTCAGGACAACTATCTGAGAAATCATTTAGGAAAAATCTTAATGAATTAAATAAACCCATTAATTAGATTTGAAATTTTCTCTAGACATTTCCTCTGATAAGGGTACAAAAAGCCGACATTGAATTCTAGGAAGAAGTTTCTTCCTTGTGGTTACAGATCCTTCTTAAGAAAACTGAAGCCTTGCTGCACCTCTGCAAAGACCCTAGGAAACAATGAGATATAAAAGAAAAAAGATAGAGTGAGGTGACATGACTTTTAGTCCTGCCTCTGCCACTGATTCATTCTGAACAAATCAGATCCACTTATTGAGCCTTACTTTCCTCATCTGGAAAACGGAAGTATAGCAGAGACAGTGCTCTGGGTTGCTCCTGTGCTCACACAGGAAGACTACAGTTCCCAGCAACCATTGCATCTACATGATACCATATGACTAAGTCCTGACCAATGGAATGTGGGTCACTTCCAGGCCTGGCCATAAAATGCTCCATGTGATCTTCCACCTTCTGCAAATGACTTTGAAGGTCTCTGAGTTGGTTAAGCCTCACATTGGCAGGAGCCTGGATCTCTAACTTCACTGCCTGAAGGAGATTTGCCCAAATGGGAACATCCAAATTAGACCTTGTGTGAATGGGAGCAAACTGTGATTCCATTAAGCCACTGAAATTTGAAAGTGTTACAGTAGTTAGCCTCGTCTGATGAAAACAGGTATGTTTACCTAGAGTTATCTGTAAGGACCTAATGAAACAATTTATATTCTTTTTAACTCTCCTTTTCTTTTGCAAACTATGAGTGGGCAATACAGTATTTGAATTATAATTTGCATTCTTTTCTTAACTGAAATATATGCAAAGCACTGATCTTCCTATGAGCTTTAGGCATCAAACTAACCTCTGTTTTGTGGAACTAACAACATGTTTGGTATCTAACGCTAGGAGTGATTCTTTTTCAATTACAGTCTTGTTACAAAACAACTGAAAAGACTGTCAGGATGACTATTTTTTCTCATTTCTACGGAGAAATTTCAAAGAATATGAGGTTATGAAAATTCTCAGTCCTGCAAAATTCGCACCGTGGCCAGTCTCAAACGCCAGTCCCTCCCCTGAGTTCTTCCCTTGCCGCCTTTACCAGAAGAACTCTGTACAGTCAAGATTGGAATAGGCTTATTTATAGGCTGAGAGAGTCTGAGAATCCTGAGACCCAGAGAGGTTAGACATCCTGAAGTAAATGCATTACAACTTTCTGGCGCTACAAAGGAAAGCCCACTTATTTGCAATGCTTCAATCCCCTGCTGGCTCTCTTCCTCCTTCCCTCCCTCCATTTCTCTCCCCTTCTTCCCTTTCTTTCAGGTCTTGATCCTCCAGGGCAGTTCTTATTTATGTGATTGTTTTATATAAAGAAATGAAAAACATAATAAAGGAAAAAGGACAGTGAGATTTGATAAGATGCAGCAATTGTCTGCCTTCCTGACAGACAATGTTTGTAGTCCAGCATCATTAACTGCACAGAGAAATCGAGGTGTTTTTCTAAATAAGTAATACTGGATGTGCGAGTCTGTGGCTGTTTAATTTATCATGATACAATATTGCAGGGCACACCTGTGTGAGTACACACTTCTGGATATTGCTGTGCATAAATACAGCTAGCTGGATCCTTGTCTGTGTGACCTGGCAGCAGTCCAAAAAGGAAATTTTCATTGATCTTCCAGTTTAATTATATCTGTGGCGATACCTACTACCTTGTGAATCATCATGTGGGCTCGTTAGGCACCTGTTCTCTCTCCACTTGCAAGGAAAATGTTTCAATTAGAATAAAAAAATGATTAAAGATCTTTCCTCTTCATTTCTTGCCCTAGGTAACTGGGAGGAAATTGACATGAATATGCAGCTAGTCAGGCGCAGAGCAGGTCAAATCACAGACAGGAACTTATTAGTTCAGTGCCATTTCCCCCAATGCACTCCTGCCTTTCTAATCCACACGTACAAATCCAAGATTCATCCTATAGGTGTCATATATATATATATATATATGTTTTACTCAAATGAAAGCTCCATAAAACATCATAAGTTGTTACATTATTTCTTTTGTCCTGAAAAGTCTAATTCAGGGATTTATATGTGGCTGAAGATGCAACTGCTGATGACCAAATTTCTTGGGAAAGAAGGAGAGAGAGGAACCTATAAATATTTAGTATGGCAGGGTCTGTATTAGGTACATTTATGTAGTGTATCCCCAGGTAATCTTTATACTAACATGGTAGGGGAGGTGTTAATAGTTTTACTTTTCTGATGAGGAGACAGGCCAACCAATATTCACACTTAGATTGGTCCGGTTCCAAAGTCTACCCCCGAAACATACGCTTAAATGCCGATTGTTGTGTGCCTCTGAGATGATGTGGTTGTTTGTTAAGCAGTAAACAAAAACAGTGAGTAGATATCATTTATCCTACTCTCTAAGATTGGCTTCATAGGTGAAGAAAGCTAACAGTGGCTAGGAAGCAGATTCTTCCAATGGCTTCTTAGTGAGGCTAGAAGGTATCGGCACGCTTCTGCATGAAGCCTCTTAGTTCCTTCTAGTTTGGATAAGAAATAAATCTAATAACTATGTGAACATATTGAGCAGCCTGCTATATTTCAGCTGGTTACAGTCTTTTGAAGGATCATTTCAGGACTATAGTGGATGACAAATCAGAAAAATACAGCTCTAGTAGCCAAGGCTTGGACAGTTAAGGATATAGGAAGTTAGGAATTTTATTTAAAGTGGACAATCAGCAAGTAGTAGAGCAGCAAGCTCCGTGAGGGTGTGTGGCATGAACTCTTACTCAACTTTGTATACTCCCAAGACACCTGAAAGAGTGCCTGGAGGTACTGATCCACTCTGAGTGTTATTTTCTTCACTAAAATTGAGGATAATTACTTGATTCATCTGTAGGTATGGCTGGCTATAGGTGACTGTATGTAATAACAAATATGCAATATATAACATAGGGTCTGACCTATACTAAGGGCTCAGAAAATTTGAGTTCCTAGTGGACACTAACATCTGTTTTAGTGACTGGAATTAAAACCAGAAACCAGGGTCAGAGCAGTCCAGTAAGTCAGAACCAAGTGGTACTCAGAACCTGGCAATCCCCTGATGACACACTTTGGGACCAGTCATTGCTTGGCAATGAGGCAAAGGTGCCCTCCTTCACTCCCCACCTCCAGGATGCAGGGTGCTTGTCTGTACCTTGACTTTGGCGTTGACCATATGGCTTGCTTCAAGCAATAGAATATAAGGAGTGTGATCTGATTGAAGGCTTGAAAAGCACTTGCACAACTGACCTTCATCTCTGGCACTCTACCAGTGCCGGAAGAACGTGCCCAAGTGAGCCTTCTGGTCCAGGAGGAGGATGAGAGGCATGTGGGGCAGAGTCACTTCAGGACAGGTCAGGTCAGGACAGGACCAGCCAACACTTACCATCCCCAGACATAAGCTAAATAAATGCAGATCGTTGTGTGCCTATGAGACATTGTGGACGTTTTTTATACAGTAAATGAATACAGACAGTGAGTAGATGCCACTCATCCCACCCTCTTATATTGGTTGCCGAGATGGAGACAGTAACCAGGAAACAAACAGAAGGCACCAGCACACTTCAACCTCAGTTAAGAAGATGCTAAGTTCCTTTTAATTCAGATAAGTGTTCATCAATAACTGTGGTAAAAGGCATTGTACTTTAGGCTTGGGAGAGCAACTGGCAATTACTGCATCTCATAAGTGAGAAATCCAAAAGTGACATGGCTGGTCCGAAGACACACAGGTAGTGGATTTGCAGTTCCATTTGCAATTTTTTTAGAGTATGGCCATTCTAAAGAGACCACACAAGCCTGGCAGAAATGTAGGGTGTTGAATCAGAGAGTATCAGGTGAAGAAAAATGAAGTTTATGCCTGTTGCTCAGGCTGAACCATTGACAGAAGTGAAGCTATTGTGACTGTTTCTAATTTGGTCTTGAGGTGTCGCTCTTGACCGTGGCAATGTGCCAAGATAATCACTGTCTAGGAGAGCCCTAATGGGAAGGAAGGAAGGTTCAGGTGTGTGTGTCAGGTGAGACACAAAGAGGAGGTAAAACCAACATGCATAAAACAAAATAAATTTATTACTCACAGGTCCTGAAGAGGTTGGGTGTGCCGGCTGGAACCCAGTGGGAAGTCTGGAGGGAGAAAGGAGCTCAATCAGCCAGTGGAGATCAAGTGAGAGAGAGAGAGGACTATGCCTTTATAACAGTCTGCAGGTGTCATTCCTTAGGCTTTCCTTTAGGGGTGTGGATTGGCTAGCTTAAATAAAACACTAATGAAGGGGGAAACCCACTTATACGACTCTGGTGTTGAGCATTAGGTTTTATCATGGTCAGCAGCTGTGCAATGTTTTAGTTTTGGGTTGGTGACAAGTGAGCTACATCTCAAACAATCATATGGGAAGGGGCCAAAGGAGATGGAGTATGACCGGGTTTCAAATAACTTTATGTCAGGCCTAGAAATGGATGTCAAAGCAGCAACTATATTAAACACATTTCTGTCAGACGTCTATGTCTCTGATTCCTGGAATGTGCTCTGTGCTCTTGTGAGCCTAGTGACTTACTGTGGTGGATGTCATATTAAAACATTTTACATTCTATACTACCATTGTCATTATTTTGCTTACCTGGAGCCCATCACAGTATCAGATTTGCTCCTACTACAGTTCATATGATGATTTTGCTTCCCCAGTGAGTTTCTCTTTATTCCTTTGAACTAGATGTCCTCATCACCCCAGGAGCAAGGAATTTCTAAGTTACTTGGTGTGTTTTTAGTAAACAGCTGTTTCTGTGGAGTTGTCCCTACGCTGTCTTGTAAGTGGCCTTATACCAGCAGTAAGCCTCAGTATCAGAGTTATCCCTGTGTAACTAGGGAGTGAAAGTGTTCAGAAATGAGCTTGCTGCATATTCACTACTGGCATTTCCCGTATTCTTACATCATGTTCTGGAAGATAAGCTGTATGTGTGCTAACTAGGAAAGGAATATAAGCCACAGAGAGCCTCCCTGATCTAAGATGCTATCTATTCATATTTTGCTCATTTCCTAGTGCTGTCCATTGCAGGATGCACCATAGATTTAATAACAGATTTTTGAAAATTTAGGGAAGACACTATATTACATGTACAATTGGTGGTAAAATGCATATCAGTTTCAGTGCTACTAAAATATGAAAAAGCATGCCAGGCACAGTGGCTCACACTTGTAAATCCAGCACTTTGGGAGGCCGAGGTGGGTGGATCATTTGAGGTCAGGAGTTTGAGACCAGCCTGGCCAACATGGTGAAACCCTGTCTCTACTAAAAATAAAAAAAAAAATTAGCCAGGTGGTAGTGACGCATGTCTGTAGTCCTAGCTACTCGGGAGGCTGAGGCAGGAAAATCGCTTGAGCCTAGGAGGTGGACGTTGTGGTGAGCCGAGACTGTGCAACTGCACTCCAGTCTGGGTGACAAAGTGAGGCTCTGTCTCAAATAAAATAAAATAAAATAAAATATGAAAAAACAATGCAACTCAAAATTGAGAAAATATGCATTCCCTAATGGATGCAGATGCCTCACCCCCACCATTTTCTCCTTTCTTTGCATGGCCATGGTGCTTAGACTCTTGTGCCATTATCTCAATTCAGGTGCTAAGACACTTTACCCATATATCTTAACTGGGTCTCTTTTGTCTTTCCTTATTCTGACACGAAAGCATGGTTTTCAAAGGAAGCCCTTTGTATTCCCATTTTCCTCTCAAGTCTATAATTCTACCTGCTCATTCTTAGAAATGCATGTGTGATTCCATTTCTTCTGGGCAGGGCAGCTGGTAGCATGACATAGAAGCTGAAAATCTCTTATGCCACCATGAACTAGAGCTGTGGGTAAGGGAAGTGGGATAGAGGTGTCCTCTTAACCTCAGAGATCTCAGCTCCCTGAGGATTGGGAACTCACTGGAACTCATCAGGGTTCTTAGTTAACCATTCCTGGCTGACGTAAGAATAGGAATTTAGTGAAAGGATTTTAGGGTACTTAGAAAATCACTAGGAAAGCTGGAGAACCAAGTTCTAAAAACAAGCAGAAAAAGAGAGGCCAGAAGGAACCAGAACTACAGCCAGCATTATATCACAGAACCATTTGGTGAGGGCATCACTGCTGAAGGGGCCCTGTGCCACAGCTGCGACTTGCTGCCATTGGGTAGAGACATGGCTGCTGGCACCAAAACTGCTGGTGACCTTGGAGAACTGCATCCTGGGAGATGCTGATGTAACCACCATCTAAATGTTTTCTCTTCTTGGAACATTCTTCCCCCAGATAGCCACATGGCTTGTCTCCCAACTTGCTTTAGGTCTTTGCTCATATGTCACCTTTTCAGCAAGACCTTCAGGGATCACACTATTTAAAACTGTCTACCCTTACCATCTGCCCCCTCCTCCAACATATTCTAATCCATGATGCTGGCTTTTATTTTTTTTAAATAAAATATTAGTTAACAGCATCTGACATACTATATAGTTCACTCATTTACCTGTTTATTTTCTGCCTGCTATAGAATGTAAACTCCACGGGGCAGAGATTTTAGTCAGCTTTGTTCTCTGCTACAGATTCAGTAACTTGAAAAGTGCCTGGCATAGATAAAGTATTCAATACACATTTGTTGAACAAATGAGTCAATGAATGAACTGATCCCTAATTGCTTCTGTTCTTTCAGTCACTAGTCCTCAATTCAAACTCTCTGGTGAGTGACATCTGTTGGTTGAGTCCAGGTCACATGTTTATGTCCCAACTTCAAGAAAGCTGGAAATATTAAAATATTATTTTCTATAATGATATTTGTTTTTGCTTCATCTCTTACCCGGGCTAATACCAACATTTCTTAACCATCCTCTCTGTCACAATTCTTTATCCTTCCCATTTTGTATTCTGCTTCCATAGAGATGTCTCTGAAGCACAAATGTAATGATAATAAAATTACATCATCTCCAGATTTAAAACTTCTCTGTCCTGCCGTACCACTGATAAGCTAAAGGCCAAAGTATTTGCCATAGCATAAAAGACTGCCCACGCTGGGCACTGCCTGCCCCTTTTCCTGCTGTCTGGAACACTCTCTCTCACATCTGCCTCACAAGCACCTATTCTAATATCTTGCCCAAGTACTTCTTTTCCTTGAATCCCCGTCCAATGTGAGTCACAACATCTGACTCCACTCTTGCCCTTCATCTGCACAGTAAAACTTTTACTCACTATTGGCTGTCACTGGAGTTTTTTGTTTTTGTTTTGTTTTTGTTTTTGTTTTCAGACAGAGTTTCGCTCTTGTTGCCCAGGCTGGAGTGCAGTGGCATGATCTTGGCGCACTGCAACCTCCACCTCCTGGTTCAAGTGATTCTCCTGCCTCAGGCTGGAGTGCAGTGGCATGATCTCGGCGCACTGCAACCTCCACCTCCTGGTTCAAGTGATTCTCCTGCCTCAGCCTGCTGCATAGCTGGGATTACAGGCAACTGCCACCATGCCTGGCTAATGTTTTGTATTTTTAGAAGAGATGGGGTTTCACCATGTTGGCCAGGCTCGTCTCAAACTCCTAACTTCAAGTGGTCCACCCGCCTTGGCCTCCCAAAGTGCTGGGATTACAGGCATGAGCCACTCTCACTGGAGTTTTACATACCACTTGTGCATCCCTGGTCACAAGTTCAGTCTCTTTTCTTCATTCATTCAGAACATTCAGTAAGAGAGACTTCTGTATGCCACATCCTGAGCTACGTGCTGGTGGTTCAATGATGCTGAGGTAGACCTAGACCCTGTCCTTAGGGAGCTTACAGTAAGCAAAACAACTATGTAAACAATGCATTAATACATTCTACGAAAGCAAAATGCAGAGTCCTTTGATAGCGTCAAACAGGAAACAGAAACCTAGTTGAACAGCTTAAATCTCAGCTGAGACCTGAAGGGTGAATTGAAGTAGAGGGTTGGGAGTAGCTGGTAGGAGGGCAGCAGAGGAGGAGAAATCATGAGAAAAAAAGTCTCAGGCAGCGGGTAGAAATGTCAGGTTTGAAGTCCCTCAGTTACGAAGAAGTTGTGCATACTCAGGAAGCCAAAAGAAGGCTAGAGTAGATGAAGTAAGTGATAAAGAGGGAGTCTGGTGGGAGATGATGCTACACAGATAGAAGAGAATTGGATCACACTGGGCTTCATAGACCATATTAAGCATTTTGGATGTGATCCTAAGGACAATGGGAAGCCATCTAAGAATTTTAAGCCCAAGAAGCCGAGGTTCTGATTTGCATGTTAAATATATCATTCTGGCCACAGTGCTTGTTAAATACGGTCGAAGAAAGGCAAAACTACCCTAGTCTGGGAGACAAGTGGTTGTGATGGAGATGGGCCAGCCTAGTGACACCGAAGGTGGAAACAAAAGGTGCATTTCAGAGGCATTTATAAAGTGATTGCTCTGGTAATGATTGGGTGTGGAATGTGAGGTTGAGGTGTATCTGCAGGAGGACTCATAAATTTCGAGTTTAAAAACTATGTCTGGGCTGGGCACGGTGGCTTACGCCTGTAATCCTAGCACTTTGGGAGGCCGAGGTGGGAGGATCACCTAAGGTCAGGAGTTCAAGACTAGCCTGGCCAACATGGTGAGGAAGAAGAATCGGTTGAGCCCTGAAGGTGGAGATTGCTGTGAGCCAAGATGGCACGACTGCACTCCAGTCTGGGTGACACAGTGAAACTTCATCTCAAAAACAAAACTATGTCTATTTCCTGTAATACTTTGCTACTCATACTGTGGTCCATGGACCGGTAACATTGCATCTCCTGGTACTTACTAGAAATACAGACTAGTAAATGAAAAGTTCCTAATGTGATTTGTACGCACATTCCAGTTTGAAAAGCACTGTCCTAGTAGACCTTGAGCTTGTAATTTTATCACAGTGCTTACTTATACATAGAACACTGCAAAAATTGGGCAAATGAATATATGCATATTCATATATGTGTGTATGTATGTATATGTCCATCTATGTACATACACTCATTAAGGCCTATGCAAATAAACTAAGCAATAGGCAAATATTCCTAAAGACTGGAGCTTTGTAAATTGCCATAGAAGACAATTTACAAAATGGTAAATTTTTCTGTTTTGAAAAAGTACTCTGCACAAGATCTACAGGGGAGGCGTTGTACTTTCCAGACAATTGTAACTAAAATAGTACAGGAATAGCAAAAATAAAATATTAAACAATGTGATTTTGTGGGTAGGAATATTTATATGTGATTGCTGTGAATAAGCCTGTAGACCTGTGGCTGCATGGAGTTTCTCAGTTGACCAATATAGAAAAATGGATCCACTTTGCTGGTTCCCCTGGATTATTCTTGCCTTGCTTGATGAAGGACAGTTTGGGAGAAACCAAGACAAGCAGAGACACAGGTGGCCACATGTAGTTTATTAATAGCAGCACAGTCTGCTGAGTGGCCTTTCCTGCCCTTTAGTTTTTTGCTAGAAAATGAGTTAACTAGTAGGTTAATTGAATGCTATCTCGAAAGTGCACACACGTCCACAAATGCTCACGTGTGTGTGTGTGTGTGGTGTATTCAGGTTGCTCACACTTCAGGAGCTTTTGTGTTCTGGGGAGGGGGTGGCTGTTGAAACTACCCTCCCACTGATTTCTGGGTCCTCACTGGCCACCCTGGAACTCTGCCCACCATAACTCACCGAGATGTGTCTGTCATTTTTGACTGGGTGTGATTATAGCAGCCCAGTGACTTGTCAGGTCCCAAAGAAATTAAAAAAGGAAAAGTCCAGATGGTGACATTTGTGGTGAAAAAGAAAAGTGTCTTTTTCAGTCAAGCTGCCTTCCAATTATTTAAATTTATACAGATTTTATTTATTTATTTGCCATTTTCTCTTAGAGAAGGAGAAAGTTCTGCGCCTGGAAAGTGGCTGCCTCTCACCCATGGCATGGCTGGGCCTCGGCTGCCTCTGGCTGGAGCGACTGCTTTACAGTGGAGTAAGAGGAGGGCACGGATATCTGCCGGGAAGTAGACCCCCCTGCTCTGTGGAATGCCTGTCTCCTATTGTTCTTTGATCTAGTAGCCCCTCCAAGCCCCTCCTCCCAAAGGTTTAATTTTTAATATAATGAAATTCAATGTTATTAATACTTTCAAAATTTGAGGAGAAAAATGTATACCTCTTTGCTTCTTTCTTGAGTCTGACACTATATGAGGTCTCATAAATGCTATGATTAATATCAAGTAACGTTTAATAGAAGCTTAAATGTTTTAAGCACTGTTTTAAATGCTTTACATGCATTATTTCACTTAAGCCTCATAATGACCAGATGAGGTATGTATGAATTATTATTCTCATTTTTTTCAGATAATAAAATGAGAAAAATGAAACTTCAGGAGGTTATATAAATATCTCAAGGTCACACACTAGCAGTGGCAGATCCATAGTAAGAATCAGGTTATCCAAGTCCACCATGACCACCAAACTTTACAAACAGAATGGCAAGCCGCACAGTATAACTCCACAGCAAAGGAAGGATTAAGCCTGGGTTCCCTGGGGATACGGAGGAAGGTTGAGTAAGATCAGAGGAGACGAGCTCAGAGGGATGTGTAGACGCTGACCAAATGCAGAAAAGATGTAAGGGCAGGAGGTACAGCATAAACAAGGACAAGGAGGCATGAATATGGTGAAATTTTGGCAGTACCTATGGTGAGAGCACTGGCGTATGTGAAAGATGAGTTTAAGGAGGCAGGAAAGCAATGCCATGTTGTGGAGGGCATTTGTTTGCCACACTGTGTTTGTTCTTCTTTTAGATGTGGGGACATTTGAAAATAAAGAAGTGATGTGGCCAGGTCTAAGATTTTAAATTATGCAATAGCCAAGTAGAGGATAAATAATGTTTTTCTCTTACATTCTTCTCTCCCCCTGCTTCCATCTGCCTGTAACCCCTACATGGGAAGACCTCAGGGAATTGGGTACTTGGGTATGTCTGGTTCTCAGCCCTTGGTCAGTCAGCCTTGAATGCTAGCCTTGGCTCCAGATCTATCCTGTTTGATCTTGCTCTGGAAAGAGAAAACAGCTTGGGCGATCCCTTGATTCTCTGGCCTTCCCAGTGGAAGTCTAGGTATACAGACAAATTATGAATATTCTGGGAAGCTGTGACCAAGAGAGATGTGGGTGAGGGAGCCCTTCTGTCTTCCACAAGACAGCCTTGTCCCATCTCCATCCAGCTCAGCTCAATCCCTGTACTCATCCCATCTGCCTAGAGCCCCAGCACATTCCTATCCAAGTCCAACTTTCTGAGTTCAAATGTTGAAATTACATCCTTTCCCTTCAACCTGATCTCTCACTTTTTAAAAGTCTCTTAATTTATATTTTAATCCTCTTTCCCCTTACACGACCCTGACCCAAATCCACCTTTGAAACTTCTAAATTTTTATAAAGCCTAGTGAGAGCTACTCTTCAGCTCTCACTTCTATATTGTCTCCACCATTGGAGACAATATAGAAGGTGAAGGGTACCTAAACCTTCTCATGAACCCAGTTGTAACCCTCATGTTAACAATAAGGATTTTTCAGACTGTGTATAAGACAGACGTGCTCATTTTACTTTAGTGATTGTAATTTACCATTGGGATTCATGAAGCATTCTTTCTGCAGCATCCCCAGTGGTTCTTCATAGAAGTGAATTATCCTTGATCAATATTTAAGGATATGGAATTGGATGGTAGAAATTGAAGATTTCTGTAAGGTAAGGTGGAAATCCCTTAACCTGAAAAAAAATGCTACATTATCTGTCCTAAAACAATTTACTGCCCCTTCTTTTAATATCTTCCCAATTCCCATACTCACCAGGCCCTAATTCTTAAAATCCTTTAAAATTCATGTCAAATGGAGCCTCCAGATGGGACACATTTCATGTGGGATCACCTTAAATAAGATAGAGACCTTGACAGGGTTAAGATCATGTTATCCGGAGATCATTGAGACTGTGAACCCCAGGTGTAATAAGGCTGTGGGGAGACATAGATATTTAGGATTCACTGCTCCTGATGAAGATATTTTCAAGGCAATGATCTCTCCAACCACCAAAACCACTGAGGATCAAGGTATGTCAGTCTGTCTCCAAGTACCTGCATCTCTGGAATTGTGTTGCCAAAAGCATGTTAAAGTACACTTTCAAACATACCCTAACATGATAGATACCTGAACAAACATGCACAAATTTCAAAGTGCCAAGCATATGTTTTATCATTCCTATGCATTGAGGATATAAAACAATTGTGTTTGAGAGAGATAATTTATGATAATGATAGGGAAAGGAGATGCTTCCCTTGTCACTTTAAGTCCAACAGGATCATTCTGTCAGCTTGATACATGTCCCATGAAACTTTGGCCTGTGTCTGATAATGATTTGAGTAATTTGGAGGGCAAGAGTCTGGGTCCTGCTTTGGTAATGGAGCACAGAGTTGCCGCTGCATGGGACTTGGCCCACATTCCAGACACTTTGGACAAAGGATGAAGGAAAATTTTTCATACGGCACATGGGAGTCATGTATCACCTGGAAAGTACAAATGATGTTCCCAATAGGGCCTGTGAAGAACCTCAAAAGTACCCAAGAAAAGAAAGGGTTAGATTTAAACTTTGTCAGGACAGAGAGCATAACGCTGTCTTAGCTGATTAACCATTCAGTGAGAATATTCTGCCCTCATAGACTTCATTCCCTTCCTCTGGTTTTAGCCCTGGTGGCATTAAAATCATGATACCAGATAAGTGAGAAGAAGTGGAGTCATTAAGTGGAAAAAAAAGAGAAGAAAGAAGGACCATGTCCACGTTCCCTGTCTTCTGGCTTATCAAAAACCCAACCCTGGGAAGAGAAAATAATTTTGAGTGAAATCCAAAGTTTAATATATAGAATTGGGCACTTCCCTGAGCTTGATTCTCCAGGTCCTAATATGGGTTGAGGGCATGAAAATGAAGCCGGTGAATATAAACTGTTGTATCTATACAAATGAAGTTATAATTGCAGTTAGGAAGAGGTCTATAGACTTCAGGAAGCTGATTTATTTGTTTTAAAAGGTGTGAAAGACTTGAACAATTTACTTAAGCATGGGAAACAATCAGGGAGAGGGAGAGATTTCAGACTTAAGTAAGAGTGGAGATAATTGATGGGGCAAGTCCTTAAAGAGGTTGGGAGGGAAGAAATCCTTAGGTAAAAAAATTAGTTTTGGAAATGAGAAAAGGTATTCTCCTCTGACACTGGAGATAAATAGCTGAGGATGGATGAGAAAATAAAGTCTGGGGTTTCACTATAAAAATTGAGGGAGTTATATTGCCAAGAAAACATTCTCACCTAGTTTTGTTATAGAATTCTCAGTGCCAGTAATCAAAGAATGGACCTGACTCTGCGATGTCTAAAAAAATTTAGGACAGTTCTTGGAGGCATCTTGGGAAGTCTCCAAGGTGAACATTCTTGACTCATCTTTCCAATCCCATGTGTCACAGGCCCCCTAGTGGCTTCTTTCTTCTGACCCCTGCTTTCATTATAGGTATTAGATAAAGTACATTGGGATCCAAGACAGTGTATTAAGCAGACAGTGTCCAGAGAAACATAACAGCAAGAAATAAATTATGTGGTAGCATGATCCTGTGTTGAATGGTTTGAGGTCATCCTGCCATAAGCAAGAAATAATGGGTGCCAAAGGGGAGAATCAAAATTGTGAAAAACAAAAAGAATGGCCAAGATTATACTGAAGTCAGTAAATTATCTTTAGTTTATTTGTAGCAGGTTGATCTTTGCCTTTTTCAATGTTACCCCAAGTTCTCAAGAGGCTACCTACACAGGTTGTGGCAGGAAAAGGGGAATTAGTTGTTTGACTGAATGGATCAAATCAACCATGCATTTTACCATCACGTATCCATGGTCATCCATGTTGTCAAGCATTCTCGTTAAATAACATGGCTTCCCAATACCAAGTAACTTGTACACTTTAACCTGTTCCTTTATGACTGATTGCAGTCATAGCTAACTGTTTCCACAGGAGCAAATGGCAAAATGTATTGTTGGAAGTAGGCTAGACATATTCACTATATTATTAGTCCTTCATTCTCTGTTACTTCTTCCATGTTTGGTGTCTACTCTTTTCGGCTAAATACAGAGTTCATTCTGTTGGCACATGGGTTAGTGCATTTGTGCTGCTATAAGAAAATACCTGAGTGGGTAATTTATAAACAACAGGTTTTTTTTTTTCTCTCTCTCTCTCAGAGTTTTGGAGGCTGGAAAGTCCAAGATCAAGGTGCCGGCAGGTTTGTCTGATGAGGGCTGCCCTCTGCTCCCAAGATGGTACCTTGATGCTGCAACTTCCAGAGGGGAGGAAGAATGTGTCCTCACATGGCAGGAGCCAGAAGGATAAGCAAGCTGTGCAAAGCCTTTTTTATAAGGGCCTTAATCCTGTTCAAGGGGGAGGAGCACTTATGATCTAATCGCCTCCTCAAGGTCCCACCTCTTAATGCCTCACACTGGCCATTACATTTCAACACCTGAATTTTGGAGGGGACATATTCAAACCATAGCACATTCCTCCTTATCATAGTCATCAGGGCTATCTATCCATAAATGGCTTGATAGAATTTCACATTGTACATGTTAAGTCTTCTGGAACTGATTTAAACTAATTCAAACTTTATGGAGCTCTTGCTATGTTGAAAACTCCCTGCTAGGTACTGGAAGGCAGAAAAAGATTGACAGGATGAGATGTCTGCTCTCCAGGCACTCACAATGCCTCATTGAGAAGGCAAGCATAAATATGGTAGACACAACGCAGACAATAAGTGGTATATTAGAAGCAGAGTCCCTCCCTCATAGATTCAAATACATTTTTAAATTAAGTTTTTCATATATGTTTTCCTAAAGGCAGAGGATATTTTTGAAGGTCTTAGAATTACATTTTTTACAATCATACTCTTTGAGGATAATATAAATAATTTCTTACAATAATCTTACCCTTTTTTGTCATCAATATATTTTTTTTTAAAGACTGCTTCATAAAGCAGTTTCAGGTTCACAGCAAAATTGAAAGGAAGGCTTAGAGACTGCCCATGTATCCCTAAACCCCACACAGGCATAGCTTCCCCCACGGAGAATTTCATACTTGTTACAATTGATGAATTTACAGTGACCCATTATAATCACCCCCAGTCCCAGTGTTCTTTTCAAATCGAAGAATCCTGTCCCTCATTACTTTTTATACCTTCTTAGAGATTAAATTGTGAATAAGGCAGGGATTTATCAGATGTTCTTTTGGTAGATGAATGTGATCATTTAGTCCATTTCTGGACAGGTTAATGACCCCAATCCCCATGATATCTTGCTTAGTGTCTGGTTAAAAATCTGGTTTATGGTCACCAAAGCATCCCTTTGCAAGAAAAGTTGCTGATACATAGATCCCCCTGTGCAAACTGCTTTTTGTTGAGCTCCCAGTAAAATTCACTCTGTTTTTTGACGGTGGTTGTGCTACATTCCAAGTTCAATGAACTATGGCAAGCCCAGGCATGTTTATTTAAATGGATTTCCTTGAAATGTAACACTAGCTTTCTAACACCTGTTTGTATTTCCATACATTCAACAGAAAGAAAGTGCTATTCTCATACTGAACATGTAGAATAATACCCCAATTTTTCTACTTCTGATTGAGGTAGGAGAGACAAGTTGTCTGTATGGTTTTTGTCATGTTGACAAAAAAGAGTCAAACTCTTTAAAATATTTGAAGAGAGTCATTCTGAGCCAAATATGAATGACCATGGCCCATGACACAGCCCTCAGGAGGTCCTGAGAACATGTGCCCAAGATGGTCAGGGTGCAGCTTAGTTTTATATATTTTAGGAAGGCATGAGACATCAATCAAATACATTTAAGAAATACATTGGTTTGGTTTAGAAAGGTGGCACAACTCAAAGTGGGGACTTCCAGGCTATAGGTAAATTTAAACATTTTCTGGTTGACAATTGGTTGAGGTTGTCTGAAGACCTGGGATCGATAGAAAGGAATGTTCAGGTTAAATATAAAGAATTGCAGAGACCAAGTTTTATTGTGCAGAGGAAGCTCTTAGGTAGCCGACTTTAGAGAGAGCAGGCTGTAAATTGTTTTTTATCAGACTTAAAATGGTGCCTGACTCTTAGTTGATGATCTCCTGGATCTGGCAAGTAAGGTAGGAAAACAAAGGGGGAAGGGGATTTTTTATAGAATGTGGACTTTTCCACACAAGAGAATTTGCAGGGCAATTTTAAGATATGGCATGAAAATATATTTTAAGGTTACATATTTTTTTTTCCTTATCTCATAATGTTATGCCAGAGTCAGATTGAAAAGTAAGTCACAATAAACAGGGTCAAATAAAACCCCTCTGATGAAAATTTGTGGTTTATAGGGCATGACTCCCTAGAACACTTAGGTAGAAATTTGCGCAAGAAAAAAAAAATCAGGACTTAGGACTCATTCATTTATTCAGTTAATCTTTCATTCATTCATCATGTTTTGGGCACCTGCTCAGTACCAGACTCTGTAGGTGGTCACTGGTTATACAAAGATGACTAGTCATGCAGTAGGGGGCGAAAGTACATGTTAGTGAAAGGCTTTCTTTCAAAACTACCAGCCATCACGTGAATTGCAGGATTCCAGCTATTATTTTTCCAAGTAACTTACTTTGTGCTGAACATTTATAGAGAATTCATTGTATTCTAATCATTAGAGTGTGGACTCTGTAGTCACACAATCTATATTCAAATCAGATTTTTAATGGTGTTACCTAGATAAAGTGTCTATAAAATGGGGACAATAACAATTACACCTACCTCAAAGGATTTTTTGAGAAAACCAATACCTAGCATATGGCAAGCATCTAAGAAACTTGAACTTTTATGTTTTTCTTGCAGAACTAACATACCATTTGTGTGTATTTGACATATCCAGGTGTGTGTTGCACTTTTGTGTAGGGACATGTTTTGTGTATTCCTTGAAGACGGTCATGAGGCAGTTAATCCACCTTCTTTGCCATCCAGCATCTCATTTCAAGTGTCTCTAGACGGATTCTAGGAAGAAACCTTGAATTGGAGCTACCCAGGATAGTTCCAAGAAGTTCTAGAAGGGCTACCAAGGCAACTAGATCTGAATCACAGGACATGAGGCGTTAGCATTCAAAATATCCTGTGAAATCCTCTAACATAAAACTGTCCCTTTTCAGATGGCAAAATGTAACTGGAGAGGTGGTCTCACAGATAATGAGTGATAGAGTGAAGACTTTTAGTTCTTTCCACAAACTGGAGATTCAGAGTTACATAATGGTGTGCTAGAAGGGTGGAACTAGAGGAAAGAAATATAAGCTGATTTCCGTCCCTTTGTGTTGCTCCACTTGGCTCATCCCTTTCTACTCTCTACTATTCCTTCATCGGGGGCTCATGTAAGCCTCTTAGGACCCCATCTGTTTTCACATTTTGGTTTAGGTCAGTGTGAAGTCGTCCAGATGCTGTGACTCCTGGTTTACCTTTCTGTGTAGACTAAATTTATGCTGTCCAAATCAGCTATTGAAATTGAAATTAATTAAAATTAAATACATTTTAAAATTCACTTCCTTGGTCATATCAATCACATTTGAAGTGCTCAGTATCTACATGTAGTTAGTGACTAATGGCTACAATATTGAATAGAGCAGATATACAACATTTTCATCCTCACAGGATGTTCTGTTGGACAGTGTAAGAATGACAAATGATTAATTTATGGACCATTTTACAGTTGTATATGTAAATCTCATTTAGTTCCCTTTAAAATGTATTTTTTTTTTTTTTTTTTTTTTTGAGAAGGTGTCTCTGTCGCCCAGACTGGAGTGCGGTGGCGCGATCTCCGCTCACTGCAAGCTCCGCCTCCCGGGTTCACGCCATTCTCCTGCCTCAGCCTCCCGAGTAGCTGGGACTACAGACGCCCGCCACCACGCCCGGCTAATTTTTTGTATTTTTAGTAGAGATGGGGTTTCACCGTGTTAGCCAGGATGGTCTCGATCTCCTGACCTTGTGATCCTACCACCTCGGCCTCCCAAAGTGCTGGGATTACAGGCGTGGCCCACCGCGCCCGGCCTTACAATAAAACTTTTATATGAAACAACTGATAATGCTGTTTTACAGATAGGAACTGAAACCCAGAGAGGCAAAAGTGAGACAGAACTCAAACAAACATCTTTTAATTCCAAATTCCCACTCCATCATCCTCCCTTCTAATATAATCTCCCCAACTCTGATGCTGCTTAGGGAGGCCACTGATCCTCACCGCCATTTGAGCATTTAGAGGAACCTCAGGAAAGGTTGCCACATTTGATCAAGCAACAAACAGCGACTATCTTCTGTCTGCCTGGCAGTGTAGTACAGGGACCATGAGGGAGAGAGTGCCACCCAAGGTCCTTGTACCCCAGGAGCTTGCAATTTCATTGAGAGCACAAGTTTTGGGAATAAAAAATAGATAAGCAGAACTGTTTAAATCCAGACTTAAACATGATATACTATTAAATATTTAAAAATAGATAAAATAAGCAAAAGTATATGCTTTTGATAGGTGTCAAGACATGGAGAGATGGGCTGAAAATTATTATTTTTCAGTAATTAATAGTTGCCTTTTTAAACTAAGTATGTGCATTACTTTGATTAGAAGAGAAATTATATAAAAGAAGAAAATCATTGGGGCTTTTATGACTTTATGACATTAAACATTAATCTTTCCCTCTAGAGATCAAATAATTCCAGTTCTAAAACTAACCTTTCCAAATTAGTCATTTTCCAATTTTTATTCTATAATGTGATTGATTTTCCCTTGTGTATTTCCCAAGAAAGTCTCTGCCCAGTGAAAATGCTTCCCTCCAGGACCCTCAGCTATGTATGACCTGATATATTGCATCTCTTTTATTAACATTTAAATCTTCACCACAACTTTTCTTGATATTTACCATTAATGTCTAATTGAAATGCATAAACTCAGGACTATACATAGCACGAAGTAGGCACTTGAACATTATTTGTTAAATGAACATGTAAGTATGTACTCAAACTACAATGCACTTAGGCAATTTGGAGGTATTTTGGTGAATAACTAAGATAATTAACATAACCCAGAAAAGAAAAGGTTTTTTTAAAAAAAGCTGATGGAAATGTGTAAGAGACCTTGTCTTGCAATATGGTTGAGAAAAACAAGTTTTGTAAATAAAAAATAGATAATCAAAACCAGTTTTAATGCATACTTGAGAATGATACAAGGGAGCCTATGGATTATTTGCCCTCTCGCATGTTTATTTCTCCCTTCTGTGCTTCTTTCTTTAGTCTAACTCTCTGATTTTACAAATAGTGAAGTAACCTTCCCCAGATACCTTTTCCCCTAAGGTAAGATTTTTCTCCTTATATCAGACTGTTTTCCATCACAGTGTGAGGCCATGTGTTACTTTCACTGGGAGAAGCATCAAATAGCTAATCCCTGATTTTAAGGGGCTTACAATGTAGTTGAAGTGACTGGACATGAAAACATTAAATAACAGTACTAGAAGTGCTAAATAGCATCTGCAAGTAGTAGAGTAGCTGCTGGCTCTTTCAAATTCACAATCTTTTGCTTAACAAACAATATCTAAGGTATGTGTCTGTGTGTGTGTGTGTGTGTCTGTGTGTATGTATGTCTCCTATCACGTCAACATCAAGAAGAGGCCTTCCCTTCTTTAACTCAGTCTCCAAATTTCAACTTTTATTATGTCATCAGTCAAAATCTCTACTTTCTTCACCTAAAGGTGAAGAAAGTCAAGATATGGTCAAATGGTCTTTTCCCACTAAGAGGAGAAGTGCAGTGGCCCCAGTCCTTGAATACACATGATGTAATCCTGTTCAAAGGTGAATCTGCCCTGTCTTTTAACAGGCTTGAGATTTTTTTTTCTCCAGGAACCTCTATCACAGATTTTCCCCATCTTCTCACAGGACTACGTGGAATATCAAACCAGGTTGGTCAAAATGCTTACTTCCAACAAAAAGGTACAGACAGCTTAAATTATGGAAGGCAAGAACTGGCATAACCACATTTCTAGGAGTTTCTTTGCTATGGTGATCCTGAGAAAAGAATTTTTCTTAATAATTGGCATTCTCAAATACCTTTGATTCCAAATTATTGTTCAGCCTCAGAAACTCCATTTGCCTGATGTCAAGTCTCTGTGATTTAAGCCTGTAAACTCCCTGGAATTCAGAGCTAAGGTGGTTGCTTTTCAATCTTTCGACCTGCCTGTATGTCCTGGCACGTATGTGTTAGTAATGATGAACCAACAGTGTTTCTCCGCATCTCTGTAATCCTTCAGTGTAATGGAAAAGCCAATCTGAGCTCTGTACTTTAAATCATATTCTGAATATTAACATTTGCTTAGCCAATATTGTTTCTTCCACCTTTCCCTCATGGAGAAAAGTAAGCCACCCAAGAAAATTATAAATCCTTGCATTGTATTAATACTTTGGAAGTGCCATGAACTAGCTAATATTGACTGAAACCGGCAGAATGGCAAATAAGCGTTACAACAACAATAACAACAATCAACAACCAACAACAGAATCCATCAGATACCTATTTTAAAAAGATTATTCAAGATCAGAATCTTGAATAATCAAACTTTTATAGATTTTACTAAGTGTAAGAACTCTCTTGATCTTACACTACCTGTCAATTTTTTTGCCATTTTTAGGGAGGGTGAGGCATCTGCACGGGAGAACCTGGTGAGAGCTGGTGGGTAGACTCTTGGAGAAGAGCTATATATTCTCATACCCGGAAATATAGCCGGCCCTTCCAAGAGCACCCCATCACTCAACCAAGACTGATTTTGTTTTTGTTTTATATGATTCTGAAACATGGGAGGATGACAAAAATCCAGTCTTCAGAAGTTCAAGGCATTGATCTGGGTGAAGGTCTAAATTGCTTTACTGACTTCTTAAATGCTTAGAGACTTGCTCTAAAATATAAAATCAAACAACGAGTAGTGCTATAAAATCACAGAAAGCATCAAATCTTACAGTGACAGGGCCATTGAGAGATCAAGTTTATTCTTTTTCCAGACCAAAAAAAAAAAAAAAAGGGTTTTAATTAAAGAAGACATCAAACTAAAAAGGTACTTAATACATGTTAGTTGATTTATGCCAATGAAAGGGATCATTTAATTTTGCAGCAGCAAAGCATTCTGATAATTAACAAACCTTAATTCTGATAATTAACAAGAATGCTAAGAAATTCTTCCATTCATTCATTTGCTTAGGAAATATTTTAAAGAAACTACTAAATGCCCGATATTGATGCAAGTTACTATTATTTGACCCTTATTCTATCCATAATAGAGAAGAAGAAAAGCTTTTCCTTTTCTTTGAAAAAGTTCCTTAAAGTTCACTCTAAGTGTTTTAGCAAGAAGTGCTCAGTTAATTTTTATTAACTATTTGTCTTCTTCATGAATGCAAATAGAAATGCAAATGCCATCTCATTGAACAAATAATATGAATTATCTTCATTATTTTATAGAGATACAAAAAAAAATTATTTTCTCACAGTTCTGGAGGCTGCGAAGTCTAAGATCAAGGCAATGGTAGGTTTGGTTGTCTGGTGAGGACTGCTCTTTACTTCCAAGATGGCACCTTCTTGCTGAATCCTGCAGAGGAGAGGAATGCAGTGTCCTCGCATGGTGGAAGGTGGAAGAGCAAGCAAGGTAAATGCTGCATCAAGCCTGTTTTGTAAGGACCTGAATCCTGTTCATGAAGAAGGAGCCCTTATGACCTAATCACCTCTTAAAGGGCTCACCTCTTAATATCATTACATTGGCCATTATGTATCAACACCTGAATTTTGGAAGACACATTCAAACCATAGCACGAGGCATCTTGAAAGAAACCTATATAATATTTTTGAACTGAAAATCAAGAAAGATAAAGATATAAGAATAGAAATTCAAGAATAAGAGGTGAAAAGAAAATCCTGTAACTTATAAAGATGTGGTTAAAATCTCACAGTTAATAATAAGCTTTCTGAAAACCTAGGTGCAAAGTGAGGCATGCTAAATTGCACAGTTTATATGGGGTGGGGTTTTTACTCTTCAGAAGAAGCAAAGATTTTCTGAGTATTTGAAGGCAAAATAATTCATGTAGAGGCTTATGTGGTAAGTGTTTTCCTTAACAACCTTCTTACAGCAAAGGCAGAAATAGGTTTCTCAAGAGGAGACTGTTCCTTGCAATGTACCTAATGTCTCGTTCAGCTTGGTAGAATGTTTGTCATGTAGTACATGTTGAAAATATGAGTGAACAATAATGAGGAGAAAACAAAACACTGCTCAGCATAGACAATTCTATCCTTGAACATGGGCCAAGATAAAGAGATTTAAGAATGAAGATATTGAAGTTGTTCAAATGAGCACGTGCTTTTATCTCTATTATTTCTTAAAATACACCTAAAGACACAGTAATGATTAAAATGATTTCAAAGAAAAGATCAAGGAGCATGGGTTAAGATACATCAGCACAAAATTGATGAAAGCAAAAAAGTAGATTATTTTCGGTAGCTGAATTAGCATACCAAAGACAGCTGAAAACCTCACCGGTAGTAATGGAGACCTAGAAGCTAGCAATTCTCCCTACAGAATCTAAAAACTGCGGTACTGGAAATACTAGGAAGCTATGAGAGTAGGAATGGGAGTGGGCTTGAAAACAGGGTTAATTTAAAGTCTATGTAAGAAGCAGTTCCATTTCCAGATCCTTTCTCCAACCCACACAGCCAAGGAACTGCCCTTTGTTCCTTTCTCAGCCCTGGAATAAAATTCCAGATTAAAGATTTGGAGAGGTTGGAAACAAAGGTGTTCATAACTTGTGAATGGCTGATATAGCAAAATGTAAGAGTAAGGCAAGAGTCTAAAAAAAAAAGGGTAATAAGTAAAACCTGACACCACTAAATCTCTTCCCCTTATAGACTCCTCACTATTTGGCTCCTGAAAGCACTGGCAGCCAAGCAGGAGAATGGAGGATACTTTTCTAGAGAAAGGGACAGAACCAAGAGATTCTGGCCTTTAGTAGTAATTCAACAAAATGGCTAGGTTATCCTACCTGATAACCAATCCATATCCCTGTATATGGAGACAGAGATTCAATCATATAAATAGTGACTCATTCTTAAATCGAATGACCAGCCATGGATCACTAGACATTTGAGAAAAGAATCTAACTTTAAAGCAGCAAACAGTACAGACAAACATGATGAAAGAAATTTGAAGGAAACAGAGACAATGTAAAGAGAAGAAGAAAGGTAGAAATATATATAACTCTCAGAATGCTGAAAGAAGAACAAAGAAGGCATAGAAATAGAACAAAGATTCAAAAAATTAAAATTTGGTAGTTGGAATTAAAATACGATAGCAGAAATGAAAAAGAATCAATAGAATGTTTAGAATCTAAAATTAAAAAGAAATGCCCTAGAAATTAGGGGTGAAAGAGATAGAAAATAGAAGAGAAAACGTAAGAAAATGATAGAATTAGTAACATGTAAAAATGATTTCTAGAAAAAGAAAATACGGAAAATAAAGGAGAGAAACTTGTTAAAGAAACAATTCAAGAAATTTTCCTAAGAATCGAAGAACATGAGATTTGAGATTCGAGATTCAAAGGGCCCAGTGAATCAGCACCATGGTAGACACGTACCAGGGTAAATAACTGAAATTTCAAAATCTGGGACCAGCATAACCCAAAACAAGGAGAGATCTTCTAAACCGCCAGAAAAAAAATGTAGATAGATAGATAATTTAACTTCAGAAAAGGTATGAGGAATCCAAATGGCAGTTGAGTTTTCAACCACCCCAGCGAAAAAAGAAAAAAATTAAGTAACATTGCAAAATTCTGGTTTCCACAACAAAATGGTTAATCAAGTGTAAGAATGAAGAAAAACATTTTCAGACATGATAGTTTTGGAAAAAAACAAAACAAAACAAAAAACAAACCTCCCATGAACTCCTTCTTTGGAAGCTGCTGGAGAAGGTGTTCTACAAAACAGTGCAGTAAACTAAAAGAGAGAAGGCATAGGATCCAAGAACCAGAGGACATAACAACAGATTTAAATGAAAGGAATCCTGGCCGGGTGTAGTGGCTCACGCCTGTAATCCCAGCACTTTGGGAGGCCGAGGCGGGTGGATCACCTGAGGTCGGGAGTTCGAGACCAGCCTGACCAACATGGAGAAACCCCATCTCTACTAAAAATACCAAATTAGCTGGGCGTGGTGGCACATGCCTGTAATCCCAGCTACTAAGGAGGCTGAGGCAGGAGAATCGCTTGAATCTGGGAGGCAGAGGTTGCAGTGAGCCGAGATCACGACGTTGCACTCCAGCCTGGGCAACAAGAGCGAAACTCCATATTTAAAAAAAAAAAAAAAAAAAAAAAAAAAAAAAAAGGAATCCTTAAGCTAATGGTAAAAGGAGAGCTTGACAGTAGCTGTAGAGTAAAGAGAGACCAGTCTATACTAGAGCTGGAAGATAGTTATAGAACGGATACCTCGAAAACAAACAAACAAAATATGTGTTTGATTATATTAATAGAAGATTGGTCTTTTAAAAAATTATGGAAAAATAAACATAAAACTTACCATCACAATTTTTTAAAGCATAAAATTCACTTTCTGGAGATAATTAATATTGCTGGGCAACCAATATCCAGAACTTTTTATCTAATAAAATTGAAATGCTCTACCCATTGAACAACAATTTCCCATTTCCCCTCCCCTGAGACTTTGTCACGACCATTTCTATGAATTTGACTATTCAAGATATCCAATAAAAATAGAATGATACTGTCTTTTGTCTTTTGGTGACTGGCTTATTTTGGTTAACATAGTGTCATCAAGGTTCATCCACGTTGAACCATGTGTCAGAATAATCTTTCTTTTGAAGCTTGAATATATTCCATTGTATACATAAGCTCCTTTCATTTATCAGTTCATCCATCGATGGACCCTTGGTTGGTTTCACCTTTTGGCTATTGTGAATAATGCTGCTATGAATGTAGGTGTACAAATATCTCTTCAAGATCCTGCATTCATTTTTTTTTAGATATATGCTTAGAAGTGGAATTAATGGTTATTATGGTAACTCTATTTTTAAATTTTTGAGGGGCCACTATACAGTTTTCCATAGAAAATAGAACATTTACATCTCTACTAACAGTGCAGGAGAATTCCAATGCCTTCATATCCTTGCCAACACTTATTTTCTGCTTCTTTTTCCTTACTGTAGACATACTAATGGATGTGAGGTGGTATCTCACTGTAGTTTTGATTTGCATTTCCCTAATATTTACTGATATTGAGTATATTTTCATGTGCTTCTTAGCCATTTGGATAACTTCTTTAGAAAAAAATATCTGTTGAAGTCATGTGCCTATTTTTGAATTGGGATATTTGTGTTTTGTCGTCGTTGTTGAGTTGTAGAAGTTCTTTTTACACTCTGGATATTAACTCATTATCAGATATATGATTTGCAAATATTGTCCTCTATTACATAGGTTGCCTTTTCATTCTGTTGATGTTGTCCTTTTATTCACAGAAATATTTATTTTAATGTACTCTGATTTATCCAGGTTTTTTCTGTTGCCTGTGCTTTTGGGTCACCTCCAAGAAATTATTGCCAAATCCACTGTCCTAAAGCTTTTTCCTTATGCCTTCCTCCAAGAGTTTTATAGTGTTAGTGCTTCCATTAGGTCTTTGATTAATTTTAAGTTAGCTTTTATCTGTGATATGTTAAGGTTCATCTTTATTGTTTAGCATGTGGACATCAGTTTTCTCAGCATCATTTGTTGAAAAGACTACCCTTTTGTCACTCAATAGTCTTGACACCTTTGTTGAAAATTAGTTAACCAAATATTTGAGGGTTCATTTCTGAGATTCCTTTTCTATTTCATTGGTCTGTGTGTCTGCTTTTATTCCAGTACTATAGTGTTTTGATTTCTGTAGCTTTGTAATAAATTCTAAAATCTGAAAAAAGTGTGAGACTTCTACTATGTTATTCTTTTTCAAGATTGTTTTGGCTATACAGAGACCCTTGAAAATCCATCTGAATTTTAGGATGAATTTTTCTATTCATGCATTTACGCCATTGGATTTTGAAAGGGATTACATTAAATCTATTCATCACTTTGGGTAGTATTGACATCTTAACAATATTAAGTCTTCCAATCCATGATTGGATGTTTTCCCATTTATGTGTATCTTTTTAAATTTCTTTCAGCAACATTTTGTAATTTCCAGTGTACGAGTCTTCCACCTATAGATAAGTTTACTCCTATTCTATTTTATTCCTTTTGATGCTATTATAAAAGGAACTGTTTTAATTTTCTTTTAGAATTATTTATTGTTAATGTATAGAAATTCAGTTGCATTTTGTGTGTTTATTTTGTATCCTGTAACTTTCCTAATTTACTTATTAGTTCTAATAACTCTTCTTGCGTGTGGAATCCTTAAGTTTTCTCTCATATAAGATCTTATCGTCTGTGAACAGAGATAATTTTACTTCTTCCTTCTAATTTGAAAGCCTTTTGTCTTTTTCTTACCTAATTGATTTGACTAGATTTCCAGGACTATGTTAAATAGAAGAGGTGATAGTAGGCAAACTTGTCTTATTCCATATATTAGAAGAAAAGCTTTCAGTCATTTACCATTGTGTATGTTAGCTGCAGGGTTTAAAAAAACATGGCCTTAATTATGTTCAGCTAGTTTCCTTCTATTCCTAATTTGTTGAGTGTTTTTATCATACAAAGGTGTAGAATTTTGTCAAGTGATTTTTCTGTATCAACTGAGTTGATCATCTGTTTTTGCAAAACTTCCATTAACGTGAAGTGTTACACTGATTCATTTTTGTATGTTGAATCATTCATTCCAGAAAGAAACCCTAGTTAGTCATAGTTTATAATTATTTTAATATGCTATTAAGTTTGGTTTGCTAATATTTTGTTGGGGATTGTTGCATCAGTATTCATTGGGATTACTGGTCTTTAGTTTTCCTGCATAGTCTTGGTCTGGTTAATGCTGGCCTCATGGAGTGAGTTTGAAAATGTTACCTCTGCTTCAATGTTTTGGAAGATGAAGAGGGTTGGTATTAATTTTTTAAATATTTGGTAGAATTCACCAGTGAAGTCATCGTCATCTGGTTCTGGGCTTCTTTGTCGTTGTTGCAACGGGAGGATTTTTAATTACCCATCCAATCTCCTTACTAGTTATAGGTCTGTTCAGATTTTTCTGTTTCTTCATGATTCAGTCTTGGTAAGGTGTGTGTTTCCATGAATTTATTTATTTCATCTAGCTTATTAAATCTGTTGGGATACAATTGTTGAAATTTTCCTCTTATAATCATTTTCATTTCTGTGGCATCAGTTGTAATGTTGCTTCTTTTATTTCTGATTTTAGCTACATGAGTCTTCTGTGTTTTTGTTCTTCCTTAGTTAATCCAGGTAAAGGTTTGTCAATTTCATTGATCTCTTCAAATAACCAACTCTTGGGTTGATTGATGTTCTCTATTTTTTAGTCTCTATTTTTTAAATACCTGCTCTAATGTTTAATATTTTCTTCATTCTGCTAGCATTGGGTTTAGTTTATTCCTGTCTAGATCCTTGAGGTGTAAAGTTAGGTTGTTGATTTGAGATCTTTTTTCCTTTTTAATGTAAACATTTACTGCTATAAATATTCTAATTAGCACTACTTTCACTGTATCTCACAGGTTTGGTATATTGTGTTTTTAGTTTCATTTGTCTGAAAACATTTTTTAATTTCTCTTGTGATTTTTTCTTTGATCTATTGTTTATTTAAAGCTGTTATTTAATTTCCAGATACTTATAGATTTTCCAATAATTTTTCTGGTATTATTTCTAGTTTCATTCCATTGTAATCAGGAAAAAATACTTCGTATGGTTTAATCTTTCAAGATGTATTAAGACGTGCTTTGTGGCTTAATATGTTTTATCCTGAAGGATGTTCCATGTACATACTTAAGAAAACCATATATTATACTGTTGTTGAGTAGAATGTCCTTTATATATCTATCTTTTACTTCAATTTGAACTACAGTGTTGATGAAGTCCTTTATTTCTTTAGTGATCTTCTCTATGGTTGTTTTATTCGTTATCGAAATGGGATTTTGAAGACTCTTACTATTATTGTTGACCTATATCTTTAATTCTGTCAATGTTGGCTTTATATATTTAAGAGTTCTGATGTTTGTTGCATACTTATTAAATGTTTTTGGTAAATTGACCCTTGTGTGGTTATATAATGCCCTGTCTCTTGCGATAAGTTCTGACCTATATTCTATTTTGTTTCATATTAATATAATCACTTTGGCTCTCTTTTGGTTACTGTTTGCATGAAATATCTTTTTCTTTTTTTTTTCCTGGATTAATTTTTTTTAAATTTTATTATTATTATACTTTAAGTTTTAGGGTACATGTGCACAATGTGCAGGTTAGTTACATATGTATACATGTGCCATGCTGGTGTGCTGCACACATTAACTCGTCATTTAACATTAGGTATATCTCCTAATGCTGTCCCTCCCCCCTCCCCCCACCCCACAACAGTCCCCAGAGTGTGATGTTCCCCTTCCTGTGTCCATGTGTTCTCGTTGTTCAATTCCCACCTATGAGTGAGAACATGCCGTGTTTGGTTTTTTGTCCTTGCGATAGTTTGCTGACAATGATGATTTCCAATTTCATCCATGTCCCTACAAAGGACATGAACTCATCATTTTTTATGGCTGCATAGTATACCATGGTGTATATGTGCCACATTTTCTTAATCCAGTCTATCATTGTTAGACATTTGGGTTGGTTCCAAGTCTTTGCTATTGTGAATAGTGCTGCAATAAACATACGTGTGCATGTGTCTTTATAGCAGCATGATTTATAGTCCTTTGGGTATATACCCAGTAATGGGATGGCTGGGTCAAATGGTATTTCTAGTTCTAGATCCCTGAGGAATCGCCACACTGACTTCCACAATGGTTGAACAAGTTTACAGTCCCACCAACAGTGTAAAAGTGTTCCTATTTCTCCACATCCTCTCTAGCACCTGTTGTTTCCTGACTTTTTAATGATTGCCATTCTAACTGGTGTGAGATGGTATCTCATTGTGGTTTTGATTTGCATTTCTCTGATGGCCAGTGATGGTGAGCATTTTTTCATGTGTCTTTTGGCTGCATAAATGTCTTCTTTTGAGAAGTGTCTGTTCATGTCCTTCGCCCACTTTTTGATGGGGTTGTTTTTTTCTTGTAAATGTGTTTGAGTTCATTGTAGATTCTGGATATTAGCCCTTTGTCAGATGAGTAGGTTGCTAAAATTTTCTCCCATTCTGTAGGTTGCCTGTTCACTCTGATGGTAGTTTCTTTTGCTGTGCAGAAGCTCTTTAGTTTAATTAGATCCCATTTGTCAATTTTGGCTTTTGTTGCCATTGCTTTTGGTGTTTTAGACATGAAGTCCTTGCCCATGCCTATGTCCTGAATGGTAATGCCTAGGTTTTCTTCTAGGGTTTTTATGGTTTTTGGTCTAACGTTTAAGTCTTTAATCCACCTTGAATTAATTTTTGTGTAAGGTGTAAGGAAGGGGTCCAGTTTCAGCTTTCTCTATATGGCTAGCCAGTTTTCCCAGCACCATTTATTAAATAGGGAATCCTTTCCCCATTGCTTGTTTTTCTCAGGTTTCTCAAAGATCAGATAGTTGTAGATATGTGGTGTTATTTCTGAGGGCTCTGTTCTGTTCCATTGATCTATATCTCTGTTTTGGTACCAGTACCATGCTGTTTTGGTTACTGTAGCCTTGTAGTACGGTTTGAAGTCAGGTAGCGTGATGCCTCCAGCTTTGTTCTTTTGGCTTAGGATTGACTTGGTGATGCGGATTCTTTTTTGGTTCCATATGAACTTTAAAGTAGTTTTTTCCCATTCTGTGAAGAAAGTCATTGGTAGCTTGATGGGGATGGCATTGAATCTATAAATGACCTTGGGCAGTATGGCCATTTTCACGATATTGATTCTTCCTACCCATGAGCATGGAATGTTCTTCCATTTGTTTGTATCCTCTTTTATTTCATTGAGCAGTGGTTTGTAGTTCTCCTTGAAGAGGTCCTTCACATCCCTTGTCAGTCGGATTCCTAGGTATTTTATTCTCTTTGAAGCAATTGTGAATGGGAGTTCACTCATGATTTGGCTCTCTGTTTGACTGTTATTGGTGTATAAGAATGCTTGTGATTTTTGTACATTGATTTTGTATCCTGAGACTGCTGAAGTTGCTTATCAGCTTAAGGAGATTTTGGGCTGAGACGATGGGGTTTTCTAGATATACAATCATGTCATCTGCAAACAGGGACAATTTGACTTCCTCTTTTCCTAATTGAATACCCTATATTTCCTTCTCCTGCCTGATT
Source organism: Homo sapiens (assembly GCF_000001405.40). Classification (NCBI taxonomy): domain Eukaryota; kingdom Metazoa; phylum Chordata; class Mammalia; order Primates; family Hominidae; genus Homo; species Homo sapiens. The sequence goes on along the minus strand of NC_000009.12, from coordinate 1,692,551 downwards.
GCCCTGGCCAGAACTTCCAACACTATGTTGAATAGGAGTGGTGAGAGAGGGCATCCCAGTCTTGTGCCAGTTTTCAAAGGGAATGTTTCCACTTTTTGCCCATTCAGTATGATATTGGCTGTGGGTTTGTCATAGATAGCTCTTATTATTTTGAGATACGTCCCATCAATACCTAATTTATTGAGAGTTTTTAGCATGAAGGGTTGTTGAATTTTGTCAAAGGCCTTTTCTCCATCTATTGAGAAAATCGTGTGGTTTTTGTCTTTGGTTCTGTTTATATGCTGGATTACATTTATTGATTTGTGTATATCTTTTTCATCCTTTTATTTTCAACCTATAATGTTCTTATATTTAAAGTGAGTCTCTTAGTATAGGAAGCATATTGTTAAGTCCTGTTATTTTATCCATTTAGCCAATATATGTATTTCAAGTGCGAAGTTTAATCCACTTACTTTTAAAGTAATTACTGATAGAGAAGGACTTAATATTACCATTTTATAGTTTTCCATATGTCTCATAGTTTTGTCCCTCATTTTATCCTTTTATTCCTTCATGTTTAGTCAGTTTTTTTGTAGTGATATGCTTTGATTTCTTTTGTGTATATAATCTGTAGATATTCTTTGTGGTTATCATGGGGATTATATACACATCTTAATGTTACAATTGATTTTATACTGATAACAACTTCAATTGCATACAAAAATGCTATTCATTTACAGTTCCACCCCACACTTTGTAAAAAATTACATATTTGTATATGTAATATGTACCCATTCTCATATTTTAAATGCTTTTGTCTTTTAAATTCTATAAAAAATTAAAGTTTAATATGATATAAGCCTAATATTCAGTGATGTTGACATGAAGAAGTTGACCTCCTATAGACAATTATTTTAAAAACTGGGTAAAAATAAAGCAATTACTTCAAGGCACTGGAAAATGACCAATGACAAGTAGAGACTGGAGAAGGCGATAGTCTTGACAGACTTTTAGTGCTTTGGGTGAGAACTGGGATTTTGTGGCTTTGTTGCCTAAATACCTCTTCAATCCCCGTCCCAGCTCTGGTGACAGAAAATTGCAATCTTGCCAGCTTGAGGTGGAAGACAAGAAAGTTCAGATCATCAGATCATCAAGTAGCAGGAAATTTAAGGGAGCAATTTTTGGAAGTGAGAGAGGATCAGAAAGGCTGAGATCCAAAATATGAGTATTAACTCTGCTCAAATCCGTGGCTGACTGCTAAACTGTATATGTACACAGGAGATCTCAGGGAGCTCAACAAAAAAGCCGGCAGAAACTAAAGAATTGTTTACAAGTGAAAAACAATGCTGCTCAATGAGATTTGTAAACTTATTATGCCTTCTACTGAGTGCATTCCCTATCCACATACAGTTTGTGCGGCAAAAAGTGGAAGCTTTACTGGCTTGAGATATCAGTAGGAAGAACTTCAGTAGGGGCTGAAGAACCAACTGGAAATTTACGGGGAACTGCAGAAGCACAAAGAGGATAAACCCCAAAATCTTAGTATAAACCCACTCAAATTCTTGAATGCTAAACTATGCAGACACAGGAAAAGTAATTAGGGGGCCATGTTGAAAATAAACTTTCAAGCAGCTGGAAGCTTTCAACTTTCCAGCAACTGGAAGCCGGGAAAAACAACAACAACAAACTGTCATTCATGAGAATTCAGATTTCGTAGCTGGAGTCCAGACAAGGTAGTTGTATATTAGAGCAGAAACCTCAGGCATCTTTTGAAGAACAGTACAGAATCCAGAGTCACTATAGCATATTATTTATGATGTTCAGTCTTCAAGCAAAAATCACCAGAGATGCAAATAAACAGAAAAGACTGATCCATATCAGAGAAAAAAGGAGGCACCAATACAAACAGATATCAAGTGGGGCCCAGATATTATTATATATTTATCAGAAAGTTCTCTAAATGAAATAATATAAATAAGTTCAAGGAATTTTTAAAAATTGCATTAATGAGTAAATCTCAACAAAGAAATTGAAAGTATTAATAAAATTGAAGAAAGAAACAAGTGGAAATTCTAGAGCTGAAGAGTACAACAACTGAACTTAAAAATTCACTAGATGACCTCAACAGAAGATTTGTGATTATAAAAAGACTCAATAAACATAATGATCAATAAAATTATGCCATTTGAAGAACAGAGAGAATTTAAAAATTGAAAAATGAACAAAGTCTTAGAGACCTGTACAAAGGTGAAATGCTGTCCTGTATGCATGTAACTAGAATCCTAAATGGAATGGAGAAAAAGGCAGATGAAAACATTTGGAAATTTCTGAAAACACAAAACTCGTACACAGGTTTATAGCAATTTCGTTCATAATCACCAAAAACTGGAAGCAAGCAAGATGTTCTTCAATAGGCAAATGAATAAACAAACTATAGTACATACATACAATGAAATATTATTCAGTGATTTTTTACAAAAAGATATCAAGTCACAAAAATACATGGAGAAACCTTAAATATACATTACTAAATGCAAGAGTCTGGTCTGGAAAGACTACATATCGTATGATTATAATATATGACATTCTGAAAAAGGCAAAACTATAGATACAGTAAAAACTCAGTGGTTTCAAGGAATTTCTGAGCAGGTAGATAAATGAACAGATGAAGCACAGGAGAATTTTAGTGCAGCCAAGCTATTTTGTATGATACTGTAATGGTGGATACATGGCATTATGCATTTACCAGAACCCATAGAACTGTATTTCTCTTTCTCTCTCTCTCGCATGCACACACACACAACTGTATAACACAAGGAAACTTAATGTAAATTTTAGACTTTACTTGATAATGATATATCAGTATTGGTTCACTAATTATAACAAATGGACCACACTAATGTAAGATGTTAATAGTAGGAGAAATTGTGAAAAAGACATAGAGGGTTACATGGAACATTCTGTATTATCTGCCCAATTTTCCTGTAAATCTGACACTGTTCCAAAAAACAAAATTAAAAAAAATTAAACTCTATTAATTTTTAAAAGCTTCCCAAATTTGATGAGGAATAACATAAACTGTTTAATAAAGCAAAATTTTTCCTCAGTCACCACATGCAATTACTGTAAATACTGTGTTGACTTGTGATTACCTATGAAACTATACATTGGGAACTAGACAATGGACACTAGAAGTTCCTGGGAAATGAGTCTTTGTTCAAGAATCTGAGAGGGGGGATTTGACAAGTTAATTAATTTGTCCTTTGTCTTTACTAAAAGCTTCTGCCACTCAAATCATTGGCACACAGTGAAGTGATGTCTATGTATCAGTAGTGTCACAACCCACCAAATGGCAGGCTCTTTGATTTTAGAACACAAGAAAAGAAATATTAAGAAGTGCTTCCCTAGGGCTTGAGTAGTGTTGGTCATGTGTGCCAATGTTTAGAAAAATAGTTTGTTCTATGTGAGTCCTGAGCAACACATACTACAAGGTAGAGGTGCTTGTACGTTTTCTAATAGGTTGTTTTGTGTTTTTATGACACTTGAGGGCCTCTGAAGCAGGAGGCTACCCCTGCTAGGAAAAACTAAGAAATAGTGGTATAAGCATGTTATTTAGAAATATCATACTTAATGTCACAAGAAATAGGTAAAATAAGCAAAAGTGAATACTTTTGATAATCAGGTGTCAAGTCACAGGGAGGGACACAGGGAAATGGAACTGCTATTTATTCATACTAATTATTGCATGACTTTGAAACAAACACATGTATTATTTTGATTAGAAGAGAAATTGAAGAAAAGAAGGAAATAATTAAGACTTTTATCATTTTATGACATTATACTTTGGCTTTACCCTCTATAGGTTGAACTGTCCCAGTTCTAAACCCATTCCTTTTATAAATAGGTCATTTTCCAATTTTTATTCTTTGATGTGCTTCTCCCTACTTATTCCCCCAAGAAAATCTCAGTCCAAATAAAATAATCCCCATCAGGATCCACAAATATAAGTGATCTGGTATATATATTTTTTCTTAAGTTTTTATATTTATTACATCTTTCCTGGTATTTACCACTAATGTCTAATTAATATCCATGAGGTCAAGGACCATACACAGCACACAATAGGCACTTGAAGGTTATTTGCTAAATAAATATGTAAATATAAAATTAAACCAATAAATGCACCTGGGCAGTGAGGAGGTATTTTGGTGAATAATGAGGAGAATTAATGAAGATTTAAAAAATGGGAGAAAAAGATCGTGGAGTTAATAGTAGAATTATATATTCTCTTAAAAGATGGTGGTCTGGGTGTGGTGGCACACCCCTGTAATACCAACACTTTTGTGAGGCCAAGGCAGGCAGAGCACTTAAGTCAGGAGTTCGAGACCAGCCTGGCCAATGTGGTGAAACCCTGTCTCTACTAAAAATACAAAAATTACCTGGGCGTGATGGCGTGCGCCTGTAATCCCAGCTACTCAGGAGGCTGAGGCACGAGAATCGCTTGAAACTGGGAAGCGGAGATTGCAGTGAGCCGAGATCATGCCATTGCCCTCCAGGCTGGGTGATGAAGCCAGACTTGGTCTCACAAAAGAAAAAAAAAAAAGATGGTGAACAGAATGGACCCTCCAAATAAGATCTATAGGACCTTGTTCCCATGTTCCATCATGCCCTTTAACTGTCCCCAAGGACTGGGGAATACAGATGTAGTGAAGTGTCAAAGCCATGGGAGTCTAGCACCTAGAGCAGAGTTTCTCAGCCTTAGCACTATTGGCATTACCTATAGGGACAGAAGGCAGGGAAATACCAGGCAGAGAAGGGTTAGGTCCCTGGCAAAGCCACACCCTCAAGCCTAGACCCATGGCCCAAAGTGAGAACATGCATTCCTGTTTTCCAGCCTGAATGTTGCCTTTTCCAAAGCCCCCCTGGCCTGCCCTGTCTCCTATCCTGTACCCATAAAACCCCAGGCTCCATTAGCACTGGAGTGGGAGAGAAGGAGAGAAGCAGCAGCTGGACATTAGAGAGGAGCAGCTTGGCTTTAAAGGGACAGCTTGATGGTGGGACTTTGGAGAAGAGTTTGGCCAGGGATGGACAAACTCCAGGGGGAGACCATCTTCCCACTCCATCCCTTTCCAGGTCCCCATCCCAATGACAGCCACTTTCATCGGCAATAAAATCCTCCACATTTACCATCTTCAATTCGTTCCTGTGACCTTATTCCTCCTGGATGCCAAACCAGAGCTCAAGATACAGAGGGCTGTCCCACTGAGCCATTAAATACTTAAGCCATCCTTGGATGGCAAAGCTAAAAAAGCACACTGTAACAGATGTCCTCTGGGGTTCCAGGGGTCATGGATAACACCCCCGCCCTCGCCAGATGCTGCTGTGGGACTGCACGGAGTTCTATTTTTGCCAGCACCCAGAAGAACTCATCTCAGCCCCTGCATCCACTCACCTGCGTGTGCCTCCTCTTGTGAGGGGTTAAGAGCTGCAGGCTGAGTAAACAAGCCACCTTCCTCACGAGTCCCATGAAGGGGACAAGGGAACTATCCCATTTCAGTACCAGCCAGATATTTTTTGTTGTTGTCAGTTGGGAGCTTTCTTTTGCATTGTTTAATGTTTAGCAGAATCCCTGGCCTCTATTCACTAAATGCCAGTAATATCGTCTCTCCACTTGTGACAACTAAAATGTGTCCAGATATTGCCAAATATCCTTTAGGATGAAAAATCTCCCTTGGTTGAAAACCACTGACCTTGAAATAAATGTGTTATATTACTCCACTGGTTTTATCATTAAAATGTGGAAACTGACCACAGATAGCCTTTGTAAATTATTTTTATTTTAGAATTGTTCAAAACAATGAAAAATTATACACAGATGTGTATATATATATATTTGCACACACACTATGTATATAAACCATCTGATCTATCTAAATAAAACTTTCCTGTTAATTCACTTCCCCCATTTTATTGAAGTAGGGATATGAGGCTACAATTCCTCAACATTAGGAGGCTGTATGTGATGGTCCGTTAATTAACACATAGATATATTGTTGTTCTCTTTCTCTCACTTTTGTTCTTGCTCTCACTCTTTTGCTCTCCCTCTCACACTCTATCTCTGAAAGGTGTCTATCTGGTCACTGTAGATTGGATGTGCTGTGAGTGGTCCCTCTAGAGTGAAGTTCAGAGTTTCTGGCCACAGACTCAACTTTGCAGTATTAGAACAATGGTGGGACTACTTGTACCCCTGCAGCGGGAGCATGTGTAATATAACAGTGAAAACTCAGGGCATTTAAAGCTAGTAAAGCCATATAAGATGGTCCTAAATACCATTAGTGCATATACTGGCTCCATGACCTTCACAGATCTAGTTGTAGGTGTTATAGATATGCAAATTAAGCAATCTAATATGTTGATACTAATAAGATGGGTTATTCTTCACTGCGCAAAGGCAGGTTTTATGATAAGGTACTGTCACCAGAACTGAGACTTAGGACCATTAATGAAAACAAGCATTCTAAATAGAGAAATGGAATAAATTATTAAGAATTTTGACTCCTCTAAATTGGTAATTCCTTTAGCTTTGGTGTGTTGGGGCAAAGTTGTGAAAGACAAGTTGATAACTCAAACTTTTAAAATTTATTGTGATCAGTGCGCTGCTGAGAAATGCATAATTTGGGGATTTAACACCTGATTAGCTATTAAATGGCTGTCAGGAGAAAATTTTGCAGTAATCGGTTTAGCTTTTAGCCCTTAATTATCACTTCACAGTGGATTTGGGGTGAGATAATTAGAACTGCAACACTTAAAGAACTCCAATTGGGCATTTTTTTTTAAATACAATGAAGTGAATTATTTCTCTATAAGGACTGCATTTAACAGGTATTGGTAACAAGGAAGGAAATGTGATAGTGTATGGGATTTTGTAAAGTGATTTCAAAGAGTTGATTCATTCATTATGCAATTAAGTGGAGTCTAGCTGTGTATAACTTATCTGGTGTCTAGGTCAAAGAATGTCTTTCAAAACTCCCTAAAATTCACTGGAAGGATTTCATTTTAATGGAGTGTTGGAGAGTTTGAGTGGCCATATGGATTATATAATAAATTCTATCTTATATACTCTGACCTTGGGCTGGTTCATTTATTATTCTTTGATTTCCTTTTATGCCCAGTGAAATACCTATCGTTCCATACCCTATTTGTATAAGAGCTCTAAAAGCTCAGCCCTGGTAGATAATGCCTCATTTATCACCAGCATGGACTTTCCAACAGAGCTAGGCTGTTGCACACTGTCTAGCCCTCACATATCCCACACTCACACAGACCTCACAACCGCTTACTCCCCACCCCCACACACAACACCCCCATGCCATCACTGTAACTGTTGCCCTATCCTCTAGAACTATTCAAATCCTCTCCAATCTTTAAAGTTATCTTCAGATTAACACATGACAATTGAATGCTTTCTGTCTGACAACATATTAACTACAAAATGATGTAACACAATGTCTGTCCTTATTGAATCTTGTAGGACACACAAGTAGGTATATAAGTCAGTAAGTCAGTAAAGGAAATGGAAAGACCAATTGGGCATACTTATCTTTTGCTCTCCAATCACTGATCCAAAATGAATATCTTGTCATTTATATATTATTTATCCATTGAAGAAGCAGGACACTGACTACTTATTATACTCCTTTGTCTACATTCCCATGTCTTTTAACCACGGTGAAGTAGAATGTGATTGTTCATTCAAAGGTCATTCCATACCACCTTTATTCCCTGATAATAGAACCTTAATTGGAAGGGGGTGGCAAAATGCCCATTTCTGGAAAATAAACCATAATTGGCTTATTAATATTGCCAATAATGGCAATATTATTTCCCTTTGCAAGATAATCACTTTTCTAGACTCCCTCATAACCAGAAGTGAGCATGTGACCTAGTTCTTTTATTTGAGCTAAAGAAAAGCATGCTTGGTGGCTTCTGAAAGTAAATGGAAGATTCTTTTCTATCCATCGCACTCTTTCATGCTGAGCTACTGATATAAGTAGTACCTCCGGTTACAACCAGGAGACAAAAAGCATAGGGTAGAAAGTTCTCATCTTGAGATGATAAAGCAAAACTATGTAAAAAGCTTGGAAGGGCTTCCAATTTTGATGGTTGGAATACCTTGCATCAGGCCAGTGCTCCCACTGATGACAGCTAAAAATGTCAGAGAAAATGCAGCAATCATTTGTTTAAAGGCATTGGATAGCTGCTGATGCTATGAGAACTATGTGTGCTAAAACTGCGGAGAGGGAAAGATCTCAAAGAGGTGAGCTTAATTCTGCAACCATTTTTAATCTGGCGGCATTTAGTGATTCTGAGCTTGGGCAAGAGGTTTAGATTCTGGGATTTGTACCAATTGCTGCTAGGGAATAGAGAAACTGGCAGAGTTTTTGGCTGAGACCTGGGGTGAAGTAGTCAAGTGAAATTTAGCATGCAACTAGTTTTTCTTTAAGAACATTTGCTGAATTCTGGGGCTGGGCAAGGAAGGAGGCTAAAGATCTAAGCAGAAAACCTCTGAAAAGCAGAGTAGAGCATGAATAGTTTTATGAGACAAATATTGGAATATGGTGTACACCACATGGAAGGATCTTAAAGGACACAGCAGGATTTTTGTTGAAAACCTTGGAGGCCCAGCATGAACCAGAGACAGACTAGGTCTTACTAGAGACACTAAATTTGATTCAGCCCTGTCCCTAAATGGATTAAGGGAGGCAATCAATTACTACTCTATCTACCTGACGAAAGATAAGACCAATAAGACCACATAACTAAAAACCAAGAGGGAAACACGTGCCTGTGCATGCACATGCAAGGCTGTGTGTGCCACGCCCCACCTGCCATATGAACAGAAGACACACACACACACTGTAGTTAGCTGAAAAGAACTTAAACATAATCATGGTTAATATATTTAATGTAATTGGTGAAAAGATGCAGAAGGTAGATAAAAGTCTTGTAATATCACCAGAGAATTAGAGTCTATAAAAAAGAAATAAATGGAAATTTTGGAACTACTACATAAAAATCTGAAATTAACAATTCATTATATGGGTTAGACACCAAATGAGTGTAGCAGGACATAGTAGAAGACAGGATTAGTAAACTGAAAGACAGATCAACATAAATAAAAACCTAAACCATACCTAGGCACATCACAGAAAGAACACCAAAAACCAAAGTAAAGAGAAACCTCTCAAAAGCAGTCAGAAAAACAGGATCCGTTACATTCAATAAAGCAACCATAAAACTGAAAGATGATTTATCAATTAAAATAATGAAAATCAGGAAACAATGGAATAACATCTTTAGTGCTGAATGAAAGTACTAACTATAATTTTATCCTTTAAAACTAAAAGGTAAACTAACAAATTTAAGACAAACATAAACTAAAATAATTCACCAGCAAATCTGCTCTAAAAAGAAATAGTAAGATGAGTTATGTAGAGAGAAGGAAAATGATCCCAGAAGGAAACACAGGGTATAAAAAGGCAAGAAGAGCAACAGAAACGGTAAAATGTGGGTAAATATAAATCCTGACTGTACAGAATAATGAGTATTATCTTGTGAAATTTAAAATAGTTATAACATTAAAATACATGACAATGATAACACAAAAGGCAGAAGGCTATAAATAGTAAATGTTAAATAACAAAAAGAAGTGGTAATAATTTGTTTTAGACTATAGTCGGTCAGTGGTAAATGTAATCTCTATTGTAACCTTCCCCCAAAATTGGAAAAGAATATATAACTACCCATCTTGAAGGGAGAAATTAAATGCTTAAAATATTTGATTATTCTAAAAGAAATCAACAAAAGACAATAACATAAAGCAGGAGGATCAAAAAGAAAAAAATCGTAAGATTGTAGAGAAAAATCTTAAATATGTCTGAAATTACCTTTAAATTAACTAATCTATGTAAAATATAAATGTTATCACCTGGATAAAATAATGAAACCCAGTTATATGATGCTTACTAGAAATGTCTTGATTGTAAATACACAGAAAAATTCAAAATAAAAGCATATATCATGCAAACTCTAGCAAGAGAAAAAGAAAGCCAATGTAACTGCACTAATATTTCACAATTATTCTCTAAGGCAAGAATAAATATAGAACTAAGGCAAGAATAACAATAGAGAGTAGCATGTCATAATAATATGGAAGTCAGTCTACCAGGTAGATATACGATTCTTAATCAGTATGCACCCAAAACATAGCTTCAAACATGAATAAGGCCTTCTGGATCATGATGAAAACACTGATTCCAAAAAGAAGCTTTATCTTCCAAAACCATCTCATTCCATGTTTCCCATTAAGAAAATAACAAATTCTGTTATGGCTTAAATAACCGTTCGTTGAATTTTTTGGCACTTGCTGCTGGAAATATTCCTGCTACTCACCTAGTCACCAAGCTTGAAAGCGAAAATCATTATATTTTTATCTTTTTCAATTCATCTACCACAGGAATTATTATTTCACCTTTTTCCCTCAACCACATCTATTTCTTTTTCCAACAGTTTCTCCCTATTTCGAATGCTCCCTATTCGAATGCTCCCTATTTCGAATCTGTATTGTGTGTACTACATGGCAATAACTAAACTTACTTCCCTGTTTTCTATATGGTCAGGCATGAGGTAACCCCAATTTAACTTTTGCCAGCATCATGGCCCACCATTCCCCCTTTAGTTTATTTGCTGTCTTGTAAACATACCATTCTATGTCTGGCTTATGTCCCTTTGTACCTGGGGTTTTTCTAGCCTGGAGTGATCTTTGTACATCCCATCCTTCTTAATTGGCAAACTTCCTGCCTGTTATCCAGATAAATGTTATATTATCTTTCAAATCATGACATGATCCGCTCACTCCAGCACCCAGAATTAACTACTCTGTCCTTAAAAGTTCCGTATTTCTGACAGCTATTGTGTTGTAGTCATTTTCATGTATGTTTACATTCCTCATGCCACTGCTGACCCTCCTGAATTAGACTCTGAATTCTACGGAAGCAGGACCATAGCTTATTTATTCCTGAATCCCCAAGCTCTAGAACAGTAAATGGCACATAATGGTAGGTGAATGTTTGCAGGTGAATAAAAGAATTCTGCAAAGTGACGCAGACCAGAATCTGCTGAAGTGGAAAGAGATCTTGCATACCACCTATGATCTGTCCATTTTATCAATAAAGAACCAGGAACCCAAGGAAGATAAATGATTTGGCTAAAGTTACACATTGGTATGGTGGTAGGATAAAGATGAGCCCTCAGGTCCTTGACTTCCAGTCCACGTGGCCACCCGCTATGCCAGATGCTACTAAGCCTCTTTCTGAGCTGCTTTAATATTATTACTACAACATAACTCAGCTTTATTTTCCACAATGCCATTTACCCCTGCAGCATGCCAAAATGCTTTACCAGTGAAAGAGTACAATTTCACAGTTAAAAAAGATGAGAGAGAAATTAAATACTGTAGGTGCAGACTGAAAAACATTAAACCAAATTCAATTTGAAGGGAGGGTTTTAGATTCATTACCCACAGACACACACATACCCCAAAGCTCTGTGCACCATGGCCACATGTATTGTTCTTAGACAGGATCATGTTATCTCTATCTTAAGGGAACGAAAATTGGGGACCATGTACAGCGTGGTCAAGTGCCAAGTCTGGGGCAGAAATGGCCCCTCTATCATACACCATGGGGCCCATCAAAATCATGATCTAATTTCCATGTCCCTCCTTCTTCTTAATGGCTGATAACTTAGGTTGAAAAATGGATTTCTCTTTCAGCTGCTTCCCATGCATATGCTGGTGAACAGAATTCATGCTGCAGCCCACCAGAGTACCCCAGGGCCCCCTGCTGTGGACAAATGGGTATCTAGACACACTCAGTTTCAGGTTGTGTGATTGCAGGCAACTAAATCCCCAGATGAGGGTTTTTTAAACAAGTTGGTGATTTTCAGATGAAGGATACCGGCCACAGAAGTTTAAAGTGTTCCTGTGCAACTTGGGCTGCCAGTGAAATACCAATTTCTCCTTTTTTTAGAACAATTATTTCTTTTATTTTTCCCCAGACAAACCCTCAGACATTCTTCTCCTCCCTTCTGAGGCTTCTCTTTGAAAGAGCTAGTGCAGTAGATCATGCCGGGTTACTCCGCAGATAGAACTGTTGAACACAGGTGCATTCTGGGGCTTCAGTGTCTGGCTTAGTCTCTGATTTGTTGCAGAAAAAATACTCACTGTAGTTTCCCAATTCCCAAATGTGGATACTTTGAAGATGGATATGATGTATTAATTTTGTGTTTTCACAGATTTATGCTCTGCAGACGTAACTACATTTTTCCAAGAAATGAAGCAAGAACTGACTTCAGAGTCTGTATGTCAGGAATGGCACGATAGAACTTGTGGGTCTTCCTGCTTCTTTGTGCCTCAAATGAAAATAAAGAGCCTGCTGTTTAACCTGGGGTTTGGAAGATCCCACTGCCAAACCTCACCTTGTAGCTGTGAAAACTGAAAAAGCCCACATGTAAAGCACATCTCACACTGTGCAGCAAATAGAAATAATTCACCTGGGGTGAACTGGGATGGTATACAGGTGGATGGGAATACATTGACTGGTGCAATGTACCAGACTTTTGAAAAATGTGAGGAGAAAGTAACTTTAGGGATAGCATTCAATGATTAATACTTAGCTTGGATGACATTCTAGAAAAAGATAATGAAAGGCTAAGAGAAATTAACAGGCAACCGAAAGCCAAATATGAAAACAAGAAGGCTACCTTGCTGACACATGAAGATACTCTCTTCTCCTGCAACGGAACGGCAGAGAATGCTTAGGACCAGGGTTGGAACATTAATAATAAATGTAGCCAACCTCTCAAGAAGGTTAAATTCTGAACCAAGGTTGGACTGCTGTTTCATGGTCAGGACATTGGCTGGGAAAACCTGGGACCCTTACACACGGAATGGAAAGAGCTGGATTGGTGGCTCTGAAGATCTCAAATACTTAGGTCCCCCTAAACTCCCTGAATCTGCAGAAGTGGCCCAGCACTCCCCATTAACCTTATCTCCTTGCTTAAAGAATACAGAGGCCTCTCTCCTGCAAGATGACATGTCCCCCTCCCTGGAGCTGCCTCCTCTCCAGGCCCCTAGGATTAAATCACAGGAAAACCCAGCTGGGGACATTCCAGACCTAATAAGGGAGGAAAGGGAACATACCCCATAGGAGCTGTAAAACCCAGCCACCAAGTGTGGCAGGAGCTAAAAAAAAAAAAGAACATGGAATTAGATTTGAGGTATTTGATCAAAAGGACAAGAACATTAAATGGAGTAAGGGAGAGTTTTTAAATTTGGGAGTATTCTCTTGAGAAATAGGATTTAACAGCCTGGCAAGGACCCCAGGAGAAAGTGTAAATTTGCTGCTAGGATGGCTCTAGAAACTTGGAAAAAGTGATGGCCCACACTGAACGAGATTCAAATGTGGAATTTTCATGCAGTTGGTGGAGACAGGGAACAAAAGGCAAAGGGAAGTGGGCATGCTGGAGCGGATATACTATGTAAAGCCAAAAAACCCACCACATGATTATGCTACATGGGAAACTCAGAGGATACACCAGTTGCTGAGGCCATAAAATTGCTCTTGTGAGAAGGGCACCAGCACCACTAAAGAGCTCAGTGGTGTTCCTGTCTATAGACCCGAGACGTTGGGTGAAGCCATTATAGACTTAGACTCGCTGACAGCAGTGGAGATGATAGGACCCCAAACCACAGAAGCCAGATCCAAGCCACTTGGAAGACAAGTGGATGTGATTATTATAATGAACAGGAAGATCAGAGTGATAACCAAGGGGGACTGACCTACAGAGAGTTGAACAAGAAGTGCCTAGCACTTTGGAGACCTTAGTAAGACACATGTGCTCCAGCATTTAGATACATCCTACAAAGATCAAGAGGCCTGCCATATTAGTACAATTTTATGAGATCAAGTGGTTAGGGACATGTTGTGTTATGCCTTCCAAAGGAAATAGTCAAATTATTTCATTATACTTTTCCTACCACAAAGAAGGAAGATCAGTGAGTGTTAGACCTTTTCATGTTCTGAAGGCAATATCCTGAGAATTCTGCTTCAGTTTATCTGAAGAAGGATGCTAGTTTTTAGAGAGCCCAAAGTAGAAAATAGGACCTCCAGTAAGAGGTTTAGGTTGCAACTCAAATATGCCCAAGACCCTGTGGTATAATTAGAGGTGCCAGTGGTGGGAAAAGTTGCCTTATGGAGTTTATGACAAGCCAAGTGGGAGACTAAAACAGGTGCCCGAGCTTCCTGAGTAAGGCCATGCCATTTGTACTGCAGAATTATTCACTTCTTGAAAAACAACATCTGGCATGCTATTAACCCTTGATAGATAGAGGGCATTTGACCATGGGACATCAAATGACTAGGCACCCAGAATGGCCTATCATAAACTGGCTTCTGTCAGATCCAGCCAGTTATGAAGTCAGACAGGCCCAGAACAACACATTGTGAGATGCAAGTGGGGCATCTGGAATCAAGCACAAGCAAGGCAAATGGAAGATGCAAGTCAGCTGCATGGAGCCCAGACTCCAGTGTCATCCACCACTGTTGCACTGGCATCACTCTGTCAGACCACAGGCCCAGTAGTAAGGAGAAGGTAGGGGAAGCCCCTATGAACAGCTGACTGAGGAAAAAAGGACCCATGAAATACAAATGAATGGGTTGGTTCATTCTGTGGTCAAAGCTGAAAGTGGATGGCTATACTGTATTTTCACTCAGGGTTAATGTTGAAAAAGAGCTGTGAGGGAAAATATTCCTAAAAGTGGAGTGTTTGATCCACCAACATATGGTCCTACATATCTGAGAATCAGACCATGGGACCCTATACGGCAGAGACAGTAAGAGACTATAGACCATGAGATTCACTGGCCATATAGTATATCTCACCATTCAGACACTGCTGGCCTGATAGAGCATTGGAATAGCTTGCAGAAGACCAGGCTGAAGCACCAGCTCAGAAGTTGTATGTTACAAGGACTCTGTACCAGTCTCCAGGACACAGCAGATAATTTGAACTAAAGATCTATACATGGGCTCTGTTTCCAATATTCAGAATACATAAGCATGTAAATCAAGGGGTGGAAGCAGTCCAGCTACCATCAATCTTAAGGAACCACTTAGAAAACTTATGCTTTCCTTTCTCACAATGTTGGACTGTGTGGATTTAGCAGTCCTGGTCACCCAAGGGGGAACATTCCAGCCAGAGAACACAGCTAGAGTACATTGAATACATAGAGTAAGCTACAGCTTCCATCTGCTCATTTCATGATTCTTATGCATAGGGACCAACCCTCATCAGAGGGCTGATTTTACACAACTGGGGCAGGCAAGAATATGTCTGGCACCCAGGAGATCCATTTGCATGCCTCTTGGTACTTACTTGCCTAACGATGAAAGGAAATGGACAGGTAAAGCAAGCCTGAGAAGGGCAGTGGGACGAGGTGTTCAAACCCATCAAGCTTGAGGATCTCAGTCACTATGCCAGGTCAGCAAATAAGATGAACCAAGGTGCTAGCAGAGGTAAGGAGAATCTGAAATAGATAGTGGAGAAGGGTGAGCAAAAGTATCTCTTGTGGGCTTGAGATCAGCTGCAGCAGCACAGCAGGGACTATAGTTTGTCCTACTCACCATCTTTTTACATGTTTCCCCCAAGAAAAAGAGGCTCCCGGAATTCTGGAATAGCTGCTTCCTGAATGTAAATGAAGATGTGAATTTGGACAGCACAAGGGGTGGACTGTGGTGGACACTCTGATTCACCACCAAGTTCTCTCTTCAAGTAAAGAATTTTGCTCCAGCTACTAGGAGTCCTGTCAGTAGACAATTTTCATCTTTCATACCTAAGCTGCAGAGAGCCACATGGCCCTCACTCACACCCCTTCCTGTGGCAACTGACATCCAATGACTAATTGATGCCAGCTGTAAAGGCTTGGTCATTTCAGCAAAAGTTGACACAATGCCGATGGTCCAAGCTAGCTCTAGATTTTCTTGTGGGGTATCTGAGGCTGTCATTGGGCCTGCATAATTTCTGCATTTCTCCCTGTATCCAACATTGCTTTTCTTTCAGAGGTGTGATTACCAAGGGCACTCTCCAATAAACAACCTGTGCACTACAATCTGTCAGTTTTCTTTCTGAAGAGCCCAACCTGCTCTTCAAAATGCTTTCATATGCATTGTCTTATTTGCTCTTCACAGCAACCTTGTGAGCTAGACAAGGCAGATTTTATTTTACAAAGAGGCCCAGAGAAGTTAAGTGGGTTTCCAAAGTCTAACAGGTAGCTCATCAGTGACAGACCCACCAATGACGCCCTAGACAGTTGCCTGTCTCCTTTTCTTGTACCACCATATGTCTTTTTCTTGCAGAGGGGAAGGAGTCAGGCCAGCTGCAATGTCATCCTTCTGCTATGACAATGACATGCCTGGATCTTAAGGCTCATTCTGTCAAAAGTGCTTTGGGAGATGTAGTCATAGCACCATCAAGGCAATTTATAACCAGTAGAGAGGAATGTTTTAATGATGTTTTTATGATATATTAGTCCTGTAAAGGCTTATTAAAAAGTAGACCAGGCTAATAAAATGCAAAAGTTGTCACTTACAATGAAAAACCAGGTGATTTAGAAGTAGCATCCAACTTCTAGATCATTTTTTAGACAATGGGTAAATCAAAACAAGCAAGGTGTCATGTGCTAGGACTTGCACTGCTAACTCTGTCTTGGTAGTGGATATATCCAGCTATTGAGGTTGAACGTCCTGTGAATGTCTAGGATCCTTAACAGAATAACGTGATATCCTGAAACAATGCAGTATATTGGATTGTTTTTTCTCAGCACATCCCGAACGGCTGCATTCATACCCCACTCTAAGGCTCAGAGATAGAAAACTGTGGAACTACGTGGAGGAAGAAACACTGCATGTGGTCACAGGAATGTTCTTTGAAGCACCAGCCTTTAAGATCTGGAGGATCTGGGTTCTAAGCTGAGCTTAATTATTTATGTGACCCTGTACTCATCAGTCTCTCTGTGGGCCTCAGGGTCCCTTATCTCCAAAGGGGGAAGAAACTAAGATAATTTTCAAGCCTCTCTCAGCTCTGTGATTTTGTGTTGCTGATTCACAGCTTTTCTTCTTTTTTCCTCTGACCTGAGCTGCTTTGCAGTTTCAGATTAGGATTAATAATAATTTCCAAAGACAGAGGCAGTAAATATACAACCAAAGGTAACTCCCACAGAACATAAGTTCCTCCCAGTTTCCTCACATTATGGAGATAATGAGGAAAGTCTAGGACTAGGACTGAGAGTGTCAGGGGCAATGGTAGAGTGAGATGATATAAGAGAGTGGCTCATTTCAAGGCTCTGCTATTTACAGTGAATGACTTGGTAAATTCAGTACAATGTATAGGATGTAGTATACCCCACTGTGTATAATGGCAATAATAAGATCTGCAACACAGTATCTTTAAGAAGAATTTAGTGAAGTCATTTATACAAAGAGCCAAGCATATAATCGGTACTCAGTGGGTATTACTTCTCTCCCTCTCTCTTTTCAGTTCTTTCAAACTTTCAGGACAGTGAAACAAAATGAGAACCTGTTTTTCTAAGCTCCTTGAAGGAAAACATACCAGATAGAAACCTGAAGGCAGGCATGAACCATCTCTGTAGGAATAGTTTAAGTAAGCGGCAATGGTGCCCACTGGTTAAGGGAGAAATTATTATTGAAGTCTGAGCAAGAATAGCCTCAAGTTACATGAAGTAGTTGACTACTTGCTAGTGTGATTTTAGAGCATGAAGAAATATCATGGGCCACCCAAATCCCCTCCCACCCTTTAACAATACCCTGAAGCCTAAACATGTGTCTTCTATATTTCTCTTATTTTTGATGAAACCAAGAATGTCCAATATTCTTGTAAGGAACAAGTATTTTATTTATTTTTATTTCTGCAATTGTAAGATAAGTGGGCAGTCTGTTGTATATAAGGAAAAATAACCAAGTGTGATTAGATTACGAAAGGGAGCCCAGCCCAATATGGTGTATCTCATTCCTGAGGGGACTCCAACAAACCATAGAGACAAGGCATGACAATAGATTGGGAAGACAGTCTCATTTGGATGGGCATGGAGGTACTTGCTCTTCCTTGTTTTACCTTTTTCTATTATGAGCATTGCTTTAACCTTATGTTTGGCCCCACAGACAGCACCAAAATGTAAAGATACTGAAGAGGACAATGTGATAATAGAGCCAGAAACCTTCCTATGAGTGAAACAGACACTACAGCACCCTTCCGTAGGGAGAATATGAATCTAAGAGCCTAATTCTAGAAGCAGCCACAAATGAAGATGCCATGCTAATAATAGGCTCCTTAAGAAACTTGGCAAGGGCCAGAGCCAGGTGCCGTGACTCACACCTGTAATCCCAGCACTTTGGGAGGCCAAGGTGGGCAGATCACCTGAGGTCAGGAGTTTGAGACCAGCCTGGCCAATGTGGTGAAACCCCATTTCTACTAAAAATGCAAAAATTAGCTGGGCATGGTGGCAGGTGCCTGTAATCCGAGCTACTCAGGAGGCTGAGGTAGGAGAACTGCTTGAACCCAGGAGAGAGAGGTTGCAGTGAGCCAAGATTGTGCCACTGCACTCCAGCCTGGATGACAGAGTGAGACTCCGTCTAAAAAAAAAAAAAAAGAAAAAGAAAGAAGAAAAGAAAAGAAAAGGACTTGGCAGGAAAACTTTTTCAGGTAAGATTCTCAGGTTTCCAGACAGATGTCAATGGCTACTAAAGGACCCTAGTTCAATGCTTACCTATCTGTTAAAATGCAGATATTTTTGAAAGGGTAGACACCAAAAAAGTTTCATGGGAATTTTATGCCCTGACATAAAGGCAGAATTTGAGAGCTGGTTTTTGAAAAGAGGAAGATCTTTAAAAAGCTCATACCTTGAGGAGAAAAGTTTTGATGAGGGAAATTCTGTCCATGTCAGCATTTTGCTTAGGCCAGCAAAGTCTAAAGCATTGGGACTATTTCTGCTATGGTTTGTATGTGTGTCCCCAGGGATAAGTTCAGCCCCCTTCTTTTCCTGCACCAAAGTGCTCTCTTGTTCTTCTGCCATGGGATGATGTGGCAAGAAGGCTCTCATCAAATTCAGGAACTTTGACCTTGAACTTCCCAGCCTCCAGAAATGTAGCAAATAAATCTCTGTTTCTTATAAATTACCCAGTCTGTAGTATTCTGTTATAGCCACCCAAAATGGCCTAAGACAGAAAATTGATACTGAAAAGTGGGGCTTCTGCTATAACAAATACCTGAAGTGAGTTTGAAACTGGGTAATGAGAAGAGGTTGAAAGAATTTGGAGAACCAGGCTAGAAAAAGCCTAGATTGTCAGGAGTGGAGCCTTAAGGGCAATTCTGCTGAGGACTCAGAAGAAATGAAACGTAGGGAAAGTCTGAAACTTCTTAGTAATTACTTAAGTGGTCATAATCAAAATATTGGTATAAATATAAAGACTTTCCATGAGGTCTTAGATGGAACTGAGGAATAAGGTACTACAAATTGGAATAAAGCTCATCCTTGTGATAAAGTAGCAAAGAATTTGGCTGAATTGTGTCCATGCCTGAGGGCTCTATGGAAGGCAAAGTTTAGGACTAGAATATAAGACATAAGACATTTTTAAGGCAGATATTGAAGGAGGTATGTGGCTACTTTTAACTGCATACAATAAGATGTGAGAGACAAGAAATGGCTTAAATAGAGAATTTATAACTAAAAGATAAACAGAATGTAAAAATATTGAAAATTTGCAGCCTAGCATGTAAACAGTGAAAAGGCATCTTTAGGAGAGCGAACCAAGTGCATGGCTAAGCGATTGTTTGCTAAAGATATTAAGCTGGGTGCTATCATCAAGACAATGTGAGAATGATACCCAAAGACATTTCCAAGATTTTTTGAGGCAATCTAGGATCTTGAGGGCAAGGTTTCCAGAGAGATGCTTCAAGGTCCTCTGCATTTGCTGCTTTTTGCTGCCTCAGAACTCTGCTCCCAAAATTCTGACACAGCACCACTCAACTGCCCCAGCCATGATTCAAGTAGGCCCAAGTGCATCTCAGTTCATTGCTCCAGAAGGTACATGCCATAAATGTTGGTAGCATCCATTGGTGCTAATACTACAGGCATGCAGGATATAAGCTATGGGGTCATGGCTTCTTCCACATGGATTTCAAAGGATGTCATGGACAACCTAGGGGCCCAGGCAGAGCCTTCACACAGAACACCCAATAGGGTATGGCCCATGAAGCTGTAGGAGCAAAGCAACTGAGGAATCCTCACTAGGACAATGTCTAGTGGAGCCACAGAACTGGGCAGTTCATGAGACCCCAAAACTGTACGGTCACCAGTGTGTAATCCCAGCCTAAGAAAGGTACTAGCACAAGACTCCAACCTGTGGGAGCTGCTGGGTGGATTAACCCCAGCAAAGCTATAGGGGCAGGGCTGCCTGAGGCCTTGAGGGCCTCCATGTGCCCAGGATGCAGGACATGGAGTTGTAGGAAAATTATTCTTTAAGAGTTAATGTTGTTTTCCCTGTTGGGTTTTGTTCTTACTTGGCACCAGTTACCCATTCTTCTTGCCTATTTCTCCCTTTTGGAATGGGGATGTCTATCCTATACCTGTCCCATCATTGCATTTTGGAAGTAGGTAACTTGTTTTGATTTCAAAGGTTTATGGCTAGAAGAGAATTTGCCTTAGGATGAATCATGCCCTGAGTCTTACCCATATCTGATTTAGATGAGATTTCGGATTTTGGACTTGAGTTGGTGCCAGAACGAGTTAGACTTTGGTGTTACTGTGATGGAATTAATGTATTTATATGTGAGAAGGATATTAATTTGGGGACCTTGGAGCACCATTTTATGATTTGAACGTGTCCCTCAAAGTTTATGTGTTCAGAACATAATCCCCAGTGCACGTTTTGAGAGCTGGGACCTTTAAGAGGTGATTAAGTCATAAGGGCTCTGCCCACATAAATGGATTAATCCCATTAATGTAGGAGTAGGTTAGTTATCATGACAGTGGTTTCCTGATAAAAGGGTAAGTTGGTCTCCCTTCCTCTCTCACAAGTGTGTGCTCTCTTGCCCTTCTGCTTTCTGCCATGGGATGACACAGCAAGAAGGCCCTCACAAGATATTTGACCTTGTAAGAAGATTTACTTCTTACAGTTCTAGAGGCAGGGTAGTCCAAGGTCAAGGCTTCATAGGCCTTTAAAGGGCCTTCATAGGCCTGTATTACTCAGTTTGTGGTATCTCCTATAGCAACACAAAACAGATTTAGACAATTTCTTTAGTTTTTGTTTCCATGGAAGCCATTTATACTGCAGTGGCTGCCATCTGACATCCATGTGGGATAGTGGAATAAGGAGGGACTTCTAAGCTCAGCAAGGTTAAGTAACATTCAAAGATAGCATAGCTAATACATTGGGGAGCTGAAGTCAAGACCCAGGTCTATTTCCTCATCTGTAAAAATAACATCTTCCTTCACTGAGCTTTCACAAGGTTTAAATGAGTTGACATGCACAAAATGGCAGAAGTGCTGAAACCCTGCACAACTTCACATATACTACAATGTAAATTGTGCCCCTTGAAGTGTCAACTTATTTGTCCAGAAGGCTTCTCTCAATGTTTGGCACATAGTATGTGCTCAATAAATACTAGTTTTTCTTTCTCTCTTTTTAGGAAGCCTCTATTTCAGCCAAAATTTGAAATAGCAATTTGTCTTCTAACCATGATAGAATTAAAATGTGCTTGATCTTTTTCAGAAAAAAAAGTTTATGAGTTCAGTATGATCTTACTCTTGCCCTACTGGTCAAACCATGTGAAGTCCATTTTATTTTCTGCTGTCTGCACTCTGACAATGTGTTTGACACTCTTTAATTAATTAGTTTCCTTCAAGCTCCTGCTTGTTGGGACCCACAGGCCAATTTTGGCACATCTCCCAAGCTGGTGCCCCTTGGGTGCTGCAAGTCTGTTTTGTGACTGGTGTCACCTGTCAGCACTTCCCTTTCAGGAGCTTTTTCTTCACCTTTTGCACCTGTTTTCTTCTTCCATGACAGGATCTGGCAGAATCTCATTCTTTTTCAATGGAATTCCAAAGAGCATACTAACTATCCAATTACTTTTCTGATTACTGCAAGAATAAAAGAGGTTTAATCCCAAATTGAAAGCCACGCTATATAATGACTGTTGACATTGGAACAGCAAACATTGGCAAAGCTATTAAGAGAATAGCACATTGTGGGTAATATTTTATCTTTGCCTAAGGGAGTCTTTAAAGGATATTAAGAGAGGGTATATTTTTGAGAATGTATCAGAAGAAATAAGATTTAAGGAAAAATGCTATTTATAGCAGCCATCGTACCATGGATACAGCAACCTTTCTGAATTCCTCTCATATCCCAGCTGCCATGCTGGGGCAACATGAACACAGAGAGCAGATCAAGAAAGAAGAAAATCAAGAATTCTACTACTCAGCTCCTGCTTCAAGAACTCCTCATCCCTCAAAACTAGCTCAAAATTGACTTTCTCTGTGATGTTCTACTCCTCACAGGTAGTAAGGGACCCTACAAATCCCTAGTTCTTTGTACATGTCTCTATTTGGTTTTTTAATGTTGAATTCCTTTATCTTAAGTATTTGTTAATATGCCAGTGTTTCCTACTTTACTATTATATGAACGCTCTGATCCACATGTCTTACTGATATCTATACTCCTGGCACTTAGTAGAGTCCCTGACACATGGCAGGTACATAATAAATGCTGAATGAATGATTATTTGAATCCTGGATACATATTCTATTCCATTTTTGATCTGCTATGGACAGAAAGGATGCATCATACTCTGGTCAACCATTGCTAAGACCATCCTGCTGAAACTCAACTGGCCTTCATGAGCCTGCAGGAGAAAAGTTATAGATTCTTTCGGGCTGTGATGTGGTGGATCTTTTGCAGTATGTTTCTTGACATGGACCTTCAACCTAATTGAACTAGATCCTCCAGTGGGTGGGAAAACAATTTTATAGCTAGAAGGAAATGTCAGGCCTTTATTCTAGGCTTTTCACTACATAGATAAGGAAACTGAGTCCTAGGAAAGCAGAGTATCAGATAGTTCAATTATACATACCTGCATGATGGAAGATCTGAGAATAGAACTCACGTATCCTGATCAGAATACTGCTTTTTTGTTACTGTTATCTTAGGCTATTTGGGGTACTATAAGGAAATACCATGGACTGGGTAGCTTTTAAACAACAGAAATTTATTTCTCACAGATCTGGAAGGTGAGAAGCCCCAGATCAAGTCACCGGCAGATTCAGTGTCCGGTGAGGACTCACTTTCTGGTTCATAGGCAGTGCCCTTCTAGCTGTGTCCTCACATAGTGGAAGGGGGAAAGTAGCTCTCTAAGGCCTTTTTTATAAGGGCAGTAATCTCATTCATGAGGGCTCTGCTCTCATGAGTTAATTACCTCCCAAATGTCCCACCTCCGAATACCTCCATATTGGTGATTAGACTTCAACATACGAATTTTGGGGGGACACAAACATTGAGACCATAGCAATTGTGGTAAAATAGACATGAGATCTATAATTTTGTCCACTTTAAATGTACCCTTCAGTGGCATGAACTATATTTACACTGTTGTGCAACCACCCCCACTATCCTCCTCCAGAACATTTTGTCATCCTAAATTGAAGCCTTGATTCATTCTCCTTTCCCTAAGGCCCTGATAAGCACCATCCTACTTCCTGCCTCTATGAATTTTTACTACTATATGTATCTTAGTAGAATAATATAATATTTTTGTGTGTGTGTCTGGCTTATTTCACATAGCACAATGTCTTTAAGGCTTGCCATGTTGTAGTATGCGTCAGAATTTACTCCCTTTTAAGGCTGGATAATGTCCCATCATATGTGTGTATCACATTTTATTTATTCATTCATCTGTAGATGGCCATTTACACTGTTTCCACATTTTGGCTATTGTGAATAATGTAACTATGAATATTAGTGCAAAATATGTTTGAATCTCTGCTTTCAGTTTTTTTTTTTTGGACTCGGAAGTGAATATACCCAAAAGTAGAATTGCTAAAGAAGAGTGCCTTGGCTTATCCACCTTATCTCAAACATTTGGTCAAAGATTACTGGGTCTGGGACTGGGTTCCATTGTAGTTAAATTCTTCGAATATATTCTGAGTATCTACTCTGTGTCAGGCTCTACGCTAGGCACTTGGGGTCCACAGGTATTGAGACACAGCACCAGACTAGTGGGAGAGAATTCAGGTAAACAAACATGACACTTGAAATATAGGCAACAATAGAAAGCAGCAAACAGAAGAAAGGAGTGAATGATTGATTATACTGAATTGTATGTGGGGGGGCATTTAGGGGAGTTGATCAGCAAAGTCTTCATAGTCACAAAGATGACACTTGAGTAGGATTTTTGAATAACAAATAAGAATTCATCAGTAAAGGCCGGGCACGGTGGCTCACGCCTGTAATCCCAGCACTTTGGGAGGCCGAGACGGGCAGATCACGAGGTCAGGAGATCGTGACCATCCTGGCTAACGTGGTGAAACCCTGTCTCTACTAAAAATACAAAAAATTATCCGGGCGTGGTGGTGGGCGCCTATAGTACGAGCTACTGGGGAGGCTGAGGCAGGAGAATGGCGTGAACCCGGGAGGCGGAGCTTGCAGGGAGCCGAGATGGCGCCACTGCACTCCAGCCTGGGCGACAGAGCGAGACTCCGTCTCAAAAAATAAATAAATAAATAAAATAAAAAAGAATTCATCAGTAAAATAGGTTGAGAAACTCCATACTCAAAAATAAGAGAGCATTAAAAGGCATGGTGTATAGTTCAATATGGCTAAAGTACAAAATACGAAAAAATAAGAAACAGCATAGAAAGGATCTGGAGAGCTAAACAGAGGCCAAGCCATAAGGGGCCTTGAATGCTATGTTAAGGAAACTTAAATTTTACATACACTTTACTTTCTAGGCAAGAGGAACTACTGAAGGATTTCAAAAAAGAACATGACATGATGAGATCGGTGCTTTAGATGAGCAGTCCCCAACATTTTTGGCACCAGGGACCAGTTGCGTGAAAGACAATTTTCCAGGGACTGGGACAGGAAGGGGGATGGCTGGGCGCGGGGTGACGGTTTCAGGACGATTCAAGCTCATTAGGTTTATTGTGTACTTTATTTATACTATTATTACATTGTCATATGTAACAAAATAATTATACAACTCACCATAATGTAAAATCAGTGGGAACCCTGAGCTTGTTTTCCTGCAACTAGACTGATGGTCCCATCTGGGGGCAATGGAAGACAGTGACGCCCAAAGTGTATTGCTTATGTCCTGTCTACTCTGTAATCTTGTTTTGGTTGCTGTCACTGCAGAAAACCCTGCTTCACAAAGATAGGATGTTGGAATTGGAAGCAGGCATTTCACTGCTTTTGTGGCAATCTCAGGATAGTCTGCCTTAACTTTAATCCAGAACATACAAAGATTTGAAGTTATCTTAGACATACTTTTAAGGCCTCAACTTTAATCCAGAACATACAAAGATTTGAAGTTATCTTAGACATACTTTTAAGGCCACCAGATGCAGTTGTACAATTGAAGCACATTAACTCACCTGCCACTATAAAGCTTGCCACAAGATGCAGTTTAATTGTCACTTGCCACTCACTGACAGGGTTTCGATATGAGTCTGCAAGCAATTGATTTATTATAGTCTCTGCAGTCAAACCTTTCTGCTAATGTTAATGTGTATTTGCAGCCACTCCCTAGAGCTGGCACCACCACCTCAGCTCCACCTCAGATCACCAGGCATTAGATTCTCACAGGGAGCAGGCAACCTAGATACCTCACATGTGCAGTTCACAGTAGTGTTCAGGCTCCTATGAGAATCTAATGCCCCCACTGATCTTACAGGAGGTGGAGCTCAGGTGGTAATTCAAGTGATGGAGAGTGGCTCTAAATACAGATGAAGCTTCACTCACTTGCCTGCCACTCACCTCCTGCTGTGCAGCTCGGTTCCTTACTGGCCACAGACCACAGACCGGTACCAGTCCATGGCCCCGGAGTTGGGGACCACTGTTTTAGACTGATCACTCTGGCCTCCATGTGGGATGATCTGAGAGGGTGAAAAGGGCTAGTGAGGAATAAATAGGAAGCTACTCTTCCTAACAATCTGAGCAACAGAGAATAGAGGTTCAGGCAGTTGTAGAGATGACAGAGAAGCCTGAGATCTGGGATTTGGTAACTGATTAACTAATTGTAAAAAATGAAAGGGGAGATTTGAGGGAAAGTAGTTAAGGAAAACTCCAAGGTTACTGGCAGGGTTAATGGGCTATCAGGTAGATCTATTCACCGAGGTAGAGAATCAGGAAGGAGATAAGGTCTGTGACTGAGGATAATGAGTTCATTTGGGGGCATGTTGACTATGAATGCCTTTCAAGATAGGAGAAGATTAGTAAAATGTTAGAAGTTAAAGATAAAACTTTGGGCTCAAATCAACTAATTTGTAACAAATCGCTCTAGCTACTTTATTCAGCAAGGAAATTAATATGGGGGTTAAGTGTTTTATGAAATCATTGGAAAGGCCGAAGGCGCAGGTTCTAAGTTGAATTTTCGGTAATAATGCCTAGAAAATGGCTGCAGAAATAATAAGCCAGGAAAGCTACAATTGCCATAATAATTAGGAGGCTCAATCAAGTCACCAGGAAGCCACCACTGCTGCTGCAAATGCCTGTTGCCATATAAGAAGCTGGTGACTGGATACTACAAAAGTGGTGCCAAGAAAACCCAGTGCTTACCAGCAGTGACAATCAGAAGTGGCAAATAGATGGCCTTGGCCTTTTGTCTTTCAAAATTTACATATTTTCTTGATTATGATGGTGGTTGCACAGCCCTATGAATGTACCAAAAGCCATTTAATTATACACTTTAAGTGCATGAATTGTATGTTACATGAATTATATCTCAATAAAGACGTTAAAATCTTACGTATTTTCTAATTGGCGAAGCTTATTCTGTACCCAGAAATTTAGCTGCAAGAGAGTCTGGGAAATGTGATTTTTTTTTTTTTTTTTTTTTTTTTTTTTTTTAGTTTCGCAACTTCTATTGTATGGAAAGATGCAATAGGAAGAGGTTGAAATGAATGTTGAGGAAACCAATCTTTGTTTTTTAAAGAGGATGGATGAGCTTTTCCAAGGACTGTTTATCAAAAAAGGGAGAGAAGGGAAAGAGAAAATGAAAAACTTGAATGCCAATACTTCAGAGAAGACAGAAAAAAAATCCAAAAAATTATACTGAGGAAGAATAATCAAATGGTAAATGAAGAACCAGGGACACACTTTCCTGGACCCCAAAAGTAGGGAGTCAAAAGGAAGAAGGGTGGAGAGTAATGAACATAACACCACTTCTTATGCAAATGAACTGGGCATGTCACTTAACCTCTTTGATTCTCAGTTTTTTTGGTCTTTAAAATGAGGACAGCAACAGTAATACTTGTTCTACCCACTTAACTGTTTGCTGAAAGATGAACTGGACAATGCATATAAAATCAAATTGAAATTATGTACCATTCTATAATTGTTAGTTGTGATTATTTTAAACAAAGATGATGCAGCATCTACTGCCAATATGTGCCTTAAGGTTAGGGTATTTTCCTAATATCTAAGTGAACAAAAAGTCCTCCCACACTAATTTGACCATTTTATCTCAGAAGAAATGAAGAATGACTGCTCACAGCTATCCATATGCCATCCATGTTTGTCCACGAAGATTGTCACAAAGCATTCTTCTCAGCCAACATCTTACTGCAAAGATCTGAGAACTGATTGACAAATATAAACTAACTACTTCCCACAACAGTCCTCCACAGTCCATGTTAGGTGAAAGACACAGGTTCACAAAGTCTGCGGAGGCATGGAGCTTGGCTCCTACTCTTACACTCCACCCTGTCAGGTCCCATCATACCCCTTCCTGCTATCTCATTTACCAAATCTCAAACATCAACAGCCTGTGTGCTTAGGAGTGGGATTCCAATCATCCCACTTCTTAAGGCACTCAGTTGCATTTGTAACACACCAGCTGTTTCTGAGAACACATGCTTAATATAGGAATAGCAAGAAATTCTGTTGTAGCTGTCCCAAGCCATCCCAGAGTGCTATCATGGCAGTAACATCTTGTGGGAGAATAAAAATGAAACCTGTATCTTTAGGGAAGTTATCCAGCGTCTCTCTCTAAATGTCCCTTTCTCCCTGAGTTTGCTGTCATCATAAGATGCAGACCTCTGTATAATTTGGAGAACAGGGTCAGCTAAGGTGAGATCTGGCCATGATAGAACATGGTAAAGAAAAATCACATAAATCCCAAGCCACATGTCCATGGGGAAGGAAAATCAACACTGAGGATTCAGAACGAAGACGATCTGTTTGTCAAAAGTCCTGTGTAGAATGGCCATAATACACCTGCATTTCAACAGCCCTTGTTATGAAAAGTAAAGTGGATTTTTTTGGTCCAAAAATATGGAGTTTTTCCAGTATACGTATTCAGAATACACCATTCATCATAAGAATGACTTGACATTTGTTGATCTTTCATTATGGGAAATATGGTATTTAAGAGCATGGACTTTGGAGCCAGGCTGTCTTAGGTTATTGATGTCCTGGGTCTGCCACTTTCCAGCTATGTAAACTTAAGCAACTTACATGACCTCTCAGGCCTCAATTTCTTTATCCTTAAAGAAAATAATTCACACAAAGTGCTTAGCACAAAGTTTGGCCCATATAAACCCTACTATAAATGGAAGCTCTTATTATTCATACCTGCAATTTTTCCTTAAGAATGTTGTAATATCTTTAAACTATCTTATTTATGACATATCAGCAAATAGGAAATGCTCTTAATATTATTAATGTTCTAAACTGAATTGAATGGAAGCAAAATACACCTAATTTAATCTCACTTTCTTCTGCTGAACACTTAGTTTATGTTAGTGTTTGCAAATTGGCATATCCTTCTGGGAGTATTTATCCAAACTGATAAGCCTGCCTGTCTTCTTTGGCAAGGTGAACCTCTTCAACCAGAACAAAAATAAAACAGCATTGGTGGAGAAAATAAAGGGATCACTAGCAATAAAATATAGGGGGTAGGGTGGATGGGAAAGGTATGTTGAAGCTTATTGAGATATAAAGTTCCAAAACTGTTTTTAATTAAAAGAAAAATTATTTTATTTTTTAAATTTTTGACCTATATCATTCCTGTATGATGATCAATGCTAAACCAGTAAAATTTTTCATTAAAGTTTCTTTTCTGAATTTGGCTAGAGTAAAATATTAAGTAATTACCCTAATAATGAGGTGTTCTATTTAATTGTATGTTAAGTTTAACTGAGTGTCATCTTTTGAAGGTTGTTCTTTTGATTAGATACATGAGAAATAAAATATTTGAATTAACTTTATACTTTGGTCATTTACTCCATTTTCTTAAAATTTGAAAATTGAGAAAATTTTACAATGTACATAATGGAATTCCCATCTCTTGAAGTATTTTAAATATCTGGTCCAACACAAAATAGCTTTTTTTATTTTTACTGGGCCTTGACACACCCAGCCTTGTGCTTCCCCATCTCTCCAGAGCTTGGTCTGAAAGTTCATAAGAAGCTGTTGTGTTCTCTAGAAGCAAGCTTAGCTTCCTCAGGGTTGCCATGCCCGGTTGACTGGGTATGACCTGAGAACTGGCCTATCTCCTGGGCCCACTCCAGAAGAAACAAATGTCCTAGGCTCACGCCAAGAAAGAGGGTCTAGATCTTAAGACGATTTCATAGAAAGAAGACCTTGAAATTACAATTTATATGGAAAGATCTACAGATCAATTACACTTTCAGCCTGTTAAAGGAGGGGTGACAGAATGTTGCTCTGCAACTCTTCCAGAACTCTTTATCTTATTGCTTTATTATTTATCAAGCACTTTACTTTATTTACAATGCTTATCACTTTATAAATTATGTATTTTTTTTACCTTTCAAGTTATTGTCTTTCCCTCTTAGAGTGCAAACACCATGAAAGTAGGGGCCTACTTCATCATAGTCACCATCACCTCTGACACTTCTGACAGCTTGCCTCCAGCACAGGCTTTTGAACATGGAGATCCAAAGGCTTCATTATCCTTCCTCACAGTGCCCTGTCCTTGTTCTCAGCATCTAGAACAGTGCTAGCCACAGTTTAGGAAGGCAATACATTTTTTTTAAGTGAATGAATACATATGTCTCCACTTATCTGAGTAAAGTGGAGATATTTTATTTTCATAACCTAATACAGCTTAAGAGTAGAATAAATTTTAAAATTTTATATTTAAAGAAAATGAGTTTTTTGTGATACCACATTAAAAACAATAACTTCAAAGGTCACCGTGTACAAACAAATTACTGAAACTAAGAATATTTTATGTAATTTTCATGGCCCAGAATCCAGAGTCCAAAAAGAGACATGTATTCATTAGGATAAGTAGCACTAACTGCTAACACATATAAACTCAAAAACCTCCGTGGTTTGACACGATAAAAGTTTATTTATCACCCACGTCAGAGTCCAACATGGGATGGAGGTGGGTGTGTATTAAGGGTAGGTGAGGGGAAAGGGGAACAGTGAGGTCTCTGCTCCATGCTGTCATTCAGGGACCAGGCTCCTTATATCCTGTGACTCTACATCCTTTAGAGCCTGGTTCTCCCCTGCATCCATCCAGTAAAAGGAGAAAGCAAAGCATCTACAGAACCATGTGGGACCTCAGGACCTTCCAGACTTGGAAGTTGGCCAGATGCTGGACTCTTTCTGTTGCTCACCTTGACATTTAGTCTTTGGTCCTCCTTATGGTAAAATTTCACTTTAAGATCCCCAAGCACTTGGCAAGTCCTTCAAAGGGCTCCACTTTTTAAAAATTAATAACTGCCCCTGACTGAAATGTTAAAATTTAAAGGGTCACTGACATTTTTCCTTCAGTATCCCGGATCACGTCTAAAAGAAAGTTTAGCACCAATTAAAGAATTATTTACTGAACATACAACCATGGGCTCTCCCTAAACATTGCCATCAGGCAAAAGGGGAAGATAAATACTGATGCTAGAACCTATCATGTCCTTTCAAAATGTGAGATTATCATTGGGTTTTGGAGGACACAGTCTCCTGATGCTATAGAAATTTTTGTTATTAATAAGCCACATTTAACTCTGTAGGTAAATGTGGGTTTCTGTCCAGTTATTTCATCATCCACATGCTAACTGACCTGAGCAGCCCACAGTGAGAGCCAACAGACCCTCTGGCAGGTTAGACAGCAGAGCAAAACAAGAAGGGGGTGGAGGTGGGGAAAGGGCAATACAGAAGCAAATTAGTGTCTCAGGATCTTGTCCACCCTTAGGGAAGTGAGAGCAATACAGACATAGCTGGAATAGTGAATTGAATTCAGACTGGATCTTTGAGAACAAGGACAGGGCACCGTGAGGAAGGACAATGAAGCCTTTGGAACTCCATGTTCAAGAGCCTGTGCTGGAGGCAAGCTATAGAATAAACCCGGTTCAACTTTTCAAGTGTTCATCAGCTCCTTCTATTTCAGAAAGTGATTTTGTTGTGGTTTTGTTCCTAAGCGGGTACTGAGCTCAGCAGTAGCAGCCAGACTCTCAAGGAAGCTGAATTTCTACTGGACAATGACCAGAAGTGGCACCTTGCAGGGCAGAGGCTCGCCTTCCTCTCACTTGGTGTAGGGCCCTGCAGGCACCCCTTTGACAACACTCCTTGGGGAAGGCTCAGCTGAATGACGATTTTACCTTGTCCTGGCAAAGATGCACCAATTTTAAGTGAAACAGATCAACGAGACAGGCAAGCATTAACATGGAGCCTCTATGTTTGCTAACTGCAGTCCCTTTTCTCATCTCAGCCAGATTGTCTTGTGTTTCTACTCCCCCCAAAATCCAGTCTAGTTTTCGTGCCTTATATCTGAATTCTCTCTGTCCTGTCCACTCTTAGGGACTTGGCTGCTGGACTTCTGTTACACAGAGCCTTGTAGAGCTACACATTGAAATGGCCATGCAGCCCTGACACACAGACCCCAGATCTCTAAGAACTTGAGTGAGTTGTGTGCCTATGAGCAGGTAGGCAGTGAGAGAGGCCGAGGCTGGTCCAGCGAAGGCTGCAATTTTTTCAGTGCCGCAGTACAGAGAGTCTGCAGTTACTGGGGTAGCCAACCTCCACAGCCCCTGACATTCTTTGCTCCTCTAGGAGACAGTAATACATTACAGGTGTTATAACTTTTCCTCAGAATCAGACTGCCTCGGGAACTGTAAATCTAAATCACGGCTGCCCTCAGGAAACCTGTGGGCCTGTAAACACAGTGAAATGAGTGAGATGAAAGCATCCGAGGGAGAAAATGAATTTCAGGCATCCTACTGAAGTCTATTTCATTTTTACAGTCTGGTCACCCCCCTGTGGCAGGGGCAGTGCCTGGGAGGAACAGGCTGCCTCCTGACTGACAGCTGACAAGTGAGGCTCCTCTTGGAAGCCTTGGCTCCGGGGCCTAATCAAGAAACAAGAGCTGAAGCAGATTCCTAGCTTCTCCGGCACTGCTCGAGGTACCACTGAAGATGCCGCCAAGGCCACGGCAGGTTTTCTGTCTGGGAGGCTGGGCCTGCCTGAGCAGGCATTTGTAATCAAGGTCATTCTTAAAACCAAAGGCAGAGCTGAGCATTTGGCAGGGAGTGTGTGAAAGGAAGGAGAGAAGGAGAGAAGGAGAGAAAGAAAGGTAAATAGGAAAACGAGGAAAAAAAAATGGAAGAGAAGAGATCCCTATATAATTCCCAGATGCTGGTGTTTCCGGGTGGAGGAGCCCAGACACCCTCAAAGGGATGGCAGCTGGCCACAACAAGGCTGCTCAGAGCAGTGAGTTCATCACCCTGGGTTTGAGCAAGCATAAAGCGAGAGTTAGAAAGTCATGAAATAATAATAATATTTTTAATATGACAACCTGAATGTCACAGCAACCAAACCAAATTCTTTAGCTATAAATGGGGAAGAGAGCTTAAAAGCTATCACTGGGGAAAATGATGTCACTCTTAAAGGAGGAAAACATTTGGACCCAACTTCCCTCTGATTTTCATTACTGTTAATTTTTAACATAAATCCAACCATATTGCCTCTTGCAACAGGGAACTATTGATTGATTGACTAAATGGCTAACTTAAGTCAGCATGAAAGAAATTAGCTCAGTGTCCTCCTTACTATAGGTGGGTGAAATGCCAAATGCTTTTAATAATGAACCTGGAGTCTCTTCTCCCATTCCCATGGAATTCTACAAAGGAATTTGAAAGTGATTTTCAAATTCTTGGTAAATCTCCCAAACTCACATTTTACATGCTTTGGCAAGGACTGCAAAGCTGAGAAGGCCTGTTTTTAGAAAATCACCTAGACTAGTTTGTAGTGTAAATAATATTTTAAAGCGTTGGAAATAACGCCTTGATATTTCAACCTCCAGATTGTTGCTGTAGAGGAAGTAGAGTGTAATGGATACGAGCCTAGATTCCAGAGCCAGACTGTCTTGGATCAAATCTTTGCTTTTCCACTTCCTAGACGTGTAATCTTTGGCAAGCATCTTAACATCTCTTTGCTTCAGTTTTCTCCTGTCAAATGGGTATAATAGCATCCTGAGTTAAAACATACACAGTATGCAGGACAGTGTGTTTAGTAAACAATAAATATTGCCATTCATATTGGAAATGAAATTTCTAAACATTTTAATTTTGCTTTTGAATAATACTAATACTATTTAATTATGATATAGCGTTTTATCTAAGCAAATATTTTTGTTTACCAATACTGCTAGTAAATATGTACATACAGTCCTCAGCTTTATATACTAATTATGATATACAGTCTTTTATCTAAGCAAATATTTTTGTTTACCAATACTGCTAGTGAACAGGTACATACAGTCCTCAGCATAATGCTACTCATTATCCCTTGTTAGCCAAAAATGTTCTTCCCCTGAAGACACCTTCATTCCTGAATGAAAGGAAGATTTCTACAAACTCTCCTCCCTGAAGCTTTCTCACTGTTGCAGGCAGCTTCAGTGGCTCCCTCCTTCATGTTCCAATGTCTCTTTGCACATGTCTTGAATAGAGTTCCTCTTGTGTCAGGATGTGACCTGATTCCCTAGCATTCCACAGGGCAGGAATCTTACGTGGTGTGCCTTTAAGTTCCTAAGGCTTTCCACGTAGGAGGAAAGGGAAGAAAGCTACTGAAAGAAAGCACCTTATTTCCTATAGAAATGTAAACAAACAGATCAATGTATTCCTTAAGAATTCTAGAGAGAGCCAAGACTAGAAGTCAAGGCCTTAATGGCTATATTTCTAGATGATTTAGTAATTTTTTTCTTGTCCTTCAAAAGACAAACAATATGCTTATGTCACAACTGATTTAAATGAATCCATTTTAAACTGTAACTAGTTTTCATGTTATCTTTCCTCCAACCACAGGACAATTATTCCCATTATTGGGAATAATGGGATGATGATGATGCCA
Organism: Homo sapiens; assembly: GCF_000001405.40. Lineage (NCBI taxonomy): Eukaryota > Metazoa > Chordata > Mammalia > Primates > Hominidae > Homo > Homo sapiens. The sequence continues at coordinate 1,657,851 of NC_000009.12, read as the reverse complement.
CTGAGGCTTACACAGAAATACTAAAGATCCTCAGAGACTATTATGAACACCTCTATGCTCACACCTAGAAAATCTAGAGAAAATGGATAAATTCCTGGAAACACACAATCTCCCAAGATTGAATGAGGAAGAAATTGAAACATGGAACAGACCAATATCACATTTTGAAATTGAATCAGTGATAAAAAACTTACCAACCAAAAAAAGCCCCAGACCAGAAGGACTCACAGCCAAATTCTACCAGACATACAAGGAAGAGCCGATATCAATTTTACTGAAACTATTCCAAAAAGCAAGGAAGAGGGACTCTCCCTCACTCATTCTACAAAGTCAGCATCACCCTTATACCAGAACCTGGCAAAGCCACAACAAAAAAAGAAAACAACAGGCCAGTATCTCTGACGAACATAGACAAAAAATTCCTCAACAAAATATTAGCAAAGTAGCAGTACATCAAAAAGTTAATTCACCAGGATCAAGTAGGTTTCATTCCTGGGATGCAAGGTTGGTTCAACATACACAAATCAATAAAAGTGATTCACCACATAAACAAAAACCACATGATTATCTCAACAGATGCAGAAAAGGCTTTAAATAAAATCAAACACCCCTTAATGATAAAAACCTTCAAGAAACCAGGCATTGAAGGAACATATCTCAGAATAATAAGAATCACCTATGACAAACCCAGAGCCAACATCATACTGAATGGGCAAAAGCTGGAAGCATTCCTTTTGAAAACAGGAACACAGCATGCCTACTCTCACCACTCCTATTCAACATAGTAGTAGAAGTCCTAGCCAAAGCAATCAGTCAAGAGAAAGAAATAAAAGGCATCCAAATAAAATACAAAAAAGATGAGTCAAATTATGTTTCTTCACTGATGATGTGATTCTATACCTAGAAAATTCTAAAGACTCTGCCTGCCATAAGGCTCCTAGAACTGATAAATGACTTCAGTAAAGTTTCTGGATACAAACTCAATGTAAAAAAAAATTAGTAGCATTTCTATACACCATTAAATTTAAAGCTGAAAGCCAAATCAAGAATGCAATCCCATTTACAATAGCTACAAAAAAATAAAATACATCGAAATACATCTAACCAAAGAGGTAAAAGAACTCTACAAGGAAAACTACAAAATACTGCCGAAATAAATCATAGATGGTGCAAACAAATGGAAAAATCATTCCATACTTACGGATTGGCCACACTGTCCAAAACAATCTACAGATTCAACGTTATTCCTATTAAACTACCAACATCGTTTTTCACAGAATTAGAAAAAAAAACTATTCTAAAATTCATGTGGAACCAAAAAAGAGCCAAAATAGCCAAAGCAATCCTAAGCAAAAAGAGCAAAGCTAAAGGTATCACATTAACCAGCTTCAAATTAAGTTATAAGGTCACAGTAACCAAAACACATGGTACTGGTACAAAAACAGACACACAGAACAATGAAACAGAACAGGGAACCCAGAAATAAAGCCACACGCCTACAGTCATCTGATCTTGACAAAGCAACAAAAATAAGCCATGGAGAAAGGACTCCCTATTCAATAAATGGTGCTGAAATAGCTGCCTAACCATATGCAGAAGAATAAAACTGGACCCCTACCTTTCACCATCTAGAAAAATTACCTCAAGATAGATTAAAGATTTAAATGTAAGACCTCAAACTATAAGAATCCGAGAAAAAAATCTATGAAATACCATTCTGGACATCAGAATTCTTCGGAAGAACTTTATGACTAAGTCCTCAAAAGCAATTACAACAAAAACAAAAATTGACAAGTGGGACCTAATTAAACTAAAGAGCTTCTGCACAGCAAAAGAAGAAACCATCAGCAGAATAAACAGACAACCTACAGAATGGGAGAAAATATTTGCATGCTATGTATTCAACAAAGGTCTAACATCCAGAATCTATAAGGAGCTTATCAACAATTCATAGCCAAAAAACAAATTACCCCATTAAAAAGTGTGCAAAAGAGATGAACAAATACTTCTCAAAAGACAGACATAAAAGCAGCCAACTAACATTATAAAATGCTTAACATCATTAATTATCAGAGAAATGCATCATTAATCATCAAAGAAATGCAAATCAAAATCAGTGAGATACCATTTCACACCAGTTGGAATCGCTATTATTAAAAAGTCAAAAACCATCAGATGCTAGTTAGGCTGTGGAGAAAAGAGAACAGACACTTATATACTGTTGGTAGGAATATAAATTAGTTTAGCCACTGTGCAAAGCAGTTCGGAGATTTCTCAAAGAACTTAAAATGGAACTACCATTCTACCCAGCAATCCCAATCCTGGGTATGTATCCAGAGGAAAATAAATCATTCTACCAAAAAACAAAAAACAAAAAACACACGCATTCATATGTTCACTGCGGCGCTATTCACAATAGCAAATACATGGAATCAACCTAAATACCCATCAACAGTGAACTGAATAAAGAAAACACATTTTCTTTATAATATACATATACAGTCCATATACAACATGGACTGCTACACAGCCATAAAAATGAACAAAATCATGTCCTTTGCAGCAACACGGATGCAGCTGGAGGCCATTATCCTGAGTGAATTAATGCAGAAACAGAAAACCAAATACCACATGTTCTCACTTACGGGTGGGAGCTAAGCATTGGCATAAAGCATGAGCATAAAGATGGAAACAATAGATACTGGGAACTACTAGAGGGGAGGGCAAGGGCTGAAACACTACCTATTGGGCATTATGCTCACTACCTATTCCCGTGGGATTATTTGTACCTCAAACCGCAGCATCACACAATATACCCAGGTTACAAACCTGCACATGTACCCTCTGAATCTAAAAGAAATATTGAAATTATATAAAACAAGAGGATGCTACTGAGGATTACACATAAAGAATCTGCCCCAATCCCAAAGAATACGGCAGGGTTTGAATGTGAGTCGGACACCAGTGCCTGTATCTTTTTCACCACATCTCAAGGTTAATATCCATTTCACTGAATATGGATCAGAAACGACTTTAGAACACAGGCAGACATAGATCTCCAGTGTGTGGAAGACAAAACTTACTTTTGTCTCCTGGGACAATTTGATCATTCAGATTCCTTTTAAAGTCAACTTGTTTTTCCAGTTTTTTCTAATACCTTTACACATGCGGTTTCAAAGCAAAATAGTGTTTCTGACAAGAAGAGAAAGCCTCGATAACAATAATGACACCTAATCCTATGGAACACTTACTCTGTTCCACATTCTGTTCTAGTATTTCCCATAGATGAATTCATTTAATCTTCAGATTTGTTTTTCAGATGGCTTTATCAAACTTGTATTGAAGTAATTGTAATTTGTCTGAATTTCCATGAACATATCACATGTCACACATTCTCAAATACTTCAATATACCAACAGAGAAACAGAAATATTATTTAATTATCATCTCACCACACAAACTGGTCACTTGCTGACAACAGTAGTGTTTCTCACAAAGTGGTGGAAAGGGTTGAGAGAGGCATCACAAAATTGTCATTTCCAACCAAGTTGCCTGGTCTGAAAGTTATTTTCTACTCATTCAAACTACGGTCAAGGTGAAATAAATGCCTGAAATCATCCAGGTATTATTCTCCTTTGTCTGCTGGAACTAAAATTAATTCCAGGTACATGTTCAAATGAATGAGCAAATATGTCATTGGGGCAGAGGTTGGGAACAACACATCGTGTTTCTACAGTGTTTTTCTTTCTCTCCTTTTCTCTCTTATTTCCTGTCTTCTGTCTGGCTTTCTCCTTCCCCATTCTTGGTGGCATGAAACAAAATCTCTCCTGTGTTTCAAACAAAAAAATGTCAGGGAAGACTTTTCTGATAAAGTTATTTCTTCACATTGCCCTCACATTAGAGAGAAAGAGACAGAGAGAAGAGGACACTTACTTCATTTCAGGCAACTGTTTGCAATTTGAAATTAGACCAGTTCCCAGAATCAGCAAAAATCTAAATCCAGCAAAGATTCTCCTCCTTTCGAACCTATTTTTCCCATCCACTATGCAAAGCAATTGACATCAGGCTGTAATTTTTCAGAGGGCATGCAAAGGGCAAAGAATGAAAACAGTTACCTTTAAGTCTTTGCAGGGTGAGGTGTTAGTTCAGAACAGATACCGGCTTTCTCTGAAATACTTGGTAAAGGAAGCACCAAGAGAAGAGGGAAGTTTGTGAAAACAGCCAGAATGAAACACAGCTGGGACGTACCATTATTACCTTTCTTATTTTAAGTCATCCTTTGGTGAAGAGAAGTTTGCTCTTAAAGGCTAGCAGATTTTCAAGATTCACTTAAAATCTTTAACACTGGCACTTTAATATTTATTCTTGTTTTGTGTCATGCACGGAGCCATCTAGAGAACACTACAATGCAAAGATGCCCAACGCATGATTTGAGGATGAGTGAAAAAAAGAAAGAAGAATGAATCATTCTTTGCCTCTGATTTCACAGATCACAAAAGTAACAGGTCAAAATCTGTAATAATCGAAATCCAAACAATAAATGCTGTTCAAGGTTTGACTTACCCTCAAATATAGAACCTCAATTCAGCAATAATTTTTTTTTTCCTTTACATTTCTAATCAGAGTAACTCTTTATGGCTGAACACCTGAAGACGTTGTGTCTGAGATCCTTATGAAAAGCTTACAGGCGAATGTTGTGGTTTGTCAGGTCAAAAGCAATATTTTTTGTTTCTTTCTCATTGAAAAAAGATTTGCCTTTAACACTATTAAAGTCTGATTGAAAAAGTGTGTTTTTAAGACGTGTCTCTACCTTTAGAGAATTCTAGACACTAATGGCTTTGAAGTAATTCTTACACACTTTAGAATAAGTGACATCCTTAAAAAAGTCTGACTTGTTATTTACACGTATTCATATTCCCCAAGCTTCCTGTCTAGTTTTTCAACGCTCACATAGGTCTTTAAGAAGAATGCTTTAAAAGGAGAAAAATTGCAGTGCCAGAAAATGTAAAAATGACATGAAGAGGCACCCATCCCGCCCTCACATATGCACAGCCACTGGCGTTAATGGAATTTACCTTTATACAGGAGGGTTTTTCATGGCTTGAGTTGACAAACTCCTTGAATTTAAGCTCAGACTAACTCTTAGCCTGTCAATTTCTATCTTGGTCTCATGAATGCCAGGAGTTTTCTAATAAACAGTGTGTTGTAAAATCATCATGTGTTGGAACTGGTAGGATGCGGGTTTTCCCTTTGATAGGCAGTTCTGGTTGCTGGGACCCACAGGGGCTCTCTTGCACCTCTTTGGCAGGGTTTTCGGAGTTTAGTATCCCTTTCCATGCTCTGGTTCACCTATATTGATGGCAAATTCAGATTCCAGGCAGCTCCAACCTCCACACCTTCCAGGATCATAGCACAAGCTAATATTTTTTGAGTTCTCATTGTGTGCTGGTCTCAGCACTAAATAATTTAGATGCAATATTCCCTTTAATCTTCCTAATAGTTTTATGAGGCAGAAAGTATTATTATACCCATTTAGAGATAAATAAATAGCATCTTGGAGAGTGTAAATGCAATGAAACACTGTAAGTGGCTAAGTTGGAGACAGAATCTAAGTGTGTTGAAATCCAAAGCCCTTTGTTTTAACTGCGATACTCAACTAGTCCCTTTCTTTTCTGTTCCTATAACCATCTCTCCACAGACTCTTTCCTCTTGGCACTAAAACGTATCCAATCATTTTCCTTTCCCTTTACTGGTAGCACAAGACATTTTCTACCATGGAATCCTACCTGCAGTGGCAATTTCAGGTCAGAGAAGATATTTTTGATGAATAGCTAGAAGTTGGAGCTCCCATCTGCTGAAGCCCTAGAATAGGATAGCAGAAGGGATTCAACAGAAGCCTTCACTTCTCCTCCTCTGAAACCGACAGTGGCCTCAAGTGCTCTGTTATACCCCAGGATGCAGCCCTGGGTGTTTTCTAAACTTCACCCAGCTTAGCTCCTTTATTTTACTCTGTGCTATAAACAGTGGAATCCACAAGATGTGGTGCATATATTACAGGCTGGTCTGTGTCATGTAATTTGATATACAGGTCTCATTTATCTTTACTATAGCCCTGCAAGGTGGTTTTTAATGACTGCATTTTACAGGCATTAACTATAATAAGAACTACTTTTCACTGTGCACCATTACGAGCTAGAACCCAATAAGGGATTTTACTTGAGAGGCCATATAGCTCACTGTCTAAGGGTATAAGCACTTGAGCCAGACTGCCTGGGTTTGAATCCTGGCTTTGTTATCAGCTGTGTAACGTAAAGCTGAGCAAATTCTTACATCTTCTCTGAGCCTTGGTTTCCTCACCTGTATATTGAGGATTACAATGGAAATAATAGTATTCATTGAAAGAGTGGTGTTGTGACAAATAATTTACCTAAAAGACTTAAAACAGTAGATGCAGTAAGTTTTCAATAAATATATGTTAATATCATTATATGAATTATCCTGTTTGATCCTTACAGCAACTTCATAACCATTGTTATGCATATCTGCTAAATAGGAAACAGGTTCAGGGATCGTAAGTGACTTACCTAAGTCAAACAATTAGTAGGTTGGGGAGCAAGGATTTTTGTTGAGTTGAATCATATCCCACTTCTATTTTCCCTACACTACAGTTGCCCTGACAATGGACTGATCCCTCCCTTTGGGTGCCAGTTAAAACAAACATAGGGCTATAAGTACATTTATTATTATTATTATTATTATTATTATTATTATTATTACTACTACTACTACTATTATCTCAAAATGGGGGTTAAGAATATAGATGAAATGTGCTGAGGATAATTAACTAAATTCATTAGATAAAGTGAATATGATCACACTTCAAACCTAACTATTTAAAATGGGCTATTTGATTCCAATTCTGCCACAGAATTCTTCTTTTTCTCTTAGAAGTGTGCTTTTTAATGACACACGGCACCTTCTTTTCTTAAAACAGAACTAGCTTATTTTAAAAACACAAGTAGAAAAGGAATGTTACACAACACAGCTGAGAAAATAGAACTTCATACTAATTCCCATAAAGTGGCAGGGATATTAAAAGTGGAAATCAAGTAGAAATTAAAGCAATAACTAAATTCAATAGTTCTAATTCAAATTTCTAAGACTGGTCTGCAGAGGGTTCCAACTACCATTTCCTGACTCCTTACTGCAGTCAAGGAACAGTGCTGTGAGGGCACATTATATATTTTCCTATGAGGACCATTTTGCATTTTCCTCTGAAGCTGCAGTAACCTGTTGGGCATCATAGATCCTCCACTCCAATTACTGGTACACGCGAAGAGTTTTAACTTTGCACAGTGTTCAAAAGTAAGGCAAGTCCTTGAACTTAGATAATCCAGCCAGCCTAGACTGCCAAGATGTAAAATGCAGCTATGGAAATCATTACATGAAAGGGACACATAGGCTTAGTCAGCAAGCGATGGGTTCAAACACCTGGGTGTGTATATTATAAAGAATGGTCTGTTCCAGGCATTTTTTTGCAGAACAATCTGTAGGTGAGAAGAGTACCTGCAGGGTTTAATGTAAACCTCTCAAAGATAGAGTAATGTCCCTATTAATCCCTCTGTTTCCTGCACTTAGCAGAGTGCCTCAGCATGACGTAGATGCACCAAAGTCTTGGAAGCTAAAAGGCATCCAGCACCTGGAGTCAGTGATGCACAATTCTTAGATTCAGCTCTTCCATTTGCTAACAATCATGTCTTCAATAAGTTACTTCACCTTTTTGAACCCTCATTTCCTCATTTGTAAAATGGACAATGATTGTGATACCTATCTCAACAGTAGGATTTTGATGACTGAATAAACTGGTGATGTGAAAATTGCTTTGTATGTTTTATACTATCATATGATAAGTTTGATTATTTTTATGTTTGATAATGGGGCAACAATATGAAAATTACATTAAATGCATAATTATCTGTGGGTCAGGAGACCGTTTCTTAATGGCAGGACTCCTGGCTACAAAATAAATATTGGCGTTACACATTGACCTTCAATGCAGTGACAAATGTATATTTCTGAAATTCTAGTGAAAACATTAGAAAGAACTACTAGATAATTAGAAAGTTATATATTCTTACAGATTACTGGGATTATAGTTTTTGTTTTTATTTTAGAAATAAACATTTTTTGTTTAAAATTATGATCGTAAAGCTTTATTATAGAGAATTTAGACAATACAGATAAGAAAGATGAAAATAAAAATCACTTGTAATTCCATTGTCCATAGATGACCTCATTAACTATAGTCTACTATAGTCTGCTATTTTTTCTCCACATGTAGAAGTTTTTGAGCATTACCTATACTCTATTTTTCCCTACATATACATGTATTTAAGCATTATGTGTAATAAAAATGAACCATACAATATACACTATTTTGCTTACAAAACAATATGTTGGGTATTTCTTTTCATGTTAATGTATGCAGATTTGTAATATTATTTTTAACACAAGCATAGTTTTCTTTTATGAGTGTGTGGGGCAATTTATTTACCAACGCCTTCTTTTAGAAGGGGTATTTATTTCCAATGATTTTATCATAAATATGGCCATAGTTTACATAAATATTTTTATTATGTTATAATTTTCCTTAGGATAAGTGATTCAATGTGAAATTTGGGAACAATGAATTTTTAATATGGATTTAATATATAGATTTTTAAGGACACCTGGGCTTTTAAGGGTATTAAGACATACTGCCAAATTAAACCACAACATAGATACTAAATTACACTCCTACCAGCTTTGTTCAAGTTTGCTAGTTTTTATATATTCTCAACGTCTGGCATTAAAAAATTTGTCAGATGAAGATTGTTACCTAATTACTATTTTAAATGACACTCCTTTGGTTACTAGAGAGTTGTACATTTTTTATATATTCAGCAGACATTTAGATTTCTTATTTGAAAAAAATCCCTATTTTCCTAATTTTTTTCCACTTTGGTGTTCATTGAAAAAAGATTGATTTATAGAAGTGAGGTAGGCAACCTTTAAAACGGTCACCCCGAGGTAGATTGGAAAACGAAAATGTGGCACATATATACCATACAATATTACAGAGCCACCAAAAAACAAAAAAAAAATCATGTCCTTTGAGGCAACACGGATTCAGCCGGCGGCCACTATCCTAAGCAAATTAACACAGGAACAGAAAACGAAATACTGCATGTTTTCACTCATAGGCGAGAGCTAAACGCTGGGTACTCAGGGACATAAAGATGGCAACAATGGACAGCTGGGACTACTGGAGGTGGGAAGGAGGGAGGTGTCAAGGGCTGAAAAACTGTTCAGTATTATGCTCAGTGTCTGGGGGACAGGACCATCCATAACCCAAACCTTCGCATCATGCAACATACCCAGGTAACAAACTTACACAGGTGTCTCCTCAACGTAAAACGAAAGTTAAAAAAAAAAAAAAAGGACAAAAGTAATAGCATAAAATAAAACGGCTCCCAATGGTTCTTTCCTCCTGGTATTCACATTAGGTAAATACATTTCTCCCTCATCCCATTAAATATGGGCTAGAAATAGTGAGTTGATTCTGGTGAATAGAAGATGGTAAGTCACGGGATGTCACTTCTGAAATTAGGTTACATAAAACTGTGACTTCCATGTTGCTCACCTTGTCTTTTCTTACTTTCTCCCTCTTTCCCTCTCTCAGAGTCCTGACTCTAGGAGAAACAAGCTGCTGTGTTTTGACCTGCCCTTTGGAAAGATCCACATGGTAAGGAACTAATGCCTCTAACCAATAGCCAGCAAGGACATGAGTTTTGCCAACAGCCATGTGAGTGAGTCATGAAATAAACATTTCATGAGCTTCCAAGAGTCTTGTGAGTGAGCTTAGAAGCAGATCCTTCCTCAGCAGAGCCTAGAAGTGACGAAAGCCCTGGCCAACACACTGACTGCAGATTTGCAGAGAGATTAGCTGCACATCCATTCCTGACACACAGAACTTATAATAGTTGTTTTCTGTTTGAATACACTAAGTATTGGATAATATGTTACACAGGGATAGATAACTAATACAAGGATCTTTTCAACAATATAGCATACTAGATTTTTTAGAGGCCTCACACCTAAAGATGCTGCATAAAATACAGATGACATATTTCTTAATGTATACATGAATTACCAGGAAAATAAAGGAATACTCAGAAATACAAGAAGTAAAATCTCAGTAGCCGATAAGCAAATACTATAGTCTGTTTTGCCTTTGAGATATCTGCCAGTCCCTGGTAACTCAGGTCCTGGGTTTTAATGGACTCACGACAGAGGCAAAGCCTTGGGCCTAGGCAGATTGGGAAGTCTAATTAGAAACCTTCTCCCCCATTCACATGTGATCAAACATGTGACATGCTCAGTGGGTGACCTTGATATGGTTTGGCTATGTCCCCCTACAAATCTCATCTTGAATTGTAGTTCCCATAATCTCCACATATCATGGGAGGGACCCAGTGGGAGGTAACCGAATCATGGAGATGGTTACCTTATGCTGCTGTTCTCGTGACAGTGAGTGAGTTCTCACAAGATCTGATGGTTTTGTAAGGGGCTTTTCCCTCTTTGCTCTTATACTTCTCTCTCCTGCCACCATGTGAAGAAGGATGTGTTTGCTTCCCCTCCCACAAGGATTGTAAGTTTCCTGAGGCCTCCTGAGCCCTGCAAAACTGTGAGTCAATTAAACCTCTTTCCTTTATAAATTAACCAGTCTCAGGTAGTTCTTTATAGCAGCATGAGAATGGACTAATACAGATCTAGAAAAGAAACTACCATGAGAAAGAAGATGGCTTTGACATGTCTTTGGCTTCACCCTAGATAGAGAAGAGAGAAGAGTAAAAAAGATTAAAGTCTCCCCTTAAAATCCTTATGCACAAGCTCATAAAACACAGAGGTGTGGGGCTTAAACTAATACTGATTGTGTGACACAAAATCCTAAACTGAAATTTAAAGTTTTTCCTGGTTGATAATTCTCCAAGGTGCTTAGCAGAAGCAAATGTAAATTATTTCTGGAGGACCACTGTTTATACAAACACCTACAAGAATTTCCATAAATCCATCATAAAATTTACAAGGCACAAGAGCTCAAAAACTCACTGAGCACAGGAGGGAACAAACCACCATGAGCAAGTCATGAGAAACAGCAACAAAGCACATTATTCTATCTATAAAAACTGTAGATAATGGAATGATTGAACACTAAATATAAAATCAGTGTGTTTTATGTTTATAGAAATAAAATACCATGTTGAATGTGTGGTAAAATAATATAAGGCTATCAAAACTGACCAGACATATTTGAAAAAGGACCAAATAGAGCTTTTAGAAATGTAAAATATGACCATTTCCATTAAAACGTCAATGGACAGAATAAACAGAAGATTAGACGCAGGTAAACAGGGACTATGGAAAGGAGATTTGAGAAAGTACAGAGTATGTAGCCCATAGAAACAGGGACATGCAGGATACGGTAAAAATACCTGCAAACATAATGTGGGTTTCCAAGAGGATATAATAGAATGGAGGAGACAGTTGATGTTAGAAGAGGCAATGGTGAAAATTTCCTAGCAATGATCAAAGACACCAGTTAGAAAACCCAACGAATCTCAAGCACAATAAATAAAAAGATATCCAAGCTTAGACGTCAAAATAAAATTACAGAATACCAAAGACAAAACTGAAAACTTTAAGAGCAGCCAGAGATTAAAAAAAAAAAAACACAAAAAAACAACGATTAAAGTAGAACTATAATTAGACCAACAACAGGCTGCCTTAGATTTTTATTGCTGCTGTGACAAATTATCACAAATTTAGTGACTTAAAAAACATACAGTTATTCTCTTATGGTCTTGGAGGTCAGAAGTTCAAAATGAATCTTATGGGGCCAAAATCAAGATGTCAGCGAGCTGGTTCCTTTCAGAGATTCCAGGGGAAAACCTGTTCCTTGCGCCTCTCAGCTTCTAAAGGCTGCCAGCACTCCACAGCTCCATTACACCAATCTCTATTATCATATTTCCTACTACCGACTTTAATCCTAGTACCTATCTCTTATCATGACTCTTGTGTTTATTTCGTGTATGCAAATAATCCAGAAGAATCTCCACATCTCAAGATCCTTAACTTAATCACATCTGTAAAGTCCCTTTTACCATGTAAAGTAACATATTCACAGATTCCAGGGATGAGAATGAGGACCTTTTGGGAAGTCCATTATTCCGCTTACCATAGCAACCTCAGAAAGCCAAAGACGGTCACACGATATGTTAAAAATACTGATACCTGGAATTCTATACCTAGTGAAACCACTTTTTTTTGGAAGATAAATATTTTCTCTTATTTATTTATTATACTTTAAGTTCTAAGGTACATATGCACAATGTGCAGGTTTGTTTGAGAGGCCGGGCGCGGTGGCTAATGCCTGTAATCCCAGCATTTTGGGAGGCCGAGGCGGGCAGATCACGAGGTCAGGAAATTGAGACCACCCTGGCTAACACGGTGAAACCTCGTATCTGCTAAAAATACAAAAAAAATTAGCCGGGTGTGGTGGCGGGCGCCTGTAGTCCCAGCTATTGGGGAGGCTGAGGCAGGAGAATGCCGTGAACCCGGGAGGCTGAGCTTGCAGTGACATGAGATCGCGCCACTGCACTCCAGCCTGGGCGACAGAGCGAGACTCCGTCTCAACAACAACAACAACAAAAAAAAAAAAAAAAAAAAAAAAGAAAAGAAAAGAGATAAAATAAACATATTTCAGAGCAATTAAAATAGAGAGCACTAAGAAATTAAATTAGTTTTCTAATTCACCAAAGGAACTCCTAAAGGATAAACCTCAGAAAAAAAGAAATAATCCCAGAAAAAAAAGTGTGAATACAGAAGTAATGATAAGCAAAGGAATCACTAATGCATGGGAAGATTTAAACAAACACTAGCTGAAAAAAATAATAAATCACAGGAAAAATTAGAAAGTATCCCCAGACAAATAAAAACGAAAAAAATATCAAAACTTACAAAATGCAGCAAAAGCAGTGCCAAGAGGGAAATTTACAGCTGCAAACCTTTGCATTAAAAAAGAAGAAAGATATCAAATCAATAACCTAACCTTACACTTTAAAAAACTGGAAAACGAAAACAATCTGAAACCAAAGTTAGCAGAAGGAAAGAAATAATAAATATTAGAACAGAGATAAACAAAATAGAGAAAAATAGTAGAGAAAATTTTAAAAACCAAGATTTGCTTCTTCAAAAAGATCAATAAAATTGATAAGTCTTTAGCTAGATTGACTAAGAAAAAAAGAGGAAAGACTTAACTAAAATCAGAAACAAAATGGGGCACATGATGGGAAATTTTATGAAAAATAAAAGAATTCTAAGAGAAAATTATGAACAACTGTACACCAACAACTAGAAGAAGTGGATAAATTCCTAGAAGTACACATCCTACCAAGACTAAATCATGAAGAAATGGAAAATCTGAATAACAAAAACTTCTCAACAAAGAAAAGCCCAGGGTTCAATGGCTTTACTGATGAATTTTACTAAACATTCAAAGAAGAATTGATGCCAATCCTCCTCAAACTTTTCTAAAAAACTGAAGAGGAGGGAACACTTCCAAACGCATTCTATGAGGTAAGCATTATACTGATACCAAAGCCAGACAAAGACAATGCAAGAAAAGAAAACTAAGGACCAATGTCCCCGATGGAATACTGATGCAAAAATAACAACTTACCAGCAAACTGAATTCAACAGTACATTAAAAGGCTTACACACCATGACAAAGTGAAATTTCTTTCTGCAATACAAGGATGTTGTTTTTACCACTTCTGATCAATGCAGTACTAGGTCTTAGCTAGAACAATTAGACCAAAAAAAAGAAATAAAAGGCATACAAAGTGGAAAGAGTGAAAGTATCTCCATTTGCAGATGGCATTATTTTATATATAAAAAACCCTAAGATTATACACACATACACATACCCTGTTAGAATTAACAATAAACTAATTAAGCAAAGTTTCAAGAAAAAAAATCAACACAAAATGTTTAGTTGCATTTCTATATACTCACAATGAATCATCCAAAAAGAAAATCGAGAGAACAAATCCATTTACAATAGCATCGAAAACAATAAAATAGTTAGAAATGAACTTAACCAAGGAGAAGAAAAACCCATACACTGAGAACTACAAAATGTTGCTGAAATAAAGAAGGTACAAATAAATGGATAGACATTCCATGTACATGGATTGGAATAATTAATATTGTTAAAAACTCAATACCACCCCAAACAGCCTATAGGTTCAGTGAAATCTCTCTCAAAATCCAAAGGATGTTTTTTCAGCAACAAAAAATCCATCTCAACATTCATATGGAAAGCCGTAAGGGACCCCAAATAGCCAAAATATTGAAAGAGAACGAAGTTGGAGGTCTCACACTTTCTGATTCCAAAACTACCAAGCTACAGCCATCAAAATAGCACAGTACTGAAATAAACCCAGGCATCTAGACAAATGGAATAGAACACAGAGCCCAGAAATAAACCCTCACATACATGGTCAAATGATCTTTGGCAAGGGTGCCAAAACCATTCAATGGGAAAACCATTTGTTTCACCATTTGTTGAAATGGGGAAACGTTTCAACAAATGGTACCAGGCAAGAGAAAGAAGTTGGACACATAACTTTATACCATATACAAAAGTTAACAAAAAGTTCTCAAAGACCCAAGTATAAAACTGAAAACTGTAAAACCCTTAGAAGAAAACATGAGAGAGGCTGGGCATGGTGGCTTGCACCTCTAATCCCAGTATATTGAGAGGCCAAAGCAGGCAGATCACTTGAGCTCAAGAGTTTAAGACCACCCTGAACAACATGGCAAAACCCAATCTCTACAAAAAAATTAGCCAGGCGTGGTGGCATGCACCTGTAGTCCCAGCTACTCAGGAGGCTGAGGTGGGAGGATTGCTTGTGCCCTAAGATAGAGGTTGTAGTGAGTCAAGATTATGCCACTGCACTCCAGCCTAAGTGACAGAGCGAGACCCTGTCTCCAAAATAAAAAAAAAAAAATAACAAGAAAATAATGGAGAAAAATATTAATGAAATTGGATTCAGTAACATTTTCTTGGACATGACACCAAAGACATAGGCAACAACAGTAGAACAGACAAATGGGACTTCACAAAATTTGTAAAATTTTTACATTAAAATTCAATTTCAATGGAGTAAAAAAGCGATCCACATAATGGGAGAAAATATTTGCAAATAATATGTCTGACAGAGGGTTAATATCCAGACTACACAGAGAACTCCTATATTAAATAACTCAACAATTACAAGAAAAACAACCCATATCAAAAATGGTCAAAGAACTTGAACAGACATTTCTCTAAAGAAAATATATAAATGCCCAGTAAGCACATGAAAAGATGTTCAACGTGACCGTTCATTAGGAAAATACACATGAAAACTGCAATGAGATATGACCTCACATCTAGTGGTATGGTTTCTATGAAAAAAAGAAAAAAGAAGAAGAAAAAAAGAGAAAGTAACAGATGGTGACAAGAATGTGGAGAAATTGGAACCCTTGTTGGTGAGAATGTAAAATGGTAGAGCCACTGTGGAAAACAGTATGACAGTTCGAAATTAAAACTAAAATTACTATATGATCCAGCAGTTCCACTTCTGGATAAATAAAAAAAACTGAAAGCAGAATCTCAAAGATACTTGCATATTTATGTTCATAGCAGCATTACTCACAATAGGGAAAACATGAAAGCAACCAAAGTATCCATTGATGGATTAATGGGTAAGCAAAATATGAGCTATACATACAATGGAATATTATTCAGCCTTCAAAAGGAAATGCTAACATGTACTACAACTACAACATGGATGAACCTTTAGAACATTATGCTAAGTGAAATAAGCCAGTCACAAAAGACACATGCTGTATAATTCCACTTACATGAGATACTTAGAGTAGTCAAAATCATAGAGACAGAAAGTGGAATGGTGGTTGCCCACTAGTGGGAGGAGATAATAGTTATTTAATGGGTACAGAATTTCAGTTTTACAAGATGAAAAGAGTTATAGAGATGAATGATGGTGATTATTGAACATTATGAATATATTTAATAACATTGAACTTACAATTATAAATTAAGATGGTAAATTGTATGTGGTACATTTTACCACAATAAAAAGATTAAAAAAAGAATGAATGTCGACTTATATGAACATAATTTTTCATACATATGATCATATATTTTTCTGTTTACCTTACTAATATGATGGGTTATGTATTTATTTATATTGAACTATCTTTATATTCTTCAATTAAAGTACTATGTTATCACGTATTATTCATTAAATATATTGATGGATTATTCTATTTGCTAACATTCAATTTTGAAGTTTTACACCTATAATAATTGGTATAATTGATATGTTTTGCTGCCATTTCTTTGTCTAGCTTTGGCTTCTACCATATGTTAATTTTATAAAGTGAACTGGGAATTTTTCTCTTCTCCTGTGTTCTGGGATAATTTATATAGAGAGACATATCTACTTTTTTTCTTTTTTTGAGGCAGGGTCTTGCTCTGCCACCCACGTTGGAGTACAGTGTCACAATCAGGGCTCACTGCAGCCTTGATCTCCTTGGCTCAATTGATCCTTCCACCTCAGCCTTCCAAATAGCTGCTACTACAGGTGTGCACCACCACATCCAGCTAATTTTTAAATTTTTTTGTAGAGATGAAGTCTCACCATGTTCCCCAAGCTGGTCTTGAACTCCTGGGCTCAAGCGATCCTCCCATCTTGGCCTCCCAAAGTACTGGGATTACAGGTGTGAGCTACCGCACCCAGCCAAGACATATCTATATTTTGAGGGCTTGAAATCTCTCTTAATAACGTGATTTGGAGTTGAAGTCTTTTTAGAGTAGTTTTCTAACTGTGTTTAATGTTTTTCCATGATAAATGATCTCTTCACTTTTTTTTTTTTTTTTTTTTTTGAGGCGGAGTCTTGCTCTGTCGCCCAGGCTGGAGTACAGTGGTGCGATCTCGGCTCACTGCAAGCTCAGCCTCCTGGGTTTATGCCATTCTCCTGCCTCAGCCTCCCCAGTAGCTGGGACTGCAGCTGCCCGCCACCACGCCCGGCTAATTTTTTTGTACTTTTAGTACAGATAGGGTTTCACCGTGTTAGCCAGGATGGTCTCCATCTCCCGACCTCGTGATCCACCCGCCTCAGCCTCCCAAAGTGCTGGGATTACAGGTGTGAGCCACCGCGCCCGGCCTTCACATTTCTTTAAACCACACTTTACATTTTTCCCACCTACTCTCATGGCTAGAGGTCAAGGAAAAGACATGGCTGCCTCATCTCCCAAATGATACAGAGTAGAAGCAGGCTCAGAGGCAGGGCAAAGAGAATCCATAGCAGCAAGACCCTACTGACTCTGTGTGTGTGTGTGTTTGTGTGTGTTTGTGTTATGTGTGTGGGTGTTATGTATGTGTGTGAGTTTGTGCTCGGTGTATGATATGGGGGAAAGTGTGGAGCAGTGTGTGGTATGGACATGGTTATGTGTGCCATGTGTTTGTAAGGTGTGCATGTATGTCTGTCCATGTGTGTATATAGTATGTGGTGTAGGGGGTGGGGATATTTGTAGGATGTGTGTGTGTGTGATGTGATGGCAGAATTTTTCAGCCTAAAGAGCCTACTATTCTCTGCCCTTTGAGTCCTTAGAAAATTCTATGCCACTTAAACACTGGGATTTCTGTTGGAAAAACACTACTTAGCCCCTCCAGATTGAAAACCTCATGTAAGTATATGCGTGTAGTCCCCTAAACACTAGGGCTCATATTGTGGAAACCAGAACACTTACAGTTGAGGAAAAGTCTTGTACCTTGTTAAACTAACAGCCAAGGGTCTTCATCTTGCCAGAGAGAAACCGAATGCATACTTTGTGCCATACACCTAAAAATCATTTTATCTAAGTTATCTTATTTAGTCCTCATAAGATTTATGGAAATATTAAATAAGCTATCTCTGTTCAAGATCTAAAAAGTGCATAAAATGGACATAAAATCACACAAGAATTACTGATATATCAAATTATATTAAAGAGCCTTCAGTGAATAGGATGGACTGTGATATTTTCAAACAAAACCATTTAGTATGAGTTTATACGGTTCTGCATAAAATAAGCCCCTGCCTCTGACTATGCTGTGTTCTCTGGCTTTATGAAGTAGCCATGTATAGCACTGGCATTTCCGGGCCTTCATGGTACCAGTGGGAGACAGCAAGCCCAAACAAAGGTAGTCTCAGTACCCAGCAGGTCTTAGCAGAACCGAGGGCAGGAGGCTACGGGCAAAAGGGGAGGAAAACATTGTTGGAAGTCATAACTGAATAGACTTAATCATCATATGGGAGGCACCCTCTGAGGCCCTGCAGAAATACTTGGGGTGGGGTTTTCAGATGGATGAGGTCATATATAAACAAGTAGAAGCAAAATCCAGACTCATACTTGGGTTGCATATAGGGATAGACCAGTGGTTCTCAAATGTCAGCACGCATCAGAATCACCTGGAGGGCTGTTAAAGCACAGATCGCTGGCCCCTTCTCTAAAATTTTAATTCAGCAGGTCTAGGGTGGGACCTATGAAGCTGCATTTCTAACAAGTTCCCAGGTGATGCTGAGAGCTGATGCTGCTGGTCCTGGGTCCACACTTTGAAAACCTCCAATTTGGATAATTAGATAATTCTCAATATTATTAATTAACTAGAGGATCCAGAGCCATTCCTTGGACATGGTGATAGCCATTAGCTTTGTAGCGATCTAAGGACTCTGGCTTCTTAAGAGATAAAAATCCTTGATTTCCAAATCATGGAATCATTTCAAGAGGGAACCAATATTAGGTTCATTTGTGTATTTCAAACTTTTTTTTTTACAACCCATAATAAGCAATATAATCTATATTACCATGTAATTATACACACACATACATGTCACTGAAATTTGCCTGTGAGGCACTCTGATCTATTCAATTCTATTGTTTTAGATACCGTATGAAACTCACTAAATTGTTTTTATGGCTCACTAAAGGATTGTAACTGGCATTTTGAAAAATACTATATTAGGGACTGGATGAAAAAGTATCTGCCTAATTGGTAATATGTGAGTGTTACTGCATTGGAGGAAGGTGTGATTATAACAGGAATAGTTAGCTCATCGAGCGGAATGGATCACGCCAACCCCCGACATCAGTTGAACTTATAGGTGTAAGATGCCACAGACTGCCTTTTCCTGAATTTGCCAGTCTCATAGAGTATTATTCATTCTAGTCAAATACCTTTTTAAATGGGCTTTGTGAAATACAAAATATTATTTAAAACCTAAACTAATACCAATAACAGTATATTTTAATTCAGTATAAAATCATATATTACTAGAACATAGCCAATTAAAATCTGTATCGTTGCATTCAGAGATCCTCAAATTAATTTAGTAGGCTTTAAAACAAATCCCAAATACTTGAGCTAACCTATATGCATAAATAGCATGATATATGCCTCCAAATGTGAAACTGTGGAAACTACATATCATCTGGGCGCACCTTAGAACTGATGACATCTTTTTCTGATTGCATTGAAGGTATGTGGGTGGGTGAGAGCTGACACCTGCTTAATAATCCACAGGCCGTCTCCTAGTAAAATGAAAATAAGTGGTGAAATTGCCATTATGGGGGGAATTTACCAGTGAAATCAGTTTGCTTGTGAAATGACTGGAATAAAAAACTACTTTAAGATGCCAAACAGTATGCACTAAAATAAACAAAAATACCATATCTGCAGGAAAACAAGGGCAGCTTGGTGGATCCTCTTTAGCAACTGCTGAATGAATGATCTATTGATGTATACATCAGATGCAGCTTTTATTGAGTTTCATTCCCCACATAATTGTGGTTTGCACAGCGGAGTGTCTTTTATTTAACCAATTTGGTCAAGATGAATAGACAGGGAGAAAGTCCAGAACCTGAAAGGCCATTTCAAAATGGCAGTTCCTAAAGAGAAAATCAGGAGTGGTATTAGCCACTTGCAGTGTTCCCTTTACCAAACAAGGGTTACTCTGGCAGCATTCACAGACTCCCTCTCCCACCCCACACCTCCTCTAAGAAATGATGCTCCTGTAAGGAATGCTGCACCCCCGCAGAGCCAGCCTGAGGCTCAGATGACTTTGAAAGGGTCAAAGCAGCCCTCAACAGCCCACTTGACTCTGCCTCCTTACCCAGATTTCCTTTCTCAGTGGCCAGTCTAGTTCTAGAGTCCTCACCTCCCGGGTGGAGCTGTTTTACAGAGTGGGAAGAAGAGGAGAACATAAGAAGAGCCAATTGCAGCCAAAAGGGGAAAGTCAAGAATGAGGAGTGAAAGAGCATCACCATTTGCCAGATCCAGTGGGAAAGTATGAGAATTTTCAGAGGCTAAGGCAATGAGCCCTAGGTCCAGGAGGTCAGGATGAGATCTGGAGATCCGGGTATGGGAAAAAGGTGATGGGGTGTGAGGCACAGCTTGTGAATAGGGCCAGGGCTCTGTATGTTCACACTAAAGGGATTTGGTTTAGAGCATTTGGTTTAGAGCCACTTCAGACTCAGAGCTTTTCCTCACACTGCAACAATGTGGTCCTAGTAGCTGATTTGGCAGCCTGGGCTGAGGATGGCCTGGAGTAGCAGTGAGGAATTGATACTAAGACCTCTGTAAACTAGGTCCATGGGTACTTTCAATTGTCAGCCATCATTTTATCATTCTATGGCGGTCTTTCTCACACTTCAGTGTGTGCACAAATCACTTGGCCATATTGTTTAAATGCAGATTTTGATTTGGCAGTTCTGAGGTGGGGCCTCAGAACATGGTTTCCTACCGAGCTCCCAAGAGATGCTGACTCTGTTGGTCCAAGGACTGTACTTTGAGTAATAAGGTACTGTGAATGTTTGTGAGTTTCTATGAGGTGCCTGGCATTGCCCAATGTTTACATGCTTTACCTTTAAAAACTAGAACCTGAGTAATATCTTAACTGTATCTATAAGTATATTCATTGTCCCACAAGTACACACACTGTGTCCTCTTTAATTCACCATCATTTTAAAAGAGACGGAATTCAAAATTGTACTTAGACATCTTAATCTCCTGTAGAGGAATTTGGTTACTAAATACAAACACCCCAAATTATAACGATAGAGATCAGGACAGGGGATAGTGATAGATGGAAGGAAAGGAGAGGAAATGATTTAGATTTATAGAGTGTACCCTTGGCCAAATACTCTGCTAGGCAGTGAACAGAGTGGTTAAGGCCTGCTGAAATCTAATTATGTGCCAAGCACCAGACTAAGTACTTTTCACGTTATTTCACTCAATCCCCACACTAAACCTGTATGTTTATACTTATAAAACTCTCCATTTTACAAAAGGAAATCTAAATCTTTGACCTGTTAAATAGTAGCCTACAGAGTTCAAGCAGCGATGTCAGTTCCAAATGGGGAAAATGTGATCCCATCCAGGGAATAACAATCCAGGGAAATATTAATTGTTAGTCCTGTCTTCGAAAATGAGCAAACTTGGTCAGGACAATACAAGTAGTATACGATGAAACATGCTTTCAAATCTGCCCTGACCAAGTAGTGCCATTCCTTGGTGCAAATAGGAAATGCCTTGGGAGCATTAAAAATAATAAGCCCTCTACCTGAGCTCCCCGCTTGACCAATGAAGTCCCATTCCCTGCAGACAGAGCGTATGCATTGGCGTTTTCTATAAGTTGCCAGGTGATCTTAATGGGCAGCCATGGACCAGAGCCACTGCTTCATTAACATGCCCCATATGAGGTTCTAGAGAATGCTAGATTATAGACTTTAAAATTTTGATTTTATTCTGGGCCTTCCCTCAGAGCATACTGTACAGTGGAAAGATAAGGCAGGTAAGCCTCTCCATCATTAAGGAATTGATGAGCACGTACCTGTATCATTGTAGCCCTGTTGCACTTCAATGATGTGGCTCAAGTTAACTGGCTATGTTTTTAAGTGAATTTGCGAAAATGGGGGAAGATTGCTTGCTTACAAGAGATGGCCACTGAATGAAACTCAGAAAGAAAGAATACAATGTGAAACCAATGTCAAGGGAGAGAATTTGATAACCCCTCTTCATTTATCCCTTTATACTGCTGTCTGTATTGCAGAATAATCTAGTAAACCCAGTTTTTTAAGAGTCAGGACTTGTCAAGTTCAATGGTACTGTGTTTCGCAGCACATCTTTTCCGGGAGTGAGTAGACTTTGCTAATGCCAAAATTGTTGAAAGAAAATTGTTCTCTCTTCTAGCAGTACAATTAAGATATCAGGTTGGGCACTACCCAAAATTCAGGATTGGCTTGGACTCCTACCATCATGGCACAGCATTTCCCAGGAAGACTTTGACTTCCATTAGTACCAGATGTGAACAAGTGTGAAGGTCTCCATGTGTGTGCACATGCAGGTAGGAAGGGGCAGATTGTATAAAACAGCCTGTCAGCCACAGCAATGTTAAAGGCCAAAGAGGTTGATGAGACCCAATTCGGGATTCACTGATGATTTCACGGAGACAACCAGTTGACCTGCCAGCGGACATTCCTCCCATTTTCTCTGTGGTGCAATGGACACAGAATGAGTAGATCAGAAATTTTTTTTTTAATTATCAAGAAATTAGTACAACGATCCTTTTTGCTTTGTAAAATAATTGTCCTATAAAGGAGAGCAAAGTATTTATCTATAGGTATTTGTATGTTTTTCATAAATGCTTAAGTGAGCTATTGATATAATACTATAGATAGGGTGGGATGTATATCAGACATATCTATTCTTACTCCCTCAGCCATCTATTTTAACCCTGAAATAGCATGACTGGCTACTTCTGTTTGGGCACCCACATATTCTTTGCTCACAGAGCACAAATGGATGTGGCCTCTATCCCCCTTTACTCTCAAGGGGGCTCCTCTCAGACCACAGCATCTCAAAGTAGGGGTGCATCCCTCTAGGAATGTGACTATTACTAAGGAATTACTGCACAATTTCTGCCTCACTTCATACTCCTAGGCTTCACATTATTTTTGTTTTGCATGTTATCTCAACTATCTGGTCATTGCTCATGTCAGTGGAAAACTGAGAAAGTCTCTGCAAATGTTGGTATCTCTTGCCTTCAGAAATACTAGTTCTCTAATATAACCAGTCAAGAAGGGAAATGCTGATTTTTTATTTGGCCTTATACCTGAATGTGACAATTTATTTTGGTGAACAAATTCTGTGCATTGAAAATAATGTTTGGGTTTTTTCTTCCTTTTCAACTTTTAGGTTGAGGGGTATATGTGTAGGTTTGTTACATGGGTAAATTGTATGTCACTGGGGTTTGTTGTACAAATGCTTTTGTCACCAGGTAGTGAGCATGGTACCTGATAGGCAGTTTTTCAACCCTCATCCTCCTCCCATTCTCCACCCTCAAGTAGGCCCAGTGTCTGTTGTGACCCTCTTTGTTTCCACGTGTACTCAATATTTAGCTTTCACTTGTAAGTGAAAACCTGGTATTTTGTTTTCTGTTTGTGCATTAACTCACTTAGGATAATGGCCTCCAGCTGCATCCATGTTGCTGCAAGGGACATGATTTATTTCTTTATGGCTGTGTAGTATTCCATGGTGTATATGTAACACATTTTTTTTTTAAATTCAGTCCACCGTTGATGGGTATCTAGGTTGATTCCATGTCTTTGCTATTGTGAATGGTACTGTGATAAACATACAAGTGCATGCGTCTTCTTGGTAGAATGATTTATATCCTTAGGGTATATACCCAGTAATGGGATTGCTGGGTCAAATGGTAGTTCTGTTTTAAGTTCTGAATCTACAAGGAATTTAAGCAAATCAACAAGCAGAAAACAACCCCATTTAAAAATGGGCAAAGGGCATAAACAGACACTTATCAAAAGAAGACATACACTTGGCCAACAAGCATATGCAAGAATGCTCTACATCACTAATCATTAGAGAAATACAATTCAAAACCACAGTGAGGTACCATCTCACACCAGTCAGAATGACTATTATTAAAAAGTAAAAAAAATAATGGATGTTGGCAAGGTTACAGAGAAAAAGGAATGCTTATACACTGCTGGTGGGAATGTAAATTAGTTCGGCCACTGTGGAAAACAATTTAGAGGAGTTTTTATTTTTTTAAGCAATTGCTTCAGTTTCTTACCTCTTAGTGTTTCCATCTTCTGGGCTTCAATTTTCTTATCTGAAAAATTAGATAATTTGTTCAGCAACTATTTGTTAATCAATTGCCATATAACAGGTGCTGTTTTGAAGGCTGATGGAGATAGAAGAACGAATAAGAGAAATTCCTTGCCTTCATGGAGCTTACATTCTAGTGAGTCAAACAGACAATGAACAAAGTATAGTAACTATAATATAATGAATATAATATAAATCAGACTGGGATAGTATTAAGAAAAGAAATATAGATGCTCTTCCACTTACAATGGGGTTACAGCTTGATAAATCCATTGTAAATTGAAAATATAAGTCAAAAATGCTTTTATTACACCTAACCTACTGAACATCGTACCTTAGCTTAGCCTACCTTAGGTGTGCTCAGAACACTTATGTTAGCCAACAGTTGGGCTAAATTATCCAGCAATGCACTACACTATTTGTTGTTTACCCTGGGATCATGATGGCGGGGCTGACTGGGAGCTGTGCCTCCCATGCGACTGTCCAGCATCAAGAGAGAGTATCAAACTTCATATCGCTGGTCCAGGAAAAGATCAAAATTCCAAAATGCCAAATTTGAAGTATGGTTTCTACTGAATGCTATCACTTTTGCACCATCATAAAGTTGAAAAATCCTAAGTCAACCCATCACAAGTTGGGAGCCATCTGTGTAAGGGGAACAGGGAACGATGGTGAGGGGCTTTGCTATTTTAGGTGGAAGGGTCAGCAGTGGCCTCTCTGAGGAGGAGACACTTGAGCCGAGTCCTGAAGAAGTGAGGGACTAAGGATATAGACACCCGGGGGAAGTGTGGTCAAGGCAGAAAGAAAGGCAGATGCAGATACCTTGAAGAGGAGCGCAAGGACAGCGGGGAGGCCAGCGTAGCTGGAGCAGGCAGCTATGGGAGAGTGTAGAAAAAGGAATCATTGGAGAAGGGGCAGGGGCAGGGGCCAGACCAGGTGGGGCCTCCTGAGCTAAAGTAAAGAGCTTGGATTTTATTCCCTGGGTAATGAGAAGCCACTCAAGGATTTTCAGCAAGGGAAATGCTATGATCTGATTTATAGTTTGAAATGGTTCCTCTTGCTGCTCTGTAGAGACTGCAGAGGGTCAGAGTAGAAATTAAGGCAATGGTTAGGATGCACAGCAGGAAACCACAGGAGACAAAGAGGATGCCGTGCAGGTGGTGAGAAGTGATGGGATATATTTTGAAGACCGGGCAGATTCAGGACTCACTGAGGGATGAAATATGGGGTATGACTTGGAGAAACGTCAAGAATATAGAATGAATGGCTCTATCCAAAATTGTTTTGGACAGGTTAGGCTTGAGCTGTCCAGTGCACATTCCGGTGGAAAAGCTTCATGGGCTGCTGCACAGAGAAGTTTGGAGTTCAGAGACAATGTCAGGGCTGGTGATACACGTCTGTGAGCCATCAGCATGTAGATAGTATTTAAAGTCAAGGAACTGGAAAGGACCCCTCAGGAGTGAGGGGAAAAAAGAGAGCTGAGGACTGAGCCCTGAATCACCCTGATGCTTAGAAGTTTGAATTATGAAGGGTGTCCAGTAAAGAAGACTAACTCATTAGCTCATTGGCAATTAAACCAGGAGGAAATTCAGAAGTATGCTAGAGCCATTTTCAAACTTCTGTGGTACAGCAATATAACTCTTTCAGAAATTATTTCTAAATCTAATCTTCCAAAGAAGGCAACAAAGAAAACATATGAAAACCTTGCTGTTTTAGGAGGAGGAGTTGGGGGTACTAGAATTTGATCCTTTGGCAGAGAACCTGGGCTTTGTGAAGGTCAGTTCTCACAACCACTAAGAGAGTTTGAGGTTTCTGACTAAAGCTTCACTGTTCATACATTTCTCTCTCCTGGGTTATAGATGGACGCTGGATATTAAGAAATTACATCTTGGTAAACCCACCTTGGAGGCAGAAGAGAGAAAATGGGATTGGCAGTAGCTATGGACTGAATGTTGTTGCTCCCCAGAATTCATATATTGAACCCCTAATCCCCAATGTGATGGCATTGGAAGTGGGACCTTGGGAGGTGATTAGGTCATTAGAGTAGAGCCCTCATAATGGGATTAGCGTCTTTATAAGAAGAGACAGGAGACAGCCTGATTCCTCTCTGTCTCTCTCTCTCTCTGTCTCTCTCTCTCTCCTTCCCTCTCTCTCCCTCCCTCCTTCCCTCCACCTCTGAGGACATAACCAGGAAGCAGATCCTCACCAGGAATAAATCATCTGGCACCTTGATCTTAGACTTCTAGCTGCCAGACATATGAGAAACGCATTTCCATTGTTTAAGCTATCCAGTCTACGGTATCTTGTAATAGCAGCTTGAATGAAGACAGCAGGAAATAGAGAAATCATTCCTAGTCTAGCTAGAGGACTAGCAGCAGCAGCAAACATCAGGAGAATGTGTCGTGTGAGGGGTAAGGGTGGCAACGCCTGCCGCCCTCTTCTGAGCTTTGCTTCTGAACAATTTTTACCTAATGGAGTCAGGCCAAAGTGCTGCTGTGGTGAGTAAACACATTTTATCCCCCAAGAAGTTGGATGTCTTTTCTTTCATGCTTCACCATTCCCTCATACATTCCAGGCACCAAACCTAGTGAAATGAGGGAGCCATCAGACAAGCAGTATGCAAATAATAGATTTAACAATGAACTCGAATAAAACATCCTAGCATCCTGTACCAAAAACACATGCTTCGTAATTCTTTCAGATCTCAGACCTTCATCTTAGGAGGCACAGGGACTCTTCTTTCTAAGAGCACATTAACCTTACTCACAGACCCAGAGCATAGGGAGTGGGAACCTGTAGTTAATTACTTTTCAGACTCACCTCTACATATATTCAGAAAAGCTGGGAAATTGATTTTGGTTCCCACCAAGCAGTATGTCTTCCTTCCTTTAAAGCTCTTTTTTTCTCAGCAAAAGTGCGATTTAAACAGCTGCATTCTGAAGGCCTTAAGCTATAGTTCTTTTTCTTTCTCTTAATTTTCTTCCCATTTAAATGGGTATCTTCTTTGAGACATTCATGCATTTAAAAAACTTCATTCACTTAGCAGATCTGTACTGAGCATTTACTGGGAATCAGGTACTGAGCTGGGTACCAGGCACAGTAGGAAACAAAGCAATCATTCCTTGAGTGATGGAACATGCATTCTGCAGAGGAGGATATGCAAGGGGGGAAAGGCAAATAAAAATGTAGAGAGCTTCCAATTGTGAGTACAATACATAAAGTAATAGAGGTAATGTGATGGAGTGTCTGGGAAAATCATTTTAAATAGAACGATCGGGAACATATCTGCTGAAATAGTGACATTGGAACTAATGAACAAGACGGAGGCAGCCATAGAAATGACCTGGAGAAGAGTCGAGGCAGAAGCAACCACGTAAAGGCTCAGAGAGCAATGTAGTCTGGAATATCCAAGGCACGGAGAGAAAGTCATTGTGGTTGAAGCCTATGCACACACACTCACGTGCACGCAGAGAGAGAGAGAGAAAGAGAGAAGATGACAAAGAGGAGATTGTGTAAGACCATAAACAATACAGAAAGCAGCTCTGATTTTAAGGGATATGAAAAGTTAAATGCTTTTAAACAAAATGGAGACTTGATCTGGTTTAGATTTTTTCATTAAACTTTTAATTTTGAGATAGTTTTAGATACCCATGTAGTTGTAAGAAATAGAACAGACTCAATGAACCCTTTACCCAGTTTTCCCAATGATAATATCTCTCATAAACCTCAATGATAATATCATAAAACTATGATAGTACAATATCACCACCAGGATATTGACATTAATGCAACCAATCTTATTCAGATTCCCTCAGTTTTATTTGTCTTGTGTGTTTAGTTCTATGTAATTTTTTTTTTTTTTACAAACTTTATTTTTAGGCAGTTTTTCATTCACAGAAACATTGAGCAGAAAGTAAAGAGAATCCCCAAATGCCCCCTTCTCCATCGAGGCCCGGACACCCCCACTGTCAGCATCCTGCACTATAGTGACACATTTGTTACCAGTGATGCACCTACACTGACACATCTTTGTGGCCTAAAGTCCATAGTTTACATTAGTGTTCATTTATTGGTGCTGTACATTCTATAGGCATTGAGAAATGTATAATTACATGTATCCATCATTATAGTATCAGATAGAATAGTTTCACTGCCCTAAAAATCCTCCGTGCCCTGTTTATTCATCCCTTCCTTCCACCAAACTCTACAGCCATTGAATTTTTATTTATTTACATATCTATCTACGTAATTATACTTTAAGTTCTAGGGTACATGTGCACAATGTGCAGGTTTGTTACATAGGTATGTATGTGCCATGTTAGTTTGCTGCACCCATCAACTCGTCATTTACACTAGGCATTTCTCCCAATGCTATCCCTCCCCCAGTCCCCCACCCCACGACAGGCCCCGGTGTGTGATGTTCCCCCACCCTGTATCCATGTGTTCTCATTGTTTCACTCCTATGTATGAGTGAGAACATGCAGTGTTTGCTTTTCTGTACTTGTGATAGTTTGCTGAGAATGATGGTTTCCAGCTTCACCCATGTCCCTGTAAATGACATGAACTCATCCTTTTTTATGGCTGCGTAGTATTCCATGGTGTATATGTGCCATGTTTTCTTAATCCAGTCTATCATTGATGGACATTTGGGTTGGTTCCAAGTCTTTGCTACTGTGAATAATGCTGCAATAAACATACGTGTGCATGTGTCTTTATGGTAGCATGATTTATAATCCTTTGGGTATATACCCAGTAATGGGATCACTGGGTCAAATGGTATTTCTAGTTCTAGATCCTTGAGGAATCGCCACACTGTCTTCCACTATGGTTGAACTAATTTTCACTCCCACCAACGTGTAAAAGCATTCCTATTTCTCCATATCCTCTCTAGCATCTGTTGTTTCCTGACTTTTAAATGATTGCCATTCTAACTGGCGTGAGATGGTATCTCACTGAGGTTTTGATTTGCATTTCTCTGATGACCAGTGATGATAAGCATTTTTTCATGCGTCTGTTGGCTGCAATTTTTAGTCTCCATAGTTCTGGCTTTTCTAGAATGTCATACACTTAAGTAATACAATATTTAACTTTTCAGATTAGTTTCCTGTACTTAGTAATATGCATTTAAGATTCCTCCAGGTTTTGTCACTTGATAGCTTATTTCCTTTAGTGCCACATAATGTTCCATTGTCTGTACCACAGTGTATTTATTCATTCACCTACTGAAATACATCTTGGTGGCTTCTGGTGTTTGAAAGGTACAAATAAAGCTACTATAAACATCCATGTGCAGTTTTTGTCTGGACATAAGTTTTCAACTTTTGGGTAAATACCAAAAAACAAGATTCCTGAATGTTATGGCAAGAGTCTATCTAGTTTTTTAAGAAACTGCCAAATTGTCTTCCAATAAGGATGTACCATTTTACATTCCCACTAGCAGTCAATGAAACTTCCAGTGGCTCCACATGTTCACAAGCATTTAGTGCTGTCATTGTTTTGGATGTTGGGCCATTCAAATAGGTTTATGTAGTGGTATCTCATTGTTGTTCTAATTTGCATTCCCTAATGACGTATGATGTTGAGCATCTTTTCATGTATTTATTTACCATCTGTATATATTCCTAAATTCATTCACCTACTGAAAGCACATCTTGGTTGCTTCTGGTTTTTGAAAGGTACAAATAAAGCTACTATAAACATCCATGTGCAGTTTTTGTCTGGACATAAGTTTTCAACTTTGGTTAAATACCAAAAAACAAGATTCCTGAATGTTATGGTAAGAGTCTATCTAGTTTTTTAAGAAACTGCCAAATTGTGCTTCAGTAGGTGAATGAAGTGTCCATTTGGGTCTTTTGCCCGTTTTTAAATCGGGTAGTTCATTTTCCTATTGGTTTCCATTTTGTTAGTTGTTTCTCATTTGCTTCCTCTGACTTTTCTTGTTGGTGAGTTTTAAGAGCTCTTTGTGTATTTTGGATAACTGTCCTTTATCAGTATATCCTTTTCAAGTACTTTATCCCAGTCTGTGATTTCAGTTCTTTGTACTTTTATCATGTACACATGTTTGTGTCTTTACTAACACAGTCAAGATACAGGAAGTTCTATCACTGTAATGATCCCCCATGGGTTGCTTGTTTAGAATCATACCTACTTCCCTCCCTCCCTCTTCCTTCCCCATTCCTCTCTCCTGAAAACCACTAGTCTGTTCTCCATCTCTGTAACTTTTCATTTCAAGAATCTTTTATAAGTGAAATCAATAGTATCTAGTCTTTGGGTATTGGCTTATTTCACTCAGTATAATTCTCTGTGGATTTATCCAGATTGTTGTGTATTTCCATAATTCCTTTTTAATTGCTGAGTAATATGTTATAGTATAGATATGCCACAGTGTGTTCAACCATATTTTTTTCATTGAAGGACATCTGAGTTGCTTCTAGTCTTTGGCTATTGCAAACAAAGTTACAGTGAATATTCACGTACAATTTTTTTGTGTAAACCTAAGCTTTCATTTCTCTGAGTGCAGGTGCCGGGTCTTATAGGAATTACATGTTTAGATTTATAAGAAACTGCCAAACTATTTTGTAGAGTGCCTGTACTATTTTACATTCCCACCAGCAATGTATGAGTGACCCATTTTCTCCAAATTCTTCCTGGCATTTGTTGTTGCCACTGTAAAAAATTCATTTTGTTTATAGGTTGTAATGACATGTCCTTGCAGTTTTGCCTTGCATTTCCCTAATCACTAACCATGTTAAACATGTTCTCCTGTGTGTATTGGCCATCTGTATATACCATTCAACTAAATGTATGTTCATGTATTTACTCATTTTCTAATTTGATTTTTTTTTTTTGAGACGGGGTCTAGCTCTGTTGCCCAGGCTGGAGTGCAGTGGCACAATCTTGGCTCACTGCAACCTCTGCCTCCCGGGTTCATGCCATTCTCCTGCCTCAGCCTCCCGAGTAGCTGGGACTACAGGCACCTGCCACCATGACTGTAATTTTTTTTTTTTTTTTTTGGTAGAGACGGGGTTTTACCATGTTAGTCAGGATGGTCTTGATCTCCTGACCTCGTGATCCACCCGCCTTGGCCTCCCAAAGTGCTGGGATTACAGGGATTTTTTTTTTTTAATAATTATTGAGTATTAAGATTTCTTTACATATTTCAGATACAAATTACTTGTTAGATATGTGGTTTATAAATGTTTTCTCCTGCTCTGGGTCTTTTGTAGAACAAGAGTTTTTCATTTTGATGAGGTCAAATTTATCATTTTTTCTTTTTATGCATTATGTTTTTGGTAGTAAATCTTAAAAAAAGTTATCAACTTTGCCAATCTCTGCCTCATAATTAGTGAATTTAGACTATTTAAATTTAAGGTAATTATTTATATGGTAGAGCTAACATCTGCCATTTTGCTAGTTGCTTTTCATTTGTCTCTGATTTGTCTTCCCATGCTTCTTTCTTCTTGCCTTCCTGTGTTACTCGAACAATTTTGAGAATCCCATCTTACTTTTTAATAGAATTTTAATAGTATCTCTTTGGGTAGTTTCCTTTGTGGTTGTTCAATAGTTTACGGTTTTAAAGGGTCACAAGCTGCTGGTGTAAAATGGGTTTGAAGTTGGAAATATTAGAGAAAGAGAGACCAGTTGAAAGGCTATTGAAGTTATTATACCAGTTTGAGATGATTACTGTAAGTGTTACCATTGGCACAAGTCTCCAGGGAGGCACATCAGTCATTCTCAAACAGGGATATAGCAGTGTACACTGAGGAGTGCCTGAATTCTGGGGTCCAGTAGTCACAACACTGCTAGAATTATCTCAGATATAGCATGAAGACACTTGTCCTATATGAAGGTTGAGCACTTCCATCTTGAACAAGATCTTCTCTGATCCCTGATCATCTTTTAGCTATCATCATCCCTCCATCCTGTCTCAACCAAACTTTGTGAAAGATCTATCTGCAATTTCTTTCTCTACTTTTACCTTTTATTTACAATACCTGTCACTAATTCACCGTAAACTTGATTCTACCTTTGGGGCCCCTTGCAACTGATATCCATGTGGCTATCAATAAGCTCTATGTTGCTGGATCCACTACGCACTTTTTTTTTTTTGGAGATGGGGTCTCACTCTGTTGCCCAGACTGGAGTGCAGTGGTACGATCACCCAATAGGCACTTTTTATCCTCATCTTATTAAACGTTTCTACATCACTTAATAATGTTGGCCACTTCCCTCTTTCTGAAAACCCCCCTTTCCTTAGCTTTTATAACACTATTCTCTTCTGGTTTTCCTTTTCCTGGAAGTTTCCTCTGTGCTTTCCTTTGACAATGTCAAAATCCTAATTATAGACTTTAGCTATCCTCTCTTAATCTTTTCACATACTCCCTTGGTGACCTCACCCATTCCCAAGTTACCATCTATATCTAGAAGACTCTCAAGTCTATGCATTCACCCAAATCTCTCACCTAAACTATCTGTCTACAGGATCAGTCTACTTAGAATTTCACAGGCACCTCGGACTTACCAATATTTCCAAAACTCTTTCATCATTTTCTTCCCCAAACTCATTTCTCTTTTAGTTTCCTCTCTTGGCGTTTGGCACTTCTACTTACCCAGTCAACTAAGCCATAAATCTAAGAGTTATCCGAAATGCGTCATTCTCCCACACCACTCTCTTCCTTTCCACACCATATGTATTTGTCAGTGTTCTCAAGAAGGACAGAACTAATAGGATACCTGTATATATGAAAGGGAGTTTATTAAAGAGAATTGACTCACATGACCACAAGGCAATGTCCCAAAACAGGCTATCTGCAAGCTGAGGAGCAAGGAAGCCAGTAGTGGCTCAGTCTGAGTCCCAAAGCCTCAAAAGTAGGGAAGCCAACAGTGCAGCCTTTAGTCTGTGGCTGAAGGCCTCAGAGTCCCTGGCAAACCCCTTGTTTAAGTCCAAGAGTCCAAAAGCAGAAGAACCTGGAGTCTGATGTTCAAGGGTGGGAAGCATCCACCACGGGAGAAAGATGAAAACTGGAAGACTCAGCAAGCCACCTTATTTCACCTTCTTCTGCCTGCTTTTTCTAGCCGCACCGGCAGCCTTTTGGATGGTACCCACCCACATTGAGGGTGGGTCTTCCTCTCCCAGTCCACTGACTCAAATGCTAATCTCCTCTGGCAACACCCTCACAGACACAAACAGAAACAATACTTTGCATCCTTCAATCCAATCAAGTTGACACTTAATATTAACCATCACAAGTCCACCCCTTGTCAACTTCAACCCATACACATCTCCTGAAATTATACTTAACCTCCAAATAAAGATAATAATAAGGTCATAATTACACCTAACATAATACAGCTATCCTTTGTACAACTGGAAGTGCACTAATGCTTAACCTAAGTGCTATTATTAATGCATAAAGTTAACAATACTTAAATGCCAACATGAAGTCAATAAATCTTATGTCACATGATAAAGGAAAAAGAAAGGAAATAAAAGAAGGTATTTTCTTAGTACAAATGTATACGTGCACAAACCTATTCTTAACAAAATAAGGGAGAAATACTCATGACAATTACTGTCCTCATTTCTGCAACTGGTCACATGGTTGTCTCTGGTACCTTCTTCTACTACCCATTTTGTATTCCCTTTGCCTTCAGCAGGTACTTCAACTGGTCATGGTTTTTCACCTTATGCATTAATCAAAACTTTCATTCCTGAAGGTTCTAGGCCATTTGTAGTCCTGCTTTGATTGTGTTGTTGTAGTTTCCCATTGACCTTAATCACAGGGCATGGTAATACTAAGAGATGCCCTAAGGAATCTCCTGTATTCCACACATACTGATCCTTACATCCATTGTGGAGTAGTAGACTGAGTTCATACTGATAGTCTGGGTCAATTACCCCAGGCAACACTGTAACTACCTTCTTAGCCAGTTGACTTAGAGGTAGGAGGAGCCCAAAGTGGCCAGGTGGCAATCTAAACTTCCAGTTTCATGGAATCATTGTTGTGTCTCCTGGTGGCAGCATTCCTCCTGCTGGAACTAAGACCTATAGGCCAGCAGAATATAATGTCAGGAGAACAGGAAGATGTGGGAAAGTTTGGAATTTCCTAGAGACTTGAATGGTTTTGACCAAAATGATGATAGTGATATGGACAATGAAGGGCAGACTGAGGTAGTCTCAGATGGAGATGAGGCATTTATTAGGAACTAGAGCAAAGTCATTCTCGCTATGCTTTAACAAAGAGATGGGTGGCATTTTGCCCCTGCCCTAGAGATCTGTGGAACTTTGAACTCAAGAAAGATGATTTAGGGTATCCGGCAGAAAAAAATTCTAAGCAGCAAAGCATTCAAGAGACTGTGGCTAAAAGGGGCCCAACAAGGCCAATGTACAGCTCAGGCCATTTCTTCAGAGTGTAAGCCCCAAGCCTTGGCAGCTTCCACATGGTACTGGGCCTGTGGATATGCAGAAAATGAGATATGAGGTTTGGGAACCTCCGCCTAGATTTCAGAGGAAGTATGGAAACTCCTGGATGTCCAGGCAGAAGTCTGCTGCATGGACGGTGCCATCATGAAGAACCTATACTAGGGCAATGCAGAGGGGAAATGTGGGGTTGGAGTCCCCAAGTACAGTCCCCACTGGGGCACTACCTAGTGGATCTGTGAGAAGAGGGTCACCATCCTCCAGACTCCAGAATGGTAGATCCACCAACAGTATGCACTGTGCACCTGGAAAAGGCTCAGACACTCAATGCCAGTCTGTGAAAACAGCCACAGGGCTATACTCTGCAGAGCCACAGGAGCAGAGCTGCCAAGGCCTTGGAAACCCAATCCTTGCATCAGTGCACCCTAGATGTGAGACATGGAGTCAAAGAAGATTATTTTGGAGCTGTAAAATTTAATGACTGCCTTGTTGGCTTTCAGACTTGCATGGGGCTTGTGACTCCTTTGTTTTGTCTAATTTCTTCCATTTTGAATGGGAACATTTACCCAATGCCTGTACCCCCATTGTATCTTGGAGGTACTTAACTTGTTTTTTATTTTACAGTCTGATAGGCAGAAGGGACTTGCCTTGTCTCAGATGAGACTTTGTACTTGGACTTTTGAGTTAATGTTGGAATGAGTTAAGACTTTGGGGGACTGTTGGGAAGGCATGATAGGTTATGAAATGTGAAAAGGACATGAAATTTGGGAGGGGCTAGGGCAGAATAATATGGTTTGGCTCTGTGGCTCCACCCAAATCTCATCTGAAATTGTAATCCTTACGTATCGATGGAGGGACCTGGTGGGAGGTAATTGGATCATGGGGCAGTTTCCCCCATGCCATTCTTGTGATACTGAGTGAGTTCTCAAGAGATCTGGTGGTTTAAAAGTAGCACTTCCTCCTTCACTCTCTCTCTCTCCTGCCACCATATAAGATATGCCTTGCTTCCTCTTCACCTTCTGCCATGGTTGTAAATTTCTTGAGACCTCCCCAGTCGTGCATAACTGTGAGTCACTTAAATCTCTTTTGTTTATGAATTGCCCAGTCTCAAGTAGTTTCTTTATAGCAGTGTGACAACACACTAATACACCATACAAGTCTAATATGACCTCTGTCTAGTCTTTGTCTTAGCATCTCTTGTTGAATCACTTCATTTCTCTTCATCCCCCATCACCATTATTTTAGTTCAGGCCACAGTTATTTCTCTCCCATATCACTTCAACAGCCTCCTAACTGATTTCCTTTCTGTCACACTCCCTGTAATCAAGTCTCCATCTTGTAGCCATGATAATATTTCTAAAACCAAACTATGTCGTGGCACATTTAAGGTGACCAACAACCCTGGTTTGTCTGGGATAGAGGGGTTTCCTTAAACACAAAACTTTCAGTGCTAGAACTGTGAAATTTCCACAAAAATAAGGACAGTTGGTCCCTCTGGCTTTATTAACCCTTCCAGAGCTTCCCTCCATCCTCAGGATACTGGGAACAGTTATTGATATGAATTTGAAGGCCCAATTGCTCCTTTTGTGAATCAAGTCCATCCCTTATTCTTTGTCTCAACCTTAGTTAAGTACTTCTCATTCTCTGAGTCAAAGACCCTATTTATATTAGATATTTGCCCATGCTATTCTGTTTGGGCAAAATATTATTTCTCATTCCTTCACTTAGTGAACTCTCTCATCTTTAATTTTGTCACTTTTGTCTAGAAACCTATAATTACTAAGATTGGATGCTGTGTTGCTCCAATGTTTGCTCATATAGCCCACAATTCCCCCCATTACAGAACTAACCACATGCATTTGTAGCTACTTGTTTATTTCTCTGTTCCTCCCATTGCACTGTAAACTCCTTCAGAGCAGGAATCATGTCTTACTATTTTCTGGTACCCAACCCCTCACAGAGTATCTGGGACTTAGTAGGTCCTCAAAAAAATCTGTTGACTGAAAAAATAAGTTAATTTTATGAGAATATTTGAGGTCTTAAAAGGGCAAGTTGTCTTACAAAACATAGTCTATTTTTTCCCATAAACGTTACCAAAGTGTTTTAATACTATATGACAAATTAAACTGTAATATTAATAATTTAAAACCACATTTTATATACATTTGCTTTTAATAGATTCCACTGGAATTGGGTTATAAACAAAAAAAAAAAACCCCATTAATTGGTATGCTTATTATATATAAGAATACTCTGTGTCCTACTGTGGGATTTTTTTAAATGCTGTTTCTGATCACTTACAAACAGAAGAGAGACAGAACGTTGCTGCAGAAACTATTCCAGTGCATCAAATCATTACTTCAGCTCAGAGGGCAGTATGGATTAATCGCTTCAGCATCCAAAATGAGCTCTGGTTTTGATTTCCCTGAGGTTTCAAAGGTAACAAACCAAAACCTCCTATTTTTATGTTCCAAGGAAATATAACTGAACCCACAGTACTCACATAACTCCAGAAAGTGGCCCAAACAGCTGCTGCTGCTGCTGCTGAAACCTTTATGTGCGGGTTTTAACCCAGAGGAAACATTCTCGGACAAGTGCGGATGAGGGCTTTCTGCACAGGATTCAATACTCAAAGTGCTGACATGCAGGATGACAGTATGGCATGGGAATTGGTATTCCAGGCTATGTTATTATAAAAAATTATATGTGACTGCTTCCCAAGGAAAACAAACCACCAAGCCAGCCTGCCTCTATCTTTCAGTCGAAAGCATAAATGTGCTAAGACTCTTTAAAAACAGAGTAGTGGGATTTTCCCATTTTAAAGTGACCTTCTCATTTATCAATAATCTGGCTCTTGTTTTTGTTAGGTGAAGCCTCAGGGGATGATGATTTAATCTGTACAAATATGATAGGAAGGAACGCTAGTGGTGAAATTTAAACAATGACCTTCTTGAATTTTCCAAGGAATGATTTTCACAAGAACCACAAGATGGCATTGTCTACTATGGGACTGTGTTCTGACACTCAGCAAGAATTGACAGCAGAGAACGGAGACAAAGTTGTTTCCCATTCCTCATTTTGTTTGGAAGATTTTGTACCTCCCTTCTACATCAGCTTTATTCACCGTGTTGTGTGGTTGTGGTGAGTGTTGGTTGTAAAGAAGAAGAGGTGATTGGAAATAAGTTTTGACAGCCCCGAGAAGGGCACTGAAGGGCTATAATGAAACGAAGAGCACAGGAAATTTGGGTGAGAGGATAGGTGCACCCACTGCCCCCCAGACCCCGTCCCTGATTCAAAGACAGCTTGTATTTGCACATCAATGCAAAGAAGATTTAGACCTGATCCAGTTGTTGTGGTTCAAGCAATTCAGATATTTGTTTTGTTAATCATATTCCAAGGATTTTATTTCCCTTTGGTATCTTATCTTATATCTACCTATACAGCTCCATAACTAAATTTCCACCGTTGTCTGTGTAGGATGGAAGGCAGGCTCTCATTTCTCATCTTTGGTCCACAAGTATGGCACCATAATATAAAGCAAAAGGAACAAATTCACAGCAAGTGCCTACACTGAACCCTGTACTTTACAAAAAGTTGCTCAATTTAATCCTCACAACTCCATGTGGAACTGAGGCTCAGAAAGGGTCAGAAACTAGTCCAAGCTCACAAAGTGACTTGCTACAATTTAACCTCAAATCACGTTAATCTTTAGGGTCAGGGGCTTTGCACTATTCCCGCACTACCTACAAATAAAAAGACACTGTGTAACTAAGCAAATCTGAAAGAAAAATTTAAGTTATCTCTTTATCCTCAGCTTACCTATCTGTATGGGGGGTTAGTCACAGACTACAAGTGCCCACAGGCATTACAAGCAGAACCATGCCTGCCTCATGCTGCTGTTCAGTGATCTGGCTGAGATGTCTGGTCAATATAATGCATGAAGCAGTTGTATAATTTCATGTTTTCCCTCAATGGACCAGAAATTCAATTACATTCATCATGTTGATTTTGTATCCCTGTGTTATGAACCACTGTTTTTCAGTTTTCACTGGGCCATAGGCATGCTCAGTGCCATGCAAGGGAAAGTTTGCAGTTTGAAGACTAAGAACTTGGTGGAAAATGTATACTGTTGAATAAGAAATCTCTGGTACAAAGTGGGAAATTTTAGATGCCTGACACTATGTTAGATGCAAAGGTGTGTAATATATAATCCCTATCCTCAAGGAGCTTACAGTCCAGTGAGGGAGAGAGACACATAGATATAACTTCAGCGAAATTTGTTAAGTGTTGTGAAAGAGTTAGGCACTGGAAGATAAGGGGACATAGAGAAGGGTCTAGAGAAGGTTTTCTGGAGGATGTGATTTATCAGATTGGCCTTGAAGGATGAGTTAAAGGCCAGTGCTAAAATGAACTGAGTTTTCACCTTACCTTCTACACTTCACTAGAAGCCTGCTTGGAAGGGAAATCTTCACCAAGTCTCAGGTGCTGATTTGAGGGTATATGCTGGTTATTCTTCATCCTCTCTTCCCTGAATGATTGACATCCCTTCTCTGAGAGGATGACCTCTAGAGACTGCATCACCTGGACTCCATTACTCTTGGGCTTCATTTGGGTTTGACCAACATGGAAACACGAGCAGAAGAGCCCAATAGCAGAAGGAGAGTGGTGTTGATAATTGCACTCCTTCTGGATTTGTTGCAGTTATACTAGTCACCATATTCTTCTATGACTGTAGCTTCTGCCATAGTCTTCCTTGGCTACAGCTCTCAACTGGGCTCCAGGAACACCATTTCTACTTATTCTTCATGTTAGTGCCTGGGTGCCTCAATATTCCTTGTTGGGTTCTTTTATACCTACCCACTCTTCTCTAAATCATTCTTTCATCTAAAAATTTTTTCACAATCCCCACACAAAGATGCCATCTGTTTTCTCTGGGACCCTGGTTGATAAAGGTGAGAGAAGACAAAAAGTTTTAACTGACCCAAGCTTCATCTTTGGTAGCCTCACAAACCACAAGAGCTGAGCATATGAGGAGCATATTTGACGTCTAGTGGATTGAGTGACCTTAGGCAGAGTCATCTTGCACTTCTGAATCCCTCTGAAGATGGATATCATAATGGCTGCCCTGTCTATGGTTAGGAAAGAATCAAAATGCAATTCAATCCAGCAAGTATTTCTTGAGTTCCTAGTGTGCATTAGCATTGCATTGCAGTGAGTCCACAGAGATAAAAAGCAATCTTTTTCCTTAAGACACCCATAGTCTAGCAAAGAAGACAGAGTAATAACTCAACGATTGCAGTGGAGACAGGCTGGGGAGGCAAAAAGGAAAGGTCCTCTATTCATTTTAGTGGGAGGTGATACTATTCAGCATGACTTTGCTCTGCTGTGGTAACAAATCAACTCTGAAGCCTAAGGGGCTTAACAAGGGTTATTGCTCTCTCGTTTGAGGCTGATGCATGTTGGGCAGCCTTCCTGTAGCTATGCCATTTGTAATGTGTGGACTCCAAGGTTTCATGGCAGAGAAAGAGAGGAATGGAAGCAGCACATTGACTACTAACAGTGTTGGTCCATAAGTCACACTGTCACTTCTGCTCAGAGTCCTAATATCTGCCTAACTAATTAACATATGCCACAAGCGTTCACAGAGGGCTTTTCAGAGGAGGTAACACTTGAGCTTGGTCATAAAAAATAAGATGGAATTAACCTAATGATAAAGAGAGGAGAGGGTATTCCAGCCAAAGAGAATGACATTTTTAAAGGTGAAGTAGCAAGGAAAAGTGTGGAGTCTCCAAGGAAGGGCATATATTTTGGCATGCGTGGAACCCAGAGAGGACACAAGAGGATGAGGAGAGGTGAAACAGGAGAAGGAGGCAGTGGTCAGGTAACAAAAGGCTTTATTTGCTAGGCTTTGGATTTGGGGATTTATCCTAAAGGTTAAGAGAAGAAATTGTTGAGTTTCAAAGCTAGAAGAAGTAACATAAGAAAACTTGAATTTTGAAATGATCCACCTCCTAGAAGATAAAGCATATCAGAAGACAGTGAACTGGAAAGCAAAGGGCCTGTAGCATTCATCCACAAATAGGAAGGGAGAGAAGAAAGTCACCAGTGGTGAGGATAAAGACAGTGTGATGGACTTGGTGCTACTTGAAGTCGGATTTCAAAAGTCTTTTCCCCTCAAACTTGAGGAAAAGCAGAAGGGGTCTAGAATGAACTTCACAGCTCTTGATTCATTTTCCCTGATAGAACATGGTATCATTCAGAACAACACCATAGTACCCTGAGCCAGGGAGCACAGAATGAGGAGCTCAGATTGAGGGGACAGATATATACTCATTTTGAAATGTGATGAGTTGCAGGAGAGTTCTCCAGGTGACCTTGAACTAACCTAGCTCCTCCTCATTTCCTCCCTTGTAGTTCTCAGAACAACTGTAGAATGTGCTGAGAATGCAATATCCTGGGATGAAGAGGAAGTGACCAGAATAGCCTGTGCTCTGTTCCAGTTTCTCCTAGAACAGGATGTCTTACAGTGCTTTAGCTCAGTGTTTCATGTTGCCCCTGGGTATAAAACTCAGAATGGAGCATGCTTTCTAGGGTCCCTCAGCTGTGGTGCAAGTAGGGGACATGCAGACAAGACTTCATTTATCCTGGGCAGCTTTCCTGAGCCTTGAGCCTTGGGGTGATCAGCTTGCCATGCATCCTAGGTTTCTGGTATCCCTTGATGCCTATCTGTAGGTAATAAACCTGCTTCAAGTAATTTGTTGTGTATATGTGTTTTGTCTCATCAGATACATACAAGTGATAGAAATGGGCACAGCCCAAGGTGTTTAGAGTCCTTTTCCAGGGACTGATACCAATGCACAGTGAACCTGCCTTGTAATGAGGTCGAGGTTTCTACAGGATCCATGGGTAGAAATATCCAACAAACAACTAGTATCTAGATTGAGACCTTCACTAAAGATACAGAACTGGGAGTCGAGATAGATGGCCATCGAAGCCATGAGAATAGACAAGAGTGCCCAGGAAGAATGAATAAAAAACCTCAAGATGCACTCCTATGAGACAGGACAAAAAGGAAACACTGCTAACTAGTGAGCTACGGAGGAGACCTTCATAAAGCGTGACCCATGAGGGCAAAGGCAAGGCTCAGAAGTGAAATATAGGTCAGCATGAGGATGAAGGAAAAGGAAACACTATCAGTGAGTCTGTGAATGGCAGAGAGAGGAAAAAATAATGGGTAAACTGCATTACAAAAGAGGTCATTATAAGTCAGAAAGACAAAAGTAAATAAGAAGGCAGAGCTGATAATCTCTGAGTTATCGAATTAGGGAATGGCTGAGTGTGCAACTTCGGAACATCCTGCTAATACACCTAAAGGCACACCAGTTTGTCAGTCTTCTCCCTTCTCTATGCCAATCAAGTGGATTGGGATTCAGATTTTTTTTTTTAACCTATGGTGCACTATTTAGAGCAAGTCTGGAAACAGCAAATCTAAAACTCTCTAAGTAATATTTTAAAATCGAGGACTTAATATATATCGGGCACAGCCCTAGTACTTTGTTGCTTCATTTAATTCTGTGAAGGGAGCTTCATTATTCCCCTTTACAGATTAAGAATCAGTGGCTCGGATACATAATATGTCCCATCTAAAAGTGAATAGCTGGCAAAGGACAGAGTCAAAGTCCACAGCCAGGCCTCTGTAATACCACAGTACCATCCACCAGTCATCCTGTCTCTTGTAAGTCATTAAATAGGAAATGCCCCAAGATGATAGATCTCTGAAAATTGATAGGTGAGCAAATGTGGAAATTGCTGAGTCTTTAAACTTTAAAACTATTTTCTAAGATCTTCTCACATCCTCTTCGTCTAGCACCCACGTTTGGTGATTCTTTCTCCTATTATTTGTTCTTTAAAAGATTAAGATTTGCTATTAAGAAACACCTCATTCAATCCACCAATCCTCACTGGGCTTACTCTAAGTTGAAGTGGGTAGAGAGACCAGAAAACTGGGTACCCAACTAAGCACTGTGTTGGAACAACCTTGCCAGCTATACAAACTCCTCTTCCTCCCTTTGGCTCTTTTTTTTTTACACAGAAGACTAAAGGAATAGGGGATTGTATTTAAAGGACTTCAAGTGTGCAGGAAAACCCATCAAATGTATAGAATCAAATGACATCAGACCTTCTTTAAAATATGACTAGTATTGTAAGAATATAATAATGATATGATAATCATAAGTGATGTCTTTAACCCCTGATTAAATTGACAGAAAGGAGATTTGAGGAGTAAGAAGAACAGGGGCATAAAGACATGCTAAGTTGCTCCTTGGGCATGGATAGACCAAATGAAGTTAGTCTGTCTTTGACTTTGGCAAGGAAATGCACAGTTAATTATGAATTTTATAAGTCTGAAATCAATTTCTAATACACTGAGAATCCGAATTATTTTGTATCCTGACCACTGCTTAAAAAACTAAACTAACCATAAGAGTGTAATCACACAGTAAAATTAAGTCAACCGAAAATGCATGAAAAAAATGAGCAAGCACCAAAATCAGAAAACATAAAACAAGACAAGGTATGCAACACAAATTAAATTAAATATCATTTGCTTAAATTTTCTTCTTAAAACACAAAGATAATAAGTATAACATGGTTATGTTTCTCTATCAAAAGATAAATATCTCCAAACCAAAACTGTATCATATATGGGAGACATATAAAACAAAATGACACTAAAAAGTTATGAAAAAAAGATGAGCAAAGAATCATCATGCAAATCCAATGAAGAAAGGAAGAAAATGGATATTGTTGATATTTAAGAGGGTAGAATTGGAGGGAAAAGTATTGCATGAGATAAATGAGACCATTTAGAATTGTCAAAACATATAATGAAGTTATGGCAGACACTAACATTATATCATGGATCAAATACTTCACAAGACACAAAAACTGAGTAAAATACAAAGATAAAATGACAAACACAACTGTTAAGGGAGATTAAACAAAACACTACTTGTGTGCTAAATAGATTGTCAGTACTCCAACACTTCACCTTACTGGTTAGACAGCTCCATTTCTTAGCCTTATGCTCTGCCTCAATAGATATGATCTCAGCCGTGGCTCCCCCATCTTCGTCTATGTGAAGAATGACCAAGTTGAAGGGCTACGAGGCGCAAACAGACACTACAAATGAGGGAAGTGGGCCAAGTAAGAATGCTTGCCCCATCTAAAGGGCACAGCCACTATACAGCTCCACTCAGTTTTCAACAAAGAACAGTGTAAGGTGGTATTGCACTTTTTCAAGAGAAGTCAGAACCTCAGATTTTTATGTGGTTTTTCCATTTTTCAAGGTTAGCTTAGTTATAAACAAAGTAAGACTACTTTGTGTGGTGAATCTAGCTCGTGCACCTCCAGTTCAAGACTTTTAATCCAGGCTATCTCTCTTTATTCTGGAAGTATTCAGCAAAATATAACTGTAATTAAATGCTTCTTGAATGTATGCACGCATGAATGAGTTGAAACTGCTTTTATGCATTTTTAGTCTATTCAGGAAAAAAGATAATTAATTATGAGAAAACAACAGGATAAATGCGACAAAAGGCCCATACATAGCTAGGATATAACAAAGGCACAAAGAAAAGGTCCTTAAACTTGGGTTCTTCTTCCCAGATTTTTTATTTTTTTAAAGAAAAACAGCCCTCAATAGGGAATAAAGAAGAGAGAAGGTTAATTTATACAGTGGAATGCTACATCAATGTGATGTTGAGTCAATTACAAGTATCAACATGGGCAAATATTTAAAAAATAGTGTCAGCTGAAAAAAAGTCACACAAGGATTCATAGAGAATAATACCCATTATGGCCAGGCATAGTGGCTCAGGCCTGTAATCCCAGCACTTTGGGAGGCCAAGGCAGGTGGATTGCTTGAGCCTAGGAGTTCGAGACAAGCCTGGGCAGCATGGCAACACCCATCTCTACAAAAATAGAAAAACTAGCCAGGCATGGTGACGCAATCCTGTAGTTCCAGAAACTCAGGAAG
The DNA here is from genome assembly GCF_000001405.40 of Homo sapiens. Lineage (NCBI taxonomy): Eukaryota > Metazoa > Chordata > Mammalia > Primates > Hominidae > Homo > Homo sapiens. Next base: position 1,613,051 of record NC_000009.12, on the reverse strand, counting down.
CTGAGGTGGGAAGATCACCTGAGCCTTGGGAGGTTGAGGTTGCAGTGAGCCATGGTTGCACCACTGCACTCCAGCCTGAGCAACAGAGTGAAACCCTGCCTTAAAAAAAAAAAAAAAGACAGAGAGATAATAATACCAGTTATGTGAAATTTTGAAAGGCACAATATAGCACTATACATGTATATTTTAAGAATAAACGTGTGGAAGTAAAAAACGTATGCACTAGAATGACATATGTCAACTTCAGGACAGTATTTACCCCTGGGGAGGAGGGAATTCGGAGGAGTGTTCTAGGGCTTCAGTTACATTTGTAATGCAATATTTTCTTATAAGAAAAATGATTTGAAGCTCATATGTAGACAAAAAATATTAAATTTGGGTGGTAGGTACACTGGTGTCTGTATACTGTTTTCTATAGTTCTCAGTATGTTTAAAATTAAAAGTATGTTTCATAATTAAAAAAACAAATTTGATACTCTTTGAAATACTGAGAAAAGGAAGTTATGAGTTAATTCTGGGAATCTGGGAATTATTCTTCCAGAGCTGAGGATACTAAAAATGTAGTAAAATGCTAAGTCTCACCCTGTATCTCTTATAGGCTTCATACTTCCTATTCAAATTGCTGCGCTGAGATACATGGCAGTCTCTAACTTCCCTAACCCTTTTCTGTTCCCCTTCACCCTCAGCTCCCTCTAATCAATGGAATTGACCATTGGTCACCCTCAAGCTCAGGCAAAGCCAGTTCCCAATTCTTAACATGGACATTACACAATACACAAGGAAAGAAAGGAAGATAGTTTCCTTACAAAGGATATAGAGCAAACTCAAAGAAAGGAAGGAGATAATATCATAAAATAGAAAGTCCAGGAAGAACTTTAACAATTACTTTGTATGGTCCTAATTTTACAAAGAGGAAATTCTTACAGAGAAGAAGGACTTTTCTCAGTTGCAATAGCTAATTCATAGTGAAGTTTGGACACAGGAGAGCTCTCAGCCTCCCAGTCTAGGAATTTTTTACTGCTGCACCCATGTAACTAATAGAATTTTCCAGTTATAACAGAATCTTGGGATTACCTAGTCCATATCCCTTATACTTCAAGTACGAGAACAAAGACTTCCAAGAATACATTCATGGAAGACTTTAAGAATCGCCAAGTCAGCTTCATTCACACTGTAAGATACAGTGTTAACAAATTTAAGAATCTCATTCTTGAATATAAAAATAGCCCAGTCACTTAATCTGAAAATCAATAGTGGAATCAATTCTGAGAACTGTTGGGTCATCTAATTTGAGACGCTTATATCTGCACATCTTGTACTCTCTGTTGGGTGGCTTTCTCCATCTTCTTTGTCTAGAGAAATACTGTTCATCTATTCATCTACTACTTCCTTTGAGGAGTCTCTCCTGTCCTGCCAACACTGAATTGGTCTCCCTTTTTTTTATGCCTATGTAAGTTTTATAAGTGAATAAAAATAAAATGTTATAAGGGCTATCATATAATTTTATCATCTCTCGCTTGATGACAATTTTCTTGGGACTCAGCAGCATACCTGGTTAATCTCTGAAAAGTAATGCATGGTCAACAAATATTTTTGAATAAATTAAAGCAATAATGATTCACTCTAAATGTATGTATATTTCCTAAACGTGGATTTCGTCTTATGACTGACTCCAAAATCCTAAGATCAAAATTCCTATCACAAAATTTCCCATAGAGTGTATCATGAAACTTTGAAGCACTTTGGCAGGACATTCTTCAGTCATGAGTTGGGCAAAGATGGAATAGTCTACCTCTGAAAGCAGTAAATTTCCCATTGATTGGAAATGTTTAAAGACAGAATAGACAACAGCTTGGAAGGGGTGTCTTAGAGAAAATTCTGATTTCCTTTGGATGAGAACACTGGATTAGAGGTTGGACTAGATGTCTTCCAATAGTCCTAATTAGGACATTTCGTAAGACTCAGATTGTTTGTAGAGGGACTCGTCTATCAGTTGAGTCAATCATTCACTAGTGGGGAGAGACACAGAGTGGGAGACACAGGCAAGTAGCTTTGAGGAACTCAGCCTAACAGAGAAAATCACTCAGTCCTTTCAGCAGTAACACCAACAAGAGGGAGCCCACTTGTACTGGGTTGTCCAAAGTGGCAGCATGAAGTTAAGGGAATGTTTTGCAAATACCATGGCAATGGTAGAAAGAACATTCTCACAACTAAAATAATCTAAATTTACCTAACAATGGAATAAATTCCTTTGTGCAGGCATGGGTACCCCTACTCAGGTATTGTAGTGAAGAGTTCAGATGACCAACTGAGATGAGATCAGGTGAATTTTTTTTTTTTTTTTTTTTTGAGACGGGGTCTCCCTTTGTCTCCCAGGCTAGAGTGCAGTGGCTCGATCTCCGCTTACTGCAACCTCCGCCTCCCAGGCTCAAGCGATTCTCCTGCCTCAGCCTCATGTGTAGCTGGGATTACAGGCGCGTGCCACCACACCTGGCTAATTTTTTTTTTTTTTTTAAGTAGAGATGGGGTTTCAGCATGTTTGTCAGGCTGGTCTTGAACCCCTGACCTCATGATCCACCTGCCTCAGCCTCCCAAAGTGCTGGGATTACAGGCATGAGCCACGGCGCCGAGATTGGGTGAATTTTTAACCTCATTGAAAGGCTGGATTATATTTAGGGTGTCCATGCATCTCAGTTTTCCCAGGACAGTTCTAGTTTACATGTTTCCCTAGCATAATTATTAGTTCTACCCCATTTCGCTATCAAAAATGTCCCAGTTTGGAAGATAAATCATATAGTCACTCTAGTTATATTAAATGACTTTAAAGTCCCTTTCAACTTTAATTATCTTGCTCAGTGTTTTGCTTAGGAGTGGGAGATTTATAAAATAAAGAACATCTCAGCTGGACTAGAGGAGGATATTTTATTTTTAATTTTTGTGGGTACATAGTTGTATATATTTATGGGCTACATAAGGTATTTTGATATAGGCATGCAATGCATGATAATTACATCATGTAAATGGGGTATTTGTTGCTAGCAGAGGAGATTTTAGGCAGAAGGAGACATTCCCCAATATTCCACTGAATTTTCTCTTCCATCCTACAACTCCAAATATCACTATAGTGGAAAGTCCTCAAACTTCTGCTGAGAGGCTTTGGGTATGTGTCAAAGTCTTGAATTTTCACCTCCTCTGTGGAGACCAGCTCTTTGATGTCCTACAGACATCTCCAATGCAACAGAATTTGCATAGTTTTGAGGAAAAATATCATCAAAGTTCATTAAAAGTATCTTTCCTAAAAATTCACGCTTTTCATAAGAAAAATTCATATGTATATAATAAAATTAAAAATTATATACATGTGTTAACATTTTGTATTGATTTATAACAAAATTCATGTAAAGCTTCTTGATCTTATCACAAAACCAAGGAGTTATATATAGTGAGAATATACTATGCTAAATCTCACACTGTAATGAAAAGTTGCCATTCTTAGCCTGGTCCTGTTTGCCAATACTGTTTTCCTTCTCAATAAATATTTAAATGAAAATGGAGTCTTCAAAGGGAAAAGTGTGTGGGTGCTTGAAGTTTATATTTTCGTGTCTCTGATAAATGCTAGTGAATATCAGAGCTGAGGAAGGGTCACAGACTTTGACACATACCCAAAGCCTTGTCATAACTGTCTCTAGAGTGTCCACAGGTAAGTTAGAGAATATCTATTGGGAAAATGTAAACAAAGCTAGTGGTCACAGCACAATAAATTTTTTGGAGTAACCCTAATGAATTATGAGGAAAAGGAATCAGAAACTGGCCCAACTTAACTTTGCATTGAAGCATTCAGCATTACAGGAGGCCATCTGGTGTAACATCTCCTGTCCCAGAGAGTCTACAATTTTAATGGTGCTCAGAATCAGAAACACTTAGAACTGTTGAAAGGCCTGAGTTTATAGCCCAGTTCTGGAAATGTGGTCCAAAAACTGATAGCATTCAGCATCACCTGGATGCTCCTTGGAAATGCAGAATCTTGGGCTCCACCCCAGACTTGCTGAACCAGCATCTGCATTCTGGCAACATCTTAGGTAATTCATATGCACTTTAAAGTATGAGAAACACTGATCTAGCACACTCATCCAGCCAAAGCCTACAGGACTGGAATTTGATCTGGGCTGTTCCAGTCACTGTAACACTTAAGTTGCAGAATTAAACCAAACACACGACTGACACAGAGTGGGTAAACCCTGTGTGTTAATTTCCCTGCTCATCCTGTACAAAATCTTGTTCAGTCCTGGTCAGCCCCCAAGAATGGACTGGTTTACCATTTCCTCCCACTCCTTTTAGCTTAAATGGGTACCCTTCATTCTTAGAAAACATCCACAAACTTTGGCCCAGAAAGGCCTTCTTGGTCCATGACGCATGATCATCTTCTCACCCTCCACCTTCCTTTTGAGGATTTGGAAAGGCTTTCTCCCGGGGGAAAAAAAATAAGCAAAGAAGAACCTGGTTGTGTTTTTCACACTGCCTGTTTGAGGCTTTCAAAGAGCATGAAATGCAATTAACACCAATGTGAAATCCACAGTTGTTCATTATGAGATTATTCAGTGCTATTGTTACCTGACCTATAAGCAGCTGTTGTCAAGTAATGTAAATTGTCACTGGGATCTAGAATTATTATATACAAGTGAAATAAATCTGCCTCTTGGACTGGCATGGTAAAGAATGTTTCCCTCCCCTTTCTCAATCCTCACCATAGCCAGTCATGTTTTGCCATGGTCACACGTCTCACTTTTCTTTATGCGATTCACTTCTTTTAGTTTTTTTCCCCAGGGTTCTGCTTTATTAGACATTTTTACTCCTGTGACCCAGGCTTTTTGGCCATTGAAGACATAGTAAAGAGGTTAATCTGAGCTGAAATAGATCAGATCTGTTACACTCATTCTGATTTATCTGACTCCTTTGCTGGTTCACCAGCTTGAAATCTTTGGCCCTGATTCAGGCCATGTCTCTGGTAGAAAGGACTTTTTTTTTTTTTTTTAATTTTAAAGGTTGCTCTGTTTTCATTACAGATATGGCTGAATCTGAAAGTGTCACAAACTAAAATGCATATATTAAATTTGATAGATATTCCCCCCTTCCAGGGCCATAAAAATGGAAAGAAAAGCAATTTAAGGAGTTTTTTCAACCTTCTGGGACACGCACTGGAAAATATATTAGGTTTGTTGGACTTATTTTTGTTTTTGGGTGCTGGAGACCTGAAGGCAGCAGTTGTTTTTTGCATATGCTGATATTATTCCGACCATGATAAATACAGACGTGCTGCCTTCCGGACACAGAGAGGCACTGGTATTCTGCACTGCAGGCCTGGACTCTCTGGACTCTCCCCAGTGTAAGGATATCGGAGCTGCTTTGCAAAGGGAGGGCTCTGGAACCAAAGAATACCAAGAGTTGGTAGAAATCCTGCCCTGAAGGCAAAGAAGGAAGAAGACAAAAAGGGGACCCAACCTGGAAAATCCCTTGCTCCTGGTAGAAGACTGTCATCCTTCTCAGGTTTTCAGGCTTGTCCACGATTTTTGAGGTCATTTTGGACTGCTTATCATAAACAAGCTGATTTGAAGATAATTCCACTTGGGTCTTGGTGGGAATTAAGTACACAAGTATAATGAGTCTAATACATTCGAAGAGAGTTTTTCTGATAAGATGATGAAATCTTTGCCACTGATGAGTTTGGTTGTGAATTGCAAGCAGGAATAATGCTGGATAATTTAAATTTGAATTATATTGATTACAGCATGATTGGTATCCTCGGTTATATGCAACACAGCAGCTGCTCCTAGGAGATAAGGATTTAGTTACCTTACAGGAGCATATGAAGAGAACACTCTTGGCCAGAGCAATCTGGTGCAGCTCAGCACCAGATTCTTGAGTCTCAGTCACATAACCTTATCTCCAAAGAATTTCACTCTCAGTAAGAGACAAACATCCCAACATTGTTGGAGCCAGAATCCCAAGACCCATGGAGACATAACAGGGTATTAACTCCCATGTTTCCTTCCAGGGCTTGTGTCTTTGGGTAAATGGGTGTCAGCAATACCTTTATGATCTTAAATATCCATTTTCCATAAACCAATACCTTATCCCAGCTAGGGCTGCAGAAGCTGGGTCTCAGGGTTGAATGGAGAGGAGAATTATGGCTCCATCTTTCCTCACAGAAGAAACCTTGAAAAAGACGTAGGAAGCATCAACACCTCAGTTTACCTTATAAGCTTTCCTTATTTTCCAGAGGTTGAGAGATCTAAGAGACTGTCAGTCACAAAGGTCCTACTAAATCAATGTTCCACACTTGTAGCTCTGCTGTGTCAAAAGTCCTGGCTGTTCCCAGGAGAAAAAAAAAAAAAAAAGCATGCCCAATGTTACTCACACATACAATTGTTTTGAATCCACTTGTCTGCCTAACTTCAAAGAAAGTCTTTGTTGACAAATTAGTCCTCAGTAGTTTTTCACTTGGCCTATAAAGTGATTCTAGCTGTGGAGACACTGAAAAGGTGGCGTCAGGGCATTCTCCACACATCTTTCATCTCCATCGAGAGTGGATACTCGAGCTTCCTGTTTTAGAGTCTGAGACATAATTGCTGGGGGGAAGTGACGGATGGATTGCACACTGGCTCTGAGGAAGCTGCACATGCATCAATGTCTCATGAAGCTTTTTGGTTTTTGGGGTTTTTTTTGAAAAGATAAAACTAGGAGGAACAGTTGTTTGTGTAGTTTTATTTTCAAAATGCTCCTAACGTTGAATAAAAAGATAAGGCCTTTAAAAATACCACCATGACAATTCTGAAAGTTATAGGGTAAGCCACATTCTCCCATTTGGTTGTGAGTAACAGTCTTAAGCACCACAGACCTGCTTCTCTGCTGTTTTTTTTATTAATTCTCTTTTATGATTCCTATAGGTAACACAAGGCAACTGAATCGCCAAAGCCTTGTGTGAGCATTTATAAACTTATAAATGGATAGTTTCCAAAGGTCACTTATAAGTTGATATATTTTAGAAGTTAGAGCCTGTTCCACAGAGAAATAAGAATATAAATTATGTTTATGGCTTCTCAAAATCTCCTTAACACATAATGTGTTTATGAGATTCTATGCTTGCTTTCAACAAAATAGATAATAACAACAAAAATAATACAATAACATTTTCTACTCTGCATATTATTTATTGATGAAAACACGCTTTAATTAGAGGAAGATGTGGAAGCAAGTGGAAACTTTAGTGGAGATAAGAATAATTGGACACTTTCTAAGGCTTCAGTATATAATGGCAATTGGCAAATTTCAAAGCTTGTGGTGTTATTTATTTAATCAGATGTGTTAACCAGTCATGTTTATCAGACCATGTCAGGTTCTTCTTTTTCCTTTTTTAATCTCAATTACAAAAAGAAGAAAAAGAAAATGAAAAGAAAGGAAAAACAAAAAAAAATCTTTTTTCTTGATGTCTTAGGTAAATGCTAGACAAGACATGGTACAAATATGCAGTTACATAAGAAGCTGTGGGTCCATATGAAAAAAAATGGTCTAAAGTGTGAAATGAGCTGACCTGTGGTCAGCAAAAGTGTTGAAAATCATGGCATACAACCTTTACATACGTTCCTTAGAAGAACGACCATTATGGTAAAGCAGAGATTCTCAAAGTGTGGCTCCAAGACTAGCGGCATTGCTTTCCTAAATTTCCTGGGAACATGTTAGAAATGCATATTACTGAGCCCCATCCTAGATCTACTGAATCAGAAACTCTAGGAGTGGTGTCCAGCAATTTGTGTTTTAACTAGCGCTCTTGAAGATCCTGCAGGCTGCAGATTGAGAAGCACTAAAGAAACAGCATTAGAGAGTTTCCTGTAACAACCACTAGGTGCCTCTGTTGCTCAGGACAGACTAGTTTAATGAGGGAAGTTAGGGGTTCATAGCACAGAATTAATGCCTCTCTTAAGCAGTTATGTGGATGAGGATGACTTATCTGTTGCCTCAATTTTTTTAAAGTAGTCAGTAAGAAACTAGAAATAAATACACAATCCTAACTGGCCAACAAAATTTACAGGACGTTTCCAAGTTTGTTTTTTATGACTAGAATTTGTTTGCAAAAATGGGAATTTTTATTAACCTGCAGAAAACATAAAATATGTGTTTTTTATACTACACTACCAAATATTGCTACTATTACCTTTAAAATTTCACTTAATTCTCTCTTGGCTTAGACACTTTAAATTACAGCAGAACTATGCTATGACATAGTTGGCAAAATTAGAAATTAACCCAATCTGGGATTCCACTGCTTTTTTCACCCACCATTGCTGTACATCCATACTTCACTTCTTGGGACTACTTTTGGCTTTGTCTGTCTGTTCCATCCTCTCCAAGCTTGCTACATATGACCTAGTCTTATATGAAACCTCTGGCATTTCTCATTCCAAGCTCTTATATTAACACTATTAATAGCGACACCACCTTACACCCCTGGGACTCTCCCTAATGGTCAGGTACTTGAGAATTGGGATAGTCTTGGTCCACTCCATTGGCAAGAGCCACAGCCGGGAGAAAGCTAGAGGTGAGGCCCTCCACCGTAGCAGCTTTTGAACTGACTGGGTTTTTGTGTCTATATTGAGGAGACGTTATCACAGTTCAAATGTTTCTAATAAAACTCTGTAAGCACTTCAAGGAAAAGTGCTGTAAAGACCCATATAAATACTTAATCTCTTTCTGTGTAGCACCATTGTTCTTTATCAAAAAAGAAGGATTCCTCACCCATAGGGATTTTTAGAGTTTTTCATCATAAAATTTTAATATAATTGTTTTTTGTCATAACTCTATGTATTTTCTTATGCATTTAAAATACTACTCTAAGAAGAGTTATTTGGTTTCATCAGATTTCCAAATGAGTCCATGCACAATAAAGATGAAGAAGCCCTCACTGGTACTGGGGGCCACTGGCTCTACATCAGAGGAAGGGATGCTCATCTCCCCAGGCCTTACCAAGGGACAGAAGAAACAATAGCATAGTGACAGAAAGTAAACTGAGCCGGTGGCTATGCTGAACAAGGATAGTCATGCTCCCAAATTCGGCAGATGTCTCAGGCTGCCAAGGGAGAAGTATTCATGTCTGTTTATCAGGAACACATCCACAATAACCCATCTTACCCTCCCCAGAGCCCTACAGAGCATAAAGCAGATGGTAGGCACTTAACGCATTCATGCACAGTGTTCTAGTTCAGTAGAGTGGACTTAGCTATGACAAAGGAAAAGCAGAAGCCAGAGTATGGTTCTAGGACAGGAGTTCTTCTCATTATACTCTGGAAGTAACCCAAATGTACCTCCAGTTTCATAAGGGACAAATAAACACCTTACAGCAATGGTTTGGGGCAACTGTGGTACTAGCAATGTACAAAATAAATATTTTAATGGGGAAAAAGCATTTTCCATTTCAGAATATGTTTAATAGCATGGTAGGTTTTATAGCTATAAACTGATCTTAAGCATTTGGTCACTGAGGAGCAAAGTCTACATCTCAATCCTGCCAAAGCAGGGTCCTAACATTCTGCTAGTCTTGGCTGAGAACAACAGGCTGGGAATTCAGGGCAGGGTTAGAAGCTAAAAGGAATCAGATCTTCCATGTCTTATAGAAAAAAATTAAAATTCTATATGGTTCCAAGACTCAGAAAGAAATTAAATATTGCTATAGCTGAAATAATCAATGACCTTACAACCTACTTCCCTCCTTAAGAATCCAAGTCAATAATTGTCACTTTTGTGATTACAAAATAGATCTTTCCCTCTGTTGTATTATTTTATCCTCTCCAAGCTCTTGTTAGGTGAAAAGGGCATATACGTCCCTATTGTACAGTCCAGGACACAGGCAGACACACCCCTTTGTCCATATTTACATGACTAATTAGTCCTAAAATTAGAAAGACTCTTTACACACATCGTTTGGTCTTTCAATAAGGGTTGAGGACCTACAAGGGCATGTCAGTCTACTGACTTTTCAGGACTCTCTCTCCTATACCATTTATTAATATAAGTATTCTCATCTCTGGCTGAGCTTTTACCAGGAATGGCTGTGACAACATAAAAGATAGTCCCCGTCCCTAAAGCAGTAAGTTGTTTTAGGTGTTGGTTGGTTGGTTGTTTGCTGTGATGTCACTGATTCAGCCTCCAGCCAAACAATGGGTTGGGGCAAATTTTAAATTGTGGATTTGGGATTGCAGCCTCCTATTTCAGTTTTTCACTCTTTTTGCCACAGACTGAAGGCTGACTATAAAGTACTGTAGGAGAAAAAAAATCTAAAGATCTAAGTTTTAAATCAAGAAGGAATTTAGAGATCTGCAGAAGAATTATACCTTTGTCTGGCTTCATAGATGAGGTGACAATAAGATGATTTTTTTTCTCTTAGAGTGAGAGGCTGCTTCATTTCTTAGTGCTTGAGAAAACAAAAATCCTCTCCTTGGTAGCAAACAGACCCTTTACATTTAAGCTGTTATCTCTACTCAAGTCAGAAGGCTTGTCAGTGTTGAGGATGGAGCTGGCAATACTGGCCCAAAGCTGGTCCCCTGAGCAAAGAAAAAAAGTCCCGGGATGGGGGATGGAGTTGCATCCCAGTCCTCCTCAGACTCAAGGCATAACTGAATGCTTAGGACCAGAGAGGACTGATGGGAGTTTATTAAAATTTACAGGGTAGAAAACTTGCTGCAATTAAACAAATAAGAACCAGAAGTGACAAGCTGGAGTTGAAAGGGGATTGGTAAACAGGACAGTTGCTTATTTACATTGGCCAAGGCAGGCCACCTGTTGGAATCATTAAAACCTAATGTATGAAATTAGAAGTTAGACCAGATTCTGTAAAATACTGAGAGGCAAAGGAAGGCTGGAGCCTGAAAGGGCAGGCTGCATTTGGAAGTTGGAAGGTTGGCATTAAGAAATAAGAGCTGTAGAAAAACATTACTGTGTACCTATTATGTACAGGACGTGGTGCTAGTAATTAAGGGGTAGGAAAAAATAGGAAAGGTAGAAAAGAACAAGAATAGCCACAAAGGAAAGTGTTTCTCATTTTAGCTGAATTAAAAAGTGATTTTAATTCCTATAGCACTGTGTAAATGATTGTGCAATTAGAATTAAAAGAAGAGAGAAATCCTGTCCATCTTATTGAAGCATTTATCTGACTTCACAACTCACAGCTACTCCTCATTCCCACTTCAACTTCCTTTTATGAAAGCGCTAGATGGCATATGTAGTAGGTGTTAGTGTCCAGGTGTGGCCACTTGGCATCCACCATTCCAGGGTAGTATTTTATTGTAGCACGTGCAACTCTCTGCTTAACAGAACATGCTAGGCAGACACAGGGCAAGCTGGGAGTGCTAAGCATTTATACCCCCCCAGAGGATGGACCTTCAATCATTGGCAGTTAAGAGCTAGTGGATCAATACCCTGCCTTCTCCATTCCTCTATTGGGACAACTCAAACTACAATATCCACCCTAACAGTACTGAGCTGTAGTTGTTCCAACATTAGCCTGCTTATTAACATGCTGTGTATTTACTTTATACCAGTACTTCCCGGGATCACCAACTAAATGAAATATTCACCCCGAATCTATGTCTTAGGGTATACTTCTGGGGAAACCTAACCTAAGAAGCATGTGTGCATGCATATGTAGATATGTGTGTGTGTGTATATACATGTTTGTTTATATACACGTATATGTATATGTTTATATAAAATATATATTACATTATATATGTATTTATATGTTATATATTACATATATACATACATATAATTATATATTTTATATTTATATATATATTAGGTTTGTTTTTTGTTTTTTGTTTTTTAGATGGAGTCTCCCTCTGTCACCCAGGCTGGAGTGGAATGGCATGATCTCGGCTCACTGTAACCTCCACGTCCTGGGTTGAAGCCATTCTCCTGCCTCAGCCTCCCAAGTATCTGGGATTACAGGTGCCCACCACCATGCCCAGCTGATTTTTGTATTTTTAGTAGAAATGGAGTTTTACCATATTGGGCATGCTGGTCGCGAACTCCTGGCCTCAAGTGATCTGCCCACTTTGGCCTCCCAGTGTTGGGATTACAGGCATGAGCCACGACGCCCAGCCAGATATGTGTATATATTTAAAACTAGAATTATTTCATTGAAATTTGATATTTATTGATAAAAATGGACGAAATCTATGTAGCTATTTTGCATTTTCCTAAGTTGCCAAGCCATAGTGTTTTTGGAGGAGAGAGGTGGGCATGAATTGCTGATTTAGAGCCAGAGGCAGCTGCAGAAGAAGGGCTTTCACATGCCATTTTCCTGGCCTCAGGCTCTGCCTGGGAAAGAGGACTGTCCTTCCCTCATCAAAGGAAATAACTGGATTTCTGAAGGGTCTACTTAATAAATGTTTTGAGGTCATCAAACGAGTCAAATATGAATATATAAATTTTATCTTTGATGTACAGCACTTAATAAGCATAAACAACAGGATATTTTAAATAAGTCTATAAAAATAAAAGAAATTCCTTGGTCATAATTTTAAAATAAGCCAATAAGTTAACATCTGGAGGGACTGAAGTCTGTTTTTTTTTTTTTTCAAATATAACAAAGGGACAAATACATTAGCATATTGTAAAATTTTCTTTCCATCTTCCAAGAAATCTGTAGGAATGAGGAGGTAGGGAAAGAGGGAAAAAAAGTAAATTTTGGTTTAAACATTTCTCCCGGAAAGCATTTTGGCAAGAAATGTACATTTCCCAACTATTTAACTGAGAGAAGGATATTATCAAATAGATTGGAACTTCCTGTTCCAATCTATTTGCCAATAACCTTATCTCCGTTAAATATTGCCTTAGGAAATTGCCTGAAAAGCTTGTAACAACCAAAGATAAAAATCAATTTTTGGTGAAATAGTCACATCCATATGCTGAGGCAGGACCCTGCAAAGGCCAAAATAACACAGCCAGGTGCTGAGCTTGGTCCATGTGTTAGGCAGCTAGTTGAATTTACCAGGTAAATGAATAATTTGTGGAAAAGATTGTCACTTGCCAGAAGTGTTTGCATGAATTTGAGGATGGAGAATTTCCCATACACCACTTGCCTCCCCAGATTCTGTGAACAAGAAGAGATTATTTAAATGCAACGTGATAGTTGAGGCATCTTAGTGCTTGTGGGCCTGTTACTGAGCAAAGGATCCCCAAGTAGTACAGGAAGTTAATTCTGTCACCACTACACTAGGAAATCCCAGGGCTAAGGCAATAAAATGCATTGTATTTGGTCAGTATACAAATTGCTTCAAAAAGGAGAAAAAGCTTCTTGGAAGCAAAATTTCTGGTAAATGTCGCCTTTGAGGTAGGATAGAAGGTGTATCAAAAAATTGGACACACAGAGAGCAAAAGATTCGATTCTCATTAGAATGTCTAATGGCTGTTTCAGTGAGGAGGACTTACAAAAACATTTGCAAACAGCTAGTTTCTCCACATTACCTGCCTTTTGGGGATTAAAAGGTCTGAATGGATCTGGAATTTCTAGGTAATCTCTTATCCTAGATATTTTCCATCCAAAATACCATCCTTCTAGTTTGCCTGTTTGTAATGTCCAGCTTGAAATAATTACTAAACAATGACAGGAGTGAACGTCCCTTGATTATAAAACATAGAATTTCCAAGGAAGCTACCTGAGATATAATTTCCAATTAGCTCTCTGCAAGCAAAGGAGTTTGGCTCAATGTGATAGGTCCCCAAGGGAGCTCAGGACAAAATCACTAGAAGCTCCAGATTGGCAGCTGCCATCCATCCACCGAGGGTCGCTACTGAGGAGCAGGAACAGCAACAGGAGAGAGATGGTCAGTTAGTATGTAGTATGCATCTATTGTATGCCAGGCATTGTACTAGGTGCATTATATAGATATCACAAACACCTAAATTTAATAAATATAATTCACTTGGCTAAGCGCATTAGATATGTACTGTATAATGAAACTACGGCCTCATAGAATGTTACTACTGGCAGTGTTAAGAGTTAAATCTCCATCTGTTTCGTTCTTCTATGTCATGAAATCTCCTGTTACAGAACAAATGCCAATCTTGTGTTTTCCTTTCACCCACTTCTGTACAAAACTGAGGGAGATGGCATAACTGCCAGCCATAGGAATATGTAGTTATCAAAAAAGTTAGTCAGAGACACTCCCTGAAGAGTCATTTCAATACGTAATAGAGTAGATTTAGATACAGGAAACACTGACGCTAGAAGAGATCTTAGAAACCATAGAGAAAACTGATGATCAGAAAGGTTAAACTACTTGCAAGTGTCCACTTGTTAGTTAGAAAGTGGGAACTTCAATAATAAATCAGAGCTTCTTGTACACTGTGAGCCTCTCCTATTATATGTGTCAGAAGTGTTAATTCAATATTAAACAAGAAAATAATAACAAGACCATTGTCTTTTTTAAAAAGGGGGAGATTAAAATGTAGAGGGGATTAGGTATTCTAACAGCTCTCTAGATTCTTTGGGTCACAAACTTTGTATCAGACTCAGATTCTGATGAGTTTGCACAAATGCTCTGAGAGGTCTCAGAGCATTTGTGTGAAATGCGTATGTTCATGTTCAATTGCCCATAACTCAGTTGAATGACTGTCAGAAACACAAAAAACCATGCACTGGTTAAGTCTGGCAAACTCTCTGCAGTGATTTATGGGGCCGCAGAAGGAGAGGTGTTCTGGGAGGAAATTTGGTGTGGACAGAGGCTTCCTGGTGGTTACATGCAGCCATAGCTGCCCAGCAGCAGCATCCTATAGAACTTCTGCCTCAGGCAGGTTCACATCACACATATTTGCTCAGAGAATGAGCAACCCTTCCTTGCCTTCACTTAATCATTGTGATAGGCTTAACAGAGTTTTGCCCAAGAAGAAAAAAACGAGTCTCTCAATTTGTGAGCTCACAAGGCAACATGAGAAAGAGTAGAGAGCACTTTTCTGATGTCAGAACCCTGGCCCCATCATCAATTAACTGTGGGTCCCCAGGCAAGTTCCTTCTCTCTGAAACTCCATAAACTGATCTTTGAAATGTGTGAGTTAGAGGATGATGTGGAAGGATCCTTTCAGGTCTGATTGGTCCATCGCTGTTTATTGTGTCCATAGCTGTGTACTGTGTCATAGGCATAAGAAGGTGAATATGTCCCCCTAATATCCAGAATGAACAAGGAATTAAAATCATCAAGAAAAAAAAGAGAGATAATCCCATTAAAAAGTGGGCAAACAATATGAACAGACATTTCTCAAAAGAAGATATACAAATGGCCAACAAACATATGCAAAAATGCTCAACATCACTAATCATCAGGGAAGTGCAAAGTAAAGCCATATTGAGATGATACCACGTCACACCAGCCAGAATGGCTATCATAAAAAGTCAAAAAGCAATAGTTGCTGGCACAAATGTGGTGAAAGGTGAATGCTTATACACTGCTGGTGGGAATGTAACTTAGTACAACCTCTATGGAAACCAGTATGGAGATTTCTCAAAGAACTAAAAGTAGACCTACTGCTTGATCCAGGAATCCCACTAATGGGTGTCTACCCAAAGGAAAAGAAGTCATTATATAAAGAAAACACCTGCACACATATTGCAGCACAATTCAATTGAAAATGTGGAATCTACCTAATTGCCCATCAGCCAATGAGTGGATAAAGAAAATGTGGTACATATACACCATGG
Organism: Homo sapiens; assembly: GCF_000001405.40. Classification (NCBI taxonomy): domain Eukaryota; kingdom Metazoa; phylum Chordata; class Mammalia; order Primates; family Hominidae; genus Homo; species Homo sapiens. The sequence goes on along the minus strand of NC_000009.12, from coordinate 1,597,303 downwards.
GATACTACTCAGCCACAAAAAAGAAAGATACAATGTCACTTGCAGCAACTTAGATGGAACTGGAGGCCACTGTCCTAAGTGAAGTAACTCAGAAATGGAAAACCAAATACTGCATGTTCTCACTTACAAGTGGGAGCTAAGATATGGGTACACAAAGGCACACAGAGTGTTATAATGGACACTGAAGATTCACAAGGGAAGAAGGTACAGGGTCTGAGGGACGAAAAACTACCTACTGGGTACAATACACACTATTCAGCTGACAGTGACAATAGAAGCCCAGACTTCTATCATTACAGAATTCATCCATGTTTCTAAAATCCCTTGTACTCCTTAAAGTTACTGAAACAAAAAAATTAAAAAGAAACACCAAAAGGTGGTAAATTTATGTAACAGAATATTATTTGGAAATAAAAAGAAAAAAAATGCTGAATAAAAGAGATGACTATGCCCCCATGTCAAGGAGCCCACTGTCTCACGGAAGATATAAGAAAGAATAAGATTAATCATAGCACTCCCCCTGTGTGCTTTAGGTACTTCCTGTGCTTTGACCTGCTTAATCCTGACAGCAACCCAGTAAGATAGATCATATCATATCGTTATTTTTATCCTCACTTTACAGAGAGGAAGCTGGAGTTTGTACAGAATAAGAAACTTGTCCAGGTCACATGGTTAATTAATAAGGACATAAAGTACATTGGAGACACAGAAGACTCTAGAGGAGGTTATACAATGGCTTCAATGTGTTCCCCTAAAATGTTAAAATCCTAATCCCTAATGTGATGGTATTAGAAGGTAAGGCCTTTGGGAAATAATTAGATCATGAGGGTAGAGCTCTTGTGAATGGGATTAGTGCACTTATGAAAGGGACCACAGAAAGCACTCCATCTTTTGCTTTTTCTGCCATATGAGTATACAAGGGAAAGTCCAGTCTGCAACCCAGAAGAGGGCCCTCACCAGAACTGGACCATGCTAGCACCCTGATCTCAAACTTCCAGACTACAAAACTGAGAGGAAATGAATTTCTGATGCGGAGGTCATTCAATCTGGGCCACCATTTTGTTATGGCAGCCCAATCAGACTAATACACATGCTAAGGTTTTGTTTTGTTAGCCATTAAGGATACAGGGCGCTTGTAAATCAAGGGAAGTGGTGCTTATTCCCTGGCAGCTAAGTGGAGGATTGCTAGATAAAAGACTACACAGACAAGGATGTGTGAGGAAGCCTTCCCTATGAAACAGCTAAGGGGCCATGAGAGCCTGACCCAGGCATAGCAGTAAACTCCTACTCAAGACACTGCTTACAAAACAGCTCCTCCAGAGTCATCCCCAACACTCTTCAGTTGCTCCAAAGCCCTTTGTGCCATCCCTATTGGATATGTATGACCCTGGGCAAATTATCTAACATGCTATTAATTATTGAGAAAACATCTCTCTTCACCTCCCCACCAGGTCATTACATATTAGCATCTATCAGTACATAGCATATTGCTTATCACACAGCAGCAGCCATTTAAAAGTGCCCAGTGATGAAAGGGGAGAAGCAAGAAAGAGTGCCATGCTCTGTCAGTTCATGGCTCTGTGGCCCAAAGACGGCAAAGCCAGGGCAGAGAGAGACAGGGCCTGTTAGGGTAGTATTTTACCCCACTTTTTTTCCTATGTTAGGGCTTTCCTCAGCATCCCCACAAAGGAAAACACACACACACACACACACACACACAGAAACATAAATGGAGGAAAAATCTATTATTTGTGTGACATTATAGATAAATTATTTTCCTGCCACCTGAGGAAAACGAAACTCCTTTGGAGAGAAACAGATTAATTGTATTAGACAGTATACATTTTAATATATTTCTTGAGATAAGATCAACACATAAAATTCACCTATTTAATATGTACATGTCAATAGCTTTTAGAACATTCACAGAGTTGTGTAGCCACCATGAAAGTCTAAGTTTAGAACATTTTCAGCACCTTCAAAAGATATCTTATATTCATCAGTGACTTCTACTCCCCAGTCATAGGCAACCACTAATCAACTTTGTCTCTATAAATTTTCCTATTATAGATATTTCATATTAATGTAGTCTGTTGTGTAACTGACTTCTTTCACTTAGCGTGGGGTTTGCAAGGTTCATGCATTCTGTAACATGAATTAGTACTTCATTCTTTTCTATATATGAATAACATTCAGATGTATAGATACGATACATTGAATTTACCCATTCATCAGCTGATAGACATTTGGGCTGTTTGTACTTTTTGGCCATTATTCATATTACTTCTATAAATATTAGTGTACATTTTTCTTTGGACATGTGTTTTCATTTCTCTTGGATACATACTTAGGAGTGGAATACTCAGTCATATGGTAATTCTGTTTAATGATGTGAGGAACTGCCAGACTATTTTCCAAAGTGGCTGCTCCATTTTTACATTATTATCAGTAGTGTATGAGAATTTCAATTCTTCCACATCTTCATCAACACTTATTGATATATCTTTTTAATTACTGCCATTTGATTACAGTCATGGCATCCAAATCCTAGTGCATGTGAAGTACTATCTCATCATTGTCTTACTCCACAATGGTGTTAGAGGATCTTTTTGCATGGTACTTGTTAATGTTCTTTGGGGAAATAATGTCTACTTAAATCCTTTGCCATTTAAAATGGGATTATTTTTCTTTGTTATTATATATTGAGTTAACTTTGTTGATATTATATATTAAAATATATTATCTTTGTTTTGCTGTTATGAAGTTATATATTATTTTGTATTTATATATTACATATGATATATACTTTAATATAGAAGAGTTTTTATATATTCTAGATACAAATCTGCAATTAAACATCCAATTTGCAAGGATTTTCTCTTATCCTCTAGATTATTCACTCTCTTGGCATTGTCATTTGCAGCACAAAGTTTTAATTTTGATCAAGTACAATGTATTCTTTATTTTAGTTATTTATGCTTTAGTGTCATAGCTAAGAAACCATTGCCTAATACAAGCTCAGAAAATGTGCTTCTAAATTTTATTTTCCATGTTTTATAGTTTAGCTCTTACAACAGATCTGTGATCCATTTTGAGTTAATTTTTATGTATCGTATAAGGAAGGAGTCCAAATTCATTCCTTTGCCTGTGGCAATCCAGTTGTACCAGGATGGTTATTCTTTCCTTTTTTGTATTATTTTGATATCCTGTCAAAAATCAGTTGACCATAAATGTGAGGGGTTTATTTCGAACTCTCAGTTCTACTCCATTGATTTAACTATGCTTATGTATCACTCTGTCTTGATTATGGCAGATATATAGTAAGTTTTCAAACTGGGAAGTGTGAGTTATAGCTTTGTTCTTCTTTTTCAAGATTGTCTGGCTATTCTGGGTTCCTTGAATTTTCACGTGATTTTTGGATTAGATTTTTTTTTTTTTTTTTTTTTTTTTTTTGCAGAAAATGACAAAGAAAAAGAAAACTTTGCTGGTATTTTGATAAGGATTGCACATTGAGTCTGTTTTCAAGGTTTATCTATATATCTATATAGATATACCAATATAGATATATAGATGGTCCATTCCTTGAGGAATGTTGCCATATTAAGTCTTCTGATCTATGATTATGGATGTCTTTCCATTTATTTAGATCTTCATTGATTTCTTTTAACAATGTTTTTGTAGTGTATAGAATACCATCTTGCACTCATTTTGTTAAACTTATCCATATTTTATTTTTTGTTGACATTGTAAATGGAATTTTCTTATTTTCATTTTCAGATTGTTCATTACTTGTAGAAGAACAATTTATGTTTGTATATTAATTTTATAGATGCAAACTTGCTGAACTCATTTAATGGTTCTAATAGTTCTCTGGGGATTCTTTAGAATTTTCAACATACAAATGATGTCATCTGCGAATAAAGATAGTTTTACTTTTTCCTTTCCAATCAGAATGTCTTTCATTTTTCCTGCCCAGTCACCCTGGCTGGAACCTCCAGTACAATGCTGAATAGAAGTGGTGCAAGTACATGTATGTTTATTGTAGCACTATTTACAACAGCAAAGACTTGGAACCAACCCAAATGCCAATCAATGATAGACTGGATAAAGAAAATATGGCACATATACACCATGGAATACTATGCAGCCATAAAAAAAAAGAATGAGTCCATGTCCTTTGCAGGGACATGGATGAAGCTGGACGCCATCATTCTCAGCAAACTAACACAGGAACAGAAAACCAAACACCACATGTTCTCACTTATAAGTGGGAGTTCAAGAATGAGACCACATGGACACAGGGAGGGGAACATTACACACCAGGGCCTGTCGGGGGGTTGGAGGCAAGCGGAAGGAGAGCATTAGGACAAATACATAATGCATGCAGGGCTTAAAACCTAGATGATGTGTTGATAAGTGCAGCAAACCACCATGGCGCATGTATACCTATATAATAAACCTGCACATTCTGCAAATGTATCCCAGAAATTAAAAAAAAAAAAGAGAAATGGTTCAAGTGGACATCTTTGTTTTATAACCTGATTTTAAGAGGAAAGCATTTAGTCTTTCAATATTAAATATTAGGTATGATGTTAACTGTTGAATAGTTGACACAGCTTTTAAAACTTTTATTCTATAAGTTATCTCTGTGTGTGTGTGTGTGTGTGTGTGTGTGTGTGTCTTGTGTGTCTCTGTCTCTTCTACTCTCTTTCCCTGTTCTGTCCCATCCCCACACCTTACTCACTCACTGATTTTCTCTGCATATTTTTCTCCCCCTGAGGGTAAACCTTTGCCTGAAGTAGTAAGTGAAAATAGAATGGTAGCTGGAGAAAGCTAACTGGTACAGTTCTTCTACACATTTGCAATTAATCCTTTTCTTTTAGATTTTATCCTGACTCACGTCTACCTCCCCCAGGAAGGTCAATTCTAACATTTCTCACATGGGTATTCCGGGATGTATCTTTACATTTAGCCATCTAGATGCCTACCAAATTTTTTGGCCATTTTGGCGTTTTGTTACTGTTGTTTTTAATTGTTGTTAGTAGCGACCTAACTAGATCTCTACTTTAGTGGTAAGATTATAATTATCTCCCATTTAACATCGTAAAATGGGAAATAAAAAAAATTTATTAAGTTCTTTGCACTGAGGAAAATCTGAGAGTAGACAAGGAGTACTGATTGGGTTATGAATTTGTATTTTAACATGTAGACTTTGGCTATAGACATAGCACATAGTAATATTACACATTTCTGTTCAATTATGCTTATGTTCCAAAACACCACTGTTATTAAAAATAATGAATGTTTTGTTCATCTTAAAGTATCTATTCACATCATTAAAAGAAGAATGGATTTAAGGTACTACTGTGTGCCTTGGGACTAATCCTTAAGTATTAAAATTTTAAATGTTTATTTTGTGCTCATCTGTGAATCAGTGAGAGACTGTTCGCTTTTTTCTTTCACATTCTTGGTTTGGTGTAAACGCCCAACATTTTCAAACATATGATCTCTAGTGTTTGAATTAGAGGTCACCTCCCTTTCCCTCAGAACTCTTTTTGTACTTCTGACTTCTTTCTACACCTTGCTTTCTTACCTATTAATGGGAACCTGCAAACAGAATAGCAGAGACAGAATTTTGGATCCTGGGTATCTAGAATTGTGGTTATCAAACATCCGTGGGCATGAGAGTAATATGGGAAGTTTAACTGGCAGATTTCTAAGCCCATTTCCACAGATTCTATTTCTGTAGTGTGCAGAGACTACTGGCTTCTTAGCAAAGTCTATCCATTTCCTCTTTTTCATGGGCACACAGTTAGACCATACATCCCAGCCTGCCTTGTGGTGAGGCACAGAATGTGACTGTGTTCTAGCTAATGGAGTTCTAATATGGTGCCCCTGCCCCAGGATGGGCACCTCAATTTTTCCATGCATTCCTGCATGTTCTTTTCCTTTGCAGTTGCTTGGAATGGTTAACTGCAGAACAACATTTTTCTTTTTCTTTATAATAAGGCAATTTTCACATAACATAAAGTCCACAATTTTAACCATTTTAAAGTATACAATGCAGTAAACTTTTGTTCATTCACAATGTTGTACAATCATCACCACAATCTAATTCCAGAATATTTTCATCATCCCAAAAGAAACCCTACACCCATTAAGCAATCACCTCTCTTCTCTCCACCCACCTCCAGTCAATCGTTCATTTGTTTTCTGTCTCTATGGATTTGCTTATGCTTGACCTTTCATAGAAGTGGAATCATACAATATGTGGTCTTTCATGACTGGTTTATTTCACTTAGCATGATGTTTTCAAGGTTTATCTATATATCTATATGGTGGTATGTATTAACATCAATACTTTATTGCTTGTATAGCTGAATAATATTCCATTGCATAGATAAACCACCTTTTATTTTTCCATTCATCAGGTGATGAGTATTTGACTTGTTCCATTTTCTGGCTATTATGAATAAACTGATATGAACATGTGTATAACAAGCTTTTGTTTGAAAATGTATTTTCAATTCTCATATGCCTAGGAGTGAAATTGCCGGGTCATATGGTAATGGTATGTTTAACTTCTTGAGGAATTGCCAGCTGCTTTCCCAAATAACTGCATCATTTTACAGTCTCACTAGCAATGTCTGAAGACTCCAATTTCTCCATATCCTTGCCAACACTTGTTAATATCTATTATTTTATTATAGCCAGTCTAGGGATGTGAAGTGGTACCTCACAGCAGTTTTAGTTTTCAGTTCCCTGATGGCCAAGAATGTTGAGCATCTTTTCCTGCATTTATTAGCCATTTGTATATTTCCTTGGAGAAATGTCTATTCAAATGCTTTCCCTATTTTTAATTGAATTATTTGTCTGTTTATTACTGAGTTTTGTGAGTTCTTTATACATTCTGGATTCAAGGTCCTTATAACACTTGGGGAAGTACTGCCATCATAACAATATTTCATCTTCCAAACCATGAACACAAATTTCTTTCACTTTTCTAGGTCTTCTTTAATTTCTTCCGACATCATTTTGTAGTTTTCAGTGTTCCTTGGCTAAATTTATTTCTAAGTATTTTATTTGTTTTTATGATACCAAAAGTGAGATTTTTCTTAACTTCCTTTTGGACTGCTCATTACTAAGGCATAGAAACACAATAGATTTTTGTCTATCTTGTATAACACAATTCTGCCTAACTTTTAAATTATTTCTAATAATATTTTATGAATTCTTTAGGGTTTCTATATATAAGATTATGTCATCTATGAATAGAAATAGTTTTACTTCTTCGTTTCCAAACAGGATACCTGATTTTTCTTTTACTTGCCTGATTGCCCTGATTAGATCTTCCAGTATAATGTTTTTTGTTATGGATGTATTATTGGATTTAGGGTTAACCAGATTAATTTAGGATGAACTCATTTTGAGATCCTTCACTTAATTAAATCTGCATAAATTCTTTTTTTTTTTTTTTTTAAGAAAGCCCATTCACAGATTCCAGGTGATGTACCTTTAAGAGACCACCATTCAACTCACTAAACCAATTAAATATCAAGGTTATATAACTCCCTACAAATCAAAAAGGAAAGCCCAAACAACCCAGTAGAAAAATGAGCAAAAGACAGGAAGAGGCATGAACAAATATTTATAGAGTAGAGGAAACTGATATGGCCAATACAGATATAAAAACATATGAAACCTCATTAGTGATCTGGGAAATGCAAATGAAGACTACAATGAAATAGCATTGTATATCTATTTGAAAGGCAAAGATTTAAAACATTTTAGACTTTTTGGATTCCAAGATGGCCGAATAGGAACAGCTCCAGTCTGCAGCTCCCAGCGTGAGCAACGCAGAAGACGGGTGATTTCTGTATTTCCAACTGAGGTACTGGGTTCATCTCACTGGGGCTTGTCAGACAGTGGGTGCAGCCCACGGAGCAGGGTGGGGCATCAGCTTACCCGGGAAGTGCAAGGGGTCAGGGAATTCCCTTTCCTAACAAAGGGAAGCCGTGACACATGGTACCTGGAAAATGTGAACACTCCCACCCTAATATTGTGCTTTTCTAATGGTCTTGGCAAACAGCACACCAGGAGATTATATCCCACGCATGGCTTGGAGGGTCCCACACTGACTGAGGCTTGCTCACTGCTAGCATAGCAGTCCGAGATCGAACTGCAAGGTGACGGCAAGGCTAGGGGAGGGGAGTCCGCCATTGCTGAGGCTTGAGTAGGTAAACAAAGCAGCCTGGAAGCTCAAACTGGGTGGAGCCCACCGCAGCTCAAGGAGGCCTGCCTGCCTCTGTACACTCCCCCTCTGGGGGTATGGCATAGCTAAATAAAAGGCAGCAGAAACTTCTGCAGACTTCAACGTCCCTGTCTGACAGCTTTGAAGAGAGTAGTGCTTCTCCCAGCATGGAGTTGGAGATCTGAGAATGGACAGACTGCCTCCTCAAGTGGGTCCCTGACCCCCAAGTAGCCTAAATGGGAGACACTTCCCATTAGGGGCTGACTGACACCTCATACAGATGGGTGCCCCTCTCAGATGTAACTTCCAGAGGAAGGATCAGGCAGCAACATTTGCTGTTCTGCAATGTTTGCGGTTCTGCAGCCTCTGCTGGTGATACCCAGGAAAACAGGGTCTGGAGTGGACCTCCAGCAAACTCCAACAGACCTGCAGCTGAGGGTCCTGACTGTTAGAAGGAAAACTAACAAACAGAAAAGACATCCACACCAAAACCCCACATGTACATCACCATCACCAAAGACCAAAGGTAAATAAAACCACAAGGATGGGGAGAAACCAGAGCAGAAAAGCTGAAAATTCTAAAAATCAGAGTGCCTCTTCTCCTCCAAAGGAACATAGCCTCTTGCCAGCAACAAAGCTGGACAGGGAATGACTTTGATGAGTTGAGACAAGAAGGCTTCAGACGATCAGTAATAACAAACTTCTCCGAGCTAAAGGAGGATGTTCAAACCCATCACAAAGAAGCTAAAAACCTTGAAAAAAGATTACACGAATGGATAACTAGAATAAACAATCTAGAGAAGTCCTTAAATGACCTGATTGAGCTGAAAACCATGGCACGAGGACTACATGATGCATGCACAAGCTTGAGTAGCCGATTTGATCAAGTGGAAGAAAGGGTATCAGTGATTGCAGATCAAATGAATGAAATGAAGTGAGAAGAGAAGTTTGGAGAAAAAAGAGTAAAAAGAAACGAACAAAGCCTCCAAGAAATATGGGGCTGTGTGAAAATACCAAATCTGCATCTGATCGGTGTACCTGAAAGTGACGGGGAGAATGGAGCCAAGTTGGAAAACACTCTGCAGGATACTATCCAGGAGAACTTCCCCAACCTAGTGAGGCAGGCCAACACTCACATTCAGAAAATACAGAGAACACCACAAAGATCCTCCTCGAGAAGAGCAACTCCAAGACACATAATTGTCAGATTCACCAAGGTTGAAATGAAGGAAAAAACATTAAGGGCAGCCAGAGAGAAAGGTTGGGTTACCCACAAAGGGAAGCCCATCAGACTAACAGCTGATCTCTCGGCAGAAACTCTACAAGACAGAAGAGAGTGGGGGCCAATATTCAGCATTCTTAAAGAATTTTCAACCCAGAATTTCATATCTAGCCAAACTAAGCTTCATAAGTGAAGGAGAAATAAAATCCTTTACAGACAAGCAAATGCTGAGAGATTTTGTCACCACCAGACCTGCCTTACAAGAGCTCCTGAAGGAAGCACTAAACATGGAAAGGAAAGACCAGTACCAGCTACTGCAAAAACATGCCAAATTGTAAAGACTATCAAGGCTAGGAAGAAACTGCATCAACTAATGAGCAAAATAACCAGCTAACATAATAATGATAGGATCAATTTCACACATAACAATATTAACCTTAAGTGTAAATGGGCTAAATGCTCCAATTAAAAGACACAGACTGGCAAATTGGATAAAGAGTCAAGACCCATCAGCGTGCTGTATTCAGGAAACCCATCTCACGTGCAGAGACACACATAGGCTCAAAATAAAGGGATGGAGGAAGATCTACCAAGCAAATGGAAAACAAAGAAAAGCAGGGGTTGCAATCCTAGTCTCTGATAAAACAGACTTTAAACCAACAAAGATCAAAAGAGACAAAGAAGGCCATTACATAATGGTAAAGGGATCAATTCAACAAGAAGAGCTAACTATCCTAAATATATATGCACCCAATACAGGAGCACCCAGATTCATAAAGCAAGTCCTTGGAGACCTACAAAGAGACTTAGACCCCCCACTGTCAACATTAGACAGATCAATGAGACAGAAAGTTAACAAGGATATCCAGTTAATTGAAATACGCTCTGCACCAAGTGGACCTAATAGACATCGACAGAACTCTCCACCCCAAATCAACAGAATATACATTCTTCTCAGCACCACATCACACTTATCCCAAAATTGACCACATAGTTGGAAGTAAAGCAATCCTCAGCAAATGTAAAAGAATAGAAGTTATAACAAACTGTCTATCAGACCACAGTGCAATCAAACTAGAACTCAGGATTAAGAAACTCACTCAAAACCGCTCAACTACATGGAAACAGAACAATCTGCTCCTGAATGACTACTGTGCACATAATGAAATGAAGGCAGAAATAAAGATGTTCTTTGAAACCCATGAGAACAAAAACACAACATACCAGAATCTCTGGGACACATTTAAAGAAGTGTGTAGAGGGAAATTTATAGCACTAAATAACCACAAGAGAAAGCAGAAAAGATCTAAAATTGACACCCTAACATCACAATTAAAAGAACTAGAGAAGCAAGAGCAAACACATTCAAAAGCTAGCAGAAGGCAAGAAATAACTAAGATCAGAGCAGAACTGAAGGAAATAGAGACACAAAAAACCCTTCAAAAAATCAATGAATCCAGGAGCTGGTTTTTTGAAAAGATCAACAAAATTGATAGACCACTAGCAACACTAATAAAGAAAAGAGAGAAGAATCAAATAGATGTAATAAAAAATGATAAAGAGGATATCACCAGTGATCCCACAGAAATACAAACTACCATCAGAGAATAGTATAAACACCTCTACGCAAATGAACTAGAAAATCTGGAAGAAATGGATAAATTCCTGCACACATACACCCTCCCAAGACTAAACCAGGAAGAAGGTGAATCCCTGAATAGACCAATAACAGGTTCTGAAATTGAGGCAATAATTAATAGCCTACCAACCAAAAAAAGTCCAGGACCAAATGGATTCACAGCCAAATTCTACCAGAGGTACAAAGAGGAGCTTGTACCATTCTTTCTGAAACTATTCCAATCAATAGAAAAAGAGGGAATCCTCCCTAATTCATTTTATGAGGCCAGCATCATCCTGATACCAAAGCCTGGCAGAGACACACAAAAAAAAGAGAATTTTAGACCAATATCCCTGATGAACATCGATGCAAAAATCCTCAATAAAATACTGGCAAACCAAATCCAGCAGCACACCAAAAAACTTATCCACCATGATCAAGTGGGCTTCATCCCTGGGATGCAAAGCTGGTTCAACATATGCAAATCAGTAAACGTAATTCATCATATAAACAGAACGAAAGAAAAAAACCACATGATTATCTCCATAGATGCAGAAAAGGCCTTTGACAAAATTCAACAGCGCTTCATGCTAAAAACTCTCAATAAATTAGGTACTGATGAGATGTATCTCAAAATAATAAGAGCTATCTATTACAAACCCACAGCCAATATCATATTGAATGGGCAAAAACTGGAAGCGTTCCCTTCGAAAACTGGTGCGAGACAGGGATGCCCTCTCTCACCACTCCTATTCAACATAGTGTTGTAAGTTCTGGCCAGGGCAATCAGGCAAGAGAAAGAAAGAAAGGGTACTGGATTAGGAAAAGAGGAAGTCAAATTGTCCCTGTTTGCACATGACGTGATTGTGTATTTAGAAAACCCCATTGTCTCAGCCCAAAATTTCCTTAAGCTGATAAGCAACTTCAGCCAAGTCTCAGGATACAAAATCAATGTACAAAAATCACAAGCATTCTTATACACCAATCACAGACAAACAGAGCCAAATTATGAGTGAACGCCCATTCACAATTGCTTCAAAGAGAATAAAATACCTAGGAATCCAACTTACAAGGGATGTGAAGGACCTCTTCAAGGAGAACTACAAACCACTGCTCAATGAAATAAAAGAGGATACAAACAAATGGAAGAACATTCCATGCTCATGGACAGGAAGAATTAATATTGTGAAAATGGCCATACTGCCCAGGGTAATTTATAGATTCAATGCCATCCCCATCAAGCTACCAATGACTTTCTTCACAGAACTGGAAAAAACTACTTTAAAGTTCATATGGAAAGACAATCCAAAAGCCAAAAGAACAAAGCTGGAGGCATCACGCTGCCTGACTTCAAACTATACTACAAGGCTACAGTAACCAAAACAGCATGGTACTGGTACCAAAACAGAGCTATACAGCAATGGAACAGAACAGAGCCCTCAGAAATAATGCCACACATCTACAACTATCTGATCTTTGACAAACCTGACAAAAACAAGAAAGGGGAAAAGGATTCTCTATTGAATAAATGGTGCTGGGAGAACTGGCTAGCCATATGTACAAAGCTGAAACTGGATCCCTTCCTTACACTGCATACAAAAATTAATTCAAGATGGGTTAAAGACTTAAATTTTAGACCTAAAACCATAAAATCCCTAGAAGAAAACCTAGGCAATACCATTCAGGACATAGGCATGGGCAAGGACTTCTTCACTAAAATGCCAAAAGCAATGGCAACAAAAACCAAAATTGACAAATGGGATCCAATTAAACTAAAGAGCTTCTGCACAGCAAAAGAAACTACCATCAGAGTGAACAGGCAACCTACAGAATGGGAGAACATTTTTACAATCTACCCATCTGACAAAGGCTAATATCCAGAATCTACAAAGAACTTAAACAAATCTACAAGACAAAATCAAACAACACCATCAAAAAGTGGGCAAAGGATATGAACAGACACTTCTCAAAAGAAGACATTTATGCAGCCAACAGACACATGAAAAAATGCTCATCATCACTGGACATCAGAGAAATGCAAATCAAAACCACAATGAGATACCATCTCACACCAGTTAGAATGGCGATCATTAAAAAGTCAGGAAACAACAGGTGCTGGAGAGGATGTGGAGAAATAGGAACACTTTTACACTGTTGGTGGGGCAGTAAACTAGTTCAACCATTGTGGAAGTCAGTGTGGCGATTCCTCAGGGATCTAGAACTAGAAATACCATTTGACCCAGCCATCCCATTACTGGGCATAAACCCAAAGGATTATAAATCATGCTTCTGTAAAGCCACATGCACATGAATGTTTATTGCGGCACTATTCGCAATAGCAAAGACTTGGAACCAACCCAAATGTCCATCAATGATAGACTGGATTAAGAAAATGGCACATATACACCATGGAATACTATGCAGCCATAAAAAAGGATGAGTTCATGTCCTTTGTAGGGACATGGATGAAGCTGGAAACCATCATTCTCAGCAAACTATTGCAAGGACAGAAAACCAAACACCACATATTCTCACTCATAGGTGGGAATTGAACAATAAGAACACTTGGACACAGGACAGGGAACATCACACACCAGGGCCTGTCGTGGGGTGGGTGGAGGGATAGCATTAGGAGATATACCTAAAGTAAATGAGGAGTTAATGGGTGTAGCACACCAACATGGCACATGTATACATATGTAACAAACCTGCACGTTGTACACATGTACCCTAGAACTTAGAGTATAATTTAAAAAAAAAGAAAGAAAAATGACATTCTCAGTAAAAACATTAAGTTTTGTGATGTTTCAACTTACCCTATCCCCATCTTCCTCTTCCCATCTGTGGTAGCCTTGAAAACCAATAGCCTTGTAATTATCTTGAAACCAGTAGTCTAGCAGCCACTGGAGAATGTATTTGGGGTTGGAATTCCTACAAAGCTCCATTCTCACCTGTCATTATTTGGCCTGTCTGGCATTTCCTTGGAAAATCCTACTCCCAATACTTGTCTGTATGTGACCTGTGTTAGAGCTCTTTCAGTATAAACACAGTTTTGCCCAGGGATATTTGTTGAAATAATTAGTGGCAATTGCTTCAGGTTGTGAAAGGACGTGTTGACCAAAACACTTTTTAAAAAGCTTGTCGGATCCATCTATTAAAGCATAGGAAAGATCTGACATTTTCCTACGAATCTAGAAGGGCCCTCACATGCAGAGACATGTTCTTGCATAGGGCTACGTACATACTCAAGAAAGACCCAAGAAGGCCCTAAATTCTCCACAAGTAAGAAGTAAAAGCTGTATATGTGCCACATTTTCCTTATACTATGCAGCCATAAAAAAGAATGAGTTCATGTCCTTTGTGGCGACACGGATGAAGCGAGAAACCATCATTCTCAGCAAACTAACACAGGAACAGAAAACCAAACACTGCATGTTCTCACTCACAAGTGGGAGTTGAACGATGAGAACATATGGGCACAGGGGAGGGGAACACCACACACTGGGGCCTATTGGGGATCAAGAGGAGGGATAGCATTAGGAGAAATTCCTAATGTAGATGGCGGGTTAAGAGGTGCAGCAAACCACCAAGGCACATGTAAACGTATGTAACAAATCTACATGTTCTGCACGTGTCCCAGAACTTGAGTATAATTTTTTAAAAAAAAAGGGGGGGGAAGAAAACATTTTAAATAGTATATACAAGCAACATTTGCTATGACTGTCCTAGGTTATCTCTGGACAATGCTTGTGATAATGTCAGCCCTATGACAACTAACCAGCTCTCAAGAAACTATCACTCTGTTCCTTGCCCCTGCATGGGCTGATACTGGCCCTAAATAGTGTACATGTAGAATTTCTTGCTTTCAGCCCCTCTCATTTGGTCCTGATAATCCTGTCTTCCTTCTACAGCAGAACTTCAAAATAAGAACTATTATCTTCATATACTGCTTGAGGAAGTTTAAATCATTCTCTCAATATAAACCATTTCACCCATTTGCTGGTTCAGTGAAGTGATTTTTTTCTTTTGTCAAATTTTATCTTTAACATCTGTTGAGATTTTGGCACAAACTTACTTCTAATGGTAAACTTGGGCCCAGAGAAATTGCAGTGAGAAAATACAGCACTTCCCCAAACAGCCCACTAACATCATGATTTCCCAATTGTCTGACATTAATAAATGACATTCTGCTGTCACTTTCTAAATAACATAAAGCTCAATAAACATTTATGTATGGTTTTCATTACAATGATCATATATTATTAATATTATGACATAGACTATATGCTCTTGAAGTATATCAGAAGTTTATATTTTCAGCACTCAGTTTCCCTGTCACTGGCTGAAAACATTAAATCACCCTATTGTTTTTAAAAAGAACTATTGTTTAGGAGACACTAAGCTTAGTGAGGGGTAGCACTATGTTTTATTCATTGCTCTATTCCAAGTGCCTGATATAGTATATGATACACAGAAAAACCCTTTGATAGATCAAATAAATTAATCTACTACAGCTATTCTATTTTAGTTTGCTAGAGTCCAGTAATATCAATTCATTTCCAGTAAGAATAATGAAAATGGAAAGTGGTTACTTAATGCTATTCTGTGCACAGAATTGTGCTGAGGTTACATATGTGTCTCATGACATCCTCTTTAGTAATGCATGTTTAATATTGTCATTTGACAGGTGAGGAAACTGAGGCTTGGACCAGTTTTGGAGTTTTCCTAAATTCATAAAGCTAATAAATAATGCTACCAGTATTAAACCCAACTTTCATTAAGTCCTAGGCTCTTGACAACGGACCCTACTTCTATCCCTAAGACTTTGCTCAATCAGGCCTTTCAGTCCCCGAAGTCCATATGGAAGTAGAGCTATTCTTTTATGGACCATTAGTTTGATCTTATCACTAGAACACTGACTTCCTGTTAGATTCTGATGCTGGTATATCTCTGGGTTTATTCTTCTTATTTTAGGGACACTAAGCTCCTTGCTGAATTTCTAAGAACTGAATAAAGCATATTCTTGAGAATTTCTAGTCTCTTATGCCTTGATTATTTTATCTCTTTTTTCCTTACCTTAAATTTAGGGTATTTTACAGAAATAGTGTATTATTTTTCTATTGTTGCTCTACCAAATAAACAAATTTTGTGGCTTAAATTGACATAAATTTATTATTTTACAATTCTGTAAAAGTCCTACATTACCCAAATAATTAGTTTTGGCCCACCAAAGTAATCAAAGATAATCTAACTTAATCGTATCTCCAAAATCCCTTTTGACATTTAAAGTAACTGTATTCACAAGTTCCAAGAATTAGGTTATGACATCTTTGCAGGAAACATTATTTTGCTTATTACAGATAGTTAACCTGTCCTCTATATTCCATAGAGGATTTCTTAATTGAAAATTCCTTTTAATCATTATAAGACTATTCCACCCAATTCAATTCAGCTTATTTCTTCATCTTATTAATCTTTCATTGTCCAAGGGGCAGCACAATAGATATAGAAAAGCCAAAATATAAGAAGTATATGTTGTTGCTCAGGACCTCAAGGTATTTACTAACTTCTGGGATAGATGTGATGTAGAATTAACTAAATGAAAAAGAGTGCTGAGTTGTGTCTAGAATTAAATATGCAATATAAGGTTTTTATCCATTTGATAACTTCAAGAGATATGATTTTAAAATCACTCTGGCTTATGGAATATAGCAAAATGCTAAGAAGGTATAGAAAAGTTAATATTTTTTATTTTCACTTTCAATTTGGTTATGAGATGTGCTTTAGAGGGAGGAACTGAATCTCCAAAAGTAATAAATAACTTACCAAAGGCCATGCAGAAAATGAATTGAAGAGCTTGTATTTAAATCCAGTTGTGCCTGACTCCAAAGTAAATGTTCTTTTCATTTATGCCTCTAGACATAACTAAATAGTTAACTCAAAAAAAGATTATTATTTTTTACATTTCTAACTGGTCATTAAGCCATTGTTTTATTAAATTCATCTATATACTCCAAGAAGATATAGTCTTATATGTTTCTGTGTAGGGTGAGGCTAGGTGATGAATTTTCAAATACTGAACTCTGTTTTCTTTGAAAGTGAAGCACTTTGTTTTATTTAGTGTGTGTTGAACAATGACTTTCCAGACACAACTGACAAGTTTTGTTTCTGGTTATTCATCTGATACCTACCACTTTAAAACTGAAAAGTGATATGTTGGCTTCAGCTCGTTAACAACAGCACCTAAAAGAAATATATGGTATGCCTGACAGACATCCTTTTTCAGTAACTGCTATAAAAACAAGCCTAATAGACTCAAAATTGTTATGGAAAAATTAATCATAGTGGATTAAGTGGAATCATTTTATGATTTCCACAGGCATTTCTTCTTAAGTACCTGGCCACAGTTTTCTTAGCTATATAAGGAAATATAAACTAAAACTTAACACAGGTAAAGCAAAACCTGAGAAGAAAGAAAGAACATAGAAAAGAAGGAAAAGAAAGCTTAACTAGCCCCCAAACAAAGTGAGATATGAAGTAGTTGTTGAGAAATTCCACAGACTTGAGAAGTCCAACTTCTTTGAAATGGTGTGGTAGAAAGTTGAGAACAGGCAATTATCCAGAAAAAAAGGATACATATTCTCCAAAGGCCACACATGCAGAGATGGTAAACATTCTTTACAATGGAGAGCATGTTTTATAAAAACAGTATTAAGCTGGAGATGAAGAAAAAGAGCATAACTTAAATAAATGCTTTCACTCTCTCTAAAAGTATTCACACCATTGTCCTTCCTTTTGTGCCAAAATATATACATACATATATATATACACACACATATTATGTATCTATATGTATATGTTTTGTAGGATTTGTGGAACACTTTATGTACCTCTCCAAAGGGAGAAAAAGAGCCAAAGATAAATTCCAAATTTGCCACTGACTCACTGAGGGACCCTGGGCAAATCATGTAAGCTTCTTCAAGTCTCAATTTCCTCAGCTGTAAATAAGTAGATTGAAATAGATTAGCTGTCAGGCCTATTTCGATTATATATATATACACTTTTTAGTAAGTTTCTGCAAATAATTGTGGAAACGTCAAAAACGCTTATCTACCAAGCTGAAGGTGAAAAGTGAAGGCTGTCAACATCCAGGTTCAAAATCAGCTTCTTTAGTGAATTAGTAGAATAATACATGAGTTACACCGTGATCAAGATTTCTGTGACCCGGAAAAATACCCTAGGTGGTGGCGCCAGTTATATTATTCACTCTGCCCACCACAAAATACTCAACCATGATAAGGTAATAATAATGGTTAGAAACAATCTTAAAATCAAGCACATCCTAAATGTAATGTAGTATCCTACATCAGGTCTCAGAACAGAATGAGGAAATAGTGGAAAAACTGGTGAAACTCAAATTCTTAACAGAATTGTACCAATATCAACTTCTTAGTTTTAGTTTGTTTGTTTTGTTTTGTTGTGAGACAGAGTCTCACTTTATCGCCCAGGCTGGAGTGCAGTGCCTTGATCTCGGCTCACTACAACCTCTGCTTCCTGGGTTCAAGCAATTCTCCCACATCAGCCTCCCAAGTAGCTGGCATTACAGGCGCCCATCACTACGCCTGGCTAATTTTTGTATTTTTAGTACAGACGGGGTTTTGTCATATTGGCTAGGCTGGTCTCAAACTCCTGACCTCAAGTGATCTGCACTCCTCAGCCTCCCAAATTGCTGGGATTACAGGCATGAGCCGTTGCGCCCTGCCAACTTCTTAGTTTTGACAAATATACAACATAGAAGATACTGGGAAGAGGGAATATGGGAACACCGTGTACTACTTTCCAACGTTTTAGTAATTCTAAAATTATTTCAAAATAAGAATGTTATCTAAACAAATTAAATACACCATTGGAAATTATTTTAGGTGGTTCTTTTTTAATGTCTCTTTTCCAGCACCTAGGTTTCCTTGATATCCACTGAATTTTTTCATTGAATTAGCCTCCATTTTATTCTGTGATGTCTCATATATCTGTTTGCCTCACAACCTCTAGGACAATGCATAGAATAGTAGTGATCAATAACTTTTCTTAACCAAATGAAGAAGAGAAGAGATGTATAACCCTCAACAGTACAATGTGGTATTACATACATGTTGGTGCTCAATTGGCATCTGGTGTGTCAGTGAATAGTTACTATTTATAAGAGAGATTCTTGCCCATTTGATTTGATTTCTCTGGAGTTTTGGTATTCTAAATGCTCTTTTGTCTGCTTTATAATGAAAAATAAGCAGGGAATTTGATTATCAATTATAAGGAGAAAGTTCTAGAACCATTTATTTGTATCTGTTGTGCTCTATCCTCTAGCCATTTCTGTTCTCTATCCATCTTCCCTGTAGGTACAACATAGTTAGATCTTGCAAATGATTTTCAAAAACTCTAAATTTCATATGGATGCAAATGGACAATAGCCCCAGTAGCCTTTTCCAGGCTGTTCATTTCCCTTTACTTATTCTCTTTTCCTACTCTATGCATCATTAATAATGCTAAAAATATCAGAGAACTAATAGTTACTGGAAAAGTTTGTGGCTAACAGGGTGGGTAGAAACAGGCACACACATTCTGGGTATGGAGTCAAGCTACATTTCTAAAACTGGCAACCAAGAAATGTAGAAATGGCTTCCCTCCCCTTTCTTGCCTCCCTGTCTGCACCACTTTTCTTTGTGTATCCCCAGACATGGTGGACAACAAGAAAAGGACCTGATATAAGGTGTTAGCACCATTCAGCTGCACCTGTGCCAAAGCATTAGTTAATGTCTCATTGAAGCGTTCCACATGTTTCTTTTACCTCAAGCCAGATTAGTGACGGCATTCTCACACGCTCCCTTAATCCTGGCCCCCATAAATCCTTTATGAGTCCCTCCCTCCATTGTCCTTCCCATCCATCAAGAACTTAGTGAAATTATTTGGCATGTACAGTACATCTTTTCCCTGAGCCCATTCACAAAGAAGCCCTGTCATTGCTATATTTTCAGCCACCATTCTTTCCCCCTACCTTTGAGTGTGTGTGTGTGTGTGTGTGTCTGTGTATTAGCGTGTGTTTGCAGTAGATGGCTAGTGAGAGGGGGTAGACAGTTCTACAAATGGTGAGGATTTGATAATGATATGGGAAAACTTAGGCTAGGGTAAGGGTGAAAGGGAGAGGTTATCCAATGTAGAAAACTTAGATCCTAATAGCTTTCATGCAGTCTTATTATGTGTCTATAGACATAAACTAGGCTGAATTTTATCAGTAATAGTGACTAAGATCAATGTCTCCAAATAATAATGTAATCTTCCAAACCTGTCCCTTTTCTTATATCTAGAATAACTGTAATTGAAAAAAAATTGAATCACTATCTGGAGAGATAAACTAGTACTAAATTCTCTACTACCTCCTTGAAGGGGATTAAGCACCCCTCATTTAGTTTATATAGTCTGATATTTTTCAATTTCTTTATCAGCATTGTGCCCTGAGGAAAAAATTTAAATTTTATTGCTATAAATAATGTAACTAATTAAAATAATTTACATTTGGAGAGTGATGTCACCAAGATGGTAGCACAGGAGTATCCAGGGCTTATCTCCTCACAGAAGCATTAATTTGAACAAACATCCATGCTTAAAAATACGTTCACAAGAGTTAAGGAATCCAGGTGACAAATTACAGCACCTGGCTGAAGCACAGAAATAAGAAAATATGCATTAAAGAGAGTAGGAAGGACAGTTTTACATTACCTCAGCCACTCCTCCCCCAAGCCCACACAGCAGAGTACAAAGAAAGATAACCTTTACATAAGGAAAGGAGACTGAAGCGAGCACCCAGCTTCACCATCAACCCCAGTATTGGGCCCACCTCAGTGAACTCTGCCACCAGACCTGCTCCCATGGCTTTGGGTTCCAAGCTGGCCCCCATAGCCCCAGTGCTCAGGTCAGCACTCACAGACCAAGACTCCAAGCCCACACCAGTACCAGGCCATTCCCCTGTAAACCCAGGCTTCATACCTGTCAAGCACCAGGCCGGCCCCCATGGACCCAGAATCCAAGCCTATCTTTGAGGATTCAGCTCCACTCTCACCTTGCTCCCTCCCTCACCTCCATGGTCTCAGGCACCAGGCTTTCCCCTGTGGACCCAGGTGCCAGGCCTACCTGAGTAGATCACAGTACTAAGACAGACCCCACAAACTCAGGATCAGGCCTATCCTCATGGCCCCAGGTGGCAGACCCACTGTAGCACCAAGCTGGACCCTGCAGACTCAGGCTCAAGGCCTGCTGCAGCACCATGACAATATATCAGCCCCTGTGGACTTAGGCTTCCAGAAGGCCCTCACAAACCCAGGTTCCTGGCGCACCCCAGTGGACCCATACTCCAGACCTAGTATGGATAGGCCCACCTGAGTGAACCTAGCTGATAGGCCCACCTAGCTGATAGGCTCACCTAGCTGATAGGCTCCACGCTATGCTTGTGGAACCAGGATCCAGGCCTGCACCCATGGAACAAGGCTCCAGGCTTGCCCACACAGAGCAAGGCACCAGGTCTTCCCATGTGGACCCAGACACTAGCCCAGCCCTGTGGACACAGGAGCCAGGCCTACTCACTGACAGAGGCATCAGACCAACCCACCTGAGGACTATAGTACCAAACCTACCCATGGACCCTACCATCTGGCCTGCTCAGAACTTCTGGATGGGTTGACTGATGAAGAGCTTTTCCTGCCAAAGCCAGTCTTCAAAGATTGGAAGAAGTGCCTACTTCTTCAAATGTGCAGACACGAATGCAAAGCCACAGGATCATAAATAATCATGGAAACATGGCACCAATAGCGGAACAAAAGAAAGTGCTAGTAGCCAACACTAAAGAGATGGAGATCTGTGAAATGCCAGACAAAGAATTCCAAATACTTTTCTTAGTAAGTTCATCAAGCTATAAAAGAACACAGAAGGACAACTTAAAAAACAGGAAAACAATACATGAACAAAATTAGAAGTTCAGCAAAGATGTAGAAACCATAAAAAAAAAAAGCCAAACTTTGGAGCTGAAAAACAAAAGATGAAGCTGAGAAATTTCTCAGAGACATTTAAGACAGCACACAATCAAGTAGAAGAAAAAATTGGTGAGTTTAAAGACAGGTCAGGGAGGAGCCAAGATGGCCGAATAGGAACAGCTGCGGTCTACAGCTCCCAGCATGAGTGACGAAGAAGACGGGTGATTTCTGCATTTCTATCTGAAGTACCGGGTTCATCTCACTAGGGAGTGCCAGACAGTGGGCGCAGGTCAGTGGGTGCGCGCACCAAGCGCGAGGCGAAGCAGGGCGAGGCATTGCCTCACTTGGGAAGCGCAAGGGGTCAGGGAGTTCCCTTTCCTAGTCAAAGAAAGGGGTGACGGATGGCACCTGGAAAATCGGGTCACTCCCACCTGAATACTGTGCTTTTCCGACAGGCTTAAAAAACGGCGCACCACGAGATTATATCCCGCACCTGGCTCGGACAGTCCTACGCCCACAGAGTCTCGCTGATTGCTAGCGCAGCAGTCTGAGATCAAACTGCAAGACGGCAGCAAGGCTGGGGGAGGGGCGCCCGCCATTGCCCAGGCTTGCTTAGGTAAACAAAGCAGCCGGTAAGCTCGAACTGGGTGGAGCCCACCACAGCTCAAGGAGGCCTGCCTGCCTCTGTAGGCTCCACCTCTGAGGGCAGGGCACAGACAAACAAAAAGACAGCAGTAACCTCTGCAGACTTAAATGTCCCTGTCTGACAGCTTTGAAGAGAGCAGTGGTTCTCCCAGTACGCAGCTGGAGATCTGAGAAGGGGCAGACTGCGTCCTCAAGTGGGTGCCTGACCCCTGAGCCCCAAGCAGCCTAACTGGGAGGCACCCCCCAACAGGGGCACACTGACACCTCACACGGCAGGGTACTCCAACAGACCTGCAGCTGAGGGTCCTGTCTGTTAGAAGGAAAACTAACAAACAGAAAGGACATCCACACCAAAAACCCATCTGTACATCACCTTCATCAAAGACCAAAAGTAGATAAAACCACAAAGATGGGGAAAAAACAGAACAGAAAAACTGGAAACTAAAAAAGCAGAGCACCTCTCCTCCTCTAAAGGAACACAGTTCCTCACCAGCAACGGAACAAAGCTGGAGGGAGAATGACTTTGACGAGCTGAGAGAAGAAGGCTTCAGACAATCAAATTACTCTGAGCTACAGGAGGACATTCAAACCAAAGGCAAAGAAGTTGAAAACTTTGAAAAATATTTAGAAGAATGTGTAACTAGAATAACCAATACAGAGAAGTGCTTAAAGGAGCTGATGGAGCTGAAAACCAAGGCTCGAGAACTATGTGAAGAATGCAGAAGCCTCAGGAGCCGATGTGATCAACTGGAAGAAAGGGTATCAGTGATGGAAGATGAAATGAATGAAATGAAGCGAGAAGGGAAGTTTAGAGAAAAAAGAATAAAAAGAAATGAACAAAGCCTCCAAGAAATATGGGACTATGGAAAAGACCAAATCTACATCTGATTGGTGTACCTGAAAGTGATGGCGAGAATGGAACCAAGTTGGAAAACACTCTGCAGGATATTATCCAGGAGAACTTCCCCAATCTAGCAAGGCAGGCCAACGTTCAGATTCAGGAAATACAGAGAATGCCACAAAGATACTCCTCGAGAAGAGCAACTCCAAGACACATAATTGTCAGATTCACCAAAGTTGAAATGAGGGAAAAAATGTTTAGGGCATCCAGAGAGAAAGGTCGGGTTACCCTCAAAGGGAAGCCCATCAAACTAACAGCGGATCTCCTGGCAGAAACCCTACAAGCCAGAAGAGAGTGGGGGCCAATATTCAACATTCTTAAAGAGAAGAATTTTCAACCCAGAATTTCATATCCAGCCAAACTAAGCTTTATAAGTGAAGGAGAAATAAAATCCTTTACAGACAAGCAAATGCTGAGAGATTTTGTCACCGCCAGGCCTGCCCTAAAAGAGCTCCTGAAGGAAGTGCTAAACATGGAAAGGAACAACCAGTACCAACCGCTGCAAAATCATGCCAAATTGTAAAGTCCATCGAGGCTAGGAAGAAACTGCATCAACTAATGAGCAAAATAACCAGCTAACATCATAATGACAGGATCAAATTCACAAATAACAATATTAACTTTAAATGTAAATCGACTAAATGCTCCAATTAAAAGACACAGACTGGCAAATTGGATAAAGAGTCAAGACCTATCAGTGTACTGTATTCAGGAAACCCATCTCATGTGCAGAGACACACATAGGCTCAAAAGAAAAGGAAGGAGGAAAATCTACCAAGCAAAGGGAAAACATAAAAAGGCAGGGGTTGCAATCCTAGTCTCTGATAAAACAGACTTTAAACCAACAAAGATCAAAAGAGACAAAGAAGGCCATTACATAATGGTAAAGGGATCAATTCAACAAGAAGAGCTAACTATCCTAAATATATATGCACCCAATACAGGAGCACCCAGATTCATAAAGCAAGTCCTTAGAGACCTACAAAGAGACTTAGACTGCCACACATTAATAATGGGAGACTTTAACACACCACTGTCAACATTAGACAGATCAACGAGACAGAAAGTCAACAAGGATACCCAGGAATTGAACTCAGCTCTGCACCAAGCAGACCTAATAGACATCTACAGAACTCTCCACCCCAAATCAACAGAATATACATTTTTTTCAGCTCCACACCACACCTATTCAAAAATTGACCACATACTTGGAAGTAAAGCTCTCCCCAGCAAATGCAAAAGAACAGAAATTATAACAAACTATCTCTCAGACCACAGTGCAATCAAACTAGAACTCAGGATTAAGAATCTCACTCAAAGCCGCTCAACTACATGGAAACTGAACAACCTGCTCCTGAATGACTACTGGGTACATAACGAAATGAAGGCAGAAATAAAGATGTTCTTTCAAACCAATGAGAACAAAGACACAACATACCAGAATCTCTGGGACACATTCAAAGCAGTGTGTAGAGGGAAATTTATAGCACTAAATGCCCACAAGAGAAAGCAGGAAAGATCCAAAATTGACACCCTAACATCACAATTAAAAGAACTAGAAAAGCAAGAGCAAACACATTCAAAAGCTAGCAGAAGGCAAGAAATAACTAAGATCAGAGCAGAACTGAAGGAAATAGAGACACAAAAAACCCTTCAAAAAATTAATGAATCCAGGAGCTGGTTTTTTGAAAGGATCAACAAAATTGATAGACCACTAGCAAGACTAATAAAGAAAAAAAGAGGGAAGAATCAAATAGATGCAATAAAAAATGATAAAGGAGATATCACCACCGATCCCACAGAAATACAAACTACCATCAGAGAATACTACAAACACCTCTACGCAAATAAACTACAAAATCTAGAATAAATGGATAAATTCCTTGACACATACACTCTCCCAAGACTAAACCAGGAAGAAGTTGAATCTCTGAATAGACCAATAACAGGTTCTGAAATTGTGGCAATAATCAATAGCTTACCAACCAAAAAGAGTCCAGGACCAGACGGATTCACAGCCAAATTCTACCAGAGGTACAAGGAGGAACTGGTACCATTCCTTCTGAAACTATTCCAATCAATAGAAAAAGAGGGAATCCTCCCTAATTCATTTTATGAGGCCAGCATCATTCTGATACCAAAGCTAGGCAAATACACAACCAAAAAAGAGAATTTTAGACCAATATCCTTGATGAACATTGATGCAAAAATCCTCAATAAAATACTGGCAAACCGAATCCAGCAGCACATCAAAAAGCTTATCCACCATGATCAAGTGGGCTTCATCCCTGGGATGCAAGGCTGGTTCAATATACGCAAATCAATAAATGTAACACAGCATATAAACACAGCCAAAGACAAAAACCACATAATTATCTCAATAGATGCAGAAAAGGCCTTTGACAAAATTCAACAACACTTCATGCTAAAAACTCTTAATAAACTCGGTATTGATGGGACGTATCTCAAAATAATAAGAGCTATCTATGACAAACCCACAGCCAATATCATACAGAATGGGCAAAAACTGGAAGCATTCCCTTTGAAAATTGGCACAAGACAGGGATGCCTTCTCTCACCACTCTTATTCAACATAGTGTTGGAAGTTCTGGCCAGGGCAATCAGGCAGGAGAAGGAACTAAAGGGTATTCAGTTAGGAAAAGAGGAAATCAAATTGTCCCTGTTTGCAGATGACATGATTGTATATCTAGAAAACCCCATTGTCTCAGCCCAAAATCTCCTTAAGCTGATAAGCAACTTCAGCAAAGTCTCAGGATACAAAATCAATGTACAAAAATCACAAGCATTCTTATACACCAACAACAGACAAACAGAGAGCCAAATCATGAGTGAATCCCCATTCACAATTGCTTCAAAGAGAATAAAATACCTAGGAATCCAACTTACAAGGGATGTGAAGGACCTCTTCAAGGAGAACTACAAACCACTGCTCAATGAAATAAAAGAGGATACAAACAAATGGAAGAACATTCCATGCTCATGGGTAGGAAGAATCAATATTGTGAAAATGGCCATACTGCCCAAGGTAATTTACAGATTCAATGCCATCCCCATCAAGCTACCAATGCCTTTCTTCACAGAATTGGAAAAAACTACTTTAAAGTTCATATGGAACCAAAAAAGAGCCCGCATCGCCAAGTCAATCCTAAGCCAAAAGAACAAAGCTGGAGGCATCACGCTACCTGACTTCAAACTATACTACAAGGCTACAGTCACCAAAACAGCATGGTACTGGTACCAAAACAGAGATATAGATCCATGGAACAGAACAGAGCCCTCAGAAATAACGCTGCATATCTACAACTATCTGATCTTTGACAAACCTGACAAAAACAAGAAATGGGGAAAGGATTCCCTATTTAATAAATGGTGCTGGGAAAATTGGCTAGCCATATGTAGAAAGCTGAAACTGGATCCCTTCCTTACACCTTATACAAAAATCAATTCAAGATGGATTAAAGACTTAAACGTTAGACCTAAAACCATAAAAACCCTAGAAGAAAACCTAGGCATTACCATTCAGGACATAGGCATGGGCAAGGACTTCATGTCTAAAACACCAAAAGCAATGGCAACAAAGCCAAAATTGACAAATGGCATCGAATTAAACTAAAGAGCTTCTGCACAGCAAAAGAAACTACCATCAGAGTGAACAGGCAACCTACAAAATGGGAGAAAATTTTCGCAACCTACTCATCTGACAAAGGGCTAATATCCAGAATCTACAATGAACTCAAACACATTTACAAGAAAAAAACAAACCACCCCATCAACAAGTGGGCAAAGGACATGAACAGATACTTCTCAAAAGAAGACATTTATGCAGCCAAAAAACACATGAAAAAATGCTCACCATCACTGGCCATCAGAGAAATGCAAATCAAAACCACAATGAGATACCATCTCACACCAGTTAGAATGGCAATCATTAAAAAGTCAGGAAACAACAGGTGCTAGAGAAGGATGTGGAGAAATAGGAACACTTTTACACTGTTGGTGGGACTGTAAACTAGTTCAACCATTGTGGAAGTCAGTGTGGCGATTCCTCAGGGATCTAGAACTAGAAATACCATTTGACCCAGCCATCCCATTACTGGGTATATACCCAAAGGATTATAAATCATGCTGCTATAAAGACACATGCACACGTATGTTTATTGTGGCATTATTCACGATAGCAAAGACTTGGAACCAACCCAAATGTCCAACAATGATAGACTGGATTAAGAAAATGTGGCACATATACACCATGGAATACTATGCAGCCATAAAAAATGATGAATTCACATCCTTTGTAGGGACATGGATGAAATTGGAAATCATCATTCTCAGTAAACTATCGCAAGAACAAAAAACCAAACACCGCATATTCTCACCCATAGGTGGGAATTGAACAATGAGATCACATGGACACAGGAAGGGGAACATCACACTCTGGGGACTGTTGTGGGGTGGGGGGAGGGGGGAGGGATAGCATTGGGAGATATACCTAATGCTAGATGACAAGTTAGTGGGTGCAGCACAGCAGCATGGCACATGTATACATACGTAACTAACCTGCACATTGTGCACATGTCCCCTAAAACTTAAAGTATAATAAAAAAAGAAAACAAACAAACAAACAAACAAAAGACAGGTCATTTGAAATTATCCAGTGAGAAGACTGAAAAGAAAAAAGAACTTTAAAAAGTGAAGAAAGCCTATAGGACTTATTGGACACCATAATGTAAACTAATTTATGCATTATGGGAGTCCTATAAGGAGCAGAGAAAGAGAAAGGGTAAGATGCTTATTTAAAGAAACAACAGAAAGTTTCCCAAATCCAGAAAGGGAAATAAACACCCAGACCATGAAGCCAAAAGAACTCCAAATATTAAACATAAAGATATCTTTAATGAGACACATTATAATGAAATCCTTAAAAGTCAAACTGGGAAAGAGAAAAATGATATATTTAAAGTGCTGAAAGACAAAAGAAAAACCTGCCTACCAATGAATAGTATAAACAGGAAATCTACCCTTCAGAAATGAAGACTCCAAGGGCAACAAAAGCTGAAGGAGTTCATCACCACTAGATCTCCCTTATAAGAAATACTAAAGGAACTTCAAGTTGGAATGAATTGACACAACATAGAAACATGTGAAAATATAAAATTGACTGTCAACAAAAGAATGTATTTCAAATTAGATTACTCAGATACTGCAATGGTGATACATAAATCACTTTCAACTCATATAAAAGTTATGTAAGTAATAACTATATAATAATTTGTGAATTAATATATGATAAATAAAAGAGGCCAATTGAATCAGTAACAGAAAATGTGGGAGGAGGAACAGTTGAAGTGTAGAGTGTCTGTATTTGCACATGACTTGATCTAATATATGTAAAACCCTAAAGTCTCAAAAAAAATACTGTTAGAATAAACTAATTCAGTAAATTTTCAGCATACCAAATCAACATACAAAAATCAGTTGCATGTCTAAACATCAATAACAAGCTACCCAAAAATGAAATTAAGAAAACAATCTCACATACTGTAACATACTTAGAAATAAATTTAACCAGGAAGGTGAAAAATCAGTACACTGAAAACCATGAAACACTGATGGAAGAAATTGAAGAAGACACAAATAAATGGAAAGATATTCTATGCTTGTAGATTGAAATAATATTGTTAAAATGTCCATACAAAGCAATTTACACCCAAAGCAATTTATAGATTCAATGCAATGTCTATCAAAATTCCAATACTATTTTTCACAGGAATTCCAATACTATTTTTCCAATACTATTTTTCACAGAAATAGAAAAAGCAATTCTAAAATTCATATGGAAACAAAAAGACACTAAATAGCCAAAACGATCTTGAGAAAAAAGAACAAATTTTGACTCATCACACCATTTGATTTTTTGATTTCACACTATACTACAAAGCTATAGTAAGCTAAACATTATGTTACTAGAATAGAAAGAGACATATAGACCAATAGAACAAAATAGAGAGCCCAGAAGTAAATGTATATATTTACAGACAACTGATCTTTCACATACTTGCCAAGAAGACATAATGAGGAAAGGACAGTCTCTTCAAAAAACAGTGTTGTGAAACCTGAATATCGACATGAAGAAGAATGAAATTAGACCCTTACTTCACACCGTAAATAAAAATAAGCTCAAATGAATTAAATACTTAAATGTAAGACCTGAAACTGTAAAACTACTAGAAGAAAATATAGTGTAGGAAAAAATGTTTTAGACATTGCCCTGGGCAATGCCTTTTTGGATGTGATCCAAAAATTATAGGTAACAAAAGTGAAACTATACAAACAGTATTGCATCAAAATACAAACCTTCTGTATGCAAACAACCAATAAAATGAAGAGGCAACTGGTGGAATAAAAGAAAACATTCATCAGCCATATATGAGACAAAGGGTTAATATCTAAAATACGTGAGTCACTCAAACAATTCAATAGCAAGAAAACAGGTAATCTGATTAAAATATGAGCAAAATACCTATACAGATATCTCTCAAAAGACGACACACAAATGCCCTAAAGATATGTGGGAAAAAAAGTTCAACATCACCAATTATCAGGGAATGCAAATCAAAATGACAATAAGATATCACCTTGGACCTATTACTATGGCTATTATCATAAGGAAAAAGATAGCAAGTGTTGATGAGGATGTGAAAATAAAGGAACCTTTGTACACTGTTGGTGGGAGTATAAATTGGTACAGCCATTATGGAAAACAGTGTGGAGTTTCCTAAAAAAAAAAAATAAAAGTAGACTACCATATGATCCAGCAATACTATTTCTGGGTATATATCCAAAGGAAATAAAATAAGTATGTTGAATAGATATCTGTACCTCCATATTCATTGCAGAATTATTTACAATAGCCAAGATACAGAATCAACATATGTGCTCATGAATGCATGAATGGATAAAGAAAATCGGATGTGATATATACATATACACATTCACACACACACAATGCAATGTTATTCAGCCTTAACAACAATAAAAAAGAAATCCAGTCATTTGCAGCAATGTGGATGAGACTGAAGGTCATTATGCTAAGTGAAACAAGCCTTAGAAACACAGAAAAATAAATACAGAATGCCTCAATTTTTGTGAAATCTAAAAAAAAAGTCAAACTCACAGAATTAGTAGTATGGTGTTTTCCAGGGACGGTGGTTGGGGCAAGTAGGGAGATGACAGTCACAACCTGTAAAGTTTCAGTTACGCAAGTAAATAAATTCCGAAGATCTAATGCACTGCAAGGTGACTATAGTTAAAATGCCATTCGATATGTTCAAAATCTGCTAAGAAAGTAGATCTGGGTCAGGTGCAGTGGCTCACACCTGTAATCCCAGGACTTTGGGAAGCCGAGACCAGCATGGCCAACATAGTGAAACCCCGTCTCTACTAAAAATACAGAAAAAAAAAAAATTAGCCAGGCATGGTGGAAGGTGCCTGTAATCCTAGCTACTCAGGAGGCTGAGGCAGGAGAATCCCTTGAACCTGGGAGGCGGAGGTTGCAGTGAGCCGAGATCATCCCACTGCACACCAGCCTGGCAACAGTGTGAGACTCCGTCCCAAAAAAAAAAAAAAATGTAGATCTGAAATGTTCTTAGCCTACTAATAAGAGGGTAACTATGTGAGATGTGTTAATTAGTTTGATTGTGGCAACCATTACACAATGTACACATGTAAAAAAACATAAATATATACAACTTTTATTTGCCAATTATATCTCAATAAAGGTGGAAAAATAATTTATATTTTAATTAGGTTAATTTTTCCTAATAGAGAAATTAAAAACTACGGGATAATATTTTTTCGGGTGGGTTAAGCTTTGGAAGGCCATAAACCATTATAATATCTAAGATTTTTTCACTCTTCAAGAACCAATTTTTGTCCCATTGGTGACAATATTGTCTCTGGTGGGAAAATATCATCTACTTTTCTGTATTTTATCTATTGACCTCCAATTTGAGATGTTAATTCTTTACACCTTTTTCTTTTTTTCTGGAGAGAGGTAAAGATAAAGTCAGAACGTGATAGTATGTCATTTTCTAGGAACAGATGATATGACCTCACTGTATTTAGAAACTGTTGAAATTTCTGGCTTTGGCTTAAAATGATTCTTTTTTTCAGTTGTTAATGCCTTATTTTCAAATCAAAATATCTTATATTATAAAAATTACACACATTCATTACAATGCAAACTCATTACTTATGATCTTATTGCACACTTTAAAATAGAGCTAAGCTTTTATGCACTTAACACCAAAAGGTTTTTTTTTTTTTAATAAAAATGAATCACGCATTTAAATACCCTTTGGTAATCTTTTCACTTTCACTTTATAATATGTCACAAATAGCTTTACACGACCAAAAAATATCTAGATTTTTTATGGTTACATAGTTTTTCATTGAATAAATGCATCTAAAATTATTTAATCAGTCATCTATTGAGGTATATTTACATTGTTTCTAATCTTCACTATTATGAAAAATATTCCACAAGGAATATCATCATGTGTACATCTTTGGTTATTGCCCAATTATTTTCTGTGGATAGGTTCCTAAGGGTAGAAGAGTTTGCTTAAAAAGAATTCACAAATCCAATGTTGATCCACATTGCCAGATTGCCCTTCAATTAAAATTTTCTTCAGTTTATCTTGTATGATTTGCATTTCTTTGTCCATTTGTGGATAAAATGTATCAATATTACAGTTTGAATTTCCCTAATTACTCATTATATTGAATATATTTTAAACACGTTTTTTGGCCCCTTGGATTCCTCACCTATGAATTTCCTATGCATATCCATTGCTCAATTTTCTGCTGCTTTTTTCTTATTTATGGAATTTTATTAAATAAACTGGATACCACAATTTGACTATATTTGCGTGGCCTAATCATCTTTCTATCTGACATGATACATTTATTTCTAACCTGAGTAGTCTTTTAATGCAACACTTTTATGTTAATGTAGTTGAAATCTATAAACTTATTATCTTGGATTTCGCTTTTGGTATTTTTTTTATTATTATTATAGTTTAAGTTTTAGGGTACATGTGCACAACGTGCAGGTTTGTGACATATGTATACATGTGCCATGTTGGTGTGCTACACCCATTAACTCCTCATTTACTTTAGGTATATCTCCTAATGCTATCCCTCCCCTCTCCCCCCACCCCATAACAGTCCCCAGAGTGTGATGTTCCCCTTCCTGTGTCCATGTGATCTCATTGTTCAGTTCCCACCTATGAGTGAGAACATGCAGTGTTTGGTTTTTTGTCCTTGCAATAGTTTGCTGAGAATGATGGTTTCCAGCTTCATCCATGTCCCTACAAAGGACATGAACTCATCATTTTTTATGGCTGCATAGTATTCTATGGTGTATATGTGCCACATTTTCTTAATCCAGTCTATCATTGGTGGACATTTGGGTTGGTTCCAAGTCTTTGCTATCGTGAATAGTGCCGCAATAAACATACGTGTGCATGTGTCTTTATAGCAGCATGATTTATAATCCTTTGGGTATATACCCAGTAATGGGATGGCTGGGTCAAATGGTATTTCTAGTTCTAGATCCCTGAGGAATCGCCACACTGACTTCCACAATGGTTGAACTAGTTTACAGTCCCACCAACAGTGTAAAAGTGTTCCTATTTCTCCACATCCTCTCTAGCACCTGTTGTTTCCTGACTTTTTAATGATTGCCATTCTAACTGATGAGAGATGGTATCTCATTGTGGTTTTGATTTGCATTTCTCTGATGGCCAGTGATGGTGAGCATTTTTTCATGTGTTTTTTGGCTGCATAAATGTCTTCTTTTGAGAAGCATCTGTTCATGTCCTTCACCCACTTTTTGATGGGGTTGTTTTTTCTTGTAAATGTGTTTGAGTTCATTGTAGATTCTGGATATTAGCCCTTTGTCAGATGAGTAGGTTGTGAAAATTTTCTCCCATTTTGTGGGTTGCCAGTTCACTCTGATGGTAGTTTCTTTTGCTGTGCAGAAGCTCTTTAGTTGAATTAGATCCCATTTGTCAATTCTGGCTTTTGTTGCCATTGCTTTTGGTGTTTTAGACATGAAGTCCTTGCCCATGCCTATGTCCTGAATGGTATTGCCTAGGTTTTCTTCTAGGGATTTTATGGTTTTAGGTCTAACATCGAAGTCTTTAATCCATCTTGAATTAATTTTTGTATAAGGTGTAAGGAAGGGATCCACTTTCAGCTTTGTACATATGGCTAGCCAGTTTCCTCAGCACCATTTATTCAATACGGAATCCTATTCCCATTTCTTGTTTTTGTCAGGTTTGTCAAAGATCAGATGGTTGTAGATATGCAGCATTATTTCTGAGGGCTCTGTTCTGTTCCATTGGTGTATAGCTCTGTTTTGGTACCAGCACCATGCTGTTTTGGTGACTGTAGCCTTGTAGTATGGTTTGAAGTCAGGTAGCATGATGCATCCAGCTTTGTTCATTTGGCTTAGGACTGACTTGGTGATGCAGGCTCTTTTTTGGTTCCATATGAACTTTAAAGTAGTTTTTTCCAATTCTGTGAAGAAAGGCGTTGGTAGTTTGATGGGGATGGCATTGAATCTATAAATTACCTTGGGCAGTATGGCCATTTTCACAATATTGATTCTTCCTACCCATGAGCATGGAATGTTCTTCCATTTGTTTGTATCCTCTTTTATTTCATTGAGCAGTGGTTTGTAGTTCTCCTTGAAGAGGTCCTTCACATCCCTTGTAAGTTGGATTCCTAGGTATTTTATTCTCTTTGAAGCAATTGTGAATGGGAGCTCACTCATGATTTGGCTCTCTGTCTGTTATTGGTGTATAAGAATTCTTGTGATTTTTGTACATTGATTTTTGTATCCTGAGACTTTGCTGAAGTTGCTTATCAGCTTAAGGAGATTTGGGGCTGAGACAATGGGATTTTCTAGACATACAATCATGTCATCTGCAAACAGGGACAATTTGACTTCCTCTTTTCCTAATTGAATACCCTTTATTTCCTTCTCCTGCCTGAATGCCCTGCCAGAAATTCCAATGCTATGTTGAATAGGAGTGGTGAGAGAGGGCATCCCTGTCTTGTGCCAGTTTTCAAAGGGAATGCTCCCAGTTTTTACCCATTCCGTATGATATTAGCTGTGGGTTTGTCATAGATAGCTCTTATTATTTTGAGATATGTCTGATCAATACCCAATTTATTGAGAGTTTTTAGCATGAAGTGTTGTTGAATTTTGTCAAATGCCTTTTCTGCATCTATTGAGATAATCATTTCGTTTTTGTCTTTGGTTCTGTTTATATGCTGGATTACATTTATTGATTTGCGTATGTTGAACGAGACTTGCATCCCAGGAATGAAGCCCACTTCATCATGTTGGATAAGCTTTTTGATGTGCTGCTGGATTCGGTTAGGCAGTATTTTACTGAGGATTGTTGCATCAGGGTTCATCAAGGATATTTGTCTAAAATTCTCTTTTTGGTTCTGTCTCTGCCAGGCTTTGGTATCAGGATGACGCTGGCCTCAAAAAATGAGTTAGGGAGGATTCCCTCTTTTTCTATCGATTGGAATAGTTTCAGAAGGAATGGTACCAGTTCCTCCTTGTACCTCTGGTAGAATTTGGCTGTGAATCCATCTGGTCCTGGACTTTTTTTGGTTGATAAGCTATTGATTATTGCCTCAATTTCAGAGCCTGTTATTGGTCTATTCAGAGATTCAACTTCTTCCTGGTTTAGTCTTGGGAGGATGTATGTGTCGAGGAATTTATCCATTTATTCCAGATTTTCTAGTTTATTTGTGTAGAGGTGTTTATAGTATTCTCTGATGGTAGTTTGTATTTCTGTGGGATCGGTGGTGATATCCTCTTTATCATTTTTTATTGCATCTATTTGATTCTTCTTTCTTTTCTTCTTTATTACTCTTGCTAGTGGTCTATCTATTTTGTTGATCTTTTCAAAAAACCAGCTCTTGGATTCACTGATTTTTTGAAGGGTGTTTTGCGTCTCTATTTCCTTCAGTCTGCTCTGATCTTAGTTATTTCTTGCCTCCTGCTAGCTTTTGAATGTGTTTGCTCTTGCTTCTCTAGTTCTTTTAATTGTGACATTAGGGTGTCAATTTTATATCTTTCCTGCTTTCTCTTGTGGGCATTTAGTGCTATAAATTTCCCTCTACACACTGCTTTGAATGTGTCCCAGAGATTCTGGTATGTTGTGTCTTTGTTCTCGTTGGTTTCAAAGAACATCTTTATTTCTGCCTTCATTTCGTTATGTACCCAGTAGTCATTCAGGGGCAGGTTGTTCAGTTTCCATGTAGTTGAGCGGTTTTGAGTGAGTTTCTTAATCCTGAGTTCTAGTTTGATTTCACTGTGGTCTGAGAGACTGTTATAATTTTTGTTCTTTTACATTTGCTGAGGAGTGCTTTACTTGGAGCTATGTGGTCAGTTTTGGAACAGGTGTGGTGTGGTGCTGAAAAGAATGTATATTCTGTTGATTTGGGGTGGAGAGTTCTGTAGATGTCTATTAGGTCCCCTTGGTGCAGAGCTGAGTTCAATTCCTGGATATCCTTCTTAAATTTCTGTCTCGCTGATCTGTCTAATGTTGACAGTGGGGTGTTAAAGTCTCCCATTATTATTGTGTGGGAGTCTAAGTCTCTTTGTAGGCCACTCAGGACTTGCTTTATGAATCTGGGAGCTCCTGTATTGGGTGCATACATATTTAGGATAGTTAACTCTTCTTGTTGAATTGATCCCTTTACCATTATGTAATGACTTTCTTAGTCTCTTTTAATCTTTGTTGGTTTAAAGTCTGTTTTATAAGAGACTAGGATTGCAACCCCTGCCTTTTTCTGTTTTCCATTTGCTTGGTAGATCTTCCTCCATCCCTTTATTTTGAGCCTATGTTTGTCTCTGCACGTGAGGTGGGTTTCCTGAACACCCCACACTGATGGGTCTTGACTTTCTATCCAATTTGCCAGTCTGTGTCTTTTAATTGGAGCATTTAGCCCATTTACATTCAAAGTTAATGTCGTTATGTGTGAATTTGATCCGGTCATTGTGATGTCAGCTGGCTATTTTGCTTGTTAGTTGATGCAGTTTCTTCCTAGCCTTGATGGTCTTTACAATTTGGCATGTTTTTGCAGTGGCTGGTACTGGTTGTTCCTTTCCATGTTTAGTGCTTCCTTCAGGAGCTCTTTTAGGGCAGGCCTGGTGGTGACAAAATCTCTCAGCATTTGCTTGTCTGTAAAGGATTTTATTTCTCCTTCACTTATAAAGCTTAGTTTGGCTGGATATGAAATTCTGGGTTGAAATTCTTTTCTTTAAGAATGTTGAATATTGGCCCCCACTCTCTTTTGGCTTGTACAGTTTCTGCCGAGATATCAGCTATTAGTCTGATGGGCTTCCCTTTGAGGGTAACCCGACTTTTCTCTCTGGCTGCCCTTAACATTTTTTCCTACATTTCAACTTTGGTGAATCTGACAATTATGTGTTTTGGAGTTGCTCTTCTCGAGGAGGATCTTTGTGGCATTCTCTGTATTTCCTGAATCTGAATGTTGGCCTGCCTTGCTAGACTGGGGAAGTTCTCCTGGATAATATCTTGCAGAGTGTTTTCCAACTTGGGTCCATTCTCCCTGTCACTTTCAGGTACACTAATCAGACGTAGATTTGGTCTTTTCACATAGTCCCATATTTCTTGGAGGCTTTGTTCATTTCTTTTTATTCTTTTTTCTCTAAACTTCTCTTCTCGCTTCATTTCATTCATTTCATCTTCCATCACTGATACCCTTTCTTCCAGTTGATCTCATTGGCTACTGAGGCTTGTGCATCCGTCACGTAGTTCTCGTGCCTTGGTTTTCAGCTCCATCAGGTCCTTTAAGGACTTCTCTGCATTGGTTATTCTAGTTATCCATTCATCTAATTTTTTTTTCAAAGTTTTTAACTTCTTTGCCATTGGTTCGAAATTCCTCCTGTAGCTCGGAGTAGTTTGATTGTCTGAAGCCTTCTTCTCTCAACTCATCAAAGTCATTCTCCATCCAGCTTTGTTGCATTGCTGGTGAGGAGCTGCGTTCCTTTGGAGGAGAGGCACTCTGCTTTTTTAGAGTTTCCAGTTTTTCTGTTCTGTTTTTTCCCCATCTTTGTGGTTTTATTTACCTTTGGTCTTTGATGATGGTGTCGTACAGATGAGTTTTTGGTGTGGATGTCCTTCCTGTTTGTTAGTTTTCCTTCTAACAGACAGGACCCTCAGCTGCAGGTCTGTTGGAGTTTGCTAGAGGTCCACTCCAGACCCTGTTTGCCTGGGTATCAGCAGCGGTGGCTGCAGAACAGCGGATATTGGTGAACCGGAAATACTGCTACCTGATTGTTGCTCTGGAAGTTTTGTCTCAGAGGAGTACCCAGCCGTGTGAGGTGTCAGTCCACCCCTACTGGGGGGTGCCTCGCAGTTAGGCTACTCGGGGATCAGAGACCCACTTGAGGAGGCAGTGTGCCCATTCTCAGATCTCAAGCTGCATGCTGGGAGAACCACCACTGTCTTCAAAGCTGTCAGACAAGGATATTTAAGTCTGCAGAGGTTACTGCTGCCTTTTTGTTTGTCTGTGCCCTGCCCCCAGAGGTGGAGCCTACAGAGGCAGGCAGGCCTCCTTGAGCTGTGGTGGGCTCCACCCAGTTCAAGCTTACCGTCTGCTTTGTTTACCTAAGCAAGTCTCGGCAATGGCCGGCACCCCTCCCCCAGCCTGGCTGCCGCCTTGCAGTTTGATCTCAGACTGCTGTGCTAGCAATGAGTGAGACTCCGTGGGTGTAGGACCGTCTGAGCCAGGTGTGTGATATAATCTCCAGGTGTGCCGGTTTTTAAGCCGGTTGGGAAAGCGCAGTATTAGGGCTGGAGTGACCCGATTTTCCAGGTGCCATCTGTCACCCCTTTCTTTGACTAGGAAAGGGAATTCCCTGACCCCTTGTGCTTCCCAGGTGAGGTGATGCCTCGCCCTGCTTCGGCTCGTGCACGGTGCGCTGCACCCACTGTCCTGCACCCGCTGTCTGGCACACCCCAGTGAGATGAACAGGGTACCTCAGTTGGAAATGCAGGAATCACCCGTCTCCTGCATCGCTCACGCTGGGAGCTGTAGACTGGAGCTGTTCCTATTCAGCCATCTTGGCTCCTCCTGCTTTTGGTATTTTCATTAAAAATACTTCTTTGTCACTAAACAACAAATATATTATTTTGTATTTTCTTAGATATTTTATCGTATGTGTTTAGCTTTCAGAAATAAATTTTTGTTGTTTATGTGATTTCAGGTAAGAATCACACATATTGATATTCTTTATAGTTTCATGGCATCATTTTGTTGAATGATCCATTTTTTTTCTTATTGTTTTGTATTACCATTCATTGTATTACTAAAATATACCAATTTTTCACATTTATGTAGGTTTATTTCTATTTTTAATCTATTTTTTCTGACATTGTACCAATACCACAACAGTCTCACTACTATAGCTTTATAAACAATTTTGATACCTACTGTTATCTGAACAATCCCATTTTTGTTATTCTTCATTGAAGTATCTTTCTGTGACTTATTTTGAAATTGTATAGATTAAGTTGGGGGGCCACTGGCACCTTTAAGATGCCAACCTTTCAAACATGAACATTTATTCATTTTTTTCTGCATTTTTTGTTTTTCAATAAATATTCATAATTTCTAAATGAGTACATCAATATATAAAATATATTTATAATATAGAATAAATTAAAACTATGTTAATCAACATATATAAAATATGTGTCATATAGAATGATAAATTAAAATGACATTAATCAATATATAAGTATATTTTTAATATAAGATTATAATAAATTAATATTACTAATTATAAGTTATAATCTACATTAATAATACACTATATTTATTAAGTATTTTTCTTCAAAATGTGTGACCACTTTTCACCACCTCCATATCAGTTTGCTAAGGCTGCTGTAACAAAACACCACATACTGGATGACTTAACTAAAACTTCTTGTCTCTCAATTTTGAAGACTAGGAGTTCAAAATAAAACATTAGCAAGACCATGCTGCCTCTAAAATCTATAGAGAAATTTTTCCTGTCATCTCCTTATCTTCTGGTGAGTTGCCTGCAATCCTTGGAGTTTTGTGGCTTGTGGATGCATTGCTCCAACTCTCTGTCTTTACATGGTATTCTCCCTGTGTGTTTGTCTTCACATGGCTGTCTTCTGACAAAGACAGAAGTCATATTGAATTAAGGTCCCTACCTACTCCAGTATAACCTCATCTTAACTAATCATTTCTTCAATGATCCTATTTCCAAACAAAGCCACAGTCTGTGTACCAAGGATTAGGATCTCAACATACC
The DNA here is from genome assembly GCF_000001405.40 of Homo sapiens. Lineage (NCBI taxonomy): Eukaryota > Metazoa > Chordata > Mammalia > Primates > Hominidae > Homo > Homo sapiens. Next base: position 1,557,225 of record NC_000009.12, on the reverse strand, counting down.
TTTTTTTTTTTGAGGGAATATACTTTAACTCATAATATTTCACTTCAACAGTCTCAGTCTAAGCCACGATTATCTCTCATCTGGAACACTGAAATAGTCTCCAAACTTCTCTTCCTGCCTCCACACTTCTCTTCCTGCCTCCACACTTACTTCATGCCTCAAAACACACACACACACACACACACACACACACACACAGACACTTACCTTGCCTACACCCAAGTCTATTCCAGGTAGCATGCCAGACCAATTTAAAGTTTAACTCTTTATTTAAATTCATCCAGTGGCTTTCCATTACCAGTAAAATAATACCAAACTTCTTACAATGGCCTTGGAGGCCCTGCAGGATGTGGCCCTGCTGCCCAGCCTCCTCTTAGACACTTCACTACAAGCCCTCTAGCCTTCTGCTTGCTCTTAGAATATTCTAAGCTCACTGCTGTCCTAAAACCTTTGCCCATGTAATTCCTTCTTTTGGAATATTCTTCCTATTTTTGCTGCCACAAAAAGACTATGTATTTATCTTTTTTCCCTCTAGCATATCAAATTTTCCCTCTCTACTGGAGTATTCCCAAATACCTTACAAAGATGGTTTAGCATGGGAGGTAATATGTTCAACACAAAACAATTTTCTCTGATCTTACAGTTCTCTCCAGATAATATCTGATATTCCTCTTTCCTTCATAGAAAAACTCCTTGAAAGAGCTAGCTAGACCAAATACCTGTAATTTCTCTCTTTCTACTCTTTTTTTCTTTTTCTTAACTTTTCATCTAGAAAAGTAAAGGTAATAGTATAAAAAATCTCTGTACCTATCACCAACTTCAACAATTATCTACTATGTCCAATATTATTGTACTCTGGATTATTTTGAAGCAAATCCTCAACATCATACAATTTTATGTATATACATTTCAGCATGTGTTTCTAAAGTCAGAGGCTCTCCTCTAAAAAAAAAACTCAGTTACAACATTACTATGATCTATTTTTATTCTCAATACCACTTCTGACACCAAATGTGTGAGGTATTTTTTTTCCACCCCAACCAATTAGCCGGCTTAGTGCCCTACAATTTAATTCAATTCTGATCTACCTGGATTTAGTGAAGACCCCCAGGTTGTTTATTTGTGCTAAACTTTGAGGGGTTTTACAAATATAATTAGCCCCGTTGTGTCTTAGATGTGCAGAAAATGAAAAATGTAATGTCTAAAATGATGAAAATGCACACAAAAATAGAGATGATTAAAATAATTGAAAGCATCCATAAAACAAATCATGGAGAGACTAAAAGGCAAGCCCCCATACTGGAGATATGTACTTTATCTGTAACTAATAAAACATTCATTCAGAATAAAGAATTTTTACAAATCAGTAAGAAAAATATGGACAACACAGTAGAAAAACATAGGAAAAGAACTGAACAGGCTCTTTGCCAAAGATACCAAATAGCCAATAAACATAGAGAAAGATGTTGAGCTTCGTTAGTCATCAGGGAGATAAAAATTAAATATACATCTGAATGGTTAAACCTAAAAAGACTAACAAAACCAAGTGTTGGCAAAGGTTTTGAGAAATTATAATTTTCATATGCTATTTAAGGAGATTTAAATACATTCTTTGGCAGCTAGTTTTATCTACTAAAGTTGAACATATGCATACTATTTGGCCTAGCCATTCCAGTTCTGGGTAGATATACAACAAAAATATGTTTGCATGTGCACCAAAATTTGTTGAATCTTCCTTGCAGCATTATTTGTAATAGCAGAAAAACAAACAACACAAATGGTCCATCAATACTTTTCATACAATCTTTTTATCTTTTGATAAAATCATGCAACTAATACTATATAGTAATGGGAATGGATTAGCTACACTAAAAATATGAGTAAAACTCACAAACATAAATACTGGGCAAAAGAAACCAGACACAAAAGTCATACTATGTGATTCTATTTATATAATGTCCCCAAACAGGCAAAATCCATCAATAGTCATAGACACCAGGAATGTGGTTACCTTTGTGGAAGAATGGAATGACTGGGAAGGGTTAAAAAGGAGACCACTAAGGTGACCCAACTTTTTGATACTGTAGTGTTGAAATGGATGTGTTCACTTGGTGAAACTTTGGCTGCACACAGCATTTTTCACTTTTCTGCCTATAAATTATACTTGAATAAAAACTTTTTAAATGATAACGAAAAAGTCTAATTCTAGGCCTTTTGCAGACAAGCTCCAAGAATAGCAGGAAAAAACAAAATCTAATGACTCTCAGCATAATGATGACCATTTGCTAATGGAGAAAATATTCTCTCTCTGGTGTGGGTTTAGATCAAGGCACCCAAAGTGAAATGACTGCAAAGAGCATGGCCTTCAAATACAGGAGTGACAGCACCAGATGTGAGGCAGTAGGGATTAAATGGGTGGCACTGTTTCCAAACTAAACGCAAAACTCAGTAACTTCACCTTTAAAAACACCATGCACATAACTAAAAGACCTGTGGGTACACAGTTTAGGATCACTGGGGCTATTCTGTCTGCAAGGAAAAACAAAAACAGTTGTCTTCACACATTTCTTTAATAGGTCAACTAGTAAAGGAAACAGTAGGTTTGTCTGCAACCCTTAATTGATGGCTATTGAAACTTGAACTGGAGAAGCCACATTGAACTTTGTAGGGCTAGAGCCCATTTCTCCTACTCCTGCCTGTAAAGCCAGGGTGGCACTGACCATCGATGTCCACTCTGCTGACAACCAGGGAGCTACTCGACATTGCAGGATTTGGAAAACTCCTAGCAGTGGAAACTCTTCCTGTGTGAACAAATGTGTTTTCTCTTTGGATATCAATCTTGCCTCTCATGGGTCTGTACCTTGATGATTAGCAAGTACTTTACCCTATCCTAATTTGCATGTGGTGAGGAACATTATGTTTTTCTTAGCTCTAATATGTTTGGTATATAGAAAAAAGCACCAAGTCAGAATTACTGAGTTAACGTCCTGGCTGTGACACTTACCAGCTGTGTGCCTTGGACAACTCACTAAATCTTTCTCCATCTGTAAAATGAGGAAGAATAATTCCCATCCTAACACATAAGGCATTGATTTCAGTCTACAGACTTGAGTTTGTAAGAGCTATCACTTAATTTTCTTTAAGTCCATGAGTACCCCAGCAAGAACTACATGGCCCACTCTAATGTATTTATTTATTTGAAGGGATTTCATGAAAAGGCTATTTACAGATGTGGCAGAGTTAAGGAAACAAAGGAGAGCTACACAGGGCTTAGCAAGAGCAACAGTCTATGACCTCTCCTAAGCCTCTCTGGGCAGAGGGCAGAAGAAATGTTACGAGGGTCAGTGGGAGAGCTAGAGCCCTAAAAGCAGGGATGATAACCAGGAGCTGTGATCCCAGGAACACAGCCACTACCAGAAAAATGGCCAAGAGAAAGGGAACTAGGACAGTAAATGCCTGAAGTCCTGCTCCTCCCACCCTCCTATATTTATCTGCCAGTGTCTCTCATTAGCTGAATCCATTCTCTTACCCTCCTGCATCTGCCAGTGTCTTCTACTGGCTGAATCCAAGTATAAGTCAGAGGTCAAGAGAAAATGGGAGTAAATACCATAGGGTTTGGCCTTCTAGGCATACAGCAGAAAAGATAAGAGCATAGAGGATCTAGGGGTGGGACAAGCAGAAAATAACCAGCAACTAACTTATTTCTGCCCCCACACTGTTTCACACGTTGTCAGTTTTTGTCATTATTTCCTACCTTTCCTTACTTAACCCTCAGGAGCTGGGCCAAGTTCCTGGCATCTTCCTCCATGCCAAAAGATTGAGGAACTGGGGAGGCTCACTTGTCATTAATTTACCTGAGTAGCTTCTGAGTGCCTCTTAACTCACCTTGAATGGTCCCTTTGGGTCTGGTGGTCCAAGTAACTTCTCCATGGCATGGCTCAGAACCTTTGAGTTGACTGCAATTCCCTGTGGCCTGCATTTGGCCTCCACAGGTGGCCATAGAACTATTCCCACTGGAAGTCATCCCACCTCCCCAGGATACATCCAATGAATGGGTGTCCTGCCAACATCTGGAACTGTTAACCTTTGTCTACTTCCCAGTCTCTGGAAATTCAATCTACCTATCAGTCAATCAACAACCAAGTAGAGGCACTTCTCCCTCTCTCTTACCACCCCGCCTTCCAGCTTTATCGTATTCTACAGTAAGCTAAAGCTTTTCTAAAAGACCACAAGAGTCTTACTTTTCCATCAGTTTTTACAAGATTTCCCTAGGCAAGGAGGTACCAAGGACCTCAATAATGTTTTTTCGGTAAGCCAGGGGGAGAAGCATTTTCTGTTTCTCCTGCCCCTACCTCACATTTCTCGAGGCACAGTACCATCATTCCTGCTCCTGACGCTGCTCCAGCTCCTTCCTGACTCAGGGACTTTATGCCTGTGCTTGTTTTTTCTCAAACATTCCTTCTCCAACTCTGTGAACAGCTTGGCTCTTTTTGGTAACTTGAGTCCCAACTCAACCATCTCTTCCTCAGAAAGGTCTTTTCAGGCAATCCTATTTTTAAAGGTCTTTCTAGATCCTGTGTATTTCCTCTAGCATCTGCAACTATCTTGTGGACCTGTTTATTGGTTTATTGTTTGTCTCCCTCAACTACAATTCTGCCCCATTTATCCTCTTATTATCCTTAGTGCTAGTCAAAATTCCCAGCACATAGTAAGACTTCATAAATATTAATTCAGTGAATGAATAAGTGAAGGGATCAATAAACCCATTCATTGAAATAAATGTCAGTAAATTATCTTGCCATGTTGCCTACCTCAGAGGGTTATTCCCAGGATCAAATGAGATAAATTACAAGGAAGAGCTCAAAGTGTTAGACAAATATTTGTGTCATTATTTTATATCTGTGGTTTTTTGCAGTCTGCTCCTTTAATACCAAGATTTCTGGAGCCCCAAAGCACTCATCTTTTTTCCCTGAAAGAAATGCGGCATCTCTCGGAGGTCAAAGCATCACGAAAACATTATACATTCTAGTTCCCTTTAAAACCAAGGCTCTCAAAGTGTTGCTTTTTCTTCCCACACCCCAGTATTACTGAGGTATAATCAGCATAGAAAAACCGCAGTAATTAATGTATACAATCTGGCAAGTTTGGACATATGTATATACTTGTGTTGCTGTCACAATCCAAGTAATAAACATATCTATCACCTCCAAAAGTTTCCTTGTGTCCCTCTGTTGTTTGTTTGTTTTTTGTGATAAGAACACAACATAAGATCTACATTCTTAACAGAATGTTAAATATATGATACCTTATTGTTAACTACAGGCACTATGTTGTATAGCCAATCTCTGGAACTTACTTCTCCTGCACAACTATAATTTCATACCCATGGAACTACAACTCCCCACATTCCCCTCCACCATACCCTGTTAACCACCATCCTGTTGTCTACTTCTATACCTTTGAATATTTTAGATACCTGATATAAGAGGAATCATGCAGTATTTATCCTTCTGTGACAGACTTATTTCACTTAATAAGTCATCCAGATCCATCCATGTTGAAGGGTACAAACGACAGGATTTTCTTCCTTTGTAAGAGTAAATATTATTACTGTGTATGTATATATGACATTTTGTTTATCCATTTGCACATCAAAAATGAGATATCACCTCACACCTATTAGGATGGCTATTAGCAAAAAAAAAAAGATAAGCGGTGTTGGTGAGGTTCCTTAAAAAATTAAAAATTGAACTACCATATGATCCAGCATTCTCACCTCTGGGCATATCTTCAAAAGAATTGAGATCAGGATCTTGAAGGGGTATCTATACTTCCATGTGTATTGCAGCATTATGCGCAATAGGCAAGATACAGAAACAACCCAAATATCCATCCACAGATGAATAGTCAACGTCACTTGCTAAAAGGTCTCTAGCCTTAAAGTACCATGATGCAGACATAGATATAAACAGATCTATCGCAATCTCTTTACCTAAAGATAACTGCTGTTGATGTTCTACTGTACTTTTTCTTTACCCATTTTAATTTTCCCTTTCTCATAACTTACGTTTGCTTACTGATTTTTACGTTCTTGTGTTCATACCAAGTTGCTTATAATACCAATATCTATAATTCACAGAGACTCTACTCTGGCTTCTCAATTAATAGTTTCTGAATGCTTTCATTTATTGCAGCCTCAAAATAGAATATGTTGTTTCTGCCTCTTCCTATTCCTTTTCTTCCTCCTCCTCACTTTCTGCCCCCAAGGCTGTGGCATATACTTAGACAAACAGGTGGTCTGGAAATATTTGTTCTTACCAGACTGCTATGTTGAGAATCTACATATGAGTAACCAGACCCAAGACAATTAGTAGGACCCAGCTTTCCCTGAGTCCTTAGTTAACCAAGCTGTGGGTTCGTGAATACTATTCTGAGGATGTCCATCTGGTGCAGGAAGCAGAGGAAAAGGCAGGCAGCTGAGGCTGAGAAATAAAAACCATAAAAGACTAACAGTTATCAAGCATTTCCAATGCATAGGTACTATCATGACAAATTCTTTCTAAATTTCTATGCAATGATTATTAATCCTTTTCTCACTTTTATGAATGAGAAAATTGGGACGCAGAGAAGTTAAATAACTTGTTTACGCTCCCACATGTAGTAAGTGGTGAACCTAGAACCTGAACCCAGTGGTCTAAATTCAGCCCTCAGGTGCATGCTACCCAAGAGGTAAAGAAACCTGGGGAGATGAAAACACCAAGTTACATAAGAAAAAACATATAAAGAACTGATTCTGAACAAAGAAAAGCTACACAAAAGAAAAAAGCCTGGTCATATATTTGTACCCATTCCTAGGAGCACAAATCTTAATATTTTTGTCTCCAGGATGGCCATGCCCTGTCACTCGGGACTGGCTAGGGGTCCCAACACACAAGACATTTTATGATATCTATTTCTATCCTCTGTTCCCAAGAACTCCGCCCCCTTCCTCCCACTTCCTTAACCAGTTTTTATGTTGAAACAAATCCCATATTAGTAGCAACAAAGAGCTCTCCAAACATATGAAAAGGACAAGAATATTATTGTCTCTTTTTCCTTTTTCTTTCTTACTTTTCATAGACTTAGTGAAGCTACACCATTCCCAAGTTGATTAAAGTAAAAAACAAAAACAAAAAAATCCCTGTCAGAATTTTGCTTCTCATGGCACTTAAGGAATCTGGGTGGCATGGGAATATGGACAGGCTTTTAAAATTCTTTCATTATTGACTTCTACCCGATGACTGACACTACTGTTAGGGCTCCAGCTGCAAGTTAAGACTAACAGATCTCTTCCACAGGTGTCTCAGGAACACAGCAGGTAAGTCAACTCTCCTTGCCACTTAATGCATGGTTTTTCATGTCATCTTAGATGACTAAGATGACAAATTTAGGAAAAATTCTTGGTAAAAAAAGAAAACACAAAAAGATAGAGGAAGAAAAATAGCCATTGTTCCAAAGACACACATGGAAGTTTTCTAAATACATGCAAACACTTGCTCTCGCTAGCTCAATCTCTCTATGTCAGGCTTTGTGTATCTATCTTTCTCTATCTCTGCCTTTATCTCCCTCTCCCTCCTTCCCACTCTCTCCCTTTCACACACACATACACATGCACACACACACAGCATCTTAAAGTCATCTACTTTGATAAAATTTTCCAAAATGTGCTTTATAAACACTATTTATTCAAGACACCCACAATCCCACCTTCTATCTTTTTCTTTCTTTAAAATGTCTTTAAGCCAAAGGTTTCTTCACTATAGAGTGTGAGTTTCATACCATGGACAGCCTCAGAGGAGAAGATCTGTTTGTATCTGTATCCATAAGCACAGCCATACTTTATTTATATTTATATGAATCAAATTTATATAAACCAAATTTAAAAAATTTAAGATTTTATGAAATTTTCTGGCCATCTAAAATCCAAATGCCAAATTCTAAGCTCTGAAGCTTTTGTTCAGCCTGCTCACAAAGGCAGAAGGCTGTTCACTCATCTGTCTGTGAATCTTTTCTTGATTCTTGTGCATAATTTATAAACCACATCTTTCTTGGTGGTATTTATGTCATGTTTTCCCGTTAGACCCTATGCTTCTGGAGGACAGAATCCCACTGTATCACTCCTCATCCTTACATATCTTCACAATCAAAACATCATTCCTATATGTAAAAGCCTACTGTAATATTGCTAGCCAACAAGGATGATACTAGTATTTGTCTTGTCCTCTAATAGCAACATTATCAAGGAATTTCAGGCTAGGGGAAAATGTGCTGTAGACATTTCTCAGATGAGCTTTATTTCAATTTAACATCTGAATTGAACATAAAAGTCCCCTAAACATTCCCCAGTGTTTCCTGTATTAGTCCCATAGCCTGTGCGATGCAGCCAATCTCAATGAGTTCCAAATGCTATTTGTGGAGGCAGGTACCCTTCAATTGTGCTTGGATTGTACTCAGTGTGGCAACATTGTGACAGCTATCAAGGGCAGTTTCAAATGATGCTTTTCAGGTTGTGTTTTGTCACTTCATTTTTCATTGTTTTTATGAGACATGGTAGCATTTATTTTTAAAATTAATACTACTTTTCTTGCTTTCTAGAGATATAACTCATTACCATACAATTTACAGATAAGCTACAGATATTTAAAATGTACACTTTGATTGGTTTGACATACCCACACACACACACAAATGCACATACACACACATATATGGACTCACACCAGCAAAACCGTCACCATAATCAAGATAACAAACATTTGATCACCCCCAAAAGTTTCCATGGGCCTTTTTTCTATCTATCACTACCTCCATCTCATCCCAGGCAACCATTCATTTGCTCTGTGTCAATATAGATGAGTTTGCATTTTCTAGGATTTTTATATAAATAGAATTAGACATGGGTGTCATATTTTTAGTCTGGCTTCTTTCTTATACTCAGCAAAACAATCTTGAGTGTTATTCATGTTATTGCATGTATCTGTATCCTTTTCATTTCAATGTTCAGTAGAATTGCATTGAATGGATATACCCTATTTTGTCTATTCAATTACCTGTTGATAGGCACTTAGATTGTTTCAAGATTAAAGCTATTATGAATATTTATGAAGTCTTTGTGTGGACGTAGCTTTTCATTTCTCATGGGTAAATACCTAAGAGTGGAATTGCTGGGCTATATTGTAAGTGTGGTATATGTTTTGCTTTAGAAAGTAATGAACTGGTTTTAAAAGTAGCTGTAACATTTTACACTCCCACCAGCAATGTTTTCACGTTCCAGTTGCTCCACATCTGACTAACGCTGGGTTTTGTCACTTTTCATTTTAACCATTCTCAAGGTCATGAAATGGTATTTTATTATGGTTTGATAAATGGTATCTTATTATGGTTTTATTTGCATTTTCTTGGTGACTAGTGACATTGACCACCTTCTTCATGACTTACTGGTCACTTGTAAATCTATTATAAAGTGTCTAATTAAACCTTTGCCTATTTTTTATTGGGCTGTCTTCTTATTATTGACTTATGAGAGGTCTTTATATATTCTAAATGCAGGTCCTTAGTCACAATAACATTTAAAGTTCACTTCTAAATTATGTTTGACTACAGTTGCTTGATCAAGCTGTCAGAAGTTTAGACGAGGAACAGTTTTGGATTAATTCATTAAATATTTATTGAGTACTTCCTAAGTGCCAATCACTTTGAGAGGCCCTAATAAAATGGAGAAAAATACTTCCCTTCAAGGAGCTCACTGTTAAAGACGAAATTGATGCATTAAACACACACAGACACAATAAAGATACAAACAAATGACATAGGAGCAGAGAGCAGGGAACAGTTAAGTTTTTCTAAGTGTGGAGATCAAAAAAGACTTTGAGATAACATTTGAACTGAGCCTTTAAAAGTGAATACAAGTATGCCACATATAAAAACTGTACAAATACGGTGACAATCCTATTGAAATAAATTATATTAGGGCAATGATTTAAGTTAAATCTGAACATCGTAAATAAAGATGGCACACATTCCCGTAGGAGATTGAGATCCTCTCCGTATAGCCTTATGGACATCAGTAGCTAAGAGGTTGCACTTCCCTAAGGCAGGAGTACCTTTATTAAAAGATGTATGTTACCTAGTTCTTAGTTTATTGCCTTGTACCTAGTAGTGTTCAATAAATGTACCTAAATTCAGTATTAAATAACTATTTAAACTAAATTAACTAATTTTACTTAATTTATTTAACTAAAATTATTTAAGTTAAAATTATTATTTAAGTTAAAATTATTTAAATAAGTATCCACTTATTTAAGCGAATACTTTGGTTTATTGTGAGGGATTCAAAGATGACACAATATAGCCTTTTTAAAACTAAACTAGTAAGGAAGGTAGACAAGCCCCATGCCCATGGGCATAAGTGACAAACATAGGAAAAAAATGTACCCTTGTCCTTAAAGCTTTCCTAGACCTTCCATTCATGGAGAATTGTAGCCCCTGCTGTACTATCATAAGAATTCAGTAAAACACTCTTATGATAGAATTTATACTTTTATTCACTTTATTCAAGATTATTTTGTTACAGAATGAGAGTTAATGTGGGTAGGGACCATATCTTATTCATTTTGCATTTCCAACATTTTCTACAAATAGTTCCCTTTCTGACATATGTCAAGTATCTAACAAATTCCTATTGTTTTGGAAGATAATTGAAAATGCCTAAATGTGTAAGTACAAATACTTAATCAGTGTTGTATGAGAGGTGCATTTAATGCCCTATGGGAGGTCAAAGGAACAAAGGAAGAAGAGATTAATTAACTCAGACTATGATGGCTGGTAGCAGTAGAGGTGGCTGTTAGTGGAAGAGAAGAATTTGAACACGGTGTGATGCAAGAAATGACAACTCCAGGTGACGGCAAAGGCATAAGCAGATGTGAATAAGTAGTGGGTTTCTAAGTGAAAAGAGCCCAGCTTAATTTGGCTGGCGCTGAGGATTCATTAAACAAATTGGTTTCATGAGTTTGGTTGATGCTTGACTCATTAAACAATAAATATCCAGCACTAGAAAGAATTGTGGGAGGTAGATTATTTTTAAAAACCCCAAAAAAACAAAAAATAAAAATAAAAACACTTGGTCAGAAAGAACCCACCCCCTTAGACTAAGCAAGTAAGCAGGTCAGTGTGGCCAGCTTCACAGTTGGCAGAAGTAGACAATAAGACTCAATAGATCCATGCAAGATGGTTCATTCCTCACAGCATAGTAAACAGCAGAAGTATCAGCACACTCCCAGTGGCTCCCTGGGATGGTTACTATTAAGTATCAACTTGATTGGATTGAAGGATACAAAGTATTGTTTCTGGGTTTATCTGGGTGTTTCTGGGTGTTGGCAGAAGAGAAGAACATTTGAGTCAGTTAACTGAGAGAGGAAGATCCACACTCAGGAAGACCCACCCACAGTGTGGTCAGGTGCCAAACAATTGGCTGCCATTACAGCTAGAAAAAGCAAGCAGAAGAAGGTGGAAGAAGCTGACTTGCTGAGTCTTCCAGCCTTCATCTTTCTCCAGTGATGGATGCTTCCTGCCCTCGAACATCAGACTGCAAGTTCTTTAGCTTTTGGATTCTTGACTTACATCAGTGGTTTGCCAGGGGCTCTCAGGCCTTCAGCCACAGACTGAAGGCTTGCACTGTTGGCTTCTCCTGAGGGAAGTGGTCGAAGGCCTGAGAGCCCCTGGCAAACCACTCAGACTGGCTTCCTTGATCCTCAGCTTGTAGATGGTCTATCGTGGGACTTTGACTTGTGATCATGTGAGTCAATTCTCCTTAATAAACTCCCGTTCACATATACATCTATCCTATTAGTTGGGACTAATACACTCCCGTATCCAAAGTCCCGTTTTCCCAAAGGGGTGATGCAATGGACACAAATACAGCTACGCATGCAGTGGATTGTGGTGCCACTGAGGAATCCACAGCCAAAGGCTCAGCACTCTTTGTAGCAAGCAATAAGCAAGGCAGTCCCCTTCCTCTCAAGGAGCAAGCAGTCTTGGTAGTCAGGCTGCTGTTGCCATGACAAGTGACTAGCTAGAAAAACACCTCAGGGCCAGAGGACTGTTAGGACTTTCATTTGGTGTCCTCAGAGAGGACAGGCAGAGAGAGATTCTCCTGACCCAAGGCAGCGGACTATCTCCCTCAACATAGCTGAAGGCCAAACTAGGTTTTCTCACATATGTAAGAGTTACTGAGAAGTTTTGAGTGGAAGAGTGATCTGAGTGAATGGGCATCCAGGAAATACTAATTTGATGGAAACATTTAGGAAAGAATGGAGTAGAAAAGATGAAAGGCAGAGCCATTAGAAGAACATTAGAGAGGGGCTGACATCACAGGGAGAGAGAAGAGGAGACCCATGTGAGAGCTCACTGGACTGGAACTGGGCTGGTCATAGCAGGCAAGATGACTGACCGGTCCCAGCTTAGCATAAGCACAGGCAAGGAAGAGTAAGGAGAGATTTCTTAGCATTTCCAGATTTTCTGCAGGCATTTGGCTGATTTAATCCGAGAAAATTGATGGACCTAAATGGGGACACATTGGTGAAATTGGAGCCATGGAAAAAATGTGTGAAGGCTGGAAGAGAAATCGCAAGGTGGATGGAAGAAGGTGAAGGGAAAAGGTATGTCTCACAGAAAAAGCATTTGATAAAATCCAGCATCCCGTTATGATAAAAACCCTGAACAAACTAAGCATAGAAGGAACATACCTCAAAATACTAAAAGCCGTATATTACAAACCCTCAATGAACATCATACTAATTGGGGAAAAGGTGAAAGCATTTCTCCCAAGAACTGAAACAAGACAAGGATGCCCACTTTCACCACTTCCATTCAACATAGTATTGGAAGTCCAAGCCAGAGCAATCAGGCAAGAGAAAAAAATAAAGGGCATCCAAATTGGAAAAGACAAGTCAAACCATCTCTATTTGCCAATGGTACCATCTTATAGCTAGAGAGCCCTAAATACTCCTCCAAAAGGCTCCTAGATTTGATAAATAAATTTAGTAAAGTCTCAGGTTACAAAATCAATGAACATAAGTCAGTAGCACCGCTATATCCCGAGAACAACCAACAGAGAATGAAATCAAGAACTCAATTCATTTTATAATAGCTACAAAAAATAAAATACCTAGGAATATACTTAACCAAGGAGGTGAAAGATCTCTATGAGAAGAACTAAAAAACACTGCTGAAAGAAATAACAGATGACACAAACAAATGGAAATACATCCCATGCTCATGCATTGGAAGAATATCATGAAAATCACCATACTGACCAAAGCAATATACAAATTTACTGCAATTCCTATCAAAATGCTAACATTATTTTTCACAGAACTAGAAAAAAAAATCTAAAATTCATATGGAACCAAAAAAATCCTGAATAGCTAAAGCAATCCTAAGCAAGAAGAACAAATCTGTAGGCATCACATTACCTGACTTTCAATGATACTATAAGGCTATAGTAACCAAAACAGAATGCTACTGGTGTAAAAATAGACAAACAAATGGAACAGAGAACCCAGAAATAACGCCAAATACTTATAACCAACTGCAGACCTTTGACAAGGTATGCAAAAACATAAATTGGAGAAGGGACACTCTATTCAATCAATGGTGCTGGGAAAATTGGATAGCCACATGTAGAAGAATGGAACTGGATCCCTATGTCTCATCATATACAAAAATTAACTCAAAATGGACTAAATACTTAAATCTAAGACTTGATGCCATTAAAATTCTAGAGGAAAACCTTTTCTGGACATTGGCTTAGGCAAATAATTTATAGCTAAGACCCCAAAAGCAAATGCAACAAAAACAAAAATAAATGGGACCTAATTAACCTAAAAGGCTTTTGTACAACAAAAGATATAATTGTCAGAGTAAACAGACAACCTAGAGAATGGAAGAAAGTGGTTGCAAATTATGCATCTGACAAAGGACTAATATCCAGAACCTACAAGGAACTCAAGTCATAAAGAAAAAGAAATAATCCCATTAAAAAGTAGGCAAATAACGTAAACAGACATTTCTCAAAAGAAGATATATAAATGGCCAGCAAACATCTGATAAAAAATGCTCAGCATCACTAATTATGAGGAAAATGCAAAGCAAAACTGCTTACCCCAACTTATCCCAGTCAAAATGACATTAAAAAGTCCAAAAAACAATAATTGTTGGCAAGAATGTGGTGAAAGAGGAACACTTAGATATTGCTGGTGGGAATGTAAATTAGTACAACCCCTATTGAAAACAGTACGGATAGTTCTCAAAGAACTAAAAGTAGACATATCACTTGATTCAGCAATTCCACTATTGGGTATCTACCCAAAGGAAGAAAAGTCACTCTATCCAAAGACACCTGCACGTGTATGTTTATCACAGCAGAATTCACAATTGCGAAGATACAGAATCAACCTAAGTGCCCATCAGTCAACCAATGAGTTCATAAAGAAAATGTACATATACATCATGGAATACTACTCAGCCATAAAAAATAAAATAATGTCTCTTACAGTAACTTGGATGAAACTAGAGGCCACTATCCAAAGTCAAGTAACTCAGGAATGGAAAACCAAACGATGCATGTTCTCACTTATAAGTAGGAGCTAAACTATGGGTACACAAAGGCATATGGAGTGGTGTAACAGACATTAGAGACTCAGAAGCAGGGAAATAGGAGGAGGGTGAGAGATGAACGGTTACCCATTGAGTATAATATATACTACTCAGGTGACAGGTGCACTAAAATGCTAGACTTCACCACTGTACAGTTTACCCATGTACCCAGAAACCACTTGTACCCCCACAGCTATTGAAATAAAAAATAATAAAAGGTGTATCTGTATGTTAATAACACAAAACCCATGAGTTACTCAAAATAAGCCATTTCCATCTCCTTACAGTTCCAAAGCCCAATAGCCTAGGAGGTTAAAGTGAGAGCTCAAATGACTTCAGCTTTTGTCTTACCCACACACACAATGGTATGTGGCTTCCTGTTTTCCATCTTCTTTCTCCATCTGTCCTTCTCATACTAGCAACTGGTGGGGTTCCCATAGCCATGAGAGCTTGTGACATTGGCAAGGGGCTGACTTAGGGCCTTATCACCCGCTTCAGTGTGGTAGTGTTTTCTTTCTTGACCTTAAACGATCTTAATTTTTTACTCTTGGCACTGTCTGGCCAAGAAAACAAATGTTTTTGTTTGCCTTTTGTTTGGTTGGTTTTCTCTACCTTTGGTGACTGTCTTAACAGTTTCATTTATGTTACTCTCAGCTGTGGACCTGGGAAATGGTTTTCTCTATTCACATGGAAATTTCAGGGCCTTCGTCTATCTTTCTCCTTCACTAAGGAGCTGACAGGACAGGTGGAGCCCAGAGCAGAGATTTGTTCAGAACTATTCTGTAGACAATGAGGACTCTTAATTGGGCCTTGCCTTTTATTTTTATGTTGTCATCATTTTTTTCTTATTTTTAACAAAAAAAATCCAGCAATTGGAAGTGAAAGTGGAAGATTAAATGGTATTTTTCATAATAAACACAGATGGGGAGGAGAAGTTCCAGCCTTTGCTTTGCCTGCAGGAACCTGTACAACGGTCATTCTTTTGTCTTTTTTTCTACACAAGGGGGAACTACAAACAGGGTATTTGATTTTGTCCCTTAACTATTTCCGGACTGTTGTTGAAGAGTGTTTGAGCAAAAACTCTTATTTTCATGTAACTCAGCTAGTTTCATTTGTCTGAGATAGAGAAATGACTTATAAGGAATTCCTTCACTTAGAATGTAATGTAAGATAATAAAATACATATATTCTCCTATCTACTATTTGGTACAGTTTTCTAAAATTATGCTTATCAGGAAAATGAACACAAATAGTCCTGGATGAGGGAAAAGCCTAGAAAATTTGGGTTTTAATCTCAGCAACACCATCAACCAGCTCTAGTCAAGTCAGTTCATCCCTCAGACCTCAGTTTTCTTCCATCATCTTTAAGTGGAAGTAAGAACTACTTTCCCTGCTTCACAGCAATACAGAAAGTATCAGAAGTAGTAGTATAAGTGAAGTGCTTTGAAGAATTATAAAATGCTCTAAAGCAGGAAACATCAGTAGCACTGTTTCTGAAATATTGTCTCATCTAGGGTAAGAAAGAATTTATATTGAGTGGATTTTTTAAGGGTTTGTCTCACAATTGTAAAACTTCATACTGTATATCAAGGAACAAACTTTGAGACTCACAATGTAAAATGACTTAAAGTTATTTTTAAAGAACTTGACCTTCACATAGGTGAAATATGAACCATCAAATATGTTATTCTTAATTTTTTCACTATTCTCTTTTTGAACTTTTGAGTTCCAGGAACTCTAAAAAATTAAGATAATCCTTGTTATATACATCACTGAAAAAAGCTTATTTTAAGTATCTTTTGTATTTTGAAGTAAAAATATGTTCAACTAAAATCTGAAAAGTCATTATTTCCTAACTGAATGATCGAACAGATAACCAAGGGAAAAACAGGTTGCTGTTGTCATTCTTCATTGCTAATTTTCTATCCAGCAGGTAGATCCAAAAATAACCTGGAGGAGAACCAGAGCAAGAAAGGCTAACGGACGTATGTAAACCATGCTAGAAGATAAGAGATCTGGATGGATAGGTTACCGAACTCGGACAAAGTGAAAAGAATGTCTCGTTTTCCTAATTAATGCGTTGTAAAAGTTGCATTACTGTCTGAATATGACTGGCAAATTTTGTCATATCCAGATATTGAAACTCATAACTAAGTTATCAGAGTAATAATCTTTTGTTTAAAAATAGGGGTCTGGGTGTCTTTCTGTGCCCCCTTCTTATTATCCCCTAATTACCCCACAGGTTCTACACTGGGTCAGACTTGAGACTACCAACTATAAAGGACGTCGGCTTTAACACGTGTGCTGCGTGGAGAAAATAAGAAAGAGCTGAACACTGTTAGAATTTTACCTGCCTTGATTTAAGTGGCCAGTTTGGCTTGTTTCCTGCGGTGCACAACAAGATTACAAAGTGATTACAAAGGAAGCCGGACTTCACTTTTGGGGGTGATGGACATGACCACAGTCTTCATTGTTGTGGTCATTTCACAGGTGCATACTTCTGTCGGAACTTACCAAGCTATACACTTTAAATATGTGCAGTTTATTGTATGTCATCATGCAGGCATGACAGAGGGCTTACCTCTTGCCTTCTAGGTCACTTCTCACAATGTCCCCTCAGCACCTAACCCTATACCCACCGCTTATTTCTAGGTTATGTTAGTAATGTAACAAAGAATAATATTAAAAGCTAATGATTAATGTTTATACTAATGATTGATAATTGTCCATGATCATCTCTATATCCAATTTGTATGATAACGATTCTTTATTCTAACTATTTCCTTTATTATACTGCTACAGTTTGTGCCTTCAGTCTCTTGCCTCAGCACCTGGGTAATCCTTCACCCACACTTTCCAATCTGACTCTGGCATAACATTATGTGACAAAGAAGAAAATCAAAATATTTTACCCCAAAACATGTTTCTTTACCATAATTTGTTCTCAGAACCGCCTGAGGGCTGTGTCATGGACCATGGTCACTCATATTTGGCTCAGAATAAATCTCTTTAAATATTTTACAGAGTTTGACTTTCTTCATTGACATCTGTATGTATCCACCCAGTGGCTATACTCTGACTGCATCTATCCAGCAGTGTGCTGAAGCCAGCCCATACTGGTTGGTGAGAACTGATTGTGCACATGTCTTCCAATTCCACATTCGGTGACATCACCATAGTAGCTTAAAATCAGCCACAATGGGAATATTTACACAATGGAAATTGATAAACTACAAAACAGTGAGTTTTATAGAGTTGTTTTATTTGAAGAGCCAGTTGTTAAACACTGTCAGCATACCATTATATATCTGTGTGTGTATATGTGTATTTATATATGTATAAATATCTTCCAAACATAAATACGTGTGTGCATGTATATGTGTGTACGTGTCTGTGTATAGGTGTTGTATGCGTGTGTGTACATGTTGGCGGTATATATATTCTGCCTTAAGTGAATGGTCTTCCAACTTAATTCTATGGTGTGAGTTTAGTTCTCAATTAACTATACTGTACTGCTATTTAAGTGTTTTGACTTAAAAGGACCTCTTTGCATAATGTAAAAACATAAACACAGATTTTCCAAATTTTTTAAAATAATTATTATGTAGTGGACAAAATACAATAATGGCTATAAATATATATTTGGATTAAGTAAATCTCAGGTGACTATTATAAATAAGTCATGTGCTCTGAGTGAGTACATACTGTCAGGAAGCCCATGCTTCCTTACATGTAAATAATAATAATTATAATGAAATATTTAAAAGAAAAATAAGAATTCCATTTAAAAGCTCAGCTTGCTAATCTTTCAATCTTCTTCACTCTTGAAAGCAGAGTTAACGGCGCCCATGCTTCTACTATCAGGCCCATGTGTGCCCAGTAAGGGGAGAGACAGATTTTTCCAACTACACACAACCTGGTAGGGTCTGGAGCTGCTGTTGATCTCCTAGACTCCAGAGCCAGATGCTTACATGACTTTCTTTAATGACTTGTCAACACAAGTAATTGGCCCAAGCTCCAGTGACTCTCAACAATGGAAGAAAACTCTTTGCAAATAGGAGAGTGGGAGGAAAGAAACTTAAATCAAACTTGAAGCTTAGTACCTGCCAGATTTAATCCGTTCTTCTTCTCTCCACTGACAGAGCTAATGAGTGGATTGCAAGATTTTATACCTCACTTCTGATGTTTTAAATACCTCAGATAATAATAGATATACACGTATATAGTCCTTTATATGTGTTGGCTCATTTAATCCTCACATCAATGAAAGAGAATTGTTAGCCATGTTTTACAGCTGTAGAAACAGACGCTTGGAGAGATCAAATGACTTGTCTAAAATCACACAGCTGGTGACTGAGAGATCTTCCAGCTCAAACTCAGTGCTCTTTCCTCCGCACTTTCCCAACAGTTGATGAAATTCTGCCTATGGCAACAAGTGCAAGTCAGTCGTCAATCCAGGTAAATTGAGGAAAATTTGGAGAGTAGTTACTCCCACAACACAGGCTTCATTAGACTGAGCTACTGCCCCCTTTCCAATCTGTGCACAGTATTCCCCAAATCAGACCCAGTTATCAAAATGTCAGAACCCTGAAGCTCAAACTCTCATTTACACTAAAGCATAAATTTGCCTTAATAACTTCGGTATTAGCCTACTTATACGTTCATTTTGGAGGTAATCAGAGCTTTAAATGGGAGGAAGAAAACTCAAGGGAATGGAATCTCATGCATTGGGTAGCTGACAGAAGAACATGTGAGCAAGTAGCAGGCATTAAGTATACGGCTGCAAAGCTAGAATCACCATGGAGTGAGCTAGCTCCATTTACACGAATGGCTTAACTTCTAAAATCATAACTTAGCTATGTTGGAAAAGGAGATTTTTTTTCCAACGGTTTGTCTAGATTTACCTGTACCTGCCTACCCCTTCTAACATCCTTAGATTAGGAGACAAATGAATAGTCATGATACTCACAAAGAGGAATATTTAGGAACTTATTTTGTTCAATAATGTCATGAAAGTCTTAACATCAACAGTTCAGACTCATATTTGGAATTTCTCTGTCACTGCCTTCCTCCAACCCACAATGATTTGAGAGACATAAATTAGGAGCCAGATGTGAGATGGTGATACTTTACTCCATTCCCACCCACTCTGTCCTTTCAAAAGGAAACACAATTGCTCCTATTAGTAATAAAATGGATTGTGGTTGTCATGTAGATAAATGCAATGTGGTTTCATACATTGTCCATGTTGAGTGGCTAAGTAGGAACTCCCAAAAGCAGCTCCATTTAAGGAGAAGGCAGGTGCTTTGACGCCATGCCAAGGACTACATTTTTTTAAAAATAGGGTTTTCATGGCAAATCCAGGAAGCAAAATCTCTCGCCATTATCAAAAATATCTAGCATGTAGCATAACAAAGGCAGTGCACACTTGACATCAAATGGAGCCCTTGTTCTCCAGTGTCATCCTCAATCACAAACCTAATCAGGCATACGACCTTTTCTAAAAGGATCTGAAGAGTTTGCTAACCACTGTTTGATTGACTTGCCAATTTCTTTGCTGTAGTTGCATTTTTTCAGAAGTGTAAAGTACAGAGTTACTTTATAATTTTCTTCCCTTCTACAAGAACTCCCCTAAAAACTTCCAGAAGCATGTGAACTTATACCTAAATGAGTTCTCCTTAAAGATAAGGTAAGAAGAATAAAATTCATTCTAAGTATTTAGTTCCCATTAAAAAGAAGTAAAAGTATTTACAAAACATGGAAGGTGGGAGTAGGAAAGTTGGTAGCAGAAAAGCAAAGCGAGAAGAGGTGATTCATATTGAGACTGCCTAGGTCAAGGAATCTAAAGTGAGTCATTTCGACTTGACATATGTGGACTTAGACAGAAAACGTGTACTGAAATTTTGTTTGAAGGCATAATATTGAAGGAAAGCAGATGCTGCTACAGAGCAATCTAACCCTGAAATAATCTCCATGTTGAGCATCCATTGATGGCTGATGCAAAGTGCTTTTACACCTTGACTGGAAAAACTTCAGCCTAATTAATTCAGAATTATGTTGGTTGCATGATGAATAAAATTTTATTATGCTCAAGGTCAATTTTCAAACATATAATAACAACTGGAATAGAATTGAGAGTTCAAAGATAAACCCATACATCTATGGTCAATTGATTTTCAACATGGGGGCCAAGACTATTTAGTGGAGAAAAAACCAGTCTCTTCAACAAATGGTGCTAGGAAAACTGGATCTCCACACAAAAGAATAAAACTGGAATCCTATCTCACACAATATACACAAATTAACTCAAAATGGATCAACGACCTAAATATAAAAGCTAAAGCTATAAAACTCTTAGAAGAAAGCGGGTAAATCTTCATGACCTTGGATTTGGCAATGATGTCCTAGATATGACACTCAAACAACAAAAGAAAAATGTATAAATTGGATATCATCAATTTTTTTCAAGTTTTGTGCATGAAATAACACTATCAAGAAAGTTAAAAGGAAGCCTACAGAAGGGGAGGATATCTCTGCAAATCACATCTCTGGTAAGGGGCTAGAATCTAGAATACATAAAGAACCCTTAGAACTTAATGAAAAGACAACCCAATCAAAAATTGAGCAAAGAATTTAAATAGACATTTCTTGAAAGATATACAAATGGCCAAGAAGCATTTAAAAAGATGCTCAGCATCATTAGTCATTCAGGAAATGCAAATCAAAACCACAATAACACTTCACACTCACTTGGATGGTTAGCATTTAAAAAATGGAAAATAACAAGTGTTGGTTAGAATATGGAGAAATCGGAACCCTTGTGCATTGCTGGTGGGAATGTAAAACGGTGCAGCCACTGTGAAAAATAGTTTTGTCAATTCCTTAAAAAGTTAAGCATGGAATTATTCCATGACTTTGTAATTTCATTCCTAGGTATATACCTGAAAGGATTGAAAACAGGTGCTCAAAAAAGTATTTGTACACAAATGTTCATAGAAGCACTGTTTACCATAGTCTAAAACCAAATCTCCATCAACAGATGAATAGATTTTTTACTTGTGGTACATTTATATATTGGAATATTTAGCAATAAAAAGGAATGAGATACTGATATAGGCTACAACATGATTTAACTGTGAAAATGCTATTCTAAGTGAAAAGAAGTCAAAAACAAAAAGTCACATTTTGTTAGACTCCATTTATATAAAAGATTCAGAATAGGTAAATACACAGAAACAGAAAGTAGATTGGTGGTTGCCAGAGGCTGAAGAGAGAGAGAGGGGAATAGAAAGTAACTGCTTAACAAGTATGGAACTTTACTTCAGGATGACACAAATGTTTTCAAAACTAGATACAGGTGACGGTTGCACAACACTGGAAATGTACTAAATGCCACTGAATTGTTCACTTTAAAATGGTTAATTTTATGTTTGTAAATTTAACCGCAATAAAAAATATATATGTGGACATCAGTCAGAAAATCCTTGGAATGTATCTTAAGAGTCAAGGATGTATTATGAATTTTAACTTCCAATGAAATTAATATTTTTTACTTTCTCCTTTCATTCTGTTTGCCTTTTGGTTTTGGGATATAATTTGTTTTGCTCTCCTCAGATATTGTTGTAAGAGTACCAAACATAACTCAGAAGATACAATCAATGAAGAACTATACCCTGGATAGAATTTTCCCTCTTGCAAACAGATTTTTGATGTCCTCACTGAAGTAGATTGTTTATATTTTATTTGTTCAGATAACACCATCCATCCCCTATGTGTTAGTCAGGGTTCTGCAGAGAAAAAAAACTAACAGTAAGCAGATAGATAGTAGATAGATAATAGTAAGTAGGTACGTAGGTAGGTAGATAGATAGATGAGATTAGGTTTATTATGAGGAATTAGCTCATATGATTATGGAGACTAAGAAGACCCAAGATATGCCATGTGTAAGCTGAAGAACCAGGAAAGCCAGTGGTTCAATTCAATCCAAGTTCAAAATCCTGAGAACACAGTGAGCAAATGATATAACTAGCAGCCCAACGTCAAAGGTCTGAGAACTAGGAGCTCCAATGTCTGAGGGCATGAGAAGACAGATGTCCCAGTTCAAGAAGAGAAATACAGGATTTGCTCTTCCTTCCCCTCTTTGCTCTATCAGGGTCCTCAAAGGATGGGATGATGTCCTCAAGTTTTCTTTACTCAGGGCAAATCTTCATTGCTCAATCTACTAATTCAAATCCTAATGTCTTCTGGAAACACCCTCACAGACACATCCAGAAATAATGTTTACTAGCTACCCAGGCATCTCTTAACCCAGTAGAGTTGACACATACAATTAAGTCCACCCCTTGTCAACTTGGCACCCAAACACATGTCCCTATACCATAACTCAATCTCCTGCCACCAGGTAGCTAGCTGATCACCCCAGGGAATGGTACCACATTGGAGCTGAGTGTTGGCCTCTATTGCTAACAGTTTGTATATATTCAGTGGTTGCTGTAACCAGGTCCACCTTGGTAAGTAGAAGTACATTTGGCTGAGCCCATGCATGACCTCCATCCTTGCCACCCATAGCCACTTTATTCATGACACCATTTGGCCTTGTAAGATCTGACAATATAAGTTTAAGTCCCATAGAAGGAAGTACAAAAGGAGTTTGAGTGTTCGGCAATTTAGAAACCTGGGAAAGGGGAGCTGGCAGGACCTGAGGTGCAATAAAGGGGCCCAACATTTCAGCATGTTCAGGTCTCACTTTGTCATTCTTCACCCCTGGCCTAAGGAATATGCCAAGGTGATTTCAAACAAAGCCTCAAGTTCCAGTCTTGATGAAAGAGGCAATATTTATTTTGAATTATGTTTGCAAAAGGCTGGGGGTGGAATATAAGAGGGCAGGAAAGGTAAAACAAATTGGTGATGTCATTTGGAGTGGAGGTTTTTTGCATAATTGAATTTTCTCTTCTGTAGGGCACTGTGGAGAGTGACATTTCAAAAGAGCACAGCTAAAACAGAAGTCCGTCAGATGAACTGGAGTTATCAGAGTTGAGAATGCTTTGGACAAAACCTAATAACCAAAGACTTAATCTGTGCAATCCTTTCAGCAACATCTCTATGCTATGCGCCCCTTCTTTAGAATACTGCAGGCATGGACCTGGAAGTACAATTTCCAATTGTTGAAATTGTATTAGTAGTTAAACATTGATAAAACAAAACCTTATATATAAACCTGTATCTAAAGGAACACTTATATACACAAAAAGGTCATGCGGAGCCGTCCTGGTTGAAATGGATGCGTAGGCTACAGTCCAGGACACTCGTCCTGCCCCCACCATTCCTGTCCAGGAATTCTTTGAAATCCTGGAGGTTTGTGGTGTATATTTTGCAAATTGTTGCAGGGCCAACATCTAAATTTTTCCAGATGAGAAAGTAAGGCACAGAGAAGTTAAATGATTTGTCTAAATTTACGAAGTTATTTTTCACTGGGATGAGGGGCCCAGCTCTCTGTCTTGATCATCACCTCCCTAACATTCATTACATTTTGGTTTTTCAAAGTTCTTGGTGAAATGAAATAGATAAAATATGTACTGACTCACAGCATAGTAGAAATAGAACAGAGTTCACGTCCCAGCTCCACCATTCTCTGATATGACACTGAAAATCAATGCCCTTCTCTGAGCCTCAGTGTTGTCATTTGTAAAAATTAGGGATTGATGTGATATTACGGTGGGGAAATGAATGTGTAAATAAAGCTCTGAGATCTTTATTTCTATTTAAAGAGGAGGAAGAAAAAAATTATATATATATAAACTTTTAGTCTGTCTCTACTTTTCCCCTCCCTTGTTTGTGAAACTGTCTCTTTAACGACATTCAACACAATGGTAAGTAACTTATGTTACTTAAGAAATGCTGGTTGCTATAACAAACAAACTCTGAAACCTCAAGAAGCTTAACCAAATATGAATTCATTTCTTACTGAAGCAAAATGCAACGTGCATGCTCCAGGTCAATGGATGGCCTTCCATGTAGCATCACCCTGCCCTGCAGCCTCAGAACCTTCTGCCAGGTCCTTTGCATCTTGCCAGTGGACAGCAGAAGACAAGATGGAGGATTGTGGGGGAGGTTTTAATGCAGTAAGCTTGGAGGTCAACAAGAGGACACATGGCTTCTGACCATGTTCTGTAGTCAAAACTCAGCTGCATGATTCTAGAGAGATGCAAATCCCAGAGGAACCGGGAAATACAGAACCTACAGAAGGCACAGGATGGAAGGAGAGATATGGGTGTGTCAATCCTCCGTGGCGCACTGCTTGTCTGCCATTGAGAGTTACCAAATAAACACATCTTCCTAGAGAAGAAGCTACTCTTTATAAATGTAACTATAGAGATAAGAAACAAGGAGAATGCATGTGTTTCCACTTATACAATTTTATATAATAAAAATTCCTATCTATTCAGAACATCATGTAAATGAATTTTTTTATAAAGCCTTTACAGCCACATGCATGAATCCTGTGGGGGGAAAAGTGTTGTTGCAGAAAGGAGAAAAAAACAGATGTGTTTTGCTTTTCCCAGTTTGGAGATGCCACTGAGTTTTCTCCATGACCTTTTGACCATTTACTCTCCCCAAAGATTCCATATTGTTTTCTTTCCTGCTGCTTTTGAAAGGCACCTAACTGTATTCAGATATTTATAATCTAATGTTTATGGACTCCAAGTTCCATGGGTATAAAAGAGACCATTTATGGGGAAAATAGTACAATCTTGAATTGTTCCTCGAATTCTCTACACATGATTTGTTTAAATTGGTTAATCAGTAAATACTGTGTGAACAGGTGTCATGATTTTTCCAAAGTGATGTCATATGCAAACAATTCCAAGTACATGTTTTATTCATGGTGCTTACTGGTATAAATATTTCTCTAAACTGGTATTAGATTTGGTTATATGAAAAGACCAAAAGCAACAGCTGGAAGAGCCAGAGTCCAAGGCATCCATTTGGCCTGGAAGTTGGCCCATGTGTCCTGCTGTTGACTATGGAACCCTCCTGTCATCTGCCTCTTGAAGGGCAGCTCCTGTCTACTCTTTGCAGAATGGATCCTAGCCTCTGCAGCCACTTTCTGAAAGCAGCACTCTTATTCCACAGGCTCTGACTGCAATCATTTACCCCCTTCCTCCTGTGCTTGAGGACTGTCCTATCTACATGAGCACTTCATTTCTTCCCTTTAAGGGGCAGTGTCAGTTCCTCAATAAGCTCTTTCTCCTGTTTCAAACCTCTTGCATTTCTAGGGACCTTCCATGAGTTCCAGGGTTAGGCTTGATGGATAAAGCTAGTACCACTGTAACATAGGGGTGATTTTTTAAAAGGTTTTATTGAAGTGCAGTTGATATAAACTGCACAAATTTAATGTATACAATTTGACAAATTGGGATATAAGCATACTCCTGTGAAACTATTAACATAAGATTAAGGCAATAGACATATCTATCACCTTCAACATTTCCTATGTCTGTGTGTGTGTGTGTGTGTGTGTGTTAGTTAAGAACACAATGTGTGAGATCTACCCTCCCAACAAATTTTTGAATGCATAATACAGCATTGTGGACTACAGGCACCATGCTGTCCAGCAGATCTCTGGAACTAATTCATCTTGCATAACTGAAACTTTACACCAATTGAACAACAACTCCCCCGCCCCTGGTAACCACGGTTCTATTCCCTGCTTCTATGAGTTTGACTATTTTAGATTCACCATGTAAGTGGAATCACGCAGTACTTTTTCTTCTGTGACTGGATTATTAGCATAATATCCTGTAGTTTCAGCCATGTTGTCCCAAATGGCAGGATTTTCTTCTTTAAGGCTGAATAATATTCCATTGTATGTATGTACCACGTTTTCTTTATCCACTTATCTGTCAATAGACATGTGGGTTGTGTAACACAGAGGTGATTTGATTCCTTGGGGCCCACCACTCAAAGTGCTCTAGCCTAGCATTGTCCTAAGTATGTTTCTATGAATCCTATTTCCACAAGTTCCTGACAGATGTTACCTACGAAGAGGTGGGGGTGGTTCCCATAATCAAATAAATGCTAGATACACTGAATTAAACTAATTTAACATGTATTTTTCATGCAGGACTTCTCAAAGCTTGAAATATGTCACTGTCACTATGAATCTCCAAGAGAGGGATGTAATGCATCAACCTTTTCAAATGGATTTGACTTGAGGTGTTTTTTTGTTTTTTGTTTTGTTTTGTTGTTGTTGTTGTTTTTGGCTTAGCGTTTCTCATGGAACTAACGATAATGGGAAGACACTTCTGGGAAAATGGTGATCCAAGCTGTTCTGTATCAAGCTGATAATTCTCCCCATCTAAAGAGAATTTTATGACATTCTACTTATGAATAAGTGGCCTTGCAATTACATTTGATACCACTTCATATGCCAACTGCTGAATAATAGCACATGTGGTAGACAGAGATGTATTGCCCAGATCTCCCCTCAAGGAAGGACTCTCTACCCAGCTGCAATGAGCAAACAGCCTCCAGTGATGACTCTCTTTAGGGTTTGCCTCAGCTACAGAGAACCACTTTGCCCAAGGCCACACACTTCCTGCAGCAGGCTCTACCAGGTGGCTGAGAATGGCAGGGTCTGAAGGCCAAGCCATTTTGGCTTAATGTGGGACACTCAGATGTGCAGTTTTCACTTCCTACCAGGCTGAGACTTTGTCAGGCATGCATTGGCAGTGCAACTTCTTCCTAGTCCAATCCTGCTTCCCCACCTGCCTTTACTATTGCAGGTGGTCAACCATAAACATCATGTCCTAAACTCCAAAGAACCCAACATGTGAGAGTTGTTCTAGAAGCGGGCTGAGGAAAAGTGACAAGATGGGGTTTTGGCAGTTCAACTGTTAAACTTTTATTGGAAGGAATTGGAATTGAGAACCAGTGGAATGGAGGCTAATGGGTGCAACGTGTCAGGCATTTGATACATGTGAAGGAAATCAGAGCTATCAGGCTAAGGTATTAATACCTTTTGCAAAGGACCACTGATGTGCTACGGAAAGAAAATGAACATTTAAGAGTGAGCATGAAATTGAGAAATTTTAATTTCAAGAAATTGAAAGCCAAATATGAAAGACAAAGGGCCACTTTGGATACGAGGAATGACCAAGAAAGTCAAGGACCAAGCCCAATCCGATAAGCTGAATTTAAATGCGGTTAAATGCTCTGCCAAGGGACATAGGTTAAACCAATGCCAAGGCCTTCTTTGGGGGGGAAAAAAGGACAAAAAACTAGGATCCTGACACATAGAATAGCTCACACATATTGGTGGAGACTATCTATTGCAGATTTCAGTTGTGGGAAGAGGTGTCACATGGATTTTGCAATAAGCCCAATTTCAACACAGGCACCTGGAATTCTGGAGCAAGGTTATGTCATTCACAACAGAGGAGCATATACCTTCGAAAATAACCCCTGACATGCTACTAGGCTACTGGAGGGACAGAATTCCTGAGCATGGGACACCAAATGGCCATACTAGAACTGCCCATGATTAGTTAAGTCTTACCAGATACACCAAATCATAAAGTCAAATGGGCTTAGCAACAATTGATCATAAGACGGAAGCATTATATTTTGCATCAATATGACCATGGAGGTAGCTCAGACTCCCATGGTGTCCAACACTGTTACAAAAGCATGACTCTCTCAGCTCATATCTATATCTGTGTGACAGATCCCTTATGACCAGCTAAAAGAGGAGGAAAAAAAATGGCTTACAGATGAATTGGCTCTGTATGTGGAAGCAGCTGTACTACCTTCAGGGATAGCCTTAAATGACAGTAAAGGCAAAAAATCCCTCCAATGGGAAGAGCTTTGGGCAGTGCATGAGTCATTCACTTTCTTAGTTGGAAAGAGAAGAGACCCAAATTTAGAATATATATGGACTGCTGTGTAGCACTGAATAGACTGGACAGCTGGCCGGGGGTCTGGAAGGGAAAAAATTGGAAGATCAAAAGCAAGGAATTTGTGATTCAGTCACATGGATGAACATATGGGATTGAACACGAAATCTGAAGATTTTTTAAAATGTGTTTGTTGATACCAACCAGACAAAATTATTTATCCACTTAATGCCAGCTAGTTTCTGTCACTGACCATCTCAGTGCTGGCATAATGGGACATGAACTTAGTGACCACAGTGGCAGAAATGGGGGCCCAACAGCATGCACTCCACTTATCAAGTTTGATTTAGCAATTGTTGCAATCAAATATCCAATGCACCAGCAACAGAGACCATCACTGAGCTCCCAATACGGTGCCATTCCTCAAGGACATAAACTGGCCACTTGGTGGCAAGCTGCATACGTTGGATCCTTTCATCCTGAGAGGGCCAATGGTTCTTTCCCATTGGAATAGACAATTTACTCATATATAGGTTTTACTTTCTTGCCCATAAGGTCTAATCCACATGACTATCTGAGTAAGGAATGCTTGCTCCAATGGCATGGGATTCCACAAATTTCAAATCAGACCAGTAGATTCACACGACAGCAAAAGAGGTATAGGAGTGGTCCCAGGACCCACTGCTGGGATCCTCCTGGACTTATACCACGGTACCCAGGAGCTACCAGCCTGATAGAGTGCTGGAATGGCCTGCCAAAGGCATAACTGCCAGCCCCATACATAATAATTTATAATGATGGGTTGCCATCCTTCAGGGTGTAGCATACAGAAATGAATCAAATGCTATATGGCATTATGTCTCCAATAGGAAGAATACGTGTGTGTGGAAACCAAACGGAAGAGGCAGTAGTGGCCCCACCTACTATCACTCTTTATCACCCACAGGGGGACTTTGTGCTTTCCATTCCTACCACTCCAGGCTCTGGACAGTTAGAAGTTCTGGTGCCAAATGAGATACACTTTCACTGCTAGGAGACAACGCAAGAGTCCCATTAAATTTTCAGCTGCCGTTGCCACCTGGGCACTCTGAATTTGTGACTTGTGGACAGAGACCGATAGGCAAGAAGAGGAGTCACAACACTGGCAGGGGCAATTGACCCTGATCATGAGGAGAAGGTAGGGATGGTGTGCACAGAGACAGGAATACACGTGGAACCCAGGTGATTCACTTGGTACTCCCTTGCCCAATTTGACTGTAAATAGACAAGTGCAGTAACCCTAGCCTGTGAAGGGCATAATGACCAGGTGCTTAGGTGCTCCCCTTCAACATGATGGTTGGGTTTCATTCATTAACAGGTAAGCCATTGAGGCAGAGGGGAGGGTAACCTAGGCTGAATAGTGAAGGAGGGAAATGAGCACCAACTAGTAGCTCTGAAACCAACTACAACGGCATGGACTATAGTTTATACCTCCAACCTCCCTCTTCTTATTTCCCCTCAGGAAGTGAAGTCCATCAGATCCTGTAGAAGTTGCTCCCTGAATGTATATGGAAGAGTGAATCTGAAAGGCACTATAGTTGACAGAATTGTACAGCCCAGATTCCTCTTCAAGGATGAACTTGCTGCCTGTCTGGGGACCATAAGCAGACAGCTTCCAATTGCCAGCTCCTTCTCTGGCTTCAGCTGCACAGAGGTAGCTAAGGTCATGCCCTTCTCTGTACAGCCAACTCCTGGCAACTGAAGGAGGCAGGGATAAAAAGGCTGGTCCATTTTGGTTCAATATGGAACACTGATGGGCAATATTCACTCCAGAGTTCACTGCTGGGAGGACTGAAGCTTCATCAGGCCTGCCTCACAGGTCAGTTTCTTCCTCTGTTCAGCCCTACTTTCTCCTCATTGCCTTTCACAGGTGTTGATCACTAATAAACCTTTTGCACCCCAAACTCCATCTCAGTGTCTGCTTTTGGAGAATCCAAAACCTGAAGCAGCAGACAAGCAGTAAGAATAATCAAATACTCCAACCAGCAATGGGTAAAATTCATTGAGCACTAATAGGACCCAGGGATTTTTGCTGAGTGCTTTATATTCAGTATATGTCTTGTTTCAGCCTAAGGAAAATAATAAACTCGTGGGATAGATACTATTATTATCATCACCACTTTGCACATAAAGGAACTTAAGGCACAGAGAACTTATACAATTTGCCTAAGGTCATATTTCTAGGAACTCCAGAGCCCATGCACTTAATCACTAAATACATTAAAAAGTAAAATAACTTGAGGTAAGATTATCTTGAAGAGTTTTGTAAGCTGTGACACATTATTCAAATAGTAGTACATGACCATGTGTCAGGATCCCTGCAGTAAGGTGATGACACTCAAAATGAGTAGTTTAAGGACAGATTAATAAAGTATGTGCAAGGCTGTAGGCTGGGTATAGGGAATCAGTAAGACAGTACAGCGCCCCAGGCAGGGCCAATTTTACTGGGGTGTTGTTCCTACCCCCAGGGCTGAAGGAAGGAGGGGAGAAAACGGTCACAGGAACCCAGAGTCACAGAGAGCTCTGCACGATCTGACAGGGCCTGTGACCTCAGATTGATGAGGAAGAGAAGGGGCAGGGAATTCAATAGCTGGCCTCACCCTTCCTCCCTTCCTTGGTTCTGCTAATGCTCCTCATTGGCTGAGACTGACAGAAGCCAGAAGTCCACACAGGACTTCAGAGTACAGAGAGTGAGGGGAAGATTAGAGGGGCAAACAGCAACCATCTAGAACACACAGTGAAGTCGGTAGCAGGTGAAGAAACCAAGGATCAAAGCAGATCCCCAAGCAAGACCTCTCAGATTCATAGGCAGAATCTGGACTTGAATCTTCCCACCTGTCCATGAGAAAAGTCCAACTCTAAAACATTTGAAGAGATTTGTTCTGAACCAAATATAAGTAACACATGGCCCATGACACAGCCCTCAGGAGACCCTGAGAACATATCCCCAAGGTAGTCAGGGCACAGCTTGGTTTTATACATGTTAGGTAGACATAAGACATCAATCAAATACATTTAAAATATACACTGGTTTGGTCCATCAAACTGGGGAGTGCAGGGGGCTTCTAGATTATAGCTAGGATTTTTTAATGTTCTTATTGGCAATAGTTGAAACAGTTATTATCAATAGAAAGGAATGTCTGGGTTATAAGAGGTTATGTAGACCAAAGTTTTATCATGCAGTTGAAGCCTCCAGGTAGCAGGCTTCAGAGAGAACAGATTGTAAATGAAGCTTGTCCAGCCCATAGGCCACATGCGGCCCAGGATGGTTTTGAAAGTAGCCCAACACAAATTCGTAAACTTTTATGATTTTGGTGATTTTTTAAAGTTAATCTGCTATCATTAATGTTAGTGTATTTTTGTGTGACCCAAGACAATTCTTCTTCCGATGTGGCCCAGGGAAGCCAAAAGATGGGACATACTTGTTGTAAATGTTTCTTATCAGACTTAAGGTCTGTGTTGATGTTACATGCTGGTTGTCTTTTCATGAATTCCAAAAGGGAGGAGTGCATAATAAGACATGTTTGCACACCAGCCCCTTCCTGTCATGCCCTGAACCAGTCTTTCAGGTTAAAATTAGAGGGTCCTGACCTAAAGGAGGAAGTCCATTCAGATAGTTGAGGCGAGGGGCCTTCGAATTTTACTTTTGGTTTATAGACCCCATCGCTGCACATTTTTCAACCCCACTCTTTCATGGAATAATAGAAGGGTAATTTTCTCACCACATGGACAATTACAGAACACCATGCAGACTATGTGGGCTCCTGATAAACTGACTCACGTGCCTGTTATTTCACTTGCCTCCAGTTGACAATTATCCCTGTGGGTTCGCACTGACCTGACTTCCAATAAGATGATACTCCACCCCTACGATGGAAAGAGACTCCATGTACCTCCTTAAGTAATGCATCTTCATTTTCTAGAAACTCCTAACACACCAGGAAAATGTGAAGCAAATCCTGCTAAAATTCAGGAAGACTTCTTTTGAGGGGCCAAAAGAATGTATAGAAATAAAGGAAAATCATGGACTTTGTGCGAGAAATTGGAAAGTTCTGGCCTCTTAGGAAACCAATTCAGTACAATTACAGAGATAAAATAGAATTGGTCTTAAGAGAAGACAAAGAAAGCAGGAAAGGGTGACATAGATGTTTATTAGTATCTACAATCAACCAGGCCTTGTACTAAATATATTATCTTATTTAATTCTCCTCAGGAAACCATAGAGTAAGTGTACATAATGGGCATGTCAATTTGGCTACTCAGGATTTATTTCTCCTCTGTCTAGAAACAGAAACTAGAATATCCTTTGGGAAATTTGTCTGTCTTTATCCTTAACCATGAAGTTGAAAGAAAGAAGCTGGCCACACTCCCATTACTATGATTAGATCCTGATTGGTGCATACTAATCAACGTGTCCTGTCTCCCTGTATTACTTTGCTATGGCTGCCACAATAAATACCAGAGACTGGATGCCTCAAGCCACAGAAATTTATGAGAATATTTATTTTCTCATAAAATAAATTTCTGGAGGCTACAAACCCAAGATCAAAGCATTGGCTGGTCTGGTTTCTGGTGAGTCCCTGCTCCTTGGCTTGCAGATGACCATCTTCTCTTCTTTGTCTCCAAAGTCTTTCCTCTGTGCTTGTCCTAATCTCTCCTTCTTATAAGGATATGACCTTCTTATAAGGACACCAGTCGTACTGAATTAGGGCCCACTTATGAACTCATTTTACTTAATTACATCCTCAAAAGTCTTAGCTCCAAATACAGTCACTGGAGGTTAGTACTTTAACATGTAAACTCAGGAGGGGACAGAATCCAGTCCACAACACTCCCTTTGGCACAGTGACTGGTTCCAGGATGGCAAGAATTCCAGTCAGAGTCCATGAGACACAAGGAAATGTATATTCAGACTTCTGGGAAAGAGGAGTTTCCTCTCTTCCACTGGACTTGGTAGTATTCAGATATGAAGCTTGCAGTTCCTGCAGCCATTTTTATGCCATGAGGAAAGCCAACTCAAGATGAAATCATTACATAGAGGAAGGCAGAATAAAAGATTCAAGGAAACTATACCTGACCTGAGTTCAAGGTTTGAACCTCTGGACTACCCCTGGACTTATAAGATACTTGAGCCAATAAAATGCCTTTGGCTTTACATCAGTCTGAGGTGGACTTTTGCTATGCCCAAAATCAAAATTCCTAGTGGATATAATATTGTATCTTTATTTTTCAGTCACACAGCTAAGTGCTAACATTTGTGTGTATTTCTGGCAGAGGCCAAACCCCTGGCACTTGCTACTACGCCAAGTTTACTGTTTCCTCTAGAGAGCTGCAAGCTGAGCACAACTTTGGCCTAAACACAAATGGGTCCCTGATATCAGAACACAGTAATTTACCTATCCTTCCATACATTTCCCAGAACATCCTCCAAATCCAGTGTGTGAAAAGCTGCTCTAACATGAAGTCCAGCCAGTGACTGTGTTCCAAACTCCAAAGGAAAGCCTGGGTTCCAGAAATATCATCCATTCTGGTTAAACTTCTTAAAGATACTGAAGACTGGACATTTCCTTCAGTCAGTTATTTTGAAAGGGCAAGGACTTTGTTGTCCTCCTTCAGTTTCATTGACTTCAAGACGTTTACTGTGCCAGGCACTCTGTCATGTGCCGTAGGGGATCTAAAGATGAATGACTAGGACATAGTCCCTGCCCTGGGGATGCTCACACTGATCACAGTAAGGGAGATCTGCAAACAGCTAACAAAACACAAGAAGAAATAACCAGAAATGGGATCTTTCATAGTTTGTAAATAGGTATCTTTGTCCAGAGAAGCTAAAAGGAGCAAGCTGCCTCAAATTTGTGGTTGCTACCGTCTTTGGAAGGGGAAACTAGATCATTAAGCAGTACCTATTGAACTCTGAAATAGTAAGTACACAGTATTTTGCATTTGACCACTACTGACTTTAAAATGTTTTTACCACACTTTACAATGAAACAAGGTATGGACAAATAGAGAACCATGTGAGAAGCTAACATCACTCTGCCCCCTTTACAAAAGGAAAACAATGAGGCTATAACCATAATACAGTATAACTAAAACAATTCAGAAAATCATGGAATTAAGAGCATCTAAAAATATTTTTTAGGAATTTTTTTCTTCAATAACATGTTTTTCCTCTTGAGTTAATATGATTATGTGGTTATAAAATGAAGAGACTCTTTGGCTTGCCTTCTTTCAGTTTTGAAATGATGTCCTCATTATGTCAGCTGATGACTGAAAACTCAGAGCCAAAAACATGCTTAAGAGGACCCCAGAGTCAAACAAATTGAAATCCAGAGTGCCTGAAAATTTTACAATGATGGTGTCCAAAAGCATCATTCATTTATTTTTCTTATCATTTATTATAATCAAGTATTTAATTGAATGGTGCATTGGGCAGATTATTAAGTACTGTGAGAATTATAAAATTTACTTAAACAGCCCCTTTTATTGCAAACATTACAGTTCAGAGAAAACCTGACCACTTAGTACTGACCTACTGAATCATTTTGGAAAAAAGATGATTTTTCTGCTTCTTTTGAAATTGGTGTAACAAATAGCCCACCCAGAAAGAAATGAAATTTATTAATGTTTTAAAGTTTTAGCATTAGCTAAAGGGACCCACCTTGCTTGGATCTGCCGAATCTGAGAAGCAACATCTTGACCACAATGGTCAGATGGGAGTACCAGCTTTGCCCCTTTCTACAGCAATACCTGGAGGGATACTTTAACTGAAGTAGTATTCAACTTTTTATATGAAATGAAAATAGCATACATTGACCTCAACACAACTGTGCCCTACGACCTGCATTGCGCAACGGAATTCTGACTGTGTATTTCCAGTTTCTCATCCCTGTAACTCCAGGTGAACTCCCCAAAGGGTGCAGTTCAGAGAATGGCCCTATTGGACTTCTCTTGTATCCTGATCCTGTTTCTCCTTTTTTGTGTATTCATTATGCTGCCATGCCCCACAGTAGCCTGCATGGTGATGGTCACTTACCCATATAAAGGTCCCAGATTCCCAATCTGCATTTCCAAAAATTCCAAGTTCTCTTTAAAAAGGAAGATCAAGCTGAAACATGAAAGGTTCCCTTATCTCTCGCACAGGGCATATGATGGGGGTGTGGCTCACTTCTTCAGTGCCCCACTGCTCAGACCTCTAAGGGGAAACATGCAGATGGGCAGGCTGTGGGGCTCTGACCCCACAGCAGTACCCAGGGGTGAATGTTCATAGTTCCTGAGGCCCCAGTGGGCGTGTGTTACAGAGTGCTCTTTTAGGTTAGTCGTCCATAGGTGGCTTGTATTAGCTCAATTAAACCCATGCCTTATCACAAGGATAGAGGGCTTTCCGTATGCCTTGGTGTACCAGAAGAATCGGATCACACATGACCTCGGAGAATGAGCGCAAGCTTTTGAGTGGAAGTAGCTCTCAGCAGATGGGGGAGCCAGAAGGGAGATGGTTTTCCCCTGGAGTCGGGTCTCTTGGTGGCCTGGGCTCTCCTCTGACCGCCCCAGCCAAACTCTGCATCGTTCCACCAGTTGATGGCCTGCCAGTCTGCCAGTGCCTGTCAGCATGCTCCAGCCAATATGCTCCTCTCAATGTCCAGCCAGTTGTATGTTCTTCCACTGATGTGCTCCTCTCGACATCCGGCCGCTTGTGGTCACTGCCTGCTAGTGTCTTGGGGTTTTTATAGGCACAGGATGGGACGTGGTGGGCCAATGGTTTTGGAAAACGCAACATTTGGGCACAAAGGCAGGAGTGCCTATCCACACCTAGGTCTGTGGGCACAGGCCCGAGGGTAGAGCCCTAGAGCCAGGGACCTGCCTTTATCTAGCCAGTATTTCCCTGTCCCGCCCCCTCCCATATCCTAGCTACTCTATTCAAAAGTGGTCACTTT
This sequence comes from Homo sapiens, assembly GCF_000001405.40. Taxonomy (NCBI): domain Eukaryota; kingdom Metazoa; phylum Chordata; class Mammalia; order Primates; family Hominidae; genus Homo; species Homo sapiens. Next base: position 1,520,663 of record NC_000009.12, on the reverse strand, counting down.
CCTCCAACACTATCTACTAAATGCCTTGTGACAATGAATTTGTATCCAGGAAGTGCTTTCTCATTTCAACCACATAGCTGAAAACTTTCTTTCCCTCTTTGAGCACTCTCTTGTCAATTGCCTCTAAGCGTGGCTATAGTGATGTAAGTAGATCACTGTAGTGATGAGGGAAGGATTGTAATCTACTTACTTTTGGTGGAATGAGTGTCTTCCATATTGGCATTTAGGTTGAAACTGGAGCAGAAATCAGTATCAACCCTGGCTGCTACAGTTCATTTTGCCATTTTGCCATTTATTTCCCATTAATTGTGTGGCCTACATTTGCATCTGAAAATTTGGGGTGTTATTGAGCAATGTATATTTGGAAAAGGATCCATGCTAGGAGCTATGGAGTAATAAAATAGTTCCTACTCTTGGGAAGTCACACTATCTACAGCGCAAAGACAAGATGCATACAATATAGCTTGAGCAGTATAAAAGACTCTTCATATCCTAAGAATTATGTCCCAAGACTTTCTTGAATTCCCAAATATATCACATAAAACTTTCATAAAATGTAGTCAAAAATTTAAATGGCACTGCCAGACTCCAGTGATTTTCTCTGCATAGGATGAAAATCATATGCAATATACCCTATTTCTGGCTAGGAACAATCACCTTTTTGTAACTCTTCAGTTGCTTTTTACTTCCATTACCAGAACCAGCAACATGTTTCTTTATGGGAAAAATTATGCTAAAAAAAAAACTTTTATACTATAGTTGCTGTGTTCACAAAGAAACATGAGATATGGAGGATGAATAGTCAGCTAAAGGCAGTCACTAGCCATATGCCTCACTTATGTAAGCCAGCCTCATAGTTCTTGGAGTTCAAAACAAATCTCAGTCAAATTTCCAATGATTACCCACCATGAACCTCCTAGGTTTTCAAAATTGGTTGATACTACACATTAAACCTATGAATGTGAAGCCTGTTTAGGGCAATTTTAGATGAGGCCTGGAATTTGAGCTGAAATTCCGGTAAAGTTATATAGGTAGAAAAGAGGAACACTGGTGGTGGCCATAAAAATGCACCTCTCAGATCTCCTGCCGGAGGAGTCTGTCCTCTGAAAACCACCATTGTATTTGTGCCAAGATAATGCTCTCTGTGGGCTGTTTCCACCCAATGACTGAGTTTGGCAGGAAAACTAAGGCAGGCACACTCTTAAAAGACGTGGGACTCAGACTCTTCTGATAGGCAACTTTGTCTCCTGCTGACTCTGTGAAAACTTTTATAGACCTTCACTACAGTCTAAGAGCTTCTTTCCTTCCTTCCTTCTCTTTCCTCTTAAGAGGCAGACCTACATCAAGGTCAGACAGTATTCCCAGCATCCTCCTGCTCCCTCTCAATTTTCCCTCATGATTTAAATCTCTTACATGTCTAATCCCATCATAGCATTTGCTTTCTGAGCACTTGAACTAATGCAACTACATTCTAGGTTGTTTTGGAAATTTGGGAGAGAATTTTTGGTTGTCACAACGATTGTGGAATTGTAGGGTGGAATCTCCTGCTGGTATTTAGTGGATGTGGTCAAAGATGCAAATTCTTTTATAATATATGGAATAATCCCTCCCAAAGAAGAACTGTTTCACATCTTCCATAATTTCTGAATGTCTTGCCAGGCATCCATATAGATGAAACATCTGTTTAAAATTAAACAGGCCTAGAACCTAACTCCATTTAAAATATAAACATCAAGTATTTTTTCTTAGTTTTAATATATGCTCAATTTTCTAGGAATGCAGCTACCTTCAAATCAAGGGAAGATTATCTTTATGTTGTTATTTACCAAGAATGGCTCATCATTTCAGAAAAGTTGCATCACCAATAGCAGTTCCACTTGTGATACCTGAGGGTATCAATCTGCACTTGTAGATCAGTGTTCTTTGCATAGTTACAATTATGTCATAGAGTTTATTTACACCCCAAAATGTGCATGTTCAAATAAATAATAATTTATTAATTTCTTTATATTATTCTTTTATTTTACATTTAGGGTATTGCCCTGATTTCTATGAATGTAGGTGGCGTTATATTACCTAACATACTTCCATTTCAGAATAGAACAGGGGGAAGTATAATATCCATGATAAACAAAAAAAGGAGAAGTGTTTAGTCTGATGGAGTATAAAACTTCTCAGAGTAAAAGAACAAAGTAGCTTTTAGAATGAGGGTCAAGATATCTTGGCAGGGGTAGATATGGTTTTCTCATGACCACAAAGTTTTCAACCATTCTCATCTTATAGCCTTACCTTGATGAATTTATCCTTGTCTGCAGGATCACTGATGAACTTCCCTATTCTTCCATTATAGAACTTGAGATTTAGCAACCAATGGCTGATGGGCCATGAGACAACTGGGACATTGGGTTATATACACTGCCCTTTTGGCTTAATGGTCAAAAGCTGTCAAGCATCTTACAGGACTCCATGTGGCTGTTTGCTTGCTTGCTTTGTGGAAGTTGCCTTAGCATTCCAATAGCTCAGAGATGCACAGTAAGAACAGAGAGTCTGGAGCCAATCAACTTTCCACAGCCCAGTTAACTGGTCTCACTTTCTTTGAACCAGATGGCCACCACTCCCAGATGTTACGTTGGTCTCATTTACACCTAATCCTTTGGATTGCCAGTTTCTGGAGTCCACACCATGCTAGAAAATTTAAGTTATACCTTGGGCTAAGAGCTGTTATGAGATCAGTATAATTTCCTATAAGATAAGCAGAATGCTTATGTGTAATTTAATCCCTCTGGCTCCGATAATCATTTGCAAAATGCCCAAAGGGGGCTGTGCATTTCTAGGCATTTTATGTTAAGGGAACAGAATTTAGAAAAGATTTGGTTTCTGCACTTTTAGTATGTAGCTTAGTAAAGCCAAACCAAAGGGATATCAAGAACAATAAACATTGACCCAGAGAAGTCTCATATTGTTAGGAGCAAAATTAATAACTCCCTGTCTTCTTAGAAGTTATTAATTATGTTATTTATTCATAGACACACCCTCTAGCACAGATACTGCAAAGTGACATTCGGAGGAGCGAGCTCTCAACTTAATGAGGGAGGAAGGAGCTTCAGGCTACAGGTCTACCCTAAACATCCTTTATCAATGTCCCAGAACTTTGCTTATGTCTCTGTTGCAATGTTTGCTACCAATAATTAGGTTTCTGGATTTTGAGTTATCCTCCAGCAAAAAAGAGACCCTATAAATTAATTGGTCATTTATGCTTATGGTTGTTCATCTTTTTAATTAGCAATACAGTTTGAATTTTATGAAATTATGCTGAATGCTATGGTACTTGGCTTCATATATAACTTATCACATAAGTAAACAAGTATTATAATTGTCTAACTATTCCTTGCTTTGGGGAATATGTCTTCTAATTAAGTCTTTGTTGATTCTTTCCCTGGAGTTAAATAGGCATAGTCCTTTTTATGCATTTTATACCCTGATAAAATGAATAGGCTCATGTGGCCTCTGATTAGACTTCATGAGTTCTCTGTATATGGTCATATATTTCTCCCTTTTCCTTCTTATCTTGGTGTATTAGTCTGTTCTCACAGTGCTAATAAAGACATTCCTGAGACTGGGTAATTTATAAAGGAAAAAGGTTTAATTGACTCACCATTCAGCATGGCTGGAGAGGCCTCAGGAAACTTATAATCATGGCAGAAGGTAACTACCCCCAGTGATTCAACTACTTCCCTCCAGGCCCTTCCCATAACACGTGGGGATTATGGGGACTACAGTTGAAGATGAGATTTGGGTGGGGACACAGCAAAACCGTATCACTTGGCCACTATATATCTTCATCTTATTGGGAGTTTCTATGGCAGTATACTACACTAGATGTTTGTTGACTCTGTAAAAAGGGACTATGTCTCTGATCTCTTGTTTAGTCCCATCTCCTCCTGGTACCCTACAGCGTTTTACAAAGAAGAGAGCCGAATAAAGTGGCATACTTCTAAATTCTAGGCTCAAAAGGAAAAATTCCAGAGCTCACTATGTTACCCTTAGTTAACTGCACATCAACCCCTCCTCCATATTTATCTTGCTATCAGGAGCAAAGCAGATCTTTGGGGCCTTTATCCTCATTCAATACTTTTTCTTAGCTAAAAGCTTTCACCATTACCCATTTTTTTCTTAGAAAACATGGAAAAGAGATTCCTTTTTCAATAAGAAGTTCATATGGATTATCTCTTTGTCTTAAGAGGTCTGTGAATCAAACAGGAAGAAAGAAAAAAATATGTATTGAATATTTACTGTGTGGCACATAGCGTTGTTAATATGAACGTCTTATGGAAAGAAAAGTAATCCACTAGTGGGAGTAACTTAACCAAAGTCATGATCTAGCAAGTGGTAAAATAAATCTGTGACTCCATTGCCCCCACTCCTTCCACAACTCCCTCCAAAGAAATGGGAAGGTAAGTTCAGATTTTGAAAAAGCCAGTGGTTATGTCACAATAGGCAGAAAGCCAGATATGAGCAGAAGGGAAAAGTCTGGGAAGTCTCAAGCCTGAGGGACCACCCAAAATTTGCATATTAATAGCATCGCTAATGCTGGAGTGGGTGAGCAGTTAGTCAACTGTGAGTAGGAAGAAGAGGTGCCTAGGCAGAAAGGAAGGCCCTAGAATGCCTCTTAAGTTCCCCAATACTCTGCAGTTAAAATGTCAGGATGTCACAAGGTACATACTGATAAGGAAAGAGGGTAAAAAGGGAAATTCCTAAGAGATACACCAGCATCATAAGCATATATTAGTACAAAGAGGAAATTCCTAAGAGATACACAGTTGCAAGAAATATAGATTTGACTGCTATACAGCCTTCCTGGAGTGGCAGTAATGAGCAATGCCGCCATTAGGCAAGATTTGTATTGATTCCTGGCGCACATATGCGCATTACTCAGCAGTAAGGAAGGGTCCCACAAGCCTGGGAGGAAACTAGGTGAGGACAAAGGTGGGGATCTAAGGCAGAAACAGAAACTAAACAAAGAAAAAAGGCAGATGAGACAGAAGTGGGAACCTGAAGAAGGAATCTGACATGATAAATAAAACTCACAGTTCAAGACCCTCAGAGCTGTTTTCCCACAGGATCAGCCCACTCTTCCCTTGAAGTGTACTTATTTTTCCCCCTATAATAAGCTCTTTGCTCCCTATTTCCTATTATAAAGGTCTCCACTGTCTTTGAACCATCTCTTGGCCGAAATCTTTCTCCGAAGTTAGATACCGGGGACTTCTTCATTTCCTGCTAACAGTTTCAGTAACATTTTGAATACTTATGTGCCAGGTATGGAGTGGTTTCTTTATATAAATTAATTCAATTTTAAAAACAATTCTCCCTAACCTGTTTTTCTTCTGTATGTTGGGAATGAGGAAGTTAGCAGGCTATAGTCTTCTCTACTATTCATCATACTCCCTTTATAGGTGAAGGAACAAAGAGGTCAAGTAACTCGCCTGCCTAGGGTCACACAGGAAATAAGTAAAGGAATCAGAATTAGAATGCAGCTAGTCTGGTTCCAGGGTCCATGTGCTCAACATCAGGCTCTACTTAACCTTGGGGTAATGGGGAAAGTGATGAGTAAAAGTGGCAATGTTCTACTAAAAAGGGAATAATTTAAAAGAGGCACACAAAGTGAGATTTGACTTGTTGTCTGTGAAGTTCAGTCATAATTGGCATCGGCTGTGTATATTGTACTGGTGCAGTGGAGTCCTGTCATAATGTCAGTGTTAGAGTGGGTAGGCAGACATAAGCAGGGGAGGAGAGGCCCCCTGTCATCCCTTACCACCCCCTCCACTCCCCACCACCATCCCCATTCTACACCCACCACCCTGCCCAGGAATGTCAGGTGACCATCAGATGATGGTCAGGCAGGTGTTAAACTCTTTAAAATAATAATTGCTCGCAGCCAGCACCAGGGAAAAGGAGTTACCCAATAGACAGAAAACACCTGAAACTGGTGATCTCAGCTTCCCCATAAGATCTCAAGAGTGAGGGAGCGGGCTCAAGCATGCACACTAAGAGGCAACATGGTGGTGTTTAACTGGTATGTGACCTTCCTCTGGGAACACCCGACTGCAAAGAAAAACACCTCAAATGAGCATGTGCACAACTTCAGTGAACACACTGCACATGTGGCCCCTCCCAAGTGCTGGCAGGCCACTGTGCATGCAAACAGCCCAGCCCAAGGAAAAATTAAGGGAGAAGAGATGCAAACCCCAGAACCATGCCAATATCTAAAACTCCAAGCCAAGGGTCAGATACAGCACTTGGACCTCCCAAGTCGCCTGCTTGGCTCTCTTCCAAGTATACTTCCTCTCACTCCTGCTCTAAAACCTTTTAATAAACTTTCACTCTTGCTCTAAAACTTGCCTCAGTCTCTCACTCTGCCTTATGTCCCTGGGCCAAAGTGTTTCTTCTGAGGCAAGAATCGAGTTTTCGGCAGACCTGTACAGATTCGCCACTGCTAACATACTTTGGTGCTGTGACTCGGATACATCCCCTAATGGTAAGACACCTCTATGCCTCACCTTCTTCAGCTAGAGGTGTCAAAACCCTGTACATGGTTTTCTTCTCACCTTTTGCTCTCCTGCTTGCTAACCAACCCCCAGGACAATTCCTTTTGACCACTGTTCCCCACTGGCTGATCTCAGTTCACCCTGAGGGGTGGCTTGTAGGGGTGGGAAGGACTTCAGAGTTCATACCAAGTTGACTTGAGGCACTAAAGGCCCTCCTGGACAGGAAGCTCATGAGAGTGGTAATGCATCCATCCATAAAGATCTTAATCACACTCATTTATGCTTAATGTTCTATTATTGGAACACTAAGCATGTGGGAGTTATTTGTATCTTACTGCTCAAGGTCATTGCCAAGGTCTGATTTTTCACACATCTGCAATTCAGAAAACTGCAGCCTCTGGCATAAATGGGTTAAATACCCTGGCTTCATCCCTGGTTTTCGGGTCCTGATGGAAGTTTGTCTGGACATGGGCTTGGGGAGCCGTTACTGGCACTCCATTGAAGGACCAAAGATGTAGAAGAGAAAACCTTAGCCTATATTCTCTGGCTCACAAGGCATTAAGTTGGCCTCCTTGCTCTGAAAAGTGGGAAAGGAAATTTGGGCTTTAATGGCTTTATAACAGCCTTATAAGAGCCCAAGAAATGTTAGATTCATTAAGCTAACACAAATGTCAGTTGAATCACACCTTATTCCTGACTCATGTCTTTTCTTTTTGCTAAAATGCATGGAGTTGATACTGTGAGACTATGGAGGTGGAGGTGGAGGCAAAGACAATATGCTCTAATTCTTACCTATTTGGTGGTTACCCTCTGCCCAGACTTGCTGTTTTCAGATGATATCAGATACAGGAAGCAGAAAGTGACCGACGCCCATTTGGAAGGACCTTTGTTAACAATGAAGTTGAATGCATGCTTCTGCATGCAGACCACAGAGCACCCATAGGGAAAACTCTTCTTGATGTAGGGGTTTGAAGTCATGAGCCTCTGTCTTGGCTCCATGTATGTCTCACCAGAGCCATGGATTTGACAAACATAGGTCAAAAAACAGCTCCCTAATGTGTGAAATCTACCAGTGGCCACATCTGGGGCAACCACCTAATGGATGTCTGTTTGACACAACAGCTTTATAGAAACACACGTACAATCTTGCATGCTTATTTCTTGGATTTAACTTACTGCTGCTGAAGTCTTAGCCTCAAATGCAATGTAAAAACTTCTCATGCCCAGATAAGAATTATGGAGCAGAAGTGATAGGGCAACTGTCATCAAGATACTAGGGTTATGGGCATGCAAAGCCACATGCTGAAATCCCAGAGCTGACTGGCTATGAGTTATGTTGCATTTCTTGAAAAAGTGTGGGATTAGTGGCTGGGGAGTCATAGCTCATGAGGAGGTGGGCATTTAGAAAGGGCCCCTCCCTGCCACTTTGGACTTCATACCCCTGATCTAAACTAAGCAGCACTTAAGGCATGCACTTTTACACAAGCATGTGTGGAGACTCCTGGGAAAATTCCAACCAACTGCTGTTTCTTCTGGACTGTGTCTCATCTTTTTCTCAGTGGAGACACTATGGGAATGACTGCTTTAAGTAGAAGCTGATGAAAATATCTTTCTCATTCTCCACCTCTCTTCTAGGCTTCCTCCCCGACATTTTGGAAATGGCTTTCAACCTTTTCAACTGTGCACTTTTTACAATAATTCAATTTACTTTTTATTCTCACCCACTGTGTTACCTTTCTCTCCAAATGTATGTTACTGCTTTCTTCTCTCTCTATTACCATGTTCTCACCTTCTCGATGTTACTGCATCTGTAAAAGCTTGCAGGCTTCCTGATCTTGTTGAACATCTCTAGAGCTAGAAACATTTGGGGTGTGCAGGGAGTCTCCATCTATGAAAGCTACCTAGGATTCCTTCGTGCCATCATCCCTTTCTCCCAGCTCCCATCACCCACATGATAAATCCAAGATCTTAAGCATGGCATACATGAGTCTGCATGACTGGCTTCCACCCATTTCCCCGAATTCCTTCTTCACCAACTCCAGTGCTATCCACTCCCTGCCAACACCCGCTTAGCTCTAGCTTCAAACTATTGTCTGTTCCCCAAAAAATCAAGATTGATTCACATTGCCATGCCCTGACACACAGTTCTTACTGCCTATCCTAGCTTGTCTGCCCTGTCCACCTGAGAAAAATTCTCATCCTTCAAGACTTGGCTCAAAGTCACCTCCTCTCTGAAGTCATTACTAAACTCCCCAGAAGGAGCAGATCCTGGTTTTGCAGAACCCAAAGGACAAATAACCCCATCTCTACTAAAAATACAAAAAATTAGCCGGGCATGGTGGCGGGTGCCTATAGTCCCAGCCACTCAGAGGCTGAGGCAGGAGAATCGCTTAAACCCAGGAGGCGAAGGTTGCAGTGAGCTGAGATCACACCACTGCACTCCAGCCTGAACAGAGATAGACTCCATCTCAAAAAAAATAAATAAAAATTTAAAAAGACTATGGATATTAATTGCAGTAAAAATACCTTATTTTTGCAAAATGTATATAAACACAACCACCTGGTTCCCTTCAGGGCTTAGGAAGGGTTCTGAGCAAGTGAGAGACCCTGACCCTTAAGCTCACTAACTTCACAGAAAACTCACTGATATATTTAGCCATTTCCTTGTTTTGCTTGTATTGTTTTAAATTTATTTCAATTATAGCGTTTATCAAAATAAATAGCATAAATTACTTTTTAAAAATTTTCAGTGCTAAAATGTGAGCAGGAACCACATATTGTCAATCCCTAGAAGCCTAAGACCCAATATGTGGTTTTAGTTGTTTTAATACCAAGGATTTATTAGTTGAAAGCATAAAACTTCAGTCAATCGAGTTAAAGCAAACTTCTAGGTGTTGTAAGGATATAGACTTCCTGGATGCCAGAATGAGAAATGAGGCATCACCAAAGTTGTTAGGAAAGGGAACTGGAGGCTGGAGGGATGTTGTGAAGTTCGGGCAGCCTGACTTCTAGAGTTTGGAAGCTGATGTTCTACCAGTAACCTGGCCTGTTGTCTTCCTATGTCTGCTTCCAGAATCTCTGAAACCCACCTGTGACTTTCCACAATGTCTAAGTTCAAATTATCCAAGAGAATGCAATTTTTTCAGCCCAGACAACTGTCATTCTCCCTCTACCCTCATAACATATGCCAGTCCTACCTGCTGGGCTAGGTGAGTCACCAGATATAAGAATGCTCAGTTAAACATGCCCTCCCAGCAAGGGCTGTGAACACGGGCATTTGTTCCTAGTGGGCAGTAAGGTACCGCAGAATAATCTGTGATTGTTGCTCTGGGCCACACACGTTCTGTTTCCCATAAATCAAGCGTTTTATGGGATGGCATGACACAGTTCACATCAATTCCCCCATCTTGCTCATAACATTATCCTGACTATCTGGGCCAGGCCATTACCTGCTGTTCAGAAATCACAGTAAATCTTGACCTTAGCCATGTCTTCATCCAACAAGATACACTGCCTCAATTCTGCCTATTGGGAGTGTTTACTTGCCCACCATCCTGCAGGGCCCCTCCCATGAGAGGCTGTAATATTGCAGCAATCCACCTGTGCTGGCATAGTGGAAAGGTTCATCTGTTATCTAGGCCGAAGTGTTTTCATCTTTTGACTCCTGGTCATGGGAAGCCCCAAAAACCCAAAGGGGCTGACTGAGGGAGGTCAGGCCACAGGGGCGGGGGGTGGTGCGGTGGACAGGTGTAGGCACACTAAGAACTTGAGCAACCTATGCTTGCAACTTGCTCATGCATCCCAGAACTCACTTCTATACCTAATACTACCCGTTTCTTGATACACTACAGCTGATAGAATGAAGTAGTTGTGGTAGCACCTACAATGTATCATGTATGTGAAGAATCAGAATTCTGAGCACCATTCTTATTTTGTGGAAAACGTATGCAGGCACAGTGCCTGTCGCATAGTAAACATACAACACATGTTTGCGCCTTCATATTCCCTTCCCCCTGTGTTGTTTTCCTTTTTCTAAATTAGGATGGTTAGACGTGTGCTATTTTGGTTCTACTTTACCATTTACTATTTCACGTTCCCCAAAACTTTTCCGTCCAAAACAATGCATGCATCAAGTATGATAGCACTTAAAATATGGACATATGGAGAAGCATGTTCACATTACAGATCTAAGTGTGATATGTCCAGATGTGCCATTTCTAGATATGACAACACTTCAGGAACATAAAAAAGTTCACATATCCATATTTAATAACTCCATCTACTATTTTTGAAACAGTCTTGCTCTTTTGCCCAGGCTGGAGTGTAGTCGTGCAATCTCTGCTCACTGCTACCTCCGCCTCCCCGGTTCAAGTGATTCTCATACCTCAGCCTCCTGAGTAGTTGGGATTACAGGAACACACCACCACACCTGGCTAATTTTTGTATTTTTCGTAGAGACCGGTTTCACCATGTTGGCTAGGCTAGTCTCGAACTCCTGACCTCAAGTGATCCACCCACCTCAGCCACTCAAAAGTGCTAGGATTACAGGCATGAGTCACCACGCCCGCCCGAATAACTCCATTTACTTTTTTAAAGTGCTTTTACGAAGTAGTGAAAATAAGAGAAAAACTCAAAAAAATTTTCATGCAGAGAAGAAAATCAGCAATTTTCCCAGGAGCATGGAATGAAAGGAAGAGCTGGATGCCTTCCCCTTGAATCTCCAGAATCAGCCCCCTTCACCTTGCTCAGCATTGTGGAGGCTGACCTCAAGTAATGTATTATTCCAGCTTCAGGTTGGGCTCAGACAGTGGAAAGCACATGCAAGAAATCAGAAGATAGAGTAGGGCACTTATTTCCCCAGCTCTCTTCCAAGCTGGCTGTCATGGAGCAGTGGGAGTATAAACCTGTTTGAAAGATTTTGTGCAATCTCTATTAAATCTGAACACTTCATAAGCTAGGACCCAGCAATCCCATTCCTAGCCATATACCTAACAGGAATATGTATACCTGTTCACCAAAAGACCTAGACTAGAATGATGACAGTATTATGATTTTCATATTCCCAAACCAAAAACTAACCTAATGCCCATCAATAGTTGATAGAAAAATTGTGATATACTCATACAATGAAATACTATGCAGTAAAGAGAATGAATATTCTGTAAGTACAGATAACAATGTGTGTAAATCTCACAAATATAACATGGAGCCAAGGAAGCCAGACATAAAAGAATGCATCTTATGTGATTCCATTTACAGAAGGCATAAAAACAGGCAAAACTGATCTATGGGGCAAAAGTCATGATAGTGCCTGGCCTTGGATGTGGATACTGATTCAACATTAGTAACAGGGAAACATCTGAGATGTTAAAAGACTGCCTTTCTTGATGTAGGTGCTGGTTGCAAGGTTATATTTGCTTGGGAAAAAATCAAATGAGTTACACACACCAATGTACACTTTTCTGTATGTATATTTCATTGAATGTAAAATGTAAAGCTTTTCATTTAAGCAACTCTTCATTTCTCTACAAGGTAGAAATAAAAGATGGCAATTGGGCCCTGTAGTCCAGAGCTGTTAAAATTTTCTTTTCTTTCCACCAAGGGCAGTAATCTAAAAAATAACATCATTCATGAGCCTGGTAAGTAGAAGGCAAATTAATTTGGATGCCACTTGCATTTACATTTTTAAAAGAAACACCCATGTAATGGATCGAGCACTGCATTTATACTCAAGATCTGAGTTTGATTCCCAATTGCACCCATCACTTGGTGTATGGCAACAGCTAAGTTAATTTCACTTATTTCATATGTGAGGAGCCTAGGATAGAGTGAGGTTAGGAGGAACCTCTCTATTGCCTTAGAGAAATATTCTGAATCAAATCAAAACAAATCAAACAGTTCAGGCAAAGCTGCTTGTAAACCACACAGTGGACCTGTAAAGTATCAGCTTTTTAGAATTAAGAAAAACAACCATAAAGTAATACAGGGGGAAACAATTTTTAATGAGAAAATAAGAGAAAGATAAAGACCAAAGACTCAAGAACTGGTTTTAAGCTGAGAAATCCTGATTCAGTTCTAGAGTATAACATCTTTGAGTAAACCAGCAAATTGTTTAAGAGAGTTCTCATGCCACCTATTTAAAATCAAGTCATATGAATCACAGATAAATGTAAACATTTAACGTTTCCATTTCAGGAATAAGAAACTAGATTTGGGCGTTTTTCCTAAATGAATTTGAAACAATTCAAATAGTAAGGTGCTGGTGTTAAAACTTCAAAATTTAGCTATTTTTCTGAGAAAGATAGCACACAAGTCAGGAAAGGGCACACATTTTATTAACATACATCTTCCGGGGTTATCATGAAGCCAGTGTCTGTGTATCCAGCACAGGGGCCAAGAAATGGTATAGCACCAACATCCCAGAGAGTCACTCCTGCTACCCTCACAATCCTGTGCCCCTTTCTTCTCCCCAAAAAGGTAGCCACTAAGAAAACTGTCACAGTGACCACTTCTGCCCTTCTCTTTATACTTTCACTATCTAAGCAGGGCCTCTCCTATTTAATGTGTTGTGGACATTTTTCCATGCTAATAAATTCATCACTCCTCTTAATGATTCTATTTTTAAAATAAAGGTACCTGAATGTATGTAACTGCTCAGATGTTGTGTCTATTCATCATCCATATTCATGTGAATCATTTTACTGAGCAAGTCCCTGTGATGCCAGTCATTTAGATAAGCATAGCCATTTTCCCCAAATTAGATGGCCTTAGACCACTGAATTACTCTTCATGTGTTCCTTTGTTCCCTTTGTTTGTAGAAATCCTGCCACCTGATATTTTTACAGACCTACTGCTCACTTCCAGCACCTCTTCCCGCATCAAAAACCTTTTCCCTAGGGCTTATTTTCCCTCATTAATACCCCGGACAAAATAACAATCACACAAAAACCATGTTCTCTTTCTAGCCTATAGAGAATAATTGAGTTTATAGTTAAAAATGCAAATTTCTAAACTCCATAAAATTTTGGATTCTGGTACATGAAATAGTGTCCCAGGATCTGCAAATGCACTAGGTTGCTACAAATTAAGCAGCTGTCCATATCTCTAAGAAGTAGAAATAAAGGATGACAATTGGGCCCTGTAGTCCAGAGCTGGTGAAATTTCATTCCACCAAGGGCCATTGATCCAAAAAATAAAATCATTCATCAAAGTAGAGGGCAAATTAACTTGGAGGGTATTCGTTTTTACATTTTAAAACTAAGAAGCACCCATGTAATGGATAGAGCACTGCATTTATCCTCACAAGATCTGAGTTTGATTCCCAATTCCACCCATCACTTGCTGTATGGCAATTGCTAATTTAATTCCAGTTATTTCACCCATGAGCGAACTGGTAACCACTGCTCTACAGAGTTGATCAGCCCTGCTCCCAGGCCATGAGGCTTACTCTCTATCCCATAAACTCTTACATGCAATGCACACACACCACACCACACACGTGCACACACATTCACCAAGAAAAAGAGCTCTGCAGCAATCTAGGCTTTAAGGGATAAAGTACTTCTGTTCTAGTTCCAGTTTTTGCACATGTTGGAATTCACTTTGGGTGAAAAACACTGATGGGCACAGGACAATATTTCCCTGAAACAGATGGCATTTAGCTCACACACTGTCATGAGTTCACTAGTTTGTAATATTCACGTCTCTAAATTTCTCCAAAGATTTGGAGAAATTTTTAAAAGGAGAGGGAGGGAGGAAAAGAGAAAACTGGATATCCCAACAGGACCAGGTATTACAAAATTTTATTTCCAGTCTCTGCATCTAGCCAATGAAGGGACAGTGACATAAGTTAACTGTTAAATGATTCAACAATTATGTATTGGGAATTTTTATATTACAGATACTGTATAAGGTGTTGGGAACAGTACGATGAATCAGAAAAACACAGTCCTTGACTTCATGCAGCATACAATCTAAAAGGGGTGAAGAACAAAGAATAAGAGCTGAAGTTCAGAACACTAGAAGCACTAGTCTTACCATGCTTTGTTTTCATACTTTCTTTGGACTGCATGTCTTTTTCTAAAGATACCAAAAATCAAAAGGGTAATGATGAAAGAGAGGGCCATTTTAGGATTGCATTCTATCAGATAAGGAATTGCAAATCATGTCAAAATGTGGTATCACTGAATACTGGGACAGTGTAGCCTGGAAAAGATAGAACCAAAGAGAGGTTTGAGAACAATCTTCAAATATTTGAAGGGAAAACCTGTAGAAGCAGGAATGGATTCATTTTGTCTCCAGACAACAGGGAGAATCAAGATGGAAAGGAGATACAGGCAAGAAAGTAGAACACAGCTCATCTCAAAAACCACCTCCTAACAACTTCAGCAGGCCAGTAATGAAATGACTGCCTTTACGTATTGTGAAGTCCTCATTCAAGAAGTGTTAAATGACACCTGGGGCCCTCTGTCAGTGGTATTACAGAGAAGAGTCCTGCACTTAAGTGGAAAATGAGACTCGAAGTTTCCATCCAGATCTAAGGTTCTATGATACCATAAAATGGAACAAATGAATTTAAACTATTTTCACTTACAAAAGAAATTTTTTTTTATTTTAACAAAAAACAATCTTTCTTCTCTGTATTATCTCCATCAAACCTTTCTGAGCAAGAGCACAGAAAACAGTTTTCTATGACAGTGCACTTACTTACAGAAATTGTAAATTCAGACGATGGGCTGAATTCTGGCTTGTAGATAAAGTCTTGTTTAGCTGGTACAGTGTCTTAAAGGTTGACTTTCCTTAAGTAGAGCATCTCATTTTGCTAGAAACCCTAATCTTCCTATCATACTTTATCTGTACACTCTTTGCGTTAATTTTTCCTTCCTCATCAGTGACAGCATTTGAGTCTGTAATCCTGATTTTCAGTGAGATGTTGGGAAAAAGATGAAGAACCTAAGTGTGAACCACATATTAACTTTGGTAAAAGAGGCAGTTGTCTCTTGAAAATTTGTGTGACAGTTGGCGTCTCAATTGACTGAAAGTAACACTGGTACATTCAGATTTGTTCTTGGGAACTCCTATAAAAGGAAATCACTGGTAATTCATAGCAAATTCCTGAGTGGAAGAAAGACCAGGAGAAGAACATTGCCAACATAGGCTGGATTTAGACAAGAACTGAGAGGGTAATGAAAAATTAATAGAGTATATAGCAAATGTATCTTTACGCGTTTTTTTAAAACTTCAATACTCTTAAGCCCTAACATGCAGACGTTAGGGTTACCCTCTGAACTGGTGTACTTTGTTTATGCCTATTGTTTTAGTGTCCCATTTGACTTAGTATTTGCTCAGGATCTTTAATTTTTCTTTTTCCACAGGTAGAATTCATATAGTATAACATTAACTGTTAAAAAAATACACTTCAATGCCATTTAATACATTCACAGTATTGTACAACTGTTACTCCATTTGGTTCCAAAACGTTTTCATATTTCTCCATGTTTTCCCTTCATCAGGCACTGGCAACCACTAACCTGCTTTCTGTCTTTATGGATTTACCTAATCTGAATATTTCATATAAATGGAATTGAAATGGGAAGAGTTCCCTGACCCATCTTACAGGACGTGTGACAGGGTTATGGCTTGTCTTATTTGCTCAAACCCCTAAGGAGCGGGAGCACACAGACAGGCGGATGTGGGAGCCTGAGCAAGTGCTCCTGGGCTCTGGCCCCATGGCAGTGTCCAGGGGTGGGTGCCTGTGATTCCCAAAGCCCAAGTGGGCACATGTTACCGTGTGCTCTTTTACCCTTGCTGTCTGCAGGTGGCTTAAGTGTTAGCTCAGTAGACCCTCTGCCTTTCTGCAAGGGCAGAGGGCCAGTATGACAGCATTCTGTATCCCAAACTCTTGTCCAGCATCCAGGAAAAATCAAGCCACACACAGACTTCAAGGACGAATGTGGAGTTTTTAAGTGATGGAAGTGGCTCTCAGTGGGGTAGATGGGGAGCTGGAAAGGGAATGCAGTGGGAAGATGATATTCCCCTGGAGTGTGGCCATTCAGCAGCCAGTCTCCTCTCTGGCCGTCCCCAGCCAAACTCCTCTCCATGTTCAGACACTCCTCCTCTTTCCTCTGCCAAGCCATTCTGCTGTTCTTCTGCTCTTTTGTTTATCTCTTACCTTGTCTGCTTCTAGATCCTAGGGTCTGCGGTTTATACAGGTACAGGATAGGGGGACGTGGTGGCCAAAAGGCAACTTCTGGGCATGAAAACAGGAATCCCTATTCCCATTTAGGGCCACGAATTTCCAGGCTTGAGGGTGGGGAACCACCTTTGCTGGGGAACCACCCTCTTCTACCCATTGTTTCCCTCTCTGCTGTCTGTAGCAGAATCACACAAAATCAGACATTTTGTGTCTGGCTTCTCTGCCTAGCATAATGTTTTCCATGTTCATTCAAGTTGTAGTGTGTATCAAAACAAGCATTCTTTTTTAGGGCTGAATAGTAGTCCATTGTGCAAATACACTGTATTTTGCTTTTCTATTCTTCAGTTAATAAACATTTGAGTTGTTTCCATATTTTAGCTATTGTGGATAGTGTTGGTATGAACATTTGTATACACGTTATTGTTTGAATACTTGTCTTAAATTTTGGTAATATATACCTAGCAGAGGAATTGGTAGCCCTTGGGTTAATTCTGTTTAACTTTTGGAGGAACAGACAAACTGTTTTCAGCAGTGACTTAACCATTTTACATCAATACCAGTGATATACGAGGGCTGAAAATTTCTCCATATTCTAACACTTATTTTCCTTTTTTAAAAATTCTAGACCTCCTAGTGTTTGTAAAGTAATATCTCCTTGTGCTTTTGATTTGCATCTCCTTAATGACTAATAATGTTTAGCATGTTTTCATGTGGTTATTAGCCATTTGTATACCTTCTTTGGAGAAGCATTCATTCAGGTCCTTTGTCTATATTTTAATTGGCTTGTCTTTTCATTGTTGAATTATAAGATTCCTTTATATATTTTGAATAGTAGTCTCTTATCAAGTATGTAATTTGCAAATAGTTTCTCCAATTTTGTAACTTATTTCACTTTCTTGGTAGTGTCCTTTGATGAACAAAAGTTTAATTTTTATGAAGTCCAAATTATTTACTTTTTCTTTATGCTTTTGGTGTCATATTTAAGAATCCATTGCCAAATCCAATGTCATAAAGATTTACTCTTATTTTTCTTCTAAGTTTTAGAGTTTTAGTTCTTACAGTCAGGGTTTTTGTTCTATTCTGAGTTGATTTTGTATATGGTGTTAGGTAAGCGTCCAAATTCTTTGAGTATAGATTTCCAGTTTTCCCAGAACCATTTGTTGAAAGACCATTTTTTTTACCCCCAATGAATGTTCTTGACATCCTTCTCAAAAATCAATTGGTTGTTGCTGTATGGATTTATTTCTGGACTGTCAATTCTATTCCATTGGTCTATAAATCTATCTTTATTCTAGTACTATGAATTTGTGATGAGGGATGCTTTATAGTAAGTTTTGAAGTCAGCAAATGTGCGTCTTTCAACTTTGTTCTTAATGACCTTAAATTATAAAATATTTTCTTAGATATGACACCAAAAGCAAACACAACAACAACAACAACAAAAACATATACTGAACATCAAACTAAAAACTTTTGGGCTTCAAGAGACAGTATCAAGAAAGTGAAAATAGAGTGCACAGAATGGGAGAAAGGTTTTGTAAATCACGTAGCTGGTTGCTATATACAGTACATATATATAAAAAATTACAACTCAGTAATTAAAAAGACACACAATCCAATTTTTAAGATGGGAAGACGAGCCAAAGGATCTAAATGGATATTTTTCCAAAGAAGATACACAAATGGCCACCAGATTACATATACAAATGAGCACCAGGAAAAGATGCTCAACATAATTAGCCTTCAAGAAAAGCCACAAGGATTTACTGCTTCAAACCCACTAGGATGGCTATACTGAAAAGGAGAGATAGTAAGTGTTAGCAAGGATGAGGAGAAATTGGAACACTTATACACTGCCAGTAGCAACATAAAATGGTACAGCTGTTGTGGGAAGTAGGCTGACAGTTCCTCAAATAAGATTGAATTATATAATCCAGCAATTTTACTCCTAGGAATCTACCTGAGACAAATAAAAATATATGTCCACACGACTCATCATGAATGTTCATAGCAGCAGTTTTCATAGTAGCCAAAAGATGTTGACAACCCAAATGTCCATCAACTGATGAACAGATAAGAAACAGATAGCATTTCCACACAATGAATTATTTAACAAAAAGAAATGAAGCATTAATAGATGCTGTAACATTTATGCACTTTGAAAGCCTATGCTAAATGAAAAAGTCAAAAAGGACCAAAAATTATATGATTTCTTTCATGTGAAATTTCCAGAAAAGTCAAATCTATAGAGACAGTAGATAGATAATTGATTGCCTAAAGTTAGGGGATGAGGAGATTGGGGCAGCGGGGGGGAAGCGGGGTGAAGATGAACAAGAACAGAGCTTCTTTATGGGTTAGTAAAAATGTTCTAAAATTGCTTATGGTGATAAATGTACAGTTCTGACAATAGTAAAAGCCATTGAATTGTATAGCCATTGAATTGTACACTTTTAATGAGTGAACTGTATGCTATGTGCATTATATCTCAATAAAGTTATTTAGAAATGAATAGAAGTTGTAGTTCCAAGTAAGCTTTTTATAAAGACAGAACAGGCTTAGCTTAATACTTATATATAAAGGCAAAAGGAGCTATAATAGCTAAAACAATTCTGAAAAAGAAGTTTAAGGTGGTAGGAATCACTCTACCTGGTGTTAAGACTGAATTTATAACTATAATAATCAATATAGTAAGGTACTGGCAGAAGAATAGACATGTAGATTAATGGAACACAAGAAAGAATCCACAAATAGACCAACACAAATATGCCCAATAGATTTTTGACAAAGATGCAAAAGCAATTCAATGGAGAAAGCGTACTCTATTCAACAAATGATGCTGGAACAATTAGACACCCATTGGAAAAGAAAAAAAGAACATCAACCTTCTTACTGTATCCCCAAATTAATTTAAAATAATTTGTAAATTTATAAAACTTTCAGAAGATATTTAGGCAAACATCCAGGACCTGGGGTTAGGTGAAGCCTACTTACACATGACACCAAAAAGACAATCTATAAAAGAAAAAAATGTTAATAGGGACTTCACACTAAAGTCTTTTGCATTATGAAAGTCATGTTAAGGGAATAAAACTGCAAGTTACAGACAGATACAAAATATTTTGAAATCACATTTCCAAAAAAAGCCATATACCTAGGATAGAGAACTCTCTAAACTCAAGAACTTTTTAAAAATACAGAAAATTTCCAGCTTCATCCATGTCCCTACAAAGGACATGAACTCATCTTTTTTATGGCTGCATAGTATTCCATACTTAGCAAACTATCACAAGGGCAAAAAACCAAACACTGCATGTTCTCACTCATAGGTGGGAATTGAACAATGAGAACACATGGACACAGGAAGGGGAACATCACACACCGGGGCTTGTTGTGGGGAGGGGGGAGGGATAGCATTAGGAGATATACCTAATGCTAAATGACCAGTTAATGGGTGCAGCACACCAACATGGCACATGTATACATATGTAACAAACCTGTACATTGTGCACATGTACTCTAAAACTGAAATAATAAAATAAAATTAAAAAAATACAGAAAATTTAATTAAAAATCTGCATAATATATGAACAGGTACTTCATCAAAGGGGAGATATAGATGGTAAATAATCATATGAAAAGATGTTCAATGTCATTAGCCACTAGGGAAATGCAAATTGAAGCCATAATGACATACTACTACATATCCATTCCAACAGTTTTAAATTTTTTCTCAAGTGACAATATCAAAGGTAAAGATGTAGAGAAAGTGAGTGCCTCATATACCATTGATGGGAACATAAAAGAGAACAGCCACTCTTAGAAATAGTTTGGCAGTTTCTCTTTTTTTGGTGGGTGGGTCTGGGAGAGTTAGGGACATCCGAACAGTCTTCCTTTATTAAATGAAAAATGTGTAACTATCATTAATAAGAATATGGTATGTAAATAATAAGCAACTAAAAATTCGATTGCCTGTGTCCATTGGGTTTTCGTTACATTTTATTTCTTGGAAACCAAGGTGGTATTTTACTTAATGTAAATGACGAGTTTGGCAGTTTCTTACAGAGGTAAACATGTACTTGCCATATGACCCAGCAATCAACAAAAACTTAGGTTCACACAGAAACCTGTACAAAAATGTTTGTATCCACTGTATTTATAATAGCAACATATTGGAACAACTCACATATAATTTAATGTGCAAATAATAGTACAAACTCTGGCATATCCATGCAGTGTAACAGTACTCAGCAATAAAAAGAAATGAACTACTGATGCATACAACAACCTAGATGTGCCTCAAGGGCATTGTGCTTGGTGGAAAAAAAGAAGTTTATCTCCAAAGGATACGCACTGTTGATTTTGTTTATATAATATTCTTGAAATTATAAAACTAAGAGATGAACAAATTAATGGATGCCAGGGGATAGAGACTGGATTTCAGGGGTGGGAAGATGGGGAAGGCGCATATGCAAACGAGTAGCACAAGCATTTTCTTTTACAGTGATGAACAAGTGCGGTTGTTGATTATGGCGGTAGTTATAGTAGTCCCTTTATAACTGCGGTTTCACTTTCCGTGATTTCAGTTACCTGTGGTCAACTGTTGTCTGAAAATATTACATGAAAAATGGCAGAAATAATTCATAAGCTTTACACTTCATGCTGTTCTGAGTAGTATGACAAAATCTCATGTTGTCATGCTTTATCTGGGATGTGAATCATCCCTTTGTCCAGGATATCCATGCTGTAAACACTATCCACCCATTACATTATAGGACAAAACATAGCCTACATAGAGTTCCATACTATCCACAGTTTTAGACATCCACTGGGGGTCTTGGAACATATCACTAATGGATAAAGGGGGACTGCTGCACATGAATCTAAATATGGGATAAAAGTATATATAACTATACACACATACATATATGAAATTTTTAAATTGGGGAAAACTCAAGGTCTGTAGTCAGTTAATAATAGTATATCAATGTCAATTTCCTAATATTGACATACTACAGCTGTCTAAGATGGTGCCATTCGGGGAAGCTAGATGAATGGTACACATGACTCTACTATTTTTGCAACTTCCTGCAAGTCTGTAAATTAAGAGTCTAAAATATAAAACCCATAATATCAAAATCTACAAATATTTTATTTATGTGCAGAGCGAATGAACACAATTTTTTGCAATGAAGCTAATATTGAATAAAATGTTATAGCATGGAGGTATTTTTTTTTTGGCTGCCTACTTTTACATATCAACCTTATGTCTCACTAAATTTCTCTTTTCCCTTCGAAAATAAAAATCTTGAAAGAGTTTGAGATTTTCAAAAACTATCACATAATTCAACCTAAGTGTACTACAATGGCAAACTTTTTGTATGCAATTTGTCTGCAATTTGTTCAAAATCATTAGGAAAGCTTTAGTCAAAGAATTCAATGAATAGAGCACAAAAACTTATTTTTGCTCTTTATGTTTGCTTTTATTAAATTGCATTTATTAAAAACAAAGCTAAAAAACTGGAAGACATTGAAATTTATCTCTGTGTTAACTAGAGGTAACTGAGCCAACTAAACAATGAGAATGCTAGTGGTATATGGTATTTAATTTTGAAATTTTATAATTGAATTTTAAGATATCTTGACTTGTGGCAAATCTTTGATGGAGCTCTCATTTTAACTGCATAAGCTGTATTCTACATCAGAATGGAATGAAACGAAGAAAGCCTGAATTTTACAACATGTATTTTTGGTGAAATTTAAACAACTGTAGTTCATTTATTCGATTTTCAATAAAGCTACTTGTTAAAGAAAGATACACTAAATGAAAGCACTATCATAGTACTTATGAAAATATTCAGACTGAAATATGTATGCATTTCAGCATAAAATATTAAAACTGAAAATATTTTTATTTAGTAAAATTGCTCTGAGCTTTCCTGTAGAGAAAAATCTTTTTCTAGTAACAACATTGTGGTCTACATAAGAGAATCAATGAATGTACCAAAAATTTCAATTGACTATAAAATGTTATTTTGAAGACAACTGTAAGTTATTTAGTATGTTCTCACTTATAAGTGGGAGCTTAATGATGAGAACACATGGACACAGAGGAACAACAGACACCAGGACCTACTGGAGGGAGGAGGGTAAAGAGGAGGTAGAGAGTCAGAAAAAATAACTACTGGGTGCTAGACTTAATACCTGGGTGGCAAAATAATCTGTACAATAAACCCCCGTGACACAGGTTTACAACCTTTTGAAAATACTTTTAGGTTCAGGGGTACATGTGAATTACATGTACCTAAAAGTGTTTTTTAAAAAGATAATAATATGGTGATATTAAAACATATATTCTTTAGGAAAAGTATCAGTGACTTGATATAAGAAACACACTTGGCCTTAAGAACCTGAATAATTATTTTGCATATGTTACTATTAGTGTTTCTATAATCCATATTTTTAAAATTTTTTATTCTTATTTTTAGAAGGAATTATGTATATTAAAGTTGTTTTAATATAACTGTATACCTACTTAATAAGTAAATATTTCAAAATTATTTTATCATATAATTTTCATTATTTTTATTGTTCATTTTAATCTGAGTATATTCCAATTTGGACAATAAATTTCTTGGTCACCCTAACAAAGATGTTCTCTCAGAAGAAATTGACAGCAGTTACAAACTTGGAGCTCCCACATATCACATTTCATGCAAAATTTGTTGAAGCTCAGATATATAGCTAATATTCTCTAATAGAGTGGAGCTGGCTTAATTCATAGGAATATGACAGACTTTACTTGGGTAAAGACTCTAAATGTCAATGTTGGTAGAGAAAGAAGGGGAGACAGTGAGGGCAAGAGAAAGGAGAGAGACAGAGCATCTGAGAGAGAGAGAGAGAGAGAGTACAAGAAAGACATTGTAAGAGAAAGACATGCAGAGAGGGAGAGGAAGGGGAGAGAGAGGGGGAAGGGAAAAGGTATGGGAGGGAAGGAGGCAGAGAAGAACCGAGAGACAGTTGAAGGAAAGGAAGAAAGGAGGGAGGGCGGACAGCAAAGACAAATATTGCACTTAAGTGATTTGATTCTTTCCTAACAATGGTTTTATGACAATTTTTAGCCTGTGGCCTTTGGCAAATAATTTTGTTTTACTCAGCTTCCATTTCTTAAGGTATAAAATGAGGAGAGTAACAATACTTATTCCTCAGGATTTCCAGGATAGAGTGTTACGTTAGAGTGTCTTAGCCCATTTGTGTTGCTATAAAAGAACCCCGAGGCTGGGTAATTTATAAAGTTTATTTGGTTCTCGGTTCTGTAGGCCATACAAGAAGCATGGGACCGGCATCTGCTTATGCTGAGGGCCTCAGACCACGTCCACTCATGGCAGAAGGTGAAATGGAGCTGACGTGTGTAGATATCACATGGTGAGAAAGGAAGCAAGAGAGAAAGTAGAGGAAGGTGCCAGGCTCTTTTTTAACAACCAGCTTTCTCGGGAATAAGAGTGAGAACATACTCATTACCATAGGATGACACCAATCCATTCGTGAACAGTTCACTCCCATGACCCAAACACTTCCCATTAGTCCCCCTGCCTCCAACATTGGGGATCAAATTTCAACACGAGGTTTGATGGGACAAACATCCAAATTATAGCAATAAGAGTATTTGGTAAACAGAACTGATGACTCTTCTGATTATCAGCAGCAGCAGCCCTTCAAGAGTCAAATAGGGAAAAGCACTTGGAATGGCCTTGGGTTGTCTGGGGAGAAAAATGGAGGGTATAAACAGGAAGATGATCCAGGATTCAGACAACCTTCCTAACTAGACCTCTGGTTTGGGGCCTGACCTTTAGGGCAGCGCTGGTCATTTTGTGATAAGCCAGGAGTTAGAAAACACTAACTTGTACATTTGTTCACACATGTTTTCTGAGTTCTCCATGGTCTGTCTTTACACTGTATGCAGCTCAGCTGCCATTCAGCCCTACTCTGAACTACAGAACTCTGCGCCACCTGTGTGTTACTAAAATGCATCTGTGTGACACCTGATCTCTTCCTCCCCACTCCATGATGTCCATCCTCCCCCTAAAGTAGCTGATGTAGGCAAAGACCAAGACAGACCCACAGCTGTGATGCAGGCCAGGTGCTTGGCAGTATTCTGGTTATAAGATCCTACTTACCTGAGTGACTTGTCTTTCAGGCTGCCATTGTCATTTCTGTGAGATTCGTAATTTGAGCTTTGTTTGTTCCCCAGGGTTAAATTGTGGAGTCATGATGTTAAACCTCCACTAATTAAATATAGTCATGTTTCAAGGTTGAATTATTTTTGCTTCAAAGGCTTTGGATTTAAAATTGGTTACATTTCACTGTGAGGCCTCTACCCCTTCTCTTCAATCCAGCTACCTCCTATACTAGCTCCCCACTGTTCTCCTCACCACCAGCTTCCCTTTCCTGTGCTGTGCCAGTCCTTCCTGATTATCTTACCAGATGGAGCACTCCTGGTGGTAGAATGTACCCTTCCTAAAAGTTCACTTCAGACCTAATTTTCAGAACATCCTGTTAAAGACTCAAAGCTGAGTTTTACCTCAGCCTGGGAGAGACCCCACTTCCCCAACCATCACATTTAGCAAACAGACACAAAAAAATACCGTATTACAACATGTAAAATAATGAAATTAAATTCTTTTATTTTATCATATGCAAAAATCAACTCAGAATTGAATGAAATCTTAAATGTAAAACTCCAAATTATGAATCTATTAGAAGAAAACATGCGGCAAAAGCTTCATGACGTTGGTCTGGGCAATGATTTTCTGGATATGCCCCCAGAAGCATAGGCAGCAAAAGCAAAAATAGACAAATGGGACTATATCAAATTAAAACACTTCTGTGCAGCAAAGGAAAAAACAGAGTGAAGACAAAACATTTGTACATCATATATCTGATGAGGGGTTAATATAAAAGTACATAAAGAACCCAACTCAATAGCAAGGAAGCAAATAACCCAACTAAAAATAGCCAAATGACCTGAATAGACATTTCTTAAAAGATATACAAATGGCTAACAGGTATAATTTTTTAAATGCTCATTATTAATCAGAAAAATGCAAACCAAAACCACAAGATATCACCTCATAGAAGAGCAATTATCAAGCAGACAAAAGATAAATCTTGGTGTGGATGTGAAGGAAAGGGAACCCTTGTACACTGTTGATGGGAATGTAAATCATACTGTAGAGCTATTATGGAAAACAGCATGGAGGCTCCTCAAAAGTTAAAATTATTACTACCACAGGACTCACCAAACCCACTACCAGATATATATCCAAAGGAAATGGAGTCAGTATGTGGAAGAGACCTGCATGCCTATAGTGACTGCAGTACTATTCACAGTAGCCAAGATATAGAAGCAACCTAAGTGTCTATCAATAGATTCACAGGCGAAAAAATGTGGTATGTATACATGATGGAATACTATTCATCCATGAAAAGAATGCTCCTGCCACTTGTGACAACATGGATGAATCTGGAGAACATTAAGTGAAATGAGCCAGTTATAGAAAGACAAATACTGCATGATGTCACCCATAAGTGGAATCTTAAAAAGTTGATTTCATAGAAGCAGAGAGTTGAGTGGTAGTTATCAGAGGCTGGGGTGGTTAGGGGGTAGAGGGGCTTGGGGTACTGTTGGTTCAAAGATACATGTCTACAGTTAGAGGGATTATGTTCAAATGATCTCTTGTACAGCATGATGACTATAGTTGATGATATATTCTTGAAAAATGCGTTAGGTATTCTCACCACAAAAATTACCATATAACATGAATTTATTAACTAGATTTAACCATTTCACTATGTATATATACTTCAAAGCATCCTGTTGTACAAACTACATACATACAATTTTATATGTCAATTTAAAAATAGATTAATCTTTTAAAAATCGCCATCTATATTGGCTTGAGAATTATCTAAATCAGAAAGAAAAGGAGAAAAGGTTAACCTCATAAAGATCAACTTTAGGCCGGGCATGGTGGCTTACGCCTATAATCCCAGCACTTTGGGAGGCCGAGGCAGGCGGATCATGAGGTCAGTAGATCGAGACCATCCTGGCTAACAGGGTGAAACCCCGTCTCTACCAAAAATACAAAAAATTAGCCAGGCATGATGGCTGATTTGCATGATTGGCACCTGTAGTACCAGCTACTGGGGAGGCTCAGGCAGGAGAATGGCGTGAACCCGGGAGGCGGAGCTTGCAGTGAGCTGAGATCGCACCGCTGCACTCCAGTCTGGATGACAGAGCAAGACTCTGTCAAAAAAAAAAAAAGAAAGAAAGAAAGAAAAGAAAAGGAAAGAAAGAAAAGAAAAGAAAAAAAAGAAAAGAGTAGCTTTATCCACTGATTTAGAGAGTTGAAAACAATTCAGCAGAAGAACACTTGACAGCCTGGGCCTTGGAGTGCAACATAGTTAGTTTGAATCTCTCATACTCTAGCAGCTTGTGTGACTTTGCACAAGTCATTTTTCATCCCTGGGTCTCAGTTTCCTTGTCTGTCAACTGAGGATAATATCTAAAGCTACTTCATGGGGTTGACGTTAAGGGTAAATTGAGATAATCCATCTAAAAGCCCCTAGCATAGGGCCTGTACAGAGTAAGTTATCAATCGATCAAGTTTTCAGTAACTTAGTATTATAAAGTAAACCAGGAAAACATAGTAGTATAAATTATATAACTTACTAAGGTCTCTGAGAGGGTAAATGACTTGCCTAAGAGCATGCATATCAATTCTGAGTTAATTACAGAGCATGAACTTCCACTAGGCATTCACTTAGCATTTCTTGAAAATCTACTTTGAGCTAGGCACTAAGCTGAGTGCCAGCGACGCAAAGACAAATGAACAAGGTCAATAACCCCAGTGAGTTCATACATTAATAAAGGATGTGAACCCTGTGTATAAGCAATTAAAATGTGTTAAGGGAACTAATAGAAGTGCATAAAGGAAACATAACTAGTTAGAGTAATTCTCAGAGAGTCTTCAAAGAAAAGTTGGTTTAAAGGTTGCCAAACAGGCAAACTATAGAAAATGGTACTCTAGGAAGAATCAAGAACACACACAAAGGATTTGTAAAAGATGTGAAGAATGAATAGAGGTCTGAAACTGCATGGTCCTTAGAAAAAAACTTTAACCTAATTGATTAGATTTGCTGAAGCACAAAGAAAAGGGTGGGAATGGAGGCAGAAACCTGCTGAAATGTTCCCTAGCTCATCCTCCTCCCTCTGTGTCTCCATGACAGACTCTATGAGAACTAAAACCAAATCAAAAGTTCCTGCGGAGGTTGGAGGAGACAATTGTTAGTGGTAAAAGATACTGTTTGTGAACTAGCAGGGACAGTTATCTAGGATCTCCCTGCTTAACTAACAGTACTGTCATTTATCCTAAAATCAGCAAAAGGGCCTGTAATGAGAAGTCAAAACCAACACAAGGCAACATAGAAGGTACACAAGCAACAAAGAGTTGAACGTGGAACCCACTGGAGCTTTTTAAGCAGGAGAGTAACATGATCACTGGCACCTGTTTCGTGCACTTAGCATGCAATCAAATCCTGTGAGGACCTACACGATCTAATGATCTTGCTCTAGCTTCAATCTCCAATTACATCTCATATCTTTCCCTGCATGCTTTCCCAAGATGGTCTACTTACAGCTCCATGGACAGACCATTTCTTCCTTGCTTCAGGGTTTTTACTTTTGCTGATCCTTTTGTCCAGAATGCTCAGTGCTTTGCGTGGCTTTCTGCTTCTCATCTGTAAGGACTCAGGCCTCAATGTGACTAGTTCAGAAAGCCTGTCCCTAACCAAATAAAAAAGATCCCCTCCCTACACACGTATCTTCTATCATATCATATATTTTTCCTTTTATAAAACTTATCTATCTCTGTAATTACAGTTTTGTGCTTATATATTTTCATGTCTCCCACTGCCTAGTGAGTTTCATGAAAGCAGCAATCATATTAGTCTCACTGGCACTGTATTCCCAAAACCTGGACCAGTGCCTAGCATATAAAGTATTCAAGATATATATTTTTGAGTGAAGGAGAGGTAGGATTTAGGTGGCAGTTTTTGTGAGTAGAATAGACGTGGAATGAGAGATTTGCATCTCCACAGCCTGGTGCAGAAGACAACTTTTGAGTCTTGCAGAATTGGGCTTGAACCCTACTTCCTTCATATATTACCTGTTTGCTTTAGGGAAAATTGCTTATCTTTTTGGAAACTGCCTCAGATTCCTCATCTCTAAAACAGAAGTAATAACACATTTAGAAGGTTTGTAGATAGACAAGAGACTATTTAAGTCATGTAGGTCAGCACTTGACCGCTTCCTTTTAAACCCTCACCCTTCCAGAGTGCAATCCTAAATCTCAAGGCTCATATAAGATTGACTCTAGTGGGAAGAAATGAGAGAAAAGAGTCCCCAGAAAGAAAATTGGAGCATGAGGGCAGAACATGAAATAGTCATTTCATTTAGGGCCAGCCCTGCGAATATTTACTCTATCCTTCAACTTCTCTGGAACTGTTAAGTGTATTCCTGGGATAAAAGTTGATATGTTAGGGAGGATAATGGAATAATCTCTGCATAGTAACAGTCCATGATTCTGACCCAGGCCATATTTAAACTGATTGAAGAATCCAAACATATGACCCTCCAGCATCACTCTTACAGCTCAGCTTCCTGCCCTGTTAAACATCACCATTAGTCCAGGACACTCACTCGGATTCTCCCCGATTTCATTTACTGATTTTAAGATAATACAACCTGGTTACTGAGCTGGTGCTACTTGATACCAAGGCTACATGGAAGAAAGCAGCATGCATCTCTGCAACAGCATCCCCATTAATCACCTGGACAAGACACTGAGATCAGACGCATTCTTCCCTGTTAACAAGCAAATACAAAAGGGGTTATGGGGCCATCCACAACCTGACTAGGTGAGTGAAGCTGAAAGCAGCTCTGTGTGGGTTGTTACACATTTCACCCCTTTCCACTCTCGCTGAAAAGTCTTCATTCGCGTGTAACACTGCCCACATTGTTCCTGCTTGACCAAATTGGACAACTCTCACCACTTTCTGAGAGATTTTCTGCCCCTCTTGTGCTGTCTGTGATCACCTGTGATGGAGATGATAGAGAATTGCTTCCCTCTTCTCCCCGGCCCCAAACTTTACTGCCTCCACCCATAGTAACTTGTTAAAGTCATGAAAAATGTCTTATTAAACAAACAAAAACAAACAGAAAAACCAACCAAAAAGCACTGTGACCACAGAACTGTGACTAATAATGGAATTTAGCAAGAAGTCAGCTCCAGTTTCATGAGGCTGTACTTGCAATTTGGGAACATTTTGCTACTCAAGCTCATGATGAATGACTCTAGGAAGAAAGGGTTGCTATTTCTTATGCTTCTTCTCTTTCAGTGTCAGTTCCATTCCCTAGATAATGGGGAGTGGCATGAAGGCATGCAGCAAACTTTCTTTTCACTGACAAAGATAAGCTACCATCACGTCAGTCCTGGCAACAGAGGGCTGCTGAACTGTGGGTCAATTTGATTTGGAAAGAAAGAGGTATCAGGAGATAATTATAAATCATTCTACTTTCTCTATGTTTAGATTGAAACTATCAACTCTTCCAGGAAGCTGAGCAAGGTGTACCTAGCAATAAAAAGAAACTCAATCCTGTGTGTTTGAGCCAACCCATTTTTGGTAATATTTTCTTCACATAATTTTAAGACTTTCAGAAAAGTTACAAGAATTATACATTATATATACCCTTTTCCCAGATTCAACACTTATTTACATTTTGCTTTATCGTTGCTTGCTTGTGGAGTGTGTGATTTCCTAAACCCTCTGAAGTTAAGTTTCATACCTCATGCCCCTTTACCTAAATACTCCAGCATGTATGTCCTAAAGACAAGAACAACCACAGTTCAACCATTAAAATCAGGAAATTTATCATTGTTACATTACTATTGCCTAATCCACAGTTTATATTCAAACTTCTACAATTGTTCCGACAATGTCCTTTAAATGCTTTTTTTAAACCCCAGTCCAAAATCCAATCCAGGATTATTCATTGCATTTAGTTGTCCTGTATCTTCAGTTTTTTAATCTAAAAAATTCCTCAGTTTTTCCTCTGGATTTCATAACCTTGACATTTCAAAGAATATAGGCCAATTATTTTTATAGAGTCCTCCTCAATTTCAGTTTGTCTGCTGTTTATCCAAGATTACATTATGCCTTTTTCCCAGCCACAATACCACAGAAATTCTGCTGGAAAAGAGGAGGCAGAAATCTCTGGCACTCAAAGAACCAGTGAGCTAGTTCTGATTCCTAACACTCTGAATGGAAACACCTTCTAACACAGAGCAGCTAAGGAACACAGGAGTGAGACCTGAGTAGTAAAAATGTATCAGGTGAATCCTCGATAGTGGAGCCAAATGTATACTAAACTAACGTATTTCCTGGACCTGCTTTGATAAAACTAAAAGCAAATTTCAAAAATATCAAACTGATTACATTTTAAGTGGATTATAAAACAAACCCCAACAATATTTAAAGAAATGAAAGAAAAAACACCCCTAGCATCCAAGAATGTGAAATTCAGATTTTTTTTCATCCAAATCAAAAGTTGCTGGCCAGTCGCAGTGGCTCATGCCTATAATCCCAACACTTTGGGAGGCCAAGGCAGGTGGATCACCTGAGGTCAGGAGTTCAAGTCCATCCTGGGAACCATGGTGAAACCCTATCTCTACTAAAAATACAAGAAATTAGCTGGGTGTGATGGTACGTACCTGTCATCTCAGCTACTTGGGAGGCTGAGGCAGATCACTTGAACACAGGAGGTGGAGGTTGTGGTGATCCGAGATGGCGCAACTGCACTCCAGCCTGGGTGACATAGCAAGACTGTCACAAAAAAAAAAAAAAATTTTTACTAATGTGACCTCTAACCAGTTAAAAAAAAAAAAAATAGAATGAGAAATGACATGACAGAAAGTAGCAGACAAGAGTGTTAAAACAGAAATGAAAAGTAGTAAAAAGTCACCCAACTAATTTTTATAGATAATGCAATATGTGAAGTGAAAAATTAAAATCAGAAGACATTGTAGAAGAAAAGGTTGGGGAACCAGAAGACATAGCAATAGAAACTATCCACAGTGAAATAGAGATTAGATAGGCTGAGTGATAGCCCTATGGACAATATCACACATTTCAATATATGTGCAATTAGAGCCCCTGAAGGAGGTTGGGATGGGAAAGCAAAACTATTTGAAAAAATGACAATTTTTTTCCAAACTTGAAGAAAACCATACACAGATCCAAAATAGTCAACAAACCCCAAGCAACAAACCCCAAAGAAATCCTCAGCAAGTCATATCATAACCAAATTTTTTTAAAAACAAATGATAAAGAAATGCAGCCAAAGAAACAAAGACAAGACTGAAAGGAGATTTCACATTAAAAACAACTCAAGTCATATGAGAATACCATTACTTCTTTTTAAACAACTGTTAACCTAAAATTATATGATACCTTTTGGCTGTGTCCCCACCCAAATCTCATCTTGAATTCCCACGTGTTGTGGGAAAGACCTGGTGGGAGGTTATTGAATCATGCGGGCTGGTTTTCCAGGCTGTTCTCATGATAGTGAACAAGTCTCATGAGAGTTGATGGTTTTTCAACAAGGAGTTTCCCTGCACAAGCTCTCTTCTCCTGTCTGCCACCATGTGAGATGTGCCTTTCACCTTCCGCCATGATTGTGAGGCCTCCCCAGCCACGTGGAACTCTAAGTCCATTAAACCTCTCTCTTTTGTAAATTGCCCAGTCTCAGGTATGTCTTTATCAGCTGCATGAAAACTGATTAACATAGTAAATTGATACCAGCAGAGTGGGGCGCTGCTCCAGAGATACCCCAAAATGTGTAAGCAACTTTGGAACTGGGTAACAGGCAGGGATTGGAACAGTTTGGAGGGCTCAGAAGAAGAAAGGAGAATGTGGGAATGCTTGGAGCTTCCTAGAGACTTGTTGAATGGCTTTGCCCAAAATGCTGATAGTGATATAGACAATGAAGTCCAGGCTGAGGGGGTCTTAGATGGAAATGAGGAACTTGCTGGGAACTGGAGCAAAGGTGACTTTAAGACAGAGTTTCGCTCTTGTTGCCCAGGCTGGAGGGCAATGGTGTGATCTTGGCTCACCGCAACCTCCGCCTCCCGGGTTCAAGCAATTCTCCTGCCCCAGCCTCCCGAGTAGCCGGGATTACAGACATGCACCACCACGCCCAGCTAATTTTTGTATTTTTAGTAGAGACTGGGTTTCTCCATGTTAGTCAGGCTGATCTTGAATTCCCAACCTCAGGTGATCCACCTGCCTCGGCCTCCCAAAGTGCTGAGATTTCAGGCGTGAGCCACTGCACCCAGCCGGTTTTTTTGTTTTTTTTTTAAATAGAGACCTGGTCTCACTATGTTGCTCAAGCTGGCCTCAAACTCACAGCCTCAAGTGATTCTTCTCAGACTCCCAAAGTGCTGGGATTACAGGCACGAGACACTGGTTCAGGCTCCAGATTTTTTTTTTTTTAAAAAAGACCTCATTATATTCTATCTACATTAAGCCCATTTAAATATAAAGAGAGGCAAATGTTAACACTAAAAAAATGAAAAGAATACCACCATATAAACACAAAGGAAAGATGAAGTGGTTATGTTATTATCAGATAAACTGAATTTTAAATAAAATAGAATTGCCAGTGTTAGAGATCACTTTATAATAATGAAGATGTCATGTGTCAAGAAGACATAACAATCTGAAAAGTATATTCACTTAAAAACAGAATTTTAAAATATAGTAAGGCATAACTGATAAAACTGAAAGAAGAAAGAAATCTAAAACTGTATAGCTGGAGAATTAAACACTTTGACTCAATAATTGATAGAACAAGTAGGCATAAAATCAGTATAAACATAGCAGACTTGAACATAATCATCGTTTATTGAACACTGTTTGCAATATACGTAATTGTCAAGACATTATTTCAAGAACACACAGGACATTTACAAAAATAGACCATATTCTGGGCCATAACACAAGTATCAGTAAACTAAAAGAACTTTATACCAGTATATTATCTGATCAAAACATACTTAAATGTGAAGTCATTAATAGAAAAGAACATGAAAATCCTAATATATTTAAAATTAAATGACATGTACCTAAATAACCCTTGCTCAAAGAAGAAACCAAAGGGAATAACAGTTGAACTACATGAAAAGGCACACACAACATATCAAAATTTGTCAGACGCAGCTGAAACAGTACTTCGAAACAAAACAGACAACACAGAATGAATCAAAAAGCTGTTCTAAAAATCAATAAACTAGATAAACCTCTAGCAAGACTAATGAAGAGATAATCAGTGTATACTTATCTTCAAATTCAACAAATACTGTATACATTAATTATGTACAGCTTTTTGTATGTCAATTATACCTCAATGATGTGGTTTTAAAAAATACAACTTGAGACTTAAATTTAAAGAGGGACTGTTACATAAAATATGATGTAAACCATTTGACCTGTAAATATTTTAAGACAAAACCAGTATGCTAACACAAAAAAGAAAAATTATTTATTGTCTTAAAAAATGAAAAAGAAATATGGTCATGAAGCATAGGCTCTATTTCTGATCTGGTCATTGATTTCTTTCATGTTCTAGGACACATTTCTTATGTTCCTTAGTCTAAAATGAGAGTAATCAAAGTTATTTTTACATATTCTGTAAGTGTCAAAAAAAGTTTTGCTGCTTCTTGGAGAAATCATGAACTTGGGACAAAACAGTTCAAGGCTCATACACTGACCACCAATTCTTCATTTGTAAAATGAAAATAGCAATTAAATAGGGATTGGAAATCAATGACTGTTAATCATCTTAAAGAAACTTACATATATAGGAAAATCTCTATTAATTTTATTTCAAAAGATAGATTTTGAAAATGTTTATGGTTACAAAATAATTATATTCAGTTCCATAGGACTATATAAAGTAAAAATAAAAAGTTTTAATGCTGACATATTATTTTGTGAAGAAAATAAAAATTAAAGACCACCTTACCCTAAAAAAGAAGATAGAAATTACCAATATCAGTAGGAAGAACAAGGACATCACTACAAATCCTACATATATTAAAAAGGGAATGCTATGAACAATTTTATGAAAATAAGTCCAATAACTTGATGAAATTGACAAAT
The DNA here is from genome assembly GCF_000001405.40 of Homo sapiens. Taxonomy (NCBI): domain Eukaryota; kingdom Metazoa; phylum Chordata; class Mammalia; order Primates; family Hominidae; genus Homo; species Homo sapiens. The sequence goes on along the minus strand of NC_000009.12, from coordinate 1,485,647 downwards.
TCTTTGAAAGACACAAACAACCAAAGCTCAACTCTAAATAGGTAATCTGAAAAGCCTTGTATCTATTAAAAAACTGAATCCATAATTTTAAAACTTTCCATAAGAAAACTCCAAGCACAGATGTCATCACTGGAAAATTTTCTAAGACATAAAAATAAATAATGACAACTCTATATAAACTCTTCCAGAAAGTACAACAGTGGGGAACCCATCCCAACTCATTGATGAGACCAGCATCGCCTTGACAAAAATCAAAAGAAGAAATTACAAGTAAAGAAAAGTACCAAACAATATCTATAATGGACGTAGATGCAAAAAATGTTTAACAAAAATTTAGCAAATTAAACCCAGTAATATACAAAATGGATACTACATTATGAATAATTAAGGTTAATCCCAGTAATTCAAGGAGAGTTTAACATTTGCAAATCTATAAATATAATTCTTCATTTTAAGTATCTTTAAAAGAAACACATATGAACACCCCAATAGCCAAAAAATGAATTTAACAAAATTTAATATTTATTCCTGATTTTTACAATTTAACAAATGAGGAATAAAAGGGAGCTTTGTCAATATGAAAAACGACATCTAAAAATAACCTACAGTTAACATTACACTTAATGGGAAGAAACTGAACACTGTCCCTCTTATAAAGAGCAATTCAAGAATGTCTGCTCTAATGATTTCCATTCAACATTATACTGTAAATCATGGCCAGCACAATAAAGGAAGAATAAACAGACACAGACCAGAGAAGAAGAATTACAACTGTCTTCATTTACAGAGGATATCATCATCTATGAAGAAAATCTTAAGGAGTCTACGAAAAGCCTCCTAGAAATGATATGTGAGGTTATTAAGATTGTAGGATACTAGGCCAATACATAAAACTCAATTATATTTCCATAGATTAGCCTCAAATATCTTATACAGTAATGGCAATATGTAAATCAATTTTATCTGTATAGGTTACAAGACAAAAGTATTAAAAACAACTATAGCTACAATTTTTCACAGATACAAATAAAAAGATGTAAATTGTGACATAAAAACATAAAACATGGCAGAAGATGAAGTAAAAGTGTAGAAATTGTATATGTAATCAAAATTAAGCTGTTATCAGCTGAACATAGTCCGTTTAAGTATAAGATGTTTTATGTAAGCGTCAGGATAACCAGAAGGCAAACACCTAAAGTAGACTCACAAAAGATTTAAGATATCAAAGTATACCGCTATAAAAAACCATAAAACCATAAAGGAAAAAAGCAATAGAGGAAGAAGGAACAAAGGATTTACAAAAGAACCATAAAAAGACCCAAAATTTTACTAGTGAGTTTTTAAGTGATAAATAATTATGTTGAATGTAAATGGATTAAATTTTTCAAACTAAAGATATAGATTGGCTGAGTTAATAAAAATAAGAACCAACTGTATGTTACCTGAAAAGACTCACCTCACTTTAAAGGACACTTATACACTGAAAATAAAGGGGCAAAAAAAGTTATTCCATGGGAATGGAAACCAAAAGAGAACAGGGGTAACTGTATATCAGACAAGAGAGACTTTAAGTCAAAAACTATGGAAAGAGACAAACGTCATATAGTGATAAAGGTGTCAATTCATTATGAAGATATAACAATTGTAAATATATGTATATATATAATTTCATTAACAATTATAACTACATATTACACCTAATGTTAGAGTACCTAAACATATAAAGCCAGCATTAAGAGATCTGAAGGGAGACGTGGATTGCAACACAATAATAGTGTGGGATTTCAATACTCTACTTTCAACAATAGATCATTCAGACAGAAAATCAGTAAAGAAACATAGGACTTAAACTACACTTTAGACCAAATGAATCTAGTAATCTACAGAATATTCCATCCAGCAACATAATACATTCTTCTCAAGCACACATGGAACATTCTCCAGCATAGATCATATGTTACGCCACAAAACCAGCCTTAACAAATTTAGAATTGGAATTCATATCAGGTATCTTTTTTGATCAGAATGATATGAAACTAGAAAACAATAGGAAGATCATGGAAAATTCACAAATACATGGAAATTAAACAATATGTTTCTGAACAACTATTGGGTCAAAGAAGAAATTAAAAGGGAAATTTAAAAAACCCCTTCAGACAAATGAAAATTGAAACATCACAAAAAAGTTACGGGATACAGCAAAAGCAGCTCAAGAGGAAAGTTTATAGCATTACATGCCTACATCAAAAAAGATCAAGAAACTTGCCTAATGTTACACCTCAAGGAACTTAAAAAAGAATAAGCTTAAAATTGACAGAAGGAAGGAAATAAAGATTTCAACAGATATCAATAGAGACAAAAAAATCATTTAAAAATATCTGCACAACTAAAGGTGGTTTTTTGAAAAGCTAAGCAAAATTGACAAGTGCTTAGCTAGACTATGAAAAAAGAGAAGACACAAAGATATGAAATCAGAAATGAGACATTACAGCTGATACCACAGAAGTACAAAGGATCGTAAAAGACTGTTACGAACAATTATGTATCAACAAATTGGATAACCTAAAAAAAATGGATAAATTCTTAGAAAAATATAACCTACCATGTGAATAAATAATGAAATTAAAAAATCTGAACAGGCCTATAATTAGTAAAAATAGAATATGAAATTTTTTAAATACCATTACCCTGGCATCAAACACAAGATACAGGAATACATTTAATAAAATATGTGCAAGTCCTATTTACTGAAAACCGTACAAGATTGCAGAGACAAATTAATAAGATCTAAAAGTGGGGAGCTGTATCATTCACCTGATCATAAGTTTTGATATTGCTAAATGTCTATTTTCTCCAAACTGACCTATAAATTCAATGCATTTCTAAGCAAAATCCCAACTGATTTATTCGTAAAGGTGAAAGATTTATATGATCTGAGGAGAAACCAGAGTCCAAATGATTTGTAAAAATTGGCAAGCTGATGCTGCAATCCATTGGAAACCCAAGTGATCCAGAATATACAAACGAAGAAAATGAAGAACAAAGTTGGAAGATTCACACTGATTTCAATGTCTACTCTAAAGCTACAGTAAAAAAAGACAGGCTGGTATTGGAATGATACATAGACCAATGAAACAGAAAGTCCAAAAACAGAGCTACACATATACTGGATATCGAGGGTTGACAAATGTGCCAAAATAGTGCTATTGCAAAGGGAATTCTTTTCAACAAATTGTATTAGAATGATGGTACCTCCATATTTTAAAAACTAATAACATTGACCTTCACCTCATACAATATGTCAAAATGGATCAGAGACTCTAAATAAAAGAGCTAAAACAATAAAACTTCTAGAAGAAAAAGTAGGTAGGAGATGAACAGTAAAACTTAGGGTTAGGCAAATATTTCTTAAAATAAGACATAAACAGTATGACATATAAAGGAGAAATTATATCTTGCCAAAATTAATAAATTTTGCTCTTTGATAGTATCAAGAAAATAAAATTGCGAACTCTTTATGTACATACACATGGATATGTTTGCAAAATATATATCCTACAAAATACTTGTATTTATAATCTATAAAAACTCTTATAACTCAATAGTAAGACAGACAACTAAAAAATTTGGGTAAGAGATTTGAATGGTCACTCTATATGTGAATGGTAAATAAGCATGTAAAAATGTGTTCAACATAATTGTCACTAGGAAAATACAAATAAAAGCTGCACTGTGTTGTAGTTCACATCCATTAGAAAAACTAACATTTAAAAAATTGACAACAGCAAGTATTCTGAGAGAGATGGAGAAATTAAAGTTTATTCTATGTTGTTGGTGAGAAAGCATAATGCGACAATCATTTTTGGGCAGCTTAAGAGTTTCTTATCAATTTTAGCAAACTTTTACTATGAGATTTAGTAATTCCACATCTGGATATTTACTCAAGAGAAATGTAAATATATGTTTATAGAATGACTTATGCATTTATGTGCATGGCAGTTTTATTCCCAATATCCTCAAAATGAAATAATGCAAATGTCTATCAACCTGTTAATGTCTAAACAAATTATGAGCTGACAATACAATGGAATTATCTAATCAATTTTAAGATGGCTATACAAATACACAGAAATTAAACAGCATGCTCATGAATGACCACTGGGTAAATGAAGAAATTATGAAAATCAACAAAAAAATTCTTAAAACAAAATGGAAACAACACCTGTGGGATACAGCTAATCAGTGCTAAGTGGAAAGCTTATAACAACAATTACCTACATTTAAAAAGTAGAAAGATTACAATTTAACAACCTAACAATCCACTTCAAGCAAAAAAGCAAAAATAAAGAAAACCAAAACAGAAGAAAAGAAATAAAGATCAGAGCAGAACTAAATGAAAGAGTCTAAAAATTACAAAGGAACAATGAAACAAAAAGTTTTAGAAAAGATAGAAAAAATTGATAAGCTTCTAGCTAGGATAACCGAGAAGAGAGAAGACCCAAATAAACAAAATCAGAAATTAAAAAGGAGGTCAGGCATGGTGGCTCAAGCCTGAAATCCCAGCAACTTGGGAGGCCAAGGTGGGTGTATCACCTGAGGTCAGGAGTTCGAGACCAGCCTGGCCAACATAGTGAAACCCCATCTCTACTAATACAAAAATTACCTCGGTGCACACACCTATAATCCCAGCTACTTGGTAGGCTGAGGCAGGAGAATCGCTTGAACCTGGGAGGCGGAGGTTGCAGTGAGCCGAGATCACGCCACTCTACTCCAGCCTGGGCAACAGTGTGTGACTGTATCAAAAAAAAAAAAAAAAAAGGAAAAATTAAAAAGGAGACATTATAACTGATATCACAGCAATAAATAAGATTATCAGAGTCTATTATGAACAACTATATTCTGACTAACTGGAAAACCTAGAGAAAATTCAATTCCTGGACACACAGAGCCTACCAACATTTAACCAGGAAAAAAGAAAACCCAAACAGACCAATAATGAGTAGTAAGGTTGAATCAGTAATAAAAAATCTCCTTTAGGAGATATACCTAATGCTAAATGACGAGTTAATGGGTACAGCACACCAGCATGGCACATGTATACATATGTAACTAAGCTGCACATTGTGCACATGTACCCTAAAACTTAAAGTATAATAATAATAAAATTAAATTTAAAAAAACGAAAAAAATCTCACAACAAAGATAAGCCTGGGAATGGATGGATTCACAGACAAATTCTATTAAACATAAAAAGAAGAACTAATAACAATTTTCCTCAAACTATTCCAAAAAAAAAAAAGAAAATTCTCCCTAACTCATTGTACAAAGCCAGCATCCCCTGATATCAAAACAAAAGGATACAACAAAAAAAGAAAACTATAAACTAATATCCTGAATAAATAAATGAAAATCTCCTCAGAAAAATACTAGCAAATACAATCCAACAGCACATCAAAAAGAAAATATAACATGATCAAGTTAAATTTATACCAGGGATGCAAGGATGGTTCAACACACACTAATCAATAAAAACGATACATCACATTAACAGAATGAAGGACAAAAACCATAGGATCATCCCAATAGAAGCAGAAAAAGGATTTGAAAAAATTTAATACCCTTTCATGATTAATAAAACTCTCAAACTAGGCATAGAAGCAATGTACCTTAAAAATAATAAAGGCCACATATGAAAAACTCATTTCTAACATCATACAGAATGGGGAAAAGTTGAAAGCTGTCCATTAAGAAGTAGAACAAAACAAGCATGCCCACTTTTGCCACTCCTATTTTAACATAGTACTGGAAGTCCTAGCCAAAGCAATCAGGCAAGAGACAAAAGGTATCCAAATTGGAAAAGAGGAAGTCAAACTGTTCCTCTATGTTAATGATATAATCTCATATCTAGAAAAATCTAAATACTTCCCTAAAAAATTTAGATTTGATAAATGAATTTAGTAAAATTGCAGGATACAAAATCAACATACAAAAATCAATAGCATTTCTATACACCAATCAGAATCTAGGTGAGAAGGAAATCAACAGGGCAATCTCATTTACAATAGCCACAAAAATAAAATACCTAGGAATAAATTTAGCCAAGGAGGTGAAAGATCTCTAGAAGAAAAGCTACCAAACACTGAGGAAAGAAATGGAAGATGATACAAACAAAAGGAAAAACTTCCCTTGCTATGGATCAGAAGAATATAGTTAAAATAATACTGCCCAACGCAATCTAGAGTCAATGCAATCCCTATAAAAGTACCAACACCATTTTTCACAGAATTTGAAAAAACAATCCTAAAATACATATGGAAGCAAGTAAGGGCCCAAATAGCCAAAGCAATCCTGAGCAAAAAGAACAAAGCTGGAGATATCATATTACCAGACGTCAAGTCTACAAGGCTAATTACCAAAACAGCATGGTGCTGGTATAAAAGTAGGCAAATAGACCAACAGAACAAAATAGAAAATCCAGAAACAAAGCAAAATACTTAACAATCAACTGATCTTTGACAAAACACACAAAAACATAAGTTGGAGAAAGGACAACCTCTTCAATAAGTGTTACTGTGAAAATTGGATAGCCACGTGCGCAAGAATGAAACTGGATCCTTGTCTCTCACTACATACAAAAATCAACTCAAAATGGATTCAAGACTTAAATGTAAGACCTAAAACTATAAAATTACTAGAATAAAACATAGAGAAAACTCTTCAGAACATTGGTCTAGGCAAAGAATTTATTACTAAGACCTCAAAAGCATATGAAACAAAAACAGACAAATGGGACATAATTAAACTAAAAAGCTTCTTCAAGCAAAAGAAATAATCAATGGAGTGATGAGGCAACCTGTTGAATGGGAGGAAATATTTACAAACTATACATCCAACAGGGGATTAATATCCAGAATATACAAGAAACTCAACAGTACAAAAAACAAATAATTCAATTTAAAAGTGGGAAAAGAACATGAATAGATATTTCTCAAAAGAAGGCATACAAACAGATAATAGGTGCATGAAGAAATGCTCAACATCACTAATCAGATAAATACAAATCAAAATCACAATGCGATATTACCTTACCCAAGTGAGAACGGCTATGAATAAAAAGACAAAAAGTAGCAAATGTTGGCAAGGATGTGGAGAAAAGGGAACTTATACACTGTTGGTGGGAATGTAAACTAGTTTAGCTACTATGGAAAACAGTATGAAGATTTCTCAAAAAACTGAAGATAGAATTATCATTCAATCCATCAATCCCACTGCTGGATATCTACCCAAAGGAAAATAAATCAGTATATCAAAGGGACACCTGCAATCACATGTTTACTGAAACATTATTCATGATAGCAAAGATATGAATCAACTTAAGTGTCCATCAACGCATAAACAAAATGTGGTGTATATATAGTCAGTGGAGTACTGTCAGCCATAAAAAGAATGAAATCCTGTCATTTTCATGCTAAGTGAAAAAAAGATTATATGCATTATGATTTCAGTAATATAAACATTTAGAAAAGGGAAAATATTTTAAGGAAAAGAAATCAGTGCTTACCAGAGACCCAGTAGTGGCACAAAGACATTGACACCGAAGGGGTTGCCAGAAGGCATATTAGAGTGCTGAAAATATTTTATAACCGAATAGTGCCCGTGGTTGCATGACTTTATGCAATTGTCAAAATTGATTGAATTGTATAGGCACTTAAAATTGATGGATTTTATATGTAAATTATACCTCAGTAAAGCTAGCAAAAGTACTTTCTTTGCCCTTGAATTTATGTATTTATATACACACACGCACACAAATATTAGGTAGTCAAACAAATCTGAGGTGAAAAGATGGAATATATTTGAAAACATAGTGATAAAGGTTGTTATAAATTCAAAATCTGTAGTTTTAGAAAATGCTAATTAAAAATATTTGAAGCCATCTTTCGGTTAAAAATGTCAGATCTTTATCACGAGCAAAAGTAATTCTAACTTTTTAAAAAGTCCTATTAAAGCTATTTAAGATACTTCAAAAATACAAAAAGTGAAGGAGAAAGGAACAAAGATTCTCTAAGTGAAAACCATGTGTTAAGTCTTTTAATGTATATATTACCTCATTTGATCCTCACAAGAACTGTGAAAGTTAGATCGAGGTATTGTCTGAGGGGTATCAAGAAGCTAGAGATGTAAAAATGATTCAAATTCAAGCCTATTTTAACCCCAAAGGCTTACATCCAGTCTTACTTTCTATATCCAGGAAGATGGAGTTTTATTTCAAGGTCTTATGAGATCTGGGAAGATATCTAAATGTAGAGAATTTCTGAATACCCCCAAGTAAAGATCAGGTTTTTCTGCATCCTATTTGCCGAGCATTATGCTGGGCCTCATTTAAGCCTTTTAACAATCCAGTGACCTGGGCACTATTATTATAGCCATTTTGCAGATAAAAATCGTTATAATTCTCACTTTCTTTATCTGACACCAAACCCTGTGTTGTTTTTTAATCTCAATCACTGCTCACCTTCATAACTGATCTTCAGTTTTTTTTGTTTTTTTTTTGGTTTTTGTTTTGAGACGGAGTCTCGCTCTGTCGCCCAGGCTGGAGTGCGGTGGCGCGATCTCGGCTCACTGCAAGCTCCGCCTCCCGGGTTCCCGCCATTCTCCTGCCTCAGCCTCCCGAGTAGCTGGGACTACAGGCGTCCGCCATGATGCCCGGCTAATTTTTTTGTATTTTTAGTAGAGACGGGGTTTCACCGTTTTAGCCAGGATGGCCTCGATCTCCTGACCTCGTGATCCGCCCGCCTCGGCCTCCCAAAGTGCTGGGATTACAGGCGTGAGCCACCGCGCCCGGCCGATCTTCAGTATTTTTAGTGTCTGCCATTTTCCATTAGAAACAGTAACTGCACTCTTATTGCAAGTCAAATGCTTAAAAGTCATAAACATACCCATGTAACAATTCTTTCCTATTAAGCCTATTTCTTTGGCAAGTCCACTTACCCTTGTTTCCACCTTCCCTTTATTTGTCCTTGTCTGCTGTGCAATCTCTCTCCCTCAGTTCCTTCCGCTAAAATTCTCGTTATGTCCTAGTCTTTTGTCCAGATATAGAAAATCAGGGTTTTCATTGCAGAAGACAGTGTTGGGATCCCTCAAAGACATAAAACCAGAAATACCATTCAACCCAGCAATCCCATTACTGAATATATACCTAAAGGAATATAAATCCTTCTATCATAAAGACACATGCACGTGTATGTTCACTGCAGCACTATTCCGAGTAGAAAAGACATGGAATCAACCTAAATGCCAGCCAATGATAGACCGGATAAAGATAATGTGGTATATACACACCATGGAATACTACGTAGTCATAAAAATGAGATCTTGCCCTTTGCAGGGACATAGGTGGAGCAGGAGGTCATTATCCTCGGCAAACTAACACAGGAACAGAAAACCAAATACTGAATGTTCTCACTTATAAGTGGGAGCTAAACGATTAGAATACATGGACTCATAGAGGGGAACAACACACGCTGGGGCCTATTGGAGGGTGGAGAGTGGGAAGAGGGAGAGGACTAAGAAAAATAACTAATGGGTACTAGGCTTAATATCTGGGAGACAAATAATATATACAAGAAACCCCTATGGCGAAGCCTGCCTCTTGTCCGTGTTTTTATTGTAAGCAGCTCTATCTTCTATCCTTTAATGTTTTCTATTGAACATTAACTGAAAATGCTATACCATGGGTATAGTTTCCCATCTCTCTGAATTTCCTTCGTCTTTATCCAGTTACTGGGCTTCTGCAGGTGGGTCATAGTGGAAAAATTCCTTCTGCTGTGATTTTTATTGTTATGGTTTATTTTTAATTTGGTCTTCTAGTCTTTTCTAGACTTCAAGGGGCCATAAGCCAAGATAACCACTTTCTAGGAGAGCCCTGATGGGGAAAAGTTGGATTGGGGTGTGTCAGTCAGCTGAGACACGAAGAGGTAAGCCCAAAATGCATGACACAGAATAAATATATTACTTACAGATCCCGGAGAGGTCAGGGGTACAAACAGGAGGCCAGTGAGAAGAGGTGGAAGGGAGCCCAGCCTGCAGGTAAGGGGAGAGAAAAAGACGACCCGTGGACCTCTCAATAAAAGCATTTGGGACTATGCCCTTATTAAGGTCCACGTGTGATAACACTTAGGTTTTCCCTCAGGGGTTGTGGATTGGCTAGTTTACAGAAACACGTGGGAAGTGGAGAATTTATTTACATGACCCTGGTGTTGATCATTTGGGATATTTGTGGTCAGCAGCTGTGAGGTGTCTTGGTGTTTTGTCAGTGGGATGAGGAGCAAGTGGGCTATCTCACAAACAAATGCACAGAGAGGGGAAATTTTAACTAGTCCAAAGGTACTACTGGGTTTCAAAACACTCATGTTAGGCCTAGAAATGAATGCCGATGCAGCAACTATAGTAAAAAAATAAATAAATAAATAAATATCTGTCACACCATCTTATGCAGGGGCTTAATTTTAAAGTCAAGGCGAAAGAAAAGGAACATGCAGGATATCAAAATTGTTATTGAAAAAGTCTTTAGAAAGGGGCCACATGGCAAGTCAATGTACAGTTTCTCAGTGAATCCATTACAGTTATCTTTGGAAAATAAATCACCATTTCTTTAGTCAAGCTGCAGTTGTAGTAGGTGGCTTACACTCGGGTCATTTTCTATAAATACTTATGTCTGTTTATTTAATCACTAGAATTACTTTCAGTGAAGCAAGATGAGCTCACTAGGAAAGTTACTTAGGAATTGAGATCAGCTGAGGTTGAAGAGATTGGTCTCCCATCTCAAGCTCACTGAGTAGAATGGCACTGGAATTACCTGCATTTTCTTGTCCTTTTGCTCCCCCTCTCTCTGTTTACATTTTGGACTGCATTCAGAGTTGAGTTTACTACATGAAATGTATTGGTGATGCAGCACTACTACATCAAGATATAAAGAGTATACCTTATAATCCCTTGCGTGTGGCCCAAAATCTAGACTTAATGGATAACCAGTGTTTCTTTTGTCCTTTTCTGTGGGAAAATTGACCAAAGGATTGGAGAAGTTCACCAGGATGCCAGGTCGCTATGTCTAGGACTTCCAGGCAAACCATTCCAGCAGTTTCCTTTTCTCATACTCAAAAACAAGGGCAATGACATCATCATCTGATATCTGAATCCTATATCTCCCTGTGGCATGATTTAGCAACATACTCTCTCAATTTCATCATCCATGAAGCAGAGATAATGGGAGACAAATTGGTGATTATTAATTTTGGCTAGAAATAAAAACATTCACTTTATGGTTATATGTTGGGCTTATCCCTTTTTCTTACAAAGTTTGGGGTCATTAAAACATCAGCAGGTTTTTGGAAAGTCCTATTCCCTCCTAACTTTTGAAGTTTTCTGTCTTTTGAGGGCAATTTAATCCATATGTTTCTTATTGGCTTTCTCTTAAAACATCAGTGGGTTTTTTTTTTCCTCAGAAGTATACAGTATCGAAGAGGCCTTAATATATGCTTCCAAGGAAGGTTTCTCTTGTTTTGTTTTTCCTTTTTAAAATCTGGAAATTATTGTTTGCCAGATATAAATTAACACAGACACCAAAAGGTTTGAGTTTAGGTTGAAACTTCATATCCACGAATTTTGAATAGGTTCTAAACTTGGCATAACCTATCCTATAGTTGGTCCTTGTGGCCATTGGCTAAAGAAGATAGTCTCTTGTGTTTTAAATAAAATGAAAAAGTTAAACAAATGCAGCTAATAATAAGACATTGGATGTCATCATGCAGCAAAGGGAAAGATCCAAACTCTTTCTCATGAGTTTTGGATCAACCATGCCTGTTATTTAAGAAGCTCACAGGCTACTTGCTTTGCTCCCAGAAACAAAGTACTAGAATTTCAGAGGGCTCAGTTAAGCCCTTTGTCAAATGTTCACAATCATAAAACTCCAGCAAATGCAGGTGGAAGGGGTACAAGTTCATCAGATCCAATGCCATTCTGTTCATAATACTATTCTTAGATAGTATTATGATTCTTACATTGACTCTATCACTCAGCTTGGTTTCTTGGGAATTCAACAGTGCAGAATTCCTGTGCAGAGGGGGACATTTTTTTCAGTTTTTTTTCTGCAGTCTCAGGCAAAATATACATTTTTATGGTTGTACCTTCAGAATTGTTTGGTTGTGACCACCATTACAATCCTTCTTCCCACCAAACATGACTTGCTGTGCCCAACGCAACATGGAAACTGAAAAATACTAAGTCAAGCTAAATCATTAGAGGTGGCTGTGTCAATTTCCCATTGCTACAGTGTCCCTGAATCTACCATTCCTGCAGCTTCAAAGCCCTTGATCACATCTGGTAAATACAGATACCAAACCTAGAGGGATTAAAAAATGGTTATATCATTTTCTGTAATACTTCAGGTACCCAACAGATTAGGGCTTTCTTCTGAGGACCTGTGAGTCTGCCCACTCACTGCCTAGTAATAGAAAAGCAGCATCTCTCATCAAATACCAACTCTGATTCCTATTTGTTTCCCTGGTACATCACTTACTCTTCAGGCTATGATTAATCACATTCAGCTACTTGACATTTCTTCAGATGCCCCATGTGTTTTCACCACACACCACACATTTGCTTTTGCCGCTTCCATAGCCTGGAACTCCTTTCTCCCTGCCTCCCTACTTAATTCATACTCATCCTTAAGTCCCACTTAGATGCTGCATTCTTTACGTCCAAGCAACACAGCCCTAGTCAGAATTCTTCACTCCCTGCTCTCCTCTCGAATACCATTGTGTCTAATACCATTATTAGTAGTACTTATAGTCTAATTAATGCTACAGGTAGAATTTTGTACATCTACCTACTCCAACAAAATGTGAATTCCTTGAATGCATTATTCATCTAAGCATTTCTAGCAACTGACGTTTTAATTTTTTTTCAGTATTTAATTGAATTAGTGCTCAATAGCATAAACCATGTATTATACTAAATTGCATACCATAATATAGTGACAAATAAAATTCTTGACCATGAGCAGTAACGTTCCAAACTGCATTACACAAACATCCACATTTAAGTGTTTTGTTATCTAAGACAAAGCTGACAATCTTTCTTCTGTAGAAATCCAGATAGGAAATATTTTAGGGCTTTGCAGGCCACATACAGTCTCTGTCACATATTTTTCTTTAAAATCTTTTTAAAATGTGAAAACTATTCCTAGCTTGCAGGTTATACAAAAATAAGCCAGGAGCCAGATTTGGCCTGGGGCCGTAGTCTCTACTCCTGTGCAATAAAACTTTCTGTGATGATGGAAAGTTTCTCTACACTGTCCAACACGGTAGCCACTAGACATATATGGCTACTGAGCACATGAAATATGGCTCATGTGACCAAAATATTAAATTCTTAATTTTCTTTCATTTCAATTATTTTTAATTTAAATAGTTATATGTGGCTATTAGCTCACCAACATGAGCAGATAATTTACAGATTATTTGAACTACCAACCCCTTGGAATAAATACGAGTAGATGATTTTGGAAGTGAGCAGTCAGCCACCAGCAAATGTAACTGTGATGATATATGTCTTTACTCAATATGAAACAAAAAGTCCCACAAAATGCCTAAATGTTATTTTTTAAAAAATCTTTCTATTCGTTTGCATTTAGAACAAGGGAAGGATTTTCAGATCTGGTGGCTGCATAAAGTTACTTCAGTTGAGGGGATTCAGAAAGTCAAGGTTAATTCTTGCCATCTACAAGGAGCCCCCAACCCGATAAACTAAAATAAACTAACAAAAATGCTTTTTACTTTTAATTTACTTGCTGATAAATCTGTTACCAATTCCCTGAAGGCCTTTAAGTGCCCCTGCTACCTCATCACCTTTCCTAAGAATATACTACCCTTCAAAATTATGAGGGCCTAGTCTTTTAGGAATCCCTAGGTTCAAATGCTCAGTGAGATGCACGCATTTTTCCTCCACATAGTTGAAGGCATTTGCCATGGTGTTAGCACAATGGGAACCAGATGATGATAAATTGAACAAGAATGGGGGCAGGCAAAACAAGAAGACATGGACAGAGAGTGAGAAAGCAATAGATCAAGGGAGTTGTGGGTCTTCTTGGTCAAAGAATTGTAGAAGAGGGATATTAGAACAAGTCAGCTGAAAGAAGTGTATGGAGTGAGTGAAATTTGAAATTGAGATGTTGGAATTGGAGCAGTCACCAGTGATGATAAGGTCCAAGATGAAACTTGACTGTGGTGGGGTGGAAAATAAATAGTATGTTGTTGGATATAAGGAAGTAAGGGAATGAGAACCAGGTGTTGGATGGGTCATCTGTTGTAGATGTTGAAGTCACAAAAAATGGCAATAGATTTAGGGTGAGGAGCCAAAGTTGTCAGGGAACTGAGGGTGGGCTGCAGTGGCATAACCCACTGGTAAATAGATGACAGCAATAATAAGAGATAGGAGGTGGCATAGAGAGATGGCATCACACTAGCTGCTCCCAGCTCCATTTATATACACAGTTACTTCCTGGGCAAAAGCTGATGTGGGAACATAGGCTCCATTTGTGCTGAGACCTCTGCCAATGAATAGAACCTGCCTTAACCTGCTTGTCCTGGGCTAGGGCCACTTCCCATTTCAGGCCTCAAATACAAAAGGGCTCACCAGCACTTCCAATTTTTGTCCAGTCCCCCAAACATATCATGAGGGTATTCTGGAGTTGGAGACCTCTATCGTTTTGAAAGAGACTCTGGTAAGGACCTATAGTAGTGATGGTTCACCGAAGATATAGAACTAATTGTGTGTGTGTGTGTGTGTGTGTGTGTGTGTGTGTGTGTGTGTGTGAAGAGAGGGAGAGAAAGAGACAGAGACAAAAAAGAGAAAGAGAGAGAACAATTTATTTCAAAGAATTGGCTCACATGATTGTGGAGGCTGGCAAGTTCAAAATCTGCAGAGTAGTTAGGTAGGCTGGAAATCCAAGGAAGAGCTGATGTTGCAGCTGAAGTCTGAAGCCAGTCTGCTGCCAGACTGGAATTTCTTCTTCCTCAGGGAGAGCTCAATTAGTTTTTTTCTTAAGACCTTCAATTGATTGGAAGGTAATATGCTTTATTCAAAGTCTACTGATTTAAATGTTAATCTAATCTAAAGAATACCTACACAACAACATGGAAGACTGAGAGTAGGAAATTGATATAAGTTATGCAAGATTTTAATTAAAATATAAATGCTTCCAACAAACTATGTTTGCTAACTCAGAAGATATCATCTCTTGCAACATTGGCCAAACTCTTGCATGCAGATATAAAGGGACATTCCATAGTGCTTGCTAGTTTCATCTTTTTATGAAGTCACCATTTCTGCACCTTCTTCTCTTTTATTCTCAAGGGAGTTCTACTTTCTCATGACTTTGTTTCTTTTCTAGATTTCTCTCATGAAAAATGAGTCTACTTCTGCCTTCTTAGAATATGCTTACTCACCAGGAGACACAGGCAGGTAATTTACATATTGCTATAGAAGAGTCTAGTGCAATACTTGTGAATTCAAAGTCTGTCATACCTGTCTTTGTTTTCAGAAAGTCTCTGTTAATCTCCTCTGATCTCTCACGAATGCAGAAGATACCAGCCACTCCTAGAGTTGAGCGCTACTTTATTCATTGGTAACTAACTTTATTATTTACACTACACAGACTTCTGCACCATAGACATAGACACTGCCAATTATAAATATTCACTGCACACCAAACTACCTAGAAATCTATTATATATTTTGGAACCTTATTGGCAAATAGGTTATGATTATTGCTTTGGCAGAAACCCACTGCAATACACAGCACCCGGCATCCAGTAGCATATTTTATTCTTGCTATTGTAAATGAATACTTGAAAACAAATTCCTGGAAGTTGATACTTTTGCCTAAGAACTGTGAGATGTCTGCTGTCTAAATCACAATGGAGTTGCTTATTTAAAAATGAGGCATTTATTGCCTGACTCCTACATTTATTAAAGTGTTTTCAGTGGAACCTTTAAAGAACTCAAAGGCAAAAAAGGGGCCATCGTTTTCTATCCCAGGAAGCGTCCCATTAATGTTCCTCGTATAACTCAGCATGTGTTGAGTAATTTCTCATCTTACATTATTATATAGAAACCCGGAGGCCAACTGACCACCCAAGCAGGCTGCTTTAGGAAGAAATAGTCTATCTTTGATTGACAGAGCAAGCCCAACATGCAGTATAAGAGTGAACAGCATATACAGACCATCTGGGAATCAAGGAAGAAAATGATACATTTTGGACTCATTGGCCGATAATAACAGGAAGCCAGAGTGGCCACGGGAGTTTGAGGACAAAGTCAAGTTCAAGTGAACCTCAAAAATGTATGAATAAAAAACCGGTTCGATTCATTGGACAGGCAGTAAAATTCTTTTTATCCCACATCCTGCAGAGAATCCTAGTTATAAAACAATCTAAATGTCTACCAGGCTCTCATCCTAGAAAAAAGTCACTTTGCCAAGGTTTACCTTATGCCCCCCAGACTTGCGTTTCCTTCTGTTTGTCTCTAAAGTTGCAGCTTCAGTAGAGTCAGTTGTTTGAACATATGGTATTTTTCTACTTGACAAAGTTCAATGGTTTCAGGTAGGCAAATTATAACTGATGTATTATTTTCAAATTCTGTTGTGTTGAAATGTTTAATGCCACTAGGAATTATAGAGGCCATAACTACAACTCTTTGGGAATTTCTCATTCACCCAATATAGTGCTAGTGAGCACCAAGAAACCAGAAAGAAGGCATTGTGTGCAAGCAAATGCCACATCTCTTATTTCCCATATTCATAACCTACCTAAGGCAATTCAGACTGAAAACAAAATTTTCTCCTAGCCTTTTCTTCTTTTCATAATCTAAATGTATCAAGATAAGGACACTTAAAACTGATACTGTAATCTACAAATCAATCACTGGAAGTTGAATATAATGAGAGGAAAAGTGATTCATTTCATCACTGTTTAAGGACAGAGGAAAAAATAATTTCATCTATTCATATATTTAAGACTATTTTTCAAGTATGAAAAAATTATGAGAGTCTAAATTATGTTAGCATTAGAAAAGAATTTCTTAATATGAAAGTCTAAGGATGCCTGGAAACCTGTGGAAAGAAAGAATTCAGATGGTCTGTGAACCTGAATGAGGAAAAAAAAATCACATCCTCATTTTTGCTAAGCTCTAATTGAAATTTAGTATTTCATTCAACTATGAAGGAAGACTGCAAATCATAGTAGCATTGATAGTACCTGTGACAGACATTTTCGTATCACGTTACATGTGTTTCAGATATTTCAAAATACCATTAACACTTGTCACTTCTTTAAAATTATAATATTTATTAAACCCACTATTGGATTTGGTTATTTAATGCATTAATAAAGAAGCAAAATTATTTTGATATCAAACAATTCTTTTTAATAACTTGATAACCATGTTCAATATAATTATTAATAGTTTTTTTGTAAGTATGTCTTATACATTCAGATGCATTATGAGAAAGTAGCCACCTATATTGTCTGAAATAGAGACTTAAGGAAGTTTAAGAAGAAAATTTCCAATCTCTTAATTGTTTCATAATTTCTGTTTGAACTTTAGATAAATATTTTAGGAAGTACTGTCTCTCCCACTACCACCAGATTAAAATATTTCCATTTCCTGTCACCCTCTCTTCTCTCTCCATATAGGATGATATAGCACACTTACTTTGCCATGGTTTAACTCTTTTTCATTTTGTTCTCTAGCTATCTTTGCTCAATTTACTAAATTTATACTATATTCAAATTTAAATTAATTTTATATTTAGATTTACCAAGTATTTTCTGTTCCTGAGCTCTTTCTTTTCGTTCATCTTTTTTTGGGGCAAGATGTTATTGCAGAGTTGATTTTTAAGAAGTGCTAACGAGTGCTATATTCCTTGATTTCCTGTATACTTGAGATTGACAGTTCTGTTTATATTTGAACAAGTAGATAGATGCAAGATTCCTGGGTCTGCTTTTATTTTCTGTCCTTCAGAACTTTGTAGACATTTCTCCTTTGTGTTCTGCCATAGAATAGTGCTATAAAGAAGACTTAAGCCTGATTTTTGTTTTATTGTAGATGACCTGTTTTCCTACTCATTTTCTTTAAAAAATTTGTCATTGTTTACATTAATTCTTTTAGCCAGAATATGTCTAGATATTTATCGTTCTGAATCAAATGTTCCTGGCACTCAATTTTTTGCTTTGCCTGTGAAATTCTTCTTTTATGTCAGAAGATTTTTCCAGCATTATGTCTTTGAATGGTTCAATTTTTTAGATTCTATTATTTAGGAATGTCAGTTGATACTTATTGGACTATACTTGGCTTCTCCATATCTATCCACTTCTTTTTAATTTTTTTCTCTTTTTACTTTTATGCTGCATTCACTATAATTATTGCAGGTTATTCCTTTACATCATGATTTAATTTTTTTCCGTGAATATTCTATGCATTAAATTTATACATAGATTTATTATATAAAATATGGTATAGATTTTGGTTCTCAATTTGTTGTTAGCTGTTCATCACATCTAGCCATTTATTTTCAGACATTTCAGCCTTTGCGATTTTTTTCTTTTAATAGCAGGAGGCATTCTTCAATAATGTTTTCATCTAGACTAGGTTTCAGGTTCTTCATCAGTCTTACATTTGTTATATCCTGTTTCATTAAAATTGACTCCCAGATATTAAAAAATGATCTTCTGATTTCACATAAAATTTACCCTCCCTCCTTCCTCCAACTCAGGCTTGACCTATGCTCAGGTGCCTACACTGAAAGGAGATGAGGTGCACTCCTTCCTTTTCTCCTTGATTCTTCCCATTCTGTAATGGGTTCCTCAGGATGAAAGGAGAGGAAATGGAAAACAGCAAATGTGTAGTGCATGTTTAAACATTGGCCTTGTCATGACACAAAGCTCTGGGGTGCTTCAGAGATCCATTAGGTACCTGCACTACTGTTCCCTGACATAGATGAGGTGCTCTTCTGCTGACCTCAACATACTCCTCACTCCCAGCTCCTGCCCCAGAGGGTCACTCTACAGTCTCTTTTACTGAAGTCCCCTTGCTCTAGAAGTTGTGCTCTTGGTTTGGATTTCAACAAGACAGCTAGAGTTGGTCACATTCTGCAGCACCCACTTTGGCCCTAGGAAGCTCCACATCTTGGCCGTATCAACCAATAAGAGGATGCAATGCTCTACTTTGACTCTCCCTTGCCCTCCCATCACTGGCTCTTCTAGCCAAACTGCTGCCTTTACAATTCTGTGGAAAGAGGCATGTTTTGTGTACATGCAGGTGACACAAGTTCTCCTAGTATCTCTCTCACCATGCTTTGCTCTGGTGCCATGAGTGGGCCTACAACTTTTGCCTCCTCAGTAAACAGCCTGAAATTGAGATGCTCTCTCCCCTTCCTGCAGGCTTTTTACATTGTCATCTACGATGTCAATGATGAGTGATTCTCTTGAACCACCCACACTTGGACCTGGTTTGGGCCTAGGACACAGCATTCCTTTACCATCTCCAACCAGAAAAAAAGTAATTAGTTGTATCTACTAGACAAGTTAAAGCTCTCTACCTCCATGAGCCCTCTTCCCATTTTATTCCTCACTTGAAATAGTCTGAGATATGGGGCATTGGGTGGTAAGGGAGCCTTGAGCAAATATATAGG
The DNA here is from genome assembly GCF_000001405.40 of Homo sapiens. Taxonomy (NCBI): domain Eukaryota; kingdom Metazoa; phylum Chordata; class Mammalia; order Primates; family Hominidae; genus Homo; species Homo sapiens. Next base: position 1,465,897 of record NC_000009.12, on the reverse strand, counting down.
AGATCCTTGGCATTCTCTTTAAGAATGAAGGTACTTATCACATACTTCCCTCTGCTCTATGATTTAGCACATTTTCTCGAGGTATCAGGAAAAGGCTCAATTCAATACTTAGGACAGAAGTGGTGAAATATCTTTCTCCCCTAATATTTCTAATTGTTTAAGTAATAATGCTTATAGACCATAGGTTATTGGATATGAAGTGGTTAATTTGTGGCACTCCACCAAGTCATGCTGTTTCCGGAGTACTTAATGGTGTTACATAGGAAACTTCATGGCTTACATATTTCTGTCCAGCTGTAAAAGCCAGTTTTACTGCCGAGTCCATTGGAGAAGTAATTGCTCCTTATTAAACAACATCACCCCCTCCCTTCAGAGCAGCTAGAGCAAAATGCAGAGAAGGAAACTGTGTGGAACAAAGGCTGCTGCAGGTACAGTTGTTAGTTTGCAGTCATACTGGAAGAAAGCAAAATCGAAATTTGCAGGGACAATTTTTCGTGAGACCTTATTAAATACTTTACTGAAGATGAACTTTGGGATGTCAAAAGGAGACACTGAAAGTAAGACGCCTGATTCAAGAAGCTGTCACTCCTGGCATAGACCAGTTTAACTTGTGTCTTAGCATGCTCAAGCTGCTGTAACAAAATACCACAGCCTGGGTGGCTTAAACAACAGTCACTTATTTCTCACAGTTCTGGACGCCAGGAAGCTCAAGATCAAGGTACTAGCAAGTTTGGTTTCTGGTAAAGGCCTCTTCCTGGATTGAAGATGGCTGCTTTCTCACTGTATTCTCACATAGGGGAGAGAAAACCATCTCTGTTCTCTTCCTCTTCTCATGAGGACAGTAATCCCAAAACAGGGCACCCATCCTCATGACCTCATGTAAACCTAGCTACTTCCCAAAGACCCCACCTCCAAGTACCATCACATCAAGGCTTAGGACTTCAACATACACATTTTAGGATAATACAAAATTTAACCACAGCAAGTAGGGACAAGATGGAACACAAGACAACTAGTCATGAGAATTAACAAAAAGCCAGCAGAAGATTTTGGACTAAACCAGAGTAAAACAGGTTCTCATCTATCATTGGGTGAGAAGAATCTGGAAATCAATAGCAGGACCACCCTGTATATTTTTCAAAACAGGATTATATGCTTATACTAAATCAACTCCAAAGTGTATATAGTTTTTATTGCAGAGTGAGGTAAGTTTTTCTCTACACAATTTTTGTTGCTATTCCAAAGTCCCAGTTAAACAATCTTTCCAGTTACTATAATAAAACTGTGTAGGATGTGTCTATTTAATCTGACCATTGCAATAAAAGTTCTGTATAATGGAAATATAAGTATATCCCACACATTGTGTTTCTGAGTAGCAGGCTGTTCAAAAAGCATAGTTCAAAAGACAACAGTCATTTGAAAATAGTTCAGCTTTCCCCTTGGAATTTCTTATATCAGTTAAAAATGATTGACATCAAAATATTCCCCAAAACATCAAAAAATGCTCCTTTCCCTTTTCCTGAAATATCATAGCCACTACCTCATTTCTCAAACCTGAAAGACCCTCTTGAAAATAAGTTTTTGCTGCCAGGAATGCCTATCATTCACTACAAGCTTAAAGGGCATTTTAGGAAGGCTAGGCGTTTATATGGCTTTTCTCTCACCCTTTACAATCCATGGGAAAATGAAGTTCCACTCCTGTTACTTCCTTCCAAAGAATCTGCTGGTGGCTTCTGTGCCCTCTGTCATCCTTTACTGGAAGAGAGAAGGTACATATACGTAAACACATGTCTCAATAGCCCTGACTTCACTACATTCCAAAAAGACTCCGTTTCAGCATGCTGCACTCAGGGTTCAATGTACATTACAGATTCTTAAGGAAAACTAGAAAACTGGGTGATTTATGGGTTATATGTCCCTAGGGAGATGCCAAAAACATCTATGATGAGTTCTATTGTTCCTAAAATTTCCATTTGAGAAAAGTCAATTTTAAGTAAATACAAAGGCAACTTTAAATGTTGAAAACTAAATGGTAGGTAGGAATGACAAAAGGTGATTCCATCAGTTTTGTCAACAACACCATGGGTGTGGTAGGAGGAGATTAGACTATATTTTTAAAGACTGGGGTCCTAAGTCTAATGACACACCCAGCATGGCTAGGCCCGGGCCTATGCTCTCACCTCCCAGGGAGCAGGAGAGCACAGCAGTTAAGAGCATAGACCTGGAGTCAGACTTCCAAGCCTGTTTGTGTCTTGGCCTCTCCAATGCCATTTAGCAGTTGGTGCAACATCACTTTACCTCTCAGTTGAATGACTTTGTCTATAAAATGAGGCTGATATTTCACAGGGTTATTATGGGCTTTAAGTGAATAAAATATATGTGAAACACTCAAAAATAGTGCCAGAAGGGTGTGGGGTATAAGAGAATTCCCTGTACTATCTTCACAGTTTTTACTGTAAATGCAAAACTGTTCTGAAAGTTAAAAAAAAAAAAAAAAGGCTGCAAAGCAAATGGTAACCCATACATGTTACTTATTATCTATTATAATTACATTGCCTCCAATGAAAGGCTGCTTATCCTTATCCCCACTTCACAGATAAGGAAAGTGAGGTCAGAAAGGAAAAGATTACTCTCAGTTTTATGCAGATAAAGAAAACTGGGCCAAGATTCAATTATAGGATTGATCCACGGAAGGAAAGAACAAAGGGAGGGAGAGAAGAAGGAAAGGAGGAAGGAAGGAGGGGGAAAGGGAGGGAGATAGGGAGGGAAGGAGAAGAGGCATGAAGGGAAGAAGGCCAAAAGGAGGGAATAAATCACTGTTTTTCATGTTACACCCCTCTGCCTCCTTTTCCCTGTGTAATTTGCTAGCTGTGTGACCTTGGATGAATTGTGTCAACTCTCTGAGCTTCAGTTCTATGATCAATATAATAAGGAAAGTGTTGTCCCTCCCAACCACACAAGATTTATGGGAGGATTAAATGAACTAATGTAGGTAAACATGCTTTGTGAGCAATGCTGAGTTGGATAAATAAAGGGAAGCTTAGTGTCACAAGTGTTTCCCATTTTTTACAGCTCATAAAAATACGTGCCACAGTTCATTCAAACGTCAGCTCTCAGCACCTCAAGATTTGTCATTCATTTATTTGACACATTTACTGAACTCCTCTGGTGTTCCAAGGACAGTAGCTGGCACTGGGTAGGCCTAGTTGAATAAGAGTCAGCCCTACCTTGGAAAGTTCACGGTCCTAGGGAGGAGAGATACTTAATCATGGATAAATACAATATGGTGCAAGGCATAACACAGTGGAAGGCCATCTGTGCTTTTCAGGATAATTCACTCTGCCCCTGGGGTTATTGGGGAGGCTTCACAGAGGAAAAAAAGGCTTACATGGGGTCCTGAGGGATGAGTAGGAGTTTGTACCTTCTTGTCCCCGTCAGTTGACCTGAGTTACTGCCCAGCTGTCAGCTGTTAGGCCCCACTGAGCACCAGCTCCAGGGTTTCCTATGATTTAGGTGGGTCATCTGAGGACAACATGATTCTAGGTAGTGTCCAAATGCCTCATTTCTTAACATTTACATTGTCCAGAAATTATTGTCCATCCACTCCCACTCCAGTCCAAGAAGACTGTCTCTTCACACCAAAGTGCCTGCTAATTAAAGACAGGAGATTTTCCCTTGCTGATTCTGGGAAGCCCACTTTTATTTCCTGATCTGAAAAACTTTAGGGGAAAAATCTACTCCCCCTTTGGAAAGATCTACAGACACACACTGTTCTTGCAAAGATGAGGCTGCTTGTACTCCCGCTCAGTATAATAATTGTTAGACAAACATCTGCGCTTTCCATTCCCATTATTGTGGTTTGTGTGAATTGCAGACACCAAGTTGCTGACCTCCCAGCCTGCCACAGAAGCCTGACATTTATCTCCCTGGTGCCACTCTAATTTGCAAAGGAAATGGCAGAAATGCAACCAAGAGAAAGAATGCATGAGAATGCATGAGGTGACCTTGGTAGAAAGACGTGCACCCTACCAAATTGAACTTTGAACTTCATTAAATGCACGTTTTATTTTAGTTGGTAAATGCACAAATAATGGGCTGCTGGTGAGACAACGGCATTGAGTAGCAGCAAGAACATGAGCTCTGAAATTAAACAGGCCTGGATTCAAATTCACACTACTTCACTTTCAAGCTGTGAAGTCTTGTTACTAAACTCAGAGTTTCTATTTTTCTCTTGGAAACTGAAATAAAATGAATGTGTTGTCTCTTATGATGTCAAGGGCCCCTCAAATTCTAATAATCCAAGATTATATTAATTGTGCTAATGTAAGCAGCAAATATTTAACAATCGTTCAAATAATTTCTGAGTCTTCCCTGTATTTCAGGCCCCATGCTGAAAGCTGGGGCAAACAGAATAAGAAAGAAAACCTTGCTCCTGTCCTCAAATAGATGATGACCAGCATGGGCCTTTAATTGAGGTAATGAGCACACAAAGGCTAAGAGACAACAAGTGTCTTAGTAGCAAGTGCCAGGAGGCTGGTCGGAGAAGGAGGGAGGAGAGAGTCACACCTTGAGAAAGGAGTAAAAATAAAATGGTTAGAGAGAAGAGAGAAAGGGCAGCTCAGGCATGGCGGGGGGCAGGGACGGGGGCACAGAGGAGCAACAATTCTATCTCGAACGTGTGTGCTGGGGGCTTTGTGTTAGAAAACTGAGACACACAGTCTGATACATTTTTGTGCCATTTCTGGACACAAGAAGCAGACTGTAAGGTATCAGTTGGTTTTCTATAACTTCCTGATTGACAGATCCAATAGCCACTACTTAAATCCCTTTGCCCTTTGACTTCCATAAAGCACTTTAACATCCCTAAGCAACCTACTTTGTGGAATTCAGACCTCTTGGTCCACCGAGAGTCAGGTGGCCTCCTGAGCCACTCGCCTCTTCCTCTCAGTCTTTTCTGCTTCCTCCCCTTCCTCTGCCTAGCCTGGACTGTACAAGGTTCCCATGAGGTCTGTTCTAGTTCTGTTATCTTTCTCCTTCTACCTATCTTTCCCTAGAAAGCTCTTCCACTCTCACCACTTCAACTTCTACCTCAAGGCCAATGACCCCTGAATGAATACATCTACTGCAGGCCAGCTCCCTCGAGCCTCAGATCCCTATGGATGGGATATCTCTACCTGGTGTCCCATATGCTCCTCACGCCTAGAGTGCCCAAAGCTAAATATGACCCCAACCCCCCGCCTGCTTTTCTTCCTGTGTTCCTTCCAGTGTTTCCCCATGCTCTGTGTCCACACCAAGCTGAAGCACAAAGCATAGGCTCCTTCTGCTGCCTTCAAGGCATGTTATCCAAGAGAATACCCTGATAAGGAAAATACCCTAAAAAGCTTTATCCTCTTATTAGGTTTTTTGTTTGTTTGTTTCTGCTGTCTGCAGCATTCAAGGGGCCCCAAAATACATCCACGCCTCACTCCTTTCTGCCTCAAACCCTCACTCGTCCATTTCTACTGGTCTCTGAACCAGTAGAATGTTTGCAAATTAAACAAAGCATTTCACCGGGTGTGCAAGAGGACCCCCTAGTGGTAAAGAGGATCACAGCCTACTTTCCATTTCTCTCCTTCCCATCATACCTGGGAGTCTCCACCTTTCTGAGTCTCATTCTGTGCACATTTAAATTGCAGACAGTCCTCAAATATCTGTGGAGTTAATGAGAAAGCGTAAAGTGAATTTGAAAACTGCAATTTTTAAGTATGCATATAAGAGAACTTGTAGAAAAAGCACTTTTAAGAAGCAGGTCAACTGGGAAATTGCCTTGTTACTATAAGGTGCACTAAATCATCACTGGCTAAATAGTGCACTAGATAGAAAAATGTAGATTTATCAGAGCACCTCTCGGGAAAAGTACTGTGTGTGGTTGGGCGCTTTTATAACCTCGTTGGAGAGAAAGAGTAAGACCCTTCAAGGGACGTGTCGTAGCGACCACAAATGGTCACTATCACCACCTTCTTTAAATCTATGTTAGGAGTGAAGAGTGACACTAGCATGTTCTGTTTTCTGGGTTCTAGTAAGGTGCTATGGCAGGATAGTATTATTTAATTAAATTAAATGTATTATAAAATACATTATCTTATTGAATGTATGTGCTTGCGTTATGCTGTTTTAAAAGGCCTGGATAGGAGGGGTTGGGCTAGCTTATGATATGCTCTTTGGAGTTGGTCATTATGCAAAGCGTGGCCAACAATGATATTGTATAAAATTTCTTTTTGTTGTGCTAGTTTCAGGCCTCCCAGAGGTCTGCTGTTTCTTAACCAGGCTCTTTAAGAGGGAAATTTATAGGTGATGTGATGGGATTAAAGGTATTCTTCCTCCCCCATCACCCATAGTTTCAACCTGCTTCTTCCATAGCACTTCACAATATCTATATAAGCTTGGATAATTGTTTGTTTGAATTCAGTAAACGCTTCACACATGTTAATGGGATTTTTCCAACAGTCTGAGCCCCACCATGAAATCTGATTTCTTCTCCCCACCCTAACCCAGCCCCATTGTAAGCAGCCCATGAAATGCTTACCACATCCCTATATATGCATGGACCTTCAATTGTAGCTTGAGCACACTCATGCTTCTAGGCCCTCCAACAGGTGTATAATTGTTATGCTGTACAATGTCATCCAAGGAATTTCTCAACTTATTTATGCAAATTCTATATGCCACAACTACTCTGTTTTTGACAAAATTTATACCCCAAAATAGTCCAAAACATTGTGTAGGCTACATCTCTAAAAACAATAATATTAAGTATGTTACAGCTGATTTTTTAATTTTAAATTTCCACATCAAAATGCCAAAGAATAGATAGATAGATAGACAGATATAGATATATATACATATAGATAGATATAGATATAGATATATAGATATATCTGTTCTCCTCTCCCTATCTCAAAAATCAAGTAAAACCCTGTATAGTTTTAAGGAAGAGGATTGGAAGGTCATTGCTTATGCTATATGTGTTGAACCCACTAAGTTCAATTATATAACAGGTTCATTAAGTATTCTCTTTGGCATACTTTTGCCTCTCTGGACAGTGAATTTATGAGCTGTGTGAGGTCTCACCCATATGCTCTGCCTTAATCTTAAATTCCAACCCAATTTATGACTCATCACCTCAAGTGGGAATATGAACAATGACATCTGCTGCAACACTGAGTAATTTTTCCTCATGACTCAGCCACCAAGTGGTCATAAATGTGTCATTAAGAACCACTCAAATATGGTTGCACTAAGTTGTCTTGTGTAAATACCCCACATTTTAATCTGAAACTAATAGCAATCATAATCTAAGATAGGGAGCACTTTCCCATGTTATCAAAGAGTTGATCTACCCCAGTTTCTGTCAGCAGTTACCACATAGGATCATGGTATTATAAAATCAGCTAAAACGATTCCATTGAGCCCAATCCCTCAGCTTCCAACTGAAAAGTACGGCTAAGTTTTGTTAGAATTTATTCCTATTGCATTCTTTCACTGTATATTTAACAAGTATTTATTGAGTTCATATAGTTTATGGGAAAGAAATTAAAATGCTCATCTGGAGATCTGAGTTCTGGTCGTAATAGCTAATAACAAGTTATATGAGCTTGATCAATCACTTAATCTATTTGGAACCATTTTCTCCTTTATCAAATGACTGGTTGTACCTCACAGGGTCATTGTAAATTTCAAATAAGACAAAAGGATTTTAAACTATCATTAGTATATTACTTAAGTAATTGTTATTCTCATATTGTTATCTTGACAGTCTCAAGTTATTGGCAGCTTAGCCATTACCAATAACACAGGTACAGATTACATCTTTTATTTCTGTGAGTTATCCCATTGGCCATAACAATCTATACAATAAACTTGCTTAAATGAGTCTTTTGAGTTGAATTACTGCTCTAGAATTTTATATTAAATCTAATTATACGTACTATAGTGAATTACATAGAAAGTGCTATTTCTTATTTTGACTGATATTCATCAATATAAAAATCTTAAATTGATTGATGGTTTTGTTCTGATGTACACTCTTCAGTTCCTGAGAGTGAGCAATTGATCTGATACATGAAGGTTAATATCACATTAAGAGACTTGGATAAAATGATACCAGATATAATGCTTCCAGGTTTCTTTTAATGTTCATAGTTATCACTGTGCCCTGTGTCGGTGCCTCAGGTAGTCTGGTTTTTATGCTCATACTTTGTTTCACTTCCCTATAAGCCAGATAATGTTAGCACAAATAGAATGAGGTGCAGGAGTAGCTATTGGAATAGATAGTACCTATATTACAAATGATCCATGATGGTAATACAGGATGTCAGAAAGAAAAATAATCAGAAATAGAGGAACGTTAAAGCCATTATTAAGGAGTAGCTGAAATGAGAAAGGTATAACCTACAAGAAAAGTAAATGAGTTTTTAAAAATCTATCAAAAGGAATACACTAAATGCCTTTGTTCAATCGTTTTTCCCCTTGGCTTCCATGTACTACAATGTCCTGGTTTTCCTCCATCCTTACTGGTCACTCCTTCTCAGGTGGTTTCTTGTCTTCTCCTAGATTTCCGACCAGTAGAGGATACCATGACATGACCCCACTCTTGGTCCCTCCCCTTCTCTATTGTTGTATAATCACTTGAAATCATGTCTCTTGGCTTTAAAACCAGCTATCTACTGAAATCTCCCTATTCTTCCAAATTGCAGACTGACATATTCAACTGCCTACTCACCCTCTGTACTTGGATATTTAATTGTCATCTCAAAATTAACATGCCCCATATGTATTTTTTATCTCCCCTCCCCGCAACACATACACAATAACTTACTGCACTTGCAGTCCTCCCCATCTCAACTGATGGCAATTTCATACTTCTAATTGTTACCACTATGATTTCATCTCCTAATATGTTCCCTTTAAATTATGCACGCTCGCTGGTCTTTTTGCTGTTCCCTGAATTTGCCAAACAAGCTCCCATCCTCCCCAGGGCCTCTGGCCTAGATGCTCTCTGCTTGTATATATCTCCCAGATGCCACATAGCTAATCCTTCATTTCCTTCCAGTCTTTGTTCGCATATCAGCTTTTGAAATGAGGCAACCTGTGATGACCCAATTAATAATTACCAGCTTCCATCATCTCAATCTGGTTACCTTGCTTTATTTTTTGAATAGCACTTACCATGTACTATCATAATATGTAACTATTATAATCAGTTTTCATTATCTGTCTTCCTTAATGAGAATTTAAGCTCCATAAAAGGATTTTTGTCTGTTTTGTTGACTAGGATACTCCCAGTTTTTGAAACATATCCTGGCATGTTGTAAGTAATCAAGTTGCACTTGTCAAGCTAGTGAATAATATTAACAGAATGCCTGGCATGAAGCAGGTTTAATATTGTAATGCCAGGCATTCTGGTAGGCCCTGAGAATTAGCATGACCAGCAGACATGGCCCTTACCCTTCTGGAGCCTACAAGATGTAAGCTGCAAAAGGGCCACTCTGATGAACTCAGATTGATGCCTGGTGTTTACGGAAACTGGGAAAAGGGTATAATGAGATGCAACATAGGAACATAATACAGAGAAAGGTTATTAGAGGGTCAGCCTTTCAGAATAGCCCAAGGAAGACCTGAAACAATTCCTCAAAGAGCAGAATCTCTTTGAGGGAGCAGAATCAGGGGTGGGTTGGGTTTTGCAGCCTGAGGTGGCCGACAAATCTCCAATACCTGTAAGACATCTCCTTGTTTATTGTTGGATGTGTACAATGTATACCAATTTCTGCAAATTGCAAGTCTTAACATAAGTTTTTGGAAGGGATGCTGATCTCTTCTCTCAGATATTCCCAGGAGACCCATGAAAGAAGGCTCTGCTAACTGGCATGAAACTAATTACCTGGAGTAAATTACTTAAACAAATGTACTGCCTCGAGTGTTACACAATCTCAAAGGCAAGACAGTGTCACAGTCCTACTGCAAGGATAATATGAGTTTTTAAATTCCCAGGAGAGACAGGAAAACGGACTCTTTCTTCTTCGCTCAATCTCCAGAAAAGGCAGTATTACTACAAGGGGCCACCCACAGCTTCCTTAGTTATGGTCAGCACAGAAAGTGAGAAAGTGCAGAATAGGTGAATTACTTCTACTTGAGACAAGGGATATAATGCTCTATGGCCAAGAGGTAAAGGAGCTCTTCAATCCTATTTTCCTTGCATCATTTGTTTCATAAAAAGCAATTTTCAACCTGTAAAGATTAATGCTGACAATATATTTTCAGTGAAAAAAAATCATATTACAATGTGGATCATGCTTACTATCCCAATTTTTAAAATATACACACTTGAACATGTATGTGCATGTATGTGAATTTTTGTGTGTGAGTACATATATATGTGTATGGGGACAGTGATGGAAGGAAAGTTAAAGAGACATATCCCAAAATGCTATAAGTCATCATCACTAAGTACTGGAAACATGAGTGATTTTTTTTTCTGCTTTTATCTTTCACAATGTTCTATAACATGCATTACTTTCCTAATCAGAAAATCACATACAACAAACATATTCATAGGAAAGGGTTGTTGCCAAAGAAAGATGAGGATAGACAGGGGAAATGGCTGCAGTGAATGAGTTGAAGTTTCCTGTGCCGCACATCAAGATCCCAGGGTATTAAAAGAACTTGCAGATGTGGTCACAGAACCAGTGTCAGCGATCCTGGAGGAATCATAGAAAGCAGGCGTGGTTCCAGAAGATTGCAAACTTACAAATGTTGTCCAGATTTCCAAAAGAAGGGGACTGGCGAATTTCAAAGATTCAATCCCAAGGCGCATAACATCAATCTCTGTGTGATTTCAAAAATAGATTATTAAACAGATGGCTCTGAGTTCTTAGCAAAGGAAATCGTGGGCTCACTAAAAACACACCATGCCAAGCCAACCTCATTTCTTTTTTGATTGGACTAAGAAATTCACAGGAGAGAGGGGCTGTTGCTTCAGCTAGGTACCTGATAGTCTTTACTGACATCTGCTAATGCCAGAGCTTTCTTCATTGGTGGAATCAGGCCAACTAGGAGAGACAAGAGTAGACACACCCTTCAAGATGGAAGAGGCACTTGGGAAATTGATCACATGGCTGAAGTGGGAGGGGAAGGGAGAGGCAGGTCATGGTTCAATTTTCTCTGCAAGAATACTCTTCTCGAGCAGCTCACAAGGCTGACTCCTCATCACTCAAATATCACCTCTTTAGGAAGGGCTCCCCTGGCCACCTACGTTGAAGTCACCCCTCTCCTACCCCTCACTGATCAGTGTGACAATTTGTTTTTCCTTCAGAGCACTTCCCCCTCTTTGAAATTATCCCATTCATCTACTCACTTGTTTGTTGTCTCTTTTCACTAGAATGTGAGGCCTGCACAAGCAGGGACAATGTCTGTTTTGTTCAATGCTGAATGCCCAAGGCCTGGGCACCCAGTAAGATTCAACAAATATTTGTTCAGTAAATGAAATCTGCTCTTACTCTGCATTCCATTCCCTGATAATAGTCACAAAACTGCCCATTTTGAGGACCTGTCCTTGCTCTTCCCTCATCTGTGAGTGCCAAAGCCCCAAAGTGACCTCCCTTTCCTCAGCACCACTACACTGAATCCCCTCTCCTCACTGCCTCTGCTGTTCTGTTTGATACAAAGGAAAGATATTTGATCAAATTCCCAAACACCTGAGCCCTCTTCCAACATTAAGGACAATCACTAGTTCATGAGGCAGATAAGAGGTGGGGGCAACAGCAAATGGCAGGCTGATTATTACGGCCTTATAGTGTGAGGACAGAGTGAGGACAGAGAGCTTGCCGGTAATAACTGGAGGAGGCACCTCACCCTGGTGAGCCAGGTTGGTTATGTACGATTAGCATGGCTGGGCAGGTTTTGAATATCCCAGCAGCCAAACACATCCCTCCTACTCCATGGAGAGAAGCCAATTAGGAGGTTATGTGAAGAGGAAAGCACCTTCTTCAGCTTTTCCCCCAGAAGGGAGCAGAGGTCGCCTCTCCATGGGCCAGGACAGCATTGCAGGAGAGGAGATGGATAACCCCAGTAGCCTAGAATTCTGCTGTGCCCTATTGATCCAAGCTCTCCAGGGATTAAGCTCAGCCTTCGTAACATGCCCATTACTTCAGCTTTATACATTTTTAGGCCAGAAAGTAAGCACTCCAACATAGTTGTTAAGGCAATGTCTGAAGCCAGGCTGACTGGCTTCAAATCACAGCTTTACCACTCACTATCTGTATTACTTTAGGCGTGGTTGTTGATGCCTCCCCTACCTTAAAATGGGCATAGGCCTAGCATCTATCTCATAAGATTTTTGCAAAGATTATGCGAGTTAATAAATGTAAATTTCTTAGAATCATGACTATATATATTAATCACTACATAAAGTTTTTGCCATCATTATGAATCTGCAAACACATAATATTTTAGTAAATACTGAGCTCACATGAAAATAATTCCAGACCCCACATTAAAAGAAGAACAAGGACAGGCAAGTACCATATCAAAGGATAAGAAAGAACATCTAGTAAAAGGTCTAGATTCAAATTCAATTTCTGCCACATTCTACCTGTGAGACCTTTGTCATGTGCCATTACTGCTATCCAAATTATACTTAGTCATTTCTCAAATTTTAAAAACTAGAATAGAGGTTGTTTTAATTTTCTCATGGGATTAATGTGGATCTAGTAGGATCATGCATGTGATCCAGCAGGACATGCATACTTTATACAGAAAAAAGTACTATTATTTTTACAGTTAAACTTATTTATTGATTTTTAATTATACAGTTCTACAAGCTTGACAAATGCAGAGTCATGTAGCCACCATCATAACCAGGACACAGAACAATTCCATCAACTCAAAACATTTCCTCCTGCTGCCCCTTCAGAGTCACCCCTTCCTTCACCCCAAACCCCTGACAATCTCTGATCTCTTGTCTGTCCCTGTAGTTTTGTCTTTTCCAGAATATGACACAAATGGAATCACACTGTACATAGCTTTTTAAATTTTTTTTAGTTTTTATTTTAGAGATGGAGTCTTTCTCTGTCACCCAAGCTGGAGTGAAGTGGTATGATCTCGGCTCACTGTAACCTCTGCCTCCCAGATTCAAACAATTTTCCTGCCTCAGCCTCCAGAGTAGCTGGGATTACAGGCGCATGCCACACTCAGCTAATTGTTTTTGCAGCAGAGTCTCAGGATACAAAATCAATGTGCAGAAGTCACAAGCATTCCTATACACCAACAACAGGCAAGCAGAGAGCCAAATCATGAATGAACTCTCATTCACAATTGCTGCAAAGAAAATAAAATACCTAGGAATACAGTTAACAAGGGAAGTGAAGAACCTCTTCAAGGAAACTACAAACCTCTGCTCAAGAAAACCAGAGAAGACACAACAAATGGAAAAATATTCCATGCTCATGGATAGGAAGAATCAATATGATGAAATGTCCATATTGCCCAAAGTAATTTATAGATTCAATGCTATTCCCATTAAACTATAATTGACATTCTTCACAGAATTAGAAAAAACTATTTTAAAACTCATATGGAACCAAAAAAGAGCCCATATAGCCAAGACAATCCTAAGCAAAAAGAACAAAGGTAGAGACATCACCCTACCAGACTTCAAACTATACACTAAGGTTACAATAACCAGTACTAAAACAGACACTAGTACTAGTACAGAAACAGTTACATAGACCAATGGAACAGAATAGAGAACTCAGAAATAAGATTGCACATCTACAGCCATCCGATCTTTAACAGACCTGACAAAAACAAGCAATGGGGAAATGATTCCCTATTCAACAAATGGTGCTGGGATAACTGGCAATCCATTTGCAGAAAATTGAAACTGGACCCCTTCCTCACACCTTATACAAAAATTAACACAAGATGGAGTAAAGACTTAAATGTAGAACCCAAAACTATAAAAACCCTAGAAGAAAACCTAGGCAATGCCATTCAGGACAGAGGCACAGGCAAAGATTTCATGAAGAAATTGCCAAAAGCAATTGCAACAAAAACAAAAATTTTGTTTTTTTGCTTTACAAATGGGATCTAATTAAACTAAACAGCTTCTGCACAGCAAAAGAAACTATCATCAGAGTGAACAGGTAACCTACAGAATGGGGGAAAATCTTTGCAATCTATCAATCCAACAGAGGTCTAATATGTGTAGTCTACAAGGAACTGAAACAAATTTACAAGAAAAAAACAAACAACCCCATTAAAAAGTGGGCAAAGGACATGAAGAGACACTTCTCAAAAGAAGACATTCATAGCCAGGCACAGTGGCTCACGCCTGTAATCCCAGCACTTTGGGAGGCTGAGGCGGGCGCATAGTGAGGTCAGGAGATCAAGACCATCCTGGATAACAGGGTGAAACCCTGTCTCTACTAAAAATACAAAAAAATTAGCCAGGTGTGGTGGCAGACACCTGTAGTCTCAGCTACTCAGGAGGCTGAGGCAGGAGAATGGCGTCAACCCGGGAGGTGGAGCTTGTAGTAAGCCAAGATCACAACACTGCACTCCATCCTGGGCAACAGAGCGAGATTCTGTCTCAAAAAAAAAAAAAAAAAATACATTCATGTAGTGAACAAACATATGAAAAAAAGCTCAACATCACTGATCATTAGAGATATACAAATCAAAACCACAATGAAATACCATCTCACACCAGTCAGAATAGCCATTATTAAAAAGTCAAGAAACAACAGATGCTGGTGAGGTTGTGGAGAAATAGGAACCCTTTTACAGTATTGGCGGGAATGTAAATTACTAAATTAGTTCAACCATTGTGGAAGACATTGTGGCTATTTCTCAAAGAGCTAGAACCAGAAATACCATTTGGCCCAGCAATCCCATTACTGGGTATACACCCAAGGGAATATAAATCATTCTATTACAAAGATACATAAATAAGTATGTTCATTGCAGCACTATTCACAATAGCAAGGATATGGAATCAACCCAAATGCCCATCAATGATAAACTGGATAAAGAAAATGTGGTACATATACACCATGGAATATTATGCAGCCATAAAAAGAATGAGATCATGTCCTTTGCAGGGACATGGATGAAGCTAGAAGCTACTATCCTCAGCAAACTAACACAGGAACACAAAACCAAACACTGCATGTTCTCACTTATAAGTGGGAGCTGAACGATGGTATCACACGGACATGGGGAGGCGAACAACACAAACTGGGGCCTGTCGGGGGTTGGGGTTGGGGAGGGAGAGTATTAGAAAGGATGGCTAATGCATGCTGGGCTTAATACCTAGGTGATGGGTGGATAGGTGCAGTAAATCACTATGGCACATGTTTGCCTATGTGACAAACCTGCACATTCTGCACATGTACCCCAGAACTAAAAATTTAAAAACAAGAAAAAAGTGCTACTATTCAGACATAGGGTGTTCTCACTGCCACCAGCATGTGTAAAATAAACTAATACCCATCAAAGGGAAAAAGAAATACAGTATATTAAATGTACAGAAGGTGGGAATGTAGCAATTTGACTTGTCCTCCTGGCTCTGCAGCTAACTGGCTATGGAACCTTGAGAAATCTTTCGGCTTCAGTTTCTCATCTGTAAAATAAAGTGAAAAACCACTAAGTCCTTCTGATTTTCATTTTGTGGGAGAAGCACAAACAGGAGCTTTTGGCAACGTGTTTTTGTGTATGACAAAGCATCAGATAGAAAATAGTCTCTTAATAATGTACAAATAATCAACATGTTAGTGCGTGCTTACTGGTTTCCACTTATGGGTACACCTAAAAAATGCCCACCCAAAATAGAAATGTTGAGTTATTACCAAGCAGACATAATTTAATTCAAAGCATTCTTTCAAAGTTAAGAAGGTTATTCTTTAAGATGCTGCAGATGGAGTTTGCAAATTCATTCGTCAAAATAATCACAAGTGTAATTTATATAATACCAAACTACTGCTGATGTATAATTTATTTATTCCTCAAATATTTTGGGGTGCCTACAATTTGCTAGGTCCTAAGAAAAAACATTGAATAAGACTAGAAGAGTCCTGCTTAAGATACTTAAATTCCAATAGAGGAGATTGTCAGTAAACTAGAGTACAGATGAATAAGATTACTACAAATAAGTTTGAGGAATTTGATTAATGAGTAAGTATGCTAAGAGGTAATTTCTAGAAGTAGATGTGTCATCTTAGAGATGGTGGTCAGGGAATGTGTCTTTAAGCGGGTGACATTAAACTAAATCCAAAAGAAAGGAATTTCCACCTTGAAGAGATGGGGGCAAGTGCGTCAGGTAGGAAAATAGCAAAAGCTAAGAGCCTAAGACAGGAAAAAGCTAGAAAGTCTGAACAATTAGAAAAGAAGCCATGTGACTAAAGCAATATGAGTATGGCAGAGAGAATGGAGAGGCTGGATTAGTAGTGCCGAACATGGTGGCCATACAACAAAATGCAAATATTATTCTAGGAGCAATGAGGAATTTAGACTACATAGGGGACATGCCATCAGTCAACCTTTCATAGGTTGAATTCACATAGCGTGTGGTGATTGATCCAGTCTTCCTATTAACCACCTCTTGGGCTCTTTTTAGTCCTGCAATTTTCCAACAACTTTTACCCACCTTTTGGATAAATGTGTCATGTCTTGAATTATTCCAAAATACATCACTTGTTCAAGAAGTCTGGTCTAATTTGGGTAACAGCTTTTGGGCCAGAAAGATGTTCAATGCATCCTGGATGATCTTATGAATAAATAGCCTCAGTAGGATTCAAATATCTTCTACAAATGTCCAAAGGTGATCAGGAACAAACACAAGATCAATGAATGAAGTTATAGAAAGGCAGATTTTAATTCAAAAACAATGAAGAGATTTGTAACAGTTAGGGTTTTGTTTTTTTTTTTTTTAACCAGATCAATATAGACAAGGGGTCAACAAACTTTTTTTTTGTAAAGTTCCAGATAGTAGGTATCTTAGTCTTTACAGTCAATATGATCTCTGTGGCAGCTGATGAACTCTGCTACTGTAGTGCAAAAGCACCCATAGACAATACATGAACAAATAAGCATGGCTGTGTTCCAATAGAACTTTATTTATAAAAATAGGCATGCTGTGAGCTGGATTTGACCTACAGGCCATAATTTGCCAATCCCTAGCATAAGCTAGAAGGGGCAAAATGGCAGCTCGCAAATATCACATAAACCCCAGACATGTTTTATTTGGCCCAATTAGAGTTTTAAAATAGAACACATTTAGAAGTTAGAGGATTCTACTAAAAATCCAGACTCCTGGCTTTTCTTGAGAAGGGGGAAGATTGGTAACCACGGCCCACATTCCTGCGTGTCAGCACATGTCAACAATTATCTGGAGTTCAGTAGCGGCTGCCCATTTTGGAGGGAGCATGAGCTCTTCAGGTCACCACAGACCCCACTACAGGACTGTTGCCTTCCTGATTTGGGGGTTTAATATCAGTTGCCACTTAGCATCATGCTCACCCATTTTTTTCCTTACAGTAGAGAATTATTTCTCTGAATCTGCATCTATATCAAGTGTAGGAAAATAAAAGACAGATTGAAAAAGCCACATTTCAAGGAAAAGGAGAGAAGGCATATGGGTTTAATATGCATACATAGGATGCGGTGTTGAAAGAATCAATGCTTCTATTTTCAATTTGTATTTTTTTCTACCTTGGATTTAAAACATTTACACATTTACATATTTATATCATGTTACATCCTTATGTCATAGTTCAGTAATAATAAAAACAGTTTGAACCCATTTCTGCATTTGATTTTCTTATTCCAGGACTATTTTATTCATCTATGTTACCTGATCAACTCCCATAGGTATTTGAATTTGTATCTCTAAAAGAATAGACCAATACATAGGTAGTGAGCCCCCTACCCCTAGAAGACTGAAAGTTGGTGAATGACTCAATGGGAAGGAAATTTTGTGTTGTGGATACTACTTTGGGCTCGAGGCTGTGTTTGATGATCTCTAATGCCTGTGATTCTAGAATCTTGGAAGTCCTTGGATTCCAACCATAGGAGGGCAGCCCAATAAGTAATGAAGT
Source organism: Homo sapiens (assembly GCF_000001405.40). Taxonomy (NCBI): domain Eukaryota; kingdom Metazoa; phylum Chordata; class Mammalia; order Primates; family Hominidae; genus Homo; species Homo sapiens. The sequence continues at coordinate 1,447,766 of NC_000009.12, read as the reverse complement.
CATTCTCAGCATTTGACAAATGATCAATTGGCCAAACAGGAGGCCATTCATTTCATAAATATAGACACAGTTACCATCTTCATGAACAGAACTCAAAGTGAAAGAGATTTGATCATCTTTATTTAATGGAAGAAAGCCAAAAGCAACAATTTAGGCACAGGGCAGATGATGGCTACAGAGCAAGCTAAAAAAATTCCTTGTTTCCACATGGAACAAGTCCTCTCCTTCCTTCCTCTTTTAACAATGATTAGGCAATACATGCTTGCTTCCCCATTTGATTTCCAGCTCTGGAGAGAGGCTGCATCCCAATTTATTCACTTGGATACAGAGTTATTCAGTTTTACTATTTAGTCTTTCTTTTTATTTTGTGCTGAATCTACCTCTTCAAAAGGGAAATATCAAAAAATGAAGAGGAAGAAGAAAGTTCGAGCACACACATAAAACTGTATAAATACCCTTCAGCCCAGTAAGCATCAAAATTACTGACACTGACAGTGATGAAAAGAGACTTACACCGCCCAAAGAGAATGATGATAACTGTGTAAACACAGATTTTCCACTGAGATGTCTGGAAATAAATATGCAAAATGAAAGTTGGGGTTTGATATTGCTTTTAAATTCCCTGTAATGTTACACTATTTGTATACGAAGAAGCAAATAAAAATATAAGATGGCATAAAAATACATTATAAGGAAAAGTCATTTGTAAACAAGTAACAAGTGAACTATATTGTGAATCTTGAATAACTGTGATGCCTTCTGATAATTTTTAAGAGGCCGACTGAATAAGCCTTTTTTGGCAGTTAGAAAATATGAAGGCAATGGATGACCTGCTTTAGCAGTTAAGAACATCTGATAAGGGAGCTTTGGAAGAGGCCTGTCCTACAGTTGAGCAAGATTTTATGCACTGCTATGTGCTAGTCTATCCTGAAGGAATTTCAGTTCACTTTTCCTTGTCTAAGGATGCCACTTAAAATAACTAAATTGCATGTAATTAAAGTGAACATTCTCCAGATGACTTTTATAGGACGAGGAAAGTCTAATCCTTCTTTTAGTAAGAAAAGGCTAAAGAGGCAGCAATTGGATTTTTTCTTCCCCATCACAGCTTAAGTTATAAGGTTTCTCCCTTGCCACACATAAAGGCATGGATGGACAGTCAGACAAAATATAAATAATTTACAGCGTTGCTTCAGATCAACGCTTATTAAATCTTTGTGACTTAGAATCACAGAATTTTTACAAATAAAAAGGAAATAAAAATTACGTAGACCAACTTACTCTCTTCACAGATATGAGGCCTTGACTGATAGATTTGTAAAAGGTGATGCATCTATTTGGGATCAAAGTCAGGAATTTGGTCCTGTGTCTGTTTATACAATTTCTGATGGAGCTCAGATATGTCATAACTGCTTTATAATGACAGCAGTCATCAAAACCACAGCAACTAGAATGTAGCATCTGTTTTCATCAAACACGGAAGTGTTTTTTTTTCTTACAAACATAGACAAAATAATAACAACTATATAGATATTTTTAGTGAATCATTATTTTTTATATAATACTCTACCTCCATGGACCATTATCAAGTTCTTTAGTATTTTCCAAACAGTTTAGGCATGTCTTGCCATAAAGACAAAGTAATCCTTGAAGAAGGCCTTTGCTTGCACCAATTGAGCATTTTCTTTCACAGCCCATTGAATGCAGAGCACCTAACCTGAGTGACACAAAAGATATATTTATTACCTTATAAAAGTTGTGCCTGTGGCAACATTAACAAGGGAAAGAAATCTAAATTAAGTGGTCATGCACACCTGGAAGTTCATTTCTCATGCATGATTTTCATTTGGAAATCCATCAGTCAACTGTCCTCAGTGAATTTCTTAAGGTGCCCACGCCATGATTTCCCAAATAAACCACAGGATCGACCAGAGAAACTTTCATTTTTACACAACAAGCTTCTTCTGCCCTCTGTTCCTCACCCCCACCCTTCCTTGTTATTTACTGCATTTTACACATGTATTCTATTTCATGCTTTTATTAATCCACATCTTCCCTGCCCCCATTTCAGTAGTAACAGAAGAAGCTGTATCAAATCAATGAACTCAGAGCTGAGAAACAGGGGACAGCCCTGCGTACCCTTTCGACCCACCGGGCACAGGCTTGCTGAGTGTAACCTGAAGTCTTTTAACACTTTCAAGATCAGCCTGGAAGTACAGATGAGAACTGGTTTGTCTCCCAAATTAATGCTTAAATAGGCTGGTGCTGTTGACACTGAGGAAGAAAGAGAAACAGACAGTAATCCTTGAGAAAGGATACTGGAAAGAAGAAAGCAGAGCAGAAATTCTGTTTTCACTTTAAAATACAGAATGAAGACAGAAAAGAAAGGAAAGGGGGAGGGTGGTTGCTGGGTGTCGAGGAGGGAGCAGACATGCATAGATTCATGTGTCTGTCCCCTGGGCTCAGTTACACACACCTCATCATGGCTAAACTAAAAGGCCTGTGTTCAGCCGACAGCTTGGCAGCACCAGTCTTTGTGGAACAGCAGCAACTTGGGTACCACGAGGGCCAAACCTGCTCGGAAAGGTGGCTGTCAATATGCATGGCCCATTCAACTCTTCCTCCAGCAGCAGAGCAGACCCAGGTAGCCTAGGAAAACAGGAGGTTCTTGGTGCTTCCCAGTGGCTGGAGTTGAAATATTAAACCAAGTAACCAAGAAAGAGAAATGGAAAGAAACACCTGGGAATCCCCAAGTCCGTTTCAGAGTGGGAACTAGGATTTCTCTAATGGGACATGCATGTGCTAGACTTGCGCTCTGGTGCCCTCAACTTCCTGTTCCATTGAAACTGCAGTAGTTCAGGCAGTTCAGGCCATGAAACCTTGAGCCACCAGTGCCCACACATTCCTCCCAGAGCTGAGGTTTCCATTTCTGTAAAACAAGATTGTTAGGGTTTTCTAACCCTTACGGTTGGACGTCCCTGGTCATTTGAGTTGAAAGCAGTTGGGCTCGTGATGGTATCTTTATTCCACACAGAGTACAGAAGGTTATGTCCTAACCCAAAGGAACACTATGGCCAGACGTTGGATATTTCCATGGGGTCCTAAGTGGAGAGGTCAGTATTAAGATCTCTAGGCATTTCAACATGAGGCAGTTTGGGGAAAATGCCAAATAATAAGCAATGTGAAGTATCCCACAGGATAGTAGTGAAGGGGCACAAAATAAAAATTAAACTTATTTCCAGAATTATAGATATGGAATATTGCTTATGCTAAAGTTTTGGGAGAGTCATATTCATACATTCTCATTTTCTCTCTCTCTCTCTGTCTCTCTCTCTCTCTGTCTCTGTCTCTCTCTTTCTCTCTCTCTCTCTCTGACACACACACACAGAGACAGAGAAACAGAGAGAGAGAGAGATTGGTTTTTACCTGTTTCCATTATATCTCATCTAGTATCGTTCTTTGATAATTTTGTGAGAGCTTCAATTCTATCAACTTTTTTCTCTTTTCATTCTATGATTTCTGAAGATATTTTAAGAAAATTATCTTTCTTACTTCCTGCTTCCACATGAGATAGAGGAATCATTTTTTATGGGGCATGTAAAGGATATGAGATTAAATAATATAATCCATCTGATATGATTTGGCTGTGTCCACACTCAAATCTCATTTTGAACTGTAGTTTCCATTATCCCCACGTGTCGTGGGAGAGACCCAGTGGGAAGTAATTGAATCATGGGGGAGGTTACCTTCATGCTGTTCTCATGATAGTGAATACTCATGAGATCTGATGGTTTTATAAGAGGCTTTTCCTCACCTTCGCTCTGCACTTCTCCTTCCTTCTGCCATGTGAAGAAAGACGTGTTTGCTTCCTCTCCACCATGATTGTAAGTTTCCTTAGGCCTATCCAGCCATGCTGAACTGTGAGTCAATTAACCCTCTTTCCTTTATAAATTACCCAGTCTCAGTTATGTCTTTATTAGCAGCATGAGAACAGACTAATACACTATCCATGATTGCAGGAAGCAGTGGAAGCTGGGATTCTGGCCTCGCAGAAGTCAGAACATAGCTGCTGTTTTCACACATCCACCTGAGTGTCATTGTGATTCTTTTGACTGACTTGAAGTGGCACTTCCTCTTTATGCCAGCACAGCCTAACATCTGTCTTCTTCAGTCATGTGTGATGGTGTGTAATTTTTGAAATACTTCTTGCTAGCCCAATCTTCAAATACTGTTTTTCCTCCAAACAATTTTAATCAGTCAATCTACAAACATTTACTGGGTTCACAGTCCATGATAAAGGACACCTAAATTCAAATCCCAGCCCTGCTGCTTACTATGCCATCTTGGGAATGATCATTTCTCCACCTGAACATCAGCTTCTTTTTATTGTAAAATGAGAATTGTAATACTTCCTTCATAGATATTTTTGCAAGGATTAAAAATAAAGATTGTATGACATCAACCATAATGCTAAACACATAGGAGGTACTTAATGGAAATTATTGTTATTATCTAATAATGTTTATAAGTTTTACAACTTTATATTAACAAATTTATATGTATTTATAAAATAATAATGCAAATAATATAGAACATATAAATATGTGTATACATATGTTTATATATTTATACATTTTATGATTTATAATGATTATTATTATTTTCTAGATGTCAAGGAAACTTAATAGATAAAAAAGACATATTTGGCCAGGCACAGTAGCTCACACCTGTAATCCCAGCACTTTGGGAGGCCGAGGCAGGTGGATCACTTAAGCCCAGGAGCTCAAGATCAGCCTGGGCAACTTGGTGAAACCCTATCTCTACAAAAATTCAAAAATAAGCCGGGTATGGTGGCATGTGCCTGTAGTTCCTGCTACTCAGGAGGCTGAGGCAGGAGGATTACCTGAGCCCAGGGAGGTTGAGGCTGCAGTGAGCAGTGATTGTGCCACTGCACTCCTACTGAGGCAACATAGCGAGACCCTCTCTCAAAAAAAGTAAAAAATATATTCTCTTCCTTTCAGGGAAAAGAAGGCCTATAAACATAAAAATGTTCTGTATGCTTTATATCAAACATTACAGATTTCAAGATTTAAGAGGCAAAACTGAACCAGAGCCCTTTCTTTCAGGGGTGAAAAGGGAATGTTTAGAAGACCTAAAACTTGGTTCTCAATCACACAGCAAATAAGAACAGGCATTGCTCTATCAGGTATATTTCCGATGATGAAGAAACTACAGACGTGGAAGACTCAAGGCTTAAGTTCCCAGAAGTGTTTCCATAAGCCAGAGGTCCACTAATATTGTGGATCCATAGACCACTCCAGGAGTGAAAACACTCTTTCCCACTGCCACATTAAAAAACCAATCAATCATACTTCTCCTCTGCAAGGTGGAGCTTAATTCCTTTCCCTTTGAGTGTGGACTAGGCTTAGTGACTCACTTCTAGAATGTGGAAAGCAAAAAATAGTAGCTATAGAGTGAAGAAACCTGGTAGACACCACCTGAACCCAGTGACCAAGGTTGGCATCATCGGAACTAAGTCATGTTGATGCCAGGTACCCAGGCTGTGATGCAATGAGAAGGTCAGTGAGGCACCCACCTCTGTGGCATTCTTCCAGAAAACCCACTACTCCAGTCTGTTCATGACAAAACAATACACAAACCCAATTGAAATACATTCTACAGAATACCTGTAAGCACTCTTCAAAAGTACCAAGTTCATGAAAAACAAGGAAAGGCTGAGAAAGGGGCATGCAATGGAAAAGATAACTGAGTGCAATGTGGTAACTTTGATTAGACCCTAAAGCAGAAAAAAGAACACTAGTGGAAAATTTGGTGAAATTTTAACACAGTGTATAGTTAAGATAGTGATATTGTACCTATATTAATTTCGTGTGAAAGATGTTAATTTTGGAAGGCTGAGTAGAGGGATATTGTGAGCTCTGTACCATCTTTGAAACTCTTCTGTAAATCTAAATATTATTTCAAAATAAAAGGTTATAAAATCAAGCAATCAATAAATCTTGAATAAATTAGGTGAATGACAGTAATTTATAAGCCATTATATAAAGCAGTGCTTCATTTTTCATAGAACAGCACAAATAAATTATTAATTCTTACCACAAACATGGATTCTCTATATATAATATGTAAAGACATATCATATCTAGTAATATGTAAAATTGTATATGTAATATGTAATATATATTATATATGTAATGATACATGGTTTTATATAATGTATTATGTACACATTATTATATATGTATGTATATATACACACACATATATAAGCAGAGCACCTCTATTTATGATGTGATAAATTTTTTAACTTCAGAAAGTAATTTCTCATAAACCAAAGGTGTAACTATTGGTTATGTTACCATGCCAACTCTCAAAGTCTGTGTAGTGCAAAACATAGCTAATATGGGATAAATACAAACTGTGAATCCCAAGTCCTTTGAAACCCCAAGACGAAGGCAGAGCAGCACAGAAGGAAGAATGCAGGCTGTGAGATCAGCCAGAACTGTGTCCAAATCCCAATTCTGACATTTATTGTGTGGTCTTGAGCAAGTCATTGAATCTTGAATCTCTGAGTCTTCAACTGTAAATGACAGGTGATATCTATATCTCAGAATTTTGACAAAAATTAGGTGAGACAATGCATGGAAAGCACAGTTGCTGAAAAAAATATAGGAACAAAATATGGCATGTACAAAAAGCCCCAAGTCTTCTTGAGCTTCAGGCTCTAAGTCTTCCTTCAGGGTCCAGAGTATGATTGTAATGGAGTAATAAGACATACTAGGTTGGATAAGAGTTTGCTGATCTGGGTTTGGTACTATGAACCAGTGAGAGTTATGACAAATCCCCCATATAAGACTCCAGTAGTGCTGATGGGCTCGGAGGACAGCATGCCAATTTTTCCACTAATGTTCTTTTTTCTGCTTTAGGATCTAATCAAGGTTACCACATTGCACTCAGTCATCTTCTCCATTGTGTGCCCATTTCTCAGCCTTTCCTTGTTCTTAACTGTTAACAAATGGGTAACCACCTAAGCATGGATTCATACTACCCTGAACCACTTGAAAGATCTCATATGAATCCACATAGCTTATTTTATTTTGTGTTCCAGTTATCCTTAGTGACTTTTTAAAAAATTTAACTTGCTTTCAATTCTGCAGTTAGGGTGAAGTTCAGTGAGGATGGCTCATCTCTGCTTCACATGGTGTTGACAAGAGCAGCTCAAAATCTAGGCACTGGGATTATCTCCAGGATCAGTCATCCACATATCTAGGGACTGATGCGGGTTGCTGGCTGAGACCTCAGCAGGGACACTCAGCTGGAATGCTTACACGTGGCATCCCCATATGTCCAGGGCTCCATCACAACATGGGGGCTGGATTCTGAGGGTGAGCATGCCAAGAAAGAGAGCCCAGTAGAAGATCCACCTTTTATGACTGAGCATCAGAACTCATGCAGCAGCGCACCAAGGCAGCCACAAAGGCCCACATAATCTCAGGGTGGGTGGGGGGCAGGAAAATAGACTCAGCCTTCTGATGGGGGAGTGTTACATTTCTGAAAGAGTATATGAGACTGAAAGTACTTCTGTAGACATTTCTGGAAAATACAGTCTGCCACATCTTATGAATAATTAACACTTGAGTTAGCAAAATTAAGAGGGGCTGGGCCCACGTATTTTTATGCAATCTAGAAACAGAAAAATCAAACACAGCTGAATCTTTTGTGAACTGGAGCGTCTTCACTGGCAGAATTTGCCTTTGCCATGTTTCAGAGACCACATGCCCCCCTCTTCTTTATTTGTCTGTGTACCTACTACATGCTTCAGTTTGAAGACCAGTTTTCTCTCGTTCATTAGCCTACACATGCCTACAACTTTGCCTTCAGACACTCTGTTTAAATGGCTCATCACCTGGCAACAAACTGAATCTATATCATGCTCTGTCATGACCCTCCTCATATCCCCTTGGCCCTGAAGACTTCCATACTGCTGGCTCAATTTGCCATGCCAGCACCGGCAACTCCTAACCCCAGTGTTATCTCTGGGCTTGGGTCTCCTCTGCCCACAGGAAATGCATGTGAATTAACACCTCCTGGGGGCAGTCTGTGACCAATAACTCATACCAAGTGATGGATAAATACCTTAACTCCTTTAATAAATAACTCATACTAAATGATGGATAAATAACTTAGCTCCTTTGCCCCTAGGACGGAATAATTGAGACACATATTCCAAATGGGCTACCAGAGTCTCCTAGCTGGATTAAGCTCTAGTTCCAAACTTGTCACTAGTTTAATGAGTCTTTTTTTTTTTTTTTGAGAAGGAGTCTCGCTCTGCCGTCCAGGCTAGAGTGCAGTGGCATGATCTCGGCTCACTGCAACCTCCGCCTCCCAGGGTCAAGCAATTCTCCTCCCTCAGCTTCCCAAGTAGTTGGGATTACAGGCGCCTGCCACCACGCCTGGCTAACTTTTGTATTTTTAATAGAGACATGATTTCACCATGTTGGCCAGGCTGGTCTTGAACTCCTGACCTCAGGTGATCTGCCTGCCTCGGCCTCCCAAAGTGCTGGGATTCAGGGATGACCCACGACGCCCGGCTGATGCTTCACCTTTTATTGCTATCTTTCCTTTCCCATCTCACTTCTCCACTTCCCTACAGATGTTTCCTGAGATCCTCTCTCAAATAAACTGCTGCAATTAAATCTTCGCCTTGGAGTTTTGGAGAAAACCAAACTAAGATGCCTCATCTCCCTCAGTGGCCCAAATTAAAACTCTAGCAGAGGTAGTATGATTGGCCTGATCTGGTTCATATGACCATTCATCATTCAATCTTCTGGAATTAGGGGACTGGGTGATGGAATTGCACGGTTCCCTGGGCCTTCCTATCATCAAGGCTTATGGAGGAGTAGCTCCCAGATAAAGATCTATGGGAAGAAAGGCATAATATGGCCTCCTAATTCACCATGGTGCATTTCTAACATGCATTCAGAATCCCCTTTACATCTACACATTGCTACCAAAATCCTATTCTTATTAAGATGTCTCTATATTCAGAACAGAATGCCCACACCCAAAATCCTGCCTTGACAGAATGTATGAAGTAAGGCCCTTTATAATTTATAGAAATAATAGACTACCAATTATTTAGGACCTATCATGCTGCGCACTTTATGGCAATTTTTCCTTTTATCCTCACAAAAACATATGTTTAGAAGTGAAAACAGATCAGGAAAGGTCTTAAAATTGAACAGTTCTTTTAATAGCCAACACATTTAAGCTTGGGGTGATATTATTTCAGATCACTAACAACCTCATTACAGATTATTGTAAAGATTCACCATTATTTGAAATTTTTTAAAAAATAAAATCAAACACATAAATAATGTTATAAGGAAAGTTGTACATGTTTGATTTCAATTACTTGGGTGCAAAACTTACTTATGGATAATATAGTAAAGAAATTCTTTGTGGGCTACTAACTCTGCAACCGCAACCTTCCCCTAGAATCCTTTTCTATCTCAATCTAAGGGGCTACTCCAAAAGTGGTTCCACCTATACATTCCTTCACAAAAAAATGTTTTGTTATGAAAATTAAGGTCACAACATTGAATTTAAACACCCAAATTACAATAGTTTTAGCAGTTTCTATTTACCACCTATTAGATCTACCATGTAGGAACTGAGAAACTTCCTTGAACTTTCTCCCAGAATGTTCTGGGGTCCCTAAAGTAAACCACTTTCTTAGCCACAGTTACTCTTGGCCTCCAGTTTTTCCCCTCCTATTCCAACTGAACTGGTCAATGTCAACTGAAGCTGCTTGCAGGAGCTTCCCCTAGATCATGTTGATAGTGCCAATGTTGAGCAATGATGCTTGGAGAAGACAAGGAACTGCCAGCTCCTCACAAGCCAGAATAGTGTTCAATTCCGACCACAGTTGGCAAGACTGTGTTCTCCTGTGTTGCTTCACCTGCTGACCTGAGCACAAAATAGCCCACCCTAGACCCACAGTTTTCCATGAACTCAGTCAATTTCTCCCTCTCACACTCTATCAAAAGAGGCTCAACCCCAGTCCAAGGGGTCACATGTCAGATGGATAAGAGATACTGTACTAGGCTCTTCGTCAACACTTCCACTTCTTGTTCAAACAATGTTTTTTGTTTGTTTTGTTGTTGTTGTTTTTGTTTTTTGTTTTTAGACAGAGTCTCGCTCTGTCACCAGGCTGGAGTGCAGTGGCACGATCTCGGCTCACTGCAACCTCTGCCTCCCGGGTCAAGCAACTCTCTTGCCTCAGCCTCCTGAGTAGCTGGGACTACAGGCATGTGCCACCATGCCCAGCTAATTTTTGTATTTTTAGTAGAGACAGGGTTTCACTATGTTGGCCAGGATGGTCTCGATCTCTTGACCTCGTGATCTGCCTGCCTTGACCTCCCAAAATGCTGGGATTACAGGCATGAGCCACCATGCCCAGCCAAATAATATTCTTTTAATGTATATCTTTTGAGGAAACAGATAAGGGTGAGTGAGTTGACAAGGGTCGTGATGATGTTTCTCCCTATCAGTTTCTGACCCCACTCTGCCATGTATGTCACATCAGAAGCACAACGATGTTGCCCAGGAGCAGTGGCTCATGCCTGTAATCCTAGCACTTTGGGAGGCCGAGGCAGGTGGATCACTTGAAATCAGGAATTCGAGACCAGCCTGGGCAACACAGTAAAACCCCATCTCTAAAAATAATATAAAAATTAGCTGGGGGTGATGGCTCGCACCTGTAATCCCAGCTACTTGGGGGGCTGAGGCAGGAGAATCGCTTCAGCCCAGGAGGCAGAGGTTGCAGTGAGCCGAGATCGTGCCACTGCACTCCAGCCTGGGCAGCCGGGAGAGCGAGACTCTGTCTCAAAAACAAAGGAAAAAGAAAGTGCACTATGATGTTATACACAGTATTTTGAACAATGTTATTATTGATAATAATCAGCTAAGTGAATTTTAGCTGATGCAAAATGACCATCAGTAGTATGGTACCGGAATGCATCTAAACAATACTCACTACCCCACAGGGCTAGACTCCTAAGTGGCATAGCGACCATGAGACAGCCCAAGAGGGACCAAATGATGTAACTGGAAGCAAGGAAAGCTAAAGAAATGCTCCAAATACATGCTGAAGTACAGCTGAAAATAATATGGCAAGCCTGAAGCTGCCTGAGATTGAAATAGCCAATAGCTCTGCCTGGTGAGTGACAGTCATACTTAAGAAATGCAATCACAGGTGACACCAGGCTCTGTGTATAGTAACTGCCACTTCATATCAAAAAAGGACCATTCCATGCATACACCTTGGAAAGCATGCTTGCACCTTCCAAATGCACACAAAGAGCCACGTAGAAACACAGAGCAGAGCAATCCACCAAGTTTCGCTCTTCAAAATGTAGATACCAGTACATATTTTTAAAACCTTCAGTGTTGTCAAGGACTTTGACAACTGTGGACTGTGACTACTGTGCCCCAGTATGGTAAGGTCCAACTATTTTCTATGTTCAATGGACATTCAATACTTTTGTTGCATTTCCACTCACATCTCTGCCAGCATGATCCATTAAGTGTCCGTGGTTAGCTCCTTTGTCCCATGAATGAAATATGGAATGGGAATCTAATGTTTACTCTCAGCTATGTGCTTCAGAAACAATTTGAAGCTAATATAAGTTGGGTATCATGCCAACACTGTTGTTAGTGTGCTAAATATTTTGCCTGGACTATCTCATTTAATCCCTGTCACAATCATATAAGGCAGGTCCTACTGCTATTAGAAACCCAGGTTCAGAAAAGTTAAGTGATTTGCCTAATGTCATAGTGTTAGGTTCAATAAGACAGGAGTCAAACCCCAGCAATATGACTACAAATCCATACTATCCTTCTATCCTTTAAATAGTCCAATGTACTGCCTCCAGTTTTTTTGGTCATTGACTCTGTTCCAGCCAGTTCTTCTGACTGGAACAGTATCAGTATCAGTAGGTGTTTTTTTGTTTTTTTTCTTTGTTTTGTTTTGTTTTTTAATGGGATCCATGTCAAGGTAGACAATAATCCATCCTTGTCAATGAGTAAATGGTTCTTTCAGCATCTCCTCCTTGAAGTAGTCTTGGCGGAGCTGAAAGAGTAGTTGGTGGTAATCAGTTGCCTCCAGTGGGTTTTCAAGCGAGTAGAATAGCCCTTGCAGAAAGACTGTTTGAAAATACTGCCCACTCTACTATGTAGTTAATCAACCCTAGAAGTGTAGTCCATTCAGTCTGTCCCTCCTCACAACTCACTCATATTATGGCAGAAACATTTACAGAATTGGATGGTATTTCCAAGATGTTCAGAAGCCAACCTCTTGCCATTTTGCAATGCAGCAAAGCCATGAAAAGTGGACTGTGACTACTGTACCCCAGTATGGTAAGGTCCAACTATTCATCTTTCACTATTCACTTTTTCTTCCAACATCAAAGCAGCTGCTGTCTCTTAAAGCAAGAGGGAATGGAACACACATTTCTTATTTAGGCCTGTGCTGAGTATTCTATCTACATACTTTACTTTGCTTCACAAGAAGCCTTTGTGACTGATATTCCTCCCTATTTAAGAACGGAAAAGTAGAGATTTCAAGAAGTGTTAAACATTGTGTCCAAGTTTATCTGACTGATTAGTGCCAAGCAGTTATAAGAACTCAAGTTTAACATCAAAGATCAAGTGTTTATTCCTTGATGAGGCAAATTGTCACAGTTTCCAGATTTTGGTCTGGATGAGATCAAGAGCACTTCTGGGTTGCATAACAATATATTATAAACATGGCATATGTAAACAATAGGTCTGATTTACAAAGCCTACTGAAGATGAGAGGGAAAGAGAAAGAACTGCAGAGATGGGAAAATTCACACTTCTCCTGCCACCTCACGATCCCAAATGTTGTTTTCTTAACTAAAAAGAAAAAAGGAGAAAATTTATTCCTAGTATTTTCTGAGGTCTAAACACATTCAAACATAAATCATATGGAAAAAATCTATCATTTTTGTTGCCCAAGCATGTGTTGTCTGCGGAAATAGCATCCCCTCCATTTCGCTTCTCCATCCTCCCCGCTCCCAGCCCCCAAATTAAGTTTACAAACCTCTTACAGAGGCAGTGCTGTTGCCTAGGAAATCTGGCAAAGTAAGAAAACAGTGGTTTCACACTGATCTGGGTGTACAGTTTGAATAAGATATTGAATTTTAAAAATTGATTTTGTATAGTCCTTAGGCCAACTTCCTGGGATTAGAAGTTTCTTTAACACTTCACATTCTCTTCAGGCTTCTCAGATATCAGCAAAAATAAAGAAAACGGAGACCACGGCAGAACAAAACCATAACTCAGGGGTTGGTAATAGGTGAAAGAGGCTAATCCCAGTTGAGAGGAGTTCATAAAAATGAATCCTGGCCCCCCTTTGGGTGGCAGGAGTACTGCATCATGAATATTTATGGTGGAATATGGGAAGTGTTGGGAAACAGACCCAGCAGGGGCCAATCTACCCGAACAGCTGGGGATCGTTTGAGTGTTAAAATGAAGTTTTAAGGGACACCATTTAGATAAAAATCATATTTGAAAAGAATTATGCCTGTGTTCCAAATAACATCAAGTATAGAGCAATTTTGAGTTTTATATGCTTTGCAAACATCTGCTTGCTTTTAAACTCTACTCATCTTATACCATAAAGTTGGATTAGGTTTCAAAAATCTCCCATATTTTTTATGTTGGGGTGACCCAGTTAAAGGAGTTTGTGAAAGTGTTCAAAAGAAAAATGTTGTGTATGTACATATCTATATATCATGAACTGACTTTTCAAAAAGCATTCATTTTAAAGAGTTGATATGTATAGTGGTAAAGTGCACAGACTCTGGAACCAGGCGCTCTGAGCCCTAATTCCAGATCCATCACTCCCTACAGGCTGTATGGCCTTGGACAAGTTACTTAACTTCTCTGTGATTTCATTTTCCGATCTCCAAAAGTGAGGTCGTAATATAATAGTGCCTGCTCCGATGGCTGTTATGAAAATTAAATGAGTTCCTAGCCCATAATAAGTGCTGTGTTAATGTTGGCTTTCATCATTACTATGAAAATTATTCTCATTTAAATGCAATGCGCAGGTAAAGGGTATAAAAGGAGAATCATATGCTTGCCCCAAAATGTTTTTAAAAGAATTAAAAGATAATGAAGCCAGGCGTGGTGCGTCGCGCCGGTAATCCCAGCACTTTGGGAAGACAAGGAAAGCAGATCACGAGGTCAAGAGATCCAGACCATCCTGGCCAACATAGTGAAATCCTGTCTCTACTGAAAATACAAAAAATAGCAGGGCATGGTGGCACATGCCTGTAGTCCCAGCTACTTCGGAGGCTGAGGCAGGAGGATCACTTGAACCCGGGAGGCAGAGGTTGCAGTGAGCCAAATCACATCACTGAACTTCAGCCTGGCGACAGAGTGAGACTCTGTCTAAAAAAAAAAAAAAAAAAAAAAAAGGTAATGAACAAATGATCACAGTACCTAGCTCAAATGCTATGTGCAGAAGTATTTAAGAGGAATTACTAATTAGCCAAAACCCACCTTTATCATAAGTTCTTGTCATTGAGTGTTCTCGAAATGAATTTGACCATTCTCTAACAAAAAAAAGTATTTGCCACCAAATAAATCAAAACTGTCATTAACAGTTTAATGCCTCATTGTCATTACTTTTTTTTTTTTTAAAGACTGAATCTCGCTCTGTCACCCAGGCAGGAGTGCAGTGGCCGGGTCTCATCTCACTGCAACCTCTGCCTCCTGGCTTGAAGTGATTATCCTGCCTCAGCCTCCCAAGTAGCTGGGACTACAGGCACAAGCCACCATGCCCAGCTAATTTTTGTATTTTCAGTAGAGACAGGGTTTCACCATGTTGGCCAGGCTGGTCTCAAACTCCCATCTTCAGGTGATCCACCCGCCTCGGCCTCCCAAAGTGCTCGGATTACAGGCATGAACCACCGTGCCCAGCCACTTTTTTCATATATATTGAGACTCAACTTACTGTATGTTACCTGAGAGGTTTATTCATATGGTATAGACTGAATTGAATCTCTTCTCACCCTAGGAGGCACAAGGAAATTTTATTTTGGTCCCCAATTCTGATTTTGTTCAAGTATTATTTCATTCATTTATCCAAAATGAAAATAAGAAAAAAAGAAATAAAACCATTGAAGGCTCCACTTAACTGGGATCTGATTACTTATAGATTTATTATTGTTGATGTAGTTTGTTCATTTTTGCTCTGCAAAATTTCCAAATGTCTGCTGTGAGTGATTAATAATCTTCACATACCCCTTTTAGGCAACACCTGAAAGAAGGTTCACCCATGTTTGAAATCCAGATTGCTGCATGAAAGAACTCTGCCTTTCCCGGAGAGAAAATAACTTGCTCCCAACAGACTGTTTGCTCTGCAGGAGACACACAGTAAATGTGCAGATATGATCATGTTATTTCACTGCTTAAAACCCTTTGACAACTCCAAAATTCCCATAACATGAAGACCAAAATCTTTAACAGAGAGTTTCCATGGCATGATCCTGGATGGGCCTCTGCCTTCCTCCCTGCACTCTCCTCATCATTTACACCATGTCCCAGATACCCTGCCCTTCCTTTGATTCCTTGAACTTACTAACCTCCTCACAAGCCTGCAACAGCTAAAGACACGGCCGTGCCCTGGAGGACTGAGTGTCTGGAGCTCCTTCAAACCGATAGTCTTTAAATATTTGTTCAATGTTTCTCTCGTGAGAGCGGGGTAAACCTAGTTTTCTATTAATAAAAATTGCTTACAGAAATAGATTTATAAACACTTCAATTCACTTGGTTAAAGCAAAACCAATATTCTGAAAAATGTGCACAACCTTCATTTGTTTCTTTTGTCAATTATTAAACAAGACAACTTCTTAGGGGGTGGGAAATGTATTGAAGGGCTTTGCATTTAGATCACAAATCCTATCACTTATCATACACTATGCACAACACTATACCAGCACACTATCACCACCCTATGCATGATGTGGTTTTGGAATTTCAGATGATCATGACTGCCAGTTTCAGATAGTAGCTGTGCCAAGCAACTTGGGTAACTACACATTAAAAGCACTCAAGAAACAGACCGGTGATGGTTTTATTTTATTTTGCACTCCCAAATCCTCTCTCCACCTCAGCGAGGGTGAGACCTACTTTCATCTCTTCAGGACGGTGAGCCTTCATGTACAAAAACCTGTGATGGCAGTTACCGCATTTTACATTTACTCTGGAAATATTATAGCATTCCTGTCCAGCAGCTCATCTGCCCTGTAATCCAGCCCTGTCTCTACCAGGATCAAACTTTCCCACTTCATCTTCTGAATAACTTCTTAGTTTTCAAATCTAAGCCTAAATGTCACCTCCTTCAAGAGAAAACCAAGTCGGATCATAGAGTGACTCTTTTTCATTGATCATTATTTTCATATTTTTACATCTCTGAAATCAAGACGTGACTTTCTAACCATGGGGTCTTCCAATTTCCTCCACTCAACATCAGTGGGCATCCTGACATGATCATCATTGCTGGCACGTGCGTGAATGTGAGTGTTAGCTCTGGCAGTGTGATTCCGCAAATACTGCCCCCTTCCCTCTTTCATCAATAAACTATGAAAGGACTGTTCCAGGAAAGTATAGACATCCTAGTTAATGTCTGAAAAGCTTCTGTTGGCACCTGTTGGTAAAATCAAGAAAGCACCAGTGGCGGGGTGCAATGACGCAGGCCTGTAATCCCAGCACTTTGGTGTGAGGATGGCTTGAAGCCAGGAGTTCAAGATCAGCCTGGGCAACATAGTGAGACTCCATCTCTACACAAAATTTTAAAAATTAGCTGGGCATGTTGGCACACGTCTGTAGTTCCAGCTACTAGGGAGGCTGAGGTGGGGGGATCTCTTGAGTCCAGGAGGCTGAAACTGCAGTAAGCCATGATTGCACCATTGTACTCCAGTCTGGGCAACAGAGAGAGACCTTATGTCTACAAAATAAAAAATAAAAATAACAAAGCACCAGCATCTAAACTTCAAGAGTTAGTGTCAGCTGCTGGGAAGACACCTCACAGACAACAGTAGAGCACTCTCAAAAAATGCTGATGTCCGTCTCTCTTGCTGACCAGAAAATTAAAGTGCATACAACAGCATGGATGTTGATGACTCTGTGTCAAAAAGTGCTTCAAATGAGTTCAACTCTCAATGTGAAAAGGTTTTAGAAATGTCTTATTCAATTTATATTTTCCTTTTTATGTACGCACAAGAATGTGTGATAAAAATTCTATGTTGCACTAAGTAAAAAATGAATTCTCTCCGTAAGTATGAGACAAAATGTATAAAAAAGCACAGAGCTATAACTTAATTGGCAGGGTTTTCTTTTTTTCTAGAGGTATATAGTGTAGTGATGTGATTTATAAGCAAGCACATATTATGAAATATGATACACATTTTTAGAGTTGCCTGGGATTTTCATTCATTTCATTTATTACAAATGTAATTCTATTTGTGTGATTATTTGTTTGATATCTATTTTCCCAACTTGTCTATCAAGATAGAGTGATGTCTAGAATAAGACAAAGATGCAATAAGTATTTTTCGGTGAATAAGTTGAATTTCTACATTAATGAATGAGTGAATGAAGCATGCTTAGACCTTTGCTTCTGGGTACACAAATGTAACCTGGGATCTCATACATCCACTCACTGACCTCTGGTGCTAGATGGTTGCAGGCTGAATCTGAGCTTCAAACGCATGTTGCTTGATGGAGTACATTCTTTAAAAAGTAAATAAATAAACAAAACTGAATGCATCTAGGTAGGGCATGCGGTCTCCAATTTGCTGTCCTGATCACTCTTATTCTTTTACATCTACATGATCTAACTGCCCCTCAAAGGCATTAGAATTTAAGATGCCTTCTCTGTGGTTTTATATTAACACATGATGACCATGTCCTACATACATATGGTCTGAAGGATGCTTATTGATTTGCAGTGAAAAGTCCTACCCCAGGCCATGGAGGTACTCATAAAACACTTATTGGGAAAATTTTGGAATATCTGGTTCACCAGGTTGCCTTGTTGTCACTGTAAAAATACAACACTGACACTTCACTCGGCCTGCAGCATGTCGCTAATGCTTGCTGCTGTCCACAGGTGGCAGTGGTCCTTCACTGTTGCAAAGCCTAGAAACACCAGCGTTACCTCTAGGCCTCCGAATCCTGGGCCCTGGGAGATGGTATCTGTGTTCCAGGCAGTCTGTCCATGTTATCACTCCACCTCTTGTTCGGTGTTACCTGCATGCAGTATTTGGACAGGGAGGCAGCACAGCCCCTTGTATTCCCATACAATGTGTTTACATTGCTAAAATATAAAAAGCAGTTTGCAGCTGAAAAGATATTTTTCCCATGTGGTTTAAACCAAGCATCTTTTCCAGTCTTTTCATTCAAATAAGAGTACAGGAAGGGAGAGGAGATTTTGTTGTGCATTTTATTCCCCTGCTAGTCTAATCTTTCTTTTACTGTTATCCTAACATACTAGTATATCTGAAACTTGCGTTGTCAAGTTTCAGATATACTAGTATGTTAAGATAACAAATGATGAATTTCATTTTTAAGGACATTTAAATGTCTCATTTTAGGACATTTTTAAGAAAACATTACGTGTTTTCCTTCTTTACAGTCTTCAATATGTGTATAGACAAAATGGGAAGCTCAGTTTTAAAGGGGTTGTAATCAAGTATATTCTAGCTCTAGCCAATTTCACAGATAAGTCAGACTTGTAGATATAAACTCTGAAAACTAGGATTCTGGGCTTCATCTTTTCTGTATTTAAGAAAGACTAGGCTGGGGACACTGCTTAGGAGTTAGCCCTGCTCTGCAAGGAGTAGCCTAAATAAATAAACAAACAAACCTAGGTTGGATGTGTTCTTTTTGTAATTCAGCTACAAAAGTGCTCTGGCTATCTTAAGAATAGCCCCACAAGTGTAAATATTCCTTAATAACACATAACAAAGTTTTAAATGCTTTTCTGTTGGACCATGATACTGTCTGCGGCAAGGAATAAGTTACAGCAAATAATTTTCAATGGACTAACTTCCCCAGAGAAAAGTTAGTCCCACTGTATATATACCATTAGCAAAGACATTTGCTGATGATTGTTTAAATGAAATCTTTACCCAAAGAGGAAAAAAATACGGTTATAAAGGCAATACTTACGTATATAGGATCAGCAACTCATCCCTCTTCATGCTATGAACTTAAGGAACTCTCAAGAAAAGTATAGCCTTTTAAAAAGTATAGATTGTTGAACAAATGGAACCTGTCTTAAGCCACTTGAACTGAACATTTTTCTGCAGAACTGTTCACATTTTTTAATTGATATAGAATTGCTCACGTATTTCTTGATAGGTAAAACACATTAAAGACAAATGGCCCCATTTAGACTTTAAAATAAAGGAAAAGAAAAAGGTGATAAAAAAAAACATGAACTATCTTCTCTTTATCTATTGTGAGAGATTTATTTCCCCTTCCTTCTCACTCAAAAGTAAAACAACCAGCATGGGGCTTTTCTGGCTTTGGCTGGGTTGGCTCCTCTACTGCAGCTGTACACATCTGGTGTCTGAGTTTCCACTTAAACATGACTTCACAATATCATCGCACAAGCCGTGAGCTCTGTGTGTATGAGCCCCTATCTCTAGTGTCCTCCCTGATGGTGGTGTTTCTTCATTTGACTCCCACACTTAACCATCTCTACCCAAGGCAATAGAATACCAGTTTGTCAAACTTCCATAGCCTCTCAAAAAATCAGTTTATCCACAGCTTTTTTAAGAAGATGTTGGGCACAAGGAGTAATACAACATTGGGTAGGTTTTCTAACAGTGGAAACCACCACACTGTTATCAGACTTGAGTATCAGAATTTGGGGCAACACCTATAACTCTACACCGAGTGAAGAAATTAGGAAGGTATTGATTTCCTTGAACTTCTTGGGAATGGATCTTTCACCCAGCCCAATGTCAGAGTTGCCTGGGATTTTCATTCATTCAGAGCTCCCAACTGAGCCAACAAAAACTACTGGACCTAAAAACAACTTTCAGGACAAAACCAGCACATAAATCAAAAGTAGTATTAAAGTCTTCAGCAGGGAGAAACATCAGTATTTATTAAGTTCCTAATAAGCCAGACACTTTACACGCATTGTCTCAATGAATTCTTAGAACAACACTGTGATAATTTTATTAGTCCCACTTCACAAGAAAAACCACTGAGATTAGAAAAGTTAGACAACTCACTTGCCAAGTCAACCACCTTACCACCCGCAGTGTGTTAACCCAAGTCTATCTACTTGTGAGTCCCGTAGTCTTTTCACTACCTCATTTCCAATGTCCCCTTTGACTGTTTGATTATTTCAAGATAATTTTTAATAACACGTATATTGGAGATGGCAATTCCAGTACCTACGAAAGAATGAAACTATGAAATTTATTCCCTCCATTCTTACATAAAGGATCTTAGAGTATGAGGAACTTGATAACAACTATGGTTTGGGATGTCACAATTGCCTTTATAATAAATATTATTTTCCCAGAGTGCAAGGATAGGCATTCTTGACTTTGATGGAAAAGAGGTTTCTTTCCACATTATAATGATTGACTTCAGCACCAATGACACAAGTTAGATAGATTGAGTCCCTAGATGCTCAGATAATTAGAGATATTTAAAAGCCAGTCTATACTTGCCACCAGAGTATTTCTGAGATTATTTTATCTGGGATTATTATATAATAAACAAATATTTATATTTATAATAATAAATATGTTATTATATGTATATTTTGTCTATAGTAAACAAATAGGGTAAAGTAAGAATTTCCTCCAGAGAATTTTCAGAATGTACAGAGTTGCAGCATGGCCTGAAATTCTTTCAGCTTCCATGTCCCAACTGATCAATGTAGAATTACAAAGAGATTTGAAGGAGAGATATAGAATTACAAAGAGCATAAACTTTTCTGCTGAGAGCTCTGGACAACAGAGCTACCATGGAACATGCCTGCTGAGTATAAAGCAAGCCACCTGACTTTCAAAGAGAATTTCAGATTGACAGCTTTCAAGGGGATGGGCATATAAATTAGTCTCTTAGATAGAGCAATTAAACCAGAAATCTTAAGGCTGCTAGAACATTCTGTGTTTGGCTTGGGGTTAGGTATCAAAAGTGATGTCTTCCTTATTCTGTTTGAAAAGGGTTTCCCACTGCTAAAGACCTCCCCAGTCCTCCACTTCTCCCCTTTACTCAAGTAAGAATGAAGCTTGGGAAACATCAAAATATTAATTCAAACTCTCATGTACAGCTCTGTGCCTACTACAGAGGAAGTTACCCCAAGGATGCCTGCTTTCTGGGCCTTGAGATTTCTATCCATCAAAAATTGATTTTTCTGAATTTAAAAAAAGAGATGAATTTGACAAATGCTGTAAAAAGGTTTCAGATTGATGATTATATTACATTTTTAGGACCTGAAACTCGGTCTGTCAGAAAATAAGGCAGCATAATTATCAACCACAGAATCACTCTCCATATTCCTATATGGAATACACACAGGCTTGCAGACATCCTCTCTATTTTCCTTATTCTCAATTCAGTCTCACCTAGGGAAATTGGTGGAAGAAAAATAATTTATTTCCACTAAAAATATTTTCTTTGAGACTGCCTAGCTATTGTACAGATATATTTATTGCTGCAAAGACCATAAATGAAAACTAAAGGGAAGTTACACTCTGAGAGAACACTCATTTGTTTGTAGTACAAACTGATTTAATTAAATATTTTTGAAGAGCTCTGTTTCACAGAGATTGTGACCTAAGACTTTCTATGACCACAAACATATCAGGTGACCTGGTAAACTAAAAAGAGCTCTGTAGTCTGACAAGAGAGACCAAGATCATCGCACTTTTAGAATCACAATGCTATCAAATGATATCCCAGAAGTCACAGTACCTCCAGCCCTCAGTTTCCCTATCTATAAAGAGGCTGAAAAACTGGATGATCTCTGGGGGCCTTCAAGCTTTAATATTTTTGTTCTAATATGCTAGGGACATTTTAAAAATATGTATGACAAGAGAGGCAAATTTTAACACATTTTTTAAAACTAGAACTAATGTTTTTTGATAAATATCATACCTAAACTATAAGTAAAGCAAAGTGAAGATACAAGTGAGGGAAAATGAAGGCAGAATTATTTTCCACATTCTGAAAGCTTTCCTAAAAATCCACAACAACTGCAGAAGCAAGCCAACATCCCCTTGTTTCTGCCAGCAAATATCACAAGTGAGCTGCAGGTTTGATCACCTTGACCCTCTAACCCCAGCAATGCCAAATTGAGAAAGTCTCTGTGCAGAGGCCCACTTGGATCCTAAAATCACATTCATGCTTCTGGAGTCTTTTTCCAAAGCAGGGGATGGGGCACCCACCCAGCATAGAGGCTAGACAGCACAGCCCTGTCTCTGATTCCAGGAAGATTGCTATGAAAATGGAGATTTTAGGGACACATCCTTCCTCTTGCAACTCAGAGTTTGGTTATCCATAATCTTTTTGGATGTAGACCAGTGGAAACTCTGTGCTAAACAGTACCCACCTGTGACAGTGTTTCCAAATGTGACTCAACCAAGTTAAATGTCAACACTGGCAAGCAAAAGAAAGGAACAGGAGCTAGAAATAACTGAGGGAGGGGACTTCTGCCCCAAATGTTTCAACAACTTAGGGGAAAAAAGCTTTTTTGTTAATTATTAGATTAGATGTTGCCTGCCTGCTAACGAGTTTTAATGTCTCAGTATCTGGGTGTGGAGCCAAGATGGCCGAATAGGAACAGCTCCAGTCTACAGCTCCCAGTGTGAGCGACGCAGAAGATGAATGATTTCTGCATTTCCAACTGAGGTACCAGGTGCATCTCATTGGGGATTGTCGGACAGTGGGTGCAGTGCACCGAGCCTGAGCCAAAGCAGGGCGAGGCATCGCCTCACCCAGGAAGTGCAAGGGGTCAGGGAATTCCCTTTCCTAGGGGTGATGGACGGCACCTGGAAAATCGGGTCACTCCCACCCTAATACTGAGCTTTTCCGACGGTCTTAGCAAATGGCACACCAGGAGATTATATCCCACGCCTGGCTCAGAGGGTCCTATGCCCACGGAGTCTCGCTCATTGCTAGCACAGCAGTCTGAGATCGAACTGCAAGGTGGCAGCAAGGCTGGGGGAGGGGCACCTGCCATTGCTGAGGCTTGAGTAGGTAAACAAAGCAGCTGGGAAGCTTGAACTGGGTGGAGCCCACTGCAGCTCAAGGAGGCCTGCCTGCCTCTGTAGACTCCGCCTCTGGGGGCAGGGCATAGCCAAACAAAAGGCAGCAGAAACCTCTGCAGACTTAAATGTCCCTGTCTGACAGCTTTGAAGAGAGTAGTGGATTTCCCAGCACACAGCTTGAGATCTGAGAACAGACAGACTGCCTCCTCAAGTGGGTCCCTGACCCCCAAGTAGCCTAACTGGGAGGCACCCCCCAGTAGGGGCAGACTGACACCTCACATGGCCGGGTACTCCTCTGAGACAAAACTTCCAGAGGAACGATCAGGCAGCAACATTTGCTGTTCACCAATATCTGCTGTTCTGCAGCCTCCGCTGCTGATACCCAGGAACACAGGGTCTGGACTGGACCTCCGGCAAACTCCAACAGACCTGCAGCTAAGGGTCCTGACTGATAGAAGGAAAACTAACAAACAGAAAGGACACCCACACCAAAACCCCATCTGTATGTCACCATCATCAAAGACCAAAGGTAGATAAAACCACAAAGATGGGGAAAAAACAGAGCAGAAAAACTGAAAATTCTAAAAATCAGAGCTCCTCTCCTCCTCCAAAGGAATGCAGCTCCTCACCAGCAACAGAACAAAGCTAGATGGAGAATGACTTTGATGAGTTGAGAGAAGAAGGCTTCAGACGATCAAACTACTCCGAGCTAAAGGAGGAAGTTTGAACCAATGGCAAAGAAGTTAAAAACCTTGAAAAAAGATTAGACAAGTGGCTGACTAGAATAACCAATGCAGAGAAGTCCTTAAAGGACCTGATGGAGCTGAAAACCACGGCACAAGAACTATGTGACGAATGCAGAAGCCTCAGTAGCCGATTCAATCAACTGGAAGAAAGGGTATCAGTGATGGAAGATGAAATGAATGAAATGAAGCGAGAAGAGAAGTTTAGAGAAAAAAGAAAAAAAAGAAATGAACAAAGCCTCCAAGAAATATGGGACTATGTGAAAAGACCAAATCTACATCTGATTGGTGTACCTGAAAGTGACGGGGAGAATGGAACCAAGTTGGAAAACACTTTGCAGGATATTACCAAGGAGAATTTCCCCATTTTAGCAAGGCAGGCCAACATTCAAATTCAGGAAATACAGAGAACACCACAAAGATACTCCTCGAGAAGAGAAATAATGTCACGTACCTACAACTGTCTGATCTTTGACAAACCTGACAAGAAGAAGAAATGGGGAAAGGATTCCCTATTTAATAAATGGTGCTGGGAAAACTGGCTAGCCATATGTAGAAAGCTGAAACTGGATCCCTTCCTTACACCTTATACTAAAATTAATTCAAGATGGATTAAAGATTTAAATATTAGACCTAAAACCATAAAAACCCTAGAAGAAAACATAGGCAATACCATTCAGGACATAGGCATGGGCAAGGACTTCATGTGTAAAGCAACAAAAGCCAAAATTGACAAATGGGATCTAATTAAACTAAAGAGCTTCTGCACAGCAAAAGAAACTACCATCAGAGTGAACAGGCAACCTACAGAAAGGGAGAAAATTTTTGCAATCTACTCATCTGACAAAGGGCTAATATCCAGAATCTACAACAAACTCCAACAAATTTATAAGAAAAAAAAAACAACCCCATCAACAAGTGGGCAAAGGATATGAACAGACACTTCTCAAAAGAAGACATTTATGCAGCCAAAAGACACATGAAAAAATGCTCATCATCACTGGCCATCAGAGAAATGCAAATCAAAACCATAATGAGATACCATCTCACACCAGTTAGAATGGCAATCATTAAAAAGTCAGGAAACAACAGGTGCTGGAGAGGATGTGGAGAAATAAGAACACTTTTACACTGTTGGTGGGACTGTAAACTAGTTCAACCATTGTGGAAGTCAGTGTGGCGATTCCTTAAGGATCTAGAACTAGAAATACCATTTGACCCAGCCATCCCATTACTGGGTATATACCCAAAGGATTATAAATCATGCAGCTATAAAGACACATGCACACATATGTTTATCGCTGCACTATTCGCAATAGCAAAGACTTGGAACCAACCCAAATGTCCAACAATGATAGACCAGATTAAGAAAATGTGGCACATATACACCATGGAATACTATGCAGCCATAAAAAATGATGACTTCATGTCCTTTCTAGGGACATGGATGAAGCTGGAAACCATCATTCTCAGCAAACTATCACAAGGACACAAAACCAAACACCGCATGTTCTCACTCACAGGTGGGAATGGAACAATGAGAACACATGGACAAAGAAAGGGGAACATCACACACTGGGTCTGTTGTTGGGTGGGGGGAGGGGGGAGTGATAGCATTAGGAGATATACCTAATGTTAAATGATGAGTTAAGGGGTGCAGCACACCAGCATGGCACATGTATATATATGTAACAAACCTGCACGTTGTGCACATGTTCCCTAAAACTTAATGTATAATTAAAAAAAAAAGTCTCAGTATCTGGTAAACATTTAATCTTAGTATTTGGTAAACTGAGACTATTGGATCAAAATTGAACCCAATTTCAGCTGCTTCTTTACCAATAACCTGAATCCATCTCTCTCTGGTGCTCGTTGTACTATGCTAAGTTATGCCTGAGATGTTGAGATGCCTGTGACATGACAAAAGTAAACAGTTGAGCTGGAGGTTTGGTTCCCTTCTCACCTCTTCTCTGAAAGTCAATCTCTGGCTCTGATGTGTCACATTGGCAGTTCCTCCGGATGTCATGGCTCACAGTCACTCATTCAGCAAGTATTGTATTGACTACCAGGGATAGGCTTTGTGTTATCCCCTGAGGAAAAAAGGTGAGGCCGCATAGTCTTGTCCTTACTGAGGGCCCAGACCAACAGGCAAAGTCATACTAGAAGTGGCGACTGCAATGAGCCAGGTGCATATGAGGGACAGAGCCTCTATCCACCCAGTGGAATTAGGGGAAACTTCTTGGAAAAAGTAGTGCTTGGGGCACACTTGAAGGACAAGTGCTGCCAGACTGTGTCTGCCAGACTGGTGTGGGGATGTGAAGGGTGGGAGTGAAGTCTGAAGACCGTGAACAAAGTGTATGAACAGACACCTGCGATTATGAGAGAGTTTAGTTCTACAGCATGAAGTTCAGAGAGTGTGTGGCAGTTCAGGAGGATAAACAGGTATGCAGGAGCCAGATTATGCTCCAGAATTCAGACCTCTGCTGATGGAAGGCTCCATGTGTCCCGAGCATTTGTTTTCAATAACTCTACCAGCCCCACCTTATAAGTAGATAGAATGAAAGGTGAAAATCAGACTCTATGGTTCAGGTGTGCATACTGAGGACAGAGAAAGGTGCCCTTCTCACTAGAGGCTGGGGTAGGAAAGAGCCTGGAGGTTCCAAAGACAAAGTGTGCCTGTCACTACTTAATGTGTTTTGCAACAATACATTTGCAACAATATGCATGCCTACTTTTCCACCCCCCAATTTAATGTATTTAATGCAACATCTAATCTAATAATAAACAAAATAGCTTTTTTTTAAGGCTCCCTGATCTCCCCCAAAGGGATGAAGGATCTCACTCTCTCTCTCATGCATTTCGCATATTCAACTCTCTGCTCTTTCAGGGCTTTGAGCTGGATGGATAGTCTATTTCTTTCACCTCATTGAAGTTTTGAATGGAATCAAGCTGCTACTGATGATTTACAGAAGAAGCGAGGGAGAATGAGCAGTGGTTATGTATAACGAAGGGCCACATTTTGCTTCACACACCCATTTGGCCACAATCGCTTAACACACTCTTGCTTACATACATCACTATTTAGTGGAAATTATAGGGAGAATCCTCACAGTGTCACAAGGTAGGAATCCAACCCAAGAAATAATGGAACCAGAGGCGACTCATTTGAACGCTTGTTATGTGAGATAGGAAAACTTATAATCAACTTTGCAGGATTATGAATGACTGTATTCAAAGAAGCCAGAAAACCTAGTGTATATAAAATTATTACCTTTACACCTACTCAATACACAGTTTTGAAGAAGTCATATGCTGTGTCATAAGTTTCTTACCCTATCCCTAAATTGAGGTTCAGATTTCTGGCCAAGCAACCAGAACACTATTACCTTACTACCTTTAATGGCTAAAAATTTCAGAGAGGAGGATAATGTCACTACATACTTCGGGAGGCCAAAGTGGGAGGATCACTTGAGCCCAGGAGTTTCAGGCTGCAGTGAGCTATGATAGTACCACTGCACTCTAGCCTGGGTGACAGTGAGACCCTACTTCTAAAAATAAAAAAATAAGAAAAGAAAATAAATATTTAGTAAGTTGGAAGATACTATTGATTCAATCGCACAGAACGCAACACAGAAAGACAAAGAGGTGAGAATTACGAAAGAGAAGCTAATGTATAAAATATACATCAAGAAGCTCAAACATAACTCTAAGAGGGCTCCAGAAGAAAATATAAAAAGCATATCTGAATATATAATTCCAGAAATTTTTCTAGATTTGTAACCTAACCCAGACTAACCAGCAAAGACTTGCCCTTGTGATTAAAATGAGCTAAGCACAAATGTTAACAGAGCAGTATCTCTAATCTATTCTTTTTCAATTTAAAAATCATAATTGAAGTCACAATGAAGTCTTCATAAGGGTGGAGATGTTATGACATTTGTGATTTACATAAACCAGGGAAGACTGTTGTTGCAAATGGAATGACAGGTTGACAAATAACAAACCTGTAAAGTCTTACTGATAAATCCCCTCTATTCATCCACTTCTCTAGGCATGCTCAGTAGACTGTATCATTCTTCTAAGTTTGTTCCTTTGCTCAAAGTGGAAAGACACAGTGGTTCTTAATTTGGGTTCCTAAACACAAATGCATTAGGTTTGATTGAGCTGAATGAGGAAACTTTACTAGGAAACATAGTGCCTAGAAAACCCTAGTTTTATAAATAATTGATATAAAGCAGTGACCAACAAAATGGAGATCTAAGACATAAATGGGAGTAGAGGACTTGGAATCATTCTGAGATGATCTTCCCTTTTACTGGTCTTGGAAATTTGCCATGCATTTTACCCCAGTGCGTTTTAAATGCTAAACATACAGTAAAGATGACAAATACATTGTAGGATCTGGTATTTTGAGGCTAGGCAAAGACCCTACATGCTAAGTCAGAACATAAAAGATATGAAGTGGTAAGTGATGCTCATTTTGATGGATGGTAGACATTAAAGGATTCATCAGTGACGGAACTGAATGGAAGGAATATAGAATAGATATTGAGAAGCCATGGGAAGCCAGAAGGACTTGCACTGATTTTGGAATACATCCCAAGAGGTTGAATCTACCTCACATTGGGGAGCAATTAATTCCAAAGCATTTTAGAAGTAGGCCAAGAACTTAGCACTGGAAGTTCTAGATTTATGGGGATTTTGTAACCCCAACTAAAATATCTGAGGTAAGATTTACTGCTCTTTTGAGAATTGTATCCTCTCCTAATATCATGCCAGTAAAGCATTAATAAATGGCACTACTCTGAAATCCTAGAAAATGGAACTCCCATAAAGTCTTTAAAAATGTCATAGGCAAAAGAAATTTTAATGGCATAAAAAACAAAAAACTTCCCAAAAGGTCTTCACCAAAACTTGCCCCCTGCCTGCTGCAAGAAACCGATAAGGAATTGATAGATTGCTAAGTCCTAGCAATTTTAATATTGTGGCTATTTGACTTCTTTATCATCCACTTTTAACGTCATCTTACTAGCAGAATTTGTTTGGCCCACCGATTAAAGAATGATTACTTTAAAGCCATTTGGTTTAATTAGATGGTTGAGTCTCCTTTAAAAATATTAATATTTTTTCCTTTACAGCATGAAGTGTATTTCCAACTTTTAAAACAACTGGGATAATACAGAAAACCAAATAGAATAGCACTGACTGCCTCAATGAAAGTTCAGGTCCTTCACTGACTCTGAGAAAATGAAAATATCAAATTAGGCTGTCATGGTGACAGCAATGTCTTGAATCTTGATCTATTTCCTAATGAAGAGGATTTTTGTGCCTCCTCCCTGCAGTGATGCATGGGATCTTGTCCAGAATAGAATGACTGTGCACATTCACATGTATGTTTATAACTGTGCAACCCTTAAAAAACCTAGCTACCATGTGACCCAGTTTGGACCTGGATTTGCATTCAAATATCAATCAGCTTGGGATCCAAAAGTTATTGTAGAGCTATGTGGTACTGTAGTGCAATATCTTGAAAAAATGTCAAAGAAAGATTCATTCATAGGTATGACCAAATTGTTACAATCCTCTTTCTATGCCTCCTTACTTCTCACGGTAAGAGGAATTGTTCCCCCAAAACTCACTATTTCTCCACTCTAACTCTCCCCCAAATCTGGTCACATCAACTTCAATGATTCTTCACCTTTTCACCCTTTTTGTATATATCTCTCTCTGGTGCTTTCTAATGAAAATCAAATGAAGCCTGTCTTGATTCTCCTCAGTTCCTCCCTTCATCCATTATCCAGAATCTGCCCAGTGAAGAAGGCATGAGGGACCCAGAAGACAATACCAAATTCCCTTTAGCGGACAGGGAAGAGGAGAGACAGCTGCCATTTTCCTGTAATAGTAGGATGGTATCTTTCTTGAATATTGACCAAACACTTGAGAACATGACCTCCAATGGGCCGCTTAGGAAGAGCTGTCAATCTGGACTATTCTGGGCATGTTGTCTTGAATTCAAAATGTGGCTAAATTTCTGGAATCTGTAGTGAGGAAAATAATGAGAGTCCTTTATACCAGTGTTGAAAACTCTTGCCACAGGCCCCGGACTTTGGACTTTATTCCACTGACTGTTCAGTGGCTTTTTCTTTTGCAGAATGTGCATGTTGTTTTCTTGCATTTTCAGGAAGAAAACTGATGTAACTTCTGCATCCAGAATAAACATTGATGGGTTCAGTCAGATCTTCAAGTGCTACACAACTTGTGTTTCCTGTGTTCTACTCGCTGTTGAGAAACTCCCTTGGCATGCATATGGGGGCAGAGTAACTATTAGAAGCTGCCCTTCAATTCTGTGGTATGTGATGAAGCGGAGCCATTTCTTGGATTACTGAAAATGCATCTGTCAAAGGCAGGGTTGGGGACCTGAGTTTTGAACCCATATAGAGGATGCTTCCATGATATACCATTCAATCAAAGAACTCTCACAAAATTGTTGCTTTGAGAAAGATAGCACAATTCTGGTTCAACAAAGCCTCAGTTTCTTCAAACGTCTGGTTTGGAAGAGATCATGTCATACATTTGAAATTAACAAACAGCTAGGGGCAGAGAACTGTTTTACTGAAGACTATCTTTGTTTTTTTGTGGGGGGAATAGGGTTGTCACTGTCATTGTTTTGCTTCACAACATAGTGGAAGCCCCTTGTCATATTAACCCAAGGAAGCTAACTGACAGATAACCAACTCTTCAGCATCTCACCAAGTAGCTCGCATTTCAGGTGCAAAGTCTGCTTGATTGCAGGCTGGAGTTACAATCCGATGCTGTCTACCAGTAATAACTGAAAGTGAAGAGGAACTGCCCACTCTTTCTTTGTGTGTATTTAGAGAGGAGCAGGGGTGGGTGAGGGAGAGACTTTTTACATTCTGGCTTCTATTTTTTTAAAAAAGAAAATTATTCTTAAGATACACTCTTAAGTTTATGTTACTTTTTATGTACATAATACATAATGAAAATTTGTATCAACTCACTGATTTTTTTCTTACTGATCCCCCAGGTGACCCACAGCGGGAAATTATACTTCAACTGGCAGGATTAGTAGTGGAATTAGGAGCAACTTGTAACTCTGGGACAGAAAGCAGACACCCTCAGATCAGTCTGTCCCTTCAGGAACAACAGCGTCACTCTGGGTCTCCAGGGCTGTCCTTCTTACTCATCCTTTGCTCGAATATTTACTGAACGTTAACTATGTGCAGTACCACACCCAGGGCTAAAGAGAAAGAAGTGAATTGTGATATAATAAAACATATTCATATAAATTATATAAATATGATCCCTGTTCTCCTGAAAGGGAAGTAAATGTAAAAAGTAAACAAACTAAGGAATAAAATAAGTGCAAATCATAAGAATTGCTATGAAGGAAACCAACCAAAGGCAGATAGATATACAGGAGAGGCCTATCATAAGTTAAGAAAGTCAGGAAAGGCCTTTCTGAAAGAGAGATTTCTCTCCCCTGTAATATTTCTTCAAACATTTGAAGGCAACTAAGGCCTAGCTAGGGACAATCATTTTCTTCTCTGTGTGAAACAGTCATGGTTTCTTTGGTCAGTCCTCCTACACAGAGTGATTAGAGAGGGCCCCTTCTACATCTCCCTAGTTCACTTACAGGCATGAGTCTTCTAGGATAAGAAAAGGGTCCCACAGTATCTGCTTAAGAGTCTTTCTTTAAGGAGAGCAGGGTAGTTGAGACACAAGTTAGAAAAGTTTTTATCCTGTATCATTTACTGTTTGTTAGAAAAAAAGCTGCAATCCTAAAATCTGATCTCCAAGTCTTCAGTTGCAAACAGTTCTTGGTCTCTGGAAAAAGTCTCCCACTTCGTATAGTTGTGCTGCCAGTTGCTACCAGCTACCAGTGGGAACCAAATCCACACTGGGGTTTCCAAAGCCCTGATATCTTGAGAAGACCATAATTAAGCTGCTGTTCTTAAAACTGCAACTTCTACCCACCTTTATCCCCTGCTTTTGACTTCGGTCCAGCTCACCTTCCACCTCCTCCTGCTCCCACTGGGTTTCACCAGCTAGGTGGGTGATCGCAAGGGCTCACTGACATATAAGGCTAAGGAACACATGAGCAAGGCAAGTAGTAGTTCTTGTTTCTTCAAGATTTTGGGAAAACCTCTCTCGCATCACAAGATGAATACAATGTGAAATTCTGAGTGAATGAAACCAAACCAATCTGTTCAATGGAAGCATTTTCAGTACAACATGCAGACATTGATCATGCTATAAAGGAGGTATTAGTTTTATTTACTAAACACTCCCGTTGCTGGGCTGGGCTGCAGCCAGTCAGAACTACAAAGGATGTGAGCCCAACTGGTTTGCATATTGCCCTTTTTTATTACAGTATTTCCAGTCTCCCAGCTCTGTAAATATTTACCCAATATTTTACCATACCTCAAATTTAAGAATTCAGTTGTCTGCCTTAACTCATTCATAAACATCAAATTAAAAAAAAAAGTCTTCAGATGGAGGAGATAGCATCTGATTGACACATTGAACCTGGATTACGTATTAAACAAGAAATGCCCTCCTTGAGCCAAGATCATTGTGAGTGAAAAGCAAGTGACCTTCTCAGCCAATGATGCATCCATAAAATGGTTGGAAAGCTTCCCTGCTTGCACATGGAATCAGAAAACAAAATGAAGTAAAAAGGATCTAGCCCATTCCCCTAATTTCACCATCTTGCTACAGCCATTCTCCCCAGGGCTTTCCACTAACCCAGTTGCCAAGGAGGCGTGAGGGGTTATTCTCTCAGAAACACCACTAAGGATTCTGCAGGCCCTCCTGGGGATACTCCAAAAGCATTCTGTAGGGAAACTGGCTGCTTCTCTGGGCTCATCATATGGAAAGTATATTTCTCAACACAGCTGGCAAACAAATCTCTTTGAAGGAGATAGCCAAGAGGCCTGAGATTGGCCCTCAAATAATGAATTCAGCATCTTTCACTCTCCCCAGCCTATAATATTCTTCCTCTCTTGTAGTTATTTATTATTATTCAATATTTATGCAAGTTATAAATGTGCAGAGTACTGCACAATATCACAGACAGGGCCAATGCAATAACAGCACCTTCTCCTAAGGAACAGAAAGGAACTCACTAGTCAAGTCCATGGGCAGAGGCTTCCAAAGAGAGAGGAGTGCAGGGAGACAGGTGGACAGCTGAAGTTGTCCAGTGTCACAGACCCATTCTAGGTGTGGGTATATTCTGATAGATCACAGCCTCTCTATTCTGCAGTGAATTAAAGGAGGAAATAGCTTGACCTCTCCCTGCCTTTGACTATTTCACAACTGTTTTGTAAATAGAGGTAGAAACAGTGATCCGGAATTAAGACATGCACCATAAACTACAACTCCTATACCCAGGCCACATCCAAGGCAGTGGAAACTATTAAAAGAGCAAGACTTTATCAAGTAGTGTTTCTAAACTTAGAGTACATAGCCTGCAGAACAACCCTGTCAATATGACCTGTATCCGTATTCGAAAATAAATGGCTCTGATGTTCTCCACCAATGACCTGGGCATGTTTTCTGTTTACCAGGAAATGAGTGTAATGAGGTTCAAGCTGTGGAAGAACTATCAAGGTCATGTCATCAAAGAATGACAGAGCTCAGAACCAAACCCAGCTTCCCTGACTCCAAGGCCAGTGTTCCTCCACTGTGAAACTGCCGCCCCAGCCTTCTGCTTCCTTGGTTGCTCAGGGCCTTGGTTCTCTGGCTTTCTTCCTTCCTCTTCAACCTTTCCTCTTATTTTCCCCAAATGGCTATTCATCTTCCACCTTTAACTCTAGGCCCTCCCCAGGCCCTCTGGTTCTTTATTTCTCCCCTGAGCCCCTCTATTTTATTTCCATGTTCTTCCTGGAAATTTGCATCCATCCTCCCTCATGTTTCAGTCATCAGTTCTATGTGGTGGACTCTCCATTTCGTCTCCAGCCCTACACTTACTATAGAGAAAAACTCATGAACTTTGGAGTCAGAGAGGCTTGAGGTGAAGTATCAGCACCGCCATGTACCACTTGTGAGACCTCATTAGGCTCTCTAGGACCACTTCTTATCTTTAAAATGAGGATAATAGTGACCTCATGGCTGAAACGGAGACTTCTAGATGCTGTGTACTGTCCATTATCCCCCCTCTTTTATCCAAATCCAAGATCCAATTTCAAAGCCAAAAGAGCCTGGATTTATAGCTGAGTAGTTACAACCAACCTAAAACACCATTACCCAGCGTCTCTTTCAGCTTCCTGTGGCTATGTGATTATGTTTCAGCCAATGAGATACAAGTGAAGGCATTAGAGGGATAATCCTTTTCTCCACCTTTTCTTTCTCCTATTGCCTAGAGCACAGATATGATGGCTGAGCTTCATCAGCTATTTTGGACCATGAGGAGACCCTGGGAGTAGAAACCACATGTAAGATATGGCTGAGCAGAGATACATGACTAGGTCCCTAAAGAAATTGCAAAGCTACCATAATAGGTGTGAACTGCCTATCTTTTATATAATAAATATATATCTGCCACTTCTTGGCAAGTTTTTTCTCTTATATGCACAAATTTAGCACATTTGTTCATATAAGAGATGCAGCCAAATTTAGCACACAGACTGTGGGGTTTTTTTCCCCTTTTCTTTTTCTGTCCAGTTACAGAGGGTACCAAAGAAAAGATAAAGCAGCTACTGCTACTGGAGATGCAACTGGAAGCAGAGAGGAGAGAAATATCTTTCTCCAGCCCTCCGATCTCCCACCATCCCTCCCGCTTGTCAAATCAAGCCAGAAGCCATTTTCAAGGACAGCCTTTCTCAGTGCAACACAGAGCAAACAAACGGGATGGATTTGAGAACAAACAGGCAAATGACATAGTCTGCCCAGAGAACGTTAACTAAATGAAGATCCATTTGTAAAGCACTTAGCACTGTACCTGATGCATAGTAAGATACTATAAATGCTGCCTCCCTTCCCCTTCACTGATTTCTCTTCCAAATCATAAATTCACAGGACCATTCATCTGTGCATCTCTGCATAGATATTCCACAAGTATCCACCCAATTTGCCCAAGGAAGAACTCAGCACCTTCTGCCTCTACAAAATTCCTTTACACCTGCATTCTAGCACAGGCAAGAGAATCACTACCAATCTAGTCACTCAGTGTTGAAATCTTAGAGCAATTTTTTTTTTTTTTTAGACGGAGTCTTGTTCTGTCACCCAGGCTGGAGTGCAGTGGCGTGATCTCAGCTTACTGCAACCTCTGCCTGCCAGGTTCAAGCAATTCTCCTGCCTCAGCCTCCGGAGTAGCTGGGATTATAGGTGTCTGTCACCATGCCTGGCTAATGAGTTCTCCTAAACTCTTTCTCCCATCACAAAATCCCCCTCTCCACATCACTCAAGTTACCAAAACACAGATGTTCTGCCTCAATGGATTTCCTAGCTACCCCTCTAACTCTTATGGTCATGAATATAAATCACTCTTGGTGTCACTGTGTCCTCTTCTTATTCACGTTCTCTGCTCTTCTCTGTTTAACTACACTGTTCAAATCCCTCTTCTGGCTTCCTCATCAGCTACCCATTTTTTGGCTCATACAAGCCTTTGTATTGCAGTGGCTCACACTCCACTTCTTGGCCTCCTTTCACTTTCAGTTACATGGCAAATTTCTTACAGATCAAGTTCACAAAAACAAGACTTTGGCCCTACTGCTGCACCACAGGTAAGCTGATGTTCTAGACATTATCTGCCCGTGGGGGATATGTCTACCATGGCCTGTTCACTGGGAGTCAGGAGTGGAGTGTAGTCATAATAGAGATCTGTGAAACAGCCCTCTTGCCACTGCCATTCTCATATGATCACAGTATCCTCCTAATCAAAATTCTCCAAGGTTTTTTTTTGACTACCCACAGCAAGAAGGGAAAAAAATGCTTTCTCCATGGTTTGTGTTTTGTTTGTTTTTGACTACTCACAACAAGAAGGGAAAAAGTGCTTACCTTACAAACTTTAATGGGAAATACTTCCACCATTAAGAGAGATATTTGTCACTTCATGATTCATGAAATAGCAAGTAAAGGGTGCTCACTGAGAATCTTTCACAGCATGGAATCAATCTCCAAATCTTTCTAGATTAATCCTGTGCTCCAGTGTATGGGATCCAGCATCTGAGACTTACTTTCCACTTCCAGATACATTCTCCAAAGTCTCTACCTTGAGCTTCTGTTCTGTTTCAGGAATGCTTTTCCCTTTGACGTTTCTATGTTAAGATACTACCTTCCTTCTCACAAAAATCCCAGTATGGTCTTTGCAATGAAATTACTCCTCGTTACTCCAGCCAGAATTTGTCCCTTTTGGATACATATGCTTTCCCTATCCTATAAGCTCCAAGAGGGCAGAGACAGTATATGTTTTTTTTTTTTTTTTGACCACTGTATTCCCAGTACACAGGAGAGATCTTGGCTTGGCAAGTGTTAAAAACATTGCTTGAATAACTGTGCACTCCATAGCACATCATTTCTTCCTCACAGATTTACTGCAGTACTGATAGAAGCCTGCCTTAGTTAGATTCCAGCTATGTCAATTCTCATTTCTATTTCCTAATAGATAGTAAATAAGAATACATCTTATTAATTTTGACATCTCCCATCCAGGTACCTACAAGATTACTTTAAATGCACTAGGTTCATAAAATTGAACAGTTGAATTTATTACCCCATTGGTGGTCAAAAGAAAGTTTTGTCGAGGAATTTATCGATTTCTTCTAGATTTTCTAGTTTATTTGCGTAGAGGTGTTTGTAGTATTCTCTGGTGGT
The DNA here is from genome assembly GCF_000001405.40 of Homo sapiens. Classification (NCBI taxonomy): domain Eukaryota; kingdom Metazoa; phylum Chordata; class Mammalia; order Primates; family Hominidae; genus Homo; species Homo sapiens. The sequence continues at coordinate 1,410,835 of NC_000009.12, read as the reverse complement.
AGTTCGTATCTCTGTGGGATCGGTGGTGATATCCCCTTTATCATTTTTTATTGCGTCTATTTGATTTTTCTCTCTTTTTTTCTTTATTAGTCTTGCTAGCAGTCTATCAGTTTTGTTGATCCTTTCAGAAAACCAGCTCCTGGATTCATTAATTTTTTGAAGGGTTTTTTGTGTCTCTATTTCCTTCAGTTCTGCTCTGATTTTAGTTATTTCTTGCCTTCTGCTAGCTTTTGAATGTGTTTGCTCTTGCTTCTCTAGTTCTTTTAATTGTGATGTTAGGGTGTCAATTTTGGATCTTTCCTGCTTTCTCTTGTGGGCATTTAGTGCTATAAATTTCCCTCTACACACTGCTTTGAATGTGCCCCAGAGATTCTGGTATATTGTGCCTTTGCTCTCGTTGGTTTCAAAGAACATCTTTATTTCTGCCTTCATTTCGTTATGTACCCAGTAGTCATTCAGGAGCAGGTTGTTCACTTTCCATGAGAAGTTGAATCTCTGAATAGACCAATAACAGGCTCTGAAATTGTGGAAATAATCAATAGTTTACCAACCAAAGAGTCCAGGACCAGATGGATTCACAGCCGAATTCTACCAGAGGTACAAGGAGGAACTGGTACCATTCCTTCTGAAACTATTCCAATCAATAGAAAAAGAGGGAATCCTCCCTAACTCATTTGATGAGGCCAGCATCATCCTGATACCAAAGCCAGGCAGAGACACAACCAAAAAAGAGAATTTTAGACCAATATCCTTGATGAACATTGATGCAAAAATCCTCAATAAAATGCTGGCAAACCGAATCCAGCAGCACATCAAAAAGCTTATCCACCATGATCAAGTGGCCTTCATCCCTGAGATGCAAGGCTGGTTCAATATACACAAATCAATAAATGTCATCCAGCATATAAACAGAACCAAAGACAAAAACCAAATGATTATCTCAATAGATGCAGAAAAAGCCTTTGACAAAATTCAACAACACTTCATGCTAAAAACTCTCAATAAATTCGGTATTGATGGGACGTATCTGAAAATAATAAAAGCTATCTATGACAAACCCACAGCCAATATCATACTGAATGGGCAAAAACTGGAAGCATTCCCTTTGAAAACTGGCACAAGACAGGGATGCCCTCTCTCACCACTCCTATTCAACTTAGTGTTGGAAGCTCTGGCCAGGGCAATTAGGCAGGAGAAGGAAATAAAGGGTATTCAATTAGGAAAAGAGGAAGTCAAATTGTCGCTGTTTGCAGGTGACATGATTGTATATCTAGAAAACCCCATCGTCTCAGCCCAAAATCTCCTTAAGCTGATAAGCCACTTCAGCAAAGTCTCAGGATACAAAATCAATGTACAAAAATCACAAGCATTCTTATACACTGATAACAGACAAACAGAGAGCCAAATCATGAGTGAACTCCCATTCACAATTGCTTCAAAGAGAATAAAATACCTAGGAATCCAACTTACAAGGGACATGAAGGACTTCTTCAAGGAGAACTACAAACCACTGCTCAAGGAAATAAAAGAGGATACAAACAAATGGAAGAACATTCCATGCTCATGGGTAGGAAGAATCAATATCGTGAAAATGGCCATACTGCCCAAGGTCATTTATAGATTCAATGCCATCCCCATCAAGCTACCAAGGACTTTCTTCACAGAATTAGAAAAAACTACTTTAAAGTTCATATGGAACCGAAAAAGAGCCCGCACTGCCAAGTCAATCCTAAGCCAAAAGAACAAAGCTGGAGGCATCACGCTACCTGACTTCAAACCGTACTACAAGGCTACAGTAACCAAAACAGCATGGCACTGGGACCAAAACAGAGATATAGATCAATGGAACAGAACAGAGCCCTCAGGAATAACACCACATATCTACAACTATCTGATCTTTGACAAACCTGAGAAAAACAAGCAATGGGGAAAGGATTCCCTATTTAACAAATGGTGCTCAGAAAACTGGCTAGCCATATGGAGAAAGCTGAAACTGGACCCCTTCCTTACACCTTATACAAAAATTAATTCAAGATGGATTAAAGACTTAAACGTTAGACCTAAAACCATAAAAACCCTAGAAGAAAACCTTGGCATTACCATTCAGGACATAGGCATGGGCAAGGACTTCATGTCTAAAACACCAAAAGCAATGGCAACAAAAGCCAAAATTGACAAATGGGATCTAATTCAACTAAAGAGCTTCTGCACAGCAAAAGAAACTACCATCAGAGTAAACAGGCAACCTACAAAATGGGAGAAAATTTTTGCAACATACTCATCTGACAAAGGGCTAATATCCAGAATCTACAATGAACTCAAACAAATTTACAAGAAAAAAACAAACAACCCCATCAAAAAGTGGGCAAAGCACATGAACAGACAATTCTAAAAGAAGACATTTAGGCCGGGCGCGGTGGCTCACGCCTGTAATCCCAGCACTTTGGGAGGCCGAGGCGGGCGGATCACGAGGTCAGGAGATCGAGACCATCCCGGCTAAAACGGTGAAACCCCGTCTCTACTAAAAATACAAAAAATTAGCCGGGCGTAGTGGCGGGCGCCTGTAGTCCCAGCTACTTGGGAGGCTGAGGCAGGAGAATGGCGTGAACCTGGGAGGCGGAGCTTGCAGTGAGCCGAGATCCCGCTACTGCACTCCAGCCTGGGCGACAGAGCGAGACTCCGTCTCAAAAAAAAAAAAAAAAAAAAAAAAAAGAAGACATTTATGCAGCCAAAAAACACATGAAAAAATGCTCACCATCACTGGCCATCAGAGAAATGCAAATCAAAACCACAATGAGATACCATCTCACACCAGTTGGAATAGCAATCATTAAAAAGTCAGGAAACAACAGGTGCTGGAGAGGATGTGGAGAAATAGGAACACTTTTACACTGTTGGTGGGACTGTAAACTAGTTCAACCATTGTGGAAGTCAGTGTGGCGATTCCTCAGGGATCTAGAACTAGAAATACCATTTGACCCAGCCATCCCATTACTGGGTATATACCCAAAGGACTATAAATCATGCTGCTGTAAAGACACACGCACACGTATGTTTATTGGGGCACTATTCACAATAGCAAAGACTTGGAACCAACCCAAATGTCCAACAATGATAGACTGGATTAAGAAAATGTGGCACATATACACCATGGAATACTATGCAGCCATAAAAAATGATGAGTTCATGTCCTTTGTAGGGACATGGATGAAATTGGAAATCATCATTCTCAGTAAACTATTGCAAGAACAAAAAACCAAACACCGCATGTTCTCACTCATAGGTGGGAATTGAACAATGAGAACACATGGACACAGGAAGGGGAACATCACACTCTGGGGACTGTCGTGGGGTTGGGGGAGGGGGGAGGGATAGCATTAGGAGATATACCTAATGCTAAACAATGAGTTAATGGGTGCAGCACACCAGCATGGCACATGTATAGATATGTAACTAACCTGCACATTGTGCACATGTACCCTAAAACTTAAAGTATAATAATAATAAAATAAAATAAAATAAAAAGAAAGTTTTGAATTTAATAAGATCTAGTTTATTCTTCACAAAGGGAAAAAAATGCATTTGGAGAGTCTCAGCAACACATACAGAATGAAAATTTCTGAAAAATAATGAAATCAAATTAAGATTTTTCACATTTCTTGATTATAACACTTTAGTAATAACTATATCCATAGTAAGTGATGCATGTTGTTCTCACACTGCCCACCATTACTATAAAAATAAGATATTCTTGAATCTCAAGTTCTAAAAATAATATATGCTTTCTATTACTTGAGAAGTAATCTTATTTTCAACTGTAAGTCATTTTTGGAAAAGATTATTTTCAAAATTATCCCCAAATTTATTTGAGGTGTCTTATTACAACCCACAAATAGAAAGGGTGCTTGCAACAGCAATTGTTTCTTTTTTAAATAATCATTTTTGAAAACTTTAAAGGAAATAAAAATGAATTTTAAAAAGTATGTTTTACTTATTAACCATTTGGTGAAATGTAACAGTATGTCGAATTAAACGAAAAGTTTATAATATTTATTTTAAGGGTAAAAAAGTACCCACTCCAGGAGAAACAAGTTTAAAAATAAAATGGAATCAAAGAGGAAGTCCTATATCCCTTGAGGATGATGCCAAGGAATTGAAGAAGTTATGAGGAAAATACTTGTATTAATTTATACAGATGAAGTGCAAAAAATAAGGAAGAATAGTTCTCCTATATTCCATTCATGCCCCTTAGTAAACAGAACCACATAAACTCTTGTGTCCTTTCTGAGAAGTTCAGGACTTCAGTTTTTTACTCTACCCAACACTCTCCTCCCTGCCTGGCTGACTTGCCTTCATGGGACTACGTTTCTCTCTGGGTGGGGATAACACTTACTTGGGTGGCCTCACCTCTCTCCTAAGCCAGCAGCATTAAGGCTCAGGGGCACTGTCTTGAGCTTGTAGGTTCTGTGCAAAGTACAAACCAGGCAGGGCCTGGAGATCAAGGCACAGGCAAGATCTACTGGCTTCTTCGGCTCCCACTTTCCTCCTGAACAAGTTAGGTAGGACAAGCCAGGCCAGCCTCTTCCCTCAGCCTGTTTTCAGTGCTTGAGGGTTTGAAGGGAAGCATCACATCAATTTTCATTCCATCTTTGCTGTTACTAAAACTCATGCTTTGATAACCATCGTGAGGCTCCCAGGAGGCCTGTTAAAAGCATTTTGGGTGCATCAGTCTTCATTGTGCCAAACTGCTCTGAACAGAATGAGATGTCTCATTTCTCTGCCTCCTTCCATTGCATTTCAGGAATACCCCCAAACATGTGACCCCTAAAACACATTTCCACATATTTTCAAACCCTCTAGAAGAATGATAGAGCCCCTGTATCTAGGCCTCCTTTTGGTCCAAAATCAAAGCTGAGGACAGCTGAACCTTGACATCCCACACCAATAGTAAATTCTATATTTAACTTGTGATATTGGCGCCACCGCTGTTAATATAGCAGGATTGGTCAAGAAAATGTATCACTTTATCCCTGAGACATGCAAGGCACAATTCAAAAACTGCTCTTGCTCCACGAAACTCAAAGGAAAATATTGTCTCCACCTGGGAGCAGACTTAGCACTTCATAAACTCAAAAAAAAATGGCAAATAGAGTGTGCTTTTAAAATTAAACTGTTTCACACAGATGGTGGAAGGCTAATCCCAACCTACCTCACCCCCGTACTCCCTACATCCAAAACACACATGCAGAGAGAGTGGCTCCTACTATAGATGAGTTATTTGCATTCATATGGACAGTTTTGAGAGTGGAAGAAAGGAAGGATTTATATGAGGGAAATATATACTGAAGATTGACTTTTCAGGCAAATGCTTGTTAGTGTTGCACCGCTCCTTGGGGTATCCTGAGGTTGAGGATTTAATCAGGATTCTTGGAAAGCAGACTAAATTGTGACCACAGACAATAAATTATAGGCAATTAGGTCTACATTTGATCCATTTTCCAACACACTAAGCTTCACTTACAACCCGTCTTCAGATTCAGGTTTTTCTGCAAAGAGCAAACCTACCTTGCTTTTGAGAACATAGTTCATTGGAAATGAAATGTCTCTAGGTTGATATCCAGAAGCCCAGCCACAAACAAACCCAGATTATGTTTGCAGGCAGCAAGGTATTGGGTTACTGATTCCTTCCGGAGCATATCTGTTACAATCTAGTTGAAAGTCAGCTGGCCTGGCAGAGAAGCCCTCATTTGCAAAGGTGAAAAGAGAGGGTCATGCCAGTGGAGGAGGCTGCAGAACTAGCAGGTGTTTGTAGAAGCTACCAAACACGGGCTCTAGGCCTGGCTTCATCGAAATTACCTGGAGACACTGCTAGAAATACAACTTCCTGGGGTCCCACCTGCTAAGGCTGAATTGCATCCGTTCGAAATTCATACGTTGAAGTCCTAACACCCAGGATTCCAGAATATGACTGTATATGGAGACAAGGTCTTTAACGAGGTACTTAAGGTTAAATGAAGCTCTTGGGGTGGGCTCTAATCTGATTGGTGTCTTTAAAATGAAAGATTAGGACACAGACAAGCGCAGAAAGAAGACCATGTGGAGACAAAGAGGAGAAAATGGCCAGCTACAAGCCAAGAAGAGAGGCCTTCCGAGAAACCAACCCTGATGAATTTTTGGTCTCTGACAGCTTCCAGATTGGCAAGGGAATAAATGTCTGCTGTCTAAGCCACCTGCCAAAAAGTCTGTGGTACTTATTTATGCAGACCAAATACACTCCCCTAGGAACAGCAAATTAGATTCACTAGAGGTTGGAGGGAGGAGTGAGTTTAATACACCAGGGGTTAAGAACCAACAGCAAAGGCTTCTTCCCAAGAGGCTTAAATAACTGCTTTTGTCAACCAGAAGTCATGCAGGGACCCCTCATGTACAGAGTTGCTGAGGCTATAGAATTCACCTAGGCACAGGAGGGAGCTTTGCATGTTATTCTGTTTTAGCAATGGCCACATACTCAAGCCTTAGAGGAAATTATGCAGCCCTCCTATCCCTACTATTGAAATTATCCTGTTGGTTCACTAGCATCATGTTTCATGATTACTGCTCCCTGCCCCTAGATTTGCAACTTTGTATTTTATTTGCCTAGAAGAAAATTTGATGAGCACCGCCCCCTATCTGGGTGTGGATACAAGTATTTCTGTGGCCCAGACCCACTCCAATCACCACCATCTAAAAAATCTTTCACCCATTGAACTTCCTGGCCATGCGTCCATTTGTTAATTCAATAAATATTTACTGAGTACCTATAACAAGTTAGGCATATTCTGAATCCTCGAAACATAGCAGTTAAACTTTGCTGACTAAATTCCTGTTCGCGATGAGCTTAATTTCTTGTGGTGGAACCAGACAATAGGCAAATTTTAAAATACAAACATAATTCCAGGAAAATGTTGTATAAAAGAAGAGCAGGGTGATGAAACAGAGCAGTGGTTCTCAGAGTTTGATCCCTAAATTAGCAGTATCAGCATCATCGGGGAACATGTTAGGAAAGCAGATTCTCAGCCCTCACTGAAGACTTTCTGAATCAGATGCGCTGGGGGTGGGACCATCAGTCATACAGGTTGAAATTTGAGACCCACTGCTGTAATAGTGAATGATGAAGGGAGAGTTACTTTGGAATGGATGATTAGGAGTAGCCTCTAAGAAGATGACATCTGAGCCATGACCGAAATGGTCACTTGAACTAGAACATGCCCTGGTCTCAATGCCGCATAATGGTCACTTAAGGTCTCCTGAAGTCCTTGATCTTTATTTCATGCTTACCAAACACTCTCTGATTATAACTTCCCATCAGGGATGGCTTCCTGGCTTTGAGACCTGGGCAGCCACACAAGTCTCCATGCTCAGAACGGTCCCATGTGTGGTTTAATGCTCTGCTGTTGCCATCTTGAAATTCTTAGTAATTTTATCTTTGAATCTGTGTTTTGTAACTGAAATCCAATAGGACAATGGAGCAGGCACATGAACAAAGGAGATACAGGCAACGTGCATGCTCTTCCATTCACAAACAGCATTTGCAATGCCCCATGAGCCCAGAAGTCTGGTGGACTTCTAATTCATGGGCATTCAGCACAATCCAAAGGGAGTTTAATGTAAGCATGTTATGCCTACAACTGAATAAGCAGGGACACTGATAGCCCAGAGTGGCCATGCTCTCCATTCTAACTAGAACTTGCTTCAGATGCAGAAAGAATGCAATGATGTTCTAAGTAACAAGAACTACCAAGGAACCCTATTGTATATCTTCTTACCCATGTTATTTCTCTGTATTGCCCAACTACTTATGCTGAAAAATATGGCATAGACAGGAACATATAGGGAAACCCATAATTCCTTTTTCCTTTCAGTTCTTCCTTATTCCTCAGTAAGCCCAAAGTGAGGAGTGTTAGTACAAACTGGTGAATCAAGAAGTGAAAGAGAAACAATTGGGTTAGTTTTGTGCAGCCATTCCATTGTTCTTGTGAGAACAAAATACATATGCATGCGTGAGCTATGAAATACCCATTGTGTAATTTTCATGATTCCTATATGAGTTAAATGATCTTAAATTTGCCTATAAAACTAGCATTGTACAATATAAACAGTAAAATTCATGTTAATAATTTTTTATTGTTCTTCACTTAAAATGACATTAAACTGTAAATTTAAAATACCAAGTTGAGAGAAATACAAAGGAAGACAGGGAGAAGCCTTACCATTTAGTTCCTTTAATGAAATTTTTTTCCTGCTTTTTGAACAAGAAGACTCACATTTTCATTTTGCACTGGGCCTCATAAATTATGGAGCTGGCACTGCTTGCAATTAGAAAGCTGCCCACAGAGAGAGAAGGCACACTCCCCATGCTGGCACGAGCATTCCAAGACATGCAGCTGCTATATTTCTCTTTGTCACAAATGGGTCATCAGGTGGAGCATCCATCTTTAGGAAGGTGCCAGGTGGCACTGTTATCAGAAAGGTGCAGCTACATTCTTGTCAGTGAGGAAGCTGATAGCCTCCATAAATTAAAAAGGAAACTTTTGTCTTCAGCTCATACCCACATGCCACAATGGTAGCAGATTCTTTATGAACAGTCATGAGTGTAGCTTTCAAGATTGGGTACAATGTTGAGTCTTGAAAAACATGGTCTATCTTTTGTGAGACCACTGGGCCACTTCCCAACAAGCAAAAGATGGAAATAGGACTAGCTACACAGACAGTTCCCCGAAGAACAAGCACAGCACAAAAACATTAGTTTATTGACTTGTGCTAAAACATTGTACACACAGCCTGGTGAGACTTGAGTGGAGATTCAAATTGTTTAAAATTAAGAGGCTTTAGGGCCCTGTCTTACTTTTACATTCTACTAAAAACTCAAGTTACACTTACATGTAATGGACATGGGTTCCCCTTTCTCTAATCCACTTCCAAGTTACATTGCATACCTTTAACAACCAACCAATATGAAAAACAAGGGAAAGTCCTCTTGACTTCGCCTGCCCAGAGTTCAATACCAAACACTAAGAGGGACCTTCATTTACAGGCAGCTCCAAGACCTGGTGTGTGTCACCTCACACGGTCAGATACATTGCTCCAGCCACTTCGCTTCATAAGAAATCTGGGATCTCTCTCACATGTGGTGCCAGAGGAGGCACAAAGGCTGTTTTCATGGACTTCGGCAGGTTTACGAGGCTGAATGCGCCAAGATTTCGGGGTTATGGCACTATCCCACTCATTTCTTATTAGGATGTTCCTTCATCATTAGGAATTCCTTTCAGTCCCAAATGATTTCAGTCCTGTTATTGAGCCATTAGTTAACAGAAAGGGCTTAGAACCAAAATCCTTACCTCCCGGTCGAAGCCATTAGCTCTTGGAGATCGATTTTTATAAGTTTTTAAAATGCTGACCTTGGGGAATACGGTGTTCTATTAGGTGAAAACACGAGTAATGGATTTATTTTCCACCATCGAAATAAAGAAATAAATACCCTTTACTGATAATTAATGTGTGGGAAACATTCTGAAAGAGTTCAGAGGTGGGCTTTCTCCCCAGCTTCGCTAGAAAATAAAGAGCTGCCTCTTGTACTGCTGTTGCAGAGATGCTGGAGGCCAGCCAAATGGGGGAGCCCTGGCTCTGTCTCTAACCATCCTCATCTGCCTGACAGCTTCCTCTGCGGGCTGTTTCTTCATCTTCAAGGTTGGACTAGCTCAGAGGTTTTCCGACTGTGCTCCATGAAGTTCTTAAGAAAGAGGTTATTAAACCTTAGTGAACATAAAGGATCACTTGGGAAGTGTGTTCACAATTCAAATTCTTACCCCTGAGCTTCACATTCCATAGGTCAGGGAGGAAGGAGGACCCAGCCATCTAAATTATTAATATGTTCTTTGGCTGATTCTGACTCTGGGATTGTGGAGGTGCCCCTGAAGTTTTGGAGAGGAAGAGGGTGGATGTGAAAAGGGCCTTACCACCTCCACCACTGCATTGAGGAAAGCAGCTCAGTCTTCCTCTGTTTAAAGATTAAGCTCCCCACAAGATCAAGCTTGATTTAAAAAAAAACCTCAAAACCCAGCAATAAGGGTTGACAAGCCCAGGACTAAACGTCCTCTATGCTGTTTGCAGTACCACTGTCTAGGATTCCAGGAAGCCCATGGTGAAATGGGTTTAACTTGGAGTAGATACATGCAACACATTAATAGCTTTCACTCTTTCACTTGGAAACCTTCAGGTGTTTCCAGAGAAGAGACACTTCTCCCTAGACTCCAGGGCATTCATCAAACACTTCTCCTCACATAATTAAAAAAATAAAACGGAGGTACTTCACTTCCTTAAAAAAAATTCAATAATGGCTTATGGATTGAGCTGTGTCCCTCAAAAAGATATGTTGAAGTCCTAACCCCGAGTACCTCAGAATGAGACTTTAATTGGAAATAGGGCTTGTGCAGATGAGTTAAGATGAGGTCATACTGGAGTAAACTCTTAATCTAATATGACTGTTTTTTTTGTACCAACACAATGTGAAGACACGGGGTGGTGGCAGTGGCGGGGGAAGCCCTGTGATGAGGGAGGCAGAGATTGCAGTTATATAGCGCAGGCCAAGGATTGATAGTGACACCACAAACAAACAGAAGCACAAGAAACAGATTCTCCTGCTTACATCTTGATTTCAACTTCTAGCCTCCAGAACTGACAGAATTTATTGCTCTTGTTTAAGCCATCCAGTTTGCAGCACTTTGTTAAGGCATCACTAGGAAACTAATACAATTACTGAATTTACAAATGATAAAAATTATTCTTGCAAAGGTTGCTCTTTTATCTTAATTTAATTTTCAGGGCAGGAGTGTGAAAGATTATCCCAACTCTGTCCAGGCAGTTGTGAACCCTCTATCCACCATCTTTCAAAAACAGTAAGTTCTATCTCTGCACTGAGGCTCAATGTGATATTAAAACAATCTCTAGGTTACAGCAGGCCCTGTACACTCAGCATGTATCATCCTTTCACAAAAAGAGGTCATTAACTGGTGTTGGCCATGGAGTCAAACCTTTTTAAAAAATGTTTAAGAGGAATACATGATCTCTATATAAATAGATTTCAAAAGCTTGTGTTGCTACAGGGGGCAGGAAAACATTGTACTTTCTAAAGGTGCTGTGGAAATAGGTCATATTTACATTTAGAGAATAAAAAAGAACTTGCCATTTTTAATCTGATTGGATATTGTAGTAATTACAATGCCCATCAAAATACCAACCCATTGGCACTTATAAGCCATTGAGTTAAATTAGCTTCCTACTATTTTTTTATTATACTCTAAGTTCTGGGATACATGCGCAGAACATGCAGGTTTGTTACATACGCATACATATGCCATGGTAGTTTGCTGCACCCATCAACCCATCATCTAGGTTTTAAGCCCCACGTGCATTAGGTATTTGTCCTAATGCTATCCCTCCCCTTGCCCCCTACCCCCAACAGGCCCCAGTGTGTGATGTTCCCTTCCCTGTGTCCGTGTGTTCACATTCTCACTTATGAGTGAGAACATGCAGTGTTGGTTTTTTGTTCCTGTGTTAGTTTGCTGAGAATGATAGTTTCCAGCTTTATTCATGTCCCTGCAAACGATATGAACTCATTCTTTTTTATAGCTGCGTAGTATTCCATGGTGTATATGTGTCACATTTTCTTTATTCATCCTATCATTGAAGGGCATTTGGGTTGGTTCCAAGTCTTTGCTATTGTAAATAGTGCTGCAATAAACATACGGGTGCATGTGTCTTTATAGTAGAATGATTTATAATCCTTTGGGTATATACCCAGTAATGGGATTGCTGGGTCAAATGGTATTTCTAATTCTAGATCCTTGAGGAATCGCCACACTGTCTTCCACAATGGTTGAATTAATTTACACTCCCACCAACAGTGTAAAAGCATTCCTATTTCTCCATATCCTCTCTAGCATCTGTTGTTTCCTGACTTTTTAATGATTGCCATTCTAACTGGCGTGAGACAGTATCTCATTTTGGTTTTGATTTGCATTACTCTAATGACCAGTGATGATGAGCTTTTTTTCATATGTTTGTTGGCCACATAAATGTCTTCTTTTGAGAAGTGTCTGTTCCTACCGTTTGCCCACTTTTTGATGGGGTTGTTTGTTTTTTTCTTGTACATTTGTTTAAGTTCCTTGTAGATTCTGGATATTAGCCCTTTGTCAGATGGATAGATTGCAAAAATTTTCTCCCATTCTGTAGGTTGTCTGTTCACTCTGATGGTAGTTTCTTTTGCTGTGCAGAAGCTCTTCAGTTTAATTAGATCCCATCTGTCAATTTTGGCTTCTGTTGCCATTGCTTTTGGTGACTTAGTCATGAAGTCTTTGCCCATGTCTGTGTCCTGTAATGGTATTGCCTAGGTTTTCTTCTAGGGTTTTTATGGTTTTGGGTCTTACATTTAAGTCTTTGATCCATCCTGAGTTAATTTTTGTATGAGGTGTAATGAATGGTCCAGTTTCAGTTTTCTGCATATGGCTAGCCAGTTTTCCCAGCACAATTTATTAGATAGGGAATCCTTTCTCCATTGTTTGTTTGTGTCAGGTTTGTCAAAGATCAGATGGTTGTAGATGTGTGATGTTATTTATGAAGCCTCTGTTCTGTTCCATTGGTCTATATATCTGTTTTGGTACCAGTACCATGCTGTTTTGGTTACTGCAGCCTTGTAATATAGTTTGAAGTCAGGTAGTGTGATGCCTCCAGCTTTGTTCTTTTTGCTTAGGATTGTCTTGGCTATAAGGGCTCTTTTTTAGTTCCATATGAAATTTAAAGTAGTTTTTTCTAATTCTGTGAAGAAAGTCAGTGGTAGCTTGATGGGAATAACATTGAATCTATAAATCACTTTGGGTTGTATGGCCATTTTCACAATATTGATTCTTTCTATCCATGAGCATGAAATTTTTTTTTCATGTGTTTGTGTCCTCTCTTATTTCCTTGAGCAGTGGTTTGCAGTTCTCCTTGGAGAGGTCCTTCATGTCCCTTGTAAGTTGTATTCCTAGGTATTTTATTCTTTTGTAGCAATCGTGAATGGGAGTTCACTCATGATTTGGCTCTCTGTTTGTCTATTATTGGTGTACAGAAATGCTTGTGATTTTTGCACTTGATTTTGTATCCTGAGATTTTGATGAAGTTGCTTATCAGCTTAAGGAGTTTTGGGACTGAGACAATGGGCTTTTCTAAATGTACAATCATGTCATCTGCAAACAGAGACAATTTGACTTCCTATTTGAATACCCTTTATTTCTTTCTCTTGCCTGATTGCCCTGGCCAGGTTGTTCAATACCATGTTGAATAGGAGTGGCGCGAGAGGGCATCCTTGTCTTGTGCCGGATTTCAAAGGGAATGCTTCCAGCTTTTGCCCATTCACTATGATATTGGCTATGTGTCTGTCAGAAATAGCTCTTATTATTTTGAGATATGTTCCATCAATACCTAGTTTATTGAGAGTTTTTAGCATGAAGGAGTGCTTAATTTTATTGAAGAACTTTTCTGCATCTATTGAGATAATCATGTGGTTTTTGTCATTAGTTCTGTTTATGTGATGGATTACATTTATTGATTTGCATATGTTGAACCACCCTACATCCCAGGGATGAAGCTGACTTGATCGTGGTGGATAAGCTTTTTGATGTGCTGCCTGATTCGGTTTGCCAGTATTTTATGGAGGATTTTCACATCAATGTTCATCAGGGATATTGGCCTGAAATTTTCTTTTTTTGTTGTGTCTCTGCCAGGTTTTGGTATCAGGATGATGCTGGCCTCATAAAATGAGTTAGGGAGGATTCCCTTTTTTTCTATTGTTTGGAATAGTTTCAGAAGGAATGGTACCAGCTCTTCTTTGTACCTATGTAGAATTCAGCTGTGAATCCATCTGGTCCTGGGCTTTCTTTGGTTGGTAGGCTATTAATTACTGCCTGAATTTAAGAACTTGTTATTGGTCTATTCAAGGATTTGACTACTTCCTGGTTTAGTCTTGGAGGGTGTATGTGTTCACATTTTCTATTTTATTTGCATAGAGGTGTTTATAGTATTCTCTAATGGTAGTTTGTATTTCTGTGGGATCAGTGGTGAGACCCTCTTTATCATTTTTTATTGTGTCTATTTGATTCTTCTCTCTTTTCTTCTTTATTAGTCTCGCTAGCAGTCTATCTATTTTGTCAATCTTTTCAAAAAATCAGCTCCTGGATTCATTGATTTTTTGAAGGGATTTTCATTTCTGTATCTCCTTCAGTTCTGCTCTGATCTTAGTTATTTCTTGGCTCAAGCTAGCTTTTGAATTTTTTGCTCTTGCTTCCCTAGTTCTTTTAATTGTGATGTTAGAGTATTGAATTTAGATCTTTCCTGCTCTCTCCTGTGGGCATTTAGTGCTATAAATTTCCCTCTAAACACTGCTTCTGCTGTGTCCCAGAGATTCTGGTACGTTGTCTCTTTGTTCTCATTGGTTTCAAAGAACTTACTTATTTCTTGTAGGTTTCAAAGAACTTATTTATTTCTGCCTTAATTTCATTATTTACCCAGTAGTCACTCAGGAGCAGACCATTCAGTTTCCATGTATTTGTATGGTTTTGAGTGAGTTTCTTAATCCTGAGTTCTAATTTGATTGCACTGTGGTCTGAGAGAGTGACTGTTATGATTTCCTTTCTTTTGCATTTGCTGAGGAGTGTTTTACTTCCAACTAAGTGGTTGATTTTAGAATAAGTGCTATGTGGTGCTGAGAAGAATGTATATTCTGTTGATTTGGGGTAGAGAGTTCTGTAGATGTCTATTAGTTCAGCTTGGTCCAGAGCTGAGTTCATGTCCTGAATATCCTTGTTAATTTTCTGACTCATTGATCTGTCTAACATTGATTGTGGGGTGTTAAAGTCTCCCACTACTATTGTGTGGGAGCCTAAGTCTCTTTGTAGGTCTCTAAGCACTTGCTTCATGAATCTGCATGCTCCAGTATTGGGTGCATATATATTTAGAAAAGTTAACTCTTCTTGTTGCATTGATCCCTTTACCATTACATAATGCCCTTCTTTGTCTTTATGATCTCTGTTGGTCTAAAGGCTGTTTTATCAGAGACTAGGATTGCAACCTCTGCTTTGTTTTGCTTTCCATTTGCTTGGTAAATATTCCTCTGTTCCTTTATTTTGAGCCTATGTGTTTCTTTGCAAGTGATATGGGTCTCCTGAATACAGCACACCAAAGGGTCTTGACTCTTTATCCAATTTGCCAGTCTGTGTCTTTTAATTGGGTCATTTAGCCCATTTACATTTAAGCTTAATATTGTTATGTGTGAATTTGATCCTGTCATCATGATGCTAACTGGTTATTTTGCACTTTAGTTGATGCAGTTTCTTCATAGTGTCATTGATCTTTATATTTGGTATGTTTTCGCAGTGGCTGGTACTGGTTTTTCCTTTCCATATTTAGTGCTTCCTTCAGGAGCTCTTGTAAGGCAGGCCTGGTGTGGCCAAATTTCCCAGCATTTGCTTGTCTGTAGAGAATTTTATTTCTCTTCATTTATGAAATTCTGGGTTGAAAAATCTTTTCTTTAAGAATGTTGAATATTGGCCCCACTCTCTTCTGGCTTGAAGGGTTTCTGCCGAGAGATCTGCTAATAATCTAATGGGCTTCCCTTTGTAGGTAACCTGACCTTGCTTTCTGGCTGTTCTTAATATTTTTTCCTTCATTTCACCCTTGGTGAATCTGACGATTATATGTCTTGGGGTTGCTCTTCTCAAGGAATATCTTAGTGGTGTTCTCTGTATTTCCTGAAATTGAGTGTTGGTCTGTCTTGTTAGGTTGGGGAAGTTCTCCTGGATAATATCCTGAAGTGTGTTTTCCAACTGGGTTCCATTCTCCCTGTCACCTTCAGGTACACCAATCAATCATAGGTTTGGTCTTTTCACATAGTCCCATATTTCTTAGAGGCTTTGTTCGTTCCTTTTCATTCTCTTTAATCTTGTCTTCATGCTTTATTTCATTAAGTCGATCTTCAATCTCTGATATCCTTTCTTCCATTTGATCAATTTGGCTATTGGTACTTGTGTATGTTTCACGAAGTTATCATGCTGTGTTTTTCAGCTCCATCAGGTCATTTATGTTCTTCTCTAAACTGGATATTCTAGTTAGCAGTTCCTGTAACCTTTTATCAAGGTTCTTAGCTCCCTTGCATTTGGTTAGAACATGCTCCTTTAGCTCTGAGGGGTTTGTTATTACTCACCTTCTGAAGTCCACTTCTGTCAATTCATCAAACTCATTCCTTGTCCAGTTTTGTGCCTTTGCTGGTGAGGAGTTGCAATCATTTGGAGAAGAGGCATTCAGGTTTTTGGAATTTTCAGCATTTTTATGCTGGTTTTTCCTCACCTTTACGGATTTATCTACCTTTGATCTTTGATGTTGATGACCTTTGGATGGGGTTTTTGCGTGGGTGTCCTCTTTGTTAATGTTGATGTTATTACTTTATGTTTGTTAGTTTTCCTTCTAACAGTCAGGCCCCTCTTCTGCAGGTCTGCTAGAGTTTGCTGGAGGTCCACTCCGGACCCTGTTTGCCTGAGTATCACCAGCGGAGGCTGCAGAACAGCAAAGATTGCTGCCTGCTCCTTCCTCTGGAAGTTTTGTCCCAGAGGGGCACCTGCCAGATGCCAGCCAGAGCTCTCCTGTATGAGGTGTCTGTCAACCCCTGCTGGGAGTTGTCTCCCAGTCAGGAGGTACGAGGGTCAGCAACCTACTTGAGGAGGCAGTTTGTCCCTTAGCAGAGCTCAAGTGCTGTGCTGGAGGATCCGTCGCTCTCTTCAGAGCCGACAGGCAGGAAGGTTTAAGTCTGCTGAAGCTGCACCCACAGCTGCTCCATCCCCCAGGTGCTCTGTCCCAGGGAGATGGGAGTTTATCTATAAGCCCCTGACTGGGACTGCTGCCTTTCTTTCAGAGATGCCCTGCCCAGTGAGGAGGAATCTAGAGAGGCAGTCTGGCCACAGCCACTTTGCTGCGCTGCAGTGGGTTCCACCCAGTCCAAACTTCCCGGTAGATTCCTTTACACCCTAAGGGGAAAACCACCTTCTCTTCTCAAGCCTCAGTAATGGTGGATGCTTCTCCCCACACCAAGCTCCAGCATCCCAGGTCAACTTCAGACTGCTGTGCTGGCAGTGAGAATTTCAAGCCAGTGGATCTTAGCCTGCTGGGCTCTGTGGGGGTGGGACCCAATGAGCAAGACCACTTGGCTCCCTGGCTTCAGCCCCGTTTCCAGGGGAGTGAACGGTTCTGTCTCGCTGGGGTTCCAGGTGCCACTGGGGTATGAAAATAAACTCCTGCAACTAGCTTGGTGTCTGCCCAAACAGCCACCCAGTTTTGTGCTTGAAACCCAGGGCCCTGGTTGTGTAGGCACACAATCTGCGGGTTGCAAAAACCATAGGAAAAGCATAGTATCTGGGCCGGATAACACAGTCCCTCACAGCTTCCCTTGGCTAGGGAGGGAGGTCCCCGGCCCCTTGCACTTCCTGGGTGAGGTGATGCCCCACCCTGCTTCTGCTAGCCCTCCATGGGCTGCACCCACTGTCTAACCAGTACCAATGAGATGAACCAGGTACCTCAGTTGGAAATGCAGAAATCCCACGCCTTCTGTGTTGGTCTTTCTGGGAGCTGCAGACTGGAGCCCCTCCTATTCACCCATTTTGCCAGATTCACTGCAAAGCACTTTTGCCTCCTACTATTATTAAGGAGCCTGAAATTAAATTTTAAAATATTTTTAAAGTACAGTACATTTTAATGGTATCCTAATTTTTATGAGGGACTCAAAGGTGAATCCAAATTTCACAATTAGAACATTCATTGTTATTCTGTAAGGAAAGCAAACAAATAGGAATTCAATTTTAGAAAAAGGTGTAGTCAGATCTCATAAATATAATCAAATGTAGCCATTAGATTTTGCATGCCAACAATACCGAAGATCATTAGAAAAGAGTAAAACTTCTCCTTTGCTTTAAGTTTTTCACTTTGTTTTTATGAATCATGTCATGCGTATCTACAAATCTATAAGATGAAAAGAAAAGGAACTGGCTTTCTTCCCATCTGGTTCAGTAAGTCCCCTATGAGACAGTCCCCTACTGGATGGGTCTCTCCTCTCTTCCACCAACCCCTTGCTTTTCTGAATTTCCTACTTTAATTTTTGACAGATGCAAACCTGAAGTTCAGGGAGCTATAATCCCATTCCATTGTCTCAAGAGATAACTTCCATTGTTTCAAGTGAGAATTGTTTACACTTGTACTGTGACATAAGCAAATCTGTGACATGGCAACACAAACTATCAGGAGTATAAATTGGAGATGATGATTTTCATCCCATAGTGATTCATAATAAGACTCTCTTTAATAATACCTGACATTAATATATGTAAAATTTAATTAAATGAACAAGAATTCTGTTTTCATAAAACTTTTAGAACCTCAAGTAATATATCAAGCGAAGTAACTTGGTTTGTATTATCATATATACTAATTTGTCTCGACACTCATTGAGAGCCCATAGTGTGCCAATAACTGTTTGGCACTACGTACACAGGTGAATAAGATGCAGACCTTAGCATAAGAATACTTCATGCAATCACATCTCATAAATAAGTACAACAGAAGTGACGGGAATGAACACTTGTTTGTGGAAAGAAAATACCTTGACAAAAATCCCTAGGTTTTGCTGATGGCTGCATGAGAGTCAGCCTAGTTTTTATCTTTCTCTCCCACTCTCCTGCTTTACTGCACCAAAAGATTCTGAGTCACTGTCCACCTGCATACAGAACAGAGAGCCATCTCAGTAGCAGGATTTGGGATTATTGATTCTGAATGATCCAGGAACGTCAAGGAGCTACAAAGCTGACGAATCTCCAGTTTAGGTGAAGGTAGTTATAAATCAGCATATTTTCATTTGTACAGTTCTATAGCTGGACTAGATCCACTTCTATGTGTTACTTTTATCAGGCAAAGATTTTCAGGTCATCAATATTTCCCATTCAATTACTCCATCCTTCGTATTCCTAATGTATCCACATTAAGATTAATATTAAATTGATTACCTTGTATGCATTATCAATTAATAAAAGATATGTTTGTTATTGTTGTGTTGGCTGCAGGCATCAGAAATTAATTCTGATTAATTTAAGCAAAGAGTAGTAATTTGCTGGAACTAAAGGAATTGTTGAATAGGGAAGTCTTGAGAAAATAGACACCAAGACATCCCTAAAGTCTCCATGACTGTGCTCTCTCTAAAGAGCTAATTTACTCTTAACTAGGCTTCAAGCAGCCCTAGGTACCTGAACACTTCAGTCCCCATCTCACATTTCTAGGAGCAAGAACCTAGTTTGCCCAATTTGGATCAAGTGCCTACCCCCAGAACAAGAGCAGGATCGGTATTCATCATGCCTATTCGCAGAGAGGAGTGAATGCTTGTAAACCTAGAAGTTATCTTTTGCATTAAAGTAAGTTTTTAAAATATTAAATATTAACTATCTTTTTTTTCTTTGAGACAGGGTCTCATTCTGTCACCCAGGCTGGAGTGCAGTGACATGATCACGGCCCACTGCAGCCTTGACCTCGCAGGCACAAGCAATCCTCCTACCTCAGCCTCCCAAGCAGCTGGGACTACAGGCACACATCACCATGCTGGCTATTTTTTAAAATGTTTTTGTAGAGACTGGGTCTTACTATGTTACCCAAGCTGTTTAACTCTGTTTAAGGAGTTAAGTTTCTTAGTTTACCATACTGATTCTTTTCTGAGACTTATTCTGGATATAAAAAAACACAACTTACAACCACAATGAGGTTTCATCTCACAGCTCTCAGAAGGGCGATGTCAAAAAGACAAATAGTCCGCGCATGGTGGCTCATGCCTGTAATCCCAGCACTTTGGAAGGCTGAGGTGGGTGGATCACCTGAGGTGAGGAGTTCAAGGCCAGCCTAACCAACATGGTGAAACCGCGTCTCTACTAAAAATACAAAATTAGCCAGGCAGGGTGGCACATGCCTGTAATCCCAGCTACTTGGGAGGCTGAGGCAGGAGAATTGCTTGAACTCAGGAGGCAGTTTGTTGTGAGCCAAGATTGCATCATTGAACTCCAGCCTGGGCAACAAGAGCGAAACTCTGTCTCAAAAAAATAAAACAAAACGAATAATAAGTGTTGGTGAGGATGTAGAGAAAAGGGAACCCTTTTACACTGTTGGCTGAAATGTAAAATAGTATAGCCATTATGAAAAACCATATAGAGGATCCTCAGAAAACTAAGAATGTAATTACTGTATGTATTTGAAATCAGTTTGTCAAAGAGATGTCTGCACCCCCATGTTCATTGCAGCATTATTCACAGTAGCCAAGTTATGGGATAACTAAGTGTTCATTAACAGATACACTGATAAAGAAAATGTGGTATATATCCACAATGGAATGCTATTCAACCTTTAAAAAGAAGGAAATTCTGTCATTTACAACATGGATGGAACGGGAGAACATTTTGTTAAGTGAAATAAACAGACACAGAAAGCCAAATACTGCATGTTCTCACTTATCTGTGGAATCTAAAACAATTGAAGTCATAGAAACAGAGGACGATGGTGGTTACAGAGGCTGGGGAATGGGATTGTGGAGAGGGTCAAAGCGTACAAAATCTCAGACAGGAGGAACATAGCTTTTACTTTTTCAGTTCTATTGCACAGGATGGTGAATATAATTAATAATAGAGTATGGTACATTTTCAAATGGCTAAGATAGTAAATTTCAAATGTTCTCACCACAAAAAAAATAATAAATATTTGAGATGGTGGATATGTTAACTAGCCTGATTTAATTATTCCATATTATATTAATAAGTTCCAACATCATTTTGTACCCCATAAATTCATACCATTATAAATTGTCAATTTACAAAAAAAAAATTTCATTGCAGTATTTACCCAAAGGAATATAAATTGTTTTACCATAAAGCCCCATGCACGCATATGTTCATCACAGCACTATTCACAATAGCAAAGACATGGAATCAACCTAAACTACCTTCAGCAGTAGACTGGATTTTTAAAAAATATGGTACATATACACCATGGAATACTACTCAGCCGCAAGAAAGAACGAGATCATGTTCTTTGCAACAACGTGGATGGAGCTGGAAGCTTTTATCCTAAGCAAACTAACATGGGAACAGAAAACCAAATACTGCATGCTCTCATTTATAAGTGGGAGTTAAACACTGAGTACACATGGACACAAAGGCAGGAACACCAGATATCAGGGCTTAGTTGAGGATGGAGGGTGGGAGAAGGGCGAGGATAGAAAAGCTACCTATCAGGAACTATGTGTATCACCTGGGCAATCAAATAATCTGGACACCAAACCCCCATGACACACAATTTACCTATATAACAAATCTGCCTGAACCTAAAATAAAGGTTTAACTTTTTTTTTTTTTTTTTTTTTTTGAGACAGAGTTTCGCTCTGTCACCAGGCTGGAGTGGAGTGGCATGATCTCGGCTCACTGCAACCTCCGCCTCCCGGGTTCAAGCGATTCTCCTGCCTCAGCCTCCCGAGCAGCTGGGACTGCAGGCACCCGCCACCACGCCCGGCTAATTTTTGTATTTTTAGTAGAGACAGGGTTTCATCACGTTGGCCAGGATGGTCTCTATCTCCTGACCTCATGATCCACCCACCTTGGCCTCCCAAATTGCTGGGACTACAGGCGTGAGCCACCACGCCAGGCCAGGAAAATGTTTTAAAAACCCGCAACTATGGGGACTGCTTGGGAGGAAGGTGAGAGGTGCAAAGGTATGAAAGAAGATGAGCATAACCAACAACGTGACAGTCTACGCTCACCTGAACACTGAGATACTTTGTGATTTATTTTCCAGCCTATGGACACAGAGACTGATAAGTAAAAGTCACTTAGAATAATAAACAGATCGGAATTCCAGAGTCAACAGGACAGAATGAGTTTACTCCAAAAGCCCTGACTAGAGCATTCTGTTCCACTAAATTCCCAGCAGAGTGATCCCTCCGAATCCATGCCTCATGCTATTTCCAGTATTGTCTGATGAGGAGACGGTACTTTTCTTTGTGACTGATTAAAAACAAAAACAAACAAATAAAATCTTTATTTCAAAATACGGGATAAGGAGGAAGCAGGGACTCTGGATTGACATATGAAGACTGTCTAAATATAGAAATTTACTTCTTCAAGCAGCAAACGAGTCTCCTGTTTCTTTCTGTTGGAAAGGTTGCTTGATGAGCTAGGTTTTGAATTACATGAAAAGACTTATACACAGAGAAAGCTTTGAGTCTAATGAGAAATGTCAAATGGAAAATGTAACTAAAAGCGTCTTACTCAAAAAATCCCTGCTGATGAAACCTGAAATCAATATTGATGAATTTGGCTTCCCCAATTTTTGCTGAGTGGAATGAACTGGGTTGGTAGGAGAGGTTATTTTAGCTGCATTTTCTCGGCATGCCAGTAGAGTTTTTTCCAGCATTCTTCCAGCCACACATGTGGCATACATTTATTATTTACAATACATACACAGAAAGCGCTTGATTGATGAGATAACCTCTTTTTCAGAAAGATCTTTTCCAAATGGGCCTTTATGCTATATGTGTTAAATGAAGCACCATAAAGTCAATAAGATACACTTTTTCACCCCTAGGTTTTATTCCTGATAAAAATATTACAAGGGTGATTTTTTGCAGACAGTATGTGATGTAAAATATGGTCACAGATAAATATACATTGTGCCTCTTTTTTTTTTGCTTTACATGTTCCCTAATATGTTATATACAGTGTGTATACAGACTTATGTAAATATGGGGGGGAGACAGAGAACGAGGGGGAGAGATTGAGATTGGGATTGTTTCTGGATAAAATGCACTCATATAAAGTAGATAATTATATTCATGGAGATTTTAATCCATACTTAGATATTTATATTGTACTATTATATTGAATGAGAACTATGAAAAATATTTGAAGTGGAATCTGTGGAGTTTTGTAAATGTTTTAAATTTAATTTTGAAACATTAGTATTGCACAACGTCAAATTTACATCATTTGGTTAGATATGGTTTTGAATCTGACCATGTCCAAATATAGTTCTGTTTTGCTTTAAGACTTTTTAAGATATATATATATATAATATATATAATATTACATATATATATAATATATATAATATTACATATATATTATATATATATATAGAGAGAGAGAGAGAGAGAGAGAGCTGGGAATTTTCACTTAAAAAAAAAACCTGTTTCCTTCTCAAATCATTACATTACAGTCTTCCTTCTAATAGTATTCTCCAGGAGTACATTTCATGGGCAGTTATATTTACAAAAATATAATATGCAGATACTTGTATACATGTGTGTATATGAATATATATTTATTCATTTGTGATATATACTCATTTATACATAAATATGTATAGGATATTATATATATGAACATGTTC
This sequence comes from Homo sapiens, assembly GCF_000001405.40. Lineage (NCBI taxonomy): Eukaryota > Metazoa > Chordata > Mammalia > Primates > Hominidae > Homo > Homo sapiens. Next base: position 1,387,309 of record NC_000009.12, on the reverse strand, counting down.
TATATATAAACATCAGGGATTATATATAATTGGACATAATATTTAACATTCATAACTACTATCAGCCATTATTATAGATTACTTACATGTATTTATTTATGCTGCATAACTTTCATGAAATAGGCATTATTTTATTATTCTTATCTTACAAATGATAAAATAGAGGCACAGATAGGTTTTACAACTTGCCTTAGTTCTCCCTCTAGATAGCTGAGCCAGGATTAATACCCAGGGAACCACAGGCAGAGAGTGCATGCTCATCCACCTGCTGTAGAGCAAGGGTCAGCAAAGTTATTCTGTAAAGACCCAGCTAATACGCACTTTAGGCTTTGTGGGCAACCGATAATTTCTGCTGCATAGTTGTCATTTTTTTTTTTTTTTTTTTTTTTTTTTTACATTTTAAAATGTCACTTATGGACTATTACAAAAACAGGCCATGAAACAGATTTGGCCCATAGATGATTATTGCCAAAATATCTCACACAATAATTTTTAAATGTATACCTAATACATGTAGACAAGGTGGCATTATTTTGTTGACAGCATAGTTTCTTCCAAAGGCCCTCCAGCCACCTTTTCTTAGGATTAAACACTAGGGAACTGACTTCCCCATCCTTTAACTACCCACGTGGTTGGGCTCCTAACAGTCCAGTTCTTCTAATGTGACCCCGCCCATCCAGCCTCAGCTCATTGGTCCAGGGTGATCATGTGGCCAAACCTGGGTCAGAGAATTGGGAATTCTTATGTTGAAGGATATTTTCCACTGATACTGGTGGAGGTTCTTGTGTTGAATGAAACCGGAGGCTTCTCAATTGCCATGGTTTCCACCACAGAAACTGGAGAAACAGGGAAAGCCAGTCTGCAAAGAGACCAAATGCGGAGAGGGAAGCGCAGAGATGACAGATGGAGAAAGAAGCCTGACAGTGAGCCCTTCCTTCAGTTTATTCCTGACTCCCAGCTGCATGCTCATTTTTGGATTTCCTGAGAAAACTCATATTTCCTGGTAATACATTTCCTTTTACTCCCCAGCTATCTGGCATTAGTCTGTTGATTATAACCAAAACTAATACTTTTTACACATTCTTATCATATTTAATTAGCTAACATATTTTAGACATGGAAATTTGTTCTAAGGGAATTGGCTCAATAAGAGTTTAAGGAGGTGCATGCTTTAAGATTACTCAAGATGTTTTTAGTTCATGCAGCTCCATTTAAACATTTAAGATACCTCTTTAAAGTAAGGCACCAATGAAACTAAACACTTCAACAAAATGTTGTAGTTCACCAACAGCCTTCATCTTTCCCATCACTTCCCACAGCAGTGGCAGTCACTCAAAGACCAGAACTTGATGTACAGGGAAGTTCAACAAATGTTAAAATTCCTACCATGTTTTCAACACTTTTCTCACCTTAGGCTGACACCCATTACCTGGAGCAGTGCCTGGGCCAGAGTAGTAACCCAACACATATTGAGTTTTTTAAAAAGGTAAACTGAGGCACAATAAAATTTTTTTTTAAAAAGAGTTATTTGAGCAAATGACAATTCATTAATCACGCAGCTTCAAACCAGAAGTGGTTTGGGAGATCCACCAAGAGAACACAGTGGGAGGCTTTCACAGAGGTAAAGCAAAGAATGTATTTGATTGGTTATAGTTACATAGTTGTCCTGTTTGGTCTCTCCCACTGGAAAGTTCCTAGTGATATAATTATAAGTTAGTTGGCAGCTTCTGATTGGTTGAGCTTAAGTTTCTTTAATATAGGCACTTATGAGAAATAACTCGTTTTGTTTCTGTTTGCAAATCAAGCAAGGTTGAGCTTACTCTGGGCGTTCTTCAGGCCTGGTCTCTGTTTTAATTTACTTTAACAAGTTGAAAGAATCAATAAATGTGTATTTTAATACTTTTTAAATGTTTAACCACACTCAAAAGATGCCTGTTTATTTGAAAGATATTTTTAGTTTAGGTAACTAGTCATTAAAAAGTGATGTATTTAAACTTAAAATTTTGCAAAAAGAAAATAAAATCCTAGGTAGAAGTAAGGAAAAGGGGGAAATCAGGCTGAAGCGAATCTTTTTAAGATGCTATGCTTAAGTGAAAATGTAATGAATGAGGCAACCAATGAAAAGGGTTTTTTTTTTTATGTTTTTGGTGCTATTTAAAGTAAATTCAGTTGCAACAATGCATATAGAATTTTCAAATTCTTTGGAAACATTCATGTGTGGAGTTAATGGGAGCTATTTCTTCATCCTCTCTTCTCCTGGAAGCCATATAAAATCGTCACACTTTCAGGGCAAATGGCAAACATGTCTCTTTTTTTAAATGTGTTTTGAAGAAAAGCCAAGGAATTGGCCATCCTGGTGAGATCAGTTCCTGCTTTCGTGAGTTTAGCTCCACCAGCCAAATGAATTGACTTACACAGATGAAATGCTGTATGGCAAAGTGATTTCTTTCTTTAGACAATTCATAGGTGTGGAGATTTTCTAAGTGAATAATCACATGGACTTTTCGGAGTTTTGCCGTGTATCACCTTCCAAAGAGGCCATTATGAGTCCTATCGAGTCCTCTGCACTGAACCAATGAAATTGATGATAATTTGCCATCAAACATCAGTTGGATACCACACATTTACTATTACATATTCCTACGTGTATGCTTGCGGATTTTTTGTTTCAAGTACAAAACACCAGAAGATGTATTCTGCCATTTCCACAGCTAGTCTTCTTTCATTTCCTCCCACCACACGAGTGCCTTCAATTGCTCTTTAACTCTACCCCCTTCAAGTCAGGAGGTCATTTGGAAACGGTCCCATTTGAAAAGTAAGAATCTATATTTAAAACACAGAAATCCACTCTTCAGGGTTTGAAGGTATTTTTATTTGAGCACTCAGTCTATAATGACCATTGAACATCAGTTGCCAAACTACTTCTCTTGGGATCCTTTTTGTTTCTTTCTTATTACACAGAATAACAGCTCTTTGGTGCTCATTTCCTGAAGAAGATTACTTTTCAGTATCAGACTTCGCCAACAAGACTTTTCCGAGCCAAGGACTGCAAATTTACATCATAGTTAAACTGGGTGACTTTCCAGGTAATACTGACTATAGCAGAAAACAAACAAACAAAGTCTTTGGTGAGCTTTTCCACTGCATATTTATTGCTCCTCATAAATAAGTATTTCACTGGACATTCTCATCTAAGAGAGAGAAATTTAGCCAAGGGTGGTGATGCAACTCCCAGCCAGGACTTAGGGGCTCGCCAAAAGTGGGGGAAACATCCATGACTTAGAGTGAATTCTTGCCAGTTAGTAAGGGACATGGAGTGTTCCAAAGGCTTTCAAGATATCCCACTTCATTGCAGGTGATTGCTTAATATAGAGAGTCACTCAGGCATGGTCCACAACCGATATAAATCAACACACATGGAGAGACTATGTTATTAAGGTGAGAAAGGAGAAGGCAATACTAGACTTGGGGTCACCATCTGACTTTGAATCTGGACTATTAAGACTTGCTAGCTACTTGTATTGACAAGATATTCGACCTCAGTGAGGGTCAGTTTTCCTTATCTGTTAATTGAGCATCATATCTAGTTCACAATCTTACTTTAAGAGCTAAATAAAACAATCTGTGTGGAAACGTTGAGCCAGTACAACAAGCACACAATAATGAATCAAATTTTTCTCTAACAGCATCCAGAGGGCAAAATAACAGCTGGCATGGCCACCAAGTAACTAAGCTCATAGAAAACTGCAAATCCACATGTTTTCCAGAATGGACACTTTTCCTGTAGCTAAGAATTTATAGAATTTCTGTGTCACTAATTAATGCAATAAGGGGATAGAGGACTCCTAGAATGCATGTAGGGTACACTTAAAATCCAACAACAATGTTAGGAAAAGACCCTGCTGTAAAAACATTGAAATTAATTAAACTCCCTGCAGGACTAGAAGTGTAGGCATCTCTTATATTTTCCAGTTTAAAGATTGCTTATCTGGTGTAGTTTGGGTTCCTCAGGAAACAGACTTTGGAATGAAGATTTGCATGAAGGGAATTAATTGGGGAATAACTTCACTGAGGAAGCAGGAAATCAGAATTGGATAAAGGAAGAGTTAAACTATAGAGTAGTAGTAACAACCTCAGCCAATTCCTCAGAAGTTTCTAAAGCTGGAATGGCCCATCAATGGTGTTCCAAATTGAAGCAATGGAGGCCAGACATTTGTCCCCACACCTTGGCCAGTCATTGAGTGCAACCTGCATCCAGAGAGAGGTGTAAACCTGGGAGAGGCACCTTTACTCAGCTGAGGGCATTTCTCCAAAAGGAGCTCAGTCACAAATGATCAGCAGCCATCACTTGTGGCAGCTGGAGAAATAAGTACCTCATTCCTAAAGTCAAACCTGGGTACATCACAGATTTAGTAGGGACCACACCTTGTCACTCAAAACCAATAGCTGCCTATAGTGAGTATACTCCATCAGAAAACAACTCCCATGGAATCTTTCTGGTTTGTGTCTATTCCTGTGGACACTTTCAGGTTGGCAGTTATTGAGACAAATTAGAACTTCTGCGATTGTAGATGGTCATGGGGTGTACACCTGGTACTCACTGTATCCTTTCTGCACCATCCATTCTAAATTCCCCTTACCTTCTGCTAGCACCTCTGCAGGGTTTGATGGTTTACCAATCGGAGACACAGGCCCTCATCCCTAAGGGGTCTGAACCCCTGGTCCACATGTCCTTTTCAGGCTGTAGCTGCTGCACTTGTCCATTTACTATTAAAATTGTATAGGAGAGAACCAAGAAACATCCCATTAGAGCACCTGGATGCCAAAGGCACTCTGACATGCCTCCATTGTATAAAAGCAGCCCTGTCTTATCCTAAGGTTCAGGATCAATGACTCTTGCTGGGACGAGGACTCATTTTCTCACCTTCTGATCTCGTAGCACAAGCAGCCCAAAGTGACTGGGTGGCAGCCTAGTTTAAAATGTAGTAGGATCCTTGTCATGTCCTCAGTGCACATATTCTGCCTTTGAGAGTCTCTAAGATCAAACTGAAGAGATTAGAGTTGCAAAAACATGAAGCATAAATTCCTCCAGGTAAATCACAAATAAGATAGGCTACCCTTAACATCCAATCCTTGCTTGGTTCCTAGACCCTAGAGCCTTTGTGAATTAATATGGGGCATATTCCAACTTGCAGGATGGTACTCCTTCCCTGCAGGGTACCACCTCCAAACTGGCACCTCAACTATACCTTCAAAAGGGTGATTCCGCTTCTCTAGCAGGTTGATGGCTTCTGAGTGGTGTGGCATATGATAGGACCAGTGGACCCTGTAGTCATGTGCCACTGCCTCTTTTGATGATATGAGTTAGCCTCATGTCTGAGGCAATATTATGTGATACCTTGTTTCAGTGAATGAAACACTATATAAGGCAGCAGATAGTGATGGTGTTCATGGTCCTTCCATTAAGAAAGGCAGTCCCCAAACCTAAAATTATGTCAATTCCTTCCCCCTCTGAGTGAAAGAGGTCCACAGTGGTGGCTGCTTGGTTTTGAAAAGTAGTGCTGTATCAGAGGCTCAGGTTGGACAGGTTGGTAGTTTGGACATTCAGCAACAGTAATAGCTAGAACAACATTGGTGAGTGGAAGCCCATGCTGTTGGACCCTTCAGGACTTTCCACCCCTGTCATCATGGATACTCCATTTGAGTCCATTGTGCCAGTGATGGAGTGGCCAGTGACAGTCTGGCTGACATCAGCTATTCGACTCATTCTGCGTAGTGCCTCTTCCTCAAAGGATACTCTTGGTGGTAAATAACAAGCGATGCAAAGACCTTCAAATTTCATGCCCATTCTCATAGGTCATTCACATGCCTGTTACTTCTCAAACCTCCTTGACTCTAATATTCTTCCAAGCTCTTTGGAAACTACCAACCATCTGCCACTACCCATAAATCCATATATATTCTTACATCGGGTCACATCTTTTTCCACACTATGTGGATGCCAGATGCACCTGCCAATCCTCTTCCCGCTGGGAGGATTTCTCTTGCTGCTTTCTCTCCAGGACACAGATAAATAGGGCTGCCGTCCAACCATAAGCGATTCTCAACTCCTATATATTGAGCCACTCCACGCATGAACCAAACTCAGGCTCTTGTCTTTCCTGTCAGCTAGATATTGGGACCCTCCCCACACAGATAGGATCTGAGATAGAGAAGCAGGGGCAGTGGTAGGTTACATGGCATTCTGGGTATGTGATTCAGCAACTTCACTCCCGACCATGTTCATGATATCTTGGATGTACAACTTTTATCTCATAATAGATTACTGTTGGGCCTGCCTGACCCTAAGACATGGTGGGTCTGAGAACCGAGCTCATGGTGGCCACATCATGACTCATGTTCAGGTGGTCCATCTCTACGGACACTGATAGGGTTGTCCAGTAGTATACAGGAGCTGTTTTTCAAAAGTTTATTGTATTCTGCTACAGATGGAATTGAATGAGTTCCCGCAGTTTTCTATAAACTCCACATGGCCTCTTTTTTCCTACATAATTACCTTTAATACCACAGGATGTAGCAGGTTGTATGACCTAAAGGCACTCTCAGCTTACTGCATAACTCTTTCTGGTCTTGGCCCCACTTAAAGCTGGCAGTCAGTTGGTGAACTGGTCAGAGTAGTATTCTCAAATGTGACATATACTATCCCCAAAACCCAACCAGTTACCAGACATTATGCTTCCTTCTTCATGATGCAAGGAGAAAGATGCAATATTTTTTCCTTTTATTAAAGTGGATGCCCTGGCATGCACCAGATCATGAGACCCCTGAAATTTCACTAATATCGCAGGACCTCGAATCATTTCTCCAATTCTTTCACCTCCAACATATTTTCCACATTTTTCTCATCTGGTCCAATTAACAGGATGTCTTCGATACTGTGGACCAATGTGAGGTTCTATGGAATAAGCAAATGGTGTTGTTCCTTTAGACCGTATTATGACAGAGGATTGGAGAGTGAAGATAGCCTTGGGACAAGATGATAGATGTATATTGTTGACTATTTCATGTGAATGCAAACTGCATCTGGCCTTCCTTCTTCATAGGGATATAAAATGAAATATTTGCCGAATCAATCGACACATACAATGTGCATGAGGTCATATTAATTGTAAAGATTACCTCATTTGACAAAGTATATGCAATCAGGCCTACAACTTGGTTAAGTTTGTGGAAATCCACTACCATAACTAGAGGGTCATTTGTTTATTAAGTGCCAGAGTAGTTAGTTAATTGGGAATATTATGGAGACCACCAGCTCTACATTAGTTAAGGCTTGAAGGGTGGCTCTAATCTCTGTAATTCTGCTGCAAAGTGCTATTATTTTTATTGCTCTCCTAGACAGCAGGCATAGAGCAGATTTAGAGGCCTCCAGTTAGTCTTCCTCATTATGAAATCTCTTACCACATAGCCCATGGAACTAATATGGGAGTTCTTTCAATTACCAAAGGTTTCCATTCCAATTATACCATCAGTGATGAAAAAAATGACCACTGGATGGGTCCCTGGGCCCAGTAGACCTAACATGAGCAAAACCTGGCCAGAATCTCATTTATAACCTGGCCCCCGTATATACTACTTTAATAGCAGGGCAGTAATAATGCTTTGGGGCCCTGGAAATCAATGTCAAGTTGGAATCTGTGCCCAACAGTCCTCAAAATATTTGATTCACACCCTGTTCCCAGTGTATGGTTTCCCAAGTAAATGACCACAGGTCCCTTTGCCAAATGAGTGGGAGCATAATTAATGTATATACTTGTCTTCATAAGTCTTTCTTCCTGAATACTTAGTCCCATCTTGAATTTTTAGATGTCATGTGTGAAGAGTAGCTCAGGTTTTTTATTTTTTATTTTTGGTTTTTTAAAAGATGAGGTCTCACTGTATTTCCGAGGCTGGTCCCAAACTCCAGGGCTTTCAAGCAATCCTCCTGCCTCAGCCTCCTAAGTAGTAGGAATACAGGTGTGAGCTACTGCTGTGGTCTAGCTCAGGTCTTGAAGCAGGTCTAGGAACTGCGACTTTCTACTGAGGAATCTGCCCTCAGATTTCTAATCATCTATTCTTGATTTATTTAAGTAATACTATCCTTGGCCTCCCATCTGTCTTACCTCAGGGACTCTGTATGCTATTAACCATCTCCCTAGCTTTCTGTGAATCAGGCACACCTGCTGCCATTCCAATCTTGCTGTAAATTATAAGAAGTGCTCCTACCTTGCTCTGATGGGCAAGTGCCACCACTTGGCCTATATATCAGGCTCTTATCAACCCAATTTATTAGAGCCCCATTCTATAACAGTGTCCCTTCTATCAGCCCTGGCCCCAGAGGATAGCTACCACTGAGCCTCTCAACAATGCCAGCACCCCTCTCACCAGTGCATTATCACTTTTGTAAGTGGAGTGTCCTTTAAACTCTCACTCAGAATATAGTTGACTGATAGGTTCTTCAGACTTATATAGTATTCCCACTGTAGCATGATCTCTTCTCTGAGCATTTTAATTTCTCTGTCCACCATCTGTCATGGCAGTTGTGGCATCTCTGCTTTACTTAGTGTGGACCATCACCTCCTACAATCTTTAAAAGCAATTCTAGCTGCATGTTAGCATCATATTCTTACGTCCTTCCCAGGTGCTAAATCCTCTATTATAGGAGAATGCTCCCATGTTAATAAACTTCTTTATATTCTCCTATATTTCCCCCTGCCCAACACATACACACTTGATTCAGCACCCATGGGAGCCATACTTTCCCAGCTCCTGCTGGTATAAGTTAGGTTAGTCTTGCAGCTTCTTAGAGGTACAATTCCTTTCCTCTCTTAGCATAAAAGCACTTTCCCCGCTGGATTATGTTGTAATATGACCCTAATCATTGGTCTGATGGCCAGGAAGGTGGTGAGGGTAGATCCTAAAAGGGCTACAAGTTGTCATCCAAGACAAATACTTCTGCACCTTCTGCAAAAAGGAGGGAGAACTAGCCTATAACAGAGAGGAGCAGGCCCTCTGCAGGCCCAGAAGGCTCAGGGAGAAAGCAAAGCACACAAAATTTTGTAGTGTATTGTCACCATGCTGAATCTCAAGGTCTCACTTTTTCCAATGAGGGTCCTAACCTTGGCAGAGCAGACTTACTGGCGTGGAGACTTTGGCCTTCCCTGGTGCTCTGCTACCCTTAACAATCTAGAACAAAGCCCTAGGTCATCCACTCTTTTTGTTCTCTAACTGCAAGAGATGAGTCTCTTTATATGCTACCATGGGCTCTCTGGCTTTTACACTCAGGCCTAAATTGGTAATTAGTCACCCTCAGCCTATCGTTGTCTTTTTCCAGTATCTCCATAGGCCCTAACAAGAACTATCCAATTTTATAGTTCTTATAAATACTACATGACCCTCTCAAAAGCTTGAAATACTGCAATCAGCAGTGTAGTCCTTTCCACCTGTGTCTCATCCAAGTTCAACACCAATGTAAGTTTTAACAATTGCTCTGCAACCACATGCCAGGAGTTGGCAATCCTCCATCTACCACCACTAAATGGAGATTCGTTCACAGCCAGCTGACAGAATCCAGCTCCAAAATTCCATTTTGAAATATCTGCTTCTGAGGTTTTTTCCTGGTACAAACTGTCACAGGTCAGAAACAAACTCCAATATGAAGATTTGCATGCAGTAAATTTACTGGGGAGTTGTTTTGGGCATGACACCTGTGTGGGAGCAAGGACAATAGGATTGAGTACAGAAAGAAGTTGAACTGTGATACGTTTGCAGCTGCTGCCTCAGCTGGTCTTATGGGAAGATCTAAAGCTGAAATGGTTCTTCAAAGATGTCCCTAACTGAAGCATGGGGCTATGCCCTCCTAAACCCATTTAGACCAGCTTTTAGATGTGGGCTTCCCTCAGGAAAGGATGTAACCTTGTGTGAGACAGCTCCCTTTGGCCAAGGGCAGTTCCCAGAGAGGAAGCTGGACATGAGTCTTTGGCAGCCTAAATTCCTGGGAGTTGGAAGAAGGAGTGTCTCTGTTTTGAAAAGGAATCTGGATTTATACCACAGCATACACTACACTATCCAAGAAAGTAAAGTTCCTAGAATTTAATGTGAACTATAATCTGAGGAATTATAAAATGTTACTCAGGAGGTAAAGGACTTGCAGAAGATTTAATGAAGTAATATATAATGAAAGGAAAAAGAAGAAAGGAGTGTGAATTTTTCAATGTGCTTCAAGCACTGTAGCAGTAAATGGGTGCCTTGAACCACAAAAGCTAACTTTTATTCAACAAGTACTCTTCTAGAGCTTTACAAATACTAACTCATTTAATTTATATATAACCTTATGAGGCCTTTACTATTGTCCTTATTTTTATATGATAAAACCAAGATCTGGAGAGATTAAACTATTTGTCAAGCTACACTACTCAGTAAGTAGCAGAGCTGGTATTTGAACCCCAGTAATTTATGTTCTTAACCACTATATGAAGCTGCTTCCCTTAATGTATCAGGTCGTGTTTTAAGTACTTTTCCTACATGAGTCATTTATCCATTAAGCAGCTGGTTCTGTTACTAACCTCACTTTACAGAGAAAGAAACTAATGCCAAACATTTATTAATATTTTGTTCAGTAAGATACCTCCTGTTCATCACTTAATTTATGAAATAATCACATTTAGAATGAAGAATTCTGCCTCTATCACTTGCTAGCTGTGTGACCTTAGAAAAGGTATTTAACCTCTCCATGCCTGTTTCCTCTATGTAAAATATAGACTTACCCATTGGTTGTTGATATGTGAAACTCTCCTCTACCCATAGTAAGGACTCCAGAACTGTTGACCTTCATTAGCATCAACATCATTGTCTATATCATCACCACTTCTTTACTGTGATGATGTTAGAGACATTCAAACCAGAGCAACTCCATCTTGAATAGGGGCTTGGTAAAATAACTATGAGACCTACGGGGCTACATTCCCAGGAGGTTAAGGCATTCTTAGTCACAGGATGAGATAGGATGTCAGCACAAGATACAGGTCACAAAGATCTTGCTGATAAAACTGCATGCAGTAAAGAAGCTGGCCAAATCCTACCAAAACCAAGATGATGATGAAAGTGACCTCTGGTCATCCTCACTCCTCATTATACACTAATTATAATGCATTAGCATGCTAAAAGACACTCCCACCAGTGCCACGACAGTTAACAAATGCCAGGCCAACATCAGGAAGTTACCATATATGGTCTAAAAAGGGGGAGGAACCCTCAGTTCTGCGAATTGCCCACCGTTTTCCTGGGAAACACATGAATAATCTACCCTTTGTTTAGCATATAATCAAGAAGTAGCAACAAGTGTAAGCAGCTGAGCAGCCCATGCCACTGCTCTGCCTGTAGAATAGTCATTCTCTATTCCTTAACTTTCTTAGTAAACTTCTTTTCACTTTACTCTATGGACTTGCCCTGAATTCTTTCTTGCATGAAGTCCAAGAACCCCCTCTTGGGGTCTGGATAGAGATGCCTTTCTGGTAACAATGAGAATCCATCAAATGTTCAACTAAGAAAGAATTCCTGTTCATTTGACAGTTGTATTTCTTAGTGTATATGAGTTATTTGTTATTCTACTTTATTCATTAGGGTCTTATAAGGCCAATTACTTGTTAATAGGTCTTAATACCCCACGGTGAGCTCATAAAATGTTTTACTAAACTCACAAACAGTGAGGGAAGATTTAGCCTTATATTGCAGAAAATGCCTCTAGGGGAACAAGTGCTCCTGCTTCCACTAAAATCCATACACTTTCAAAATTAAGTAGTCTCATATTCCTCTACACCTGGAAACCACAGTGGTTTCCATGGGTCAGGACTAAAGGTAAGGAGACTGGGTCATCACAGTAGACTTTGTCATGTGACTAATATATTCCATTCAGTCAAGAGAGCTGAATTTTTTTGAAAGAATATAAGGTCAAGTGAGGCTTTTCCATTTATCAACCCACCTGAGAAAGCCATCTTACCATGTTAAGTTAAAGGACAGTGGCACACAGTAAAAATAATCATGGAAGCATGATAAGGAGCACTCCCAGAATTGACTTTTTTCCATCATTTCCAAAGCCTGGTAATTTTGTGTGATGTTGGCGTAAGTTACTCTCTTAAAAAATTGTTTTTCAATATCTTAGTTCTTTTGGTCTGCTATTGCAAATTACCATAGACTGGGTAGCTTGTAAATGACAGAAATTTGTTTCTCACAGTCTGGAAGCTGGGAAGTACAAGATCAAGACAGATTTGATGCCTGGTGAGGACCTGTTCCTTACTTCACAGATGGTGCTTGCTTGCTTCTTTCTTATCTGGTGGAAGAGGCAAATAAGCTCTCAGGGCCTCTTTTAAAGGACCTTCACTGATCCCATTTATGAAGGCACTGGCCTCATGACTTAGTCACCTCCGAAAGCCTCACCTATTAATACTATCAATTTGGAAGTCAGGTTATGAATTTTGGGCAGATTTAAGCATTCAGACCACAGCACTCAAGAAACAAGTCTATCCAGATAATAAATCAATATCCAGTTTACGGGAAATGTGTCATAATCGTTCAAGCCCCCTGTGTTGGATATCCTGTACTTGCCACTTCTGATTCCCTTTCTTCCCTGCTCTTCCCTAAGAGGTTGACCCATGGAGACTCTATCAATGAACCCCAATGCCTTCCAGTTTCTTGTAGGTTTTGATAAAGAGAGTTAGTGGTACGAGATCAGAGCACTGGAGAAAAGTGAAATGAGGGTGGTGGTTGTTGTTACCCTCTGACTCTTTTCCCATCAGATCACCATAATTTGGCTACATCCTTACATCAAAATCTCTTGCCAGTAACACTTTCCTAGAGCTGCAGCTGCTGCCTCCAGGCTCCAGAGCCTGTTTGACCCACTTGTCTCTTCTGGCCTTGAGTATTAAGGGCTCCACTGCTGCCAGCCCTAAAGAGTGGAAATATCAGTGTTGCTTTCCCTAAATCTTGGCCACACCTTTGAAAATCATTCCTTTATTAAATTCTCTATTACTCAGTTTGAGTGTGCCATCTATTTCCAGCTGGGACTCTGATACAACAGCTAAATAAACGTTGGTTCTTTTTATTCAAAGAGTGCCTGACTCCTCTCCATGACTGGACCCTGACACTGTGCCCTAAGCCCAATGCCTTCTCCCAATCTGTTTCTACATGCTTTGCCATCAGCCAGTCTTAACACTCTCAGTCAATTATTGAAAGCCACCTCTTATTTACTATACTGTGGTTATTTCTGAGATATAAAAAGCAATTAGAAAAATTTTTATCAATCCATTTTGTCTGAAGCTCCCACTTGGTATGGATTCACACATAAAACATGCATTCAAGATTAACCTCTTTTCATCTTCAGTCATCTCTAACCTGTTTAGCCTCTTAGCCTGAATTCTGGCAAATGACAGGTCATTTCTGTTGCAGTCGATGCTTAACCTTTTCACCCTTCTCCCGTGTGAACTCTAACCATCCTATGGTCACAAGAAAGCCTGACCATGACCTCTGACTCTTGTCACTACTTGACCAGGCAAGGAACAGAATAAATTGCAAAGTTCACTGGGCCCAGTGTCATGGTCTAGTTTTAACTCTGTTACTGGCTAACCGTGTGACCTGAATATGTCAGTTCCTTCTCCCAGGGCAACATTTCCTTGTTTATAAGCAGAAGGGAGTTGCAGAAAAACCCTTCCAGCCCTACAAAATGGCTTTACTTTCACCTTTCAGCATGAATCCTTTAACTTCTAATCTCCTTCCCTTACCACAATCCCAAGTTCTTGTCCGTGGTTTACACCACTGATCTTACGCCCTTTTCTTCTTAACTATGGCTTTATCTTTGCCATAAATTTGTACATATTTACTCTAAACATATGTGTGTATGAGTATGCACACACTTCTACATACTCACACATGGAGATCACCACATTGCCCCATTTACCACATTTTTGAACTATAATTTATATTGAAATGATGTCATCAGTATAGACGGTATATCTAATCAGACTCATCACTGTCCTATTGATTATATCCACACTCAACATCACAGTTCAGGTCCTCAGTCTACAAATGATGTTAGCTTTTTACTCTTTATCAGACATATACAAGGTGTCCAGAAATACACTGTGGAGCCCCTTGTAAAAACTGAGTATAACACCTAGCAAAGAACAGACCTGTTAAAAGAATCAACTTTCTTCTCCTCAAATGATATCACATGTAATATATATATTTTTAATGGGCATGTTGATTTAAAAGGAACACAAGAGATAAGAATGCTCACTCAGGTTGTGAGTCTAACAGGGCTCTGGTTTCCATTTATGTCCTACATCGTTAGAGCAGTTTTCTTCTCTCCTAGTTGAGAGATGAATCACTATTGCAATAAGCCAATCATCTGGTTACCTCGCAGACCCCTGAAGATGAAGGTGCACCTTTTTTGTTTGAAGTCGATAAGAGTGTACAGGGGATTGAGGCCCAAGTATGTGGGTCAAGTCAGAGTAGAGACAAGACTGTAAATAAATTCCCCTTGACCTCCCTGCAAACAGTTAGCTCGGGTTTTCCCATCCAGATTATAACATTTTTAAATGCTAAGGACGTGATTTGAGAGGGACTTTTGTATGTGTTTAAATCCAGGCCGAAGGTTTGAATTACAAAGAATAAAAAATCATATTTGGTATCATGCTACTCAAGTGAAAATATCCTGCAGAACTTCTGGTGAGTGTGGGGATGTACATTACTCCCAAGAGAGGAGGACACACATCATTGTTTAACCCGGTGGGCTCAATCAGGAGTCAACTCCTGTAATCAGATGCACTGACCTAGGGGAAACTAGCTGCCGATTCCCTTTATTTTCCCCCACTCACATCCCAAGGTAGAGATGCCATGAGCCTCTGCTCTGTGTCTTACTCACTCACTCACTCATTTTTAATTTTCCCGAAGTCGATGCTTACTTATTTGTCATAAATATACATAGTTTTTAAAAAGTATTCATGCTGTGAGGTATATAACAAAAAACAACAGCTCCTTGACTCACTCCTCCCTTCCTCACCACCATCTTCTTTCCCAAAAACACCCACTTTCAACATTATTAGCAGTTTTTCAGTTTTTCTAAATATTTTTAAATATTGTGCTTATGTCATTCTTTCCCGATTTCAATTTTACCCACTATATGTTGACTTCTCATTGTGGTAGAGGAGACTTTAGCTCTTTTACAGCACTCTTCCTCATACCTTCACTAACCCTTTCTGCGCCTTCCTGATATAATGCACTGTTCAGGCTCATGATCATTTCACATATACATTATTGTGACTGTTGAATGTTGCTCACCTGTGTGACAAGTATTAAGCATGATTACCTTTAGCATAGAAACTTTTGCTTTTCGTGGGATTTGTTTAGACGTCTAGGCACTTATGGCCAGATATTCCTACCCTCTCTTAGAGGCCCTCAGTTTAATTTTTCATATCTTCAATTATTAGGTAAATCTGTTAATCACATTTTTTTTCTTGTCTTCTCTTGCTCCAGACTAGACTGTTGTTCTCCAGTCCTGCCACAGAGCTGATGTCCCAAGGTTTTCCTTCCTGCCATCCTGGAAGTTCCCCTCACCACTTTACTGTATTGCAATTTCTATTCCCCAGACTCCACAACTTCCTCCAGTAGCTTCTAAGAAGCATGGAAAGTAGATTTATTGCAAACTTGCATACCTGAAATTTTCTGTCTTTTATTTTCATACTTAATTATGAATCTCCCCAGGTATAAAATTCTATGTTGGAAATCACTTTCTCTCCAAATTTAGAAGGCTTTGCTCTATTACGGTCTATATTTATTCCATCATTGCTATTGAACAATGTTATCTTAGTTTCTCATCTTTGTAAGTGAGCTGTGTTTTCCTCTCTGCAAACTTTTAGGATTTCCCCTTCTTTCTTGTCATGAGTATGTATCCTGGCTCTGGTCGTGATTTTAGGAACTAAGTGGGCTTTTGCAGTATGGAGATTCCTGTTCCTTTCATTATGAAAAATTTTTTCTTGTATTATTTCTTTGAAAGAAAAATCTCCCCCACTTCTCTTTCTGGAAATCCTATTATCTTAGGTCATTTTGATTTCTGTACCAATTCTCTAATTTGCTTAAGTATTCTCTCCTATGAGTATCTTTTAATCTTTCTGTCTACTTTCTAGGAGCAATTTGACTTCATCTTCCATGCCTATCCCTTCTATTAGTTTTAATGTTGCCTCTCGTGGGATTACTTACTAATCTTTTTCTCTGGTTCTTTTTTGGAGTACCGTTTTCTCATTTCATAAATGCAGTATCTTCCCATCCCTCTTCTAGTCTCTGAATCATCTCTTTCTTCCACATTTCTTCTTTTTGTGTTCTCAGCATATAGTATATTTTTATAGTCTCAGTATTTCATGTTGTCCATTGCTCTTTGACCATCCATTTATAATGAAAAGTAAAGAATAAAAGCTCTGTTTGAGAAATCAAATACCCGCATGTTCTCACTTATAAGTGGGAGCTAAACAATACATACACATAGATATAAAGATGGAAATAATAGACACTGGGGACTCCAAAAGAAGGGAGAGTGGGAAGGTAGTGAGGATTGAAAAATTACCTGTTGGGTTCAATGTTCATTATCTGGGTAACAAGTTCACTAGAAGCCCAAACCTCACCATTATGCAATATATCCATGTAACAAACCTGCACATGTACTCCCCTGAATCTAAAATAAAATAACAAAAAATAAATAGTCATTTCAATGCCTTTTTAAAAAAAATTAAAGCTCTGTTTGCTTGAGCTAGGCTTGTAAGCTTTTGGGCTTTATTTTAGGATGATGGGGCTTTTGTTTTGGGCCTCCTCCCCTATAACAATATCTGTATATATGTTTCTTCTAGACCTGTTTCTCCAGAGAAGAATCTTCTAACCCCCTATCCAAAAGGGCATAAGCCTGGCATCTAACATTCTAGAAACTTTTCACGATTTGTTAGGGAGGAATGGCTAACTTCTTGTCAATATATTCTCCTCTATAAAGAGGTATTTTCAACTTCCTTTCTTCCACTAAATCAGTTACCTATCCTCCATCTGTTTCTCATCTTCCAAAAATTTATCTGTTATCCACTGTTTTCACTTCCCTTGTTCTTTGTTCTTATGCTTTTATATTTTTATTCCTTTATTTTCATTTTAGTGGGGTTTTAGAAAACAGTGGGAAAATATGGTTTAATCTGCCCTCTTGACATGGAAGCCCCCATTTTTTATAACGTAGATATTTTTGAGTACCTACTATGATCTTGGTTCTGTGCTAGATTGAGCTATATAACAGTGAACAAGACAAAACTAAAAGTGATGGAAAAGATACAGAAAATACACATATACATTATAAAAGAAGAAGAAGAAGGTAGATGAGAGAGATTGACAGGAGAAACCATTGGGCAGGCAGGGAAGGCCTTCTTGCAGAAGTGAAATTTAAGGTGAGAGCTGAAGGATAAGGAGATGTTGGCCATGTTTTAAGGGGAGAGAGTGGGGGATGAAAAAGACAAGCATTTTAGGACAGGAAATTGAGATAAGGAAGATAATTAAGAGTTCATAGAAATGGAAGAAGACAGTGTAAGTAGGTGAGAAGGAGAATGGAGGAGTTAGTGAGTAAGGCTGGAGACAGATCACAAGTTAAATTTTATGTGGAGTTAAGATATTTGTATATTATTCTAGGTGCAATGAGAAACATGGAGGGATATTAAGCCAAATCCTGCATCTGTTCTATTCATTCAGTCAGCAACTGATTACTTTCCATGTGCCGAGAGAGAGCAGTAAAAAAAACACACAACTGTGAAGAGATTAATATGTATGAAGGGCTTCACTGAGGTCCACCAAATAAACACTACTCAAGCACAGACTGCAAACCAAAATGTATCTGTGTTATGACATTAATTGCAAATAACAAGTATGGTGCTAAAGTCTACACCAATGGAATTAGATGAGTGCTATGCACTTAATTTTAAAATAAAACTAGTTTTCAGTAAAACACACATACACACACACACACACACAAAACCTCTGCCCTCAGGATGGTTACTTTCTAGTGCTTTCCTGTCTTCCTCTCCATGCACATATCAAAGGCAAACCCCTCCAATTGTTCCACAAGTCTCAGCCCCTCTCCTCTACTCACTCCAACAATTTTCCCCTTCAGTCCACATGAATCCTTCCCTTTCTACTTCATCATTATCATTGTCATCAAATATGATGTACTATCTCCTATCTTAACAAATAAACTCAAAAATAAATAAACAGCAAACATAAAAAACCTCCCTTGACCCCAAAATCTCTCTCCAATTAAGGTTTAAATTTTCATCTTCCATTTTCATTGAGATCTTACAAAGCGTTTTACATCACCGATGTGTCTCCTTCCATTTTCTCCAGTCAGGATTTTGCACAGTCGTGGTCACTAATAATCACTACGTTGACAAATGCAATGGCCAGTTTCTTAGTCTCCATCTTATTTGAATCATCAGCAACATTTGAAACAGTTGATCATACTTTTCACTTGGCTTTGGGCACCTTTCTTGGTTATTTCACTACATCACTGGCTACTACTTCTCATCTGCCTTTGTAGGTTCCTTCTTCTCTCACATACTCTAAATGTCGAGATATCCCATGACTTGGTCCTCAGACTTCTCTCCTCTCTCTGCACATACTTCTTTGGTGACGTTAGCCAGTATCGTGGCTTTAAGTAGCATATATAAAATGATATACTCCAAAATTATATCCCATTTTGACTTCTTCCATAAACTTTATATTCTTATATCAAATTCCTAGTTGACATCTTGGATGTCTAATAGGCATCTCCAACAACATGCTCAAAACCAATTTCTGATATTTCCCCACACTCTGAAGCCTATTCCTTCTGTGATATCTCAGCAAACAGTATCTTTACTCTTCTAGCTGCTCAGGTTATAAACCATGGTATTGTCCTTGACATCTTTCTTCCTCTCACTTATCCCATCCAAACCATCAGCAACTACTGTTGTCTCAACCTTCAAGGTATATCCAGAATCCAACCCCCATTTCTTCCCACCTATGCCACTACCACCCTTGTCTAAGACACCAACTTGCTCCTAGAAAAAAACTTCAATCTGCTTTCTTTCTTGCTTTCTAATCGTTCTTTCTCAACACAGTAGTCAAAATAATACCCTAAAAATATAAATTGTATCATTTCTTATCACTGAACAAAACCCTTCAGACCCTTCCCATCTTTCTTAGAGCAAAAGCTAAAAAGTCTTACACTTGCCCACAAGATCTGACAGCCTCTATTCCCCATGCTGCCATCATCTCCAACTATTCTCTTCCTTTTGCTTATCCCACTCCAGCCACGCAGACATTCTTGCTAAACCTCAGGCAGTCTAAATAGACTCTCAGGCAACTTGTCCTTTCTGTTCCTTCTTCCTGCAATGTTCTTCTTCAAGGTCTCTATGTGGCAACTGATCACATGTTACCTTATCAGTGAATTCCCTGGCTACTCTTTACAAACCGTAATGTTCTCCCCTACTGCCACATCTTACCCCTTTACACTTTCATCTTTCTCTGTAAAACTTATTACCATGTGATATAGTTTGGATATTTGTCCCTGCCCAAACCTCATGTTGAATTGTAATCCCCAATGCTGGAGGCAGGGCCTGGTAGGAGGGGTTTGGATTATGGGGATGGGTCCCTCATGGTTTGGTGCTGTCTTCGTGATAGTGAATTCTCATAAGATCTGGTCATTTAAGTGTGTGGCACCACCCCCACCCCCACCCCCACCCCCACTCCCGCCGCCCTGCTTGCTCCTGCTTTCTCCATGTGATGTGCCTGCTCCCACTTCACCTTCTGTCATAAATGAAAACTTCCTGAGGCTTTACCAGAAGCCAGCCAGATGCCAGGACCATGTTTCCTATAAAGCCTGCAGAATCATAAACCAATTAAACCTCTTTTTTTTATACGTTACCCAGTCCCAGGTGCTTCTTTATAGCAACGCAAGAATGGCCTAATACACCATTTAATGTACTCTATGCACCATTCACTTGCTTATTGAGTTGTCATATGGCCTACCTTGAAGATACATATTTTGTCTGCTTTTTTCCCTACCATATTCCCAGACACTAGGACAGTGTCTGAGACTAGTAGGTAGTCAATATATATTTGCTAAATTAACAAATGAATGAACAAAATTGAGTCACAGAGTCAGATCTCAAATGGCAACAAAAAGACCTTATTTTGAGAAACTTAAGCTAAACCAGTCAAAGACTGCATTGGCTTTAGAGCCTAGAAAAAGACTAAGACTTTAGGTAGGGACCAAGTCATTAGATAGGTAAAATTTGGTTAAAATAAGCATCAAAAAGAGGCCTTAGGCCACAGAGTCCAAAGAAGTACTGTTAGCTACATAAGACAAAAGCAAACAGCTTCAAGAAGTTCTAAGAGATGGGTAGGGGGCTTGCACAAAGATTGAAATGACACTTAAATCATCGTCTCCTCTTCCTCTTGCATTTTCCAGAAAGGATTCCAAAAACACAGGGCTAAGGAGATTGCTGCCATGTGAAATACCAAAAAAGGTGGTTCACAGGCTGACTCCAGGTCCTGAAAAACAAAGAAATATAAGGCAAGAGGTTTTTAAGATATTTCGCAAAGATGGCCCAGAGAGAGAAAGAGAAAGAGAGAACACAAACCACATACCTTATTTGGCTAGCAAAAACAACCATGCATTCTCAGAAATCAGAAGGGAACTTCAGATCTGCAAGGAGCCCCACCCACCTTATGCTCTTTCCTGACCACTTTCTTCCTCAGATCCAATAAACCTTTTCATCTCTTTTCAAGCTGTCTAGCGGGAGTCATAAAAAAGCAGCCCTGACAGATGCTCATGTCAGCTCAACACTGCCAAAAGAATAAGCACACATCAGGGCCTGCTGCTCCCTGGCACATCACTTGAAGGTTTCACTTGGGTGTCCCTGCAGGAAAAGTGAAATGGGCCCTTTTGAACTCACTGGGACAACATAAAGGAGTTCCCTGGACTTTCCCCACTCAGAGAAGCAGTCCTATGTTTTTGAGTTTGCTAGATGTTCAGAAGCATATCATGGAAGTTTCAAGAAAAATGAAACAAAGCAGAACATGGGAAAAGCCTCAGAGACTACAAGAGTAGATGTTTTCAGGGGAAACAGTCTAGTTTGACATTTACAAGGCATGAGTGGTCCCTTTTCTTTTTTTATGGGACACTTAGAGAGTCTGATGATAATATGATGGTAAGTATTAAGAAACAGTTTATTTGTTTCCCAGTTTCTTCTGATACCCAATAAAAATATCAGAGATAGGAAGAAAGAAGAGCAAAGAGAAATTCAAAAAATTATCATCTTCTTAGTGAAAGAGTTGGGAAAACTGTTGACAGGGGTAGCAACAGCAGAGGAGCACCCCAGTCATTCTCTTCTTCAAGACCCCAGCTTCTAAAGATGAGAATGAAATAAAGACAAAGGAAGTGCCCTTACTCAAATAGCCTCCACCATCTAGATGCCTCTTCTCCTTCTTCCACAACCAAATCTGACCCAACTAAGTCCCAGATCAACAACTTCAGCTGTAAAACCAAACTCCTATTATCATTTTTGACTAAACACTTCTTCTAAAAAAATAGTATTACATTTTCAACCCTACTAAGCAGTCTGTTTCTTGAGTTTGGGGTTTATATCCATTTTATATGTTGCCCCTATAGGATCCATCATAATGCCTTACCTAAAATAAGTCCTCAATAAAGCTCTCTCCAATAAACAAATTAATGAATAAATGAGAACGAATTGAGAGGTCTTAAGTAACTCTATGGGTGCGCTGGCATATTGATGGCAGTAGGGGGGACCCAGGTACCACTTTATAAAAGTGGAGACAATAGCTTTCCAGAGGAAAATTAATAAATTCCTGTGTGGCCAAACCATTGAGAAGGACTTACAGCAAGAGTATCATTATGGCATTTCTTTACCTAACAATAAGAAAAATGTTCCAACTGTGATCTTCAGCGAAGACCACTGGACAAATGCAAGGTAGTTGATCATTAGAGGGAGAGGAGTGGCCCAGGAACCTGGGACTTGAGGGGTCTTAACACATTCATGAGGCTAGTGCTCCATAAGAGCAGAACATATTTAAGAAAAGACCCCTGGATTGGCTCATGAATATGGGTCTCTGGGTTGCCTCTAACACAAATCCTGTAACCTTGGGCAGGTCCAATATCCCATTTGTCACACAAGGCCTTCAAGAGGGATTCGCCTGTCAATGAAGATTGGGACTAGAATGACTCTAAAGTCCCTTTCAGCTCTAGAATTCAATCTGTTCCACATCAGAAAAGGATTTTCACTGTGTCCAAAATGCAATCAGCCTCAAAACAATTTTTTTTAATTTGTGTCTTCAAAATTATTTGGACTCTGAAGATTCAGCACTGCCAAGCAACATATGACCATTTAGGTGGCCCAACCTCAAGTCTGAGTACCCCCTCCTAGGTCTCTTGGGTTCTTCCTCTTGGTCCCCAGCAGCCCCGCTAGGTCCCTCAGCAACACTGCCACGTCCCTCCCAACCCCTCGTTAACATATGGTCTCCTTAACTCACAGAATTGTCCGCCCGGTTTTTGTAAAGCTACTAGTAAAAAGTTCTGAAATAGAAACCAGATGCACACATGCACCTTGGGATGTACGTATTATGAAGATGAAACTGACACATCTCTTCCCAGTTGGCTTCGCCTCTTTTTTCCCCACCTGGTCATGTGGTGTGCACCTGCAATATGTTGACAAGGCTTTAGATTACAACAGGAATGGTTATATCAGGTTCCAGGATGGCCTTGGGTTTTAATCCCAGGTGAGTTGTGCATGCATCAGGGGTTTTTATTCCCACCTCATCTTTATGGTTCTCATGGCTTCCTCTTGTGTTCAAGCTAATATTTCATGTGGACGAGCAAGCCCCTTATTTCCCTCTTCCACTGTCCAAACTTTTTTGCTTTTGGAAAACTGGTTTTCCACCCTCTTAATTGTCAGAATCTGTGGTGTGAGGCAAACATGTGCTATGGTTGGGGATAACACTCGCATGGTGATATTGTTCACCTCTTGTGGCAGATTGTCTCACACTGGAAAATTGCCTTTGAGCCTATGCGCTAGAGGAGACCTCGCCATAGAGACCATCTCTCCCATCACCATCCACAAAAGCTAATGGAGCAAAGAAAAGTAAAAAAAGAAAGCAAAGGGGGCTGTAAATTATCCCACAAAACCCAAATCCCATAGATCTATAGGATCAAGACCACAGAAAAATGATCTATAACTACAGTGATCAGATATTCTGAGCAAAATGGAGGATTTTATTTGATGGATGCTGTGAGACTAGCACAGAATATTTGTTCTGTTTTTGTTTTTGTTTTTGTTTTTGTAGAGGTAGGATCTCTCTCTATCACCCAGGCTGGAGTACATTGGCACAATCATAGCTCACTGCAACCTCAAACTCCTGGGCTCAAGCAATCCTACCACCTCAGCTTCCTGGGTAGCTGGGGCTACAGGCATGTGCCACCACACCTAACTAATTTTTTTTTTTTTTTTTTTTTTTTTGTAGAAATGGAGTCTGGCTATATTGTAAGGCTGGTCCTGAACTCCTGGACTCAAGCAATCCTTCTGCCTCAGTCTCCGAAAAGTGCTGGGATTATAGGCATGAGCCACTTTGCTCAGCCTAGAACAGAATATTTGAAAATATAAACATTTTCAAGAAATGAAAATGTAAGATCACGTACATTAAAAGTTGTAGGCCCATAAATTCTAAATCAATGAACAATTTTTAAGCATTTACTATGTGTTAGGCATTGTCTTCTTATCTTTGTTTATTTCTATTTTTATAATCCAGATGTAAGTGATGACCCTATATGAATGCAAACCTTTGGATCCCTTTATCTCCTCTGGTGGCCACAAATTTGTTACCACTCATCCCACCAACAAGAGGATTCTGTTCCTCCCCTCCTTGAACCTAGGTTGGACTATGACTTCCTTTGATCCATATGATGTTTTGGAAATATGCTATATAACTTTCTAAAACTGGGCCCTAAAAGAACTACACTTTCCATTTTTGTTCCAACACGCTCTCTTAGAACCTCTGAAAACCGTGGTGTAAGAACCTTATCCGATGCAGACAAGCTACATGGAAGAAGGCCAAGACACTATGGCCAACAGCCCCAGCTGAGTTCCCTTCTGGGAGCATCAACTGGCCACCGTGTGAGTGAACCAAGCTGGATGTGCTGGCACCGTTGTGCCACCACATGACACAGCCCCTGCTGATCTCACATGGAGCAGAACTTCCGAGTGAGTTCAGTCAACCCACAGAATCACAAAAGAGAATAAATGACTTTGTATTCTAAGCCACCATGTTTGGGATGGTTTGTTCCACAGTGATAATGTAAATGCTTCCCTCTTTATTATGCAGGATAGCTTGTTTTTGCTTCTACACTCAGTCCCTCCTGTTTATTGTCTAAATATGCATATGTATTCTTAGCTAAAACATAGTTTCTTACCTCCAAGTCTACATTTTGGTAGCATAGAACTAAAAAAATGCTTTAAAATTTATAATTTGCTCTGGCTGTCTACCCACAGGTGTATCTGTGAGAAGAGAGCAGGACAGAAATTTATCTTTCCACTGATATTAATTAGGTCACTACCCCTAAAAGCAGACATGTCTAAAGTCAGTTCAAGTTTTTAGCAAAGGCAGATTTACCCGGAAGCTAACAAAGCTTACACTCAATTGCACAGTTGCCTTCCAATGCCCCAGGAGGGGTTCCACCTTTGTGTCGACATGTCATAAGTCACAATAAAATTTGCATCCTATGTTCACTGTAGTAGGGTAAGGGTCCGATCTGTTTCCTCTCTAGCTATGCCTCTGTCACACTTCCCCTCCTGTCAGGTGAGTCTGTGTGGCCACTGACATTTTAGGGATCTGATGAAAGGGAAGTTAACATAGGCATGGATGTTCTTTGGATCATATAGACATATTTATGTGATTTGCAGTCACTTCCACATCTAGATATTTTAGCCATCCTGGTATAGGTGCAACTGTCAGGAATTCTCCCACAGCCCACAATACCACCTGACCCAACATAGCAACACAGAGATGCAGGGCCCAAGGCTGTGTCACAATACAAACATGCCCCGCCGTGTCCAGAACGGATGAACAGGAAAGAGAAGAGAGACACTGTTTGAAAATATCGATTGAGAAGTTGGTTCATGCAATATTCCACTAATCATCAAATGTGTAAAATTATAAACAGAGGTTTAGAAAATTAGGTACTTACTGGCAAAGTCAAAATGGAAGTTTTGAGGAATGAGCTTTCAGGAATGAATTTTATAATATATTGATGCTATCATAAACAACATAAATTTTTGGTTCTTTTTTAACGTTAGTCACATGAAGTTGAATCCAACAGAATTTCTGGGTGTGTGGGACACAATCTTGATCAGTACTGCAAAGAAGGAGCCTATCTCTGTATGCAGTCACAGAAGTCTGTGTTTATGGTTACAATTTACCTATAATAATCAATTTGTGATCAGCCATTCTCTAAGTAAGACTGAAAACATTCCCTTCTCCCTGCAGAAAGTAGTATTACAAAAGTAGGACCACAGGAAAAGGAAAACCAAAAGATGCAGACAACCAATGTAGGAGGAAAAAATATCGGAGAGGTGTACCAGGAAATAAATGAATACAAATATTATATCACTATCATGTCCAGGTTCCAGACAGAAAGCAGAAGACAGATGAGAGACAAAGGGCACGTGTCAGGTGAATCTGTCTGCTTTTAAAAACATTTTCTACAAGCCTCATCCAGCAATTTCTCCTGACTTCTTATTGGCCAGAGCAAGTCAAATGACCACTTGAGAGGCAAGAAGTAGAAGTACAGTGTTTCTTTTATTGGGTGGTTGTTCATTTTCTGGACACATTACTATCCTCCTACCCCAAATCCCCATTCTGATACTAATGAAGAATGGAAAAAAACACATTGGGTAGGCAACCAGCAGGGTCTACATCAGCGTAAATCTCTAATCCAGCCTCAGGCAATAGAGTTATCTCTATTTACTAATGATTAGTGGCTTGAGAAAAACAGCCCTTTGCCTCAGCTAGTAACCTTAACTGTAAAAGATCACAAGCAAATGTTTTATTACATTTTTAGTTAACTAGATGGATCCACCATCTATGTACCTGATTAAGTGTTGAACTATTTAGAGAAGACAGCTCATAAGCTATATAGGTCAAAATGGAGCTTTTAAAGAAAATGCCATGATCAGGGCTATTACTTCACTTATTCCTTCTCTCCTGCTTCCCAGTCATAATTACACATATTAGGGTAATTGAGAAATTAACAGAGACACCCCTGATAATATAGTAATCACCTTTCCTAGGTATTTACTTAGTTCCTATGGTTCATGAATATCATTTAGATACTCTTAAGTTTGCTTTTCACTAGAAAAGGGTCACTCCCTTGCTCTGCTCCAAATTGTTAATTTGCGTACCGTATTAGTCCGTTTTCAGGTTGCTGATAAAGACATACCCAAGACTGGGTAATTATAAAGAGGTTTAATTGACTCACAGTTCCACATGGCTGGGGAGGCCTCTTAATCATGGCGGAAGGCAAGAAAGAACAAGTCACATCTTACGTGGTGGCAGGGGAGAGAGAGAATGCGAACCAAGCAAAAGGGGTTTCCCTTTATAAAAGCATCAGATCTCGTGAGACTTGTTCACTACCATGAGAACAGTATGGAGGAAACTGCCCCCATGATTCAATTATCTCCCACTGGACCTCTCCCACAACACATGGGAATTATGGGAGCTACAATCCAAGATGAGATTTGGGTAGGGACACAGTCAAACCATATTACTTCCTAAATTGAAAATTAAGTTGATGTCCAACCACACCCATCAAAGGTCACAATATAGAGGCCCACAGTACCCCACAGACATATCTTGTTTGGTCCAGTGTTTTTAAAAATAATTGAAGTAAACATCAAATTTAAGTTCCAGGCACTTTGAGTCAAAATTCTTGATTCCTACCTTTTCTTAAATAATCAAAATGTCCAGCAACCCTGGCTTGCATTTGTGCATAACAACTATCTGTGGCTGGTAGTGGCTCACCCATTGGGCAGAGTTAAGAATCCCATACAGTTAAAAATATCAGAATAGGTAGAAATTAAGGTCCATAACTGAGGCCAGGGTTGTCTGGATTTATGAACTCTAAGCTCCACCTATGCACATATTTTAAACTGTAATAGAAAAGGTGTTTTTTGTTATACTTATTTCAGGAATTCGCATGAATCAATGGCTTATTTATGAAAGAAAAAAATAGCATAAGACATAGCTAATGCCTTGAAAAACTTATAAAATCTAATAATATTGGCAACATAAAACAAAACTTCAAAAAAATAGTTATAGATGAGCATGAAGGCATACACACTTAATGGGACAGATAGTAAGTAGCATGTAATAATCCATGCTGGGTAAGGATGAACACATATTTCTTTTGTAATAAAGAAATGTAACAAAAAAGTATACCCGAAGAGATATCATGTTTCTTCACTCAATCTTACACAGAATCTTTCTTTACTGTTGGCCCAATTCTAAAGAATTCAATTGTCTAAGCACATTGGAGCATCCTTATCCTGCCAACAGGGCAGGCTTTCCAGTGCTAAGCTAGAGAAGGGGCCCTGAGCAAATAGGGCCATAGTGTGGGTAAAAAGAAAACTGTCCAATTCTACATTGGAAACTGTTCTAAGTCAACAGCTCATTTGCTGCTAAAACATTACCCTTTCTTTAGAGAAATGCATGCAGAAGAGAGGTAACACGTTTCTCCAACTTTTTGTCTTCATTTGCCAAGCTGAACAATGACTTACATATTTAACTGTCATAATGACAATTAATGATGTTTGAGTACTTTCAATGCGCCAGGTACTAGGCTAAGAAAATAACAGATACCATCTCATTTATTATTCATAAAAACCCCCATCATAGAAATTTTTTTAAAGGGGAGTCAAAGAGGGTAAAGTAACTTGCCCCCAAAGCTTTCAGTGCCTGCATATGACACCTAGGAAATGATAATCGGATTGAACTTGAGTCTGTCTATCAAGAGTATCCATGGTTTACCGTCGTGCAATAATTAGAGCAAAAAATACTATTTGAAATATACTGTGAAGGTTATAAAATGTCTTAATACACATTAGGTCACTTGATCCCAACCATCCTGAGAAAGGTGTAACATATTAATATGTGATTTTTTTCTGTTTTCCTTAGGAAAAAAGATTAATGAGCAATGGTTGCTTTGCAACAATTTGCATAGCATTATGACATAAAGGTAGAAGATAGAAGAGAAGAATAAGGCAATCCTGATTCAATATAGATCATCACTAATGTGAAAATGAAGAGCTCCTTATAATCCCTGGGAGAATTAAATCAATCCTTTAACCAAAACACAAGTAAAATCCAATGGGAGCACAGAGAACTGAGTGATCCTGTCTGATTGGAAGAATTCAAAGAAGCATCACAGAAGTGAAGGGCAGGATTTCTACAGGCAGAAATGTGGCAGATTTCTAGGATGAGAGAATAGCTTTGGTTAGCAATGACACATAAACATATGAAAAAGGCAGGGCATGTTTGTGGAATCATTCTGTGTAGCTGGAGAAGGTCAGTAAAGAAGAAAAGTGGGAGAAAACCGGATAAGCAGGACAAACCTGCATAATGGAGACACTGAACACAGCAATGAGAAACTGAAGCACTATTAATGGTTTTTGCAGTGGACATTAGCACATTCCAACCTGTGTTTAAGGGTGATGTCCAAGTCAGCAGTGTGATGAATGGACAAGATGAGTAGTAAGTAACCAGGACCCTGGGGCCACACTGAGCTGCCCTAGCTTGGTGATAAAACCTGTGATCTCATTTGAGGATGAAAGGATAGTAAGCCACTTTCATGTCACTATTCTTGTTTAAACAATATTCAGCCATTACCTGGAGGCTAAATAACAGTTTTCTCATTGATGTTCTTTAATTTCATAAAGCAATTAATCTAAACTGTAAGAACCCATATATTACCCTCTTGAATCCCAATAAAGCTGTTTATTTTTTTGAGTAAGAAAACTTTGACCAATAGCTTTTTTTAGGTTTCTTTCAATTACTCTTTATTTTTTAAAGTATGCATACCTTCCCTAGATTATTCTAAGGAAAGAGGAAGAGAGGCCAGTCAAGAAATTTTTGCAATAGTCTTGGTTTGAAAATGACTAACATCTGAGCTAATAAAATGGTGCTCAGTGTTCACATGTCATGCATGAGGTGCATGAGGCGTTATCTCATCCCAACCCTGTGGGTTCTATAACTATCTTGATTTTAGGAATGAGAAACAGAGAGGTTACAGAACTTGTCCAAAGTCATAGATCTAGTCAACAGAGGAGCCAGGACTTGGCCCTCAGGTCAATTTCAAAGTTGTGGTTCTTTATCATAATGGAGAAGTACTGCCTAGCTAGGATGCTAGAGGGGATGGAGACACATGACAGAGGCAGAACCCACTCATCTGGAGGCTGAATTCAGTCTGGTGGAGTGAGTGGAGATCGCTCTGGCATGCTAAGGAATCTGGACTATACACAGTAAGGGACATAAAGCCATTAAAAGATTTTAAGCAGAAATATGATGTAATCAGATCATTAAAAATAGAAAGTTACTGATAATGTCTACTTAAGACATAAGTAGTAGATCTGGCCTAAGTCAATAGCTATTGGGGGCTTGCTTTTTTTTGTTTTGTTTTGTTTTGTTTTGGAAACAAAGATTGCCAGGTTGCCAATGCCCTCACTCTAAATCAAGGTGTCGTATTTTTTTTTTTCTGATTTGGTCTTGAGGTCTCTCTCAGGCCTGTGAACTGTAGCCCCGCCCTGGCAGGGCTCCAGGAAAGGTGCTTGTGGATGTTTTTCAGTGTGCCTTTCAGGGGATGGATGCTTCTTTATCCTGGTGGATGACTTCGTCCTTCGTGTCTGACCTGTGCCAAGTTGTCCCTCTCACTGGAAACTTGTTTACACTGGCAGATGCTCTTGTGGCTCTTGTCTGACCTGTGTCCAGTTTATTTCTACCAAAATAGCCACTCTCTCAGAGAGCCCTGACTGGGAAAGAAGTTAGGTTTAGGTGTGTCGCTCAAGTGAGACACAGAGGAGGCAAATCAACAAAACATGAAATAACAAGCTGTGTATTACTCACAGATCCCGAGAGGAGTGGGCAGCATGCCTCACAGGGCCAACTATTATAGAAGGTGGCAGCAGGGAGGGGTCCATAAGAAACACACAGCCTCAACCAGCAGGTGGGGAGCAGGACAGATGGGGGTCAAAGCCTTTCTTAGATTCCAGGGCATTACCCAAGCAGGTTTCTCTCAGGAGATCTGACTGGTGGGTTTATAGCAAGCAGGCATGAGTTCTGTGGAGTCACACTGTGACTGGAGGGCTGGGGGTGTGTTGCTGCTGCGTATCTGTTCCTGCAGGGTGTGAGGGCCAACGGGTGGAGTGAAGAAGGTTGTATCTAAGCTGGCCCATAAGGAGGTGGTCACCATGAGGCAGTTGTATAAGGCAAATATCTGGATTGACCTTATTGAGGAACTGGGAGGAAACAGAGAACTGGAAACTGTGTTGGGGTGACTGCGCACTGCTTCTGGTATGAGACAGCCCAACTTAGATTCCAAATGGATGTTGAGGCAACATGAAATTATAGAAATTTGCTACCCAGGGTTTCTCCACCTTGGCTCTATTAATATTTGGGTCTGAATAATTCTCCACTGGTGGGGTCGCTGTGCTATGCACTGTAGCTTCCCAGGCCTCTACCCATCAGATGCCAGTAGTGCCCCTGCCCCTGCAGTTGTGACAACCAAAAATGTCTCCAATCGCCCCAGGTTGAGAGCCACTGTATGGAAAATGTTTGTGATAAAACTTGCTAAATTTTTGAAATGAAATTTTATCAAAGCATTTTGAAAAATAAAATGCTTGATTAAAACCTAAACATAGAAATACTTTTAAATAAAAAACAGTAAGTAAAAGACATGGAAAATAATCCTAATAATAATTGTAAACTGCTTGATCCAAACCTAAACATAGAAATACTTTTAAATGAAAAACAGGAAGAGACAAATTGCAGCAATAATAAAAGTCAAGATCCCATTCCATGGAGACTATTTGACTGATACCTGTGAAAATGGAGCTGAAGTCAGCCTTGAGAGCAGCTTTTGATGGTCAGGGCAACATGAGCATCTCAGATGAGTGACTTTGATATGTCACAGAGCACTCTCTATTTCTGTCTGAGGCTGCATGAAGTTCTAATCTGCTTAGATCTGATTGGATGGCCCTTTGATTGCTCTATTCATCTGTTCATTTAAAATCTCTTTCATGCCAGGGTTTTCTGACTACACTCATAACCCCGCAATCATCCCAGCTATATCAAGCAGGATAATGTGGCTTTGCTTTAAGCTGAGATACTCCACAAAGCATAAGCAGGAGATTTAGATTCAGCTGAGGTTTTCTGAAAGTTAAGAAAGCAGCAGGAGTTACCATTTAGGCAACAAACACCACAAGACTCTAGTTTAGCTTTTTGTCTAGTTGCAAACATAATACTTTCATGTTTTCTTAGATTCTTTTCATTAAGTTAGACCTTTCATGCCAAGCTTCCCTCAGATTCACCCCTAGCTTCTGAACAGAGTAGCATTTGGTGGCTGACAGATGAAATACTTTAATGCACGTCATCTGTATTCACAGCACCCCAGTAATTAACCCCCTGTTAGGTCTCCCAGTAGCACCATTCTATGCACCTCTAAGAATCAGCTTGTTTCCAGAAGAAGAGCATATCCTCATGTCATAAACAATGGAGGAGAGATCATATCACTCAGTTTCGCTGCTGCCAGACAAAAGCAACTCCTGGCATGTGCCATTTAACCCATTCCCGGTAAAGAATTCTAACTGATATTTTAATCCCATCAGTATCCCAGTCACTCTCACACCCTTACAGAAGCCCAAGGCACCTCAGCTGGCTCCCACCCCCACCCAGGCATGGAGTGATGGCAGAAGCATATGAGGAAGTCATTTGACTTCTTGACCCTACCCAATCATTTGGTGGCTGTCACAAGGATACCAAATGTGAAGCAGAAGGTTTTCAGAGATGAGCTGGGCTCTGAGAGAAGTTCTAAGGGCAACGAAAAGCCTAAAGAGCCTCCGGGGATCCATCTGTCTTCCCAAAGAGCCTTGTGAACTGCGATTTAGAATCAGGTGTGCCATCTTGAGAAACCATCCCACATTCCAAACAAAATTAGTTTAATGTTCCCACATAAAAAGGTCCCGAGCCAGGTGGAGGATCATTATATGAGCATACACCATGGAACTAAAAAGGTTTGCATGCCGCTGGAAAGAATTCATGGGGAAATTTATTACAGATCCATTTCTTATGTAAGTTGTGTCCTCCTGTGATGAGCTCAGTGGAAGGAGCAAGGCCAAGAAAGGTTATTTGGGCCAAATATCATTATCGTTTCCCCTTTGAGAAATAAGATATTCTTCATCTAGATATTCTTCTAGTCCCAGGAAGAGGAAGGAGGGCAGGAAAAAAAAACCCTCAAACTTTCTACAAGGACAATTCTTTGCCTTTAGGAGAAGTCTATCTATTTCTCAATTCTTCCTGCAAACTGGGCGAAACTGAAGAACAGTAGGGATAAACAGAGGCTGAAAAAACTCACAGGTTGGCAAATACCACAGTCCTGAGGGGTAAGAGGGTCTTCAGAATCTCAGGTTCTTTATCTTCCATGGTAAACTCTTGCAGAGTGCGAGTCCTTTTATACCACAAAGACTCTGAGACCACAGACATCACAAGTAACAAGACAGCACTGTGGAATGTCAAAGCATGGACTGGGAAGCTAAATGGACTCATAGCCTAATTCTAGACCTATCATCTGCTAACAGGAATTCTAATAATGAAAAATAACAACTACCACATATATGACTCATGTGCTCCATGCCTCCGTCGGTACCCATTTCACCCAGAGTGACAGCCACTGCAGTAACCACAAGACCGTGGATGACTTAGTCCCTGCTCTCTCTCCAAACAAACTACTGTGACTCTCCCCTGTTTGCACTCCACTCCAACCACGATGGTCTCCATACTGTCCTGGCACATGCAAAGCCCACTCCTGCCCCAGGGCCTTTGCACTAGCTGTCCCCTCATTCGGGAATGTTTTTCTCCAGACCGTCATAATTTCCTCAGATCCTTGCTCACATTTCATCTTATCAGAAAAAAATTGCTTGTTCTAAAATTACAAGGGCCCTCTACCTGCCCCTCTCAAACCTTCCCCAAGATTCTAGTCCCCTTGTCCAGCTTGAGTATTCTCCACAACACTTATTACCAACTGAAATAACATATAGTCCTTGTTCATATCTTGTCTGCATCCCACAGAAAGATGTAGGGTACTAGGCACTAGGGATATGGCAGTGAACCGCATGCCAGGTACTACAATATCTGGCATGAGGCAGTGCCTATGTGGATGGACACAATTGGCCACCTTTGTGTCAGGCACTCCACAGAGACAAGTGTCTCTGAGTCTCACAGTGATTTCGCCACTAGATATGAACAATGAACCAATGACACCTAGGTCTTGACTGAGGGATAAACCATTTTAAGTTGCATAACACAGAAAATGAACTTCTAGCAATTGTTTGTTTTCAGGAGTTCTTTTCCAGTTACTCACTCCTGCATAATAAATTTCCCTAAAGCTTACTGGCTTATACCAACAACCATTTTATTGTCATTCTCACTTTTGTGGGTCAAGAATTCTGGCAAGTTTCTGCTTGGTGATTCTTCTGTTCTACATGGTGTCAATTGAAGTTGCTTAGTCATATTCACAGTTAAAATGGGCTGGTCTGGAAGCCAATCTGCTTCGCTCACACATGTGATACTCTAGTAGGGAAAGCTACGAGGGGTTATCAAGCAAGTGTCTACAAAAATTTATCCCTTGTTTTTAAGGTTAGTAAGTCAGACCAGAAAGCAATATAAGAAAGGAATCTGAAAGTCTTTTGAATAATTGTAGTATTACTGAAATGGCACCTGACTTCCAGAGAATATGACATTTTCATACTCAAATTCAGTTTACCTCTTGAAACAGTAATCTCATAATTTGATGTCACACTTCACACACTTATTATTCAGTCCTTAAAAATAACTGACAGGTGGAGAAGAAAAACAGTGTCTAGGCATAAATATAATGAAAACTTAATTTTGTGAACTTGGAATCAAATCCAGCAGAAGGTACTTTTGAATTTAGCTACCATTTAAACCAAAGCATTAAGGCTTTATGACCACAAAATAACAACATAATGAAAGATAAAAGGGGAAAACAGTAAACGCACATCTGGGCCATTTTGTACATTTTAAAGATGGGCCTACCTTTGATATAATCTGAAGTTGAAGTGAAAAAGGAATGTGATGGTTTCTTAAGAAACAGAAAGGTATATTTTTCAAGAGAACATCTACAACCTCATTTCTCACACCTTATTTTGCAACAGTGGTGGTGAGGAGGGGACATAATTCAAGAAAGGACGGAGAAATCGAACTCCCTCAGTCAGTTTTATTTGAAAAACAAAATCCTGACCCATGGTTTACCTTAAAAGTGTCCTCAAAATTGCCTTTTAGAACCTTCCCCCAACAAAAACTCTTCAGTCTTTCAAGGAACATAGAGACATGCTCTTTCCCTATCAGATGAAATAAGGCAAGATACTTCCATGTATGACAATATAATATATTTAATCCAACATTGTGCCTTTGGTTACCATTTGTGCACGTTGGCAGGTTCACATGAGCCTTGGGGGAGCCTGTGGTCTACCCGCCTGGTCTATTCCCCTTTCCTTTGTCTTCATGAGCAGCATTTTCAACTTTCTTTTCTTCCTCCAGTTCCTCTTACGTGGGCTTAGGTTTTTGGTAGGATCTCCATCCTTTTTAAAAGTGTATATACTCTCAAAAGTTAGAATAGGAATTCTTCCCTTTCCCATTTGATTTAAAAGCACATCATTTAAGGATTTTTCTTACCTATTGATTCTGAATATTAGCAACAACATTTATAACAATGGAAACTGCAGAACTGGTGTGCCACTGGCCCACAGCAAACCACATGGCTGAGGTCAGAGTGAAGGAGGAAACAAGAACAACACACCAAGGGGAAGGGCTCCATAAAGGGAGTAGATCTGGGGAGTGGTGAAGAATTGGAGCCCTTTTTTGGAATTTACAACAGGTACTCAACAATGCCAGAAGAACTGACGACTTTGCCAGGCTCCACAAATTGTGGGACCAGTCAAGTCCCTTTTTTACTTATTTATTTTTTTATTAGTCAGGTCACTTGAACTTTTATGCTGATTCTTCATTTTGGCAAACATTCTTTTTCTCATAAAGATTCATGTGGTCTTGAATGTTAAAAGGGCACTTTAAGTCTTTCCAAGGACTATGGGTAATAAAAAATCAGGGACCTGTTTCTTAGTGCCTGTGAGCTCCAAGAACTCTAGGGTTGGGATCGCAACCATTGCAGAGACGGAAAAATATCTGAGACAATTGAGAGGTGGAATCCATCCAAAATCAAAATAACAGCTGAAAGGAGGCCTTACAAGTTCAAGCCCTTGGATGCATCCTTCAAACAACCAGGCTTTGGGGCAGGCTCAAAGGGGCAAATGCAAAGAATAAGGAAAACTCAAGCAAATGACTCCACCATTGCACCTAAATCCTGCCCTCCTCATCTGTCAGGTAATAGTCTACAAGTTATATATTAATCTGCTATCCTAACAGTCTAATACAGTCCAACTCATACTGAACAGGAAGACATTTTAAAGCTATCCTACACCTATGCTGCCCCTGGGTCAGCTGAGTGAGGGAATGTGGTGTGTTAATGATACACACGGGAAGTGTCATGGCCCAATGCAATAAGGAACTAGTTTCACCTGGGATCTGCCTCACTCTGACAAAAAGAGATTGAAACATCGTACACTATATCCTCATCCTATGGAGCTGCACTGTACACGGAAGCCTCTGAGAAGTCTTATAGGAAGATTAAACCATTTCACCTTGAATAGCCCAGCATTTCTCTGTATATTTGACTACAGAACCTTGAATTATGCATTATCATCACATGGAAATACTAGATATGGAGGTCATGGTTTGTGACTGTCCTGGCTTCACTGGGATGCCAGAGGAGAGGTTCCAGGGACCACAGGACCACCAAAGAGCAAGAGGTACAACAAAGTGTTACTGGAAATGTTTTGACAGCAGCCAGTCAGCCTCCTTACCTCCAGCTAGGAGAGGCTTGCAAAACAATCCCCAAGTCTCAGGAGCTTGAAACCACAAAGATTAATTTTGCAATCACACTTACGTTCTTTATAAATCAACAAGGAAGTTCTTTTCAACATGGTCACTCGGAGACCCTATAATGATGGTTAATTTTGCATGTCAACTTGGCAGGACTAAGGGATGCCCAGATAGCTGGTAAATCGTTATTTCTGGGTATGTCTGTGTGGGTGTTTTGGGAAGAGATTTGCATTTGAATTGGTAGACTGAGTAAAGAAGATCACCCTCACTAAGGTGGGCAGACAGTATCCAATTTGTTGAGAGCATAAATGAAATGAAAATGTGGAGAAAGGATGAATTCACTCTCCTGTCTTTGAACTGGGAAATTCTTCTTCTCCTGCCTGAGAATTCAAACTCCTCAACCTCAGGTCTTCTGATTTGGACCAGGAAATTAAATCATCAGCCTCCCCCCACTGCGCCCCACAGTTCTCAGGCCTCAGATTCAGACTGAATTACTCTATCAGGTTCCTGGTTCTCCAGCTTGCAGATGGCAGATCATAGGTCTTCTGAGCCTCCATAAACACATAGGCCAATTCCTATAATAAATTAATATATGTAACACATAAGATATGTATTTATATATAGCATAATTTTATATAAAAGACCCTTTTCTCCAAATTACACATATTTACATATATCTCCTATTGGTTCTGTCTGGAGAACTCTAATCTACCAGGACAACAAGGCAGCCACCATCTCCAAACTTTCCATCACCAAATGGAAAAGAGAGCATGGAAAAGCAGGCACTTGCTCTAAAGACACACATCACTTCCACTCACATGGCATCAGCCAAAGCAACCATATGGCTGCATCTAACTTGCACAGGGAAGTGCTAGTCCTACTGTTAGTTTCTCGAACCTGCTAGAACAAATTACCACAAATTTGATGGCTTGAAACAACACAGTTCTATTTACTTAGAGCTCTGGAGGCCAAAAACCCAAAATCAGTATCACTAGGCTGAAACCAAGGTATTAACAGGGCCATGCTCTCTTTGGAGGCTTTAGGGGAGAATTCATTCTTTGCCTCTTCCAGCTCCTGGTCATTGTGGGCATTTCTTGGATTATCCCCTCCTCACTGTAATCAAGACCAGCATCTTCAGACCTTTCTTCATGTGGTCTTCCCCTCTGAGTGGGTCCAGTCTCTCTCTGCCTGTTTTATAAGCATACATGTGATTGCATTAAGGGCCCTTGTGGATAATCCAGGATAATCCCCCTAACTCAATATCCTTAATGTAATTACATCTGCAAAGACCCTTTTTTCCAAATAAAGCAGCATTTGCAGGGTCTCGGGATTAGGACTTGATAACATAGGGGACCGTTATTCAGCCTAAGAAAGGAGAACTGGGATCCTGTATTTAACTACAAGTGGAACAACTACCATATTCTATTTTAGTCTCCCCTCTCCCCTGATTTCTCAACTAAGTGCACAGGGTTCTGAGCACTTTGTCTGTCTACAGCTAAGCATTCATTCAATTTCAGACAGAGCCGAAAATGCACAGCCAGAGAAGGCCTCAAGGACTGACTTACACAACCCTCTCCTTGACAATTGAATAATTCGGGTCTCAGAAAATATTATGTACCCAGGGTCAGACATTGAGTATGAGATGAACATAGAACAGAGGACACCAGACTTGTAACAGAGCCACAAATACTATGTTACATTCTTTGTTAGCTGCCTGGTTAGCCATTTGGTTGGTAATCTGATTTTTGCCCTCTGATATATAACTTCTGCAGCAACATCTTCAGCCCGCATACTCTGTCCCCTAATCTTTAGAAATTATCATCTGATATTTGATATATATTTATTGGTTTGTTTATTGTCTGTTTTTCTCCACCAGAATATAGAGTCAATGACCACAAAATTTTACTTTACTCACTGTAGTGGCTATACTAGTGCCTGGCACATAACTGGCATTCAATACTTGTTAAATGAATGAATAAATGAATCTTCAGAACTGAACCTTTTCTCTGATTCCTTGCCTAAACTTACTATCTTTCATCTCTTTTTCAAAATAGTCATTCTAACAGATGTGAGGTGATATCTCATTCGGTTTTTTTGTTTGTATAAGGTTAAAAGGTACAAGTGCATTTTGTTACATGGATGTATTACGTAGTGGTGAAGTCTAGGCTTTCAGTGTAATCATTACACAAATAATGTACATTGCACCCATTAAGTTTTTATCTTCCTTCATCCACCTCCCCACATCCCACCCTCTCAGCTTCTGTGTCTCCAATGTCTATTATTTCACACTCTATGTTCATATATACTCATTATTTAGCTTCCACTTACAAATGAGAACACGTGGTATTTGACCTCCTGTTTCTGAGTTATTTCATTTAAGGTAATGGCCTCCAGGTTCATCCATGATGCTGCAAAAATATGATTTTATTCTTTTTAAGATATCTCATTGTTTTAATTTGCATTTTCTTTTTTATTTTTTTTGGTTTGTCTGTTGGTTTGTTTGTTTGTTTTTGAGATGGAGTCTTGCTCTATCACCCAGGCTGGAGTGCAGTGGTACAATCTCGGCTTACTGCAACCTCCACCTCCTGGGTTCAAGCGATTCTCCTTCCTCAGCCCTCCAAGTAGCGGGATTATTCAGGCACATGCCACCAGGCCCAGATAATTTTTGTATTTTTAGTAGAGACAGGGTTTCACCATGTTGGCCAGGCTGGCCCCAAACACCTGACCTCAAGTGATCTGCCCGCCTCAGCCTCACAAAGTGCTAGGATTACAGGCATGAGCCACCACACCCAGCCTTGCATTTTCTTCATGATATAACTTATCATCAGGGAAATGATATATATCTATCTACCTGTTGTCCATTTTCTAATAGTTTACATTAAAACTTCACTATCATGTTAATTTGGTAAATGTCTGATAATGTCTTCTGGAGTATTAAAAAGAATTATGTTTTTAGCTTATAACAAATATGGTTGCAATTTTGTAGACCTTTTGTATTTATTTTATAATACTTTATATTTTGTCGTATTTT
Organism: Homo sapiens; assembly: GCF_000001405.40. Classification (NCBI taxonomy): domain Eukaryota; kingdom Metazoa; phylum Chordata; class Mammalia; order Primates; family Hominidae; genus Homo; species Homo sapiens. Next base: position 1,347,894 of record NC_000009.12, on the reverse strand, counting down.
TCTAAAGAAATTGCCAACAAAAAATATATACAGATTAATTATCAATTCATCTCATATGGCAAAAAAAACCTTTGCTATAAATAGGCAATACTCTAGAATGATTTTATTTATATAAATAGTATAATTCTTTTATGACTGAAGTTGTGATTTCCTCTAATTCTTCCCTGAACCACTGCTTCAGATATTTGCAATCTGATAAAAATTATTGCCTTTAGTTCTCCTGTTTGATCTTAGAGTGAAGGATTAATCCTAGTAAATACATTGTCATGTAAACTTTTCTGACATTAGGTTCCATTTAACTACTTTGGAGCAGAATCAAGCAGAATAATAACTATGAATTCAGTAGCTTTTGTTTATAAAGCAAAAGTGTCTGACAATCACCAAAAACAAAAATATGAACATACTGAGTGGGAAAACACATTGTTTTTTAAAAAGAGAACCTGCTTTTCCTTAGTTTTAAGATGCCCAGAAGAAAATGAATTCTTTACATGAAAACAACTGACAACCTCCCAGTAAAGTGGAGGAAGGACTAAAATGATAGATTAGAATTTCATGGGCTTAAGAGTCTAAAAATTGGTGAAATTTTAACCGAGATATTTATGTAGAAACTTCTAAGCTGATGAACCACAAGCCTTTATAACTATGATTCTTCCATCCTTAACTTGACTCATTTCTCATGCACTCTCCACTTCCACCTTTCTAGATGTCTTCCGGTACTCTCACTTTCCTCTAAACTTTCAAATTTGCTGTACCTTTCACTGGGACATTCTTCTCCCAAACAAACCCCCTTCCCCTCCAATTCTAACTCTTAGTCTCTCAACTGTAAAATGAGTATTATCGGAAATGAGCTAATAATGCACATTAGTGCTTACTCCAGTGTTTGGCACGTGGTGAACAATGAACAAATGTTCCTCATTATTTTTACCACTGGTGTCCTCAACAAGGCAGTTTCAGTTGGATAAATATGCTGGAATGACTATTTGGGGCATTTGGTAGGCCCACAGGGAGATGTTTGGGAGTATGTAATTCATTTGGGGAATAGAAATTTCTAAAACACTATGTGTAGGGTTGGTCTTCTACCTAATGGTTATTTAGTTGAGTTATTCCAAAGTGGAGCATAACGCAGAACAGAAAAGCATGAAATGAAAAGGATTTAACGGGGAAATTCCAGCTCTACCATATCCCCAGGGACTCCTCTCTTTACCACAGAAAGAAAATTCATTTATTCAACAGATGTCTGTTGAATACCTGTGCCAGGCCCTACGTAGAATCTAGACATGGAAACCACATTGAGCCAAACAGACTAAAATTTCTTCCCTGATAGAGCTTTTGTTCTAAAGGGGCTAGGCAGACAATAAAGAAAATAAATAAGGATTTGTTTGTAAGACTCTGGTAAGTCCTATGGAGGAAAATAAAGCAGGGTGACTAGTTTGAGCAGACCAGTAAGCGGGCAGGCAACAATTTTATTTTAAGTAGGGTATTTCACACCTAGCCTAGGTGTGAAAGGGATATTTGATCAAATACTTGAAGGAGAAAGAGAGCAAGACGTGTGTACATCTGAGTGCTCCAGGCAGAACAAGCAACCAGTGCAAAGGCCCTGAGGTGCTAGGGAGGTGCCTGATTGTTTAAAGGACAGGAGAGAGGACAGGATGGCTGCAGAAGAATGAATGACAGGGAGCATTTCAGGAGCCAGATCACCAAAGGTCTTGCAAGCTATGTAAGAACATTGGCTTTTACCCTCGGCGAGATGGGAAGACAATTCTGGGGTCTGAGTAGAGATGAAAGGAGATCTGACTTAGGTTTTTAAAAGATAAGAGAATTGTCTTGTCTTTTAAGACAAACATTTGTTACCTTTCATATTTATTTATAAATATAAGATCATGTTATGATGACATGAACTTATATTTAGAAAACCCTAAGGAATCTACCAAACAACTGCTAGAACTGAAAAACTCAGTAAAGTTGGAGGATACAAAATCATCATATACAAATCAATAGTGTTTCTATGCACTGACAACTATCCAAAAAAGAAATCAATAAAAAATTTAATTTATGATAGCTACCAGAAAAAAAAATACTTAAGAATATATTTAACCAAGGAGGTGAAAGACCTGTACATTGAAAATTATAAAACATTGATTACAGAAATTGAAGAAGACACAAATAAATGGAAAGATATCCCAAGTTCATGGATTGGTAGAATAAATATTGTTAAAACGTCCATACTACCGAAAGTAATCTGCAGATTCAATGCAACCCTACCAAAATTCCAATGACATTTTTAGCAGAAATAGAAAAAAATCCTAAAATTTGCATGGAACCACAAAAGACCCTAGATAGCCAAACAATCTTGAGCAAAAACAAGAAAACTGGAAGCATCACACTACCTGACTTCAAAATATACTACAAAGGTATAATAATCAGAACAGCAAGGCACTGGCAAAAATCAGATACACAGACCAGTGGAACAAGATAGAGATCCCAGAAATAAGTCCACACAATTACAGTCAATTGATTTTTGACAAAGGTGTCAAGAACACACAATAGGAAATGATAGTCTTTTCAATAAATGGTGTTGAGGAAACTGGATATCCACATACAGAAGAATACAATTATACCTTTAACTAATACCAGATAAAAAAATCAATTCAAAATGAACTACTGACTTAAAACCTGAAACTGTAAAGTAACTAGAGAAAAGGATACAGGAAAGCTCCATGATGTTGGTCTAGGCAATGATTATTTGGATATGATTCCAAAAGCACATGCAGTAAAAGCAAGAATAAAAAAAGAGATTATATCAAACTAAAAAGCTTCAGCACGCAAAGGAAACAATCAATTAACAGAGAAAGAGATAAACTATGAAGTGGGATAACACATTTGCAAACCACACATCTGATAAAGAGTCAATGTCCAAAATATATAAGGAACTCAAACATTCCAATAGCAAAAAAAAAAAGTCAATTATAAAACTGGTAAAGGAACTGAATTGGCATTTCCCAAAAGAAGACATAAAAAATTGCCACCAGCTATATGAAAAAACATATTTAAGATCACTAATCATCAAGAAAATGCAAACTAAAACTACAATGAGTTGTCATCTCACCCCAGTTAGAAAGCCTATTTTCGAAAGATAACAAGTGCTGGCAAGGATGTAGAGAAAAGAAAACCCTTGCACACTGTTGGTAGAAATGTAAATTAGCATAGCCACTATAAAAAACAGTATGGATTTTCACTAAAAAATTAAAAATAGAACCACCATATGATCCGGCAATCCCACTGCTGAGTATAAACCCAAAGGAAATAAATCAGTATGTCAAAGAGCTATCTGGACTCCCATGTTTATTTCAGCACTATTCACAATAGCCAAGACATGGAATTAACTTAAGTGTCCATTAAAGGATGAATAAAGAAAATGTGGCATATATACACAATGGAGTACTATTCAGCCATAAGAAAGAAGGAAATACTATCATTTGCAAAAACATGGATGAACCTGGAGGACATTATGTTAATTAAAATAAGCAAGGCACAAAAAGATGAATATTGCATGATCTCACGTGTGGAATCTGAAAACTGAACTCATCGATGCAGAGAGTAGACTGGTGGGCACCAGAGGCTGGGGTAGGAAAGGGGAAAAGATGTTGGTCAAAGGGTACAAAATTTCAGGTAGACAGGAGGAATAAGTCCAAGAGACCTATTGTACAATGTGGTGACTATAGTTAATAACACTGTATTATATTATGGAAAATTGCTAAGAAAGTAGATTTTAAGTGCTCTCATCACAAAAGATAAGTATGTGAGGTAATACGTATGTTAATTAGCTGATTTAGCCATTCCACAGTGTACACATACTTCAAAACATGTTATACAAGATAAATATAAACAATTTTTGCCAATTAAAAAAATAAAAAAAGTAAATACATTGGAAAGAGCGTGGTATGAAATGAGCCTAGTAAATCCAGCTATCCAGGAAACCCAGAAATTTATGAATGTGCAGCCAACCTGCTATGGACTGAATCGTGTCCCCCCAAGTTCATATGTTGAAGCCCTAACCCGAAAGTGAAGGTGTTTGCAGATGGGGCTTTTGGAAGGTGATTAGGGAGACATGAGGCCATGAGGGTGGAGCACTCATAATAGGATTAGGGCCCTTAGAAGAACAGGAAGAGAGACAGTTCTCTCTTCATTATGTAAGGACACAGCTAGAAGATGACTGTCTGCAAATCAGAAAGAGGAACCTTACCAAAACTCAGACATGGTAGCACCCTTATCTCAGATTTCCATCCTCCAGAACAGTGAGAAAAAAATACCTGCGTTTAACCTGCCCAGTCTATTATAATTTGTTATAGCAGCCAAAGATGACTAAGACACAACCTTTCCTTTTGCATGCCCTCCCCGGCCCAAGAGTGAAAAGACCAGTGGACAGAGACAGAATACTCCAAGCCCAGGAAAGCCCGGAGCTGCAGCTTTTCTGAGCACAGACGGAAAGAATGAGCTTGGCCTGTGCTGCCAGAGCAAGTGGCTCACCTTGCCATGTCTGTATCTCAACTCCTTTCAACCAGGGATTTAAAATAAGCTGAAACATCCCTTGAATGCCTGCCACATGCTTCCAAGACACTATAGGCCACCGAGAGGGGAACAAGTAGCCAAAACATTTCCTCACAGTTCTCAAGACTTCACTACCAGTCATGGTCAGGGAGAAGGTAAATCTCAGTTTTGAAGGCTGATGGTTTGTTTTCCTATAGTCAACCCTAAGTAAACGAACAACTACCAAGCAGTACTATAGTTTTCATATGAAATGATAGAATATTAGACATTTCTATTTCTCCTCTGGGCAACATAACCCGTTGGTGTATTTCAGATACCAAGTTAATTGATTTAACAAGAACAAAGAGGAAAATCTTCTGGTGTACATTAATCAGGAGGAAAACAAATCAGTTTAACATATTATTATGTGGTCTTCTCTCCAAGTTGCTTCAATATAATTATTCATTGAGGAAGAAAATATTAAGATAAGGCTAGGAAGCACATAACTCCATGGCTAAAACCAAGTAAAAGTACTTCATTCAACAGTGCCACAGATCAAAACTATTCTTAAGTCTTGCCTCCCTTAAGAATTGACTCGACCCCAAATAAAATTGCCAAGTGAGCGAAATCTGTCTTTCACTTACTCATCTACATTCTATGTCCCTTTTTAACCCTCTATCACTTTTCACTTTCCATATCCCATTGATTTTAGGATACTGCCTGAGGCCATAATCCTTGAGAAAGATATCTGAAATCATGCTAATACTTTTTTGTAAATTAATTTAATATTATTCTCATGTGTATTGACACTTTTAAAAAAGACTTCTGAGTTAATAGCCCTCTCCTTGAATGATGTCCATGGCTTAAATGGCAAAATCTATATTCTAGAGTAAAATATGCCAAACCTATATTTCCAGCTCTAAAATATCTTGCAAGCTCCAGACATACATTCCTGGCTAAGAACCATAGCCAGTGTGGGGTAATGTGGTGAATAACACTGGTTTAAAGTCTTATATGCACCTCGTAGTTATTAACTTGCGTGTACTTCCACTTGAATGTTGTGCTTGCATCTCAAAACACAACCCAAACTGAAATTATCATCTTCCACCCCAAGGATGTTCTGTGTCCTTTGAGGTCAGTTTTATTTAGTTGTATCACCATGCCTCTAAGCCTTCCAATAGAGAAAGAGTTAGTTATTCCTGACTTTCTCTTTAAGCCTCAACGTTTAAGCTGTCAGTTATCATGTTTATTCTGTTTCTTTCCCTCTTCTCTGACAAAGATGATAAACAAGTTTCATCATTATAAACATTATTATTATGTTTATATGTTATATGTTTATATGTTGTATGTTAATAAACAGTGGCTTCCTGATGTGCTGTATGGAGAAAAATTCTAGGATAACCAGGGAACAGAACAGATTGACTAGTAATGTCTGTTATGGTGCAGAAAGGAGTAGTAGGACACATGGCAGATATATGAAATCCTTAGCCTATGGCCTCATCATCTCTTGCCTGAAATATTGTAAAAAGCTTCACTTCTCATAACCAGCCTCTTTCTAGTTTAAACTATCTCTCATACTGTAAGAGTTATATTCTTTCACAAAATTCATAAACACGTAGCTCCATCCCCAGCTTAGACATCTCAATTTGTTTTCTAATACCTTCAGGATAGAGGCCCACCCTCCCTATGTAGTGTACAAGATGCTCCTGAATGTGATCCAGCCTCATTATCCACACCCATTTCCATCCATATATGGTCCAGGCACACACATACTTTTACTTTCTCTGATCAACATTTGGGGACCCTAGGCTTTCATGCACATCCTTCGCTCAGTGACGTTTCATTCAAAGAATAAACATCCTAGTCCTTCTTCACTTACAAAATAATTTTTCATCTCTTAAACCCCAATTCAAAATGCCCTTTCCCACAAAAAAGCCCTTTCTAACCTGACTCTTACAGCACTCCATACATGCATACTTGAAAGTGCTTGCCCCATTTTGCTCCAAAATGTACTTGTTTGTCTCTCTCCATCACTATACTGTGAATCTCCCAGCAGGAGAGATCAGGTCTTATTCATCTTTATGTCCCAGGTGCCTGGCACAAAATCTGGTACATAGTAGGGGTATTTGGTAAAAGTTTGTTGGATAAATGAACTCAAAGGAAAGCTCTCTAATTGTGTCCATTGAAACACTGTAGCATCTACGACCAAAGAGTTATTTTTGGTTGGAGAGGCTATTGTCAATCCTTCAATTCACATCATCCTATATAGTGGCCTAAGATGTGGCTCTTCTAGCAAGAAACATAGCCCTAAATATTGCACCCACCAATTGCTATAACATGAATATTGTTTTCTGATACAATTAGGCCAATTAAATTGCTTTCCTGGAAGCTTTTAGCCCTGCCCAATGAGAAAGACTGGCTGGAAATGCACACTCAGGACTCCTATGGACTCTTGGCTACATCCAAAGACAAGCAGTAGTATGAATTGCTGTGTTCTCCAAATCCTATATCTCCCTCATGAATTTCTAATTGCTCAACTTCTCATCACAGGTAACAAAGACCTCTTTTCTCTAAAGAATTAAATTAAATTAAAAGTACACATAAATTTGAACTACCTCATTCCACAGTTTCTGCCTCCCCCAACTCCCTAAAACTGAATGTAACAAGAGGAACATAAAGCAAACTACAGAATAATGTAAATAATTTGAGCTTCAAAGATTCAGATGTTTAAACTCAGAGTACTTACTGAAGTGCCTGACAATACAAGTCCTGGCAGGCTTGGGACTGCATTTCTGGAACATGGGAATTGTTCCATGAAACAACAACCAAGAAAACTGTTTCAAAAAAATCAGCAATTCAGAAAGCATGAAAATCTGTGAAAAGCAACCAGAGGTAAAATAAGACACAAGATGTCTACAGGAAGTGGCCTTACCTTGAGTTCCTGACTGAGCAACCACCATGTCTCTTATGGACCAAGTCTCAAAATGTGTCATATGAACAACAGATTCGCCATACTTTCAAATTAGGACTGAGAGATACTTCAAAACTGGACTAGGGGCCATTGCCAGAAAGGAGTTAGAAGGGCTGCAGAGGGCAAGGTTGGCATCTACAGGACATGGGAGCTTGCCAGTGCCTGGCACAAGACCCAGTAATGAGTTGTGAGGACCCAAATGTGCCCACCTGCATGTAGTGTTTACTCTAGGCAATTCCTCAACTAGGAAGAGTGTTATTTTTTTTCTATTTTAAAATAGAATAGACCCTAAAGAGTGAAATAGAGAAGCAGTTCTCAACTATGATGTTTACGAGAATCACCTGGAGAGTTAATAAAGCTCCTAGAAGCCCCAGCTTTACCAAGTTCTCCAGGTGATTTTGATATACGCAGATGTCTAAGGACCGCTGATATAGCACTCTGGTTCTCAAATTTGCCTGCCCATTGAAATCATCTGGGGAGCTTTGAGAATTACTGATGCCAGGATCCCACCCAGGGCTTCTGATTTAATTGGCCTAGATGTAGCTCGGGCATTAGGATTTGTTAAAGATCCCAAAGGAAGCCAACACTGAAACCGCAGATTGAGAAGAATGGTCGCCCTCATCAAAGGAGAATAACTGATTCCTATATATTCAAAACTCCATTCAAATATAATCTGAAATCCTTATTCAGATTATATGTTATTCTCTATTGGCACTTGATATTACCATAGGTTTTTTGATTATCATCAATAATGTTTCCAGTAGTACCTGGAGCTCTGCCCTGACCCTATCCATAGGAGCTATTTTATGAATTACTTGAAAAGGATAGAAAAAGACCACTTGTTTGAACTGTCCTTTACTGCCCTCTGACAACTCAGGCTGATGGCAAGATTTACCCCCAGTCTTTTCTCCAATTTACCAGATACCAAACATTTACCCACAGAGCACAAAGCTTTTTACAAAATAGCAAGGCTGTCTCCTGCCTTCTTGGCATTCATTTTACTCTTGCTTAACTCTCCACTGCAAATTTCTAATAATGACCATATTGAGTAAGAATCTAGAGAAGCAGAAAGTGCTCCTGGTTTGTCTTTTAAAGCAAGTGGATGCCTCAACAACTGTGCAACTTCAGGCAAGGTCCCCAACCTCTCTGAATTTCATTTTCCTCATTTTTGTAAAATTGAAGCAATTATACTAACCAGCCATGCTATAATGATAAAATGAGATCTTGCAGTTACAGTGCTATGGCAGGGGTTGGCACACAGTAGGTGTTCAAATGTCTGTCACCCAGTAGGCACTGTCCATTGTTTACTTATTGCTGTTAACATTGCTATTATTCTACGTGGTACAAAAGAAAACACTGTCACAGATAAATCTTATCTACTCATTAAGGAACAAGGTTAAAAATTCTTTGCCTCACCTACAACATGGGAGAAAATTTTCGCAACCTACTCATCTGACAAAGGGCTAATATCCAGAATCTACAATGAACTCAAACAAATTTACAAGAAAAAAACAAACAACCCCATCAAAAAGTGGGCGAAGGACATGAACAGACACTTCTCAAAAGAAGACATTTATGCAGCCAAAAAACACATGAAGAAATGCTCATCATCACTGGCCATCAGAGAAATGCAAATCAAAACCACTATGAGACATCATCTCACACCAGTTAGAATGGCAATCATTAAAAAGTCAGGAAACAACAGGTGCTGGAGAGGATGCGGAGAAATAGGAACACTTTTACACTGTTGGTGGGACTGTAAACTAGTTCAACCATTGTGGAAGTCAGTGTGGCGATTCCTCAGGGATCTAGAACTAGAAATACCATTTGACCCAGCCATCCCATTACTGGGTATATACCCAAATGAGTATAAATCATGCTGCTATAAAGACACATGCACACGTATGTTTATTGTGGCACTATTCACAATAGCAAAGACTTGGAACCAACCCAAATGTCCAACAATGATAGACTGGATTAAGAAAATGTGGCACATATACACCATGGAATACTATGCAGCCATAAAAAATGATGAGTTCATATCCTTTGTAGGGACATGGATGAAATTGGAAACCATCATTCTCAGTAAACTATCGCAAGAACAAAAAACCAAACACCGCATATTCTCACTCATAGGTGGGAATTGAACAATGAGATCACATGGACACAGGAAGGGGAATATCACACTCTGGGGACTGTGGTGGGGTCGGGGGAGGGGGGAGGGATAGCATTGGGAGATATACCTAATGCTAGATGACACATTAGTGGGTGCAGCGCACCAGCATGGCACATGTATACATATGTAACTAACCTGCACAATGTGCACATGTACCCTAAAACTTAGAGTATAATAAATAAATAAATAAATAAATAAATAAATAAATAAATAAATAAAAAATTCTTTGCCTCCTCCGCTTTAGGAAATCTCAGATTATCTGGAGAGCAAAGATTCAGATCAGTGATCTACATGAGAGCCAAAAAAAAAAAAAAAATACTGAAATTAGCAACTATTGGTTTTGTCAACTTTGGGCCAAAGTACCATATAATGCTTTTCCCACATACATTATCAGAGCCAGAAATGTTCTTGGAGATCGTTGAAGCCTAATAAGTTTTCACAATAAAGAAATGGAGTCCCAGAGTTTAAACAGTGCTTTGGGCAGTTGGGTACTAAATAGTTACAGTCATAATTAGCACTCATGCCTGAGAGATAATATAGTAACACTTGATATTTATACATCTCTGAACAATTCACAAAGCACCTGATGCTAACATTTCTCCATAACCATGACCTGTAAAGCAGGATTTGTCAACCTTGGCACTATTGACATGCAGTGCTAGATATTCCTTGGTTGTGGGAGAGTCTTTGTCCATTTGTAGGATGTTTAGCAGCATCTGGGACCTTTACCCACTAGATGCCAGTAGCACACCTCTACACAGTTGTGATAGCCAAAAATATCTCCAGACACGGTCAAACATCCCCTGAGGGGCAAAACTGATTCCTACTTAAGAGCCACTGCTCTCAGTGTTAGCACAACTGGCACAAAACCAAGTTCAGAGAGGTGAACTTGCCCAAGGACACACAAGCTAGTAATTGGCAGGATTGGGGAGGGGATAGGTAGGACAAAAACAAACAAGCAACCCCAAACATATACACGGCCTAACCATTAGTCATGATTCTTCCACATTCCCATCTGCTGAGTGAAGTTGTCTCCTGTCATTCTTATCCCTCACTTGGAAGAAAAAAATAAATGTAAACAATAACTTGAAAAGCCTGTTGAGGCCAACTGTTTCAAACATGCTGTATGTGAAATATCAATATTTTTCATCACAAGATACAGAAAGTGTGAGTTTACTGTAATTATTTTCAGATGAGGCTATTTGAAGGTAAATAACCCACAAGATATTTTGTACACATCCTTGAGTTATTTTTGCCACAATGTCAGCGAGAAATAATTCAATTTTAGCACTGGAGTTACAAAAGTTCTTTCTAATATAAATGGCCCATAATTTCCCTGAGAAGTGATTACAAATATTTAGCTCAACTATTCAAATTAAAGTAGTCGGAAACTAACATCCAGTAGATTAAGGAACTAGTAGTAATGTGGATAAGAATGTTCAGGCTGAGGGAAAGCAGAAATCAGAGACCTGACTTTGTCAAGGTGAATGATGTTATCTTAAGTAAAAGCTAATACAGTCTGCCCACTGGAGATGGAAGAGGGTTCGGGTCACTTGCAGAGTGGCTTTGGATGTGACCCTTGGAATAGGGAGATATTTTTCCTCTGGGTTCCCTCCAGAAGGAGACATTTCCATACGGGTCACAGCCTTGTACTGTTAAGAAACTTTTCCTATCTTGTTTCTCACATTTCTCATCTATGCCTTATTATAGCAATTTCTGAAAAAGCAAAAAAGACGCCCGATAAGCAAGGCAGCGACTCTGCAGGCTTCCGAGTGTTCTTCCAGCAGGCAAAAGACAAAAAAAAAAAATAAAATTTAAAATAGAAAAGAGTAACCAACCTTTGACATAAGCAGGCCCAAAGAGAAGGGCAAATGAAATATCTCACCTCTCAAGCTTCGTAGGAAAGTAAAGACAAATTTGCATGTAAAGCCTGGGAAGGTGTCAAAATGGAGCACATCACCTTGGGAGAAACAAGTGCAGCAATGAAATCATTCAGGCTGAGGGGTGGTCAAGGGTGTACCAGAAACCTCAGAGGTCCAAATCAGGGGGCAAGTGGGAAAAGCTTGGGGCAGCCTTAACCTTTGGCCCAAAGCAAGATCCTTGGCCAGCTCTAAATGTTCCAGGTAGTGGCACCTTTGCTGATATTTACCTTTTTAGAACAAGGTTAGACTTCATAACCTCAGTGGCTTCATCATTTTCAATAAGAAAATTGATATCCAGAAATTTATGATTTGCCCAAAGTCACACAATTAGAAATCTATCTTAAAAACTTAGATTCCAAAACAGAGCTTTTACTAAAACACAACTTTCTCTACTAAGCCGTGCTCTTCACAGGGTCCTGATAAAATAGCAATCGTCCCCCCTGCATTGAAGAGTAAAGAGATAGCCAAGTACTTGGAGACACTGTGTTTTTATTTTGAATTTCGTGATTTCACTCGTTAGAGTAAGAATTATACTTACAAAAGTGAGAATTACAAAAGATATCCCCAGTTACCTTTTGGTTCTAGCAAAGAACCCCAAATCTGTAAGGACCTAAAAAGGCACAGAATTCATCCTATGTCAAATCTGTAGGGACCCAAATAACACAGAATTCATCCCATGTTATTCAATTGAAGACGCGTTAATGAAGAGCCCACACATAAAGGTGTGGGCAGGGTTATGGGAATATGTAACAGATGGGAAAATACCTAGAGCCTAGCAGCCATGTGCATCCCCAGGGACTACAGGGGCCAGGGGAGGAGGCAGAATGACTGGAGCCCCTTGAGAGGTGGGCCCTGTCATGGACAGCCATAGCTACTGCTTCCTCTCTATCTGCAGCTGGTGCCTCCCATTGGCCAAACCCACTCGGAAGCCAGAAGGCACAAGATCCCAGGTAATGCAGTCCACAGGGGGTCAGCCTCCGAAAACACACAGCCTGGCAAAGAACAGAGGAGAGAGGATCGTGGAGGGTGCAGGCTCAGCTGTCAGTGAAAATTAACCAGGACGGACCCTCCCCAAGGTAGTCAAACCCAGAGAGATCCCAGGCATGGGACTTGGGAAGGACTCTTCCCTAGTGGATTCTCAGATTCTGCAGGGGCTGCTGGGTGCAGAGCTAGAGCAGTGTTTTTGGTCTACTTAGGCAGACCTCAGATTGAATACTGGAAGTGAAAAAGAGTCAACAGAGAAGGTCAGGAAAGACATTTTCACTGAAAGAGAAATTAGCAGAAAGCCACGCACAGAGAGATGGCCCTTCCCAGAAGTAATCTACCCCCCAGTGTGATGTAGGGAATAACTGAAGAGATTAAGGTGCCTTATAGACATGGCCAGGAAGCAGCTTGCTAGAAATGATTTCACGTAAAATAAGCCCACCCTCAGAAATCATAATGAGTTATGATGAACAAGGGCAGAAATGAGGAAGGTGGAGCTGCAGGTATGAGTATAAAAAAAAAGGGTGGCTGGCACCAGAGACAAAGGAAAGGAGAGCTGGACATACAAGAGGTATTCCAGCTTCATTCCAAAAAGGTGTTCCTGTATATTATGAGGAAGGAAGGCAGGAATGCAGCTGCTAGCAGTTGGGTACCCAGTGTGTCCCAACTTCATATATTGATATCCAATGTAGTTTCATCTTCACAATATTGAGGTAGCTACTTTTGTCCTTGTTTTGCAGATAAAGACACAGAAATGGGAGATAGTGGTCAAGCGCATGGGCACTGAAGGCACATTTACTGGGTTCCAATCTTGGCTGTCTGACCTCAGGCAAGTTATTTAACCCTCTATGCCTAAGTTTCCTCAACTGTGAAATGACATTAATAACAGCATGTACCCCACAGCCTACTTGTGCATACTGAAAAATACGTGTAAGTTAATACTTTGCAAGGTGTCTAAACCTGATCAGTGTCTGATATATATGGTAGAAATTCAATAATGCTAGTTGTGGGTGTTATCTGCTGCCTAAATGTATGATGCTAATAAATGGATGAGCTGGGATTTGATTCAGGATTGTTCTAATGCCAAAACTCACATGCGTTCTTACCACTCTACCATGCTGGCACCCTGTTCCAAGTGGCACAGACGTCCCAAGAAAGAGGGGACTCTAGGAACTACACCTCATGGAATCTGCCTCAGATCTTCCAGCTCTCCCAGCTCCAATTTCATATTCCCCAAAGGAACTTGTAGATTTTTTATCCTGGTTCCTAGGACCCTCATTTATGAATAAGAGGGAGTTGATTGTCTGGTACCACCCAGGAAAGCTTAAAGTCATAGAAAAAAAAAAAGTGGCAAGTTTAGTACCTGGCTTGGAGCTGGTGCTCACCCAGTTTCTCTCATCTAAGTACTAACCAGGCCCAACCCTGCTTAGCTTCTGAGATCAGATAAGATTGGGCATGTTCAGGGTGGTAAGGCCATAGACTTAATCAATTTCCAATGGGTCAGAATCTGCCCAGTCTGCCTATGTACACACTCTCACCCTCTGCACATAGCTGCCGATGTGAGATGGAGTTGCAGCAAAAATGATAAAATCCAGGCATTATCCCCTGCCCTTTCAGAGCCTGTTCCGTCTCCTGGCTTCTCTGACCAAGGACATGTGTGGTCTTCATGCTGCCCTCTGTGGCATCATAAGAACCTGGACTCTTCAGCCCAGTGAGTCCCAGGCTCCAGGAGGACTCTATCTTTTACTCCATTCGGGACCAGAAATCTCAAGTCTGCCTTTTTATCATAAACCAAACTACAAGACTTGAAGTGCCCTGGATTTGCAAGTTGTACAATGAGAGTCTCTGATAAACTCTCATTGTAGCTATAGCATGGCCTCTGGACTGAATATCTGTATCTCCCCAAAACTCATGTGTTGAAGCCTAAATCTCCAGCGTGATAGTATTTGGAGGTAGAGCTTTTGGGAGGTAATTAGGTTATGAGGTTGGAGGCCTCACGAATGGAACTAGTGCCCTTTTATAAAAAGAGACAAAAAAAGAGTTGATCTATTTCTCTGTCGACCACATAAGGATACAACAAGAAAACAGTGGTCTGAAAACCAGGAAGAGAGCACTCACCAGTTACTGATCTGCTGGCACTTTGATCTTGGACTTCCCAGCCTCCAGAACTGTGATAAAAAAAAAAAAAAATTGTATCGTTTAAGCCACCCATGGTATTCTGTTATAACAGCTAGAACTGATTAAAAGAGCATTCAATTTCAGAAAAAAGGAAAGGGAGAAGGTGGAAAGAGATAAAGCATTAGCCCTAAGGGATCCATAATGAATGGTTTAGTCTATAGCTGATTTTTCTGGGTCTTCTCACAGCTCACCCCCTAGGTAGCTTCCTGGCATATAAGGCTACTGCTAAACTTGAGCCAATTTTCCTAGAGAGTAATTCATGACCATTAAAATTCTGGGCTTTCAATATTAGTAGACCATGAGATGGTTTGTCATAGCATCAAAAAGACATGAATTTTAACCCACTTACTAATTGCATGATAACTTGGGGAAGTTACTAACACCCCCAGCCTTCATTCTTTTGCATGTTAAACAGAAATGGTACCTCTTTTCCTCCAAGGTTGCTGAAAGTTTGGATAAGGTATTGCAGGCAAAGCACCTGCACACAGAGGCAGTTGCATGGTCACTCTGTCCCCACCCCTTTCCCCTTTCCTCTGCCAACAAGATGCAGCAGCCAATGAGAGCCAACTTTCTGAGACTGCCAGGCTCCTACTGTGGGTATGTTACCCACAGATAACCTTAACAAAGTCAATGCAATGTCAGTGGTGAATCACCTGGAAGTAAGAGCAAGAAATGCAAGTAGGAAATGACCAAGAAATCATTTTGTCCCACACATGCCTCTTTCTTCCCCAAGTCCTCTATTCTTCAGCACTTATTCACATCCTTATGCAGCCTTTATGTAAAGCTATTTCCGGTCACGAGTATTATCTCCCCAACTAGGATGCACTCTTGTAGAAGGCAGGCTGTCTTTCTTAATGCCTTGGCTTAGTGCTGTGGTCACGAAAAAGGAATGTTGAATGTAGGACATTCCAACTAACCTTGACAGTTTCAAGTTTACATCACATGTAGTGTTGGCCAATGTTACTTAAAAGAAAAAGAATTATTATTTATTATGCTTCTTGTACTTAGAAGAGTTGGATTTGTCCTAGGATATTTTCTAGAAGAGTCAAATAAATTATAGCTCAAGAGCTTTTCCACCCTCAGAATTAATGATAATTAATGATTCTTTGTCATTAATATGCCCCCTAAGCTCCAACAAATTTAAATTGATTAAAATTACAAAAATAATTTGCAAAAATAATTAAGTATATTTAATATTTAGTAGTGTTATCCAGGAAATGTTATCCTATTTGCATGAGGGATCCCTCTGCTGCTCAGATGGCCACAAGGAAGTGATTTGTCCTGCCAAGTCTCAGAAAATGGGATTCTACAATTATAGAGGACAGGCTGTGGTCAAAAGAAAAGACAACCCAGCAGAAAAAGGATGCAGCCTGGGACCAGAAAGTGGTTGGAGGGAGACAGCTGCAGGCCCTTGTTCTCAAAGGCCACCAAGGTTAACAAGTAAGGCAAACTGACAGCATTTTGCAGGACACACTGGAGAACATCAAAGACTTCTTTGTAAATCATCTGCTAAAGACTCCCCTTGGAGCTGCTTCAAAAGCAGAAACTCAGGAATAATGGTCTTAAAACCAATAACAGAGGGCTGTATCTTTTACTCTTTGGGACAAGAACTACACAGAGCATCTAAAAGAGCATCAGCAGAATCTGGGACAAGAAAAATGCCACAAGCCTAGGTGTCTTCATCCATTTTGTGCTGCTATAACCAAATACCTGAGACTGGGTAATTTATAAAGAACAGAAGCTTATTTTCTCACAGTTCTGGAGGCTGGGAAGTCCAAGATTAAGGTGCCAAGAGGTTTGGTGTCTGCTGAGGGCTGCTCTCTGCTTTCATAATGGTGCCTCATTGATGAATCCTATAGAGGGGAGAAATGCTATATCCCCACAGGGCAGATGATGGAAAGGCAAGCTAGCCAAACTTCCCCTTTTTAATAGGGCACCTAATCCCATTCATGAGGGAGGAGCCCTCATGGGCTAATCACCTCTTAAAACCTCACCTCTTAATATTATCACATTGACAACACCTGAATTTGGGAGGGGACACATTCAAGCCATAGCACTAGGGAGGTAACCATGGCTTTAAGCATGTTACTGGCTCCCCTTAGTGAAGAAGTGTATAGTTTGTACTCATTCCTTTAGCCATACATTATTTATTGCTCTCAAACCAGAGTGGAGGTTTGGATATCCTTCATAAAACTTTTTATAATAATGGTAATAACAGTAGCCTCTCTAATTTATAAGTGTTTCATATGAACCAGCTACAGTGGTAAGTGCATTGCATTATCTCATTTAATTCTCAGCACGACCCTAGGAGGTAGGCACTATCATGATTCCTATTTTTACAGATGGAGAAAGTGGAACTCAGGGAGCTTAAAGAGCTTTTCTAGCTCTCCCAGTTAAAAGGGTGCAGAATGAGGATTTGAACTCAGATGTACTCAATCTAGAGACAGTGAAACTGACTACAAGAGCAGAGGCTTCGGAACTTCAGTGAGGGTTATCTGAGGATCTTGTTCAAATTGTGGGCTCTCAGACCACACACAAAGAGTTACAGTTTGAATGGAACTGTGGTAGAGTCCTGGACCTCAGGATGACTCTGAGATGTGTGATCTTTTTTTTTCCTTTTTCTTTTTTTTTTTTTTTTTGAGGGAGGGTCTCACTCTGTCACCCTGGCTGGTGTGCAATGGCATGCTCAGCTCACTGCAGGCTTTGACCTCCTGAGCTCAAGTGACCCTCCCATTTCAGCCTCTCAAGTAGCTGGGACTACAGGCAGGCACAACCATGCTGGGCTACTTTTTGTATTTTCTGCAGAGACAGGGTTTCACCCTGTTGCTCAGGCTGGTCTTGAACTCCTGGGCTCAAAGGATTGGCCGGCCTCAGCCTCCCAAAGTGCTGGGATTACAGGCATGAGCCACCTCTCCCAGCCTTGCATGATCTTCCTAATGCCCATGGTCTGGAAGCACACTTTGCTGGATGCTTCATGTCATGATGCCTTCTTTCATAATTTTCAGAGACCCATGTTAAATATATCATTCCAAGTGCTGTGTATGAACCCCTGGAGCAATGGACTCAACCTATTATAGTGAAGGTCCAGAAGCCAGAATGAGCAGGTCAGCAACTGCTACTTCTAGGAGAATTTTCTTTGCTTGTTACTTGTTTCTGCTTGGGGTTGCACCATACAATAGTAGCATTTTCCCCTTTATTTCAAAAGGGAAGGCAGCTGAAGAGAATCACAGAAAAGGCAGCTACTGAAACCCCAAGAAGAATCCAGAAAACACAGAGTTCTACTCCAACTCACTGTGTTCCTGTTTACCAAGATGAATCTAAGCATTAAAAGTTTCAACTTAAAGACTTCAAGAGTCTCCACATCTACTAGGTGCATATTTTTTACACTTAGTAAAATGTGTTAATTGAAAGTCTAATAACTGGCAGAATTTAAGATAATTTTAAAATGTATAAGGCTCAGCAAATATGGCCAGTTCAGGAAATAATTTACATTTCACATAGGGACTATTTTACATTGTTGGGAACAGGTGTTTTGGTTTGGTTTGGTTGTTTTGTTTTGGCTAGGGAAGCTCACAAAAGATTATCCACTTTCCTAACAGAATTGTATTTCTTAGGAGATTTGTCATACCAGTGTTACCCCTGCTTTTATACTTCTAAAAAATTGATTTCTAAGTAAAGTCTATCTGGGATTTGCTATTGTCCCTGCTAATGCTTTTTATCAATGGCAAAAAATACAATTGATAAAACTAACTTGACTTTACTGAAATGACACATTTTTCTGACTTCCCTTGCAAAGAACATGGTACTTTTTCAAAATGTTTATCTACTATCTTCCCATCGCTAGTTTCGTAGCTCCACCAATTATTATTCACATTGAGTTAAACATGGGTTTATTAACGTTTCTAGAAAGGTGACAACTTTTACTTTGTCAATTTAAAAAGTTATGTTTCTTCATGTTGCATAATAAAGGTAATATAAAAGGCCACAGTTGTAAGCATTTCTCATCTGACATTCTCTGATTAGTGTAGCACAGTGTAGCCATTTCTGCATTGCTAGAATAAAATTTTTTTTAAATCTTGTCAGTACTGCTCTTCAAAAAGTGATACCGAATGACAGATGATAGCATTTTAAAAAGCCTTTTTCTCCTATTCATTCTGTAATATTTGGAGCCTATATTTTTACCATCACAGGCTACAATTTTCACTTTATTCACTTTGATAACCTCTGCCATCTCTCTGAGTTTAACATCATTCAATACAAAAGTCCAGACATGATCACAGAATCTGTATGTATTTAGAAATCCTCTGAAACTGATCCTGTTCCTGTTCATATCAGTGCAGATGCTGAATTTACAGCCTTCTCTAACTGAAGTAGAGCTTAGGGGTGATCTGTGATGACTGTATAAATGAACTCATCCAGGTCCTCCTGAAGATAGTTTCCTAACGTGTATTTCTGTATAACTGATAATGCTATGGCTTAAGAGGAAGAAGTTACTGATGTCCTGTGGAGAAGGCCGGTGCAACAGCAAGGACTCAAGAGGGGTACCTACTTTCCCCAACAGCTTCTTCAGCAGCCCCAGAAACTGGAGGAGAGCTGGGCTGATAACCTGGAAGTGCTCAAGGAACCCGGAAGTGGCACCACACTTGGGGGCAAGGAGGCCTCCACCTCCTTGCAAGCAAGGTAAAACAGTTTCTGTTCGATGTAATGTGATCCTAAACAAGAAAATCATAAGATAGTTCAACATTCCTTTTCACTTTTAAATTAGTAATAGTCATCTGTGGTAATGCAGTAAAATAATATCAAAGTCATTTCATATTTTATTTTCAGTTCTTCTCGTATAGGATCTAGGTTAAAGAAAAAGTCAGAATATGAAAACAAAAGTTATAGATCATTCTTCATTGTCTATATTTTCATCATGTGTAACTATTGAGAGTAAATATATCAATTTTTGTTAAATATTGGGTTTATTTCCAAAAATGCATCTGTCTACCAAATCTACAAAGTATTACTTCACATAATTCTTACTGGTTTTTCGGTTTATTTTTTGACTTGTATTTCTATATACTGCACAAGAGTTTGGTAACATTTTGGCTAATCAGACAGGAAAGGAAAATGGTAGATACAGCTTTTTATCACACAATTTCCCAGGCTAACAAATTGAATTTCTCAGTTTATTCTGACATGAACATTTTCAACAATGTAAGTCAGAAAGTTATGCATGGATGAGGAATACTGCAAACATATTCTCTACATTGTAGTCATGTCAGTATTCTTTTATGGTGGGAACTCATTAAAGATCGAAACACTCAATATAAATGCTGCAGGCACTTTTTTTATGAGAAAAAATAAACATAATTCTCAAATGGTAATTTTGCTGGATGAACAATTCCTTTAAGAGAATTAAGTAACAGTTAAATCCTGCCACATGGTTTGCTTTCCAAATATGACAACAGATAAATTATAATAAACTTCACAGGTCATTATTAGAAAGTGAAAAAAGAGTGTGCATTAGAGGCACTGAGCATCTAAATCTGTCAGCAAATATTCAGACCTTCAGTTTGCTCAGCTTCGTACTAATAATACAGTGTACTTGCTCAATCTCTGTGGAAACACTATTGGATTTGAAGTCAGAAGTCTCAGATTCGAATTCCAACCCACTTTGCCTGTCTGCTGCTGTTTCCTCCTGAATAAAATGAGAGGTTTGGACTAATCAGGCCCAGGGGGATGAAGGAAGGAGAGGACCATGGGAAACCACTGCTTCTCTGAAATCTGTTGTTGCTGGGTGGAGTGTAAATCCAGGTCTGCAGATTTTTCAAGAGAAGCCGGAAATCTAGATTTTAATATGATATCTCCTCATTTTTATCCATTGGCAACAAATTAAACTGTTTCAAAAACAGGAAAAAAAACACTGAGTAGGGGACCTCCATTTCTGACCAAAATGAAGTAACAAGGATCAGACTTACCTTCCCATTTCAAATAAAGAAAAAAAATAAAAAATCCACAAACTGCATAAAACCATGGCTTTCCAGGCACCGGACATCAATCAATGAAGGGCAGTAGTCTCTGAAAAATGGAAAATGAGGTGAGCCTTACAATTGCCCCAGCTTGAAAGAATGCTGAGCAAGTCAATGGTGAAAGGATAGTCTTTCTGGCAGGGTGTGGTGGTCCACACCTGTAATTGCAGCACTTTGGGAGGCCGAGGTGGGCAGACTACCAGAAGTCAGAAGTTTGAGAGCAGCCCGGCCAACATGGCAAAACCCTGTCTCTAGTAAAAATACAAAAATTAGCCAGGTATGGTGGCAGACACCTGTAATCCCAGCTACTCAGAAGGCCGAGGCAGGAGAATTGCTTGAACCCAGGAGGCGGAGGTTAGAGTGAGCCATGATCGCACCACTGCACTCCAGCCTGGGCGACAGAGTGAGACTGTCTCAAAAAAATAAAAAAATTGTTATTCACATGAAAAAAATGAACTTCTGTCAATACCTCAGACAACTGTTCAAAAATTAACTTAAAATAGATAGAGACTTTAATGTATTATAAAACCTAAATAATACAACTTCTGGAAGTAAACATAGGAAGAAACCTTTTTAATTACTATGACTGTGGAGGGACTCTCAAAATAATTATGCTGAATGAAAGAAGGCAGAGAGAAAAAAACACGTATTTTATGATTCCATTCACAGAAAAGTCTAGAAAATGCAAACAAATCTATAATGACAGAAATTAGATGAGCAGTTGCCTGGAGGGGCTGGAACAGGAAAGGAGATTGCAAAGGGGCATAAGGAAACTTTGATGGTGCTGAATATGTTAATTATCTTGATTGTGATGATGTTTTTACCCACTGTTAAAAGAAAAGCTTCAGACAATTTAATTTAACAGAGTTTAACTGAGCAAAGAATTGAGTAGCCCCCATAACCAGAATAGGTTCAGAATAACTCTGGCACTGTCAGTGTGGACAGAGAGGATTTATGGACAGAAACTAAAAGGGAGGCATGTTAACAGCCCGATTGGTTACAGCTCAGCATTTGCCTTATTTGAACATGGTTTGAATAGTTGGCCACCTTTGGCCAAAACTCCGTGATTGGTACAGGAGTAGGTTATAGTCTATTTCCGTATCTAGGTAGGTTACAGTTCACTATGTACACAGAAACCTTTAGGCCAAACTTAAAATACGTAAGGAAGCAGCTTTAGGATAAACAATTTAACATTGTGTATACCTTTATCCAAATAATGGATGTCACAGGTGTTTACCTTTATTGAAACATATCAAACTGTATGGTGTATGTGCAGTTTATTGTGTCAGTTACCCCTCAATAAAGCTGTTCAGCACACACACACACACGCGCACACACACACACACACACGCACACACACACACACACACTGAATGCCCAAAAATATATACATTGCAGGCAAATTCTGGCATGCTGGCTGCCAGGTTTCCATCTCTGTATTCAGTGGCATCTGGAGCCATTTGCAGTGATCTGTGATTCTTTGAAATTTATCCAAGGCTAAAGCTAAGATACAATTTCCATACAGAGTAAATGTAACTATAGAAAAGCATGCTAGAAAATATTTGCAGTTGAAAACTTAGATATATCAAATGTATGTATTAGCATATGTAATTACTGCATATTTATATAATGCTTGTGTAATCATTCATAAAATATTTAAAATAGATTGTTTTCAACAGATCCTTATTTCCTTACTATTTGGTAGAACATATAATTTTCTCAGTGCTCAAGGGGGGAAAAAGGTACAAATCTATTTCATGCTATATTCCAAAACAATGAAATCATGATGTCACTAGGAGTATTATAGAAGATATTCTAAGAACTCCTCCCTTTTCCAGCCATTCTGATACATAGAAGCACATAGAACCTACATATTATATGAGCAGCATTCACACAATCAATGGTTTAGGCACTTTGTTCATTCTATAGCAACATATGCATTATTTCCAGAGTGTTTCAAAAAATGCTTTGACTACACACATAACTATATCCACATCAACATACACAGATAAAGTCATATTAGAACATATAAACAGGGGTACACAAGAAATCTGTATGTACACATAATCATAATATAATGTCTAATCTTTGCATTAATACATATTATATATTATATAAAGAACACATTTGTCCATGGTTTCCCATTTTTCTTGTATAAATATATTTATGGAAATGTGAGTTTATTGTTGCTCATAAACATTTTTCCAGTTTTACACTGAAACAGCTCAAAGAACTTTGAAACAGAGGTGAATGGTTGTCTGGTAACCAAGTTGTCATTAGCCTCCCCACCAGTATCAATTTTCATTTGTCATCAGATAAGCCTAAAAGTGATGGGGTTGATATAACCCAGTTCTGCAGGTAAAAGGAGTACAGACGTATTTTGTGGCAGACTGTAACATGAAAAGGGGCCTGAGGAATGTCACTTGTTCTGTGTCAAAACAATACAATAAAGAAATCTATTGTCTATGGGTCACCCCCATTTTGGTCAGCTTAATACAGGCGGAGTCCCATAAACCACATTCTGAAATGTGGTCCTTTCGTGCAAAGAGGCACCGTTTGCAAGCTGCTAGCTTTCTTTTTCTTTCTTTTAATTGTGTTTTTTTTAAATGCTGGTTGCATTAGACATAGGACAAATTTCATAGCTCAAATTACAAGTAGAATAAGTGTCTTCTGTACCTCATTTATGAAATTCCAGACAAGTTCTTAATAGGAAAGATAAATAACACTGCTCCACATTCTCCTCTTTCTGCTTCCATTAATTAACACTGACTAACAAAGCCTCTCATTTTGTTTCGGAACAATACATTTGATATCTGACCACTTAAAAATTTTGATCACCACCTTTAGAATAGGTAATTAAGGAAAAGGTCATTTTCTTGGTTGAGGCACATTGAAGAAAACTGATCTAAGGATACTTGTGCTGCTAGGGCAAGTTTGAAGATCTTTCTAATTGAGCATTCTTCTGCAAATGCATTGCAGGTGGATTTCCGCCCCCTGCCCCTCAGTTCTTAAGGAGGAAAATTCATACTTAAAATACATGTATGATTAAAAATAAATATAGCATTGGATTAAAATTCAAAAGAAATAACTAAAACATTTATATACCAATAATCCCTGAGTGCTAAATGTAAATTAATAGGATTGTTAATCCAGGAAAGGTCCTAAAGTAGGGGATCTCTTTAACAAAGTAAAGAAATCTAACTTCAATAAACATTCCTTTTGCTAAAATGGCAGTAGGAATTTAATGAATGCTTTGATAAAGAAAATGCCTCCTGCCTCCTGAAACAATAAAAACAGCTAAAAATGATGTACCATTTATTATGTGCTAGGTGCCATTCAAAATATTCTTTGTGTATTAACTCATTCACTTCTCAAATCAAAGCTATGCGGTAGGCGCTATCCTTAGCCCAGTTTCATAGATAAGAAATCCAAAGCAGACAGCAGTTGGGGAAACTCACCCATCACACAGGTAATAAGTAACAAAGACAGGATTTGACCTGGCTGTCTGATTCCAAAATTGAAGTTGTTAAGCACCATGCCCTCCTGCTCCTTGAATCTACAGAGCACTTCCTTACTCACAAGACCCGCGTCCCCCACTAAATGACCACCTGTGGGACACACTGCTTGCACATGGTCAGTCAGGTCTCTTCCAAGCTGCCCTGATCTGTGGCACTATCCCACCACTCCGGGTCGGTCCATTTTCCCTACTGCAAGTTTTCTTTCAAAATGAAAAGTTTGTTATTCGTATCCAGTTACATTTACTGGTAAACAGGGCTGTAAGAGGATGTTTTGATGGGAAGAGGGCATCTAAGAAAAAACAGGACTCCTGGGGACGAGAAGTGGCAGCCCCAGTGGTAAAAGAAGAGAATTGGAAGGAGCGTGAAACGGACATCACTCAGGACCAGTCTAGCCGGATGTGGGATTTTCAGGGACTGATTTCTAGATGTTTAACACAACTACAGTTACTGATCTATTGATGCCATTCAGTCTTGTTCAATACTAATCTATCAAGGACCATAGTGAAACCAGGGGCAGAGTGGTGCATGGCACTCCTTCATTCAGCCTGGAAGAAGCTTAACATGATGCCATGTCCTCCTAAAATCTTGAGAGAGAAAGCAAGGTCTTCAAGAGGGCAGCCTAAAATTTCCACCACTGAGAGCCTAGGATGAGGAGAAGAATGCTCCCAGAAGACGGTATTGGCTGGGAAGTGAAAGATCAAGGTTGTCTACATGGGGTGCTGTTCTCTGACAGTGTCAGAGAGAGAGAGAGATTCTCCCCACAGAAGAGATCTAGAAGTGTTGGGATAATTTCTTTCTGTGCCAGATCTTTTTCCTTCCCTTCCCTGGATTTGGAAGTCTGGGTCTGTGGCAGAAAAGACCACAGGAATAAATACATAAAATCTTGAATTTGTCATTTTATCCTGACACCCATCACTGGAAAAAAAGTCATCCCCAACGGTTTGATACGCTGACAAAAGTATCTGAATGTCCACATATATCACACATTATAGCTTATGAAATAATACAGGAATTTTTGTAAACAGGCCTTTGAGTAGACTGTGTATGACCAGACATCTCCTTTAAAAAAAAATCAGAACGGCCTGACGCGGTGGCTCACGCCTGTAATCCCAGCACTTTGGGAGGCCGAGGTGGGTGGATCACGAGGGCAGGAGATCGAGACCATCCTGGCTAACACGGAGAAACCCCGTCTCTACTAAAAATACAAAAATTAGCCGGGCGCGGTGGCGGGCGCCTGTAGTCCCAGCTACTCCAGAGGCTGAGGCAGGAGAATGGCGTGAACCCGGGAGGCGGAGCTTGCAGTGAGCCGAGATCGGGCCAGTGCACTCCAGCCTGGGCGACAGAGCGAGACTCCTTCCCAAAAAAAAAAAAAAAATCAGAACTGTGAAAGTCCATTCATATAAAACTAGGCAAATAAGGACATTCTTAACATAGAATGCATATGTTGTGCTTAATTAAATGTCAGCCATATTTTCAATGCATCTTAGTTATACATATAAACATTTTACATGTTTTATTATGATGTTGTATTTATATAGATAGTTTTGCCATTTATAATTTTGGGATGCTTCTCTGACTTTTATAATTATGTTAGGAAATGTCAACAGTTGAATTCTGAAACAAAAATATTGCATAATCCTCCTTCAAGGTTCTAGATCAGTTTAAAAAGAATCAACACCGCAAAGTGAAATGTTGAAACCTTTCGTTTTTGAAGCTACTGATGTTTATGAATAAGAATGTTCTCAATGCCATGAAACCAAAACACACAGAAAGCCTTGATTTTAAAAGCCAATAACTTTGATTTCAAATTTTTGTGCTCAGAAAAAAAGGCTTTCTTGATGTCAGTGAAATCAATGTCTCCTCAAAGAGTAAAAGTTAAAATTGGATTTTATAAAGAAATTTGTACCAGTAAAATACTCCAAACCCTCCTTTAGGATGTCATGCTCGTTTTGTATCAGCTTTGGCATTGACTTCCTTCTCCAAAGTCCCATTCCTCTGTTCAGCTGCTTGCCACTCTGTTTCCAGCCATCTATCCTAAGCCACTTCCAACTGCCCTCTGCCACATGCCCCTGTATCATCAAACATTCGGGGTTGTTTGGGGTCACTCACCCTCTAGTTGGTGTGATCCTTGAATCTTGCCTTTCATATCTGAGTGGAAAGATGAAGAATGGCAGGTTAAGCCAGCCTCCACAGATGACAGAATCTAGCCCAACTTTTACGACTCCTGGGGTGGAACAGGCCCAGGGTACAGCAGACACAGATGTGAAATGTTCCTCATTAAAAGAGCAGTTGTTAGAGCATTTATTATGACGACGTTGGCAGACCCCAGACACACTGGGCATCCAAGAAGGTGATAGCAAAAGGACTCTCTGGACAGAGGTCACCTCCTTTCCTCCCTTCAGCATCTGGCCCGTCATCTGTCCAAGCTGCCCTGGAAGTGCAGGCAGCTCATGACAGCAGTGGGAAGAAGGTAATGTCTGACGGGGCTTCCAGCATATGCCACGAGGCATGGGAGCTGGAGGGAGGCAGTTGACCCTTTCCCAGCCTTAGAGCATCTCCTCTCCAAAACCTCCAGGGAGAAGCCATGAAGGTAGCTTGCTTCCTGAGTAAACAGAAATTCTTCTGGAAAAGTGTGCTTAGGAAAGGCAAGGCCTCCAT
The DNA here is from genome assembly GCF_000001405.40 of Homo sapiens. Taxonomy (NCBI): domain Eukaryota; kingdom Metazoa; phylum Chordata; class Mammalia; order Primates; family Hominidae; genus Homo; species Homo sapiens. The sequence goes on along the minus strand of NC_000009.12, from coordinate 1,320,946 downwards.
TTAAAATCTTCCGACAGGGTTACACATGTTTGTTTATAACCAGGCAAGTGCTGATTAATTGCATAATATTCAGCTCTTAGTTGGTGCTGCCTCTCAGGCTTTAGCCTGCCTGACCCAACAGCTGTTTAACTTGGCTCCAGGCATTTATGACTTTATTTTGAACAAATCTTTAACATTTTCATTTGATTTTTCCCGACTTGACTATGCAACTCAAAATTTGTTTTAAATTTTCCGGTCTCTTTGTTAACACCTCCTCCCCACCCCGTTTTCTCCTTCTCCTTCTTAGAGCTGTAGCTTTGGAATTTGAGTTGGTTTTCTTTAGGCAGCAACAGATTTTGAGATGCGAAACAAAGGAAGTTTGCAGGAGGGGAAGGGGGTAAAGCAGAGAAGGGGAAGGTCACTTTACTAATTCTTTGGATCCCCTTGGAACAAGCTAGAAACTAATACTATATAAATATTGAGGTGCACAGTAGAGTCAAAGTATTCAATAAACATTTACAGTGAATTGAGGCATTAGGAAAGGCTTAGACCCCGCCTGAATTCCCATGAAATTTGTAAATATTTCTTTCATTTGTTCTCCATTTACAATTAGTTGCGGTCAAACTGATCAAAGACAGAAGAGGCCTGTTGCATGTGAACCCGCATCCTTCACAATGACATCCACAAAGCAGAATGAAATATGGAATATCGGGTTTCCAAGGATGTATGAACTTGTAAAAAATCTGAAAGAATAGGAGGTTTTTCACACTGAGTAATGTGAAACATTTGGTGCGGATTGTAGGCCTCTGAAGAGGAAAAGAGAGAGCCAAAATCCATCAGGCTATAAAACAGAAGCAGGCCAAGCAAAAACAAGCCTCTTCCCTGGGCATCCAGTGATTTAGCTATCACAGGCTCTCTGCCCTCCAGAGGTCCCAGCAAAGAAGCCCCTTCAGCAGGAGAGAGAGGAGGCACCAGGGCCCCCTCTGGGATGATGGTTTTCCAGTGGTCCCTGCTCAGCTCCACTCCTCCTCCCTCTTCTTCTCTGGGTTTCTGGATTGTTGAATTACTGCTCCCCCACCCCAACCAAACACACACATGCCCCTTTCAATTAATGCGTTTACAAACAATTTCCAACCAGACAGGTGCTGAAGTTAATTGGGAAAGTACTTGGGTAGGATCTCTCCATTTTTAACTGTTCTGGCTCACTCTCCTCTGTCTCTGTCTCTGTCTCTGTCTCTCTCTCTCTCTCTCTCTCTCTCTCTCTCTCGCACTCTTTTGCAGATCAGCTCCTTTCACTGTTGGCTGGGGCTGGGATCTCCTTTGTGACTAATACAGGGTGTTTTAATTGCTTCCTATGCTTTTCCCAGCTGTCGGGCCATAATAAGGTCTGAGGTGGGGACATGGGGCCATAAGTTTACATTCTTTCACCTCCAGAAATTCATAAGGCCACGAGGCAATGTCTCCTCCTTATTAGAAACCTGAGCGGCCACTACTGCTGCTAGCATAATAAAGGACAACACAGTAATTCACAAAATTTTCAGAAGGAAATAAGCAAGGGTTATCCACCAAAGATTTCAGAAGCAGCATTTGCACCTCTCTTTAGAAAACACAAACAATCCTTCTCTCCTCCCACTACTCACTCCTGCCCTCACCCAAGGGATCTGCCTGCAGCCTCCTCTCCTCCCCTGATTTTTTAGGTGGATATAATTTGTTCAAAGTATATACTAGCACCAAAACACTAGGAAGGAGAGAAATGCTAAAATCCACTATATTTTAGGAAACTGGGGAAAGGTTCATTGGGAGGATTACAAATCACAGGGGATTAAGCAGGGGTAAACAAACAATAAATAAAACAGTCTTCATGAAAACTCAAGTCTCCCACACCCCATCACAAACACACACACCCTCCAGGTCTTCACCCTAATTTACGCCAAACGATTAGAGGAAGAACCGGTAGCCTGTACAAACAGCAGATGATCTTAGGAGGAGAGGGAAAGGTCACCTTTGAACTGAAAGCCACTGTGCTTTCACAGACACTGTGTGACACCAAGCTCGTCTTTCAGAGAGAGCTTTCCAAACCTCTGGATAGGAGCTTCCCTGGGCTCCTGCAGCTGAACTGAAGGGTGTTCCCTTGAGCTCAGGAGAACTGATATAAAACAATATGCAGTGCAGAAGGGTGAAACCATGACATTCATGGAATCCAAATGGAGCAAAAACCATAATTTGACCTTGGATGGGGGCCTTCAGCTTAGAAAAACTGAATCATCCCAAATCTGTCAGAATTTATTGGGCGTGGCAAAAGAAGAACAACTTTAAAGAGTGTTCCAAATAGTCTCCAAAGATTTCATGAAACAAGTAGCAATACCCAAGTCATATTTCAGCAATTTGGTCACAAATAACTTGAATGTCACGAGTTAGGTGTGTTTTCAAATGAATGTGAGTTGATCATTTTAAGAGAAGTGCAACCAAAGGAAAATCACAATTGGAGACTTAGCTAAATTTGGCTCAACTAAGTTAGCTTGCTCAGATGCACACCCTTTGCTAGGATGTCGGTGATTACAGGTTCACTGAGCAATACCATCCAGCCCCACACAAAGGAGAAAAGTTGCTGCAATATTTCTTAAAATGGACACCCATCATCCATTCCAAGAAATCACATATTACCATACCCCAGAAGCCACTTATACCTCACTGACTGCAACCCATTCCTCTTCTTTACAGGTAACCACTATATTGAATTCTGATAATTCATAGTGTTTACCATCTGTGCACGTATCCCTAAACAACATGTAATTTAACTGTCTATATTAGAACTTTAAAATTATGGAATTATAGCAATATGTTCTTTTTAGTGACTTGCTTTTTGTATTCAATATTATGTTTGTGAAATTGGTCCCTGTTGATGCACATAAAGAATGTTTCATATTTATGGCTGTATAGTATTCCAGCATATGAGTATACATCTTTCTATTGATGAACAACTATATAAATATATATGTTACATATTTTGTTCATAATTTTAAAGTGTCATTATGAATATCTGTGTCTCACATGCAAGATTCCCTCTATAGTAGATATCCTGTCATGGAATTGGTAGGTCACAGGGTATGCTCATAATTCAGTGCTGCCAAAGTCATTTCCAAAATGGTATACCAGTTTCTACACCCAAGAGCAGTGGACGAGAATTTCTGTATCTGCAGGTCCTAGTTACGACTTGGTATTGTCAAAGAGTTGAGTATAAAATAGTAGGTTTCAATTTGCATTTCCCTGACTAGTAATGAAATTGACCATTGACTCATTCTTCATGTGAAATTGATCCTTTCAAATTTCTCTTTAATTCATTTGCCCATTTTTCTATAATGTTGCTTTTTTTCTTATTGATTAGTAGGAATTTGTATCTTCTGGATAATATATTCACTCAATGTATGGTGTCTTTTAATGAAAGTAAATTCTTAATTTGATGTAATTTAAGGAATAGAAATTGAAATTGTAAACTAATTTCATCAATATGTCCCTTCATGGGTTATTATTTGTGTCTTGTGTCCTTCTCTAGCATAATATCACAATAATTCTCTCATATTAATTTTATAGTCTTGCCTTTTTCACATTAGGGTCTTTGATGTACCTGAAATTAATTGTTAAATATTATGTGAAGTAGGAGTCAAATTTCATTTATTTTCTAAATGGGTAACCAATTGTCTCCACATGATTTATTAAAAACATATACTTTTGCTTTCACTTTGCCAAATAATCATAATAAATTCCATGTATTCATGGGTCCATTTATGATCTCTCTATTCTATTCATGTGGTCTATTTCCTACCCGTATGCCAATATACCTACTGGGTAGGGCAAGTCAGAGGGAAAAAAATGTAGTACCTTCATAGGAGCAATAGCAAGACTGACAGCTGAGCTGAAAGAAATACTGGAATCAAAGAAATAAGAAAATGTACCCAGATATGGTTTTTTTCTCATTTTTTCTGTTTGGGGATTATGGCAATTCTTGAACCTGTGGCTTGAGGCCTTTCATCTATTTTAGAAAATTCTCAGCTGTTACTTCTCCAAATACGGCTTCTGCCACATTCTCCCTCACCAACTTTTGTTAGTCGTTTTCACTCTGCCTCATATGCCTCTTATGCTCTTTCTATAGTCGCCCATGTCCATCCTTTATCATTTCAGGCTTCAGTAGAGATATTGTATTCTGATCTATCTTCCAGTTTATTCATTCTCTCATCTGCTGTGTATACTCGTTAAATCCTTCCATTGGTTGTTAAATTTAGTATTGCATTTGTCCATTTTAGAATTTCCATTCGGCTCTTTTTTCCTATTCTTCGCCAATGTCTTCCATATTTTATTTTAGCTCTTTTAATATGCTGATCTCAGTTATTTTAAACTCTATATCTGTTAACTCTAATAACTGAATCTCTCTGTTCAGTATGCTTGTATTGTATCTTTTTTCTCTTGTTTTTTGATTAGGTCTTAGTGATATGGTTCAGCTGCGTCCCCACCCAAATCTCATTTTGAATTGTAGTTCCCATAATCCCCATGTGTTATGGGAGAGACCTGGTGGGAGGTAATTAAATCATGGGGGTGGTTTTCCCCATGCTATTCTCGTGATAGTAAGTTTTCATGAGATCTGATGGTTTCATAAGGAGCTTTCCCCTTTGCTCAGTTCTCATTCTTCTCCTTCCTGCCACCATGTGAAGAAGGACGTGTTTGCTTCCTCTTCTGCCATGATTGTAATTTTCCTGAGGCCTTTTCAGCCATGCTGAGCTGTGAGTCAATTAAATCTCTTTCCTTTATAAATTACCCAGTCTCAAGTACGTCTTTATTAGCAGTGTAAGAATGGGCTAATACACTTATATTTTTGTATACCCAATTATTTTTGATAGCATACCAGACATTTCGTAGGACAAATTATAGAAGCAATATGCTACTCTGAATGATGTTGTTATTCTTCAGACAGTTAGGGTGGGAGCAAATCACCTTAATCCAATAAAAATTAGGCTGTTTTGAGCTCTAGTCCTGTGAGGATTTGACTTGCTCAGGTTCACTCTTACTCCTAGCATATAATCCTTTAGGGTTCCAACTGAAAGCCTGGGGTGTTTATCAGAGCACCTCCTTATTAATGGGCCTTGACCTACTCCTTTTGTCACTCCAGTCCTGTTAGAGTGCTGAAAGCTCTGGCCAGCTTCTGGATCTCTCAGTCATTGCTTTTGATTTCAGAATCTGCATTTACCTCAAGATGAAAAGCAACCTCCAAATGCTAAACTCACTTCTCTTGTAGCTTCCCTCTTATTCCAGGCCTTGATCCTGAAAATTCTCTCTGCATCTTCCAACAACCTTCTGTATGTTATCCAGCTTTTCTATAAAGATTGGTCTGGAATATTGTAGTCAGCCATTACTGGAAGCAAAACTCTAGTTTTTAAATTTTTTTTTTATTCTGTGGTAAATGCTATCTTTCTAAACTAGTTTTCAATTGTAGTTGGTATATAGAAATGTGATTGATTTTATTATATTGATTTTTATATCCAACAACATTGTCAAACTCTGCTAGTATTTCCAGTCATTTCTTTAAAGATTCATTATGGTTTTCTAATCAACCCTAGTTATACATATCATCTGTGAATTATAGTTTTGTTTCCTCCTTTCTAAGGCTTGCATATGTATAATTTCTTTCTCTTGTATTACACATCGTTTGGGAATGTCAGTACAATTGAACAGAAGTGGTGACAGAGGCAACTTTGTCTTGTTTGCAACCTTCAAGATAATGTTTTCAGGTGGAAGCATCACATTCCTTGATTTCAAAAGATATTATAAAGCTATTGTTATCAACACAGAATGGTACAGGCGTAAAAACAGATACAAAGACCAGTGTAACAGGATAGAGAGCCCAGGAATAAATCCATGTGTTTATTGTCTGTTGAATTTCAACAAAGGTGCCAAGAGCATACAATGAGAGAGAGACAGTCTCTTCAATACATGGTACTGGGAAACTGAATAGCCACATGCAGGAGTATGAAACTGGATCCTTATCTCACACTATATACAAAAATAAATGCAAATGGATTAAATACTTAAATGTAAGACCTGAAACTTTAAAACGACTAAAAGAAAACATAAGTTAAAGAGCTCTACAACACTGGTCCAGGCACTGATTTTTTAAATATGATCCCAAAAGCACAGGCAACAAAAGCAAAAATAGGCAGAACAGATTACATCAAACTAAAAAGCTTCTGTGCAGCAAGGGAAACAACAAAGTGAGGAGACTATCCACAGAAGAGGAGCAAGTATTTGCAAACCATACATCTGATGAGGAGGTAATATCCAAAATATATAAGAAACTCAAACTACTCATAGCAAGAAAACAAAGAACCCAATTATAAAACGGACAAAAGAACTGAATGATATTTCTCAAAAGAAGATATAAAAATGGAAAACAGTTCATGAAAAAATACTCAAATCACTAATCGTTAGGCAAATGTAAATTAAAACCACAATAAGATATTACCTCACACCTATTAGAACAACTACTATTAAAAAGACAAAAGTGTTGGCAAGGATATGGAGAAAAGAAAACCCTTGTACAATATTGATGGGAATGCAAATTAGTACAGCCATTGTGGAATGTGGTAAGGAGGTTTCTCAAAAAACTAAAAATAGAACTACCATATGCTCCAGCAATCCTCTGTCTAGGTACATATCCAGAGGATTTCAAATCAATATGTTGAAGAGATATCCGCACTCCCATGTTCACCACAGCATTATTCACAACAGTCATGATATGGCATCAACCTAAGTGTCCATCAATAGGTAAGTGGATAAAGAAAATGTGACATATATACACAATAAAATACTATTCAGTCACAAAACAAAGGAAATCCTGGCCAGGCGCAGTGGCTCACGCCTGTAATCCCACCACTTTGGGAGGCCAAGGTGGGCAGATCATGAAGTCAGGAGATCGAGACCATCCTGGCTAACACAGTGAAACCCCGTCTCTACTAAAAATATGAAAAAATTAGCCGGGTGTGGTGGGGAGTGCCTGTAGTCCCAGCTACTCGGGAGGCTGAGGCAGGAGAATGGCATGAACCCGGGGGGGCAGAGCTTGCACAGTGAGCCGAGATCACACCACTGCCCTCCAGCCTAGGTGACAGAGCAAGACTCTGTCTCCAAAAAAAAAAAAAAGAAGGAAATCCTGTCATTTGCAACAACATGAATTAACCTAGAGGACATTATACTAAGTGAAGTAAGCCAGGCACAGAAAGACAAAGACTATATGATCTTACTTATTTGCAGAATCTGAAAACCTTGAACTCATAGAAGTAGAGAGTAGAATGGTGGTTACAAGAGGCAGCAGGGAGACCGGAGAGTATAGTAAAAGGATGCAAAGTTTTAGTTAGACAGTAGAGATACATTTTTGAGGTTTATTGAAAAGCAAGGTGACTATATTCAATAATAATGTAGTATATATTTCACAACAGCTAAGTGTGTAAACTTCAAAGCTCTCATCACACACACAAAAAATGATGTTAGTGAGGTGGATATGTTAATTAGCTTGGTTCAATAATTCCATATTCTATACAAATACCAAAACATCATACTCTACCCCATAAATGTATACAATTATAATTTGTCCATTTAAAATAATATATTAATATTTTTAAGAGTTTTCAAATGTTTTCCATCAAGTGCGATGTTTGCTGAAAGGCATCTGTAGATGCCCTTAATTAGGATAAAGAAGTTTCTTCTAGTCCTACTTGGCTAAGACTGGATATGCAGAAATCAAAGTTGTCTCAGGTGTTTAGCAGACTCAAGGTGCACTAACTTCATCAATGTTTTCAGGATTCCAGAGCAATGTCTCATTCCTTCTATGTAGAGCGAAAGTTACCGGAGTCTTTTATTACCCATTGGTAGGGGGCCTTACATTCCAGATTTCTCATGAAGACCACGTTTTGCCTCTTGGGCCCCAAAGCAACATTAGTAGATATAGGTTTCTTTTCCCCAAGCTTTTTCAGAGACTGCCCACTTTTGATGTTAGAAAGTTCTTCCTAACGTCTATTCTCTGTTCTCTTCTCCTTCTGGTAAAAGATCAGCTAATCACCATCTTTCATGTAAAAGCACCTTTTCCTGTATTTGAAAAATGTTAAGTTCTCCCCTTAGTCTTGTTTTCAGCATACTAAATAAAAGCAGCCTCTTTTGCTTTTTTATGCCTGATATTTATTATTCTCCCCTGAAAATATCCAAAGCTCATCATAATTGCACTTCAATTCCAGCATCCTAACTTGGGTGATGCCATAGAAAGTCCTAACCAATATCAAGTACCAGGGGAAGACTATGTAATGATTTGTTTCTCCTCTACATTTCTCATGCTCTTATTTTTCTCTGCCTTTTTAATCACAGCCCTCCATTGCTGAGCCATTCTTCACTTTGACCGCTGGACAATTTCTTGTTATGAATGGATGAATGTCCTCTGAGAATCAGTAGGACCTTCACACTTGTCCACACTTTTTCCACTCTTGTCACAATCACTTAGCATTTTAATCCTGCTGAATTTCAGGATGTTAGCTAGCAATATAGTGCAATCCCCTATCATTGGCAGATGGAATCAGGATGTCTTATATGTACTCTCCTAAATCACTAACAGACACGTTAAGTAATACCATGTCACAGGGCCAACTCTTTCAGAACTCCAGTCAATAAAGCAACATTTACCCACTCATGTGGGGCACCTACCATCTAAATCAGGGCACTGTCAATCTTAGCTGCACCCTACAAGTTTTTTTAAATGCCAGTGCCTGGCCTCTACTCCAAAAAAAAAAAAATCTGATATAATTGGTCTGGAGTGGGGCCACCCAAAGACTGGAATATTCAGCCAGGGTTGAGACTACTAATCAATATCTTTGGCACATTGTGCTATTGTTTAGTATGTTTTAGCAGAGTAGTTTTCAAACATCACTGTACATCCAACCTACCTGGGGATCTTTTTTAAATGCAGACTCTGATTCAGTGGGTCTTGGATGGGACCTGAGATTCTGCACTTCTAACAATCTTCCATTTGATGCTGATGCCACAAACCACATTCTCGTCTCATTTATAAAGCAGTAGAGCAGAGATCCTTACTCAAGTTGAGCATGCAGTTTACTGTTGAATAGCTTATTCTAAGCTACATGAAGTATGAACATACTAGATCAAGTATCTTTTAAGCCTAACTTTCACATCTTATTAGAAATAATTTCGGAAATTCCCTCAGCCTTTGCCTAGATATGCAAGTTTTCTCATAGTTCACTCTGTCCCTGTGTTCTTTGGTCCATGACATAGTTCTGGGTTTGTGAAATGAGTGAGCCTATGAAGCTGGGTTTCCAATCATTATCTTGGAATCCCCTCTAATGGCTACCATTATCTCTCTGTCCTGTCAGATAGAGTCTAGCCAAGAAGCCTCCCTCTCTGAGGTTTACTGGGTTCTGGATGGAAAAGGATTCCAACCAGCATCAGTGCCCTTGCACACACATACACTGACACAGACCTGAGTCTGTGTCACACACACATTTCACACACATATGCTTGCTTTGTCAAGCCCCTGGCCTCCCTACAATCTTAAGGTTTCAGAAAAATGAAAAGTAGCTGCTGTCCTCTTCACAAGAAGACAGGTATCCCAGTTATGAAAGAATACTATAGAAGACCCTCTGCCTGTGCCCTGCTTGTTTTGAATTCTATCATAGATGCTCCTTACATATACGCCTTATGTCCTCCTCCCTGGTGTTGGAGCTGTTCTCAACAATGCCTACCATCATGTGGCACCAGGGATGTATGACAGGACATTTGCAGCTAGTATACTCGAGGGTGTCTTGACATGTCTATCAACAATGTTATGAGATCCTCACTGGGGGAACCCAAACATCTTTGAGGAAGGCAGGAATACCCCCTAAGTCGCTTACCAGTTGGGTGATCTTGACATGTCATTTGACTGCTTAGAACTTCATTTTCTTTATCTGGAAAATGGTGCCAATAGTACCTGCCACCCAGGGTTCCTGTAAAAATTAAAGAAGATGCACATGAAGTACATGCACAATACCTAGTACTTAATACTGACTCAGTCAAGGTTAGCAACTTACATTAGAAGTCTCAGTGAGGGCTGGGCGCAGTGGCTCACGCCTGTAATCCCAGAATTTTGGGAGGCTGAGAGGGGCAGATCACTTGAGGTGAGGAGTTCAAGACCAGCCTGGCCAATATGGTGAAACCCCATCTCCACTAAAAATTAGCCAGAAGTGGTGGCACATGCCTGTGGGCCCAGCCACTTGGGAGGCTGAGGCAGGAGAATCACTTGAACCCGGAAGGTGGAGGTCACAGTGAGCCAAGATGGTGCCACTGCACTCAAGCCTGGGCAACAAAGTGAGAAGAAGAAGAAAGAAGAAGAAAAAAGAAAGAAGAAGAAGTGGCCTCAGTGAGCCATATCTGGAATATTTCAAGTCTTATTTTCATTTTCCACAAATTCCGCTAGAGGCCTAAGGGGTGAGAGTAGACATGAGTTCTACTCCTGGATTATATCTCATATTCATACAGCTCTGAAACACACAGTACACCCTGTCTTTGGATTTTCCCATACACATCCCACTACCCCACCCAGTAAAAAAGAATAAGAAAGATACATTTTCCTCAGAAAAAAAAATACATGCCTGTTGATCTTTCAATTCATGCTAACCCAAGTCAGGCCTTAAATGTGGGAATAATCATTCTGGCAGATGTCACTCTCCTTTAGGGTTTTCTTTTTCTTTCTAAGCCTGAAGCGTTGGCTGCTGCAGGAAGCCAAGGAGAGAATAAGGTAGGCTGTTCCTGAGGGGCAGAAAGAGACTGGACCTTCCTTCTTTCCCAGGGATCATGATGGGAGAAACCAGAGAGTGTGCAGTAGAAAAGCAGATTAGACACATGAAAGACAGAAGCCTGTGCTTCCACTCAACGTGGGAGGACTCTAGGTGAGTCTGCAGAGGGTAGTGAAATTCACAGCCAAGCCCTGGCCTGCTTTCATTTGATGCTGTTAGTTAATCAAGCACATCAGTTACCAGGCCAAAAAACTCCAAGCCCCTCTATCCCAACCCCTGAAAAAGATCCAGGTGCATCTGACTTGAACTGGGTAGCCTCAAGGCTCTCCAGACCATCTGCAGCCACATGTCTCTTACCTAGCACAGCATCACATTTGTTCTTTCTCAGGTTCATATACAGTGGGAAAGGCAAGAGGAAAAACTAATTTTCAAGTTATTTTTTGGCAAAATAATGTACCCAATTCTTTTTACAAGCATGATCTTTAATAAAATCCATAAAAACACTCCCTTTAACAGAAAGCAAACTCAAGGTTAAGACTTTCCCTGGCTTCCTTTTGGTGTACTTGGCCACGCAAAATTTTAGTGTTGGAAACTGCTGACAGAATTTAATTGCAAGTCAAGCTAAATGTCAGTTGTGCTGAGATAGTACTGAAAATATCAATGTACATTTACATTATGTCCCTGCATATATTTCTAAACCCAAAGTTAGGATTCCTAGTTTGACAAGAATGTATTTTTATTTGTGAGAATATTTAAAAGATGTAAAATGAAATCATATTTAGTTACATGCTTGATAGACTAATCCTTTCCCTCCCTGCCAAATAATGACATGAAATTGTCATTTGGCCCATCCTAGAAAATAGGTGACACTCTAAATATACTACCTCAGGACACCAGTCCTCCCACGTGGCTCCAAATAGCAGGTACTCTGCAAATACACTGTTACCCTTGGGGGAGGCAAGGATCCCAAATTTTTCTGGCCCCTCAAAATTACCATCAGCCTGAGCCACTCTAAAGGAGATGGGGAGAAACCCATAGCCTGTGTGAATTCTACTGCCTGTGTGGTTGACAGAAGGCAATCTCTCCTCTCAAGCCGCTTTAATTGAGACATAAGACACACCCATGCCTGAAGAATAAGGAGAAAATAGTACCAATTTCTATTTGGTCTAGCAGAGATTTTAACCCTGTATTCCCAACTTGTAGAGTGTTCTCTGGCAAATAAAAGGTACTTAATAATTTCATAATTGTCCAATAAATAAATGAATGAATGACACACACATTACTGATTTCTAACAAAAATTGAAATGTTTTTACCCCAAGTACAACAACTTTTTTCCCAGAATTACGGAAGACTTGCAGTTTCTTGCACCCGAAGAGGTAGAATCTGAGTATTGAAGCCTGCAGGGAAGGGAGGAATGGGAGAAAGAATAGAGATGCTAGGGAAAACAACACATCATCACACAGGAAGCCAAAGACCTGAAGGCCTCACAGAAGAGAGGTAAAGGTCAGAGAGCTTCCAAGCTCCGTGATGTTAAGTTAGGGCACAAGAAAGAAACTGTAGTGGTATTACATGAGATCCTATACAAATAGCCAAACAGACTATATATCCTAAGTCAGTTGAATCCATGACTTACTAGAGGGCCCAACTGTGACCTCACCACCTATCTCTGAGCACTCTGGCCCTATTTCATTAAAGAAGTCAAAGACTTACAGTGGGGAGAAGGGAGCACCAAAGCCATCTCACAAATTCAGCTATGTTTTATATCTTGTCTATTTTTTTAATGCAGAAAAAATTCTGATGTTTATTTCTCAGATTATGAAGATTTCAGATCAATTGTGTCTACAGTCCATATGCTGGATTCATATTAGTTTTTATTCCTTGAACACACATCAGCTGTCTAGAGGGAGGTGGTTAATGGCATCCTCAGTGAGAAGCAGCAGCCAGCAGGGCTTTGAAAATGTGCTATTGATGTTCACCAAAGACAACAATCCACATCCAGACACCCAAATGCTGACAGGGCTGCTGTGGGTGCCAGGTCCACACAGCCTGCCATGACCACCCCTGCGCACCCCTCTCCTGGCCGCACATGCAGCGCTTCCATTGGAATATCAAACCTAAAGGGAGAAGCAAGTCACAGTCTCTGCCTCAGCTTGTCCAGATAATTTTGCAAAAGTATAACAGGTGGAGACCCAGACTCACTCACTACTGAGAGTTTGACAGGTTAGGAGGTGGAGTACATACAGTTCTCAGGGTAAATGAAAGATATGGTTAGGACTCATTACCGGGAAAGGGAAAGACCCAAAGTCCTAGAGTCAGAAGAAGAGGAGAGACAGGAGAGACATAGGGAGTCCCCAGCCAGAGACAAAGGGAAGAAGAAACTAACAAGCCAGATCAAGGGGGCTTCAAATGAAAATACATTCTATCAGTTTCAGAAATTTTGAAATATTCACAATTTAGAATTTTCACTTTTAAAAAGTCATTTGCTTATATTGTCCTATTGGCTATCCTTATAATTCCACTAAAGTTTTAAGTAGCATATATATAATCAGTGCACATACATAACATTTCAGCAAATCACCCGTCAGAAGAAAAATGTCATTCTTTGACAGAGGAGTGAACGTTAAATCCCTAGCGGGCAGGAGCCCGAGCACCTTTTTTGCACACAGTAGGAAATGCAAAAATGTCTGTGGGAGTAAATGAAGTGGAAAAGAATTGCAAAGAGTGTATGAGATTCTGTTTATTGTAATGGAACTACAAAGCAAAACATTCCCTGAAAAATTGCTATCCCTGACCCTGGTCTCCACAAATATCAATCATGGAAACATCTGATGATACATTAATACATCACAACCGCCTCTTAAAAGTCTGAATTTCTGAGACTCTGGAAAGAAAAGTTCACGAAACCATGCCTATGTTCCAACCAGCAGCTGTTTCTGAGGAATTAGTAGTAAGAACACACCATATTTGTGACTCTGATGCAGACCAAACCTTTGGATGGCCCCTCACCTGCCCCTGAGTTTTCCACCTCAAAATCCAGAGGGCTCTGCACTCCATGCCTCAGGAACCGTGTAGTTTCAGGTCCATTTGCATCTGGAGCTCCTCCTGGAATAATCAATCTGTGCTTACCGAGAGATGGTGCAGTGTGTGGCACCTTTAGTATCAGAAAGGTACTAGAACAGAATGCGGCCTAGGGCCTGACATCACACAACTCTAGATGCACCATCTGCACAGAGAGTGTTCACATAGGCATATGCCACATGACCCTGCCTGGGATCATAACCTGACACTGGATCTGCCGGGCTGCATGTTAGGTGCTGGAGATATCAAAATTAAAATGTCTAAGTCTTCTGAGCTCCAAAACTTCAAATCATATTTTTTAAGTTAAAAAATTTAGTGCATGACTTCAGAGTGGTCTTCAAGACAATGAAGTGACTAAACCCTGCAGACCCTCCTTCTTCATTGCCATGGAGGACCACACAAGAGAAATTAGGTATAGATAAGAACAGATTCTTGTCTTAGGAACCTAGCCAGTTAAGTGACTATTTTTTAAAATAATAAGCTCTAATATGTTTTTTCTACAGACATAAAATCTGAAATAAAAACTCCTAGCTCCATCACTTTCTACCTATACGACCTACTCATGCTCTATCTTCTCATCTGAGAAATGAGAATAAAAATAGTACCTACAACAGAGGCTCTTAATACAATGTAAACTCCTTACCCCAATAAATGACACATGGTAAGCCTTTAATAGATGCTATACAGTATAGTAGATAAGTTCTAAGAACACTTTTTAAAAATGAAACAAAAAACCCGGATCAGATATATTGCAGTGAATTCCCGCAAAAGTTTTAGCCTCTTTTCTGGAATTATTTAAATAAAAGATTAGATATTCTGTATGATCCATTTGTCCAGTAATTTTTTAACACAATGAGCCAGAAACTAGAAACTCTTAGGGGTTCAAACATAAAAGAAGTATGCTCATTGCCGTAAGAACTTCACAACTGCCTGAACCATTGAGCATGAGGGCAGAAGAGTGTGCAAATGTTGGTTAAGGTCTCATTTAGACTCCTGTATTTATTCTGACTATAATCCATATTTATTCTAGACACTTCTTTCTTCCTTTTCTCTCAGCCTCCCACAGATAGTAATTCACAAAACGGTTGGAAGACAGAGATAAAGCCAGTGGCTTGAGGTATACTTTGTCCTAGGGATTCTCCAGGTATTTTGACCCTCATTGGTATTTATTAGTTCATAGAGTGCTCCTCATACTCCCCAAACAGGACCGCTTTTACTTTTGAGGGCCCTCTGCTTCCCCATCCTAAGTCAACCTACACTCCAGATCTAGTGCTGACCTTCCAGGCCCCAAAAGCATCACATGGGATCACTTATCCCCATAAATTCTACAGGTTCCTGGATATTAAATTCCTGGGGCCATGAGTGGCTTTTGACAGCAGACAAAACTAACTCTAGGAATGTCTTAACCATCATAAGGTGTGCAAACAACACGTTGATCTTATTTGCCTTAGCTCACAATTGATTCTTAATTAATACATTTTTAAAATTTCTAGAGGCACAAATAATAAATAATTGGTTATAGAGTATTCAAAGAGATAACTATGATTCAGGGTTTTTCTCTTTTCATGGAAATGACATACCTTACTTTCATGATATTTTCCTCCAGCTAACAAGATGAGGTTTTATGGTGTGAAAATCAACTCACCAGTTATGGGGAAATGGATTTATACCAAGGGCTCTCCTAAGGAATGCACTGACTGGCAGAGAAGCCTGCCATGGCTTTGCTTTCAGCTTCTTGGTTATTGGGCATTTCTTACTGTAAGGTCTGCAGACTAAGAGACCAGGGTAGACACGATGGAGGAAGTAACTTAGTCTGTTAAAAGCCCACAAATCACCAAACTCTGTTTCTGCAGGAACTCCTAGAACAAGTCACCTTGCATGTCACTGCTGCAGCTTAGAGACCTCGGTCCACCTCCAGGGCCTGATCCCTGTCATTTGCATACTACCAATCAAGGAATAAGAACTACATCTCAGGATCTGAAGCTCTAAAATGCATCTGTTCATGTGCATGTTGCAGAGACCAGTCAGTATTTTGGTGGAAAACATCAGCCCAATCTCTACCTAAAGGACTACCATCAGCACCAGGATCCATTCAGGGTATGAAACTGAATACTGTTAGGAAACCTGGTCCAGAAAAGCCAAAGCAACTCCAAATTTAGGGAAGTAAATGTGTTTTCATTGCGTGTGGTTTCATGCTTGTAAATGAGGCCACAAAGTTAAACTTCACTTAGGAGTGATAAAAGTTGTTCCTCCACACACACAAAAAGCATCCAAATAGAAGATGCCTTATCTGCAGACATAATCCTATCACAAGGTACCAGTTATGTTTCTACTCTTGGGATGACCTCCATGGAGAAGCCTAGGCAAATTTCCTTTATGCCCAACTGTTAGGCAACTTTCAGTGCTCGTAGGCTGTTGCCTCTCCCTTCTCCTGACAAGAACAACAATCAAGAGGATCCCAAGGATGCTAAGACCAAGGTTGATAAGGTTGCCAAGACCCTTAAGCATTCCAAGGATGTTAAGACCAAGGATCCCAAGGATCCTAATCCCAAAGATGCTAAGACCATTAGTCATTTCATTGGAAAAGACTTTTCTCTAAAACAAAACAGATATTTGACAAACATAACCATGCTTAAAAATACTGATAATCATTCCATCAAAACCAATTCCTCTGTATTAATGCTGTCTTAAAATCCCAAAGTCTGGAACATCCCACAGGCCAGTGGACAAATGTCTCATTGCTCTTTCAATATTAATGGAGGGAGTATCAAGATGAAAAATGCATATATCCCACCGCTGTCACCAAGATCAACCATTCAGTCAGCACCTATATAGAGAATGCTGCATTGTTGCCTAGCTCAACTGTGTGTTAGCCCTTTTACTCAACTACATTGCACCAAGCTTCATGTTTCCATGGCTCCCTGCTTTGTAGTCATCCACTTTAGATGTCCCTCCTGCGGATCAACTGGGCATGTGCCAAACTGAATTCATCATCTTACCCTCGAGGCCTGCTTCTTTGCCCTGTTTCTATGTTAGTCAAAGGTTCTGCCTATCTCCCAGTCATTTGCCTCTACTTCCATATTCATGTTTACTGTATCTCCCACCTCTTTTTTCCCACTCCTCTCTGCCTATTCAAGGCACTCAGTGTCCCTGACCTGGATTATTTCAAAAGCCTCCTAAATGGTACACCTTGCTCCAGTCTCTGTACCTGTCATTCATCATACATACAGTGGCCTGATTATTCCATCCAAGGGACTGCTTTGTCATGTCACATTTTGGTTCAAATTTGTTTGATGGATTTCCATCCACTCCCAGAAAATCAAGTCCACATTCCTTAGCACAAGAGTCAACATCCCTCTGTTCCAACCTTTATCCAGTATATCCTCCCAACGTTACAGGCGACAGTTTCTTGCTACTGGGGTCTCCTTGCTCTTCCCTTTGACTTCCTCCTTGCTCCTCCCTAGCTTGACCCCCACAAATAACCCCAAATTCTTCTTCCTTCCTTATACACCATAAGTCTTACTCCCTGCTCACCCTATCTATATCCTAAGGCAGTGGTTTTCAAATTTTGTGACTAAAATTCACAGTAAAAAAAAATATTTTACATTGTGAGTACACACATGCACACACATAAATATTATATAAAATATATACCCAAAATTATATAATACATAATATATAATATTTTTATTTAATATATATGCCAAAAGTTTCATGAAATAACAGTTAGCTTCAGTTCTATGTATTCTGATATTTTCTATTCTATGGTCTATTTCCTTTTTAAAAAATTACTGATTACAATCCACTAATAATTGATTTCGTGATCTGTTAACTGGCTAAAATCCAGTTTGAAATACACTGGCTCACTGTCTATTTTTCCAGGGTTCAAATGATCCATCCAGGGGTTTTCCAGAGGGGTTTACTCCCAGTCTCATAAAAACATGAAAAGCATATCAGAAAACCTTGATATATTATCTCAACGTAAGCAGTATAGGGTAAGAATAAAAATGGGTGGGCTGTGGAAGAAAAATGGCTGGTTTTAGATCCAGCTCAGAAGTAAACTTCTCTGAGCTTTAAATTTTTTTTATTTTAAGTATACTGATGTAATGATAGCTAATTCATAGAAATATTGTGGGGCTCAAAAGGAGGATCTTATATAAAATACATAGCACAGTTATTTTCCTACAAAGTAAGCACTTAACAAATGGTAGCCGTTATTATCAGTCTTAGTACTGGTATGATCACACACAAATGCAAGTGATATTCAAATTATCTACTCACTGGAAGCATCTGTGTCATCAGTCCCCTTTATTAGACTTTGCAACTGAGATGTGGCCCCTGTCTGCAGTCTGCATTTCTCTGGCAAGATAGGTACTCTATGCATGTTACCAAGGGAGGATGGAATAGTAAAGTGTGAGAAGATAGTCATCCAATTTTATATTTATTTCCAAAACTACCACAATATTCCATTGTTTAGTAAGAACTAGAATTTGGTATCCAAGCAAATTTGGAACTGAAAACATGCAACCCATTGGAATATAAATAGAAAACATTTTAAATAACCTCCATATCCTTTTACTTGCTTTCCTTTGCTCCTCATCACCTCCCAGAATTATTAACACTGTAAAGAGACAACAGAATCAGATAAGTGATGTCAGTTTGGCTTACAGAAGCTGTAGGTCAGCTACTTTGTAGGCAAGAACCCAAAGGTTCATAGGCAGAGACTCTGGGTCTCCAGCATGTGTGATATGGGCCAGGGCAGGGCTGCGTGAGTAGACCTCCAATTCAAGGCATGCCATCCTGACACAATTCTTTAGTGCTCTCTCATGTCTATCATTCCCTTTGAGAAACCTGGAGGGAGGCTTACACCCTGACATGCGTATAACCCTGAAGCAAAAGTGGTTTGTTTTGCTTTCAGCTATAGAACCTATGATCTAATTACCCTATAAAAAAAGGTAATGTCAATAAAATGTTGGGATTTTTAAAAATCTTGTTTATTTGTCCTGATCCTAAAGCTTCTTAGAGAAACCCCTGTTACCAACCTACTCCTGATTATGGAGGTTCTCATTAGGTGAACCATCCATCTGAGACACTTTTGCCAGACACTCCAGCTTAACCCCACTGCTACTTGGGACTTAACCTGGGATCACCCTAGAATGACTCATTGGGGATACTGATCTCTGCAGATCAGGCCAAGCTATACATCCCTTTTCCATTGGAATGCATGATAATTGATCTAAATTCAGAATACTATCCAAATCTGGGAAGGCTATGCTCTGGGGTCAACCTGGAACTTCAGCTCTGTCACACTGATCTGTATGCCAGCAAGAGCTCCCCCAAACTGCTATCTCTTGATTTTGTAGCCCCCACACCTGTCACATTTCCTGACACATTGTACACTGTCAACAAATACTTGTTGGATTGAATTGACTTGACTTGTGGAAGCCAACATAATGCAAACAGAGCAAGTTGGGACATTTCAATTCAATGCCTTAACTTTCCATCCTGAATATTTTTATTAAAGTTTAAATCCAAAGCAGGCATGTACATCACCCTAAATTCTCTGATAACATTGCATCCTCCAAACCACCTAGTTTTCCCTGACTTTTATGAGCATAAATTAGAATCTGTGGTATTTGAATGGGATTTTTGAAGGATCTAATCTTATCTCTTGACCATATTAAACCTGCATTTATTCAAAGGTCCTCACTTTAAGGGCCATTCCAACCTTAGTCCAGCTTGTAGGAGGATGTAAGAATGAGCTTACGATTAAAACCCTTTGGAAAGCATGAACAAATGATAACCAGTTGTGATACTTTTCCACATTTTTACAATATTTAAAAATGTGTTCAGATATCCAAAACTGATCCCACAATTTGATTTATTCACAAGTCCCCTGAAGTGCTTAATAAGTACAATATGGTACAATGAAAATCATGCTTATTACTGCTATTGGGTTGGTAATTCTCCAAGATGAAATCATACTTTTCAGGTTATAAATATACATTTTATTGTTGATTTTATGCTGCATTTTGAAATACTGCTTCTCTGCTTTCATATTTTCAGGGCCTTACAAGGGCATCATAAATCAGTCCCAAACTGGAGGAATGCTAATTGATATCAGGTGATTTCAAAAATGAAGGCTAGGTTAAACTTGCTGTGTGTTTCATGAATTCTAATTCTTATGGAACTCTTTCAAAACCAAGATGTACAAGAAATTATTCATCTTCCAAGATTAATTAAATAAATGAAGATTAATTAAATAAATGTGTACACATTCAATATTTTAAATATCTAAAAGAGGACTTAAAGAAGGTGTATATACAACCTAGCTCATATGCCAAAAATATAGAAGAGAGAGGACATACACAATGCATTGTCAGATGATTCAATGCTTTCTCGGTGAAACAAGTAACATTCTATTACTCATAATTTGATCTAAATAATGTTCTAACCCCCCTTCCGCATCTTTCTTTGATTTTCTGGTCTTGCAAGCTATGTTACATCTGTGTTGCACAGAATTCTAGGTGTAAACCAACAGGTGTTACCAAGAAGAGCAAGTCGCATTCCTCAAAGGTTGTTAGAACAATAACAATATCGTACTTCAGATTTTTCCTGGTGAGTGGGAAATGGCGATAGACCAGCATAAACATTGGCACATTGTTTTTGATCTTCACTGGATAAGCCACTCAAGATAAAGATCAATGTTTGAGTATTGTATATTAATCTGTCTCACAAAATACTATACTATGGTAGCATTTCCCAATATATGTTATTACATGTAAGAACACAAAAAAGATAATAGCTGGGGATTTTGTGTGTGTGTGTGTGTGTGTGTGTGTGTGTGTGTGTGTGTATACCATCAAGTTGTAAGCTCATGAATGTTACAGCTCAGGAAGATAAATTTCAAAAGGGACTGAAATAAAAATATTCCACAAATGATCGTCTAGCCTATATAATGCATAGACAAAGGGAAAAACTGTAGAGTGAGGTGACGTGCAAATTAGGGAATTTTGAGACACATGTATTAGAACATACTTGAGAAAAATTCTATGCTGAAATTATATAACACTAGTACTAAATATCTTAGAGATCAATCATTTCAACTCTCCAATTTTAAAAACGTAGAAACCGAGGCCCAGAAAATTAAAAGATTAGCTAAAGGTTACAAGCGAGTTAGTAGCAAAGCCAGGACAAGAAATGAGTTTTTCTGGCCAGGTGCAGTGGCTCACTCCTGTAATCCCAGCACTTTGGGAGGCTGAGGCCAGAAGATTGGTTGGGGCCAGGAGTTGGAGACAAGTCTGGCCAATACGGGAAAACCCCGTCTCTACTAAAAATACAAAAATCAGCCCAGCAAGGTGGTGGTTGCCTGTAATCCCAGAGACTCAGGAGGCTGAGGCAGGAGAATCACTTGAACCTGGGAGGTGGAGGTTGCAGTGAGCTGAGATCGTGATACTGTACTCCAGCCTGGGTGACAGAGCAAAACTCCGTGTGAAAAAAAAGAAAAAGAAATGAGGTTTTCTGTTCCTAGAAAAAAAAACTCTAACTCCCAATCCACATTTTGAGGCTGAGGGCAAGGACAATGAGGGGGTCCTCTGGAATCTGTCCCTTCCCGGAAAGTAACAAGGCCAAGAACAGACACAGGAAACTATGTCTTACCCTGGTCAGCTCACTTGTCACTTGAGACAATTCTCGATCACACTGACAAAAGTTCTGCTGAAGAGAACAGTGATGTTTTCTCTCTTTTTTGACCTTTAACTGAGAGAAACCAATTGGTTACTGAGAGAAAACAGTATCTTAAAAAAGAGGTTATAAGTCATAGATTGTAAACATGTTTCTTGATAACTGATCTTTGATGACTCCCTTGTGGATTTACTCTGACACCATCAGAGTAACATGTAGCCAAGATGGGATCTCTACCCTCCTTCCTACCTCTTCTCTCCTATTGTCTATGTGCTCATATAAGAGGAAGCAAGAACCTCATAAAAGCGCATGCAGTGGTCTGGGTGTGGTGGCTCACACCTGTAATCCTAGCACTTTGGAAGGCCAAGGCAGGTGGATCGCCTGAGGTCAGGAGCTCAAGACCAGCCTGGCCAACATGGCAAAACCCCATCTCTACTAAAAATACAAAAGTTAGCTGGGTGTGGTGGCAGGCACCTGCAATCCCAGCTACTCAGGAGGCTGAGACAAGAGAATTGCTTGAACCTGGGAGGCAGAGGTTGCAGTCAGCCGAGATCATGCCACTACACTCCAGCCTGGGTAACAGAGCGAGACTCCATTTCAAACATAAAGTGCATGCAATGGCTGACTCAATCTTGCATACAGTGAGTCTAAATTGTCATGGGTGTGTGCCCATCCCTGCTTTTGCACAGGGCTAGGTCCTTATCTGGTACAGTGCTCACAGTGACTGTGATATGTAATGGATGATGTCTCCAACACACTCCTTTTCTAGGCATGTCTACTTTGATCACTAAGAGAATAGAATAGAAGAAGTCCAGTTCTGCCCTGTAAAAGCTGAAACAGCCTGACCTCCAACAAGCTAAAGAGTGGATTTCCACATCTGCTGCTCCTTTGGGTAGAAGGCGTCAGCTCTCAATATCCAGAGGACAGGACAAGGGAAGCAAATAATTAAATACTCACTGTGAACCAGGCCTTGAGACGTTTCTCACTAATGCTTGCCTCAACCTTGACAGGAAGAAGGTACTGTCCTTATGTTATAAATTAGAGAAATGAAGGTTTGACAAGCTAAAGAACTTGCCCAGTCACCCAGATCCATCAGACTCTGAAGCCCATTTTCTTACTGCAACTTTATCTTATGCTTAAGGAAATTAAGATCCAAAGAGATGAGGTAATGTCTAGGGTCACAGGCCAAGTAGTGGCAGAGATGAGACTAAAATCACTGACTCTTGCTCACTGCTTTTTCTACAGCTTTTAGAGAATTCTACAACGTGCAAACTTAGAATTCATGATAAAACAAAACTAAACAAATTAGTACAGGACTGTTAGAAACTTCAAAGCAGCAAGAATAAACAAACTATACACCTTTACCAGCATGTAAGGCAAACTAAGATAGCTCTGTGTATGTGTGTGTGCATGCACACGTGTGTGTTTTTATGTATTTGGATATACCATCTACATTACATGTCTATGTCAGTTATATGTGTGGCCAGGGAAAAATTTAAACGTTAATGAATTGTGCTTCTATTTGCATTTCCATTACCAAAAGTTCATTGTTTGGCAGAGGAAAGGATTAACTTTTTTTCTTAAGAAAATGTCTCTCTGCACGACATTAGTAAATAAGAGGGCACATTGTAGATGACATTTTGGAATGAACTTAAGCTGATGAATCCATTCTTATGGAAAGCAAACCACTTCTGTTGTCAAAAAACAAATCACTAAGTGAATTATATGCCATCCCTAAAGATTTAGCATCTTAGGCACATTCCTAGATATTTCAATTTCAAGACAATTTCCTTGGGGTCAAATGGATACATCCCCTTTGCAGTTATTTTTTACTCCATTCTATCATATGCATTTATTAGTTTTACATTGAAATATGCCACCATCTTTGCCGCACATTAAGTGAGAAGGCAGAAACCCCAGAAAAGAATCTACATTCTCAATGCATTGGTCAGTATAGAACAGCTCAATGGCTTTACCCATTTCTTACTCACGTCACAGTTTCTGCTCCATCGAGTCATTCAGGAATTTAAGATTTTTCCACCCAGTGGCTAAACCAGCTTCTATGAATTTGGAATTCCCTACTGGATCTTCAGGATCAAGATGGCAGAAAATGGAAGAGTACTGGAGCATGGAGATTCACTGGGAATGTTTCAGAGGCCAGGGATGGGAAGTTTGCTCGTATACCATTGGCCACCACCTAGTTACATAGACCTCTTGTTGCAGAGAAACTGGGAAATGTATGTTTTTTATCTGCTAAAAAAGTAAGAAAACATGGACTTTGTTGTGCACATAGCAGCCTTAAATAATTAAATCTTAATTATGGATGACATATATAAAAATTCATAGTCTGTTTAGGAAAGATAGACAATAAAGCAGAATAAAATAGCTTAAGCTCCATATTATTTCTTCCAGTTCTGAATTTTAATTTAGATGTTTTCATAAAAGCTGCATCAAGTCATTTGTGGGAAGAGATGGAGTGTATGTGTGTGCATGTATACAAAAGCATGGTATTAAAAAATCAGAAAAAATCTAAACCTCTATCTTCATGGCCACCATACTTCTTAACAATACCAAATATTTTCCTTCCCTCTCTTGGTTTTCTGTCTAGACTACATTTTCTCTCTTGGTGTAAATCCTCCTATTCCAAGCACATTCTACCTATAACCTTTTTGCTAAAGATGGCATTGACTTTATTCCCACCTATTCCATTTCATTAGAGAAGCTGTCCCACCCACAGGCCCTAGAGGCACTCTTATGAACCAAGAGAACACTCCCCATATCAGATATATCTGAATTGGCCAAAGATGGATGCCTTATCCCTGCTGGGCCAGCCAGAGTCATTGTTCTGGAATTTGTAGTTGAGAATGAAGTCTATTGTTACTGGGCTATAGTCACTATAGGGTTTAGGGTTGGGCACTAACAGTCAAGCTATATACCTGCCACCTAAGTCAAGTGCAATTCAAAGTTATGGGCAAGAGGTAACTAAAAGCCTTGCTGAGGAAGCTGCTGCAAAGAAGAAAATGAACCAGACATGCAGAAAAGTAGATATAAGAGGACGAGCATCCCGTAAAGAGGACAACAAAGAGAGGATCTGCCTAAGACAATGAAGCCTAGCTGTACCCCCTACCTTTGAGTTCCAAGAGCATCCTTTCCATCCTTACAATCAATCCTACTTTTCTCATGCTAATTCAATGAGTTCATCTTTTTATGATTAAATTACTCCTGTCTGAGATATATTTTAGTTCACTTCTTCAACTCTGTGCTGCCTTCTCCCATTTACCTAACTAAAGCAAACTATCCCAAGAAACAGTTTCTCATAGCTTCAGGCTTAATAAATGCAGTTCTCAGGGAACCATGAAGACAATGCAGCAGATTGATGAAATGGAAGTAGACAGGCAGGATGAGGAATCGGTCCAAAGAACTCATTCAAACAAAAGGGAAGCAGAGAAATGAGGGGTGGGAAAGGGTTGGAATAATATCAGCATTCCAGCAGCTTCTATAATCTATCCATGCCTTCTTCTTATTTCTTCAACGTGCTAAATTCTTCCTGTCATTGAGGTCTTTAGATTTTCTGCTTCCTCTGCATGCAACACACTTCCCCACAAATCTATGTCTCACTTTTCTTCATTGAAGTGTCTGCTCAAAAATCATTTCTCAAAGAGGACTTATTTGGTCACCTCTTCTAATGCTGTTGGGGTCCATCCTTCTCTCTGTTTATCACATTGTCCTGGCACTCATTATCTGAACTTATTTTGTTTCCTCATATGCTTCTTACATTCTCAGCAGAAGGGAACCTCCAATGCACACAATAAGCTTCCCTGGCTTGTCACTATTGTGTTCCCAACTACTATTAGAGAACCAGGTGTGGATACCCTAAAAAGCATTTTTGCTGGATGAATCAATAAAATACTTCAAGTCCAGGGTCTAGATTCAGTCCAGTGTCCAGCCACTGTGATTTGGACACAGAGACAAACACACACAGAGTTTTGCCTGAGTGACATAAGGACAGACAGCTTACATTTCTTATAAACAGAGTGTCCATGATGCAAAATACAACAAAGATTAATTGAAAACCAAAGAAGAGATGGTGACACAACTTACAGTGCAAATACTGGCTGTCAGAAGTAACTCAAGGAAAGGACATGCTCGCCCCACACCTTACACAGCTGCATGTTGTTAGTAAACCCAGAGGTATGCCAACAAAATGAAGCCAGACTGAGCTAGGACATTTGGGAAGATGAAACTTTAATAAAATGTCACTCTTGGCCTATAAAAGGGGAATCCATAGCCAACAGCTTCCTTGACTGTTGACAAAACAACATGGCTTTGGAAGTAGTCTCTCTCCAAAACCATCACTTCCTACTCCCATCTTTACGTTTCTCCAAACTTTTGTTCCTCCAAGGATGAGAAAAATATGTCATCAAAGGGTGGAGATGGCCATTATGGGATTTACTGAGAAGGAAAATTTTGGAGGAACAAAACTCCTGGAAGACCAGAGCTGAAGTTACTCATGCTCCTATCCCTTGTGCCTCATGCAAAGCCTGGCATGGAGCAGACAATCCATGTTTATTGAATCAATAAATGACTAATAATAAGCACGTAATCCTAGAGCTTGAGAGCTGGGAGGGACCTTCAAAATAATCTCAATTTACAGTAGATGGAACTGAGGCTCAAATGAAATAAACAACTGTCCCAAGGTTGCACTGACTCCCAGATCAAGATTCAACAAGTTCCTCTTTTTTACACCCACTCCTTACATTTGTGTCGTGCTTTCTAGTTTACAAACACTTTCTCACATGTATTTGCCTTGGATTCCCACTGCCTGCTCTGAGGCAACAGGGGCAGGGTGGTATTATCCTTATTTTGCCCTGTGAAGAAAGAGACCCAAAGAAGTTAAGACATTTGCCCATATTTATACAATTTATTGTTTCTTGTAGTGATAGGTACCAGGACTAGACCCAGAGTTTCTAACTTCTGGTCCAAGGCTCTTTACAATCCACTGAAATTCATGGAAGAGGAAAGCTTTGAGCCAGGCATGGAGGGTGGCTAGCCTATTCGTTTGCTAGGGTTCCCATAACAAAGTGACACAAACCATGGTAACCCAGTATCACAAACATGGTGACAAAGCACCACAACTATTTTGTTGGCCTGAACAACAGAAGGTTGTTGTCTCACAGTTCTGGGGGCTGGAATTAAAAAATCAAGGTGTTGGCCAGGTTGTTTCCTTCTGAGGGCTGTGAAGGAAGGATCTGCTCACTTTCTCTCTCTTCTTGGTTTGTTGATGGCCAATTTCTCCCTGTGTCTTTTCATTTTGTCTTCTGTCTATACTTGTCTGTCTTTCAGTCCAAATTTCCCCTTTTTATTAGGACACCAGTCATATTTGATTAGGAGCCCTCCCTACTCCTACTGGCCATCAACAAAGGAGATTGTGCTATGTATACAGGCAAGTATTGACAAGCTTAACAAATTGCACCTGCAATGACTCTATTTATAAATAGGTCATATTCTCAAGTACTGGGGGTTAGGACTTCAACACATGAAGGGTGGGAGTTGGGGGCAGGATGAACACAATTCAACCTATGACAGCTAGAAAGCGGTATGGAAGTAGAGAGACAGTTCTTAGGTGAATTGATTGATGACTAACTTGAATCAGCA
This sequence comes from Homo sapiens, assembly GCF_000001405.40. Taxonomy (NCBI): domain Eukaryota; kingdom Metazoa; phylum Chordata; class Mammalia; order Primates; family Hominidae; genus Homo; species Homo sapiens. Next base: position 1,293,733 of record NC_000009.12, on the reverse strand, counting down.
AAGATATGGGCAGAAGTGAAATTGGCATGGCAGGGCCAAGACTCACTGTAGGAAGCAGAGAGAAAGGAAGAGTAAGGAGGTTGAGTGGACAAGGCATGGGACGAATTACCCTCCAGGAATCTTTCCCCACGAAAGGTGTGGCAAGCACCTAAGGAGACAGAATGTGCTCACAAGCTTTCTGATACCGATTTGGTTCCCCCACCCTGTTACTAGAAATTGCAAAAGTAATCACTTAAAATCAAGGGTAAGTTTTTTTCTGTTTAAAAAATACTCAGAGATAGCCATAAACACCACCTAGAATAGATCAAATAGGAGCATCTTCATCAAAGAAGACGGAGAGAAGGGAAGCTATGACAGTAAGTGGAGGAAACACTCTTCTGTGCCATATCACATCCTCCTGGGCCGCTTCTGATTTCAATCCCCACAGAGCTGAACCCATGATAAGTGTCCCACTCAAGTGCATGTAGATCCATCTCTCTGTCTTTCTGCCTCAAAGCCTGCTCTCAACATGGGCCACTAGAGCCAGTGGATAAATGCCCCAGCCTCTGTCCTTGGGATGGACCATTCTAGGAGGCATTCTGTACACTTCAAAGGGGTTCCAGCAAAATCCATCCTGGCCATTTCCTACAGCAGAGACCCTGATAGTCCACTGTAATGTTGTCTCTTCCTCCTCTCCTCTCATTGTCACCTCTCCCTCACTCTTGCTTCTCAAGGTCACCTCTAAAATATACTTTCTATACTCAAGTCTTTGACTCAGCCTCTGCTTCTGAGAAAAACTAAGCTAAAGCAGTCAAGAATGAAACTGGGGTCAGCTATAGGAATCCCAGCACTTAAAAGTTACCTACTGCAATGACATGCTTGCTCTCAAAGGGTTGAATTCAGTAAATGGTTCAGGCGTCTGCCCTGTGCAAGGCACTTGTAGGTGCTAGGAATGGAAAGTGGAGAAAGATATAGCCTCTGCCCTCAGGAAGTTTAAAATCTGCTGGAAAGGATTTATGCTTTGGAATATTCTCTAACTCTTGCTGAACACGAAGATCCATTTTCATTTGATATTTTTGATCCATGAGACCTTTAATAATTGCCAAAAAATCCACCACTTCTCTCACTTCAGAACATCCCATTCAGTTTATGACCCAGGTTCCCATGGCTCCAATTTACGTGTGATTCATATAACATCTGTTTAATTTTAAAGTTTATATGGCAGCTTTTTGAAATCTCAGGGACTTGTTCAACTTTCTTTCCCTTCCCTCAAACACCAAGAGGATGAAGAAAATTAATTTCCTGTATAAAAATGTGAGATGACAGAAGGTCTAAGGTTAAACCTATTTACAAAGAAAATCATTGCCAATGTTTAGAAATGTCTGTTTCTCTTTGAAACATCTACCTGGCTTCTAGTGTCTCATGGCATTTTATTATAAGGGAGTTTCAACCTATAATCAGCAATGGGGAGGAAAAGAGTTCATACTTGTTTTTCCCCAATGTGCAGTGAAATGTTGGCTAATAGGTCAGTCAATTTGTTTTACTAAATGGCCACCCTGGGAAGTTTCTCTTTCTCCTTTCCTCTGGGGGTGTCTGAGAATAGCATACCCCAGAATCCCAGCTTGGCTCCAGCAGCCCCTGCCCTCCTGAGGTTTTTCTCTTTTAGCGCTAATGGCAGGAACAGGTTGCGGGCATCACTTCTGGTCTAGCCTGGCACAACCCAAGCTTGGCTCGCCAGAGTGCACACATCCAGACAAAACTCCTCTTGTGGAGGGAGGAGAGAAGGGTTGAGTCCTCTCCACAGTCAGACAACAACAGAAATCACTTTTCTTCCTCCAAGTTTCCATGTTGATGGCAGCTCTGTTCTTTCTCATCCCTGTCCAAATAGACCCTTCCCATTTGGATCTTGCTCTGAGTTTAGTGGGACCCTCTCAGCACATGCAAACATTCTCCTGCTCCAGCACTGTCATGGGTTTCAGAAACATCATGAGCCCTCTAAAACCAGTTTATGACCCAGGTATCCATGGCTCCAATTTACATGTCTACTTGCTCAACCACACAGGATGATTCTGCTGCTCTCCCTCTTGTAGGGCTGAGGCCTCTCTGTATGGACCTACTACCTGGTCATTTCCACTGTGGGGTCTGGTCCTCTGCTGGAGAAGTGAGCCACAGGTCTCCTTGTCACTCAGTTCTCCAGATCTGTCATGGATTGTACTATGTGCTGACTTGTGTCCCCCAAATATCCATATATTGAAGTCCTAACTCACAATGCCTCAGAATGTGACATTATTTGGAAACCAGTTTGCTGCTGAAGTAAGTAGTAAAGATAGGTCATTAGAGTGAGCTCTAATTCAATATGACTGATGTTCTTATAAAAGGGGTGGGGATTTGGACACTGAGAAACATAGACATGGAGAATGCTACGTGAAGATGATATCTACAAGCCAAGGAAGACCAAAGATTGCCAACAAGCCACCAGGAGCCAGGCATGAGGCATGGAACAGATTTTCTCTCACCCCCCTCAGAAAAACCCAACTCTGTAAGTCTTGAACTTACAGGTTCCAGAACTGTGAGATAATACATTGCTGTCATTTACGCCACCCTTAAATGACAAAGGTTGTGGAACATTGTTACTGCAGCCCTATCAAATACTAGAATCTATCAAAAATAGATTCTAGTATTGCTATCATAATATTCCTCCCCTAAGACAAGCAATACCTCCAGTCTACCTGAATGAATTGCAAAGGGGTCAAAGGGACAAAACGAATTAGAGAAAATATTTTTAAAATGTTAACCTGCTACCATTTCACAGAACGTAAGGAAGATCTGCACACACACACACAAATATATTGGAATCAGTCAGGAAAAGGTTAGCACTTAAAATTGCTACCAACATTCTCCAATCTTGACAAAATGACTCTTGTGTTGTTTTCATACCCAAGATAATATTATTATTAAAAATTATTAATTTAGGGCTTACCTGGTGGAGACAGTGGAAAAGACATGGGCCTATTGAGTCCCAATGTTAGTTCCGACATTTGCGAACTGGATGAGACCTTGGGAAACTCACAAAGTCCCTGTCAATATTTTTCCTCATTTGTAAAATAAGAATAGTAATAGCTTCTTGCAGAGTTTATTCAGAGAAATTATAAAAGTTTGTATGAATGGTTTACTTCTCAAAACCCATTTGCTCTCTTTAGTTTCTCATACCCCTTGCATTGGTGCGCAATCACCTGGTAGTGGAGAAGGAGAGGAGAAGGGGTTGGCAGGGTCAAGAAAATGGTAGCCCTTTAATGAATTTATTTGTATCATATATTAAAGTTTGTATTCCTTAGTAAGAATTTAAAAATCACAAAATAGTGTGGCAATACTTGGGTAATGGAATTTATGGAGTGCTGAAAATACTAGAATATAAAGATAACTTCTAGTTTATCTTCACATACTAAACTTTTCTAAACCAGCTGGTTTCTTACAGAAACTATTTTTTATATATATATAAAATTTAAGACAGCCACTTTGAGAGGCCGAGGTGGGCTGATCACTTGAGGTCAAAAGTTCGAGACCAGCCTGCCCAACATGGTAAAACCCCATCTCTACTGAAAATACAAAAATGAGCCAGGCATAGTGGTGCATGCCTGTAGTCACAGCTACTCAGGAGGCTGAGGCACGAGAACCACTTGAGCCCGGGAGGCAGAGTTGCAGTGAGCTGAGATCGCGCCACTGCGCTCCAGCCTGGGCGACAGAGTGGGACTCCATCTCATATAAATAAATAAATAAATATTTTTCAAAAGACAGCATAAGCTTGTACCAAGCATAAGCATTGTAACAAAAGTGCAAATTTTCAGCAAATTTTCCCCTAAAGTTATTTTAACTAAAATTATTATTAGCACATATTTTCTCCCTACAAAAATAGCATGTCAGACATCATTAACTGGATGTATTAACAACTTTGTACATAAAAGCCACCTTGTAGGTTAACAGTTTAAACAGTGTTTGAGGCAAACAGCAGCAACAGCGGCAGCAAACGCACCAAACTGATAAAAGGACCCGGGCATTTTCCTCACTCGTATTCAGGCCGTTGTGTCTCACCACTTACACAGCATTCAAATGAGATTTCTCACAGTGCTACCTTGGTAGGCCTTTAATCTAAATGAGAAACTGGTTGTGCCTCCACCATCTGATGTCATATGTACTATTTATAAGAACAAGAACCTTCTCAAAGCCTCTTGCTTTCTTGAAACTGAACAATTGATTCAAATCAATGGTCACCATCATAAAGTTCCTCTTTACATTGATAAAATGGAAAAAGCAGTTTATTTAATAAAATAAAAAACTATGAAATAAAATGCATAGGGTCAAAGTCATTGAAATATTATTTCCACCAGGAAAACAAGATCACCTCTTTTATTCTTAAAATATATTTCTGAATTTACTTTATCCATGAAAGCAAAGAGGGAAAAAAAATGCCCGGAAAAATAAATATAGTGCTACTTTTGAAACTACGGCAATGAATTCTTGACATTCAAGGTGGTCTCAAAACCAATCTAGTTGCTACCTTAACATGACCAAAGCAGCGGTTCTCTCTTCAGTTAAAATGGACATTCACAGAATATCTCCTGGGAGGCTCCTAGGATTATTTCTTTGGCCCAAGAATCCAACTTTGGCAGTTCAACCAGTGTATACACATGTGTATGTGCATGCAAATATGGATGTGTAGCCGCATGTGTACTCTTATAGGCTGAAATATGTGTATGTATGCATGTGTGTGTGTACACATACATGCACAGGATCAAAATAATCAAGTCTTTCTGCAACTTATTTTTTCACTTAAAATATACATGCGTATACTTGGTATATTTCCATACCACCATACATAGATTATTCCCAAATTATCTCATTTATTATTTGTAACAACTGTATAGTATTCCATTGTGGAGATGTATTTTAATTTATTCAACCAGTACCATTATAACAAATGTTTAGTTTGTTTTCTTTTTTTTTTTTTTTTTGCTATTACAAAGTTGCATATATATTTGAAACTTGTGCAAATTTATCCAATACATGCAGTAGAATTGCTGGTTCAAACTGGTTCAAAGGGAAGTACATTTTAGCTTTTGATAGATATAGTCAAACTGTCCCTCTTAAAAGGTTCTACCAATTTATATCCCACCAGCAGTACACAAGAAGTCTTACAGGGGAGGGGTGGGGGTAATTTTTTCTTAATAAGATGCCCAAGGCCCCATGCCCTTAGAAAGTCTGATGCAGTATATCTGCAGGTGGGAACTTTAAGTATCTGTATTTTTCTAAAGTGATCAAGGGATTTAAAATGATCAGTCAGAATTTGAAACCTCTGCAGTATACCATCTACGGTTGCAGGAGGTACCCATTAGCTACATATCAGTTAGTCATCTCACTGAGAATTACTCACACGTGCAGCTCTGACCTGTGTAGGTGAAAGTAGCATTTGAAAATCAGATAGAATTAGTGCCTGAGATACAACCCCTGTCCACGGATCCTATTTCTCTACATATAGCTATAAAATTTCCTGGTTTGTATTACTGGCATTGGTTTTAAAGCTAATAAAAAATGTCTTGGTTTGCTCTAACATTTTATTTCGGGATGGGTAGGAGATAACTTATTTTTGCTGCTCTATTGGAAGTTCAGAGTGTAAGTTAAAGAATCCTTAGTGCTTTGAAAAAGTTTCATGAACTTAGATGAGGCATTTGACCAATGTACCAGTCCCACTGTGGCAGGAAATTAAATGTTGGACTGGACCCTTTAACTTGATGGAGAAGACATCTGCCCTCAAGTCTTCTCAGCTAACCCTGGAAAGATGCATCTAAGATGCCTCTCTGTGTCCACCTAGCAAAATAGTAAAGAACATCCTTCAGCTCAAAGACCCGAAAGATCCTCCATAAACCTTGTCAAAAGCCTAACCCAGCAGTTCTCAACCTGGATGCACATTAGAACCACTAAGGGAAGTTTAAAAATTATTGATGCTCAGGTTCCACCCTTAAAAACTCTAATTGGTCCAGAGTGGAGCCCAGGCATTGGTATGTTCTCATCTAAATGACTGTATAGGAGTTCGTGTGCACCAAGGTCAAGAACCACTCTTGTAACCTATCATTCACAGAACAAACCTGGCATGCCTCCAGCCTCTTCTTTGTAATACACTGGTCTTAAGTAAGTTACCCATGAGAGAAGAGGTTGGGAATAGAAAGAAAAGAAGTTCAATGAAACCTAAAAAGATTTCCTTGTCAACCATTCCTCTTTTCTCCCCTCAGTCCCTAGCTTCACATTCCATCTTTGTGTTTCTCAATGCCATGCTCAAAAAGAGAGTTTTGGGGGAAAATGACATTTAGGTAGAAGAGGTGGGAAACTCAAAGTGCCCCCAGGGGCCAGGAAAGCAATACAGATGAGGGAGGCAGTCTTATAGGACTGCGGCACACCACAGCCCCACTAGCTAGTCCTGGCCAAACACTAGCTAGTCCTGGCCAAACACTAGCTAGTCCTAGCCAAACACTCACATGCAGTTATTCAACCCCACTGACCCCGGACAAGTTAATTTTTCTAAAGATGCCATAAATACAATTTTACTTGAAACCTCACATTTTGTAAAGGTTGAAAACTAACAGAAAGAAAGAAAGAAAGAAAGAAAGAAAGAAAGAAAGAAAGAAAGAAAGAAAGAAAGAAAGAAAGAAAGAAAGAAAGAAAGAAAGAAAGGAAGGAAGGAAGGAAGGAAGGAAAGAAGGAAGGAAGGAAGGAGAAGGGGAAGCAGAAGGGAGAAAGAAAAAAAGAAAAGAAAAGAAAAGAAAGCTAAACAAAACACATCTGTGGGGTCAAATGAGGCCCAAACTCTACCAGGTTAGGACTCGTGACTTCAAGGAACCATCTACTTTTCATGGTTTGAACCTGGGAACATTGATCTTAAAAGCAAAAACAGTAAAATACAGCTGGACCCCAAACAGTGTCAGGTTTGGCGAGCTTATTAAAGTACAGACCTGAGTATCTTAACCAGATGATGTTCACAAAACCATGGATGAATGGTGCAGGGCTCATGTTTAAGAGTTAGCCCAGATGGACTGGGCGGAGCTGGTTAAAGACCCATCTTTCCTGGAAATGATTTCCCTTTCATTTCCCCCCATAAAAGTCCAGGTGTGCCTTCCACTCTGTTACATGTCAAAGAGGAGAATCTTCCCAAATGATCTTCACTCCTTTGGTCACCATCTGTGCCCCCAAACCCTGCTTCCAACAGGCATGCCGTTGTCAACACCATCAAGACAGAAGCATTTCTCAAAATAAATGCAGAATGCTGTGCTGACTCCCCCTCCATGAGTTCAGATTGATGAGATTTTGTTCTCCAGAGAGTACACAGTGAAGACAGACCAGTGCTGACGAACCTAAAGGGTATAGGACAAATGGATCATGGCATCAATTAAATTAATAAAGAAAAGGAAAAGTAGTAGATAAAACTAAGTAAATCTATCAGATATATCGTTTGCAAATATTCTCTCCCATTCTGTAGATTGTCTCTTGTCAATTATAAAAACTAATTAACTAAATAACTCATGGATCAAAGAAATAAAAATTTAAAAAAAACTTAAAGGACTGGGATACGTATATACCAGAGAGGGTTTTAGGAAGACATTGTGTGGCCAGAAAGGGACAAAAGAAACTTCATGCTTCTACTTCCCTTCCTTCATCTGTGAACAGGAGATAATGTCCCATTTCAGAGCCCTGTATTTTCTGTTTTCCATGGTTGTTTTGAATATCATATCGTAAAAAATGTACATGAAATTAGCTTGAAAACTGGGAATTATTGACAAATGTAAGGGATGAAAAGGGCCTAGCTGGGTAATAAACTGAGATTGTGGGAGATGTGCTCAAGAGGTTCCTTTTCCAAGAAAAAGTAACCATGTAAGCCCTGGTCACAGCACCAACTGGAGAGTGTGCAATGGAGAAGGGCCAAGGAGGAGAGGGCAGGACACGGGGGCTGAGCCTGAGTCCTACATCTCCGCCTGCCACTGGCCCCAGAGTTGACAGCAGACCTTGGCCAGCTGCCAGGCTGGAAACACAAAATAGTCACGAAGGCTCTTGTTTCTTACATTTCTCCAGCCTCCAAGAACACAGCCATCTCATCTCCTGTAGCCACCCCAAGACCCAAGAACTGTGGCACCATCAGTCTGATTTTCTTCATTGCACTCTCTGCATGGTTATTATGGGATGGATTCTATACGATTATTGAGTGCGCACCTACCCCATGCCTATTACAGCCTTGTACTAGGCACTGTGAAGGGTTCAAAATTATTCTTTTCCCTCAAATGGTCAGAAAGGCTAACTTTATCTTTGGTAGAGTAGAGATCTACTCACAGAGAAAAGAAAATAGACCCAGGAGGATGGAAAAAACGAACCTGGGTCCAAGAAAAACCAAGCACATCCACCCTTTTAAGCCATAATGGCTATAAAAGGAGTTTTGAGGGAGGAGAAGAGATGCTGTAATGCTGTGACGAGGAGGAGGCATTTTTGGGTCCTGCAAAGTCAGCCCTCTTTGGTATTTGTAGAAAGATTATAGTAATGACCTAATAGATGTTCAATTAATTTTAGAGTTTGAACCTAGCTGTTTTCTGAATATGACACTGCTCAGACTAGTCAGGAGGAGAATCAATCTATTGTGTGATACAAGCAGAGGAGTTACATTAAAACACAAAACTATGCTAATTTGTTAAAGTGATGAAACATAGTCTGCCAGTAGGGAGAGACCAGTGTGGTCAGAGCAACAGGGTAAAGCATCAGAGAGAGAACCAAGAAGGGCTGAGACAGTGGAAAGGATCTCATTACGCTGGTGAAAGTGCAGGTGGGGTTTGCTGAGATGTGGAAAAAGAACGTAAATAGGTACATTCCCCCCTTCTAAGCCATAATAGCTATGAAAGCCCAGGGCTTTTCAAAATGCAAACTACTTTTGTAGTGATTATTATTTTAAGCCTCACAAAACCACACACCCATCCACATGTCATTCCTCCATTTTATAGATTTGAACATGGGGTGTTGCTACCAAGGCTTGCTCAGGGGTCAGGGACAGTAAGCGGGAGAGTCAGGTCTCTAACTCACAACCAGGGGTCTTTCCACCACACCGAGTCCTACAGGAGGAACTGGGATCACCTGAGCCCCTCACGTTCTTTAGAGCTGAGCTCTGCGACTTCCAAAGCTTGTCCCCGAGGGAGGTGAGTCAGCAAGCAAAGTTAGAGGGAAGGAAGGACTCAGAGCGGGAACAAGAGGTATGGGTGAGACGGAGGGCAGGCCAGCCAATGGGAGGCCTCAAGAACAGAATGAGGAGAACTTGGCCGACATCCCGCAAGTGACAGGCTGAGCACACACTATGATCCCCAAACAAACTAAACCTACGTGTTATGTGGTTCATCGGGTCTTAATGGATAGACATGCTCTCAAACAAGAGCCCTCCTCTCCCCTCGCTTTTCTGAGAAAAATAATGAAAAGACTCACTCAAGAGAACACCAACCTGTGGTAACTAAACCTTTTTGGAAGAAAGCAATCCATCCATGCAGAGAGAGGTAGAAAGAAATATGTGCAGTGGCGGTTTTGCTATTGCTGGTGAGAGAGACGTCAACATACCATCAGCTTAAATACCAAGTTGAGAAGTCTGAGGAAATTTGAGGAGTCAAACTGTGTACCGTCTCAGAATACAAGGTCCCAGGGGAAACAAAAGTATTCACATTCAGCACCTAAAATTAACTCTCTTTCTCCTCCTTCCATTCGTAGGGCTTATCAGGTGTGAAATCAGACACTGTCTCTGGTCTATTGTTAAAGGCATTTGTGTGTGTGGGGGGGTGTGTATGTGTGTGTGTACACACACACACAGAGTTATACACACACACACAGAGTACAGAATTATTCCACCCAAAAACCAGGAAAAAGGAAAAACCACTGCTTTCATTGAAGGATTACTAGGTGTTCATTGGCCCACTACTCTCTCTTCTCTTAGAGAATTTTAAACAAACAGAAGAAGGTAAAGCAAGCTAAGCTTCAATCCCTGGTAATACGACATGACTAGGAGCAGAGGTGTGAGAAAGAAAGGAAACCTAGTGGAATAAAAATGTTAAATTCACAAAATCTGTATGGATTCTGTTAGTTTTTAGAAAGAAGTGGTGATAATTAAAAGCCAGCCAATGAACTTTGCCCCAACCCCTACTGTTTCCTGCCTGTCTCTTCCCAAGGGGTGCCTTTGGTGCCCATGTAATGACAAGCCCGTTATTTTTATACATTAACTTTCCTAGCTAAGCATCACGCAGTACTTTCTTGCTGTCCAGCAGCTAGGTGATGGCTATAAAATCAATCCCCATACTTATGTTGAGGAGGCGTTTGTATGTTTTGGAGTCTTGATCAATACTCAGCATATGAGTGTTGTGCAGAAAAGTGTAACAGGATGGGTCGGAGACTACTTATTTGAAAGGAAAATCCTTGAGATAAAAGAAAGATGATTGAATACTAAGAACATATTAATTTATGGACATCTTCACCTCATCTCTAATGTCCCCAAGAAACAGGGATTCCTAAAATAATCTGCCAGTGTCAAGCAAGAAGTCTTCCCCTGGAAGAGAAAAGGAAGGTAACTGAGATGAGGTCAGTTTCTACTCTCCCTGGACACTGTGGTAGGGATGTTACCATCTGTGTAGACCTCACAACACCCTGCAACAAAAGATGTGTTGTCATTTTTAACCACAAGGACCAGAGAGACCAAGTGAGCTTCCCAAAGTCACCCAAGGACTTCACACCTCAGACTTGCCATTCTGTTCACTTATTTATTCACTTGTTCATTAATTTATTGAGCACTGACTCTGTGGTAGGCTCTGCATTAAGGACTATAGATATAAAGCTAAATAATACACACTCCCCCAATCATGAAAAGCTTGTATCATTTGTCTATTGTGATTTCCAAAACCACAGAAAATCTCTTCCAATGGCAAAACCTAGTGACTGCTTTCCCCAAGGAAAGGATATTGCCCATAATTGGTGCAGCCTCTCTTCCCTCTTTTTTCTTTCCTTCCTTTTTTCTTTCCTTCTTTTCCACCTTCCTTCTTTCCATTTCTTTTTTTTGGGAGGAAAGAAGTTACAAGACTTAGTATTGATCCTACTTAGTATTGATCACTGGAAACATAATGACCCAAACCAATGTTCCCCATATAACTATTTTAGGTGAATCAATTCCAGTAAAATCAGAAACAAAAGGGGTTTCATAGTCAAGGAATTTGATAAAATTAGCTATAAAGCACTGCCTCTAATGATTCACAATACACACCAGCATTCACAAGACTCCCAGAAGTGTTTATTTATCATTGCTTAATGCGGCATCCCCCTAAGCTTTTCCAAGCATTGGAATACATAATTACAACTTGAAAAACAGTTTTCCAAGATTGGCATTTGGAGGTGGAATTGCACTGGGGCTCAGCTTAATCATTTGATTGGGGAAAAGTAAGTGAACCTTTATGTCTGTTGGAAGTAGCCCCTTGCAGAAGAGCACAGAATTTGATAATAGAAGACCTTAGTTCAAGTCCACAATTTGCTACATACTAAGTAAGAAAACTTGAACAAGCTACTTAACCTTTTTGAGCCTTTGCTTCCTTACATAATAAGTGCACTGGATAATACATACCTTGACCTTATTTTTATGATTAGAGATTATGTATATACCTTTTAAGTGCCTGGCAATGCCCAGCAAACAAGTGCCAATATAACACCTATTTTAAAATATAGAACATAATACAGTTGACTCACAATGAAAAAGATGTGTATTCTAATCTACTGTTCCATGATTTAAGAATGTCTTTCAGGCCAGGCGTGGTGGCTCACACCTGTAATCCCAGCACTTTGGGAGGCCGAGATGGGAGGATCACGAGGTCAGGACATCGAGACCATCCTGGCTAACACGGTGAAACCCCATCTCTACTAAAAATACAAAAAATTAGCCGGGCATGGTGGCAGGCGCCTGTAGTCCCAGCTACTTGGGAGGCTGAGGCAGGAGAATGGTGTGAACTTGGGAGGCGGAACTTGGAGTGAGCTGAGATCGCACCACTGCACTCCAGCCTCAGTGACAGAATGAGACACTGTCGCAAAAAAAAAAAAAAAAAGAATGTCTTTCAGCTACCAGTCATCCACATGTTTGCTAGAGACTCTTGGAGAAATTGCATATATTTTTATAAATGACTGACTGGAGTCACTCCTACAAGAAATACTTTTAAAACAAGAAAATTGGCTTTTACCGTTGTTGGCATCATGGTCCAATCAATTTAACTAACTTGCAAGAGGCTGACAAGAAATTATACAGAAGGAAAAAGAAAACATTACATGAGAAATTATTATTTTTGCCTTTCATTTTCTGCTCTTATTTTTCCTTTGTATTGTATTCATTTCATTGCAATTTCTCTTTTCTTTCTACGTTGTATTTACTCTTATCTTTACCACATAAGTTAAACAAAATATTTTTAAGCTGTATTTTTTTCTAGTAATCAAAATTGAAAATAAAATGGAATCTCTTAACATCCCGTTATCTAAAAGAAGGAATTTACTCTACCTCCTTCCTACTCCCATTTCCTAAGCCTTTGTTTAATACTGTTTGGTAGATAAAAGCAAGAATATAGTTGAAATTATTTTTTACTAATATATCTTTCCTTTCAGCATTATCTTTGACATTTACATTCAGCATTGAAACCATATTTATAAAAGTATCTAGACAATCTTTTTTACTTGCTCCAATTAAGTATAGTATGAAGAATAAAGTAAATTTATATTTATGACCAGATTAAGATGCTCTTGAGTGAAGTTACCAAAGGTATGGAAATCATATTCCCATTTCTTTAAAAATATATTCAATAAATAAAAAATATTTGTATCTTGAAAGCTCTACAACAAAATTATATTAATGATGGGTATGTGTGGAAAGTGAAATTATGGATGATTTTTAAATACTTTGCCTACCTTGTATTTCCCAGCTTTTCTAAAATGAGGACATAGCATTTGTTTAATAGAGAAAAAATGAGCTACTAAAGAGACAGGGAGTTGCTTGCATCTGCATAAACTGCTCTTAACAATCTTCATTTATTAAAGTGACAGTAAAGGGAGCTTCATAAAGACAAAAACTCATAAGAACAAACAGAGCAGGAGAAAGGAAAACAGCAACACAATTTTGGAAGCTGGAAAGCAGATGGCCCATGGTAATTGACTTAGCAGACCTAAGAAAGCGGAATTCTAAGCTGACAGTGGGAAAAGCCATGAACAACCCAATTTACCCTGAAGAACACCCAAAAGACTCAGAAATTGGCAGCACCAAGTACCTCTGTAAGGGGGAGGTGAAGGTCAGACTAAAGAAGGATTTGTGCAAGTCGTTTAAGAAGTAATTAGATCCCCAAGATCCCCCCTCTACTTTAGGTGGCCAGCCAACAGCCCATCCCTTCCCCAGCCTTCCTCCAATTTCTACATAAAATTGGAAGTTTGTTCTCTAGAGACTGTATAGCAGAAGGCTCTGGACAAGGGGATATCAGATACAGGTGAGGGCAAGGGTGCTGGACCATACCAGAAATAAAGGGATTTAGCACACACCAACCACCACCACCCCTCCTTGCCAGCCTCTGCCCTGCACAGCTTCCAATGCAGTCACCCAGGTCTTAGCCTCCAAGGGTTGGCTTCCCAGTGAAACAGCCAAGTCAACTCAAAATGCAAGGACACCAACAATCAATAAGTCCCATCCAAGTGCTCCCCAGCTGTGAACTGTACTGATGTAATAAATGAGAACATAAACACTGAATAGAAAGCAAACTAACATTACCAGTAAATATATAAATATATCAGGGGAAAATGGAAAGACTGGGGGCTGTGAGAACTCCGAGTATGTCTGTGTGTCTGTATGTGTCTGAGGAAATCAGAAGAGTAAGTCTTTGTGCTTCCATTGTGAGAAGTAGCAAAATAAATATGTTATAAAGAGAGACATGGGGCCGGGCGCTATGGCTCGCGCCTGTAATCCCAGCACTTTGGGAGGCCGAGGCGGGCGGATCACGAGGTCAGGAGATCGAGACCATCCTGGCTAACACGGTGAAACCCCGTCTCTACCAAAAATAAAAAAAAAAAAAATTAGCCAGGCACGGTGGCGGGCGCCTGTAGTTCCAGCTACTCCGGAGGCTGAGGCAGGAGAATGGCGTGAACCCGGGAGGCGGAGCTTGCAGGGAGCAGAGATCGCGCCACTGCCCTCCAGCCTGGGCGACAGAGCCAGACTCCGTCTCAAAAAAAAAAAAAAAAAAAAAAGAGAGAGAGAGACATGGAGGGAAATGCTAAAACAATCTACGGAAAGATTGGTGGCCTCTGAGAAGGTCGAGATGATGGGAAGTTAGGGGTAGGGGGATGACTGCTGCTCTTCATAACAAGCTCTAAAAATGTGTTTGATCTCTTAAACAATGATAAAAATAAAAATAAATCAATGAGAACATGATTTTGTTACAGGATGAGACACAACAGAAATCTCAATGAATTAGAAATAGAAGCCACATTCTTTAGACATAATATAGAAAATTAGATATTAATAAATCAATGTTAAAAAGTTAACTACCTTTCCTGATACAAACTCTTAACAAACAAGATAGGATCAAGGAGAACAAGTCATGGATCATCTTATATCATGAGTTAAATCCTATGTCATGGCTTAAAACAAAATCAATCCCATCTCAATTAGCTCTGTGTAGACTAACTCAGTAATGACAGAGAAAAGAGAAAGCTTTGGGAGCCCAGTCTATAAGACCTACCCGAGCCTTCAGCTCCAGAGCTTCTCGCCCTGTCAGTTAACACAAAGTCAGAGTCTTGTCTTATAGCATGTGCTAAAACAACTTCCGTAAAAGTTAAGGAGTCACGGGGGAGGAAACGGGGAGTTACTGGTCAAAAGGTACAAGTTGCAGTTAGACATGGGGAATAAGTTTTGAGATCTACTGTACAGCAGGGTAACTACAGTTGATAATAATAATATATTGTAAATTTCAAAATAACTTAGTAAATTTCAAATGTCTTACCAGACAAAATAATAAGCAAGTGGGGTGATAGATATGTTAATTAGCCTGATTTAATCATTCATCATTGTGTGAGTGTGTGTGTGTGTGTGTGTGTGTGTGTGTGTATCTCGAAATATCACACGGTACCCCTTAAATGTGCACAATAACAATTTGTCAATTAAAATGACATTAATTTTTTTAAAAGTTAAGGAGTCAGACTTCTTTTTTAATATAGCACAAAAAATATGTAGGAAGCTCTTTAACTGATCAGAGTCTGAAGGCTATTCAAAATATAAAACAGTGAGTCAAATCACAAAGTAAATTCAGGTGAATATCCCTTAAATGAAATACTTGGAACCAGAAGTGTTTTAAATTTCAGATTTTTTTCAGATTTTGAAATATTTGCATTATACATACTGGTTAGGCACCTCGATCCAAAAATGCAAAATCTAAAATGTTCCAGTAATCGATTATTTCCTTTGGGCATAAACTTTGAGTGTCATGTCAGTACTCCAAAAGTTTTAGATTTTGAAGCATTTTGGATGTCAGATTTTTGGATTAGGAAGGCTCAACCTGTACTCACATATTTAATACATTAAATTTTTTAAACTCTGTATGTTAAAAAAATCTAAACAACAGTAAATGGTAAATGACTAGGAAAAATTATTAGCTAATTTATAAATATGATAAAGGGTTAATATCTATACCAGATTTTTAAATTCTTACAAAAATCAATAGGAGAAATACTAATATATCAATAAAAAAGAGAAAAAGAACATGACCAAAAAACTCATGAGAGAAAAACATAAGGTGAACCCAAAACTTGTGGAAAATGGAAAACATGTCTAACTTCTAATTTTTTTAACTACAAATTAAAATTCCTATTAAATTAAAATGCATTTTAAAGGTAATATTTAATGCTAATAGAGGTTAAAAAAAAAGCAAGTATTCTCATATATTTCCATTGGAATTTAACTTGGAAAGCTATTTGGCAATATGTATTATAAGTCATAAAATTGTTCATACTTTTGAATCAATAATACTTTTAGAAATCTATCCTAAGTAAATGAGAGATGTAGTAAAAGATTTATGTACAAAAATATTTATCACCCAGTTATGATCCCACAATAGGGAAAAGATTCAGTAAATTATAGTATGGTCCTGTAATAGAATATTAGGTAGGAATTAAAAGTCATATTTTTGAAGAATATTTAATAACATAGGTAAATGTTTATGATAAAATACTAATGTTAAAAACACACGGTACAAATTTTATATAGTAATGATTCCAATTTTATAATATATGCATATATCAAATTTTGTTATATGTGCATATATACTCTATATGTGTATTCAAAAATACTGGAATGAAATACATGAAAATTAATAGTAGTTAACCCCAAGTAAAAAGATCTTGAGTAAGTTCTTTTCTTTAACTTTCTTAAGCTTTCCAAACATTTCTAGAGTGAGTATAAATTACTTTCAAGTGACAAATGTAATAGAAATAAAGTAGTAATTATCTTTACTATAAAAATAGAAACGCTAACCACATATATAATCCATATTAAAATCTCCATAATTCTGAATTTGTGAAAATTTGGACACAGGCCAGATTGAAGTTTGCCTTTGGTTGGTAAACCCTTCATAAAAACCCTTCAGAATACCTAAGTTTGACAAATAAGAGTATAAAAGGAAATAAAATAATAAAATGGCAAATAGTTATTGTTTACCATATACAAAGCACTTAAATCAAATATTTTACCATATGCCTTCTACCATCTATGAGGGCCTTATGATAGTTTCCCACTTTTATGGATGAAGGTTCTCTGTCATTGGAAGGAGCATCTCACTGGTCACCCCTGAGATGCCCTTGTCCAAGCAAGCATGGACCATTTGAAGGCAGCAACTGCTCTGCTCACAACATCTCCCCTCTCTTTCTGGCTCTGCCCCAGGTCCTTTGCCTACTTTGCAAGGCAAACTTCACTTAGCGTCCCATCCCCAACACTCACACTGCCATCCCCCTCAGTGGGCCTGCTGTTTCTGTGACATGGCACAGGAGGAGGCCCAGGTCAGCTCCTGAGTTGACCACACTTCTTGTTCACCACACACAGGAAATTCCAGCGTCTTCCCTTTGAAACCCCAGGGCTTCCAAAGACTTGCTGGAGACTTTCTCTAGAGAATCACAAAAATCCAAAGAAGCTATTAACTATCCTGAGGCAAGAGAGGCAAAAATATAGACATTGCCTATGGTTGCTAGACGGTGGAATCATTGCTGCTTATCACATTTTTTTTTATTGGCGTAAAATACACATAACATAAAATTTACCATCTTGGCTATTTTTAAATTTTTTTTTTTTTTTTTACAGATGGGGTATTGCTCTGCAGCCCAGGCTGGAATACAGTGGTACAATCCCAGCTTACTGCAATCACAGTTTACTGCAGCCTCGAACTCCTGGGCTTAAGCAATCCTCCCACTTCAGCCTCCTGAGTAGCTGGGACTACAGATGTGTGCCACCATGGCTAGCTTATTTATTTATTTATTTATGTAAAGACAGGGTCTCATTATGTTTCCCAGACTGTTTTTGAACTCCTAGCCTCAAGCAATCTCCTTACCTTGGCCTTTAACCATTTTTAAGTGTACAATTCAGTGTTATTAAATATATTCATATTGTTGTGTAACCATCACCACCATCCATTTCCAAAATTATTTTCATCTCTATAAACTGAGACTCTATACCCATCAAACAATAGTTCCCCTTTCTCCTCTCCCTCAGCTCCTGGCAATCACTATTTTATTTGTTTCTATGCTCTTGACTACTCTAAGTATCTTACATAAGTGGAATCATACAGTATTTGTCTTTTTGTGACTGGCTTATTTCACTTAGCATAATGTCCCCAAGATTCATCCATAATGTAGCCTGTGTCATAACTTCCTTCCTTTTTATGGCTGAATACTATTTCATGGTATTGTGTATACCACATTTTGTTTATCCATTCATCCATTGGCAGCCACTTAGGTCACTCCCACATTTTATCTATTGTGAATCAGTGTTGCTATAAACATAAGTATACAAGTATCTTTTGAGATCCTGCTTTCGATTCTTTGGGGTATATACCCAGAAACAAAATTGCTAAATCATACAGTAATTCTATTTTTGTTTTTTGAGGAACTGTCCTACTGCTTTCCACAGTGGTTGTATCATTTTACATTCACATCAAAAGCGCATAAGGATTTCATCTTTCTCCATGTCCTTGCCAACACTGGTTGTTTTCAGTTTGTTTTTTGGTTTTTTTTTTTTAATAGTAGCAATAGTAGTCACTCCTAATGGGTGTAAGGTGGCATCTCATTGTAGTTTTGATTTGCATTTTCCTAATGGTAGTGATGTTGAACATCTTTTTAACATGCCATTACTGGCCACGTGTATATCTTCTTTGGAGAAGTACCTATTCAAGTCCTTTTCCTACATTTGAATCCAGTTGTTTGTTTTTGTTGTTGTTGAGTTTTAGGAGTTCTCTGTATATTCTGGATATTAATCCCTTTATTCCATATGTGATTTGCAAATATTTTCTTCCATTCTATGGGTTGTCTTTTTACTCTGTTGATATTGTCTTTTGACGCACGAAATTTTTCAGTTTTCGTGAAGTCCCATTTGTCTATTTTTTCTCTTCTTGCCTGTGTTTCTGGTGTTATATCCAAGAAACCATTGCCAAATTCAACATCATGAAGATTTTTTCCTATGTTTTCTTCTAAGAATTTTATAATTTTATATCTTTCATTTAGGTCTTTGATCCATTTTGAGTTAATGCTTGTATATGATGTTAGATAATGGTCAAACCCCATTTTTTGCTTGTTGATATTCCATTTTCCCAACACCATATGTTGAATGTAATCACTGCTTTTTAACTTTTTTCAAGATCCTAACCAGAAAGAAAGGGAAAAAACGGCATTTCGAGAAATTATCCTGTATTATATTTTTATGTATTATATATCTTTAGGGAGAAATTTTTAGTGCCTTCAGGAATTTTTGAGGCATCTGCACGTATAAAATCAATTAATATGCCACTTACAAATTAGTATCATAACTTATGATAAACCTCCTGATTGCCACTAATCAGAGTGGATTGAATGAATGAATGAGTGAACAAAGGAATTGAATGAATGATATTTTTCAGTCATAGTATATCATTTTTAATTGGGATTTCATGTACTCATGCTACTCTCTTTTAAACAATAATATTGTACTAGAGTATCCCCACTTACTCTCAGCCTGACGATTACTTAATATTAATATCAAAATTCAACCAAATTGAATGTGGGATCTAGGTGGCAGCAGCACTGGCCTGTCCAACCATTGTCCATACCTGGCTCTCCATAAAACAGACCTTGACAGGTTTATTCTCATGTGAAATCACTTGGTGGTTTTGTGATTCAGATAAAATGTCCAACTCTGAGGAACTAGAATCCATCAACAGCTGCTTCCATATGAAATACTACAGAGAGACCGTAAAACTCAGGTCTGCAGAAAGAAAAGCAAACTGTCTCCTCCAGGATGCAACCACCTCAAATGAGCTTTCATCTAATGAAAGTGCACTAACCGCAGCAGCTTAGGAACATACATGGCTAACTGTCCTTTCTACAAACCATAGTAAAGATCCAAAGTGTTTGACCCCAACACCTGCCACAGAAAAGAACAGATGACTCACAACCCAGAGGTCTTGGCTTTCAACAGGATGCTAGTGGCTCGAATTATTCATGGAGTGACTCTGCTCTGGTGATTAAAGCAAAGTGGTAATACTTTGCATATGTCTGTGCTACAAGCATTTTTCATGGCACGACTGCAAATTTCTTATAGGAAGATCCAGACCAGGTTACATGAGAGGGACAAATCTTTCAACTCAATAAAACAGGGCAAATTTGGAAGGAAAATCTTGTTGGCTGGAAGTCAGAAGCTAAAAAGAGTAAACAGAATCACAACATAAAATTTTGTGTGTGATGATATGCAAATGACAGAAAAATAAAATATTTCTACTTAATGTGTGTCTCAATTTAGCCCACAGTTTGTATATTCTCCATATATCAACATACCAGGAAGAATGCAAGGGGTACTGTGCTATACTCAGAATATAGATAATCCCCTAAAAACTTACGGTTTATTTCACTTTTTAAATTAAGTAATGATTTAAATGTTTAAAGGAAAGTTAATCATTTCATAGTAATTTTCTTATGAATTAAATATGTATCGTTTAATTGGTATGGCTTAGAGTTTGGGAATTTCCTTGAAAGACTGCTCATCTACACTGAGAATACTACATGGAAAATACATTTCATACACTATAAACTTTCCAGCATTTTGTGTTCGAATGTAACTTTCCACTTCTCCAGGTAGATGTCACAAAATTTCAACTACACAGAATACATCTAGGAACATTCCTAGAAATTTTAAAGGTCTTGAGTTTTAAAGAAGAAAAAATATGTGTTACAAATCATCAGTAGTTTATTCTTAGGAGAGGCATAGCAACAAAGACTTCCTAAACAGCATTTAAAATTTTTCTAAGAGTTTAAAAAGTTAAGGAATTTTGAAACATCAATATAAGATTTCACTGAACCAAGAATTTCTTAAAATACTAGCCTTGCAAAGTAGTTAGTGATTCCATGTCCAGACACTGCATTTTGTTTAAAGATAATTAGAATTGACTCCCTGGACAACCTAAACTCATATCATGCATACCATTACAGAGAAATATTCCAAAAATGCAAAAGATCAATTATGTATTACTGCTTAGTTGGTTAAAGTTATGGATTCTTCCATTCATGTGGATTTCCTACTTTTTGTATATTTGTTACAGATTGGTTCTAGCAAAACATCACAAAAATTCACGTTTGTCATGAAGTTGGAAGAAAATGGCTGCATCTGCACAAATCCAATACCAGTGATCAAAATAAGGCCCAAGGGCAATCCTTCCGGATAACGCACCAGTTATATTAGATTTTATGGTTGGTATGTAAGCACCTGGAAGATAAGGACCCCACTTTACTCATCTCTGTGTCCACAGCAGCAGGTGCAGGCTTTGGCATGAAAATTACACTCAATAAATGTTAAACAGAAGATGAGTTTTTAAACATCTGTGTTGAAACATTATGAGAAAACACAAAATGCTATATAAAGCCTTACAGAGGCATTCAGGAATTTATATGTCACCTCTTCTGTACCCAGTTGTATGCTAAATAATGTGAAACTAAAAGAAAAATAGGCTGGGCGTGGTGGTTCATGCCTGTAATCCCAGCACTTTGGGAGGCCAAGGCAGGCAGATCACTTGAAGTCAGGAGTTCAAGGCCAGTCTGGCCAACATGGCAAAATCCCGTCTCTACTAAAAATACAAAAATTAGCCTGGCGTGGTGGCACATGCCTATAATCCCAGCTACTCTGAAGGCTGAGGTACAAGAATCCCTTGAACCAAGGAGAAAGAGGTTGCAGTGAACTGAGATCACGCCACTGCACTCCAGCCTGGGCGACAGAGCGAGACCCTGTCTCAAAAAAATGTGTATATATACAAAAAATATACAATATAGTGTTGGCCTTTGAGAGGCAGGGCTGAGACAAATGTTAAGAGCATGAAAATTAGAATCAGAGAGTTCTGGGTTTCAATTCAGGCTTTACCACTTGGGCAAGTTGTTAACCACTTTTCACTTCCACCTTATTAGCCTTAAAAATGGGACAACAATACTTGGCAGAGTTCTTGTGACAGTTAGAGGTCATGCACATAATTAATGAGCTTAACACATAACGGGACTTAATAAATTGTAACTACTACTACTAGATGCAAAGGTTTGAAAAAATAAAATTGACATAATATTATTAGAGAACACACAAGCAAATACTAAGCTATGTAGAACTGACACGAGTGTAACAGGAGTCCAGAGAAAGAATGAAGTCGGTGAGCAGGAGCAGTCAGCTGAGTCCTTGTGGGAAAGGCAAGGAAGAGAGCTGGATTGGGAAGAATAGACAAGTCAAGCAGGGAGATTGCTGAGAACAGAGGGTGGTGGCTGTGAGAGGGTGGGTAGAACAGGGCAGAGCCTGTGTATGAGGGGAGGGCACAGGAAAGGGCTGTGGTGGAGGTGGGGCCACGTTGGAAGCAATTCATCTGGTTTCTCAATGACAGGCTGGAGAAGGGTTTTCTGTTTGGTCTGTTGCTAAGTAATGATTTTCCCAAATCTATCAAGTTTGGAAAATGAGGTTTAGAATTTCTCTAATAGAAGTATTTGTTTTAAAAAAAAAAGTTATAGGGAAGAGGGTAAAGAGATTCCATTGTCCTACAATTCTTAAGCACCGAAAACAGCATTTTTTCAGGAACTCGGATGTCTAAAACAATATGTTAATTATTATGGATAATGCTATTTTATCAGTAAGCAGTACTTCTAAAAATAAGTAGATAGCAACTAATATATAGAGTATCTCAAATACCAGTGTTGGGTGGGAACTGTGGGCACTTCAGATGACCAAGAGCACCAAACATGTCCATGGTCTACCCCAAACCACCCAGAGCCTGTAGGAGGAATCTACAGTCTATATTCAGTCCCAAAGAAAAACCACAGAATAGACCCTCCACGTCAGAGTAAATGTGTCTGGAACATGAGGAAAGGTTACAGAACCCACATTATAATATATTACCCACAAAAACCCACTCTGGGGGAAAAAAAAAACCAGCAAGCATGGAGAATTTATGCAATTACAAGGTTCCTACTTAACTCAGGTAAAAAGGCTCACTTCCTGAAAGACCGTCACAGAGCACTGAGGGTCTCAAAGGCCTCACTGCCATCTGCAATCTTGGTTCTTACTTTTTTAAGGCTTTTGGTGTTGAGTGAACAGCTGAGTAAGAAAATACAACCAATCATTGTCAATAAAAAAAAAAACAAAGCACCTTAATTCTCATTGTTCTTTTGGCTAACCAAGAATAGAGTCAAAAAGGCAGAATCTCCTAAGGGCAGAAGGTAGCCATTCTTCCTCAAGTTTTTATTGGGCCACCATTTCATATAAATCACATGAAAGAGCAGCATGCTCTTTGTCAGCAATATGAGCTGTGAAGTTTCAAAATATCTAAGTCTGATCCAGGCACTGGAATGAAGCCCTTTGTTCTCTCAGCAAATATGGTAGGCTCTTAAAGAAACCGGTAAGTTCAAGGTCCATTTTCACAAAGAAGGAATGGTTTTATAGCAATGCCCCCTCCTACCCTAGACAAGTTGCTGAGATTCAATGAGAAGGCAGAGTGCTCTCTCCCCAGGTAATGATGTGGCATCCTCCATTCATTGTGCTTTCACATCTCAGCTCCAACCACTTGCCGTCCCATTTGTTTTCCATATCTCTTTTGCCGGAGACATAACAAAGCCTTTCATTTTTTTCCTTCAAGATCAGAGACACATCTGCAGATGGAATTTTCAAATTACAGAAGCACTAATATAAGCTGTTGATGTTACTATTTTTCTTTTCACACACATGCTGGGAAGTGAAAGTTTGTATGAATACATGAAAACCCAAACGTGACCAATGAGGGTTTTATAATGAAAAAGTAGAAGAGGGAGAGGGAAGCAGATGAAGCAGAGAGGGAGAGAGGGGGTGGAGGGAGAAAAACCGAGGGAAAAAGAGACAGAAGGAGAGAGGGAGGGAGGGAGACAGAGAGAAAGAAATGTGGGGGGGGAGGAAGACAAAGAAAAAGGGAACAAAGTCCAAGGAAGATGAAAGTTTTTAAAAACTTTAACTCCCTCATCAACCTTCATTTCTTGTCAAGAGTTCTTCACAAGTTTTTTACCCATGAAACTTAACTCCAGTCTGTTTAGTTAATTATGAAAAACCAACGTGGAAACCATTATTTCAGTGTGTAAATTTCTTCACCAGGTGTTGTCCACCCACTGCCCTCCTGTTCTCAAGCTGACAAGAGCAGCCCCAGGCGCCTGAAGAGCAGGGGATCCACAGGGAGCCGGAAGATGCCAGGTGGGAGAAGTGAGGCCCTGTTTCCCCACCCTACTGGGCTTGAATTTTAAAAAGATGATAACTTGGTGAGGCCAGGACTGTATCCCAGGGTCAATGTGAAGAGGGAGCCGCCTGGCTTGAAGTCTGACTGTGTGTTTGCAAGCAGACCCACTTTAAAGGCCCAGGGCACCTTTCTCCAGCTGCTCTCTGTGTTGGGTCCTAAGGACTCACAGCTCCATTCATCTCTGAAGAAATTCCTCTTCAGATGGGAGGTTATGCATCCCCCAACACCACTTTTTTGTAGGGGGTATCTTTGGAGCCTGCACGGTGTGGTCTCAGCTCCCAGAAAAGGGCTGCCTGCCAAGCAAAAGTCTCTCCTATTGACCACTGTGTTAGCTTGGGTTCCGTAGAAGGAGAACTAAAAGAGAGATTCCTGTGAAAGCTCAGGAGAAACCTGTAAGAGAGAAAGAGGTGCAGGACACAAAGGGGAAAACACTCAGCTAGGATGAGGTTGCAGCTGAAGTCAAGTTTCAGTTTTATCCTATGGGTAGCTCTGGAGCATGAATTACAACTCAGAATTATAGTCTCAGAATAAATTACCACCACTACTACCATATCATGCAGTCGTTGGTTGCAGGTTGCCCCTACAAAAGAGGGGAGAAGCATAACCTCCCATCTGAAGACAGGCTACCCCAGAAATGAGTGAAGCTGTGAGCGCTTAGCATCTGACCTTAGAGCAGCTGCAGAGAGGGGCCCTGGCCCCATGAAGTGAGCCTAGGAAGGGCACCAACCCGCTGCCCGGAGCCCTGTGTTTCTCACATTAAGTTCAGTCCTTCCAGGAACAGCTTCTCTGGGACTGTGACTGCTCAGCATGTCTAGGGAAACATATAAAAGGAAGACTCATTTGAGAGAGTACAGTCTCAGCTGCTCAGTTGGTCCCGAGCTAGAACTGATGGCTTCAATTCATCAGTTGAATTGAAGGATTAATTCAATTCCTCATCCCACCCTAAACCATCCTAGATTCCTTCACCCTTAGCTGGCTTTTCTCCTGGTCAAGATAACATCACATAGGCCACTGGCAGAGGGTTCTCATCTCATCCCTGAAGAATCTGAGCCCCTGGTTACCATGCCTTTAACAGATCAGCATTCCTATAATTGCCCATTGCCTGTTAGAATTGACAGGGAAGGGATACCCCAGTGGATCGCTGGACTGCAAACCATTTTCCTGTCTGCCCCCATGACTTGGCAGCAACCCTACTTCCTCATGATGATGGGGGTCAATTACCTCTGCCAATAGACCAAGTCTTGTTTTTGCCTGCTGTCCTGGCATGTTCAGCCCAAAGTGACCAGTCACAGCCATAGCTTTAAATTTAGTACAATTCCTACTTTGAACCTTTGTGGAAGTATCCGCATCTGAGAATCAGAATGTATATATCCACAGAACCTAACACTGAAGATGGAAAACATAAATTCCCCAAGTGGGTCCCTGGGAGTGATTGGGGAGCAGGTGCCCTCCTATTTTCATCCCCTGGTTTCAAGACCCACGTATTCTACCCAGTGTCCACAGGTCAAGATGAATATGGCATCCTGCAATGTACTACTCTAGCCCCACAGGGTATTATCTACAAGCTAGAGCCTCAGCTGTCACCTTGAAGGGGTCATGCCACCATCACACCAGGCTGCACGGCCTGGGGCAGGACCAATGGATCCCATAATTCTGTGCTCACTGTCATGACTCCTTTGCTATAGAGTGGGCCCCTTGCTTCACAGTGATATTTTGCAGGACCGTGTGTCCAATTTTCAGATACTCTGTGAGCCCTCATATAGCCAGGCAGACAGGAGCAAGAAAGAAAAACCCATGCCCAAGAGATGTGTTAATCCTGTGCAGGATGAAGTCTTGATTTTCCCAGGTGGCAAGGTTCCAATGTAATCAACTTGCCAGTGAGTTGGCCAAGGGCAGAGCTGGCTGACATCCTATCCACGTGGTTATTTAATGCCACTTCTGCAGTGGATGTTCTCTGGTGAGCATCACTATGCAATACAAAGTTCCTCACACTTTATTCCTGCTCCCACATCATCGGCCACATGCTTCTTCCCCAGACCACTTCGTCTTCTATCTTCTGACCATGCTCTCTCCAGGCCCCAACCACCAGCAAAGCCGATCACTAATGCCCATACACCTGTGTAAATGCTTACCTTGGATCACTTCTCCCTTCACGCAAAATGAATGGCCAAGTTCTTTGCCTAAAACGCCCCCTCCCTGAGGATTTCCCCTCAGCACTCCTAGGTGGGGTGGTAGTCTAACAGCTGTCTATTTTTGGCTTGCACCAATATACTGTGCCCACCAAGCCTAGGCTTTTTTCTCTTCTATCAGCTGGTCATGGGAAAACTCCCACGAAACCATAGGTGAGAGCTGAGGGAGGGCCATCTGTGCAACAGTGGTAGATGACATGGAATCCCCTTCATCTGTTCATTCAGCTACTGTGCCCTCTGAGCTTTCTCAAGCCAACCCTGGATGTAACACTTCCTTCTTGCAATGACTCATTGTCTTTGCATAATGAACACTTCTGACTACATGGCCACTTGCTGTCCTGTAGTTAGACTCTCAGTCTCTATTGGAGCCCAATAGCTTGCTAACAATTACTTTTCGAATAGTGAATTGTTGTCCGCTATGGACGATATGATATATATATATGATATATATATATAGATATATATATATATAGTATGTAAAACCAAAACCCTCTCCTCATCCTTCACCACTGAATCCTTCCATCTGAGAATCTGAGATGTTTGCCAGAACAGAGAGTTATTAAGTATTTCTGATACCTTGTAAGTGGTATGAGTCACACTCCCAAACCCTGAGATTTCCTAGTTGCAATAATTTTTAACTCATCCCTACTCTATTTTCACTGATGACTACTACCTGTTTCACCCCACCAGCACAACAAAACCACCAAAACAGTCACCCTTCTTTGCTCCCAAAATAAAGACCCCAGCTGGAATGGAGGAACAGGCTGGCAATGTGGGGGTCCTACATTTTTTTCTGTTCCCAGTAGCCATTCCTGCTGCCTCCGTGGCTATGCTTGCCACCGTCCTCTCAAATGACTGCCAGCCATGGAGTACAGCATAAGCCATTCTGGTAGACAGAAAATTTTGACAGCTATGGTTATTCGACAGCTCTTTCTCTAGAGGGCAAGTGGCTCTGCTAAGTCACTGGAGGCAGCTACAGGGTTACATAGTTCTTTCAAGGAATGGCCCTCTTGAAGAATTTGTGAACTCCATAAAATCATATTCTTAACTAGCCATTCAGGCAGGGTGTAGGCTCTCTACCTCTCCCCTGACCACAGGGGTGAGTTTGACTATTCTCAAATAACGGTATTGTACGATGGAGAATATGGTGGCATTGCGCAGACATAAGATGCAGCCACAAACCCAAAACCTTTATGTATATTTCCATAGAGAACAGAAAAGCACATATACAAACTGGATTCCAGAAACAGCCTCAGGTCTCCCCTAAGGTAGCTGGAACCACAGATATCTAGGTGGACCAAGATTACTGTTGACCAAAACCTGCCTGTTTTAATGTGGTAATCATCTCAGCAAAGATCTGTGGTGTCTCAGTCCTGGTTTTGAGAAACTCTATGTTTCTACCTCTTACAATGGGCATTTTTAGAGCAAAATATTTCTGATCAACATTGATGTTAGTTTTGATCTAAAAAGACCTCATCTCCGGGCCACTTCGATGAGTTTCTTTCTCTCCTGACAGCGACCCCATTGCCATTCAGGCCCATAAGCATTCATTCTACTCTGCTCTGGCCAGACCACTACACCGGGGCCTGGCTCTAATCTAGATCACCACATAGAGGACATACCAGGTAAGTCCAGCTGCAGTTGACCAGCATTGTGACTGCATTTGAATCCAGGTGTCAAGAGGAAAGGTTTAGGAGAAGGAATATATCATGAAATTGAATAAAAATGTGGCTCATACCCCCTGACAGGCAGTCAATCGTTAGTCTAAAATTACATTTTCAAGTTTCTGCTTTAATTTCTTTTTGAGCTCTAAGTTTGCTGAAAAAATTTGGGGATCTCAATAGGGGACCAACTAACTGATTTATTTGTTTTTCAAAGGTTTCAAGGGTTTGCAAAAGAAACGTGATTTTAATTTACAGCTTTTAAAAGTCGCTCTGCTTGAAGTGGTTTGCACATTAAGGTTGTCGCTATATGTCGGCACGGCTTGTTGAAAAGTTTAAAATTCAGTCTTTAAACTGTCGGTGGTAGTTGTTATTTCTTTGGCTGGTTATACCTAAGTAGTGAAATAACCAGTCTGACCAGTGCCCATCTCCCCGCCTGCAACCCAACTGACTTGACAGCTGATTTTAGTGTTATTGTTGAAAGAACCTGAGAGTGGTTCTGGCTCCCAACTCCCTAAAAATTAAACATTGAGGACAAAATTTATAACTGTATAAACTAACTTCAGACTTGTACCCTAGACTTACCACCAAGTTCTTATCAGCTCTAAAGATAGGCTTATTAGAGTAGAACTATAGGATAAAATTTGTATTCCTTGGTTGACATTACTCAGTGGTAGGTATGTCCCTGGCTATCTGCTCCCTTATCTGTGAGAGCAATTCATGAGATGGGAAATGGAAGGTTTAAACCAGGGTCAAACTTTAGCTAATGTCGATGTATTGCAGGAGAACCATATATAGATCTTACCCCAAAGTTCTCCTTCCACTCTAACTCATCATAGACACAATTGCTAGGGAGCAGCCAATGCTTGTACTTCCTCCATTTCCCAGGTTTTATTCCCTGTTAAGCATGGTAATTAATTTTTAAATCTACAAAGAACATGAAAGCAAAAGAGAAAAAAAATAGTTCCCATTCTTTCTGTCTTCAGTTGGCCTCTCTTTCCCTTCTTCTTCTTCCTCTGAAAACAATGAAAAGAACCTTTTCTCTAAATTAGCCATTCTCCAAAAACCTCTTTTCATTCTAGACTTTTGCCTCTCCTATCTGTTTCATGCTCTAGTCCTGAATGTTGCAAGCTCAGAAGGTCATTGTCAATGTTGGTATCTAAAGCTGGATGAGCTGCCTTCTGTGCGTGAGTTATCTATCATTGAAGGGGTTCAAACAGGTGTCAAATGACATATATCTGCGATATTATGGAGCAGAGGCTTGAGTCAGATGGATCTAGGGTCATTTTCAGCTCTGAGATTCTATGTCTGATTGTTGAAAACCAGTTTCTCCAGCCACTTTAAACTGTTGAAATATATGGTGTTGCATTAACAGCAATAAACCACCTCCAACTGCTGGTATAGACACCCGAAGTCACTCTTAGTTGTTTCTAGGGGTCTCTAGGGATGTTTCACATGTCCTTGCAAGTCCTGTTAACCACTATAATATCTGATCCTTTCCTTCTCTCCTGCTCCACCTCCTGTTACCATTGCCTTCTACTGAAACCTCTGACACACTAAACTGCTTGTGGACACTTGCCACGGTTTCCAGAACACACGGTCCAGTTACCCTTACCAAGCACCATCAACCTTGCTGGCCACTGCCACCACTTCCACCAGGTGCTGCCTCTGATGCATGGAAGCCTCCAGGTGCCAAAGCAGGCCTGGATTCTCTTCTCCTCAATGTGTAGAAGTTGGGCTGCAGTCCAGGCAGAAGGGAAGAGAATGTCACTCTCCCCATAGGTGATTACACTCTGCTCCATGGGTATTGTAGTGGATTGAATTACTGGTCTCACTTTTGCACTCCTCTCTAGTAGTAACATACATCCACATCCTTACTGTGACCTCATGATGAGCAGAGTGTACTTCCCTGCCCTTTGACTTTTGCCTTGACCACATGACTTGCTTTAACATGAGCTTTCAGTAAATAAGATGTGAGCAGATGCTTCAAGCATGCTTCTGCTATCACTGTGCAAATCTACCTTGGGTAGCCTGGGCTCCAGTATGAGACACAGAAGAAAAAACCACCTGCAGACCCACAGCCTGCATCAGAGCCACCCCCACCAACCTACAGAACCAGGGGTAGGACAATAAATGATCACTGAATTAAGCCACTGAGTTTGGAGGTGGTTTGTGATGCAGCATTATTGGGGCAAGAAATATCTGATAAAGGTATTAAAGTAATGCTGTTTATAAAATTGCACTGTCATAAAACCCTTGATATCAAAATGAGTATTATATTTTCTTTGTCTTTTGCAACTTCCACAAAACTCAGATACAGTAAATGGAAGACTGGGCTGTTCACAAATCTGAATGTCAAATATGATGCTTGATCTCGAGTTGCTTTTCTGCTTTGATGACTGAGGCTTTGTTATTGAGCTGAGCTAAATAGTGGTTTCTAAACTGGGTTCCCCAGATCTCTAGAGATGCTACTGAGGAACCAGAAAGACATTCACAGAGGACAGGGGTTGAGTCCATGTGTGGAGGAGGCTACCACTCCCCCAGCCACCTCAACCAGAACAGCTCCCCTTTAGCCTTCAATATACTGATGGCCTCCACAGGACTTCTTTGAAGAAGTGGTTCCTCTGCTTTAAAAAACAAAAAAAATCGAAGCTGAAAAATCACAGTTAAGAAATTGCACATTTTTCAACCTTTTAAGGAGGGATTCTCAAGTCCCTCCGAATTGTGCAGGAATTCTACTCTGTTTTCCTAATCAACACACCCTCCCTTTCTCTGTAGTGATTACTTCATACCTTCCCTCCTCAAACCTCCAATACCCCCATCCCTCCTCCCTCTCTAATGAAAACTTTGCTTATTTCACTAAGATCTGGCATATAGTGGGTGCTCAATAGTATTTGTTTAATGAATTTAAAAGGTGTTATATGAATGATGCCGCTACCAGGTGTAGCTACTGAGGGACTGTTCTAAGTGCTCTGTGTACGTTTTCACAAAACGCACACACACACACACACACACACACACACACACACACACAAATGGACCCTCAGAGTGGTACTACTACTATTGTATCACAGTTGAAATTCTGAGAGATTATACAGCTTTCCCAGGATCACAAAACTACTCAGATGGGAGCTGGAGGTGGCTTTCAGGAGTTAGACACCAGACTTCACACTAACCTCTACTCCATATGATCAAATCAGCGGTCTCTCCTATCAGAAATGGACTCTAGACTCCAAGGCCTGTTTGGCCTTCACAGAAGATAAATTCAGAAAAAAGCTTCCAGGTCCAGAGGCCAAAGTGGCAGAGTGTTTGTAGGACATGTGAAGGGGCAGGGCAAGAAGCCAATAGGAAAGTTTCTGCAAACTAGATGTTCTAGGCCACACCAAGCCAGCATTTCAATGGGAAACAAATTTACATGAATAGTCATGACTTTGCTGGCTGGCTTTCCTCCTGCAAGTGGAATAACTGAATTCACCACAGATAACCCTGTCCACTGCTGGTAATTTCTGCGAGTCCTCAGGGAGTATCATCAATTTGCTCCTAAATAAGCCTTGTTAACTACCACATGGCTTCTGCCTGTTTCTTCTCTCTTCCTCCATCCTTCAGTGCTGTCTACCACTACAGCCAGGACTGCCCACAAAGACCCACAGAGATGCTTCCTGGGGAGCCCTAGTTGTTCTGCAGGGCCCCACCATCCACTGCACATCATTGCTGCCTGCCAGATCCTGTGGCTTCTGCCAGGCAACCCAGTTTCTGCCAAATTTCGTCCAACTCTGCCTGCTACCACTGCCTCTTCCTCAGGATCCACCAGTGTCTGCAAACCACCCTCGCCTGAGCCAGACACAGCTGGTATCGTCACGCTCAGGTCTGGAGGGTAACTAAAGCCTCCTGGTGTCCTGGGAAGAAATGGGAAGAATGTTTCTGACTTTTCCTTTAAGGAAACATTTTCCATGTGGATCCCAAAGCAGAGAGACTTGTGGCCCCAATAAATTATAAAGTGTTAAGTGAAACAATGTTTCCTATTTAGGACTCAGAGATGAGTTTGGTTGGAGCTGACTGAGCAAGAGTGGGGGGTGGGTGGCGCAGAAACTTGGGGCCAGATACCACCTCATTGGACATAAATCTCTCCTTTCTTCTTGTATGCCTAAGGCTTTGGTGCTGAACAACTTGTCTACCTGCTTCCGTCTTTTCCAGGAGGACCTACCAGACCTCTGTCTATAGATTTATGTAAACTTGTCATTCAAGGGCATCTCCTAACCATACCCTTGCTTCTGAATTACTAGAGGTGGCATCCCTTTGGGATTTTATTCCACCAAAAAGCGGCTATCTTCAGTGAAACTAATAAAATGATTTCTGATTTCCAGAGTCTCAGGGCTTTGCCCAGAAAGCATTCCTTTTATAATGTCTTCTGGATTGCTGACAATGCATTGCCTGAGCAGTGCTTTAAAGATAGTTAGAGATCCATAATTCTACTCACTGTTATTGCCCTGTGTCACTTTCCCAGATCCAGCCCATTGTAAACTTGGTTTCCTCAGTACCAGAAGGTGGTTTCCTTGCCAATCACAGCTGATCTACTTTGCCCACCCATCTTCCTTGCACCAGAAGCTTGGATGTAAGAACCATAAGGACATTAGGCCTATGTCCAGGAACTCTCTGAGTTTGGTGCCACCTGGCACCATTCCCAAAAATGTAATGCCATTGATGTGTCACACTGTCACACCTAAGCCATCCACCTATATTCAAGTTCTTGGGTCAGGGATAGCACCAAGGGACCATCTCGCCATCCAATTTATTAGCAGTAGTGCTTCATGCTGCCTTGAAATTTTGTTTGCTACCATCCCCTGTCCGCAGAAAAGAAATCTAAAATTAGCTATGTCTGCTGGGGAGCCCAGATAGGTAATGATACCATGTGGTACTGAACCATCTTCTCATCAACTTCAAACATCAAAGCCTGAGTTCGGGCTTTAGTTAATACTTCTCTCAGAGCTACGGCTTCATATACAAGCCTCTAATTTTACTAAAGGTGAAATTCAGAGGACACTAAAGTCTCTCCTGCAGCATTTATTTTGTCTATTTCTGGCAGGCCCAATCCACAATACCACAGACATGGACACACAGCTAAATCCTAGCAGCGGATTCTCCTGCTGGAAACACCCTGCAGATACATTTGGAATCCCCAGAGGGGTCAGTGCCAGGATCTGGGCTCTGTTCATGAAGAAGCTGAAGAGGAATACCAGATGAGGTAGGTTAGATGATTACCTAGCAGATAGTCACTCCACCCCACCCCCGCCTCCATCGGCAGATATTTCCCAGCTCCACTGACACTGGGCTTGTCTCTGACTCTCTGTGGCCCAGAGAATGTGGGTGGCAGTAAGTGTCCGGCAGGTCTGAGTCTTGGTTCCCCAAGAGCCATGATGTGTTTCCATAACTCCTGTTGGTGGCTACCCATTCATCTGGAGCCCCAGAAGGAACCCAGGGAGCACAGCCAGCCTAGCCACCACACAGACCTGTGATGAAAACAACTGTTTATCACTGCATGCTGCTACCTTTTGGGGTGGTTTATTCAGTAGGCAGCAAATGCTGACTGGTTTGTTACAAGTCAAAGGTGGGTACAGCTTGGGGAGCAGATTCACAGAGAGTGGGTTGGTCTAGGCATGGGTGTTAGCTCTAGAGAGAGATTCACAGACAGTAAGGCAGGGCTGGGCCTGCTCAGCAGGCTGAATGGAACCCTCTGAGGAAAGGAGAAACGGTGGCCCTGCCTGCGTCCACAGCTACCCCACTGCAGCAGTGGGGTGTTCTCTTTTTTTAGGTGGGGAGGGAACTCTGTCCTCAGCGTAACTTCTGGCCACCATGTCTTGACAAGGTCCTCATCAGGAGGAAACTCATTCTCTCCTTTCCCTCTCTTCCCCCTCCACCCCCACCACAGGAAACCCACCTGCTGCAGCCACAAGGACTAGCAGCTGTGCCACATGGACCTCTGAACCATACCTGGGCCTGCATATTCCTAACCAAGGCGGACATACCAAGACATTTTCCTCCATTCTACTAAAGCTAAAGAATCTAGAAACATAGGGTTTCACAAGTCTGTAGCTAGATGGCATGTGGATACATTCAGATGAGTGGGATTTGGCTAAACATTCCTAGGGGCCCAATCTGACACCACCAGTTCTTAAGGGCCCAATCTGACACTACCAATGTCTTCAAGAACATTCAAGAAGGGCCAGTCCCACCCTTGGTGAGCCACCCAAAACCATATCAGATCCAACTGACTGCTTCAGGCTCAGTCTGAGCAGTAAGCCAGGCTAGTGCTTAGAGAGTAGAGCCTGATAGAGAAGAATACAGTGGAGTCCTGCTCAGCTTATAAACCATAGCATGGAGATCCACCAGCCTCAAAGAAGTTAGACAAACATATTCCTCCAAGGATATGCAATTAGCAGCCAGCTTCTGATGCTCTGGAAGTCCACAGTCTCTTGTTTGGTTTTATTTGGTAGGGGATGAGGGAGGGTTCAGGGATGAGGGTAGAAGAAAGTATTATTCAGGTCTCCCGGGAAGAAACTGAAGCAAACCCAATGCATAAAGCTGTAACATTTTTAATTGTTAAAAAATAGAAGTTAAGAATTTTAAACTTAAAAGGAGATAATATAGAAGAATTCAGCCCAATGGTTGCTGTTTATTATTTATATTAGCCACCCCAGAATCGTAACAGTAGAATATTTTCATAGGAAAATATGATGAACTGGCATTATAAGGTGAGACATCCTCCTTTGGATCTCCTATCCCTATCAATTTTCTCAAAGCCAAAGCCAACCATATGATGCAGAAGGAGAAGATGCTTCTGAAAAAGAGTGGAAGAAAAAAAATAGGAAAGCCATATAAACCACACCATACTGGGCCATGCCGTTAACATCATCATAGGACACAATGGAGCCAACAGGAGAGGAATTAAAGCCCCCCAGGGAACAGGGCAGAGCTTCTCAGGAAGACTCATCTATCTCTGTCCAAGGAAAAGAATATTTCTACCATAGTGACAAAAAACTCATGATGAGGCAAGAGAGTGAATCCCGAAGCTGACCAGGCCAGCACGGGAGAGTCACTCCCCTGAGCCGACAGAGAAGAGCCCAGCTCCAGCCCAGCTGTGATGGGCAGAAGCATGAGCAGAAGGGGCTGGTTTATATAGACTGCCTGTTCCCCAAGATTTGGGGTTCCTTTTATTATCCTGTTCAGTAACCTGCAGAAAACTCCAGTGCCCAAATTACAAATGATAAGCTTGAGAGATTATGAGAGTAAATGGTCTTCAATACCTCTCAGGTAAGAATCCTGGAGTAAGGCGTGGGAGTGGTAAGACTTAAGCAGCCACATGTTCATAAGAATTACCTGGGAACTTGTTATAATGCATATTTTTAGAACTTCTCCAAGATAGTCTAGAACAGAGTCCCCTGGTAAGTATTGTTTTTTCATAATAGTTGTACACAGTTTGGGGGTATATGTGATCATTTAATGTATGCATATAATTTGTAAAGATCAAATCAGTGTACTTGGGATATCCATCACCTTAAATATTTGTCTTTTCTTTATACTAGAACCATTCAAATTCTTCTCCCTAGCTCCTTTGAAATATACAATGGATTATGGTAAACTATAGTCACCCTACTGATCTACCTAACACTAGGTCTTATTTTTTCTATCAAAGCATATATTTGTACCCATTAATCAACTTCTCTTTATCCCCATCTCTCCACTATTCTTCCCAGCTTCTGGTTACCATAATCTATACTCTATCTTCATGAGATCCACTTTTTTAGCTCCCACATATGAGAACATGCAATATTTGTCTTTCTGTGCTTGACTTATTTTGCTTAACATAGTGACCTCCAGTTCTATTCTTGTTGCTGCAAATGACAGGATTTCATTCTTATTTATTGTTGAATAATATTCCATCATGTATATACACCACATTTTAAAATCCATTCATCCATCCATATTTTGGCTATTGTGAATAGTGCTGCAATCAACATAGGAGTACAGGTGTCTTTTTGATATATTGATTTTCTTTATTTGGATACATACCCAGTAGTGGAATTGCTGGATTTTATGGCAGTTCTATTTTTAGTTTTTTGAGGAAACTCTGTACTGTTTTCCGTAGTGGCTATCCTAATTTACATTCCCACCAACAGTGTATGAGGGTTCCCTTTTCTACACATCCTCACCAGCATCTGTTATTGCCTATTTTTTTTAATAAACGCCATTCTAACTGGGACGAGATGCTATCTCATTGTGATTTGCATTTCTCTGATGATTAGTGATGCTGAGCATTTTTTCATATACTTGTTGGCCACTGTATGTCTTCTTTTGAGAAACATCTATTCAGATCTTTTGCCTATTTTTAATCAGATTATTTGTTTTTTGGTATTTTGTTTTGTTTTTTGCTATTGAGTTGTTTGAGCTCCCTATATATTCTGGTTGTTAATTCCTTGTCCAACGGGTAGTTTACAAATATTTTCTCCCATTCTGTGGGTTGTCTCTTCATTTTGTTGATTGTATCCTTTGTTGTGCAGAAGCTTTTTAGCTTGATGTGATCCCATTTGTCTACTTTTGCTTTGGTTGCTTGGGCTTTTGAGGTCTTATACAAAAATTCTTTGTCCAGACTAATGTCTTGGAGCATTTCCCCAATGTTTTCTTCTAGTAATTTCATAGTTTCAGGTTTTAGATTAAAGTCTTTAATCCATCTTCATTTTATTTTTGTATGTAGTGAGAGATAAGGGTCTAGTTTCATTCTTCTGCATATGGATATCCAGTTTCCCCAGCACCATTTATTGAAGAGACTGTCCTTTCCCATTGTTTCTTCTTGGCATCTTTGTTGAAAATGAGTTCACGGGAAATGCATGGATTTATCTCTGGGTTCTCTTGTCTGTTAAATTGGTCTATGTGTCTGTTTTTATGCCAGTATCACATGATCTGGTTACTATAGCTCTGTAGTAAATTCTGAAGTCAGGTAGTGTGATGCCTCTAGCTTTATTATTTATTCTTTTTGCTCAAGATGGCAGATATTTTGTGATCACATGCAAATTTTAGGATTTTTTTTTTCTATTTCTATAAAGAACATCATTGGCATTTAGATGCACGTTACACTGCATCTGTAAATTGCTTTGGATGACGCTGACTGGGGGTGGTGGGGAATACCCTGCCCATTCTTTGAAGAACAGTGGTAGTGGGCCAAGAACAGTTCAGAAGACAAGTCGAGATTCAGTCCTAGGCCTGTTGTAAACTAGATGGGGTGTGACAAGTCTCTCGGCCTCAGTTTCTCTATCTATAAATGGAGCGGTTAGGCTAAATGGAGACTTCTCTGCTTTGAACAGCACAGCTCCACTTCATCGGGCTGAGTTTCTAAGCTAATGCCAAAGATCCTGCATTCAAAAAAGGGAGACTGGTCTCCTGCTAAACAAACTTTACAACTCCTGGATTAGGTAATCCGATTAGGTAATCCCTTGCTGCCCAGGCAATCTAGAACTCTGCGGGATCTGCTAAATCTGCCTTGTTCTCCAAAGTGCCTGCTTTGCTTAGGACTTTCTTAATTTTAACATTACCAGTCCCATGCCAATGGAAAACCCTCAGTCCTAGGCTAAACAAGGCTAATTTAACGCATTCTTAGCAGGTAAGTTTCTCTTTAAAAAGGGGGAGACTTTCTGGCACTCTCCTCTGCCTTCTTTTCCTCTCTTTGGACTATATCCAAGTACTGCAAAAGTCTTGTAAGGCTGTTTCTCCATTCTGCACATCCTGAAATGGGAAATGGGACTTCTAGTCCTTTAGTCCCGCAACCATTCCATTTATTTCCCACTGCATTGCCCACTTGTGTCTCTAGCAGTGGACATTGCTGACGAATGCACAACAGGCTCAGGCTGTTTGAGAGTTACACATGCCCTCTCTCTGATACTTCCGGAATAAAATGCCTCTTAACTTCTGCCTCCCATCATATGAGGAAGAAATGGAGTCCTGGAACACCTGTGTCTAGCAATGGCACTGGCTTCAAAGCGTCCCACACTCATCTCCTCAAAATGAATGTGGATGTAGGAGCCTTCCTTAGGAAAACCTTTTCTGTCCTATGTACACTAGTTTAGGAACATGAATTTTTCATCATCTTAGCATATCTCCGATCTTTCTTTTGAACTAGAGCAAATCAGTCCTGGAATCCCGCAATAGCTTTACAAAGTAACAGGATGAGTCTCACCTGATCACCATTTGTGACTATTCAGCTATCATTATTAATAAAGATGGCTGGCACTGCCCCACGTAATAAAAATTAAACCCTTCTTAAAGAGACAATCTGATTTAGACAATAAAGAACCCCCACCAAAATGCTTAGAAAACATCAAAGCTTCCTGAATTCAACTCGAGTGTAAGCAAAAAGAAAAGCTAGTGCATACACTTCTACAAAAGTGTTAATGAAGCTTACTATTAAAATGTCTTTTAAAAATTAATCTTCAAATGTATTTATAGCATCCAAAAGTTGCAAACAACTTAAGAGTAGAATTAGTAAATAAACTGTGACATACTTATACAATGAAATTCTACACAGCAATGAAAGAGAATGAACTACTGATATGTGCAAAAACATGCATGAATCTTAGTTTTGTTACTGGGTGAAAAAGCCAGATACAGAAGAGTAAGTTTTAGTACAGGATTCCATTTATATGAAGTTTAAGGAGAAGCAAAATGCATCTATGGTGATAGAGGCAATAATACTTCTGTATTCTATGCAGATGGAGAGGTTTGAAGAAGAGGGAATATCTTTTCCCTACAAGGGAGAAGATAGGGAGGGCCTTCCAGAGCCCTCGGGATCCCATGACCCCAGAACATCACTGTTCCTCTTCCTTAATTTCTTCCTCTGGGATTAGTGTTCTTGAACAAATCTATGTAGTTGGAACCTATTCTCTTCCCCAATAAAGGAGTTGCCATTTACATACCTCATAGGAATCCAGCCTTGACCTCTGCCAGCCCAGGAAGTTCAAAGGCATCATACTAGTTAATACTAGAGATAAAAATAAAAAGTAATCTGTGTTGCAAATTACAGGTATTATCAGCAGAGGATATGGGTAAGGTGTTAGCAAACACTTATATAGCACTGAGGATATACTGTCCCTGTTCTGAGTGCTCATTTAATATTCCCAGTAATCTGGGAGACAGATACTGTAATTATCCCCATTTTACAGATGGGGAACCTGACATTAGTTAAGCAGGAGAAATGGGGTTTGGACCAGGCAATCTGACACCAGGGTCTGTGTCCTTAACCAGTGTGTACTATATTACCTTTAACCTGTTTGATATTTCTTTACATTTTCCTCCAAAGTAATACTGTATTTCCTGAAATATGACATATCAGGGCTTATTATGCTTTTGTATTAGAAAATTTTATCATTTTATTCTTGTTGCTATTAGGTTCACGACAGACTTGGATTTCCGAATGTCTGTATCTCTTTGTATCCTTCCCACCTCCCTTTCCCTTTTCCTCGTAGCAGTGAGAAGTGGAAAATCGCCTTTTACTTTCCATCTTCACATTCCACTTTGACAAAGGCCAAGCGTCCCCAGTCAGCCAAGTCTGGCATTTTCAGCAGTAATCTAATGTGCCATAAAATGTTTCAGAAAGATATTCTTTTACTCCTTGGAGTGCCTATCAAATTCTAAACAGAATCAGAGTGGATTTTATACCAAACTGAAACCAAACAAGGAAAGTTGAGGGTGTCTGGTTCAAAGTACAGTTTTCTGAACCCTTTTTTGTGTCCCCTCTGTAGCCAGGAAAGGGAGTGTTTTAAATCACAAATATCATTGTCAATGAATACTAGAAAACTTAATGCACCAGAGGACAGGAAGATCAAAGCTTAGCACCTGGAGAGTTCCACATGGTGTAGATTAATATAACAATGCCCTCCATTACATAAATCTTGAGCAAGGTTGCTCACGGACACACACACCCCCAGAAATTATTGTAGGGGTCAGATAACTGATATGCAATACATGCAGCCTTGCTATCAGAGAGCGTTCCCTTGTCCTGGCTCAGTTGTTGACACAAGGCAGGGAGACAATTTTGTCTAAAGCTTCTTTTATCTAAAATTGACATTACAGATTTTGGATCCGGACACAGCACATCTGCAAGCCACCGGAAATACCAAGATCCAGCGTGCTCCTTTGATTGTTACATTTAAGATATCATGTGTGCTACCAGCTCAGCTGCTGCAAGGCATTAGAGGCCCTACTTGGGCTTGTAAAGTACTTTGGAAATACTATAGACCAGGATTAGAGAAGATGAGTATTCCACATGGTTTCAGGAGAGATAACCCAGGGCAGTGCTATATAGTTAAATTGATCTATGAGCTACATATGGGAAGCAATATCTTAAGAATCCTGCTGAAGGTGTGTATGTGAATGCGTGTGATCGTGGTTTTGAAACCAACATGTTAGTCGCGCTCTAGAGAAGGAAAAAGAAATTGAGGAGAGTGGAGAGAGGTACATGTGTCCAGCCGTTTTGTAGTTTTTTGTGACAGCCTGAAAGCAAAACCAAAACTGATTCCAAATATGCACTGCTGAATGTCACTTTGGAATTTGGCTGACAAGTTCTGTGGCTTTTTTAAGAGGCAAATCATATGGAAGTTGTGAGCCTGAGCATAAGGTAGCAGAGGTTTCAGTATTACATTCTATGTAGGAAACTTTAGCATGTGTTGATAATGTCCTGGAAACTTTCCCAGTGATAAAAATAAGATAACTTTTATTTGTATAGGCCATTTAATGTTCCTAGATCCCAAAAGTGCATTAAAGTCTATGCAAGTATACAATTACAAATCATTCATTCATTATGCTCATATGCTTTATAGATACATGGGTTATATGTAGATGATGCATAATTATAATAAACAGGTACAGATATTGAGTATACAGACTATGTGTGACCAAATAATGCCCTGCCATTGTATAGCATGGACCCCAAATGCTTTTGCCATTTGAATCTCACAACTGCTCTGTGTGGTAGGAAAGATAGATATTGTTATACCTAATTTGCAGATGAGGAAACTG
This sequence comes from Homo sapiens, assembly GCF_000001405.40. Classification (NCBI taxonomy): domain Eukaryota; kingdom Metazoa; phylum Chordata; class Mammalia; order Primates; family Hominidae; genus Homo; species Homo sapiens. Next base: position 1,252,768 of record NC_000009.12, on the reverse strand, counting down.
CATCATAAAGAAATTCAGTGATTTATCCAAGCTTTCATAGTTATTAAGTAACAGAACTTAATAGAACTTCAACTTATCTTCCAACAAGCCTAGCATAAATTCCACAATACCACATGGGGACACAAGCAGTTGACTTCATCTGCTCTGCCCCAAACCATTGCCAAGAACCTTTAGGACTTAGGGATAGCATGAGAAACGGTACAATGAAAAAGTCTCCTAAGGTCATTTTGCCATCATGGCCTCCCTACACTCCATCATTTCCTGAGAGGATTTCTGCCAGACTTGGAGGTTTGGTGCAGGGTTTAGATATTTACCTTCATTCTAAGCAAAGGATCTTTATTTTATGTGGAGGATCTGTATGCTCATCTTTTTTTAATGAGTCTACACCACAAATCCTTCAGCTTACATGATGAATTAATTTGGAGGTCTTTGGTGGGAAGGAAGCAGAGAATAAGGAAAGCCCTGTTCCGACTGAGTTTATGTTCACATTTTTATTGTTCCTTAAGAGTAAAGAAGCAATATGTGCTCACTCCGGAAAATATAAAATATATAATCAATCTGTATATAGTTTTTCATACAAACACATCACAATTGTAAAATATTATTCAGTCAATTTAATTTCAAAACTGTCCTTTCTTTTGTCCCATGGGAATTGAAACCAGAATGGCCCAGTGGGAAGGGGCTGGATATAGGAGTAAGGAGCATGATGATGTTGCATGCAATTTCTTTTTTTCTTCTTCTTCTTTTCTTTTTCATTCTTTCTTTTAAGAGATATTCACCCTTATGCTCCCAAAAAACTTTCACTAGCTTGAAGGCTCTTTCACACAACAGTGAGCCTCACTTAGGAGATAAGAGAATTTTCTTGGATGACTAGAGATCAATCCATTTTTATTTAGCAACATTTAGGGAGTGGGGCAACCTGAAGGCAAAGAAAAGAATCACTGGTCATTGAACTCTTAATTAGTCAGTTGAATCACTAGTTTTATGATCCAACTATAACAGCAAGATACGCAACTTAGAACTTTTGCATATTAATTTGATTTGGAATTGCTGATTATATCATCTTTAAGGTATATCACAGTATTCCTGGAAAAGTATTCCTGGAAAAGTATTCATGGAAATGTGCTTAGAATTAAGAAATCTAAAAAATATTTTAAAACATTATATTGATATGAATTCACCCAATTTCATAGTAGATTCTCATGTTGCTTTCAAATGCTGAAGGTGGACGTAGGGGTTGGGGGTCACTCTACAATGCATATCCCAGCTGATAACCTCTCTCTATATCAAGGCTGGAAAAGAGGATGCATGGAAAAATAAAGAAGATTCATGCTCTAGAGGAACTGGGAGTTTGGGAACTGGTTAAGAAAAATAGCAAAGCAAACTAACAGAGAACTCGGGCATAATATGTGAGAACATTTTTGGGGGAGCTTACTGCATTATAGAAGCTGTATTAAATGCTTTTTAAAAAACTATTTAATTGTTTTCAGCAAATCTTTGAGGTAGGACCTGTTAGCATTTTACCAATGAGCCATATTCTATTCAGAAAGATAAAAGAGCTTGACCAATGTCACACAGCCCAGAGAAAGTGGTGGAATGAGAAAGCGAATCCAGTTCAGAAGCTAGAGACTGAACTCTTGAGAAAAACTGATGTATATTTAATTAAATAACTATTAAGGACCCGACACTCTGCTTTTCCCTCACATATGCTTTTTATCATTAATCCTCACCCAAACTTCCTAGGGTGGGTATTATTAGTGCCACCTTAAGTGAAAAAAAATTGAGACTCAGAGCGAGTAGGAGGCTTGTCAAAGATCATCTTGTTTGACAAGATGGCAAGGCTGACAACTGGCAAGACTGGATTTGAACCCAGAACTGATGAAAGCTTATGTTCTTTCTTCAACATCACATCCATTCTGTGGCTCATGTTGTAAGCACAGAGAGGCCAAGACCACGCCTTGTCCTAGGTAAGAAATGCCTTCTTTATGCTATTCACCCAAGAAACAGTCATTTTTATGTTGCTCCCTTCTTTTCCATCAACCAAAAGGTCATTGTCGCTACTCAACCCATTGATCCCCCATTGAACCACGATGTAAATATAGGAAAAAAATGGACTAAATATCTTAAGGGAAACCCAGTGATTCAGGGGAGGATTTTACCTGTCTTGCAACTGCCATTTCGGGAAAGGCAGGCATGACTGTGGAAGGCCGTAGAACTTTCAGAACATCTGGCCTATGGAAGGCAGAATGAGATGCTTTAAGCTGATTGCTTTGATCCACATTTCTTCAGCTCCAAGCCTCCCTCCTGTGAGTAGCCCTCCCATCGAAGTCTATGAGAGTCTGGAACCCCTGAGAAAATAAGTAATGTAGAATACAGCCCTTTGTTCTTTCACTGGCCTGTCAAAATTCTTTAATTTAAAATATATTCCCTTTCTCACTTGCATTCAATTATTCTTTTTTGGCTAAAATGTCTCCATGAGTGTGCGTTATTTCCTGCTTAGTCTTTTAATGTTTTTGTTAAAAAAAAAAAAGTTGGGGGGTGCTTCTATCTTGGAGAATAAGTGTATCTTGCACAGTTTGAAGCAGAAATCATACTGACAAAAAGCTTTTTATTTTTTCAAATACATTAGCTGCGGTTATAACTTCAAACCCTGGTAGGGTTTCAATCACATCAGGATACATGCAATTTATGACAAAATAAAATAATACCAGGTCATTTGGAATATAAGAATATTCCTAATTTACCTTTTTTGCTATACTGTAAAAATATACCTTTGTGCATAAGTGAACATATCAGGTTTTAAAAGTTATTTTCCCCACAATCATAATAAGGGTCCAGGAGTTAGGATTTTGAATGGTTTTTCCATGAGTTTTCAAGAAACTTGAGTTTCTGTCCAGCAGTCAGCTGTAGAGAGGTTTTGCTGAGCACACTATATTTTCATCGGCCTCCTGCCTCAAAATTTTGAAGGACACAAATTACTAACCATAAATCTACCTTCTCTACTAAGACCAAATCCAGCAGTAAGTGAAGCCATATCATTTGGGTGATTTTGTGTTGTGGTTGGATATGCTGCAGGCATTTCTTTTGCTTATCTATTTGATCAACTCTTTCCTAGTCCTCTAATGATATCTATGATATATGCATTGTTTTCCAATGTAATCTAGTCTTTCCATCCTGATTCCATTTTATTTACTTTAATTAATCTTCTTGTAAAGAATGTTGATGACAGACAGGATCTGTATCGATCACACAGTGGACAACAGCATTCAGTGCTTTCAGATGCTTAAATTAGTGCTGTGAATCAATCAGGCTTGTAATCTTTGGTAGATTCAGATTCAGAGTTCACTACTTAGCAATAAATGTTACCAACTAATTTTTTAATCTAAACTCAATCTTTTTTTTCCTTTATTTTAAATGACCAAAAACAGAGAGGGAGAAAATAAATGTGTGTGAATGTGTGTTTATGTTTGTGGGTATATGTATAAGCATATTTAGAGTATATATATATATATATATATATATATATATATATATATATATATAATATGTACACATATAATTATATACTATTATTACATAATAAGTAATTATAAATAATAATTATATATTACATTTATAATTACACACACACACACACACACACATAAAACCTTTATCCAAATCCTCAGCCAAAACTGTTTGACCCTATTCTTTACTCTTTTTAGAACAGGGACAGAGTTATTTCTTATCTCCATAAGGGAAATCAAAGTCATTTCTAAGTGCCTTGCCACGGGACTATGTCTCTCTTTCCCTTGTCAGCTGAGCTCAGCCTCTATTAATCTCTGGACACACTTAGCTGTCAGAATCCAGCCCCTTCTGCAGCTTGTGCGGTACATCAAGCCATGGGCTTTAGTGCTTAACAGAGATGTAGTGAAAAGGCAAATGTCTTGGCAGCCATTGAAAATGTGTGTAAAAAAGCCCTGAATAGAACCTCATCGGATATCAACTTTGGCATTTGAATGGGCTTGAAACTTGCCCAGCACCATAATTTATTTTGCCAGCAGGTAAGAAATTGACCGGGGTTCAGAATGTAATCCTTCTTCAAATATTATTTCTGGGAACACTTTTCTCACCAAGCATGACCCCACAAATTGAATCTTGCCTTCCCATCCCAGGTCTACATTTCATAAGTTCTCCTCTAAAAGTAAATTGTTTATACAGGCAAGAAGAAAGTTGGTCTTCTTATGCAGCAAAGAAAGATTTAGAATTGTATTTCTAAGGCCTTTCACTCTTTTCCTTTTGCCCCTTCCAGATTACCAAAACAACATTTATAGCTCATGTTTTTAGTAGATCTTGTGAAAAGCTGTCACCATATCAAATTCAGCTATCTTTTAATTAATCATGGAGATGGATGGTCAGAAAAGCAGACAATATTATAAAACTCAGGTAATACAAAAGCCGCAGTTAAGGGAATAATTTGATTTATTTTCCTCTGTCAAACATCCTTCTGATCCTTTGATCAGCAGAGCACCTGAGCATAAAGAAATGTTAGCACAAGAATTTCAATCAGACAACAATAATAGTTAGCATGAACACAACTGTCTACTATTTGCCAGAAACTATGTGTATTATCTGCTAATTGTCAGAGTCACACTATGAGAAAGTCTATGATCTCCATTTTACATGCAAGGAAACTAAGACATAAGATGTATGTAACTCCCTAAGTCACACAGCTGTAAGCAATATCTTTTGACCCAGTAATCCCATTGCTGGGAAGAAAAGAACCCAATATAAAACAAAGCTATGTGCAGAAATATATTAATGGCCTTGAGATGTTAAATAACTTGCACTAGATCATACAGCTAGTTAGTAGAAGAAGAGGGTTTTGAACCTCAGCAGTCTCCACCAACACCATGCAATGACTGCAGTGCTATACTACTTGGCACTGTACTTTCAGGCACTTGGAGTAGAAGATGAGGGATATTATGAACACCAGGAAACAATTAGAAGACAAATAAATGATTAAGTGTGTTGTAGATGCCATAGTGTGACTGAGCTGGAGTATCCAGGGCAGTGTCATAGAGGAAGAGACCTAAGCCAGATTCTAAGGATGAAAGGCGCTTGAGAGACAGAGGAAGGTACAGCACTGATGAATAGTAATTGCTGTCCTTTAGTAGGCAGTTACTACATGTCAGGCACATTTCTAATTGCTTCCTGTTTGACAACTAATGTAACCAAACAAGATGTAAAGCTTCTGCTCACAAATAAACCAAATCTGGGTGTCTAATGTCACCTGTTCAAGGAACCAGCTTGAAACTTGAAAGGACTGTACGGAAGCTTCAACACATCTTCCAACATCCCTGATGCCTCTTAGCCTCCTGCTTTGGAACTCCAGCCTTACCTCGGTCCCAGATGAACCCCGACTGGTCCTGGCCACTGGTGGCTCCTGCACCTGTGCTGGCTCCTGAAAAATGCAAAAAATGCAAATGCTCCTTCTGCAAAAAGAGCTGCTGCTCCTGCTGCTCTGTGGACTGTGCCAAGTGTGCCCAGGACCTCATCTGCAAAGGGGCATCAGACAGTGCAGCTGTTGTGCTGGATGTCAGGACAGTCCTGCTCCCAGATGTCTTTTCATACAACTCTGACCCCTTTGCTATATTTTCCTGTGAAGTATATGAATGATAATAAAAGTCTGTGACTTTTTTAATTTAAAAAAGACTATATCTATAACTATACCATAGCTGATAAGAGATTTCCAGGGAAAAGCATTTTTTATTAATCCCCCTACTCATGAGATAGCATTTGGGAAGTGGCATGGGAGGACTGAAGAGAGAGAAGAAAAACAAAACATGCCCCCATTTTCCAGCCTGAACTCAATCAGCCTTCCAAAAACCCATCTACCAGTTTCCTTACACACTAGATCTCTACACTGACTTTGTAATTTTACAACCACATCCACCCATACACTTGAGTTCATAAGATTATTGATATAATTTCATGATCAAAGGATATGCAAATATTTTTGACATTAAGTAAGGTCCTCCCTGGCCTAGTAGGGTTAATAGCTGCTTAAAAAGTAAATGCATTTTCTCCTTGTAGGGTTTAATATTTAATACAGTCCTATTAATTATTTCTTTTTATTGTTAAAAATCTTTCCTAAACTTATTTGTTGCTATTTGATTTGTCAGACAAAGATGTGTTTAAAAACCTACTATGATCCTACCAGTTTCTTCTTGTGTTTCCAACTCTCTTCCTTCACAGGTTTTAGTCCAAGTCTTAGTCCATTAAGGCTGTAATAACAGAATGTCATTACTGGGTGGCTATGGATAACAACAGAAATTTATTTCTCAAAGTTCTGGAGGCTAAGAAGTCTAAGATCAAGGTGCTGGCAGATTTGTTGTCTATTAAGGGCCCACTTCCTGGTTCATAGACAGTAGTCTTTTTGCTATAACCTCATATGGCAGAAGGGGCAAGAGTGATCTCTCAGGCCTTTGTCATAGGGCACTAATCCCACTTATGAGGGCAGAGCCCTCGAAAAGGGCTAATCACCTTCCAAAGGCCCCACTCCTAATACTATAAACTTGGTAATTAGGATTTAAACATATGAATTTTGGAGAGACACAAACATTCAGACCACAGCACCCACATGATTACATACATAAAGATTCACAATTGTTCAATCTACATTATGGATTATATGTGTATAGATATAAATTAGCCTTTGTCCTGTTTATTATTTTGATGTTTAGAATTTTCTTTTGACTGCAAACCCAAATAATAAATAGTGACTTAACCAAGTGGATGCTTATTTCTCCCATATAATAAGTCCAGAAATAAGTTGTGGTTGACTTCAATTCAGTGGCTTAAGAATGTCAGTATCTCGGTCTCTGGAACTTTTTTATCTTTCCCTATGGCCTTTTATCTTTCGCAGTCCAAGACAGAAGCTCAAAGGGCAAAAGGGTAGACACAGCTGAGTGTACTCCCTCTCAAGCAGCTTTTTATTATTATTATTATTATTATTATTATTATTATTATTATACTTTAAGTTCTAGGGTACATGTGCACAACGGGCAGGTTTGTTACATATGTATACATGTGCCATGTTGGTGTGCTGTACCCATTAACTCGTCATTTACATTAGGTATGTCTCCTAATGCTTTCCCTCCCCTCTTCCCCCACCCCACAACAGGCCCCAGTGTGTGATGTTCCCCTTTCTGTGTCCAGGTATTCTCACTGTTTAATTCCCACCTATGAGTGAGAACGTGCGGTGTTTGGTTTTTTGTTCTTGCGATAGTTTGCTGCGAATGATGGTTTCCAGCTTCATCCATGTCCCTACAAAGGACATGAACTCATCCTTTTTTATACACCATGGAATACTATGCAGTCAAGCAGCTTTTAGGAAGCCCTACCCAAAAACTTCTACTCTATCTCCTTGGTGAGAACTATATCACATGGTCACCCCATCTGCAAGGGAGGGTAAGAAATAAGGCTTTTAATCTGCACACCTCGCCACTCTATTCCCAAGGAAATCAGAACTCCCTTATTACAGGTGAAAGGGAGACTGGATAGTAGGTAGCAAATTGCATTCCGCCACATTGTTACTGCTGCACTCTTCTATTATTTGACTATCCTTTTTGGTTTTGTTCTTAGTTCTAGGTCACTTATAGATAGCATGTATGTCTTAGTCCATTTTCTGTTGCTTTCAACAGAATGCCTAAAACTGGGTAATTTATTTGTAAAAAAATAATTTATTTCTTACATTTACAGAGGCTGATAAGTCCAAGGTCAAGGGGCCACTTCTGGTGAGGGCCTTCTTACTGGTCACATGGCCGGAGGCTGAGCGTGCTCACATGCTAGCTCAGGTCTCTCTTCCTCTTCTTATAAAGCCAATAGTTCCCCTTCCAAAATAACCAATCAATTCATTAATCTATGACTAATCCATTCATAAGGGCAGAGCCCTCATGATCCAATTACCTCTTAAAGAAGCCACCTCTCAATACTGCCACACTGGGGATTAAATTTAACATGAGTTTTGGAGGAGACAGACATTCAAACCATAGCTTTCCAGTAGATTTTATTTTGACCCAAATTTGTATCACATTGCTCAATGTTTTGGTTTGCTTTTGAGGGGTTTTGTGTTTTTTTTAACTGATATATACAATAGTTGTACTGATGTTTTATTTTTATGCTTCCCTGCTATCACCTTATCTTTCTTTTGCGATATGGACTATGTTTCTTTTTCTAGAGAAGTTTATAAGATATAAAAACTCTTTGTTTTTCTACTGTTCACAGTCCATTACCTATTCAAGGAAAAAAAAAAAAACCTATCATTTCCCTGTATGTAAAATGAAGAAATTAGCCTGCTTTTACTTTTTCTCATCCTCTTCTTTTATGTCCTGGCTATTATTGATGTACCATGTGATTTCAAACCTAATACATATTTTTTTCAGAATTATTATTTATATCATATATCTTTTCCTTTGTTCTTTTAAAATTTTATATTATTTTACATATTTTCAGTTATTCATATGTATTCTATTTTTAATTGGTTTCAGTCCTCAGTTTCTGCTGTTGTGTTGGTTTTTTGTTTTTTGTTTTTGAGACAGTTTCACTCTTGTCTCCCAGGCTGAAGTGCAATGGTGTGATCTCGGCTCACTGCAACCTCCACCTCCTAGGTTTGAGCGATTCTCCTGCCTCAGCCTCCCGAGTAGCTGGGACTACAAGTGTGTGCCACTACACCTGGCTAATTTTGTATTTTTAGTAGACATAGGATTTCACCATGTTGGCCAGGCTAGTCTTGAAATCCTGACCTCAGCTGATTCACCCGCCTTGGGCTTTCAAAGTGCTGGGATTACAGGCCTGAGCCACCGCGCCCAGCCTGGTGTTTTGTACTGCGATATCATTCTTGAAATGTTATGATAGCTCAGATAGATGGAGTGTCTGTCTGCGAAAATGATTTTGCATCGTATCTGGAGATGTCTTCTGATACAGAGAAAACCTTTTTTTGCCTTTGCATGTGGCAACATTTTGTTTGGATTTAATCGTTTCTTCATTTTAGGGAAGGTTTTGTTTTTCTATTATGTCTTTGTTGTTTCTATATTCCATTCTCTTATTCAAGAATGCATATTAATCTCTGGACCATGCACCTTGGTATGTGTTAATATAACAATATTTCATGTTGTTCTGGCTGCCCCCCAGACCCAAACCATGGTTGACCTCGGTGTCCTTCTTAGTTCTATGGCCCCCACAGCGGGGCCAGCTCATTCATACTGCCTGCTGTCTGCTGAGTCTGGTTCACACATTCTGGGGTCTACCAGTGCTGCTGCTTTTAAAGACTGCTGTTTTTTCACCAAGGAAAGAGAATTCAAGAGAATTTGGTTCACACATTCTGGGGTCTACCAGTGCTGCTGCTTTTAAAGACTGCTGTTTTCACCACGGAAAGAGAATTCAAGCATTGAGTCTTTGCCATTAGCTGAATGATCTGCCCTCAGCTCTCCAAATTAGGAAATGTTAGAATTCTGCCAGGATCCTTTTGCTTACTTCCCAAGAAGACTTCTGTTTCTGAGCAATAGAAATGTCACACCTAGTGTATCAGCAAAAATTCTTCCACGTTTTAGTAATGTCAAAATCATCCTTAATTTTCAATCCCCATGTAGATAATACTGATTTATATAGTCCCTTTGTGACTTCTATGAGTGACCCCAAGTGGAAGGTGTCTGTTAAAAGGCTGGCCTCTTAACTCCCACATTCCCAAAGTCAGTAATAATAATGACAAATACAATAATGGCTACTATTTATCATTCTGTGTGCCAGAACTGTGGTAGGTGTTTCACAGATATTAGTTCATGTAATTTTTATATTAGGTTATAAAGGAAGTACTGATCTCCTTTCTTCTTTAACAGATGAGGAAAGCAAGAGATTAATGTGTCCAAACTTAGACAACTAACAAATGAAAGAGCCAGTGATGGAATCCCATCCTGTTTGACTATAAAACTTATATCTTTAAACTGTGTATTATCTTGCCTCTCATAAGGGGAAAAAAGATACTCAGAATACACTGTGATGAAGCTCCAACAAAACAAATCCCAAAGAAAAGTTCAGGATTGAAGCCGAGATCTCAAACATTAAAAGCAAGGCCATCACTGTTGCATGACCATGTTCCAGCCTGATACCTGTGCTTGCTGCTCACCATGATTGCTTCCCTTAGGAAGTTATAGAGTCCAGCAGTATAACAACTCAAGATCAGAGGGAATGTTACAAAGCCTCAGAACCCACACTTTCTGGGCTTTTTTTTGTTTTGCTTTGCTTTCGTTAGATAAGGTAGCTGAGGTATTCAGAAGCTCACATAGCTAAATAATAGTAGAGCTGGAAAAGGACTTTCAATGTAGTGACACATATGCTTACATGCATGAGAATATTATTTTTATGTTTTAAGCCTTGAGATAGTGGAAGAAATATATAAAGCTGAAGAGATCAAATCCTGGCTCTTCATGACTAGCTATGTGACTTTAGGCAAATAATTAAAACTCTGTGAGTTTTCCTGTCCTCATCTACAAAATAAGAACAAAAGTAATTATCCAACAAGATTTTGGAAGGAGAAAATGAAATAACATAGGTAAAATCAGAGCATGGTACCTGGTATGTAGAAGGCCCTTATCTTAGGAAGCAAGAGAGACAGGGGAGGGAGGTGCTCAGCTCTTTTTAACAATCAGTTCTCATAGGAACTAACAGAGTGAGAACTCACTTATTACTTTGAGGAACACACCAAGCCATTCATGAGGGATCCACTCCTATAACCCAAACACGTCTCATCAGGCCCTACCTCCAACATCAGGAATCAAATCCCAACATGAGATTTGGAGGGGACAAATAATCAAACTATCTCAGTCCTCTAAAAATCTGATTGCCATTAGGAAAACTATACATCTATCTTATTGAACCACAGGGAAGAGATTTGTCCATGTTTAGTCATATCCTCACATCTAAGGACATCATGGCATAGTGGTGATGGTGGCCACAGACAGCTGTGAGTATTGAGAGAGAGGATGAGCCTACAGAACTAGGATGGAGACAGTGGTTAAATCTCAGAAAAATGAGAAGTTAAAAACATTTCCCTCCAATTCTCATTTGAGGCACTTATAGCTCTTCAAACAACTGGATCCATGACTTTGAAACACTCATAGTAGCCTCATATGTCTAGCCTATGGGTCCCGAGTAGTGCAATTATTTATGATGATTATTGTATACCTTGGTTAAGACACAGTTAGCCCATGATTTAAACAGAAAACCCTGGAATCCTGACTTCTCAGGGTACCCTTAACCCTCTGGGATGGCAGAAGCAGCCCTCTCTCTCTTGCCAGAAGAGAGGAGGATTTCTTTCCATGAACTCATACAAGTGTCCAGAGTCGCACCATCCCCATTGACACTGGGGGATGGGGGACTCTGGAGAGGCAGGGACCAGGTGGTCATCAGGGGTTGTGACCCAATGGCTACTAGATTATGGTATGCCTAGGACTGAGATAGGTGGCTGACTATAGTGTTGCTCACCTTGTATGATTAAAGCAGAGAGAGGCTGGGTGCAGTGGTTCACACTTGTAATCTCAGCAATTTTGGAGGCCGAGGCAGGCAGATCACAAGGTCGGGGAGTTCAAGACCAGCCTGGCCAACATAGTGAAACCCCTTCTCTACTAGAAATACAAAAATTAGCCGGGCATGATGGTGCATGCCTGTAGTCCCAGCTACTTGGTAGGCTGAGGCAGGAGAATCTTTTGAACCCAGGAGCTGGAGGTTGCAGTGAGCAGAGATTCCACCACTACACTCCAGCTTGGACACAGAGTGAGACTTTGTCAAAAAAAAAAAAAAAAGAGAGAGAGAGAGAGAGGAGATTGCAGAGCAGAAGACCAGCATCAGCCATGAGCATGGAAAAAATGAGTCCCTCCCCCAGATCTAATCCAGTTTACAGATTCAGAACCCACTGATTATAGGAGAGAGCAGGCCCTCATAAGGAAGGATCTTTCAGTGTAGCTACAAATATAATGGTCAATATTCCTCTAATATTTTATCCAAGGGATTTGCAGTCATTTGCCATGATAACTGTATACTGAGGAAAGGAAGAACCCAGACTTTAATGGCAGAGTCTTTAAATACAGAGACTTTAAATACAGAGTCTGAGCTAACACTAGTAATGGAAAACTAAAATGCTATTGTGCTCTGGTCAGAGTAGGAGGAGGTTTTGGAGGTCCAGTGTTAAATGACTATATATCCTAATTTCATCTCACATTTATTACAAATGGGTTATTTTCCCAAGCCATAAGGGTATAATTGGAATAGGAATATTTAGCAGCTCACATTTGTGTTGTGATTTGTGGATTAAGAGCCATTATGGTAGGAAAGGCCAGCTAGAAGTACCTGAAACTACTTGCCCTGCCCAACTCAGATAATAAAATGAGAAGTAATATCTCACAACCATACCCTCATCATATCCCTGTTCAGCTCAACTGAGCTCTCTGCAAACCAGATGAATTGTGGCAGATCGTGGGGAATTACTGCAAAGGAACCCAGGTAGTTCTCTCAATCACAGCTGCTCTGGTAAATGTTGTATTTTCTCTAGAGAGGGCAACACAGCTTCTGGCACTTGGTATGTGACTTCCAATGTGGGGAGTATTTTCAATTCACAACAATGAGCAGAATCAAAGACAGCTGAGCTGCCTTAGCCTTACATGGCAGAAGAGTACACATTTACTATCTTGCCACAGGGCTATGTGAACTCATGTTCTCCATCGTAATTGAGTCTGCAGGGACCTTGATCTTCTTGACATTCCACCAAACCTTATGCTGGTCCACTACATTAATGACAGTGTGTTCATTGGACCAATGGAGCAAGATGCCCTAGAAATCACCTATGTGCTAGATTAGAGTAGGGTAGTCTTGGAGACATGCCATATCAATGAAGTTTTTAAGAGATACAGTAGTCTGAGTTATGCTGGGATATCTCTTCTAAGGTAAAGAGTTAGTTGCTATAGCTTGCACATTCTACCAGTAAGAAAGAGGCATAGTGTTATCTGGGCCTCCGTGGATTGTGAAGGCAGCACTTACTGCACATAGGAATACTGCTTTTATTCATTTATTGGATGTCTTAGGTTAGGTTCCCCAGTAGCAGAGTCTGAGAGCAGGATATGAGTACCAGTAGTGTATACGCAGGAACTGAAAACCAAATACCACATATTCTCAACTTTTAAGTGGGAGCTAAACATTGAATACACATGGACACAAAGATGGGAACAGTAGACACCAAGAACTGCTTGAGGTGGGAGGCTGGGAGGCAGCTGGGTTGGAAGGCTACGTATCGGGAACTGTGCTTATTAGCTTGGTGATGGTGTCCTAGCTGGGGGAGCATCCATAGCCTCTGCACTGGGAAAACCAGCACTAATGTCAGCATTAATTTGTACACCAAACCTCAGCAACACGCAATTTACCTATGTAACAAACCTGCACATGTATTCCCTGAACCTAAAATAAAAGTAGAAACAGGAAAAAAATATGACAGCTTCTTAAGTATGACTTTGAAAGATATCCAAGAAATACTGTTAAGTGAAATAATCAATGTGCAGAGTAGTGTGTCTGGCATGGTCTCATTTGCTTAAAAAAAAAACCAGGATCAACTAAAAAAAAAGAAAAGAAAGAAAGAGGATCCTAGGATGTGAGATAGGAAAGGGAAGAAATCCAATAAGGGGTGTGTTATTAAGCAGATTACCATTGTGGACAGCTGAGGCTTAATCCCACTGGAGAATTCTGGAAGACAGTGTAGAACACACCTCAGAATTATCCCGAAGGAGGAAAGAACCCATCTGCAATTGCTTGTGGGCTGCTTCTAGGGACATTAATGCTGGAGTTCATGGTGCAGGAGCTACAAATGCTCCCCCAGCCAGTAAAAAGCCCTCCTGCAGAGAGCCACAGGTACTCACAATAAGCAGCTATTTATGTGTGGTGGGGTAGTCACACCAAGTATGTATGGGACAGGCACTCAGAGTGTTGGTTACATTTGGTGACTTACAAGTCTGGCAGTTTCAAATGTGGCCAGAACCAGGGAAGAATCTAAAGCAAATCCAGACTGGTACAAACTGCCACACACACAGGCCATGTGCAGTGTTGATGAAGGCATCCCTAGTGGATAAGACGTGCCAGGGAGTCTCTGACAAGCCTCAGCAGGAAAGTTCAGCACATGCCCCAAGGGCTCCAGAGCAAGGCCTTTAGCAAAGAACTCTTCACTCAGAAAACAGCCACTGTGTTGAAAAACAGCCACAAATGACTCTGCGCTTAGAGCTCCCCATCATGAGCTTGGTATCGTTATATCCACCAAATCATAAGATTCAGCAGGCACAGCACAACTTTATGTAAAATGAAAATGATATATTCAGGATGGAACTCCAGCAAGTACAGAGCAAATCTCATAGACAGGGGACTCAGACCTTCATGCCACCTACCTCTGTTGCCCTAATGCCTGTCCTTCCATTGCACTGTCTCCTTTCCCTGTGGCCTCATTGGACTGTTTGAATCTTCTTGTCCTAAGCACTAGTTACTCTTCTTTCGAATTAAATTTGTCCAGTCAAGCTTGAGAATTTCAGCAGCTCTTGCTTTTGGTGTAGATTTTCATTTTGACTGAGAGTCGTAGCTTCATATGGAGGCCATGAAGCTATTCAGAGGGCAACAGAAATGCTTGGTGACTTCAGATGCGCTTTAAGTAGCTCATAAGGGTTCAGCAAACCATGAAGATAATCGATTTAAGTTCCAGTTTCCTTTCTTCCATGAAAAAGCTTCCATGGGAAGAGCTGTCAGAAAAGCTAATGCATCTCTTGATCTAAAAGAGCTAGTTTAGAATGGGTTTTCTGAAAGGTTTTCAAATATCTCATTATCTTCCTTTCTTAAAGCTGAGAAAGAATGTATTCTTATGGAAAATGGTTTTACTTATACTGCTTATACCCACCTATAGCCAGAAGGCATTATATGTTTTACATATTGAATTCTATAATAACAACCCTATGTTGGCAGGTAATATTTGACCTGTTTTACAAGTAAAAAATGTCAAAGTCACCAAGAGAGTAAGCAATGGAGCCAGTGATGGTGGCAGGAGGCAGACAAATGCCTAAGCATTTAGGAGTGGGTCTCCAGTGAAACCCCGACCTTCAAGCCAAAGACAGTTTAAAGCCTAGCTTCAAGTCCCGGGTAAATCCACAGACCAGATTGAGAACCTGTCTTCCCGTTTGCTGCACTTTCCTCTGATTGGTACCCACCCTTCACTTATTTTACATATACCTACCCTTTCCTTACTGGTTTTTCTACACTGTTGTGCCCACCTTTGAGTGGTGTCTTCGCTTTAACCTTTTTTGCATACTCACAAGCCAATCAGCACACATTCCCCTTTCTGAGTGCATAAAAAGCCCTGGACCCAGCCACACTGGAAGAGAGAAACCACCCAACTGTGGGGGTGAGGGACCACCCTCCCTCAAGTCCCCTCTCCACTTATAGCTGTTTCATTACTCAATAAAATTCTTCTCTGCCCATCTTCAACCTTCAAACTGTCAGTGTATCCTCATTCTTCTTGGATGAAGGACAAGAGCTCACTGATACGGTTTGGCTGTGTCCCTACCGAAATCTCATCTTGAATTGTAGCTCCCATAATTCCCACATGTTGTGGGAGAGACCCAGTTGGAGATAAATGAATGATGGGGGCAGTTTCCCCCATATTGTTCTCATGGTTGTGAATAACATTCAGTTGTTCTATAAGGGGTTTCCCCTTCCACTTGGTTCTCATTCTCTCTTTTATGCTGCTAGGTAAGACATGCCTTTCGCCTTCCACCATGATTGTGAGGCATCCCCAGCCACATGGAACTATGAGTCCATTAAATCTCTTTTCTTTATAAATTACCCAGTCTCAGGTGTGTATTTATCAGCAGTGAGAAAATGGACGAATACCCTCGGGAACCCCCTAGTGCGGGTACAAGCTATAGCCCAGATGGGCCAAGTAGGGGGGTACCTGCAGCGGCAGGCCCATGGCCGAGAGAGGCTCAGGTCAGGGAGAGTGGCCAGTCCTGGAGGCCCCCAGTTGGCAAAGTGATCGAGAAAAGTCCTGCATCACCAGGATTCTAACTGTGTACATGGAAGCCCACGCTTAATCCCTATATTGAATGCCTGGTCAGGTGGTCAAATTTCTGCCTGCTGAAAGCATCTATTAGGTGACACCCTCAGAAAAATCCTCTGCTGAATAGAGCCTACAATTCCTGGCAAGAACATGAAATATTGTTTTTCCTTCTCACAGAAACAAGTGAAACCAATCAGCTGTGATCATTATTCCTGTGTTTTCAAGTACTTCCAAGGCACTTTACATACAAAAATTCCAGAGGCAGACAGTCCACAATCATCAGAGAAAGAGCTTCCTTCTACTTTATTGTATATTATCCTTAATACATGGTTTCCAGCTCACAGTCCAAGATAGAAACCTTAAAATTGCTGTTCTTCTTCCAAAAAAAATAATTCCCTAGAAAAGGGACAGCTGTGAGCCATTAGCAGTCAACACTTTCAACAGCTGGAGGATGGTTGTTCTGGCCCAATAAAGGGAAACCGGGCAGGACTTTAACAGTGGCCACTATGTGGTCCACCCGCCAAATCCACATTGTGGGCAGCAAAAAGGAGAAAGGGGCATTCCCATTCTTCTCTCATTCTTCTCTCATTCTCATTCTCTTATTCTCTTAGTCACATGAGCATAAACAGCAGCAAGGGAACTTGGAGAATACAGTCTTTATCATGGATGGCTATCAGCTCAGTCATTAATTGGTACTTCAATTATTCGACACATCGGGAGGCAATTAGCAGTCTATAGTCCATGCTTCCAACCTGACCCTCAATGTTCCTCCCAAGGCAGAGTGTTTGCACTTGCCTGAGGGCTTCAGGCATTCCAGGCATCCTTCTCACTGACCTAGCACCGGCCCTGGGAACTTCCATGTTCAGGTATAATCGCTGTCTTCTCTCCACCTACCCAGGGCATTCTTACACCTGCAACTTATAGTCTTGACATCTTAGTGCTCAAGGGCCAGCTACCCCCTCTGCTTCCCACTTTGATCCTCTCTCTCAATTCTGGTTTCTGGGACTCCGAGCTATCCCTCTTCCTCATGTGATTAAAATAAAAATATAATATCACTTTTAGGGGAAAGCCACTCCCTACACTAATGTAGCTTTACCTTTATTTGATAACAGTTACCACAATCTCATGCAATTTAAAAGAAATTATAATTCCATACTCAGGATAAAAGGGGAGTGGTTTCCTTATATATGCAGATGGCAGGAATTCTGTGCTTCAAGTTCTGTGCTTGAAGAATACTTTTTTTCCCACTTAATCCTAAGGTTAAGAACTGATTATAAGGTAGTATACTCTGCTAGAAGGGGGTAGGGGGTAGGGGGATGCATTCTGCCTCAGATTTTAAATTATAAGCCAAATTATACAAAGATGTAAAACTTAATGGGAAAACTTAATGGGCTAAGGATGTGAACAAAAGTAGAAATACAAATGGATAATACATCTCAAAAAAATGCAATTTCTAAGAATAAAAATTTAAATAATGAGACATCATTGTCTTTTACCTATCTGATAAAAATTAATGAGAATTATATAAATATAGAAGAAGGGACCAGGCGCAGTGGCTCATGCCTGTAATCCCAGCACTTTGGGAGGCCAAGGCAGGCAGACCACTGGAGCCCAGCCATTCAAGACCAGCATGGGCAACATAGCGAAACCCCATCTTCCACCAAAAATAAATTTAAAAATTAGCCGGGCATGGTGGTGCATGCCTGTAGTGCCAGCTGCTTCGAGGGCTGAGGTGGGAGGATCGCTTAAGCCCAGGAAGCGGAGGTTGCAGTGAGCCAAGATGATGCCACTGCACTCCAGCCTGGGCAACAGAGCCCGATCCTGTCTCCAAAAAAACAAAAACATGAAAGAAAAAAAAAGGAAAAGGTCACTGTCAACTGACTCGGGTTGAAACTAGTACAATTTTGGAGGGAAGACGATTTGATAAGACAATCAAAAATCTTTTTAAAAATGCTTTGATCCCAGGTGTCATCCTGCTGGGAATTGGACAAGAGTGAAAAATGTTTGTACACAATTCAGTTCAAATTTGTTTGTAATAGAAGAAAACCTAAATGCCCAATGCTGAAGGAATGGTTAAATATGTTACTGGACTTCTATGTAACGGACTGCCATGTAGCCATTTGAAATTCCAAGAAACATTTGTTGTCACTGATATTTAGGTTACATTTTCCTTAATTTAGGGAAAAAATGTAGCTTACAAAATAGTGCATGCTGTGTATGCAGTACCATTTTTGTAAAATGTATATGATTATATGTTGATCTTTATACATTTACCGTGTAAATAGTCTAAGAGGATATATACCAAAATGTTACATATTGTTTTCACTGGAAAGCAGTATTTCTGATTATTTTATTGTTTTTATTTCCTTTTTTTTCATATCTGTTTATTGTAAGCATTCCACAAAGTTTTCACTTTGAAAAGTTGCTTTTATTTAAGTTATAAAAAATCTAGAAGAGTATAGCATTGAATATTTACCAATTCTTTGGAGAGGAAATGACTTTCTAAGTAACAGAAATCACAAAGGAAAACACTGATCATTTGCCAAAAATAACAATTATAGTATGTCAAAAAAATAAAATGCAAGAAGTCTGAGGAAAAGTAATATCCATGGCAAACCTTATACCAAAATCTAATATAACATAATCAGATAAACACTACTCTAAAAGTGAAATAGGAAAACATAAGCTATGTATACTGATAATTCTCAAAATGGGCAAAGCAGTCAGAAACACATTAAGAAATTAATTTCACTATTAATTTAATAAAATTAAAACAGGGCTATTAAATTCATAATTATTAGGTTGAGAATTATATGAAGCTAACTCTTGTGCAATGTTTGTAGCCATGTAAATCGGTGCAATACTTTTGGAAAGCCATGTGGCAATACTCATCTGCAGCCAGAAAACTGATTAGCCTTTGACCCAGTAATATCCTAGAGATGCAATCCAGTTTAAGAAATAGCTACATACACGAAGATGTTTATGATCACTTTTTTATAGTAGCAATTTAGAGGAAATATTCTAAATGTCCATGATGAAAGAATGCTTAAATATATTGTTGGTAAATCTACTAAAGGGAATATAATACAACCATTAAAATTAGGGATATGACAATTATGTAATAACAGAAAATTTCTCAGGTTAAGTACCAAAAACAAGATACTAAATTGCATGGTATTTTTAGAGTATGGATAGACAATAGACTCAAGCAAAATGTACAGATATGTTCAGATAACTAACAATTCTTAAAAATTACCAGTAGTCCTGGCTACTCAAAAGGCCAACGAGGGAAGATCACTTGAGGCCAGGAGTTTCAGACCAGCCTGGGCAACATTTCTTTTTTTTAAAAAAATTGCCAATTGTCTCCATTGCCAATATTTTCTTTAAACAACTTTTATTTTTAATAATCTATTTTAAGTGATGGCTATGAAAACTATGCAGCAACATGGAAAATTATAATACAGTGTTATCTGAACAATGTATATCCAGTTGCATGTATATATGGATAACAATCCATAGGATATTGTCTGCTATGATAATAAATGTATGGGTAAATTTTATCTCACTAGCATCAAAATTGGATAATTTTGTAAAGATAACTTATTTATAAACAAGAAGATATAGAACAGCATGATACTATATCAATAAATATACCATTTGAGCAAAAAAATGTCTGGAATGTAAAGGGTAAGAAGCTTATATATAGATTTGCCAACTTTCTTTTTGTGTTCAAAACTACAAATCATTAACCAGCTTTTGCTTTTCTTAACAAATAGAAAATAGTTTCACAATGACTTTGACAAGAACATAGGAAAGAGAGAGAAACAGACATGCATTCGTGTTTTGCAAACTAATTTCTGAGAGGCAGTGAGTAGCCTGAACTCCTGGCCTCAGGAAATGAAAATAGACACGATGCCACTTCCTAGTTCCTAAGTATTTCATAATCCTTTTTCTACAATCAGTCTTCCACACGCCTGGCCTGGGTCCCGGAGAATAAAGTACACAAACTTCTTACTTTTTCAGAATGCCTCGGGTCTGCTCTTTCCTTAGCAAATATTTCCAATGTGCCAACTGTTTACACATGGCTTCTGAACTTTCCCATCCATAGCCAGAGTCCAGCAGGATTTGTCAGTTACTGGTAATTCTCAGGAAACAGAACTCTCGCCATCCTTCGAAGTGAGCAAGGAAGGATTTGCCATGACAGCCTCGCCTTCAGGCACACAGCTGGTATCCACTCCTCCCATGCGAGAGAGAATGGAAGCCTTCAGAAACACTGACTTCAAGCAACCATTGTGCTGTTCTCAGTTTAGTACCACAGTTTTCAAGGTGCATTTGAGAGAAATTGGAAAACAAGCAGATAAGGAAAAGGTTTGCTGCCTGACAGTTTGGTCTTTCGTGTTTAGTTAATAGCCATGACTCGCACAGGAGTGCTGTGCAATAGCCATAATGCTTTCCAGAATGCCTTCAGCATGTTTTCAACTGCTTAGTAAGATTTAGTCTCACTTGCTGACATCACCTCTTGGGGGTTATTTAAGTGTTCAGTTATTTTTCCAAGCAGCCTGGTGGTGTTCCTCTATCCTCTGTAGTATTCCAACCCAGCAGTTCTCAACACTCTCTTAACAATGACAAGGAAGACCAATGACATTTTGCCCATGGGCAAAGTCAGATGTAATGAAACCCACTCCTTCACAAGAATATTTGGCAGAGAAGTTGAATACTAAGCTGATTCCTAATAACTATTCATAATACCTCTAAGTGAAATGCTACCCTCTCCTCTTCCATGCAAGAAAGCATTTCAGGATATCAGTGCACAGGGACATATCATTGAGGAAACTTTTAAGCCACCGAAATTTATTCAAAATTTAAATGATTAGAAAATGGGCATTGCAGTTATTAGTAATAAAAATGACTTATGACACAATTCAGAGCTAAACTTTAGGTACGACTTACTGCCTTCATCACCCAGCAACCCAGGATGTATTTTAACTTCTAAAGATGTCAGAACATACATTGGCTCCATTCTTGCTATAAGAGCGCTACAAGTGGGTTTGACCCTTTGTGGCTTCATCTTGAGGTTTTTGCAAAGCCCGTATGGTATTCCTATTGCTCTTTCCATGGTGGATATTCCTGTAGAATCAAACCCATGGATTCCCCATTCTTGTCAAGAGATATATCCATCATCCATTATGAAAGAGTAAGATCCACTAGGAAGAGCTCAGTGGTGACACTGAGCTGAGCTACTGCAAACTACAGTTCACAATCCCAGCAGCAAAAGGGTGCTACGCTTATCTCCTTTACATTCCCAAATGTCATCTGTTGCCTGTTGTGTCTTTTTCCACATTTCAAATCCTGCTATGATCCATGGTTATGCTTATTTTGAAATATATTATACATAGAAAGAATATATAATATGCATATGTACAGTTTGAAAAATAAAAAAAATGAATACCCATGTACCAAACACCTGGCTAAAGAAACGGAACAACCCCCATAAACCAGAAGCTTCCTCCTTTCACCCCACTACCACCCTCATCCCACACAGAGGGAACCACTACTCTGAATTTTGTGACAATCATTCCTTTCTTTTTCTTTAAGATTTTATTACTGATGATATAAGCCTAAACAATGTATTGCTTCATTCTGCCTGGTTTTGAATTTCAGTATAAGTGAAATCATACAAAATATATCTTATGACTTCCAAAGAAGTAACATGATGTTTTTAAGATTCATCTGTCTTAATATCTATTTCTGTAGTTAATTTATTTTTACTGCTGTATAGCGTTCCATTATATGAATACACCCTACCTTATTTGTCCTATTGAAATGTTCATAGCTTCTGTTTGCCTGCTTGCTTTTTGAAAATTATTTTGTGAGCATTTTTAAAACTGTCTCTCCTTATGAGTGTTCACATATTAAACTTTATTAGAAAGTTGAATTTCTACATAGGCTGGCTTTGTCTCTCAGCTTTCTATTTAGTTCAACTGGTCTTTTAATCTGTTACTGCATGAATATTAAACTGTCTTTATTAAAAATCAATAAGACAAGTCTTATTCTTCTTCTAGAGTGGTTTTATATTTCAGGAGCCCTTTGCTTATCCAAATAAATTGTAGAATCTGTTGACCAGTTATCCTAAAAAAAGTTAAACATGAATTGTATTTACTATAAATCTATGAATAAATTTGAAGGGGATTAATATCTTTCTTTGTAACTACATGAAACATCCTCCTTTTAGTTAGAATCCCTTTTAGTAGCATCATCATTTTCTTGATGAATGGCTTATACTTCATTTTTGTTGATTCCTGTGTACTTGATAATTTTGCAGTTATTGTAAAGTATAAAATTCTTTGAAATTCCATTGTCTAACTGATCATTCATGGTATACAGAATGCTATTGACTTCAGTATACTGAGTTAATATGAAGAACTTTGCTAAATGTATCTACTAATTCTAATAACCTATTCAAAAACTCTTGCATTTTTACACAATTATTTCATCTTGATAGTTTTAATTCTGTCTCTACAATAAGTAATTTTTGATTTTTTTTGTTTTATTTTGTTTTGTTTCCTGACTCACTGCACTATCTTGCTCCTCCAGTAAAATGTTGAACAGAAGTAGTTACAGTAGTCATCCTTGTACTCCTGATCTCAGAAGCTTTCAACATTCTACCATTTATTAAGATTTTTGATCTAAGCTTTCCTTTTTTTTTTCTTTTTTTTTTTTATTTGTTATGTACACCATTAATAGGTGGCTATTCTTTTTTTTTTTTTTATACTTTAAGTTTTAGGGTACATGTGCACATTGTGCAGGTTAGTTACATATGTATACATGTGCCATGCTGGTGCGCTGCACCCACTAACTCATCATCTAGCCTTAGGTATATCTCCCAACTCTATCCCTCCCCCATCCCCCCCACCCCACCACAGTCCCCAGAGTGTGGTATTCACCTTCATGTGTCCATGTGATCTCATTGTTCAATTCCCACCTATGAGTGAGAATATACGGTGTTTGGTGTTTTGTTCTTGCGATAGTTTACTGAGAATGATGATTTCCAATTTCATCCATGTCCCTACAAAGGATATGAACTCATCATTTTTTATGGCTGCATAGTATTCCATGGTGTATATGTGCCACATTTTCTTAATCCATTCTATCATTGTTGGACATTTGGGTTGGTTCCAAGTCTTTGCTATTGTGAATAATGCCGCAATAAACATACGTGTGCATGTATCTTTATAGCAGCATGATTTATAGTCCTTTGGGTATATACCCAGTAATGGGATGGCTGGGTCAAATGGTATTTCTAGTCTAGATCCCTGAGGAATCGCCACACTGACTTCCACAATGGTTGAACTAGTTTACAGTCCCACCAACAGTGTAAAAGTGTTCCTATTTCTCCACATCCTCTCCAGCACCTGTTGTTTCCTGACTTTTTAATGATTGCCATTCTAACTGGTGTGAGATGATATCTCATAGTGGTTTTGATTTGCATTTCTCTGATGGCCAGTGATGATGAGCATTTTTTCATGTGTTTTTTGGCTGCATAAATGTCTTCTTTTGAGAAGTGTCTGTTCATGTCCTTCGCCCACTTTTTGATGGGGTTGTTTGTTTTTTTCTTGTAAATTTGTTTGAGTTCATTGTAGATTCTGGATATTAGCCCTTTGTCAGATGAGTAGGTTGCGAAAATTTTCTCCCATGTTGTAGGTTGCCTGTTCACTCTGATGGTAGTTTCTTTTGCTGTGCAGAAGCTCTTTAGTTTAATTAGATCCCATTTGTCAATTTTGGCTTTTGTTGCCATTGCTTTTGGTGTTTTGGACATGAAGTCCTTGCCCATGCCTATGTCCTGAATGGTAATGCCAAGGTTTTCTTCTAGGGTTTTTATGGTTTTAGGTCTAACGTTTAAATCTTTAATCCATCTTGAATTGATTTTTGTATAAGGTGTAAGGAAGGGATCCAGTTTCAGCTTTCTACATATGGCTAGCCAGTTTTCCCAGCACCATTTGTTAAATAGGGAATCCTTTCCCCATTGCTTGTTTTCCTCAGGTTTGTCAAAGATCAGATAGTTGTAGGTATGCGGCGTTATTTCTGAGGGCTCTGTTCTGTTCCATTGATCTATATCTCTGTTTTGGTACCAGTACCATGCTGTTTTGGTTACTGTAGCCTTGTAGTATAGTTTGAAGTCAGGTAGTGTGATGCCTCCAGCTTTGTTCTTTTGGCTTAGGATTGACTTGGCAATGTGGGCTCTTTTTTGGTTCCATATGAACTTTAAAGTAGTTTTTTCCAATTCTGTGAAGAAAGTCATTGGTAGCTTGATGGGGATGGCATTGAATCTGTAAATTACCTTGGGCAGTATGGCCATTTTCACGATATTGATTCTTCCTACCCATGAGCATGGAATGTTCTTCCATTTGTTTGTATCCTCTTTTATTTCCTTGAGCAGTGGTTTGTAGTTCTCCTTGAAGAGGTCCTTCACATCCCTTGTAAGTTGGATTCCTAGGTATTTTATTCTCTTTGAAGCAATTGTGAACGGGAGTTCACTCATGATTTGGCTCTCTGTTTGTCTGTTGTTGGTGTATAAGAATGCTTGTGATTTTTGTACATTGAGTTTGTATCCTGAGACTTTGCCGAAGTGGCTTATCAGCTTAAGGAGATTTTGGGCTGAGACGATGGGGTTTTCTAGATAAACAATCATGTCGTCTGTAAACAGGGACAATTTGACTTCCTCTTTTCCTAATTGAATACCCTTTATTTCCTTCTCCTGCCTGATTGCCCTGGCCAGAACTTCCAACACTATGTTGAATAGGAGTGGTGAGAGAGAGCATCCCTGTCTAGTGCCAGTTTTCAAAGGGAATGCTTCCAGTTTTTGCCCATTCAGTATGATATTGGCTGTGGGTTTGTCATAGATAGCTCTTATTATTTTGAAATACGTCCCATCAATACCTAATTTATTGAGAGTTTTTAGCATGAAGTGTTGTTGAATTTTGTCAAAGGCTTTTTCTGCATCTATTGAGATAATCATGTGGTTTTTGTCTTTGGCTCTGTTTATATGCTGGATTACATTTATTGATTTGCGTATATTGAACCAGCCTTGCATCCCAGGGATGAAGCCCACTTGATCATGGTGGATAAGCTTTTTGATGTGCTGCTGGATTCGGTTTGCCAGTATTTTATTGAGGATTTTTGCATCAATGTTCATCAAGGATATTGGTCTAAAATTCTCTTTTTTGGTTGTGTCTCTGCCCGGCTTTGGTATCAGAATGATGCTGGCCTCATAAAATGAGTTAGGGAGGATTCCCTCTTTTTCAATTGATTGGAATAGTTTCAGAAGGAATGGTACCAGTTCCTCCTTGTACCTCTGGTAGAATTCGGCTGTGAATCTATCTGGTCCTGGACTCTTTTTGGTTGGTAAGCTATTGATTATTGCCACAATTTCAGCTCCTGTTATTGGTCTATTCAGAGATTCAACTTCTTCCTGGTTTAGTCTTAGGAGAGTGTATGTGTCGAGGAATGTATCCATTTCTTCTAGATTTTCTAGTTTATTTGCGTAGAGGTGTTTGTAGTATTCTCTGATGGTAGTTTGTATTTCTGTGGGATCAGTAGTGATATCCCCTTTATCATTTTTTATTGTGTCTATTTGATTCTTCTCTCTTTTTTTCTTTATTAGTCTTGCTAGTGGTCTATCAGTTTTGTTGATCCTTTCAAAAAACCAGCTCCTGGATTCATTGATTTTTTGAAGGGTTTTTTGTGTCTCTATTTCCTTCAGTTCTGCTCTGATTTTAGTTATTTCTTGCCTTCTGCTAGCTTTTGAATGTGTTTGCTCTTGCTTTTCTAGTTCTTTTAATTGTGATGTTAGGGTGTCAATTTTGGATCTTTCCTGCTTTCTCTTGTGGGCATTTAGTGCTATAAATTTCCCTCTACACACTGCTTTGAATGCGTCCCAGAGATTCTGGTATGTTGTGTCTTTGTTCTCGTTGGTTTCAAAGAACATCTTTATTTCTGCCTTCATTTCGTTATGTACCCAGTAGTCATTCAGGAGCAGGTTGTTCAGTTTCCATGTAGTTGAGCGGCTTTGAGTGAGATTCTTAATCCTGAGTTCTAGTTTGATTGCACTGTGGTCTGAGAGATAGTTTGTTATAATTTCTGTTCTTTTACATTTGCTGAGGAGAGCTTTACTTCCAACTATGTGGTCAATTTTGGAATAGGTGTGGTGTGGTGCTGAAAAAAATGTATATTCTGTTGATTTGGGGTGGAGAGTTCTGTAGATGTCTATTAGGTCTGCTTGGTGCAGAGCTGAGTTCAATTCCTGGGTATCCTTGTTGACTTTCTGTCTCGTTGATCTGTCTAATGTTGACAGTGGGGTGTTAAAGTCTCCCATTATTAATGTTTGGGAGTCTAAGTCTCTTTGTAGGTCACTCAGGACTTGCTTTATGAATCTGGGTGCTCCTGTATTGGGTGCATATATATTTAGGATAGTTAGCTCCTCTTGTTGAATTGATCCCTTTACCATTATGTAATGGCCTTCTTTATCTCTTTTGATCTTTGTTGGTTTAAAGTCTGTTTTATCAGAGACTAGGATTGCAACCCCTGCCTTTTTTAGTTTTCCATTTGCTTGGTAGATCTTCCTCCATCCTTTTATTTTGAGCCTATGTGTGTCTCTGCACATGAGATGGGTTTCCTGAATACAGCACACTGATGGCTCTTGACTCTTTATCCAACTTGCCAGTCTGTGTCTTTTAATTGGAGAATTTAGTCCATTTACATTTAAAGTTAATATTGTTATGTGTGAATTTGATCCTGTCATTATGATGTTAGCTGGTGATTTTGCTCGTTAATTGATGCAGTTTCTTCCTAGTCTCGATGGTCTTTACATTTTGGCATGATTTTGCAGCAGCTGGTACCGGTTGTTCCTTTCCATGTTTAGCGCTTCCTTCAGGAGCTCTTTTAGGGCAGGCTTGGTGGTGACAAAATCTCTCAGCATTTGCTTGTCTGTAAAGTATTTTATTTCTCCTTCACTTATGAAGCTTAGTTTGGCTGGATATGAAATTCTGGGTTGAAAATTCTTTTCTTTAAGAATGTTGAATATTGGCCCCCACTCTCTTCTGGCTTGTAGGGTTTCTGCCGAGAGATCCGCTGTTAGTCTGATGGGCTTCCCTTTGAGGGTAACCCGACCTTTCTCTCTGGCTGCCCTTAACATTTTTTCCTTCATTTCAACTTTGGTGAATCTGACATTTATGTGTCTTGGAGTTGCTCTTCTCGAGGAGTATCTTTGTGGCGTTCTCTGTATTTCCTGAATCTGAACGTTGGCCTGCCTTGCTAGATTGGGGAAGTTCTCCTGGATAATATCCTGCAGAGTGTTTTCCAACTTGGTTCCATTCTCCGCATCACTTTCAGGTACACCAGTCAGACGTAGATTTGGTCTTTTCACATAGTCCCATATTTCTTGGAGGCTTTGCTCATTTCTTTTTATTCTTTTTTCTCTAAACTTCCCTTCTCGCTTCATTTCATTCATTTCATCTTCCATTGCTGATACCCTTTCTTCCAGTTGATCGCATCGGCTCCTGAGGCTTCTGCATTCTTCAAGTAGTTCTCGAGCCTTGGTTTTCAGCTCCATCAGCTCCTTTAAGCACTTCTCTGTATTGGTTATTCTAGTTATACATTCTTCTAAATTTTTTTCAAAGTTTTCAACTTCTTTGCCTTTGGTTTGAATGTCCTCCCGTAGCTCAGAGTAATTTGATCGTCTGAAGCCTTCTTCTCTCAGCTCGTCAAAGTCATTCTCCATCCAGCTTTGCTCCGTTGCTGGTGAGGAACTGCGTTCCTTTGGAGGAGGAGAGGTGCTCTGCGTTTTAGAGTTTCCAGTTTTTCTGTTCTGTTTTCTCCCCATCTTTGTGGTTTTATCTACTTTTGGTCTTTGATGATGGTGATGTACAGATGGGTTTTCGGTGTGGATGTCCTTTCTGTTTGTTAGTTTTCCTTCTAACAGACAGGACCCTCAGCTGCAGGTCTGTTGGAATACCCTGCCGTGTGAGATGTCAGTGTGCCCCTGCTGGGGGATGCCTCCGAGTTAGGCTGCTCGGGGGTCAGGGGTCAGGGACCCACTTGAGGAGGCAGTCTGCCCGTTCTCAGATCTCCAGCTGCGTGCCGGGAGAACCACTGCTCTCTTCAAAGCTGTCAGACAGGGACATTTAAGTCTGCAGAGGTTACTGCTGTCTTTTTGTTTGTCTGTGCCCTGCCCCCAGAGGTGGAGCCTACAGAGGCAGGCAGGCCTCCTTGAGCTGTGGTGGGCTCCACCCAGTTCGAGCTTCCTGTCTGCTTTGTTTACCTAAGCAAGCCTGGGCAATGGCGGGCGCCCCTCCCCCAGCCTCGCTGCCGCCTTGCAGTTTGATCTCAGACTGCTGTGCTAGCAATCAGCGAGACTCCGTGGGTGTAGGACCCTCCGAGCCAGGTGTGGGATATAGTCCCGTGGTGCGCCGTTTTTTAAGCTGGTCTGAAAAGCGCAATATTCAGGTGGGAGTGACCTGATTTTCCAGGTGCGTCCGTCACCCCTTTCTTTGACTCGGAAAGGGAACTCCCTGACCGCTTGCGCTTCCCAGGTGAGGCAATGCCTCGCCCTGCTTTGGCTCGCGCACCCACTGGCCTGCGCCCACTATCTGGCACTCCCTAGTGAGAGGAACCCGGTACCTCAGATGGAAATGCAGAAATCACCCGTCTTCTGCGTCGCTCACGCTGGGAGCTGTAGACTGGAGCTGTTCCTATTCGGCCATCTTGGCTCCTCCTTCCGATCTAAGCTTTCATAGTGGCCCTTGGTTGGGTTAAGAAGGCTTTTTTGGGCCAGGCGCGGTGGCTTATGCCTGTAATCCTAGCACTTTGGGAGGCCAAGGCAGGTGGATCACCTGATGTCAGGAGTTCGAGCCCAGCCTGGCCAACATAGTGAAACCCTGTCTTCACTAAAAAATACAAAAAATTAGCCAGGTGTGGTAGCAGGCAACTGTAATCCCAGGTACTCTGGAGGCTGAGGCAGGAGAATCGCTTGAACCCAGGAGGCAGAGGTCACAGTGAGCCAAGATCACGCCACTGCACTCCAACCTGGGTGACACAACAAGATTCCATCTCAAAAAAAAGAAAAGAAAAGAAAAGAAAAGAAAGAACGCTTTCTCTATTCCTAGTTTGGTTAGAGATTTTATCATAAATACCCTGTTAGCCAAGTGAGTTGCTAATACTGAACCTTAGAATTAAAATGACATAAACACACCCACCCAGTCATGGCAAAACTGATCTGAATAGCAGATCCCTCTAGGGAAGGCCCCTCCACAGTATTTGGCATGGGACAGAGAACTCATGTCCTCTGCAGAAAGGCACATTTCTAAATGAAAGGAGAATGGATAAAGCTGAAATAAGCATGACTGGTTATTCTTCCAGTATTTACTAATCAGGTGTCATTCATGTCCCCTAGCATAGAGTGAGTAAAAGGACTGTAACGTTCTTCTCCACCAGAGTTTTTAAAAAGAGAGAATTGTAGAGAAGCTCTGTCCCTAAGTCATCCCATTTTAAAGATGAGGCTTTTACATGCAGAGGAACCCATCTTGTAGAAAGTTCAGAGGGCATGGACAGGGAATGAGAGGACTAGGGAAGAAATCCATTGTTTCTTACTTAATTTCTCAGCAAATGTGCAAAGAATGAAGAATTGCAGTTCTTTGCATTTCCAGCCATCTGTAAAGCTGTAGGAACAATCAGGATAGATTCTCCCCTAAGTAAAGTTTGAGTCAGTCTGTATACCTTCTGTATATACAACCAGAAGAAAAAAAAAATCTGTCTTTCTAATAAGTCCTCCGTGGAAGGATTAACTTTCAAACTTCTTTGACTATGGTTCACAATAAGAAACTTTTTTCAGCATGCACGCACTACACATGCTGAAAAAATGTTTTACAAATAATTCTTACTCTTACTTCATGTAAAGGGCTAAAGCACTTCAGAGCTTTACTCTGACCCTATGAGTCAGGAAGGAAGCTGTCTCTCTCAGCTCATGCTACTATAACAAAATATCATTGACTGGGTAATTTATAAACAACAGAAATTTATTCTCCGCAGTTCTGGAGGCTTGGAAGTCCAAGATCAAGTTTCAGATAGATTTGGCATCTGGTGTAAGCTCACTCTCTGCTTCCAAATGGCACCTTCTTATGGCATCCTCACTTGGTGAAGGTGGAAGGGCAAAACGTGACTAGGGCACTCTCTTCTACCTCTTTCATAAGAGCATGAATCCCATTTATGAGAGTGGAGTGCTCATTACTTAATCACTTCCCAAAAGGCCCCACTTCTTAATACCATCACATTGGGTGGTAGGTGCCAACATATGAATTTTGGAGGGACACATATATTCAAACCATAGCAGAAGTGATGAGGAAGCCTGAAAGTGGAGTAGATGTTGCTGGTGTCCAGCCTCAATGGTCCCCTTTACCAGGCCTGTCACCCATCCACTTGCAGCAGCACCTGTGAGTGTTGACTGCTAATGGCTCACAGCTGCACCCTTCTCTGGTTAATTGCCCTTGACCTACAGAAGCCATCTTGCCAGGAAATGCCCAGGAGTTTCAACCCCACTATCCCAACTCAGGTGCAGCCCGCAGCCAATGACTAATCAATATGGGATCAAAAGCCCAGCCCCATTGCCTCCAATGGGAGCAACTGTGGTGCATCACGCCTCCAGAGCCCCTTGGGATTGGGCTGAAGTTAGACTCCAGCTGAAGCCAGTCTGTGCTTAGCTTCTCTTCTGCCCTAGCCTGCTTTCCTCACTTGCTTACTGATTTTTCCTGAAACCCTCAATAAATCACTTGCACAGGATTCCTCATCTCAGACTGTGCTTCCAGGGAATTGACCTAAGACAGGGAGCCAGGAAGGAAAAAGAAGTATGTATGGGATATTTCAATACCTTTTAGCGGCTCTGTTCAATTTTTTCTCTTATATTTGGTAACCATCTCTGTAGAAAACTTTGACCATATTAAACACACTTCACCTATCCACTATCATCAATGCTGGGAAAGCGACGATTACAATGGATATACTTCTCTTAGTCAATTAAATCCCTTCCTTGTGGAAGGATCCATTGTTCAACGGTTCCCATATTCTGTGAGTTATTGCGATGTGCTGCTACATCTTGACCTTTACGTGATGCTCTCATTTGATTAGCTGACCACTTAATTTATCCCTTGTTAGTGGCCTCCCTGCCTTGTGTAGAAAAGACAAATGACCAACCAAAACAGACTACAGAAAAGGTCAGGAAAGTAGAAGTTACGGCCATATTTCAGGGAACAACGAATGAATTACAATTTACATACATCATTCACTCAGTGAGAATAGACAAGTAGCAGAAAACGCAGTCTTTCACATTCCAGTAACACCCCATTCATTTACAGGCTAACTAAATGGAAACTCAGAACACCCGACCAGCCTGGACAAATGCTGCCCCAGCCTCCCTCTTGCAACTGAAATCCTAGGTCTTGACAGTGATAAAGTGCTAATGGCCATCACTGGTCCACATGTGGATGGCATCTTATATTTTTAAAATATTTTATCACAAGGAATTCACATTGCCAATGGGCATACAAAGTATGGCTTCACTCTTAAAATTTAGCTGAATGCATAAAGGTGAAAGTTAGTTTTTCCTTTATATAAACAGTGGGAAGATAGCGGTTAAGAGTGTGGGCTTTGGAGAGAAAGACTCCCAGGCTCAACTTCCAGGCTTGCCACTTATGAGTTGAGAAAACAGAGGCAAATTATTTAACCTCTCTGAGTACTGCTTTCCTTATCCATTAAAATAAAAGTGATAATTATCTTTTGATTCCAGAAGATTGATTCACTAGTATAGTATCTAGCACACAGTGAACATTAAACAAATTTATGTTGTTATGGTTACTTTTCAAGGCACGTGAAATTACTAAATTGTAGAGTTACTAAATTTTAAATTTAGTAATACAGAATCCCACTTTATAGATATAAGTGGAACATCAGAGGGGTGAATACAGCCTCTCCGAAAGCTCCCAGGGGCTAGGTGCTGTGGCTTACATCTATAATCCTCACGCTTTGGGAGGCCAAGCTGGGAGGATTACTTGAGGCCAGGAGTTCAAGAGCAGCCTGGGCAACATAGCAAGACCCCATTTCTATAAAAAATAAGAAAAAAATCGCCAGGCATAGTGGCACAGCCTGTACCGTAGCTTCTCAGTAGTTCAAGGCTACAGTGAGCTATAATTGTGCCACTGAACTCCAGCCTGGGCAACACAGCGAGACTTCGACTCCAAAAAAAAAAAAAAAAAAGCAGCCAGGGCCAGGGTATTGCACACTCCAGGCTCCCAGGCTCTCCATTCACATGGGATCTAATAGTATGCTGTGGGTTGCCACTTAACACTGTATTGCAACCCTCTCTGGATTGTGGAACACAGAAAGCCTTACATGTGTCAGTCCTTTTCCTTGCTATGCTACTAGGTTTCCTTCAAAGAGAAGGACCGTATAGTCACTCCATGTCTGAACCTGTCTATAATATTAATATGACAAATGGCTCCTGATGACTTTGCCAGAAAAAGAATCACCTAATAAAATAATTAAATCAAGGACTTGATAGAAAGTGAATACCCAAAGTCACTTGTTTTGCAGAATTGAAGATGTCTTCCCTACCCTTTCTTTTTCTTAGTTCTAATTCATTTTATGCTAATTACTCCTGCTTTGTGTTGCTGGCAGCAGCAAAAATAAACCCCCCTCCCCAAAAAAAGTTACAATCTAATCATGCAACAGTGAGAGATGACTGTCTCCCAACATGGTTGCGTGGTGGTTATTCTCAGTGCCACTTAATTTATTGTGTCCCTCTTCTCTGCTCAGTGCCCCAGGAGGCTGACCCATATTGGACTATATAATTTGGCTCCCTGCCCTGTAACTTTCTGTTGGGCTTGGCCAAAGAAAGGCACTAGTAGAAATTGCAAAGGAAAAGGGAGAGCGAGGTTGAGATTTATTTATTTACTTATTTATTTCCCTAGCTTCCTCCCTGCCAATCATAACAGGTTGACTACATCTCTCTACTGAAGGCCACAACTCCTGAAAAGTAACCCTTGTCATAAAACTCTCTCCTCTCCCTCCCCGACCCTATGGGTTCCAATAACCAACATCTCCCCTTTCCCCTTCAGCCCAGGGATGGGAAGGACCTCCCATTGTGACTAGCCTCAAAGTTATGGCACCATCATTTCCTGCTTTTCCTAACTGCCCCT
The DNA here is from genome assembly GCF_000001405.40 of Homo sapiens. NCBI lineage: Eukaryota > Metazoa > Chordata > Mammalia > Primates > Hominidae > Homo > Homo sapiens. Next base: position 1,219,414 of record NC_000009.12, on the reverse strand, counting down.
TTGTAAATAGGCCCTTCTCAGCAGTCTCTCCTCAAGTTCTTCAATTTGAACATTTCACTTGTTTTTTTCTGGGACTCTAACAGATAAATTTAATGAAAGTCAATAGTAAGTATAACTTAATTTGCAGGTAGAAAATTAATTTTAGTTGTATTTCTAAATGTCCTAGGTCACTGTTATCCTCCTATAGTGTATGAATATTTTTCTCACCATTGCTTCCATCAGTGACCAAAACTTTGACTCAGGGACTGAATCATATAGAGACTAATTCTTAAACTTTGTCTATACCCAAAAGAGTTTTATAGTTTTCACTGTGGAAAACTACAAAAACTGATAACTGATCCTTATAAGCAGCTTTAGAGAAGCTCAATCTCAGTCCACAAAATAAAACCTAAAGGAAATAATGTACCTTTCTATCCTGGAAGTCAATTTCAAATTTAAGCCCCCATCAGACTGGTAGGAAACAATGCCAGGGGTTCAGTGGTCATCCCCTTTCCTCAGCTTGTATCTAAGTTCTGAGGGCAGAAGAGAGGTGAGTTTGTTCGGAATAGTTTTTTGCCCACACAGTTTGCCAAAGAGATGGTCACTGTCTAGTCCTGGTAGCTCCTTGAGGCCCAGTTTCTCACTGATGCTTCATGGTCCCAGGACACTAGATTTTGTGAGAATGTCTCGGGCCTTAACCGCCTAGATGCACATTCTGGGGTCTCGCTCCCTCTGTAGGATGCTGTCAGGATCCCCACTTCTCTAGGGCCTACAACCTCTCTCCTTTCCTCCATCCAGCCCAAGAGAATGTTCTTCTAGTCTGTAGCAGGCACTTCTATGAACCCCTGCTTTTGCCAAGCCACTCTACTTCTTTCTGCAACGGACTTTCAACTTTCCTCATCCTTGTTGGATACTTTGAGCACTCCTTTCAGTTTGGCCTTTGAAAACAGAAGCTAGAAGGAATTGAGGTCTTCCTTTTAGACTTTCAACCTGCCATTGACTTTGCTGAGGGGAGAGAAATGGGAAAAAAATTAATAGAAATTAATCTCTTAAATATATCTAGCTTTACAGCCAAAAGCAGTTAATTTGAGGAGGGAAAAAGAAGCTATCACATGGTCCATGACTTTGCCCTCAGTATCTGCATTTGAGTTTTGAGAAATAGCATAGTTTTTATTCAACCACACTTGACTGCCTCAGGTCATGGTGGTGTTTGAATCCTATGATCCAAATATGACCACTTATCAATATACTCACACCTGAATTAAACAACACTGTTCCACTCAATCATATTTTCTATTAAAAATATAATTTTCTATTGCATTAATTAATTTAAAATAATCTGCTGTTACTTATACTTGTAACATCATTTAAGAAAATATTTTAAAAGCAGGAAACCTTAAGTTCACAACTTTTATAAAATTTTGATCCACTTATTAATCTCAAAACTCCTACAGCCTTTTTCAACCAGAAAGAAGTTGTGTTTCCTTCTCAAAATAAATGGGATTTCCTCATGAAGCTGATTATCAGAATTGACTAATTATTAAATCATTAACCTTTTAATCCTTGCTCTAGCAGATTTCTAGTTCACCTCCAAAATAATCTTTAAGTTTTAAGAGGATTGTGTGCTTTCTTCAGATCAATTTGCAACATTTTTAAACAGAAAAAATGTTAATTATACAGATTTTTCTAAAGAGGTTTCATCATATGATATTACCTATACACATCAAATTGTTTTTTGTTTTTTTTTTCAACTTTTCAGCAATCGTGAACTCTTGGTCTCTGCCAGGCTAGCAAGAAATGTGAGGAGCCGTGTTCTGTGGCTCCACACTCAAGTCAGACCCAGCAGGCTTTGAAGGTGAGCATAAAAGGACTGCATAAGGATTCTAATATTTAAGCCCAGCTGGAGAATGTTACAGACCCTGTAGAGCTCCTTCAAGATGTGACAGGATTCCTCGTATTTCCGGCTGTAAATGCAACCTTTTCAACCTCAAATATCCTGCAATCCTTCAAGTATTAAGAAAGTTTCAACCTTGGTCTTTTAGTATGTTTTACTTAACACACCTCCTCATGTCATCAGAAGACCTCCCCAAATCCCGTTACACTGCTCCACTTCTGACCGGAAAGAGCAGAATCTGAGCTGTGCCTGGGTTAGGCTCAGAGCCAAATTCCTAAGTCTATTAAGAACCACCCTAAAATGACCAATCACAAGAGAGTCCCAGAGATCAAAAACCTCAAGAAATAGAACGGATCTTCAGCTGTCTTAAGGCAAAAACATCCTCAAACCCCATCTTCTCCTGTGGATCTTAGAACAGACGAAGCAAGGTAAGTGGATTTGGTTGAGTCCACTCATCTTTGTTATATGTGCCCTTAACAGCAAGCACAGGTACTATTTAGTATGACTAGATGGCCAATGAGCTACGAAGGAATGGGGCTGTCTATGAAGTGCCTTTAAGGTGACAGGTAGAAATGAATACTTGTTATAATTTTTTAAGTCCCAAGGAACATTTGTTAAGCAAGATTCTGTCCTATTCAGGACATGTATATCTTTCTCTGTATTTTCTGCCCTATGCAATTAGAGGCTATTATCCAATGATGACTATTATAAACCCAAGGCATTAATCATCCCATAGTTTTTTAGTGAAGATCTATGTAACTAATACCCCTTTCCTTAGTCATTAGCAGGCCTGGGAGAGACGAGATCATTTTGAGTCTCTGAAGTCTTAAAAGCAAACATTCACCAAATTCTTTCCACTTGTTTTGGGGCTTATTTACTGATTTAAAAAAAAAATCTTCCAAGTGTGACATTCCACAAACCCCACTGACATTGTTCTCCAAACACCTGGCTTAGTTGTCAAAAGGAAGAGAGTGGCGTGGGCAGGAAGATTGAACTGAGTAAGCCCTGGCCTGTTTTCATTTATGAAATCCCTTTCACTACTGAGCAAATGGAAAGGCAAGGCCACAGAGACTCCTTGAGGCATCAATCTGCTTGAATTAATGTGTTGCTACTCAGAATCTGATTGTGAAGCCTAAGAACTTGCATTTAAGGAGAAAACACCATGTGTGTCTGGGTATGCCGTGCAGATTGACAGGGAAACCAAGGCATGTGATGGACTTTGCAGAACATATCTGGATGCTATAAATCACCAGCTTTACACGTGTTACTTAGAATATCCGTATAGAGGGAATGCAATAATTATTTCAATATTAGAACCATCTCCTCTTCCAGGGTATTTTTACACCTAGCTTATTGAATTAATCATATATAAATCATTTTTCATGTGTTTTATAGTTGTCATGTCATGTTCCAAAATGACTATTATTTGAATATATCCATGTACTTAGAAAGCCCAAAATTAATTAAAATTATCTTAAAGAGAATTAAATAGATTTTTTAAGTGTTTAACACAAAACACCTATGCAAAATTTAATAGCTTTCCTTACCAGCAGGAAAACACAGGGAAAATAAAAGGAAAACTGGGTCTCTTTAGATTTGCAATAATATATAATGCTTTAGAATAACTTTAATGGGAAATGTAAATACCCTTATGAAGAAAACTACAAAACTTTATTAAGGAACATTAAAATTTTTTTGACTAAATGAAAATATATATCACATACTTCGATGGAAAGAATGGTTATTTAACAAAGTCAATACTTGCCAAATTAATGTGAAGGCTTAATGCAATTCTAATCAAAATACCATTTTAACTTTTTCCGTAAAATGATAAAACGATCTTAAAGTTCGTCCAGAAGAATAAACTGGCAAGAATAACTAGAACTGAAAAATAAGTGCATTGTACATCAGTAGTAGGTAAAATATAACACAACAAAAAAATAATTATGGCATTAGCACAAGAGTATAAAAATAGAGTTGACCCCTGAACAACTCGAGATTGAACTGTGCAGATCCACTTGTAGATGGATTTTCTCCTACCTCTGCCATCCCTGAGACAGCAAGACCAACCCTTCCTTTTCCTCCTCCTCCTGCTCAGCCTACTTAATATGAATACAGCAAGGATGGAGACCTTTATGATGATCTACTTGTGCTTAATGCACAGTAAATATATTTTCCCTTCCTTATGATTTTCTTTGTAACATCTTCTCTTCTCTACCTTACTTTGTTGTAAAAAGAACTACATAATATATATATAACATACAAAATATGTGATAATTGACTGTTTATGTTATTTGTAAGGTTTCCAGTCAACAGCCAGTTATTAGTAGTTAAGTTTTGGGGGAATCAAAAGTTATACGTGAATTTTGACTGGGCAGGGGATCAGCATCCCTAACCTCTGTGTTATTCAAGGGTCAACAGCAATCAGATAAAATTGGCTACATAAACCAGAGACTGATCCTACTAATCTATGCTTTTTTAATATAAAAAATCTAGGGAGGTGGCCTCACAAGTCAGTGTTGAATGTGCCTAGGTAGTTGGTTTACTCACTTGCCTATCTCTTGTGGTCACCCAATCTCATGCACATTTTCCCTATATTTCAATAATTTCCCACATTGTGAGGACTGCCTTCCAAAAATAATTTCTAGAAAAGTTCCTTCCCCAGTCAGATGTGGCTACATTTTCCTCAAAGGCTCCAGACGTTTTACAGGTAAACGCAGCAGCGGAGGCAGCTGGCAGATCACTCACCTGGCCAGTGCTCTGACACAGCTCTAGACGTAATTGCTGGAAGGTCGCCCCCCCCAGCTCAGTGATTTTGTGGCCACATGAGATCCTCAGTATGTGCTATGTCTGCTTAAATTAGCCATAGTGGATTCTGTTCTTTACAACTACAATGCTAACTAATAAAAATTGTTTTAATGAAAAACAGCTATTTAAATCCACACCTCACACCACACACATTAACGTGAATTCCTGTAGATTAAGAGATAACTGTTTTTGCATCAAATCTTTTAAAAACTAAAGAAAAATATAGATGACCTCTGAATAGAGAAAGACTCTCTAATGAGGGAAAACAAAAAAAAAAGAAAACAAGAAAAAGGTAAATACATTTCAGCACTTAAAAATGTTATACTTCTTGGGTGAAAGGGTACAAACATACAGTAAGATAGAAGGAATAAATTCAATGTTTGATAGAGCAGGGTGAGTATACTTAACAAAAATGTATTGTATTCAGGTGATGGACACCCTAAATACCCTGCCCTGACTTGATCACTTCACATTATATACATGTAACACAATTTTACATGCACCCTATAAATTTGTACAAATTTAAAAAAAATGCATTGACAAAGGCTTTTTTAAAAAGTTAGCATGCAGAATCTGTAAAAAGAAGTAAAATGTTGTTCATTGTCTTTTTATCTTTATGAGTTCTTTTGTTTCTAAATAAAGAAGGATTTACTCAATTAAAAAAAAATGTCACACTTCTATCCCTCCAAGGGGGGGAGTGTACAAAAGCTAATAAATATGTACTTATTGGCTTATTTAGATATTTTTATAAACATCACTAGTAATTACATAAATGCAATAAAAATAAGATGGTTTCAACTATCAAGTTAGCAAAGGTTTAATAATAATAATAATAATTTTTGATTCTAATAAAAACATTCATTTACTCAATTTGCAGGAATGTGGATTGGTACAAACTTTCTGGGATACAATCTCACAATATGTATATTAAGAGTCTTTAAAATATTTAGGCTGTATATGAAATGAGTAGTTCTAGAAATCTGTGTAAGGCAATAAATTATACTTTTCTATATTACTTTCATAAGCGAAAAATCAAAGGCATTACAGAGTTACTAAATACAAATTTAATGGAAAAAGAGACTACAAGGAAATCTTCCAGCAAGACTACTACTTCCCACCCAATACACTTAAAATTATACGTTAACAAATGAAAGTAAAGAAGGATGTATTTAGTCTACAAGTCAGAAACTGAAGTAATTCTGTCCTTCAGGCACATCACACACATTCTCTTTTGGAAGAAACAGAATAGAAAGGTACAGCTCACAGGCCTTTGTGACCCAGGAGTGGTACAGGAAACGGAGGAAAGGTTGTAAATTACTCTGAGGATTTCCTCCCCTCATTGGCTAAGATGGGTGCTTAACCCACACGGCCCAGCATTTAACATTGGGACTATTCCAGAACACCCAGTCATATAGTCACTGTGTGATCCTGACATCTCCTCAATATTTATAAAATGTCATGCCAATAAGGCCTTTCCTCCTATGGTAAGCTGGGATATTTTACACTGCTCAGATATTTGTAGGGTGCAGCCTCTGGCTTAGTTTGGCCTCAACCACAAATATAATTAGCTAGAGAGTAAGATTCAAAATTTAGTATAAACTAACCCAATTTTAGAAGCAAAAATAAGACATAATTCTGCTTATAATGAATCCAAAAAGTATAGTAAAATGTAGAATAATTGCCTCACATCTGAATTAATAGTGTTGACATAATCACTTAAATCTGGAAGTTACTTATTTCAAGAACTAGACACCTGAATTTGAGATAATTCTCCAAAGACTATTAGTAAATTATCAGTTATATTCCCCATTTATAACTGTCTTGTATTTTTTTCATTATATTATGTTATTTTATTTTTTGTGGAGACAGGGTTCTCAATATGTTGCCCAGGCTGGTCTCAAACTTCTGGCCTCAAGTGATCCTTTCCCTTCAGCCTCCCAAAGGGCTGGGATTACAGACATGAGCCACCATGCCCGGCCACTCATAATTATTATTAAGTTATTTCCTCGGTTATAAGACATCTGAGACATCTGGGTCAAGCATTTTCAAGATGCCATAAAATATCAACATGAGGCAGAAAACGTGAGGATGAAATGGTTCAAAGATGCAAATCTGAGAGACAGGGTATGGGTGAATCTGGGAGGTGGGCACACACCGAGAGGCAGGCCCTGGAATCGGAAACCACTCTCTGCCAAGAAGGGATGCACACTGATCTTTCCAGCCACACCCACATGTGGGGGAAACAATATCAGTGGTTATCTTTAACATCCTCTAAGCACATAAAGGACAAATGCAAGATTGTTTTACTCATTTTGGCAATTGTAAGTTTTCTAACTTTGAATCCACGTAAAGCTAGAAGTGTCATTGATGTGTATCTATTAAGTTTTAATGGTAGTCACCATGCCTATAAAGGTGGCCCAAGGTGATAAGATATCAGGGTTCAGTTCCAGAGAGGTGTGGCTGCCACTTCCAAGGAAGGCAGCAGCACATGGATGACCCACTCCTGACCCAGGGATAGCAACAAAGAATAACGGCACAAAGACAACCATGATTCAAAATGCCAAGATGTGCGCCGTGGTCTGATAGAAAATAATTGATCATGTTCTTTGTAATCATCCAAAGAAAAGACCACGGGGCTTAAGGTATATTCCATACATGTTTAAAAAGTTCATTTTAGTATTATTTATGAACATATGCAAAAAATCTATCCTGTGTACACATAATAGAGTCTGTTAATTATTTTGTCAGTTAATGGAGAACTCAGTTCAGGTTGGGCCTTTTAATCTAAGTAGAAAGTTCCCTCTCTCAGGTGTAATCCTCACTAAAGGACAATATGTTTAAGAGATATTTTCTAAGGAAATCTGAGAAAACACTGAGGTGAAAACCAGAGAATGTCAAGATCTTTCTCCCCAAAACCACTGCGTCTCCTCCCAACTCCACCATACTCCTCAGCAAGTTTTTTCCAATTCCTGCTCCCTTCCACAGGACCAGGTTAAGGACATGGAGACTGGTACTTACCACAAAGTAAAAGCCCTGTTGTGAGGGAGACTCACTGCGTTTTTTAAGTCCCTGCTAGGTATGGATGCCACATTGGCCTCTTTCCACCCACAGATGGCCCTCTCAGCTTCCAGAAACTAATTATCTAGGCTCCTAGTCACTCAGCCTTTCTTCTAAGGCTTCTGTACTCTGTGTCTGTTAAGTCCACCACTACTCCATGCACCTGCATCAATTACAGCTTCCTCCCCCACCTGGTGGCAACTCCAACAACCAAAACTCTGGGAGGTCCCAGACTCAACCCAATTCCTGAGCCTATGAGAATGGAGACAACAAGGACATCAGCATCCTTGCGTCCACCCGCATCTAATGGAATCAGGAACTAAGTCAATGGAATAGAGCCAAGAAACCTAGTAAGTCTGTACAATATTCCTCGTAGTTCATCTCCCATCTCCCATCATGTTGGAGTCTCCAAAGGGTAAGGTTTGTGCGTTGGTTTCCCCATTTAGCACTTGAGTTACTCTCAAGCACTAGAGCCATGCCCATCATAGCCTGAGGCCTGAGAGCATGCATAGTTGTGAGCAGCCTTCTCCTCTGATTCATTCTAGCCACAGACAAATTACCTGGCACTAAGCAACTGCCATCTGGCTGGTTTTGATCTATGCTGGTTATTCTCTGTGTGCTCCCTCACTTCCAACCATCCTCCACCCTTGTATGTCTTGCTCTGTGCCCCAGGATGCTGACTTCACGGATTCTCTCATTGCTGTCTCCAGATTGGGTTTGACCAATGGGAGGAACCAGGAGGAGATGGAACAGAAGGAGAACAAGAGGTCAGGTTATTTCTTTTCTTTTCTTTTTTATACTTTAAGTTCTAGGGTACATGTGCAAAATGTGCAGGTTTGTTACATATGTGTGCAGGTTTGTTACATATGTATACATGTGCCATGTTGGTGTGCTGCACCCGTTAACTCGTTATTTACATTAGGTATTTCTTCTAATGCTATCCCTCCCCCCTAACCTCACCCCACAACAGACCCCGGTATGTGATGTTCCCCACCCTGTGTCCAAGTGTTCTCATTGTTCAATTCTCACCTATGACTGAGAACATGTGGTGTTTGGTTTTCTGTCCTCATGATAGTTTGCTCAGAATGATGGTTTCCAGCTTCATCCATGTCCCTACAAAGGACATGAACTCATCCTTTTTTATGGCTGCATAGTATTCCACGGTGTATATGTGCCACATTTTCTTAATCCAGTCTATCATTGTTGGACATTTGGGTTGGTTCCAAGTCTTTGCTATTGTGAATAGTGCCACAATAAACATATGTGTGCATGTGTCTTTATAGCAGCATGATTTATAATCCTTTGGGTATATACCCAGTAATGGGATGGATGGGTCAAATGATATTTCTAGTTCTAGATCCCTGAGGAATCGCCACACTGTCTTCCACAATGGTTGAACTAGTTTACAGTCCCACCAACAGTGTAAAAGTGTTCCTATTTCTCCACATCCTCTCCAGCACCTGTTATTTCCTGAATTTTTAATGATCACCATTCTAACTGGTGTGAGATGGTATCTCATTGTGGTTTTGATTTGCATTTCTCTAATGACCAGTGATGATGAGCATTTTTTCATGTGTTTGTTGGCTGCATAAATGTCTTCTTTTGAGAAGTGTTTGTTCATATTCTTCACCCACTTTTTGATGAGGTTGTTTGATTTTTTCTTGTAAATTTGTTTAAGTTCTTTGTAGATTTTGGATATTAGCCCTTTGTCAGATGGGTAGATTGCAAAAATTTTCTCTCATTTTGTAGGCTGCCTGTTCACTCTGATGGTAGTTTCTTTTGCTGTACAGAAGCTCTTTAGTTCAATTAGATCCCATTTGTCAATTTTGGCTTTTGTTGCCATTGCTTTTGGTGTTTTAGTCATGAAGTTCTTGCCCATGCCTATGTCCTGAATGGTAATGCCTAGGTTTTCTTCTAGGGTTTTTATGGTTTTAGGTCTAACATTTAAGTCTTTAATCCATCTTGAATTAATTTTTGTATAAGGTGTAAGGAAGGGATCCAGTTTCAGCTTTCTGCATATGGCTAGCCAGTTTTCCCAGCACCATTTGTTAAATAGGGAATCCTTTCCCCATTTCTTGTTTTTGTCAGGTTTGTCAAAGATCAGATGGTTGTAGATGTGTGATATCAAACTATACTACAAGGCTACAGTAACCAAAACAGCATGGTACTGGTACCAAAACAGAGATATAGACCAATGGAACAGAAAAGAGCCCTCAGAAGTCAGGCTATTTCTTCTCCACTCCCTCCCTGGTCTGGGCCCTGTGTCTAGAAGTGGCTCTGCCCTCTTGTGATCACAACATTGGCCAGAGGCAGCTCCTCCCTAACAGCTCCTGATCTCAAGGGGCTGCAGAGACATCATTCTCTCTTACTCCTTCAGACCTAGGGTAGTAACAACTCCCAGCTGTTGCTAGTCCCTGAGTACTCCATCTTCCCTGATTGGCTCCCTTAACTCTGTCCACACCATTCTCAGCTTTCCCTTCATCACTGTCTTGTGAATGATCTGAACTGCATTCTGTTTCTTGAAAGTTTCTCCGTCGTTCATATCTACCACCATGTCCACTACCCCATTCCACATGCCTGATTCTTCACCCCCTACCGAAGCCTACTCTGCCCCATGGACAGGACATTTTGAGCCTTTCTGCATCCCACCAAGTGTGCCAGCCATGCTATACCCCCTAAGCATTGGACTCTACTCTGTCCAGGATGCTGCATTGAGATCTCTGCACACTTCAACTACACTAGCAAGATACTCAGCTATGACTATGACTTCACTGTTTACCTGGATCATTTCTGGTTTGCAAATATCCCAATGCACACTATTCATGCACAGCCTGGTTGTAACCCACCTTGCACTCACCATCAATACAGTAGATGTATCCCATTCTGGCTCTTCTTCATGTATTGAAGACCAGCTATACCCTGACTACCAGTTTCCAAGTGCTGTTCAGGGGCTGGGGTGCTACTGTATCCTCCCCTCCATCCTGTACTCTATACCAGCCAGTATAGCTGGAGCAGTCCCAGCACCTTCAGAGGGGATAAGGAGATGGGAACCATAAGACTTTCCATTGGATTATATCCTAAAATTCCATCAGATTCTGTATCCACAAAACTCAGCTATATTTGGGATCATATGTAGATGTGTCATGGTCTTGGGTGACTTTGAAAGAGCTGATAATCATTACTTTTAGAATTCTAGGCTCTTTGGACTTAAAACCTTCCTCATCTTGCTACAGAGGTCTGCATGACTCATGCTGCTATTTGCCTCCCTCATCCAGTGTCTGACCTCACTCTCAGGGAGGCCCCCTCCACTCTGGCAACATCCTACCCCAGACACCAGGCAAAATACAATTTCTCCCACTCCCTGACAGCCTGCCTCCTGTCTCCCCAAGATACCACTCCCTTTCTTCCAAAAGAGCCTCCCAGCCCTCCCTCTCCAGAACATCAGCCCTCGTGCTGCATAAATAATTTGTGCGTCTTCCTCCAATACCTTTCCTCTTTTCCCTTGTCATTTTCACTCACATGCTGATGTCCAAAAAGATGTGGGGGTGGGGGAGGGCTCTAGCCAGGAGGGAAGAAGATACATTATCTTCCTGGCACTTTCTAATAGGGTCTTTTTCAAAATTTGAAGGGAGATACACAGGTTGGAACAAATTTCTTTCAAGCCCATTTAGGCTTTCTTGTGCTTTTTCCATTATCATTTTTATAGCGGAGATTTCAGTGAGGATTCACAGTGAGTCATTTTATGAGGTAGCTCCATCTGTACCATCTGCAAGCATGACTTTCCCATCACTCCAGACATTACGTATCTCCTTATGGCAGCCCGGATAGGGGGTGGAGATTGCCAAGCCAGGTCACATGCCAGGAGTCCATCACTCATCTGAAGGTGGTGGGCAGGGTCTGCTTACAATTAGGTTCAACTCCTGGTTCTAGATAATATGTCCCTCTGGCTTCAGATGCTTTCTTGCCAGCTCCCTGCTGGGCCCAGGAGGAGTTGGGACTCTGCCTTCTTGGTTTCTTTCCTTCTGTATCTCTGATCCCCATCACACCTGCTTTCTTGCTCTCATTATCCGTATCTGTCTATATCTGTTTCCATCATCCCATCTCTGTCTCTTATTATACACCTCTCTCCATCTCTTTCTCCTTCCCCATGTTTCTGTTGCTCCATCTCTCCTCTGCCTCTCTTTCGCTAGGCCTCATTCTTTATCTCCCTCCTCTTGTCCTTCCTCTTTTCTGTCCTCTTCTCTGTGACTGGTCCTTTACAAAGAAAATTTTCAAATCACGCTAACATAGAATACAGCTGCTTCTCACAATGTAACCAGAATGCCAGGATGCAGAGCAAATGAATTCAAAAAATCCATCTCCCAAGACAGAGAATCTCATGTTCAAAATGTTTTTAAGAAAAGTCAGGATTTGTATATAGTGCTATTGCTGGATAAAACATATGTAAACTTTAGGGATGGGAGTGAGAAAGTCATTTGTGAAATGAGTATTAGGGAGAGGTCACCACTAAATCAGGAAGTAGAACTTCTCACTACAGTCTTTTCAATGCTAATATGGCCCAAATTTTAATTTAGAATAAATTTCCTGGGTGTCAATTATTTCTCCCACATTCTGTTCCATTCATTGTAAAACATCAGAACCAAAAATGAGATTGTGATTACGAATTTTTTTCTATAACTCAATCGCCTGCATTTAATTTGCATCTTACTTGGGGAAGCTATATAAGTAAATAAACAAAGACTTCCAAATCTTCAACACTGTCAATTCAATTTAAAGGATTCCTAGTAATAAAAAAAAAAGTCTGTCTTTACACGACTCAGTGGTACAACCACTCTATTAAACAGATGAATCTACTTCATGATTGTTTGACACTCACACTCACATGTTAAATCATCTAAACATCAAGGAAGGTGATTGGGGCTTTTCTTTTGTCACACCACAAAGATATTCATACAGATGGCATGACAGATACTTGACATATTATCAAATTCAAATCAATATGTGCTCAAATCCTTACTTTGCTAACTTACATGTTATGTGGCAGTTAACTTTTAAAAGCTTCAGTGTCCTCCTCTGTAAAATGTGCACTGTAGCACCCGTCCCACAGTATCCTTGGGAAAATGTAATGAAGTGCTATCTCTACTCCAGCTAGAAGTTAGATCATGCCCAATGCCTTTTGTGTTTCTTAAAAAGCTGCTCTATTAGGTACTATGAATTAGCCCTCAAATTAACAAAATCACCCAGTGATATAGATGGTTGAAAAACTGATGATTCCACTGTTTTAAAATTGTCTGACAGCCTTTCACATAATGTATTTAATTGTCTCACCCTTAGAATTGTCAATAACAGTAACAGCAGGAGCTAATACTTACTTAGGTAAGTTCTATGCTGCGTGTTTTATATGTATTGTCTCATGTTGTCTCACGACAACTTTTAAAGTAGATGTTTTCCTCCTTTTTCATGAAACTGAGGCTCACAGATCTTAAGTAATTTGCCTAATGCCACACGTACCTAGTCAGTGGCACAGCTGGAAATTTTCTGCTGTCGTTGTTGTAATCTCACCTTTTATTTTAGATTTAGGGGGTACATGTGCCGGTTTGTTACTTGGGTATATTTCGTGACACTGATGTTTGGATTACGAATGATCCCATAGCCCAGGGAACGAGTACAGTACCCAGCTGTTAGTTTTTCAACCCCTACCCTCCTCCCTCTCTACTGCCTCTAGTAGTCCCCACCGCTGGGAATTTAAACCAAGTCTTTCAGACTCAGAGCCCATGCTCTGCTCCCAAGACAATGTGGCACAAAGGGATAAGGTGACTACTGAACTTTATCATGACAGCTGATTTAGCTAATAAGTGGCTGAGGTTTTTTTTAATCTATGAACAATCTAGAAACTGAACAGCAATGTCTAATTTAAACTCTTGGAAAACAGCGCCTTTCTCCATCACAAGGCCTGAACATCAACTCCAGCAAGATTACAAGACCATGTAACATGGAGCCCAAGTCCTGGTATTAAGTCCCAGCTCTAACTGCAAGCTGTGTGCCCTGGGTAAAATCATATCACCTCTCTGATTCTCAGTTTTCAAATGTTGAAACATAACTAGAATAAAAGTTGAGAATTGAACCAAATGGTATGTTAAGTGTACCTTTTACCTAAGTGTAAAGTATTTTCATTTTCCTATGTAGGTTTTCCAAACAATAGAGTGTGGAAAAGCCGAGTCACCCTGAGATAAGTGTTAGGCTGAGAAATATTTGGCCTATGGGCCACTAGTCCAAGGCAAGAGCATGATATCTGCCATTATTACCATTCAAAAACTCTACGCCAGAATGAATGGGGGGTGGGGAGGAACAGAACTTTTGACAACAGACCAGTAAGAAATAGAATGTAGATGTTAATTCATAATAGAAAAAGAAGTACAATTCATAGCAGGAAAAAAATAAAAAGAAGTCTATTTTTTTCTATATATTAACATTTTCTGGCTGGGCATGGTGGCACATGCCCATAATCTCAGCATTTTGGGAGGCAGAGGCAGGAGGACTGCTTGAGCCCAGAAATTCAAGACCAGCCTAGGAAACATAGCAAGACCCCATCTCTACAGAAAATTTAAAAATTAGCTGGGCATGGTGGTGCACACCTGTAATCCTAGCTACTCAGGAAGCTGAGCTGGGAAGATTACTTGAGCCCAGGAGGTTGAGGCTACAGTAAGCAGTGATTGCACCACTGTACTCCAGCCTGGGCAACAGAGCAAGAACTTTTCTCAAAAAAAAAAAAAAGTAAAGAAATAGAATGTAGACATTAGTTCACGGTAGAAAAAGAAGCATAATTTATGGCAGGTAAAATTAAAAGTCTCTTTTTTCTATACATTAATATTTTGTATGCGTTTTTATCTATTCAGTAATGTCACATGATCACCTATGGAGTTTAACTTGAAATCTACTCCAAGACATGGTAAAAAACATAGAATCTAAGACTCTTGTGAAGTTTACTTCTGTTTGCCCAAAGATGGTCTATATCAATCAACAACTTCTGGTGTCACTGATTCACCTGCTAACTCTTCATGGGTAGATGAGTCCCTTTTCTGTAGCCCTTGTTGTTTTTCAGTTGGGAATTTCCAAAGGATTTGGAGTGCAACAAATGCTTTCCTGGACCCTGTGTAGTGAGTTACCACTTTGTCATCATTCAGGATTCAACACGGACATGAGGCTAATGCAGGACATGGTCATATAGGTTCATGGTTGCAGAACCATCTCAAAACAGAAAGCAAGGCTCTTCCTGTACTTTCTGTTGGTTTCAGGTGGGAACATTCACTTCCTAAATCATTTCTCATCGGAAAACAGCTGAACTTGGGTGTGGATGAGGAAAAAGGAAGAGATGATAACCAACTGAATGGAAAGCTCTTCTCACATGGCACCATCTGGTAGTGAAAAAGCAGGGGATTAGAGCTCCAGGCCCTGACCTGCAACTCTCTGTGGGACCTTGACTAGTCACTTAATTCTTCTGATCTCTGTCTTCTCATCTGTAGAATTACAAGACTCACCTAAATGGTCTCTTTCTAAGCCCAAGACTCTATCCAGTAATTTTAAATATTCTCTAGATTAAGTAAAGCTAAAATACTTGATTTCTGATTAAGCCCTTTTTTATTATTTACTCTAAGAGGCAAAGAAGATTCATCTTTTAAAAAAACAGACTAAGAAAAATTAACTATTAGCTCTGGAAAAAGTATAAAAATATCATTTTGCTCTACGTGACTATGTCAGTCCATGGTGGACATTAGCATCAGAATGCCGAGAGCAAATTTAGCTCCGCAGTGAAATACGGATTCAAACACATAGCCTTTATCAGTCCCTAGCAAATGTTATTCCCCGTACATAACTTTCCTGGGATCTTCAGTGTATTCCTTAAACTGCAAAATTTAAAGATTTCCCAAATAGCTGCTTCTAGAAACACATTTCACCCATGCAATGCCAGCAATACCAAAAGAAACTGCCATTTTAATTTTAATGTAAATATTGTAGACACTCATCACTTCATTGCCTAGTGGCACAGAAACAGATCTGGTACTTGAGATACCATTTTTCCTTTGTACAAGACGAACACTGGGTTCTTTGCTTAAAAATAGCTAAATTGATTTGTCCCCAGCATAGCATATGATAAGAAGAAAAAAAACAATTTAACTGAGGGGAGTTTCTTTTTGCTTTGGGAATTGTTTTAGAGCATTTCCTTCTGCTCAAACTGCATTTCTCTAATAGTAAGAGTAGTAGTGTAGAATGTGAAAATACCACTAAAAATTAAGGCCACTTTGAAACCCAGGTATATCAAAAACCAAGCCCTTCCCACCTCACCTTAAGAGAGAATACAGGAAGAAATCAGGATGGGTTTTCTGATAGCTACTATATTGCAATAATGAGACAGTTCAATATCTGAATCTTTACACCAAAAATTTCAGACCAATCTGTTGAGTAGGATAACAAACTACAAAGCACAAATGCCAGATTCCAACAGGCTTCTCATTCTTTGACTCAGATTCAGAGGCAAAGACTCATGATGGTAGTTTCATGTATTATTCAATGAGTAATACAATTTTAATGAGAAAAGCAAGAGAACAACAGAAAAGAAAGCAGCCTCCTAGTACACAGACACTTGGCTGAAGGCCAGACATACAGCCATTTGCAGCAATGAAGAAGTGGTCCATGTTCTCCCCACAAGTCTCATATGGTTGTATAAGTTCAAATGACAAAAGATATCAATTAAGCAATGGCTCCTTTCCTTGGCGTCAACCACAATTTCAGAAAAGCTGCCTGTCATCTTCTTTGCAGCCTAAGTCTATGTACAGTAGCTCCATTCAATGCAAGAGTCTGTGTGCTGGACACCAAGGGACGACAACAGAACTGGTTCTGCTTGACTCTCTATGAAGGTTGTATAAGCAAAGCTTGGAGTTCAGGGCAGAAGCCCAGATGGGCAAAGGACCAAAGAAGACAAGGGCAGCACCCTGCCCCTTTGCAACACAAGTAATCTCTGTTTATCACAGCAAATCCAGGCAGCCTCATGTTTTAAAAAGCAAAGTCACCAAATTTTCACCACCCAGAGATGACCATCTTTGCATGTTTTTAGATATCCTTCAAGAATTTATCTCCATACAAATGAGTGTATACGTCCATTTACTGCAAATAGAATAATAGCCATTTTATACATATATATAACATTCTAAAACTTATTTTTCTGACTTAGTAGTATGTAATATTCTGTATTACTTTTTAAAACTTCAAATCCCCTATTTTGGCACATTTAAGTTGTTTCCAACTTTTCTTTGTTCAAATGTATATACGCTCACATTTGCATGGCATTACATTCTGGAAAGACACATACGAAAATATCACACTATGATAAACATCTTTGAACATGCGTCTTTTCATGGAACATGCTTTTTCTGATTTTTTCCTTTGAAATATTACAAGAAGTGAAATTACAGCTTCCAAGACTCTGCACGTTTTTAAAGCTACTGAGACTTATCCCCAGACTGCCATACATTTTTCTTCAAGGGGAGCCCCACGCTCAGCATGGTGGCATGCAGGATGCCCAAGATTGGATGCTAAACGGCATGCAAATCCCTACTGCCAAGAAGCCGATGGGAAACAAACTGGAACACTTTCTAAAGCGTTGAGGTGATTCTTGCTTAGTGCCCAGAGATCTTTCAGCAATTTCATATAAAATATTCCTTCACGTCAGACCCATAATCACCCTTTCAAAATTGTGCCGTGGAGAGTCATGGATATGTATTCGCTGTGCAGGGCATAAATCTCTCTGATCCACGCTGCAACCTGCAGAGCTTCCCCTCCCACAGGAGCAGGGCTGCTCCAAGGCCAGCCAGGGCAGCTGAAAAGTATATGTTCTGGTCCCCGGTTCTCACCTCTTCTCCCCACCTCTCCCACACCCTCCCCCAGCTTCCGTCCACCTTTGGACTTGCACACTTCCCTTTGATAAATGCTTTTGGGAAAATATTTTATAAAATGCTTAACTATGCAAATCTGTCTTTCAAAACAGTACCCACGATCAAACCTAAATATGTAAAGGAACTACTGCACCTATTCAGTGCCAAATGGAAATGCTAGGGGGATCAGAGCCGTGAGGATTTGGTGAGTGCCAGCACAGAGCCCAGTCCTTTTCTGGCCTGGATCATTTGTCCAAAGAGCAGAACACAGTGGCTCTGCCCTTCAGTTGAAGAGCATCTCACATAGACTGAGGCTGGGTAGGAGATAGACCAATCAATGTCATTCCCCAAGAAGTTGGCATGAAAGTTGACATATGAGGGGAGCCTTTCTCATAGTCCTGGGGTGTTCTGCTATCATACTTGACACCTCTTACTTCACCATGAAAAAAATAATCACTCTAAGTGCAAACAGCTTCCCAAGCCCTGGGCTAAGTATTAATAGTCTGGCTCCTCCAAAAGCTGCCAAGAGTCCCCGTTCAGGTCTCCCAGAGTCTGCTGCCTTGGGACAGGCTTGGCTGCCCTCACTTATGTCACCACACACAGGCTCTCCAACCCTGGCTTATTCATATGCAGCATTTGCTGACATAGCAGCACACAAAATCACGGGGCTGTTATTTCCATTGTGGTCTTGCAATCAGTGCCAAGTGACCTATAAGCTCCTGAAATGCATCCTGAGCCCTTGGCACAGGAGGGCTATTTAAAGTCCGTGTCTGTGCAGGACCTGGAGTGTTTGCAGAATGTCCTAGTGCTGTGAGCTTTGGCCACTGCCCATGGTTATTCTGAACTCAACCTTGTCAAAGCTCAGAGGCAGTTGGTGGGGGAGGGGACAGCTGATAAGAACTTGGAAAGGACTGTACCTGTGTAGGGGCAGCTATACAAAGCTAGACCTTTCATGGTGGTCAGGGAGGTAGGCAGGTTCTGGGGACTCTGGAAGCTGCTTAAAGAAAACACTCTGTGACCCTGGTGAAATGATATCTTTCTCCAATCAGGCTCGTAAGAAGCAGTGAATGCTTTTATCTGTGCTCAGCAGCTTCAGAGTGATGAAAAGTTGATCAGCAAGACCCTCACACTCAGAACAACCTTAGTCCCCAAGACGGTCACCTGAGAGTCCCAAGCCCACTAATGGGTTTGTAGACTGCAGTCACTACAGGCAGCCAGACATCAATGATAACAATAATAATTACTGCATCTATGACTTGTAGAGTGCTATATACTATTGTACACTTCTTTGTAAATGAAATTGTATGCAATTTTATGTAACCCCCCTAATATCTTTGTGAAGCTAGTATATTATTCTTCATATTACAGGTGACTATCCTGAGGCTCAGAGAGGTTACATTGATGGTCCAGGTCACACAGCTAGTAAGTGACAGAGCTGGAATTCAAACCCAGGTCTGGCTGACTCGGAAGCACCTGCTCTTAACCTCTGCACCAGGCATACACCTACCTGCTCACTCACAGACAGAACAGAAGATAAGCACATTCAAAAGTTATTCCCATGTTGACACTCTTCTTTCTCATGGGCAGTTGACTCAGGTCCTATCTTCACAGGGTTTACTGGACCATGTCATTTGAATGCTACCCCATACCCACACCACCACTTGATATGGCCCAAAGCAAAATCAGCCTCTTTCATCAAAACTATTTCCTTCTTCATCTCTGACATGGAGCCATTATGCACGTCAACCAGGTGTGAAACTACATAACCATATTTATCTAACCCTTCTTCCTCACTTTCATGCAGTCAAATAAATCCTATCTTTTCTCCTTCAAAATGGTTCTTTGAAGCTAGCAATCAAGATTTCCTTATTCCAGCTGCCTTGGAGCTGGGCTCCCTGTATCCAGCCCCCAGCTCCTCTGCTCTCTCCTGAATATCATTTCCAGACCAGACTTCTTCAACAACGCTTCTGTCAATTCATATCTTGCCCTAGGCCTACAATCTCCTGACTATATTCCTTGGTCTGAGTATCAGGGCCCCCTATAACTGGACCCACCCTACCCTTCACTATTCCTCAAAGATGCCCTCTGCCCTACCAGATAAAACCACCTACACCATGCTCAGGGCAGAGGGCATTCTCTCCTCTGTACTTTTACTCACACCAATCCTCTCACCAACAAAACCCATCCCAACAACCTACAGCATCCCAATCCAAACCACCGTTCAACCATGAGGTTGATTTCACTGCCTCCATGAAACCTTCTTTTATTTCTCCCAACAAAACTGTCCTAACTTTTCTCCGATCAGCACTTTTGGTCTACTCAACACAATTTCCCAGTTCCTCATAGTCTTCACTAACTGCTTCCTGAATCTTGGTCCCTTTGCCTCTCAACCAGATGTTACATTTCCTGAAAACCAGAACTATGTTTATTTAAAATTTCTTAATAAATACTTACTAATAAAATAACTAATAACACAGTTGTCACTTGACTATACAAAGTGTATATTGTTGCATTTCACAAAAAACTCGGTGTATAGAGTTCAGTCAACACATCCATTTCTAAACTAATTATGATAAAGTTAAAACAACTTTCTCGAATCAAGAGACTTGGCTTGGCGTGACCTTGTGTGAAACAGATCTTAGCCATTGGTTGGCCATACATTTAAGTGAACCAGTTGAGGGAAAAAGCCAAGCCAAGGCAATTTGGTTCTGTATCATGAGAAACACAGTGACCAGGTGATGAATATAGGTCCCAAGGCAACCTGCACTGACCTGAACACATGCTGAGTGCCCTATTCAAATTCTGTGTATCACATGGTGACACTATTGATTACCCATGGGAATGGGATGAAACCAAGGAGGGGATATAGAAATGATTATAAATGGAAAAACCTTTGATGGAGTCAATATGTTCAGAGGCCTTTCCAATAAAAGGGACATTCTAACAAAAATCTGTTCTATGTTCCTCCATGGGCAGAAGCATTCGAAGAAAGTTTTAGGTGAGGGATGCAGGTTGTCCTAGTTTAACATGTATCTTAAGTATATATAAGTAGTAATTTCTCTGTCATAGAAACAATTGCACCAGACATTAAGTGTCTATGTCAGGAATGCTTTAGAAAGGATTCCTCCATTGAGTAGAAGCTACAGTGACACAGTCCACTGGAGGCTCTATGACCTCTTTGCTATATCACCTGGTTATATTGAGGAGATCCTGGACTTTTCTTGCCTCCAAGAATGTGATCATCATGACATTCCAACAGTCACAGACTCTTCTTTTCTGAACCAGCCACAAAGAGCTAGAGAGAATAGAAAACTCAAATGCCTACCGGGGATAAGCAGGTAACTAATTGTCTGTATCACATTGCAAATAAAACAATAGAGTAGAAAGTCCAGTGTAGAACTAGTATGTCCAGGTCTTGCTCAAAGTTATTCAAATTCCATTTATTTCAAAACTTTGTGCCAGGAAAACTGGAACAACCAGTTTGTAACTCTAAAACATAGTACAGAATAAAGTATTAAAGGATTTTGCTTTATTTTGTTCTGTTTTGTTTTTGCTATGACTGCAGATCACTGTGATTAATAGCAACAACTGTGAGTCAGAATGACTGGGTTTAAGTACCAGTTCAGTTGTTTTTAGTTATTTCATTTCTGTGGACCTTAATTTCCTCATCTTTAAAATAGGGATAAGAAGTATAATTACCTAACTGGGTTGTTTTGAGGGAAAAAAATGAAATAATGTGTATTATATGCTTACAGCACAGCTTAGCACTTTGTAAGCACTCAAAATTAAGTTGTAACTGGAAGGATATTCTAAATTGTATATTTGTTAGGAATTCCTAAGGTGTTTTTATAAACAATGCTTGAAGTTTAATTAGGACACAGTCATTACATTTTCAAAAAAAAGACTAAATATTTTCTCTTGTAAAATATGTTGTGCTTCATTCCAAGAATGGGTAGGATTCATAAAGTGTGGGCAGTACAGATTACATAAATCCAAAAGGGGTCACAGAGCATGAGGGGCCCTTCCCCACTCGTGGGCTGAGCTGGGGGACACATGTCACCCCTACAGCTCTGTCTCATCCACAGTCTCTGGATACAGCAACTTTACAGCAAAACCCCATTATTCGAATCTTGAGAGGCATTTCTAGTGCGTGCCTGATAAAGCAGTGAGTCCTAATGGTTTAGTGTAAATGTGGGTATTCAAGGGCTTTCTTATGATCTGGTCTACTGCAAATTCCATTTACGTTCAGAGAAAACCAAAACCTTCAAAAACACTTTAATTTAACTAAGACAATATGGCTGCTTTTTTTTTTTTTTTTTTTTTTTTTTGAGACAGAGTCTTGCTCTGTCGCCCAGGCTGGAGATCAGTGGCGACATCTCGGCTCACTGCAACCGCCCTGACCCCCCAACCCAGGTTCAACAGATTGTTCTGCCTCAACCTCCCAAGTAGCTGAGATTACAGATGCCCGCCACCACACCCAGCTAATTTTTGTATTTTTAGTAGAGATGAGGTTTCACCATGTTGGCCAGGCTGGTCTCGAGCTCCTGACCTCAGGTGATCTGCCCGCCTCGGCCTCCCAAAGTGCTGGGATTACAGGCATGAGCCACTGCACCCGACCAAGATAATATGGCTCCTTTTGCAATTATTCCTTAGTGTATCATTTCCCTCTTAGATTACAGGAATCTCTGAAGTTTTTAGAAAAAAAAAAGCAGCAATGTAAAAAGGTCACTGACATTAATTGAGCTTACCCAAAACAGAGCAGCATTCCCTAAATCACAGTCCTCAGAAGAGTTGATAACAAATGTTCTGCACAAAGAGGGGTCCATGATTAAATAATTTTGAGAAGTGATACATACTATAGAAATCCTCTCGAAAATATACAATATACATTAGTATAATAATGGCACCAACAATGAGTTAACTTGGCTTGATCTGGTATATTGACCACAAAACTCTATTCCTTGAAACATGTATATAATCACATTTAGAAATGCCTTCTTGTGACAGTCTCTTAATTTTCTTTCTCAAAATATTTGCTCTTTTACCACCTCTACCTCCAAAAAAGAATTTGAAGCAAATGCTAATGGGGTCAAAGAAAGTGACCTCTCTAGAGACCTGAAATTGTAAAACTTCAACCTTCTGTCTTTGCTAGCCTTATTCCTATCCCAAAGTCACTGCAAAACGTCAAAGACAGCATTAGCATACCTTTCTTGATCTTGCTCAAAGGTGTTGAAGTCTACATGTGTTCTGCATAAATGATCACCTCTTCTCCACTGCTGATTATCTATGCAACAGTCCTCCCCACTTACCTGAGGCCGCAGGACCACTTTCATACTTCTCCAGGTCAAATTCTGCTCTATAATAAGTTGTAAGGAATACAAAGGTAGTAAAAGACATGCAGACCCTGACCTCATGGAGTGTACCTTGTATTAGAGGATCCAGGTCTACACTTATGCGAGAGTCAGATAGGCTAAGAATTAACAAGCAGGGTGGAGCAAATATGGCCAAATAGGAACAGCTCCAGTCTACAGCTCCCGGCGTGAGTGACAGAGAAGACGGGAGATTTCTGCATTTCCAACTGAGGTACCTGGTTCATCTCACTGGGGATTGTTGGAAAGTGGGTGCAGGACAGTGGGTGCAGTGCACCAAACATAAACCGAAGCAGGGCAAGGCATCGCCTCACCCAGGAAGCGCAAGGGGTCAGGGAATTCCCTTTCCTAGTCAAAGAAAGGGGTGACAGATGGCACCTGGAAAAATGGGTCACTCCCACCCTAATACTGCACTCTTCCAACAGTCTTAGCAAACAGCATACCAGGAGTTTATATCCCGCACCTGGCTCGGAGGGTCCTAGGCCCACAGAGCCTCACTTATTGCTAGCACAGCAGTCTGAGATCAAACTGCAATGCGGCAGTGAAGCTGGGGGAGGGGCACCCGCCATTGCTGAGGCTTGAGTAGGTAAACAAAGCAGCCGGGAAGCTTGAACTGGGTGGTGCCCACCACAGCTCCAGGAGGCCTGCCTGCTTCTATAGACTCCACCTCTGGGGGCAGGGCACAGACAAACAAAAGGCAGCAGAAACCTCTGCAGACTTAAATGTCTGACAGCTTTGAAGAGAGTAGTGGTTCTCCCAGCACACAGCTGGAGATCTGAGAACTGACAGACTGCCTCCTCAAGTGGGTCCCTGACCCCCAAGCAGCCTAACTGGGAGGCATCCCCCAGTAGGGGCAGACTGACACCTCACATGCCCGGGTACTCCTCTGAGACAAAACTTCCAGAGGAACAATCAGGCAGCAACATTTGCTGTTCACCAATATCCGCTGTTCTGCAGCCTCCACTGCTGATACCCAGGAAAACAGGGTCTGGAGTGGACCTCTAGCAAACTCCAACAGACCTGCAGCTGAGGGTCCTGACTGTTAGAAGGAAAACTAACAGAAAGGACATCCACACCAAAACCCCATCTGTACATCACCATCATCAAAGACCAAACGTAGATAAAACCACAAAGATGGGGAAAAAACAGAGCAGAAAAACTGGAAACTCTAAAAATCAGAGCACCTCTCCTCCTCCAAAGGAACGTAGCTCCTCACAAGCAATGGAACAAAGCTAGATGGAGAATGACTTTGACGAGTTGAGAGAAGAAGGCTTCAGATGATCAAACTACTCCGAGCTAAAGGAGGAAGTTCGAACCAATGGCAAAGAAGTTAAAAACCTTGAAAAAAAATTAGACGAATGGCCAACTAGAATAACCATGCAGAGAAGTCCTTAAAGGACCTGATGGAGCTGAAAACCAAGGCATGAGAACTACGTGACGAATGCACAAGCCTCAGTAGCCGATTCAATCAACTGGAAGAAAGGGTATCAGTGATGGAAGATCAAATGAATGAAATGAAGTGAGAAGGGAAGTTTAGAGAAAAAAGAATAAAAAGAAACAAACAAAGCCTCCAAGAAATATGGGACTATGTGAAAAGACCAAATCTACGTCTGATTGATGTACCTGAAAGTGACAGAGAGAATGGAACCAAGTTGGAAAACACTCTGCAGGATATTATCCAGGAGAACTTCCCCAATCTAGCAAGGCAGGCCAACATTCAAATTCAGGAAATACAGAGAACGCCACAAAGATACTCCTCAAGAAGAGCAACTCCAAGACACATTATTGTCAGATTCACCAAAGTTGAAATGAAGGAAAAAATGTTAAGGGCAGCCAGAGAGAAAGGTCGGGTTACCCACAAAGGGAAACCCATCAGACTAACAGCTCATCTCTTGGCAGAAACTCTACAAGCCAGAAGAGAGTGGGGGCCAATATTCAACATTCTTAAAGAAAAGAATTTTCAACCCAGAATTTCATATCCAGCCAAACTAAGCTTCATAAGTGAAAGAGAAATAAAGTCCTTTACAGACAAACAAATGCTGAGAGATTTGGTCACCATCAGGCCTGCCCTAAAACAGCTCCTGAAGGAAGCACTAAACATGGAAAGGAACAACCGGTACCAGCCACTGCAAAAACATGCCAAATTGTAAAGACCATCAAGGCTAGGAAGAAACTGCATCAACTAACGAGCAAAATAACCAGCTAACATTATAATGGCAGGATCAAATTCACACATAACAATATTAACCTTAAATGTAAATGGGCTAAATGCTCCAATTAAAAGACACAGACTGGCAAATTGGATAAAGAGTCAAGACCCATCAGTGTGCTGTATTCAGGAAACCCATCTCACGTGCAGAGACACATATAGGCTCAAAATAAAGGGATGGAGGAAGATCTACCAAGCAAATGGAAAACAAAAAAAAAGGCAGGGGTTGCAATCCTAGTCTCTGATAAAACAGACTTTAAACCAACAAAGATCAAAAGAGACAAAGAAGGCCATTACATAATGGTAAAGAGATCAATTCAACAAGAAGAGCTAACTATCCTAAATATATATGCACCCAATACAGGAGCACCCAGATTCATAAAGCAAGTCCTTAGAGACCTACAAAGAGACTTAGATTCCCACACAATAATAATGGGAGACTTTAACACCCCACTGTCAACGTTAGACAGATCAACGAGACAGAAAGTTAACAAGGATATCCAGGAATTGAACTCAGCTCTGCACAAAGCAGACCTAATAGACATCTACAGAACTCTCTACCCCAAATCAACAGAATATACATTTTTTTCAGCACCACACCACACTTATTCCAAAATTGACCACATAGTTGGAGGTAAAGCACTCCTCAGCAAATGTAAAAGAACAGAAATTATAACAAACTGTCTCTCAGACCACAGTGCAATCAAACTAGAACTCAGGATTAAGAAACTCACTCAAAACCACTCAACTACATGGAAACTGAACAACCTGCTCCTGAATGACTCCTGGGTACATAACAAAATGAAGGCAGAAATAAAGATGTTATTTGAAACCAACGAGAACAAAGACACAACATACCAGAATCTCTGGGACACATTCAAAGCAGTGTATAGAGGGAAATTTATAGCACTAAATGCCCACAAGAGAAAGCAGGAAAGATCTAAAATTGACACCCTAACATCACAATTAGAAGAACTAGAGAAGCAAGAGCAAACACATTTGAAAGCCAGCAGAAGGCAAGAAATAACCAAGATCAGAGCACAACTGAAGGAGACAGAGACACAAAAACCCCTTCAAAAAAATCAGTGAATCCAGGAGCTGGTTTTTTTTTTTTTTTTTTTTTGAGACGGTGTCTCACTCTGTTGCCCAGGCTGGAGTGCAGTGGCGTGATCTCCGCTTACTACAAGCTCCACCTCCCAGGTTCATGCCATTCTCCTGCCTCAGCCTCCCGAGTAGCTGGGACTACAGGCGCCCGCCGTGATGTCCAGCTAATTTTTTGTATTTTTAGTAGAGACGGGGTTTCACCATGTTAGCCAGGATGGTCTCGATCTCCTGATTTGTGATCCACCCGCCTCGGCCTCCCAAAGGGCTGGGATTACACACGTGAGCCACTGCACCTGGCCTCAGGAGCTGGTTTTTGGAAAAGATCAACAAAGTTGATAGACCGCTAGCAAGATTAATAAAGAAGAAAAGGAGAAGAATCAAATAGATGCAATAAAAAATGATAAAGGGGATATCACCGCCGATCCCACAGAAATACAAACTACCATCAGAGAATACTATAAACACCTCTATGCAAATAACTAGAAAATCTAGAAGAAATGGATAAATTCCCAGACACATACACCCTCCCAAGACTAAACCAGGAAGAAGTTGCATCCCTGAATAGACCAATAACATGTTCTGAAATTGAGGCAATAATTAATAGCCTAACAACCAAAAAAGGTCCAGGAGCAGACAGATTCACAGCTGAATTTTACCAGAGGTACAAAGAGGAGCTTGTACCACTCCTTCTGAAACTATTCCAATCAATAGAAAAAGAGGGAATCCTCCCTAACTCATTTTATGAGGCCAGCGTCATCCTGATACCAAAGCCTGGCAGAGACACAACAAAAAAAGAGAATTTTAGACCAATATCCCTGATGAACATTGATGCAAAAATCCTCAATAAAATACTGGTAAACCGAATCCAGCAGCACATCAAAAAGCTTATCCACCATGATCAAGTGGGCTTCATCCCTGGGATGCAAGGCTGGTTCAACATATGGAAATCAAAAAACGTAATCCAGCATAAAAACAGAACCAAAGACAAAAACCCACATGATTATCTCAATAGATGCAGAAAAGTCCTTTGACAAAATTCAACAACACTTCATGCTAAAAACTCTCAATAAATTAAGTATTGATGGGACGTATCTCAAAATAATAACAGCTATCTATGACAAACCCACAGCCAATATCATACTGAATGGGCAAAAACTGGAAGCATTCGCTCTGGAAACTGGCACAAGACAGGGATGCCCTCTCTCACCACTCCTATTCAACATAGTGTTGGAAGTTCTGGCAGGGCAATCAGGCAGGAGAAGGAAATAAAGGGTATTCAATTAGGAAAAGAGGAAGTCAAATTGTCCCTGTTTGCAGATGACATGATTGTATATCTAGAAAACCCCATCATCTCAGCCCAAAATCTCCTTAAGCTGATAGGCAACTTCAGCAAAGTCTCAGGATACAAACTCAATGTACAAAAATCACAAGCATTCTTATACACCAACAACAGACAAACAGAGAGCCAAATCATGAGTGAACTCCCATTCGCAATTGCTTCAAAGAGAATAAAATACCTAGGAATCCAACTTACAAGGGATGTGAAGGACCTCTTCAAGGAGAACTACAAACCACTGCTCAAGGAAATAAAAGAGGATACAAACAAATGGAAGAACATTCCATGCTCATGGGTAGGAAGAATCACTAACGTGAAAATGGCCATACTGCCCAAGGTAATTTATAGATTCAATGCCATCCCCATCAAGTTACCAATGACTTTCTTCACAGAATGGGAAAAAACTACTTTAAAGTTCATATGGAACCAAAAAGAGCCCACATTGCCAAGTCAATCCTAAGCCAAAAGAACAAAGCTGGAGGCATCACGCTACCTGACTTCAAATTATACTACAAGGCTACAGTAACCAAAACAGCATGGTACTGGTACCAAAACAGAGATATGGACCAATGGAACAGAACAGAGCTCTCAGAAATAATGCCGCATATCTACAACTATCTGATCTTTGACAAACCTGAGAAAAACAAAAAATGGGGAAAGGATTCCCTATTTAATAAATGGTGCTGGGGAAACTGGCTAGCCATATGGAGAAAGCTGAAAGTGCATCCCTTCCTTACACCTTATACAAAAATTAATTCAAAGTGGATAAAGACGTAAATGTTAGACCTAAAACCATGAAAACCCTAGAAGAAAACATTGGCAATACCATTCAGGACATAGGCATGGGCAAGGATTTCATGTCTAAAACACCAAAAGCAGTGGCAACAAAAGCCAAAATTGACAAATGGGATCTAACTAAACTAAAGAGCTTCTGCACAGCAAAAGAAACTACCATCAGAGTGAACAGGCAACCTATAGAATGGGAGAAAATTTTTGCAATCTACTCATCTGACAAAGGGCTAATATTCAGAATCTACAATGAACTCAAACAAATTTACAAGAAAAAAACAAACAACCCCATCAAAAAGTGGGCGAAGAATATGAACAAACACTTCTCAAAAGAAGACATTTATGCAGCCAAAAGACACATGAAAAAATGCTCATCATCACTGGCCATCGGAGAAATGCAAATCAAAACCACAATGAGATACCATCTCACACCAGTTAGAATGGCGATCATTAAAAAGTCAGGAAATAACAGGTGCTGGAGAGGATGTGGAGAAATAGGAACACTTTTACACTGTTGGTGGGACTGTAAACTAGTTCAACCATTATGGAAGTCAGTGTGGCGGCTCCTCAGGGATCTAGAACTAGAAATACCATTTGACCCATCCATCCCATTACTGGGTATATACCCAAAGGATTATAAATCATGCTGCTATAAAGACACATGCACACGTATGTTTACTGCAGCACTGTTCACGATAGCAAAGACTTGGAACCAACCCAAATGTCCAACAATGATAGACTGGATTAAGAAAATGTGGCACATATACACCATGGAATACTATGCAGCCATAAAAAAGGATGAGTTCATGTCCTTTGTAGGGACATGGATGAAGCTGGAAACCATCATTCTCAGCAAACTATCACAAGGACAAAAAAACAAACACCGCATGTTCTCACTCAGAGGTGGGAATTGAACAATGAGAACACACGGACACAGGAAGGGGAACATCATACACCAGGGCCTGTGGTGGGGTGGGGGAGGAGGGAGGGATAGCATTAGGAGATATACCTAATGTTAAATGACGAGTTAATGGGTGCAGCACACCAACATGGCACATGTATACATATGTAACAAACCTGCAAGTTGTGCACATGTACCCTAAAACTTAAAAGTATAAAAAATAAAAAATAAAAAAATAAAAATAAAGGAAAAAAGGAAAAAAAAAGAATTGACAAGCAAACTGTGTGACAAGACCTGAGATGTCTCCCTTCATTTTTTGATTGAGTTTCTGCATTGCATTTTCAGTGGAACAGCTTAAAGTAAAGATCAATATGTTTCCCAGGCAAAAATAACCTCTGTCAGGGATGAGTAATGGACACATCAGCCCTCCAAGCATCAATGACATGGTTAAACCTCCACTGCCTAACTAGAGAAATGTGAAAGTTTTGCATTCCTGAGAGTCTCCATAAGCAACACCTTTCTCAAATTCACCCAAAACTGGCTTTGCTTCCAGAAGGACTCAGGGGGAAACAGCTCAACTGGTGGCATGGTCTAGAAATCAACTGCGGGCTAATTAACTGGAAATTTTGTGTTCAGGCAGTTTGAATTGAGTTTGGGGTGGTTCAGGTTGAGTTCGGGGCAGTCCCTATATATGTCAGCCTATGAGACCTCCAGTGTTTGGAGTGTGACTTTGGGGGTTGGTGGGGGTTTATGATGGTGAGGGAATATTCATTCATAAGTTAAATATGCAGAGGAAACACAGCCCTGAAATTGACCATGCTCATCAAAAACTACCTTCAGTGTTTAAAGGTACACTAAGTGGCCCTACAGTCCCCCATCCCTGGAATAGGTAGGGAACAGCCTGGGAGGAAGCCAAGGACAAGAATACCAGGGACTCTGTCACTTCATTTGGAGCAATTATTAAATGAACACTGAAGATTCTGGCCAGGTGTGGTGCCTCATGCCTCCCAGCACTTTGGGAGGCCAAAGCAGGCAGATCACCTGAGGTCAGGAGTTCGAAACCAGACTGGCCAACATGGTGAAACCCCATCTCTACTAAAAATACAACAATTAGCTGGGCATGGTGGTGCGTGCCTGTAATCCCAGCTATTTGGGAGGCTGAAACAGGAGAATTGCTTGAACCAGCGAGGCGGAGGTTGCAGTGAGCTGAGATCGTGCTGTGGCACTCCAGCCTGGGCAACAGAGCAAGATTCCATCAGAAAGAAAGGAAGAAGGAAGGAAGGAAGGAAGGAAGGAAGGAAGGAAGGAAGGAAGGAAGGAAAGAGAGAGAGAGAGAAAGAAAGAGAGGCAAAAGGTTCTATATGGTTTATGAAACAGTATCACACACACTATTTAATCTCACAAGTATCCTTTGAGCTGAGACCCCTGTCTCCCTTTTATAGACAGAGCAACACAGCTCAGAAGCACAGATAAAATGGTTTTAACCACGATCCTACACTTCATGCACAGCAGAACTGAGACCCAAACACAGATCCTCCTGGATTCCAAATTCCATGCTCTTTCTCTCTTTCCACCATTTAATATCTCTGCTCCTACAGGTGGTAGCAAATAAGTCCAGTCAAAAATTAGAGAGGAAAAGACAGAAAAGGTTTCCCATGCTCCCTAAACCACTGCAACAAGTGGCATTTCAGTGTCAGTGAGCAGGAGACAGCTCTGGCATGCTTGCGGCTCATGCAGTCCTCCAGATCTGCCTCACTATCCATGATGTCCCTTGATCCCAAGGAGAAAACCCTCCATTTCAAAATCATATGGGAATTGTAAGTACATCCAGACAATGGAATCATACTCAGCACTAAAAAAAAAAAAGAAAAAAAAAAACCCCAATGAGCTATCAAGCCATAAAAAGACATAGAGAAACCTTAGATATATATTACTAAGTGAAAGAAGCCAATCTGAAAAGGCTACATACTGTTTTAGTCAAACATGACATTCTGGAAAAGGCAAAACTATGAAGATAGTAAAAGGATCAGTGATTGTCAAGGGTTACAGTGGAGAGACAGGTGACTAGGCAAGACACAGAGGATGTTTAGGGCACTGAAATTATTCTGTATGATATTGTAGTGGTGGATACATGTCATTATACATCTTTCAATACTCATAGAAGGTACAGCAACAAGAGTGAACCCTATGTAAAGCATGGACTTTAGATGATAATGACATGTCAATATACGTTCATCGATTGTAACAAATTTACCACTCTGGAGAGGATGTTGATAACGGGAGAGGGGAAAGGCGGTTCCAAGATGGCCTAAAAGGAACAGCTCCAGTCTACAGCTCCCGGCCTGAGTGACACACAAGATGGGTGATTTCTGCATTTCCAACTGAGGTACCGGGTTCATCTCACTGGGGCTCGTTGGACAGTGGGGGCAGGACAGTGGGGGCAGGACAGTGGGTGCAGGCCACCAAGTGTGAGCCAAAGCAGGGTGAAGCACTGCCTCACCCAGGAAGTGCAAGGGGTCAGGGAATTCCCTTTCCTAGCCAAGGGAAGGGGTGACAGACGGCACCTGGAAAATTGGGTCACTCCCACCCTGATACTATGCTTTTCCAATGGTCTTAGCAAAGGGCACACCAGGAGATTATATCCCGTGCCTGTCTTGGAGGCTCCCACACCCACGGACCCTCACTCACTGCTAGCACAGCAGTCTGAGATCAAACTGCAAGGCGGCAGCAAGGCTGGGGGAGGGGCGCCCTCCACTGCCAGGGCTTGAGTAGGTAAACAAAGAGTCCGGGAAGCTCGAACTGGGTGGAGCCCACCGCAGCTCAAGGAGGCCTGCCTGCCTCCGTAGACTCCACCTCTGGGGGCAGGGCATAGCCAAACAAAAGACAGCAGAAACCTCTGCAGATTTAAATGTCCCTGTCTGACAGCTTTGAAGAGAGTAGTGGTTCTCACAGCACAGAGTTTGAGATCTAAGAATGGACAGACTGCCTCCTCAAGTGGGTCCCTGACCTCCGAGTAGCCTAACTAGGAGGCACCCCCAAGTAGGAGCAGACCGACACCTCACACAGCTGGGTACCCCTCTGAGACGAAGCTTCCAGAGGAACAATCAGGCAGCAACATTTGCTGTTCAGAAATATTTGCTGTTTGGCAGCCTACGCTGCTGATATCCAGGAGTGGACCTCCAGCAAACTCCAACAGACCTGCAGCTGAGGGTCCTGACTGTTAGAAGGAAAACTAACAAACAGAAAGGACATCCACACCAAAACCCCATCTGTCAGTCACCATCATCAAAGACCAAAGGTAGATAAAACCACAAAGATGGGGAAAAAACAGAGCAGAAAAGCTGAAAATTCTAAAAATCAGAGCACCTCTCCCCCTCCAAAGGAGCGCAGCTCCTCGCCAGCAACGGAACAAAGCTGGATGGAGAATGACTTTGACGAGTTGAAAAAAGAAGCTTCAGATGATCAAACTTCTCTGAGCTAAGGGAGGAAGTTCAAACACAACACAAAGAAGTTAAAAACCTAGGAAAAAGATTAGGCGAATGGCTAACTAGAATAACCAATGTAGAGAAGTCCTTAATGACCTGATTGAGCTGCAAACCATGGCACAAGAACTACATGACAAATGCACAAGCTTCAGTAGCCGATTCGATCAAGTGGAAGAAATGGTATCAGTGATTGAAGATCAGATGAATGAAATGAAGCAAGAAGAGAAGTTTAGAGAGAAAAGAGTAAAAAGAAATAAACAAAGCTTCCAAGAAATATGGGACTATGGGAAAAGACCAAATCTACATCTGATTGGTGTACCTGAAAGTGACAGGGAGAATGGAACCAAGTTGGAAAACACTCTTCAGGATATTATCCAGGAGAACTTCCCCATCCTAGCAAGGCAGGCCAACATTCACATTCGGGAAATACAGAGAACGCCACAAAGATACTCCTCGAGAACAGCAACTCCAAGACACATAATTGTCAGATTCACCAAAGTTGAAATGAAGGAAAAAATGTTAAGGGCAGCCAGAGAGAAAGGTCGGGTTACCCACAAAGGGAAACCCATCAGACTAACAGCTGATCTCTCGGCAGAAACTCTACAAGCCAGAAGAGAGTGGGGGCCAATATTCAACATTCTCAAAGATAACGGGAGAGGATATGCACATGTGGGGTAGGAGGTATATGGGAAATCTCTCTACCTTCCTTTCAGTTTTGCTGTGAACCTAAAACTACTCTAAAAAAAGAAAGTATATTTTTTAAAAGGAGTAGGTTCACATACCCAATTTGTCCCAAATATATACTTAAAAATTCTCCAATGACTGACTTGTGTGTCAATTTTTAAATTTAATTAATAAGTAAAATTTCAAACTCAAAATGAAAATTGTATGAGCATCATCATAGAACCTCATCCTCATTTCTAATTAGAAATCTCACATCTTCC
This sequence comes from Homo sapiens, assembly GCF_000001405.40. Classification (NCBI taxonomy): domain Eukaryota; kingdom Metazoa; phylum Chordata; class Mammalia; order Primates; family Hominidae; genus Homo; species Homo sapiens. Next base: position 1,185,610 of record NC_000009.12, on the reverse strand, counting down.
TAGGAGAGCTAGACCCTTCTGAGGATCTGCCCCCGAAATTTGGAAGGTCTTTTCCCAGTCTGGGGGATGGAGGTGAATATTCTAGCGGAAGTGAGTTGTTGCAGTTGGAACATTACCCAAATATGGAGCCATTCAGGGAGCTGTCCTCCCCTTTGTGGTATCACCCTGAGCCCCAAGATTAGCAGGAGGGTCTATGGACTTGTCTTGCGGAATTGGAAGCACATTTCCATTTGTATGAGTCATCCTGGTCCATTCAGCATCTGCTGCTCCCACCAGAATACGGATTCCTCTTCCCTCCCTCCCCACTCACTCCTGGAAAACATCTCCTGATTGTGGATGGTGCCCATGAAAGGAGGAGGAGGAGAAGGAAAAGAGGCACCTTCCTGACCCTACAAGCAATCTGTTCACACCTGGCAGCGTGAGCTTTGATTGTCCTCAACTCAGGTTGTATAACTACAGATGTCTCTAATTTTCACAAAGTAAAGGAGCCCTTGTCTGGAATAAATGAGATAGATAAATTAGACCAGGGAAGGGAAAAAGTCAAAGGTGTCTCCCCTACTTTTCATCTGAGGCGATCTGGGTGCTGTAATCTATTGTACAAATGTCTGCACACAGCATGCCAACACTTGCTTGTAAACTCACAAGAGAAATATCACCTGGAGACAATGAATAATGTCTGTTCCATGCCTTTCACCCCTAATATACTTTTTGTTTTGAAGGCATCATATGGATTAAGTTAGTAACACCCATCCTCACGTTTTCAAGCCGCTATCTCCTCCTAAATCATCTCTCTTTGGAACTTGACAGGTTATCACACCTTGTCTCATTTCATGCTGCAGCTTCCCACAAGCAGATTAGTCTTGCTTCACAAATCACAGGCTCCTTTCCTGAGTGAAACACCTTCAAAATCACAGTGACTTCCCCCAAGGGGTCTCAAAGTTCTTTTTTCCAAGGTCTATGCTGTTCCACCAAGGGGCTTCATTGTTCTGAAGCGCCAAGCCTTGCTTCATCTCCTTGGCTGATGGTATTATCATAAAACAGCCAGAGAAGAATTTGCCAAGCCAGTGATAACTTCATCTCTGTGTTTAACAGGGTGTCTTCTGGGCAGGGCTCCAGGCTGCCTCAGGCTTGTGAGCCTTCAGAGGGGCAAAGCAATGCCTAGAGCTGCTCTCCCAGGTCTGAGGTGCAGAGAGAGAAGGGAAACAGATTTTCAGCACTATCCTAGTGGTTCTGTAGTTTACAAAGTTCAAGCACAACTGCTTGTGATTTCCTGACTCATTCCAAACCATGGATAAACCAAACACAACCAGATGTGGCAATTTCTGTGTAAAAAGACACTATGAAGGATCAGGGAATTTGACTGCTTCTCCCATGTGCTCCTATGATATACTTCATAACTGTAGTGGCCATCTGTTGCTTCTGCCTGCTCAGTATCCATTCCTTTGTCTTATGCCATTATCACCTTTATTTTTCCTGCAGGATCACTTCTTAGTTGATGCAATTTGGGCAGAGCCTACTTCATGGTCCTAGTACTCAAGGAGAACATTTGACCAGGACTCAACGAAGAGAAGACTCCATCATCCTGGCCACAGTGATTGATTCAGGGCTACACATGTGGCCCATGTCTGAGAACTTCTTCAGGAACTACTGGGAAAAGATGTTTCCTTTCTACCGGGTTTGCTAAGCTGGTACAATGTAAATCTGGATCTGCTGGTGAACATCTTGCAGGGGAAAGATCCTGTGTGAGAACGGTGCCCTTAACGAATGAAGCACTGTCAAAAGTGAGAGATAGATATGAATATATTGCTTGACACCTGAATACAGTCATGCCTAAAGTCATTCTCACATTTTAATCATGAGACCCAATACATTTCATTTCTTGCTTAAGATGGTTTTATCTAGGTTTCTATTTTGAAAATAAAAGTTCTGATAAATATGCTACCCAACAACAAAAAGGAAATAAAAGGTGTCAAGTGTCTCAAATGATTCATGCATTGATTTATTTTAAAAGCATATATTGCCCAGGTGTGCTGGCAATGCACCTGTAGTCCCAGCTATTCAGGAGTCTGAAACAGGAGGATCACTTAAGCCCAGGAGTTCAAGTACAGCCTGAGCAACATAGGAAGACCCTCTCTTTTTTTTTTTTTTTTAAGAAAAAAGCATATATTAAATACCTAACCTATACCATGCTCTATGTTTGGTAAGGGACACAGAGACAAATAAGGCACAATCCTTGCCTTAAAGGTTTACAGTCTAATTTCCAGTTTGGCAATCAAATCATTGGCACTCGAGAGTTTCAAGAATTCAAAGGACAGTGGGGATTCTTGAGCTTATTTTTATTAAGAAATTAAACAGCATGGATTTGCACAAGGACCCAGTAACTTCATATAATCCAGATTATGTGCCTTAGTACTTCATATGCAACTTACTTCCATTACATACTTTTGTGAAAGGAGCGAAATACATAGCTAGCAAATTTGAGAAAGAGGAATATGGTAGCCACATGTTTATGCCTGCACAAGTCCATTCCTTCTGATAATGGCTTTGAAGTACCAACTCCACCATTGCCTGCAATCTTGGTGAGACTATCAAGCATGGTGCTCCGATTCACAGACTAAGGCATGGCCATAAGATACAAGATGGTCTAGTCGGTTAGGTCACTTCTCCTCAGTCCTCTTTTCCAGTTCCTCCCCTTGTGTCTCTGCCTCGGGCTTTTTCTCTTTTCCATCTACACTCACTCCCAAGTTGATCTCAACCAGCCTCATGGTTGTAATACCAATGATTTACTGATGTCTCCCAAATTAATATCTCCAGCACAGACCTCTCCCTTGAACCCTGATTGCCTACTTGCAATTTAACACATCGAAACCAAGCTTCTGAATCCCCCAAAAACTGCTCTTTCCCGTAGCCTTTTCCATCTTAATAGCTGCTCAGGTGAAGAAACCTGGGAGTCATGATTGATTCATCTCTTTCTGTCATGCTTCGTATCCTAGCTGCCATTAAATCCTAATGACCATTCCTTCGAAAAAGATCCAGAGCCAATCCCTCTCATCACCTCCACCAAGGTCACTCTTGCCCAAGCCCAAATCGTCTCCTACCTGGGTGTGTATTCTCAGCAGAGCAGCCAGGGTGAGCCTTTTTTTTTTTTGAGGCAGAGTCTCCCTTTGTCGCCCAGGCTGGAGTGCAGTGGGGCGATCTCAGCTCACTACAAGCTCTGCCTCCCGGGTTCCCGCCATTCTCCTGCCTCAGCCTCCCAAGTAGCTGGGATTACAGGCACCTGCCACCATGCCCGGCTAATTTTTTTTTTTGTATTTTAGTACAGATGGGCTTTCACTGCGTTAGCCAGGATGGTCTCAATCTCCTGACCTCGTGATCTGCCTGCCTTGGCCTCCCAAAGTGCTGGGATTACAGGCGTGAGCCACCGCGTCTGGCCCACAGTGAGCCTTTTAAAAAGCAAGTCATCACTGTCTCCTCTGCCAGGAAAGCTCATCCCTAACATCTACACAGATGTCTTCTGGGTCTTGGCTCAAACCTCACTTTTAAGTCAGGCCTTTACCAGTCACTCAATTTAAAATTGCATCACCCATAGAAAAAGTAAAACAAACAAACAAACAAAAAAATGCATCAACCTCTCCATTTAGTCTCCATAACATGAATTGCCAAGTAGCATATTATATGTTTTATTCATTTTTGTTTGTTAATTTATATTGCCAGTCTCTTCTAACTAGAATGTAAGCTCCATCATGGCAATAATTTTTATCTGTTTTGTTCAGTGTTTTAAACCGAGAACCTAAAACGGTGCTTTGCACTCAATAAATACATGATTCAATAGTAAAGCCATGGAATCAACCTAGATGCCCATCAACAGCAGATTGGATAGAGAAAATGTAGTATATATACACTATGGAATACTATGCAGCCCTACAGAAGAATTAAGTCATATCCTTTGTAACAACATGGATGCAGCTGGAGGCCATTATCCTAAGCAAACAGCACAGGAACAGAAAAACAAATACCACTTATCCTCACATGTAAGTGGGAGCTAAATACTGGGTACACATGGACATAAAGATAGGAACAATGAACACTGGAGACTACCAGAGTGGGTAGAGCGGAGATGGGGATAAGGGCTGAAAAAGTACCTATTGGGTACTATGATCCTTTATACCTCAAAACTCAGCATCATGCCATATACCCATGTAACAAACTTGCACAAGTACACTCTGAATCTAAAATAAAAGCTGACATTATTAAAAATAAATAAATATGTGATGCATGAATGAATGAACTGGTGTTCTTTTAGAGGAGGAGCCAGTAACAGAAAACAGTTGGTGCAGATTAATTCCGGGACCAATGCCCAAAAGAGAACACCCTTTAGCACGAGCCACCTAGATCTTCTGAGCTATTCTATATTCCCTAATGCCCAGTTCTTCTGCCTTTCTTTCCGTTCTTTGAGCTACCCATGTCTGACCAGTAAACTTTCCATGTTATGTTAGCCAAGGTCAGTTTCTGTTGCTTGCAACCAAAGATTCCTGGCTGATTCAAGGAGCTGAATGAACATGTAAGCCCTCACTACACCATGACCACTGTGACAATGCACAGAGATGTGGTAGTCTAATAAGGTTTTAAATGCAAATGGCATAGGGAGAGTTGTTTATAACTTAAATTCACCAAAAATAATAAAAATAAATGTCTTTACTCTGAGTCTTTCCTAAAATGAACATTATCCTGCTCATTTTAAACCAGCAAGACCTTGTTCATTTGCTAAATGTATCTTTTCTTCATAAAACAACGTATTTGCATAAATATTCTAAAGAGATTCATGAGGTGATACTAAACAGGAGATTTGTGAATAGAGCAGAATACCTTCACCGCAATGTTAGAACTGAGATGATCAGACATGAGTGGTATGAAAAACAGCATAGGCCTTTAAATATATTTGATTCCAATTTTTATGTAAAGTGGGAGAAGAAGAAAAGGAGATACACCAGAACATTAATGGTGGCTCTGTCTAGATAGAGGAATTATGATGATTTATATTTTATTATTTATCCCTTACTGAGTTTTTACAAGTTTTCTAGTTAATGAACAAATATTCCTTTGGAATTCAAAAGACAAACCTTTTTTTTTTTTTTAGGTATGAAAAGAGTCTGAAAACGGCATGCCCTTTAGTAAAACCTCCCAGTTACAAGCAAAAAGTCACAGGCGATAAAATGAGACCCTCACCTTCAGAAAGTCTTTTCCTTCTGGATAGCAACAGAACATGGGCAAAAAGGAGAAGAGGAAGCAGGAAGGGGAACAGATCGTAGATCAATGCTTCTCACATGACACCCGGAAAACCATCTGCAACAGAATCGCCAGGGGTGCTTGTTAAAAATGAAGATTCCTGACAACCAGCCCATATCTGCTGTACAGAACCTCTGAGGGTCTTGAGCAAGTTCCCCCAGTGAATTTCATGCCTGTTAAAGTCTAAGAACCCCTGGAAAGATGAAGGACACTACTTGAAGCTCCTTGGAGGATTTATCGAACCTCTGCTTGAATAATTCTAACCGAATGATAAAGCTTCACTCTGTAGAGAGAAAAATGCAATCAATCAGAACCATCACCAGTAGAAAGCAAAGTTTCTACTTTGCTTTCTATTGTGCAGACACAATGTATATCATATGCTGATGACACAACATCTGCTATCCGAACCCCCATAAATCCATCAGCCAGTTACCAAATAAGACAGTGGAATCTTCATTATGAAAGCTTATTTGACAAGTTATAATAATTGATCATTAAATCATTTTTCCCATGATAAAACTATCATCAGTGAAAATCTGATCAACCCAATTAGCACTAAACACATTTGTTTGGTCTTACTAGAATTTTTAAAGGACAGCTCTTTAATAGTAAATCAGTTTGATGCCTGCCTCGTCCTTCCTGCTTTTCACCAGACACTTTCAGCCAGAATAAATGACTCCTCAGGCTCTTCTACTCCTTATTCCCTGGGTATGACACATGCATTCCACTTCTGTGCCTGAGTCTCCCTGTGCCTCCTATGAATGACCCTCCTCTCTCCTTTCTGCTTTCCTGGGTCCTCTCCTTAAGGCCCTGTCAGTTAGGACTTGGCCACTTGGAGCAGAAGCCCAATGACCCGTGGCTTAACCCCAGAGTGGTTGGTTTCCTTGCCCAACAGGAACTCCAGGGCTGGTGCAGGTGCTTGAGGACATTACCCAGAGCCAAAGCTCCTTCCTTCCTCCCGCTCCACGCTGTGTGGCTTTTGTCCTCTTGATGGTAAGATGGCTAACCCTTCTCCTGGGCATCACATCTGCCTTCCAGACCAAAAAAAAAAAAAAAAAAAAAAAAGCACGTGGAGGGTAAAAGCACCTCTCCTATCACTCCTGCTCACTCAAGCTTGAAACACATGGTCACCTGGGTTTTCTTCCAGACCAGAAACCAGTCCTGCCAACTCTTCATTCCCAAAACCTCTTAGTTACCCATTTCATTCATTTTCTTCTGCCACCTTCTGTGTGTTCTCTTCCCCTCACAACCAGAGTGGTACAAAAGCTTTCTGTTATGTTCATGACGATGCCTGCATTAGACAGCTATCTTTTCACCTTGTTCATGCCTTTGCACCTCACCAGAGGGAAGGAATCTTATACCTCTCATGTGTATCCAGCAGAGTGCAGACATATATGGGACTTCATGAAATACCTGACCAATTGGCATTATTATGCACACTGTGTGAGGTCAGCAAACATTGCACCTGGGGAGCCACATTTATGTGAACAGGGCAGTGTTATTCGTACCAATTTCTTCCAGAAATTTGTTCTTTAGGCCACAATCACACCTTCCAAAAATGCATTCTTTTAAAAATAAGCATAATTTTTCTTTTATTTTACAAACAATATATAAACATTTTTAAAATCTATTGGTGTTTCTTTGGCAAAAATCTATTTTTTTTTCATTAACTTCAAGTTCCAGGGTATACATGCACGATGTGCAGGTTAGTTACATGTGGTGATTTGCTGCACAGATCAACCCATCACCTAGGTATTAAGCCCAGCATCCATTAGCTATTCTTCCCGATGTTCTTCCTTCCCCTGCCCCCTGATAGGCTCCAGTGTGTGTTGTTCCCCTCCCCCATGTGTCCATGTGTTCTCATCATTCAGCTCCCACTTATAAGTGAAAACATGTGGTGTTTGGTTTTCTGTTCTTGCATTACTTTAGTTAGCAGTTGCTGAGGATAATGGCTTCCAGCTCCATCCCTGCAAAGAACATGATCTCGTTCCTTTTTACGGCTGCATAGTATTCCACTGTGTATATGTACCACATTTTCCTCATCCAGTCTATCATGATGGGCATTTGGGTTGATTTCATGTCTTTGGTATTGTGAATAGTGCTGCAATGAACACACACATGCATGTATCTTTATAAGAGAATGATTTCTATTCCTTTGGGTACATACCCAGCAATGGGATTGCTGGGTCAAATGGTATTTCTGCCTCTAGATCTTTGAGGAATCGCCACGCTGTCTTCCACAATGGTTGGACTAATGTACTTTCCCACCAACAGTGCAAACCTAACTGAAAGTGGTGGTGTCACATCTTAATCCCCTGGAAATGTAGTTTCAAATACATTTTCTCTCACACAATGCTAGTGTTGTATTTCTCTTCATTGGTAAGTTTGCTCAATCCTCCATAAAAGCCAATGTGGTCTACATCACTTTTCTCTTTAAGCAATTTAACAAGTCGATACAATAGCCTCTTTGTAAAATGCTGGGTTTCTCCTTGATTTTTTTAAATGCCTCTGATGGATCCTACTTGGAGGTTTCCTTTTTCCATGATCTGAAATGTGAAAATGGAATTATTGTTGAAAAAGTCAGGTTCTCCCAAAAACATAATCACCCTTCTTGGTGCTGTCTAGCCAATCTTGTTATCTACTTTATGTAATGTTTCAGAGAAAAATAAGATGTTTGGGGAAGTTTACTCTGTAAACAGCACACTTTGTGAGCAACTTAAGAAAGAGCTTAATGTCTATCCATAAACACCTCCGCCATGGTTGCAATAAGGGTCACTGTTGTAAACAGTTTACGGTCAATTACTTGATCAAACAGTCATTGAAATAAAAGGTATTCGAGTTCTCCTTTGTGCCTCTGCACTCCACACCCTCCTCCCTTCCCCAGCAGAAAAATGCCTTTTAACTGGCTGCAGAAGGACTTGTTCACAAATGTTTCTAATTCAGCTAAACATCTTGATAGGAAATATCATAAATTATATGTATAGGCCTGTCAGTACAATTTTCAACAGGGGTAACATGAGTTCAGTTTGAAATAAAATGAAAAACTTCAGACCAATTTCTGAACTTGCTACCTTGAGTTTTAATCCAAAGCCCACTTGTGTAAAGAGAGACAGCAAAATTCTGGTGCTCTTGGATTGAAACCTACAACTAACAAAGATGCTGAAGACACATTGATTCTATTTTTTTACACTCTTTTGGGAGCTGGAAAAAAATGCAAAAGCATAAAAATGTTGGAGATAACCTAACTTAAGATCTAACAAGACTTTTGGTGTATTTAAATATCCACTGTGTTACTTAAGCTCATGCTTGACTTCCACTGAAGGGTTCCTTAGGAATTTCCCTATCCTAGACACTAAGAAAAGGGCCACCAAGAGGAAAGAGTGTGCTACCCATAGTAGACACTAAATACGCAAGGAGAGAGGGGAGAAGGGGGTAAAGGGGGAACTAGATTAGGGCTGATGATCTTGAATATAAATTACTTTTTAAATTTCAGTTGTACTCACTAACACAGCATTGCCAGCATATAAGAAGATCTCTGTTGTAGGATTGTCTAGAAAGAAAATTAGCATATTAACAACTACTTCTAGAGAACAAATTTAATGTTCTAGAAAATCACTGCAATATAGATGCACGGGAAATACACATTTTAGGTTTTCTTGTTTTAGTACAAGCACGTATGTATTCTGTCCCCTTTTCATAAACCTTTTGTTTATTCACATAGTGAACAATACTTTTCCAATCCCCATTCTGAGACAATAATCCTATATTTGATGAAACAAGTAATAACACAGTGGTTATTTTATGCTTTTGCATATTTTTCACCTTTTAAGATACAATATATAAAATTTAAGAGGAGAAAGGCTTAGACTGACAGATTGTGACTATATAAACAAAATTTATTCTCCCTTTTCACTCATAGAGAAATCTATTTTAGAAATTATTTGGGGGCTATTAAATCAAAAGCCTAAGATTATATAACCAAAAAACAAATTCATCCAGAAAGATTCAGCATGATTGATAACATTTTCTTTTTTTTTTTTTATAAAAAACATTTCATATTAACTTCAAAATCTGGTCCCACAAATTTAGCATATGTACAACAAATTTTTAATTCCCCTTCCAGATAACCAAGAAAAATAGACTTAATCTTAATTATACAATGTTTATTGCAAGTATAGTTGAAACTCATCAATTAAGAGTTCATTGGTTTCTAAACTGCAGTTGAGGGAACTGAAACATACTTTTAAAATATTCATTACTTCACATATGATCCCATGTATGTGACGTTCTGGAAAACGCAAAACTATGGGAACAGAAAACTGATCCATCACAGTCAGGGGCTGTGGAAAGGGGAAAGATGACTGATTCCAAAGAGGTACAAGGGAATCTGGGGAGGTGATAGAGCTATTTTAGATCTTGACTGTGGTCGTGGTTACATGACTGGACACTGGTCAAAACTCTTTGAACTATAAACCTCTATAATGTATCAAAATTATACCTCCATCGACCTGACATTTAAGACTATCTACTGAGAAAACAATTTGTTGAACAGTTTGAGTACAAAAATGAAATTATAAAATTATAAAATACTAGATTACCCAATTAGGAAGACAAACTTTTCAAACAGATTAGAAACAGTGTTTGAATATAAACAGTGCTACCATATGTCAACATAAGGAGAAAAGGTGAGGCCGCTACTAACTAATGATATGCTAATGATAAATGTGTCCTATCTGGTCCTTTAACAAGGGCCTCTGCAGACAAGGTTAAGCTACTTTTTTTATGTACTTAATTGAGGTAAGAAAACTTCATTTCAGAATACACTGCAATGCAACCTAGCTTTCCTTCACTTGCAGAAATCAGTAATATTTTACTCTAGGCCAGAGGTTGGCAAACTTCTTGGTAAAGGGCTAGAGGGCAAATGTTGCTGAGTGTGAATGAGTGTGGCTGTGTTCTTCTTCTTCTTCTTTTTTTTTTTTTTTTGAGACAGGGTCTCACTCTGTCCCCCAGGCTGTAGTGCAGTGGAGTGATCACAGCTCACTGCAGTCTCAACCTCTTGGCTCATGCAATCCTCCTCTGGTCTCAACTTCCCAAGCACCTGAGACTACAGTCATGCACCACTATGCCCAGCTAACTTTTGTATTTTTGTAGAGATGGAGTTTCACCATGTTGCCCAGGCTGGTTTCAAACTCCTGGACTCAAGCAATCTGCCCGCCTCAGCCTCCCAGAGTGCTGGGATTATAAACGTGAGCCACCGTGCCTGGCCGTGACTGCGTTCTAATAAAATTTTATGAACACTGAAATTCGAATTTCACATAAGTTTTCTGTATCCCGAAATATTATTCTTTTGATTTTTTGCAGCCATTTAAAAATGTACAAACTATTTTTAGATCAAGCACTGTACAAAAACCGGCAGGGGGCTAGATGTGGTCTGAGGGCCATAATTTGTCAACTCTAGCCTAGGTTATCAATAGATGCTTATAAGAGCTTCTTCAAAGTGTGGGTCTCTCATGTATTACAAACTCTTTTCTGTTAAGGCTGTCCATTCCAAGAGCTCTTGTTTTAAAATCACAGGACTTTGTCTCCCACATACAATTATTCAGATTGCTTGAGCTAAAATATTAGGTTGCAACAAAAGTAATCGTGGTTTTTGAAAACTGTGGTTACTTTTGCACCAACCTAATATCAGAGGAGATAAAAGGTGAGGAGCCTCTGGAAATACATGGGTCATGGAAAGAAATTCTGACTGCAGTAAGAATAAAAAAGGCAGAAGAAAAGCAATGGATGCACACCCTTCCAACTAAGTTTCCTCAGGTTTCTAGACCAAAGTGCTTAAAGAAACCAGGTTGAACACCTGTACTGGGCACCTCCAGAGGGTCAAGGGTTAATGTCACCTGTTTGCATAGTAAATTGCTTATATTGGTATTCTTTTAAGCAGTGCTTAGACCGGCTATGACTTATGAACATGTACTTTTAGATATACAGTATGATTTGGTGGTTTGTTTTTTTTTTTTTTTTTCCTGTCTTAGTGAAGACAGGAACGAGGAACATTTATCTGAAACAGATTGTGTGATGGAAACATTTCCAGCTGCACAAGTGCTGTAACATCTACACCCAAATTAGCTCATGAGTCAACATATCTCGTTTGGTTATTACATTTATTGCATCAATTATCTACAAATGAAATACAGCTGCATTGTCAGTATCCCCACGTTCAAGCATATGCTTAATGAGATGGCAAGGTAGGAAAGATCAGGAGCACTTGCTGACAACAAATAAAGAAGAAACCCAATCCTTGCACCCCAGCCGGACGTTGCCCAGCTGAAATTCCTTTCCTTTATGGGCCGTAGTCATCATATTTTAAGAGCATCTAATCAGGTATTTATCCCAAACATGAGCAGCAGTACATTCGATTTGTTTACTAAACAGAAATTGGATAAATCTGGCATCCAAGTCACAGTCACCACTTTGCTTGTACAGCCCAAGGTCACTCGGGTAGCTCAGGTGGGGAGAAGGGGGTAAGGCAGGATACAAGAGCCACTTTTCCAGCCGCACAAGGCCTATTCTGATGTTTTGACAGAGTCCCGCTAATCTTTTTCACATTTCTTTCTTCGTAGTGGTAGAACCATATGCTCCCAGTTTCCCTCCAAGTATTTGTTTGAATTTTTTCTTTTTTCTAAGAGAGATGGGGCTGGAGGTCTGGAAGGATCTAGGCAGAGTCAGATTTGGGAATTGTCTCCATATTTCTACCAGTTGAAAGAATCTCCAAGGATCTCCCCCATTGCCAGTATATATTTTATAGGCACTGGGTGGACACCTGTTTTCAATTGCACATTCAGATCAGACGAGCCCTCTAGGAGTGGCCTGGGAGTGCAGGCCTGGCCCAGAGCAAGAGGAAAAGTCTCCTGCCCAGGGCTGTCTTTTTTGTTTGCTTTGTAAATGATTTCTGAGCCACGTGTGGGAGAAAGGCCTGCCCTGCTCTCACTTACATCATGCATGTGGAACTTGAGTCTTGCCATAGGAATGCCACAGAAGGGGACATTTGTTTAAGCCGTTGGTCAGCCAGGGTCTTCCTCACTGCAAATGGATTTGAGATCATAAACTATGGGAGATTAGTTTTAAGCCCTCACAGTAGACCTCACTGAGCAGACTCCAGGTGATAAGAAAGGCAGATGAGGGGCAGCAGGGGCCCAGCCCGGCACCCCTTTCCAGATGGCTGCACTCAGAAACCAGGGTCTGGGGACGGATATCCAGGGCAGCTGGATTCCAAAGAGGTAGGCTAGGCAGGTTCCATCTACAACAGTTACGTGTGACAACATCTCCCAAAAAATAATTCACTGGGAAACAAAATATTTCACCTCCAGGTATAAGTGGGAATGTCATTAATGAGCCAGGCCATCTTCTCTGCTAGCACCTAAACTCTTGAGCATACATGGAGAAATTGCTTAGACACCAACTCCCTTCAGACAGAGAATAGGATTTAGGATACCTATTCCCAGGTTTACAGAAATCTTACCTTGACCACTTGTTAGTTCTATACCCAAAGACAAGTCAACTTCATGATCTCTAAACCAGGACACAAACGTCATTACTTACTCCAGACATTCCATAAATACAGAGTCCTAGGGTGCAGTTGGAGTTATCAGATTCCCTCACATCAACCAGAGCCCAGCAAAACACAGTCTTGCATGTCTTCACATGGCACACCGCCTTATGGGGTCACCCTGTCCTTCCCACTCTCCAAGCTTTCCTGCTGCCAAACCCTGGACTTTGCTGTCCCTGCCCCCCATGGCCAAACTTGGCTTCCCACACTTGGTGAGGTGCTATCTTAGAAAGACTCAGATAAAGCAATTCTGTACATGTCTGAGAACAGCTTAATAGGACGTGTGTAGTACACCAAGAAAATGCCTGACATCCAGTAAATAAGCCCAATCATTGTTTCAGTCTTCAACTAAAGGTAGGAGGGGACATTGTGAGGGACACCAGGGCCTTGCTGATAGCTTTCTGTAGGTCCTGCTATGTCATATTTTAAGAGATGTCAAAGACAAAACATAATCAGGGACAAAACCCCAGAGTCAAGACAGGTGGCACATTAATACTAAAAACTCCTGAGCCAGGCCACCTTCGCCACACCCAGGCCTTCCTCTCCCCATCCACCCAGAACCAAGAGGAGGGTGAATAACAGGCCAATGGCAGAATCAGGGAGGCAAAGGTCAAGATGGCTGCTGCACTAACGTCATCTAATGATGCCCTGTCACCTCTCGCCTACTCGCCTATTCAAGGCGCTTCAGAACCCTTCAGGCTTTTGGATGCCTAAGCTATTTCTCCTCCCCTGTCCCCACTCCTTGTCCCTGCCCCTTATTTTTCCTTCCCACACCCCCTCAAGGATGATGAGGGCCAGAGTTTGGGACAGAAATGGCAAACCTGATGGATACTGGGCCAGTAGCGTTAGTATCTGCCACCTCGGCCTGAGCGTCCCCCACCTTCTTCTTGGCAAGATTTCATTTGTTTTGTTTTTGCAAAAGAAAGAGAAAGCTCCATGCCAGCAGTGTCAGTCAGCTCCAGGGGACGTAGCTCAGAGTAAAGGAGGAAATGTGGTTTTCACTGACACCCATGTTCAAGTGTTGGTTAATGACAGCAAAACAGCCACACAGTTTACATTCCTTTTACAAAGGGTTTCACACATGAGACCCTGGCATTCTCCCTCCTGTTCCTGTTATTGTCATTTCATAGCATGTAATCCCACTGAAATTAAACAAAAATTTTATGTTGCCTTCGTTTGATCTGTCATTGTGGGGTTATTTTCCCTCCCTCTCCCATGCCAATGCCACCCATCTCCCTCTCTCTCTCTTTCACACACACACACACACACACACACAGACACACACTCTTCAAGGTGGGCCTGCTCTTCAAAAGCCAAAAACAACAAGATCAAAAAGTCTTGAGTGGAGCAGATGTCAAGTGGTCCCCCCGGACTCCTACTTAACCCTTTCCAGAGGTCTGGTTGTACCCTGACAAGGAATTGATTTGGTGGGGAAAGCAGCAGGCTTGGTAAACATGGCCCCACTCCTCCTTATAAATCTCCAAAACTAAGGACGGAGCAGCGATTCCACACAATTGCCATCTGCTCCTAGGGAAATGTACACACACCTGCCTTTCGAAAGGCAACTTTGACTGTGAACATGCTTTGCTAATTGTGGTTGTTTATGACCCAATGTAATAAAATTTGATGTTGCAAACTGGAAGTGTTTTCCTTGTGTTTTTCCTTAGACCCTCCCCTCTTCCTACTCTAGAACTCTTATCTGAAACCAGGTGTGTGAAATGTCTGAGTGGCAGTTAAGAAATTGGAGTCTTTTATCTACCTGACAGAGATGTATGGGGAATTTTAAGACCTAATGGCTAGAAATAGGCAGGAAATTAGCAGCATGAAGGAATTTTTCCATATCTTACCTCTAAACACAGTATGCATTACTGATTTATCATATTAGACTGGGATCATATTGGAATGGCCTACAACTCTTTAATACAGTGGAAAAAAATTGCAAGTAATTTTGAAGGACCTCAAAGCCATCTTCTCAAATTGCAGTCCTTTTTAAAACTGGAGGAATATAACCCAAGTTGTATAAACACAATAAGATGAAAACATGGAAATTTTCTGAGGGTGCTTAGTTGGAACAACCTTACAAAATATTTACAGTAATCAGAATGATCAAGTTATTTTCCTGTAATCAGATAACTTTTGACTTTAGTTGAGTGGTCACTTGGTGAAGGAGAAACTATGTTTGCAAATCAAACACAGAATGTGACATAGCATTGAACAAATTTCCAGCTCCTTGAACCAAAGTTCTACGGTCACTAAATAACCCTCAAAGATGCAAGCAACTTCTTTGCCTTGGGGGGAAAAAAACACCTTTTAACGGCTTTAGATTCATGCTCTTTTTAATCAAAAGCATTCGATGGTCATTAGTTATATGTTTGTCAGAAACTCTAGTCTGTTTAAAACGTTATTCTTTGAACTGGAGTATCACGTTCAAGTGCACTGCAAGTCCATAGTGGGTTTTATTGCACTTTTACTTCACCTTTTCCCCAGTGGTAGGCGATTCAGGTTGCATATGAGCTGACAAGCATCAGCAACATAAAGTCGATGCGGGATGATAGACAGTGGGGTTTGTAACTTTCAAAGATGTGGGCAGCCATATTTTAGGGGGCAGACCCAAGTGACGGGTCTGCTTTCATTTACTTGTGTGTGAATATTTTGGTCCCAGGGCTTAGTTATGGAGTTTGACATCTCCTGAGGTGCTCCAGAAAACCACACCCAAGCAAAAATGTGCCAAATGACAACTTAATTACAACCAGGAGATGCGGCATTGTGCAGTTGACCACTGTGGGCACCTCATTCCCAAAACTCAGTCTGCCCTCACATTGTGTGCAGGAGGCAGAAAGCAAGCCAGTGGGGCAGCCTAACAGGGAGGGGGGCCATACCAATCCAGGTTCCAAATGCAGTGGAAAGATGAGAACCAGCCACACATTCGGCGGCCTGCCTCGGACCTAGGATCCTAGGTTCTGTCCTAACTGGCCCATTTCAAGTTGGGACTCAGTCTGTGCTTTTCCCCTAGCCTGATGTGCGGGACACAGTAGGCGTGCTCCGTGGCTAGTGCCTGATAACAGCTCCCAGCACCCTCCTTTCTCAGTGTCTGTGCTCATTCTCATTCCTCCTCCTGGAATATCCTTCTCTTCTTCTCCCGCAGCTAAAGTGCAACCCGTATTTCAAGGTCCCAGCTCAAATTCTATCTCTTCCAAAAGCTTTCTTAGCATCATCTAGATGTCATGGGGCATCTCCTTCTCCTCAGAAATGTAGTTAAACGTGGCCAGTTTCCAGTTTCTTAACCAGGTCTAGTGTGAAGCTCTCCCCTTCACATCCTCAAGTTCCTGAGACATAACCTCCTGTTTCACTCTGTGGCCAGTGCCCTGCATCAAACTATCTCCATTCTGCCTTACTAGGGCCAGAGCACACAACTTAGTGTATGAAAAAGGATTTATATGAAGCGTTTCATAATCTTTGTAGGCATGGTTGAAGATATAGCACTTCAAAGAGAGGAATTACACTGAAAAGCATGCAACCTTGCATCCTCTCCTGGCTCGGTGTCAAGCTCCCACTTCCTTTCTCTCTCTCCCCGCCTTCTTTGCTCTCTCTCACTCTCCCCCAACTCTTTCCCTGTCTCTCCCTCTCTACCTCTCTCCCTCACCACCAACAACGACAAATTGCTTGCTTTGTCCTAGTTAGGGCAATTCATTCAGGACACCTGAGATCTCAGTTTCCATCCAAACTGATGTTTCAGGAAATTTCTTTTGAAAAAAGTTACAGCATTTATCCTTAATAAAATTTTTTTGAAAACAATTTTCGTCAATTGTGTTGCCTTCAGAATTTATATCCCTCTCAAACTCCCATGTTGTATACCTGCATGCTATTGATTCTTATGTAAGAATATATACATAGTCTATTTTTATGTGAGCTTTTTGTGTGTTTATCTTATTCCTCCATCATTTGGAGAGTTCTGGAAAGCACAAACCATGTATATTCATTTTGCATTCCCTTAAAAAGCATAGTACAGTGCTGTGCCCATATAGAACTCTCAAACTTTTCTGGAATTGTATCAGAAAGCAGGTAAAATGATGATGCATTACTCCTCCAAGTAGCATTCAACTAGTTGAGTTTTATTGGGGTGGCATTCACAGAAGTATGCTCAAAGACTACTACCACCACCACCACCCGGTAGTAAGAATCCAAGTAGATACACTGTACACAGCTGTGCTTTGAAGAAAGTAGTCAAATCTCCTGTTAAACAAATTGATAGAATTTTGTCAAATAATTCATTTTTCCGATTAAATCCAAATCTGATTAACTGTTCTTCTTGGTTTAATATTCCTCTACAAATTGTTTAAATTTTATTTCTTTAAATATTATAAACACTCATATTTTATGCCTAAAAATATCAGTATCTGGATTCTTTGTGGATCCATTTCTATTATATGTTGTTTCTGTTGAATCTCATTCATAACATCTTTTTTCTCTAAATGTTTAATGAATCATGGCAGTAAATTTCTTATTTTCCTGAATGGGGTGAAAGTGGTTTCCTCCAGTAGGGGTTTGCATTCATAGAGCTGGGGGCCAGGGAGGGGAATCTGCTTGTCTGGGACCACTTTAAACTACATTCTTAAGTTTTTATCAGGCCATTCAAGTAGTTTGTCTTCAGGCTAAGTATAGGAGAGGAGCTTGTGGTTACAGCTCCCCTCATATTTTTCATATTTCAAAAACTACTATTTGTCTTACTCCTCTCAACAGCTAAGCATTTTCCTTCCAGTCCTGATTATGAGAATGGGAGTGGGTTGGAAGAAAGGTTTATTTTTAGTTCATCCTTCAAGGCCAATAAATCCCAAGCAAGAAAACTTAAAAGGAAACCATAATTACATACTGGAGAACACCCACATCTAAGAGAAGATTGTAAAAGTAATCAGAGAGAAGAAATGGATTATATTCAAGGGGGTAGTTTTTTGACCAAAACTACAATGGAAGCCAGGAAAAAAAGTAATATATCTTCAATGCACTGGAAGAAAACAATTTCTAGCCTCAAATTCCATACCCAGCAAAATATCCTTCAAAAATTAAGGTGAAATAAAGACATTTGCAGACAAACAAAACACTAAGAGAGTTCGTCACCAGAAGAAAGAAATTCTAAAGGATTTCAAGCAGAAGGAACATGATTCCAGATGGCAGGTTAGAGATACAGGAAGAATAAAGAACAAAAAAAGATGAATATATAGGTAAAATTAAACAGATATAAACCACATTAAATAAAAATGATAAAGTCATTGTGAGATTAAGAATAAACAAAAATAAGATACACAATAACTACAGCATATAATGTAAGAGTAGAGCAAATGGAGTTAATATTTTGTTTGAAAACAAGATACTGATTGATTGTAGATTTTGATAAATTAGGTATGCATGTACTAATTGCAGAAGTAATCACTAAGAGATTAGAAATGGAGTGTAGTAAAGAAAAAGATAAAATGAACAATAAACTCAAAAAAGAAGAAAATAAACAGATAAAGCTCAGATTAATAGCACAAAATAAAATGCTAGATATAAATTCAAATATAGCAGTAATTACAATAAATGTAAAAAGACTATTTGTTTCAATTAAAACACAAAAATTTGCAGACCAACTTTTCAAGGAAAAGGCACAACAATAATATTTTATTTCTTAGTCATTATATTAGCAATAGAACTAAAATTCATCTATATTCATACTTTTCAGAAAAAACTGCCTTCTAAATATTTTATCCTTTTAGTTTTTTCTAAAGACATTCATTTTTATATTAAAATAGTAGTTTATGTATATGTTTTACAGCTTTATTCTCTTAAAAATATGAATATATTTTCATATTATTAAAACTTTCTCAAAGATTGCTGTAAGGATTAAATAATACATGTTCAGTAAATTCAGAAAGATTTTGCATTTATTATCATACCATGTGCATAGTATTTTATTGTATGGTTATAATGTATTTAACCAGTCTCCTACTGTTAGATATTGTGGTTGTTTTCAAAATTTCATTAATATATTTAGCTTCAAGGAAACTTCTCAGAGCCAAGTACTGGCACATAACCTTGATGATCCTTGGGCTGTATTTCTTAGTATGTACATTTGATGCCTAGTGCAAAGTTACTCTCCAAAATGTTTGCAAAAATTTACTCTCCCACAAGAAATGTGTGTATTTCCCCTAGTCAAACGAGAGAGATTATTATTTCCCTTGCACTTTTCACAAGTTAAAGAAGCAAATCCGGAGAATTTTCTGTCACCCGATTCATTTAATCCTTCTAGGATCTCCAAACTTTTCTTTTAAAGTCAAAAACAACAGACACAATAGAATGGGCAGAGAGGAGCAAAATCTCTTTCTCCTTTAAAAAACTTTTAAAAGATGATCCTTAATTCTAATTTACTATTTCTTCTGACATCACCTCAAATTACATGTATTTTGAATCCAAAAAAAAAAACAAGATGGATTTTTTTATCTTTATTGGTATATTTGAGTCCTGTCAAAGCAAAGCTCAGAAGTAGAATCACAAAACTGTTAGATTTATATCTCATAGTTCCATGGACAAAACGCTAACATAAGCTCTTTGATCTGATGTTCACAACCCCTCTTTTCTTTCCATTCACACCACTCCATCCTGTGAGATGGTCTGTCTGGGAATATGAATTTGAGTGAGAGGAAGAATTCAAGTCCTTGCTCTGCCATTTTCTGATTGAGAAAGCTTGAATGAGTTAACCTCTTAGTCTCCATTTCTTCCATGCAACCTGATGCTTACAAGCAGATTCTAGAACCACAGATGTGGGTACAGAATCACAGATCTGCCACTTACCAGCAGTTTGTCATGGACAAGTTCAATTATTCCACAGCTTACCTGTGAAATGAGTGTATTAGGAGGTTTATATGAGATCAATTTCTTAACCCAGTACCTGGCTCATAGTAAGTGCCTAATAAATGTTTTGCAGTTCACCTTCATCATTAGTGGATTCTGTATTTGCAAATTCATTTACTTGATACAATTAATTTGTAATATCAAAATTAATATTCATGGTGCTTTCCCAGTTGTTGGTCAACATTCCCAGAATAGCAAAACATTTGAATGACCCAATGTGCACATTCTCAGTGGAGATCAAACAAGGAAACACAGCCTTCCTGTTCAGCTATCACAGACACTGAAGTGTTATTTAGTGTTACTGAGCACAAAAAGGCTGTGATGTCCATTACAAAGAAAATACAGGTATTACATATACTTCATTTAGGCCTGGGATATAGTGCTGATGGCTATGAGTTCAATGTTAATGAATCAACAATATATATTAATATTAAATAGATATCTTTAAACAGAACTCTAAGACACATAAAGCCAAGATTATGTATCAATCAGTTGATGTCCAGAGACTCACATACTTCCCATTAATTCAGTATTCACTAATTCAGTACTTGTGGTAACTTTATAGAACATAACTACCAAGAATAATGAGAATCAACTGTATATTCTTTTTCAACTCTAAAATGAAGATTAGTAACTCCTGTTCACACAGCTGTCATGGTGATATTTATTTGTCAGGAAGTTTTATAAATGTGACATTTCCCATCTGGCTTATCACACTGGCTTCCTAACATGTCTTTCTTGACTCTTTCTCCTCCAGCATAATGGAGCTAATGTATACCTTTTATCAACCCAAAAGATTCCCATTGGCAGCCCAGGTGGTGGGAAAAAATATGGGCTTTGGAGGTACACTCATCTGGGATCCAATCCCCGTCTTTCTACTTAGCAATGATAATGACTTGGGGCAAGTTAGTCTTGAAACTTCAGTCTTCAATTTTCCTAGCCATCTACTGTGACAGAACGGACACCAAAATGCAGATTTTTGTTAAAACCCTCACAGAGAAGACCATCACTTTGGAGACTGAACTCTTGCATACAGTAGGCCAAGATTCAGGATAAGGAAGAAATGCCTCCTGACTAGCAAAAATTGACCTTCACTGGCAAACAACTAGAAGATGGACATCCTCCGTCTGACCACAAAATTCAAAAGGGGTACACTCTCTATCTTATTTTGAAGTTTTGTGGTGGTGCTAAAGAAGAAGTTTTATACAAGTCTCAAGAAGAATAAGCATAAGAGAAAGAGGGTGACACTGGCTATCTTGAAATACTATATAGTGAATGAGAATGACAAAAACTAGTCACCTTCATTGGAAGTGTCCTTCAGATGAATGTGGTGCTAGAGTTTTTAATGGCCAGCCACTTTGACAGATATTACTGTGGCAAATGTTTTCTGACCTACTATTTCAACAAACCAGAATGCAAGTAATTGTACACAGTTAGTAAAAGGCATGAACTAAAAGAGAAAGGAGAAAAGCAGGAAGTCAGGAAGAAAGAAATGAAAAAAGGGAGGGAGGAAGGATGGAGGGAGGGAAGGAGGAAGGGAGGGAGGGAGGGAGGAAGGAAAGAAGGAAGGAAGGAAGGAGGGAAGGAAGGAAGGAAGGAATTCCATTTTTACATGTAATACTTTCCTCTGCCTAAATGATAAAATACAAACTTAATCATTTAAACTGACCATAATATGCCCATCCAGACACCTCTCACTCTATCAGCTAGGGTGGAATATGCACAGGCTCCCTCCTCTGATGGCTGCAGAGCAAAGTGGAATCTGGGGAGGGAGGGAGGAAGTCAGGATAAAAGGAAGGAAGGAAGGAAGGAAGGGAGGGAGGGAGGGAGGGATTCCATTTTTACATGTAATACTTTTTTCTGCCTAAATGATAAAATACAAACCTGATCGTTTAAACTGACAATAATATGGCTCCAGCTTACCTATCATCCTACTTCCTTATATAAATCCCTGACATCCTTATATAATCTTCTCACTGGGCCCCAGGCACATGTTCTTCCCTCCTGCATTTAGTGTTCACTTCCTCCTGTCTGATATGCAATTCTGTTTCCTCTTTATACTGTCTAAATTCTTCCCACCTTTCAAGGTCCAGTTAGAGTCCTACTTCCTCCATGAAGCCTTTCCAGTTACATCAGTATACTATTGTCAATAGACATAGAAAGACTGAGGCAAAGACCAAGAAGGGAATCTCTAGATCTATGAAAAGAGCAAGACAGCACAAAAAAAGAAAAGAAACACCTACCTCCGTTCAATTTTTCAGCAAACCTATGTCTTACTCCCCAGCTTGGCTATTCATTTTTTATTAGTTTCACCCATGGTCTGCTCCCCAAATTTTATGTGTTGAATTTATTTATTCTGATTACAAAATAACCTGAATACTTTCTGTGTACTCAACCTCTGCCCCTATTCTCAAAATCTCCATTCTCTGGTCTACCCACTAGGCTAAAGTCTGACTTTCCCAGTCCAATATTAGCAGTTTACATAGAACTAGAAATGTAGCCCACATATGGCTCATATGGTGTCACCAAATCATATGGGAAACTTCATAAGCATAAGCCCTACCTTACCAACTAAATATAAATTATTTATTGGTAGCTCTTTATGTCTCCCACAGTTTTTAGACAGTGTAATGATAATAATGATATTAATAATAGAATAGAAAGCATTCATCAAGTGCTTGCTATGTCTCAGACACCATGCCAAGAACTTTACAAACATTACATATTTAATTTCCACAAAAAAACCTTTGCAATGTATCTCTGTTTTATACATGAGATAAGAAAACAAAAGCCCAAGAGAAAACAATGCTGATAAGATATCTAGTTAATAAACATTTGCAATAAATTTAAAAAGAAACAATTCTATTTTTTTCTTTCAGATTCTCAAAGACAATCTATGCAACTCTGTAACTTGTTAGCTCCTTTTTTCAATAAGTTTATAAAATTGTCAGACTGCAAAAAATAAGGCCATTTATTTCACCTAGAAACTTCAAATTTTCTGAAACAGGAAAATTTATAGAAACTTCCTAAGCCACAAAATATAAGAAAAAATAAGTCTCTAGCCATATAGGGATCTTCACAAATCTTGCATGTGTTGTTTAAGGCTCCATGACTATAGTAAGAGCTTTTTTTTGATATTGTATAGGAAGAAAGCAAGTTTATAAGAAAGTATATTCTCTTTTTCTAGCTAATAATAGCCTTCTTACTGTTGACCAAAAAAGTTAGTTTCTGGACCTGTACTTTACCTCACATAAATATTGCACAAACTAACACCATAACAATATGACACTAGAGAGAAACATTGGAAAAATATGCAACACTTCATCAGGTTGATTTTTTGGCAAAGATAGCCAAGATATCTGATAAGAAAGAGATACCTTTTAGCCATGAAAATTCAATCTTATCTGTGAAGCTAGATAACTCCTTTCCCCAACTGAATTGGACTGCCTGCCTACCTACAACACATATATCCTTGACAAAGCATAGCTTTCTTATGTTTGAGAAATACCATTCTTTTTGGCCCATCATAAAGTTTGGGGAAATTGAGGGGTGGAGGACACCCTTATAGCTCACCAGTTCAATTATATCAACATAGTGACCATCACTGGCCTACAATAATACTGGCTTTGCATTGGTGTTGATTTTATAGTGTTTTTTCTTACCGAGGCCCAAAGGGCTATTGTTAACATATGACTTCACTTACAATAAAGATTTCTTCCAGGTACTTCTAGAGATAGTGCCAGTAAATCCTATAAAATCTCACTATCAAGTTATTATGAAAGTTAGAAAGACTAACAAAAAAAGTTCCAAAATAAAAGGTGTATAGCAATTTCAGCGGATGCGTGGTCCTGGCCTACCTCACCATACCAGTGCACTCTCCTCCCAGAATGTAAGATACACATGCTTAATATTCAGGTTGTTGCTGGAAACACTGAGTCATATTTGGAGGCATGAGCTCAGACCTGACCTAGAATATAACTGTAATTGCCCTCATACTCAGGAGAAGAGAATATGGGTAAAATACGAAGAAAGTCATATCAACAAAAACTCATCTAAATTTTATCCTCTAAGTCCTCACCAAGTCAAAACTCATCATGTGAGTTTACTAGATACATTTAAAATCCAATTTCAGATATAGCATCAGCAATGCACAGTGGTGCCCCAGTAATCTTAGTACTTAAGGATAAGTAACCTATACTTTGGCTTCTCCTCTCTGAACAAATCTGTGTTTATAATAAGCGTACCAAATCTGCCCCAGCAGAGCAACCCAGTATTTCAATCATCTTCCCAATGTGTGTAACAGCAATGGGAACAACCAGTAGTCAACTAGATTTTGTCATAAAGAGACGAAGAGATCCAATGACTATGCCACCATTTGCTTATGTCTATAGCCTACATTTCCTGACTGCAAACGAAAAACATCTACTTCTTCAGGGTGGCAATGAGCTAGTTAGTAATGGCAGAAGTATGTAACAAGTATTTCTTACAATAATAAGAATAAATGTTTCAAAGAGAAAGAAATTATATAGATTGTAGGGTTGGCATCAGTGGGTTAAATTTCTACCAGATTTAGAAAGAGAGTTTTCATGCATGTTACTTCAAATTCAGAATTGTCATTTATTTCAAAGAACTTCTCCAGTTGCTGTGTTATTACTAGAATGACCCACTCTTTACAGCTTTCCTGGGACAGTCTTGATTTTAACACTGAAAGTCTCTCAAGCTGGGCCTCCAATTAGGGTGAGAAACTTAACCCAATTTTCCTGGAATTGTGTCCATTTTAAAATTGAAAGTTCCCATCTCCCAGAAATCTCTTCAGTCCATGGAAAACCAGGATGGTTGGTCACCTTAGTTGTCACACAGAGAAAATACAAATATGTTATAGGCCTTCATTTTGTCTATCTTGAAAATCGGAACTTCACTGGTAGACTTATACACATACATAAGTAATAATAGTACTAGACAGACATAGAACACTCAATAAATACACTAATATTCATTTCGTGGTGTAATCCTGACAATAAGCTTATCAAGAAGATGAACAATATATTTTCCTCTTTTTGCAGATGAGAAAACTTGGGGGCAAAAGGTTAAGTAACTTTCTAAAAGTCAACTTTTTAATTAGAACATAAGCTACACTTCTATAACAAAGAGACCAAACAATACTGTGACTTAAAAATAACATAATTCTATTGTCTCTTAATTAACAGTATAGAGATAGGCAGGTGGGCTAGGACAGTGAGTAGCTCTGTTCCATGTGATCATTCAGGGACCCAGGTTCCTTCCATGTTGCTCCACCATCCTCGACATTTCAGTCCTTATCCACTTGGTGCAAGCTAACTCTCCAGTGCCACATCAGCGTTCCCAACCATAAGACCAAGTAAAGATCAGTGGGGAAGGGATAGCAATTTTCTTTAAGGAGGTATACTGATATTTCATATATCACATCCACTCACATTTAGTTTAAGAGAACTCACTGACTTGTCAACACTAGATTCAAGGGGTGGAAAACATGGTCTCAACCTGGACAGTCAAGTGTCCCATTCCATTTTCAAAAGAAGGAAGGGGAAATGATTACTTAGGGACAATTAGTAGTCTCCCATGATTAAATAGCTGGGGTTTGGCATTGCGGAGATTACAACCCAAGCCCATCTGATTCTAAAAACCACACTTCTTCCCTCATGCCTTGCCACCTCTAGACCTAATTTGGTGGGAAGGGGCTGGGGTCAGGAAATATGTCAACCAATGAAAGTGCTTCTCAGAGCTTATCAAAAGAAAAATAAGTCATTCTGAGCACCTAGAAACCATCTCTCCTTCCAACTTATCCTGAAAAGGGCTTAAACAAACTATATCCTTTCACTTAAAATCTGACAGAGCTGTGCCTCCTGAGTGCGAAGTGAAACCCAAGGGCTGTCAGTTTTAAAGTGTGATGTTTATTCAAAGATGTGAGAAGCAAAGAGCACATAGGGTCTGCCAAAGAAATAGCAAAATACTATGGATCGTCTCTCTAGCGAAGTCACTGAAGAACAAGGGGGCGGTGGGCAAACCTATGTGTGTACCCATGAAACAAAGCCAATCAATACCATCAAAAACATTGCACTCCATAAATATTCACAATTATCATTTGACAATATAAATAAACAAATAAATAAAAAGGGAGCCACTTAGGATTTTGCTTCTGCTGGCAACGTTACCTGGAAAGAACATTCCTGATTAGAAAGCGGTTTAGGTTACTTTTTAGCTTTTTCAGTTGCTTTTGAAGGTAACATGAGTCTCAAGATGGTATTTCACTTTGACTTTATTCAAGCTTCTGTTGATTCTGGACAAACCTAATTTACACAAGACAACGCTATCTGTTGTCACTGTTCCTTCCCCCTGTTTGGTTTTCTCATTATTCATAGAGGCTTCCAGCTCCTTCCCCTCACTTCAGGCTTATTACTGAGCCCCTTAGAATTTCCGTAACACCAGCTTTGTAGCTCGCTATGAAGAAATGACGACTCAGTAAGAATGGGCCTGCAAGAGATTCACTTCTTGAAAAAGGACAATGAAAATCAGAGGTGAACAACTTTGCTGCTAGCAAAAAAATATATCAGGAAAGAATCTCTGTTGGCTGTACATTTTTTCATTTAAAATTAACATGGGGCTGGGCATGGTGGTGTATGCCTCTAGTCCCAGATACTTGGGAGGCCAAGGCAGCAGGATTACCTGAGCCCAGAAGGTCAAGGCTGCAGTGAGCTATGATCGCACCACTGCACTCCAGTCTGGGCAACAGAGTAAAACTGCATCTTTAAAATAAATAAATAAATAAATAAATAAATAAATAAATGAGTAAATGATACAATTAACATGGCTTTATAGAGTCCCATGGGATAAATGTATATTCTTACAGTGTTGTATACATGCGCACACACACACAAGAACACTCACCAAGCAGATGAGGAATACAACCACAGAATGGTGAAGATGGAACAACAACACAGAGGAAACCTGAATGATCACATGGAGTAGAACTGCCCACCCAGCCTCGCCCACTCACCTAACTCTGGGCTGTTATGTGAGAGATACTACTTTTTCATTTGGTTGGTTAGTTGTTTGTTTTTGATAGCAAGAGAAAATTAGAACTCTCTGAACCATGCTATTATTAATAGTAGAGAATATTTCTAAGTGGCACACATTCAAATAAAAAATGTGATTCCCTTCAGCAGTGCTTGTGCCTGCCTGGATGAGCTTATGGGTTCTATGGACATCACATACATGTCAGTCATGCCCTCCTCATTCAGAGCCACAAAGATTTTTCACACTCACTCTCAGGACCAATGAGATGTATCTTTTAACTGGTCTGTAAATGAAATAAATTTCTCTGCCCCATCATCCGTTAAGTTATGGGCTTTTGAAGTGATGGAAAAAGAGAAAGAAATGGTCTCACATCCCCTAAACAAGTCTCAAAGGCTCCTAGTTCCTGCATTTTGGGGTTGGAGCAATTTGCTTTGCCCTGAGTGAGGCATTTAAGAATATAAAAATGTCATCCATGGCTAATTTAGGGGTCAATGTGAAGCACAGGGATGCAGAGGCAGCTTTCTGATCTCTCTTGCTAAAATTAGGTTGTGGGTTGCATAAAAACACTGGGCACTCTGCTTGTATCACTGTGTCCATGCACTGTTATTGACTGCTTTCAAAGAAGAAAGCTGACCAGCCATCCAAGAAAAAAAAAAAAAAAGATGACTAATTTAAATCAGACAAATCAACACAAGACTGGCCAATCAGTCAATAAAGGCTGACAGTTCCTTTTCTGTGGGTAGGAGCTAGTGTGAGTGCCACTCACGTGCACCCCAAACACCCCAGTTCCCCTTCTCTCTGCCTTCCTGAGGGACTAATTCTTAGCTAAGCTTTCCTCCCTAGGAGCTAGCCAAAGGCAACTGTGTACACATCTTAGATCAGAGTAACTCAAGGAGATTTCCCAAGCCAAGTACAAAATCATTATTTATTCCAGAAGAGGCAGGTTAGCATAGTCCAGGTACCTATGGCCAAACAGCTTTCCTCCTTCCTACTTCCCAGTTCTCACCACTCCTACTTCTCATGCGTTTCTGAGGAAATTTAACCTGCAACTCTCATACTCAATGACAGCTGACTCACACAAACCCCTTCCCATTGAAACTATTGGATAGCCAGAAAATCCATGTGAAGATTTTTACTTTCGACCAGAAAATTGGATGCAAATTGGATGCCTAAGGTTTTGAAGGCCACGTAATCTCCCAAGACATTGGAGTTCTATCAACTCCCACATATAATCACTTCCACATATAGTATGTTTTAAAATAAAATGTTTGTCTTTATTTTCTAACTGGATTCCAACACATTAGGCAGAAACTATTATCCATCTCCCCATTTTACCCACAAGGTCTCCAAGGTTCTAAGAGGAAAGTAGACAAACTATGGTCCATGGCCAAATTCAGCCCCACACCTGTTTTGTAAATAAATTTTTACTGGAACACAGCTGCATCCATTTATTTACATTTTGTCTATGCCTGATTTTGCTATGATGCCAGACTTGAGTAGTTGTGCAGAGACCACATAGCCCAAAAAGCTGAATATATTTGTGATCTGGCTCTTTACAGAGAAAGCTTGCCAATTCCTGCTCAGAGAGATTATCTGGCTTTCACAAAGTCACATTTTGGTAATTTTCCTAAAGGCGATGACACTTAAAAATTTCCGAGAGGCAGTCAAATAATGTCTTTGGTCAAATAATGGCTCTTTCCTTTCTGCCACACTGCCTCCCTGTGTGCTAGTCAGTCTACCCTCTAGGGATCGCTGGTTGGGTCAGCAGGAGGACAGGTCAAATCATAGTTCTAGAGCATCACACAGAGGAAGCACCCAGGACTGTACAGGACAGACTATAAAATGAACAGAAAGTGTCTACCCCATTCTATTGCAAATCTCTTCCTTGCAAGGAGTAGGAAACATGCACACCTCCAAGGCTCTTCAAATTGTTACCCACAACCTTGGGCCATGGGCTTCAGGGACGTTTGCTTGTAGTCCAACCCTTGAAGAAGAGATCTCTCCAGGTGTTCTCAGACATGCCATTACACATTCCGTTCTTAGAACTTTCAGGGTTGGTGTTTGGTGTTTTTACTATTGTTGCTAGTATTGTTGTGGTTTGATTTGGTTGGGTTTTGTGGCTTTTAAGCCTATTTAGTAAGTATCATGCTATTGTCATAGAAAGCTAGTGGCTGCTTATTTAATATCTAGATGATCTTCAAAAGTGGAGAAAGCCAACTGAAATTGAAAACTACTTTTGTAAAAGTCCTAAATGCCTATTATGCGTGTAGTAGTCCTAAAGTTTGGAGATTGTACGTGTGTTTGAGTGGGGGGGGGGGGTGTTTGTCTAAGTGTGTGTGTGTGCGCGCGTGTGTATGTTTGGGAGGTTTGGGAATTTTGTTCTGTTTTTCTTTTATGGAGAAGCAAGAAGTGGGGATAGAAAGTACTAGACTAACCAGTTTCAGGATGTATCTGCATTCTACTAAATAGCAAAACTTGCCCATGTGATCAAGCCCAGTCACTTAAAGTCATAACCAGTGCTGCAAATTGTTCTGCTACAGACCTTGGAAACATGATTAGAAAATATATACTAAAGGATATACTGATCTTGAATAATTTCTTTCCTGCATTAGGCACAAACCTATGGTCACTCAGCCTATGGTAAAAGATTTATCATGTTGCAACTGGTTTGAAAAACTCCAGTGTGTGTGTGTGTGTGTGTGTGTGTGTGTGTGCGCGCGCGCATGTGTGTGTGCATTAAAATTTTTGTTTTGTTTTACCTTGAAGGTTGTAAGTGGTGTAATACTTTTTCCTTTGTTTTCTGTTGCATTTGATAGAGTTAATTTTTTTATTTTATTGGAGTATTTTTAAAGGAATGCTGTTTGGTAAGTATGGTGACCTGGGAGAGGGAAGAAAAACACAGACTTTCTGATCACCCAGGGCTATGAATTACCACTAAGAGAGACTGATTGATCCAAGTGCTATGTTCCCTGCCAGGGGTTGAAAATGAAACTGGTACAAAGAGGTACCAGATAAGAGAAGAGCAAACAAGAGTGTAAAGTAGTGGTTCTGTTGTGGCCAGGCTCACCACCCTGTACTTCATCCTCCTCCTTTGCCTCCACTCTTTTCCCAATAGACATTATTAAACACACTATCAGACACAGTACCTCATGCCTCCAGGGAAATATGAGCACACAGGAACAACTGCTGGATGAATTTGTAACTTATAAACTGAGCAACTCTTGCAGGAGGCAGGAGGAAATAATATAGAGATAGATGGTATAAAAGAGCATTTTAGAGATGTGGGAAGAGAAATAACTGCCTACATTGAATAACCGGACTACTAGAAAAAAGACAACATAAAATAAAGACAAGAAAATATTTGAACAAATAATGGAGATAAATTTCCTGGAAATAAAACAATATTTCTTAAAACCTGAAAATTAAAAAGGCACATAAATGCCAAACAGAGATATAAAGAAAAGGACACCTCTGTCTAGAGGTGAAAACTATCAAAGACAAAGCAAAATTCTAAAAGCTTCTAGAGAAACAGAGCATATCACTGATAGAAAACAAGAATCAGATTGTAATTACACATCTCGGTTCTAATACTATGTAGAAGAAATCAGTGGGGAAAGATTTTAAAAGTATTGAAAAACGATGTATTTAAAACTGGATTTTCCTAAGCAACCAAATTGTTATTCAAATCTGAGAACATAATACAACATTTTGGGCACACAGGCTTCAAAACTTTTTCTACCACAATTCCATATAATGATAAGGAAACACATTCAGAAGTACGAGAGATGTTGGGAGAAATGGAGTATCAAATTTCTTGGTAAGATGTGTCATTGTCCAAACAAATTTAAAGGACTAAAGAAAAGAAAAAGTACATCTATAATAAACTAGAGATGAAATTCTAGACTGTATCAGTATGATAGAGCCAGGAAGACAAAAAGTGTAGGAGCACATGTGACTGTGCTTCTCTTGTTAAATAAGTGTATAAATATGTATACTTATAAAATTTTAGTATATAAATATTGATATGTTTAAGGAATCAGAGAAAAATAAACATGAATCTGAAGAAGGCAACCACCAAAAGCACAAACATAGGATACCGCTTACCTTAGATGACACAGGTTTGAACTGTGCAGGTCCAATTATACGAGGATTTTTTTCAACCAAACATAGATCAAAACTACAGCATTCATGGGATGTGAAGCCTGTGTACACGGAGGGTTGACTTTTCAAATATGTAGGTTCTGCAGGGCCAACTTGTGGGATTTGAGTAGGCCCAGATTTGGGTATACGTGGAGGGTCCTAGAACCAATCATCTGTGTATACCAAGGATGACTGTATATAACTTTCTAACAGACAAAAAAAAAATCCTTCTATCTAATGGAAAACAAGAAAGAATAAAAAAATAAAGAAGATAGAGAATCTGAACCATTTATTCTTTTCAATTTACCTATAAGGTAAATCAAATAATACTTCTCCAAATTCGTGAATACATTCTCTTTAGGTTGACTTCTAGTAGTTATCTTTCCTACTTAGGACTTTTAATCCACCTAAAAATCATTCTTATATATGGGGTGAAGTAAGCAGCAGCATTTTATTCACGTGAAAAACATCACTCGTTATTGAAAAGATCATCTTTTTCTTAGTGCTCTGTAGTACCACCTTTATTGTAAAATCAAATTACCACGTTTATGTATTTTCTGGATGTTCTGTTCTGTTTTAGTGGTGTATATCTATCATTGTACCCATATCATACTTCCTTAGTACTGTAGCTATGTAATAAACATGGATACCTGGTAGAATTAATCCTCCTACTTTGTTCTTGTTGAAGATTGTCTTGCCTATTCTCAGACCTTTGATTTCCATATATTTTTAAAATCAGTTTCTACACATACACAAACACAACACAACCTGACATATTGCTAGGGATTACATCTGTACAATGTTGAGTCTTTCAATCCAGGAATATAATATATCCTCTGACAAAGGAGAAAAGTCATAAGATTATCTCCACAGATGCAGGAAATGCATTTAATAAAAACTAACATCCACTTATAATTTTAAAATGTTAGCAAACAGGAAATAGAAAGAAACTATTTAATCTGATAGAGTACCCACAAATAATCTCCAACAAACATCTATTTAGACCTTCTTTAATTTCTCTTAACATTTTTACTTTTCTGAGAAGAGAGATCACAAATTTTTCTTAGCTATATTTCAAGATAGTTGGTGTTTTTGAAAACTGAATATTTTTTGTTTTCTAATTAGTTATTAGTGATATGTACAATGTATAATTAATTTTGTGTATTGATCTTGTACTTGACAATCTCAGTATATTCAATTATTCATTTTAATAATTTATCTATGTGTTATTTTGGACTTTCTATGAATAATAAGGGTTATATTTTTATTTCTCCTTTTATAAGCAATTTGTTTTTGTTTTAATTGCAATGGCTAGCCAGGCTCTTCAGTAAAAATGTCAGACAGAAAATGGTAATAGTAGATATATTCATCTTGTTTCTGATATGATTTCAGAAAGGAAAAGAAGCTTTTAGTATTTCACCATGAGTGTAAAGATTATTTGTGAGTGCTCTAGCAGATTAAGGAGTTTCCTTCTATTTCCAACTTGCTAAGATTTTATTATTACAAACAGATGCTAATTTTTATTACATGTGTTTCCTGCATCTATGGAGATTATCTTATGACTTTTTTCTCCCTTTTTCTTTTTTTTTTTTTTTTGAGACAGAGTTTCTCTCTTGTTGCCCAGGCTGGAGTGCAATGGTGCGATCTCATTTCACTACAACCTCCGCCTCCCGGGTTCAGGCGATTCTCCTGGCTCAGCCTCCTGTATAGCTGGGACTACAGGCGCCCGCCACCAGGCCCAGCTAATTTTTTGTGTTTTTAGTAGAGATGGGGTTTCACCATGTTGGCCACGCTGGTCTCGAACTCCTGACCTCATGTAATCCACCCACCTTGGCCTCCCAAAGTGCTAGGATTATAAGCATGAACCACCGCTCCCAGCCTCCTTTATTCTTTCATACAATGAATTAGATTGGTTGATTGTGAATGTTGAACCAAACTTATATTTCTGGCAAAAAAAAAAATTGTTCTTGATGTAGTATTCTTTTTATGTATTGCTGGATTAGGCTTTCTAATACTTATTTCAGATTTTTAAATTTGTATTGATGAATGAGATTAGCCTGTAATTTTACTTTCCTATAATGCCCATATCAGGAAATGTTATCAAGATTATGAAGGCCTTATAAAATCTGTTAGGTTGGAGAATGCTTTATACCATATGCAGGAGCCAACAGTCACCAAGCCAGGACAGCCTGACAACCTGGGCCTGAGCAAGCAACACCACAGCCCTTGGGCAAAACTATTGTCAAGCCAACTGTTAGTAGTGAGCACCTGGCCAGATAGGTGCTGTGGGCTAGGGATGTGGGCAAGGGAGTTGGCTGGTACATAGACTGCTGAGCATGCACGCAGACATTTTCTCTCTCCCCATCTGTACAAAAAGTGCCTCACAACCTTCAGAATCACAGTTTTGACCCTCGTATCCCAGGATTTATTTTGTCACAGAATCCAGCAAAGTTGCAATTCTTCGTGTTCCAGCCCTGAGTGGAGTAAGAAACTTCCAGCAGAGTTGATAAAAATGACAAACTCAAAAACTTTCCCAGGTTATCTGCCAAATTGTCGCTGAATTTAGTGCTGTATCCACTGCAAACCTCATTTAGCAAATCTCCAAGTTATTTCATGTTGGTCAAAACAAAGACTGCCTCTTTAATTCTGGGAGAATGTAGGCTGTGGCCCAGCAGAGGGGAGGCCATCTCTGTAGTTAGCATGCTGTAGCAAAGATCTGCTGTGAAAACTGTAAAATTACTCTTGGTTGGAAATAGAAACCTGCCTTTGAGAGCAGTCAGCAATGTTAAGAGATGAAAGTTTATTACTGAATGAGCTCACATGTTCAAAGACAATGGTTGGCATAAAAACTTTCCGTTCTGTTTTGAATACCATTTTGTGAAAGACAGGATGAAAACAAAGGGGTGTCCTTGTTGATAATATTTCTTTAATTTTAACCTCATAGACTCACAGCAACGCTCGTGACACTCCTTATGGTTTCTTCGGCCTATTCTTCTTGGATAAGGTATTCCCTCTTTTATATATCATCTTATTTATGCAGTTACTTCTGAAGCTCCTGGTGACCTTTCTCTAAACTTTTGCATTTGACAAAAATAATGAATCAACTACTGAACTCATGTTCAGTAGATAACCAAAATGAGAATCTCTAGAGAATATAGGAATAAAGTCTCTCTTCTATAAAAATGTCTCACCACTATACTTTATTAGAGTGAAGAAAATAGAATGTTATAGTTCATCATTTAAAAATTGCAAACAGTGAAATTTAACTGGATACTCATGCAGATGAATTGCTAAATTCATAATGCTCCTTAGATGTCTTCTAGAAGCAGCACTAAATTTATATATCAAGGATGTTTTTAAATTTGTTCAAAATAGATGACCTCAGAATTTTATATAGAATATTACTGAAAAAATATGCCTAGTGTTAATATCTTGCATATTTAAGCATTGTGGTGTCTTATCTAAAAATCAAGTAAATTAGTTGTTATAAATGACTGCCTACCTAAAAGCAGAAAGAGACATTTATTATTAAGGAAACATTCATGTCTCGTTCAGTTAATGGAATTGGAAATTACACCTCAAATTTACACATCAGTAAATTATTTTATGGCTTTCAATGAAAATAACTTAATGCTGGACAAAGGAAAATTCCGAGTTCTTAGTCTACTATTAATTGACTTGAAGAACAATAATTCTTTTTGCAAATCAAAGAAGCCAGAACCAAAAGGAAATTAGATACTTGAAATACACCCAGACTACATCTTAAAATTTTTCAGAAAAGGTTAAAATTATAAGATAAGATTAACATTTTTAAGTGAACTGATATTTGATTTTCTGGATTAAAAAGAAAAAAACAGTTTTTTCTGAGTTTATTTTTTTCTACCCATTAGAAGAGATTGTGTAAAAATGGTATTGTTTCCTTCTAAGGTAACTGGTAAAACTCATTAAAGAAGTCATTTAAGCCAGGAGTTTTCATTGACTGACAGTTTGAAATTACTAATACAATGTTTTTAATCCTCGTAGAAGTCTTCAAACTTTCCAGTCATTTTGATGTGTGGCATTTTTCTAACAGTTTTTTTATTTCATCTAAATTTAGTAACTTGTATTTTCCTAGCAATTTGTCCATTTCATCTAAATGTGTCAATGTATTGCCATAAATTGTTCATAATATTTTATAAGGTTGTTTAATGGCTATACACTACATAGTGAAGTCTCATTTTTCATTTCTAATATCTCTCCTGTCTTGTTGCTCAGTATTATCCATGGGTTTATTTATGACCAATTATTCTTTTCTGTTTTTATTATACTTTAAGTTCTAGGGTACATGTACACAACATGCAGCTTAGTTACATATGTATACAAGTGCCATGTTGTTGTGCTGAACACATTAACTTGTCATTTACATTAGGTATATCTCTTAATGCTATCCCTCCCACCTCCCCCAACCCCACCACAGGCCCCAGTGTGTGATGTTCCCCATCCTGTGTCCAAGTGTTCTCATTGATCAATTCCCACCTATGAGTGAGAACATGCGGTGTTTGGTTTTCTGTCCTTGCCATGGTTTGCTCAGAATGATGGTTTCTAGCTTCATCCATGTTCCTACAAAGGACATGAACTCATCCTTTTTATGGCTGCATAGTAGTCCATTGTGTATATGTGCCACATTTTCTTAATCCAGTCTATCATTGATGGACATTTGGGTTGGTTCCAAGTCTTTGCTATTGTGAATAGTGCCACAATAAACGTACGTGTGCATGTGTCTTTATAGTAGCATGAATTATAATCTTTTGGGTATATATCCAGTAATGTGATGGCTGGGTCAAATGGTATTTCCAGTTCTAGATCCCTGAGGAATCGCCACACTGTCTTCCACAATGGTTGAACTAGTTTACAGTCCCACCAACAGTGTAAAAGTGTTCCTGTTTCTCCACATCCTCTCCAGCACCTGTTGTTTCCTGACTTTTTAATGATCACCATTCTAACTGGTGTGAGATGGTATCTCACTGTGGTTTCGATTTGCATTTCTCTGATGGCCAGTGATGATAAGCATTTTTCATGTGTTTGTTGGCTGCATAAATGTCTTCTTTTGAAAAGTGTCTGTTCATATCCTTTGCCCACTTTTTGGTGAGGTTGTTTGATTTTTTCTTGTAAATTTGTTGAAGTTCTTTGTAGATTCTGGATATTATCCCTTTGTCAGATAAGTAGATTGTAAAAATTTTCTCCCATTCTATAGGTTGCCTGTTCACTCTGATGGTAGTTTCTTCTGCTGTGCAGAAGCTCTTTAGTTTAATTAGATCCCATTTGTCAATTTTGGCTTTTGTTGCCATTGCTTTTGGTGTTTTAGTCATGAAGTCCTTGCCCATGCCTATGTCCTGAATGGTATTGCTTAGGTTTTCTTCTAGGGTTTTTATGGTTTTAGGTCTAACATTTAAATCTTTAATCCATCTTGAACTAATTTTTGCATTAGGTGTAAGGAAGGGATCCAGTTTCAGCTTTCTACATATGGCCAGCCAGTTTTCCCAGCACCATTTATTAAATAGGGAATCCTTTCCCCATTTCTTGTTTTTGTCAGGTTTGTCAAAGATCAGACGGTTGTAGATGTGTGGTATTATTTCTGAGGACTCTGTTCTGTTCCATTGGTCTATATCTCTGTTTTGGTACCAGTACCATGCTGTTTTGGTTACTGTAGCCTTGTAGTATAGTTTGAAGTCAGGTAATGTGATGCCTCCAGCTTTGTTCTTTTGGCTTAGGATTGTCTTGGCAATGCAGGCTCTTTTTTGCTTCCATATGAAGTTTAAAGTAGTTTTTTCCAATTCTGTGAAGGAAGTCATTGGTAGCTTGATGGGGATGGCATTGAATCTATAAATTACCTTGGGCAGTATGATCATTTTCACAATATTGATTCTTCCTATCCATGAGCATGTAATGCTCTTCCAGTTGTTTGTGTCCTCTTTTATTTCATTGAGCAGTGGTTTGTAGGTCTCCTTGCAAAGGTCCTTCACATCCCCTGTAAGTTGGATTCCTAGGTATTTTATTCTCTTTGAAGCAATTGTGAATGGGAGTTCACTCATGATTTGGCTGTTTGTCTGTTATTGGTGTATAGGAATGCTTGTGATTTTTGCACATTGATTTTGTATCCTGAGACTTTGCTGAAGTTGCCTATCAGCTTAAGGAGATTTTGGGCTGAGACGATGGGGTTTTCTAAATATACAATCATGTCATCTGCAAACAGGGACAATTTGACTTCCTCTTTTCCTAACTGAATACCCTTTATTTCCTTCTCCTGCCTGATTACCCTGGCCAGAACTTCCAACACTATGTTGAATAGGAGTGGTGAGAGAGGGAATCCCTGTCTTGTGCCAGTTTTCAAAGGGAATGCTTCCAGTTTTTGCCCATTCAGTATGATATTGGCTGTGGGTTTGTCATAAATAGCTCTTATTATTTTGAGATACGTCCCATCAATATCTAGCTTATTGAGAGTTTTTAGCATGAAGGGCTGCTGAATTTTGTCAAAGGCCTTTTCTGCATCTATTGAGATAATCATGTGGGTTTTTTCTCTGGTTCTGTTTATATGATGGATTATGTTTACTGATTTGTGTATGTTGAACCAGCCTTGCATCTCAGGGATGAAGCCAACTTGATCATGGTGGATAAGCTTTTTGATGTGCTGCTGGATTTGGTTTGCCAGTATTTTATTGAGGCTTTTTGCATCGATGTTCATCAGGGATATTGGTCTAAAATTCTCTTTTTTTGTGTCTCTGCCAGGCTTTGGTATCAGGATGACGCTGGCCTCATAAAATGAGTTAGGGATGATTCCCTCTTTTTCTATTGATTGGAATAGTTTCAGAAGGAATGGTACCAGCTCCTCTTTGTACCTCTGGTAAAATTCGGCTGTGAATCTGTCTGCTCCTGGACCTTTTTTGGTTGTTAGGCTATTAATTATTGCCTCAATTTCAGAACATGTTATTGGTCTATTCAGGGATTCAACTTCTTCCTGGTTTAGTCTTGGGAGGGTGTATGTGTCTGGGAATTTATCCATTTCTTCTAGATTTTCTAGTTATTTGCATAGAGGTGTTTATAGTATTCTCTGATGGTAGTTTGTATTTCTGTGGGATCAGCGGTGATATCCCCTTTATCATTTTTTATTGCGTCTATTTGATTCGTCTCCTTTTCTTCTTTATTAATCTTGCTAACGGTCTATCAACTTTGTTGATCTTTTCCAAAAACCAGCTCCTGAGGCCAGGTGCAGTGGCTCACGCCTGTAATCCCAGCCCTTTGGGAGGCCGAGGCGGGTGGATCACAAGATCAGGAGATCGAGACCATCCTGGCTAACATGGTGAAACCCCGTCTCTACTAAAAATACAAAAAATTAGCTGGACATCACGGCGGGCGCCTGTAGTCCCAGCTACTTGGGAGGCTGAGGCAGGAGAATGGCATGAACCTGGGAGGTGGAGCTTGCAGTAAGCGGAGATCACGCCACTGCACTCCAGCCTGGGCGACAGAGCGAGACACTGACTCAAAAAAAAAAAAAAACACCAGCTCCTGGATTCATTGATTTTTTTGAAGGGGTTTTTGTGTCTCTATCTCCTTCAGTTCTGCTCTGATCTTAGTTATTTCTTGCCTTCTGCTAGCTTTTGAATGTGTTTGCTCTTTCTTCTCTAGTTCTTCTAATTGTGATGTTAGGGTGTCAATTTTAGATCTTTCCTGCTTTCTTTTGTGGGCATTTAGTGCTATAAATTTCCCTCTACACACTGCTTTGAATGTGTCCCAGAGAGTCTGGTATGTTGTGTCTTTGTTTTCTTTGGTTTCAAAGAACATCTTTATTTCTGCCTTCATTTTGTTATGTACCCAGTAGTCATTCAGGAGCAGGTTGTTCAGTTTCCATGTAGTTGAGTGGTTGTGAGTGAGTTTCTTAATCCTGAGTTCTAGTTTGATTGCACTGTGGTCTGAGAGACAGTTTGTTATAATTTCTGTTCTTTTACATTTGCTGAGGAGTGCCTTACTTTCAACTATGTGGTCAATTTTGGAATAAGTGTGATGTGGTGCTGAGAAGAATGTATATTCTGTTGATTTGGGGTGGAGAGTTCTGTAGATGTCTATTAGGTCCACTTGGTGCAGAACTGAGTTCAATTCCCGGATATCCTTGTTAACGTTCTGTCTCATTGACCTGTCTATTGTTTTTGTGATTAAGCTAGAGATTACAATGTATCTTTTGCTTCTTAAAATATTTTACTACTTTCCGAAATGCAAGTACTTTAAAACACTTTAACTCTATTTACTACTCACTTTACATGGATTTTATTGCAAATATATATATGCTCAGATTCTTCAACAAAATACTAACAAGCTATAATACAACTAGCAATATAACAATGCATTGAAAAGATGATACATCATGACCAAGAAGGATCTATTCCTGAGATGCAAGGATGGTTCACACTACCAAAAATAATCAATGCAATCCCTATCAAAATCCCACTAGTATTTTTTATAGAAATAGAAAAAACAATCCTAAAATTTATATGGAACCAAAAAAAATCCTGAATAGCAAAAGAAATCTTGAGAAAAAAGAGTAAAACTGGAGGCTTTAAACTTCCTGATTTCAAAACACACTACAAAGCTATAGTAATCAAAACAGTATGATACTGGAATAAAAACAGACATATTGACCAACGGAACAGAATAGAGAGCCCCCAAAAATTCATTCATATGTAGTCAACTGATCTTTCATAAGGATGCTAAGAATACACAATGGAGAAAAGATAGTCTTTTCAAGAACTGGTACCAAGGAAATGATATAAACCATGCAAATGAATAAAATTGGACAATTACCTTGTACCATACATATAAGTAACTAAAAATGGGTTACATATTTAAGACCTAAAACTATAAACTCCTAAAAGAAAACAAAAGAGCCTTCATGGCATTGGCATTGGCAATGATTTCTTGGATATGACATCAAAAGCACAAGCAACAAAATTAAAAATAGATGAGTGGGATTATCAAACTAAAAAGCTTCTGCACAGCAACAGAAATAATCAACAAAATTAAAAGGCAACATATAGAATGGGAGAAAATATTTGTAAAACATATATCTAATAAGAGGTTAATAGCCAAAATATATCAGGAACTCCTATAATTCAATAGAATAAAAAATGATAATAAGATTAAAATGGGCAAATAAGGCCGGGCGCAGTGGCTAACACCTGTAATCCCAGCACTTTGGGAGACCGAGACAAGCAGATCACAAGGTCAGGAGTTCGAGACCAGTCTGGCCAATATGGTGAAACCCCATCTCTACTAAAAACACAAAATTTAGCCAGGAGGGATGGCAGGCGCCTGTAGTCCCAGCTACTCAGGAGGCTGAGGCAGGAGAATTGCTTGAGCCCAGGAGGCGGTGGTTGCAGTGAGGCCGAGATCGCACCACTGCACTCCAGCCTGGGCAATGGAGCAAGACTCCATCTCAAAAAAAAAAAAAAAATGGGTGAATAACTTGAATAGACACTTCTACCAAAAAAAAGACATACAAGTAGCCAACAGATATATAAAAGATGCTCAACATCACTAATTGTCAGGGAAATTCAAATCAAAAGCACAATGAGATATCACCTCACACCTGTTAGGATGTGATAAAACAGTAGATAAAACAAAAGATAACAGTTGGCAATAATGTAGAGAAATTGGAACCCTCGAATGCTGTTGTTGAGGATGTAAAATGTTACATCCATTATGCAAAACAGGCTCCTCAAAAAAATAAAAGTAGAACTACCGTATAATCCAGCAATCCCACTTCTGGGTATGTACTCAAAGGAATTGAAATCAGAATCTGGAAGAGATATGTGTATTTCCACGATTACAGCAACATAATTTAAAATAGCCAAGATATAATAAAAACCTAAATATTCATCAGTGGATGAATGGATAAAGAAAATGTGGTATATACAAAACAATGGAATATTAGTCAGCTTTTAAAAAAAAGATATGCCATACGCAACAACATGGATGACCCTGAAGGACATTATGCTAAGTGAAATAAGCCAGTCACAGAAGGAAAAATGCCACATAATTTCACTTATATGAGGCATCTAAAATAGTACATTTAAGTGTATTCATGTATTTTGTCTTTATTTTCCCTTCAATTTTGAGAGACATTTTCAATGAATATAAAATTTTAAGTTGGTGATTATTTTCCTTTAGCACTTTGAACATATGATTCTATTATCCTCTGATTTTCATCATTCCTGTTGAGAAAAAAAGTGTTAGGCCGTTGTTGTTCCTTTGAAGATAACAGAGCTTTTTTTCCTTTGCCTGCCTTTAAGATTTTTTTCTCTGTCTTTGGTTTTCAGCAGTTTTCTCTAATGTGCCAAGATATGGTTTTCTTTTTATTTATCCTGTTAAGTGTTCATAGTATTTCTTGAATCTATGGTTTCATATCTTCCATCGGATTTGGAAAGTTTACAGCCTGTGTCTCTTCAAATGTTGCTGTTGCTGCTATTGCATTCCCTGTTTCCTACTGCTAAAATTCTAATTTCGGGTATTTTGTGTCTGTTCATGATGTTTCATATGATTCTTAATTTCTTTTATCTATTTTCTACCTTTTTATCTCTCCATGTTTTATCTGGGTTGACCTTTCTAACCTACCTTCCAGTTCACTGAAGTTTTTCTTCGGCTTGATTTAAGTTGCTATTAAATTCATCCATTGCATTCTTAATTTTAAGTATTATATTTTTATCCCTAGAATTTCCATTTGGTTCTCCATCATAGTTTTCAATTTTTTGATGAAATTTTAAATCCTATATTTTAATTCCTTAAAAAATGGTTACTTGCAAGTGTGTGTCTGATAATTCCATCATCTGGATGCCCTAGGAGTCTTTTCTATTGTATATTGTCTCCACTGATTTATAGACAAGTCTTTTCTACTTTTACACTTGGATTTTTTTTTGGCTTGAAATTTGAACATTATTTTAAAAATCAAGAGATTATTTGAAATATTGGATATGTTGGCTTCCTAGAGAGGATTTATCTTTTTTT
The DNA here is from genome assembly GCF_000001405.40 of Homo sapiens. Lineage (NCBI taxonomy): Eukaryota > Metazoa > Chordata > Mammalia > Primates > Hominidae > Homo > Homo sapiens. The sequence goes on along the minus strand of NC_000009.12, from coordinate 1,143,612 downwards.
TTTGGCAGGCAACCTGGCTGAAACACAGACAATTCCAGATTATCATAGTCCAATCAGGGGTTCCTTTTATTCAAAGCTAAGCTTTAGTATCTGTAAGAACTGCTCTATTTTTGATGCACCCTTATTCATATAGTGACTCTATCCCAACCATTTGTGTTTTGACTCAAAATTTGTAGCTTATTTGGGCCCCTACACTTTGAAGGGCTCTGAAATTCAACTTTTGGCCTCAACTCATGAGTCTGTTAAAGTCTCTGTTCAGCTTATTATCAGCAAATGAAATGAGCAAATGTCTCCAGGGGAAAATCAGTCCCAAATGCTGGACTCACTGCTCTGAGACTTCTTTCCCAGATGCTGACCCACAGTATCTCAGTGCCTTTCTTATAGATTTACAATGCCTTTAAACAGATTTTTTAAAATATTTCTTCAGCTTTTCTAGTTGCCTTAAGTGGAAAGTCAGTCTAAAACAGCTCGTATGCCATTACTAGAAGTAGAAGTCTCCTTAGTGACTTTTTAACCTCCAAACTCTCAGTCACATCTTTTTAGATACCACCAATCTTTTGAAAGATTTTATATTTATGATCTCTATTTCTTCTCTGCATAGTCACAACTTAATCCACTCTAGTCTGACTTCTGCCTCAAGTATCCACCAAAAAAGATAAAGCTGAAGTCATCAGTGACCTCCGTTTTGCTAAGCCAATATCTTTCTCAGCCTTCTTATCCTCTGACTTCTCAGCAACATTTGTCACTGCTGATATCTCCTTCCTTTCACTTCCTGAAATATTCTCTTTCCCTTTGTTTCCATATTATAATTTTCTCCTTTTGCTGTCTCATTCTTCTCTGCCATGAAAATTAATGTTGAAATACAGACCTGTTTTTTAACACTCTACACTCTCTTAGATGATCCCATTTATCGAAGCAAATGACTTATCTATGTGCAAAAAACTCATATGTTTTTATGTCCAACTCAGACATCTCCTCTGTGCTCCAATCCATAAATCCAAGGAGCTACTTGAAGAAACTTCCTTTTGAATCTCATAGTGACACTTCAAAATCAAAAGGTCCAAAATCAAACTTATAATTACCCACAATTTAAAATAGAGGAGAGAAGGTGATGTCAGCCAGATGGCAGAGAAGGAGATCTTGTCTTTCATTCCCCCTACGCGCACACACACACACACACATAAACAACCATGCACAATTAGACAACTATCCATGAATGAAAATATCCCTGAAAGAGCTCAGGAGTCAAGTTAAGAAGCTGAAACACAGTGACATCAGCAAGATGGCAGAATAGTAGGTCTCAGGCTTCACTACCCTCCTCCACAGAAAGTACAAGCAGCAGCTATTGACAGAGAAGAACACTTTTGTGAAAACCCCAATATTTGGGAATGAGACTGAGACTCCTGCAAGGGCCACAAAATTGAATAAAAACATTAGAAAAGGAGGAGAAATGGACTTAGCCTGCACTACCCCTTCTCCTACCCAAAGTTGGCACAGCACTACACAAAGAGAATTCCCCTGGGTTTATGGTTTCCATAGTAGAAAAAGAGAACCAGAGGTGGACATCCAGCTTCCCTAGTATGCCAAAATGCTTCCTAGGAAGCTGATTCCAGTCTCACCTCTCCAGAAACACTTGGGATAATGGCAGGGCTGGACCACTTGAAGTCAGGTAGAAACAAAGAAAGGAGGCAGAGCTCACAGTGACCAGCAATCAGATCTTGGTGGTAACTCTGTGTTTCTATTGATGATAGCTCCCACTCACAGGTACCAACCAACAGCATAGCTACTCACAATGCTAAGCCAATCATTCTCAAAAGCACGGAGGAAAGTTCAACCTGGCTTGAGTCCCTAAGTAGCCAGCTTCCATGCCCAGCCTCAGAGCCCATCCCACAGCCCGGACCAGGCAGAGAGTTACCTGCTTCCACACATTTCTTTTTTTTTTTTTTTTTTTTTGAGACGGAGTCTCACTCTTTCACCCAAGTGGGAGTGCAGTGGCACGATCTCAGCTCACTGCAAGCTCCGCCTCCCGGGTTCACGCCATTCTCTTGCCTCAGCCTCCCGAGTAGCTGGGACTGCAGGCACCCACCACCGCGCCCGGCTTTTTTTTTTTAATTGTATTTTTAGTAGAGATGGGGTTTCACTGTGTTAACCAGGATGGTCTCGATCTCCTGACCTCGTGATCCACCCGCCTCGGCCTCCCAAAGTGCTGGGATTACAGGCGTGAGCCATCGCGCCCAGCCCACACATTTCACCAGAGTTTAGCGGCTGACCTGCTCAACCCAGGAGTTTAAACAGCGACTCTACCCAACCACAGATCCCAGCCCAGCAGGGATTTGCCTACCACTACACATTACAGCAGAGAGCAGGGGTTAGAACTGCCAACACAAGAGTTCAAACAGCAGCTCTGCCCAGCCTCAGAGCCTACTCTAAGGCCCCATCCAGTCAAGGGGATGCCTACCCTTGTGCATTTTGGCAGAGCTTAAGAGCTGGACTTGCCTGACTCAAGAGTCCAGGCAGTGGATTGCACTAGCCTCAGAGACTACCTTAATCCCTAGGATAGAGACAAGCCTCAACTGTACATTTCTATGTATCCTGCTTGGTCCCATATTTCCCAAGCAGTGACTTGCCTAACCTCAGAGCTCTCTACAGCCTTGTCCAACTGCAGGACTCACATAGTGATACCATCTAGCCAGAGAAGCCACTCTGCAACCCAGACAGATCAGAGGCAATCACAGTGTCCAGCCAACAGTCCCACCTGATTACAGAGCCTACCTAGTGGTCTTGTCAGACAGTGGAGCCCCGTCAGCTGCCTCACCTGAACCCAGAGTGAAAGTGGCAGCCCAGCCAACTAGTAACTTATGTCTAACTGAGGTCATTACCAGCTGGCCCATCTAGAATCACAAGCTGGACTAAATGGTAAGGGCCTATCCTTGCCAAGGAACACTGAAAAAGGCCAGGATAAATAGCTATCTCCTCAAATGTGCAGACGCCAACACAAAGACACAAGAATTATAAAGAACCAGGGAATTGCCTGGGTGCAGTGGCTCATGCCTGTAATCCTAGCATTTTGGAAGGCCAAGGCGGGTGGATCACTTGAGGTCAGGAGTTCAAAACCAGCCTGTCCAACACAGTGAAACCTCATCTCTACTAAAAATGCAAAAAAAAAAAAAAATAGCTGGCCATGGAGGTGGACGCCTGTAATTCTAGCTACTTGGGAGGCTGAGACAGGAGAATCGCTTGAACCTGGGAGGCAGAGATTACAGTGAGCTGAGATCATGCCATTGCACTCCAGCCTGGGTGACAAACTGAGACTCTGTCTCAAAAAAAAAAAAAAAAGAACCAGGGAATTATGACATCATCAAAAGAAACTCTGAGAACTCCAATAATGGACCCTAAAGAAATGAAGATCTATGAAATGACAGTCAAAGAATTCAGAATAATCCTATTAAAAAAATTCAGTGACCTATGAGAATATATGGATAGAAAATTAAATGAAATTTTAAAACAATGTACAAACAAAATGAGAACTTTTTTAAAGAAATAGAAACAGTTTTAGAAAATAGAAATCCTAAAGAGGAAGAATACAATGACTAACTGAAAAATTTAATAAAAGGCTTCAATCACAGACTTAATCAGAAGAAAGAATCAGTGAGCCCAAAGAAAGAACATCTAAAATTGTCCAGTCAGAGGAGCAAAAAGAAAAAAAAGAATTTAAAAGAATGAAGAAAGCCTATGGGAATTATGAGACACCATCAGGAAAACTAAGAATCACATAATAAAAGTTAAGGAAGGAGAGAGGAAAGGGGGAAGAAATCAAATTTAAGAAAATAATGGCTGAAAGCATCTCATATTTGGGGATAGATACCAACATTCAGGTACAGGAAGTCCAGAGCTCTCCAATCAAATTCAACTCAAAGAGGGCGGGGCACAGTGGCTCATGCCTATAATCTCAGCATTTTGGGAGGCCGAGGTGGGTGGGTCTCTTCGGGCCAGGAGTTCGAGACCATCCTGGCCAACATGGGGAAACCCCATCTCTACTGAAAATACAAAAATTAGCTGGTGTCATGGTGCATGCCTGTGGTCTCAGCTACTTGAGCGGCTGAGGCATGGGAATCACTTGAACTCAGGAGGTGGAGGTTGCAGTGAGCCAAGCTTATGCACTGCACTGCAGTGCAGGCAACAAAGCAAGACTCCATCTCAAAAAAAAAAAAAAATCAACCCAAAGAGGAGTTCACAAAGACACATAATAATCAAACTATCAAAATTAAAAGACAAAGAAAAATCCCGACAACAGCAAGACATAATAACACATTTACATATAAGGAAATTCTAATACAACTACCAGCAGATTTCTCAGGAGAAATCCTGCAGGCCAGGAGGAAGTGAAATAGTATATTTAAAGTACTGAAGGAAAAAATAACACTGCCAACCAAGAACTCTTTACCAGGCAAAGCTGTCCTTCAGAAATAAGGGAGAAATAAAAACTTCCCCAAACAAACAAAAGTTAAGGGAATTCTTAACCACCAGGCCCACATTACAGAAAATGCTTAAGGGAATTCTTTACACTGAAATGGAAAGCCACACTAATTAATAACATAAAACACATGATAGCACAAAACTCAATGATATAAGTAATACAGAGACATATTCAGAACACCCTAGGGCTTTAATTGTGGTGTATATAGCAATTTTAACTCTAGTATGAGGGTTAAGAAACAAAGCTATTAAAAAACAACTACAGCTAAAATAAATTGCTAAGGGATAAAAATTACAAAACTGATGTAAATTTTGATATCAGATATATAAAACATGGAGGGGGAGTAAAAGTGCATCATTTTATACACTCAAAATTAACGTGTTATCTGCTTGAAATAGCCTGTTATAAGTGTTTTCAGTAAGCTTCATGTAACCACAAGGCAAAGATATATAGTACATGTAAAAAACACACATAGAAATGATTCGAAGCATACCACTACAGAAAATTGCCAAATGACAACAAAAGACAGCCAGAGAGGAAGAAAGAAACAAATCATCTACAAACAACCAGAAAACAAATTACAAAATGGCAGTAGTAAGTCCTTAGCTATCAATAATTACTTTGAATATAAGTGGATTAAATTTTCCAATAAAAAGATATAGAGTGACTGAATGGATTTACTCGAAGACCCAATTATATGCTGTCTACAAGAGACTCACCTCAGTTTTTAGGACATACATAACTAAAAGTGAAGAGATAGAAAAAGAGAGTTCATGCAAATATAAACCAAAAGAGAGCCAACTTGGCTATAGAGATATCAGACAAAACAGACAGTAAGCCAAAAACTGTAAAAGGAGATAAAGAAGGTCATTATATAATTATTTAGTGGTCAATTCACTAAAAGAATATAAAAATTGTAAATATATTTGCACCCAACATTGGAGCACTTAAATATATAAAGCAAACATTAAAAGATATGAAGGGAGAAATAGATTCCAACACAGTAAAAGCAGGGACTTTAGTACTCTACTTTTGACAATGAACAAATCTTCCAAACAGAAAAATCAATAAAGAAACATTGTACTGGAACTATACTTTAGTCCAAATGAACCTAACAGACATATATACACCATATTCCATCTAACAGCAACAGAATACACATTCTTCTCAAGTGCACATGAAATATTTTCCAGGTTAGATTACATGTCACAAAACAAGTCTGAACAAATTTAAAAGGACTAAAATTATATTAAGTATGTTTTCTGATCACAGTGGTGTGAAACTAGAAATCAAGAACAGGAGAAATCTTGGAATATTGGCAAATACATGAAAATTAAACAACATTACCCTGCATAATCAATGGGTCAAAGAAAAATTCAAAAGGGAAATTTTTAAAATGTCTTGACATAAGTGCATGTTGTAGATCCAAGGAGAAAGAACTGGAAAAGTTGCTGCCAGAGAAAGGATATAGGACTGAAGCAAATCTCCCTTTAGGGAGAAGGGAAGAAGTTCTCAACTCAAGTATATAAAGAGGTCAGTGTTTCTGGGGTAAAGACATTATCCTTTTCCAGAACTGCAGGGAAGACGAGGAAAGGGATGGGATAGGCATCTGTTAAAATGGTAGTAGGAGCAGCTTGGGAAGATGGCGTCTGAAATTAATTTATCTGAGGGGGCTTGGAGTGAGATAGCATGACAGTTCAGTAAGGAAAGAACAGTGCTCATGCATACTAAAAAAAAAACAGTCTTCAGACAAATGAAAATGAAAATACAACATACCAAAACTTATAGGGTGCAGCAAAAGCAGTTCTAAAAGGGAAATTTTTAGCAAAAAAAAAGTCTTCATTGAAAAATTTTGGGAGGCCGAGGCGGGCGGATCACGAGGTCAGGAGATCGAGACCATCCCAGCTAAAACGGTGAAACCCCGTCTCTACTAAAAATACAAAAAATTAGCCGGGCGTAGTGGCGGGCGCCTGTAGTCCCAGCTACTTGGGAGGCTGAGGCAGGAGAATGGCGTGAACCCGGGAGGCGGAGCTTGCAGTGAGCCGAGATCCCGCCACTGCACTCCAGCCTGGGCGACAGAGCGAGACTCCGTCTCAAAAAAAAAAAAAAAAAAAAAAAAGAAAAATAAGAAAGATCTTAAATAAGTAACCTAATTATACACCTCAAGAAACTAGAAAAAGAAGAACAAATTAAGCCCAAAGTTAGCAGAAGGGAGGAAATAAAGATGAGAGCAGAAATAAATGAAATAGTATAAAAACAATAGACATGGTCAACAACCCGAAGAGCTGGATTTTTGAAAAGATAAACAAAATGGACAAACCTTTATCTAGACTAAGAAAAAAGAGAGAAGACTCAAAATTAGAAGTGAAAGAGGAGACCTTACAAGTGATATCATACAAATACAAAGGATCATAAGAGATTACTGTGAACAATTATAGGCCAACAAGTTGGATAACCTACAAGAAATGGATAAATTCCTAGACGCATACAACCCCCACAAGACTGAATCAAGAAACAGAAAACCTGAACAGATCATAATGAGTAAAAAGACTGAATCAGTAATAAAAGTTCTCCCACCAAAGAAAAGACCAGGACCTGATGGCTTCACTGCTGAATTCTACCATACATTTAAAGAAGAACAATACCAATCTTTCTCAAGCTCTTCTTTAAAAAACTGAAGAGAGGGGAATAGTTCCAGACTCTTTTTACAAGGGCGGAATTACCCTGAACTTATCAAAGCCAGACAAGGACTTTAGAAGACAAGGAAATTATAAGTCAATATCCTTTATGACATTGATGTAAAAATATGATATAGATGCAAAAATCCTAAATAAAATAATACCAAACTGAACTCAAAAACACATTAAAAGGATTATTCACCATGATCAAGTGGGATTTATCCCAAGATATAAGAATTAACATTTGCAAATCAATAAAAGTGATACATCACATTAACAATGAACAAAAACCATGCAATCATCCCATTAGATGCAGAAAAAAGCATTTGACAAAATTCAACGTCTTTCCATGATTAAAAACTTTCACCAAATTAGGTATAGAAGGACTATACCTCAACATAATAAAGGCCATATATGAGAAGCCCACAACTAACATTTTACTCAATAGTAAAAAATTGAAAGTCTTTCCTCTACGATCTGAAACAAGACAAGGACATCTACTCTCACCATTTCTATTCAATGTAGTAGTAAAAGTCCTTCCAGAGCAACTAGTTAAGAGAAAGAAATAAAAGTCATCTAAATAGGAAAGAAAGAAGTGAAATTAGCACTGTGTGCTTATGACATGATCTTACATATAGAAAACCCTATAGACTCCACCAAAAAAACTGTCAAAACTAATAAATGAATATAGTAAAGTTGCAGGATACAAAATCAACATGCAAAAATCAGTAGCATTTCTATACAATAACAAGAAAATTTATAAAAAGGAAATTAAGTGGACAATCCCATTTATAATAGCTACAAAAAAAAATAAAATAGGAGTAAACTTAACCAAGGGTATGAAAGGTCTATACACTGAAAATTATAAAATGTTGATATAAATTGCAGAAAACACAAATAAATTGAAAGACATCCTGTGTTCATAGATTAGAATAATTAATATTGTTTAAAAATATTCATACTACCCAGAAAGATCTACAGATTCAATGCAGTTCCTACCAAAATTCTATCATTACTTTTCACAGAAATAGAAAAGCAATTTTAAAATTCATATGGAACCACAAAAATACCTGAATAGCTAAGACACTTATGAGCAAAAATCATAAAGCTGGACCATCACACTACTTCATTTCAAACTATGCTATGAAGCTGTAGTAACCAAACCAGCATAATACTGGAGGGAAAAAAAAAGACACATCATCCAACGGAACAGAATAGGGAACCCAGATATCAACCACACGTGTATGGCCAATTGATTTTCAACAAAGCTGCCAAGAACACACAATGGAAAAAGGATAGTCTCTTCAACATATGGTTTTGGAAAAACTGGGTATTCACATGCAGAAGAATGAAAATAGCCCTTTATCCCATGCCATATACAAAAATCAACTCGAAATGAACTGAAGACTTAACAAGAACAGAAACTGTAGAAACATGGGGAAACTATACAACACTGGTCTGGGCAACGAGTTTTTGGATTTGACCTCAAAAGCACAGATAACAAAAACAAAAATAGGCAAATGGGTTTGCATTCAACTAAAAAGCTTCTGCACAGCAATGGAAACAATTGACAATGTACAAAGGCAACCTAAGGATTGGGAGAAAATATTTGCATCCATATATCCAATAAGGGGTTAATATCCAAAATATGTAAGGAACTCAAACAACTCAATAGCAAGAAAACAAAAAACGCAACTTAAAAATGGGCAAGCCAAGGTAATTTATAGATTCAGTGTTATCCCCATCAAGCTACCAATGACTTTCTTCACAAAATGGGAAAAAAACTACTTTAAAGTTCATATGGAACCAAAAAAGAGCCCACATTGCCAAGACAATCCTAAGCCAAAAGAACAAGCTGGAGGCATCATGCTACCTGACTTCAAACTATACTACAAGGCTACAGTAACCAAAACAGCATGGTACTGGTACCAAAAGAGAGATATAGACCAATGGAACAGAACAGAGCCCTCAGAAATAATACCACACATCTACAACCATCTGATCTTTGGCAAACCTGACAAAAACAAGAAATGGGGAAAGGATTCCCTGTTTAATAAATGGTGCTGGGAAAACTGGCTAGCCATATGTAGAAAGCTGAAACTGGATCACTTCCTTACACTTATACAAAAATTAATTCAAGATGGATTGAAGACTTAAATGTTAGACCTAAAACCATAAAAACCCTAGAAGAAATCCTAGGCAATACCATTCAGGACATAGGCATGGGCAAGGACTTCATGACTAAAATACCGGAAGCAATGGCGACAAAAGCCAAAATTGACAAATGGGATCTAATTAAACTAAAGAGCTTCTGCACAGCAAAAGAAACTACCATCAGAGTGAACAGACAACCTACAGAATGGGAGAAAATTTTTGCAATCTACTCATCTGACAAAGGGCTAATATCCAGAATCTAGAAAGAACTCAAACAAATTTACAAGAAAAAAACAACCCCATCAAAAAGTGGGCAACTGATATGAACAGACACTTCTCAAAAGAAGACATTTATGCAGCCAACAGACACATGAAAAAATGCTCATCATCACTGGCCATCAGAGAAATGCAAATCAAAACCACAATGAGATACCATCTCACACCAGTTAGAATGGCGATCATTAAAAAGTCAGGAAACAACAGGTGCTGGAGAGGATGTGGAGAAATAGGAACACTTTTACACTGTTGGTGGGACTGTAAACTAGTTCAACCATTGTGGAAGACAGTGTGGCGATTCCTCAGGTATCTAGAACTAGAAATACCATTTGACCCAGCCATCCCATTACTGGGTATATACCCAAAGGATTATAAATCATGCTGCTATAAAGACACATGCACACTTATGTTTATTGTGGCACTATTAAATATGGCACATATACACCATGGAATACTATGCACCCATAAAAATGATGAGTTCATGTCCTTTGTAGGGACCTGGATGAAGCTGGAAACCATCATTCTTAGCAAACCATCGCAAGGACAGAAAACCAACCACCGCATGTTCTCACTCACAGGTGGGAATCGAACAATGAGAACACTTGGACGCAGGACGGGGGACATCACACACTGGGGCCTGTTGTGGGGTGGGGGGATGGGGGAGGGATAGCATTAGGAGATATACCTAATGTAAATGACGAGTTAATGTGTTCAGCACAACAACATGGCACATGTATACATATGTAACAAACCTGCACGTTGTGCACATGTACCCTAGAACTTAAAGTATAATTTAAAAAAAAATAAAATAAAATAAAAAATAAAAAATAAAAATGGGCAAGAGACCTGAATAGACATTTCTCAAAAGAAGACATAAAAATGGCCAACAGCTATATATTTTTAAATGCTCAACATCATCATTCATTAGAGAAATGCAACTTAAAACTGTAATGAAATATCATCTCACCTGTTAGAATGGCTATTATCAAAAAAAGACAAAAGATAACAAGTGTTAGCAAGGATGTAGAAAATAGCATACACTGTTAAAGGGAATGTAAATTAGTACAGCAGTCCTCCCTTATGCATAGTTTCACTTATCTGCTGTACAGCACAATAAGATATTTTGAGAAAGACCCCACCCATGTAATTTTTACTACAGTACATTGTTGTAATTGTTCTATTTTATCATTAGTTGTTGTTAATTCCTTACTTTGCCTAACTTGTAAATTAAACTTTATCATAGGTATGTATGTATAGGAAAAAACATAGTATTTTTAGGGAGGGAAAAATACTAGACAACCCATATAGGGTTCAGTACTATCTGTGATTTCAGGTATCCATTGAGTGTCTTGTATCTCCCTCAGACTAGGCAGGGGACTACTGTATAGCCATTATGGAAAACTGTATGGAGTTTCCTCAAAAAACCAAAAGTAGGATTACCATATGATCTGGCAATCCCACTTTGGGGTATTTACCCAAAAGATTTGAAATTGGTTTGTAAAGGAGATGTCTGCACTCACATCCTCACTGCAGCACTATTCACAATAGATAAGTTATGGAATCAACTTAAGTGTCCATCAACAGATGAATTGATAAAGAAAATGTGGCATGTTTACACAATGGAATAGTATTCAGCCTTAAAAAGGAAATTTTGTCATTTGCAACAACATAGATTGAAATGGAGAGCAGTATGCTAAGTGAAATAAGTGGGTAGAGAAAGACAAATACTACAAGTTCTCACTTATATGTGGACTCCAAAACAATTGAACTCATAGAAGCAGAGAGTAGAATGTGGTTACAAATGTGAGGGCATGGGGGAATGGGTAGATGATGGCCAAAGAGTACAAAATCTCAGTTAGACATGAGGAATTTTTTTTAGTTCTATTGTGCAGCATGGTGAATATAGTTAATAACAGAGTATTGTACATTTTAAAATTGCTAAGAGAGTAAATTTCAATTGTTTTCACCATTAAAAATTGTTAAATATTTGAGGTGATGGATATATTAACTAGCTTGATTTAATTATTTTACATTGTGTACTTATATGATCACTTTGTATCCCATAAATGTATACAATTATAAATTGTCAATTTATAATTTTTTAAAGTCTTATTAAGAGAAATACAGTTAAGCATCTCCAAAATTAGGGACTTCAGGTTCCACTCCATCACGATCTGTTGCCCAGCTAGAAAACAAGGATGATATTTACCTACAGCCATGGCTATTTGAAGATGAATTTCAAATGCATCAGGAAAATAAAAGAATCTATGTTAGTTCCTATGACTTAGTTAGGCATGAGGAGGTTATTGCAGCAGCCCAGGACAAAAAAAGAAAAAAAAATTATAGTACAAGCATCCATGTAATGCAAGGAGACCTAGTTCAGAAACTTAGCAAGGTAAGTGGAGTATAGTAACCTCTCAATCTGTGAGTGAGCAATGATGAGTGGGTTAAACATAGAGGAGGAACCGCTGTCCTCACTCTGCAAAAATCTACATAAATAGGCAGGAAAGCAGGTAGGTTCAGGCAGTAGGTATGAGGTATCTGTAAGATGTTCAAGTAGAGATACCAAGTAGACACATCTGTGGATCTGGAGCTCAGATGAGAGGTCTGGGCTATTGGTAGGGCTTTTTTTAATATACTAGGTGATTCTAATATGCAGACAACATAGAGGTTTAGTACATGAGGAGACTCCTGCAAAGGAGAACTAGAAAGAACAACCTTATAAGGGGAATAATGAGCATGCATTGAGGGGGTCACAGAAACAAGAGAGTGTGTCAAGAAGGAGAAGGCCCCACTGTGTCAAATTATCCTCAGAAGTTAAATAAGAGGCTGGGTTCAGTGGCTCACGCCTATAATCCCAACACTGGGAGGCCAAGGCAGGAGGATTGCTTGAAGCCAGGAATTCCACACTAGTCTGAGGAACATAGCAAGACTCCATCAGAAAGAAAGAAAAGAAAAGAAAAGAAAAAAGAAAAGAGAAGAGAAGAGAAAAGAAAAGAAAGAATTGAGACAGAGTCTCACTCTGTCTCCCAGGCTAGAGTGCAGTGACATGATCATGGCTCACTGCAGCCTCAATCTCCGCAGGTTCAAGCCATCCTTATGCCTCAGCCTCCCAGGTGGCTGGGACTACATGCATGCACCACCATGCCCAGCTAATTTTTGTATTTTTTGTAGAGACAGGGTTTCGTCATGTTGCCCAGGCTCAACATTTTTTTTAATTAGCTGGGAGTGGTGCATGCCTACAATCCCAGCTACTTGGGAGGCTGAAGTACGAGGATCGCCTGAGCCCAAACGGTCAAGCCTGCAGTGAGCTATGATCACACCACTGCACTTCAGTCTGGTCAAGAGGGTGAGACCTTGTCTCTAAAAGATAAAAATAACATAAAATAAAACAAGTTAAATAAGATGAGAATGGAGAAATGTTTACTGGATTTGGAAATATGGTAGCTGTTGGTAACTCAGGCAGAGTTTCAGTCCTGGCTTTAAAGGATCTGGAGTGCTGGGAAGGTTATCCAGAGATCTTCTTAATGACCAAACCTGGGCTGCAAGTTAGACTCGATACCAAGACCTCTGTGTAGTCCAACTAAGCTCCAATCCTAACTAAGCTCAGACTTGGTACCAGATCTAGGGTAGGGCACAGGGTGTCTCCTCAAATATGAGAGAAGACTGAAAAAACAAGGAACTATGCAAGTGAACAGGCTTAGAAGAGCACACATACAAACTGGCATCACTGCTGATCAATTTTTCATGACAATGGAATTGAAACAAAATCATTCAATCCAAATTGGTATTTATGGACTCGCTTATTAATTCAACAAATATTTCAAGCTCTGAGTAACTGACAGAATAGAGTCAAGTTCCCAGATACAGCAAATAAATATACAGGATGCCTAATTAAACTTGAATTTCAGATAAAGAAGGAATTTTTTTTAGTATTTGGAACATATACTAAAATTTTTGTTGTGTGTCTGCATTCAAAGTTAACTGAGTGTCCTGTATTTTATTGAGCAATCCTGGAATAGAGGGTGCTATATTTTAATGGGCAATCATAGAGCAGAGGGAAGGAAAGACACACACTCTCTCTTTCATCACGGACCTTAGTAAATTAACACAATCAGTTCCCGGTGAATTTGAATTTTCCCAGCACTCCGGTGCATATAGGACTTTGTAACAATAGAGAACAAAATAAGTGGATCCTGAGACATTAGTCAGCAAGTATGCAGGTCACCCAGCCGGTGAGGGATACTCACAACCAACCTTATCTCAAATAGCCTTTGACATTTCCTCTTTGTATTAATAATATTTTCTTATTTTCCATATTCTTGATGTTCTGGCATCTGGTTTCTAGCTGCCCGGCAGGGACTATCCTCTCAGGGTTAGCTAATTCCTGGAGACAACAAGCAACTTGCCTGCGAGTGTGCCTTTCATTTGCAAATTCACCAAACACACAGCACATAATTTAAAACTGATTGATTAGCAGCAGGTTATCAGCTTCTCTGAGACTAAACAGCTTTCTCTCTGAGACCATTTGCTCTAAGGCTGTGGTTCTTAACGTGCTATCCCCAGACCAGCAACATCAGTATCCCCCCGAAGAACTTGTTAGAAATGCACACTCTTCACCCCACCCTAGACCTACAGAGTTAGAAACTCTGAGGATAGGGCCCAGCCATCTGTGCTGTAACAACTCTCCAGGTGATTCTGATGTATGCTAAAGTTTGAGAACAGTTGCCTAAAGTGTGCTTAGGTCATATACTAAGGATATTTACACTTGCACTCTTATCCCACAATACCTGGCAACTTTGTTTTTTAACTGATTTCCTGTATTCACTCTAAGAGGAAAGTCTTAGCCTGTTCAGCTGCTATAACAAAATATCATAAATTGGATGGCTTATAAACAACAGAAATTTATTTCTTACAGTTCTGGAGGCTGGGAAGTCCAAGATCAAGGCTCCAGCATATTCAGTGTCTGGTAAGGGTCAGCTTCCTGGCTCATAGAAAACTGTCTTTTTGCTCTCTCCTCACATGGAGGAAGGAGAAGGGGTGAACAAGCTCTCAGGGGCCTCTTTTATAAGGGCACTAATCCCACTGGTGAGGGTTCTATGACCTTGGAGGTTAGGATTTCAACACATGAATTGGGGAGGGACACAAACATTCAGACCATAGCAAGGGATTGTCTAGGGAAATCCTAGGGATGGTGGTAGAGAGAGAGTTACTATGCCTTGTGTTCTAGAATGTCTATAACAAACTCATTACTCCGTCAGTATTCAAAGACCTCCTATGGTGCCTAGAGCTCAAATCAATAAAATCCCACAAAATAAACAAAACACCAACAGTAAAAATGCCATTCTCGCATCTTAATTGGGGAAGGCCATGATATATTCAAAAATTTAAAATCAGATTCCTGTATTCTTAATCAGGGGGGTTTCTCCTTTTAAGCGTATTCATTGCCATGCCTCTAACTTTGACCCAAATATGGCTCCTTTCTCTCAAGACTTTGAGCTTCTGAGAACAGCAACCAGGACTTGTTTTTCTTTGAATCTTTGCACCAAAAACAGTGCCTAGCTCATAACTGGTGCTCAGTAAGTGACTCTGAAACCTAATTGCACCCGCCAGTCACCAGTTCACACAGATGTTCCACAGCCTGCTGTAAATCAAACCATGAAATTAGCATTATTTAAACCCACATTTACCTTTGGTTACTTTCTATCCCTGGGGAAGGAAGTTACTGTAGAATTCACAATATAACTTGGGGAGAAGACTATTTCTTCATAAGACACAAGTGAAGTTCTGGCCAAAAATCTTGATTTATTGGGCACTGCTAGAATCTGATCACTACATATTTATAGCAGTAGCTAAAGATAAGTGCATTCAGGAAAGTGCTACTGAAATGTGTTTCCTTCATTTCCTTGACAGCAAAAGGAAGCAATGAATGCTTTAAATCACAGAAAATATTTAGAATATGAAAGACAAATGGAAGTCACATCTTCCTCAACCTACAGAACAGCCAGTATTTTACTAGGTTCACCAAGAGTTTGTGGGAAACTTTGATCCCTCTTCTCTGCTTCTAGAAGAATCCATGAAGGCCCCGTTTGTTTACCAGCCTCGGACAGGGAGTCATCACTAAAGAGGAAAATTTGGTACCAAATGGGTAGCCGTTGCTTAAAAACAGGTTCATTCTTCATACCTCTCTCACTGTTCAAAGACCTAAAAGGTATTTTGAAAGGACCTAGCCGCAAATCAACTCTGTTCCCTTACTTCACCCTCACTCCAACCCTTGAAACCATGAATGTTAAAACAACTTCATTCTGAGGTCTACTCCTTTTAATATTTTTATGACAAAAAATTCAAACTGTATAGAATTATATAAGAAGAAAACCCAGGACCCATCACCGTCAGTTCCTACACTCTAAGAATAATCACTATTCACAGTTAGAACGTATCCCTCCAAATTTTTTCTACACATTTACTTGTGTGTATATTACATTTTCATACACTGTACAGTTATTGCACATTTTTCAATGCTATTATACTCACATCTGTATCATTCTTTTTCCTCTCCCACATCAACTACTCACTAATTCAGACTTTAGACCGCCTAGACTTCCTTTTTAAAACCCTTGTAAAATATTGTTTTGAAGAACTAAAACAAAAGATAAAACATATATGAACACTCATGAAAATTTCTAATGAAGAAGTATATGAAATAAAAAGAAAATATTTTCCTTCAACCATCTTTCCCATGCCCCTCGGAAGTAACTATTGTTAATAGTTTGAGGTGTATCCTTCAGTCCTTTTTGCGTATTCCTAGGCATTTTCAACATAAATTGGACTATACTGGAACTTGCCTTTTACATTTAATAATACGTCTTACAGATTTTTCTGCTTTAATACATACAGAACCATGTTCTTTTCATCTCTACATTGTAATCCAAAGGACGTATGTACTACAGTTTAACCATTTTGGCTGTTTCTCATATTTTACTCATACAAATAGACTTCTGCAAGCCATTTAAAATGCATAGTTTTCTATATTTATTTTTGTCCACATATGTGGGTGTCAGTGTATGAGTTGTTCTGTAGGATAAGTTCGTTAAATGGATTTTAAATCTTAATAGGCCTGGTCTAGTTGAACTCCAAAAAGGATATGTACCAGTTTACAATTCTATAAACTATATATGAGATTCCTATTTCCCCCAAACTGTCAACATCTGATAGACATTTGATAGACACCCGATTGCTGCTTCTAATTTATGTCTCTCCTGAGTTGTTGGTTTGTAAGAGTTATTATGTCAGTTCATTGTATCACATAAAGAACCCTCTGGAGATTTTTGTTGAGATTTTAAAGCTTACTTTGTGCAGAATAAATATCTATGTGGTGTTCTCATCTAAAAATACATGTCTCTTCTTTTATTTGTGTCTGAATTTTTATCCTTATAGAAAGTTGTATCATTTTCTTCATATAAGCCTTATATATATTCCCTCTCCAGTTATATTTTAATATTATTTTTAGATATTTTTGAGGATGTTTTTGCTGTTTTGAGTGGGTTTTTCTCTGCTCATTTAATTACTGTTAAAATATAAGAGTATCATCAGTTTATAAGTATTATTCTCATATCTGGACACCTTCCTGAATTCCCTCTATTAATCCTAATAATTTTCAATTGATAGTCTGGGGCTTTTTGCTACACAATTAGCTCATATATACCTAATTATAGTTTTCTCTCTTTCTTATTACTTTATTTTTCCATTCATTGCATTGGTTAGAAAAATGTTGAATCCTTGCCTCATTCTGAACTTTAATAGGAATGCTTCTAATATTTCATTATTAAGTGTATAACCAATTATAGGTTTCTTATATAGTCTTTTTTCCAAGTTAAGAAACCTGTCTTCTACTCTTAGATTACTGAGTGTTTGTTTTAATGGGAATGGGAGTTGGATTTTATCAAACGCTCATTTTATGTCCAGTGGGATGATCTCATGGGAGAAAACACAGTGAATTACATCAAGAGGTTTTCTAATAGTGAAACCTCCTTACATTCCTGGGATATGTTTGCACTGGCTTCTGACTCATTGCAGATGTCAGTGCAGGGTGAACTTGAAAAGAAAGGAAACCTGGAGAAAATTCTTCTCCCCCTGCTTAGGAAAACACACTCCTCAGGACATGATAAAGGAGCAGAGTCTTCAATTAGCTTGCCTAAGCTATAGTGATTCTCCAAGCTCCATGTCCTCCAGTAACACTGAATAACATAATTCATGGGCCTCGTTTACCATTAGTGTTATCTAGGGGAAAATGGGAAATGGTAAAGCCA
The DNA here is from genome assembly GCF_000001405.40 of Homo sapiens. Taxonomy (NCBI): domain Eukaryota; kingdom Metazoa; phylum Chordata; class Mammalia; order Primates; family Hominidae; genus Homo; species Homo sapiens. The sequence goes on along the minus strand of NC_000009.12, from coordinate 1,125,718 downwards.
GTGGAAAACTTATATCAACAGAAATCATATCCAAGGAAAGAAACCACGCAATTACAACACTGCTTGCACAGTTGTCTTCAGTACTGTGACTAGCACCTGTGAAATCCTATACCCAGAAACATTCTACCCCATTTTACACTCCCAATCAGATCTCTTCTCAGCACCAAGCTCCCAGTAGACTTAGATCAAATTTGAACTGTAAGAAATCAAAATGTAAACTAGTAATAAAGGATGCTTTTCTTTTTCTTTTTTGTAAAAATTCCAAGGGTACAAATGCAGTTGTTACATAGATATATCGTGTAGTGGTGGAGTCTAGTTTTTAGTGTAACCATCACCCAAATAACGTGCATTATACCCATTAAGTAAATTCTCATTCAAGGATGCTTTTAATTTCAAGATGTGATGGGGTCAGAGAAATGTCAGCAGGAAAAGTAATCCTAGCATACTTTTTTTCTTTTGAGACAGGGTCTCACTCTGTTGCCCAGGCTAGAGTGCAATGGTGTGACCACAGCTCACTGCAGCCTTGACCTCTCAGGCCCAAGAGATCCTCCCATCTCAACCTCCCAAGTAACTGGAACTATAGGCATGCACCACCACACTCAGCTAATTTTTTTAATTTTTTGTAGAGAAAAGGTCTTACTCTGTTGCCCAGGCTGGTCTTGAACCCCTGGCCTCAAGGAGTCCTCCTGTCTCAACCTCCCAAAGTTCTAGGATTATAGGCATGAGCCACCATGCCTGGCTGCATACTTCTTCTTAAAGCCAAAGAGATGAGACACCATAGGATAGACAACCCTGGGATAGCTTGGGCTGAAGTTGCCATCTTCAGCAAATAAAAATACAGGATGCTCCCTTAAATTTGAATTGCCCCATGCCAAATGTGACACATACTTGTACTGTAAAAAAAAATTATATGTTCCTCATCTGAAATTCAAATTTAACTGAGTGCCCCCATATACCTTACATTGGGATCCAAGTTAACTTGCCTTTATTTCTGGCCTGGCCCCACCTCTTAGTAGATATGTGACCCTAATATGTTAGGAATTACTCTAAGTTTAGATTCCTTAATGGTAAAATGAGTTATTTTGAGGATTAAATGACTTGAAGCATGTAAAATGCTCATTACACAGAAAACAATGAATGATAGGCAAAACTTAGCATTTAAGTAATAGTTACACTAGGGATTTCAGGGAAGTACAGAAAAGAGTAGTGGACTGGGAAATAAGGAGACATAAGTTTTTATGCCTGAATGTTTTGAACTAGCTGTGTGCCCATAAGCAAGTCCCTTACCCTCCTGTGTCTCAGTGTTCTTATCTATAAAATAAGGAGGTTGAATTAGATGGTCTCCTTTCACTCTCAAGAGTTTCTGATTCCAAACCCCCCTATTGCTTGAACTTTGGAGAAATATATAAAAGTATGTCAATTCCCCTTAAGTAAATTATTTCTATGGAGCAGTGTATGATTAATATCTTTTCAATACTATTGAGAGTAAAAGTATGCTGAGTTGAGATTTTAGTAGCCTTTGCTTTGAGGAATACAGGTGCAATTGGTCATACTTATTCTCAGACAACAGTCCATGTGGTTTCATGGTTTCACCTAAAGTTATAAATCAGTTCCTGGAGCCAGAGCCCAATTCCTGAGCCAACCTTGAATGTGAGTTACGGTAACTTCAGCTTTAACAAAATAAGAATATGCTGTCTTGTTGTCACAGTATGGTGGTTTATGACAGAGAGAGGAATAAGTTGTGGAGTCTCCAAATAAATATATGCAACATGCCTTTCAAACTAAGCAAATAACATATATAAATTTCATTTTAATTTCATTAGGGGTTAGGGGTTTTTTTTGTTTTGTTTTTTTCTCTATAAACCACTAATAAAACTTTTGATTTTTTATGGTGGTTGTGGAAACTGTTGTCTAATCGGCCAAGAGGAAATATCAGCCCATATTCCATTAGAGTCATTTAAACCATATTCATCTGATTTCCAGAACTATAAAACCATCTTTCCATATATTATGTCTATAGAGCAAGCCAAACTCAAACACACAATGTCTCAATCGAAATTTTTATTGTTGAAAACTCCACTCTTTTTAGGGGGGGATCACGTAATATTAGCACATAAAGGAAACAGTGATCTGGTTTGACTTCCTTGTTTTACAAATGAGCAAACTCAAGCTCAAAAGAGTTAGATGAGTGAAGAGTAAGATGCTTCCTTAGATCAAAAAGCAGCAACGCTATCTTTTCTCTGATGTTCCGTTTATTCTGATGTCCTCTGATCGACAAGTAAAGTGAAAATATGATGGATAAAATAATTTGGAACCCCTTTGGAGGGCACCAGCAAGAGTTTCTGCTGACATAACTCAGAAATCCATGAAACCTCTGAGTGGCTACTTTATGCAGGGCACTATATTAAGCACTGGGATGTTACCAATGAATAAGATAAGGCCCTATACTTGAGAAGATATTTCTTCTTCCTGTTAACTGAAAACTTGACAAGCCAAACCACCTGTCCATTTCACATCCACAGCAATCATGACATGGATCCAAAGAGTATTGTATCAGGTACCAGAGTTCATGTGAAATGATTGGAAACAGCTTTCAAAAGACATTATTTGAAATCCTATTCCTGAAAGCTCAGTTTACTATTTCAAGGGTTTCTCCTGACATTTTTATAATTTATGTTACAGGCATGTTTCCAGGTAGCATGGCATAGTGGAAAGAAACATGGGTTCTATTCCCAGATCTGCCGCTAACAAACTGGGTGCCTAAAATAAGTGACTAATCTTCTCTGATTCCCAGTTTTCCCATGGTATAACAATGCAGAGCTTGATCAACAGGAGCCAAAGTCTCCTCTGAGATAGAACATTCTAAGATTCTACTTAGGGTGCAGTACATACAATCAGCACAAGGCACCAGATGATGGGGAGGGATAAGGGGAGTGTGGAGTAGGGCTGAGAATGAAACTAGCCAACTCTGATGCTCCAAGCTTGGGCACTCAGGGGATGACACATAATTCCTTCCAAGTCTCATCCCAGAAGTGAATGCAACAGTGGAAGAATATTCTTAAGACTAACCAAGTATCTTTACTTCCATGCAGGATCACAGAAGTAACTAGGGGCTTATTAACTGACAGAGTTTTGTAAGGAGATTACTCTTTTGGAAAAAAACCCACTCTACTTCTCATTTCTGCACCTAGCCAAGTGTGCTGAGCTCCCACATCCCATCTACTTCTTTTAGTTGGATTTCTGAGGCTGTTCCCACAGTTTCAAAGACTCACTTTGACCTAATCGGGAGAAACACTGTTCCTAAGCATCAAGCAAAACTACCCTGGGTTATAATAAATATACCATTTTGGAAGGGGATCCTTTGCCAGAACATTTTCTTCTTTGCATTATTATTCCAGGAAGTCATGTGATTTTGTCAGCTCTCACATTGCCCATACCAGCAAGTCCTTTGCATTCAACTTCAAGCAACCAAACAACAAAGCTCATTGTGTCAATGTACTGCTGACTCTGCAAGAGTGAGACAGTCACACCTCAAAATGAGGAGGCTGGCCTATTCACAATAGCCAAGGTATGGAATCAACCTAAGTGTCTCTCAATGGATGAATGGATAAAGAAAACGTGGTACTTACACATGATGGAGTACTACTCAGCCACAGAAAAGAATGAAATCCTGTCATTTGCAGCAACGTGGGTGAACCTGAAGTACATTATGTTAAGTGAAATGCCAGGCACAGAAAGACAAACACTGCATGACCTCACTCACAGGTGGAATCAAAAAAAGTTGATCTCACAGAAGTAGAGAGCAGAATGGTGGTGACCAGAGGCTAGGAGCAGGAGGGTATGGGAACAGATTGGTCAATGGGTACAAAATTATAGTTAGGTAGGAGGAATAAGTCTGGCGTTCTCCTACACAGTACAGTGACTTTAATTAACAATATTATATTGTGTATTTTAAATTAGCTAGAAGAGAGAATTTTGAATGTTCCCACTACAAAGAAATGATAAATGTATGAGGTGATGAATGTGCTAAATGCCCTGATTTGGCCACATCATGCAATGTATCCATGGACCAAAACATCACACTGTACCTTCACAAATATGTGTAATTATTAGGCATCGATTAAATACAAAATTTGACCCGCCACGGTGACTCACACCTATAACCACAGCACTTTGGGAGGCCAAGGCTAAAGAATTGCTGAGGCTGGGAGTTCGAGACCAGCCAGCAGAACATAACAAGGCTCTGTCTCTTCAAAAAATTTAAAAATTAGCCAGTCATGGTCCAGATGCCCATAGTTCTAGCTACTTCAGAGGCTGAGCCAGGATATTGCTTGAGCCCAAGAGTTTAAGGTTACAGTGATCTAGATTGCACCACTGTACTCCAACCTAGGCAACAGAGAGACCCTATCTCTAAAAATACACACATATATATATATACATACATACATACATACATACATACATACATACATACATACATCCTTTTCCATTGCTTGTCTTCAATATTAGGCCATTGACATTTCTTGTCAAAAGGAGAAAAAAGCATCAAACATCACTGTGATGTTACACATACAAAGTGCTATGCAAATGTCAAGTGAATTCTTTGCCACAGGATTTATGGTCACTCTTCTTAGTTATCGGACTCAGAGGCAGGAGAGCTAGACAAGCATTAGCCTTGAGGTCAGAGAGCTGGGTCAAGCCCAGCTCTGAAAGCAAGTAGCTGCGTGACTTTGGGTGAGTCACTTCACCTCCTGAGCCTCAGTTAACAACTGGGCTACACAATCATTAAGGACACCCTCTCCCTCCCCTGCCCTGTTGTCTTAAGGTCCCATATTCTTTTCTCTCTGGCCAGTAAATTACCTGCTTTGGAAGATGCATTAGCTCTCTTAGGCCGCTGGAGCACAATTTAACACATTCCTGATGCAATAAATCAGCAGTCCTCCTTTCCCTTTGCATGAGCCTTGCGTTTTTTACATCACTCTGGCCATGGAGGATTACAAAAGAACAGGTGCCTCGAGGGTTAACACCAGGGCAAAACCTAGAGCTGGGACGGCTCACCAGTTCCAGGTGAACTGGAATCCTAATTCTGAGTCTTATTCATTTGTAAAGCAAGAACTGACTAGGAACCCCTGTGAAGTAATGAAAAACTACTTAACACCCAAACAGGAACAGGAATATGTGGTGACTTGGATCTGTACTCAGAGCTATCCCATCCCATTCATTCATTCATTTATTCATTCTTTCCCCCATGCTCGGGACCGGCTACATAATTTTTGGAACCCAGTGCAAAATGAAAATGCCAGATTCCTTATTCAAAAAAGAAAAGAGAGAAAGGGCTATTAAAATTTCTGAAAGAAAACATTTTCCTGTTTTACACAGTCTTTCTCTTGACCTGTCACAGTGTTTCTTTATGTACTATTTAAAGTCATGCTCCTTCAGGCACTGGGATACTTGCAGGGAGAGTTCAAACCCTCACAGGTTCGAGGGTGACTTGGCACATGTATGGCCCCCTGGCTGCCAGTTCCTTCTTACTCCAGCCCAAGTCAGGAAAATCAAGCAAGGAACTGCTACCCCAATACATGATACATGAGCAACTTCCAAGGATATTGCAACCTCTGCACCAGGATGCGAGAGGCTAGGCCCCACCAAGTCACCTGTGGAATGCACTGTGGTGCTGCCAGCCCCAGGCAGGAATGGCCAATGCTATGCCTGGCCCCAAGATGCCATATACCCCATGTAGCTTACCCCAACCTCCCTGGCACTCACTCATACCCAGGCTCCCACTGGGGCAGAGGGCAGCAGCAGTTACCAGCTAGAGGAAGGAAGAGGGAAAGACACGGGGAGACTGGGTACTGCCTAGGCCTCCAAGAGGCAGGGAGCAGGCAGCCAAGATTCATTTGGGGGAGGCAGGACCACAGGTGAGCCAAGGATTCAACACCTTAGCACAGGCTCCATTGTCCCATCAACTGCACTTACAAACATATATTCAAATGAATATATATTCATCTGAACATATATTCAAAGGTAAAATTAAGAATTTCCAGACTATGACAACAGAGCATCAAACCCCAAGCACAGGGTCCTTCCTTTGCTATAAGCTCCAGAGGCTGATCCTGCTGCTGTATGTAGAGCCTGAAGCCCAGATTCTCTCACATGCCCATGCACATGGTCCCTCTGCCTTCCATAATATCCCTTCCCACCTCATCAGACTGACAAACTCCTAATTATCCTTCAAAACCCATTAGGGCATTACCTCTCCTGTGAAGTCTTTCCTGCCTGCTCTTCCCTGGGCTCTGATTGCATTCTCCCTTGTATCCCATGCATTATCTTGGAAAACTTCTAAATATCTTATTATCAAACTTTATTTGCATTTATTTATTTCAGTCCGTCTTTCCCATAAGTGTATAAGATATTCATTTTTATATCCCCAAAGCATCATAGGTAATCAGGTTTTAGTACTTTCTAGCCTTTGCAACAAAAAGGTCCTGGATTGACTTGGTCACTGCTTAGCCTGTAGGCATCTGCTGATGAAGTCTGTGGCCAAAGAGCTTGTGATCCCCTCTCTCAGCTCCATCAGGCCTGGCAAGTCCTTTTGGCTGAATTGGCCCTCTTTCAGCATCCCTAGCACAGCACATCCATCCGAGGTCTTCATACAACTCCCATTTGATTTCTGGTTCCAGGAGCTGTCCCATAGCCCTTCATTTTGGCTTCGCCAATTGTGGGATATCTTTTCTGATAGTGCTGACTGCTAGGCATATCAGCACCACGCCACTCATGTACCTTCAAAAGCACGGGGGACTTTCTGGACACTCCCATACAACACAGGAGCCAAAACAGACTCCAGAAAGCCAACTCAAGCCAAGGCCACCACAAAGCACAACTCAAGGGGACAGAGCACTCCCAGCAATGTCTATGTGAGTGGTGACCTTTGGAGTTGTGCAGTGCACAACCTGCATAGCTGTATGCAGCAACCCCAACTCAGGTCTTCCTCTGCCTAATGTCATCACAGTGACAAATTTCTCTGATACACAGGGCATCCTTCAAGTCTGTTTCCTGCAAAACATCTGCCTTCCACTTTCCTCTCTGTGTATCTAATATTTCCCTTCTTCAGGATTTTGACCTTGATTGGCAACAGGTGAGTTAGTGTAGCTCCATAATCCAAGTCACCAAATACTTTTCTGCTTTCACCTCCTTCTGTCTCCCTTCTCGTTCCCACGGGCCACCATGGAGAAAAGGACAAGCTTTTTATTTCTTCCAATCTGACTGGACTCCCACTACATGCCTCCTATTTCTTCATGGAGATGCTAAGCCTTAAGGGGGAAGGGGCAGTCATACAAAGGAAATCTCCAGTCTCCAAACTTAGATCTTGATATGTGAACAAGGAAACTGAGAAATTCCTTCTCTAACAATGCCTATTTAAGGACATTGTTTTGCTCTGGACATAAAATCTTACTTTGTGTGTCAAAAGCTGACTGCTGAAGGGTTCCCTAATGAGTAAGGGTAAACAGCCGATTCCATGGCCAGACTGCCTGGGCTTATGGTATAACTACAAGGTAGGACCTTGTGGGGCTCTGCTGAGGATTGAATCAACATGTACAAAGAACAGAGACCAGGATCTAGCCACTAGCATGCACTATAAAGGGCTGGCTATGATTACTGGCCCCCTCTTTGTCATAGCAACCCTGCTGTAACTTCTTAGTCCTCTCTGAAGCAAATAGATACCTCTGGCAGAATAGATGGAACTCACACCCAAAGCTGTGCAACAGAGAAAATGGGATTTTCAAATAGTATTCTATTACCCACATTATCTTATTTAATATTCAAAACATTAAAAGGCAATAGTAGGATGGCATAATGGAATGGTCAAGAACACAGGCATCTAATCTCACATAACAGAGCTATTATAAGAACCAAATGAGATTGTATAAGCACAGTCAAAACCCACTGGCAGATTCCATATTTGCAATCTCACTTGCTCACTTAAATTTTTTCATAACCTTGAAATCAATACTTTGGCACATCCATAGCCATTCATGGGCATGTCAAAGTGGTAAAAATGTGAATCACCCAAAGCACACATCCCTAGCTCAGGTTAAACAAAGCCACCCACTGGCTTCTTATTTCAGCTCTCATATTAAAAACAAGTGTCCTTTTCATGGGATAGTTAGCACCATGCTTTCCTCATTTTTTGCAGCTTTTGTTGGTGGTTTTGCTATTTCAAATGTCCCTAAGCATTGTGCTAACGCTCTGCCTAGTATTCCCAAGTGCAAGAAGGCTGTGATGTGCCTTCCAGAGAAAATATAAGTTATGGCGCTGTTGACTGTGAGTTCAATGTTAATGAATAAATAATATATATTAAATAAGGTGTCTTCAAACAGAAATACACAAAATAAGGCTATGCATTGATTGGCTGATGAAAATATCGTGACCAGAGACACACAGGAGCTTAACCCTGGTATTTTCCCTATGAGCAATGCTTCAATATTTGCTAATTCAGTGTTCCTAGCAACTTTATAGAACATAACTACTGTGAATAATAACAATTAATCATACATACATTTATGTGTATGTATATATAACATATATCTAAGTATGTTACACACACATGTATATGTATAATATATATCTAAGTGTATGGGTATGTCCATGTATGTGTGTGTGTGGTGTGTGTGAGTATATATACTTAAGTAATAGGCAGTCAACAGATGATCAATATTACTGTCATTAACCTCATTTAAAGATGAAGGGGCTGGGCCTGGTAGCTCATACCTGTAATCCCAGCACTTTGGGAGGCCAAGGCAGGTGGATCACCTGAGTTCAGGAGTTCGAGACCAGCCTGACAAACATGGTGAAATCCCATATCTACTTAAAATAAATACAAAATTATCCAGGCATGGTGGCAGGCACCTGTAATCCCAGCTATTTGGGAGGCTGAGGCAGGAGAATCGCTTGAACCTGGGAGGTAGAGGTTGCAGTGAGCCAAGATTGCATGATTGCACTCCAGCTTGGGTGACAAGAGTGAAACTCCATTAAAAGAAAAAAAAAAAAGAAGAAAATGAAGAAAAATGAAGGAGGAGGAGGAGGAGAAGGAGGAGGAGGAGGAGGAGAAGGAACAACTGAGCTGCAATAGTGTTAAATACCTCATTCAAGATTGTCCAGGTACCAATAATAATATCTGTTCTAGTTCTCACTTGCTGCATAACAAACCTCCCCATACTTAGTGGCATGAAACCACCACCATTTTATTATGTTCATGGATTGGATTCTGTGAGTCAGGAGCTCTGATAGGGCACAGGGGAGATGATTTATGTCTACTCCATGATGTCTGATTGCTCCCATTTCCACCAAGAAACAAATTACTATTTAGGAGGAAAACTCTATTACTTTGGTGAGGGCCATTTTATGAGGATCTTTATCTAGGCCTAGATTTTTTCACATGATGGAGATCACATAATTCCAAAGAAAGATTTGAAAGATAACAAGGGTAAATGCTCTGAATAAAAGTACCTCGACAGAAACATGTTGCCATCTCTTTAATTTTTAGATTGCCTGTTGTGATCCCTCCTTATAAAGAGATGGGTGGCAGGTTGAGACAGTCACACTCCTGGGAAATCTCACTTTGAAACACAGATGTAAATGGATTCTTTTCCCATGAAGCCCAAGATAAAATGCCTCTTATGCCAGGTGATGGATTAGAATATTGCAACATGGCTTTATGTCGTCAGCCAATATCAACACGGCACCAATCAGAAGCGATTAGTTGGCACTGTCAAGATTCTTATCCAACAATTGTAGTTTAGAACTTAAAAGTGTGCCGTCTCGTTCTATATCAACATCACTGTACAGTAACATTGAATAAATAGAGAATAAATTGTATGCAGAGAATAAGTTTTTGACATGCAAGTTTAAACATAACAAAAGAAGCCTTTTAAGATGTCATTGCACTCAGATAAGAAAACATGTCTTTTATCACTTTGACCATATGTATGTGGATGCTTTTTAAGTATTCAAAAACCTCCGGGTAAAGTTTCTAATTTTTAAGCAGAAGATATTATTAACTCATGATCGAAAGAAATTTCACCTTTCACCAACTTAATCCACAGGTGCTTTAGAATATATGATACTTTCATTCATGTTCTTCATAGTCTCACTTTCACAAACAGCCTGTAAAGTATGTACCTGTACCAACAGAAATTGGTTATATTGTTCCATGAAGCTCCTTAATCACTCAGAGCTTTAGAGGTTGAACTCTGGCTCCTGAAAGAGCAGATGTGGGTCATTTTACAAACTTCTGACCGGATAAAATAAAAAAAAAGTATCTTCTTATTCTGGCTAGAGAAGAGAAGAGACTTCCCTTGGCTACCAACATCTTGACCAAAAGGTTTTGATCTAATTGAATAATATCTAGCTTTAAATTTTTCTCTAGCTCAAATTTGCCTACAACAGAATCACGGGTCCACCCCAGATTCAAAGAGAGAGAACCACACAAAGGTGATGTATTAGGATTTTTCAGAGAAACAGAAAAAAATAGAATATACAGATATAGATATACAAGAGAAGATTCATTATGGAGAGTGGCTGTCATGATTATAGAAGCCGAGAAGTCCCATGATATGCCATTTGCAAGCTGAAAACCCAGGCAATCTTGTTCTTAGCCACCCAGTATGTGATACTTTGTTACGGCAGCCCTAGAAGACTGTTATAACTTTCATGATTACACTTTTTAAACCTGTGTAAACATGAGTTTGGGGTTGTTTTCAATAATAGTCATTAAGAAAGCCTTTTGAGAAAACCAAATACTTTTTATAGCTAAATATGAGAACAAGCAGAGAAAGATGAAGACTGGAAGTCAATGTAGTATCTATTATGTGTTCCAGGCCAGGCACAGTGGCTCACACCTGTAATTCTAATACTTTGGGAGGCCAGTGTGGGAAGATTGCTTGAGCCCAGGAATTCAAGACCAGCCTGGGCAACATAGTGAGACCCTGTTTCTACAGAAACAATTGAAAAATCAGCCAAGAGTGGTGGTGTACACCTGTTATCTCAGCTACTTGGGGTTGCTGATGTGTGAGGATCACTTGAGCCCAAGAGTTTGAGATTGCAGTGAGCCAGGATCACACCATTGTACTCCAGCCTGGGCAACAGAGTGAGACCTAGTCTTTTTTTTTTTTTTAAGTGTTTTGACGGCAGAAGAAAACCATTTAAAGTGTGTAATAAGAGGTGTGGCAGGCCGGGCACAGTGGCTCGCACCTGTAATCCCAGCATTTTGGGAGGCTGAGGCAGGTGGATCACTTGAGGTCAGGAATTCGAGACCAGCCGGACGAACATAGTGAAACCCTGTCTCTACTAAAAAAATACAAAATTAGCCAGGTATGGCGATGCACACCTGTAATCTCAGCCACTTGGGAGGCTGAGGCAGGAGAACCACTTGAACCCGGGAGGCAGAGGTTGCAGTGAGCTGAGATCATGCCATTGCACTCCAGCCTGGGCAACAGGAGCAAAACTCCATTGCAAAAAAAAAAAAAGAGAGAAAGAAAGAAGGAAAGAAAGAAAGAAAGAAAGAAACAAAGAAACAAAGAAACAACGAAAGAAAGAAACAAAGAAAGAAAGAGAAAGAAAGAAAGAAACAAAGAAAGAAAGAAAGAAAAAAAGAAAGAAAGGAAGGAAGAAAGAAAAGAAAAGAAAAGGATGGGTGTGGTATCATTAAATCTGTGTTTCAGAAAATTCACTCAGTCCATGTGCAGAATGAATGGATTGAAGAAAAACAAGAGTAGAGAAGCGACACCAGTTAGAAGACTGCTAAAATGATCTAGGCCAGCCATTTAGTGCATAGGATATAGGAATGAGCCAAAGAAAATGAGGACAAGGGGATGAATGTGAAAAATATTTAGGAGGTTGAGTTAATAAGACTCAGCGATTGAGAGGACATAAGAGTAAGAGAAAGTCAAAAACTATTCCCAAACTTTTGTCTTCAGCAGCTGGTTAGGTAGCAAACCTGCCTTGTTCTATTAATATTTCTATACAATCAGTGTGCCCTCTGGTTCAACACACATAAGGAGACCATCACTATCATCTGATTCAACCTACTGCTCACATAGTCAAGGTCCAAGTATCCCTCTCTGGGACACACCAGTGAACTTCATTTTCTGCTGTCCCTAACAAAACCGATGTCTGAGTGAGAGTTACTTCTATTAACCCATCACAGTCTAGGACCACATTTAGCCAACCTGCCATAGAACATTGCAGCAGTTTATGGTACAGATACTAGAGCTAGAACTCTGAGGTTTGAATCCTGGCTCTGCCACTATGAAACCTTTGGAAAGTTATGCAACATCTTTGTGCCTCAGTTTCCTTGCCTATAAACTGATGATAATAAATGTATCCACCTCCTGGGCCATCTTCATAGTAATTGAGTTAATATAGAGTGCTTAGCACAATGCCTAACTCACACATAATACGCACCAAAAAAATTGTTTTTGTTGCTGAAGAAGATGATGATATTATTTACATAAGCCCAAAATTCCCAAATGCCGATTGGTGATGAAGTTTTCATCAGTCCACTGGAAAACTGTTATTGTAAAAATTCCAGCTGTCTTTTACTAGGAATGATTGTTCTTCCTCTTGGATTATAGCCTTTCTGCTTGGTCAGGGAAGTGGTAGTAAAAATATCCATTCCTTTATAAAATGATGATGATAGTAAACGATAGTTGGTTGGATATCTTTTTGATGCCCATAATTACAAAGTAAAAGTTGGCAATCCTTGGCCAGCTACCAAAATAAATTTGAAATCTTACCATTGTTTGAAATTTGAAAGTCTGAAAATTCCTAATGAAGATAATAATAGAATGAAAGAGGTGAGTGTCACCACAGTTCTACTGTAGCAAGGAAATGACATCAGACAGTAATTGGAATTCAGAGAAAGAGATGAAATGAAAAGAATCAGAACAAGAAAAAGAAAGAAGAATAAGAAGGAGGAGGAGGAAGAAAAGAATATGACAAACTCAATAAATAAATATTTGCTCTCCTTTATTCCCAGATTTTTTAAAAGACAAAATATTATAATAATAATTTTAACAATGTGTTGTTGGATTTGTCACATATATAGACATAATATATATAACAATACTAGTATAAAAAGGAGAAGGTGGAATGAAGCTATATAGGAATAAAGTTTCTATATTTCACTGGAATTGAGTTAGTATAAATATAAATAGACATAGATAATTTAATATGTATATAGCAAACCATAAAACAATAAATACAAAAACAATTTTTAAAAGTATAATTTAAAAAGTATCACAGGAATTTAAAAGTTAGACTAGGAAAAAACCCATTTAGTATAAAAGAAGGAAGTAAATGAGGAACAGAGGAACAAAGACATGAAGCACATAAAAAAACAAAAGGAAAATATCAGGTATAAATCTAACCATATTAATAACATTAAATAAAGTTGCATTACAAAATGCAATCAAAAGGCAGAAATTATCAGATTGGATTTTTTTAAATCAAGATCCAACTATGTGATGTCTACAGGAGACAAATTTTATATTTAAGGATAAAAATCGGGTGAAAGAAAAATGATGAAAAAAGATATACCGCAAACAGAAACCATAAGAGACTTACAGTAGATATACTAATCATACAAAGTAGAATTTATTACAAAATTTAACTAGAGATAAAGATGAACACTTCATAAAGATAAAAGAGTTAATTCATCAGGAAGACATAACAATCATAAACATATGTACACCCAACAACAAAGACCCAAAAACTGACACAAATGAAGGGAGAAATTGACAATTAAACAAATGTGGTTGAAGACTTCAATACCTCATTTTCAATAATGGATGCAACAAGCAATCAGAATATCAATGTAAAAATAAAATATGAAAATCATTATAAAGCAACTACACCAACAGACATCTATAGACATCTATAGTACTATCACTATACCCAACAATAGCAGAATATACATTATTCTCAAGTGCATCTGGAACATGTGCTAGGACATAAGACAAGTCTCAATAAATTTAGAAGGATTAATATCATCAAAGTATCCTCTCCAACCACAATAAAATTAAATTTGAAATCAACAACAGAAATAATTTGAGAAATTCACAAATATGTAGAAATTATATAACACACTTCTAAATAACCAACGTATCAAAGAAGAATCACAAGGAAATTATATAATTGTAGTTGACTACATTTTAAAAGAAAACTATCTCAAATCAATAACCTAACCTCCCATCTTAAGAAACTGGAAGTAGAGCAAACTAAACCCAAATCAAGCAGAATGAATGTAATGATAAAGATTTGAATAGAAAATTATAGACAGTAAGAAATAGTAGAGAAAATCAATGATTTTCAGAAGTTGGTTCTTTGAAAAGATCAACAAAATTGACAAAGCTTGAGCTAAACTGATCATGATCAAAAGACTGAAGACTCAAAGTACTAAAATTAGAAATGCAAGAGATTAAATCATTACTAAGAGAAATAAAAACAAATAATAAAAGCACACTATGAACAACTATATGCCATAAATCGGACAACTTAGATGAAGTGGATGAATTCCTAGGAAGATACAATTTCCCAAACCTTTCTCAAGAAAATTTGAATGAACCTATAACAAGTAAGAAGAGTGAATTATTAATTTTAAAATCCGTGGAAAAAAGCCCAAGTTTAGATGGCTTCATTGGTGAATTCTATCAAACATTTAAAGACATATTTCATAAACCCTTTTTAAAAATGGACTAGAAGGTAACATTTTCCATTTCATTCTATGAAACCAATATTATCCAGATAACAAAATCAATACCAGATAAAGCAATCACAAAACAGAAAACTTCAGAGCAATATCTCATATGAATATAGATGCAAAAATCCTCAACAAAATACTAGCAAAATGAATACAGCAACATATAAGAAGGATTATACAGAATAAATAAGTGGGATTTGCCTCATGAATGCAAGGTTGTTTAACATTCAAAAATCAATTAATGTAATACACCACATCGACAGAATAAAAGACAAAACTCATGTTTATCTCAATAGGTGCAGAAAAAGCACTGACAAAAACTAACTTCCTTCATGATATAAAAAAACTCAACAAACTAGGAATAGAAAGAAACTTCCTCAACTTGTAAAAGGCATCTACAAAATCTCTACAGCTAAAAATCATACTTAATGGTGAAAGATTGAATGCTTTTCAACCAAGATTAGAAGCAAGACAAGAATGTCCACATTCACCACTTCTAGGAAACATTGTATTGGAGATTCTAACCAGGGCAATTAGGCAACAAAATGAAATAAAAGGCATTCATAATAGAATGGAGAAGTAAAATTATGTCTATTCACAAAGAACATGATCATGTATATAGAAAATCATATATAATTCACTAAAAAATTGTTCAAATTAATAAAAGAGTTCAGCAAGATTTCACAATACAAGATCAATATATGGAAATCAACTGTATTTCTACACAGTTAGCAATGAGCAACCCAAACATGAAATTAAAAAAACAAGTCCATGTATAATAGTATCCAAAAATACATAGGAATACATTTAACAAAAGAGGTGTAAAACTTGTATTTTGAAAACTATTGAAAGAAATTTAAGAAGACCTAAGTAAATAGAAAGGCATCCCATGTTGATAAATCAGACTACTTAATACTGTTAAGGTGGCAATACTCTTCAAACTGATCTAGAGACTCAACACAATCTCTACCAAAATTTGTATGGAACCAAAAAAGATCCCTTATAGCCAAGACAATCCTAAGCAAAAAGAACAAAGCTGGAGGCATGATGCTACCTGACTTCAGACTATACTACAAGGCCATAGTAACCAAAACAGCATGGTACTGGTACCAAAACAGATATATAGACCAATGGAACAGAACAGACACCTCAGAAATAATACCACACATCTACAACTATCTGATCTTTGACAAACCTCACACCAACAAGCAATGGAAAAAGGATTCCCTATTTAATAATTAGTGCTGGGAAAACTGGCTAGCCATATGCAGAAAAACAAAACTGGACCCTTTCCTTATACCTTATACAAAAATTAACTCAAGATGGATTAAAGACTTAAATGTAAAACCCAAAACCATAAAAATTCTAGAAGAAAACCTAGACAATACCATTCAGGACATAGGCATGGGCAAGGACTTCATGACTAAAACACCAAAAGCAATTGCAACAAAAGCCAAAATTGACAAATGGGATCTAATCAAACTAAAGAGCTTCTGCCCAGCAAAAGAAACTGTCATGAGAGTGAACAGGCAACCTACAGAATGGGAGAAAATTTTTGCCATCTACCCATCTGACAAAGGGCTAATATCCAGAATCTACAAGGAACTTAATCAAATTTACAAGAAAAAAAGAAAAAAAACAGGCCAGGTGCAGTGGCTCATGCCTGTAATCCCAGCACTTTGGAAGGCTGAGCTGGGCAGATCACCTGAGGTCAGGAGTTCGAAACCAGCCTGGCCAACATGGTGAAATCACTTCTTTACTAAATATACAAAAATTAGCAGGCCATGGTGGCGGGAGCCTATAATCCCAGCTACTTGGGAGGCTGAGGCAGGAGAATTGCTTGAACCCAGGAGGTGGAGGTTGCAGTGAGCTGAGATCGTGCCACTGTACTCCAGCCTGGGGAACAAGAGTAAGACTCCGTCTCAAAAAAAAAAGGAAAAAAAAAACATCAAATGTGGGCAAAGGATATGAACAGACACTGTTCAAAAGAAGACATTTATGCAGCCAAAAAAACATATGAAAAAAATCTCATCATCACTGGTCATTAGAGAAATGCAAATCAAAACCACAATGACACACCATCTCACATGAGTCAAAATAATGATTATTAAAAAGTCAGGATACAACAGATGCTGGAGAGGATGTGGAGAAATAGGAGAGCTTTCACACTGTTGGTGGGAGTATAAATTAGTTTGACCATTGTGGAAGACAGTGTGGTGATTCCTCAAGGATCTGTAATTAGAAATACCATTTGACTCAGCAATCCCATTACTGGGTATATACGCAAAGGACTGTAAATCATTCTACTATAAAGACATATGCACAGGTATGTTTATTGCAGCACTATTTACAATAGCAAAGACATGGAATCAACCCAAATGCCCATCAATAATAGACTGTATAAAGAAAATGTGGTACATATACACCATGGAATACTATGCAGCCGTAAAAAGGAATGAGATCATGTCCTTTGCAGGGACATGGATGAAGCTAGAAGCAATCATTCTCAGCAAACTAACACAGGAACAGAAAACCAAATACCACATGTTCTCACTCATAAGTGGGAGTTGAACAATGAGAACACATGGACACAGGGAATGGAATGACACACACCAGGGCCAGTTGCAGGGGGTGGGGGACAAGGGGAGGGATAGCACTAGGACAAATAGCTAATGCATACAGGGCTTAAAACCTAGATGATAGATTAATAAGAGCAGCAAACCACCATGGCACACATACCTATGTAACAAACCTACACGTATCCTGGAACTTAAAGTAAAATTTAAAAAAAAAAAAAAGAAATTCATTCAAAACCATACAATTGCATGGAAATTGAATGACTTGATCCTGAATGACTTCTGGGTAAATAAATGAAATTAAGAAAGAAATCAAAAGTTCTTTGAAACTAATGAGAACAAAGACATAACATACCAGAATTTTGGGGATACAGGTAAGGCAGTGTTAAGAGGGAAATTTATAGCACTAAATACCCACATTGAAAAGTTGGAAAAATCTCAATTTAACAATGTAACATCACCACTGAAAGAACTAGAGAACCAAGAGCAAACAAATCCCAAAGCTAGCAGAAGACAAGAAATAACCAAATCAGAGCTGAACTGAGGGATATTAAGACACGAAAAAAAAAGCATTTAAAGAACGAATGAATCCAGGAGCTACTTTTTTGAAAAAATTAACAAAATAGATATACCACTAGCTAGACAAAGAAGAAAAGAGAGAAGACCCAAATAAACACAATCAGAAACAACAAGGGGGATATTACCACTGACCCCACAGAAATACAAACAACCATCAGAGAATATTATGAACAACTCTATGCACATAAACTAGAAAATCCAGAAGAAATGGATAAATTCTTGGACACATACACCCTCCCAAGTCCAAACTAGGAAGAAATTGAATCCCTGAACAGAACAATAATGAACTTTGAAATTGATGGGGATAGACAGCATTAGGAGATATACCTAATGTAAAATGATGAGTTAATGGGTGCAGCACACCAACATGGCACATGTATACATATGTAACAAATCTGCATGTTTTGCACATGTACCCTAGCACTTAAAGTATAATAAAAAATATATATATTAAAAAATAAGAAATTGAGTCAGTAATAAATAGCCTACCAACCAAAAAAAGCCCAGGACCAGACAGATTCACAACCAAATTCTACCAGATGTATAAAGAAAAGCTGGTGCCATTCCTACTGAAACCATTCCAAAAAATTGAGGAGGAGGGATTCCTCCCTAACTCATTCTATGAGGCCAGTATCATCCTGATACCAAAACCTGGCAGGCACACACACACACACACACACACACACACACACACACACACTTCAGGCCAATATCCTTGATGAACATCGATGCAAAAATCCTCAACAAAATATTGGCAAAAGGAATTCACCAGCACATCAAAAAGCTTATCCACCGTGATAAAGTAGGCTTTATCCCTGGGATATAAGGTTGGTTCAACATATGCAAATCAATAAATGTGATTCATCACATAAACAGAACTAAAGACAAAAACCACATGATTATCTCAGTAAATGCAGAAAAGACTCTTGAAAATAATAAACACCGCTTTATGTTAAAAACTCTCAATAAACTAGGTATTGAAGAAACATACCTCAAAATAATAAGAGCCATCTATGACAAACTCAGAGCCAACATCATACTGAATAGACATAAGCTGGAAGCACTCCCCTTGAAAACCAGAACAAGAGAAGGATGCCCTCTCTCACACTCCTATTTGACATAGTTTTAGAAGTCCTGGCCAGGGCAATCAGGCAAGAGAAAGAAATAATGGCATCTAAGTAGGAAGAGAGGAAGT
Source organism: Homo sapiens (assembly GCF_000001405.40). Classification (NCBI taxonomy): domain Eukaryota; kingdom Metazoa; phylum Chordata; class Mammalia; order Primates; family Hominidae; genus Homo; species Homo sapiens. The sequence continues at coordinate 1,106,610 of NC_000009.12, read as the reverse complement.
CAAACTACCTCTGTTTGCAGATGACATGATCCTACAACCAGAAAACCCCATAGTCTCGCCCAAAAGTTCCTTAAACTGATAAACAACTTCAGCAAAGTCTCAAGATACAAAACCAATGTGCAAATAGCACTAGAATTCTTATACACCAAAAACAGTCAAGCTAAGAGCCAAATCAGGAATGCAATCCCATTCACAATTGCCACAAAAAGAATAAAAATACCTGGGAATACAGCTAACCAGAAAGGTAAAAAAATTATATAAGGAGAACTACAAAACACTGCTCAAAGAAATCAGAGATGACACAAACAAATGGAAAAACATTCCATGCTCATGGATAGGACGAATCAATATTTTTAAAATGGCCATACTGCCCAAAGCAATTTATAGATTCAGTGCTATTCCTATTTAAATACTAATGACATTCTTTACAGAACTAGAAAAAAACTATTTTTAAATTCATATGGAACCAAAAAAGAACCCAAATAGCCAAGGCAATCTTAAGCAAAAAGAACAAAACTGGAGGCATCACACTCTCCAAATTCAAACTATACTACAGGGCTACAGTAACCAAAACAGTATGGTACTGGTAAAAAACAGACACATAGAACAATTGAATAGAATACAGAACATGAAATAAGGTCACATGCCTACGACTATGTGTCTACAAAAACATAGAGACCAGTAGAACAGAACACAGACCCAGAAATAAGGTCACATGCTGTAATGGCTGATACTGAGTACCAGCTTGATTGGATTGAAGAATGCAAAGTATTGATCCTGGGTGTGTCTGTGAGGGTGTTGCCAAAGGAGATTAACATTTGAGTTAGTGGGCTGAGAAAGGCAGACTCACCCTTAATCTGGGTGGGCACCATCTAATCAGTTGCCAGTGCAGCTAGAATACAAAGCAGGCAGAAAAATGTGAAAAAACTAGACTTGTCTAGCCTCCCAGCCTACATCTTTCTTCCATGCTGGATGCTTCCTGCCCTCAAGCATCAGACTCCAAGTCTTTCAATTTTGGAACTCGTACTTGCTCTCCTTGCTCCTCAGCTTGCAGACAGCCTATTGTGGGAGCTTGTGATAGTGTGAGTTAATACTTAATTAACTCCCCTTTATATATATATATATATATAATATATATATATACACACACACATATATGTATGTATATATGTATATATGTGTATATACGTATATATGGGAATTAAATTCATATTTATATATTCATTACATATATTTATATATAAATTCATATATATGAGGACATATATATAGGGGAAGAATATATATATAAATCCTATTATATATAATAGGATATAAATATATATATCCTATTAGTTCTGTGTATATATATATAGGAAGTATATATATATATAAAGGGGAAGTGTGTGTATATATATATATATAAAGGGGAAGTATATATATATAAAGGGGAAGAATATAAATATATAAAGGGGAAGGATATATATATGTATATATATATAAAGGGGAAGGATATATAAATATATGCAAAGGGGAAATATATATATATATAAAGGGGAAGGATATATATATATATATAAAGGAGAAGGCTATATATATAGATATATATATATACGGGAAAGATATATATATATATTCTATTAGTTCTGTCCCTCTAGAGAACCCTGACTAATACACATGCTTATGTGATCTTCAACAAACCTGACAAAAACAAGCAATGGGGAAAGAACTCCCTATTCAATAAATGGTGCTGGCATAGCTAGCTAGCCATATGCAGAAGATTAAAACTGGACCTTTTCCTTACACCATAAACAAAAATCGAAACTCAAGATGAATTAAAGACTTAAATGCAAAACCCAAAACCACAAAAAACCTGGAAGACAACCTAGGCAATACCATTCTTGACATAAGAACAGGCAAAAATTTCACGATGAAGACACCAAAAGCAAATGCAACAAAAGCAAAATTGAAAAATGGGATCCAATTAAACTAAAGAGCTTCTGCACAGAAAAAAAAAAACTATCAACAGAATGAAGAGACAACCTACCAAATGGGAGAAAATTTTTGCAAACTATGCATCCGACAAAGGTCTAATATCCAGCATCTATAAGGAACTTAACCGAATTTACAAGACAAAACAAATAAACATTAAAAAGTGGGCAAAGGACATGAACAGACACTTTTCAAAAGAAGACATGCATGCAACCAACAATCATATGGAAAAAAAAAGCCCAACATCACTGATCGTGAGAGAAATGCAAATCAAAACCACAGTGAGATAACATCTCACACCAGTCAGAACGGCTATTATTAAAAAATCAAAAAAGAACAGATGTTGATGAGGTTGCAGAGAAAAAGGAACACTTACATACCATTGGTGAGAGTGTAAATTAGTTCAACCACTGTGGAAGACAGCATGGTGAATCCTCAAAGACCTAAAAGCAGAAATACCATTCGACCCAGCAATCCCATTACTGGATATATATCCAAAGGAATATAAATCATTCTATCATAAAGACACATGTACACGTATGTTCATTGTAGCACTATTCACAATAACAAAGAAATGTAATCAACCTAAATGCCCATCAATGGTAGACTGGATAAAGAAAATGTGGTACATATACACCATGGAATACTATGCAGCCATAGAAAAGAGCGAAATAGTGTTCTTTCTAGAAACATGGATGGAGCTGGAGACCATTATCCTTAGCGAACTAACTCGGGAACTGAAAGCCAAATACCACATGTTCTCACTCACAAGTGAGAGCTAAATGATGAGAACACGTGGACACATAGAGGGGAACAACACACACTGGGGCCTATGGGAGGATGGAGGGTGGGAGGAGGGAAAGAATCAGGAAAAATAATCAATGGGAACTAGGCTTAATACCTGGGTGATGAAATAATCTGTACAACAAACCCCCATGACACAACTTTACCTATATAACAAACTTGCACATGTACCCCTGAACTTAAAAGTTATGTCAAATATATATATACACACATGTGTGTGTGTATGTGTGTGTGCATGCATGTGTGTATGTATAAGTTAGTGTCAGGTTTGGACACCCTCAATTGGCAGGCAGATATGTTCTGTGTGTTTTCCTATCAATGACGGGAGGACAAGTGGATATTACATTATCTCTGCAACATTTCCTCCCCTAAATAAACACAGCAGTTTGCTTTCCAAGGAAAACTATGAGGAGCTGCAACTAGTATCAAATTGTCTTTCAGAAAGAGAGGACTTAGTAAAACAATCTTTCTATTAACAAGTACATTCCCATAGTAGTTTCAGGTTTGCTTATTTCCCTCTTACACAGCTGCCCACATTCTTCTAACCCATACTTTACCAATGTGGATAAACACTCCTGAGCCCTTTGCTTTGAGAATTGCAGGGTTTTTTGTTTTGTTTTGTTTTGGGGTTTTTTTGGTATTTTTTTTTTTAGTACTGAAAATGGCAGAAGCAAAATAACTGGGTGAAAGAAAAAGATTTGCTCTCTCCTTCTCTGTCTTCCCTGCCCTCAGTACAAAACTGAACTATATTGGCTTCATTTTCTTTTACCTCCCCTAAGAAATACCACCAGTCATAAATATTATAGCTGTCCCCTCGACTCTGGCTGACATTTCATGCAAAATTCATTTTAGAGAACATCCACCTTTTAGTGATTTATAGCCAAAGTGTTAGAGATTTCAGAAAGCAAAAGATTTGAAATACAACCAAACAAAGACCTCACCTTGTCAGTCACTGTGTGCTCTTTTTCCGGTGGGTGGTGGTGCATTGGAGACTTATTGTTCTGAAAATAGAAACAGAACAGAACAAAACCTCTATGTTCTTATGGAAGGGATTTCACGGTCATTACATGAAAGACAGAAAGGAAAATGCCTGCCTGCCTGCTGTGCTATCAACCTGAGGGATGAATTTTTCAGCATGGGGGGGTGGGGGGAACACCATCTCTTAAAGGGGACTCCAAGCATAACTGAAGACAAGACACAACTATAGCGAACAGTGGAAATTTGCCCACAAGTTATTTTAGCAGAGAAAATCAAAGTCGACAGACATGGCTGAAAAATCGATAGAGAACAGAAACTGAAGTCTAAGGACTTCTTGTTTCCAGTTTGGAGGCTAAGTCAGGTAACTTCTGGCCTATCAGTGAGTCTCCCTGGACCACAGTCCTCACTTGTAGAATGGATATCATCAAATTAACCTCTCTTGTGCTGTATAGAATTGTTTAAAAAGGAAAAAAGGCATAAACACCCAAAAACCTATAGAAAGATGCTGTGTCATATGAGGAAGCTCTCAGCAACGCTAATATATACCTGAAGAGTAATTTGGGGTGTCATGGGAGCAATTATATTTTCATACACACATACTCATCCACTCTCTCACCCTTTATTAAGAGCCAAATGAGCTATATTTAGAATGTTCCCAAATCAGTGGCTCTGAATGTACACTCATATCACCTTTTTAACCTTGACTTGACTGTCACTTTAAATATTTAGCCATTAAAAAAGCACTTGAACACCTGCAGTACAAAGAAAACGTTTCATTTCCCTACTAGAAAGGCAATCAGGCAAATTTAAATAAATCACCTCAATGTATCTCCAGCAATGGCCCAGCTGCCTGGTTATTTGTCCCTGACTTGCCATTAGATTTAACTTATCCCCACCCGGTAGATTTATCTAACAAAAGCACAATGTGCTGTTGACATTCTTCGGAGTAAGGAGAACACTGGAAAAATGGTAGGAGGATGATGGGGCAAACAGGAAAGTGACTTTTGTTGTAGCTAAGAGGGAATCTCTGTTTACAGCAATTCACGGTATGTTCCCCGCCCCTCTTAGCCCCCATCTCTCTCTCCACATCATTTTCTATCCCCCACATACTTCTAACAGAATGCCATGGTGCCATGGTTCTTTAAGTTAGGTTCCCCCGCAAGTGACAACAGCATCACCTTGGAACTTATTAGAAATACAAATTCTCAGGCCCTTCCCAAAACCTCTTAAATCAGAAACTATGGGTGGAACCCAGAAATCAGTGGTTTAACTATCCCTTCAGGTGATTCTGATGCACACTCAAGTTTGGGAACTGCTCCTGTAGTGAAAGATAATCACACCTGTTTGTAGTCTTCTTTCTGGAAAGGTCACATTCAGTTTACCAGAACCATCAGAAGTCATTTTAGTTTGGGGAATTTTGTTTGCATTTCTAAAGCCGTTATGAACCTACCCAGACAGCTAAAACTGTGCAGGTCATGCAGGCTTTGGGGTCTTTTCCTGTTTTTATAATTTAACCATCACATACACTACACGGAGACATCAGCGGCCCCCATGAAATGAAAGGAAACTGACTGAGATCATCACATGTCCTCTGTCTGAGCAAAGGCACAAAAGAATGTCTTCAGGACCTTGCCCACTTAAGCATCTTCTAGCCAATATGTGAGCATGGGAAGGGAGGGAGAGTGGAAGGCTAGTACTCTGGAGAGCCTGTCCCATTCACAGGCGTCACCTAGTGGGCATTGCTGAAAGGGAAGTGGCCGGGGAGGCATTCACCGTACGTCGGACTTCCAGCGCCCCAGCTGCAACTGCTGAGACCTCGTTTTGCAGCAAAAACATCATGGGGCAGGGAGGATAGGCCATTCTGGCTACAAAGCGAGGCTGGGGAATCTAATCAATTGGTGCTGAGTTACTCTAATATAAGCTGGGAAGAAGAAAAAGTACATTTAAAAAGGCACTTGCTATATTTAAAAGCAAAATCTCAGACGTTTATCATACCCTGACTTTTGGATTTCAGAGACCGAACTATCAAAGTAAAGGCACATATCTCTGGTCTGGCTCTAGCCAAATGATGCAGCCCTGGCTTTATATCAGTGTTTGTCCTGTAAGACAGTCAGATTGGACTGTCGGCCTTGTTCTTGACTTTCTTAGGATGCTGTGATTCCCCCGGGGTGCCCTGATGTGGGTAGCAATTCATGACTCCTAAACCTCTGTGACCCCTAAACTGTGGTCTCCACCTTCTGCCTTTCTCTTTGGTTCTGATGCTGGCTCCAGCTGACATCCAGACCTCTCCTTCTCCTGACTCATCCGTGCTATAAACTCAGCTTTACAGTACCACTCAGACTCCACTCAAGTCATGTAAAAGAGGCCAGAACGTTCTTGGGTGATACAGCACTGTTTTATATGAAACTCTGGGACAACTCTCACTTGCAAAGGTAAAGAGAGGACTTATACACAGTGAGATGCAAGCCTGATGAATCAGGATGTTTTACTGTGTGCACTGCAGCTGTGTCACTGGGGAGAGTCATGTTGAATATAAGGATGACATATCATACACACACATTTAATTTTCAGTGCTTGCAAAATTCTCCTCTCCCTCCCTCAAACCTGGAGCTTAGAATGGAAGTGAACTGACATCTTAATGGTCTGAGAATTTTTTTTAATACTTGAATGAAAAACAGCTTTTTAAAACTTTCCAAAATAGGCAGTTGAATGTTAGCAAGCTAAAAAATTAGTGTTACGAGAACCTATTATTGGGAGATAGAGTGACTCTCTGCATAGAAAGAATTCTAGAATAGATCAGTAGGAAACCCAGAAAACAAGCTGTGGCCCAAACTGCCTCACACTTTACTGAAAAGAGTACAGGCCTTGAAGACAGGTGGAACTGAGTTCAAGTTCCAGCTGTATGCTTACTTGGGAAAATGACTTTCCCTCTCTTAGCTTCAATTTCCTTATTTCTAAAATGAGGAGAAAAATCTATCTTGCAGCACTGTTAATAGGAATAGTAGGTGCTCAATTAATGCTATCTTTTATACTTTTTGTTAAATATTGAATGTTACAGAATGTTATCTATTATAAATATTAAAATAGAAATAAAAGAAATACTTGTCTTAACAGCATGGGGAAAAGAATACCACTGGTACTTTTGAAATGTCATATGTGCCTATCCCCATCCCCCCTCCTCATAGCTATTAGCTGTTCTTCTTATGGTCTGAAGCCTTCCCAGTCAGCCAGACTAGCTGGTTAGCACTTTAGGGAGAGGCACCTGTTTTTTTCCTTGGCCCAGCAGAAGTCACAGAAGAGGCTTCAAAGACAGACCTTGCTTCAGTTTTGAGCTCTCCCATTCCTGGACACCTTGTCCCCTAGAGTTTTTCTAACCTTTTGCCTGGTTTCTGACCCACTGCCTCATTTTAAGCACAAGGGTCGGTGTGTTCTTTGCTTTCTAATGGATGGCTTCTGAGTACTTCCAAGCCCAACCTACTCCTGTGTCTAGCTTCCAGCCTCTCATTCCCAACCTTGCCTAAGTTCTCTCCATACTGAATCCAGGCACTGCCTCTGTCCAGGGTCTCAATAAGATATGATTCAGAGGTACCCCAGCTCTGCCCTCATGTTGAAGGGACAGTAGACAACAGAGGACAGGGTGGGAGAAAGGATCCTCGGAGAGAAGAGAAAGATTATGAAGTCAGGGACATAGGAGACAAATCTCCCCTCCTTGGGGCCTGCTAGTATGGTGACAGTGAAATTTAACCTGACTCCAACACCAATAAGACAGCAGGTTACATTGGGAGTCTACCATTTGAGACTAAAATACTGTCCATTTATTTTAAAGAGTGCAAAGCTATGCATTCTGCACAGGTGTGTTGAGTTTTCAGGACACTGCGGGGGATGTCTTAAGGAACACAAAAACGGCTGTTTTTTTTCTCTCCACATTCATTTGCCCCAACTCTCCCCTCTCTCCATCAATCTCCTCCAGCAAAAAAATTCACTTATGTGTCCTTGGAGCCATTTATATGGTGCCAAGTCCACATGGTCAAATGAAACCATCTGGTTCATAGTAATGAAAGAGGCCTGTTCTCAGCACTGCAGGATAGAGCAAGGGAAGGAGGAGATCTGGCCTATGCCCAAGAGATGTTTGCAACATACCAGAGACATGTGATCAGCTTAAATATGAGTGACAGCACAAAGTATGGAGCTGGTACTTTACACAAGACCAATTATAGTTGTGCAGCTATTAACCCCAATGGCAATTGTTCTCAAAGTGTAGCCCCCAGACCAGCAGCATCAGCATCAACTGAGAGCTTGCTAAAAAGGCAAAAATTCTCAACCTCCTCCTAGACCTACTAAACCAGAAACTGGGGGAAAGGGGAGAAGGAAGGGTGGGCAATCTGTGTTTTAACAGGCCTTCTAGGTGATTCTGATGACCACTAAACTGTAAAACCCAATGTTCTACAGCAGTTTCTCAAGCTTGACACTATTGACATTTGGGGCCAGATAACTATTGTTGTAGGTGCTGTCCTGTGCACTGTAGGATGTTTGGCAGCATCTTTGGCCTCTATCTCCTAGATGCCAGTAGCAACCCACCCCTCAGCTGTTACAATAAAGATATCTTCAGGCATTGCAAAATGTCCCCTAGTTGAGAACTATTGCCTTATGGTAAACCGTTCCCTACTGTGGTTGGATTAGGAACACTACAATGATACAGAGTATCAATAATGGTGCCCAACAAATGAGCATGGAGTTGACTACAATACTCCAAGGAGACAGGAATATGCAAAGACCCTCAAAGGACATCAAATGAACCCGCACTCCTGGAAAAGCTCTAGTTCCCAGTTATCTTTGGAATATGGGATTACAGGTGACTATAATTTTCTTCTCTGTAGGCTTTTGGTTTGTTTTGTATTCCAAATGTTCCATTCCATATATGTATTATAATCATAAAAGAACAGAGAACTTAAAAGAAATAAAAGATAAATGACATTGGAGTTTTCACCCAAATAGCTCTTCCTTTACTTCAATTTAACAAGAAAGGATGAGTACTGAATGACATTTGTGCTTTCTTGCCAAATCCGCTCTCATCCAACATATAAAAGAATAACATTTGCACATAGTGCTTTATAATAAATTACCCAGTGCTTTCACAAACATTCTCTTATTTGATTATCTCCACAATCCTTTAAAAGCACTTGGATCCCCAAGTTCCCTCTACTAGTAAGTTTTAGATCTTTGAACTTTAAAGTCAGATGATCATTCCAATCAATTTTTGTACCTAAGACCAGAACCATTTTCTCCACTACAAAAACTAAAAAGTTTTGCTGTTCTTGGTTGCACAGTTGCTAGAACAGACCTACACCCTAGATCGTTGCTAAAGAAAACCTAGTTTGAGACCAACAGCATCATGTCACCCAGGAGCTGGTTAGAAATGTAGGATCTCAGGACCACTCTGGACCTAGTTAGTCAGAATCTTTATGTTAGCAAGGTCCTCCATATAATTCATATGCATATTTAAAGTTTTAAGATCACTGACTTGGACCACTGAGCTGGTCATCATATAAAGGCTAGAATCAACACTTTATTCATTTTTATGTTTCCTAATGAATTGCTCCATTTGGTACTTTTTCAATGTGTTAGTTCCTCATTGCTGCTGTGACAAATTACCACATGCTTAGTGGTCCATCTCAGGATCACTAGTTTAATCACATCCTCACAGTCCCCTTTGTCATGTAAGGGGCAGGTTCCAAGATTTAGGGCACAGGCATCTTGGTAGGGTCAAGAGGATCATTATTCTATCTATGACACTCAATAAATGTTTGCTGAAATGGATTCAAATGGGCTAAACTGATCTACAGTGGTTTACTTCTCCCTAGACTCCTATGTTCTTGGGAACGTCATCTCCCTTCTAGGCACTCAGTGCTTCCTGCAAGTCAGTATCTCTCCCTGTCACTGTCTACTTTTCCATTTTCCGCCTCTGAGCCACAGCATCCGACACTGGCTCCCTTCTCCTGCCTGCCATTCACACCTGTAAAATCTATATTTAGCAAGACTGTTAGTGTCAGCTCTCATTTCCTCCCACTCCCACCTCATCTGCCCAGACCTGTCCACTAACCACTGCGTATATTTCCTGCATTCACTCCCTTCTTTCCTCTGTCTCCCCCTATACCTGAGGCCACCTGCCTGCCACCAGCCTGTTGGCCCAGCTACCACCCTGCCTTCCTTTAAGTCTTCCCGAATAGTCACTTTTTCAAAACGACTTTGAATGTTACTTCCTTGGTAAGACATCATTTCTTTTTCCACACCTGCCTCAAGCTCACACAAAAAATGAAAAAGATAAACCGCAAATAAATATACTATTTTCTCTTGTCACAGCACGTTTCCAAGGAGCCTACTTCATTAATGCCTCTACCTTGTGGTGAGTAGATTAAGAGAATCATTAACCCCTGGTTGAGAACACACACTGAAAAAAATTTTCCATATGGCAGCAGCCAAGGTTTATTTTCAAGTTTAACCTCTTCATGTGTTTTTGTCATGAATCAGTCCATCTGATTTGCATAATCACCACATAGTGGTTAGAGACAATATGACATCGGAAAGGCTGGGATTTTTACTGGGAAATATGGAAAGCATGCCATATCCTGAGAAGGACCAAATGTGAGGACAGGCAACAGAAACATAGGGAATAAAATGGTAGGATTCGAAAGAGACACAAAGGAAAAGGGAATCACTATTACTATACCTACAAAATAGGGCTAAAACTACCTCTTTCTCTCTCTCAAGGCAACTCGGAGAAACAACTGAAGATGAGTGAAAGCACTCTGAAGCTTCAATCTGCCATTCACATTGAAACACTAATCCTAACAATAGCCACAAAAAAGAACATTCAATGATATAAAAGGAATAAGAGAACTCAGAAAGACTAATAATTTTGCCCATGATCACCTCACCATCTCACTCTGAAATCATTAGGTACAGAAAAAATTATTAAGCTAGGGAAGACTATAAGGTAGCAAGGTACTCAAATGAAGTCTTTCTTAGACATGCTTGAAGCTAGGAACTTCCAGGAACTAGAGACAGCTCTAGACATGGAAGCACAAGCAGAAAACTGCTGAGAATATCTGGGGAAATTTTGCTTTCCTAACAGAGACCCTGACCTTTGCTCCTTGTCTTTTTTTCCTTACACCTTCAAGAGAAGCAGATGTAATGGCTGGACCTGCAGCAGCCATGTTACACACTTGAAAGGTCAAGGAAATCTCAGGCCTTAGTATTGAAATCCTTGAGCCACTGAGTCAATAGCAGTAACTTTATATCTCTAAGACTCTTGTTGCATGAAATAAAAAGCAAGACTTTAACTGTTTAAGCAAATATCATTATGTCTGTTCATTGAGTTTTCTTTTCCTTGCAGCCAAACAGAAATTCTTTCTGAAGCCTCAAAGAGAAGTTAGAACTCTTGTGTCTTAGGTAAAATGAGTCTTTGACATCTTCCCAACTTAACTCCCAAAGTCCCTCTCCTTCTTAATATTCCCTCCTCATTGGCTCACTTCTCAGGATGACCAAGTCCCAGAAATTGTAGTGCAGTCCTGAAAAGTACTGCACCCCTGGATTCCATGGCCTATCTCAGGAGACTTCTCTACCCTCAAATGATTAATTAACCTCCAACATTTCACAGTGCTTAACAATTGTGTAAAATTATTTAATATATTATCTCATTGCTAAAACAAGTCAGTAGAATGGTAATTTTCAAAGTGTGGTCCTTGGGCTGGCAACATCAGCATAATCTGCAGAAATGCAATTCTCAGGGCCCACCCAACACCCATGGAATCAGAAACTGAGGGAGGGTGCAGCAATATGTGTTTTAACAGGCTCCACAGGTGACTCAGACATGCACTAAAGTTTGCGAGCCATTGCTGTATGGTACTACGTACATCTTTCAGATAAAGAAACTGAAGCACTTGTGGATTGTATTGATTCATAGTGAGGTGTTGGAGATAGGCCTCTGACTCCAAGCTCAGGGCCATTTTTACCATACACGAATACTTTCCCTCCAGTAATACCTGTTGACTGTCTCATTCTAGAGAGAGCTGTCATTTTGAGAAAAAAAAAAATTCTTACAAACTCATTGACTCTAGAATATTAGTAACTGATAATATTTTGGTTTTCCCTAAGGAAACCTGCACTTAAACTAAATACAAATCATGAGATGCCACCTCATACCCATTAAGATGACTGCTTCCAAAAAAAGAAAACATAAAATAAGCTGGTAGTAGGAATATAAAATGGAACAACTGCTATAGAAAGCACTATGGCGGTTCCTCAAAACTTTTAAAGAGAATTACCATCTAGCAGTTCCACTTCTGGACATATACTCAAAAGCACTGAAAACAGGAACACAAATATTTGTACACCAATGTTCATAGCAGCATTATTCACAACAGCCAGCAGGTAGACATAACCCACATGTCCACCAGAAAATGAAGATGAATAGATAAACATATTGTGGTATATACATACAATGGAATATTATTTAGGCTTAAGAAGAAAGAAAATTCAGACATATGCTACAGCATAGGTGAATCTTGAGGACATTGTGCCAAGGTGAAATAAACCAGTAACAAAAGGATAAATATTGTATGTTCACTTACATGAGGTCCTGCACCTAGAGCAGTCAAATCCGTAGAGACAGAAAATAGAATGGCGGCTGTCAGGGTCTTGGGGAGGGGGAATTGGAGAGTTATTGTTTAATGGGTACAGAGTTTCAGTTTTGCAAGATGAAAAGTTTTGTAAATGAACGGTGGTGATGGTAGCACAACAATGTTAATGTACTTAATGCCACTGAATTGGACAACTGGCCCATGAAGAGTATGGAGTTTACAGTACTGACCTGTCCCCCATACAGTCAAAAATTCGAATATAACTTTTGACTACCCCAAAACTTCACTACAAATAGCCTATTGTTGACTAGAAGCCTTACCAATAACATAAACAGTCTATTAACACATATTTTGTATGTCATATGTATCATATACTATATTCTTACAATAAAGTAAGCTAGAGAAAAGAAAATGTCATTAAGAAAATCATCACGAAGAGAAAATACATTTACAGTACTGTACTGTATTTATCAATACTCTAAGTTTATGTTATCTGTTTACAAGATCTGACACAGCAGGCAACCACAGCTGCAGACCTCAATCTGTGGTACATATCAAGCAGTTCAGCTTTTTCTTGTAAAGTCATGACTTTTCTCTGCTTCTTGGGAGCATTTCTGGCATCACTAGTAGCACTTTGCATAGGTCCCACGGTGTTGTTCAAGGTTTACAGTATTGTCATTATAAAATAAAAATAAAGCTCTTAGGCCCTCCAGGCAGAATGAAATGGACTGCCTGTGGCAAGAGATCCCAGAAAACCTTTTAAGCTGTATTCTACAGCTTTGGCAACGCAAGAGGTCAGTCATGCCTCAACTCTCCCCTATCTCATTAACCACCTCAAGACTTTCCTACAATTAAAGAAAAACCAGTTCCTAAAAAACTATGTCTGGAAGACTTCCCCTGCAACCTCGACAGACCATCCGACATTGTGGTCCACCTCCCTCCTGTCTGTATCAAAGTTTCACTCTTACACACGGCCAGCCTTGCAAAGCATTCCATCCTAATAACTGTCCACCAACCACAGACAGATTCTGGCCAGTTTACAGAAACTGTGCACTAAGTGCCTTTATGCCCTATGTTTCACCTTTTGGTGTATAGAGCCTAATTTTACTGCATTTGGATGTTAAGTCTCTACCTCAAAGTGAACATGGGTTGTATGTAATATATGTGTATTCACTATGCATGTGTTAGACTCCCTCATAAATATTAACAAGATGCTCCTATAACCTACTGAATATATGTATAGCTAATCATACTGGGCATAAATCTCAGCATCTCTCCCTTTTGTCTCTGAAGTGTCTGCTTTTGGTTTTGGCCAGAGACTCCTCTTTCCAGTCTGCAGGTTGTAACCCTTTATAAGAAATAAAGTTCGCTGGGCGCGGTGGCTCACGCCTGTAATCCCAGCACTTTGGAAGGCCGAGGCGGGCGGATCACGAGGTCAGGAGTTGGAGACCATCCTGGCCAATATGGTGAAACCCTGTCTCTACTAAAAATGCAAAAATTAGCTGGGCTTGGTAGCGCGCGCGCCTGTAGTCCCAGCTACTCGGGAGGCTGAGGCAGCAGAGTCGCTTGAACCCGGGAGGCGGAGGTGGCAGGCAGCCGAGATCGCGCCACTGCACTCCAGCCTGGGCGACAGCGTGAGACTCCGTCTCAAAAAAAAAAAAAAAGAAAAAAAGAAAAAAGAAAAAAGAATTTACTCGAGAGGTGAAATGCTCACACAGAGATGATTAGCATCACATGGTGTTTTAAGCAGATACTTACAATATTTGAGCAACAGGAGGTGGCTATGAAATTATTACAATAGTACAGAATGTAGTACAGTTAATTTTATGCAGTTATGATTTAATACTGCATCTTTATGTTTGTTTACATTTCTCTAGACTGTAAACGGTACCATATATGGTCTGTGTTTGTATGTGTGAGTTTTGATAAATTTTAACTTTTTATAATAGATTTGTGTATATTTTATGGTAGTGTGTGACAAAATAGACTAGTATCTACATATATTTTATGCATTCATGATATACCGTTTTCTTTTTTCAATATTTCCAGGCTATAGGGGTTCATCTGCAAGTTTTTGCAAATTGTTACAAATTTCCAAAAAATTGTCTAATGTATTTATTGGGAAAAAAATCCACATATAAGTGGATCTGTGTAGTTCAAACCCGTGTTGTTCAAGGGTCAACTGGATAATTTCAAAAAGTTAAACTGGTAAATTTTATGTTATATATATTTTACCACAATTTTTCAAATGTATTTTAAACAACAAAGAAAAGAAACACAACCCAACTTGTAACATTCCTATTCACTTCTGATAGGCAAAATATTAGAGATAATACAATCAGGGTGACTTCCTTGCTACTGCTCAAACCATATCCCAAAAGTAATCCTGAACTCCATATGGAATCTTGGAACACAGTTGGAAATTAAACTAAAGAGTAAATGTTTTTCAGTCCCCACCAGTTCAGGGTACTATAGAGGGGTGATTTCTTAAGGAATATTATTATAAACATATCATATTGGGGAATTGAGATGTTAAAGTTTTAGCAAAATTGAAATTGTTAGGTTTGGCATATTCTATTTTGAGTAAGGAAACAAAACCCTCTGTTCCCCAATAAATGGCTCCTCTTTTTATAATTCTGTTACTAAACCTACAAGCAAAAGGCAGTTAAGCCAACAACAAGTAGGAAGTCTTCACTCCTAATGAGTCAGTCTTGGGGACCAATATGCCCTTCAGGAATGCTATTATTTCATTCTCCTAGGGAAATAGAGATGTCATGGGTCAAATGTTGACTGCCGAAACTCATCAGAATTTTTTGTTGTTTTTTCTTTTCTTTTTTTTTTTTTTTTTTTTTTTTGATACAGGGTCTCACTCTGTCACCCAGGCTCCAGTGCAGTGGCGACCTCCTGTGCTCAAGCAATCCTCCTGCCTCAGCCTCCCAAGTAGCTGAGACTACAGGTGTGTGTCACCATACCTGGCTCATTTTTGTATTTTTTGTAGATATGGAGTCCCACTATGTCGCCCAGGCTCATCAGTATTTTTGACAAATGACCACATGTACTAAATTTTTCTGCAGTATTTTTCAATATGGAAATAATTGCATGCTTACTAAGAAGATGTAAAAATCATACAGAGAACTTTCATATACCCTTTATTCAGTTTCACTAATTTTTTCCATATTGGCATATTTTCTTTTTCTTCTACCAATATTCACTTTATCGTCGGTTTCTTTTCTTAACCATTTGTGAACACTCCTTTTCTCAATACTTTAGTATGTGTTTCTTAAGAGCAAGGATATTCTTTTACAATGCTACACTAGCTACACAATTCAGGAAATCCAAAATAGATGATAATAGTTTTATCTAATCTACCACCAATAATCCAGTTTTGTCAATTATACCAATAATGTCTTTTAGAACATTTCTCTCTCCTGTACAGGATACTGTCAAGAATCACATGTTGGATTTTATATGTTACATCTTTTCAATCTCTTTAAATCTGGAACAGTTAGTTCCTCAGTCTTTCAGCAGGGGTCAGCTATTCTATACAATGCTCCTCAATTTGAGGTTGGCTGATGTTTCCTTATGATTAAATTCAAACTGCATATACTACACATATTACTACAGTATACTACAGAACACCACATAAAGTGGTGTTGTGTCCTTCTCAAAATATCACATCTGGAGGCATATGAGTCCATCACTGGTGATATTAATTTTTACTACTAGATCAAGGTGTTGTCCACTTTCTCCACTATACATTTACTACACTCCTCCCTTCCATCTAATAGGTAATCTAGGAGTAAACATTTTAAGACCATGAAAATGTCATGATCTGCATCAATATTTATACCCTAGATATAGTATCCACTGATGATTCAAGCCTAAAACAATCTTTGTTATGATTATTGCAAAATAGTTATTTTTTCCAACCATACCACTCCCTCCATATTTATAGGTTGGTATTCTACCTCAAGTAAAAGCTTCTTTTCTCCCGTATTTTTATTTATTTTTCTATTATTTATTATCAGCACAAACTTGTGAATTATTTTATTCAATGGATTTCCATAAATTACTGTTCTTTTGATGCTCAAATTTTTCTAAATTTGGCCAGCTACAGCCCCTTCAAGCTGATTCCTATAGCCTTTTCACAGGTCTCCATTACTTTGTATGAGGACTTTTTTACTTTCTGGCATAATAACGTGTTCCAAGCTTATCTCTTACTTTCTCTGTTCTAGTTGGAATCACTCATTTCTCAAAGGACCTCTGGTTCATTTTCTTTTTTCACAAATTTGTATATACTGAGATAGAACTATTTCAGTGTTTTTGATGACTGACTAGGTTTCATTTTCATATCTCCTTTGTATTATCATTAGAAATCTTTTAAGGAACATACTATGGCATGTGGAAAAGACCTGCGCTTTGGAACGAGACCTGGGCTTTGGAAAGAGTCCTGGCATTAGCACTTTCTAGCTGCAAGAACCTGGGCAAGTTACCTAACTTCATTAAGCCTTTGTTTCTTCCTCTTTAAAGCAGGCAAAATAATGACCACCTCACAGTGTTGTTATGAGGTTTAAGCTTTAAAATGGCTTCTGAGCCTGACACATAAAAAGTACTCAGTAAATTTAAGTGACTTTTTCCTCTTTTAATTACACCACCTTACCATCTTAATGTGATTACTTCTCTCCCTACCCCTTCCATTGCTTCCTCTGAAGCCCTGGAGAACCACTGATTACCTGCCCCTGGTATTGTTCATTGAAATTTTCCCATAATGTCTAATTCTCACTTCAGCCCATCAGGATTCCTTGGCACAGGACACATGCCTAATAATCCCCCTCCTTGCCCCTTCCGTTCGTTCTTTAGAGTGAGAGGCAATATGGTATGAAGGACAAAAATCACTTGATTATATAAAAACATGCAGACAAAGCATTTGATGAAGTTCAGTGACCCCAGAGAGTTATGAATCTTAGGTAATTTCCTTGGCTTAAAATAGGCTACATATCAAAAACCTACACTAAGCATCACATGTAACAGAGAAATGTATTCCCAATAATATTGGACACAAGACAAGAATTCCTGTTATCATTTCTCCACTTAACATAGTACAAAAAGAACTAACCAATGCTGTAGGCAAGAAAAAGACATTAGATGCGTAAGGATTAGATGGGGAAAGTAAACTTACTATTTTCAGACAAAAGTATTATCCACGCAGAAGATTCAACAGAATTAACAAACTATTAGAATTAGTAAGAGTTTGACAAGGTTGTTCTATTATAGGATAAAATTTACAAAACACAATAATATTCCTCTGTGCTAGCAATGATGACCTCAACAATAAGATATCATTCGCAATAGTAAGAGATTATAATCAGTCTGGAAATCAACAAAAAAACTTTGATTTTTACAGAATAAAAACTAAAGAAAATTCTGAATAAATGGGTAGACATCAACTCTTTGAAATGTCAAAGATGACATGTCAAAGTAAAGGTGTCAGTGCTCCCCAAATTAATCTGTACATTCAAAGCAATCCCATCAAATTTGCAAAAGGATTTTTTAAGGAACTCCACAAATTCACTCTTAAAATTTATACGGAAAAGTAAAATTTCAAAAATAGCTAAGGCCACTTTGAAATAGATAAGCAAGGAGAGGAATACTCACTTCATCAGACACTGAGACATGATGGAGCCATAAAAATAGCGTGGTGCTGAATCTGAACCACTGCAGAAGAACAGAGGTCTTAGAAGTAGTACTACATATATATGGGAACTTCGTAAAGATGAAGTTGGAACCACATAACACGCAGAAAGGATGGATCATTTGCAAATTGTGACCGGAAAGTGAATTACTATGATAAGGCAAAATAATGTTAGACCTTATAACTTACATTAAACAATGAAAAAGTGTGCTTTGAATGGATTAAAGACATAAATGTAAGAGGTAAAATTATTTTTAAAAAATCAAATAGAGAAGAGGCCAGGTGCAGTGGGTCACACCTGTAATCTCAACACTTTGGGAGGCCAAGGCAGGAGAAATGCTTGAGCCCAGGAGATGGAGACCAGCCTGGGCAACACAGGAAGACCCAGTCTCTACAAAAATCCAAAAGTTAGCCGGGCGTAGTGGTGCTGGCCTGTAGTTCCAGCCACTTGGGAGGCTGAAGTGGGAGGATCACTTGAGCCCAGGAATTCAAGGCTGTAGTGAGCTTTAATTGTGCCACTGCACTCCAGTCTGGGCGACAGAACAAGACCTTGTCTCAAAAAAGAAAAAAAGAAAAAGAAAAGAAAGAAGAAATATAAAGAAAATGTAAAATAAATTTTAAAGAAAATGTAGAACAGTATATTTTTTATATAAGAGTGAGGGAAAGACTTCTGGAACAAGACCCTAAAATCTCAAAGATTTTTTTAATTGATGTATTTGATTCTATCAAAATAAAGAACACCATAAACAAAGGAACAAATGAATGAGTCTGGGGGAAAATATTTGTAACATCCAAAACCACCAAGAACTTAACACCTATAACGTACAAACAACTCCAGAAAATCAACAAGAAACAGGATGTGAAACCCAATTTTTAAATGAGCAAAGTATTGAAGAGTCATTTCTCAGAAAGGGGAGTGCAAGTAACTAATATATATTCAGAAATGCTCTAACTCTTTACTAAACAAAGAAATTCAAACGAAAATAAGATTATTAAAATAGAAAAAAAATTAAAAATTAGATAATTCCAGAGATGGCAAGATGTAACAAGACAGGAAGTTTACTGTACTGTTAAGAAAAATGTAAACTGATATAGTCATTCTAGAAAGCAATATATTCTGTTTGGCCCCCAAATCCCCTCCTGGGTCTATATGTTAGAGAAATTATTGCACAACTTCATAAGGAGGTCTGTATGAGGTTGTGATGTGGTTTGTGGTAGTGGATCTAAAGACAAACTTGGTGACCCTCAGTAGGAGAATAGTAAAATACAGTGGATGCAATAGTGACTGCCAAGGCCGGGGCTTAAGGAGGAATGAGGAGTTAGTGTTAGTCAGAGGCGCAGCTTCGGAAGAAAAAAAAGTTCCGGAGATGAATAGCGGTGATGAGTGTAGAACAATGGGAATGGATCTAATGCCACAGAACTGTACACATAAAAATGAAGAAAATTTTAAAAATTTTATTATGTAGATTTTACAATTTTTAAAAGATTTTTAAAAGAGAGTGAATGCTTATTATGTAATACCTTAAAGGAGTTAAAAATGAGGGAACCATAGTTATAGCAATATCAATCTCAAAAAACAGGATTGAATGATAAATTAGAAACAGAAACATGTTCCAAACAGCACTCAATATTTTACTATGATATCTGCATCATTAAAGACTCATTATCAACATATTAGTTTGGAAACTGCAGGGAGGGGACTAGCAATGGAGATTGGGGGGAAAATACTAGAATAAGAAGGGTGTTACACAGACCAGTGATAAATGACAATAAGTTATTATGAACTGAGAAGTTTATAGCTTCAGTTAAAAAGAAATGACATCATACACGTGAAAACCTTTGAAAGGATATAAAGTTTTACAGTTTATAGTTTGTTATTTCCGTTATTTGAGGAAGCATGAAATGAACCAAAATAGATTTCATTTCTAATTTTTTGGATCTTCGGTGCATTCTAAGAAATAGTGATTTATACATTGGCTAAGCATCACACATTGGAAGTTCATCTGTATTTTATGAGATTTTATATATCTCCAGTGATCTCTCATTACTACAAATTTTTTCTTTCCTCCTTTTTATACCTGTTCCATGCAGAGCCAGATTAAGGGTGAGTCAGATAGGAGTTGCCTGGGGTGCTAGTATTTAAGAGGTGCTAAAAATATCACTGGAATTATAGCAAGATGGAAAAAATTATTTTCCTAGCACTCCTGTTACAGAGAGTACTTTGCGAGGTTAACAAGAATCCAGTTATAAATTGTGTGGGGTGGGGCTGTGTGTGGCCCCTCTTCCAGGAAAATACATGAATAATAATAGGGGTTGTTTAAACTCAGGGTCACAAGGCCACAATGTAGAGTAGTGCACAACTCCAGAAGTCATTTACATATGACCTGCAAACTGTTCATGGTGACCCTGTTTAAAGTGCCTCCTTAGGAGGGTGATTAAACCATTTGAGTGAACAAATATCCCACTCAATCAGAGTGCAGGGCTTTTGTTTTGCACCCTGGATAATCATGTTTGGTACTGGAGTTGCGTTGGTTGGGAAAAGTGAGCAGATGCTGAGTGCCACTGCCAGTGGTCTTTCTTCCGCATCCTTCTTCCACACAGCCTGTATAAACATGGGATGCATATTTTAAAACTATCAAGGCACTAAGTTATTTGGTTGCCCGGGGAGCCACCTATTTATTTTGTCTGGCTCTGCTTCAAAAAGAAAGACAGAATCACAGAAGTTGCTCCATTTGAGAACGCTGAAGCCCAACTCTCACTCCCATCCTGGGGCAGGCCTTTAGAGTCTAACTGTGCCCTTCTGCTGGCCATCCTACTTTAAGTGGCAGAAAGAGGTGGGAGTGGTGCATGGCAGTCAAGGGGTACTCTGTGGATTCCATTTGCAAAGGGAACAAAGCTAGCATGGCTGTGGGTAAAACCCAGGTTGTCCCTTTTTTTGACAAGAGGGACAAGTGTCTTTATTTGATCCTAAGTCTTAGGAAAAGGAGATAAACCACTACTGATTTCCAGAGGCATTTCGGGATATCAAGAGAAGCATTTGTTTGTTTGTTTGTTTTTCTGAGCATATCTCTGTGGGATGTTAGGCAACTCATAATTCTTTAACCTTTGTTAACTCATTTAACACCACTTAATCTGAGCTGCAAAATAAGCATTTTAAAAGCTTTTTCGGATTACCCGATAATGATTAGGGTTCCAACAGTATTCTCATACATCAGTTAGCAATTTTCCTTAAAGTATTCCAAAATTTTTTGGCTCAGTTCACATATTAAATTGTTTAATAACTTGTGTCATGCATTAAGCACTTCACAATGTTATGCTCATCGACTCTTCAGAAAGACTTAGAAGCTGAAACAGTTCTAAGTGAAAAAGGATCTCTTCCGGTGACATCCTAGCATCCCTGAGTTTCATTTACCAATGGAACAAACCTTCATTGAATGCCAGGCACTGTAGCAGGTGATGATGATGCCCTTGTGGGCCCAGCTCTGGTGGCAGTGGGTTCTGGCAGTGTGGTTTTGAAGAAGGAACGCTGGATTAAGACTGGGCATCCAGGCCGGCTGCAGTTCAGGATCATGCCTGTAATCCCAGCACTTTGGGAGGCTGAGGCGGACAGATCACAAGGTCAGTAGTTCAAGACCAGCCTGACCAATATGGTGAAACCCCGTCTCTACTAAAAATACAAAAATTAGCCAGGCATGGTGGCATGCACCTGTATTCCAGCTACTCAGGAGGCTGAGGCAGGAGAATCGCTTGAACCCGGGAGGTGGAGGTTTCAGTGAGCCAAGATCACGCTACTGCACTCCAGCCTGGGTGACAGAATGAGACTCTGTCTCAAAAAAAAAAAAGGCTGGACATCCAGACATTCCAGGCTACTTTGCCCATCATCTCCTGTTCCCCAAGCCATGCCCATCTCTAAATCAGGATGTCAGACCAGATGGCCTCAAAGGTCCTTTCCAGTGTTTGAATTTGAATTTATTTATTTTTTTTTTATTTAGAGACAGGGTCTCACTCTTTCACCCAGGCTGGAGTGCAGTGGCGTGATCATAGTTCACTGCGGCCTCGAACTACTGGGCGCAAGCAATCCTTTTGACTCAGTCTCCTGAGTAGCGGGGACCACAGGCAACCACCAACACGCTCAGCAATTTTTTTTTTTTTTTGGTCACAGGGGTTAGAGACGAGGGTCTTGCTATGTTGCCCAGGCTGGTCTTGAACACCTGGGTTCAAGCAATCCTCCAGCCTCAGCCGCCCAAACTGGGATTACAGGCGTCAGCCACCATGCCAAGCCTGAATTTGAAATTTTGAATGACACTTTAATAAATACTTTGCCACCTTTCTTGTGTGTAATGAGTTCTATTTTTTAAAGTAGACACCTAGATAGAAACATTGAGCTAAGCATTTTACACACACTCTTTTCTTATTCATACTCCTCATAGTCCTCTGAAGTCGGCACTTAGAGCCCCAGTTTTTAGAGCAGAAACCTCTTAAGTACCTTCCCTAAGGCCACATAACTAGCAAGAGGAGGAATGGAACACAACCCAGGTCTTCTGGGACAGAACTCCAGACCTTACACTGTCTTTGCCTTTTTTAAGTCTCAGCTGGCAGGTCTCGGTGGTACAGCCCTGCACAGTTCAGCCACTTATTTCCCTCTGTGAAATGAACAGCTTCCTCAGGACGATGCCCTTGTACCATTCTCCAGGCAACTGAGCCCGCAGCCTGGAGGCAGCTCTTTCCCAAGGGGGGCGGAATGCAGGATGACTGACAGCAGCCCCGCGCATGCTCCTGGAGTCTCTCCCCACAGAGCGCCCCGAGGCGTTCCCATAATTTACATGCTCCATTTAAAATATAGACGCTGAAGCACCAGAATTACACATCTGCTCCCTTGACTTTTTAACCAAAGGGTGCTAGTTTATTGCTGAGCTTAAGGATAAAAGAACAAGAAATGAAAGTTGGGTTGGATTTTTTTTTAAGTTTCCTTCCCCGCTAAGTACAATCAGATGTTGGATTCTCAGCCCGATGCTGAGTGGATGCTCATTTCGCTTTGCCTCTCAGTTTAACAGCTCTTTTCTGAGATAACACTTTTCCTCACAAAAAAAAAAAAAAAAAAAAAACGAAGGGCCCTTCCCTATACAAATATTTTTAGTTAAATGCATCAAACAGCCCCAATTTTGTGGTGCCAGGAAAAAAAGAAAAAAACAGGAATGATACTGAAACTGATATGACGCTTTGTAGGGAAACAACTGTCCTTTCATCTCTGGATACACAGTTTATCTTTGACCCTGGAGTACTTGCTTGAATTCTTGGCGAAGGGCACCTATTTAGAAATCATCTAAGACCTGAAGAGCTCCATCATGAACCAGACATCAAACGCCTTTTATGTTCTTTCTGGTCCAGGATTAAAACTTCAGATCTATTATATTTTAATGCACAAATAAAGAATCAACCAGGGGAATCTGCAGCCTCGGCAAACACTTTCATCCAAAAGAACAAGTTATTTGTGATATAAAACTCAGCGAGTGTCTCTATTGAGTATCGCAAAGATGGTGAGATGGGATGAGTTTCTTTGAAGAGCAGTAAGGGAAATGAATGAGTCAGTGGCTTAACATGTCTCTTCATTGGAAGCAGAAAATGTCAAAGTGCTCATATTCATCCCTGGCTCTAAGAAATGTGTGTTCTTTTGGGATACATGGCACAAGAAATTTCTCCGCATCTTTCCCACAGCTTTCTTTTTTGGCCAAGAGAATTTTTTTTCCTGGGTCTCAGATTTATATATAGTCTCCAGGTGTATCACACAGTGTTTCTCCACGTTTCTGCACCTAGAGATCAGCACAGAAGCATATCAGATCAGATATGCAGGGTTTTTAAGAAATGCAAAGAGATGCCTGGGCACCCAGAGATAATTAGAACCAGCACACTGTGGTAGGCATCAAATAAGAGTCTATCTGGCTCAAGAATCTTTTTTTTTTTTCTTGATCTCCAGTAACCTTATCTACACCTTGTGCCTGCATCTTACTCACCAAGGTTAAGTGGTCCAAGGATGACACTCTACCCAAGCCTGACCAATCAGAGTTTTTTCCCAAGATGTTTAACCAGACATTTCTTACTTTTGTGCAGCGGGTACGGGGAGAAAGGGGTAACAGCAGTGACCTGTTACTCCTGAAAAATGACTTTAACTTGGCCCAATGGGAAGGTAACAACCCTCCTTTTAAAAAAAATCAGGTAGTTTTGAGATATAATTTACATACAATAAAACTCACTAATTTTAAGTGTACAATTCAATATATAATTTTAATATGATCTTTAAAAAACCATTTTAGTGAGATATTATTGACCTACAAAAGCCTACATATTTAATATGTACAAATTGATAAGTTTGTGGATAAGTGTATATCCATGAAACTATCTATGCCATGAATTTACCCATCACGTCCAAGATTTTCCTCCTGCTTTCTTATTATTATATTTTTGTGATAAAAACACAAGATAAGATTACCCTCTCAGCAACTTTTTATTCTATATTTTAAATATACAATACAGTATTATTGACTATAGGCATTATGCTGTACCATAGATCTCTAGTATTTATTCGTCTTGTATAACTGAAACTTTATACACTTTGACTAATACCTCTCCATTTCCCCCTCCCTCCAGCCCCTGGCAAATGTATACAGTTTTATAGCCCCGATCACAATCATAATATACAATTTCATCACCCCCAAAATGTCTTCGTGTTCCTTTGTAGCCAATCAGCTCCCCCGACCCCACCTTGGCCCCTAGCAACCACTTCTATGTTTTCTGTCATTATAGCTTTACCCACAGGCTGGGTAAGTGTTAGGTAGCATCTAATAGCCTGCCTTATTATTTCAGAAAGACACTATTTTTTTCAGTTTAGCTAATCAAGAAACTCATCCCATCTCACCATCTTTGCGATAGTCAATAGAGACACTCGCTAACCAAGAACCTCTGTTGAACCTGTCTACATCTTTAATCCTAAAGTAGCTAATGATCAAATAAACATGTGATATTGATTCCCAGTATGAAACATGAGGACACCAGCAATTAGGGATAGACCCATTTATTGGGGAATGTATTGATTATACAGCAAAATAATGCCAACACTCTACACTTCCATCAATAGTAGACCATTTAAATAAGCCATAGAACTTGCAAATAAAAGAAAAAGAATGTACTCTATATAGTAATATGAATCTTCTCAAACATGTATTGTTAATGAAAAAACAAGATGTAGGCAGGAGAATCATTTGCTACCATGTTTATGAAAAAGGACGAAGAAGAATGTCTATATGTATTTTATGTATATACTTAAAATTCCTCTGGAAGAATACACTGAATTGGGTGGCCAAGGGAGATGGGTAGGAAGGTGAATTTTCATTGTGTACAATTTCATAGGCTTTGCAGTTTGAACCATGGAAATATACTACACGTTCCAAACAAATTAATAAACAAAACAACATACTGATTACCACAGTGTACTAAGTCTTATCCTAGAACTTGGGTGGAGGATGGTCTGTTTAAATAGCCTATTATTCTACCATCTCTGTTCTCTCAATTTCTCTACCACTTATTTTCTCTAGCATTTATTTTGTTGTTAATCATGTTTTGCCTCAAATCTTATCTCTAGTTGTATAGAAGTGTTTAAGGAATTCTATGGTTAATATTCTATATTTTATGTCTTATCTATAACTTATTGGTTCCTAGAAATAGATACTATTTTATTATTTAAATTTTATCTTTTGATTTGGCTCAAAATTGCATCTATATTTTTAAAAGAAATGTTAGTTTTAAATTTCAGAAATAATATGCTCATATTTTTCAGTAAAATGATATATTACAGTCAATGTTAAAATTCCCATTTACTGCTTTGCTCATTTTCCTCCTGACTGAGATGAGGTAACTATTATCAGGTTAGGAAGTGTCCTTCTAGATCTATTTATGTGCTTTTACATCCATATATATACGTACCCTAGCAAATACATAGCATTATGTGGGTGTAGTTTTTTTCTTTTTATCTGTGTATCTTAATGTATGTCTTGGTCTATATTATTTATACGCAATGATATATTTTCATATTTGCACATATAATGTCAAGGTTGATTTTTTAAAAGTTCACACAGTATCTCATAGTTCAGGTAAACTATATTTTATTTATCTATTTCTTATTTACGGATATGTGAATTCTTTCTCAATTATTTTGCTTATATATTCCATACTATCTAAGCTAATGTCATCTACATGATAGAGTCTCAATATATATTTATTGATTTCCTAATATATCTCTGATATATTAATCTAAAGTACAAAACAAGGAATCAATAATTGTGTTGCATAATGATATATTTTCATTTCAGTATTATTTGTATTTTATGAGGTGTGTGCTATAATAATCTGTTACATACTAATATTTCTTCTGTGGAAACAAGTGGAATTTAGGATGAAAGTAGATTGCATGTTGAATATAAACCTTAATATTAACTGATGGAACAGGTTCTATTTGAATTTATTCTCAATAAATTCTATCACTGCTTTGAAAAACTCCTCGTGGAGTTTCATCAGAACACTTTCAACCAGACTCCTAATTAGGTCTCCCTCATTTTCTCAGACTGTGGTCTGCATGCATCTATGTTAGAATCATCAAAGGTACTTGTTCAAAATGCAGATACCTGGGCCCTGTCCAGACCTACTGAATCAGAATCTCAGGGAGCAATATCCTAAAAACTATTATAAACACAAACACCAGGTGATTTTTATATAACTCAAAGTCTAAATATTTCTAATCTAAGGATTCCAGGGGGGCTAACAGGTGGAATGGAGGATTACATTTTCCAACTTCACCTGCTTTTCTACTGATTTTTGGCTGTGAATTGTGGTTCTTGACTTATTTAAATCCATATGAACATGGATGGAAAACCACCCCTCTTTTCTATTCCAGCCCAAGCACTACTTATACAGGCTGATGTATATTCCTTTTAAAGACCTGGGAATAATTATGGGGTGGAGGATTAAGCATAGTATATAGAACAAGAAGCAACTTAACTCTAAGCATTCCACATCTTGCATTGATTTGCTTTATCCAATGGTTGTAGATTAGATCACTGTTTATTAGATAGTCACTTCCTCCTCCTTCCCCATTCTCACCTCCATTGGAGGACTGTCCGCAACCCACAACTTTGGACTTGGCTGTGAATTGCTTGGTAAGATGTTATTAAAATATGCAAGTATCTCCTAATATCATCAAGTGAAAAATCAGTTTGGAAAACAGGAAACTTAGGTTTAACTCTAACTCTATTCTTAATCAGCTTTGTGACCTTGAGGGTGTGGTTTGAACCATGTGACATATCTAAGGTTCTTTCCAGTTCTGACATTGTATTAGCCCATATGTAATGCATATTCTTGCATATTCTTCCATAGGGAAGAATTTTTCATTGGACTAGGAATGGCATCATCATTGTAACATGAGGACTAACCTGGATGTAGTATGCAGTACAACACAGGGAGTCTTTGTGTTGCTACCAGGTTATCCTAGCTCTTGAATTCTTTCATAAAGAGTCCAAGTCTCCTCTTCATCTTGAGAAAAGTTTGCTTCCTGAGCTGCAATACTGATGTAACTCTTTCCTCAGCTCAGGAGAAGACTCAAGATCAATATTTGGGACCTCTTTTCTCATGTTGATGGCATCATCTCCACCTCCCAGGTGTTCTGGCTCTCAGGCTCCTTCCCTCACCCTCCTGCAGTGTTCTGCCTCAGTACGTTCCTTCGCTGCAATCTATGGCATAACTGACTCAGAGGCCTATCAGAATCAGCTGGGGGTCTTTTTAGAAACATGGTGTCCCAGGTCTCTGTTCCATTGCATCAGGATCTTCAGGGATATACGTTTTCAAGAGTTTCTTAAGCAATTGTGAGGACTGCCAAGGTTTAAGGACTGACTTTACTCCCAGAGCAAGAATCCCAGCCCAGCATGCACCCATGGCAACTCACTTTGATTGGCCTGTCCATTCTCCTTTTGTATAGAGTCAAAGTCAGAAAGATCTTACTAAAACTGAGGTTCCTTGGAACTTCTGCCCATTCCTGTAAATTCTACTCTGTGGCACTATAGAGAGAAAGGGTAATTCTGCTTCCAGAGAAAGTCTTCAGATAATGAGAAGATTGTTGTTACGTTCTTGCTCTCTTGCAACAAGACTTCCAGGTCCTTGCCATAGATGTACTTTTTCTCTGCATATGCTCAGTTGGCCAGCGTTCCCCTTTAATGTATTGTGTCCAGTACAAAATGCTGCCTTAAAAATACAGAATGTGGTACAGTCTATAGGGATACTTACTTTGTACCAAAACTGGAAGTAGAAGTTCAGAAATTAGGGAAAAAAGAAAAGTTGAGGATGAATTTGACCTTCCCAATGCTTTTCCGAATTATACAGACCTGGCTGGGTGACTCCGCCTGTGCCAAGATATGCCCTAAGATAACTATTCCCCTTCTTGGGGATGTGCACAGCTCTTGTCTGTGCTCATTACAACAAATGAAAAGAAGCACTGAAGCAACTTTATAGAGGTTTTTCACGCTGCCTTCAGACTACCTAGAGGGAAACTAGGTGAATGTGTTTCCCTGACTTGTGAATGTTCTCTGTAATTCACAAGTCAAAAGAGACAGGAACCCTGCCAAGATGTACCCTTTTCTAAACAGATGCAGGAGGAAAACCACAAGATCACTGGGCTGTGAAAGGCAAAGGAGAAGAGATTCCCTCAACCTCAACCACAAAAAGGCTCTCCTTCTGCCCTGGGCTGGGCCATGGTGGCATCTGATGGCCTAAGGCCGCTTCATGCTTGTTCTCATTCCCAAACACTCTCCTGGAGAAAGGCCATCAACCAGTGTCAGACTTGTAAAGTTGTCTGACAATGTCTCCAGTTCAAGAGGTAAGATATGAGTGCCTCCACCACAACTAGCCCTCCCTATAAATATAGATGAGAAACACAATGATGTTTTCCCCAGATCAGAACTGTCACACAGTGAAGACGGTTCAAGTGACTTTGTCCTCCAAGGCCAGATAAGGGAATGCTTTCCTGGAGAAAGTAGGAAGGTTTCACAAGAAGCTGAGAATTCACAATGAAACTGGGTGGTATGTTCCATAGTTTAAAAGGAGGAAGTGGGATGCCGGCTAAATTGGCTGGCAAATTTGGTCCTTATGGAAGTAAAGCCAGTTAGCAGTGTTACATTGGAAACACCTTCATGACTGGGCCTGCATCACAAAGCTCTATGTTCTAACCACATTTGCAGGCACCTTTGACCCATAGCCCCTAATGACCAATCTTCCAGCTACCCATACCCCTCCCAACACAACACAATATGCCTTTCCATCAAGACAGACAACAGTGTCACTTGTTTTATTGGAAATATTTTACTTGACACCTGCCCATTTTTCAGCACTTCTCATCCTTTTTCCCCACTTTCCCAATCTTGTTCCCTCCTAGAGGAAGAGAAGAAGTAAAATACAGTATATAAGGGCACGGGTTTTGGAGTCAGGGAGAACAAGAAACCCTGGGCAAATTATTTAACTACTCAAGCCTCATTCTCCTCATTTGTATCTCACCCTTGTTATGACTCCTAAATGAAATATAGCACATTATAAGCACTAAATAAATATTAGCTAACTCACTGGCCCAATATGTTCACACATTTGTGCATGTGCACACACCTTTACTCATACACAGCATAGTAACATGGAAAGCTCATTGAAATGAAAATCAAGCAATAAGAAACCTTGAGTAATGCATATGCCCTCTATGGGCCACACTGTTCCCATCTTCACAATAAAAGCTTGAACTAGGTCATTTCTAAGAACCCGTCCAAGAGGAAGAGTCCAACAATCTGAGTTAGCATTAAAGCCGCTCTATATGAACTGGTATGGAATGCTCTCTAAAACAAGGCTCTAAACGAAAAAAAGCAAGATACAGAATGGTGCACATAGTATGCACCCATTCATGCCGAAAGAAAAGACTAAATACTTTTACACGTTTGTAGATTATTTCTGGAGGCATATAGAAGGGATTGGCAACAGTGATGCCTCTGCAGAAGGAATTTGAAGGACAGGAAGAGGGAGACTTACTCTGTACTATACACACTTTGTAGTCTTATACCATGTACATTCTTCAGGTATTTTTTTTAAAAAAAATTTAAAGTCTAGAAAAAAGGCCCACACTGTCCGGGTGCAGTGGCTCACATCTGTAATCCCAGCACTTTGGGAGGCTGAGGCAGGCGGATCACAAGGTCAGGAGTTCAAGACCAGCCTGACCAACATGGTGAAACCCCGTCTCTACCAAAATTACAAAAATTAGCTGGGCATGGTGGTGCATACCTGTAATCCCAGCTACTCAGGAGACTGAGGCAGGAGAATCGCTTGAATCTGGGAGGCGGAGTTTATAGTGAGCCAAGATCATGCCACTGCACTCTAGCCTGGGCGACAGAGCAAGGCTCTGTCTCAAAAAAAAAAAAAAAGCTCACACCACATTACAAGTGGATACAAAATAGCTAATTTTTATCATAGTGTATTTCTACCTATATGTAGCTTTTATAATAATTTTATATATATTAGGGTATTAGGCCAGGTGCAGTGGCTCACGCCTATAATCCCAGCAATTTGGGAGAGACCAGGGTGGGTGGATCACTAGAGGCCAAAAGTTTGAGACCAGCCTGGCCAACCTGGTGAAACCCCGTCTCTACAAAAAATACAAAAATTAGCTGGGCATGGTGGCACGCGTCTATAATCCCAGCTACTCGAGAGGCTGAGGTGGGAGGATGGCTTAAGCCTGTGGGAGGCAGAGGTTACAATGAGTCGAGATTGTGCCACTGCACTCCAGCCTGGGCGACAGACCCAGACTTTGTCTCAAAAAATAATAAAAAAGATAATAATTTTATATTATAATATTTAAAAGTTAAATGACGCAGGCTGCTGTTCTATGGAATCTTGAGGCTAACCTTTCCACTGTAATAATTAGTCCTTAAAACCACTCAATTCTTACAGGCTATGAAACTACTGGCTCTCAGTGGGAAGGAAATGCCTTTTAGGGAAAGCCATGGGTCAAAGGCAGAGAGAGAAACTTAATTATGGGTCACGTATTTTATATATATTGTCTCATTCAATCCTTAAAACAATTCACTGTGCTGTTAATTTCTCCATTGTACCCATCAAAAAAGGAAGCTCAAAGAGGTGAAATAAGCTCAAAGAGCTGAATTTTAAACCCAGGCTGAACTTAATTCCAAACTCACATGTATTCTGGTTTGCTACAATGTCTCCTGGAGGTAATCTAAGAGAACAGGTTCACATTAATAATTAATCAAGAATTAAGAATAGTGTTCAGGTCCGGGTGTGGTGGCTCACCCCTGTTAACCTCAGCACTTTGGGAGGCCAAGACGGGTGGATCACGAGGTCAGGAGGTAGAGACCATCCTGGCTAACATGGTGAAACCCTGTCTCTACTAAAAATATGAAAAATTAGCCAGGTGTGGTGGCGGGCACCTGTAGTCCCAGCTACTCGGGAGGCTGAGGCAGGAGAATGGCATGAACCTGGGAAGCGGAGTTTGCAGTGAGCTGAGATCGCACCACTGCACTCCAGCCTGGGTGACAGAGACTTCATCTCAAAAAAAAAAAAAAAAAAAAAAAAAAAAAAAAAGAATAGTGTTCAGGCCAGCAAGGTAGCTCACGCCTGTAATCCCAGCACTTTGGGAGGCCAAGACGGGTGGATCACGAGGTCAGGAGGTAGAGACCATCCTGGCTAACATGGTGAAACCCCGTCTCTACTAAAAATATGAAAAATTAGCCGGGTGTGGTGGCGGGCACCTGTAGTCCCAGCTACTCGGGAGGCTGAGGCAGGAGAATGGCATGAACCTGGGAAGCGGAGTTTGCAGTGAGCCGAGATCGCACCACTGCACTCCAGCCTGGGTGACAGAGACTTCATCTCAAAAAAAAAAAAAAGAATAGTGTTCAGGCCAGCGAGGTAGCTCACGCCTGTAATCCCAGCACTTTGGGAGGCCAAGACGGGTGGATCACTTGAGACCAGAAGTTCAAGACCAGCCTGGCCAACATGGCAAAACCCCATCTCTACAAAAAATACAAAAATTGGCTGGGGGAGGTTGCAGTGAGCCGAGATTGCACCACTGCACTCTAGCCTGGGCAACGGAGCAAGATTCTGTTTCAAAAAAAAAAAAAAGAATTAACAAAAGTGTTTATTTAAGTAAGTGGGGGAAAAAGAGAAAACGGCATGTGAAAGGTAGACAAGAGCTGATTCTTAGTTACTAGGAGCCACGCCTGTTTCCTTTGTAGGCTTTTTATCATCAGGGTAAGCTTCCTAAAACACACCCTCTGGTTCAACCCTCAGATGTCCCCCTGGACAATTTTTCTTTATTGTATGCAAAGTGACTTTTTAAAAAGTCTCTTCCAATAGATTAACGCTACAGGTGGATCATAAGCTGAATAGATTGGCCAGAGCAACCACAACTCAGTTCTGCTGCGTCTTCCTGCCACGTGAGAAGTATGTGTCCCATTAGGATTCAAAGTCAGGCCTTTCAACAGCCAAGTCTTTAATGCCCATTCACCTACTTCTCTTGTTTTACAAATAGAAAAAAATCTCTAAGCAAAAGGGCAGAGGGAGGAAGTACTGGGTGGGAACTCAGATCTCTCACCTCTCCCATCCTGTGCCCTTCATCCTATACCAAGACACTGCTGTAAAAATGGGCCATTTTTCATCTCTGAGAGACAGTGTAGGACAGTGATGAGGAGTATGATCTCTGAAATCCCAATTACCTAGGATTCTTCTCTACTCAGTCACTTCCCAGATGTATGATAGTGGGCAAGTTGCTTCACGTCTCTAAGACCATGTCCTTATATGTAAAACAAGGATAACAAGCATACCTACTTCACAAGTTAAATTGTATGTGGAGTAAATGAAATAAGGCATACAAAGTTGAGACCAAAAAAATGAAGAGCACAATAAATATTAAGTATTATTCTTAATAATCTCTGACTTAATGATTGAAAATGGATATTTTGCAAAAATCTTAAACATATGGATGTTTCTTCTTCAGTAGTCTCTGAACTCTTAGAATGCAAGGACCATGTCTTATTCATCTTTGAAACTAGTTTGGGAGAGGAATTTATTATATTCCAAGAGCCTGATACATCCAGGCTTCCAGTGAGAGGTTGCATATGGGAGCTTGCCATGGCTTATAACACATGACTCCCCACAAAGACCAACTGTAGGTACCTTACCTGTAAGGCAAAACAAAAGAAGCAGCAGGAATTAACTGGACTCATCAGATCCCACTCTTAGATTTGCGTGAAGGACTTACAGTACAAGGGGACAGTAGGTGGTAGAGACAGAAGCCAAAAGGTACACAGAAAAGAGTAAAGAGAAGCTATAAGGGGAAGGAAAATACGGAAGAGTCATCAGGAACCATAGGAAAAGCAAACGCATTCAGCAGATTGTCCATCAGAGTGGAGGAGTCCATCTTTATCAGAAGGAATTACATTCAGCTGTTTGTAACTGAGACCTAGTGATGATGGTGTGAAAGGAAAATACATCTCAGGACCCCAAAAATCACTAAGCCAAAGGGAAAAGTCAAGCTGGGAATTGTGTCATGTAAACCTGCCTCCCATTTTGTTCCTAAATAAGATAGCTATAATTTAAAAAATAATAGTTATAAAGCTACATACTTCCCTCACAATTTTCCCACTGGGAAATTCCTTGTGGACCCCAAGATGTTTATCCTAAAACAATTCTGTAGAATTTCCCCCTGACAATGTAAATTGATAGCTTATCTTCACAGGTACGGGACAAAGGACAGAACTCGAAGTCATCCCTCTGCTCACCTAAGACAAATGCACATCTGATTGTTTCCCTGCCCTTTGTTTATTTTACCGTATGTAAAAATGTAGATTCATTCAGCTAGATGAATGCATAAGTAACTATTCCCCTGCCCCCACTCACAGGTGAATGGCTGATTAAAGACTCAAAATAATGCAGACACGTGCCTCTTATCTACCCACAACTTTTTAAACTTTCTTCTTCTTTCCCAAATATCCACCCTTTCCCCTTTAAATATTGAAGACCTCAAAATCATCTTTGGAGAAAGCCACAGACCTGTCTCCTGGGCACGTCTTTAACCTTGGAAAAATTAACTTCTAAACTGATTGAGACCTGTGTCAGATACTTTCTGGTTTACAATGGCTTATGCACATAAAGAGTTCTTATTTCCTATAAAACACGAATGAGCCGAGGAAAGTGATCCAGGGCTGGTATGGCAGATCCTCAAAGTCAGCCAGCATCCAGCTCCTTTGATTTCTCTGCTCCAACCTTCTTTGAACATGGCTGCCAACCTCAAGGTTATAACAGGCTAAAAGAGGTCCAAATTCCAAGAAGAAAGAAGGTGAAAGAAGAAAAAAAAAAAACTCTTCCCTGTAGTTTCAGTTCCCTTTAGAGAGATCTTCTGAAGTCTCACCCGTGGCTGGCCACCTGCATCTCTACAGCCACACCTAGATGCAAACTAGGCTGGGAAATGCAGTCTTTTACCTGGGCACTTCGCCAGTCCAAATAAAACCAGGGCTCTGTTACTAAAGAAGGGAAGAATGGATATTGAAGAGGCAACTAGCAGTTTCTGGTATTTTCCCTTGGTCAAACTGCCAAGGGAACAATAAGGAAATAAGACTGCCAGATCTGGGTGAAGCTACCTTTTAGTGCTTAGACCATGTCGTAGTATTTGAAAGGCCTGCTAAGTGCTGAGATTCTCATATTCCTGATGTCCTTCTCTCTCCTTAAATTAAGCCTTATTTTTTAAAAAATAACTAAAGTGGGCCTCTGGTTTGGTTTTGCTTTTTGAAACAAGGTCTTACTGTGTTGCCCAGGCTGGAGTACAGTGGCATAATCGTGGCTTACTGCAGCCTCAACCTCCTGGACTCAAGCAGTCCTCCCACCTCAGCCTCCCAAGTAGCTGGGACCAGAGATGCATGACACCACATCTGGCTAATTTTTTTATTTTTTGTAGAGACAGAGTATTGCTTATGTTGTCAGGACTGGTGGATTGTTTATTTTTTTTTTTTTTACTTCAAAAAAAGCTCTAAATAACATATAGGCCCAGTTACAAGCATGCATCTGGCACATAGGAAGGTTTTCGATCAATATTCATTAAAGTGAACTGAATTCTATGAACAGTCACACAGCCCTATAACTTACTCACCTGCCCTCTGCCTGCCTTGGGTCTTCAGACTCATTATCTCAGAAGAAGATGCTTGGTTTTTGGTGGTTTGTTTTTCATTGGGACTTTGCAACTGTTTCCTGCAATATCACCATTAATAGCAAGCATTTAGGTGCTTTCTGGCTAGTGGGTCACACTGGGTTCTTAATTCTTTTAATGTGTGTGTTAAGGAATAACTGTCCTTTGTTGATTTCATGGCCACTGTTACCAACCTTGAGTTTTATAGCAAACTGGGGAAACTGAGACTAAACCCACTACTTTCCTACAGGAAACTCCTGAATCTACAAATTTCATTTCAAAAGCTCTGATCACAGTGAAACATGGAGAGAGGAAGAGTAAAAGACAACAGAGTCGCATCCAAACAATCCATGCCCAGAATGACAGGAAATAACTGTGGACTGTCTCCAAGCCGGAGACTAAGAAAGCTGGGAGGCAGAAGGGCTGTCTGCATTCACAAAGTACATGGAGAGAAAAATGATGAATGTAATCTACAGTAGCCTTCCAGATGATAAATGTTTGAAGACCATATCTTAATTGTCGCTACCTCTCAG
The DNA here is from genome assembly GCF_000001405.40 of Homo sapiens. Classification (NCBI taxonomy): domain Eukaryota; kingdom Metazoa; phylum Chordata; class Mammalia; order Primates; family Hominidae; genus Homo; species Homo sapiens. The sequence goes on along the minus strand of NC_000009.12, from coordinate 1,070,730 downwards.
AGGTCACCATTGCTCAGCTCACAGTTAGTGCCTAATACATGCTTGTTGAATTAAATAAAAACAGTAATTCAAATCTAAAGAATCAGATTTACAGATTTGCCTAACAACTTCAAGTAGAACTGAAGTTCAACTTCACTACATTTGAATAGAATCAGACTTTATCTAAATTAATAATCTCAATTAAATCTATTTTGGGTTTTTTAGCCATAAGAAATATTATTTTAAATCAAAATTGACTAGCTATTAAGATGGCTAAAACAGAGAAGGCATTTTCAGGATTTACTGTTTATCATCATATAGACCAGGGGTCCCCAACCCCCAGGCTATGGACCAGTACCAGTCTGTGGGCCGCACAGCAGGAGGTGAGCAGCAGGCAAACAAACATTACTGCCTTAGTTTCACCTCCGGTCACATCAGGAGTGGCACAAGATTCTCATAGGAGCCTGAACCCTATTGTGAAGTGCACGTGCAAGGGATCTAGGTTGCATGTTCCTAATGAGAATCTAATGCCTGATGATCTGAGGTGGAACAGTTTCATCCCAAATTCCTGTCCACTCTCGACCTGTCCATGGAAATATTATCTTCCATGAAACCGGTTCCTGGTGCCAAAAAGGGTTGGGACTGCTGATATAGACAATAAATCCCAAGAATTAATATGTACGTTTAATTTTACAATTGACCCTTGAACAACATGGGTTTAAACTGCTAAGGTTCGAGGATTTTCTTTCATCTCTGCCACCCTCAAAGACAGCCAGACCAATCCCTCCTCTTCCTCCTCCTTCCTCCTAAGCCTACTCAATGTGAAGGTAACTAGGATGAAGACCTTTATGATAGTCCACTCCCACCTAACGAATAGTAAATACATTTTCTCTTCCTTGTGATTTGCTTAATAACATTTTCTTTTCTCTGGCTTATTTTATTGTAAAAATACAGTATATAATACATATGACATATAGAATATTTGTTAATCGACTGTTTATGTTATTGGTAAAGTTTCCAGTCATCAATAGGCTATCAGTAGTTAAGTTTTGGGTGAGTCAAAAGCTGTAAGAGGACCAGGTGATATAATTTCAGCACCCGTAATCCCAGCACTTTAGGACGCCAAGGCAGGAGGATAACTTCAGGGCAGGAGTTTAAGGCCCCCTTGGGCAACATAGCAAAACCCTGTCTCTACAAAAAATTTTAAAAATAGCTGGGCATTCAAAAGCTAGCAGAAGACAAGAAATAACTAAGATCAGAGCAGAACTGAAGGAGATAGAGACACGAAAACTCTTCAAAAAAAATCAATGAACTCAGGAGCTGGTTTTTTGAAAAGATTCACAAAATAGACAGACAGCTAGCCAGACTGATAAAAAGAAAAGAGACGCCAGGTGAGGTGGCTCATGCCTGTAATCCCAGCACTTTGGGGAGCCGAGGCAGGTGGATCATGAGGTCAAGAGATCGAGACCATCCTTGCCAATATGCTGAAACCCTGCCTCTACTACAAATACAAAAATTAGCTGGGCGTGATGGTGTGCGCCTCTAGTCCCAGCTACTCAGGAGGCTGAGGCAGGAGAATCGCTTGGACCCAGGAGGCGGAGGTTGCAGTGTGCTGAGATCACGCCACTACATGCCAGCTTGGCAATAGAGAGAGGATCAGTCTCAGAAAAAAAAAAAAAAAACAGAAGAAGAAGAAGAAGAAAAGAGAGAAGAATCAAATAGACAATAAAAAATGATAAAGGGAATATCACCACTGATCCCACAGAAATGCAATCTACCATCAGAGAATATTATAAACACCTCTACCCAAATAAACTAGAAAATCTAGAAGAAATTGATCAATTCCTGGACAGATACACCTTCCCAAGACTAAAACAAGAAGAAGTTGAATCCCTCAATAGACTAATAACAAGTCCAAGTCCTGAAATTGAGGCAGTAATTAATAACCTACCAACCAAAAAAAGCCCAGGACCAGATGGATTTACAGCCGAATTCTACCAGAGGTACAAAGAAGAGCTGGTACCATTCCTTCTGAAACTATTCCAAACAATAGAAAAAGAGGGACTCCTCCTTAACTCATTTTATGAGGCCAGCATCATCCTGATACCAAAATCTGGCAGAGACACAACAAAAAAAGAAAATTTCAGGCCAATATCCCTGATCAACATTGATGCAAAAATCCTCAATAAAATACTGGCAAACCAAATCCAGCGGCACATCGAAAAGCTTATCCACCACAATCAACTCAGCTTCATCCCTGGGATGCCGGCTGGTTCAACATACGCAAACCAATAAATGTAATCCATCACATAAACAGAACCAATGACAAAAACCACATGATTATCTCAATAGATGCAGAAAAGGCCTTTAATCAAATTCAACAACGCTTCATGCTAAGAACTCTCAATAAACTAGGTATTGTTGGAACATATCTCAAAATAATAAGAGCTATTTATGACAAACCCACAGCCAATGTCATACTGCATGGGCAAAAGCTGCACGCACTCCCTTTGAAAACCAGCACAAGACAAGGATGCCCTCTCTCACCACTCCTATTCAACTTAGTATTGAAAGTTCTGGTAAGGGCAATTAGGCAAGAGAAAGAAATGAAAGATATTCAAATAAGAAGAGAGAAAGTCAAATTGTCTCTGTTTGCAGATGGCATGTTTGTATATTTAGAAAATCCTATCATCTCAACCCAAAATCTCCTTAAGCTGATAAGCAACTTCAGCAAAGTCTCAGGATACAAAATCTATGTGCGAAAATCACAAGCATTCCTATACACCAATAATAGACAGAGAGCCAAATCATGAGTGAACTCCCATTCTCAGTTGCTACAAAGAGAGTAAAATATGTAGGAATCCAACTTACAAGGGATGTGAAGGACCTCTTCAAGGAGAACTACAAACCACTGCTCAAGGAAATCAGAGAGGACACAAACAAATGGAAAAACATTCCATCCTCATGGATAGGAAGAATCAATATTGTGAAAATGGTCATACTGCCCAAAGTAATTTATAGATTCAATGCTATTCCCATCAAGGTACCATTGACTTTCTTCACAGAATTAGAAAAAAACTACTATAAATTTCATATGGAACCAAAAAGGAGCCTGTATAGCCAAGACAATCCTAAGCAAAGAGAACAAAGCTGGAGGCATCACATTACCTGACTTCAAACTACACTACAAGGCTACAGTAACCAAAACAGCATGGTACTGATACCAAAACAGATATACAGACCAATGGAACAGTACAGAGGCCTCAGAAATAATACCACACATCTACAACCATCTGATCTTTGACAAACCTGACAAAAACAAGCAATGGGGAAAAAAAATCCCTTTTTAATAAATGGTGATGGCAAAACTGGCTAGCCATAAGCAGAAAACTGAAACTGGACCCCTTCCTTACACCTTATACAAAAATTAACTCAAGATGGATTAAAGACTTAAATGTTAGATGTAAAACCATAAAAACACTAGAAGAAAATCTAGGTAATACCATTCAGGATACAGGCGTGGGCAAAGACTTCATTACTAAAACACCAAAAGCAAGGGCAACAAAAGCCAAAATTGAAAAATGTGATCTCATTAAACTAAAGAGCTTCTGCACAGCAAAAGAAACTATCATCAGCGTGAACAGGCAACCTACAGAATGGGAGAAAATTTTTGCTATCTATCCATCTGACAAATGGATAATATCCAGAATGTACAAGGAACTTAAACAAATTTACAAGAAAAAAACAACCCCATCAAAAAGTGGGTGTAGGATAGGAACAGACACTTCTCAAAAGAAGATATTTATGCAGCCAACAAACATATGAAAAAAAGCTCATCATCACTGGCCATTAGAGAAATGCAAATCAAAACCACAATGAGATACCATCTCATGCCAGTTAGAATGGCGATCATTAAAAAGTCAGGAAGCAACAGATGCTGGAGAGGATGTGGAGACATAGGAATGCTTTTACACTGTTGGTGGGAGTGTAAATCAGTTCGACTATTGTGGAAGACACTGTGATGATTCCTCAAGGATCTAGAACCAGAAATACCATTTGACCCAACAATCCCATTACTGGGTATATACCCAAAGGATTATAAATCATTCTACTATAAAGACACATGCACACATATGTTTATTGCAGCACTATTCACAATAGCAAAGACTTGGAACCAACCCAAATGCCCATCAATGATAGACTGGATAAAGAAAATGTGGCACATATACACCATGGAATACTATGCAGCCATAAAAAAGGATGAATTCATGTTTTTTGCAGTGACATGGATGAAGCTGGAAACCATCATTCTCAGCAAACTAATACAGGAATGGAAAAGCAAACAATGCATGTTCTCACTCATAAGTGGGAGTTGAACAATAAGAACACATGGATACAGGGAGGGGAACATAATACACCAGGACCTATCGGGGAGTGGAGGGTAGGGGAGAGATAGCATTAGGAGAAATACCTAATGTAGATGATGGGTTGATGGGTGCAGCAAACCACCATGGCACATATATACCTATGTAACAAACCTGCACATTCTGCACATGTATCCCAGGACTTAAACTATAATTTTTAAAAAAATAAAATAAAATACAAATACAAATAAAAAAAATAGCTGGATGCGGTGCTGCGCACCTGTAGTTGTAGCTACTCTTGAGCCCAGGAGTTGGAGGTTACAGTGAGCTATCATCACGCCACTGCACTCCAGCCTGGGCAACTGAATGAGACCCTGTCTATTAAAAAAAAAAAAAATTATGCTAGCTGGGTGCGGTGGCTCATGCCTATAATCCCAGCACTTTGGGAAGCTGAGGCGGGCAGATCACCTGAAGTTGGGAGTTCAAGACCAGCCTGACCAACATGGAGAAACCCCGTCTCTACTAAAAATAAAAAATTAGCCGGGCATGGTTGCACATGCCTAAAATCCCAGCTACTAGGGAGGCTGAGGCAGGAGAATCGCTTGAACCTGGGAGGCAGAGGTTGCAGTGAGCCAAGATTGTGCCATTGCACTCCAGCCTGGACAACAAGAGCAAAACTTCATCTAAAAAAAAAAAAAATTCATGCTGTACACCTTAAATAGGTAAAAGTATTTAAGTAAAAGTTAAAATTCCGAAGAACTAGTTGGTGATATGATTTTCTAGAGAATTTGGCTAGGAGGAAAAAAACTTCATCTGATCCTTTTCAGTGGTAATTTTTCATAAAATCAAGAATTACCGGAGTTGACGAAGATTCTCCTCATTCAGCAAAAATCTCTTGACACCAACTGTATGCTAGGACCTAGCAGATGAAGATAAATGAAGCAGTCTCTGCTTGCTAATTCATTCTCATACCCATTGCAAGGTTTGTTTCTTTGTTTCACATGAAGATCTCTAAATGCATTCTTTCACAAGGCCGACCAGGCCAAGTATGAACAAGCCAAACTGAAAGATGATCTCCCTTTTTTTGTGCTATATTTGATCCCCTCTAGCATCCTCTTAGCACTGTTTCTTCTAGAGACTACCAAGGGACCTTAATTCCCTCTCCAAAATGACAATATTTCAAATATATAAAAACACAAATCAAATCCTTTCCCTTAAGATATCTATTTTCCAGGCCACATCCCCAAGGCCCTTAACTGTCTATAGGTAGGCAAAATTGTCAGTCCTTTCACCATCCTCGTGGCCAAGTCTATCAATGTCTACACTAAAAATGCAGTGCTCAGAGCTGGGCACAAGTTACTAGATTTGATCTGTCAGGAGAAAGGGGAGGAAATGCACTGTAATTAGCATTTCTCTTCATCTGGAGTCTCTGTTAATGGAATCCAGGTTAGTATTAGCAATTTCTTACAGCCATGATTCATTATGGTTCTTTTTAAGCTCTGTGGTCTTCTATGACTGCCAGATCATTTTCACATAAACTAACATCAAGTTAACTCTCCCTCAACATAAAGTTTCATAATTGGGTGACAGTTACTTTTAAAATCCAAATATTAGATTTGACTTTGAGTTATAGTCCTAGTCTCACCCAACTCTACTATCAACAACAGTGGCCAGACCTCCCAACTTAATGTCATGTATAGATTTGATAAGTACACTTTTTATGTCTTCATTTGCCAGCCAGAATATCACCCAAAACAAGAGGTCTCAATGGCCATGAGACTAAAGACTTTCCTTGAAATCGACTTTGATTTATTACTCTGTCTTGTGAAGATAGCTGTTCAAGCAGCTACAAATTCCCCTGACTTCACTGTTATCCATCCTAAAATTCCCTGTCACGAAAGGCTTTCTTGAATTCCTTGACAAATTGAGACATAACTTGTATGTGGCCTTCCCCTAATACCTCTATAGTAACATTATTCGAAAGAGGAAATAATATTAGTTTGGCTTCACAGCTTCACAACATCTCAGGTAACTTCTTTTGATAACTTTTTATGATGACATTCCATGAAAATAATTTGGTGGTGATGGATAGCAGCAGAACACTCCCCTTAGGCCATGCTACTTAATGACATCAAATGATATACTCATCAGAAAAACAATTCTTCACTGCTTGCCAGCGTGCTATACCAAATGTCTCAGTTCCATCTGGGGTAAAGGAAGTTATTTCTCCAGTTTTATTTTTTATTCTAAAACAAAAATGTATATAGTCTTTAGTCTAGTAAGCACATATGAAGTAATAACACCATTTCCTGCCTTCCAGCTTATATCTTTATCAAGGACTTAAACTTTGATTGCAGTCATCAAATCCAAGCGTATATGGTCTTTGGATTGATCTCAATTCAAAACAAAGAAAATAATAGCAAAATTATGTTAATGAAAAGACGCAGGGAGAATACCTTACCTGATTGATGAGTTTGGGATAGGAAAGGGAGCCTGGGTAGCTCCTCCCGTTCTTCTTGCCTTCCCTTCAAGAGCTAACTTGAACGCAGAGAATACAGACACTCAATCACTACCCACATGCAGGGGAGGTGTGCTGGGCCACTGTTGACTGTTTCTAGGTAGGTAGTCTGTATCATCCTGGAGTTTAGTGTTATGAAGTCCCCTAGCTCCTGGATATAAGTCATATTCTCCAGTGTAATCATAATCAGTTTTAAAGGTAGTTAAGAAGATTCTAACCTCCAAGTGCCAACTCCTTTCTCTTATTTCTTGATTGGCTCAGAACTCCAGGCATGGAGCAGAGGTGCTGGTTTTGGAGCTCATCAAACATCTATAACAATACACTTGAATGAAGAGTTCCCCCACTAAAGATGCCTGATAGAGGAATCCCATGACAGGGCAAAAATGGCTCCTCTCCAGCAACCCTGCTCCACTCAGTCATGTGCAGGAAGCAACCCAGAGAAAATGTGGCCTTAGTGTTTCTCTTTCCCTTTTCTCATCTCACTTGGTCTCACAACCCCATGAGACTGGTGTGTGCATGTGTATAACTTACTGAAGGTAGAATGAATGTGCAAATGTAATAGAGATAGATGTAATCATACAAGTAAAATTATACTTATGTAATGTATAATATATATTACATATCAGCATTAGATGCACTTAAAATTTATATACAAAGGTTTAGGGCTGTATTATGCAATTTCAAGTCATGTTGTATATTGGAAAGAATTCCCAAATTTGTAAACATATCCACAGACATATAGATTCATCTCTTCATATGGCCATTTACCAAATTTCTATAGAATTTATGTGAGGAATATAAAAAATGATAAATGTCAATGTGCTCTGTAAATTGCCAGGCTCTAAACATATGTTGTTATTTCACATTTACCATTATAGCAAATGCCAACCTATTTATAGGTGTGCAGTTGTCCAGCATGCCCTAGATGTATTTAGACATCACAAGTTACAAACTAAAAGAACTAAGGGGGTGGAATGTGATAAAAGCTTTGTATAATTATTAAAATAAATATAAGAGGATGCCAAAGGCCCAAGTTTATATAATGCAAGGTCCAACCATTTCATGAACTATCAGCCCTACAAATTGGACCCTACCCATGGAAACAAGCCTAAGTTTATAGACATAGAATAGGAATATTAAAATTAATCCAAAATTAATGAAATCAGGTGAGCCACTAAGAATTCTAGTCCCTATTGAAAACTCAGCCTCGACACTAAGTCTTATCCATTATTCTACAAGGAAGCGTGGATTCTCCTTATTTCTTCATCTTGACCTTCAGCCATTTTCTCAGTTTAGCACTTCTGAGGCTTTGCAGAAGGAATTCCAGAAAGTTTGTTAATACAAGTTACAGTCTTTCATTACACAATTGGAATTAAGCTTTTAAATGAAGATATCATTTAAGCTCATACTAAAAGGTACACAACTGATACTGGAGCCTTTCTGGGCAACAACAGTGTTGAGTGGAAATGGTCCACACACTGCAGGAGAGGGGATAGTTGGGAGGACTGTATACCTGAGATAACTCAGTTCCTAAGGACAGGAAGCAGGTGAAACTCGGAAGTGAGAACAGGGTGAAGAGAAGGGGCATACATACCAAAAAGAGCTAAAAGCAGGGTTTCAAAGAACTATTTGGACATCCTTGTTCATGGCACTATTATTTAAAATATCTGAAAGCTGGATTCAACCCAAGTGTCTATCAACAGATTACCAGATAAACAAAAATGTATGTGTGTGTATGCACTGTATGTGTATGTATGTGTGTATATATACATATAAACACATGTGTATGTATGTATATATGTCTACATGTACACCGTTTACACTCATACGCACAGTATTCCACTGTGTTTGTGTGTGTATTTATGTATGTGTGTGTCTGTGTGTATATATATACATATATATAGTGTGTGTGTATATATATGTATAACATATATATACAGTGTGTGTATATAACTTACCTAATTGATTAGTTTGGAGTCGGAAAAGTACCTTACATAAGGAAAATACCTCATATAAGTAAAATAAGCCAATTGGATTCCCTTAATGGGATTAAAATGATACAGAGAGAAAGGACAGAAAAGAAATTCCCATACGTTCATTGAATACAAAAGAGAAACATCTTACAACTATTAGCATTCAAAATACAAAAATGGAGAAAGTAAGAGACAAAATTCATGTTTAGATTAAGAAGCCTTCTCACTGAGATTTTTTTATGTGGTTTTATTCTAATGGCTTTCCCTCATTACCTTTGAAGCAGCTTAAACACACAGACATACACACATATACATACAAACACACGCAAACACAGTGGAACACTACTCAGTCTTAAGCAGGAGGAAAATTCTGACACATGCTAGAACATAATAAACCTTGAGCACATTATGCTAAGTGAAATAAGCCAGTCACAAAAAGACATATAATGTCTGATTTTACTTGTATGAGGTACTGAAAAAACACAATACTGTATGATTGCCCTTTATGAGGTACTTAGAGTAGTCAAATTCACAGAAGCGGAAAGTAGAAAGGCGGTTGCTGGGAGGGGAGGGAGTTACTGAGGGTATAGAATTTCAGTTTTGCATGATGAAAAGCGTTATGTGGATGGACGGTGGTGATGACTGCACAATGTGAATGTACTTAATGTCACTGAACTGTATGCTTCAAAATAGTTAAGATGGCAAATTTTATGTTTTCCCACAGTTAAAAATAAAAGATACATATTATATTTTTAACCAAATTAAAACAACTTCTACCTTTGTGAGAAAAAAAAAGAGACGGTGGGGAGCAGGCACTGTCTGCTGCATGACTTGCCTGGGTCTTGGCCTAGGCTCAGTAAAAAGGAAAATGGCAGCCAGGCGTGGTGGCTCACAACAGTAAGCCCAGCACTTTGGAAGGCTGAGGCAGGTGGATCACTGGAGGTCACGAGTTTGAGAGCAGCCTGGCCAAAACGGTGAAACTCCGTCTCTACTAAAAATACAAAAATTAGCCTGGCGTGATGGCAGGCACCTGTAATCCCAGCTACTCAGGAGGCTGAGTCAGGAGAATCGCTTGAACCCAGGAGGCGGAGGTGGCAGTGAGCTGAGGTCACGTCACTGCACTCCAGCCTGGGCAACAGAGCGATACTCCGTAAAAAAAAAAAAAAAAATTTGGTTTTTTAAAACTATTTCTGTATATTAACTTACTCATGCTAGTAATATTATGATGATTGCATTACAACTCAAAATCCACAGCAGATAATATTAAATGTGCGTTGAAATACCAGAAATGCTGCAAGCATTGTTACTCAAAGTGTGGCCTGAAGCCCAGCAGCATCGGGATTCTCAGGTGGTTCAATTGTCCATTAGTTTGAGAAGCACTGTTGTAAACTTTCGAGAACTGCAAATTCAGCTAACGATCATGCTTGATGGGTTGAGATGGAAGGATAACATGTCATTAGAGTTGTATTATTGTATTGTGAGTTAAATTGAGAAAAATGTCCACGTTTTACTATCCTTTACATTCTCGAAAACTATTAAAACTGTATCCATTTATTGCCTTCGATAGAGAAAATGCTTAAATCGAATCCCAAGTTTGATTTAATGTCAATGGCAGTGTTTTCTGAAGATTCTATATGACACGTTCATGGAAGTGAAATGATTTTCAAAAGCAAAGAGCCAAGCACAAAGCTCTTAACAAGTGGCTGACGGTAGATTTGGTAGTTTTTTTTGTTTGTTTGTTTGTTTGTTTTTTTGAGACGGAGTCTCGCTCTCTCGCCCAGGCTGGAGTGCAGAGGCGCGATCTCGGCTCCCTGCAAGCTCCGCCTCCCGGGTTCACGCCATTCTCCTGCCTCAGCCTCCCGAGTAGCTGAGACTACAGGCCCCCGCCACCGCGCCCGGCTAATTATTTGTATTTTTAGTAGAGACGGGGTTTCACCTTGTTAGCCAGGATGGTCTCGATCTCCTGACCTCGTGATCCGCTTGCCTCGGCCTCCCAAAGTGCTGGGATTACAGGCGTGAGCCACCGCGCCCGGCCTTTGGTAGTTTTAAAATTCAAAGAACTCATTACAGCAGAACTAATTCATAGTATAATAATAAGTTTGCCAGGGGAAGTAGTGACCCTCATAAATGTTCAAGAACAATAAAATTCTGGTCACTGGTAATGTGAGAAAAACCACTAATACCCACAGCCAACTGGATTCACATAATGGGATTAAAATGATACAGAGAGAGAGGACCGAAAAGAAGTCCCCATGTGTTCACTGAATACAAAAGAGAAACATCTTAACAAATATAAGTATTCAAAACACAAAAGTGGAGCAAGCAAGAGATAAAATTCATGTTTAGATGAGAAGACCTCTCACTGAGATTTTTTATGTGCTTTTATTCTAATACGTTCCCCCTCATTACCTTTGAAGCAGTTTAATTAAATGCTAAGGATACATTTAACACTTGAAACAAAAAAGTAAATTTCCAATAGAAAGACAAAAATTAGTGATTATAGACAAAGCAGAGACGACTGGGAGGGAAAACTGGAGTTAGATTCTGTCTCTGACATCAGGGCACACTTGGCTGGAAAACATTTTTCCGCTTAATGATAATCTTTAAAAGTTATTGGAATCTCTGCCTGTTTTCAAATCCTTTGCCTCTGGCAAACGTCCATTCACTCTGACTTTTGCAATAATACAAATAACTAAATTTGACTCAATAAAACCAAGTATTATTTTACAAGTACAAACTGAAAGTCAACCCAAGGTTTGGCTTGTTGTTTTTTGAAATTGATGCTAATTTTAAGCAACAATTCAGAGAATCCCAGGAGGTTTACATGAGGTCATTAGTAGCAAAATCATTTCTAAGTAATTCAAAGTGTTTTCACACTGCTGAATCACTTGGCATCTTCCACATACCCACCTCATGTTCTTGTTACCCAGAAGACAGTAGCAGAATTTGACGTAAAACCTCCCTCTGTGGCGGTATTAAAAGTGAGATACGTGACTCTTGATTTTTTGTATTAGAATGACTATGACACCTTAAACTTCACTTGGGGTCCACAGGTGAGGTCTTAAGAGATGAACTTAGTACTCTCATAAAAGTCTTACTCTTATTTTATCAATTATATGGAACAACAGCTAACATTTTACTGAGTAAAACAAGAGATTAACAAGAACTTAAAAATGGGAGAAATGGTGGGTGTGGTGGCTCATGCTTGTAATCCCAGCACTTTGGGAGGCCAAGGCACGAGGATCATTTGAGACCAGGTGTTCAAGACAAGCCTGGGAAGCATAGGGAGACCCTGTTTCTACCAAAATTTTTAAAAACTTACCTCTGCACATATTCCAAAAATAATAATAAATTTAGAAATTGGCCAAGCATGGTGGTGCATGCCTGTAGTCCAAGCTACTCAAGAGGCTGAGGTGGAGCCTGGGAGGTGGAGCCCCTTGAGTAGCTGGGACTACAGGCATGCACTTGAGCCTGGGGAGGTCGAGGCTACAGTGAGCCATGATCACACCACTGCACTCCAGCCTTGCCGACAGAGTGAGACCTTGTCTCAAAAAAAAGGGGGGGTGGGGGGAGAAAAGGTGTAAGAATTAAGAAGCCACCCTCATGCTGTGATAAACATCTGCAAGCTTCAGCAACTGTCAGCTGAAGCAATCTGAATACTAAACGTTTTTGTGTCAGAAGAGAGTTACACTGAAGGCCTTTGACAGTGGTGCAAATGTGGGAGGCATAAAGCTGATACTTGGGGACCGGATGAGAGTTGTGACTGGGCCTGCATCCAAATGCCTGCTGTCACCAGTGATTCAGAAACAGTGGACTCACACAAGAGCTGAGAGGAGGTTTGGGCCCCATCAGTACTGACCACATCTTAAAAGGAAACCTGATTTGTGGCTCCTAGCAACCTAAAATCATAGACTGTTCAAAGAAACTAGAAATGTTTCTAGAAAGGAAGCTTAGGGCCCCACATAAACATCCTCGCCAGGGAAAGAAACTGGGACCCAGGGAGTCAGAAGAAATCTATTCCAAGAACCCAAACCATCTAATGTAATGTAAAAGAGACATTACACTTGATTTCCCTTCCAATTAATTCAGCTTTGTCCAATCACGTGAAATGAAGATACTGTAAACATGCAAATGGCCCTATGTTCTCCTTAAAGTGATTTTTGCCTCAAACAGTCTCGAATAATTAAATTTATGTGCCCTCCACAATGCAAAACTAAAGTATTATAAAGGTTTTCCTGTGGCCCCCAGTGACCATTAAGAGTACTTCAAAATATACAAATATACAGAATCATAGAAAAATAGCTTCTTCATCTAGACAGAGACAGCTATTTGCTTCGGCAAATATTGGGTCTTTGAGAAGACAGTGTCAATTTTATTGCTTTTTGAAATGCTGTGTAAAGTGTGGTACTTAACAATTTGCACATTGGGCAATTTCCATCTGTAAGTTTAAATATATGTGATAAGAAAAAGTACATGCATATTAGGAATATATAAAATTTTTCAAAATCATCATCTTTACATTAGAAATTTCTTTACACAAACATCTTAACTTTTAAAAAAAGTAGCAAATGGCTATAATGCTCTAAGACTGCAGAAAATCCAGCTTTCTGTTTAAGCAGCCTTTCACTGAGAGACACGAGTGATGGCAGATGAAGGCCTCTTAAGAATAGACTCAACAGAAAATGACAGTGGTTCATTCACCGAGAGTTTTGTTCCAACTTGTTTGGCTACAAAAAGGTCTTTTGCACATCTATCTATTGTAAATGTGTACTTCTGGTTGTCCTTAACTAAACACTCTCTGTGTTTCTTAGGGGTCTCTTCAAAGGCCTCTTTGACAAATGGTGTTTTCAACTCAGGACCCGATTTGTCAGTAAGTGTTTGCTGGAATAATGAGTGGAATGGATTATGTCTAAGTGGCAGAGGGTGCCTGGTGTTTTCTTTGCTGATCTTCGTTAAGACATGCCCTTGAGCTGCCAGGGAGTCCGTGTCAACAATGGGAGAGAAATTCCGTCGGGGTGGGGAGAACGCGGACCTCTCTGGGACAGCCTGATGACCCTGAAGGTCACTTCTCGTGGTCTGGATCTCAGGAGTGTGAGGCAGCACCAGGGAACCTTCCAATTTCGATGGCATCATGTCCTGCTCTGCACTGAGTCCATCCTGGACTCGTGCTCCCTTCAAGTCCCAGCTGGCCCCAGGCTTCAGGGCTTGAACTGAGGTGGTGGCATTTAGCAGGCATTGCTGGTAGAGGAGGGTGTCGCTAATGGGGCCACACTTGGGCCAAACTAAAAATCTTGAGGACAAGGGATACTGTCTATAAGTTGTGGCCACGCTGACATTAGAAGAAATTAGTTCCATATTCCCAGACCCTGAATACTGCATGGTTAAATCAAGGCAGGTGGGCAAAAAATTACAGAAGTCCTTGCTTGGTGGTTCCACTGGGCTGGGGCTGTAGGCACTTTTGTAGGAATTGTAGTCAGGTCCAGGCACCATGCGGTTGGGCAGAAACAGAGCAGCAGCTTGAGAAGTTTCCAACATCTCCCTTTCTTTATATTCTCTCTCCAGCATAATGTTCTCCAACTCTTTATCAGCAAAGGCTCTTCTTTTCCTCATCCTGTCACTAACTGGGGGAGGTAGAGGGAAGGTCCCTCCTACATAAGTCTCCGCTGGAATGGGGCGATAGCCTACAAGAAGCAAAGATTGCACATGAAAGAGATTAACATCTACGGAATAAAAATGTGGAAACCCAGAAGGTAACAGCAACACTACAGATCAGCAGAACAATTATTTACAGTTCCATCTCACTGATATTTTTATACAGATGCAAAAGTACAGATTAGGTTTGAAAGAGTTTCCTGGGAGGGTGAAAGATATCCATACTGCAACTTCTTCTTGTTGTTGTTCTTGTTCTTGTTGCTTGTTGTGGTTGTTATGGATTTGTTTGCTTGCTTGCTTCAACAGACATACTTTATTGATTAAAATTTTAATATTCTTCCCAGGCCCCCTACGCATTAAGAGACAAGACTATTTATCTTGTATCAATCAATGTTTTATTATTATCCATGTCATCTTTTTTCATTATTAAAAAATATATCTATACCTAGAGCTGATGTCACTTTTATTTTCTAAAGATGGTTCATTATGTACACATAATAGCTGTAGAATAATCCAAGGAGAACTAGGAAAAAAGAGAAAGAAAGAAAGTTAAAGGAGATTAGCGAGTAGAAAAAGAAAAAAAAGGCTTAAGAAAATAGAGAAGCATAGAAAATTGAAAAGAGCTGTTAACTAGTCAAACACACTCTACAGTGAACAATTTAACCAGGCCCCTTCCCCTGATACCACTACAAAAAAAAATAAAATAAAATAAAACAAAACTCAAAAAAGGCGGGGAGTATTCCCTGCTCTATCGAAAATAACTGTTCTGAAACATTCTTCCCAAGCTCTAATCATTTTGGCCGGATACCAAAATGGTTGAACAAGCAATCATTAAAACACAGGCTAAGTCATCGCACGAATAGGAGCAAACTCAAATACAAAGATTAGTGTAACATAAATAGAATTCCTGGAGGCATAAAATACTTGGAGTATTTCATCACCCCCAAGCACTCACCTCTGTCATATTTGTTTGAAGCATCCATTGTTATATTTGTGTTTACATAGTGACAAACCCATTATACTCATTTGCAAATAAAATAAAATTTGAAAATTAATGTTTACATTTCTATGATAAGTTTTTGCCAGGAAGTTATTTAGTTGAATTTACTATTCCATTTAGTCCTCAGACTTCACAAGTTGCTTTGCATAATCTCAGTTTATCAATGTGGCCCTATTATTATAAATCTGTTTATCCAGTTTGTAACCAAATTCATTTTTAATTCATAAGAAACCACTCTATGGTCAGAAGTATACAACACATGATAGGACACACACAAACTTCAAAACCTGTCCAGAACCAACAAAATTCAGAAGCTACACAAGAAAAAAACAGAATCCAAATGTCTACTTAAAAATTTTTATAGGACACACACAAACCTGTCCAGAACCAACAAAATTCAGAAGCTACACAAGAAAAAAACAGAATCCAAATGTCTACTTAAAAATTTTTGTTTACTTTCAACCTGAATTTCATGAAGTGGCAGTGATTAAAGCAAACATTAATTGTCCCTTATTTAAATTTTTAAAAATTTAAAGAGAAACGGTTAAAAATAGTCAATATATTATTGAGGTCAATAAATAAATTCCATACCCAAATAGAGATGCTTTTAAAAATGAGTAATATTTTAAGAAAAATTAATGTACCCCCAGGCTTTCACGAAAGTGAGAACATGGAGACAGAAAGCTAGAGATTTCGCACTGTTCGCATTCAACCTCCACTTCGCTTGCTGGATTCGAAACCTTTTTCAGATTCTATAACCTTGACTGTCAAAAAATGGTAAAAATGAAGTTTGGAATAATAGGAATTATCCAAGTAATCCAAAAAAAAAAAAAAAAGTACAATGAAAAAGAGCGGAATCTGAGGTTGAACTTCCAGACTAAACGGCTTTACTGGTTGCGAGCAGCTGTTAAACTCCTCACTTGACTTCATCTATTCAGCTCCCACAACTAAGAAAAGTGGACGTGGTTGTGTTGTTTTGTTTTGCTTTGTTTAAGTTATTTATTTCCTTCCAAGACATCTGCTCCAGGATCACTTGGCAGTATATCTTTGTACATCCCTCATACGGGGTAAATTTCACATGCACTCCACATTAACCGATTAACCACTAAGCAGACAACCAAATAATAGGGATTCTTCAACTGGTGGTGACAGAAACCTCAGGAGGTATGTGAGATTCATTTTCCCAGGTGGCGGTTTCCTTCCTAGAAGAAAACTTTCTGGTTCCCGGGCCATGCTAATCTTCTCCGTACGGGTTCAGTTTTAGCGTACGGGCTCAGCGAACACCTAAACAAAACCTTTCTAATAAAAAGTACTTTCCCTTTAGATAGCTCTTTCACAGATTAATAAACACACTTTGTGCTGATTAATGAGAGTCACTCAACTCTGTTTAAAAGGCTGAAGGATAATTTTGTTGCTTTACCTTCTAAAATGCTTTTGGCCAGCAAACTGGGGGCTCTGACTTGCCTCTGGTACACAGCTTTGCGCTCGAAATTATTCTGTTTCCCGGAAAGCCCCTTCTTGTCCTGTAAACACAAGAAACATCATCAATAATGCCCTGAAAGAAAATGGGGGCGAGAAGGGGGAAGGACGGGATGTCCGTAAATCTTCTAGAAACTCTCCCCCTTCTAAATGTATTGAATTTTCCCATTCCGTGTGAAAAATAATTACAAACGAATTAATATCAGCACCCCTTAATCCTAGGGCAAGGAGCTGGAACCTCAGCTGGTGAGCTGGATCCCCTGCTTTCCGCAGCATAGTCACTCTAGACTCTAATCACTCTAGATATACGCAGACCTATGGCCAGAAGTGAGGGGACATCCCGGAGGGAAGTGAAAAAGTGAAATCCCTTTCAGGGGGGCACCCGACCTCAAGAGATGGTTGCAGCCAGGCTGGGTCCTGGGAGCCCACCTGTCGGATAGAAGGTGCCCAAGGCCTGCTGTGAAGCAGTGAGGCCGGGCGGATTTCTCCCTGTGGCAGGGCAGGCAGGGTGGGGTGATAGGGGAATGAAGAGATGAGGGTCTCCTGGGTCCGGCTGCAAACTCCAAATTTGCGCTTTGCGGACACCCACCCTCGCCTCTGCAGTCACCTATCCCACCAGCTGGTGGGATTCTGGGCCCTCCCACGCCCGCGTCCTACCCAGCATATGCTACAGAGAACGCGTGGGAACGCAGGGCAGGCGATGACCCATGCGGGACGCGGGAGGAGACCAAGCCCAGGACCAGGTGCCCATGGCGTCCAGCGCGCTCTCCTGGGCCCTCGAGAGGCTTTCCAGTGGGGTTACTGCCTTCAGTGTGTCTGGCGATCCACTCCCCAGCTCCTCTCCGCCAAAAAGTAAAATTGAAAGTCTTCCCTGGTCCTGAGTCTGGGAGGAGGCCCTGTGAAGCCTCGCTCGCTGAACTCTCCCTGTCCAGGCGCACATGGAAACAAATACAAAATCGAAGGTTCAAGAGCGTCTCTCGGAAAGAAAGCCCTGGCTCTCCTCGCAGCTGGAGTCCTCCGATGGGAAGCAGCAGAGACCCTCCCCTTGCTCTTAGGTAGTTTGCAGGGACAGTAGCTTCGGATTGATGACCTTGGGCTGCAGGCATCTAATTTCTCATGCATTTTGTGTCTCATCCATAAAATGAGTGTTCTAGATATCTCAAACGTCCAGGTGACAGCTGAAGCACCGAGCGCATGCGTGCTGCGTGGTTCTTTTTCTCCATCATCACCAGTACAGCAGTGACGAGCCTGGAGCTGCACGCCGTGCTGTGGATCAACCACTCTCCCCCCAAGCCCCCGCCCTCAACACCACGAAAATGCACTTTAAAATGCAAAAAAATAAAAACATTGATTTTCTCGCGATGTTCCAAATGGGCCTAAACACTTTCAAGGCCTCTCTGCCTGCTTTTTAAGACAAAAACATTTCCCAAGTTCCCCAGAGATGCCTGCTTTTTCCCTCCCGACCCTGCTCGCCAGTGCAAGCAGAAAAGCGTTCTTACCATCCTTCCTAGGGAGTGCCAGGCACCGCAAGGCCCTGGGCGCGGGGGGTGTGGACGGCCGCCCCGCTCCCCTCCAACTCCCCCACCTCCACTGTGGCCTGAGACGCCCGGGCCGGGCGGGTACGCACCTCGGTGGCCTGCTGCCTCCGGAGCGCCACCTGGGCGGCCATGACGCGCTGCCGCTCCACCACCAGCAGGCAGTTGGCGCACTGGCAGTCGCGCCAGCGACAGAAGCGCTTGTGGCCCTTCAGGCAGGACACCACGCCGTGGTTGCGGCAGCGCGCGCACTTGGGCGTGCGGCTCAGCTTGCGCGGCTCCGCGCCGCCGCCCGCGGGAGTGCAGCGCTCTCGGGGACCGGTGCCGGCGGGTGAGGCCTGAGGCGCGAGCGGCGGCCTCGGCTGCGGTCCCCCCCGCTGCTCCGGCTGGCCGGGCATCCCGGGGGACGCGCCTGCCTCCTCGCCGTCGCCCTCTTCTTCCGCGTCTTCGTCCACCCCGTCGTCATCTTCGTCGTCCTCGCAGTCCCCGTCCGCCGGCGGCGGGCTGGGCCCGGGGGGCGTGGACCGCGGCGCCCCGCAGACGTCCTCTTCCAGCTCCAGGCTCTCGACATCGATCTCCCAGTCCCCGGCCGCGGAGCCAGCCTGCGGGTCGGCCATGGCGCTCGGGGCTTCGCTGGGGCCTGAGCCTGGCGGCCCTCACTCTGGGGAAACACAAAGAAATCCAAAGACCCACCGGCCGCCGTCAGGGACCATCCCTGAGCCTCCGGCCCAAAGCTCCTGGTCTGCCCGCCTCCGGCCGCTTGAGTCATCCTGTTCTCATTACATGTCCCTCACTTCCAGGCCACACGTGCCTTTCCTGTATCTCCAGGGCCCCCAGGGATCCACAACCCAACAAAGGTTTTATTTTATTAATTCTAAGTGCTCTGTGAGTACCTGACCTTTAACCGTGGCCCTCTCTGGCTTTACACGGGCTTTCCGGACAAGTCCCTGGGTAACTCACTTATCACACACACACAAAATATTGTGTCCAAATAGGCAGCCCCAGGCCACTTGTCGGATTTCCCCATACTCAACTAGTATGGCCATGATGCATATAAAACTATCCGTGGAAGAACAGTTTTCCTTTGATTACAAGTGGCCCTTCAGACTCACTGAAGTACCACTCTATGCTTCCCAAATGCCTCTCATCAGCCTACACCACCACAAGGACCCCTCCTTGGGCTTGAAGAGGTCCTCTCACCCCCCTCCCCAAAATACTCAACTGAAAACCAAAATTTTGTTGTCATTAGCGTCCCATAAGGGCAAAGAGCACAATACAGACGCCCGTCCAGCCTTAATAGTACCTGAGGTGCACAGGGCTGAGCCGCGTGGGCTCTCTGTACTTAGGCCTTGGTTTATATATTTAAGGTAAGGCATCCAAGTCACACAGAAAAGGTGAAAGATGATTCACGCCCTTTGCCCTCCCTGACACCCCGAGCGGCATCACAGCACTCACCAAAACTTTGAGGCCCGGGCTGGTAGCCCAGTTAAAAGATATCCAGCTTTAGGATCTGGCGCTAGGGCTGCTGGCTGTGCATGCAAACAGAAATCGGGGTCGCTACCCTCAAACACGAGATCGGGAGCTGATAGCTGGAGGCCCGGAACGAACCCACTGGATGGTGGAGGGGGAGGGAGAAGGTAGGTGGAGGGAAGGAGGGAGGAAGCCAGTCAAGTCCTCAGCGACCTAGCCCAGCACATCCCGAACTCTGCAAAGTTCTGCTCGGTCTTCTGCAGCCTCGGGCGCCTCACCTTGCTGAGGCCGCTTTCGGCTTCCTCTGACCCAGGCTGGGCGGGAAAGGTCGGGCCGCCCCCGCCTGGCTCAGATCGCTGGCTCACCCGGCGGGCGCGCGCAGTTGCATTCAGCGCAGCGCCACTGGCTTCAGTCTGCAGACTGCGCTCCCCTTCCTAGTACTGTCCGCTCAGGCCCCGGAGCTTTACGTCCTCTGATTGGCCGGTTGTCAGGCGGTGTGAATACTGATTGGCCGAGGCACGCTGGCAGGGAGCCCTCCGCCTCCCGCGGTCTACACTCTTCTCTCTGAAGCGCTCCGCCAGAGTCCGCCTACCGGGCCTTCGGTGCAGCCGGCTCGCCTGTCCAGAATCTAAACCCGAGGTATGACGGTGCCTGCAAGAGAGAAGTCACCATTTATCTCGCGGACTGGGAAACAAGCAGAGATACATTCTTAGGAATGCGTTGTCCACAAGAGAAGGTAATAAACGACGAGGAAGAGATCAGAAAGACCAGTATTGGCCTCTATCAGCATCACAAGCATTTCTGCGACTCAATCAATCATTAATCCAAACTGGGCGTAAAAATGATGCCTCTCTTTCGGGGCGTACAGCGACATCCTTCTTTCTCCTGCAAGAGTACATCAATGGTTACCTGGCACCGAAACTCCTAGTTAGCATACAAATAGCCTGTTGATATTTCTGTGTCTAGTGCCACCTATTCTCGAAGTGCCAAATAGCTCCTCATTAACCTTCACCGAGCCCGTGTGGCAGGTGGCCAAGTCGACTACAAGTCACTTACATTTTTCTGTTATATCAGTTGCTATTACAGTTAATGTAGGGAAGATCAGAAATGCATGCTATTAAGAGAATTAGGTAAATCCATTCACACTAAGCATGCATTTAAACAAAGTTATTTTTAAAAAGATGACTACTTTTTAGTGTGCGTAGTTGTATTTATAGACTTTCTAACGACTCCCTCAAAAAATCCTTTACAAAATGTTTAACGATAAAAAATTTTCAACATATTAAAAGAAGGAATTAGTCTTCTAATTCAACGCTGCATTCTATTTCTTGAACTCAATTAAAAATAATATGGGCGCTTTTCTAACTGCATCTGTAAATAATCAAGACCTCTCGAGTAGGATCTGTTTAGGAGACTACAAAATTGGGTATCATTGCACTGAGTACATAGTAGGCCCGCAACAAATATTTGTTGAAGGGTGGGAATTCCTGACGTAATCCCAACGTTACTTTTGTCCGAGTTTGTCAGAATGTTAAAAGTTAACCTGGATCAGAGAAGTGGGAACAAAGGCAGCTTAGGAACTACCGCGACCAGCCAGAAGCACTATTCTCAAACCTTCAGTGATGTTGTAAAGTTCCTCCCCGGTGACCAGGCACTGGGATTCCCATTTGTACGGGTGCTTCTTCCCAGAGCCTCTTGCGAAGCCCAATGAAGGAAGTAGAGAAACAGTCCTGCTTATTCCCATCGGCTTTTCGGTAGCTCTGGCGACTCAGAGGGTGACTTGGGAGCGGTGCGCGCTCCGACAAGCGACAGGGAGGTCATACAGACTTTTACTTCCTCTCCCTTGACACCACCTTGTAACGCCAGGTTCTTTTTGCACATTTTTTATACCCAGTCATCAAAGCACATTTCCTTCACCTGCACTGGAGCGTTTAAATTCTTGACAGCAACAGAAATATGTTCCTATCCCCGTTTTTCCAACGACGAAACTGAGGTTCAGAGAGGAGCCCTGGATCACCCAGTAGTCTCGGGAAGAGCAATGGACCTTGTCGACCTCTGTTCTGAAGTCCCAGAAATTTTGCAGAGCCCCTCACTCCCAGCAAGAAAGACTCGCCATGGGTTTGCTTTTTTAAATTTTATTCCCCTGCACCCCTTCTGATGTGAGTACCTGGGACTACTCCCAGCAGCCCTCCTGTAACAGGGCCCAGCACGTTTTTATCAAATCACTCTGTTTTTTCAGCGTCTTCCCCTGCTAGCTACATTTCAGCCTTTGCAAACAGGCTTCTGCCCCGCGACGTGTATGCAAACTACAAACCCCCACCACCGCTGGCCGTGTGTGCATGCGGTTGGCAGGCTGGGCTTTTATTTTATTTATTGCTTTTAAGGTTAGGGGTGGTGGTAAGGAGATGAAATCATTAGCCCTTCACCAGTTGTTTTAAATGTTAAGAAACAAAATCAAGAAAGTAGGTTTGCTAACTTTGGGAAACTAGATTGAGGGGAAGAGGGACTGGAGGAGAAACAGGAGGAGAAAGGGGTGTAAGCCTCTGTTCCCAAAACTGAAAGTAAACGAGCAGCCGAGCAGCTCTTGAACTAGTTCGAAATTTTAAAACTGCTGCATAAGGAGGAAACAAGCGGGATTTGGGTACAATAAACCACGCTGGCTGAGGCCAAATGGGAGATGGGACTGCAGGTCCCAGCGTAGGCAGAGAACAAGGCCCTCAGAATGTTCCGGCAGAGCCACCAGCCTTCCTCCTGTGTGTCCTCCATCCGTACTGACATAGGGAAAGCTGAGCCCCAGTGCTTCCTGGAGGACCTCAGCCCGTGGGTCCCAGCGGGGTGGGCTCGGAATTGTTTCCTCCCTAGCTCTCAACCCTCACCTCTAGCAAAAACGTGCACAACAGCCCCACTGCTCTCTCCAGACATCTTGCCCATCTCCACGTGCCCCACCCTCCCTACACACCCGTCTGCGGCACAGGGGAACCAGCAGCTGTAATCATAACTCAGTTGAATTACACTCAATCAATCCGCCCGGAATGCCTCCAGAGAATCGGGATCCCAGCAATTACTGGGAAGCGAGGTCGTGGGGCGGGGCAAGGGGGAGGAGAAAGAGGATCTTTATCCTGGGACTAACTTCAGGAAGTCCGAGAAGCTCCGATATTGAATGGGAAAATAAGTACATTTTGGGGAAGGGGAGGAGTAATTATAGATTTTACCGGATTGTGAAGGGAATCTACGGCTGCTCAAACAGTTTAGTAAATTAAATATTCAGAGGGAATAGGAGCCAGAGAGCCTGGGCTCGAGCTGTTTGTTCCACTGGCTGGGTGATCTTGGTCAGTTAGTTTTCTGCGGCTCAGTTGCCTCAGTTGCCTCATCTGCAAAGGGGAAAGAGTAGCCTTCCTTGGCCCCACTCCGCAATTATGAGGACAGCAGGTCTTCACAGGTTAGGAGTTCGGTACAGACGTTGATTTCCTCTGGAGGTAGCAGCACAGCCAGTCCGGGAGGGCCCGGCCAAAGCGTGCCTTGAAAACTTGATTGAAAGGCGAGGGCTCAAGGAATTCAGCTCCCCTCTTGAGGTCCCTCTCTTAAAAGGGGTCAGGCCGTGACTGAGGACCTGGTGAGGTGAGGAAACAGAAGTCCTTTGCCTTGTAAACCGACACCAAATTACAAAGTACCATTCGGAGTCCCTCTTGTAAATTACAAAGCAACTGGGCCGCTGTTGACTCAGCCCGTGGAGCTCGGCCGGCGGGGCTCGCCTCTTGGAACTGACCGGCCTGGGGCCCCCTTCCCCCTCTGCCTCCCTCTCCCTTTACCCCAAATCTCTCTCACCCTGTATCCCTTCCCTTTCTGGCGCTGCTCAGACCCACCCGGTGAGAATCTCTCTTTGGGCGAGTCACGTATGGGAACCTCAACAAGAAAAGAAGGAGGCCCAGCACTTTGGGAGGCCGAGGAGGGTGGATTGCTTAAGGCCAGGAGTTCGAGACCAACCTCGACAACAGGACGAAGCCCCGTCTCTACTAAAAATACAAAAAAAATAGCCGGGCGTGGTGGAATGCGCCTGTAGTCCCAGCTATTCAGGAGGCTGAGGTGGGAGGATCGCTTGAGCCTGAGAAGTCGAGGCCGCAGGTGCGCCGAGATCGCGGCACTACACTCTAGCCTTAGGCGACAGGAGTGAGACCCTGGAGACTGAGAGAGAGAGAGAGAGAAAACTCTTTGTTGTTGTTGTTTCCTGGATGAGGGTGGTTTTCTTGTTTTCTTCAAACACCCTGCCACAAATTTAAAAATAAAATAAATAAAGGAGGAAAGTGAGTTTCAAACTGGCTCCCTCTCACCCACCCAGTTCTTTTTACGAATCCCATCCCACCCAGTTCGCCCCGGAGCCACGCAGCCCAGGTGGCTTCCCCCTCGCGTAGCCACACGGGCTCGGATCCCATTCGAGGGTCCCGACTTCTGCAGCCCCGCCCTGCCCCTTCCCACTTCGCTCCCAGAGCTAATCGCGGGAGCGGATCCTGCCCCGAGCATTCCCCCCACACCCCCCAGCTCCGCCCGGACTCTGCGCGGACGGCCCGGCTTAGAGGCCCAGCCTGACAGAGGCGGGTTGGAGTGCGGATCCGCCCCTCCCTGGCCGGGACAGTGAGGAGGTCCCTTAACCCTCCTCTGCGCCTCGCTTTCCCCAACTGCAGAATGGAGGCCACCTAAGAGGAGGCGACGCGCGTGGACGCCCCGGCACGGTGACCCGCCCACACTGAGCATTCAGTGCTTGCGCGTAATTTGTATCATTTTTGTGGTTGTTTCAACTCCGTGAGCTAGCCTGCAGAGCGCCCGAGGCTGGGGGGCATCCGAAGCCCGATTTCCTCCCTATTCCACCCAACTCTCCAGCTTCGGAGGCCTGCAGAGGAGGCTGGGGGCCGGCGGGAATCCTCGCCTTCCACCTGCAGCCTAAGTCGCCTGTGGCTAAGTCAACCTGCCGCCAGCGCCCAGGGTGGCGACCGGCATTTGAAAACGTCTGAGCATCCCGAGAGAAGTGCTTTGCTGTGGCCGGCTTGGCTGTGGCTCCTCCAGAGCCGGCCTCGAAGGCACCTCCTTCTGCGGAAAGCCGCTCAGCGTTGCACCGTCTCACGACTTCCACCGGCTGCGGACGCGGCGAAATAAATAATCCCAGATGGGATTGCGGACATAGGATTTCCCAACTTACTTTGCGTAATCAAATACGCGACCCGTCGCAAGCCATGGGGGTGGGGAGTGGAGACTGCGGGAGACAATTCTCTCCGCCAGGCTGTTCGAATCCTCCCTTTCCGGCCGCGCGCGGTGGCTCACGCCTGTCATCCCAGCACTTCGGGAGGCCGAGGCGGGCGGATCACGAGGTCAGGAGATCGAGACCATCCTGGCTAACACGGTGAAGCCCCGTCTCTACTAAAAATACAAAAATTAGCCGGGCGTGGTGGCAGGTGCCTGTAGTCCCAGCTACTCGGGAGGCTGAGGCAGGAGAATGGCGTGAACCCGGGAGGCGGAGCTTGCAGGGAGCCGAGATGGCGCCACCGCCCTCCAGCCTGGGCGACAGAGCGAGACTCCGTCTCAAAAAAAAAACCAAAAAAAAAAAAAAAAAAAGAATCCTCCCTTTCCCTGCTCCGATTTACAAAGGAAAGGAAAAACTGAAGCTCGGAGAAGCTCATGGGAGTTGCTGGGAGACACACAGCTAAAACAGTGGCTGTGCGGGGTCAAAGAGCACCTCCAGCTCCCTGCCTCATACCGTCTTTTTAAATGTGCTCTTTGCAGCGGGATACGGAGTCAGACGCCGACTATGAAGTAATCGTCCCTTCCTAGCATATCTATCTGGAGGATCTGCCAGCCCGCCTGTCCCAACCCCCGGCAGCTTCCATCCTCCATGCTGGGAAACGTGGCTCAATTCCCTTGGGGGGCTGGTAGCAGCCAGGAGATGAGGCAACTGCAGACTTTCTTGACTTCTCAGTACCCATTCCAAATGGTCCTCAGGGGAGGCAGATACCGTGGGCTGTACTGGGGCCTGGGTTCCACCCCCGGGGCTGTGGCCTTGCTATGGAAGGCAGTCCTGGGAGGGCATGTGGCTGGTTGCCACATCAGGAGACACACAGCTCTTCACCCCCGAGAGCCTTCTTGCAGCCCCTAGGGGTCCTCACGACTAACTGGAACAGTAAACCCTTAACTCTGAGAACTTTCCACTCCCTATTCCCATTCTATTTTGGGGTTTTACATTTCAAGGGGGCAGGCTTTATCCACACTGAAATCACTCTCCATATTTTCCCAGCAGTCTAACAACCAGGTAGAGAGGAATCAAGGCGGGGCGGGGCGGGGGGGGGATTGCCAAGTGTTGGCAAGGCAGGTGCTGTGATGAAAAGTTAACTTCTTCCATGTGCATGAACCCCTCAGCAAATCTTTCCACCTTCCTGGGCCTGGGCTTCCTTGACTGTAAAGTGAAGGAGGGAAGTACATTGATTTCTAGGTTCTGCCTCAAACGTTAAAGACTGTAACAAATCTTAACTCCCATCTGATGGACTGCTTGCTCAGGTAGCAAGATCAAGGGTATGAAGAAAGTCCAAGCTGGACAGGAGGAGGAGAGGAGAAGGAAAAGAAGGTGGCGTGTGGGGAATTAGAAACAAGCTTTGGCATTGGTTTTGACATTTTGGTGATATTTTTGCTCCTCTATGCTACTGCTATTAATCTTACCTAGTTAAAAATGTAGGGGGTGGGTGGAATCTATCAACTAGGGAAACGATGGGACATGGAGTAGTTTCACAAAAGATTCAGTTTCCTAGAGCCCAGATCCAATAGGATTCATCCAAGTGACAAAGAAGGTTGCCACAAGTCACAAAGGTTCCATGATCCTGTGGCTTCTAGGTCAGGTTCATTCTGACTGGACTTTAAGCCAAAAATTACCAGGCTTCCTTAGCCCTGTCCTGTGCGAAGCTGACTCTGAGGTCTGAGTTTCAGCTCTGTGGAGGGCTGAAATATTGCCTTTCCTGTTAGCCCCAGGAGATCCCTCTGAAAAGTGTTCTTGCTGGAGGAGGGATTCCCCCCAATTATGCCAGAAGAATCCCTGTGCTCAAATTTTACCCACGCCTGGGAGAAGACTTGCCCAGAACACATGCTCCATAGTGTTTTTCAGGATGGAGTGGGAGTGAGAAAGGAGTGTCTCAGAGGAGGGATCAGAGTGTACTCGGCTCTGTCGTTGGATAGCCAGCGACTCCCCATGATGTCCAGGTGACAAGTGTGATGCTAAGTTTTGCAGCCAACTGGCAAAAGCACAGACACCTTTAAAGAGTACTTGACCTGCCTAAGAGAATGATTATTTTTGTCCATGAAATAAGTAGCAAAAAATATATAGTAAGACTCTAGGGATTCTCCTGTTCTACTCCTGGTTTTGCCAACTGAAGTAACCCTTGACCTTGGGCCACTTTTCTCACCATCACCACTTTAGGCTTCTGCAAAATGAAGAGGTTGAAGTGAAACCAAATCACCTTCCCATATATTTTTTGTAGTTCTAAGTGGGGTGAGAAAATGCAAAAGGCCTGCTCGGGGGTTTCTCCACGGGGATGTGGGGGCGGGGCAGGAGAAAGAGGGGACAAGGAGATACCAAAGCCAGCTTCCAGCGCGCTCCTTGTAACAAGGCGCCACGTAAATTTTAAGGGCCTGGAGGAAATCTTCTCTTTGATAATGCTGACCCCGGAGAGCAGGCGGTGTTCTAAAGGAGGGAGATGAGCAAGTTCCAAGGGGGCGGGTGAAAGGGAAATGTCACTTGCTTCCCACTGACTTAACGCGGCAGGAGCGCAGGTGCAAGAAACCCCCGGACCCTCCCTCCGGCCAACCCCCGCGCCCCACCAACCCCCGCCCCAAGCCTCCACTCCTGCTCCCAACTTTCGCCGAAAATTTATTGACGCGGCGAGGCCAGGCTAACAACACTGCAATCCCAGGCTCTTTGGGCCCCATAGGAATGCTTTGATCTCCCCCCAGCTCTAGCGGTCCTCAGCCGACGGCGTGGCCAAACGCCAGGGCTACCCGCGGCGGGTCGCCGTGCGGGGCGCAGCGGGAGGAGGCCGCGCGGGGGCGCTGTGGGGAGGACACGCCGGTCCGCGCTCAGCATCCGGGCCTGAGACCCAGCGCCCCCGGCTTCCGCGGCCTCCGCGCTCCCTCCGCGTTAACTCATCGCCCTGTCGCGCCCGCTTCTCCAGCGGGTTCGGCGGTCGGGGGAGGACAGTGATCGAGTTCGAAGTTCGGAGGGTCTCTGCGTCTCTGGGGTTTCTATCACTGCTCCTTCCAGCCCTCAAGCGGCTACTCCGAAGAATGACGAAGGGCCCTACTTGCGTAGATTCGTGGGATGATTTTACCAAGAAGGAAAAGGGGGAAAAGAAATCACAATTATTGAGGGTCCAGCCTTGGTCAGATTCCGTGTCAGACCCTTCCAACTTGACATTATTGACTCTTCACAACTCTTCATTTTGTAGTCCAGGAAGCAGGCTCCGAGAGACTGCCTAGAAAAAACAGCACCCGGATCTGAATTCGAGGCCGTCCCACACCCATCCCGGTACGGTTCCCAGCAGAACTGAGCTGGAGTGGCCCTGATGCAAATGAACTTAGATCCCAGCTGCTTGTGATGGAAGCCAATCCCAGCTTTCCCAAGCTTACAGGTTTTTTCCAGAAGAAGCCAACTTGATCTCCCGGAACACGAATTCAGCAGGCTCTCATCTCAGAACTGCCTCCAATCCATCCCATACCCCTTCACACTTCAGTCCTTGGTATTTTCTCCGATCACACCTTCCACTCCTCCTTCATATTTGCAAGTCTCTCCCTGCAGAATCTGCCCCGAGGAGCAAAGGACATTTTTCCATGGGGAACAGAATTTTAGAATTTCCCTTTGTACCCAGTGAGAAAGACTAAAGTTTGGTATAGGAAATAACCCAAAGACAAATCTATACACTGCATAGAACACAGGAAGCCTGGGCTCTGAAAACATAAAAGACACCAAATCATTCCTGGAGCACTTGTGAAGTTTTGGAAAATTCCTTTAACCTCTCTAAACCTCAGTCTCCTCATTTGTAAAATGAACATAATAAATATTTTTTCTTGCCTATGTCAATGGCTTCCTGATTTCCAAATGAAAAAAAAAGCAATTGGAATTCTTTGAAAATAAGAAAGCATTTAAAGCATAAGGTATGAATGAGACTTCTTTTCTTACTTAGTTTGCTTTCTAATCAGGAACCTCACTCCCTGAGTAACAAGTTGGTAAGATCAAATAAGACAAGTCTGGGAAAGGCCACAAAGGGAAATATGGGTGCTGGTTTATTAATTATTGTTCAAGCAATACCCTTTTCTAAAATGAAGCTGCCATTATGTTCCCTTCATCAGCCATATAAGAAATCCAGTGCCTAACCTCCCTTGTGGCCAGTGAGGAACAAAGCTCTGGAATTTTTACACAGATTTCTATTTCCCTGTGGAAGCACTGGAAAGGAAATGTCATTCTCACTTTGAAGAGGAAGAGGGATGCAGCAAGGTAATAAACGCTTTCTAAATAAGCACGTTGATTCAATGCTTTTCATTTCTCTTCAGAGGAAACCCTGTTATTGTGCAAGAAAGGATGAGTCCAGCTTCAACTCTTACCTCACTCAGCTAAGGCTGGTTTCCAGCTGGAACTATAAGCTGGGTTGTTTTCTTTTATATTACTTATACTTTTAATTACGGAAATTTTAACAATATACAAAAGTAGACCAGTAATATAATATCCATTACTATAACCCAGTAGAGTAACCTCCATACCTATATATCCATATGGGTATGTAATATCTATATATCTGTTAACCAGATTCGACAGTTATAATGGACCCATCTTTCTGCCCATCCCTGCTCAGAAAAATTCTTCAGAACGTCCACTACATTTCTGTCTATTAAAACCTGCAGCTGGCCAGAAGCGGGGGCTAATGCCTGTAATCCCAGCACTTTGGGAGGCTGAGGTGGGCAGACGGTTTAAGCCCAGCAGTTCGAGACCAGCCTGGGCAACATGGCAAAACCTCATTGCTACAAAAAATCAAAAGTTAGCTAGGCATGGTGGTGCACACCTGTAACCCCATCTACTCGGGAGGCTGAGGTGGGAGGATCACTTGAGCCCAAGAGGTTGAGTCTGCAGTGAGCCATGATCATACCACTGCTGCACTCCAACCTGAGTGACAGAGCAAGACTCCTGTCTCAAAAAAAACAAAAACAAAAGCAAAAAACCTGCAGCCCCATTTATTGAGTTGGTAAGATTTAATTATACCAATTGAATGGAATTTTTGGGACCTCAGATCTGATACTTTCTAGAACTCACAAACTCGTGATAAATCATCTGGGCAAGATTCTCATTGAGAGCCCAGCTTGATGCCAGTAGACTAGGGACAAAGATATAAGTAGCAGGGGTGAGTCATAACCCTAAATTCTAGAGTCTAGAATCTGAACTCTATGCAGTTTTTCTAACCAATTTGGGAAATTTCCTCCATAACTCACAATAATTACTCCCTCAAAGGGTTTAGGATTGTTAACGCTGTTAAGGATCTAGAATTCGTTCTTTTAGCAGAGACTTTATCTCAGCCCTGGCTTTAGAACTACACACCTGTTGTATTCCTCTCCACTTAGAGCCTTACACTTTGCCCAGGAGTAAAAACACCTCTTGAGCCCAGCCTAAGACCTCTTCAACTCCATCACATTCATGTTAACAGGCAACCTCCCAGGATCTCAAAGAACAGAGTTTTGATTGTTGTTTTGTTTTCTACAGTTTTTCTTCACCCTAGTTTGCACAATTCATGCAGACATCTGCACACTCAACTTTCATCCACTTAAGAGTCATGAAGTCAGTAGATTTGGCTTATCTTTTCCAAAAGAACTAGATCTGACCTCGGTATACAGTTCAATATACGAAAGCACATAATCAAGTCTCCAGTCATGGCACTCTTGTAATGTTTCCAGACACTTTGTGGTGTTTGGCAAATCTATAGGGTAATGAATATTGATGGCTCCCGTACATGTGGTGTTAAGATTTGCTCAGCCAAAAGTTTTTTCCTGCACTCTCTTTTAAAAATGTGTCACTAGAGTTGTCTTAAAATTAGTTTATACTCTGGCAGCTTTATTTAAATGTCAACCAGATGCAGCGTTTCATTAGAATGTTTTCCTTTTTTTATTTGTCCCTGCAGATTGTTGGTGTTTTAAAACTTTTTTTTTTAATCTTTCTGTCTTTTCCTGGCTGAAGATAAAATATTTAAAAGTCAATAAACTTCCTCACTTAACATATGTTTTAATTTTCTTTTCTGGCTGCAAGATCCCAGTTCCTGAATTCCAAATGTTTTTCAAGACCCAAGTAGAGTAACTGCATATTAGGTAGCTTAACGTTCCTGTAATGGTGACTTTTGCACCACAGAAGGGACCTGTCAGTTACAACCTTTTTGCCCTCCATTTATAGTTACGCACACACTTCCATTCAAAGCTTCTGTTTTCACTCCTTTCCAAAAATACTGTCTTTCTGGGTGAAATTTTTCACACAGAAACTCAGCTCTCCAGCAATTTCATTTTTTTAGTAAAGCTTGAATAAACTAATTCTTAAGTTATTTGAGGGAGCTAACATACACTGGTTTTAAAACCTAGATTCCTGTGTGTTAATAATTAAAAATTGAAAGAGGAAAATAAGCCTGCAATGAGAAAGACGTTTGAAGCTTTGAAAGTTACCAAATAGTAAAAAGTGAAAGTAATTTTAAATCACTTTATAGATTCTACAACATTTATTAAAGATTTAGGATGGCAGAATTGTTTCCATTTCTCTGAGGTTCAATAATTATAATAAGCATTCATTGCTACAGGGGCATATATATTTAGTAGGCTCAGATAAATGCAATGTTTTTATCACAGCCACAGGAAACGTTTTTGTTGTTTATGTTGCTGGTGTTTTTTAAACAACTCCTCTTTAAAAAAAAAAAAAAAGAAAGCACAGAGAAATAAAAGAAACTCTGATTATCCTGTGTTGTGCACAGAAATACAAAATAAGAAACTAGAAATTTTAGAATATTCAGCTAAAAATTCACATTGTGTGTAAATGGCATTTACTGGGAAGATGGTGATTCTTAACTGTGGGATTTTGTCTAGAAATGTTGATAAATTTACATCCTAATGGGATTGATCTCACATTTGGTTTTGCTTACATGTTTATAAAGCATTAAAGTTTGGTTAGCCAAATTTCTCATACTTGATATGTATCAGAAATTGTATTTAAAAGCTTTACTTCTGTTGTAAAATTAGTTTCCTGAAATGAATAAAACCAATTAAATTGATATGAAAAAGACTAACGCTGTGGTACCTGGTTTGGGAAAGGAGATATCTGAGTAGTACCAACCATTTAATTTCTATTTCTTATTAATTGTTCGCAAAATTTTTAATGAAGACAACCAAACTAGACTATTTTTTAATTAGTCAGTAATTACAACATCCTAACAAAGGAATTTGAGAGTGTAATTTATCAGATGCATTGGATTGTTCAGGAGTAACAGGCAAGGGCTATTCCACGTGATGCTGCTTGCTTTATGCTACTGTGTTATTTAATATTCATTCTCACAGACCCTGATCCCAGTCCCACCTTCGTTGGGCATCTCATCCAACCAAGAAGTAATTAATCTCAATTCAAGTCAGCCCTACTAAGTCTCAGTAGTCATGTTGAAATTTTGGGCAGCTGCTTACAGGAAAACCAGAATGGAGGGAAAAGCTACATATAATACTCTAACATTCATTTTCTCTGTGAAAACAGATCCTAAGGGGCTTTCAAAGGCATTTCTATGAATGTGTTTGTTTTCACTTTTGTGTTCTTACCACTTTAATCTACTTAATAGTGAAAAATATTGAAGGAGCTTCTTTTCTTTGTATACAATGAGGTGAGTTGTTTTTTTTTCTTAATTCAACTGTGGACAAAATTACTTAAATTTTTAAAGGCCATATTTGATGGCATTCCAAGATTCCAAGTCATAACTAAATCATCCTAATGGGTTTGAGAAATTAAATTCACATCCATCAAATAGGCTGTTACCAGAAGAACACCCAGAAGGCAACTGAGGCAACAAGCTAAGTAATTCAAAGACTCAAAACGCTTTATCACTTGGGCTTGGGGAATTGGGTAGCAGGCCATGTCTCTAAATAGACATGAAGAGACTATTCTTACAAACATAAGCAGTAGTCCACTGACCTGACAGGGCCTCAGAGACCAGCAAAACATTTGCTTAACTTCATTGTTATGCCTTGCCAGTGGAGCAGTTTCTAAGCAAAACATACTTATGAGCACCGCGGTAAGACAGCCAAAGCAATTTACTACACAGAGCCCTTGCTTCTATCTGTGTGTACTTGGGACTGTGATAGGCAGGTGATTGAACTAAGCTTGCTAAGCATGCAGTAATTAGTGTGTATAAAATATACAATTTTATAAAATATGAAAGTTAATATTTATAATTTTTTAAATGTTTATAAAAGCCCTGGACCCAACTCTTTGCCCTGTGCAAGCCAATTTTAAAAGGAGGGTGTGGCCTCACCGATAAGAGACCTAAAGGAGATGTTGATATCTCATGGAAGAACATTCCAGCCAGAGAAAACAGGGAATGCAGTGGCCCTGAGGGAGGAATGTTCCTGGTGTGTTTAAGGAACGAGAAGGGGCAAGTGCAGCTGGGTCAGAGTGTACAAAGGAGGCAGTGCTGATCTGTGAGTGTTTGGGGTGGAGAGGGGCAGATCATATATAGCCTGGAGGACTTGGGCAGACACTCTCAGGGAAATGGGGAACCGTTAGGGATTAGAGGAGGTGACATATTAATAGGTAAACCAAAGTGTAAAGCATTAAAGCAGTTTGTATCATTCATATCAGTCAGTGTCTAAGCTCCAACCAGCACTCAAGCTATTTTGTGTAAAATAAAAACACTACTATCGCTTCTTGGCCTTTTGGCTACCATCAAGTGTAAAAACACTACTATATTTATAGAACACTCACCTAGGCCAGATGCATGAGTAAATTATCTAATTCATTCCTCAAAACCATGCTCTAAGTCAAGCATCTTGTCTCTTTTGTAGTTGAATGAATAGACTTACAGAGGTTAAGAAACATACCAAAGGTCACACATCTGATCATTTAGTGGTGGGCCTAGAACCCAAAACCAAGTAGATCTAACTCCAGAGCCCATTCTCTTAATCGTTGTTCATGGAAATGGCAGAAATCTCAAACATACGTTACATTTGAATATATACAATTGCATACAGATGATTTGTATATGAAATGGTCAATATCATCTGTATAAGTGCACCCTTTAGTATTGCTAACATTTGAAAACCTGGGTATAGATTGTTGGCAAGTGGCACTACATAGATAAGTGGTAAGCTAGCTGCCATTAACCTATTTCTAGCAATACTCTGGTGGAACTACATTGCATGGAGGCCTGAGAGTATACAACCTCTCAGCATCCAGGCTACAGTGTCTTGTTACTACAGCCTCTCCATTAGCCTCAACAATACCCAAGGGTCGAGTGTGGTGGCTCACTCCTGTAATCCCAGCATGTTGGGAGGCCAGATGGCTTGAGGCTAGGAGTTTGAAACCAGTCTGGGCAACATGGTGAAACCCCATCTTTACAAAAACTACAAAGACTAGTCAGGTGTGGTGGCTCGCATCTGTAGTCCTAGCAGCTCAGGAGGCTGAGGTGGGAGGATCACCTGAGCTGGGGGAGATTGAGGCCTCAATAAGTTGTGATCATGCCACTCTACTCCAGCGTGGGTGACAGAGTGAGACTCTGTCAAAAAAAAAAAAAAAAAAAAAAAACCAATACCCAAAGGATCAAATACTGCACCTACCCCATCCCTCCAGGACAGAGTTTCTCAATTTCTGGAAAACATGGAAGCCACATATGAAATTTTGGTCCCCTTTTCCCCCCCAAAAAAATGTGCCTAGTCTAGCACCCATACAGGTACTAAATCAGCAGGTCTGGGGTTTGTTTTTTGTTTTTTGTTTTTTTGAGACAGGTTCTCACTCTGTCATGCAGGCTTGAATCGGCAGACCTGAAGTGGGAACCAAGCACTTGGATACCCACCAAAGATTAAAAATCATGGACCTAGTGGGTCAAATCTGTGAGTGCCATTCTATCCAGGGAACTTGTCCAGCTCTGACATAACTGAAAGGCTCACTAGGTAAATATATATCCAACAAATTCTTCTTTTTTCTTTTTTCATTTTAGAATCATAAAATGTTGCATCAATTGGGTAAGCACCCAAACTCAGTATTTGAGTCTAGATGTATTAAAAAAAAAGGAGAGACATTGATAGATACTCTCATAAACAAAAAGTAGGCAGGAAGTGTTGTCTTTGCAAAGACAGGGACCCCCTGGCCAACTGGATCATTGAATCAGGAAGCAGTGATGACCACAGAGAGGATGGCAAATGGCTTCAGTTCCAGTCCCAACTTAGCTTGACAGTTTGTGGGTGTCAGCACTCTGCCTTGAAAAGGATTCTGAGGCTGGGCAGGAAAGACAGAGTGATTGATGAGCAGTGTCTGCCATGGATGTGCAGATGAAACACATTTTACATGAGTGTTAAGTGGGAAAATGTCATGTTAGAGAAAGGCATCCTACCTTATTGAAAAAAGAAATTAGGCCTGGCGCGGTGGCCCATGACTGTAATCTCAGCACTCTGGGTGCCCAAGGCAGGCAGATGGCTTGAGCTCAGGAGTTCGGACCAGCCTGGGCAACATGGTGAAATCCTGTCTCTACAAAGAATGTAAATATTAGCCAGGAGTGATGGTGCACACCTGTAGTCCCAGCTACTCAGGTAGGAGGATCACCTGAGCCTGGGGAAGTTGAGGCTGCAGTGAGCGGTGATCACGCCACTGCACTGCAGCCTGGGTGACAGAGAAAGACCCTGTCTCAAAAAAAAAAAAAAAAAAGGAAAAAGAAATTAAATTACAAGGAACATCAAAATTTATACTTACTAGGTGAAAGTCCATCTATTATCTACTCAACCATTAGGAGCATTCAGATTGAGATTTCAATAGAAAGCCCAGTCTTTACAACGTTATTCGTTAACTTATCTAATGATGCTAATATTTAAGAAGAAGGGTAAATTTAATTGTCCTGTGGTTTATCAAGCATCTTGTGGTGAATGAAACTATGTTTTAATGTAATCCTGCAGCTGGATTAAGGCCAACAACACTTAGCTAATCATCAAATTGTTCATGTACTGACACCGTTATTTTTAATCTAATGGGTTGTTTGTTTAACTTCTGGCTACCGTATTAAGGGCTTTTAGCTTCTTCCTCTGATGTTTTTCTGAGCCTGGCAGTGTGATATTGTTTGTGTTTTTTTTGTGTTTGTTCCCAAAGCTTGCTGTTGGTTTGTTTTAATATTCTTTTGATGTGTCTACTTGTGAGACAGTTAAATAAACAAACCCTTAGGCTGAGAATACGTGAAAAACAAACCACCATCATCTAATCCCCTGATCTCTAAAAATATTTAGGCAGAGGAGGACACAAACAATTTTAGGTCATCCTTCTCTTGCCTCGCAATACAACTCTTGAATCTAGTTTTATTTTTTTCTCCTATGTTTATGGAACTATTTGTCATAAATACTTTTTAAAATATTATAATACCCTAGATTATACATAGTGATTATTTCTTATTTTATGTAATTTTTAGCATACTTTTTAAAATATTGGAATATCATATTATGCATAACTATGATTTTTTTCTACATTACACATTAGGCATACTTCAACATAAAAAGATACGTGATTCCGGAAAGATAACAAACATCTCACATCATAATGTATACTCATGCAAACATCTCCTAGTGATGTTACAAAATAATAGATGCATACAATCGAGAGCTGGGAGGGACATTAGAGATCATTTACTCAACGGATTTTCAAACGTATCTTAGCTCAAGAACCTTTTCCACAAAAGAAAGCATCACAGAAAGCCCCCATGTGAAAGAGGTAAATTCTGAGCCACCCTGATTGAAACAGGAAGGGAGATCCTGAGCTGCTCCACTTCTCTGCTTCCCCCAGGCCAGCCCAGGGCAGTGGTCCCTAAATCATGGAGCTGATTTAGGGAAGTGAAGCTTAGTTGGATGCTGTATTATGCAGGATCTGAATCCTGTATAAGGTTTTGCTGAGCATTTCGACACCAGACTAGGAGCATTTGTTCATGTTTCCCTCAGATGGCCCCTCTATGAATAGGCTTTGAACACGCACTTCCTTTTTTAAAAAATAACTTGTATTATAAGTTTACATCCATAGTCATTTACATCAGTAAGAATAATGTCATTAGAGAATAAAGACCATAGGATTTGGCATGCAGGGTTATGGGTGTCATAGTAGCCCCAGCACCATTTTTATATCTTGTTTTGATTGTAAGACATCCAAAAACTACTGGTTGCTGCAAAAGGTAATTTTTCAAACTATTTTATTGAGGAAAAATTTATAGACCATGAAAACACACATATTAATTGTGCAATTCAATAATTTTTTTTTTTTACAGACAGAATCTCTCTCTGTCTCCCAAACTGGAGTGCAGTGACATGAATCACGGCTCATTGCAGCCTCAACATCCCCAGCTCAAGCGGTCCTCCCTCCTCAGCCTCCTGAGTAACTCACAGGTGTGAGCCACCATACCTGGATAATTTTATTTTTGTTTTTGTGGACACAGGGTCTCACTATATTGCCTAGGCTGGTCTCAAACTCTTGGGCTCAAACGATCTTCCTGCCTCAGCTCCCCAAAGGACTGGGATTACATACATGAGCCACCATGCCTGACCACAATTCAGTAATTTTTGATAAATGCATTATACCCCCCATAACCAACAACCCGGTCAAGATCTAGATGCATATATTTCCGCTTGGCCGACTTTGGGATGAGGGATAAATGCTTTTTGCAGGGTGCAGGTAGGTAAGCCAGTTCTCATTTGAACAGCAAGTCTTCCTGAGAGGTTCACTTAAGAGCTGTGAACCAGGCAGGGCCTGAAATCCCAATGGTAACAGTAGCCCAGCGTGTGAGAGAAATGCCTCAACTCCCACTCAGGGATGCTGGGAAGCCTCGCTTTCAGGCCACCCCACCCCACCCTACTGTTCCGTGAACTCAGGCACTGTCCCAAAGCAGAAACAACAAGTGGACAGTGGACGCCGCCTATATCATGATGCCCAATGGCATTTTTTATTTGATGGGGCAGGTCGAGCCAGGGAGAAGGGGCTGGAGCTCCCTTTCCCAACGTGTGCTCTCCTTGGGTCAATAGTGAGATTGTTATGAGAGCGAAACCCGAGCCAGGTAATGTGTGCAGGATCTGTGGCTTTATTGTGTCCCTGCTATGTTAATTAGTATTAGGAGCATGATGGATTGGCAACACGTGTGCGCTCTGAGTCTTAAACCAGCCCTGAGAGTTTAGCACTCCATTAGTTACACATCACAGAAACCCAGGGGATGTTTACTCAAAAAGAGGATCACTTACAGGAGGGAAACATGCTAATTCACTCCCGATACTGTCTGGGGAGAGGGACACCCCATCCACCAGTGAGTAGTGTAACCCGTGATCCAAGACAGAGCTGGAATTAGAAGCTGGCGGGAAACTACAGAAAACCCCGGCCCCCAGCCTGGGAACCCTGAAATCTCAAATCCTCAGTTGTTCCTACATGAATCCCTCTGAGACAGAAGTTCAGAGAAGGCTCTGTGTTGACATTTCAATTCATTACCCCGTTCCAGAAGCAAGGAACCCTCTCCCACACCCGTGCCAGGCCACAGAGAAGGGAATTCCTACTCTGCTGTCCTTCTCACCAAATTTTCCAGCAGCTGTTGCCTCTCAGGCCTGGACCAGCTGTATCTACCCCCACTCCATCACAAAGGGTACCAAGAGGGCCCGTGAAGGGGTGTCTGAAATCCCGGAAATCCGCAGAAGCAGGCGATTATTACTGACCTATTTTTAATTACAAATTAGAAATAATCAAAATGATTTGATTTTGTGTTCATTCAGAGGGCTTTAGAGAAGATAAGCTCTCTGCTCCCTTCTGACCCTAAGGTTCTAGAGTTTTAATGTTGTCGAAAGCAATTCTGTAGACACGAGGAAACACAGGTGCAGCTAAAACATTAATGGATCCATGAATGGTGCTTGCTTTATATTCTCCAGGCTAACACGTATGCAATGTCTACCAAGAACACATGATGTCCAGCTTTATACAGTGCATGCATTTAGGCAATGATGGAGTTTCTGAGGTATAAATGGCCCTCCCCGCCCAGGGCCAATTTCAAGCTGACATCACTGAACACAAAGTTGAGAAGAGATGTTTACCATTAGCCCTTGCAAGATGGTAGGAGCAGGTCCAGCACACCGCTACAAATTCAATAAATAAATTGGGATTGAAAATTATCCCTGTGCCTTGTTGCCTTGTTATCTGCAAAGTCTGTCTTCCTTCTCTCCCTTCTTCTCTCTTTTTTTTTTTTTTTTTTTTTGAGACAGAGTGGCTGGAGTGCAGTGTTTCAATCTCGGCTCACTGCAACCTCCACCTCCCAGGTTCAAGCAATTCTCCTGCCTCAGCTCCCCCTCCAAGTAGCTGGGATTACAGGCGCATGCCACCATGCCTGGCTAATTTTTGAATTTGGTAGAGACGGGGTTTCACCATGTTGGTCAGGCTGGTCTCGAACTCCTGATCTCACATATCTGCCCACCTTGGCCTCCCAAAGTGCTGAGACTACAGGTGTAAGCCACTGCGCCTGGCCCTTCCTTCTCTCCCTTCTAATCTCAGGCCCTAAATCAGTATATCTGGGTTCAAATCCCGGTTCTGCTGGTGTGAAGCCTTGGGTGTATCCCCTTTTCTCTTTCCTCACCAACAAAATTTGATACTTTTAAAGATAGGCTGTTTTTACAGAGAGTAGAGTAATAGATATCAGGGGTTGCGGGGCAGAGGGAGCAAGAGAATGGGGAGATGTTGGCCAAGGGTACAAACTCTGAATTCTAAGATGAAGCAGCTCTGGGGATCTAATGTACAGCCTGGTGTCTATAGTTAACAGTACTGCATTACATACCTGGAAT
The DNA here is from genome assembly GCF_000001405.40 of Homo sapiens. Lineage (NCBI taxonomy): Eukaryota > Metazoa > Chordata > Mammalia > Primates > Hominidae > Homo > Homo sapiens. The sequence goes on along the minus strand of NC_000009.12, from coordinate 1,030,687 downwards.
TTTTTTGGAGAGTAGATCTTGGGCATTCTCTCACCCACAAAAGGTAACTATGTGAGGTGACAGGTGTGTTAATTAACTCGATTGTGATAATCATTTCACAATGTCTACATATATCAAATTATCAGATTGTATACATTAAATATATATAATTGTATTCGTCAATTATAACCTAAATAAAGCTGAAAATTTTTAAATAGGTTTGACTCTATATGGGTGTTGTAAGGATTAAATACTTACTTAACATACCATAAAACAGTGATACTTGAACTTCAGTGTACATCGAGATCACCTGGTCTGCTTTCTAAAGCACAGCTTGCTGCGCCTCACCCCAGAGTTTCTGATTCAGCAGGTCTGGGCTGGGGCCTGAGACATTGCATTTCTAACACGTTCCCAGGCAATGACATGGCTGTCCAGAGCTCACACTTGGAGAACCACTAACCTGAAGGGTTCCGTAGGGTGCCTAGAATTTATTAAGTATGGTTTTATGATCATCGATTCCAAGATGTCAGAGCCATTGCCTCTAAATAAAGACCATGCCACGAAGACTCCAGGCCTTCCCTAAGTGAAGGTCCTATCCCAGAAGGCTCCTCTGGATCTGTGAAAACTTCCACTGCCGTCAAACAAGGAATAGCAGAGAGAGCTGCCACTCTTTCCTTGCTGTTCCCTCCATCGGTCAGTCAACAATTCAACACCAACTGAGTGCCCAGCATGTGTGCCAGCTCTACAAAAGGTAAAGATCAGGTAGGGTTAACAGGCACACACCTTAAAGAGACAGATAGAAAAGGGATTAGTTCAGAGGACCTTAGCCCAAAGGAGAGATCCCCTAAGGGCACCTGTTCTCACATCAGGCATTCAAGTTTGCTTGGCTGTTTGTTTTCAGCAGTTGATCATATGTACTCCTGGGCAGCACAGGTACTCACTGGTGACAGCAGGAGGTGATAGGGTCTACTCTAAGCCTCAGGTATGACTCAATCTTGAGAGAAGTACATGGATTAATTTATATTCTGCATCACGTATCCTTCCTAAACCCCTCATTTTGTGTTTCACACTACATGTAAATAACTCAAAAGTATGTAACTTCATATATTTGCTTTTCATTACAATTACTAATTGCCCCCAAGCCTACTGCATTTGCTGCATACCCAAGAGGGAAGGTAGGAATGGTTAAATCTTAATGGCTTTTTAGGTCAACAATGCTACTAGTAATTCTTTTTTGCTAAAATAAGTCACAGAAGCCACACCCTGGGATCAGGCCATACGGTAATGGCAGCTTAAAATAACACAAGGGAAAGCAGGGCTCACCAACTGAGAAACAGAATTTTTATGCCCCACTCATTCCCTCGAGAACTGCCTGGACAGTGGTTCCCGGCAGCTGGGGTGTTAGGACCCATGCTCTGCTTGATTATGAGACAACTAACACCATCCCTTCCCTGCACACAGCAACCACAGGAAACTACAGGAGACACAGTAGAGTATTGAAAACCCAGATGAGAATCCCTGGGGAGGCAGGTCCTTCAGACCCTCCATGGACCTTAGCCCTTGAAAGGCTCACTACTCTGATTTTCAGATATACCCAGAAAAGGACTGGCCTAACGTTTCCATCTCACTTTAATGGCTACATTTCTTCCCTTTCATGCAATACAGTTCCAAACTGGTGCCAGCACAAACGTTTGCCTTGTACACAGACCCCCCCGCCCACAACCCAACCCTGTTAGACCAGCTGTACCAGAGCCAAGAAATACTGGCTCCATCCTTCCCCCTTCCCATATTTTTCATTTAGAAGGTAGCTGGTTCCTCCAAAAGCATTTCAAGATGATAATCCTCTTCCTTCCTGCAACACTCAAGCCAACTGCCTTTCACCTCTCCTGCCATCTTCAAAGTTTCCACAAGGGTTACGACTAAGTGGGGAGGCAGAGGAAAAGTTAGCCTTCGGCCTGTTTGTTAATGAATCCCACAGAACAAAGACACAATGCCAAAAATGTTGGCGCTATATCATACCCTTCACAGAATGAACAAATCATACTACTAGAAAATTCCTAAAGTCAATACGGAATGAGGTGGAAACTAGCCAGCAATTTAAAACAAGAGAAATTTTCCCTTGTGTTTTAAGCGCTCATCTTTCCCTCTGTTATGCTAGTCACATTCTTGTGGCTTATAAACCAAAGTCAGAGGAAAAGATTAACAGAGGTGACAATACGAACATTAAAACAATAGAAGGAAAAAGGAAGGAAGGAAGTGAAGGGGGAAGGAAAGGAAAGAGAGAGGGAGGGAAAAGAAAGAGGAAAGGAAAAATTACAGACTAGTGACAACATTTGCAGGTGAATAGCTTAATTAGGTAAGTATTGTTCAGATAATAGAAAACAGCAGTGAACAAAATTCACAAAATAATAAATATAACTAGTAATCAAATACAGAAAGATAGCCTCACTGGAAATCAAAGAAATGAAAAATTAAGTTATTGAGATATCAGTATTAACCTAATAAAGTAGCAAAAAAGAATTTTCTGTTCACAGCCAAAGCCAGAAAGCTTACTGTAAAACTGGCACTCAAACACTGCTGGGAGCAGTAAAACTTGGTACAATACTTGGGCAAAGCGATTTAGAAATACAAATCAAATGCCATAAATTGTTTCTACCCTTTGACCCGGAAATTCTACTTGTGGAAAACGAAATAACCCAAAAGAAGGAAGCTATACACACAAGTATGTTGAAGGTAACATTTACAATTTTAAAAAAATTGAAGCAACCTAAAAGCCCCACAATAGGGAACAGCTAAGAAAACTGCTGTACATTCATGCATTCATTTATTCAACAAACATTTAATCATCAGCCTCCATGTGCCAGTCACTCCTTCTAAAGGTAACCAGTAACAGCAGGCGTGGGAGACAGAGTATACATTTACAGATTTTCCCTTTAAATGAAGAGGTGTCAGCCTTCAGTGGGACACTGGCATATGTATCACTCCCAAGTCATCAGAGAATAAAACACCCAATGTAAATATTACGGAAATTGATGACAGTTGGCCTTGAGGCCTACTTGACTAAGGGCTCTGGAGAAAAGCGTTGGGAAAATCATGGCAGATGGCTATGCTAAGGGCTCCAAGTAGCCCTGAATTCACAGCCCACTACTTTAAGACACTTGAAATTAAATGTACTGGGGCCGAGTGTGGTGGCTCATGCCTGTAATCCCAGCACCTTGGGAGGTTAAGGTCAGCGGATCACTTGAGCCCAGGAGTTTGAGACCAGCCTGGCCAACATGGTAAAACCCTGTCTCTACTAAAAATATAAAAAAATTAGCTGGGCATGGTGACAGGTGCCTGTAATCCTAGCTACTCGGGAGGCTGAGGCAGGAGAATCGCTTGAACCTGGGAGGCAGAGGTTGCAGTAAGCCGAGATGGCACCACTGCACTCTAGCCTGGGCAATAGAGTGAGACTCCGTCTCGAAAAAAAAAAAAATGTATTGGAGCCCCTGAGCCTGAGCAACCAGTTGCCTTTAAAGAGCCCTGTGAATATGTACTTGATTCCTGGTTTCTGGGGGGGTGCGTGGAGGCGACAGGCAGAAGCAGGTGATGGAACAGATCTTCGCTCCCCAACGGGGCTCCATTCCTCAAAACATGTTCCCTGAGCCTTCCTGTGTGCTCAGCACCGTACCTCTGGCTCTCAGGAGGCCCCACTGACTGTCCAGGAGCAGAGTCAGGGAGCACCGGGCATGAAAGGAGGGGCAGCCAGCACGCAGTCAAGGAAGCTGGCCTGTCTTAGGACCATCGGCTGCTTGGGTCAGCCTTGCCAAAGGGAGCCCTTGGGGACGCACCACCTGCCACTGGCCTCTGACAGCAGCACCCATCTTCCAGGAAGAGTGGGCTGCCCCAGGCGCTGACGTTAGGCATGGACACCTGCCTCCAGGCTGCAAATCAGGATATCGGCTAACATGCCACCCTCCAAAGGAGCCACTTTTCCACTTTTCCAAAGATTTTTTTCGATCGGGAATAACTCTTCATTTCATAATTAGAAATGTCTTCAAATCAATCCCCCGTGGCAAGATAAAAGTAACAAATATAACAAGTTAAGTATTAAGCATAGTACTTGCTATGTGCAGGATATTATTCTAAGTGCATTACATACAGCAGTTCATTTAATTCTCACAACAAACCTGTGAGTAAAGTACTATTTTATAAATCCCATTTTATACATGAGAAACTGAAGCACAGAGACACTGAGCAGCTGGCCCAGGTTACACACTAGCAGAAGGACCTTTTGACCCAGTAATCTCACTTCTGGGAATAAATTAACCAAAAAGAGTGAAAATTTATATACACAAATATATTTGTGGTGACATTATTTAACATAGGAAAAAGTTGGAAGCAACCTAGAATGAACAATAAGCAAAAAATAGCTAAGTAAATACATTCTTTTTGTATGGGATTTGTACTCAGGCAGGCTTACCTCTTTAGAAAGGGGATAGCTAGCCAGCCATGGTGGCTCATGTTGTAATCCCGGCACTTTGGGAGGCTGAGGTAGGAGGATTGCTTGAGCTTAGGAGTTTGAAACCAGCCTGGGCAACATAGTGAGAACCCCCCACCTCTATGGAAAAAAAATCGAATTAGCTGGGCATGGTGGAATGCACCTGTAGTCCCAGCTACTTGGGAGGCTGAGGTGGGAAGATCAGTTGAGCCTGGAAGGTTGAGGCTGTAGTGAGCCATGTTCATGCCACTGCATTCCAGTCTGGGTGACAGAGAAAGACCCTGTCTCAAAGAGAGAGACAGAGAGAGAGATAGAGAGAGGGAAAGGAGAGGAGAGGAGAGGAGATAAACTTTACTATGGGTAAATGGTTGAGATACAGAGCCAACTTTTCTGTGCCAACTACTTCTGTGAGTAGTTTTGGGAGAGGGGAGACACTAATGCCTGAAAGATGAGGGACATGGAGGTGGCGGTTAGAGTCAGGGCCCAGGTGACACATTTTGATGACCTCATGGTTTTGCCTATATGAGGTCTGTATACCCTAGTCTTTCCCAGACACAAACTGCTTATACCTACCTCCTCTTCTTCAAAATCAGAAATAAGAGGTAATAATCTAGTTGCCCACTTGTTTTTTTAAGGAAGTAATTGGGCTTTTATTCTCCCCAAAAGCCACAGAACCGCTGGCTAATCTAAACCAAACCAAAACTTCTACCCACTGTTTCGCTGTGGTCAAGAAACACGTTAACAGCTTTTGCTGTGGGCTTGGATCAAACGCCTCAAGCTGGGCTACCCAGGGGCTTAGCAGATTCCCATGCTTCCAGGCTAAGGAGCAGCGCCCCTGAAGAAGATTTTCTCAAGTTAGCATTGTGAGTCATTCCAGGGGCCGGGCTAGGGAACAAAGCACAGCTAGGACTGGCCTGCCATCTGTAGCGGCCCCACTCACGTCACCTGCCATGCACCTCAAGCACGGACAGGCACAAGCACATTCCACCTCCCACCCAACAGACACACTTGTGCATGAACTTGCCTGCACACACACACACACACCCTCCTCTCCAGTTGGTTTCCCTCCTGCCTCCTCCACAATGCTCACTGCTAAGAAGCACTCCTTCCTCTGAGGTTCTGCTGGAAGGTGTCTAGGGACACAGGTGAGGCCTTCCTGAGCCCCTGCTCCCATATGGATTGGGAATTACCCCCTTTTACTTTTGAAAAGGCCTTTTTTTTTTTGAGACAGAGCCTTACTCCATCACCCAGGCTAGATTACAGTGGCATGATCTCAGCTTACTGCCACCTCCACCTCCCGAGTTCAAGCGACTCTCCTGCCTAAGCCTCCTGAGTAGCTGGGATTACAGGTGCACACCACACGCCTGGCTAATTTTTATGTTTTTCTTAGAGGCGGGGTTTCACTATGTTGGCCAGGCTGGCCTCAAACTCCCAATTTCAGGTGATCCACCCGCCTCGGCTTCCCAAAGTGCTGGGATTACAGGCGTGAGCCACCATGCCCAGCCTGAAAAGGCCTTTCTTAATTCCTTCTTTAATTTAATATCCCAGGATATGAAAAAGAGATTTGGCCAAGAAATCAAGGGCTATCATGGATCAGGTTGTTGTGGACTCTTGGCATTCCGAGTTTCAACATTCATGATTCCAGCTTTCCCTGTGTGACCTTGAAGATCCGGGATATGCAGGCAATGGTGATTTTACTGGGACACAAATTTGAATCAGACTCACTGCATGGCTGGCATGCAAATGAGTCCTTTAATTAGAGTGAGTGAGCCTAGCTGAGCACCTAGCAAGTGCATCTCAGCCCAGCATTGGGGCTCTGTACTGGAAATCTAGAATACATTTACCAAAAGAAGGGAGAGTCATTTAGGCACCTGAGGCTCTCATGAAGGTCTTGGAATATATCACCATAATGCCATGAGTCATCCCTTTTCTCTTTCACTGTCATAAAGACACCAGGAAATGTATCCTTAAGTGTGGGTGGAGATAAAGGATTTGGTTCTGTGAGCTGTGTGACAGTACAACCTGCATGGATCAGTCAGTAGGTCAGGATGTAGATGACGTGGGTCCCCAAATCAGGATTTCTGTCCTAAGCAAGAGTTAGACAAGCAATGGGCTTCATCCCTTCCTCTGGGAACTTGTGGTATCAGCAAAGAAAATGCAGTCAGAAAGAGAAAAGAAAATGTAAGCTGACAACAACGACTGACTCCTCAATTCAAGGAAAGATACGAGGACATGCTTGTCTATAGGGGAAATGTTTCTGTAGTATCTCAAAGCACAGCTTTGATGACAGACATGGCTTAATGTCCAGCTCTGCCATTATTGGTTATAGTATTTCTCTAAGCCTTCATTTCTTTATCTGAAAATGAAAAATAGTAAAGTATCTTCCTCACTGAGTTACGAGGTTTCAATAAAAAGATGTGTATGAACTAGTAAGTGCTCAATTAACATTAAATAACATTTTTATGATTTTACTACCTGTTAGAGAATGATGGAAATCAGAAATTTCCTGGGTGCCTAAAGCACCACTTTCTCCTTCAGTTGCTTTTGGTTTTGAGGTTTATTTTCCCTGTCTGATAAATGTCTCTGGGTTTTGACTCTTGTGAAGCCAGAGTGACCTCCTGCATTCAGTCCATTCTCTAAGCCTATAGTAATAGGCAAGCCCTACCTTGTGGCTATTAGATAACTTTACTCTCCTGAAAGAGAATTGGCAGGCCAGAGAGGGTCCCTCTGGGCAAACAGCTGGTTAATAAAAGCCAAGGTGCTGCAAAAGGAAGAAACAACGTTTCAGAAATGGGATGGGCCCCATCCTGTGATGGACAAGACATCTGTTTGTTCCATCTTGCAGATTTTGGAATGCTGGGTCTGGAGCTGTTTTTTCTGACAGCATTAGATGGAATGCTCTATCTATGCTCACACAGGGTGTCTTTTCAACTCCAAATGTAAACATTTAGCTCCAAGAATGGAAGAAATACTAGAATGCAGGAGCAAGCAATTACATGGTGTTTCTTAAAGGATCCTCCAGTTTGGGACCACGTGATGGTAAATTAACTCTTGATCAACACCCCCACATAGTTTGGAAGGAGCAAAGTTTTAAAAGCAGACTAGTCCACCTGGAAGGAAATAATCAAAATACACATATTTTGGAAAGGACTTTTAATCAGATTATATAAAGAACTTTTGCAATTCAATAATAAAGAGTGAAGCAACTCAATTTAAAGAAAAATGGAGAAAATATTTTAATAGACATTTTGTCAAAGAAGATATACAAATTGCTAATAAGTCCCTAAAAAGATGTGTGAAATGCAAATTAAAACCATAATGAGGTAATATTATACATTTATTCGAATGGTGGATTTTTCAAAATTGACAATATCAAGTGTTGGTGATGATGTGGAGCAACTGGAACTCTCATACATTGTTGGTGAGAATGGAAAATGGCACCACTACTTTAAAACATTTTGGAAGTTGCCTATAATGTAAGACATACACTGATCTTATAACCTAGCATCCCACTCATTGGTATTTACTCAAGAGAAATAAAATATGTCTACATAAGGACTTCTATGTGAATGCTCATAGCAACTTTACTCAAAATAGCCCAAAACTGGAAATAAAACAAATATCCATCAACCGATGAACGGATAAACAAGTTGTGATATGGCTATGCTCCTGCTATGGAATACTACTCAGCAAAAAACTGAATGAATTAATATATACAACAACATAGTTGAATCTTAAAAACATTATGCTGGCCAGGCGTGGTGGCTCACACCTGTAATCTCAGCACTTTGAGAGGCCGAGGCAAGTGGATCACTTGAGGTCAGGAATTTGAGATCAGCCTGGCCAACATGATGAAACCCCATCTTTACTAAAAATACAAAAATTAGCCAGGCGTGGTGGCAGGTGCCTATAATCCCAGCTACTCCAGAGGCTGAGGCAGGAGAATTGCTTGAACCCAGGAGGCAGAGGTTGCAGTGAGCTGAGATCATGCCACTGCACTCCAGCCTGGGCAACAGAGCAAGACTCCATTTGGGGAAAAAAAAAACCATTATGCTGAGTAAAATAAATGAGACACAAAAGACAACATACTGTGTTCTTTAATGTATATGATACTCTAGAAAGACTACTCTAATGTACAGTGACAGGGTTTGCATGGGGCTGGGGTGGGGGGAGATTGAATAGGAAGGAGCAGAAGAAATTTGGTGATTCTCAGTACACGTATTTATTTTGCTTAGAATATATGTGTAGATATTCCTTATCAAAACACTTCCTACAAAGTTAGAAAGATAAAAAAGTCACTAATGAGAATTTAGTCTATGAATAGATTTTCCCTATTAACCAAAGTGAAATAACAACAGAGAAAACTTACATAATATTTATTATGTACCAGGAACCTTTTTAGACACTTCAGGCATTCAATCCTCTCCGGAGCCTGTGAGAGCCGTACTGTTACTATCCTCATAGTTGAGGAAACTGAGGTACAGAGAGGATGCTCAGATAGTAAGTGCCTCAGCTGAAAAGTGAAAGAATTAGGATCTGGACCCAAGTTGTATGGCTCCAGGAATCTGCCTTCTTAACCACTTTGCTATGGTGCCTCTCTTGGAGTGAATAATATTTTGGTGTCAGAGACTTTAATTTCCTAGAATTAAAAACATCTCCTAGAAAGGGAAGCAAAACAGAATAGCTCTAAATGGCAGAAGGCAGTACTTCCCAATCAGGATAAGTCAAGTTTCTTCTTGTGAGAAGATCTTTGAAAGGAAATGGGCAACTCTTTGCACAGGTCATTTTTCTCCTGGAAGCAGGAGAATGGATTGAATCAATATCTGAAAGTCCCCTCCCATCCCTTGCCTGCACTGGAGTTTGTAAGAAGGTTAGTTTGCATGCTGGTTAAAGGAAACACACACCTAAGCCAACATAAGGATCTCAAGCTAGTGAATCCAAAAAAGAGGCATGAAAAGAAACGAGGGAAAAAAGCGAGAAAGGAAGAGTCTACCAAGTACCCCAGGATAAAGAAAAGAGCGCATAGGAGAGAGATGGCACCAGAGACTCTTTCCTGTGCAGTCAGAGATTAAGTGGGAAGGTGAGACAATAAAATCTCAATGCACACTCTTGCACAAGCATACAAAACTTCTCTCCGGCAATTCCTAAGGGCAGGATTCAAGGGAGGTTCATTTTGGTGCCAGGCATCACTACCAACATCCAACAAAATCACCTAACCACAGAAATCTTCGTAAACAAGCCATGCAGGAAGAAGAATCGGCCCCTTCCCAATGCAAGCAAATAAGGAGGAGGTCCTCCTGGGAGCCCCAGTTTCCCAAAAGTCTTGAGTCGCAACTACCTAATCACACTTAGCCTCCTTCACACCAACCTGAGGTGGTGCCCTCCGTTCTAAACTCCTTTTTTACAATCTTGGGATGCTTTTCGGATTCTATCTTGCACACATTTTATATATGTTTTTATTTCCTACTAGAATGTAAACTCCATAAAGGCAATGACGACTCTGCTTAAACATCTGTGTATCTGCCTCAGCATCTACCGTGCATTAGCTACTGGTACATATTTGACAAAAGAAGACAGGAGGCAGGAAGGAAATGAGTGAATAAATAAATGCATCCAAATTTTCTTAAAATACTAATGATAGTAACCAGTAATATTAAGAAGCAAACTTGGCCAGGCACAGTGGCTCATGCCCGTAATCTTGGCACTTTGGGAGGCTGAGTCAAGTGGATCGCTTGAGTCCAGGAGTTCGAGACCAACATGGCAACATGGCAAAACCCCGTTTCTGCTAAAAATACAAAAATTAGCCCGGCGTGGTGGTGCATGCCTGTGGACCCAGCTACTCAGGAGGCTGAGACAGGGGGATTGCTTGAACCTGGGAGGTTGAGGCTGCAGTGAGCCAAGATCACACCTTTGCACTCCAGGGCGACACAGTAAGACCCTGTCTAAAAAAAGCTAACTTCCCCAGCCTGCCAAGGCCTCATGCTTCATGATGTTAAAATATCATCCCTGATGGCTGATGTCTTCTAGGGGCTCCATTGCTTCAGAACCAAATGGTGACTTCTGTTCTTCATTGTTAGTCTGCCATCTCAACCCTGGCTGATAAATAACTCTTTGGATTGTCATTAGTGAGTAATATTTTCCAGGTGCCAAGTTTTGGATAAGTACATCTGTCTTCCTAGGAAGCTCAGTAGTTTTTTTAACGGGAAACTATAAAACTCCAAATGGATTGGCTTCTACTGGGTGCATCCTCCTCTACCATTCTTATCCTGGTTTGAGTAACAAGATCCAGATGAACTGTAACGTTAGTTCATTTCTCTCCAGACCCTGATTTCCTATGAGAAAGGAAAGTGAATGACATTTCAAAAGGGCCTTCTGTGATTTATGTTTTTGTATCCATGGAGGTCTTCTCAGAGCCTAGCATTTTTCTCATAACCTATGGAAGCTCCTTTTGTCTGCCTTGAAAGTATTTATTAGCTGAACAATTTTTTTAGGCAAATTGAAAAAAGAAATAGTCTAAAAGTAAAAGTTAAATAGAGAGGAGTTAGGAAAAGGAAAATAATTATTTGTGAATTTCCAGTAGTAACAAATGGTCTCATCTGAAAAAATACACATACACACACACACTCACACCCCGTAAGTGTGTGCACATCCATATGTATGTGGGTATATGGGTATGTATGAAGAGAATGGCATTTATTATTTTAGTACACCAAAATATTCCTACTTTTCCTATACTGTGTTACAGGGAACACAGATAGACTACTTTTATCTTGTGCAAAAACAAACCTTTGCCTAAAATGAATTCCAGCATGAATTGCCATCAGAACACACCCCGCCAGGCCCCTAGGATACTCACAGCACAATACTAGCTCTCTGAAGCATAGAAAGAAACTAAGTCCCTGGCCCTGCTTTAAAGAGTTTATTGTCTTCATGGAGACACTCGAGACGTGCATATAAAATCTGATCATATCGTTCCCCCATGGAAAACCCTAGAATGGTTTTCCACTGCACTTAGGATAGAAAGTTAAAACATTAAGCTGAGCCTCGGTAAGTCTTTCTGTGGCAGAAGGGAACGCATTGCTCTCTGCATATTCAGCGAGGCATGGTGGCTTCTTCAGCTCCTCAAATACACCAAGCTCTTTCAGACCCCAAACCCTTAGCACCTGCTGTTTTCTCTTCTGAGAGCCTTCTTCCTCCCCCCTTCAAGTCTGTGCTTAAATGTTACATACTCAGGAAAGACTTCCTCCAATAAATCGGGCTATTGTTACCTTGCTGGAGTGCAATGGCGCTATCTCCAGTCACTGCAACCCCCGCCTCCTGAGTTCAAGTGATTCTCCTGCCTCAGCCTCCTGAGTACCTGGGATTACAGGCGCTTGCCACCATGCCTGGCTAATTTTTTGTATTTTTAGTACAGACAGGGTTTCACCATGTTGGCCAGGCTGGTCTCGAACTCCTGACCTCATGATCCACCTGTCTCGACCTCCCAAAGTGCTGGGATTACAGGCATGAGCCACTACTCCCAGCCCTGTGGTTTATCTTTATCTTTATTTATATTTATTTCCAAATTTCCCCCCACTGAACTATAAGCTCCATGATGCCTGCACTTTTTTGTTCCTTGCTATCTCAAATCCCTAGCACGATGCCTGTCACATAGTAGGTGCACAATAATATTTGTTGACTGAATTAACAACTCAATGAATGTGGAGGTTCACCAGCCATTCAAGACAAATTCACTGAAAGGTACAGTCCAGTTACATTTTATCAACGTGTTACCCATGCTCTACCTAAATTTCTTGCTATGTTTCCTTTTGTGATCTTCCGCAACATGACAATGTAAGATAGAGGCCCCACGGCCGGGGTCACGTGCCCGATGCAGCCCTGGGCCTTCAGGTTATCAGACTTTTACCCAGAAAGTCTTCCCTCTGGTGGCTAAACACTCCCTCCTAGCGCCGGTTCTGCTGTCTGCTTTTGTAACACGGGGCGGGTGGAGTAGGAGAGTGGATGAGGTCTTTCCTAATCAGCAGAAGTTTTCATGAATCTTCCAGAGGAAAAGCCACTGTTGCTGAAACACAGGCACAAGAAAGACACTTGTGGGAACACAGCTCTCCATATTCATCAGGGTAGGAGTATTTTTGTCTTAATGCTTAAAGATAGAGACTACAAATCCCCACTTTACAGAAACAGAAGAGAAGTGACACATTCGGAGTGACAAGAAAAGTTCTAAAGAATATTAAAAACCAGGCCTCCTGGTGGATGAGCACTGGTCACGTAGGAAATCTTCAGGCATTTGGTTGCATTCGTAATGTTTCCTTTGGGGGAAAACAAGTCATTTTACTTTCATGACGATAGTGGCAAGAGTGAGCACCCATCAGAACCCTCAATGGGGGAACAGACGTGGATGCCAGGGCTTCTGTAGAAACAGCAAGCATTGGAGCAGAGCCGGCTGCTGGCTGCCAGACCGTGCGTTCCCTTCTGCCACAGAAAATCAGGGGCCTGTGGGGTGGGTCTCCTTTGCACTATAGTAGCCTGACCACTACATACCCCCCAGTTTTTCACAAAATTATATATATTCCACATTAAACTCTTACACTCCTTACTTTGCAATAAGTAGTGAAGACAGCAATGCACACCCTGACCAAGCTCTTGAGTGAAGTAATTTCTAATCTACTGCAAGTCCTGGGGAAGACTGGAGAAGAACCACTTGCACCATGAGGGCGATGTCCCAGGGATCAGCAGTCCAGGGGCGAGCACGAGGTCATGCATGATGAGGGGTCCTGGGGTCATGGAGGAGAATGTGATGGACTATTTAAAGGATGTGGGAGCATAGTACCAAGACAACTGCATATCTTTGTGCAAATGAATGAAGTTGGACCCCTTCCTTCTACCATAAACAAAAATTCACTCCAAAGGATCAGAGACCTAGATGTAAGAGCTAGAATTATAAAATTCTTAGGAGAAAACATAAGAGTAAACTTTTGTGACCTTGGGTTAGGTAAAGCCTTCTTAGATACAACAGCAAAGAAACAAGAAATGAAAAGAAAAATAAACTGAACTTCATTAAAATTAAAAACTTGTGCTACAAACAACACTATCAAGAAAATGAAAAGACAACCCACAGAATGGTCAAAAATATTTTATTATTGAGTTGTAACAAAATCCAGCCTAGATAGAACACTATATAAAGAAAACTTACAACTCAATAATAAAAAGACAAGTAACACAATTTAAAAATAGACAAAGGACCTGAGTAGACATTTCTCCAGAGAATACATACAAATGGCCAATAAACACATGGAAAGATGCTCAACATCATTAGCCATTAAATAGATGAAGATCAGTCACAATGAGATGTCACTTCATACCCATTAAGATAACTATTAAAAAAATTAAAAATAGGCCAGGCCCAGGGGCTCATGCCTATCATCCCAGCACTTTGGAAGGCTGAGGCAGGCGAATCACCTGAGGTCAGGAGTTTGAGACCAGCCTGGCCACTATAGTGAAACCATGTCTCTACTAAAAATAAAAAAATTAGCCAGGTGTGGTGGCACACACCTGTAGCCCTGGCTACTTGGGAGTCTGAGGCAAGAAAATCACTTAAACCCGGAAGGCAGAAGTCACAGTGAGCCGAGATGGCGCCACTGCACTCCAGCCTGGGTGAGAGAGCAAGACTCTGTCTCAAAAATAATTAATTGGCCTGGCGCCGTGGCTCACACCTGTAATCCTAGCACTTTGGGAGGTCAAGGTGGAAGGATCACCTGAGGTCAGGAGTTCAAGACCAGCCTGGCCAACATGGTGAAACCCTGTCTGTACGAAAAATACAAAAATTTGCCGGGTATGGTGGTGCACGCCTGTAATCCCAGCTACTCAGGAGGCTGAGGCAGGAGAATTACTCCCAGCCCGGGAGGTGCAGGTTGCAGTGAGCCAAGATCACACCGCTGCACTCCAGCCTGGGTGACAGAGTGAGACTCCGTCTCAAAAAACAAAAATAATAATAATTAATTAATTAATTTAATAAAAAATAAAAATAATTTTTTTAAAAATGAAAGGAAGCAGAGATATGTGGAGTCAAGATCCCAGAAAGAAAAGAGGCACAGAGAGGTGACCTGATATTTGGCTACTTTTCCCTTTAAGCTTTTTTCACTATATAATTGGTGACCAAGAGGCAGAGAAACTGAGCAGAGTTTTTGGAGCTGGGGAGACAAAATTGGGGTTTTGGAGGAAAGGTCCAGTGAAACACCTCAGATTTTCTGTTAAGACCCCTGAAAGCCTCTACTCTGGGATTAAAGATAATGAATAGCACTCACAAATACAGAAATCCAGCTCAATCCCAGATTGGATAAAGTAATTCACCCTCAGCTCAACTGCCTGGAAGAATCAGGTTACATGATTGTGGAAGTCAAAAACTCAGAAAAAATCAACAGATAAACTATTAGAATTAATCAGTGAATTTAGCAAGGTCACTAGATACAAGGGCGAGGTTAAAAAGTCCATTTCATTTCTATATATCAGTAAGAACTTTTTTTATTTTTTGAGAGACAGTGTCTCACTCTGTCTCCCAGGCTGGAGTGCAGTGGTACAGTCACGGCTCACTGCAGCCTCGACCTCCAGGACTCAAGCAATCCCCCCACCTCAGCCTCCTGAGTAGCTGGGACTACAGGTATGCACCGCCATGCCCCGCTAATTTTTGTATTTTTTGTAGAGACAGGGTCTCACTATGTTGCCCAGGCTGGTCTCAAACTCCTGGTCTCAAGCGATCCTCCTGCCTCAGCCTCTCAAAGTGTTGGGATTACAGGCATGAGCCACCATGCCCAGCCCCAGAAAATATTTTAAGACAAAACTTTAAAATCTGTACCATTTATAATGGCATCAAAAATCAAATATCTAGGAATAAACCCAACAAACATATGTGAGATCTCGCTACATAAATCTACACAATATTATTGAGCATAATTAGGGAGGACTTAAATAAACGGAGAGATACATTCTGAGTCAGAAGACTCAATAGTGTAAAGATATCAGTTCCTCCCAGATTGATCTATAGATCTGATTTAGTCCCAATCAAAACCCCAGCAGGTCCTTCTGTCCAAATCGAAAATATATGTGGAAATGCAAATCACCATGAAAAGTCCATAAAATCTTTAAGAACAAAATTGAAGGGCTTATATGGCAAGATACCAAAACTGATTATGAAGTTATAATAAGACAATGTGATATTGGCAGAGGGATAGACAAATTAACCAATGGAAATAATCCAAAAACAAATCTTCCTATAGTCACTTCATTTACGGCAGAAATGCAATGCAGTGGAAGAAAGAGTCTTCACAATAAGTGGTGCTGGGCCAACTGGAAATCTATACAGAGAAAAATGAATCTTGACCCCTACCTCACCCGACACACAAAAATCCATTCCAGATGAATTGCAAATCTAAATGTGAAATGTAAAGTGGAAACATGTAATACCTTCATAACCTTGGACTTGATTAAAATTCAGAATTTCTGTTATTAATACATCCAACAATAGACTTGAATTCACAATATTTAAAAACTTCTACAAATCAATAAGAAAAAGACAGATAAACCAATTTTAATGGGAAAATGTGAATCTACACTACATAAAAGAGAATATCCAAATGGCTAATAAGCATATGAAAAAGCGCTCAACATCACTAGTTTTCAGGGAAATGCACATAAAATTACACTGAGATAATCACGGAACACCCACCAAAATGGCTAAAACGTAAAAGACTGACAGTACCAACTGTTGGCAAGGATGTAGAACATCTGACACTTTCATGCACTGCTGGTAGAAGTATAAATTGCTACAAACTTTTGGATAACTGTTTGGCAGCATCTAGTTAAACTGAACATATGTATACTCTGCCTGAGCAATTCTATTTCTACGAATATACATAACAGATATATGTACATATGTTCACCAAAAGACATGTGTAAGAATGCTCATAGAAGCACTCTTTGTAGTAACCACACCCAGAAATAGCTCAAATGTCCATTATCAGTAGAATGGATACAATGTGGTATATTCACATAATAGAATACTGTACAAAAATGAAAAGAAGCAACCGCACGCAACAATACAGATGAATGGGCCGCAGACATAATGCTGAATGAAAGCAGCCAGTCATGAAAGAGGACAAACTTTATGATTCCATTGTTATAAAGTTCAAAAAAGGCAAAATGAATCTGTGGTGTCAGAAATCACCTTGAGAGTTGCCTTTGATGGAGGGGCTGGCAGTAGGAAGGAGAGGAGGCTTTGAGGTCCTGGCACTGTTTTCAGTCTTGGTCCAGGTGCTGATTGCATGCCTGTGTTCACCTTGTGAAAAAAACATTTGGCTAGCCAGTGACTTGCGCTCTTTTCTGTATGAATGCTGTACTCAACATCTATTTTTAAATAATTGATAATCTGAATTTTATTGGCTTTGTTTGTATTTACTTTGTATAAGAACTATGAGGCTATCAAGATTATAACTAGTTACGTTCATGCATATTTAAATTTTATTATAACAAAAATAACTTGAGAAGACATTAAGATGTTAGAATCATTTTTAAACTCCTTGTCTGAATTTTAGATATTGATGAGTGATACCAGATATAAAAATTAGGAAATTAAACTTTTTAAACTTCTTCCCACTTCCCTCTCCCAAACTTCTGTTTTGTCGCTGTTAGTTTTGTTATCTTGTCTTTTATAATATATTTATGTCCTATTCAGTGATCATAAACCTTGTGGTCATTTTCTTAATTCTAATTTACATTGTTCACTTTTCACCACCCACCTCTTTCTTTTACTTCAACTTTTTCATTCTTGAATTTGTCAGATGAGACCACTATTCAATATATAAGATAAAAAGACAAAACTGAAGTTACTGCTTTATAAGAGACAACTGTGCTGATCAGCAGAGCTGACTATGGATCTCATACAGGGTTTAGGGGAAGGTGGAAGTTAGAGACAGGATTTCCAGGGGTGTAAGTGGGCTGACGTCATTGATGACACTGTTGTTGATTGGTTGACACTTGGAGGCCTGTTTAATTGAACTTCCTCCTTTCAGAAGGGAGACCTGACACTGACTGGTTGGCTTTGAAAAGTGTGTTCACTCAGTTGCCGCGTTGTTGATCTATTGGCAGGTGAAAAACAGGGATATGTCCGAAGTCTCCTAATGTATAACAGTTCCATGTTCTTGCCGTTGTATCATCTCAGGTTTTTAGCTCTCTTCTCCTGTGGGTATTTTTCTCTTCTACACTAGCTTGTCCATCTATCTTTGTGTGTTCTGTCCCTCTGGTATCTTTTCTTCTCTAATATTCTATACATTTTCATGTTTTTTTTTTTTTAGACGGAGTCTTGCTCTGTTGCCCAGGCTGGAGTGCAGTGGCACAATCTCGACTCACTGCAACTGCCACCTCCCAGGTTCAAGCGATTCTCCTGACTCAGCCTCCCAAGTAGCAGGGATTACAGGCACCTGCCACCACGCCCAGCTAATTTTGGTATTTCTAGTAGAGACGGGGTTTCACCATGTTGACCAGGCTGGTCTCGAACTCCTGACCTCAGGTGATCCACCTGTCTCAGCCTCCCAAAGTGCTGGGATTACAGGCGTGAGCCACCACGCCGGCCAATGTCATTTCTTTTCATCTTTTTCATGCTTAAGGTGGGCAATGCCATCCAGATGTTCTATAATCAGTGGCACAAAATTAACACCTCATGAAACAAACTTTTATTTTCTTTGGTCTGTCTGGTTTTTTCTTTTTTTTTTTCTTTTTTTCGAAAAGGCAAATTTGTTGCCAACATTTAAAAGTTGGGAGGTGACACATAAAAATTCAGAATTTCAGCTTCTCTTGAAAAACAAAATCAAAGACGTGACAATACCGGACTTAAGTTGGCAGAGAGCAACAATCACCTGGAGTATTATTTTTTATAGCTTCATGTATTTTAATACAGGAACGGCACAGAAGACAGCCAACATTAAAAATATATACTTGCATGTAGGACAACTCAGTTAGAAAAGTCTGTGGATGGAATCTGCTGTATGATAAAAGTGCTACAAACACCAGTTAGTTGCAGTCAATAAGAAATTTGCTTGTTTTTAAAAAATGCAAATGCTGGCATCGTCCAGAAACATTTAACAGGTGTATTTGTAATTGCTATAAAGTTGAACTGCTGAAACTTGTTCAACAAAACTTTTGACTTGCATGAATGCTGTACATCTCATTTATATGAACAATTCACACTCAGATGAAAATGGAAAAACTGCCCATACCTGATTTCTGTCTCCTGTTTTTCCAGTCACAATCATATACTTAAGTACCTTTTGGCCCCACGAAAAAAAATGTCTATTGTTCACAACTACCAAAAACAGGAAGAAGAGAGTTTTTATTTTTTTGAGAACGAAACGTGTTTCTCCTCATGGTAGATTATTAAGCTGTTCTCCACGTGCTAGCTGGATGCCTTTTGGCATAATTGTTACATGTCTGGCATGGATGGCACACAGGTTGGTATCTTAAAAAAGGCCAACCAGGCCAGCTGCAGTGGCTCACGCCTGTAATCCCAGTACTTTGGGAGGCCGAGGCGGGTAGATTACTTGAGGTCAGGAGTTCAAGACTAGCCCGGCCAACATGGTGAAACCCTGTCTCTACTAAAAATACAAAAAAAAAAAATTAGCCTGGTGTGATGGCGCATGCCTGTAATCCCAGCTACTCAGGAGGCTGAGGTGGGAGAATCGCTTGAACCCAGGGGAAGCGGGGGCAGAGGTTGCAATGAGCTGGGATCGCGCCATTGCACTCCAGCCTGGGTGACAAAGTGAGACTCTATCTCAAAAAACAAAAAAAGGCCAACCAGGTAGGCCTCCCTTGCCTCCTGCAAAGCACCAACAGCTGCACTCTAGAAGCACAGATCTGTTTTGATGTCCCGTGCAATTTCTCTCACCAGGTGCTGCAAAGGAAGTTTTGAGTTGTAAGTTCAGTGGACTTCTGAGACCATCTAATTTCATGGAGTGGCACAGTGCTAGGCCAGTAACGATGAGGTTTCTTTAGCCCTCCAATATGAGGCCCACTCTTGTGAGCAGCATTTGTAACCAGCTGCTTCCTAGGTGCTTTACCCCCAGTTGATTTGTGGGCAGTCAGCATGGTAGGAGCCACAGTATAGAAACTTCCTTCCCTACCCACCTTCCTCAGCTGGAGCTCAGCAAGCTAGTGGTGGCTGCGAACACAATTTGGAGACCGTTTAACATCGGCAGTTTTCAAATGTTAGTGAGCATCAGGACTACCAGGAGGGCTTGTTAGAACACAATTTTTCAGGTTGGGTGTGGTGGCTCAAGCCTGTGACCCCAACACTTTGGGGGCGCAGAAGCAGGAGCATCACTTGAGGCCAGGAGCTCGAAACCAGCCTGGGCAACATAGCAACACCCCATCTCTATGAGAAATTGTTTTAAGAATTAGCCAGGTGTGGTAGCCTGCCCTGTAATCCCAGCTACTCGGGCAGCTGAGACAGGAGGGTCACTTGAGCCCAAGAGTTCAGGGCTTCAGTGAACTGTGATCATGCTACTGCACTCCAGCCCAGGAGACAGAGTGAGACCTCTGTCTTGGGGGAAAAAAATCACAATACTCTTAACCTTTCCCACAGGCTGCCTATTTACTCCGTAGGTTTTCTTTTCTTTACATCGGTGGATATTAGTGAGAATTCTCAGAATTTCATCACCAGCCTCCTTTTCTTGAATCACTCCAGGCAGGTAGGATGGGATTGGTAGGTACCTGTGTGGTCTACACTAGAAGCTTCGATTATTTTCTTGGCCACCATGTTTTAAAGTTTCTAACAAGAATTTGTGCCTCTTAACCTAATTTGTTTACTACTGGAGAGTTTTTGCTGAGTTTTGGCACTTTTTGTTCCTTTTGTGAGATCTTCAGGAAGGAGCTATAGGCCAACTTCCTGTACCCTCACTGTGGTAAAATCCAGCTCTGGGTAATTGAATGGTCCTGCTCTAAATGGTCAACCTCTTTCTCAATGTTTGTCCTACCACCACACCACTTCCCACCCCCAGAGATTAGAATCAGTCTGGAGCGAGGGCCAGGTATCCAGATCTTTAGAAGCCCTCTGGGTCGTTCTATTGTGATGCCAAAGTTGAGAGTCACTGCCACAGTTCGGTGCTTTTCAAATGTTAGTGAGTGCGCCAATCTCTAGGGTCTAGCTAAACTTCAGATTCTGAATCAGTATGTCTACAGCGTGGCTCCAGAGTCTGCCTTCTAGCCAGCTCTCAGTGATGGTACTGCTGCTACTCCTTAGACCACACTTGGTAGCGAGCTTTTAGAGCTAACTCAGCTAATGATCTTGCCTGGGTACGCTTAGTGCCCCGTGTCCTCAGACTCAGTGTGGCAGATGTCCTGTCTAAAGCACGGAAGGCGATGTACAGAGACTACTTTTTGGAAATTTTCTGGGACTTTTGTGGAGTGAGGTCGGGTCATCATAGAGTAAGAGCCAATCACACATTGGACCCTGAAGCTAGCCACTTCTAATTATAGCTACTGGACATTCACAAATTCTTAGGGTTCCAGGAAGGGCATGGAAAAGACAGAAACATCCCCTTAAATCCTACTTCAGAACAGGACATATGATTTTTGCCTAGGTACCTATCATTTGTCATCAGTTCTCCAAAGGATAAATGGGACCACGCAGAGAAATGGCATCACCAGCATGTCCCAGCATGTCACCCACATGCCACAGTGAGAGGCACAGGAGTGAGGCAGAGCCAGAAAGAGAGGAACAGTGAGCAATGTTCCCACCTTCTGAGGAGCTGATGGGAGCCCAGGCAGCCGACTGCACTTTAGTAAGCGTGAAAGACAAGAAGACGTCGCTGAAGCTTATTCTTGTGAACACTCAGGGTAACTCTGAGAGTGGCCACAAAACCTGGGCCCAGGGCCAGGCTGTGTTAGCGCAACAGCACCACTAGATGGCGCCATTGGCTCGAGGAGCACAGAGTGTCCGCCCGGTGCTGGTGAGGCTTGTTTCAGCCCCGCTTTAGGACACGATGCTTAGATCCGTAGAACGAAAATGATGGAAGTGAAAGATCAGGGCTGCTACAAGATGCTTTTCATCAGGCCAGAGCCTTTCTTTTTTCCATTTTAAAATATTTATTTTTTATTGATACGCAAATATTTGCACATATTTATGAGACACGCGTATCTTTGGTTACATGCATAGACTGTGTAATGATCAAGTCAGGTTATTTATCGTATCCATCACCTCGAATATCATTTATACGTATTGCAAACACTTCAAGTCCTCTCTTCTAGCTTTTTTTTTTGAAATATACAATACCTTGTTGTCAACTCTGGTCATCCTACTCTGCTGTCGAACATTAGAACTTATTTCTTCTAATTGTGTGTTTGTACCCATTAACCAACCTCTCTTTACCCCCATCTCCCACTACACACCCTTCCCAGCTTCTAGTGTCTGTCATTCTACTACTCTCTATCTCCATGAGGTCAGCGTTTCTAGCTCCCACATATGAGTGAGAACATTTGACATTTGTCTTTCTGTACTTGGTTTATTTCACTTAACATGATGACCTTCAGTTCCATCCATGTTGCTGCCACTGACATGATTTCACTCTTTTTTATGGCCAAATAGTATTACATTGTGCATATGTACCATATTTTCCTTATGTATTCATCCATTGATGGGTATTTAGGTTGATTCCATGTTTGCTATTGTGAACAATGCTGCAATAAACAAGAGGGTATATGTATCCTTTCAACATACTGATTTCCTAACCTTTGGATAAATACCCAGCAGTGGAATTGGTGAATCATATGTTAGTTCTATTTTTAGTTTCTTGAGAAATCTCCATACTGTTTTACATAATGGCTGTACCAATAATTTACATTTCCACCAAAGTATATAAGAGTTCCCTTTCCTCCGCATCAGGCCAGAAATCTTTGACATTCAGAACAACCTAGCAATGTCTAAGGGGCATCCAGCTGTCGGTGGCTGACCAGGTCACTCCTGTTCGCATGACAGAAGGATACCTGGAGGAGTCTTTGTGCCCACTGGATTAGTGAAAATAAAATCTTTTTCTACCAACTGGTGGAATCCTCTTTTGAAGTAAAAAATCTTTTCCATTTTTTGTTTTCACTTTTTCAAAGTTATTATATATTGAAGGCTTATATGAAAGGAAATGTGGTAAAGGCTTCAAGTCCACTTAATCTTCACAGTAGCCTTGTGGCCTTGTTATTATCCCCATTTTACAGGTGGGGAAATTGAGGGCTGAAGACATTAAAGCCTCTAACCCAAATGATGAAGCCAGGACTTGAACCCAGTTAGATCTGTCTCCAAAGCCTATGAACTTAACCACTGTGCTACACTACCACCCAGTCGGTATTTATTCAGAAACGCACATGTCTAGACAGTGGCCTTTCTCAGTCCAGTATTGTGTGACTTGCAGCAAAAATATCTTACAGAGATACGGTGTGGTAGGGGAAGAATGGGGATTTCAGGTGCCCATAATCGGGTATCTAACCCATTCTTTAGCAGCTAAAAGTTCCCAGAACATCTTTATTTCCCTTCTTCCTTCTTCCTAGTATCTCTTCTTAGCATGAAATGCTGTCAGCTGCTTCTACTAGCTGAAAAAACAACAGCTGCCTCCACAACCATCTAGAAAGGGCCCTGCACCTGGTGATTCAACGCCCTCTTTTTGCTACTTCCTTTCCAGGCCTGTCTCTCCCGCATCAACCTAATCTGTGAAATGGAAAGCAAGCTGGTTGCATTAATTCTTACTAAAGTGTACACAACTGAGAGTCATTGCAACATATTATCCAAATATCATCCAACTAAGTGGTGTTTGGCTTTGGGGCGAAAGGAATGTGCTGAGATTTCAGTGATGATATTTCAGCCTACATGCTTTATTACAACTCAATGCTTTTGCTGATTCGAGGAGACAGACCCTGAGGAAAAGACCAAAGGCAGGGACAAAGGGTAAGGCCTGCAAGTAGAAAGGATCGATTAGTAATTATGACATTTCACACACATCTGGGGCTAAATATTCTATGGTAATAAGGAAAGCTAAAAAAAAAAGGCTATTTCTTTCCTAGGCTAATTCCATGGCCTGAACATAATATGCTGTTCTTTGTTTCCTCAACTGGAGAAGGATAGACTACTTAAAAAACAAGAAACCTGAGGAAGCCATTGGCCACTTTAACAATGATATAAACTATTCCAAGGTGACAAAATAACTCTAGTTTTCTTTATATACAGAAAAAACTCCAACTAATATGTGGAAGCAATGGTAGAATTAGAAAATCCCCGCTGGGTGCAGTGGCTCACGCCTATAATCCCAGCACTTTGGGAGGCCAAGGCAGGTGGATCACCTGAGGTCAGGAGTTCAAGATCAGCCTGGCCAACATGGCGAAACGCCATCTCTACTAAAAATACACAAATGAGCCGGGCGTGGTGGCGCGTGCCTGTAATTCCACTCGGGAGTCTGAGGCAGGAGAATCACTTGAACCCAGGAGTCGGGAGGTTGCAGTGAGCCGAGATTGCGCCACTGCACTCCAGCCTGGGCAACAGAGGGAGACTTCCTCTCAAAAAAAAAATTAAAAAAAAAAAAAGGAAAATCCCCATTTTTCAACCCCTAATTGAAATTACTGATTCCAGCAACATAGTGAGCAAATGAAAGGTTGTAGAGAAAAGATGGAAAGTGGAGTTTGCAATGGAGGGGTTGTCTGGCTGACGTTACTGACCCCTACTGATCTTGCCTGGTGGACAAAAGACCCACTGTGTCCTTTCGGAAGTGACGCAGTAGGCAGTGGACCAGCATCTCCTGGGAAGTACATCTCCCTCAAACATTTGAACCCATATCAAAGAAGCCTCTAGATCTGCTTCCACTCTACAGGAAACATGGGGGATCCAGGAACAAATTAAGTGACTCCACGAGGAAGCAAACACACAGTTTCAGAATGGAGAGGATTCTGCTGAGCAATGGACTCCGTTTCCTCACAAAGGGGGCGTCCACTGTGCAAATGAAGAGACGTAAGAAACATAGAACCAAATACAGCGTGTGGACCCCCATCAGACAAACCCACGGTAAAGGGGGAGCGAGGCTGGAGATAACTCGGAGATTTTTATGAACTCGGTCTTATGATACCAATGAATTACTTTTAATTTTGTCAGATCTGATCATGGCATTGTAATTATATATGACTATGCCCATTTTTAGAGATGTTTACTGAAGTACATAAGGGTGAAATGACATTATTTGCTTTAAAGACTACTTACCTCATCCAAAAGGAAGAAACAGGAAATGGGATGGATGGGTCAAGTGTCGTGTAGTCTTCGTAACTGCTTAATGTTGGTGATGTGTAGATTAGGGTTCATTTCACTATTCTCTATATATGTGGGCCTTTTATTTTTTTAATAATAAAGTTTTGTTTTGTTTGTTTTTTGAGACAGGGTCTCACTGCGTCACCCAGGCCAGAGTGCAGTGGTGCAGTCACGGCTCACTGCAGCTTCAACCTCCCTGGGCTCAGGTGATCCTCCCACCTTAGCCTCCCAAGTAGCTGGGACTACAGGTTCTTGCCACCACACCTGGCTAATTTTTTGTGTGTATTGTTTTGTAGAGACGGGGTTTCTCCATGTAGTCCAGACTAGTCTGGAACTCCTAGGCACAAGCAATCCATCTGCCTCGACCTTCCTAAGTGCTCGGATTACAGGCGTGAGCCACTACACCTGGCCAAACATTTTTTAAAAATCAAAAAGACATGCTCACTTCAGTGACATCAAGTAGGACAAAAGACAATTCAATAAGTTGATGATATTTTCAGCTTTGATGGAACGCATCCACAGCCCCTGGCAGAGCTCATCATCAGGGTCAGGTCCCTGAAATCATCCATGTCAGGTCCCAAATATCCCGCTTGTAAAACTGCATTGCATTCCATTTACCCATCTCAGAAAGATAGATGGCGCCATCAGCCTGGTTAGGATTGGTTTCAGTGACCAAGCATTTCTAATGAGAACACACTGCAGAAACCAACCACTTCCTTGCATAAGACATTCAGCTACAAACCCTGGTGGTTAAGCTGCGATGGGTTCTGCCAGCTTTGAGCTTGGGTCACAGACCTGTTCAAGGGCAAGTGTTCTTCCAGCACTCCGAGAAAGAGATGGCTGTTGATGCAGATGGCATCATACGAAAAGCTCACCTCCATTCATAAGAAGAGAATGCAAATGAAAGCATACTGAGATTTTCAAGTTGTGGGAAATCACAACTGAAAACACACTCACTGGGGATGTGGGGCAACTGACATTCTTGTACTTTATTGGTGGGAGTATAAACTGGAAAAATACCTATAAGGGGACAAATTGGCAGTATCTAGTAAAATTACCAATGCATGTACGCTTTGCTGCAGGAATTCCTCTTTCATCAATTCATGCAACTTATACTTGCTCCCAATTCAAATCACATTGGTCTAAAGTTATTTATTACTAAATCGTTTAATAGTAGATGACTTCAAAACTTAACATACTTACCAGAAGGGGACTGCTAAATAAACTATGGAACAGCCAAATACTATGTAATTTTTAAAATTTTTATTTTAAATAAAATTTTAATTTAAATTTAAATTTTTAAATGAAGAAACTATCTTTATAATTATATTTAGCTATCTCCAAAACATAGTAAGTGGACAGAAAAAAAAAGGCAAGGTAAAACAACTGTGTATATAGTATACTATAAATAATGTTTAAAGAAAATGAAAAAAGAATACTTATGCTTGCATGTGCATAAAATATATCTGGAAGGGCTGCGCATAGTGGCTTATGCCTGTAATCCCAACGCTTTGGGAGGTTGAAGCAGGAGGATCACTTAAGTCCAGGAGTTCAAAACCAGCCTGGACAACATGGTAGGATCCTGTCTCTACAAAAAAATAACATAAAATATAGAACAAAAATTAGCTGGGCATGGTGGCGTGTGCCTATAGTCCCAGCTACTAGTGAAGCTAAAATTAGGAGGATCACTTGAGCCTGGGGAGGTCAAGGCTGCAGTGAGCCGTGATCATACCACTGCACTCTAGCCTGGGTGACAGAGCGCTGCCTTGTTTGTAAAAAGAAAATTAAAAATAAAATATTTCTGGAAGGATGCCCAAGACACTAAACATTGGTTGCACTCAGGTAGCTCGGAGGAGGGAGAATTTTCCCTGTAAACCTTTTTATGTCTTTTTACTTTGGAGCTCTGTAAATCCCTGACCTTTTCAAAAAATAAAAACAATTTCCTAACAACAGAAAACAAAAAACTGTCGGTTGACTTTCAAACCAAGCTTGAAAAGAAAACATCATATTTTAATTAGGGGCTAGTCTGGGACTGGGAGTTGGAAATTGTACCCACTGGAACGTGGGCCACTAAATGGCAAAAAGAAAAAAAACACAGTTAAATTTCCCTGTAGGGGCAAAATATTTCACATCCAATTAAAGCCAACTTACTATAGCTGGTCAAATTAAGGCCAGTTTCATCTTACACTCAGGCTTCACTGTCCTGATGAGCTGGTCTCTGAAATCCTGAGGAGCAGACTCTGGAGGCTGGGCATGTCAGGGCCCCTGAGCCTAATGGCCCCAGTGTCAGCCCAAGATGGGCTCTCGGATGTGACTCTCAGGGGGAAATCCAGCTCCCCACAGCAACTGTGTGACCCTGAAGCAGCGTGTTAGTGATTCTGGGCCTTCTGCTGGGAAAATGCATGTATCAAGAATGCATCACTGAAACAGCACACAGTGGACTCGAGTTCATTTTTCAAATATATCTGTTCAAGTGAAGACAGAGCCTGTTTTTAAAATCTATGAAACAGTTCCTGTTAAAAAAAAATAGTACAGGAGCAATAAAAAACGTACCTACCTTTTAGGGCTGCTGTGAAGATAAGTTGAGTCGATACACGCACACAAAATAAAAGTTAGCTGTGGCCGGCATGATGGCTCACACCTGTAATCCCAGCGCTTTGGGAGGCCGAGGTAGGCGGGTCACCTGAGGTCAGGAGTTTGAGATCAGCCTGGCCAACATGGTGAAACCCCATCTCTACTAAAAGTATAAAAATTAGCTGGGTGTGGTGTTGGGCGCTCATAATCCCAGCTCCTTGGGAGGCTGAGGCAGGAGAATTGCTTGAACCTGGGAGGCAGAGGTTGCAGTGAGCAGAGATCGAGCCATTGCACTCCAGCCTGGGTGACAAGAGCGAAACTCTGTCTAAAAAAAAAAAAAAAAAAGCTATTATCATCAGGAAGGAAACATAGGATTTGGAACTACTTAAAGCTCAACATATCTGTAGCATCTGTTCTGCTTGACAGCAGTCAGTCATCTTAAAGGTCAAGCCAGTGTATCTACAGACCACACCATGTGACCACTCTGAAGAATGACAGAATGTAGGATTTTGGAACTGAAAGGGCTCATGTCCCTGTGGTGTCACCTCTTAGTTTCATTGTATGCTTTTCTCCACAGCTTCCCAGGCATGCAGAAAACTCTACCTCCTAGCCCTTTCCTCTAAGTGAAGCCATGGCACTGGATCCAGCCAATGAAATGTGAGCAGAGGTGAGGCCCTGGAAAGCCCACCAGCACACCCTCCCCTGCCAGGAAAACCACGTGTGGAAATGGTCAAGCCACAGTAAAGAAGGAAACTAAAGCCAGAGTGGCTGTAATCCCAGCATTTTGGGAGGGCAGATCGCCCAAGGTCAGGAGTTCAAGACCAGCCTGTCCAACATGGTGAAACCCCGTCTCTACTAAAACTATAAAAAACTAGCCAGGTATGGTGGTGCATGCCTGTAATCCCAGCTACTCAGCAGGCTGAGGCAGGAGAATCATTTGAACCTGGGAAGCGGAAGTTGCTGTGAGCCGAGATCATGCCACAGCACTCCAGCCTAGGCGACAGAGTGAGATTCTGTCTCAAAAAAAAAAAGGAAACAATTCTTGTGTCACTGCCTAAAGAGCTGCCAAACCCATGGCAGATTCTGCACGGGTTAAAGTTTTAAAATAAACCTTTATGTGTTAAACCACTGAAATTTTGGAGTGTGTTAGTGAAGTGTAACCTAGGCTACCCCACCCAGCCCTTACTGGCTTTAAAGGCATTCCTATTTTCAGCAAGGTTACAGGAGCTTACAAAATGGTTTTGCTTTTAGAGGGAATTTGACCCATGTGGTGTGATGAAACCAGTTAGCTTTCAGGCAGGCCAGAACTTACAGGCTGTTTGTAACATATGTCATTTGCTTGGGTAGACAGATCTTTGAAAACATCGGGTCCATGTGCTCGCTTCAGCAGCACACATACCAAAATCGGAATGACAGAGAGAACATTAGCGTGGCCCTGAGCAAGGATGACTCACAAATTTGTGAACCATTCTATAAAACAAACAAACAAGCAAAAACTGGAACCACAGTGGCATAAGGTTGACAAAACAGAACTTTTGGTACAAAAAAGTTGGGAAACATGGATAGTTGTCCCCTTGTTTTAGGGATGAAAATAGAGACCCTGGGAGAAGCAAGGGACCTGTCCCAGGTCACATGTAAGCCTTATAAGGAGCAAGTCTCCAGGTCAGACGTCGAGGGTGAGGGGTAAAGAGCCCTCCTGCTTTAGATCAGCCTGGTCAGGCTCAACAGGCACTCAGGGATTCCAGCACCCCAAAAAAAGTTCCTCCCTGTTCTAGGGAAAATTTTAGGGAATTGAATACCCTACATGGATCTGTCCCAAATTCAGCTACAGGAAAGAAGCACAAATGAGTGAGACCAAGACAGGGAACATCTAATTTGTTTCCATACGATATTGACAGATCTTCCACCTTTTCCAGAAATGCCTAAACACTCGGTGCATACGTGAGATCTCTGGATTTTTCAATGTTGGCAATTACTTGAAAATGAAAACAAAAACTCTGTACTAATCAAACAAAATACACCTGAGGGCTGGATTAGGCCTTCAGCCCATTTTGTTACCACTTCAGCTTTCCTGTTTTCTTAACTGCAGGGACATGACCGAGGCGACAGCTATAGTCATACCACAGACACATCGCTTCCGGTAGGGTTACAAGATTTAGCTAACAAAAACATAGGATGCCCAGTTGAATTCAACTTTGGATAAACAATGGATAATTTTTTAGTATAAGTATGTATAGGCCATACATATATTGTAGAGCATAATTATGTCCAGGGAATATTATATAAGTATTATATCATATGCTACATGTATCAGTATTATATATTATACTTACATACTATTCCCTGGACATAGTTATATATATATATACACACACACACACACACACACACACACACATAAAAATATATACCTATACAAATTCAGCCTGGGACATCCTTATGATAAAAAATTATTCACTGATTATCTGAAATTCAAGTTTAACTGGTGTCTTATATATGGACCAAGACAGTTGATTAATGAGCTCTTCCTTCTTTGGCGCTAATTTATCAGGAAAACTGGAAAACAAAGGTATCTGGGTCCAGCTAGGCTCAGAACAAGTCACCAAAGCTCTGGTGTGTGAATAACTGTATGCGATGCTGTAGGAAGGACTTGATCCCACCCACAGAGTGGCTACTCTCCTGGGCAAATGGCCACTGGAACCCGCTGTCTGGTCAGGCTTGCCTGGCTTCCTTCCAGTTGGGAGGCCTTTAGGCCACAACGGGAATGCATTTTATTCTCCCTATCCCTTCTACTCACTGAGGGTCAAGCCCACTACCTATGGGTGTATCCTCTGCAGGCCGCGCTGGCTTTTGCAGTGCCCTTTCCTCTCCCTGCCATAATAGCTGCAGCAGATGCTGGTGCTCCCAGGCACAGGTGGGCTCACTTCCCTTGTCCTCCAAACACTCATCATGCCCGTGCTTCTGGTGGGGGCCGGAGCTAATGGATCTCAGCTGAGGTTGCTCCAGGCCTCCCTCCCACCCCTTGGGAGAGGGAGGCCAGCTCAGAAACCACAATCCTCCCTCCTTCCTGTAGACTTAACTATCTCACCTTGTCCGCCCTGCTCCCCGGTGGAGCTGCAGAGGATATTCCTTTCAACCGGGAAGCCAAGCAGAGATCCCAGATGCCACCACCCACCTCGATCCACCCCCATATGGTGGCATAGGTCAGTGCCATGATTGGCCAGGGTCAGAGCTGTACCACCGAACGTGCTGAAAGCCCCGCTTTGCCCAAAGAGAGTCTCCGTCTTCACTTCTCCTTTCTTCCTCTCTTCCTCCTCCTCCTTCAAAGGCACACTTGTAAGGCAACTGGGTCCTCCACCCACAGTTCAAAATGCTTACTGACTGGGTCTCACTCTGAGTTTAAAAAAAGAAAAATTCTCTTTGGGTAATTTTTCTTTTAATTGATCGAACCAATCCATAACTATGAAGGGCAAATAACTGTCCTTGCACCCCAAGCCCTGTGGGGATGATGTAGTTAGTATTAATAGTTGCTGCTGATCACTGATGTTAACCACCCCCCACCCCCAGGAGCCTTATTACAATGATTTGGACAAATTCACATGTGCTTTTACCCTGAGAGAGTGTTTTATTCACCTGGGTGGGTAATTTACAGATGAGCAATATACTTCAAGTATTACAACTAGATTTGTCTTTTCCTCCTTCACTGGAGGGCCTGAGTTCTCTAAGGCTGTTCCCTGGACAGGAGTGGACTTCAAGGTTCTCATTGCAATTGTGGATTCCTGGGAGGGAGGGAGATATCCCCTCCCAGAAGTTCTGGTTGAGAAGGTTTAAAGATGGATTAAGAATCTAAATTGTTTGAACAGACACTTCAGGGGATTCCAGATCCAGTGAGTCATAGGCGCCCCTTGGAGAAACTATGGCTGAAATGGTTTTCCTGGCATTCTATTATTTGCCTAGCAGTTTTAATAAAGTTGGGTCTTAACATTACATTTCCTCCATGGCGGCATTAGATAATTCATATCTGAGTTTAATCCGCAAGCCGTGGTCAACACACATGCATGTCATCAGCCAGGCTGAAACTTCTAGGAGGGTCTCAGCGACCCATAGGCTAGGGGCTTCTTGGAGATCCCCTGCCGGTCCTGCGCCGTGGGGTGGGAGGATGTGAATCCCATGGTCTGTAGTCACAGCTGTCCTGGGAGAGGGATCCTTGAATTTGAGTGAAATAAAATATAGCAAAGATATCTTTGAAATACCCTCACATCTTTCTGGTTTGGCCGAGAGATGAATGAGGAGGACTAACAGGCGGAGGGAAAACGCCGACTTCACGCATTTACCTCCACTAGCCTCCAGGGGGCAGCAGAGCCGGGAAGAACATTCACGCAGGCGGCTCCGGGAAACGGAAGGAGGGAAAACGCCGACTTCACGCATTTACCTCCACTAGCCTCCAGGGGGCAGCAGAGCCGGGAAGAACATTCACGCAGGCGGCTCCGGGAAACGGAAGGAGGGAAAACGCCGACTTCACGCATTTACCTCCACTAGCCTCCAGGGGGCAGCAGAGCCGGGAAGAACATTCACGCAGGCGGCTCCGGGAAACGGAAGGAGGGAAAACGCCGACTTCACGCATTTACCTCCACTAGCCTCCAGGGGGCAGCAGAGCCGGGAAGAACATTCACGCAGGCGGCTCCGGGAAACGGAAGGAGGGAAAACGCCGACTTCACGCATTTACCTCCACTAGCCTCCAGGGGGCAGCAGAGCCGGGAAGAACATTCACGCAGGCGGCTCCGGGAAACGGAAGGTGCGGGTCGCTCTAACCCACAGGGTTTCACGCCACGTCCTCTCAGGCTCCTGGGGGTTGCCCTCGACAGCCACGGCCGCACCTCCCACCTCTCATGGAGGTGTCTTCGGGCCCAGGAGGAAGCCAGGCGGCTGGGCAAAGGTCCAGGGGCTCCAAAAAGCCCTGTGAACTCCGAGACCGTAAACTGGATCCAAAGTCCTGAGAGAGACCGAAGCCCACATCCACGTGACCCTTCCTGGTAGTTGACCTTGAGAAAGTTACTTCTTTGCTTCCTCATCTACGAAATGGGAATGGTAATCTACTGACTTCATGTGGTTGTTGAGAGGATTAAATGAGTTAATAGATGTTAATAATGGCTAGCACAGAATAAGTGCTTTTTAAATTATTATTAAGAGACAGCCGCCTGGGCTGGAGTGTAATGGCCCAATCATAGCTTACTGCAACCTCGAACTCCTGGGCGCAACAGATCCTCCTGTATCAGCCTCCCGAGTAGCTAAGGCTGCAGGTGTGTGCCACCACGGCTTTTAAAAATTTTTTGTAGAGATGAGGTCTCACCATGTTGCCTAGGCTGGTCTCAAACTCCTGGGCTCAAGTGATCCTCCCACCTTGGCCTCCCAAAGTGCTGGGATTCCAGCTATGAGCCACCACACCCAGCCGGAATAAGTGCTTTTTAAATGCTTGCTCCTGTGTTCACTTAATTCCAAACCACTTTTGGACAATGTGGGATTCTGGGTAGAATCGGTTTTTCTGTTTTTGTTTTGTTTTGTTTTGTTTTGTTTTGTTTTGTTTTGTTTTTGAGACCGAGTTTCACTCTTGTTGCCCAGGCTGGAGTGCAGTGGCATGATGTGGGCTGACCGCAACCTCCGCCTCCCGGGTTCAAGCAATTATCCTGCCTCAGCCTCCCGAGTAGCCGGGATTACAGGCGCCTGCAACCACGCCTGGCTAATTTTTGTATTTTTAGTAGAGACGGGGTTTCACCATGTTGGTCAGGCTGGTCTCAAACTCCTGACCTTGTGGTCTGCCTGCCTTGGCCTCCCAAAATGCTGGGATTGCAGGTGTGAGCCACCGCGCCCAGCTAGAAGTGTTTTTTTAATAAAATAATTTGCATTTGGATTGGTTTCAGATAATGTTTCAAAATAATACCTAGCAGGTGCTTTGAATTACTAATTTGACTAAATCAGTGTTGGATTCATAAGATTTTCTCTAAGGGTATAAGCAGTGGTATACAAAGCATTATTCCAATTCTCAAAACTCTGGATACAGTAAGATATCTTTAATACTAAGCTGCATTACACATAATGTTTCTTGAAGATTCAGGATCTGCAGTGAATCTCAAATATTACTGTATTAAGAGATATGCAGACAGGCTGGCTCACAGAGCTATCTTGAAGATAGAAAACTGCATAAATCGGCTGGGTGCAGTGGCTCATACCTGTAATCCCAACACTTCGGGAGGCCGAGGCGGGCGGATCACAAGGTCAGGAGGTCAAGACCATCCTGGCCAACATCGTGAAACCCCGTCTCTACTAAAAATACAAAAATTAGCCGGGTGTGGTGGTGCACACCTGCAGTCCCAGCTACTCAGGAGGCTGAGGCAGGAGAATTGCTTGAACCCGGGAGGCGAAGGTTGCAGTGAGCCGAGATCACACTATTGCACTCCAGCCTGTTGACAGAGTGAGACTCCATGTCAAAAAAAAAA
Source organism: Homo sapiens (assembly GCF_000001405.40). Taxonomy (NCBI): domain Eukaryota; kingdom Metazoa; phylum Chordata; class Mammalia; order Primates; family Hominidae; genus Homo; species Homo sapiens. Next base: position 996,843 of record NC_000009.12, on the reverse strand, counting down.
AAAAAAGAAAGAAAACTGCATAAATTAGTGTTTTCTGTGGGCATTTTCATTCATTCATTTGTGTTGTTTTACATATGCTGTTGTCTACTCAGGCAGCCCTAAATGATATATGCCCACCTGGTTGCTGGTGGCCTGAGCTGGTTTTAGATCAGGGACAATCCTTAGAGATATACTGAGGTCAGAATGGTGGGCTGACCTAACAGATGCAGGTAGTAGATACTCAATAAAGGCTAGTTCTTCCAGCTCCCTTTCCAACATCTCCCTCCATTTCTAATCTCAAGTCCATTGAGTGAGATTTTTTTGAAAATTGAAACTACTTCCTATTTTCTCAAAGGGGACAGGCCAAAGGAGATAGGTTGACGAAGATTTATTTATCCATGGCTTCCACAGTATTCCTTTCAATGATCAAACTGTTCTCTAGCAACTCATTGTTTTTTCTTTCTCTCTCTTTCTCTAGGGTCTCTGCTAGGTTTTAGTGTACCTTTGAGCAGAGTAGAAAAAGGCTTCTCCTAAAACAGCACCTTTTCTGGTCTGACAAATTTGAAAAGGGTACCCACTCTGGATCTGAGGCCCCACTTGCTCCTTGGCTGGACCCCTTGGTGCAATACACAAAATGGACAGCCTCCACAGCAGCCTATTTCACCCAGTGATCCCTGAAGGCAGAAGCAATAAGGAAAGCCAGGGGCTGCAATGGACAGCCAGCAGGCTGCTAGTGAGGACAGAGCCCACTGGTATTGTCATAGCAGCCCCTGGGGCTGAGAAAGGTCCCACGTTTAATTCACCCACCCTCCCTCTATAGAAACCACCACACATCTGGTTCTGCCATATTTGGCTAGGAGACAGAGATACTTCCACAGATCTTAGGAATCTTTCATTTAAATCACAGTGGCAGGGTGAGGTCATGGTCTAAAACCAACAAGCAGTGACTCAAGTCTTCGGAAGGGATAATTTTTCTCAACAGCTGCTGTTTACTTTTGGTTAAGTCCAGTGGCTTTGCCCATGGGATATATGAAACTCTTGACATAACCTAACAATCTCGGCAAACTCTCAGAATCTAATTAGTAAATAAACTCCATTGTAATTTAAGGGAAAACCACTACCTTTCCTATTTACCCTTCACACTGAAATAGTAAATGATACTGTGGGAACGTTGAAGCATGTCCAGAATAGACCATCAACAAAAGGCAAGATTGCCTCTCCTGAGCCTCCTCTGTCCTCTGAGATTAGAATTTGGGGAGGATGCATTCAGAAATGATTTTTTTCCGGTAATGACAACGTTCAGTACCACATAAGAAATGAAATTGAAGCATTGATCTTATTCTTCAAATATAGGATAGCTTCCATATTAAAATTAACATACAAATTTAGCATCCATCTTATTTTTGACTCACTTCTGCTGAGTAAATGCACATATAAAGAATGAATCACTGAAACAGTATGCAGTGAAATAAAGTTCATTTTTCAAATACGTCAGTTCAAATGCGGTCAAAGCCTGTTTTCTGGGCACCCAACAAATGTTCCCAAGATGCTCCTTCTGCCACCACCTCCCATCCCCTCTATCCTTAGGGCAAGCTAGGGACCTTGGGAGTTGAGTCCCTAAAGAGCAAGTGTGGTAATACAGGACTGCTACACCTCACACCTCCTTCTCTAGTCCTGTTTCTTTTTATACATTTGAAATGTTCTTCGGCTCTTAGGAGCCTGTTGACCAACTTAACAGCCTGGACCAGTGGTCCAGAATCACTGCCCCTTTTCTCTGGTGCCTGATGCCTCCCCAGGTTGCCCTACCGTTAATTTCAACCATATCCATGTACCTAACAAATGTCTTGCTTCTCAATTCATCTATAAAATTACTTCCTCCCACCCCCATCATCAAGAATGTTGCTATTTCTTAAAGCTCAAATCTCGAGGGCAAAACCTATTCCCAGATGTCACTAGTAAACTGAAAATCATGGGACAGCCGGAAGGATCAGCAGTGCCAAAAATTCTGGCCCTCCCCTTGGGGGAAAGAATAGCACATTTAAGCTCTTATCAGGTCCTTCACCAACCAAATTTCCAGAAACAAGCAAGTCTGATCCCAAATGTATACTCAACCTAATAATTGACATTGATGCCAACATTGTTTGAACTAGATCTAGGGTATGTACTAGGACTGTTTACATGTTGATGTTTACCCTTGCCCTAGAAAAGTAGGTGGGAATGGGGGAGAAAGGACTTAATATCTCAGCATAAAAGTTTATGGCCTTCAGCCCTTTTACGTGGTGTAGATCTAAAAAGAAAACCCAAGGATGTGATGAAGAGGAAGTTCATTCTCACATCTTAGTGAGTGTACAAATTACCTGGAGAGGACAATAAAAATGTACTGCTTAGGCTACCAGGGATTCTGACTCAACAACTCAGGCCCAGGAATCTACCCTAGAAATTAAGCATCTGGGTACATGGACCACACTTTGACACAAATGCTCTAGAACACAACGAACCAACCCACACTCTCAGCATCTTAGACAAAGCATTTACACCAACACTAGGAGTTGGCAGATCCACCAGAAGGGAGGAGAGGCATTGTGGTTTAATGTGGATTAACTTCCTCTAAGACCGGATTGACACAAGTCAAACATCAGTTGATGGAAACTGAAAGTGTACAGCCTAGCCCGGCCCCCAGATGTTGCCTGTGTGACAGAAGGAATTAAAACAGAAGTTGGTTTTTCTCTTCTTCCAGATGTTCAGTTTCATGTGAAAGAATAACTGAGTACCTGTGGGCAGATGAGTATTCATTTCCCTTGAATTCTACGTGCTGCAACAGGATGGTCTCTGAGAGCTGAGTTAGAATCCAAGAGGTTTGCCTCTTTAACCAGAGGGGGCTCATAAATTGGGACTCGGAGTAAAACTGAATGCTGGGAGGACAGAGGATCTTAACACCCAGTTTCTCATTTCTGACCCCTGACCACACTTACCCCACTGAAGCAAACATTTCTTTCTTCAGAATTTTTTTTTTTTTTTTTTTTTTTTTTTAGAAGAAGTCTCATTCTGTTGCCCAGACTGGAGTGCAGTGGCGCAACCTCGGCTCACTGCAACCTCCACCTCCCGGATTCAAGCGATTTTCCTGCCTCAGCCTCCTGAGTAGCTGGGCCTACAGGCACCCTCCACCATGCCTGGCTAATTTTTGTACTTTTAGTAGAGACGGGGTTTCACCATGTTGGCCAAGCTGGTCTCAAACTCCTGATCTCAGGTGATCCACCTACCTCGGCCTCCCAAAATGCTGGGATTACAGGCATGAGCCACCACACCAAGCCTCTTTTTTCAGATTATATTGAGGATCAAACATACCTGCACTAGCCCACAAATAAATTGCTTTACAGATAATTCCATTTTGCTGGCCATCATAGAGAGGCCAATGATAATTATTTATAGGCAAAATCAAGCTGTAAGGATGCCGTTATCAGTGAGGTTTTGTTCAATTTGGGTGGTTCAACCTGAAGATGTAATATCTGAGGACAGGCTTTTTAGCATCTTGGCTTAGGTGCTGTGGTACATTATCATTATTGCTTGTTAAATGTGGGTAAACTTTTGCAATGAAGATGCCTTTAAAATACATTTGTCCTAGATAGGTCCAGACATCAGCACTTCATTGCCACATAAAATGTCCTGGACATGTCTTTAGAATCAGGGGGCAAACTGCTCTCCCTTCTACTCCCTTTCTTCCTTATATAAACATTAATGTTTAAATATAACCCTAACAAGAAGCCATATTTCCCTTTTTTTTTTTTTTTTTTTGAGACAAGGTCTGGCTCTATGGCCCAGGCTAGAGTACAGTGGTACAATCTCTGTCCACTGCAACTTTTGCTTCCCCAGCTCAAGCCATCCTCCCACCTCAGCCTCCCAAGTAGCTGGGACTACAGGTACATGCCACCACACCTGGCTAATTTTTGTATTTTTTGTAGAGACAAAAATACAAAAGCTGGTCTCAAACTCATGAGTTCAAGCGATCTGCCTGCCTCGGCCTCCCAAAGTGCTGGGATTATAAGCATGAGCCACCATGCCTGGCCCGTATTTAAACACTCTAGTATGTAACTATGTCAATTAAATACATAGTAGTCCAACTAATACAGGGGATTTTTTCTCCTCAAAGGTTTTTCATGTCAAAAGTGCCCAGTGGAATTAAAAATGAGAAGGCTCTTTTACATATCTCCCTTCTCTTGGGAACCCATTCAAGGGTGGGGAGCATCTCAGGCTGAGAGAACTTGCCCTTCTCCCTCCGAGGACCGAAGAACCTTTTAAGACTTATTCCTGCACTGGGAGCTCTCTCTGCATCCTTGTCATGTAGAGGCTTTTATTTATTTGCTTATTTACTTTCCCTTCCACATTTGTAAGTTTATTGTCTGACCTAAGCAGTCATCTTACCTTTCAAGCACTTTGAAAAATGGAAACAGTAAGTCAGAGAAGTGGTTGGTGTGAGCACCACTGAATGTTACTGTTTGAAACTTCTCTCTAAAAAAAAAAATCTGAGCAAGAAGTTTGTCATATACAGCACCTCAAGAATGTTTTTAAAACGAAAGAAAAAAGCCCTGGTTTTCAATGTTTTGCCTCAAACCAGAATGGCATGGTCTCCAAGTAAGAATGAAGGAATGCACGTCTATATTCTGAATGCAAGGCTACTGAATTTCATTAATAGAAGCAGTAGTTTTCATGGACTGCATACTTCCTATGTCAGGTACTGGGCTAAGCACTTTCCTTGCTTCCCACACTCAACTATACATTGTTGGGAGTTTTCCATTTTTACTTTGTTTTCAATGGGATTCTCCACTAAAATATCTGCTTATCTAGGACTCACGGGTAGGTAACTTGGACAATACATGGAAAGCACATTCTCTTACACATAGTAGGCACTCAGTAAGTATCTGTTGAATAAGTGAATGGATGGAGAGAATTAACTCCATTTTGAACAAATTATCTTTCTGAATGCAACCCTAAAACTTTGCCATTCATATTTCTCAGGAATGTCTCATTTAACTGATAATTTGATTCCTGGCCCATGCGTTAGTAAAAGTCATTTTTACATCAAGTTTCTATTTTTAGAGATCCTCTTTCCACAAGTAGAAATGACATAAACCACGCTCGTCTCCTTAGTTTATTTTTTTCTAGAGTCCTTAACATGCTACATTAACCTGACAAAGCTTAATCTTGTGTTCGTTTCACAATACATTTCATGCAGTTCACAGCTGTGATTGGTTTTACATTGACATTACACATGTTTCGATTCAGCCATGTGAAAAGAGTAATTCTTAATGGGGTTTGTCTCTGAAAACTGTCCAAGCTTAAATAAGCATATGAGCAGTTCACTCTATTCTTAAGTGCATCTCTCTTTAAAATGCAAGGATTTTTAGTGTAAGAATATAATGTCCCTGTTTATAGTCCATTTGCAACAGAACCACTTCCTTTAGGTTTCACATATCCTGAGGAATCCACTTTTACAAAATTGCATTCAAGTATATTATTTCATTTAACATTCCAGGTTGGGTTTAGGTGCAAGGCTGACCTTCAGCTTTACATCCCCAAATAAATCTTCCACGGACCCAGCCTTCCCAAGACTATTCTTAACATTAGACTCTCTTTTACAATAAACATTCAGCACTAAAGCCACAGAACAGAGCTATTTGGCATTTTCCAGTGAAGTGCAAGAAGTTAAATAAGTTATGTTTTTATTGCTAATGTATAGAATCAAGCACAGTCACTTTGTCAAACAGAAGGAAAGGGCATACACAAGATGTGGCCTCTCCTCAGATGCCTCAGGGTCAAAACGCACAGAAAATGTCACCTGGCCACCACCCATCCAGCACCACTTTAAGATGATGTGTTGAGTGTTCTAGAGTCTGAGGAGTCAGACCTCTCGTCATAGTCGTCCTCGGTGTAAATGGACTGCTTTGACACAAATGGACACCCATCATCAGGGATGGAAATCCGAGGGTCTTCCGTGGCGCGGGCAGGAAGGACGGGCGAGCTTCTGAAGACGCTGGTAGAGTTACTGGGGAAAGGACTGACATACTGGGACCTCAGCTGATACTGCTGCTGCAGCGTCATGGTGTTCCACAGGGTGACATCATTGGGCAAAAAGGGGCTCGACTGGCTTCTCGCCAAAGTATTCCTCAGCATCAGCGGGTACCGGGGTGGCTGGGGGAAAGGGGGCTGCAGAGGCCCAGCCAAGGGACTGGGGACAACGTTGCTAGAGTCGGCAGAAAACCTCAACGTGTCTGGGACTCGAAAGGCTGATCCCACAGACCATTTGGAAGACGAGATGGGGTAGGAGCTCAAGGTGTGTTCAAAGATGTGCCCATTGGAGGGCAACGCTAGACTCTCAGGTTCTGCGGAAGTTCGCTCTGCTCCCGTGACTGAGGATCGGCTGGACAGAAGGACTTCCACGGCGCTCACCAGGTCCCCGCCACAGCCCTTGAGGATGAGCTCAAGCACCGTTGGCTTCTGGTTGGGGAATATCTTTTTTAACACTTCAAGCGGCGGTCTGTTGGCTTTCAAGCTGAAGGGCAGAGAAACAGTCCCCGAGGGGCCCTCAATCAGGAGGTGATTCTGCTCCGCGTGACACTTGGGGCTGTCAGGGCGGCTCTCGGGGTTGCCTCCGTTTTTCTGGACAGCGTATCCCCCTTCCTCCACGGACACTATCTCAGGGCTCTCAGGGGTGAAGCAGCCCTTACTCTTTGCCACATCTGGGGAACTCCTCTGGTCAGTGTCTTTGTCACTGAAGACCTCTGTATTGTCTGCCGACTTGCCGTCTCCAAGTCGTTCTTCAGTCAAATCTGGAAAACAGAACAGCTGAGTTAATCTTTTCCTGGTGTGCATAAAGAGGAGCAGATGTGCTCAGAAGAGACCTGTACACGTGCTTTTTGGAAGAGCAAATGCATCTCAATGGGTCATAATATACTACAAGCCTTTTTAAAAAAATTCGAACTATATCACTGGCAAATGAAACAAAAACCCTGTAAATAAAGATCTAGAAATCAGAGTGGCTTCCTGGAATGCTTTGTGCAAGGAAGCTTGCCTTCAACATAGAATGGCTACATGAACCTGTAACATATGGCTTTCATAGCAGTAACAATCTCAATAGAGAGCCTCTTTGGGAGGAGGGGTGGGGGACTCCTGGAAGAGCAAAGCTCAGGGAGAAACAGGAAAATCAGCTCAGCTTGTCTTCCGGCTCCTCTTCTGCAAATAAGGTCCCCAGCTGTTATCTAGGGATAGTACCATCCAGATACCCACAGGGAATTTTAATATCTGAAATCTATTTTCCCATAGGCTGATTTTGTGTTAAATATGTCTTATGAACCAATCAGTAAGTTGCATCAGGTTACCATATACAATAGCTAGCTAATTCAATTGCTGAAGTGAAAGATACCTCTATCCATTGAAATCTTTCATAAGAAGCCACTTGAGGCATTGGCAAACTTGGTTGCCAATAACTTGTACTAGAAAGCAAACGAAACCAGCTATGAATTCCGGATGGCAGGATAAGTTGCTGGAGAGGAAAAAAGGAAGTGGCTAGAAAGGGTTTGTTAAATTGCACGGGGGCATTATTATCCATCAATGAAACAACGCATCACACTCCACCGCCACGGGTGGCACGAGGCAGATACCTGTGCATGAACTGTTTTGCTGGTACAGTTCATGGAAAGGACTTGAAGATACCTTTTTTTAAAGCCAGTGAAATTTGAAGATACCTTTTTATATTATATGAAAAGAAGAAGGAGGGAAAAAAAGGCTTCCCAAATAAAGCAGAGACTTGCGATAAAGTAAACCAGTTGCAAATTTAACATCTTGACCTAAGAACATTTTTACTTAACAGCTGGTAATATTGCAGGGCTAAGCACACAGAAAAGAGTAAGTCAGAGTGGTTTGCTTTGCAGTAGTAAATTCCAACAGGACTTTATAATAAAGAAACATATTTTTTAGTAGCAAGCTATTTGCAAATAGAGTTTTGTCCTTTTTTGAAACACGCGCTGGCTGTGGCTACTCAAAGCCAGGGTAGCTGATCGAAAGATGAAAATTCCTAATGACCCAGTTGTTGAGTTGTAAACAATTGCTTTGCCTGTGTTTTCTGCTGCCCTGCCTGAATAGCTTCATTGTTGCCTTCTCTGTGGGCACACCTGATTATATACAGATAGCCAGCCGGTGAAATTTCATCAAAGCACCCTCTAGAAACAATCTTCTCCTACACTTGTCATTTTAAAAGCCTTAAGGGCCTACTTATGAACATTCTTCTAATACAGGTGTATCTTAAGTGTAACCAAAAAACAAAACTTTGTGAAATTTCATCAAAGCACCTTCTAGAAACCATCTTCTCCTACACTTGTTATTTATTTTAAAAGCCTTAAAGGCCTACTTAGAAACATTCTTCTAATACAGGATGTATCTCAGATGTAACCAAAAACCAAAACTTTGGCCTTTAACAAAGCAATAAATATGTGGCAAACATAAGTAAATACACTTTAAAACACTCTTCAATTACCTCAGTGCAAGTGTCAACATACATCTGATAGGAATTCATACTTATCCCAAATTTGCATTTTAATTAAACTGCTTCTTTTTTAATATAAAATATAAGGTTTCCAATGAGAGGTTCATTTGCGTCACATACATATGAAGCCATCTTCACTTTATATAATGACTCTATAGAAAGACTCTACTGTAGAATGACTCTATTTTTGTAAGAGAAATTTGACATATTCTCTCCTACAACTTCTTAGGATGGGGGACACAGCTTTTACCTCTTGAGTTAATGTGGTATTTGAACTCATGTCCTTGATTCAAAAGAGAAAAACAGCAACAAAAAGGCTTCTATAGATTTACTTTATAATCAGCTAGATCTATTTAAATGTTCCTGACTCATGACCCATACATACTTCTTGGCTGTTACTCTATTATTAAACATTTGAAAATTATTAAACACTTGAAAAGTGATAGCATATTAATATACTATCACTTTTAGAAATTGGAAAAACAAGTCAAATACTCTCCCCATGTAAATATGGACATAAAGTACTTCTTTAAAATACTATGTACTTCTAAACAGTTTCCTTATTTTTTAATTTTAGCGTAATTATCAGCACCAAGTATTTATATTTCTGCACGATACTGGGAGAAACAGAATAAAGGATGAAAAACACCAAGAAGTGTAAGACCCACACCTAGCTTATGGACCTTATCTTCTAGCTGGGGAAATAAGACACACATGCAGGAGAAGAAGCAAACAGGGCCTGGCAGCATTTGCTAAGCCTCAAATATGACACACATTGTATACCAATGTTCATGGCAGCAGCATTCACAATAGCCAAAAGGTGAAAGCAACCCAAATGTCCATCAGTGCATGAATGTATAAAACGTGGTGTACACACACACACACACACACACACACACACACACACACACACACAGTGGGATATTATTCAGCCTTAAAAAGGAATGGAATTCCAATACATGCTATAACATGGATGAACCTTGAGAACATTAGGCTAAGTGAAATAAGCCAGACACAAAAGGACAAATACTGTATGACTCTACTTATATTCGATACCAAGAATAGGGAAATTCAGAGAGAAAGTAGTGTGGTGGTTGTCAGGGGCTGGAGGAAAAGGGAATGGGGAGTTATTGTTTCATGGGTATGGAGTTTCCGTCTGGAATGATGAAAAGGTTCTGAAGATGGATGGTGGTGATGGTTGCACAACATTTTGAATAAATGCCACTGAATTGTGCCCCTAAAAATGGTTAAAATTGTAAACTTTATGTTATATATACTTTACCACAATAAAAAAAGAAAAATATATGCCACACAGTGTCATAGTAATATAGAGAATGAAGAGATTTTTTTAAGCAAGAGAAACAACTAGTCCTTCTTGGGAATAAAGCGTACATAGGCACAGCTGGAAAGCTCAAAGCTCAACTTTTTTTTTTTTTTTGAGACAGAGTCTCACTCTGTCACCCAGGCTGGAGTGCAGTGGCATGGTCTCGGCTCACTGGAAACTCTGCCTCCTGGGTTCAAGTGATTCTCCCGCGTCAGCCTCCCGAATAGCTGGGACTACAGGTGTGTGCCACCACACCCAGCTAATTTTTGTATTTGTAGTAGAGACAGGGTTTCACTATGTTGGCCAGGCTCCTCTCGAACTCCTGACCTCATGATCCACCCGCCTCAGCCTCCCAAAGTGCTGGGATTACAGGAGTCAGCCACCACGCCCGGCCAGCTCAACTATTTTTAAAAGAAATATATGAACCAAATAGCTTTGTGTTTTAAAAGGTACATCCCCTGCCCCCACTTTAGATAAGTTTCAAACACTGAAAACATATTAGGAAGTGTTTTCTCAGGTCTGTCAACCAAATTGACTCTTCCACAGTACACTTCAGTCTCCAGAAAAAAAGTGGATCAAACAGCAGAAGGCTAACTGAAAGGGGAATTAGGGAATGAGGTTCTCACTAACATAATGACTCTACCATTACAAAAATGGAGGCTTTTTTTTTTCAAGGTAGCAACAGATATACTGTCCCAATCAACTGAATACTTGATACCAGGATTACAAGTCTGACAATATAAAATTCCACTCTTGTACCTATTTTCCTAAGTTCTGCGGAACAGACGGTAGTGGAATCTTATGTCAGTGCCAGCTTGTTCAGCAATTGTGAACTCTCAGACTGTGAAAGTCACTTTCTCATTTTGTTGTGTTACCCTTTGCCCCTGCTACTGGGACATGCTAGTGCATCATGCACTTCTGGTTACTTGTCAAGGAGTGGTGATAGATTACACCGAATCCTCCATGCTCTCTCCGCAGGTCTCTGTGCCGTCTGGCTATAGCCAAAATATGAGAAAAGCTAACACAATGTCACAGGAATCAAATCTACAAATTCAGCGTAAACCAACCAACCAGCTGAGCTCAGCACTGCTTACACTGTGTTCAAAGGAAAGACAAAGATGATGAAAGAACAAGCAGAGCACACCTGTGAGGCTTATGCACCTGAGCCGCACACAAGGTCCTGCTAAGTAGTGCTGGGTGAGCCAAATCCCCATCAACATGTAAGGCTGTTGGAGTTTCAAAACTAGGCAAAGGAAGACTAGCCTCTAACTTTGCACCAAGAATAACTCCTCACCAAACAATAATTTCTGAAGGGCAGGATATATAGTTCCTGCAATTTTGTGGCGCTATGGTGTCTAGTACTGGTTGTATTATTGCACCTAAACTAAATATATTGTAAATTATTCTATTATAAATACAGACTTTCACAGGTAATTATAGAGGGTGAGTTTTGAGCCCAGTGATAAAGTGTAATTTAATAACAGGTACTTCTTTACATCTCCAGATTTGTTCTTAAATAAACTTTACAAATCATTCTAGTTGGTTTAAAACATAAAGGCCTTTCTAGACATAGAAATGTGAAACTGCCAACTAACAAAATAAAATAGGAAATACTCCTGAAACATTTTACCTTCTTTCTTCTTGAAACTGAAACCCTAATTCCTAGAACATTAAGAGTGTATATCAACTGATAATATTTTTACCCCGGTAGATGGGTATAGAAAGTCAAAGCTATTAAACAGGGAAGAAATCAATTTTATCGAATATGACAAATATTACTGAAAGTGATACAATATGCTGTTTCTATTGCTAAACATGTACATATTTTTAAAATCTTAATATTCTCTCTTCCATTTCATATTTCATGGGGTAGAAACACTTATAGCTATCCCTGAAATAAACTGTGCACTAGGGTAAAGAGGTTTTTAAAAGAAGTAGATATTCAATTAAAAAGAAAAGTTTTTCTACAGATAACAATGCTACCGACTTCAAAATATATATGCCATAAGATGACTACAATACTTTTTTTTCTTTTTTTGCTACAAGACTTTAAAGAGAGAAAATAAACACTCACAAAAGTGCTTTCAATCTAAAATTACAGTTTGAAAATGTAACTTTCTTTAGGGGAGTTTTTCACATAAAAATGCAATTTAGTAAAAAAAAAATGTATTATTTCAAATACTTTGAGAAAGTCTACCACATATGAGAAACAAACATTCTGCTCACGATGCATAAAAGTGAAAAATCTGGCTGGGCGCGGTGGCTCACACCTGTAATCCCAGCACTTTGGGAGGCCGAGGCAGGTGGATCACGAGGTCAGGAGATCAAGACCATCTGGCTAACATGGTGAAACCTCATCTCTACTAAAAATACAAAAAAAAATAGCCGAGCATGGTGGCAGGTGCCTGTAGTCCCAGCTACTCAGGAGGCTGAGGCAGGAGAATGGCGTGAACCCGGGAGGCAGAGCTTGCAGTGAGCTGCAGATCTCACCACTGCACTCCAGCTGCGGCGACAGAATTAGACTGTCTAAATAAAAAAAAAAAAATGTGAAAAATCTTTCTGACTTAGATGTCATAGGTTATATCCATTCTATCCAATTATATCTACGAAAACAAAATAGTTCTTACATACAGAATGAAAACACAGAAAAACTCGAGCAGAGAGGAATATTTCCTAGCTCAAAAGTCACTGGACTCCCCCATCCCTTTTGAAATCATGTCACGCATTTTGAAACATAGATTGTCATATCCTCATCTGTTCACTTGAGCTGTGGGGAACACACCTGTAAATAACAGGTCCTTGATGGGTAGTTTTCAAAGCACATAAATCTTACAACAATGGCAAGGGAGGGAGCCCAGGCAGGATGAGACTTTTACAGGAGACCATTGCCTAATCAGAATTCTAATCGTAGACAAACGCTTCACATTTTCTCTTACCTTCATCTCACACTAGAAGTGATGAATTATTTTAAAAAAATGAATAGTTGAAAATCTAAAGAACACCAGGGAATGATCTCGATCTAAAAACTTTCCTTTTCTTCCTGGGGTGGATTGCCGGGTTGGGGAGGGTTGTGAAAAGTTAAAAAAAAAAAAAAAACTAGCCATGCTTTACTTTTTAAAAAATCATTAACAACACTGAATTAATAACGTATGAAGGAATCAGAGTGGTTCCTTGACACTATATTTTGGGGGAATATTGCTATAGACAGGACTGGGCTGAAGGAAGTATGGTTTGCAACTGTGGACCTCACATATTTTGTAAAAAATTAGTTTTGATCTCTTTCTTGACTCAGAAGGGAATACCTTCCAAGAAGCAGAGGGGAAATTACCTACAAATCTACATGTTTATTTGGTACCTTCCAAAATGCACCTGTCTAACTCATCCATCTATTTAACAAATGCCCCTAAATGCCTTACTATGCTCTCATGTACTGTGCTGGGTAAGATCATACAGAGATGATCAAAGCATTGCCTCTTGACCACTGAGAGGCATACAGTTTACTAACTAATCTTTTGCAAAATTCCAAGTAAGCTGCAGTTGGTTATATTTCACAGTGAAATACAGCAAATAATTCCAAGGATAGCAGCTGGGCAGACCATGGTGTCTTCACAGGAGGAAATATTGTTTTAAATGCTTACATATAAAGATTATGGGTGCTAGAGATATATACTGAACTAAACAAAGTAATAATCAGTGGGAAAAACGTGGAACACTAATCCCAGCTCTGTAAAATTTATGTCTGCCTAGTTGTTGTAATCAAGAGATTGGAGATTTTGTAAAGAATTGATGTGCCGACTCTTAAGTTTTTCATTATTATTATTGTTACTTGGTACTTGATTGTGCCTTTTATAGCTGTTTATGCAATAAAATGCAAAAAAACCCCATACCTAGTTATTTTAGTTTCCCTTCTGAGAACAGTAGTATGCATTGCTCAGGCAAGAGGATGACTCACTAAGGCGATGTGGGACGTAACTGACACAATCACAAGGCGGTGGACCTGTGAGGACCAGCTGTCCTATCACTGCATCCTCCACCTCTGCCATGAGCACCCGTGCACAAGCCATCAGAGCCACACAGGACTAGACAAGGAGGTCCAAGGACCTGAGCAGCTAATGGCTAAGGGGCTGCAACAGGTTTAAAGGCGGGAAGAAAGGAAAAAAGCAAGAGGCGAGGAAGAAAGGAAGAGAAAGAAAGAGGAGGCGGGCAGGCAGGGCAGGCAGGCCCATGGTTTTTTGCTGGGCTTAGTCCTCCTTCCCGTCAGGAAGAAGTGCAACATTTCCAGAAAAGGGCTCCGAGTCCTCCAGGGACTTTGATTTATGAAGATTTATTCCTTTTCTCTCTGTAAAGCTGTTAGCAGAAAGTGCTGACTGGCTGCAGCAAAGAATTTCTCATCAATGCTCTTTGATTGTATTTTGCAAACAAAATGCCTGTTGCTTGGTAACATTTCACTTGAGCCTGACCTTCTCCGAAAGTTATTGCTATCAGATTCGATTCACACTGTCCTCCTGTGATTACTGTAATCTTTTAAACCCGGGAGTTCATCCATCAGGGAAAAAGAAAAGTTGGTTGTGTAAGTCGAGAGCACGGCTATCCTCCAGATTTATAACACCAAGGAGTGATTTGGAGGTGGAGAGAGGTTCTTTCCCAGATGGCAGTAGAACTCTGGTTCCTAGACGTGGAACACACTCTCGTTTTTCCTGCCAAACCGTCCCAGATCCACAGGATGGACCCCAGCACCTCCCTGACGCCAGTCCCAGGCAGCTCGGGCTCTGCAGAGAAAGAACTAGGAGATGAGCACAGGCGACCCCACCGCCAAGGGGTGCCCTGCGTGGGTACTGGGGCTGGGTGAGGAAGGCCTAGGCCTATGGTTGCCAGATAAAATAACAGGATGTCCAGTTAAGTGGGACCATCAAATAAACAAAGAAGGCTTTCTAGAGAAAGTATGTCCCATGCAATATTGGCATCCTATTTTTTGTTTGCATGATTTTTGCAGAAGGTGTCAACTCACCTCGGGACTCCTGCCTTGGGAAGGAGAGGGTAGTGAAGCTCAGGAAGAGCAGAGAGGGAGTGGTGGCCCAAGAGCTGGGCAAGGGAAAGGCAAGGGATGTGGCTGTCTCTGGGCGGTTCCTGAGCTGCCTAGTGAGCTGCTTCCTGACAGTGACCAAGGAAAGAGCCGTCCCCAGCAGGCGGCGAGAAGCTGGGCTCAGCTGCAGCTCCGACCCCCTGGTGCAAGGAGACGGCAGTCCATTGCGGCCGCAAGGAGCCGCTGCCCCCTATCTTTGCCCCTACTTTGAACCCGCTGTGGCCAGGGTCCCAGTCCTGGGCCAGCTGCCGCAACCCTCCGCAACACACACACAGCAACTGCACTGCGTGCAAACCGGCCAGGCCAAGAGCTGGGAAGACCGGTCCCCAGCAGCATCCCAGCCCCAAGAGCCAGCCCTGGGGTGGGGTTTGGAAGAGACCTTAGTGCCTGTATGCGTATTCCTTTTTATTTGGTTGGGTTTTGTTTTTTAAAATGCAACTGAGTCAAGCCCCTCACCCTCAAATCAAGCTGTCTTAAAATGAGACCCTGTTTTTCAATTCACAGGTACACTTCATAAATGGTTTTTAAGTATTTCCCGCTTTTCTTTTCTTCCTAGCCAACAGTCAGAGGGTTTCTCATCCTGGCCTGGACGAGTGTTCCGTAACACCCATTACACTTGCAGGTGCTTCTCTTTGGGGGAAAAAAAAATTAAAAAAAAAGGAAGTGGACTTTGCGGGACCCAGTCAAGCCGGAGCAGAAAAGCCCAGAGGCAAGCATAAAGATGCTAGGAGGCGCAGGGCAAGAGGAAAAAATAAAATAAAGGCAGTTTTCCAAAATCTCCTAACTTCTCCCCCTATAGTTATCTTGTTTGCTCCGCCCCCACCCCCTAAGAAATAAACAGGAAAGAAGATCCTACTTTCCCATTTGATCCTTCTCTCTTATTCCTAACCATGTTTTCGATTTCTTTTTCCTTTTAAAAGCATTTAAAAGAATGTGTGTACATATTCATTTTGATGGCAGATGGAGACCTAGGAAGAGTCTACAGCCACAGATCTTTCTTCTCATCGCACCACAGTCTAAGGTGTCCGAGGACACTCCCCTGGAGGAAAAGTTGGGGGTAGGGAAGGGAGCCACAACACAAGAATGTAACTTTAGCTTTTCACCTTGGCAGTGACCCTTAACTTCCCTCAGCTCTTGAGCCCACGTCCTGAAAGGCTGGCTAGGCTGATTAAAACTGCTGATTCAGATACACTAACAGTTGGAAGATCTTCATGCCTCCTGTATTTTCATGGGGAGAAGGAGTATGAGAAGAACATAGAGGGAATTTAGGAGAAGAATAAATGAATTAAATAGTGTATGTATATATACATATATATATACACACACATATATAGCTTAAATTAGAATTTAAATTTAAGCTATATATATAGCTTTTAATAGATATATATAGCTTAATATATCTATACATAGCTTAAATCAAAATGTTCAGCTCAATCAAAATCTAATAATTAATTCCAGGTCCATCGTAGATGGTAATCAAAGAGAAGGAGAAATCTACATTCAAAAAGAAAAAAGAATACTTCATAACTAGAAGTAAAAACCACTAGAATATGAAAATTCTCCTTAAAAACACCACACATTGAAAGGGATATTCAACATACTACACCATTAGATAAAATAACCCCATTCCTTTAAAGAATCTAAAGCAGAATTTGAGAAAAAATTCTTCCAGTTACAAAACTGAGTTTTGATGTGAATATGTCACTCCCTCAACGGGGTGGTTTTCCTCCAGTGATTCACAGCAAACATACTCTTCCTTAAGGCATGTGCTTTTCTCAAAGATTTCTGGAGAGGAAAGACTCCATGTGCTTCTGTTTACAAGAAAAAAAAATCTCTCTTCACAGCTTATGTATTAAAGAGGTCCTTTGCCCCGCAAAAAGACTAACCACATTTCAAAGTCAAAGTTCACAAAGTAATAGATCTACATTGCCAGCAGATATTGAAAGATTTCTGATGGTCTGTATACTTAATGTACATGTGGAACTACCATTCCAATAGAGTTCTGCTTACTCTCTGCACTTAGTTTTGCTTACTCTCTGCACTTATTCAGGAGTAGTTCTGATATGCTTCTAAATACATATGGAATGTTATACACAAATACATTATTAGAACAACTGCAAAAAGGGTATAATACCTATAGCAACAGGCAGTCTCAGTGAGCAGTTTTCTTCAGCTTAAACCCCAAATAGACTTTATTTCTACAAGCACTGTGTAGAATGGATCCACTTGTATGCCTGTCTTCCTAAACAATCATCTATTATTTTCCTACCTTTCTCCCCACTCCCCATCAGAGTGGTGATTTGCTTTTTTTTAAAAAAATGGGAATTATGGGGTCACAGCAAGTGAAAGAAGAAAACAAAAGTTGTGTACATCAATGTACAAGGTATGGGGGGGTGGGGGTGACCAGCTGGAAACTGAGCCCTTGGTCCCTGATGCCTCGGTCCCCCAAAGTCCTCACTTGGACCTCGCCTTGTGATAAATCCTATTCTCCTTTGCAATTACTTGTTTTCAATTCGGAAGGCTCAGGCTATCCCTGAGTGCTAAGTAGGAGTAAAACAGCACAGCTCTGCTTTGTCCAGTTGAGATCCGTTTCCTTTTTCTATTCTCCCAAAGCACGTATCCTGCTGCCGCTGCCTACTCTGCCTTCCTGCCTGCCCTCACTCCTCCTCCTCCTGGGGTTGTGTTTTTAGTTTTGTGACTCTTTAGAAATCATGAACTTTAGCTATCCCAAAGAATACTCTGAAGAACACAGGATGTGAAAGGCATCTCCTTGGATAAAAACCACAGAACCCAATGCCCGATCACAGGAGTGCTGCTGAGTTAACCTCTGATGTTAACTCAGGCCTCTGCCCTAGTCCTGGGGGAAACGGAACCAGAGAAGCTGGAAATGGAAAAAAATTAAGAAAATATATTGGTACAAATCCAATTCTAGAGCTGAGACCAAACTCTTCCTTGTTATTTGTTCAAACCTATGGGAGAAAAATAATAAAACCTTTTTCTCCTCCCTCCTCTTCGTCTGTGACAAATCCATAAATATAAAAAGATGAGACAGACAAAAGAGAGACAACTGGCGATCATTTCTGAGAAACGTTTATATGCTAACTTGGATTAAATATCCACAAAATCCAAGTTCGGCAAACTCTCTTCAGGCTTTAAAATTCCCAGCTCTACTGTCACACAGGCTGTTCTCAGAGCTTCAGGCCTGGAAAGCATGGCGGAAAGACAGGGCAGCAGAACTCCACCTGCCAGTCACCCGTTGACTCACCATGAAACAGGTGAGTCCGCCTCACTTCCTCAGCTCCACAGGATCCAGACAAAGCAGTCCTGGGCTCCTGAAAGCCTTTCTCCGAAGCTAGGGGTACCGTCTTTAGGGAGTTGGCAGGTCAGTGTAGGTACCAGTTTTGCCACAGTTCTACTTACAGGAGGGCTCTGGACCTTCCCACTCCTAATTCCAGCATGCCCCCTTCCGGGAGAAGGTGGGCTGTGTTCCTTTGCACATTTGCCCCAGTTAAGGAGAAACACCAAACACATATCCACTGAATTCCAAGAGCCATCAAAAGAGCTCTTGAGCTGGGCAGAACCGCAAGCTAGAAATTCCCCAGGAAGAGAGAGACTAAGAGACTCAACTCAGGCCTGCCAAGCTCAGGAGGCCTGGATGGAAACGGATGGGTGGTGGGGGATCAGATTTTTTGTATTCCTTTAAACCACGAAGACAGCTGAGGGCAGCCTGGGGAACAGTGTTAAAGGATCTAGGAGGTTCTGCAAAGGAGTGAATTCTGGGCGCATCAGATTCTTTTCCCGCTATCAGCTCACAAGCCTTTCCGGACCCTTTTACTATCATTGCTAAATGGAACTTATTTCACCAGTTACAAGAGTCTGGAGGCCACGGAGCAAAGCTAGAAAGGCCAGGGTTCTGAGAGTTGGATACTTGTCCTCACTCAAATTTTCCTGGGCCCTGGGCAGGGCCGGGCCGGCCGAGAAGCACAGCCAGCTCGACTCAGCCGAGTGTTGGCCTTGGCTCCTTCCCTACACCTACCTACCCATTCCAACCCCCAAATGGCAAGGACCTCTAAAGCCTGCAGCCAGGAAAATCCGACCCCACCGTAGTGAGTGTGCGCACGTGGGTTTTAATTTTGTCCTGTCTCAACTCCGTTGTCTCCCTGCTCAATCTGACACGTTCCGAACCCTTCAACCTGGGAAGGCACCTGGCGATACTGACGCACAGTCCCGTCGTTTGGCTGCCCGGAGGCGCCTTCCCTGCGGGCGCGAGTGCCACTCGCGCTGGGTCCAGACTCAGCCGGCTTCTCCCGGGAGAGGAAGCCCCGGCCTGGCGGAGAGTAGGAAGGAAAGCCCCGACAGGCCCACGTCCCAAAACTTTGCCTCCAGTCCTCCCAAGTGGAGCTGCAGCTGGCACTCCGAAGTTGCCCCCGCGCCCGGCCAAACTCCCGCACCTCAGACGCTCTTACCTGGCTTGGCGAGCTGCGCCTGCAGAGCCCCGGGCTGCGGCTCGGCAGTCCAACGCAGCGCGGCGGCCGCGGCCAACTCGGCAGCAGGGCGCGGCGGCTGCGGCTGCGACGGCTGAGAGGCTGGCGGCGGCTGCGGGGCGGCGACGGCGTCCCCCGGCGGCGGGGGCCCTGGCAGAGCGCGCAGCGAGTCGGGGATGAGGCTCTCCAAGCTCTCGTTGGCCTGCTGCCGGCGCAGCGCCACCTGCGCAGCCATGACCCGCTGCCGCTCGATGATGAGGATGCACTTCTCGCAGGTGCAGTCCTTGAAGCGGCAGTAACGCTTGTGGCCCTTGAGCCAGGACAGGACGCCATGGTTGCGGCAGCGCGCGCACTTGGGCGTGCGCTGCAGGGGCGCCCGTGGCGGCTGCGACACCGGGCCGCCCATGTACAGGTAGGGGGAGCCGTAGCCGTTCATGCCCCGGGCTCCCGAATGAGTTGGCAGCCTGGCTGCGGGAGAGGGCCAGGGAGCGCTGGACGGCGGGGCTGCGAGGCCCGCTCAGGGGCGGCCTCCGGGCGACGCGGCCCTTGGTCCCGCAGCCCCGGTGGTCGTGTGTGCTCCGGGGCGGCCGGAGGTGCCGCAGTCGTCTCTCCAGCTCCCTTCGCGCTCACAGCTCGGCCTCCCAGCTCACGCCCAGCCAACGCCGACGCGGGCCTCTGCCTTGGGCGCGCAGCCGGGTCGGCACGTCCTCCTTCGCGGAGGCGCTGCGGCGGCTGCAAGGAGCCGGCGACAGCTCTGATTAAGGTCTGAGCCAGCTCTTCTGCAGCTCCCTCGTGAGCCGGCCGGACCCAACACCTCCGCCGCCCTCCCCCAACCCCTCCTCCTTCCCACCGCCACCCCCGCCCCTGGGGTCCCTGTCTCCTTGCACTCCCCGCCCCACGCCTTCCTCCTCCTTTGCGCCCCTCGGGTGCCTGCACTTCACCTTCCTTGCCACCTGCAGCCAGGCCACTCTCGCGGGGGCGCTCGCGGCCCCCTCCTCCAAGCCCTCTCCGCTACCCCAGCCCGCGGCTGGAGACTGCGGCGCTCCAGAACGCGGCGGTGCTCGCGGGGCGGAGAAGGGGAGGACCAGCGGGAGTGAGGGTGGGGGTGCCTGTAAGCGAGTGAGGTGGCCGCTCCGCTTCTCTCTCTTCTCCTCCCTCCAGTCCAGATCTGGCCGCGTTTTTCCGAGCCCAAGGCCGCTTTTATCCCGACATTTGGCCGCAGAAGCTCAGCTCCGGGAGAACTCGAACCTACGGGAGTGTTGCGGTTGCACCCCGGACCTGGGTGGAGTTTAGGATAGGGGAGTGAAGTGATGTTGGTTTAGGAAAGTTAGGCTCTTTTCGTAATTTCCTTTTAGAACGTATTTTTTTCTCTTTTGTTGCTTTAGAAGAAAATGGTTTTGGAGATCTGCCGGCCCAAGGATGACAAGCCATTTTGCAGGCGAATTTTACTTTTCTACCCTCCTGTCCATGTTTTAATATAAAACAGTATCCTGAAAGGTCAGGGACGTACGTGCTCCTGTAAAGGATTTGTTAAGCGCCGGGTATAAACTTTCAAGGGGCAGACACAGAAGCCACATTGGCGCCCCCAAAGTTACCGATATCCTCTTCCCTCGCTCCCAGCAGCTACTGGAAGCAAACGGAGGTCTTGCGCCAGCCACTCAGTTCAAATCCCCACGGATTCTGTGATTCAGTTATGGATATGGGATGGGGCCACTTTTTCACCTCCTTAACCCATAGACCCCAGTCATAGATGTCTTGGGGGAGAGGGTCCTTCACAAGATGACAGCAGAAAACTTTGTTTAGATTATTTGCGTGTTCCCATTCTCCCAGGAGTAGCGGGCTTGGCCTAGTGCAGACTATCGCTATATATGCACAAAGAAGGCCCTCCACCCTCGCACCTCCCCACTGCCCATCAGCAAACAAGCAAAAACCAAAAAACAAACAAACAAACAAAACAAGTGGATACACTGCAGGGCAGCACAATAGCTCTATGCGAAGCGGGGCAGTTCCAGAGCCTTCGGTGGATGCGCTTCTGAGAGCGTGCACCAAGCCCATCTCCTGGTGGGGAATCAAATGCTAGATGAGAGCGTAGGCAAGTCCGCTGCAATGTCCGACCCCTCATGGGCACAGAGGCCCTTGTCCCCTCGGGGAGGCCGCTTTTCTCTGTACTGCCCTGGAAGTAAGCAAGCAACCTGAAAACTTTCCTCTGGTGTTTGCCATGAATTCAAGGGAAGCACCTCCAGGCGTTCTAGCAGCCAACCCTCTGCCCAGAAGGCTGATTTGCGGAGAGGAGGGTTGAAAACCGAACCCCAGTTGTGTGTTTCCCTTGAAGCCCTTAGCTGTTCCCGTTTCATACGCGTCCGGGAGGTGGGGATCGCGGGACACTGACCTGGTAGAGTGTGGACAAGAAGCTCTAGCATTCGAGTGCTAACCCTGGGAGGCCATCCTCCAAAGCCGCGTGGGGTAGGGACCCCTCGGTCTTGCCCCTTCCCCCACCACTTTAATCCTTCCTCTAGTCTCAACCTTCTCTAGGAAAACAAGCCCTAAAATACAACTGGAAGGAATTTTGTAAGCTCTGGGGACGGGAGGCAGAGGTCGCCCCCAGCCCTGTAGGCCCGAGGCTAGGAAATGGGGAGCTGGACGCGAGTCATTTAACGTGCTGCGATATAGAGGGCCTCAAATGACACCTTAACTGAAAACTATTGCGCTGAAACCTCCGGATCTCTTGGAAACGTGGGGACCAACGACTTTTTTCAAAACCAAATTTCTTCCGATTTTCTTCAAACAGTGAAACGAGGAAGTATAAAGAACTTGAGTATGAATAAATTTTTAAAAGGAAAGCAGAAGAGCTCTGCACCAGGTTTGTGGGGGCACTTTCACTACCAAGGCGACCCCTTTTCCCCCGTCGGTCACCTAGCCACCCTATCTCGTTGCCACTCAAACAGTCTGGCATTTGGTCCCGGGGGCCCGTTTCACTCCGGTGCACATCGGGGGCTGAGATCTAAATACTCATTTGATATAGTGCAGTAATCCTTTTCTCATATTTGATGGGAATGTTTTCCATATCCCAGTATTTGACAACATCTCCCTATAGGGACAGGTTTGTATTTATGTTGGTAAAATGTCCCCTGCCTCAAAGTCTATTGTAACCCAACACCTGACAACCCCGAGTCCCATTTCTGTTTGCAGAAAGGGTTTATTCAAGCACATAATGGGATCCCAGCAGAAAGCCTTTCAGAACAAGGGGCTGTGGTAAACTTCACCACATGAACTCCGTTTCCAGGGCTATTAAGCTTTTAATTGGAAAATAGCAGAGGAAATTTCAAGGTGACTATAACGTGTTAGCAGTTAGTGCAGAGAAGAAAAGCCGAAGCGGGAATGAATGTAGAAAGCATATGGTCCAAATCACATTTAGGAGGAGCGGCCTGCTTCTACTAAGTCCCAGTAGCTTACACACTTATGGGAAAAATCATCAAAGAAATGGGAAAGGGAAGGGGGAGGATTACAAGTAAATGTAACCTCACTAGACTAGATCCATTGGTGCTCTCCTGTGGATGGTGTGTTCTCAAACCGCAATTAACTGAGTAGAATTCTGGCAGATAATCGTGGAAGAGGAAAAAACAATGTGCGTATGTGGGTCTTTCTCGGCACACACAATCGCTGGGTGTGTGTACATGTAAAAGCTCAGGATGCAGGTGCCCTTGCTGAGAAAGTGAGGACTCCAGATCTGGGAGTCCTGGTATGTGCTCCTCATCCCAACTAATACTCAATCAAAACGGCAGTTTCCGATTGTCCCGGATGTATAACACATCAGCAAATTCTCTGCTGGATTCTCATGGAAGGGGAGGTCAGGGTTCCTATTTCACTGTTTTCATCGCGACCACGATGATGTCAGTGCAGGCAGACGCTGGAAGCCTGAGCGTGAGGAACCCCTGTGAAAACAGAAAAACTTGTCCCCTCTTCCTGTGCGTGAACTACTCAGCTCTCACCTGGTCAGCTTCTCGACCTCGCTCTTCGGCCCGCTTCAAATTGAAAGGAGTTGGGGGAATGTCCAGCCAGGCAGTGGGGCATCCAGCAATCAATTTCTTTAGATGGCAATAATGTCTTGGTTCTCCCTCAGTTGGCTGGGGACAGACTCATGCAAACCCCCCATGAGATCCCCGAAGCCGCCCTCCGGGGCGAGGGGTGGAAAGCAGAGGCCGCTTGGGGTCGGGGAGACGACTGAACCCCGGGGTCACCGGCCCGGGGATACCGCTGAACAGGGGAAGGTCCTGGACCGCTGTTCCCACATAATTTTGGTAGGGGAAGAGACGGGTCGCAGCCTGAGGCCTGCTCCAGATCCCCACGTGCCGAGGCCTTTGGGGACAAACAGGGAGAGCAGAACGGCCTGTGACCTCGCTGGCCCTAAGCCGACCGGGCGGGAGAAGCCAGGTCCTTCATGTTCTCGAACTCTCGAAGCCAGCAGCGGCTCACGCCTAGGAGTTAGCGCTCTCCCGCTTGCGGATTCCTCAGACCCAGCCTGGATACACGACCGCGCCAGCCTTTCGCGGGGTTCAGGTGTAGCTACAGCACGGCTTCATCCGAGGGCCCAGCGCCGCGACCTCAGCCCCGCGCTTTCGAAGGGAACTGGAAAAGCGCTAGCCTGGGGCGCTCCCCGCTGGGCCGCGGTTCCTGGAGGCCCTGGGGGCAGCCGCTCGTCCGACTCCAGCTCCCTGTCGGGAGCGCCCGCGGCGGAGCCGACGCCCAGTAGTAGGAGGGCGTGAGTCCGGCTGGGGACGTCGGCCGCTTCCCCACACCGTCCTGGAAGGGAGCGTCGCAGACCCTGTCCACCTTAAGTGCAAAGGAAAAAAGGCACGTCTCCACCAACGTACAAATGAGCAGCGCTGATGTTAAGTCTTAAGATAACCTTTACCCTGCGACTTTAGAACACAAGGGCTGAAAAAATAATTTTAGGTAATCTGAGCAACATTCAAGGGAGAAGGAAAGTTTCTTCTCCCCAGAGCGTTGGCTCTCAGGGATCTGGGGCACTTCCTCCTCGGGACAAGCCCCTTTTCCAGAAAACCTCACCAGCCTCCCGCCTCCTCCTTTGCTGTCCCTGAACAAAGCCCAGCCGCGGGGAAAGCAAGCGGATTTGCGCGCTTCTGGGAAAGCGTTCGGATTCAGGGGCCCGGGAGTAATGAAGGGAAACGGCCCGCGCGGCCGACACCCCAGGAACAGGGGGCGCGAACTTTGCCTGGAGGCCAGGCCGAGGCGCCCTGCGGAGGCGCGGGAACTGGGAGGAGGGGAGGCTGAGGGGCGCCACACCAGGACGAAAGTAGGCCCGGGCCCTCTCCTCACTTTCCCAGGAGCCTCCTGGGCGGGGCAACTTCCGGAGTGCTCGGGGCCCCGCCCCCCAGACACGCCCCGCTTTCCCCTCCCAGCCCGGCCTCGCGGGCCGCGGCTTTCAACTGTGGAAAAGTTCCGTTTGCTGGTTTTTTGGACCGGGGCCGGGGTGGGGACTGGAGGGGCGCCGAGGGGGAGGAACTTAAACAGGTGGTGGAGTGGAGGCGACCCGCTCCCGAGGGCAGGCGGGTGGGGGAGGGGTAAGGGGGCGACTGTTGAAGGTGAGAATCGCGAGCGGTTGGCAGTGGCCCAGCTTCAAAGGCGCAGGGCCTAGAAAAGGCTGTGGATCTAAGGCCTCGTCCGCGTGTGCGCGGAGGGCGAAGGGAGAGCCAGGGCCCTACGCCAGTTTCCCGGACAAAATTCCAGAGTCAGCGGCGCGCGGGCAGGCTGCCACGACCCTAACCCGCCCGGCGGACGGGGCCCAGCAGGGAAAGCCAATGAATATCCCCTACCCCTCCACAGGCTGCCCGTAGGGTTTCTCTGTAAAGCGCGACGACGCGTTCTCAAAAGCGCCATTAATGCGACTCGATGCAAAGCGTCAAAATGCGGTGCGATACACGTATACGTGGGAAACCGGTTCAGCATTAAAGTTCAAGTGGAGCGGAGGGGGCTGCATATTTTTATTTCTATTTATTTGTTGAGACGGAATCTCATTCTGTCGCCCAGGCTGGAGTGCAGTGGCGCGATCTCGACTCGCTGCTTCCCTCCGCTTCCCGGGTTCAGACGATTCTTGTGCCTCAGCCTCCCGAGTAGCTGGGATTACAGGCATGCACCACTACTCCTGGCTAATTTTTGTATTTTTAGTAGTCGGTCAGGCTGCTCTCGAACTCCTGACCTCAAGTGATCCGCCCGCCTCGGCCTCCCAAGGTGTTGGGATTACAGGCGTGAGCCACCGGCGCCCGGTGGCCGGGAGCTGCATTTTTATGTGTGGGCGGGAGTCTTGTTTCCGCAAGAATCGAGGGAAACGGCAGTGCAGGCCAGGGGGGGTCTGACTCCCACCTCTGTCCCCGATTGGGGTCTCCAAGCGTGGTTAGCGGAGGGAGCCCCGGCTGCGGGTATGACGGTGGTTGTGGCAGCAAGAAGGCGAGTGTCACCAAGGGCGTCCTGGGCCCCAATTCAGTGGCGCAGGGTCTGCAGGACTCGAGGTGAAATTTGAGCCAAGGGCCCCGGGGCGGCGGCGCGAACCCAGCCGCCTGCTTGTCGCGGTGGGTTGTCAGCCCGCGGGTCAAGTCCGCTGG
The DNA here is from genome assembly GCF_000001405.40 of Homo sapiens. Taxonomy (NCBI): domain Eukaryota; kingdom Metazoa; phylum Chordata; class Mammalia; order Primates; family Hominidae; genus Homo; species Homo sapiens. Next base: position 970,817 of record NC_000009.12, on the reverse strand, counting down.
AAGCGGGGAGGGGTCATCAGCGCCCTCAGCCACTGCGGCAGCAAGAGGCGGCCTGGGGAAAAGCGCGTGCCCCCTTTGCTTCTAGCCCCTCGTGGAGTAGCGGCCGCTCACCAAGAGTCCAGGAGAATTAGGCCTGGCGCTCCTGCCTGGGTTTCCCCACACCGTAGCACCCAAACATCTGCAAAAACCTGTCAAGGCTGTCTGGGCGATCCGCACAGTGCGCGGGGCGAGCACACGACGCCTGCCACGCCCACACTTGAACACACGCGTTCTGCGCACTCTTACACTGCACACACCATGGATCCCGCCCGCGGAAGGGGGCAGAGCTTGGGGAAACTGACACCCCCTCGAATGTGTTTATTAAAATACGGTTAAAATCCAGCCGTGAGGATGTACTGTCTGTGCTCTACCTTGTGTTTAGAATTGGACATTCATAACGCAATCCCCCCAGGCCTTGGGCCTGTCTTGCACTCTCCTGGGTCAAGACTAACAACCCGAGGACACCTGAGCGTCACTACGCGTGGGAGGAAGGCTCCAGACCCCTCTCTTCTGGGGCTATTGGACACAGGCCAAAAGCCGGGTCTTCCGGTCAGCTTGAGACCCTGCGTGGCCAGCGCAGGTCCCGGGCCCCGCCCTCCCGCTGGGAGTGGCCCTTCCAGGGGACCGCGTGAGGCCGCTCGGATGCAGCACCAAACGGCGTTAGGCGAGGCCGGTGGGTTTAGAAGGGCCTTTTCAAAAATGAGGATGCTGCCCACTGGACAGGCCTAGTTCCCAGGGTGCAGGCGGCCACGATGCGCATTGCTTGCGCAGCCCAAGCCCGCTCTGCCGAGCCAAACCTGGCTCTCGGGGCTCACCAGAGGCCCGAAAGGTGCTCAGTCAAGGCTGAGAGTGCACTGGCAGCCTACCTGGGCCTTGCCTGACTTTCCAGAAATGCAGGGGGACTGAAGGGGGCAGTGCTGAGAGGGGACACTTTCCCACTGAGGACGCGTGCGGAGCTTCTCCGACCACCCCGCGGGTCACAATTAAGTGTGCGGAGGTTATCTGCGGAATGGCGGGAGCTGCAAGACTCCGGGATCCTCAAAAGCCAGACCTAAAGAAAGAGGGGGGGCAGTGGGCAGGGGCCCGCGAACACGCCGGCAAGGTGGGCGCGGGATCATCTTCCAGGAGGCCACTAGAAACACCTTGGAGGTGACGACTCCGCGGTCCGGCTCCATTCCCCGCGCGGCCGCAGCCTCCGCCGTAGCCGTCACAACAGCTACAGCTACAGCCGCCCGCCGAAGGGCACACGGCTGCAGTAGCAGCAGCCTGACAAGTGTGATAAAATGATCTTCCTTAACTAAACTCGTAAAGCACTGGGCAATAAAACTCAATCTTCTGTAAAATCCAATTAAGTCATTATCTGACTGATTGTATCTTTAATTGAAAACAGAAGTGACAGTAAATTTCTGTGATATATCAGGATCAATCGATACCGCTATACGATTCAGCCCCAAGAAGTGATTTATAATGTCAAACCTATATAGGTAACTCCACATTATTCTCTCTAAAACCACTGGTGGATGAAATTAAGAGTAAGTGCATTTAATAAAAAACAAGATGGTCAGGTTATTGATTACAACAGATGGGGGTGAAATCAAATAGATGTTTTCAAAGCACAGAGCGAAGAAAATACAAGTAATTTCTTTTTTCCTGTTTAATACCGCTCACCAAATATACACACAAGAAAATTCAGTCATCAATAACATTTTTATTTCAGGTACAGCTGCAACTAAGTAGAACAATGAATTTTTTTAGACTAGTTTCATTTCAGGATGGCTTCTGTTATATAACAAAGTACTCCATAGCAATTTTTAACAAAATCATGAACTCAAATCTGTAGCAACTTTTAAAGATGTACTTATTTCCAAATCAGATTACAACCTAAGGTTACAACAGTCCAGACTGCATCCATTTTTTTCCAGTAGTAGAAAGAATGTATGATAAACTCATTCTACAAACACCACTCAGGAACTCTGCATCACTAAGGTCACTTTAAATTGCACTGTTTACAAATTACACCCTTTACCAAAAACGCAGCAATTTTTTTTTACAGGCTTTAATGTTTCTGATTATATTTCAGTTACGTTTTGGATTGGGAGGATGGGGTGGGGCTATTTCCAACAGCAACACACACAATATATCCATTTAGCAGACTTCTAAAAAAATCACTAATTTTGCCTGCTCTTTTCTTCTCACCCGTCAGGTAACTTGGCTAAATTTATATCTTTGCAGGTTTTTAAAAAATACTTAAAAAAAAAAAAAACCCCTAAGGCACCTAAGATTTCATTTTAAAACTAAAAGTAACATCTAATTAGATGACTCATTTAGAGGCACACAAATGGCTTCACTTGAATGAATTCTTTTATTTCTTGAAAACTACATGAAACCAGTGTCATTAAAAAAATGAACACTATTATTTAAACTCCGTGAGTAAAGCACTTAAACCATGCAGATGGTAGTCACGGACCCTAAAGTATTACAAATGTGTTACAGCCTCTGGACTAAACTCTAAGGAATATAAACCAAATACGTTCTCAACAGTTAAGATAGTATGAGTCAATGCAAAATATTAACAAACCCCATGGAAAGTGGAATAAGCCTGTTACTCCAAGTGAACCGCCATCGGCAGCAGGCACTGCTCACTCGTCCTCCTCGATGACGGGAGTGACTGTGAAGCTGCTGGGCTCCGACGCAGGCTCACATTCAAGCACTGCCTTTGTGCTCTTGTTACTAATAGGAGAGCTGCTCGAGAGGGAAACCAAGCCAGAATCTTGACTGCTGGGCGGCGAGAATACTGCGAAGTGAGGTGAGAGAGAAAGAGAGAAAGGGAGAAAGGGAGTAATGTTAAAAGTGGCTGGTCTTTATACATTCATTATTCAATTAGGTTACAACAAAGAAAGTGACGCTCTCCATTTCTATTCTGAGTTGAAAGTGTTTTTATAGACACTCATTAAAACTCCTAGCATTTCTTTAGAATAAAAAAATAGTATTCTACACAGTATACCTATTTAACGAAAGGAGTAAGCTAGATAGCAGAGTTCCAGTTTAACGTTCATTAAAAAACAAAACAAGTCGGCTGCATCCTCTTTGGGAAACTATTTCCACCCTTCACCGGACTCCTCCCCTTTATGCAAAGTATGCTGATGAAACTTGTCAAGTGATCCATCTGACACATTACCTCAAGCAAGACTCCACCCATGCATTTCCACCACGACAGGTAACCCACCCTACTTTTTCAAGATACAGCAGGTGAAGTGGATAGCATATTAACTTTACTATTATTTCTCTTGGCATAACAGGACAAAGACGGGGGAAAGGGATGTCAGCATACATAACTTTTAAAAAGTAAAAGACAGTAAATGGGAGAGAAAAATTGTAAAAACAGAAAAGTAAATAAATTACATCACACTAAAATAGAAGTCAGATAAATTGTGAAAGCAAACCTAGGAACATAAAACTCCACTGGAAAACCCACATTAAATATGAAGGATGCAAAAGTAATAATGTGTTAAGCAACTTTTGCAACCTTAGCAGCCACAGTAGATAAAAAACTTAAGCAAAAGGGTCTCTGACCTTCTTAACCTTAGCTGAGTTTAGATCCACCCCCAGAACTCCCTTCCTGCCTAGTGTGAATGTAATTAAGGGGAAGCTGCAGTGGTAATTTCTCTCCTCATTAACTTCCTGATTGGTTTCAGCCTCAGGATTCTGCCGGGCAGTAGTTTGTCACCAATTCCAAATGGCCAATCGTTAATACTAATGTTTGTGTAACTAACTGCCAGCATCTGCCACGGCTTCTTGTACAACAATAATGGTGAAAGGGTACATTAGTGCTCCTGTGTTAATTCAGCTTGTGTTCATCAATAGGGAAATCTATGATGTAATTAGCAAAATGCATTGGGAGCTGAGTGCTGAAGTCATTTGTAGAGAACTAAATCATAGTAGAAGCTGCACTGGGTCCTGATGTGTTTGCCATCAATACTTATTATGTTTGGAATTTAATAAGGTATATTACCATGCTGAAAAGAGACCTTTTTACAACTGAACACTATTTACACTCGTTACGGGTTTGGAAAAGGTTTGCTGCAGCTAGTGGAACCACACAGAAATAAAAGAACAGAGCTAGGATTTAAGAAGCAGGCCCTTAACCACTCCACTGGACCACATTCTTTCAGAAGGCCCCCTTCTTCCAGTGTGACATATGGGTAGACAGATAGACAAATGGATAGTTTTGTACAGCTACCTCAATATCCAAGAAGGAAAGAGATGATCTGAAAATTCAGTAAGTGAATAAATTTGAAAAACAATTTAGGCAATTTCCTGACAAGTGGTTACTTTTTATATTGATAGATTTGTTTAGTCTTTAATAAGGTAAATAAAAAGCAAAGGATAAGTTTGTAAGCTTTAAAATATAGGAAAATATTTTTTTTTAATTTAAAGGGAGTCATTAAGTAGTATTTCATAACAAAAAAGCACGCATATGCATATATAAATATAGCAACCAAAACTAGGAATCTAGGAAATATGAAGCCTTCATCTTATTACAGTTCATAAAAGTATCTTACTAAATTTGTATTGTTATATGCATTTAAATTCCATGCAAATCCAAGGTGATTTATTAATTGTATACATGCACCTGGTTGTCATATATATGTACAGAGAAATGTTTTCCAAAGGCAGCAGACTGCTTTGAGATCTTGTTACTATACAGATCTGGAGAGCCGACTAAGAGCTTCCTGGAGTCCGTGCGTTAATGTCCCCACCCCCAACCAGTGACAGAAGTTTCTCTGTATAGAAGCTATGGAGAAGAACAGTAAACATTACTGACTACTACCTGTATGCCACACACATACTTTAGTGAGGTATTTCACCCTCAAACCATTCACTGAGAGAATTACTCTCCCCGTTTAACACAGGGATCCTGTGCAAGCTGTCAAGGGCAGCACTGTACTGATTAGGCTGACTCTGGCGTGCTCTGGCCCCTGCACCAACCTTCTCCTGGGCCCCACATTTCAGAACTGGCAGCTGAACCTTCCCAATCCCTGTGTGAGTTTAAGGAGGCAAAGCAACGGACCTTTGCCAAGCTGATGCAGAGGCTTGTAAAGGAATAGGTATGTGTTCTCCCAACATGTTCAGAGCCCTGGGCCTGTTTCCAGTTAGCAGCTGACTGGGAGATGCCCCGGGAGATGCCCTCTCCTCATTTAGCCAACTTGGGACTGAAAAGGGGAGGAGTGGGAATTTTGCAAAAGAAAGGAATTTGACAATATCCCCCTTTTGCTCTAACTTGCCTTATGAATATTTTCTTGGAAAGTGCTCTTGCGACGTGGGGCCACAAAGCATGCAGAATATTACCTGCATGGACTAGCGGGGCTCCAAGCATACTTTTAATGCATGACTGCACTCTAGAGAAAATGTAAAACTCACCCTGTTTTGAAAAACAGCCGTATTGTTTATAGTGTTTCTCCACTCAAAATTTAAACCCATGCTATTTTTACATTTGTTCAAGGCTTAGCATTGTTTTTAAATAATAGGCTGTTGAAGTTAGGGATAGTATCTGTTTAAGTATAGCCCCTCATAGAGTTCTAGGTACGTGAAAAGATTTAGTGTGTTTTTCCTTAGTGACTAATGTCCAAAATCACTTTTACTACCATCCTTAAAGATCGTCCCTCAGAGGTACCTTTTCCATTTTAATGCAGCTTCCTTAAACTTTTGGAAGGAGAAGGCTAATAGTTGACCGTTGTAAATTATTTCATACCAATTAAAAATTCAAAAATCTAAATGATGCTTTTCGCTCTTTGATTCTAAGGGGCCCTACACCAGGCTAATTTCAACTCAAAAGTCTTGTCTTAGGTCATTTTGTAAAAATGCTAACTCCTAGCGTCAGTGGCACTGTGGGGGAACAGATAGTATTGGTAGCACTAGAAATTGGTTCAATCTCTCTGGACAGCAATCTAGTGACATGTAATAAGAACCATAAAGCTGTTCAGCCCCTCTGACCTGGTAATTCCACTCTGGGGAATAACCCCGAAGAAAGGAAGAATAATTGAGCCTGAGATGCTCAACACACCGTCAGTGAAGATGTTAGTGTACTGCTCTTGTGCTTGGGGAAGGGAGTTGGGGCCAGCTGCACTGGGGTTGGGGGCAGGAAGCATTCACAGGCAATAAACAATTAAGGATTATACTACCCTATAATCATTGATAGCCTCCCAGCATTTACAGAAATAGAAGAAATTATTTCTGCACACCACAGCAGAGACTGAAAAGTAAGGAAAAGAAAAAAGGAAAACTTGCCCATCTGATATTTTTTTGTGTTACAATGAAAGGTGGGTAAACCTCCGAGGCTGACCCTTGTTTGAACCAGCAAATCTAGTATCTGTTTTCTCTCAAGAAGCCTATTTGTCTACCGAAGCTACTGGGATGTTATTTTATTATGATTTAAAAATAAACAGAAAACCTTACACAGGATCATTCTTACCAATGAGGGGAAAAAACACTTCAAGATGATTTTGATGCCATCTAACCATGAGTATTATTTTTGAAAAATATTTATACTGTCAAAAAAGAAAACCTTCTTAAAAAAAAAACCACAAAACTCTAAGTGCTAAATCTTTTGACATTGCAAAGACCCCTGACTTTTAACTTGAATGATCTGTTGGAAGTCAATGGACTGGAACGAATAATTCTCTTCCAGTGATGTGAGAAAACAGGATATTCATGCTTTAAAAACATTTTTCCTTCCTCTATATGTTAAACACTATTAAACTCCTAAGAAACCATTTTAAAATAAAATACAAGTGGCATTTTTCAGTTGTTACCAACTCTTCATCTAGATGCTGACTGCCAAGGCAGACAAACAAAATTGCTGGCCTCTTCAGTTTCCTAGACTTTGTAGGCATAAGAAAGAATCTGATGAAAAGCTGATGAAAATTTCTTAAACAACAAATTCTTCCACTTCATGATAACCATAGTGTTTGGAAATAAAATCATGTGCAATCAATACCACTTAGCATATATTTAATGTTTCACAATAGAACTCTTTTCCAGAGTGGAACTGCTGCCCTTCTCACTAACATTTAAAATAATTAGGATTATCTTAGCTGTCCGAAGCTTGGCAGGTTCAGTTTGTACTTTCAAATAGCATTAATTCTTGGCACTCAGAACAAGGGATAAAAGGTAAAGATATGAATGGAGATCTTTATTCCACCTGATCTATCATGGATTAGCTCATTCTTTTCCAGTTCATGCCTGCACTCTAGTTAAGAAGAAGGCTGAGCTGTAACTGATGTAATTAGAAACCACAAGCTGAGAAAAAAATAGCCCTTTGGTAATCTCCTCCATTTACTATAAATTTACTAAAAAAAAAGTAATGATCGTTGAAACAATTAAATGTGTTTTTCCCCCGAGTGCAATTAAAGAGTAGTGATGAGAGAGTGGAGCATAGGATTGTGTTTTCCGTAACACCATATCTTAGTTATCAGCTTTAAAATCGAGTATCGGTTTTGAAGGGGGCTAGCTCTGCACTTTGCGTATTGTAGAGAGAACTGGCCAATCACTGTAAATGAAAGAACCTATAGATGGCATCAGGTAAATTAAATGAAAGATCCTATAGATGGAATCAGGTAAATTATCAGTGCTTCCTCGTTGATACAACTATCACAACCTTTGCAAGCACTGGCAAATAGCATACTTTAAAAACTAGGTGAACTTAACAGAAAGTACATATTTATGCAACATTACCTCTTTCCCTCTAAATTTTATGTAAAACATAATGTACACACAATTCACAAAATAATAGTAGGCCAATTTTTTAACTCTCAAAAGGAACAGAGCCAAGCAAGCATCCTTCTACAGCATGTCAGAGGTTGGGGGAGCACTGGCCCGGGAGTCTGAGAATCTGGGCTCACAGTCTGGTCCTACTGTAGCTGCAGATTAGTTTCCCTGCTGCTTGTGAAACTAAGTGATAATGCACCCATCAAACTTACTCCCCCACTTACAGAGTTCAACCGAGAAGCAAAGGGAAGAAGCCTTTTTTGTTTATATTAACATGGTATGCAAAAAGGGAAGAGAAAGAAGGGGCGCATTCAGCCTTATACCCCAACCAGGGACTCAAGCAAAATTAGCTCACGGCCAGGCGTTCCTTCTCCAATGCCACCTCCACCCCACCCAGGCCCTCCTGGACCACAGCATGGCAGCTGGTGGGTCCCCAGTGCCACCTCCACCCCACCCCACCCCACCCAAGCCCTCCTGGACCACAGCATAGAAAGCTGGTGGGTCCCCAAATTCCCTGCTTGTTTCATGGAGGAGGTCACCACAAGCAACTTGTGTCTCAAAGCCATGAATAATCAACATGTCCATGGCAGCAGCCCTACCCTGATAGGGGCTCAGCACCCTTTGAAGTACCTCCTCTCCCCTCACTCCTCACCTTCCAAAAAACCCTTCTTGCCTGTCAGCAATGGTGATGCTCCAGACTGCTCCCTTGCCCCCAAACTCAGTCAGTTGTGGGAACTTTCCTCCCACTGACATCTCTTCCTAAACCCTCTCAGAGGTGAGCAAGCGTGCACACGAGGGGCTGACTCACTTTTACTGACTCAGTTGACTAGTCCCGTCCAGGGGTGTCGCATTTGGTGATACACGCAATCCAAACAGTCAAAGTCACTCTAAAACTATGTTTTAACCAAAATATATTAAGTCTTAACACCTAATCATCGTGGGGCTTTTAATTCCCTTTAGTAACAACATCCTGCAGTAAAACCACAGACTGGCTAACTCTTTGCTCTCCTCTGCTCTCCAGTAAAATAAACACGACCTAGACTTTTAAGAAAACTCCTCTGGTACCTGGGACATTGTTTAAGCATCCTGCGCCCTAGTTTCTCCATCTGTGAAAAGGGGGTAATAACAGATAGTAGTGAAGATGACTGGAGTAATGTTTACTCAACAAATATTAGTTTCCTTAATTCCTCTGTCAGCTGTCTAAATCTCCATGTCTTAATGTGAGAAGATTCTTGCTTTTGAACGCATCAGAATCATATCAGGATTTAGTACAAGGTCTGTTTATTCCAGGCCACACATACATGTTGCCTTTTTCAGAGAACCAGGAATACATGTTTACTATGTAATAGCCTGAAGGTCACATCCAAGAGGCAAAACAACCTATTCCTCACTTGAACGGCCTTTGTTAACATCAGTTCTGCCTTTTTCAATCTTTTTGAGGAGGGAGGTGAGAAGATGGCTGGCATCAAATCAAACACCAGAATGTCTGTGAACATACTTTATAAACCAAACAGAAAATAGCATTATTATCCCACGATCAAGCAAACCATCCCTTCAGACTAGCATTTGGAGGAAGGAAGAATCTGTGGTTTTTGAGCCTAAGTTTGTCCTAAAAGTTGGGAACTCTGGGAAGTACATGGCACAGGTGTCAATGTCTCCAAATAAGTACGGGTCTCATCTGTTCCTAATCTACAATTACTGGGTTCCTGGAGCCCTGTCACAACGAGGCTTGCGTTCTGAGGAGAGAAGAGCAAAGAGTTACCCAGTGTGTGGGTTTGCTGCAGGATGTTGTTACTAAAGGGAATTAAAACGAGGCATTCCAGAAACTGTCCCTGGGTCAGAATGCAACAGAGTAGAGGGGTCAGGTGTGGGCTCCGGAGGTGGGCTGTCTTACTACCTGAAGACCTTGGACAGGTCCCTTAACCTCTCCATGTCTCTGCTTCCTCATGTGTAAAATTGGGGATACAGTAGAGCACTTAGGAGGATTCTACACAAGGCGTGGGGCCCCATTAAGTGCTACGTTCCCTCCTGTGGTCACCCACACGTGTGGCCCGGTGACAACCACATCTCAGCACCTGATGCTGTCTGAACTGAGCCCTGTTCCTAGCGTCACTTCTCAGCACTGCTCCCCCACTCCACTTCCCTTGTCTACACCTGCCCCACCCCACCCTACTTCATCTTTCTTGAGCTCGAAGAGGCAGCAGAAACACAGCCTCCTTTCTGGGAGACTGTTTTCCCACCACACTGCACGCTAGGCAGGAGGGCTGAGGGAGGCCTGCTTCTGGCTGGCTCCTCTCACTTAGGAGTACCTGTCAGGCTGGGCCAAGCCCAGCTCGTACCCCTCAGCCAGGAGCAGCCACCGTCTGAGAATTGTCCAGAAAGACCAGGAGCTCTGCCATCCACACTGGCACCTCAATAAACACCCTGTGCCTCAGTTTCCTCAATTGTAAAGGAAGGTAATAAATATCTCACAAAGTTGCATTGAGGATCAAGGAGACAAAATAGTTTGTAAACCCTAAAGGTCTATACACTTGTTACTCATTATTTTCTGTCCCCTCTCCTCTGGCAGAAGCCTATACTCTTCTCCAGGAAAGAATTGTGAGTGTCTGTACTCCATTGGAAATTAATAGGATTTTTATTAAACATTGGTTGAGAAAGGAAAAAAAGTGACAACACACCCAACACCTCTGAATGTTCTTGGACAAGTTTCAATTCTGATGTGAAGGAAAGTCAACAATTGCTTTCTTCATCCCTCTTTACACACCAAAAGACTGAAAGTTAAAATGAATTCCAAGCTAAAACCTGAGCCTATTGTTTGTGCTTTTCACGGCATCATGTATAGGCCTTCAGTGACACTTAACCATTCCTGAGGCTGGGCCAACAGGCAAGCCGACTCCACTGAATCAGGCTAGGGCAAAGAGCCAGGAGAACCACCTGGAGGCAAAGACACAAAGTCCACAAGGTAAAAGACAAACCTCGGGTAAATGGAAATTGAGCTGCGAATGTCTACCATCCATTGTCCATGTCCAGCACAGTGCAGAGCACATAGTGGGTGTTTAATAATGGATGCATGAGTGAGAAAAACAATGGAATGTAGCCTTCACAAGACACACTGCAACCATAAAACAGGACTAACCCATGCATGCACTGGCAGACAGTCTCAAGTCTAAAACCAGTTTAAGGTGGCTGGATGCGGTGGGTCACGCCTGTAATCCTAGCACTTTGGGAGGCTGAGGTAGGTGGATCACCAGAGGTCAGGAGCTCAAGACGAGCCTGGCCAACATGGCAAAACCCCATCTCTACTGGAAATACAAAAATTAGCCGGGCATAGTAGCACATGCCTGTAATCCCAGCTACTCGGGAGGCTGAGGCAGGAGAATCGCTTCAACCCAGGAGGCAGAGTGGCAGTGAGCCAAGATAGTGCCACTGCACTCCAGCCTGGGCAACAGAGCAAGACTCCATCTCAAAAAACAAAAAACAAAACAAAACAACAACAACAACAATAAAACCAGTTTAAGGAGTTTAGAGTACAAGTGTTTGAATCAATTCTGCCTGTAGTGACTACATAGTGACTCTATGCAAAGCCTGGACACAGAGGCAAAGGGAAAAGCAGCATCAAACACACCCTCTGACAAGTGGTGGCACCAGGACCCTGTCAGCCCAGGCCAAAGGCCCCCAGCTTTTAATGAGTTCCTCAGGGACTCTGTGCAATGCAAATGAGTGCTCAGATCCACATATAGGTGCCATGACTGGGTTGGCCACACACACCACAAGTGCATTTGAAAACAGACTTAAATATATACGTGATCATCTCAGTAACGAAGGCAGGCTGGGCAAAGAAGATGCTCTACGAGTCGTCTCTGAAATAGACTTATCATTTGATTCTGGGAAAGCTGTTTTCTCAGATACAAAAGTAATCAAACCCATAAAGTAGGCTGTGACATTTGCCACTCTACAAACTAGGTTGGCTGTCCAGATATTTTGCAGTATGAGAAAATTTTAAAGCAGCCTTGCAGAAGAATCACAGATGCTCCAGTCTGAAAGGGTAAGGTGTGATGGAAATCCCAACCTTGATGGGCATCTCGTTAAGGCTAAGAAAAAGGATTACAGTTTTGGAGTCAACACCACTGCCAGAGGAGCTGGTCACAATAATGTCAACACTGCCTTCTCATCCAGAGCGCCAATGAGCTTGGTTTCCTATCTAATCCACAAACTGCAGTTAGCCTTTCACTTTAGATTTATATAATCTCTAATAAAACACAATGTTTAACAAAATATTTACACTTAGGATGTGCATCTTTAGCTATATGGTTTTTAGAAAGTTTTTCATTTAAAAATATTCTGGACCAGGCGTGGTGGCTCACGCCTGTAACCCCCGGAGAGTTAGGAGGTCCAGGCGGGTGGATCACCTGAGGTCAGGAGTTTGAGACCAGCCTGTCCAACATGGTGAAACCCTGTCTCTACTAAAAATACAAAAATCAGCTGGGTGTGGTGGTGTGCGCCTGTAATCCCAGCTACTTGGGAGGCTGAGGCAGGAGAATCACTTGAAGCCAGGAGGTGGAGGTTGCAGTAAGCTGAGATCACGCCATTGCACTCCAGCCTCAGTGACAGAGCAAGACTCCATCTCCAAAAATAAAAATATTCTGACACTTTGCAATTAAGTGGATATGAGAGAAAGTTCCCAAGCCATTTCTCAAGTAGAATTTTATAGAATTTGCAGCTTATAATTTGAAAATAAATATTGTGGCACAAATGATATGCTAGTAGCACGGTAGAGGATTGCATACAGCAAATTATTTTCTCTTTACTACTGGGAGACTCATATTCTTCAAAAAGCAACTATTAATACTATTTAGGGTGAACATTACATGTAACACACAAAACTTCAATGTTGGCTTATCATACTATGCCAACTATTTCCTTCTGTTTCTTTATAACCAGCATTAATGAAAATTTAAGATTCATAAATTATTAGTATTTTTCATCTTTTTCTTCTTTTTTTAAAAACAGAGTCTCGCTCTATCCCCCAAGCTGGAATGCAGTGGCACAATCTCCAATCGGGGCAACCTCCGCCTGCGGGTTCAGGTGATTCTCATGCCTCAGCCTCCCAAGTAGCTAGGATTACAGGCGCCCGCCACCACATCTGGCTAATTTTTGTATTTTTAGTAGAGCCAGTGTTTCGCCATGTTGGTCAGGCTGGTCTCGAACTCCTGACCTCAGGTGATCCACCTGCCTCAGCCTCCCAAAGTGCTGGGATTACAGGCGCGAGCCACTGCCCTCAGCTCAATATTTTCTTCTAAAATAGAAGGAGGAAGCAAATACCAGGACACATCTAAATAGAACATCTACGGATCGAAAAACAATCAAGATTGAACATTTTAGGCATTTCCAGACAGGAGAATACATGCCTACTCAAAGTTGCACATGTTATTTTACCACCTAAATATAACACGGCCATCATGGATGATAAGGTAAGTTCAGATTACAGAACCAAGTGCACACTGTTTAGGAATGGTTCACATTAGGGCTGAAGAGAAATAAGAAAATAACAGCACAGACTGTGTAGGCTTTTCTGAAATAATATTTCTATACATTGCATAAGACTCCAATTGCTAAAATTCTTTAATACATGTATTTCTTAAAACATTTTTGTGGTATCTTCTGTCCAATTAGCCCCAAGAAAGGACTTTAACCCTAAAGAGGTTTAGTCTGTAGGCAATATAAGGCATTCATGGAATGTTATTGTTACTGTGCCTTCTTCTCTCCAGGTGTTTATGATATTTTTAATTGTTTCAGGACAGGTGAGCTCATGCTCATGTTTCAACAGGTATTTTAGTCTGCCTTCAAGAAAAGATGTTCCATTGGGTATGGACATAAAGATGGCAGCGATCAACACTGGGGACTACTGGCGGGGAGGCAAGGGTTGAAAAATTAACTGTTGGGTACTATGCTCAGTACCTGGGTGACAGGATCATTCATACCCCAAGCCTCAGCTTCATGCAATATGCTGACGTAACAAACCTGCACATGAACCCGCTGAATCTAAAATAAAAATTAAAGGGAAAACAAAAAAGGGTTTCCTTTTTCTCCCTAGCTGCAGCCCACCTGAAGCCAAACTTAATTGTAGACTTTCTTAAGGGGCTTCTCAGAACAACCACCTATGATCTCTGGGTGAGATGATCCCAGAAAGGGCCTGTTGGTACTGGGTCAAGAGAGCGAGGCTCTGAACTTAAGGAAAGAAAGGCTGGCAGTTATTTACCAAAGCATGAGATAAATTTTTATTTAATTATTTCTTCCCCTGGTCAACAAATTGGCTTCTTCCAGCATTTGCTTAATTTTTTATTGTAGTAAAATACACATAGCAGAACATTTATCATTTCATCATTTAAAAATTGTCTGTATGGCCTTTTAAATTTTGGGTTTTTTGTTTTTTGTTTTTTTTTTTTTTGAGACAGGGTCTTGCTCTGTCTCCCAGGCTGGAGTGCAATGGCTCAATCATAACTCACTGCAGCCTCAAACTTCTGGGCTCAGGTGATCCTCTTGCCTCAGCTTCCCAAAGTGCTGGGATTACCGGCATGAGCCACCACACCTGGCCCTTAACCATTTTCAAGTGTAGCGTTCAGTGAAATACATGCATTTGAAGTACATTCACAACCACTGCCACCATCCATCTCCAAAACTTCTTCATCTTCCCAAACTGAAATTCTGTACCCATTAAACAACAACTGTCCATCCTCTTCTCCCCTCAACTCCTGGCAACCACCATTCTACTTTCTGGCTCTATGATTTTGACTACTGTAGGTACCTCATATAAATGGACTCATACAGTATTTGTCCGTTTGTGTCTGGCTTATTTTACTTAGCATAACGTTCTCAAGTTTCATCCATGTTGTAGAATACATCAGAATTTCCTTCCTTTTAAAGACGAAATAACATTCCATTGTATACGTATACACCTTTTGTTTATCCATCCATGCACTAATGGTCATTTGCGTTGCATCCACCTTTGAATAACGCTGATATGAACATGGGTATACAAATATCTCTTTGACACCCTGCTTTCAATTCTTTGGGGTATTTACCCAGAGCAGAACTGCTGGACCGTATGGTAATTCCATCTTTAATTTTTTGAGAACTGCCATATGGGTTTCCACAACATCATTTCACATCCCCACTGGTAATGCACAAGAGTTCCAACTTACCCACATCTCAGCAACGCTTATTTTCCGTTCACTGATTATTTTTTAAATGACAGCCATCATAATGGGTGTGAAACGCAGGATTTAGTTTTTTGCTGCTGCTTTTTTTTGAAACAGGGTTTCATACCCACAGCCCGACAGTGCAGTGGCACTATCACGGCTTACTGCAGCCTCAATTTCATGGGCTCAGGTGATCCTCCCACCTCAGCCTCCCCAGTAGCTGAGACTACAGGCATGCACTATCATGCCTAGCTAATTTCTTGCATTTTTAGTAGAGGCAGGGTTTCGCCATGTTGCTCAGGCTGGTCTTGAACTCCTGGGCTCAAGCCATCCACCTGCTTCAGCCTCCCAAAGTGCTGGGATTACAGGCGTGAGCCACCACACCAGCCAAGTTTTTTGCCTCTTTTATACTAATCTTTTCCTTCTTTCCCTTCTTCCTGCTCTCCCTTAGTCATGACCTACTGTCCTGTCTCTATTTTATTACACAGTAATGCTGGCAAACTGGCTACTGTCGAACTCCCAGAAAACTTTCCTCATGCTCACATGTAACCTGCTGGTCACCAATGCCAGTGGCCTGCCCTGCTCTTTCCTGCCCTCTCTCAGGAGCACTGGACAAGTGCCCATGCCCTACCCTCTCCCTCCTCCCCAGTCCTCAGGCCACAGTACTCTCCTTTCTCCAGGCCCTCCCCACTCCACTGACCACCTCTTCTCTAATCCAACCCTGAGCACGGACATTCTCCAACTGCTGAACTGGGTTCTCTTTTGTCACACAAGGCTTTAAATATCACCTCATTGCAAATGACTTCACAATGTATATCTCTTTCCCTGACTTCTTACTGAGCACTATGTCTGTATTTTAAATAGCTAACGAACGGCCAGGCGGAGTGGCTCATGCCTGTAATCCCAGCACTTTGGGAGGCCGAGGCAGGCAGATCACGAGGTCAGGAGTCCGAGACCAGCCTGGCCAACATGGTGAAACCCTGTCTCTACTAAAAATACAAAAATTATCTGGGCGTGGTGGCACGCACCTGTAATCCCAGCTACTAGGGAGGCTGAGGCAGGAGAATTGCTTGAACCTGGGAGGCACAGGTTACAGTGAGCCGGGATCGTACTACTGCACTCCAGCTTGGCGACAGAGCAAGACTCTAAAAAATAATAATAATAATAAAATAAAGCCCAAACAACAACAACAAAAAAACAAACAAAAAAAACTGAACCTACCAACTTCTCCTCCTCCAATAACAAACCTGACCCTCCCTCATCTCTTGGATCTTGGGCTCACACCCTCTTCTCTAGCCAGCTCAGACTCGAAGCTTAAGACTACTCCACCTCCCTCCCACATCTAAGCAGCTGCTGCATCCTGCTCTCTTGAACTCTGCCACATCCCTCCTTACACATATCCTTCCTTTCCAATGACCCTATCCTACCACAGCCTCATCTAAATTCCAGCCCTCATCCCCTCGCGCCTTCTCTGCTAGCATCTGGTGCCCTATCCGGTCCCTTCTCTCTCTGCTTCACTTTACCCTGGTGGCTGTTACGCTTCCAAAAGCACGTCTCTGACATCTTTCCTAAATAAACACCTTTGGTGGTTTCTGCAAAGGTCCAAGCTCCCTAGCCTGGCATTTCAAGAGCAATCTGATTGCCCACTTCTCCCCGTGCTTATTATGCCACGTCCTAGCCTCTCTCCTGCTCCAGATGCCTGCACAGACCTCTAAGGTCCCCTGCCTTTGATGCTGAGTTCATGCCAGTCCCACAGACTTTCCCCAATCTCCACAGCTTAACACTCAACTCAAATGCCAACCTCCTCTAATCCCCCTTCTCTAATGCCCACAGTACTCCACCTTCCTTGTGCCACTATCACTTTCACTCTCATTATGGATCTAATGACTCCCCTACAGACCAGAGGAGGGACCATGTTATGGTTCTATCTTTAAAGCCCTTTGGTGGCCACTAGTTAAAAGACTTACATGTGGCCAGCACTCAACAAATAGTAGTTGATGAATAAATGAAAGATCACTGTCATGAGACAAAGCCAGCCAATCTGTTTCCTAGACCAATCGTGATCAGCACACTAGGTAAGTATGCATGGAAAGAATGGTGGAGAGGCAGCTCTGGCAAGAGAGAAGAGATGATTGCTGGCCCCACGTCAAGGAAGGGGCGAGGAAAACTAAGAAGCAGCTTAAGCAGCAGTGGAGAGGGAGTACAACAACAGAGGTGGCAACGAATCCAAAACCTCAAGAATGGGTCAGCTTCCTGCAGGCGAGAGAGAAGAATCCACTTGATAAACTTTCCTGTCATCAAAGGTCGGGGGGGCAGAGGCCTTTGACAACTGCAAGAGAAGATTTTCGTCATTTAGAAAATAAATGCATGTATGTGAAACAGATCATTTCTCAATGATGGCGAGTTAATGAGGCAGCTCGAATCTACCCTTAAACTCTGTCCTTGGATGGGTATAACTAAACTCCAGACACTAACAGAAATATCAGAATGACTAAAGCTAGAAGACCAAAAAGATACACAGACTTTTTTTTTTCTCCATAATAAAGGAGGCTTATTAAAGCTACTACCTTAGAAAAATAGATAAGGGGTGGCCGTCAGATACGTTTTAGATAGATCACTTTCATTATTAATTGACTGAAAATGTAAACAAGATAAGTAAGCTTGACTCCACGTATATAAAATTCTGCATCCAACAATGAACAAATCCGCATTCTTCACAGGGACACACAAAGCATGTATGCAAAATAACCATGTAGCAGTCCACAAAGAAAGTCTCTACACATTTCAAAGATGTGTATCTTTCAAAACCTTTGAAGTCTTAAAGATTTAAGTCTATAGGCTATGAGAATATCTCCTAAGGAAAAAAACCCTTTCGGCTTTAAAAAATGATCAACAAAAAAAGAATATAAATTTCACTGACTCTGCCTAACCAACACGCCAACATTTGGTCACAATATAATTAATTTCACCCTTAATGTTACTGTTGAAAGTATTTAAATGCCCAGGCACTGACTCCAACCCACACACTCCTCCCTGATCCCACATTCCAAGTAGATCAGGTATTTTCACACTTGGTTCATCTTCAGTGAAGACTGTAATTAAATCTTTAATTTGAAAAAAAGAGTGGAAGTCCAGCACTCACTGCATTATTGGCTGGCTTCGAAGCTCAGGGCAAAGAGCAGTCAGATAACAAATGGCGACCTCAGCTCCTTCAAGCATAAGTAATCTGCTAATTTCAGAAATTATCAGCTCATCTCAAAACTGACCAATTTACATGTAAAAATGCTTTCCACTGTTAGGCGCAAGCTTCCTGGGAATCAGAAATGTTAGTCCAATTGCACAAATTCTCAGGTTTACGGGCTGCCTGGCCTTTTGATTACACCGTAATTTTAAAAGTATAAATTTTAGAACATGTTTTATCTCACGTCCAAGGTGTTGGAAGAGCCTCTTTGGGAGCCGAGTACTCTAAGGAAAACAATGACTACTGTTAGTCCTTTTTATTTCTTAATCTACCTCCACAACTAACTAAAACTCACGCATAAAAGGCACTGTGGCGCTAATTTGGTTACGTAATTCACAGAACATTTACTGAGCATCTGCTCTGTGCCCAGCACTGTTCGAGATACAGGGGATATGGCTGTGAATGAAACAAGGCTCTGTTCTCAGAAGAAAAACACCTGTAATCAGACACACCTGGGATTACATTCTGGCTGGGTCACTTACTAGTTATGGGACCCTGGGCAATCATTTAACAGCTCTGAGCCTCAATTCCTCATCTATTAAAGGAAAACAACAATGTTAAAGGCTGTTGTGATTTTAAAAATATATACATAGCATAGCAAGCTCCTTAGCTCAAAACAGGCATTGAATGGACACTGGCCCCCCTCCCTTCCTGTAAGAAGAGAGCAGATAATCAGTAAGTGCTTCAAACTGGCACCAGGGACTACCTGAAACAGAATCAGAAGAAGGTGCCATTTTTTCTCTATTATGTGTTTGCCTGGTCCTCTGCATCTTCCTCACATCTGTGCTTCTTTTCTGTTCTTAGGTATCCTGTGGCCCCTGGTCCACTCCCAGGGTCTCATTTCTGTCAAACTACAACTTATACCCTCCCTCAATCTGCTCCAGAACAGTTTTATTCTTTAAGTATATTGCTTGGAGCTCTTCAAAGAAAAGCATTCAATTAAACTAATTTACCCAAGAGGTACATGCAAGCTTCATGCTGCCAACCCTCTTGTTGATATTTTCATTTTAAAGAGGAAGCTTCTAGACATTGCAGAGATGTCATCTTTAGGGGCAGGGCAAATTGCTGAAGTGTCATCTGTACCATTCAGTATACAGAATGCACTGCTAGGTAAGTGGATAAATCAAGTTTTATTTTTACTACATCAAATTTTCATAATTTACAGAAAAGACGCATTCTTGCTGATTAAGGTTACTGTCCATGTCTGGTCTGTGTTTCCAGCTTACCAGAGGCTTAGCCTTTCAAAGTGATTTACCAGTGAGCTAATCTCAAAATCATTTTTCTTTAACTCTGCCTTCCAGGAGCTTAACTTGAATGTAGTCCTTACAGCCAAACAGAAATGACTGGTATTTAAAGAAAAATATATATTAAAATAAATTTATTTTTTGCTAGCAGTTAACTCTCATGTTGTCTAGTGCTTCAATGAGGCTCTAGGATTTAATTATTTGTCAGAAATTTTAATAAAATGAACTTTTAATTATTTCCATTAGCAAATATTACTAGTTGTAATACTGAATCAGATAAAATTGAGAGAAAAGGCAAAAGACACAAATATTAGCATTAGCTAACTAATATGCCTGGTAGTAAGGGGGATATACTTTTTATAATCCTAAACCAAGGTCATCCATTTATTTAAGAAGCACTTATAATTTTCTATATCAAAACAACTATGAAACAATAAAGGACGAAACATTTTTGTAGTAACAAAAAGTGATAGAAAAAGACAGAAAGCAAGAATAAAAGGAAGTCCAAGAAAACAGTCGTTTCTGGAAACACTGCTTTTCACTTGAACTGCAGGAGTGAGATGCTTTCTTTAATGAGTCGGGGCTAGGAGATGCTGGGGAAATGAAACAGGAATTCTTAGGAAGGCTCATCTACCAGCCTAAGGCAGGAGCTGGTAAATGCTGACTTGGGGAAGCAGGCTTGTGAAATGAAGTTCAGTCCACATTATTTATTAGCATAATTATTAATAATAATTACTATCATTCGTTGAGCCCCTATCATGTTCCAGGCACTATACTTTACCATCTTCACAAAAACCCTTTGGGGAGGTGGATATTAACATCCTTACTTGACAGATTTTAAAAACAGACTCAGATTAACATGCCCAAGCTCACATGACTGCTGAGTATCAGAGCCAGAATTTGTACTCAGGATCTGAATGTGGGACTGTTCACAAGAGACCACAGTGCATCACAACAAGCTTGCTGGTGGTGTTCCTCACGCTGCCTCCTGCTGACCCAGAGAGACCTCTGCAGTGAGCTTTCCTCTTCTTCACATCCACAAATCTGTTGCCCAAGTATCTCTCTAGATAATCATGATTTTGCTGCAAAAAGACAGCTTTGAAGTCTAAGGCATCAACTGAGTTGCAGGTTTGCCTTCTAAAAATGAGCTGAGTAAGGAGATATCCAAGAGACCCAAATTCCCACATCTTTCCACTTTCCAAGCAGAAGAGACTTCAATAAACTACTGTATGATCCAAGAATGCTACTTCTGAGTGTATATTCAAAGAATTGAAATCAGGATCTTGAAAAGGTATCTGCACACCCATATTTACTGCAGCACTAGTCACAGTACCCAAGGAATGCATGGAAGCAACCTACATGTCCACTGACAGACAGATGAATAAGGACAATGTGCTATATGCATACAGTGGAATATTATTCAGCCTTAAAAAGAAGGAAATCTTACCATTTGCAACGGAATGAACCTGGAGGACACTGTGCTAAGTGAAATAAGCCAGACACGGAAGGACAAGTACTCTGTGATTTCCACTTACATGAGAAATCTAAAATAGCCAAACCCACAGAAGCAGAGTAGAATGGTGGCTACAGGGCCTGAGAGAAAGGGAAAACAGGGAAGTGCTTAAAGGGTACAAAGTTTCAGTTACACAAGATAAGTCCTAGAAATCTGTGCAGCTTAGTGCCTACAGTTAACAATACTGTATTTTATGCTTAAAAACTTGCTAAGAGGGTAGGTCTTATGTCAAGTGTTCTTATCATGAATAAACAAAATAATAAAGCAGACAGTAAGAAACTTTTGCAGGTGATGGGTAGGTTTGTGGCACAGATTGTGGTGATCGTGTCACGGGTGTATACTTATCTCCAAACTCACCAAGTTGTATACACTAAATAAGAACAGCTTTCGGTATTGTCAATCATACTTCAGAAAAGTTTTTTGTGGGTTTTTTGGGGTTTTTTTTTCCCCGAGAGAGGGTCTTGCTCTCCCAGGCTTCAGTGCAATGGGGCTGTCACAGTTGGCTTGCAGTCTCGAACTCCTGGGCTCAAGCGAGATCCTCCTGCCTCAGCCTCCCAAGTAGCTAGGACTACAGGTATACGTCACCATGCCAGCTAATTGTTTTATTTTTTGAAGAGAAAGGCTTTGTTGCCCAGGCTGATCTTAAACTCCTGGCCTCAAGGGATTACAGGTGTGAGACACTGCACCTGGCAAGTGTGTGTTTTTGTTTTGTTTTGTTTTTTAAGATGGAGTCTCACTCTGTTGCTCAGGCTGGAGTACAGTGGCACGATCTCAGCTCACCACAACCTCTGCCTCCCGGATTCAAGTGATTCTCCTACTTCAGCTTTCCAAGTACCTGGAAGTACAGGCACCCACCACCACGCCCGGCTATTATTATTATTATTATTATTATTATTATTATTATTATTATTTTGTATTTTTAGTAGAGACAGAGTTTCACCAGGTTGACCAGGCTGGTTTCGAACTCCTGACCTCAAGTGATCCATCCACTTTGGCCTCCCGAAGTGCTAGGATTACAGGCATAAGCTACCGCGCCAGCCTGTTTTGTTTTTAAAGGGAGAGACTTTAAGGACCCATTGTGTGATTGGGTGGAGTAAAGTGTTGGGTGGCCACTCAACTGTTTGCTGCCTGGCAGATTCTGAGTGTTTCAGTCAACACAGTGTAAGCTGCTTGGTAAAATTCCAGGTTTTCTTTTAAATCAACCACTTGTTGCGGAGCCTTCTGGGCCCCAACACAGCAGAGCGCAGGGGAAGGATGGTCTGTCCCGGGCCAGCAGAGAGGCTTCCAACAGGCTGTGGAGAGGATACTGACTTCCACAGACTCTAGGGCATCTAATGGTAGAGTCTGAAATGGAATCATAGGGTCTGGGAATTTGAAAGCTACCAGACACCCAGATGTCAAAGAGTTTTCAAGAAATCTCGTTTTTCCCAGTAGTTCATGTCCCTGTGGAGAGGAGAGGAGAAAAAATGGGCCAAATAATCTTCCTAATATAAAAACTTTGCTTTTCCCTTCATCTCATTTAAGATAACGATGAGAAAAACTGTTCATTAAAGCACACTTTCAACAGAGGGGAGGAGGGGCGGGCCTGAGCAGGCCGGGGCTGGGTTGCAACCAAGGCAGGCTCCACCCCACAGGCCTCAAGCTCCCCACTGTGTTCCCAAAGCACAAAGCAGCAGCACAGGAGGCCCACATTCTGTGCAAATCCATACAGGTGTGTTTTCAGAGTAGATAAGTAATTACCCAATTCCACCTCATGTGACCTTCCATGAAGTCAAGGTGGAGAAAATGAAAAATGAACTGATTCACCCCAGTGAGCTCCAGCACCTCCCAGTCAGCAGCAGCAAGGGCTCCTGGAACATCTAACAGAAACACAGCATGGCTGACCCCAGGCCCACTGTTGGGAGAAATCCATTCATCAAAGAAGCTAACATAGAATCCAGCTCCGGCTGAGATCTATGACTCCAGCGACAGGAAATGGTTAGTAGTACAATAATAAAACTTGACTTCAGACAGTATTTGTCTTGAAGGGCTATACCGTCCCCTTGGGCAAGTCATCTCTGGGGCCTCAGTTTCCACATCTAAAGTGAAGGGGTTGGTCGGGAGGCGGAGGCTGCAGTGAGCCGAGATCGCGCCACTGCATTCCAGCCTGAGCAACAGAGTCAGACTCTGTCTCAAAAAAATAAAATAAAAATAAAGTGAAGGGGTTGAGCTCCGTGACCTCCAACTTCCAGAATTTAAATTCTATCATTTTGTTATGATTTCGCCAATCTCCATTTCTTTTAAGTGCTAAAGGTTTGGTGCCTGCTCAAAGTCAGAATAAATGGAGTACAAAACAAGAGAGGATAATTTAGAATTGAGTGATTACTTCTGAAGCAAGAAATTACGAGCTTTCCTTCCTTAATAGACACATTAACATTTTCTGTCAATAATGGACTAGGCCTGGGTGTTCAACCTTTTGGCTTCCCTGGGCCACATTGGAAGAATAATAATTGTCTTGGACCACATGTAAAATGCACTAACACTAACGACAACTGATGAGCTTTAAAAAAAATCCCAAAACGATCTCATAATGTTTTAAGAAAGTTTACAAATTTGTGTTGGGCCACATTCAAAGTCATTCTGGGCCGCATGTGGCTGTAGTCCTGTGGGATGGACAAGCTTGGACTAGGTTCTTTCCATTTACTGGAATTCAGCCACTAAATGGGGTAGGGTTCAATTCCTCCATCCTTCAGCTGCTGTAGACGAGTTGCTTCAAGTGACGTAATGACAGCCTCTGCCTCATAATAAACTGCCAATCATGTAACT
Organism: Homo sapiens; assembly: GCF_000001405.40. Taxonomy (NCBI): domain Eukaryota; kingdom Metazoa; phylum Chordata; class Mammalia; order Primates; family Hominidae; genus Homo; species Homo sapiens. The sequence goes on along the minus strand of NC_000009.12, from coordinate 947,009 downwards.
GGTCAAAATCAAATCGTTAGCTAATTCTGCATGACGAATTTCCTAACATTATCGGCTCTTTGGTATCTTGATGGGCACCGTCTGTGAATCCAGTCCTTGCATTGTCAGGCACTGCTCTTTTGTGTGAATCTCAACTACTGCCAGTGTAAACTTGCAGACCTGGACGTACACACCCATTAGCACAGAAAGGACGTATTCCCCAATCTTTCCTACCAAGGAGGCAGCACATTTTTCAGCCCAAGTGGAAACACAATTGTCCCCACATCATGTCAACAAGAGTGCAGGGTGGAATGGCCTTCTGCTTTCTGGTTTTATTTTGGGGAGATCGCCTAGTAATGAGAAAGTAACTACAAGGAAGGAAAGTCACAAGGCTCTTTACCGGAACCTCTGTTTGTACAAAAGCCAGCGTTTTTATGTGGAGATTGATTGGGATTCAGTGTGAGGTGGCTGTTAGGCAGAGATGGACTATGCCGGGGCTTGTCTTATGACCTGTGACCCACTCTTGTACTTTTCTTGCAGAGGGAGGAGAGAGCCACGGTGGATGAAATGGTCCAGTTACCTGGCACTTCAGGCACTGCACAGATGCTGGATGGGGCACCTCCCTTACCATGCTGGCTCTGATGGAAATGGAAATAAAAACCACCACTAGACTCCATTTCCCATCCACCCAATAGACAAAAATGTACATGTTGGATAATACCAAATTGCTAGGAATACATTGCTGCTAGGATTGTAACCAGGTGCAGCCAGTCTTGGGGTTAATTTGGCAGTATTCAATACAACCTTACTTGCAGGCTTTCATCTCCCCAGAAAAACACCAGCACAATTGCACAAGGAGAGGGCAGCATTTGTTTGTCACATCAAAAAAAAAAAAGAAAGAAAGAAAAATAACATGACTGCCAATAAATAAGAAAATTAACTAATAAACCATGCTCCATCCAAACTGTGGAATAGTAGGTGCCAGTTAAGAATAATAAAGTAGACCTACATGTACTAAACATGTAAGATCTCTAAGACCAAGCATTGATTGAAAAAAGGAAAGTGCTGAGGAACAATACATTGACTACAACACCCCTTATGTTAAAAAGCCAAGCAAACCACATTTCTACAGAAACACATATCTGCATGTAATTTCATAGCAAAAGGTCTGGAACAACACACATCAAGAGTTTAGCTCTTGAGGCAACTGTTAAAATAAATAAAATGAGGGAAAAGTAGGCCATAACACTGTATTACGCCAAGATTACAACTGGCAAAAAAAAAAAAAAAGTGTGTATTTTTTTTTAAAAAAGCAACTCATCAGGAACTACAGAGAATAAAAACAGCAGTGTTCTGTTCATTTAAGAAAAAAAAATAAAGCTGTCTTAACTATACATTGAGAAACATGTTCTGAAAAACCAGTTTTCCAGTTATTTCTGACTGCTGTCTTTTAAATCTCTGCTTTTAAAGGTATTTTTTAGATGAATAAAAATACAAAAAATAGCAGTGTAGCAAGTTTCATCTTGATGAAAGTACGAAATGGCTGATTGGAAATTATTATGAAAGACAGAAACAGGCCAGATACGGTGGCTCATGCCTGTAATCCCAGCACTTTGGGAGGCTAAGGCCGGTGGATCACCTGAGGTCACGAGTTCAAGACCGGCCTGGCCACCATGGTGAAACCCTGTCTCTACTAAAAATACAAAAAAATTAGCCAGGCGTGATGGCAGGCACCTGTAATCCCAGCTACTCAAAAGGCTGAAGCAGGAGAATCGTTTGAACCTGGGAGGCAGAGGTTGCAGTGAGCTGAGATTGAGCCATTGGACTCCAGCCTGGGCAACAGAGCAAGACTCCATGTCAAAAAAAAGAAAGAAAGAAAGAAAGACAAAAACATTAGAGTCTAGCTAGCTATACTGTTAAGATGAAGCACTTTATTTTCACTTTTTGAAAATGCTATTTTGCAAAGGATCTAATTTGTGGATAAAACTTGTAGTAGATTTCATAATTATTGTCAATGTGTTTTTATACAGCTGCTTTATCTGACAGAGGTCTGGACAATTCCCCAGATTAAGTCGGTTGTTTGGGGGACATTAATTTTAGGCAACTAGATTTACCAAATTATCTTGTTAACTTTGTAGGTGGTCATGTGCTTTCCAAAGCAAGTAACTAACAGAACTAAAATACACGATAGTGCCTATGTTTGAAACACCATAGAATAGTAATATTTTATGACAACATAACCTTTTATTATAAGCATTTGATATCATAATGGGTGCACAAATATAGTATTTGGAATCAAACACAACTTAAAGCACTTCAAAAAGCAAGAATCAGGCTTGGTACCATTTACCCAAAAGAGGTTGCTACTTATAAATGAGGGCAACGGATTCTGTTCTCAAAATGTGCCTGCCAAGCAAGGACCAAAATATCTGAAATTCCACCATTAAAGATCCGTTTCTTCAGAATTAAATATCCATCTCCTTTTAAAATGCAAACAATCAGGAGGACTAAGACACAAAATCAGTTTTATTTTACCATGTTATTTATCAAATCATTTTCTCTCAAAGGAGGGAGGAGCAAGAGGGGAGTGAGCTGCTGAAAATTGTATATGTGTTTATTGAATGTGCTTATTGTGTGAGGATGCTGGAGGGGAAATTACAACAGTCTAATCCTACTAAGCATACTGTTTCCTGGAATTACTCTTGACTGTAATCTTTCCACTGAAATCTTTCAAAAAACTGTGGCAGGTTCAAAATCAGGAACACACAATAATTAAGGAGATCATGGAATTCCTGGACAACCAATAAAGGTAGTAACTACAAATTAGTGAACACCACTCATGTGCCGGGTGCAGTGTTAAGCCCTTTAGAAACACTATTTCACTTACTCCACACAAAAACTAAATGAAATGCATCCTATCACCTCCAACTTACAGTCAGGAAAACTAAGGTTTAGAGAGGGGAAGAAATTTGCCCAAGTCAAATGGTGCCCAAGTTTATATGGTTACTAAGTGATGACCCAGGTCTGAGAGACCCCAAACACAGTACTCTCAACCATTATGCAATGCTGCCCCACTCCAAGAAACACAAGGGAAAAGAATTTGGCCACAAATGAGTGCTTAAGCCCAAAAGCCAACCACATACTCTGAAGGATACCTTTAAACTCATCTTTTCTTTAAATCAATGTATTTTGATTAAGAAAGATAAAAATAACTTCTTTCCCATTGTGCTTTTGCGGCTTTTCTTACAAAAATAAATCCTCTTGAGAATGGGGTCCTTCATCAGTAAATTGTAATCTGCTGGCGGATCTTTAACACGTTATTTCCAACACTCCTCCCTGACCTCTTGCTTCTAGCAGAAGAAGAAGTCCATTTCGCTATGGACCACATACATATCCCCACCATCCCCATGACCTTCAGAATTTAAGGAAATAAAAATAATTATCAGCACCCCAAATTCAGGATGTAAGTGTTAGACAACTGTGTATTACTTGCACAGAAAATATTTGGGTAAATGTACTGTCAAGTGTGAGTTCCAGTGACATGCCTGTTGAGAGAGTGTCCTCGTTGCCCCTGGTGCCAACTCTCATTCTCCAGCCAATGCCTCTGTGAAAGCATCACCTCACCTCCCTGTGACAGCAACCTGCATGGAGATGAGACTATGAGTCACTTCCTGCCCCAGGGCTCCTGTTACTGTTTTTCAAGTACACAGGTGCAACTCAGAAGTGAGGGGGTTCAACACCTCATTGAGAGATAAGGGCCGATGGGAAGGTAAATACTCTGTTTTATCCTCAGATGAATGATTCTGGAAGGCTCTCTAGGAACTCTGCAGAAAGCCCTGAATCTAACACCTGTTGCCTTCACAATTTTATGTTGGCTTTTCTTCCTCCTCCTGATCCTTCACTCTTACTCCTTGGAATAACAACCTGATATGCTATCAAAACGCAAATCCTTATTGTCTTCGGTTCTGCTTTTATGTGAAACCCAAACTAAGACACAGATATCCTGTATACTTCACTAAGCAGCATCATATAGGGTTGGGGGGAGGGGTGTGCAGAGGTTTAAAGTCAGATCTGGTTTTGAATTCCTGCTCTGCGATTTATTTGCCACATTCCTTAAGGGAGTAATTCTTTGCGACAGATGGCTTAAATAACACCCCAGTGTTTTTTGTGAGGATTGAAAAAAAAATAGAAATAAATAAAGAAGTTCAAAAGTCTCTTTAGAAACAACTATAAATTATATCAACCAAAATTTACACATGCACAAATAAACTCATGATGTTGCTACGAAATCACCAATAAAACCAACGAACCTCTGGAAAATCTGACTATGAACACAAGAAAATAAACAAAAAGAAAAGCAATAAACTTGAGATGTACCTCCAGAACCACAGGTATAGTGTTTTTAAAAATTTGAGAGATCATCATTGCAATTTTATATCAAGTTTAAAATGAAAAATAGGCCAGGCACAGTGGCTCACACCTGTAATCCCAAAACCTTGGGAGGCCAAGGCAAGCAGATCACTTGAGCTCAGGAGTTCAAGACCAGCTTCGGCAACATGGCTAAACCCCATCGCTACAAAATATTAAAAATTAGCTGGGTGTGGTGGCACGCGCCTGTAGTCCCAGCTACTCAGGAGGCTGAGGCAGGAGGATGAACTAAACCTGCGAGGTTGGGGTTGCAGTGAGCCATGATCACACCACTTCACTCCAGCCTGGGTGACACATTGAGACCCTGACTCAAATAAAAAGGAAAAGGAAAATTGATATTTCTCTTTAAAGAAAGACACATTGCCAAAACTGAGGAAGAAAGCTTGTTTTTAAAAGATTACCATAAAAGAAACAGAAAAGTTAATCAAAAGATTTACCCCCCATCTCCAAAAAGACCAAGGCCTAGATGGTCATGGGCAATTTTATTCAAATACCAAGATGTTGTCATACCTATGTCACTTAAAATGTCCCAGAGAATAAAGGAAGATGATGGCTTCTGTTTCATGTTATACATAACCATGATATAACAACATTACAAGGATACCACAAACTGGGATAGAAAGCCAAGCTCACTTCTGGATATAAGTGCAGATGTCCTAAATAAATACAAACAACCTGAATCCAGCAATGTACTAAAAGGACAATACCTCATAACCAGATAAGATTTATTCCAGGAATATAAGAATCATTCCACATTAGGACATTCATCAATGTGACTTACTACATAAATAAAGAGAAAATAATGTTATCATTTTGATACATGCAAAAAAGATACTTGATATAAATAAAATGTCCATACTTTTTTCTTTTCTTCCTATTTTTTTGGTGGTGAAATACATGTAAACATAAAATTTACCATCCTAACCATTTTTTAAGTGTACAGTTCAATAGCAATTAAGTTCATTCAGGCTGCTGTGTAACCATCACCACCCTCCATCTCCAGAACTTTTTATGTTCTCAAACTGTAACTCTATACCCAAAAAAACGATAACTCTCCATTCTGTCCTCCCCTCAACACCCAGCAACCACTACTCCACTTTTTGCCTCTATGTTTTGACTACTCTAAGTACCTTAAACATGTGGAATCATACAGTATTTGTCTTCTTGTGAACGACATGTAACTTAGCATAATGTCCTCAAGGTTCATCCATGTTATAACATGAGTCAGATTTTCCTTCCTTTAATATTCCATTGCATATGTGTGGGGGGGGGGAGGGGGTGTGTGTGCGCACACGCTCATGCATGCGCCACATTTTCTTTGTCCACCCTCTGTTGATGGACACTTAGGTTGACCCCCATTTATGCTGCTGTGAACATTGAGTGTACAAATATCTCTGGACCCTGCTTTCACTTCTTTGGGGTAAATATCAAGAAGTGTAATTGCTGGATCATGTGGTAATTTGGGTTCATATTTTGAAGACCCACCATACTGTTTGCATAAAGGCTATAGCACTTCACATTCCCACCAATAGTGCCCAAGGGTCCCAATTATTCCACATCCTTGTCAACATTTGTCATTGTTTTTATAGTAGCCATCCTAATGTGTGTGAGGCAGTATCTCATTGTCATTCTTATTTGCATTCCCTAATGATTAGATATTGAGCATCCTTTCATATGCGTATTAGCCATTACTATATCTTCTTTGGAGAAATGTCTGTTCAAGTCCTTTGGCCATTTTTGAAATGGGTTGTTTTGCTGTTGCTGAGTTTTAGCAGATCTCTGTGTATTTTGGATATTAATTCCTTATCAGACATATGATTTGCAAATATTTTCTCCCATTCTGAAGGTTGTGCCTCTTAACTCTGTTGAATAGTGTCTTTTGATGTACAGATTTTCAACATCAAGTCCAATTTTTTTTTCCTTTTGTTACCTGAGCCTTTAATGTCATATCCAAGAAGTCATCGCCAAATCCAATGTAATGAAGCTTTTCCTCTGTTTTCTTCTAAGACTTTCATAATTTTAGGTCCTGCATTTAGGTCTTTGATCCATTTTGAGTTAATTTTTGTATATGGTATAAGGTAAGACTCCAACTTCATTTTTTTTTTATGTGGATAGCCAGTTTTCCTAGCTCATTTGTTAAGAATGTTCTCTATTGAATGTTCTTAGCACTCTGGTCAAAAATCATTTGACCATACATGTGGGAGTTATTTCTGGGCTTTCTATCCTAGTCTATTGGTCTCTATGTCTGTGTGTGCCTTCTTTTGTTTATCTGTTCTTCTGTTGATGGGCACTTGGGTTTCCACCCTTTGGCTACTGTGAAATAATGCTGCTGTGAGGTTTGGTGTACAAGTATCTGTGTGAGTACCTGCTTTCAGTTCTTCTGGATATATATCTAGAAGTAGAATTGCTGCATTAAATGGTAATTTTATGGTTAAGTTTTTGCAGAACTGCCAAACTGGTTTCCACAGTGTCAGCATGATTTTACATTCCAGTCAGCAGTGCATGATGGTTCAACTTTTTCCATATCCTTCCCAACTCTTGTTGTTTTCCGTTTTTTTGATAATAGCCTTTCTAATGGGTGTAAAGTGGAATCTGATCATGAGTTTGATTTGCGTTTCACTGATGGCTAATGATGTTGAGCATTTTTTTCATGTGCTTCTTGGCCATTTATGTATCGTCTTTGGAGAAATGCCTGTTCAAGTCATTTGCCCATTTTTAAATTGGGCAAATCTTTCTGCCAGTATAATGTCCACCCTTATAGGTATTAATGACTATTTCTACAACATACAGAGGAGGGAGAGGAAAAATATGTAGTATCTATATGAAAGAAACTATAAAACTTCACTACAAAATTTCTGGTTTTACTTTGTACACTCCTACATTATTTGACTTTTCCCCCCGTGAGCTTGTATTGCTTTTGGTAAAAATGATAAAAATAACTTTGTATGATGCTCTAAAATAGGAGTTAAGCAGAGAATAATGCAAAGCCCTCTTTGTAGCTTAGGTGTGCATTAAATGCCAATAAAGGAATAATAAAGTCCAGAGAACAAACGAGAGAAAGAATATACAACAGAGAACAGGACAAAATATTTTCAGCATGTGTGGGGAAGTTTCATATTTCAAAACAAGACTGGCCACGGTAAATTAACTCTGTTTTTGTCATTCATTTTGGAAATATCCTGACATAAGAGTTTTAGAGACGGCTAATTAAAGAAGAAGACTTGGTGAATGAGGGAAGTTAGGAGGACTGGGTAGGGAGTTAAGATTGTTCCCAGCATATGGTGCAATTTGGGAGTTAAGTGCAACAGGAATAAGCAGACAGTTAAAAGGAGGTCCTTAGTGGCCTGGTAAGTGGTCTCTAGAGTGGAGGGTAAGCACTGGGATGGAAGCATCTTGAAAGGAAGAAGCTGAACTATCTAGGACAGACAGAAGATGAGCAGGGCTAGGTCAGGATCCACTAAATCGTGTAAACGAAGAGGATTCTTAGGGGAAAAGGATGCACAGGCATAAATGGGGTGTTACTGGTACCTTTAAGGTAGCCCTAGAAGGCTATGGAGTGGGGCAACCCAACCTAACCAGTGAAGGCAGGGGTGGGTTACAAGATCACTGAGCAGTTGACAACTCCACCACCCACTTCTTCATAGATTAATGATTACCTTAGATTAAAGAGTCCAGAAAACAAGCAAATCAGGCTATTAGTGTTCAACATGATCACGGTCGTATATGAAAAACCCAGAGCTAAACATCACATTCAATGGTGAAATAATAATGCTTTCCTCCAAAATCAGAAACCAAACAACGATGCCCACTTGTGCCACCTCTGTTCAATACAATACTGTAAATTCTAGTCAGAGCAAATAGACTAGAAATAAAGCACCCAAATTGGAAAGAAAGAAGTACAATTATCTTTGTTCACAGAGGATGTAAACTTATTATAGAAAATACTAGAGAATCCACAAAAAAACTGATAGAGCTAATAAATTCAGCAAAGTTGCAGGATATAAAATCAACACACAAAAATCAGTTGTATTTCTATACCCTAGCAACAAAATATTAAGAAATTCTATTTACAATACCATCAAAAATAATATTCAGAAATAAATTTAACCAGGGAGGTGACAGGCACAGATAAAACTATTAAAAATGCTTAAAGAAAGTATTAAATACCTAAATAAATAGAAAGACATCATCCCGTGTTCATGGACTGGAAGACTTAATATTGTTAAGATGACAATAGTACCCAAAACAATCTACAGATTCAATTCAATTTCCATCAAAATCTCAAAATCTGTTTTTTGCATAAATAGAAAAACCCATTGTAAAATTCATATGGAATTCCAAGGCACATCAAATAGCCAACATAACCTGAAAAGAAAGAACAAAATTAGAGGGATCACATTTCCTGATTTCAAAACTCACTACAAAAGCTGCAATATAAACCCTCAAATATACGGTCAACTGATTTTTGACAAGTGTGCTAAGACCACTCACTGGGAAAAGGAGTCTTTTCAATAAACAATGTTGGGAAAACGGGATATCCACATACCAAAGAATAGAGTTAGATCCTTACCTTACATTGTATACAAAAATCAACTTAAAATTAATGAAAGATCTTAAGAGCTAAAACTATAACTATAAAACTCTTAAAAAAACAAAAATAAATCTTTATAACCTTGGATTTGACAATGGTTTCTTAAATATGACACCAAAAGCACAGGCAACAAAAGAAAAACTAGATAACTTGGACTTTATCAAAATAAAAAAAAAACTTTTGTGCAAAAGATACTAAAAAGAGAGTAAAAAGACAACCCACAGAATGGGAAAAAAAATACTTGGAAATCATAGCTTAAAAGGATTTGTATCCAGAACATAATAAAGAACTCCTACAACAACGACAAAAAACCAAACAACCCAATTTAAAAATGTGCAAATGACTTGAACAGGCATTTCTCCAAAGACGATACATAAATGGCCAAGAAGCACATGAAAAAAATGCTCAACATCATTAGCCATCAGTGAAACGCAAATCAAACTCATGATCAGATTCCACTTTACACCCATTAGGAAGGCTATTATCAAAAAAACGGAAAACAACAAGAGTTGGGAAGGATATGGAAAAAGTTGAACCATCATGCACTGCTGACTGGAATGTAAAATCATGCTGACACTGTGGAAACCAGTTTGGCAGTTCTGCAAAAACTTAACCATAAAATTACCATTTAACGCAGCAATTCTACTTCTAGATATATATCCAGAAGAACTGAAAGCAGGTACTCACACAGATACTTGTACACCAAACTTCACAGCAGCATTATTTCACAGTAGCCAAAGGGTGGAAACCCAAGTGCCCATCAACAGAAGAACAGATAAACAAAAGAAGGCGCACACAGGCAATGCAATATTATTCAGCCATAAAAAGGAATGAGGGTCTGACACATGCCACAACATGGATGAACCTTGAAAACACCGTGCTTAGTGAAATAAGCCAGATGCAAAAGGACAAATATGGCATCATTCCATTTATATGAGGTATTTGAAATAGGCAAATTCATAAAGATGGAAAGTAGAAGAGAGATTACCAGGGGCAGGAGGAAATGGAAAATGGGAAGTTATTGCTTAAGAGGTAAAGAGTTTCTGTTTGGAATGATAAAAAAACATTCTGCAAATAGATAGTGGTGATGGTTATACAAGATTGTGAATGCATTTAACGCTACTGAATTGTATGCTTAAAAATGTTAAAATGGCAAATTTTGACATTTTATGTTATGTATATTTAACACAGTAAGAAAAAATGTAATAAGAAAGGATTATCAGGGCTTCCTTGAAGAAGACTTTTTTTTTTTTTTTTTGAGATGAAGTTTTGCTCTGTTGCCCAGGCTGGAGTGCAATGGTGTGATCTCGGCTCACTGCAATTTCCGCCTCCCAGGTTCAAGCGATTCTCATTGCCTCAGCCTCCCGAGTAGCTGGGATTGCTGGCGCCTGCCACCACACTTGGCTAATTCTTTGTATTTTTAGTAGAGACAGGGTTTCGCCATGTTGGCCAGGCTGGTCTCGAACTCCTGACCTCAGGTGATCCACCTGCCTCAGCCTCCCAAAGTTCTAGGATTACAGGCATGAGCCACCACACCCGGCCTGAAGAAGACATTATTAATATAGCCTAATAACCTCACAGGAGATGTTAAGTGGAAGAAGACAATGGCCCATCAAAAAAGCCAAGAAGAAAGCCAGGAGATAGTTCTTTCATCTAGTATTAAATATGAAGCAGGTATTTCATAACCATAGAGCTACTACAATAAAACTGCAATATCTATGTCCTACCAAGAAGGGGCAGACCTCTGATAAGTCTAATTTGCAAAAGGAATGCATACATTTCAACAGTTCTCTCTTGACTCCCAAGTAAATAAGTATCAAGCAACACACATCCTTCATAAAGAAGTGGAGACAAGCAATCCAAAGAGAGAGAAATGTATTTTACAAAATTCACTTTCTTCTCATAGAAATGACTGGGACAAGAAGCCATGCTTTTCCGAGCTCTGCATTGTTGCCACATATGAGGTAGTGGGTAGAGACAGGCTGCTACTCAGAGTTGCAGAATTACAATAAAGTGTCTCCAGCCTTGAAAACGACTTTGGGATATTTCACTTATGGGAGGGTGGGGATAGGTGGCACTTTTCTACCTAACAATACACAGAATTTCCTCTCTGGTTTCACAGCAGTGAAGTGCTATTCACAGGATTAAAAAATGAACAAATCATCTGCCTCCATTTCCTGGAGACAAACATTTGGTTTGATAAGTAAACAAAAGTCATTTATACTCAAAAGACCACTTGGATGGATATAAACAGTTCTGATTTACTCAACGGGTCTGGAGGGGGTGTAATTTATTACAGTCCATTTAGCGCTGTAACAACTGCTTTTCAAAACCCGACACTGATTCATGAAAATGAACATACGGGCTCTCTTTGCAGCATAAACTCTCACAGCCTCAGGCAAGTGCTGATAGAAATGTAGTACAAGGCACTGCGAGACTGGTATGCGGAAGCGAGCAATTACGCCAGTATTTAACCCAATCTATCGCTCATCAGAAAAGTGCTTAGCACTGGAGTCAGACTCAGACAGGCTGACAAGGAGCAGAGCCACTTAACTGTCCCCTCCGGCAATTACACTCTCTCAACCTAAGAGTGTGTCAAATTAAAACAACTACACATTGACTTTTCACTTTTGTAAACATTAAGAGGTGATTGACAATTTCAGGCTGCAACCAGCCAGGCATTATCCATCTGCCCCCCTCGTTTGCCAATCTGCTGTTAGCTCTGATAGTCCGTTTCTTTAGGAATATTCCTATAGGACACTAGAGGATATAGGGGCTTTTCCACTGGAACTTACCATCTCTTACATATAAGCAGCTACAGATGATCCTTAAAAACTGGGTATTTTAAAAATTACCATTAGTCACTTTCAATTAGAAAAACACTAGTCACTTAGAACTAGAAAAATTGAAAATCACCCACAGTCTTTAAATGCACTACTATTCTCACTGCTTCTATTATAAATGATTTTGGAGGATTCCCTTCCCTGGTTACCCTATATGCCTTTATTTCAGAACTGTAGGAAAGATATAGTTGAGACAGCTGGGAGAGACAAACAAAAGTAAGATAACCGAGAAAATATTCACCAGAGAGATCAAGGTGTATCAACAACTGCCGATTTTATAGGCTTGTGCTTAGGATTCAACATTCAATGTCTGGTGTTCTCTGATGCTCACAGAAAAGGGCCACAGTCATCGAAAGTGTCAAAACTTTCCTCTTTTGCCACTTTGTCCTCTTGGCACCAAGACCATTTAATGGAGGAAAGGAGAGTGTTTAACAAATAGTGCCGGGAAAACTGGATATTCACATGCAAAAGAATGAAGCTGGACTCTTCCCTTACACCATATACAAAAATTAACTCAAAATGGATCAAAGACCTGGATTAAACCTAAGAGCTAAAAAACTATAAAATGCTTAGAAGACAATATGACACAGATTTGGCAATGACTTCTCTTTTTAAAATTTTTAAATTTTTTAATTTTTGAGACAGGGTCTCATTTTTTTGCCCAAGCTGGAGAGCGCTGGTGTGATTACAGCTCACTGCAGCCTCAAACTCCTGGGCTCAAGTGATCCTCCTCCCTCAGCCTCCTGAATAGCTAGGACTACAGATGCATGCCATCACATCCAGCTCTGATTTCTTAAATATGACACCAAAAGCACAGGCAACAGAAGAAGAAACAAAACAAACTGGGCTTCATCAAAAATTAAAAATATGTGTGCATCAAAGGTCACTCACTGGTCACTATCAACAGAGTGAAGAGGCCACTCACGAAATGGGAGAAAATATGTGCACATCTTCTATCTGATAAGGGATGAATGCTACATCCCCAGTTTTGGTTTTAATGAAAGCATCCTTGCCAAGTCTCCAAGGCTCACATGCTGCTCCAAGGCCATAAGACAAGTTTTCCACTCTGGGCAAGTACTATTCTTGGACTGAGATCAACCAAGTTCTAGCTGAGTTACTCACTTTCATCATCTTTTTTTTTTTTTCTTAAGTGTGCATCACAGGTTAGGTCCAAGGATCAACTAATTCTGTTAGCAGTCACTCAATAAGTCTGTCAGTAACAGCTCCTCAACCCGACAGGATAGGAGAATAAGGGCTGATGTTCCCACAAAAGTCAAGACCTTTAAATGGTGTTTGTGAGCATATGGGACTTGTTTTCTCAGGTTTAAACCCTGCAATGTCCTTTCCTGTCACTGTAAAAGACCCAAAAAGTTGCCGAATACAACTTCCTATGATGATGGAAATATTGTTTCTGCACTATCCAATACGATATAACTAGCCTCTTGTAGCCACAAAGCACCTGAAATGGGCCTGGTGTGACAGAGGAATTGCATTTTCCATTGTAATTAAAATTTAAATAACCCTATGTGCTGGTAGCTGCTGTACTGGATGGTGCAGGTCTACAACATCAGGCTAAAGACAAGGGTTCAATGCTGGTTTGACAGCCTGAGGCTGAAAAGTGTCCCAGGAAGAAACCCGGTCAGGAGAGATAAGGTCACCCTGCTCCATTCCTAGCTTTGTTACCCATTCTCTCTATTCAGCATCGGCTTATGGATAAAATAGGGTCAGTGGTTTTTGCTCTACCTACCTGTGGTATCGCAGAAACATACTTGGTCTTTGTCCTGGGTTCCTGGCACAGAGTTCCTAAAACCCTTGGAATTTCCTGAGTGCTAAGGATGTAGAAGCCTCTTTTATTCTAATAAAGTGACTTGGTGGCAGGCAGTTAGATAACATCAGGATGGGGGCTGGTCGCCCGAAAGACCCTAAGCCTTGATTAAAAGCTTGGAGCTCTCACCGGGGCGTGGTGGCTCACACCTGTAATCCCAGCACTTTGGGAGGCCCAGGAGGGTGGATTGATCACCTGAGGTCAGGACTTCAAGACCAGCTTGGCCAACATGGTGAAACCCCATCTCTACTAAAAATACAAAAATTTGCTGGGCATGGTGGTGTGCACCTGTAATCCCAGCCACTCGGGAGGCTGAGGCAGGAGAATCGTTTGAACCCGGGAGACGGAGGTTGCAGTGGGCCAAGATCACGCCATTGCACTCCAGCCTGGGTGACAGAGCAAAACCCTGTCTCAAAAAAAAAAAAGAAAGCTTGGAAATCTCAAAGAGCACGGAGATACCGCGCCCCATGCACATCTTCCATTTGGCTGCTCCTGAGTTGTATCCTTTATTTAAAAAAAACTGCTTAGAGTAAGTAAAGCACTTTCTGAGTTCTGTGAGTCATTATAGAGATTTACTGGACCAAAAGGGGGATTGTAGGAACCCCTAATTTGTAGCCAGCTGGGTAGAAATGTGGATAACCTGGGCACCCCATTTTCAGCTGGAGCCTAAAATGGGGGCAGTTTTGTGGGACTGAGCCCTTAACCTGTGGCATCTGGGCCAACTTCAGAAAGTTAGTGTCAGAATTGAATTGAATTGTAGGACACCCAGTTTGTGTCAGAAGGAAAAAAACCTCTCATTACTTAGTAAGATTGTTGTTAGGACTGAACAAAATGATCTATGTCAAAGTGCTTCCAAAAGTAAAAGTTTATTTTTCATATATGGATGGTCTATATAGACATTAGATAGTTCATGAATGTTAGCCAGTTCACTCTGAAGTTACCATTGCATTGGCTCATTATAACATCAAGAAATAACGCACTGCTCTCTCATTCATGTCCCTGCGTGTGGAGGCCCAAATTCTGCTGTATCTGCCAGGAAAACTGGCAAAGTCTCTCACTTTAGCAGTACATCAGAGTTAAACTGTTTAAGGTTATGCAGAGCATTTGTTAAAAGGCAAAGATGGCATGGATTAGAAATTTTCTGAAATTCAGAGGTAGAAATGAAATGAAATGAAATTCTAGGGAGTTAAATGAGGAAAAGAAGAGCAACAATCTGGAAAAGTGTTCCCGTGAGTGGGGTGTGAGTGACCACTGCGTTCTCTATCTCTGAGAGCCACCGCTGGCTCTAGGGATGCGATCTGCAGATGAGGGCCTGACGTGGGCTGGGGTCTCTGTGTTGGAGAGTTAGGAAGGTAAGTGATCAGCAAAGACCAGAATTGAGGCAGTAAGACCTGAAAACACACAACATACTCCGTTCATTTTACACACACCGACCCACCAAATCTCATCAAGAAGAGACATTTAGAGACATAAAACCCTTCAGTAGTGTTAGTGACTGAATGTAGTCTCTGTGCTAAAACTACTGAAGTCCTAGCTCCCAATGTGACTGTATTTGGAGACAGGGCCTTTAGGGAGATAACTGGGGTTAAATGAGGTCATACTCTCTAAGACTAGTGTCCTTTTAAGAAGAAGAGAGACCAGAACTCACATTCCATTCTCTCTCTGTGTCTATCTCCACACACACAAAGAGGAAAAGCCATGTGAGGACATAAGATGGCAGTCTACAACCCAGGAGAGAAGCCTTACCGGAAAGCAACTCTGACAGCACCTTGATCTTGGACTTCCAGCCTCCAGACTATAAGAAAATAAATTTCTGTTGTTGGGCCACCTAGTCTGTGCCTTTTTGTTACAGCAGCCCAACCAGACTAATAGAAATAGTATTAGCACAAAACGGGAAAATAACACAGCCTGGACTGCTCAATGTCCATATGCACCACATTCCTCTCACTGCATAGAAGAGGTTCTACTCATTACATTTGTATGTTGAATTCAAAGAACTGGAGACTTAATAAAATGAGACAGAATAGATATTTCACTTTGGTAATCTTGTGGTTTAATAGTTTTTCTTGGTCCTCTAATAGTTTTTGAACTAAAAATAAACCAAGCCCCTCCATATAATGGAACGTTATTTAACTACAAAAAGAAATGAAGCTCTGAAACATGCTACAACATGGATAAACCCAGAAAATATTATGCTAAATGAAAGAAGTCGGACACAAAAGACCACATATTCTATGATCCCATTTATACAAAAAGTCCAGAACAGGCAAATTCATAGAGACAGAAAGTAAACTAGTATTTTGGCAGGGGCTGGGAGGGAGGCAGAAATGGGAGTAATATGGGGATTGTTTTGGGGATGATGGAAATGTTTTGGAATTAGATAGCAGTGATGGTTCCATAGCTTTGTTAATATACTAAAATCCAATGAATCATACATTTTAAAAGGATGAATTTTATGGTATATGAGTTATATTTTAATGAAGCAGTTATAAAAAGACAAACAGGGCTGGGCACAATGGCTCATGTCTGTAATCCAAGTGCTTTTGGAGGCTGAAACAGGCCGCTTGAGGCCCAGAGTTTGAGACCAGCCTAGACAACATAGCAAGAACCTGTCCTACAAAAAATTTTTTAAAATTGGCCGGGTGCGGTGGCTCATGTCTGTAATCCCAGCACTTTGGGAAGCTGAGGCAGGCAGATCACGAGGTCAGGAGATCGAGACCATCCTGGCTAACATGGTGAAACCCTGTCTCTACTAAAAATACAAAGGATTTGCTGGGCATGGTGGCGGGCGCCTGTAGCCCCAGCTACTCAGGAGGCTGAGGCAGAATGGCATGAACCCGAGAGGCGGAGCTTGCAGTGAGCCGAGATCGCACCACTGCACTCCAGCCTGGGCGACAGAGCGAAACTCCGTCTCAAAAAAAAAAAAATTTTTTTAATAAAAAAAATAGCCAAGTGTGGTGGTGCACACCTGTAGTCCTATCTACTTGAGAGGCTGAGGCAGGAGGATCACTTGAGCCAAGGAATTCAGATGACTTGAGCCAAGGAGTTCAAGGCTACAATGAGCTATTATCATGCCACTGCACTCTAGCCTGGGTAGCAGAGACCCTGTCTCTAAAAAAACAAACAAATAGAACAATCTAGCTCCATCCTACCTCTATAGCTATGTAAGTAACAAAGGTGAAGTGTGCCTGGAAAAGGCTCCGTATTTGGAGCATTTATCAAGAATTTGACTGTAATCCTGGTTTCTCTAATTTGAGAAGAAAACACCCTCTTAGGTTTATGAGGAAGACTTCAACCAGGTCTTGAATAAAGTCAAGACGGCTGGGCACACAGCTACTCCATTCCACAGCATACAGAAGCTCAGACGCAAGGCTGTTCTGCAGACAGGAAGGGAAGGGAGGTGTCCCTAAAACCGCTGACCTTTCACTATCCCTGCAGCCACGCCTTCTCTCATGGTTCATCTCCCAGAGCATTATGCTAGGCCCAGACACTAACTGGCACTCAATGAATTTCTCACTTGTTTACTGACTGAGCCATCAGTTTACATCCTGGGGGGACTTAAGGAAAGAGATATTGAGGAACTGACCCTGCAGAACAGCTTTAAGAGTCACTGTTAGGCCTGGCACAAACAGGGGGACAACGGAACAAAATGCATGAAAAGTATAAATTTCCATTTTCATTCTGAGCAGCAGTGGATTAACTTTCATTTACATATATGAATGTGTCTAGCCTGTATAATAGAAAGAAAGAAAGAATATTCTTTTGACCTTTCTGGACCTATGTATCACCCAAGCAGAAGGAGAAATAATATGTTAATATGTTCAAGGATAAACTACAATCCAGAAACTTTTCACCAAGAAATTACTAAACAACATCAATCAAAATAAGAGCTTTCCAAGCATGATTAGCATTGCCCTCTTGTACTGTTTTTGTAGAAATAAAAATGATACTCTGGAGGCTAAGGCAGGAGGAACACTTGAGCCTAGGAGCTCGAGTCCAGCCTGGGCAACATAGTGAGATCCTCATCTCAAAAAAAGAAAAAAACTGAAACCACCCTTAAAATTACTGAACATGCTTAGAGAAGGTACTGCAATCCTTTGTTCACTTTCCATTTTGCCTTCTATCCCAGGGTGTTTCAGAGAAGACACAGATGAAGTACAAGGTTGTCAGATTTAGCAAATACAAATACAGGGTGCTAAAATTTAAGCCGGGAGTGGTGGCTCATGCCTGTAATCCTAACACTTTAGGAGGGTGAGGCAGGCAGATCACTTGAGATCAGGAGTTTGAGACCAGCCTGGCCAACATAGCGAAACCCCATCTATACTAAAAATACAAAAAATTAGCCAGGCTTGGTAGCATGCACCTGTAGTCCCAGCTACTCAGGAGGGTGAGACACAAGAATCTCTTGAATCTGGGAGGCGGAGGTTGCAGTGAGCCAAGATCACACCACTGCACTCCAGCCTGGGCACAAAATAAATAAATAAATAAATAAATAAAAATAAATAAATAAATAAAATTTAAATTTCAGAAACAAATAATTTTAGTATAATAAAATATTCATAACATGCTTATACTAAACATTTGTTGTTGTACATCTTAAACTTAAATTTAACTGAGTGTCCTACATTTTATCTCGAAATCTTAATAAAGTGATTGTACATGTTGGGCCGACCCACCCTGGTAAAAAACTACTGGGCTGATTTGGGTATAGTCTCTGGTTCTCCAAGAGTCAAAGCCAATGGAAAGCTTCTGGCTCCTCTACTGCCCCTAGAGGTCAAGTTCCATACACCTGTGATTGTTTCTTTCGCTGCCTCAGGAAGCTCAGACCTGGCCGAGTTAATCATCTCTAGTAAGAAGACACTGCAACTAAGAGGCAGAGAGTATGGCTGGGAAGGCTATGTTGACCTCTGCATTTAAAGTAGAGGAAATCCCTAACCCAGATTTTATGCAAGTATACATGGGGGAGAGACCCTGGATTCAATGTAAAGCCAGGTGTTTAAAGACCACAAAATGACTCTCCTAACAATCCTGCTATACTTAACAGAGAATTTTAAAATATGTGTGTTAAGCAGATGATCATGGGACTGCAGAGCCGGCTGCTGTCTCTGAATATTATTTTTTTATGGAGCTCATTTTTAATATCGGCACTTTTAGCGTGAATGTAAATAAACCTGATCATGCAATAAATTCAGTGTGCTCTTTTATTTTGCAGATTTAAGCTAAAACACCATCAATCTCTTGGAAGCAGCATCTTTCAAGATAACACTAGGCAGCACTAGGATTTTGATACCCACTAAAAGAAATAATAAATAAGCCACTGACTTCAGAGACCTCCCCAAGCATATGTGCTCAACAGGACAGGCAAGATGCTCCACAATGGGTGGCAACAGTTGTATGGGTTTCTCCTCTTTGCCCTCCTATCAAACGGACATTCCAATGTACCACAATACTCCCGGGAGAAAGTGTTCCAAGTTTTCATAGGAAAGGATGGCAAATATGGTCACTTCACACATAGCAAAATCAAAGCTGCTTCTAAACTGAAATAACCATCTACTCTAGTTCCCCCCAAAGATTCCATTTATGCCAATTTCAACGGACAACAATTTGGAAGGCACATAAAATCTGGTCACCATTCTTTACACCAGGAAGCGCATTTGGAACCTGACCTCAGCATCTATTGTATACCCCGTGTATACGGGCAAGATGGGAAGTATATGCCTATATATAAATATAAATACATATAAAGCTAACTTTCAGTGTTCAGAAAACAAAAGCTATCCCCATATAACAGCCAAATTCTGACATAACTCAATTTGGACACCTCATCTGGTGTGCACTGCACTCATTCCTAGTGTAAACGCCACCGCGCCGGGCAATGATATACTGTAATGTCACATCGCAATCTGGATTTACTATAAAGGGCCGCTGACGAGCTTCAAAGCAGTAAACATTGCAGCGAGGTGTATTTCACACTGAGCTGGTTTTTATGAAGAACACTTCACCGCCCAGGCACGGCACCTGGATGATGAATGGTGAAAGATGCATGACAAGCTTCATCATTGTTTGTAAATCTTAACTGTTCCTGCTCACTAACTCTGGAGGCAATTTTCAAAGACAGCGGCCGGCCGAAAGAAGGACAGCACACCTTTCCTGAAGGTTATTCAAGTTGTACTTGGCCTGGGCCGTGCCTCTGAAGAGGCAAGCAGGGAAAATAAACTCCAGAAGTACTCCACGCCATCCCTGAAAAAAATCGCTAGGGCCCTGTGGATTCAGGTCAGATTCAAATGAGGAAATCTCATGAGTGAGGATGCTGGAAGCTCTAACCCAACTGGCTAGTGTCACATCCAAGGAGGGCCCAACAGACAGACGTCAGTTCTCTGGGATGTTCAAATACAAATGGTCTCTAAATGAGTAACAGAAACTGGCCAACTTGATGATTTGTGATGTACCCACAAGAGAGCTGGGTCCCTCTACTGAGCAGGCAGGGATGGAACTCACTGCCACACCTGAATCCCATGAAGATAACATCAGCATTGAAAACAGACAGGCAATGTTTTCTAGTAAGTATGTTCAACCTGGCTATGTCAGAGCATTTAGGCATTCCTAAACTGTGGTTTCCAGAGCTTCTCTCTCTCTCTCTCTCTCTCTCTCTCTCTACCTGTGTCTTCTCTAGGCTGCAATCTTTAGCCAAAATGAAAACCTCTGTGTAGTTGCTCTGTGTATTCAATCTATAGCTTTTACAGAATAAATTAAAGTCGTAAAAGCAATCTCATGATAAGCTGCTGACAGACTAGGTGAAGATTAAATAACATCTTCCTCAAAAATTATCTGAGGAAAACTGCCAGGCCTCTTAGTCACAGGAGTTTAACAATAAAATAACAAGTAGAATATGTAATCACTTAACAGCTGATGCCCACAGGGAAAAAAGAGAATAAATATTTTTGAAAGTAGCTGATTGTGTTTCTATTTGCACTTATGATTTCAAAGCTAATCACTAGTTAAATTTTGTGATTTCTGCCCTTATCAAATATTAACCCTTCCACTTGACTCTCTCTTATTAAATAAAAGGAAAATTCAAATATAATCACAAAATTAAAAGTGACTTTACTGTGCTCATAAAGGTATCTTAAAGTTTATACTGAGCTTTGGGAATAGCAATGTAAAGAGAACACCACACCTGATATGCCGAAGGGTTTAAGTTTGCTTTTGAGTTTTTTTACTGTGACAGTAATGTGCTACAGAACCACAACCCCAGATGGGGGCATTTCTGCATCAGGCATGTGCTACCTGTAAGACAGGTATCTCATCATTACAGCCAAACAAACTGCATCCATGCCTTTAGTCCCTGCAAATAGAACATTCCCAAGTGCACTCTCAACCCCAATCACAGCCACCATTTCCTTGAAAATACTTAAAACATGAGGGTGCTAGACTGTAGCCCAGTGAGGCCTTGGATAAACAGCATCATCACTGAGCTTCAGTTCCTCCACGTGCCACACTGGAACAGGACCCCTCCTTTCCCCTACCTAACAGGCACTGTCTCTATGCTTCAATATCCTCATCTGTCAAATGGGGATAATAGCATTATCCAGATAATTAAATGAGTTATACACAGAGTGGTCAGATATTGTCTTACAGACACTGGAGGAGCTGCACGTGTGTTTGTAAGGGAAGAAAAAGAAAAGGAAGGAAATGAAGAGAAAAACACAGGATATACTAGAAGAAAGAGCGCCCAGGAAAGTAATTCAGGGATCTGAGTTCGTAGGCTGGCTCCTCCTCTTAAACACTAGCAACAAGGCTTAGAGGAAGTCACGGCGCTCTGCCTGCACACCCATCCTCTCTGTTAAGTGTGAATATTGAATAAGCACCCCTGACCCTCCGGCAGGGCTGCGTTCTTAATCAAAATACCAGTCACACATAGATAATTAAGTCCCTAAAATTCAAGTTTTGCAAAGGGAAGATTCTACATGGCATAAATCCAAGATGTCTGTGGCCTGGGGACAGTACCCCATGTTTGTTGGTGTCTGATTTATTTCACTGAATGCTTCACTGGAATACCTAACTCCAAGTAGATGAGGAACGAACAGAAAAGATTCCACAGTTGGTTTCTTACTCATTTAAGAAATGACAAACCATCCCGGGAGCCATCTGAGAACACTGCACGATGCCAGGCACCTGGAGGAGTACGAAGCTGACCCTCCGTGTGGGCACACACCCTGGTAATTCTTGCTAACATGCTGCAGTGAATGGACCTTATCCTTACATGAGTAAGTGTGACCTCCCTGAGGTAGGCCCCTGGGAAGTCTTGCTATTTCCAGACTACAGCCTGGAGGAGGCCTTGTCAAATGGCAGTGCTTTACACAGAGGACACGTTAGGAGCCCGACAGCTCTCAATCTTGCCCACAGTTTGCCTTGTGGGGTGCTCTTTGTATGTAGAAAGAGAAAGAAGTTTGAAGGAAAGACAGAAATCTGCTTGTCCTCATCCAACAGCATGTCAGCTTGCTTCTGTACCATTCTTTAGGCATAAAGGGACCTGCTGGTGTTCTTCACATTCCCTGAAAAGCACTGGTGTGTTTTACTTGGCAAACATATCATAAGTGTAATATATTAAAAAATACATCTTTAAAGCTGCCATTTCCAAATGTTTATTATCTGCTTAAAATTAGTATGCTCCATCTTCCTCACTCGGCAGACCATGATGTCTAGCTAATTTCAAGAATCATGATACACATACGCTTAGCCCTCCTTAATGACAGTAATCATTTTCATTTGTACAGCCCACTGCCAGGCACCTGCCAAAACAGAAAGATACATAAGCCACGGTAAAAGGTCTACATACAAGTATATGAGAGATGACAGATTCTGCCATACTTTTACATAATTCCTTATGTGATCCATATATAAAAATAGATACATGTGTTATTATTGTTTTCCACTTTCCAGATGTAACTGAAGCTCTAAGGGATTGATCAGGCCAGGCACAGTGGCTCACATCTGTAATCCCAGCACTGTGGGAGGCCAAGGCGGGCAGATCACTTGAGGTCAGGAGTTCGAGACCAGCCTGGCTGACATGTAGAAACCCCATCTCTACTAAAAATACAAAAGTTAGCTGGGTGTGGTGGTGCACCCCTGTAATCCCAGCTTCTCAGGAGGCTGAGGTAGGAGAATTGCTTGAACCTGGGAGGCAGAGGTTGCAGTCAGCCGAGATCATGCCACTGCACTCCAGCCTGGGAGACAGAGAGAGACTCCAGGTGGAAAAAAAAAAAAAAAAAAGAGATTGATCATCTTACTACTGGCTCCAGAGCTGGGGACCTGAGCAAGACCTCGTCTCCTGGGATAGTTCCAATGCCCTTCCATTCACTGGCCTTGTTGCCACTGAAAGCCCCACTTACTTCTCTGTTCCAAGTTAAAGCTGAGAACAAAATGGACACATAACGAAAACAGATTTACCTACAAAGTTCTCTTTTCTTTGAAATTTAGCAAATAATAAGTCGTTTCTAAAATGTCAAGTTTAAATTAAACTCAGCATTTTCTAAATGTTGCATAAAACACATTCAGCTTTCCTTAAAGCAGAGAAAGACAAGGGTTGATGTTTTTCTATCCTACTGGCTGAGAAATACAGCTCAGGGCAGGATGCATACATAACAAACGCAGCCCTCTGAGTCTTTGCCCCACTCTCCTTCGTGCCAGCCAAGCTCTACAACATTTCAAAGGCATCGTTCTCCCCTACAAGAAGAGCTATGTGAAATGCCCACACAGCCCTCGCAGGAAAAAATGGGGGAAAGTCATGATAACACCTGCCATCCTTTACCTGCATTTTGTGATTATTGAGCTTGTTTGCACATCAGACACCATTTCATCCTCACTGGTGTGGCCTCCACAGAGCCAACATCCTCACCCTCTCTCAGCAGGTAAGGAAATCGAGGCTCTCAGGGAAGCATTTGGTACTGCCACATAACCTGCTAAGTCATGGGTCCCATTCAGATTCCACGTACAGAATTCTCTACCACCCCACATGGCCGCTTGTCACAGAATGTCACCTCACCTCACATAAAGGGCACCTTTGGCGTTCTGGATCAAGAGCAAGTAGATCTCAGGGTGCTCCCAACAGAGAGCAGAACCTCAGTTTTCTCACCTGCAAACTTGGGAGGTGCAGCCAGATGACCTTTTCCTAAAAGTCCAAGTCTGACATGCAGCATTAAGCAAGTCCACTCCCTGAGGTGCAAGCTACCCATTTTGCATGCAGTCCTGGTCATCCTGAAGGAGAGGCCTATGGTATCAGTGAAATCAGGCACTGCTAGACTCCCTGGTCCACGACATTGCCAACGCCAGATGGATTCGAAAAGTTGTATTTGGGAGCACAGAGGCCTCTGCAAGCTGCTTACACATCACAGAGGAGCATGAAGCCTTCAACTCCATGGAGCCCATCACTGACGGTGGCCATCTGACCTTTGGGTAAAATGTAGATGCTCTGCAACTCGCTTCACGGAACTGCTGACAACCTCTGTGTGTTAAATGAGTAATACATGAACACTTCATGATCTGTAAGCACCACCTTAAATGTTTCTTTCTCCTGAAAAGAGTGCAGCTTGGACGTGAAGGAAGGCTGAAGTTGCACGGCAGGCTGCCACTCTGAGACGGAACCAAAAGAAATAAGGCACCATTTCTAACTTTTAAACCGAGATCACAAAATAAACAGACAAAAATATCTAAGTGTATTACCTTCACCAACTGAAACCTAAACCTTTTTGCAGGTGTCGACCAACCACGTACTCCAGCAACTTATACTCAAGAATTCAACATGCAGAGAACGATGTCTATTCTCAAATGTGCAGTGCCACCCACCTCTAGACAGAGGTGCATCTGTTAAAACACAGGGGCTGCTGTGGAGATCTGTCTCTTCATCACCAGCTGGGGAAGCATCATTTCAAAGCTGTTCCCACTACCACTTCCCGAACAGCTTGCATCTGTTACTACGAAGTGGCCACATTCTTATATAAGCCAACCCTCCATCTGGGCACTAGACAAGTGATCTTCAAACAGTCTGTGGAGCAGGAGAGGCCTGCTTTAAACTTTTTTTTTTCCAGTTTCCAACCCACCGTGGTCTGGTACTTTGGCAAAATACAATAAAAATGAATTACTAGAGCCCCCCAGACTTTTTTCTTGGCCAGGTAAGATGGCTCACACCTATAATCCCAGCACTTTGGGAGGCCGAGGTGGGAGGATCGCTTGAGCCCAGGAGTTCAAGACAGCCTGAGCAATATGGCAAAACTCTGTTTCTACAGAAAAAAAAAAATTAGCTGGGCGTTGTGGTGCTCACCTGTAGTCCTAGCTACCCGGGAGGCTGAGGTGGGAGGATTACCTGAGCCTGGAAAGTTGATGCTACAGTGAGCTATGATTGCACCCCTGCATGCCTGCCTGTGCTACAGAGCTGGAGGGCTGTGTCGTGATGCAGTGCTGGATGCAGTGTGTGTCTCAGGGTTTCGCTCTGTCACCCAGGCTGGAGTGCAATGGTGTGATCATAGCTCACTGCAGCCTGGGCTCTAGTGGTCTTCCTGCCTCACCCTCCCAAGTAGTCAGAACTACAGGTGGGTGGCACCAAACCCAGCTAATTTTTTATTTTTTATTTTTTTGTAGAGATGGGGTCTCACTATGTTGCTCAGGCTGGAAACTGTTTTTTTAAATGGAAAACAAGTGTTGGCAAGGATGTGGAGAAACTGGAACCCTCATATACTATGGTAAGAATATAAAACGATGCAGCTGCTGTGAAAAACAGTAACATGTTCCTCAAAAATTACATATAGACTTACCATAGGACCCAGCAATTCCACTTCTAGGCATACACCCAGAAGAAGTGAAATCAGACATTCAAACAAAGACTTGTACACAAATGTTCAAAGCAGCACTATTCACATTACCCAAAAGGTGGAAACAACCCAATATCCCTCAACTGATGAACGGCTAAACAAAATGTGGTATATCCATCCATACTATGGAATGATATTGAGCCACAAAAACGAATGAAATACTGATCTATACGACAGTGTAGCTGAATCATGAAAACATTTAAGCTAAGCGAAGCAAGACACAAAAGGCTACATATTATGAGATTCCATTCCAGAACTGGCAAATCTATAGAGACAGAAAGCAGATTAGTGATTACCAGGGGGCTGGAGGAGGGAGGATGGGGGGTTTCCTTTTGGGGTGATGAAAGTGCCTTGCAATCAGATAGAGGTGACGGTTGCCCAACTCTGTGAATGTACCAAATGCCACTGAATTGTACACTTTAATTATGGTTAATAGTTAATGTTAGGTGGATTCTACCTCAATAAAAAATAGGCTACTAGAAAAATGAAAGACAAAAAATACAAGCCCCAATATTTTATCAACCTCAACAGACAAAACTGCTCTACCAAATTGCTATAAAGTTTGTTTCCTCTCTATTTCTTATCTCCCCTCTTAGACAAGTAACAAAGCACTCCCAGACCCACATCAGACCATGGCCCCCACTCTGCAGACCCTTGGTTCCCACCCCACCTGGCTTGCTCAGGGTCACCCCTACAGCAATTGTGCCCTCCACACACTCCCTGTATCCACAAATTCTCCCTCTATTGGGATCGCCCTCATCAGCATACAAGCGTATTATAAAATCTCTCTTCTTTAAAGAAGGAGCCAAGGCCCTTCCTTGAACTCACTTCCCCACGGGTTGACGTCCCATCCCACTATTCCTCTTACAGCAAAACTCCTGAAGAGCTGCCTGTATTCACTGCACCAATTCTTCTCTCCCATGCACTCCTGAATACGCAGGCAGGCTTTGGTTCTCACCTCCCACCAAAGTGACCACTCAGAAGGTCACTGATCATTTCCACCTTGCAACAGCTGATGGTCGATTCCAGTCCTCATCTCATTTGACATATCAGCACTCTTTGGCTCTCATTAAAATCCTTTAATTTGGCTTCTAAGGCACCGCTCACACACAGTTTCCCTCCTGCCTCACAGGCTGCTCCTCCTCCCTCTTTTCCTTGCTAGTCCTCCTCATCTACAGGGCCATAAACACTGGAGACACGCAGGCTCAGTCCCTGGTCCTTTATATTCTCCACCTACATTCATCTCTCCAAATGATCTCATCACATTGACTTCAAATAAACCTATGCACTGAACCCCCAAATCTTCATCTCCAGTAGAGATATTTCCCCTCCCCCTCAGACTCCACACATCCAACTCCTAATCAACAATCCACTTGGGTGGTTCATGGACATCTCAAACTTAACACATGCAAAGTTAAACTCGTAATGCACACAAACTTATTTTTCCCATAGTCTTCTTTACCTCAATAATTGGAAACCCCAATCTACTTTGGAATTATCTTCGAGGAGTGTACAAATACGTAGAAAATCAAAATACCAATTGGTCAGGTCAAAAATTAAGGAGTCATCCTTCACTCCTCTCTTCCTGTCCCATCCAAAGACCAACAGCAAATCTTGTTGGTTCTATCTTTAAAATATATCCAGAATTCGACCACCCGTCATCACTGCCACGCTCCCACCCTCACTCAGCCACCATCTTCTTTTGCCAGAATTACTGCCATCACCTTCTAACTGGTCTCCCAGCTTCCACCCTTGCATCCCTATAGTCTATAAGAAAACAGTCATCAGGGTGATCATTTAAAAGCACAAGACAGACAAATCACCCTGTGCTTGAACCCTGCTATGGCTCCCCATCTCACTTGAAATAAAAGCCTAATTGTTTCCAATAGCTTACAAAGACCTGCAAGATCTGACTCCACCATCTCTCTGACCTACCCTCTTAACGTTTTTCAGGATAAGGAAAGAAGGAATGGCTCCTATCCTTTTACAAAGAAAAGCATTAAAAAGCAGTAACACGACAAAAGGAAAACTTGCCCTGTAAAATGCCCCCCTCCCCCCGCCCAACATTCCATTTATTTCATGTTGCCAGCTTTATAGCAAACCCAGAGGAAGACACTGAACTTGGGTTCATTTTTTTAGATGACAGAGAAGCTAAGCTTAAATTTATTTTTAAAGAAACTGAAGAACATAGATTTAATGGGCAAATTTATACTTAAATAAGACTTTAAAGAAGACATTAAACCTACTGAAAACACTGTCTTTCAAGTTCTTTAGAAATCCCTATTTAGAATAAATAATAACTTACATATTAACACAATCAACCAAAGGAACTTAGACTTGACGGATCTGCCACATGTAACTGGTTATGAGCCAACCTTTGCCGATATCTCACAAATGAATATACTGATGTCCGCATCCCCACCCATCATTTCCTGTCTCTAGCCTCAGCCCCACCTCCCAGAAGGGCTAACATGCTCTCAAAGAACACCCCACTGTGTCAATGCTGATAAAACTGAGGATCCAGTGTCCCATGAGATGACCTTTGAGGTGTCCTTACTGACCTCCAAACACGCTTCCTTTACCTTCCCACTTGCTTTGTAAAAATTCATGCAATATAAAAAAAGCCAAAATAGCACACATTTGGAAGGCATTAAGCCTTCTGTTAAAAATTAGCTGGGATTTTGATTTTCTACGTATTTGTACACTCCTTCTCGAAGATAATTCCAAAGTAGATAGTGCTGAGATTTTACTTCCCAGCTCTCGTTTCTGAAGCTTGGGCCTCCTACTTAACTGTTAGTGGGTTAGCAGGGTACCAGGAAGTTAAGCCTGGGGCCTCCTCACACACTACTCTTTCAAATAAACACATGGCCAGAAAAGTAATAAGGAATTGTAGGTGGTATTCACCTATTCTTCTTTCCCTGTGAGCGCTAGTACAGCTGGTCTTTTTCTTTCCTGGACTGTAACCTCTTTCCTTCTGAGTCGCTTCCTTTTCTGCCATAAATTCAAATGCCTACCGCTCCTCTCCAAATTCGCTCCTCTCTGCTCTAATAAATTGCCTCTTATATTTTTGTCTTACTGCCTTGCTCTGAATTTACACCTTTGTCTCAAGAACGCCAGTGCTTCAAAAAATATTCCATTATTCCTGGTGTAAGAAGCTCAGGCAATTTCTTCCTGAAAGTGGGTTTCATTCTTAATTTTCTGTATTAACAAATGTTCCTTTAACTGCTTCATCCCCAAATTGTGCAGACAGGCCAGTTAGGATTCTGACCTTTCATGCTTGCACGCCCTTACAGGCCAAACTCAGTTAAAAATAATACCAGATTCATTCATTCATTCACTCAACCAACAAATAAATAAAAGGCATCACAGCAGGTAAGAAAGTATAGAAAATGTGTTGTTTGTCCTTAGGGAGCTTATAAGCCAAATAAATATATAGACTCAAAAGCAGTATGAAAGAAGGACCTATGGGCACACATTATATAGTATGAATACTTATAAAACAGAGTTGTGCTTGTCCACTCCCAACGGAAAGTGATTCTTAATAAAAGTGAAACTGCAATCAACAATGTGTACTTCGGCCTCTCTGCAGCTCAAACTACATAGGCTCCCGTGACCTATATATTTCATATTAATAGAAGTCCTTTATTTTATGTTAATATGGTAAATAAAGCATAACTTGCCCAGCTATTTTAGACTTTCTGGTTCTGAATTTGGAAATCAAAGCATGGTTCTGATTCTCATTCTCTAAGTTCTCTAAAGAGTCAAGTTACTTAGAAAATGAACATATCCTTTTATTTAGCACAGAGTAAATTCTTCTAGATTGGTTTCTCTTCCAAGACACCCTCTACTGCCCTGATTTCCACTTACTGCCTATTGTGTATGTTTCTCACTTTCCTACATCAAAAGAGGATGCTTAACTATAAAGAACTTAAACACGGGATCTGGAAACGCAGCAGCTGTAAAGACCTGCCTCTCACCACAGTGAAAATGCTGGGGGATGTTAAAATTGAAGTCGAGTTACTATGTATTTCAAAGTGCTTTGATTCATTAAACAGTCATTTTTTATTTCAAAGCCATTATATCAGAGTTATTTGCATTGCTACTGCATAAACTCTGAGATCTATTGTATTCAAAAATGTTTTATTATGTTGTTTTCGCCAAAAAGATGAATACGCCTTCAATTTTAAAATGAAAGTCTTTGGGAAAGGAGTTTTCAATGCACAGAAACTCACTTCACAAAAAATACCAGGTCTTGAACCACATTTAAAGTGCCCCTGTATTTCATATTGATCCTCCATAAAATACATTTTTAGCTTCCAAGGGAGAGTCTCTCATCTTACTCCTGTCACTCTAGGAATCCAGAAAGGAAAAAAAACATGATATTAAGAATCAAGCATAGCAAAGTCATTTTATAACTAAATTCTTTAAAGGATACTTATCCAAGCTTCACACAGCAATAAAATTTCCAACAATTACTAACAGCTAAGCCATTAGACACAGCTAATGACCCAATACTGGATAGCCATCCTCTCTCAACCCCAAATCCAGTCTGTGTGACCAGACACCTACCGCTCGCCCTGGCTTCCGGGTAAGAGGGAGCATCCTCAAAAGTGAAGAACTGGGGCACGCTCTGGCCCAGGTAAGAGGGAGGCGGGTAGTAAGAATGCATCCTGTACTGGGAGCTCATTGCATGGCGGTTCTCCATGTTCTTCATCTGCTTAAGAAAAAAGAAGAAATATACTGAGATCAACATTGCATGTCACAACTAGTACAATAATTATCTAGTTCTTTAAAACAAGGTAACAGGCTGGGCACAGTGGCTCATGCCTATGTTCCCGACACCTTGGGAGGCCAGGGCGGGAGGATCGCTTGAGCCCAGGAGTTCAAGACCAGCCAGGGCAACACAGTGAAACCTCTTTTCTACATAAAAATCAAAAAATTGTTTGGGTGTGATAGTGCACGAGTGAGATCTCAGCTACTCAGGAGGCTGAGGTAGGAAGATCACTTGAACCCAGGAGTTTGAGGCTGTAGTGAGCCGTGGCTGCTTGCACTACTGCACTCCAGCCTGGGCAACAGAGAAAGACCCTGTCTCAAAAAAAAAAAGCAAATTAAGGGAATAGCCTATCTAAGTTGGAAGTGGCCTCAGCCATGAATATGCTCTTCCAATGTACTGGGCCTAGAACTATGATGGTGCCCTTTCTATCTTAAGGTCCCCTCTAAAGCACCCCTGAAATTCCTTCTGTTCATTTGGTGCTCGATTAACCAGTACAAAAGAGAACAGGGTGGTGGAGAGGGGACAACACAATCTGCTGTAACACTAACAAATTTGTTTGAACGGGCGCAAGTTATCAGACCTCTTCCCATGTTTCTTCATGTGCAAAACTGGAATTTTATCTTGGTTACCTTACAGTGTTCATATAAGGAGAGTATTTAAAATGACTATAGGCTGGACGCAGTGGCTCACGTCTGTAATCCCAGCACTTTGGGAGGCCAAGATGGGCAGATCACAAGGTCAGGAAATCGAGATCATCCTGGCTAACACAATGAAACCCCATCTCTCCTAAAAATACAAGAAAATTAGCCAGACGTGGTGGCGGGCACCTGTGGTCCCAGCTACTTGGGAGGCTGAGGCAGGAGAATGGCGTGAACCCGGGAGGCAGAGCTTGTACTGAGCCGAGATCGCGCCACTGCACTCCAGCCTGGGCGACAGAGCGAGACTCTGTCTAAAAAATATATATATATTAAAAAAAACAAATAAATAAATACTGTAAAACAACATGCAAACCATGTGTAATGGGAAGCTGTGGACATTAGCACAATGCCATGCTGGATCCTGTTAGTCGGTGTCTGTTCCCTGCAGCAAGAACAGGAGTCTGAGATCTGAATTCTGGAGGTGATTTGGCTTCTGCTAACTGGACACATGGGGCAGAGCAAAACTCGGAAGGCAGTAAGGAGGCACAAGCGCCCCTCCAGTGGCAGCTGCATGTGAGCACAGCAGTCATTCATTTTTTTCCGGCAACCAGACCCTGCCTTTAGGACCATGAGATAGCTTTTATATAAGAAGCAGTTCATTCCCTGTGGCTTCCTGATTCTCATTCAAAGCTAAGAAGATATGACTTGATGGCTTAGAAAGGGCCCCCCCTCCATTTCCACTTTCCTGGCCCTGATGACTCTGATTGTGTAAGACCCACTTCCATGAACATCTAGACCCTGTTAGAGACACCGAGCATTCAACTCATGATCACATCTTCACGGCAACAACAGAGCTGGACTTCAGTTATTTATGACAGTCTTTTAAAACTTAAATTTAGATGGTACTCGCTTTTAAACAAAATTCGATCTAAGGGAATGTTCAAGATAAACCAATTCTGTCCAGAAATATGAGTAATTTCAAAATAATCCAAAATAATTCAAAATCATGTTTTTCAATCAAGTATTTTAAATGGTACTTGAAAAAGAAAATAGCACTAACTTGACAGAGCCTGGTAGTGTAAAATTAGGCACTGGGCTTCCTCAAGATTTTCTATGAACATCTACATTCTGGACAATTCACCAACTAACACTGGCTTAAGTGTACTTTGGGTATTATGGTGCTGTTTGGTAGAAAGAGCTAAGTCCCTGATTTCTGCCTGATGCTTTGAGCAGCTCAAGGAATTTATTTTTGATCTCTACTGCTCTCAAGCTCAAATCTATGTTCTCATGAGTGGATTACTTCTTCTGGAGAAGCAAAGATACCATTACAGGTGATTATTTCCTCTCAAGTGAAGTTTACCTGGGTAAGTCCCCTTTATCCTTTCTAGTTTGTTTTTCTGAAGTATATGAAATGGTGTCTCTTCTAGGCCAATCACTCCGTTTTCACTTTCTACCATTACATTAAATCTTTTTTTTTTTTTTTTTTTTTTTGAGACAGAGTCCCACTCTGTCGCCCAGGCTGGACTGCAGTGGCATGATATTGGCTCATTGCAAGCTCCGCCTCCCAGGTTCACGTCATTCTCCTGCCTCAGCCTCCCGAGTAGCTGGGACTACAGGCGCCCGCCACCATGCCTGGCTAATTTTTTGCATTTTTAGAAGAGACAGGGTTTTACCGTGTTAGCCAGGATGGTCTCGATCTCATGACCTCGTGATCTGCCCGCCTCGGCCTCCCAAAGTGCTGGGATTACAGGCGTGAGCCACCGCGCCTGGCCACATTAAATCTTTACTAAATAGAAGGTTAAAGAAGCTATACTCGGAAAACAGCCAAAAAGGAAAAACTGGCTACCCCTAATAAATAAGACCACACAGCAGAAGAGCCCATTAAGAAGCCACTAAACCATTTAAGAGAAAAGGGACAATCATGGTAGCTGTTTACTACACACACCCAGTTATCAATTAGAGCACTGCAGCATCTTTTGATGATTCCCAGCAGCTCTCAATGCGCATATGAATGGCCAGGGGGTCCTGTTAAAATGCAGGTCCTGATGGTAAGACTGGGCTGGAGATGCTGATATTGCTGGTGCCCAGGGACTAGAATACGTGATCCTTCCTCTCATACTTAGTACCTCTCAGAACCCAAGACCAAAGGAAACCCTTTAAAAAAAATTGTTTGAGACCGAGTCTCACTCTGTTGCCCAGGCTGGAGTGCAATGGCACAATCTCGGCTCACTGCAACCTCTGCTTCCTGGCTTCAAGCGATTCTCCTGCGTCAGCCTCCTGAGTAGCCTACTCTACAGACATGCCCCACCACGTCCGGCTAATTTTTGTATTTTTAGTAGAGACGTTTTCTCCATGTTGCCTAGGCTGGTCTCAAATTCCTGGCCTCAAGTGATCCGCCCGCCTCGGCATCCCAAAGTGCTGAGATTACAAGTGTCAGCCACTGCCCCAGCTTAAAAAAAAAAAAAAATTACCAGTTGCTTACAACCATCCAGTTTCCAGCTGAACTGGAAAAGTGAAACTATGTAAATAGCAATTTTTAATTTTCATTCTTTTTTTATTTTTATACACAAAATTCCCCAGAACTAAAAGATTTTTTTCAGGGGTCTGTTGCCATCTACAACTGCTGCAGCAGTAAAAACTCAAACACACTTTGAATTGAAAAGCCATTTGTGTCTCCATAGACTTCCTTAAGTCAATTACACAGTCTGAGTAGTGAACACTGAATTAGAAGCAAGGTGCCGACATAAGCCGTAATATAAATAATGGAGCCTCCCTGCTCTGGGGGCTGAGTTTGTCACATCTACTTCAGGTTTGACAATATCTTCAAGCCAGTTCTTCAAGGAAAATGCTTTTCAATTTTGCCAGGGTACAAGAAAACAGATAGGATTTGGGCCTAAATGCTCTGCAAAATGCTGGATGTTTTTTTTACTATGAAAGTTTACACAAACCTTCCTTTCAAAATGTTTGAAAAATGTTGATCATGAGTCTATAGCAGGTGTCAGCAAACTTTTTATTGTAAATGTCAAACAGTATATATATTTTAGGCAAGCCATACAGTCTCTAGCAATTTGTAAAATGAATGGGCATGGCTGTGTTCCAATAAAACTTTATTTGTAAACAGTGGCACTGGTTCCTTCTCAAACTTCACTCTCACTGGAGTAAGGTGAGAAGGGAACTCAGTACTGATGCCTGGACTCCACTCAAGAAAATCTGGTTTAACTGCTCTGGGATGTGGCCTGGGCCCTGGATATTTTCAAAGATCCCAGTTAATTCTAATATGACACCGAGATTGAGAACCAGTGCTCTACAATTACCAACATATCGTCCATATACCTTGGAAGTACGAGATCCCAACAATCCCCTATATTAACTAAAACAGGCTAAATCTGACAAATAGACTGGCTAACGCTGCCAATCCCAATGTATGTATTATTTGACAAAAAGATGAAGATGAACAGTAAAATTCTTTTTTTTAACTAACGCTTACTGGAAAATAAACACAATTTCAAATCCATGCGTGTGCTTATTTATTCCCTTAATTCCTTTTCCATGTTTTCCAAAAGCATGAAATAAAAAGAACTATTAGGAAATAGGAATTTAGTTATTTATATTCAAACATTCACTATCCTTAATGAATCCCCAAGATCACTGAGCTATAAAAGAATTCCAGTAAAAGAAGAAAAAGATACAAAGGGTCAGACTCCATTTGAGGTTACTAGAATGTGAACTGATATGGTTTGGCTCTGTGTCCTCACTCAAATCTCATCTCACACCGTAATCTCCACGTGTCAAAGAAGGAACGTGGTAGGCGGTGGTGATTGGATCATGGGGGCGGTTGCCCCAATCTGTTCTCATGATATGGAGGGAGTTCTCTTGAGATCTGATGCTTTAAAAGTGTTTGGCAGTTTCCCCTGTTCTCTTTCTCCTCTCTCCTGCTGCCTTGTGAAGAAGAGAAGGTGCCTGCTTCTTCTTCGCCTTCTGACATGACTGCAAGTTTCCTGACGCCTCCCCAGCCATGCGGACCTGTGAGTTAATTAGACCTCTTTTTTTATTTATAAATTACCCAGTCTTGGGTAGTATCTTTACAGCAGTGTGAGAACAGACTAGTACATGAACTTACTGAGGTCATCAGTCACTTCAGCTACATCCACCTCAAAGAATCCACAAACAACCCATCCACGTGACAACTTGCTCATAAGAAGAAAAGGACAGTTCTATGTGTTTCTAAGTGCATGTGTAGCAATATAAACAGGATGTTAAAACTGCAATTCATGGATGGGCGCGGTGGCTCACGCCTGCAGTCCCAACATTTTGGAAGGCTGTGGTGAGTGGATCACCTGAGGTCAGGAGTTCAAGACCAGCCTGACCAACATGGTGAATCTCCGTCTCTACTAAATACAAACAATTAGCTGGGTGTGGTGGCAGGCGCCTATAATCCCAGCTACTTGGGAGGCTGAGGCAGGAGAATCGCTTGAACCCAGGAGGCAGAGGTTGCAGTGAGCTGAAATTGCACCACTGCACTCCAGCCTGGGCGACAGAGTGCGACTCCATCTAAAAAAAAAAAAAAAAAAAAAAAAAAAAAAAAAAAAAAAAATGCAATTAACCCAGAAAAAGGCATGGCAGAATGCAATTTCAAACTAAATTACTTCCTGCTCTCTTCTAACTTTAAAAAGAAAATCACAACCCTGCTACTTTTGGCTTAAACAAAATGGGAAATTAACGAAGCCTTTGAAACTCACTTTACTTTAAACCAGTAGTTCTGAACTAGGGGCAGTCTGATCCTCCACAGGGCATCTGGCAACATCTGGAGACGCTTTTGATTGTGACAAGGGGGCAGGGAGTTGATGCTGGCATCTAGTGGTCAAGGTCAGGGATGCTGCTGACTGTCACTACAGTGTAGTGTCCCACAATTCCCACAGGACACAGAATTAACCAACCCAAGGCCTGAACAGCGCCAAGGTGAGAAGCTCCCTTTAAACTAACTGAGCACCACCCCTGTGCTCAGTCCCTCACCTCCAGCTAGAAGAAAACAGCTAAGTGCTGCTGAGGGACAAGAGCGGCAAAGAAATCAGAGGAGCCACTCAGTTTTCCTAAAGGGATATATATTTTTCTCCTTTGTGAAATGCCTCCTTGTTTCCTCTCAAGGTTTTTTTTTATTCCTTCAAGCTAAGCAAATAAATAAACCAAGTAAACCCTAAAAACCCAGGATTCCAGTGAATGATGACTACTATTATTATTAGCAGTGGTCACTGGCAAGCAAGAGGCATGTTTTATACGTTATTACCCATCCAAAGTCTCTGAACCAGAGTACGACCCATGGATAAGAGCTGGCTGGTGGAGGATGCTCATGGTGTTAGTATTAACTTTGCAGGCAACCCAAGACCTTGGAGTTGTGTTCTATTAAATTGTTAAGAATATGCATTACAGTAAACCCGAGCCATAATTTCCTTTTATACGTGTTAGCCACCCTATTTTATAGTAACAATAATATCTGAAAAAAAAACCATAAAAATGTTTGAGTTCACTTCTTTTTTTAAAAAAAAAAATCCCAAATACCAGTCACTGGTTATCTAGTAACAGTTTAGATGAGTGCCTGGTCTTGCATCAAAGTGAACAGTCTATCCAGGTGAATGACTAAAAGGGATTTGTGAAGACCAAATTGTCATCTAGTTGTTTACTAAACATCGCATGGCTGCATAAAACTGGAGTTGATGTAACAAAGGGGAACAGTCTTTTTTTTTTTTTAATTTCTAAGTTTTTTCATTTGTTTTTGAACTTATATCAGATGATGCCTTTTTCATTAAAAATGCCTGTGCTCACATTTATTAAAAGTTTTCATCATCAGTATTTAGGTATCTTGATTCTTCATGCTTCAAGACAAAAAAATCTTCAGCGTTAAGTTCGTATCTCTCTAGAGCTTCATTCAGCTTCACTGGAGGCTCTAAGTAATGCTCATTTGCAGAAAGGGGAACAGTCTTAATGAGAAGAGTTATTCTATAGGATAACATTCCTAATTGCAAACTGATATTTAAACAAATAGTGTAATGACTCAGCCAGGCACAATGGCTCACACCTGTAAATCTCAGCACGTGGGAGGCTGAGGAGGAAGGATTATTTGAGCCCGGGGGTTGGAGAACAGTCTGGGCAACATGGTGAGACTCCATCTCTACAAAAAATTTAAAAAATTAGGCAGGCATGGTGGTGCACACCTGTGTTCCCAGCTACTCAGGAGGCTGATGTGGGAGGATCGCTTAAGCCCAGCAGGTCAAGGCTGCAGTAAGCTATGTTTGCCCTGCTGACTCCAACCTGGGTGACAGATTAAGACCCTGTTTCAAAAAAAAACAGAAACAAAAAAACTCCCTTGGTATTCATATGTGGCTTACAGTCTTTTAAATGGCAAAAGCTGTATTTGGGGTAAACCTTTGGTTTTCTGAACAGAAACCTTTTTATAAAGGTAGGACTCTTCACAGGCTGTAGAATTCTGGGTCTTCTGGTGGTGCTGGGTGTGAAGGCTGGGGTTGACTTTTACCCTCATTAAATGATGGCTTTAGTTTTAATAGATGCTTCTTTTCGAACCATCTAAATGGGATGCCTGTTCCCAAGCTCACCTAAGCACACACCGTGAACTGTCTGAGCCTACAGACTTCACCTACGCAAAGGGCTTCACCCAAAAAGCCCCGTTCACCTTCTGAAATACACACCTTATTCATTTTTCAGCATTCCATATTTCACAGCTGAGAAAAAAATTTTAATATATAGGCTAAAATGATTGCTATTATGCACACATTTCAGAGATTACCAAAGCACCAGGCCAAATGCTGAGGTGTGTGACCCAAGCAGATTCCCACAG
This sequence comes from Homo sapiens, assembly GCF_000001405.40. Classification (NCBI taxonomy): domain Eukaryota; kingdom Metazoa; phylum Chordata; class Mammalia; order Primates; family Hominidae; genus Homo; species Homo sapiens. Next base: position 909,214 of record NC_000009.12, on the reverse strand, counting down.
CGAAAACCCGCCCCTCCCGACTTCCTTTCCTTTTGTGTCCAGAGCTCTGAAGATGAGTCCTTTGCTCCCTTCCTCTCCTGCGCTCACCTTGCTTTCTCTTAGGTGGTCCTGCTATGGAATGCCCTCCACTTCCCTCCTAGAGGGAGGAAAGAACCGAGGCAGGCAGAGACAGGCACTTGTGAGGACTCAGCCTTTGTAAGGGATTCCCGCAAAGGCCAAGAGGATCCTTCAACGTGTGTGGGGTGAGGGGTGGACAGGGGAGGGGTGAAGCTGCTGTGCTAAGCGTGGGGCTGGGGCTGGGCATTCAGATGCTGAAGAACCCAAGAGTCCTTTTTCCAAACGAAAGCTCTCCCTCCAAATGCGCCCAGGAGAGGTGGGAGGGGAAAACGGGGGAGGAGTGGAGAGGAGGACGCTCACACAACAGGGCAGAGAGAACCAACCATTTCAGAAGTGATTCATTTAAGATGTTTTAAGTTGCAAATCCCAAATTTCCCACTACACATGCAAAAACAAAAGAAAAAGTGTGGGTGGAGTTTTCAAAAAAAAAGAACCAAAGGAAAGTTTGTATTACAGTAGCTCCAAAAATAAAAATAAACAACAGCCCTAAGGTGAACCATAAAAAAACAAACAACTCACATGGAAAAACAGAACCAAAATTGAACACAAGGATATAAAGCAAGCCCTCCCGCAATTTCCATAAATTGTGGAGAGGGCATGGAAGAGAAATTCACATCAGTCTTTTTTAAAAAAACATTTTTAGAGACAGGGTCTCTCTGTCGCCCAGCCTGGAGTACAGTGGTGTGATCGCAGCTCACTGCAGCCTCAATCTCGTGGGCTCAAGTGATCCTCTCACCTCAGGCTCCTGAGTAGCTAGAACTACAGGCGCACAACACCAAGACCAGCTAAATTTTTTATATTTTTTGTAGAAACAGGGTCCCACTATGTTGCCCAGGCTGGTCTTGAATTCCTGGCCTCAAGTGATCCTCTCACCTTGGGCCCCCCTCCAAGAGCTAGGATTACAGGCATGAGCCACCATGCCCAGCCCACAACAATCCTGAATACCCATTAAGGATAGAAACCCCATAGGATATCAGGATTACACTTGTATTTATTAGTGGTCCATTTTGCTTATCTTTAGCCCAGAAGCAATTCAGATGTGAGTATTTTGACATTTTACAAAGGCCAAATTATTTTTTTAACTTGTGTTGTTCAACTGTTTTCACCATCTGCCATCAGTGGTACTGACGGAACAACAGTGTACTTCTTGAGACCATGTTTTCCAAAAGGCAGAAGTGTTACCTTTTATAGGGCCCTCAAATAATTCAGTATGCAGTCAGTGTGTGTTATATACATATAACACACACACACACACACACACACACACATATATATTTTAGAGAACTGTATGGAATTGAACAGAATGCAATAGAATAGAACAGAACAGAATAAAAGAGAACTGTATATAAGAATTCATTGCATATACAATTTGGGTAAGGGGTAAGAACTGTTCTACAAAACTTGTCATTTTGTGTATGTGTGTGTAAATATATACTGGAATACAGTTTCTTACTGTGGGTCTCAATCTAAAATGTTTGAAAGACACCAACGTATAAATCAGGTAAAGGGATGCAAGTACCTCTAAAAGGAGGTAAACAGTAAGAAAAAGCCAAATTTTAAAAAATGTTTCCTTTTCCTAAAACCTGAAAGGGTCTTGGTGCATATCAGGGGGTTCACAAAAGAGAGTGGGGTGGTTGGTTTGGACCAGTGTCTGGCTGGGACTAGCTCAGCGCCTTCTTCATCTTGAGAAATCTATGCAGGATTTTCCAGTTCCTGGGTTGGAAACCTACATTTGTCTAGTTCACAAATCTAAAATACAGACCCGGACTTCCCAACTGAACCCATGTATACCAGGCATAAATGCAAGTACCATTTACATAAAAGCAACTAAGAAACAGAGTTTCAGTAAAATGGCTGGAGAGAAAGGAAATTAAAAAGGTTGTATTTTTTAAATTTGGTTAATAATGATCAGCACGCTCCACTCTCTCACATGTCCAGTCTCTGAAGGCATCTACAATGCTTCTTAAGACTGGGGTGTGTGTTTGTACGGATGGGGGTTGTACTGATGATATTCTTAATGTTAATTTTCCTGAGAAAATACTGGTTACTGACGATAAGATTAACCAAATTTCAGAGGAAGAAAATGAGCATCTATTGAGAAATAATATAGAGACTTGTTATCTCATGAGTCTTCATAATTTAATAATCATTGATATAGGAAGAAACTGCTCAGAGAGATCAAATAACTTGGTTCTGGTCCCAAGGAATTAAGTACAGACAGCAAGATTCAAAGTAAATCACCTCAGACGCTTCTGAGATTTCTCTCTACTAAACCAAGGAAACTTTCTAATTTTAAATGAAGGTATCTGCTTAGTATAAAGACCTACTTTGCTGCCTTTAGCTTTTAACAACTCTTCGCATTGTCTCTACTTCTGGAGCAAATAAACTTTTTTTTTGATTGTCTGAAAATGAGAAATGATGCCCACAACCGCACATTTAGGAACTTTGATTTCAGAACCAGAAACATCAGAGGCATCCATATCTGTTCCCACCTTGATGGACAAACTTAATTAACCTTTGCTACTCTGTTCCAACCTACTGTTTTAGACAAAACTAGTGACCCAGAAACAATATGTCACCATCACAATCTCCAGGGCTGCGACATCAAGAGATATAGCCCTATCAGCAGTATAGGAAAATAAGCCACTTGGATTAGCTGCTGTAAGAAATATGGATTATATTCATGTCACACATGAGCTGTCAGAAACATTAGGATACTTTTAGCATAAATCAGCAGTGTGAAGGGTGTCTTATGAGCACAGAACATGAGAGCCTGCCGGGAGGGCAACGTGAGGCTGTCTGGGGCCACATTCTAACTAAGCACACGCACACACTCACATCCTTTACCAAACTGGTATTCAAGATCCGACGCAGGCTGGTGACCTCTGATGGACACACTCAACTTGTGGGTGGCAGGAAAAAGCCCTGCCCACTCTAAGACCATGAAGGGAGTCCACCTCCAACTAATTGAAATGACACAAGAATGACCAAAAGCATCACGTTACCACTGTTCCCTAAAGTACATGGATTTGGAAGAGTGTGTGAGTGTGTGTGTGTGTGTGTGTGGGTGTGTGTGTCACAGAAGCATCTTGAGAGACAGCATGCCTAGTGATTTTCCAGAATTTCACGGCTTTAAAAGGAAAACCAAGAAATGTGCACTGCCCTGCAAGGAAAGCAGAGACACCACGGGAACAGAGGTGCCTCTCTGCAGTCAGGCAAACTCCAAATCCAGCTTCCCCGTTTCCAGCCGTGCAGTACTAGCTAGCTACTTCATCTCCCTGAGCCCCAGTTTCCTCATCCACAAAAGGAGGCTCACAGCCCGGAAAGGCTGTGTTTATGGATGAAATGGAATAGGAGACAGGAAGTGCCCAGCAGCGTGACACTGTTCCAGGGCTGTTCTGCTTGCACCCTCCTCTTCCCCTCACGGGTCCACCTGCTTCTGTCAACGGGAGAACGGGGCACCGCAATGAAAGACTCCTCTTCGGGGTTTGCAAACAAATGACTCAAACAAAAAACCTTTCCATTATACACTTTAAAGGTGATTTTAAGTACATAAACTTTAGTTTGACATGTCCTGCAGTGCCACACACACACACACACACACACACAGACACACACACACAGGGGCAAGGGAGTGAGGAGACAGCGAAATTTCCAGGCCTTCCCATTTTTTGGTTTTATACAAATACTCCAGACATAGAATTATGTCTGCCTTCCTTCCCCTAGAACTGGGACTTGCCAGAAAGAATGTTGTGAGAAGGAATGTGATAAATAAAATGTGGGGATAATACCTTTTTCCCTGTTCCTCAGTCTATGTATGAACACCCCTTCCAGGAGGCTGTGCATCTCAATGGTGATGCCCACAGGGCCAATGCTATACCAAGGAGGGGGTGCTGAGGGCAACCCATCCTGGGGGGAGGCAGTAAGGGGGTGCACTCACTGTGGGATAATTTTTTAAAAATAAAATCCACTAAAGTCAATCTATCACCATGCACTGGAAATTCTAAACAATAGTTGTGATCAAACACTTGTCCCCACCCTGCCTCTTGGCATGCCACAGCAAGGGCTCATCTTTCCACAAGGCATCACAGTTCTCCCCGGGCTCTGATCGAAACAGGAATAAGAGAATTACATGTGTCTTTTTTTTTTTTTTTTGAGACGGAGTTTCGTTCTTGTTGCCCAGGCTGGAGTACAGTGGCGCAATCTCGGCTCACCGCAACCTACGCCTCCCTGGTCCAAGCGATTCTCCTGCCTCAGCCTCGAGTAGCTGGGATTATAGGCACCTGCCTCCACGCCCAGCTAATTTTGTATTTTTAGTAGAGACAGGGTTTCTCCATGTTGCTGAGATTGGTCTCAAACTCCTGACCTCAGGTGATCCACCTGCCTCGGCCTCCCAAAGTGCTGGGATTACAGGCGTGAGCCATAGCACCCGGCCACATGGGTCTTTTGAGTTTTCTTTCTCATCCATTCCACCATGAGCCAGTACTTGAGAGTCTCTAGCACAGTGCCAGGCACGGAGCAGCCACTCAATAAAAACAATCAACAAATGCATAAAGGAGTCTCTAACGCATACTCTGTAATACAGTGGATATTTTTTGGCAACTCTAGTCTTTTTTTCTATCCTATTTCTATTATGGTATTGAAAAAACAGGGCAAACCTGTTATGCATTCCCTTGATTTTCATCTTTATTCAAATGATGAGGAACACTTAAGAGACCACAGAAATATAGACTCCTAAGAAATCTGAGAATCACTTATACATGTAATTAAACGTTCTGAAAAGCAACTAATTTCATATCATATTCATGTCTACTTAACAGGAAAAAAAGTAAGCTAAAAGGGCAAACATAAATGGATAAGATTTTGGCCACCAGCCAAACCAAATCAAATCTGAAAGCTTTCAAAAACTGTGATCTAATTATCTAAATTTCAAGCCAATTACAGAATCCCCAAATGACTATATTATTTACTAACCTAATGCTACTGTGTCAGATAATAGGTAATGTAACAACCTCGCAAGACTAATAATATGCTTCTGCCTCCGATTCAATTGTGAAGTAGTCCCTGGAGTACATCAGCACTTTACAGGGGATTTCTTACTCAGCCCAGATCACACTGAAGTCATCTAACAATGGAAATGAATCTGTAGGACAGCCCAGGACTTACACAAGTCTTCCGAAGGTTGCTGAAAAACCTAATGTTTCACTCTATCTGGCTTCCTGGGATGCTACTGGACCACTTCAACCAGACTGAAAAAACAATCCCTTAGGATGCCCAGGTCTGCACTCCTTCTAGATATTCTCTGAGTCAGAGCTGTCTGTTCTCCAGGGCCCCAGGTATCCAGAGGCCAATTCTAGTTTCTTCTGGAATCTACATATTTTTAACCAAAACACACTCCAAAAATGTCTCTCCTGTGCACTATACTGTAGCTACGGGATATTCCTAAACCCAACCTCTCACCATCTGTCTGGGCTCAGCGGCTAAACTTCCCACCATCACCCTCCCTGAGCTTTGGCTCCAGACAAAGAGCCACTGGGAAAATTGTCATCGCAGGCACCAGTTCTTACAAACAACTACCCTTGCTGCAGGATCAAAAGCATGCAAGTCATTAAGCTTTCATCATCTGTGAAACAAAACAGCAATTCCTTCAAGGAAAGGTGTAATAAAAACCAGATGATGACTGTCACGATCATCACTTGTCATCAGCTAAAATGAGACAAAATAGGAACTCCTTGGTGAAAGTGCTGGTAGGTGAGGTGATCACCTAGAAACAGAAAGCCGGGACTGCATTCACCCAGGCTTAATGCTTCAGAGGAGTAATGTGGGTGGGGGTGGGCAAGGACTCTCACTGCTCCTTACAGGGCCAGCTAGAGAAAGAAAGCTTTGCTCCCTGCAGGAGTAAGACTATGTTGTAAAGACCCAAGAGAATTGGGTCCACTATTTCTCTTTAAAAGAGAGGAACCTAATGAGGAATTATGTTGCAGAAGAAAACATCATAGGCATGGCTAAGACTTGACAAGCCATTTAAGGCAAAGTTTATACTAATAGTAATGTGACCCCCAAACTCAGGGAACATGACAGCTTTAATTCCACTGGCTTTAAACTTTCTAGGGTCTATCATGACTTTGGAGTTGCATTTCCTTAAACAGAAGAGTCTCCAAAACTTGCCTACTGACCTAGTAGGCCCAATCATTACATCCTCACCATGTACCTGACAGCAGAACCTACTTGGGGTTCCTGTGAATGAATTCCTCAAAATGCTAGACCAGCATGAGGGTGTTCCCATGGCTGTCATAAAAAGGAGCGGAAAGCTGGGCATGGTGGCTCACACCTGTAATCCCAGCACTTTGGGAAGCTGAGGTGGGCGGATCACTCGAGGTGAGGAGTTCGAGACCAACCTGGCCAACATGGCGAAACCCTGTCTCTACTAAAAATATAAAAATTAGCTGGGTATGGTGGCGTGTGCCTGTAGTCCCAGCTACTCAGGAGGCTGAGGCAGGAGAATCGCTTGAACCCGGGAGGCAGAGGTTGCAGTGAGCCGAGAAACTGCATTGGTGTACTCCAGCCTGGGCAAGACAGCAAGACTCCATCTAAAAAAAAAAAAAATGTGGTGGGAGGGGAAGCACCCTGCAAGTCAAGAGGTAAGCACAAATGTAAGTCCACATAATTGCTAAAGGGAGCACACTGAAGCCCCTAAAGAACTTCACTGTTGTCACAAGGACACACTGAGTACTGCAGCAGTCTTAAAAAAGAAAGGTGGAGGAGGAGGGGGTGTAGGAAGGAGGCGAGAGACAACGGGTATCAACTTTTTACATTGCTGAATAAGAGCATTAACAAAAAACATCCCACCATCTAATACATCACTTTATGTTTTAAAAAGTTGAAAAGTGGCTGGCGCGGTGGCTCACGCCTGTAATCCCAGCACTTTGGGAGGCTGAGGGGGGCGGATCACCTGAGGTCAGGAGTTTGAGACCAGCCTGGCCAACATGGCAAAACCCCATCTCGACTAAAAATACAAAAATTAGCTGGGCGTGGTGGTGCACGCCTGTAATCCCAGCTACTCAGGACGCTGAGGCAGGAGAACCGCTTGAACTAGGGAGGAGGTTGCAGTGGGCTGAGATCGCATCACTGCACTCTAGCCTGGGCAACAGAGCGAGACTCTGTCTCAAAAAAAAAAAAAAAAAAAGGGCTAGTTTCACTTGCTGATGGTGTGGGCCATGGGGGTGAGAGGGCAGCCTTGGAGTGAGGGTGTTATCTTGTGGATAACAAGACTGTGAAGGGCTCCCGGCCAAGGGTGAGAGGGCCCAGGGCAGGTTCGTAAGGCAAGTCACTCCCGCTTTCTCCATCCAGAACTTCCCAGGAGTTTCCAGTGACCAGAGCACATCATCCTGGGAAACCTGACCGTGGAGCTCAGTGGCAAAAAAAAAAACTCATGTGAAGTCTCCTACTATGTCTTAAAAATTGGTCAGGCAGCCGGGCGCGGTGGCTCCCGCCTATAATCCCAGCACTTTGGGAGGCCAAGGCAGGCGGATCACCTGAGGTCAGGAGCTCAAGACCAGCCTGGCCAACATGGTGAAACCCCGTTTCTACTAAAAATACAAAAATTAGCCAGGCATGGTGGCAGGGGCCTGTAATCCCAGCTACTTGGAAGGCTGAGGCAGGAGAATCGCTTGAACCCGGGAGGCAGAGGTTGCAGTGAGCCGAGATCGCGCCACTGCACTCTAGCCTGGGCAACAGAGTGAGGCTCTGTCTCACAATAAAAAACAAACACACAAAAAATTGGTCAGGCGTGGTGGCTCATGCCTGCAATCCCAGCACTGTGGGAGGCCAGGGCAGGCAGATCACTTGAATGTCCAGGAGTCTGAGACCAGCCCAGGCAACATGGTGAAACCCCATCTCTACAAAAAGTACAGAAATTAGCTGGGTGTGGTGGTACATGCCTGTAGCCTCAGCTACTGAGGGGGCTGAGGTAGGAGGATCGCTTAAGTCCAGGAGGTGGAGGCTACAGTGAACTGAGATCATGCTGCTGCACTCTGGCCTGGGTGAGAGAGCAAGATCCTTCTCAATTAAAAAATAATAATAATTAAAAAAAAAAAACTGAAGTAGAGCTAGGCACAGCAGCTCAAGCCTGTAATCCCAGCGCTTCTAGAGGCTGAGGCAGGAGGCTCACTTGAGCCAAAAGTTTAAGACCAGCCTCGGCACCACACTGAGACCCCCATCTCTACAAAAAAAGTTTTTTAATTAGCCAGGTGTGGCATGGTGGCACACACCTGTAGTCCCAGCTACTCGTGAGACTGAGATGGGAGGATCACTCGAACCCAGGAGTTGGAGGCTGCAGTGAGCTACGATTGCACTACTGCACTCCAGTCTGGGTAACAGAGCAAGACGCTGTCTCCAAAAAAAAAAAAAAATTAAGTAGATTTTGCATTCTGCTGTCTTCTCCCTATTATGTCTTTGTTGTTTTTTTTTCAATTTAAGAGTATTTTAAAATCATATTTGTTCATCATAACTGTCTCCTGAGAGCCAGGTTTCCGCCTTGTCTTCCCATGGCTCCACCCTCACTGCGCCTTCCTACAGCACAAATATGGCACAGCTGCAGAGAGTGCTCTGGCCACCCCCACACAGCAGATACTTTGGAAAGTGACTTGTTTTGACCATTCTTTCAAGCTAACAAACAGGTTGTTCTGATGCTGAGCTACACTTAAAAAACAACAAAAAAAGGGGGGGCAGTGGGAAAACGAGAGCCTGTCTGGCTGCTCCTTACGGCGGACAAGCAGTGAAAAGGTACTGGCTTTTCTGAGTGCCCTTCCCAACCCTTCCACCCTCAGCAGGCAGAAGGTGCTGGAGCACCGGGCCAGGAACACTCACAAGGGGGCACTTTTTTCTGTGCTTCAAGCTCCAGATGCCAGAACGCGGTTTCCTTCCTACCTGTAGAAAGGTTTAGGCAATCCCCAACTCCAGGGATCAAGAAATAGCAGCCTTCTCCCAAGACTCACTTTTCCCAATTTTTGTGTTTTGTTCAGTGGTAGATCCCCAGCACATGGTGGGCTCTGGAAGCATGTTAAGACATGAATGCATTCCTTCGAGGTGCCTTATCGTCAATGGACAACCATAAAACACTTCAGAGGAGACCACATAACCACCAGAAAGAACGAAATAACTGCCAGTGCTGCCATTTGGCCACACCCTAAACGTGGCTGGAATGTAAGTCTACACATCTGGGGGCACAAGCTTTGGAAAAGCAGTCAAGAGGGCGCCTGCCATAGGGCCTGAAAGGAGATCCGAGGCATAGCTCAGAGTCCTCCCATATTTATTTCTGCTCACTCGATACGCACCTCTCCCTTGTCAACCTGGTACAACATGTTTATTTAAGAGATAATGTTGCGGTGGAGGAGTGCACAAGGCAATAAACAGCTTTTGCAGGCAATTAAATGCAGAAGTGAAATTGAGCTGCTGGTCAGCGGAACCAGCCATTCATTGTGAGTTTGTTCCAGTGTCACAAATGTTATTCCTGTTTCACAACAGGACAGGAATCTATGATTGGGCCACAAATCTCCTACACAGGCTGAGGCAGACCAGAAGCAATTAAAAGCAGCTCTCAGCAGGCAGGGCATTTACACAAAAGAGCCTTAAGATTCTGGAATGCCGAGCTAGGAGACTGCTCTATTTTTTAAGGAGGTTTGGCACTTAGTAGGTGCTCAGTAATTATTCGTGGCTTGCTTGTTTTTATAGGGAGGCTTGCAGGAAGTCTCAACTGTACAATAAAAATTCGAAACCCTTTCTACTCATCTCTAAGAATTCCTTCTAGCTTTAAAAAGTTATGACGATCTCCACTAGAGTCAGTTTTTTTTTTCTAGGAATCAAAAAGGAGTTGTTGGTTTTAATACAAATTGTTTTCTTGTTTCTTTTTTAAAATATTGATTTTTTTTGAAGAAAGATTTGAATCTTTCTTGATTCTGATATAAATCAGAAAGGAGTTATCCTACAGGATACAAAAATCAACATACAAAAATTAGTTAGCATTTCTATACATGACTAGTGAACCATCTGAAAAAGAAATCAAGAAAACAATCCCATTTACAATAGTTAAAAAAATACATGTAATCAAAGAGGTGAAAGATTTCTTTACTGAAAACTATAAAACACTGATGAGAGAAACCGAAGACAGATAAATGAAAAGATATTCCATGTTCATGGGCTGTAAGAATTAATATGGCTAAAATGTCCACACTACCCAAATTTGTATCACAATCTAAAAAGAAAAAGAGAGTTTACATCCTACTAGGCAGGATAGCTAATAAAAAGATGACTCCATCTGGTTAAGTTAGGAGGAGAGTCCGGCCTTAGCAACACAGTCAAGAAAGTAGTTGAAGACCCAACCTCACATTCTGGCCTCAAGGTTGAGCCATTTTCACACCAAGAAAATCAGTCAGGAGAGAACAGCACAGGTGCTCTCCAAGTGCAGCGGTGGGGCACCTTCTACAAAGAAGACAGAAAAGCAGGGCAGCAACCAAAGAAGAGCCCCCGACTCTGCCCTCTCCTAGGAAGCTGCCACCAAGAGGGGCAAGGCATTGTCCAAAGAGCAGAGTGAGAGAGCCTTCCAGGAACAGCAGAAAAAGCGAAGTGAGGAAAAGACTGCCATCCAGATCTCTGTTCCTGACACTTCTGCTACCTCTCTGGGCCAGGCACGGTGACTCATGCCTGTAATCCCAGCACTTTGGGAGGCCGAGTGGGCGGATCACTTGAGGCCAGGAGTTTGAGAACAGCCTGGACAACATGGTGAAACCCCATGTCCACTAAAAATACAAAAATTAGCCGGGCGTGGTGGCACATGCCTGTAATCCCAGCTACTTGGGAGGCTGAGGCACAGGAATCACTTGAACCTGGGAGGTGGAGGTTGCAGTGAGCCAAGATCACGCCACTGCACGCCAGCCTGAATGACAGAGTGAGGCCCTGTCTCAAAAAAAGAAAAACAACAATAACAAAAGAAAAAAGAAAAACGACTCTGGTTAAAAAGTGAGCCATCCAGTTTCTCTCCCTTCAACATTAGCTAAAGGTATTATTTGTAGATTTTTACTATTTAATTTTAATACTTCTTTATAACATCTATGTCTTAACGCATTTTGCACCATTATCATTTTTACCTATACTTTATGTTTTCTATTTCCTAAGGGCATCAAATTCTTCCCCAAAGATACAGAAATCAATCCATACACATTCATACTTGGTCCATATTCGCATGTCAGTCTTTTGATAATAGTTAACATATGTATTTTTATACCCTATCTTGCTACAAAGGGGATCTGAGGTAGCTAACGAAAATACATATGAACAAACAGTCAAGAACTCAATAGATTTTTTAGGCCGGGCGCGGTGGCTCTCAGGAGACAGTTATAATGAACAAACATGATTTTAAAACATTCTTAAATTGGAAAAAACCAACAACGACATAATAGGGAGAAGATAGTAGAATGCAAAATCTACTTAATTTTGTTTTTTTTTTTTGGAGACAGTGTCTTGCTCTGTTACCCAGGCTGGAGTCCAGTAGTGTAATCATAGCTCACTGCAGCCTCCAACTCCCGGGCTCCCATCTCAGTCTCAGTTCCACAGATCATTGCATTTCCTTTATACGTATATTACCTCTCAATTCCAATATCAATGTGCTTTAAAAGCTCCCTTCAAAAATAGTATGATTCCCTCACGCCTGTAATCCCAGCACTTTGGGAGCCCGAGGCTGGTGGATCACGAGGTCAGGAGATTGAGACCATCCTGGCTAACATGGTGAAACACCATCTCTGCTAAAAATACAGAAAAAAAAATAGCCACGCGTGATGGCACGTGCCTGTAGTCCCAGCTACTCAGTAGGCTGAGGCAGGAGAATCACTTGAACCCAGGAGGCAGAGGTTGCAGTGAGCCGAGATGGCGCCACTGCACCCCAGCCTGGGCGACAGAGCGAGAATCTGTCTCAAAAATAATAATAATAATAATAATAATAATAATAATAATATGATTCCAAAAATAAAACGTATGAAGAACTTAAGAAAATTTGTAGCTCAGGGGATTAAAATTGACATTTTAATATGCCCAAGAAGTCAGATCCCTGAGGGTAGCAAAAGATCCCAAAAGTGGAATGACTTCAATTTTATCAACCTAATGACTTCAATTTTAACAACATTTTAATACCTGAAAAAGGCAGACGCAAAATGGAACAGAATGGGTCAGAGGAAAATTTCAATTCACATTTTCTTGAAGTGGGCTTAGAAAAGTCAATTCTTTTTTTCTTTTGAGACAGAGTCTCACTCTGTCGCCCAGGCTGGAGTACAATGGCGCGATCTCTGCTCACTGCAACCTCCACCTCCCGGGTTCAGACGATTCTTCTGCCTCAGCCTTCTGAGTAGCTGGAATTACAGGCGTGCGCCACCATGCCCAGTTAATTTTTGTATTTTTAGTAGAGACAGGGTTTCACCATGATGGCCACGCAGGTCTTGAACTCCTGACCTCGTGATCCACCCGCCTCGGCCTCCCAAAGTGCTAGGAATACAGGCATGAGCCACCGCACCTGGCCTAAATAATGCTTAAAAAGTCAACCTCACAGAATCAGAGAACAGTGGTTGCCGGGAGCTCGAGGTGGAGGAAATAAAGGGATGTTGGATTAGCGAGGAGTGGTGGTGCGTGCCTATAATCCCAGCTACTCAGGAGGCTGAGGCAGGAGAATCACTTGAACCCAGGAGGTGGAGGTTGCAGTGAGCCAAGATCGCACCAGCCTGGGCGACAGAGTGAGACTCTGTCTCAGGAAAAAAAAAAAAAAAAAAGAAAAGACAAGAAAAAAAAAATCTCAGTTTAAAATGTTCTTACTCCTTCAACAGAACCAAGATACTAATGGTTGACAAATATCTACTGGTCAATCAAAGCATTTATATACAACAAGGGAAATAAAATTCATTGAGCTGGAAAAAAAAAAAGATGTTGGGCAAAGGGTAAAAAGTTTCAATTACGGCTGGGAGTGGTGGCTCATGCCTGTAATCCCAGCACTTTGGGAGGCTGAGGTGGGCCAATCACAAGGGCAAGAGATACAGACCATCGTGGCCACCATGGTGAAACCCCGTCTCTACTAAAAATACAAAAATTAGCTGGGCTTGGTGGCGCGTGCCTGTAGTCCCAGCTACTCGGGAGGCTGAGGCAGGAGAATGGCTTGAACCCGGGAGGCAGAGGTTGCAGTGAGCCGAGATCGCGCCACTGTACTCCAGCTGGGTGACAGAGCAAGACTCCCTCTCAAAAAAAAAAAAAAAAAAAAAAGTTTCAGTTATAAGATGAGTAAATTCTGGGAATCTAACATACAGCATGGTGACTGTACTTAATAATATACTGTACACCTGAAAAATGCTAATAGAGTAGATCTTAAGTGTTATCAACCACACACATAAAAATGGTAACTATGTGAGGTGATTAATGTGTTTGTTAATTAGCTTAATTGTGGCAATCATTGTGCAAGGTACACATATATCAAATCATCACATTGTACATCTTAAATATATACAACTTTTTTTACCCATGATACGTCAATAAAGCTGGGAAAGTGAAAAAGAGGGTCAAACACTTGCACTGAACTCCCAAATATATATGTGGCATTGCGTTGAATCAAATCCCCACTGAGGAAGCCTGAGCATGGCAAATGCATCCAGAATGAGAACAGTTCTTGCAGAATCCTAATGTCTTTCACTTGGAAGAGGGCTTGGAGGTGTTGAGTCTAACTTTTCACCTACATATTCCCACAACATACCTCTGTACAAGGTAATCTAGCCTCTGAATGCTTTTGATGCCTTCAATCTGCTGCTAACAAACGGGCATGATGAAAATGGTTGCAACTGAGGAAGCAGAACAGCCCTAGATAAACGCTCCCTTCTCTAATAAAGTAAAATGCTTTGTTTTACTCCAAATATCAAATGCCCTTGATTGCATGCTATTTTAAAAATACATACTTGGGGCCGGACACGGTGGCTCATGCCTGTTATCCCAGCACTTTGGGAGGCCGAGGCGGGCGGATCACCTGAGGTCAGGAGTTCAAGACCAGCCTGGTCAACATGGTGAAACCCCATCTCTACTAAAAATACAAAAATTAGCCGGGTGGGGTGGTAGGCGCCTGTAATCCCAGCTACTTCACAGGCTGAGGTGAAAAGAAGCACTTGAACCCAGGAGGCAGAAGTTGCAGTGAGCTGAGATCCTACCACTGCACTCCAGCCTGGGCAACAGAGCGAGACTCTGTCTCAAAAACCAAACCAAAACAAACAAACAAACAAAAAAAAAAACAAACTTGGAGAATGAAAGACTGACCTCTATTCCTAGCGAAAAATGCACCCAGGTTGGGTCCAGCTCAACAGTGACCGAATTCCTTTTCTTACCTTTCTTCCATACAGATTATGACCTGTTTCCTTCCCAAGGTGCAAATTCATCACGCAGATTACTGCCACCCAGAAGGCTTTACCCAGCATTTTCTAAGGTGCCCAACGAAAGTGGGGACAAAGCTGGAGGAGGTGGTACCTCATTCAGTACTTGTGATCTGCCTGTGCCCAACTGGTTATTTATGCAACATTCAAAAAATGAGAAAAGTAAAATTTGAAAAAGAAAACAAGTTTGTACATTATTTCTTTCCAATTCCTTGCAGCCAACCTTTGAGGCTAAAGGGCATTATTGACAGAGTAAAAAATTCCTTACACATTTTGCATATTGTGCCTACATGTGTGCAAAATGGCACACACACATATGTGTGTGTACCTGTGTGTGTCACCTGTGTGTGCCTCTGGGCGCACAAGTGCGTGTGTGCCTCTGTGTGTATGTGCATGTGTGTGCACATGCATGTGGCTTTCACACAACCAGTTCACTCTCTGGGTAATTAATATCATACCTGCCACTGGTTTCCTGTCTGACCAGGCACATAAGGTCCGGGGAGGCCCCGAAGGCTGTTCTTCACAGGGGATCCCCCGAGGGGATTTCCCACCTCCCCAGAAGCAGAATCAGCAGCCAAGGCCATGGAGTACTGCGGGCAGTTGTATAGATTGTTGTAATAAGGAAACAGAGACGGCTGGTAGAAGCTGCTGTAGTAGGTGGAGTCTGAAACCAGGTCAGGTGTGTTCTCCACATGCCCTCTGCTGGTGACAGCAGGAATATCCTGGATGACCATACGTCCCTCTAAATTGGAAGAAAAAAGAAAAATACAACATGGTATTAATGTTAGTCCACGAAACTTTACTTCTAAACCTTCCTACCCAAGACCTGCGGAGCAAGGTAGCTGAATATGCAGAAGACAAAACCATCTGTTGCTTCTCCTATAGCCAAAATAAGGGAGAGTTTCTAAGGTTCGCTTCACTCTGGTGGCACAACCGAAAGACTCAGCTGATTGTTTTTACTGAGAGTATCAAAACCATTTTAGAGGTGATTTTAATTACATAAAGCCCAACAGCACAACTTCTATCCAGAAATTCCTATCCTAATGTCAAGAAACTGAAGAGCAAATCTAGTTGACCTGATTGTGCATTCTTAAAACAAAATTAATTGTAGCCACATAGATAGGTTAGAAAGTCAAAACGAGTGGCCAAGAGTTTAGGTGAATTTAGGTGAACACCTGTTTCCTTAACTTCCTTCCACAGGTGATCAGGTATCTTCAGAAATCTGGCCAAAGGTGCGGACCAGGGGCAAACTTCTAGTGTAAGAGGTCAGTAACTATTTCAGGTTTTGTCAACTATTCAATCACTGCTGCAGCATGCTTGTGTTGCAATAAAACTTTATTTATAAAAACAGGCAGTGGGCTGATCTAACCCAAAGACTAGTTTCCCAACCTCTGGCACAGACATTAAAGTGTTTATTGTCAATTCCAATAAATGAATTCCTAAGTCATCCATCCAATGGACATTTATTAAACAATGTTCTAAGAGCCAGTCCGGGTGCCTGAAACGTCTGCCAGCTGCCGTGCCCACAGGGAGTCTACGGTCTAGGATAGAAGATGGGAAGGGAATACCACCTACCACCTACCATCATACAGGAAGACCCATAAACTTCCATGGGAAGTCAGAGGAAACAGAGATGGCTTGTAGCCTAGTTAGAAATTCATGGACAAAACTGCACCTGAGTTGCACTTAAAAAAAGATGCAGGACACAGGTGAAAAATGAGAAAAGGAGAGGAAGGAGAAAGGAGCAGCAAGGACAAAGGAGTGGAAGCAGGAAAGTGGGGGTAGAGTTTGGAATGATGGGCAGGGAAGTGAGGCTGAGGAACTGGATGAGAAAAGGGAAGGAGACATGTAGTATGAAAGATGGGCTAGGGTAAGGTGAGGCGGGCCTCAGTCCAGCTCTCCTGACTCTGGGATGTAATGGGAACCACTGAGTTCTGAGCAAGGAGGTTACACGGTCAGAGCTGTGCTTGGAGGAGATTTATCTAAGGGCAACTGCTTAGGGCAAGTGAAGGAGAGAGAGATCAGAGGCAGAAAGACCTGCTAGGGAACCACCAAAGTGAGTTCAAGGACAGACCAGAACTCTAAGGCCTGCAAATGTAAGAGAGGAGCCTGTTCCAGGGACATGTGGGGGATGAAACGCAACAGAACTGGAGGGCTGAGGGGCTGCCAGGAATTAAGATGCAGGGGAGGCAGAGAGCAGGAGCCTGGGTGTGTAGAGCAGAGGGTGGGCAGGTGTGCAGGTGGAGGGCTGGGTGAGGGTGAGGAACATGAAACGCGTGCTTTTGGGAGAGGCTGAGACTGGAAGCCAGATCCAAGAGTCACCACTGGAGGTGCTAGCTCCATCTGGGCAAGGAAGGGAGGAGCTGTTACAGAATAAAGGAGAGCCAAGACCTGGAGCGTGAAAAACAGAGAATACAACGTCACAGAGGTTAAAGCTGACTTGAATCACAGAGCAAGCAGGCTGTGGTGTCAACTGCTGCTGGGACATCAAGCAAACAGTTCTAGAAAAGACCAACAGACAACTAGGTCTTCAGGGCCTTGCGGTTTTAACCATGATGAAAGGAGCAGATGCAGGCCTGCAAGAGAGCAAGGAGCAACAAGCAACAAGAAATCCAAAGAGATGACTCCAGTGAATGGCCTCTCTCCTACCAGGACTACCAGGACGTGAGATCCAGCAAGAAGGCACCCAGCCTCCGGGCACACCACTGTGTCCTCCGTGCTTAGCACACTGCCAGACACAGTGGGTCAATATTTGCTGAAGGGACTGAGGAATAATCATTTTTCAAGTAGCTTGGCATCAAAAATAATGTGAGTTAAAAGTAAAAGCTCCAGCCAGGCACGGTGGCCCACGCCTGTAATCCCAGCACTTTGGGAGGCCGAGGCAGGTGATTCACGAGGTCAGGAGATCAAGACTATCCTGGCTAACACGGTGAAACCCTGTCTCTACTAAAAATACCAAAAAAAAAAAAAAATTAGCCAGGCGTGGTGGCGTATGCTTGCAGTCCCAGCTACTTGGGAGGCTGAGGCAGGAGAATCGCTTGAACCTGGGAGACAGAGGTTGGAGTGAGACGATATTGGGCCACTGCACTCCAGCCTGGGCGACAGAGCAAGACTCCGTCTGGGAGAAAAAAAAAAAAAAGTAAAACCTCCAGGGAGTCATAAGATCTTGTCGTTTCACTTTTATTTTGTTTATTTACTTATTTGAGACAGGGTCTCACTCTGTCGCCCAGGCTGGAGTGCAGTGGTACGATCTCGGCTCACTGCAACTTCCTCCTTCTGGGCTCAAGCGATCCTCCCACCTCAGCAGCCCAAGTAATTGGGAATACAGGCGCAAGCCACCATGCCTGGCTGATTTTTGTATTTTTTTTAAGTAGAGACGGGGTTTCACCATGTTGGCCAGGCTGATCTCGAACTCCTGAGCTCAAGCAATCTGAATTTTAATAAGCTCTTAGCTTTTTTTTTTTTTAATTTTTTTGTATAGAGATGGGGTCTCACTATGTTGCCCAGGCTGGTCTCAAACTCCTGAGCTCCAGCAATCAAACCACCTTGTCCTCCCAAAGTGCTACGATTACAGGCATGAGCCACTACACCTGGCCTTGTTTCACTTTTCTAAAAAGGTTTAAGGCTGAGCGCGGTGGCTCACGCCTGTAATCCCAGTACTTTGGGAGGCTGAGGTAGGTCTGATCATTTGAGGTCAGGAGTTCGAGACCAGCCTGACCAACATGGTGAAACCCCGTCTCCACTAAAAAAAAAATACAAAAAAAAATTAGCCGGACATCGGCATGGTGGTGCGTACCTGTAGACCCAGCTACTGCAGAGGATGAGGCAGGAGAATTGCTTGAACCTGGGAGGCCGAGGTTGCAGTGAGCAGAGATCGCGTCACTGCACTCCAGCCTGGGTGACAGAATGAGACTCTGTCTCAAATAAAAAAATAAAAATAAAGAAATAAATAGAGGTTTAAGTGTCCTTAAGCAGACAGAATTGGCTCATGAGAGAAATTTCCAGCACAATGCATGGCCCAAAGAAGGTGCCCAGAAACCATCCACTGGCTGAGTGTGTGGGAAAACAAAAACATGCAAGGGAGAGGGCAAAACTAAAGTGCAAGCTCTGGAAGGTCTGGCTGAGATCTACAACAAAATTTATTTTTGAAGCCTCATTTTAAAGTCAGCATTGGTGTCACTTTTCTCTGAAAGGAAACCAAATCCACCTATGCTAGGCTCCTGTAAATGCACTCCCAAACCACTGTTTTATTCTATTCCTTTCCTTTCTTCTCTCCTCTTCCCAGCTAATGAGATGAGACATTCCAATGCCATTATTCCACACCCCCAAGTCTGGAGAGGGCACATGTCCATTCGCTCCTCCTCAACTTCCCCACTGGGCCTTTCTCTTATTTTAAACATCAGTTTGGGCCGGGTGCGGTGGCTCACGCCTGTAATCCCAGCACTTTGGGAGGCTGAGGCGGGCGGCCTGAGATCTCAGCTCAGTCGGCCTGAGCCAAGATCACGCCACTGCACTCCAGCCTGGGTGACAGAGCAAGACTCCGGCTCAAAAAAAAAAAAAAAAAAAAACACGTTTGGTGGCGTTAAGTGGTGGTTTTCTATATCATTCTTTTGTTTTCAAGGTCATGTCTCTATTGTTTATCTGATTACAAAAGCCTTATGAGCTTCTCAAATTTAATAAATTATATGAGCATCTAAGTCAGAAAAAGAATAAATGACCTATCCTACCATGCAGTCATAAACATTAATGGTTCATTCCTATACAATCTCACAGACATTTAGGAAGGCATTTTAGACACTTAGGCCTGTCCCTGCATTAAAAACACTGAATACCTCCCACTTAAGGCCTGCCTTTCAAAAGCAAGCTTCTTAAAAAAGAAAACAAAATACAGTAGCAGACGAATAAATAGAAACCCAAGGATTCCAGCATTCCAGAATCAGGGCACAGCACAAGTTCTTGAATTTCTGCAGCATGACCTTAATCTGAACCTTTTATCAGGCCTCAGTTTATCAAGCAACAAAATAATGGCAGTAATAACTCTGAAGGTAACAAGAGAATGGCTTCAATAAACTGCATAGTAAACCTCAACTAAAATGCTACGTCAGGTCAAAGCAATAATTTGTTTTGTTACAGCTGACTGTAATTAGTTAACAACACCATCACTTTTCCACTTACCCGTATTTTATTTCCTCTTTCAAGTTATACCAAGCTTTAAGAATAAATAGGAGATATGTATTGGAAAAGTTGTTCCATACCAATATTTAAATAATAAAACCATTTGAACTTTGGAAGAGCAGATGTCTGCCTTTACGCTGTTAAAATGTTTAACCACTTTAAAAAAGTTAGATTTGACAAAGTACTATGTGTATAAACCACCGAATTCTATATGTTAAAATTCCCAATTAAAATTCTCAGTCAGTGTTAAAAACAGCTTCATAACTCCTGGCATTTATATGAACACTGCTAGTACATGGAAAGGTTGAAATTAATATCTGTCAAGCTACATGTGTCTAATCCAATGGTTCGCACAGTGTGGTCCCTGAATCAGTAGCATCAGCATTACCTGGGAACGTAAAGAAATGCAAATTCTTGGGCCCCACCACAGACTGACAAAATCATACACCCCGAGAATGGCGCCCAGCAATCTGAATTTTACTAAGCTCTCCAGAAATTCTTTTTTTTTTTTTTTAATACAGATGGGGTCTCACCATGTTGCCTAGGCTGGTCTCAAACTCCTGGGCTCAAGATATCCTCCTGCCTTACCCTCCCAAAGTGCTGGGATTATAGGTGTGAGCCACTGCATCCAGCCCAGGAGATTCTGATGTGCTAAAACTGTTGAGACACACGGCTGTACTCTCAAAATTCAAAGCAACTGCTCCACACGCTATTCCTAAAAATATGAGATACCTTCATGCCCCTGACTGCATCGCTGTGACAGTCCTGACTATTAACAACTGCTCCACACGCTATTCCTAAAAATATGAGATACCTTCATGCCCCTGACTGCATCGCTGTGACAGTCCTGACTATTAAATAAAAGTATACAACAAATGAGGTCAGGCACAGTGGCTCCTGGCTATAATCCCAGCACTTTGGGAGGCCGAGGTACAAGGTTCACTTGAGCCCAGGAGTTCGAGACCAACCTGGGCAAACAAAACCCCTCTACAAAACATATAAAAATTGGCTGGGCATGGTGGTGCATGCCTGTAGTCCCAGCCACTAAGGGAGGCTGAGGAAGGAGAATCACTTTAGCCTGGGAGGCAGAGGGTGCAGTGAGCCGAGATCGCACCACTGCACTCCAGCCTGGGCAAAGGGGCAAGACTCTGTCTCAAAAGGAAAAAAAAAAAAAAAGAATTCCATTGTATTGAAAAGCTAGGCTTCTACCTAAATCACTCAGAGCTTAGATCCCAAGCTGTATGTACTGTGTGTGTATCGCTGCCAAATGGTTGTGAGTTTCATGGCTTACATCCAGACTTTCTTCATTTATTCTAACCACAGTAACTTAATTCATCTATTCAAATGCTTATTCCAGTTGACAAATATTTATTAAGCACCTACTATTTGTCAGGCATTCAGTTAGATACAAAACATTGCAGAGTCAAAATTTAATATTCTTCAGAAGACTTCTGGGTAATCCAGAGGAGCAGGTGTTACAAAAATCATTTATTCTTGACCTTAAGTTGTATTTTTATATTTAGATTTGATTCATTCACTAGTTATCATATAACAACTATGTTCAAAGCTTTCTTTAAATGTTGTCAAAGGCACAAAAACATACTTTAAACATTACATTTTTTCTTAAGAATTTGCCATCTATTTGGGGAAATTAGGTGCAAACTGGGAAATCTACAAAGCAATAATCCAAGTGCCGCAGTGACAGTATAGATAATGTCACCAAATGGTTCTATATAGAGAGGTGTCAGAAAAGGCCACGGTGAGTGATGAGCCAGAGTGGAGGTGATTTAGAGACAGTGGGTAAACACTCAAAAAAAGGAGAATAATACCAATAGAGTCATGAGGGAGGTCAACAGAGGCCCAAAGGAGAGAAAGGACAAGACGCGCTCCAGCCACAGTGACCAGATGAGCCTGGCTGGACTGCAGAGTTCACAAGTGACAACTGCAAATGAGAATGGAAGGTTATGCTGGAGTTAATTGCTGAAGACCCTGAATGTGAATGCCAGGCCAACAAGTTCTCCTCTAGGGAACCAATGAAGGTTTTCAGAGCAAGGGAGTAGCAGAAATATATTTGGGAATCTGGTCAAAGCACAAAAAACAGACCTAAGAGAATAAGGAGATGGGGGAATAGACTAGGTGCTTTAAATACTCCAGGCAAGAAGTCACTTTAAGCTTGCACAAGGAGGCCGTAGTAAAGGAAGGAACTTCATGAAAATCACTGGCAGATCTCCTTTTCTATGAATTCCCTCCAAACAACTAAGTTACATTGTTTGTTTGTTTGAGAGACAGTCTCACATTGTTTCCCAGGCTGGAGTGCAGTGGCGTGATCTCCTGATCTCGGCTCACTGCAACCTCCGCCTCCCAGGTTCAAGTGATTCTCCTGCCTCAGCCTCTGGAGTAGCTGAGATTATAGGCTCCCGCCACCACGCCCAGCTAATAAATTACATTGTTAATATCTGTCATCCAGAGACCAGGAAAGCAATCCAGATTCCCTTTTGATGCTTGTTCAACTGCTGAGTGATCATAGAATAAGCAGCTTCAGAAGGAATATCCGATTCCTTGCCCAGACTGACAGAGGATAAGCATAAGCAGAGTATACCTACCATCTGTCCAGCCCATGCTACAGCAAACTCCCCAGAGAGAAGCCAGCAATATTTGCTTCAACACTGGGGTGTCAGCAAAGATGGCAGGCCAGCCTAAGTGTCCCTATTAATTGATGATAAACCTAAAAGTAATATTTCCAACTGATACGCCACAAAACACACAAATTTATCATACAAAATTTAAAATATGTATATATTTATATATACATAAAGTTTTCAAAAAGTGGTTTTCCACATACAATTAATAAGCTCCCCCAACCATATCCATTCCCACTCTGAGCCACAGGAAAAAAAAAAGTCACAGTAAGAAGTGACAGTTTGGCCGTACACGGTGGCTCACGCGTGTAATCCCAACACTTTGGGAGGCTGCGGCGGGTGGATCACTTGAGGTCAGGAGTTTGGGACCAACCTGGCCAACATGGCAAAACCCCATCTCAAAAAACAGAAAAACTAGCCGGGCGTGTATCTGGCCCGTGCCTGTAGTCCCAGCTACTCAGAAGGCTGAGGCAGGAGAATCGCTTGAACCCAGGAGGCGGAGGTTGCAGTGAGCCGAGATCGCACCATTGCACTGCAGCCTGGGTGACAGAGCGAGACTCCGCTCAAAAATAAAAAACAAACAAACAAAAAAACACAGTTGGCTCCATGAACCTGAGCTGAATGCACCAATGTTTATCAAGTCCCTTGATCTGAGTATGAATTACTCCTGCCAGTCTCCATGGCTTGTGTGCACTGTAACACGGACTTTTAAAACTGCATGGCCAATACAACTAAGTACAGCAACCACAGAAGTATATTGAAGGGAAACATTTTAATGAGTCTGCTGAAAATTCTTAAGCTAGATCTCACTCTCTATTTTTCTAGAATGATAATTGGCCAAAATTGCTTAATGAATAATAACAGAAAGCTAGCAGCATTGTTTTCAAGAGAATGTGCTGTGTTGTTATAATGAATAATAACAGAAAGCTAGCAGCACTCTTTCCAAGAGAATGTGCTGGCTTTCTTAACCAGTAGTCCCTTACAGTCCATTACAGAATTATCAACCTGTAGATCTGATACAGAAGTGGGCAGGGAAGTGCTGGGTAGAGGTGGGCGTGGTCCCTTGCGAAGGCTCCACTGCAGAAGCCTGTGCCCATGGACTAGCTGAAGACAGGCACTTCTGCCTTCCCACCTAAATGTTGCATTTCCCAAGACCACCCTGGACCACCATGCCTCCATCCTGTGTCTACAAAACCCCTGAAACCCTAGCGAGCAGACACACAAGCGGCTGGGCATTGAGACGAGTAGATTGGTGGAAGAAGGCAAGCAGCTCAACGTCGAGAGCAGACTGATAGGCACTGGCAGGTCATTGATGGGCCTAGGCCATTTGACCAGCAGAACAACGCTGCGTTTGGTTGGGGAAGTAGGAGAAGAGTCGGGCCGCTCGACAGCCTGACTCCAGGGGAAAACCATCTCCTTTCTGACTCCCCTATCTGCTGAGAGCTACTTCCACTCAGTAAAACCTTACACTCATTCTCCAAGCCCACATGTGATCTCATTCTTTTGGTACACCAAGGCAAGAACCAGGGGATACAGAAAGCCCTCTATCCTTGCAATAAGGCAGAGGATCTAATTGAGCCGACTAACGCAAGCCACCTACAGACAGCTAAACTAAAAGGCACCCTGTAACACACACCCACTGGGGCTTCAGCTGTAAACATTCACCCCTAGACACTGCCATGGGGTCGGAGCCCCACGGCCTGCCCATCTGTATGCTCCCCTAGAGGCTTGAGCAGTGGGGCACTGAAGAAGCAAGCCATGCCTCCTTCACACGCTCTAAAACGGGGACAAGAGGACCTTTCCCATTTCAGATCTGCTGTTATGATGCAAATGGAAATATGAAGTTAGATGTTTTTGTTTTTGTTTGAGACCGAGTCTCACTCACTCTGTTGCCCAGGCTGGAGTGTAGTGGTGTGATCTTGGCTGACTGCAACCTCCACTTCTTGGGTTCAAGTGATTCTCCTGCCTCAGCCTCCCGAGTAGCTGAGATTACAGGTGCGCACCACCGTGCCTGGCTAATTTTTCTATTTTTAGTAGAGACGGGGTTTCACCATGTTGGCCAGGCTGGTCTCGAACTCCTGACCTCAAATATCTGCCTGCCTCGGCCTCCCAAAGTGCTGGGATTACAGGCGTGAGCCACCGCACCTGGCCAGATGTTTTAAGTGTTACCATTGGTATATACTCCTAATTTGTGCAATAAGAACAAAAGATCAGAAGGACTGGATCCAACCACTCAGAAAAGCATCAGGAACTCAAGAAATACACATCTGGAAAAATTACCAATAGCATTTGTCCCACAGACCATAACAGAGCTCACTGTCTCCCCTCAGATGCATCTGCAGAGATGTTGCTTATGAGCTCAGTCACCTCTTATTCTAATACTCATGTTCATGGCTACACCCGTTTACTTTCTGCACATTCAGTTCTTTGATAGGGCTTCACAATCCCTCTGCTACTTTTTTTTTTTTTTTGCACTAACATGCAGTGTGAAATATGATTCACTCCTTCATGAGGGATCAATACCTGCACATGATAAATACCCTTACTGATCGTGGAGTGTTATATGCTGGTCTCTGGGCCCATGACATATTAATAGTAGTTAACCAGTAATTCATTTTAAGGTGGGTGAAGGCTTGCCCCCCTCTTTGCTGGTGTCATGATTCCCAAAGTTGTTGCACTTTGAGTCCTTTGTGTTCAAATCTGGATCCACACTCACCTCCATGAAAAAACCAAACATCACAGTTTCCAGCATGAAGTAAAAAAAGGTCACAAAACCAAATTTACCATTTACAAACAGTAAACTACTTGTGATTCACATGAGGTCATGTAAACGATTAATTTATATACTCCAGATTTTCTCTTTGTAACCCCATATCTTGCATGGTGTTTGTCCTACTTAGCTTCTGAGTTTTAAGAGTTACATACCAGTCAGGCAAAATTATTCACCAGTAAGTCTGAAAACTATCCATCACCAACTAATACTTTGTGTTGAGCGCTACGAGGGTATAGCAAAAGCGTAAGTTGTTTTCCCCATTTTTTTTTTTTTTTTTAAGAAACAGGTCTTGCTCCGCCCAGGCTGAAGTGCAGTGGTGTGATCATGGCTCACGGCAGCCTCCAACTGCTAGGCTCAAGTGATCCTCCTGTCTCTGCCTCCCAAGTATCTGGGACTACAGGGGCACGCCACCATACACGGCAATTTTTTTTTTTTTTTTGTAGAGACAGGGTCAGGCTATGTTGCCCAGGCTGGTCTCAAATTCTGGTCTCCAGTGATCCTCCCACCTCAGCCTCCCAAAGTGCTGGAATTACAGGTGTGAGTCGCTGCACCCGGGCTCTCCTTTTGGGGGTCGGGGGAGTTAATGCATTTTTTTAAAAGGCTGTGTCATTCGATGATGACTGATTTCATGGCACTGGGATGCTCCTCACTGAGGGGAGAGGATTCATCTCAACCTTCAAAGTACAGGTTCCCCTGATGTTGGCTCACTAGTGTCGCTCCTGTAGCACAAGACACGGAATGTGGTAGAGCCTATTTCTCCTTTCTCCCAGGAAGAGATTTTTGTCTTATCTTTTTAACGTAATTTGGTTGTGAAGGAATGTCAGCTCCTTTTTTTTTTCTTGGTGTGAACTCTTTTCATAGCAAAGTGAACCTGAAGTTGGCTTTTAAAGATAGGAGCGGGCTTGGTTCAAAGGGGAGTGCAGCGTCAATGTGGGACAGATGGCAGGCTATGCGTATGGAATCTGGAAAGAGTGAAAGAGTGAAAAGGGTGGGGTGGGCAGGCTTGGTGGCTCATGCCTGTAATCCCAGCACTTTGAGAGGCCGAGGCGGGAGGATCACTGGAGGCCAGGAGTTCGAAACCAGCCTGGCCAACATGGTGAAACCCCGTCTCTACTAAAAATACAAAAATTAGCCGGGCATGGTGGCAGGCACCTGTAATCCCAGCTACTGGGGAGGCTGAGGCAGAAGAATCACTTGAACCTGAGAGGCAGAGGTGGCAGTGAGCCGAGATCATGCCACTGTACTCCAGCCTGGGCAACAGAGTGAGTGAGACTGTCTCAGACAGACAAAAAAAAAAAAAAAAAAAGATTCAGGGGAGACGGGGGCGCCACTGAGCACAACCAGATCAAAGAAATCAAGCAGGAAGATGACGGGAAAATACAAACATGAGGCTGAGCAAACACAGGCCTTCAAGGTGAGCAGGTCTTGATTTGAAACAGGCTGCCCTGGGGCTACTGAAAAGCCCAGAGTGTCAAAGCCCATCCATTGTGTGCAGCAACTCCCAAAGTGTTGGCTGAGAAGAATGCAAAACCCTGGCCTGGAGGAGCTCAGGTGATTAACAGTGCAAAGGAGAATGTAAAGGACTGGAAAAGGTTTCCCAGAAGACACCTTTAAGCAAGAGAACATTCTGGATGTATAAAGGATAAGAAAGGACTTCCAAGTCAAGGAAAGAGAGGAGACACACAACAAGAGCTTCGAGGCACAAGTAAGGTTAAGAGAAGAGCCTGCAGAGCAGGTAGAGCACAGGGTCCACTGCAGGAGGAGAATGGGGGTGCTCCTGGCACAGTGGTATGCAATTTGGGATCCCCCTTCACACCCCCAGAGAAACTTAATTGGGCCTGAAAAGGCTGGCATGTAACGCACAGTGGCATGCTAAAGTTAGGAGGATCCCACTTCCACCTGCAGGGGTTTCTGCCTCTCCCTGCCCTGATTCCTGCTCTCTGCAGCTTCCTCCTTCTTCCACACCTCTGCCTGTGCCTCAGAATTCCCCCAAGTCACCGAGGAAAACTGTTAATCCTACAATGAGAGTCAGATTTGGAGGAAATGCCATTTCTCTGACCCTCCAAGGCAATGTCTCATGGCCATGAAAGCCTGTCTCACGGCCAAGACAGAGATTTCTCTCTTTAGGCCAATTCAGAATGTCCTACCATTGGCAAGATACCAGAGACAGTTTGGGACTCTATCAACACCTCCCAGCGGATTGGAGGAGCAGGTTGTGCCACAAACAGGCCAATGGGAAAGCTTGAGTTTGGGGGTGGAGAAGAAGAAAGGGATGATTCCCAACACAGTTCCTATCCATCAAGGCTACATTCTAAAAGCCGTCTTACAGAGAATCCCTTCTTGAACCTTTTAAATATTTCGTACACTGAGGATGTTTTAAATTAGGAACTTGTTTGACTGACTGTGTACATGTATTTAGGTCTCCACAGAAAAGATCTGCTCTCAACTGTAATCAAACAACTTAAAATGGAGAAGCCTAATTTATCAGGGTCTTTCTCTCTAGAGCATGTAGGGAGCTGGACAGAAGGTAGCAAAGATACATGTTTAAGTTTGCTCATGGTCAGCTCCATGTAGATATAGGATTCAGATCCTGCTTTTATGACTTTCTTTTACTAGTAAGATCATAGATGTTTTGTCTTTGTCCCTGCAGGCCCCAGAAAGTGATGTGAAGGAGTAAGTGGACCTCTACATAAATGTATACAATTAAGAAACCGAATTATACCTCACCATATTGTTTCACATAGCTTCCGTTCAACTCAAGATTATACCTAGTTCAATTTATTATCGCCAATTTTCAATCAGGCATTTGTCTTGTAAATTTTCCTGGCTGTCATGAACAGTGACTTATCCAATTGTACAGGACTGGAGAGCCCCCTCCCTACCAAGAATGTTTTAGAACCTGCCTCTAAACCAGAAGTTTTCAAACCTGGCTGCACAGGAGGAGGAGGTGGGGGGGGTCTATAGAATTCCCCATGATCAGGCCACACCCCAGACCACTTTGCGTGACAGCCTCCCGCAATGGGACCCAGGCAGAGCAAGTTGAGAACTGCTTTAAACCCATTCAAGCTTGGTGCTTTGATGTCAAGAAATCACACCCTTACATCTTATCGCAGCAGCTGTCAAAATGTGGTTGGAGGTCCTCGCCTACAACTTCCTTCTGAGGGCCCAAGAGGTCAGAAGTATTTTTGCAATAACATAAAGATGTAATTTGCCTTTTTTGCTGTGGTGACGGGCACTGATGATGCAGCGGCAAGGGTGGGGAAGGCCGCTGGTCCTTAGCACATGGCAAACTACCCAAGTATACTTTTTTTCCTTTTCTTTTCTTTTTTTTTTTTTTTTTTTGAGACTGAGTTTTGCTGGTTGCCCAGGTTGGAGTGCAATGACACAATCTCAGCTCACTGCAACCTCTGCCTCCCAGGTTCAAGCAATTCTCCTGCCTCAGCCTCCTGAATGGCTGGGATTACAGGCATGCGCCACCATGCCCAGGCAATTTTGTATTTTTAGTAGAGACAGGGATTCACCATATTGGCCAGGCTGGTCTCGAACTCCTGACCTCAGGTGATCCGCCCACCTCAGCCTCCCAAAGTGCTGGGATTACAGGTGTAAGCCACCACGCCCAGCCCAAGCTACCCAAGTATACTAATGCTCGCATATTCCTCATCGCTATGAAGGAAAATGTTAAAACTTTAAAAAAATGTTATGTTGATTTTGCTAAAGACACCCTTGATGAAGCAGAAAGAAAGAGTAACTTGATCAAATCTGTACCTCAGAGTACACGTCTTTTTAAAAACTGTGTGACTCAATGGGAAGGACTCACACAGCCTTTCTGCACACCAAAGGAAAAAGGACATTTGTGCAACTGTTGAAGAGCTACACTCACTGCTTTTTCTTAAAGGAACACCATATCCTGGAAGAGTGACTGATGACAAACTACAATTACTGAAACTCAGATATTTGGCGGCATTCTCTTGAAAATGAACTAAGTGAGCCTGTCACTTCAAGGAAAACAACTGACAGTATTTATTGCCGAAATTTGAGTTTTCAAGTAAAAATTAGAATTTTAGAAAATTTATGGCCCCCCACTATGTGGATGACAGCTTCCAAACTTGAAGATTATTCTAACAAGATCAGCAGTAGTATTAATGAATGTGATTTTCTGGTATTTTGTAATAAAATGTGTCAACATTTGGAAGTTGTACATAACTTACTGAAGTAGTATTTCCCAAATGACCAATGCATAATGTTATAAAGTCATACACGGATGAAAGAGCCATCCAAAGTATAAGAGAGTCTATGGCCATACCACCTTGAACGCACCAGCAGATCTAGTCTGATCTTGGAAGCCAAGTCTGAGACAGATGAATAGATTTTAATGAAACAGAGTACAAAATGTTCGTTAGCATGGTTTTGGTTTCCACATCACAACTAATCTTTAAGCAATTACCACTTGTCAAGTTTTGGTCTAGTATCAAAGAATAGTGACAATGATGTAAAAGGCTATTAAAATACTTCTACCCCTCTTCTAACTATCTACGTGAAGCTGAATTTTCTTCCTGTATTTCCATTAGAACAACAGCCTACCTGAAGCAGCAGCTATGCAAACCCACCTACATCCTATTAAGCCAAACGTAAAAGAGATTTGCAAAAATGTGAAACAATGCCACTCTCTTGTTTTTTTTTAATTTGCAAAATGTAGTAATTTTTATTGAAGTATGTTACGTATGCTAAGAGGTAATGAGTTTATTATTTTAAAAGCATAATTTTTTTTTCATTTCTCAATTTTAGTTTCCAGTATGGTATCGATAGATATAACCCACATAAATAAAAGCTCTTGAGGTCCTCAATACTTTTTAAGGTTGTAGAGAGATTCTGCAAGTAAAAAGTTTGAGAACTTCCATCTTAACAGCCCCTGTCTTTTTAGGGGGACTGATTTGAGAGAATTAGAGCCTGGCATCTTATTCTGAGCTGGCTCTCAGGGTTGTGTTATTAGTAGACAGCAATAAAGTCCTAACCAGGCAGCTCTGGCTTTATCCTTATGTCTGAAATATTTCTTTCCATGAAACAGGCATTAAGAATGACACAATATGGCCAGGCAGCACAACTTCAGGTTGAGAGCACTGGTCCCAAGCAAAAGTAATTGATCGGATCTGAAATCTAATGCCATGCAATCATGGGGCAAGTTATATACGTTTTGCATGTCCCAGCCTTTGCACGTAGCAAAGAAATACTACTACTACTTGAGAATTATATGAGAGAAGACATGTACTTAGAAAGGCTCTGCCACGTGTTGAGTGCTCAATAAATGTTAGCTATTATTGTTATCACAATCACAACACGGCCATAACGTTTTCTGCCATCAAGCAAGAGAGCCACCAAATAACTCCGCACAAAGTTATCCTTGCTCCAAATCCTCATCATTAGGGTACTGCAGGAGGGCTGGGCTGCACCTGGCCAGGCTTCCCAAGCTCAGCTGAACTTGGAATCTTCCACTCCTGGCCTTCTCTGAGGTCAGACAGTAGCCTTGAGTGCGTTTGGTGTGATATTACTCCCTAAAGTCATAATCAGGAAATGCGGGAACAATGTGTTTCTCCCACAAGGCAATCATGACAGGGCTATTTTAAACGTCAAACACAAACCTGGCGCCAGGAAAGCAACAACTGCTTACTGTGCACCTCCTGCAAGCCACCACCTCTACTTAGTGAGGCAAATGCAACCCAGTGGAGTAGAGTGCACCATTCCTTCCCTTTTCCAAAGTCTGTCTCCCACAGTCCCATCTCCTCCTTTATTCGACTCTGCTTTTGAGAAGTGCAGCCACTCCTGTGATTACCTTAAGACAGGCAGACATTTTTATTGGGTGGGGGGGGGGCAGCAGCTGCAGTTCCAGGGCTGAACTTTTAGCTTGCTATAAAGTTAATGTGCTATTCAATGTTCATTCCAGGCAAGGCTGTGGGGCTGTGTATTTTCTGCCACCCCCGGAAGGCCATTATCTGTAATTGCCCATTACCATGCATAATTATTTCTCCTAGCGTGGTCTATGACCTCCAGGGTTGCTGGATGTTTTAGCAACCTGCTCCACCTAACCAAATTTGTGAAGGAAGCTTTTCTGACCTCCAGTACTTTAATGGTATATTCCAAAGCCAACCATGGGTCATTGTACAGGCACACTTATCCAGAATCAGGAATATTTCAGATCTCTTCCAGGTGTACTTTTCTCACCTCCATGGACTTTTACCTTCCCTAAAATAAAGGAAAAATAATCAACTCTCCATTGTGTGGGAGCTGATAACCCAAACTGGGAATTATCTGGAGCCCTTTATACTCCCTTTGCTTTGATTCTGCTGTTTAATTGTATCGTGCTTTTTAAAGACTGCTACTGGGAAAGTGAACAGAGACACAGAGAAACTTTACATCTTAAATTCAATATATACAATTCCATATTTAGCTTCTTTTTTTGGAATGGGAGGAGGAGTTCTGTTCAAATTAGTGACTGAAATGAGATGTGCAGATTCCCTATGGATTCAAAATATTAATGCTAGAATTGACATCTAGTGCTACATCAAAAAGTGCAGCTTTACATTTAGCTTGCTTTTCAACATAAATAGCAGGGAAAGAAAAGGTGCAAACAGGGTTGCTGGCCATACATGTGCCCACCAAATGCTTAGCCACTTGCTGGCATTTCTTTGTCTCCTCTACCATCGCCTCCTTCAGAACCC
This sequence comes from Homo sapiens, assembly GCF_000001405.40. Taxonomy (NCBI): domain Eukaryota; kingdom Metazoa; phylum Chordata; class Mammalia; order Primates; family Hominidae; genus Homo; species Homo sapiens. The sequence goes on along the minus strand of NC_000009.12, from coordinate 877,353 downwards.
TTACTGCACCCTCCAGGGGGGTGAGACATACCTCTAAGGTATTACACGGTTCAAAACCTGTTCAGCAGAGTGTATGTATATCCTGGGAACGAGACCACTCAATTTTTTTATTCCTTTGGAATAAAGCTTCTTTGACATTAAAAGAAGGTGATTCTACAAATAAAAATTCATCCATTCTTTCAACCATCATTTTTACCAAAGTCAGGGAAGGTGAACCACAGAGAATTAAATCCAATAGCCTTTCACAGAATGTGACCACAGAGAAGTCCTTGGAGGTAATTTCATCCCTTGTTTCTACACCCAGAGAGGTTCAAGTGGCAAGTCTGAGGACACACATGTAACTGGAAGTGGGACCATGGCTGAGGCAGCCTCTTCTGAGCAAGTCTGAGGACACACATGTAACTGGAAGTGGGACCATGGCTGAGGCAGCCTCTTCTGAGACCTCACACTTGTCTACCATGCCGTGTCAGAAGGGGAAAAGGGAGCCGTGGAGTCTGGCTGATAGACATTCTCAGACACCTGTTACCTGGGCACAGTGGTCATGCCTGTAATCTCAGCACTTCAAGAGGCCAAGGCGGGAGGATTGCTTGAGGTCAGAAGTTCCAGACCAACCTGAGCAACATGGCGAGACCCCATCTCTACAAAACATTTTAAAATAGCTGGGCATAGTGGCACGAGCCTATAGACCCAGCTACTCAGGAGGCTGAGTGGGGAAGGATCACTTGAGCTCAGGAGGTGGGGGTTGTAGTCAGCTATGATTTCACCACTGCACTCCAGACTGGATGATAGGGCAAGACTCTGTCTCAATAGATTAAAAAAAAAAAAGCCTATTGACGAGGAGTCAACCTAGCAGTTTCCTGGAAAAGAATATAAATGACTACTAACTTTAAGCACTCACATGGGAGTGTGTCAAGCAAAGAGGTCAAGTTCTTAAGCTCCAAAGACAGACTGTGATGGTCTAGGCCTTTTCCCCTTTTCAGCAGGGAATGTCAGGTAAGGCAGTGGCTGAGAGTCATGATTTGGCCCCAGGTCACTTCCCACTGGCCCAAAGCCCCTGACTTGTGGCTCTTCTACCTTATCCTGGAAGCAGCTCCCTCTAAATTCTGGCTTCTTGTTCAGCTCTGTACTTGGAAACTGCAGCCTCACTGCCAGCTGCTGCTAACCTAACTATGTTGTGCTGTTCTCAAAGGATATACACAAGCTACTCGGAACCAGGTAAGAAGACCTGTCACCCAGCTCTCAATTGTGTCCCTAGGGCTAACTGCTCCACCAAATCTACCACTAACCACAGGGATAAAAGGGTGCAGCAAAGCATGCCATACTGTGTCAACTCCAGCATCCCCAGTGTAGGGGCGGGAACTCGAGTTCCCAGCCAGGCAGGTGACACAGCTCTGCCAATCACATGTGGCACCTCTTTTTGGCCAGAGACAGGGGCTTCTGGCTTTTAAACACCGGACGCAGCTATTTTCCAGCAGTTCAAAAGCCCTGAAGGCTCTGGTAACTTGGGATATGAGCGTAAATATATATGTGTGTGTACATACACTATATATGCACACACACATACGTACACATACATACATACATACACACACATGCACGTGTCTCAAAATCTTACCTGAAAAGAAAATCAAATCTGAACTGAAAGAAATGACTACAAAGAGCCATGCTGGGCTTGTTAGCTAAAATGTCTCTATGGCAACCAAGACACAAACAGCATGACAGAAGCTATCTAACTGGCCCACAACTATAGTCACACCATCATCCATATATTTTCATTTTCCTCATTTGGTGATCTTCATTGTACAGAATTTGTACATCTGGATCACCAGAAACCTAACATGCTTTCTGAAATTTTACCTCACAAGGTCTTGATACCTCTCAAGTATCAAAAACTATGTGACAGTAATCAAAATAGATGCAGAACCTAGGAAAATCTCTGTGGGGAGGGTCCGGCCTGTGTCAGGGAAGGACAAAGACTCTAAAGCTGTCGGGCCCAGGTCTGGGAGCCCTATCTGTGGAAAGTGAGTTTGCAAAGTCTGTGGGCAGCACCTGGTATCATCTGTAACTGCGTCAACCACTAGCCTCACCCACAATTCTCAAGGTTTATTCCACCACGGAAACAATACTGGTTTTAAGAGTAAGAGAATAAAGACATGTTTTTTAAAATTTACAATGAGGGAAGGGCCATTATCAGAACGACAAGCACATACTCCTACAAACATACAGGTTTTAAGATTAAGTGTTGGCCGGGCGCGGTGGCTCACGCCTGTAATCCCAGCACTTTGGGAGGCTGAGGTGGGTGGATCACAAGGTCAAGAGATTCAGACCATCCTGGCTAACATAGTGAAACCCCGTCTCTACTAAAAAAAATACAAAAAATTTGCCGGGCGTGGTGGCGGGCACCCGTAGTCCCAGCTACTCAAGAGGCTGAGGCAAGAGAATGGCATGAACCCGGGAGGTGGAGCTTGCAGTGAAGTGAGATAGCGCCACTGCACTCCAGCTGGGGTGACAGAGCGAGACTCCATCTCAAAAAAAAAAAAAAAAAAAAAAAAGATTAACTTGTTGTTGTTGTTATTGTTTTTAATACAGGGTTATGACAAGTCCCAAGAAGAGAGGAAGGAAGGCCAAGACAGCCAAGAAGGAAGTTCCTTTTGTGTCCACAGAGAGGATGCATACCTAAATTTCACTCAAGAAATTAAGGCATCAAGATTTGAAGAAAGGGGTACTGCTTTGTTCCAAATTCCTTTCAGGCATCATGGCCCTTTTTCTAACTAGGAGCAGGGAGTTTATGGCAGTTGCCATCATTAACAAGAATATCTAACATAGCATGCACAGACATGTATTTAAGGCTTGTGTGTGCCTCATACACATTTGCTGTATATATTAAGATTGTGTAAAATAAACTTATATACAAGTTCAGAAACAAATAAAGGGCTGAAAATGACAATGAAGGGGAAACAAAGCAAGAACTAGATCTAGATACAAAAAGGGACCCAATCTATATCTCAACTGTATAAATATTAGATGAAGGCGCTATGATTTTTCTGAGAACTATTCAAATGATCCTGATATTCTGATCCATGAATCAAAACTTACACCATCTCAAAAAACAAAACAAAATGATTTAATAGAATCTCAAGACTGGGAAAAAATTTCAAGAGGTATTGTTGACTCATTCATTACCTTCAAAGAGAATCATACACATGAGGAGAAAAGAGATTCTACCCCCTATTCAAAGCTGAGAGAGCACCATGCCAATGCTAAAATCTCACTTACCAAAAGGACTACATTTTAAATTTGTTTCCTCGTTTAATCTTAAGAGAAATACAAAATACATGGTCACCATACTCTGTAGGAATAATTTATTTCCTTGAGAGCTTTTAGGTACTTTCCACTTCCAAGTTAAATATGCCCACTTCCTATATTTCTTTTCCCCTACTAATTGAATTTTGGGGGGAGTACTAGAAGGTGAACTTTTTCTCTTCTTTTCTTTTTCTCACTTCCAAATCTATGCATTGTCTGTTCTCTCCCTGCAGGTCATCTTTAGCCTTAGTCTCTCCAAATGGACAATACAATACTTAAAAGGTATTAGAAGGCCATTCCCCCAGTTATTAAAACACCTTTCCACTGCCTTTCACCTCACCTTTGCCACTGCCTAGCTAAAGGGTTTCCCTTCCTTTATTTCACTCATTCACAAGACCTAGCGATAACCTAAGAACATTAAATGTCTATAGAGGCTGGGCGCGGTGGATCACGCCTGTAATCCCAACATTTTGGGAGGCCAAGGCGGGTGGATCACCTGAGGTCGGGAGTTCGAGACCAGCCTGGCCAACAAGATGAAACCCCATCTCTACTAAAAAAAAAAAAGAAAATACAAAAAATTAGCTGGGCGTGGTGGCAGGCACCTGTAATCCCAGCTACTCAGGAGTCTGAGGCAGGAGAATCACTTGAACCCGGGAGGTGGAGGTTATGGTGAGCCAAGATTGCGCCACTGCACTCCAGCCTGGGCAACAAGCGCAAAACTCCATCTCAAAAAAAAAAAATGCTTATAGAAATGTGTTTTACAATTCAAACTTAAAAAAACAAACAAAAAAAACTTACAAATGGGCAAAGGACTTGAATAACCATTTTCTCTAAAGAAGACAGACAAAAATGGCACAAAGTGCATGAGAAGATGCACAACGTCATTAGCCATCAGCAAACTGCAAATCAGAACCACAAATAATACCACTTCGTGCTCACTAGGATGGTGTGATGGTTAATTTTAGATGTCACCTTGACTGGGTTAAAGGTTACCTAGCAAACTGCTCAAGGATTATTTCTGGGGTGTGTCTGTGAGTGTTTCCGAAAGACACTGGCATGTGAATCCATGAACAGAGTAGAGAAGATCTGCCTTTAATGTGGGGGGACATCGTCCAATCAGCTGGCCCAGATGAACAAATTTTTGTGTAAATGTATGTCACACTGCTGGAAATGTAAAACGGTGCACCCGCTTTTGAAAAACCTTAGCAGTCCCCCAAAATGTTAAACACAGACCCACCACATGAACCACCAAGTCCGCTTTGAAGTAAATACACAAGAGAATACATATATTTACACAAAAATTTGAACATAAAATGTTTTCCATTAACTGATGAGTAAACGAAATGTTGTATATTCATACAATAAAATACTGATAAGTAATAAAAAGAAGTCCTGATGTCCTGAAACATGCTACAACACGGATGAACCTCAAAAACATGCTAAGTGGAAGAAGTCAGACACAAATAATCCCACAGTGTATGATTCCATTTACATGAAATGTCTGGAATAGGCAAACCTATACAGATAGAAAGTAGGCTAGTGGTTACCAGAGGCTGGGGGAAGAAACCCAGTAACCAGTAATGGGTATGAGTTTTTTGGAGATGGTATGAGAATGTTTTAAAATTTGATAGTGGTGATGTTTACCCAACTCTGTGAATATATTAAACATCACCTTAAGATAGTGAGTTTTGGCCGGGCGCACTGGCTCACGCCTGTAATCCCAGCACTTTGGGAGGCCAAGGCGGGTGGATCACAAGGTCAGGAGTTCGAGACCAGCCTGGCCAACATGGTGAAACCCTATCTCTACTAAAAATACAAAAAATTAGCCTGGCATGGTGGCGGGCGCCTGTAATCCCAGCTACTCGGGAGGCTCAGGCAGGAGAATCCCTTGAACCTGGGAGGCAGAGGTTGCAGTGAGCCGAAATCAAGCCACTGCACTCCAGCCTGGGTGACAGAGTGAGATGCCATCACAAAAAAAAAGATGGTGAGTTTTATGGCATGTAAATTATACCTCAGTAAGTTATTTTTAGAAGGGTCTCAAATAATATAAAGTCTGCTTCCTATTTACTCAGAAATCAATAGAAAAATGTAAATAGGTATATAGAGAGATGAAGAAAATATAACAAGAAATGGTAGTTGTTGGAAAAGGGCCATCGTTTTAAACTCAAAGCAGTGGTTCTTAATACTTTTTAGGTCACAGACTCCTTGAAGAATCAGACAAAAATGCTGGGCCATCTTCCAAAAGAAATGCAGCTTTAAGAGTTCAAAGACTAGGCCGGCCAGGCACGGTTGCTCACGCCTGTAATCCCAGCACTTTGGGAGGCCGAGGCGGGCGAATCACGAGGTCAGGAGATTGAGACCATCCTGGCTAACACGGTGAAACCCCGTCTCTACTAAAAATACAAAAAGTTAGCCGGCGCGGTGGCTCGCGTCTGTAATCCCAGCACTTTGGGAGGCAGAGGCGGGCGGATCACGAGGTCAGGAGATCGAGACCATCCTGGCTAACACGGTGAAACCCCGTCTCTACCAAAAAAAAAAAAAAAAAAAAAAATTAGCCGGGCGTGGTGGCGCATGCCTGTAGTCCCAGCTACTCTGGAGGCTGAGGCAGGAGAATGGCGTGAACCCGGGACGCGGAGCTTGCAGTGAGCCGAGATTGTGCCACTGCACTCCAGCCTGGGTGACAGGGCAAGACTCAGTCTCAAAAAAAAAAAAGAGTTCAAAGACCAGCCGGGCTACCGGTTCATGCCTGTAATCCCAGCACTTTGGGAGGCCAAGGTGGAGAATTGCTCGAGCTCAATAATTCAAGACTAGCCTGGGCAACGTGGCAAAACCCCGTCTCTACAAAAAATTAGCCGGGCATGGTGGTGCACACGCCTGTAGTCCCAGCTACTCAGGCTGAGGTAGGATGATGGCTTGAGCCCAGAAGGCGAAGGTTGCAATGTGCCCATGATTGCCCCATTGCACTCCAGCCTGGGCAACAGAGCCAGACCTTGGGTTCAAAGACCCCCTGAAACCCAATAATACAGTTTTAAAAGGCTTGAATGTATGGGCACAATGGCTCACAACTGTAATCCCCGCACTTTGGGTGTCAGGAGGATCAGCTGAGCCCAGGAGTTTAAAACCAGCCTGGGCAACATGGAGAAACCCTGTTTCTACATACACACAAAAAAAATTAGCCACACTTGGCGGTGTGCACCTGTAGTTCCAGCTACTCGGGAGGCTGAGGTTGGAGAATCACCTGAGCCCCAGGACTAGAGGGTGCAGTGAGCCATGATCACACCACTGCACTCCAGCGTGGGCAATGGAGTAAGACCCTGTCTCAAAAAAAAAAAAAAAAAAAAGTCAAGAAAATGAGAAATATGGGAACCTAAGCTTAAAGAACAAAATAAGCAAAGCCTTTAGACTCACCAGGGGTTCTTTCTTGGACCCAACAGAGACCAGAAAAGTGACAGACTAAAAAAGTATCAGAAAGCTTAACCTTCTGAGAAGAGACTACAATGCTGTGGCTAAAAGGATTTCACAGCTGAAGAGCTAAGCTTAGTGAAAAAATTATGACGGATGCTGTCACGGGACGGACTCATCAAAAGGTCAACCACAGGCCACAGGATGGCGACCAGAGCTATGTTGTTGTTGTTATTGTTGTTGTTTTTTGAGACAGAGTTTCATTCTTGTTGTCCAAGCTGGAGTGCAGCGGCATGATCTCGGCTCACTGCAACCTCCGCCTCCCAGGTTCAAGCGATTCTCTTGCCTCAGCCTCCCGAGTAGCTGGGATTACAGGTGCACGTCACCACGCCCAGCTAATTTTTTGTATTTTTAGTAGAAACGGGGTTTCACCGTGTTACCCAGGCTGGTCCCAAACTCCTGACCTCAGGTGATCCACCTGCCTCAGCCTCCCAAAGTATTGCGATTACAGGCGTGAGCCACCGCGCCCGGCAAGCTATTCTTTCTTACATGTTGAATAGTCACAGTAATTTGCCCCCAAAAGGTCAACTTCTAAGAGAAAGCTCTCAAAAACTTAAGAAACTTATTCGTTCAATACAAACTGGGTGCTCAACTGTTTATCTCCAGGGCCGTATTTTTACAACATTACCATATACACGCGCAGGGGTCTTCAGGTTCAGCCAAGTCTGTAACTAGGACGCCCACCAACTCCACAGAATACACAGGACTTTATTACAAGCCAAAATAGAGACACAATGCAGACTTGCATTAATAGCTAATATAAACCAAATGGGGAGAAGAGGAGAAAAGACTATTAACTGTGCGACAGAGAATGCGACACCTTAAGAAAAAATAGAAAATAATGAGAAACAGATTATTAAATTCTCGGGGATTGAAAAAGCCAAAATAGGGAGGAGAAACAAAGTCACTGCAGATTAAATATAGAGAGCTTTAAGCCAATTATAAAAGATCAAAGAGAACAAGAGAGGGGAGGAGTAGCCTTACAAGTAACCGAGATAGGAGACCTTGGGAGAAATATGGCCAGAGTCAAATCATTACAGTTTACAGTAAAAGTAATCTAGGGATACTTTAGAGAAGAATTCACTAGAGACAACAACTAGGAGCAATGACCCGGAGACGGAAATTCAAAAAGTTCTGAATTTTAAAAGGTACACAATTCCAAAGGGAAGGTAATTCCTACGGAGAACAGCTAGGAGAACTGGCAAATGGAAAGGTGCAGATGAGTACACCTTTGTATTCACAATGCAAGTGTAGATGAACATGCCAATGCCTTGAGCCACATTTTTATTTCTATGCCATCCACCTTTAAGATCTGGCATGGTCTCCATTGCATGTCACCATAGGGAAAGGGGAGGAAGAGGCAAAAGCTGTGGCCTTAGTAGAATATCCTTGAAATTCACTTAGTACTTTCTGTTCCGCCCCCGGATAAAAATCTAACAAGGTCCTTTGGATGTCAACTTCCTCAGAAGCCTCAACCATCCCTAAACTATATCAGAGTTTTACCAAGAGAAGCTGCACTAAGAAAAAAGCTGCTAATATAAAGGATGCTAACTTTTATTTTTATTATTATTATTTTTTCAGATAGTGTCTCACTCTGTCACCCAGGCTGGAGTGAGGTGGCACGATCATGGTTCACTCCAGCCTCAACCTCCCCAGGCTCAGGTGATCCTCCCACCTGCATCTCCCAAGTAGCTGAGACCACAGGTGTGTGCCACCATACCCAGCTAATTTTTTTATTTTTTGTAGGAATGGGGCTTCACCATGTTGCCCAGGCTGATCTCAAACTCCTGGGCTCAAGCCATCTACCTGCCTTGGCCTTCCAAAGTGCTGGGATTATAGGCATGAGCCAACGTGCCCAGCCGATGCTAACTTTTAAACTTAACATTTTTCATTTAAGTATACTCTGCAATTCATAAACAACATTTTATGTATATTCTTTCAAACGCTACCTACGATAACCTTGTAAGGTTGAAGACCAGGAGGTACAATGGCCCAAGACAGAGGAGCTAGCTGTGCTTAGAAAGGTGCCCAGCACACAAAGAAACATAGCTGGAACTGCGATTGAAACCCAGGCCTTTTGATTCCAGGTTTGGTAACTTCTTGCAATGACATGAAAAACCCAGACACACAGCTCTTCACTTTTATTCTAAGTAGTGAAGAATTCTGTGAATTTTGTTTTTTTAAAGCAATCATCAATACACCGGATATTATCAAATATCAGAGACAGAAAGCTGAGGCAAATATAGAATACAGCTAAGAGATCCCCTGTAAGATCCAGGATAATGCTTGCCTTGTAAAATACTTTCTTTCAGGCCAGGTGCAGTGGTCACGCCTGTAATCCCAGCACTCTGGGAGGCAGAAACAGGCAGATCGCTTGAGCTTAGGAGTTTGAGACCACCCTGGGCAACATGGTAAAACCCCATCTCTACAAAAAAATACAAAACTTAGCCGGGCATGGTGGCTTGCGCCTGTAGTCCCAGCTAATCAGGAGGCTGAGGTGGGAGGACTGCTTGAGCCCAGGAAGTCAAGGCTGCAGTGAGCTGTGATCACACGACTGCACTCCAGCCTGGGCGATAGAGACCCTGTCTCAAAATAAAAAACAACAATTGTTGATTTCCTAAGTGAGATTGTACATATCACTATATAACCACAAAGATGACTAAAAGCATATAGTATAACTTAATTTACAGAATGATAAAATGTAGTATGTTAATAACACAGCACTTACAGAGAAAATATATCTCAAGAAAGGAAAATAAGAGAAAAAGAAAGCAAAGGGAGCCTTGGACATCAACTATTTTACTTACCCTTGTACCAAGATACAAACCACCTGGCCACCTACTGGGTCCCAGTTACTACTCTCATGACCACAATGACAGAGTAATGGAGCCCGATGTAGGGCATGAGCATGGGCTGTGGGTCACAGACCCGGGTTTGAGTTCCACCTCCACCACTTAATACACATGCCATCTTGTGGAAGTTACTAAACCTCAATTTCCCTATAATTGGAAAAACATACTTCCTATTTACAGAGTTGCCGTAAAGATTAAATGAAAATATAAATAACAAAGCAGCTAAGACAACACCTGCCACAAGGCAGACACTCGGTAAATGAGAGCTACTCGGGTTATAATTATTACTACCACCTATGAAAACATAATGCCAAAGAGTTGAGAATTAAACCGACTGCATGCTTAGGAGGCACAGAATAAAGCACTGCCCGCTCTCCTGGCTTCCCAGAGAGGAATTAGGAAAACGTGATTCATAGTCGTGTGTGGATCTTCAGTTTGACAAACGTCACTTCTTCCTCCTACCATCCTGCATCCTGGAAACACAAACTAATGTGAGAATTACATTTCTTTGCTTAATCACCCTTATTATGCTTTGTTTTTTTTCAGTCCTACCCAATTTCCCCCTGCTCCTAGATGCATGCTTTTGTTCCCTGTCAAACTCCTCTCCACTGCTGTAAATAATCTCTCTCCCTCTTTTATATTACCTTTCAAATATTTATAGACTGTTATTCTCCTTCTCTCCAAGTCATACATCATTTTTGTTGCCCTTCCCCTGGATTCTCTCTAGTTTATCTACATCTTTTAGAAAAAAACAAACCCCAGGTGCTTCATGATGAAAATAGCACACCCAAAGCTAACAACCCCAAACCAATAAGGCCGCTTATTCAAAGCCACACAAAAAGGCTTTGATGTGCCTCTTACTCCTTCCTCCTGTAACTCATAATTCCATCTCTCAGATAAAAATTGAGGGAGAGGGTGATAAGGAAAATGAACACCACCCTCATCAAGTGGATGACTGGACTCTACAAGGTAGCAGCTCCTGGGGTGGGAAGCCATGGGACAGTCTCACACACATCTCAAACTCACTAAAGAGGAATTATGCACCGTGTACATACATTGCTTCCGCTTGTTACTTCCTTGCCCATCCACTGCATTTGGTATCAGTGTATCAGCCCAATAACGTCCTTGAGACTCTCTCGTTGCTTTCTGGTTTGCCCCTAATGAAAAATCTGACACTGTTTATTTTCAAGTAAACACAAGTTTTGAGAGTGTTTTCAAGAAGGAAAACTTCTGAAACTAAACACTTTAAAATACTATCCCCACAACGGGGTAAATGAGTCCCTTTTGCAATGGATCACAGTGTGACACACCTAGTTCAGCTTCCCCATATTGCTTCTTAAAGGTGGTGACGTCAAGGGGTCTGAAATATTATGACATTCCCTTGTCCCACCCGCAGGCCAGTGCTGATGCCTCCTGCTTCTTCATCTGATATGCAATGTCCTGACGATTTCTAAATGTGCATTGATGGTGCTTTACCTGTTCTGCTAAAGGTAACGTCCCAGTCTCAGAGTCCTGAGTATTTGTGTGGTTATAAAACACCCACCACTGTCTTTTTTTTTTTTTTTTTTTTTTTGAGATGGACTCTCACTCTGTCACCCAGGCTGGAGTGCAGTAGCAGGATCTCGGCTCACGGCAGCTGCTGCCTCTTGGGTTCAAGCGATTCTCCTGCCTCAGCCTCCTGAGCAGCTGGGATTACAGGCACCCACCACCACATCCAGCTAATTTTTGTATTTTTAGTAGAGACAGGGTTTCACCATGTTGGCCAGGCTGGTCTCGAACTCCTGACCTTAGGTGATCCGCCCACCTTGGCCTCCCAAAGTGCTGGGATTACAGGTGTGAGCCACCGTGCGCTGCCCTCACTCTCTTTTGAAAGGATGACAGATGGCTAATACTGAAGGCATCTATCAGCGAAGTCAACAAAACAGAAAAAGAAGGTCATGAAAAGAAGGGGAAATATTTATATTCTAATGGGACGGTTTAATACATCTACCATGTTTGAGCATTAAGATGTGTCTCTGAGATTCCTGGCAACTGGGGGTGTAGGGAAATGTGATGGGTTATGTAATCCTCACCCAAAGATGTAATTCTTGTTGTATCTGTTCAGGTAGCTTCATTTTTGCAAAAACTTGTTTATTGCTACAGGATAAATCATATCCGGGCTCATTCATCTGCTCCTCCTATTAATATCTGAAATGTGAGCTCTATGACTTGTTCATGTACTTCATCACAGTGTACAAAGGTATTTTTCATAAATACCTTATATTTCATATATATCATATATATTTATGAAAAATTAAGTACCATACATATCTTAAGAAAAAAATGAGCACTCTAACAATTCTACAAGATATCCTAGATAGATATTATTATTTTATTCATTTCACAAATGAACAAACAGACAAAGTTAAATGAACTGCTGAAAATCAGAGAGGTGGTAAGAAACTGAGCCAGGTCTTTTGACTCCAGATCTTAGGTTCTTTCACTGAGAGTCCTTTCCAGGTATAAAGTTATCAAGATAACAACAAATCTCTTTTCCCAGGTGTCTTCAATATTCGAGAACTTTGATCAAGCCATATACCATTCTCTCAGGGAAAACCTGGAAACGTCATGCAGGAATAATGACAATGCTCATTCCACATCAACGCAAACAGTAAAATGACTCTGAGATAGCTGAAGGTAACGTGCATTCTAATTCCATGCTCACTGACCACACTGGTAAGAATAAGATTAGCCTCTAGAAACCAGAATATGTGACTGGACAGTATATCTCCCCATTCCTGCATCACGGCCATACCACAGTTTATTATATAATGAATGGAACTGTAAAACTTCCAAACCATAACTATGAAATGGTTTAGTCGAAGCTTTTGGCTTAAAACTTGAGACCTACTCATAGCTAAAATTGAACTGAGGAATAGAAGTTAAAAGAATACTGGCTGGCGGGCACGGTGGCTCACGCCTGTAATCCCAGCACTTTGGGAGGCCGAGGTGGGCGGATCGCAAGGTTAGGAGATGGAGACCATCCTGGCTAACATGGTGAAACCCTGTCTCTACTAAAAATACAAAAAAAATTAGCCAGGCGTGGTGGCGGGCGCCTGTAGTCCCAGCTGCTCAGGAGGCTGAGGAAGGAGAATGGCATGAGCCTGGGACACAGAGCTTGCAGTGAGCCGAGATCGCACCACTGCACTCCAGCCTGGGCGACAGAGCAAGACTCCGTCTCAAAAAAAAAAAAAAAAAGAGTACTGGCTGGGCATGGTGGCTCACGCCTGTAATCTCAGCACTTTGGGAGGACAAGGCGGGCAGATCACCTGAGGTCAGGAGTTCAAGACCAGCCTGGTCATCATGGTGAAACTAAAAATATGAAAATTAGCCAAACGTGGTGGCAGACACCTTTAATCCCAGCTACTCGGCAGGCTGAAGTGGAGAATCGCTTGAACCTGAGAGGCAGAGGCTGCAGTGAGCCGAGATCACACCACTGCACTCCAGCCTGGTGACAAAGCAAGACTGTCTCAAAAAAAAAAAAAGAAAAAAAAGAAGAAGAAGAAGTTAAAAGAATACAAATAACACATTGGTTTAGCCATTCTATGGCCATTTTCATTTGGACTGAAGAATGGCCTACCAACAGGAAGTGGAAAAGTTACAGGCTTCTCTGCTCCTCTGCTTGTCCTCCAAAGAGTGCAGTGACGAGGACTCAGTCCTGGGACTCTTATCACCCCGCAGTCTGTCCCCCGCCAGTCTCATATAGTTTCCTGGTTTAAAATACCAAATAGTCGGGGGAAACTTGCACCTCATATCAAAAAGGGCCAATCTCCACAATAAATAAGGAAATTCTTGATGTTGGCCGGGATCAATAGAGAAATGGGCAAAGGACATAGATGGTTCAGAGAATAAAATACAAATGGCCTTTAAACATACGGAACGATGTTCAACCCCACTAACAAGGGAAATCTAGATTATAAACTATACCAGTTGCATTAGTCATCTTTCACTGTGTTAACAAATCACCAGAAATTTAGTGGCGTAAATGACACAAATTGACTATCTTAGAGTTCTGTGGGTCCGAAATCTGACGCCAGTCTCTGTCAAGGTGTCTGTGGGGCTGCATTTCTTTCTGGAGCCTCTAGCAGGGACTGTTTCTTTGCTCAATCAGTTAGATGGCAGAATTCAGCTCCCTGTGTGTTAGTAGGACTAGGTCCCATTCCTTGCTGGCTGTCAGCTGAGGGCTGTTGCTAGCCTGTAGAGGCCTCCCATATTCTTTGGCTGAGGGGTTCCCTTCCTCCACCTTCAAAGCCAGCAATAGCAGGTCAAGTCTCTGTCAAGCCTGGAAACTCTCCTGTGTCTTCTGTCATGGCATCTCTAGTTGCAGCCAGGAAAGGTTCTGTCCACACTTCCCCTGCCCTTTTTTTTTTTTTTTTTTAAGAGACGTGGCCTCACTCTGTCACCCAGGCTGAAATGCAGTGGCATGATCACTGTTCACTGCAGCCTTGAAATCCTGGGGTCAGGCAATCCTCCCACCTCAGCCTCGCAAGCAGCTGGGACTAAAAGCAGCCACCCCCACACCTGGCTAATTTTTTTTTTTTTTTTTTTGTAGAGACCTGATCTCGCTGTTGCCCAGGCTGGTCCCAAACTCCTGAGCTTAAGCAATCCTTCAGCCTCAGCCTCCCAGAATGCTGGGATGAGAGGCATGAGCTACCACACCCAGGGAGCTCTCCACTTTTAAGGATTCATGCCATTAGATTGTGCCCATCCGGAAAATCCAGGATCATCTCACTCATCTCAAGACTCTTGACTCAATCACATTTGCAAAGTCCCTTCTGCCATGTAAGGTACCAACTTCACAGGTTGCAGGGATTAGGGCACAGGCATCTTTTGGGAGGCCGTTATTCACCTGACCACGCTGATGTACATAACCTCACCTAACTAGGAAAACCCCAACCACCTAGTGCTGGCTGCGCTGTAGCAGCCACTCTCAGAAGGGAATACCATTGACAACACCCACCAAAACTACACTTCAACGTACCCCCAGTATAGACTTCCCGTCCCAGCCTTTCTTTCCATCTCTACTGCCACCACCCCAGCCTAAGCAGCTCTCCCTTTCACCTGGACAACAGCACGACCTTCCCATCAATCTCTCACCCAGTTCCCTTCAAACACCACCACACAAGAGCAGAGATATTTTAAGAAAGTAAATCTCAATCTCCCTCCCCCTCCCCCTCCCCCTCCCCATTGCACGGTCCTCGTCTCCCCTTTGCACCGTCTCCCTCTGATGCCGAGGCTGGACTGTGCTGCCGCCATCTCGGCTCACTGCAGCCTCCCTGCCTGATTCTCCTGCCTCAGCCTGCCGCGTGCCTGGGACTGCAGGCGCGCGCCGCCACACCTGACTGGTTTTCCTATTTTTCGGTGGAGACGGGGTTTCGCCGTGTTGGCGGGGCTGGTCTCCAGCTCCTGACCGCGAGTGGTCTGCCAGCCTCGGCCTCCCGAGGTGCCGGGAGTGCAGACGGAGTCTCGCTCACTCAGTGCTCAGTGTTGCCCAGGCTGGAGTGCAGTGGCGTGATCTCGGCTCGCTACAACCTCCACCTCCCAGCCGCCTGCCTTGGCCTCCCAAAGTGCTGAGATTGCAGCCTCTGCCCAGCCGCCACCCCGTCTAGGAAGTGAGGAGCGTCTCTGCCTGGCCGCCCATCGTCTGGGATGTGAGGAGCCCCTCCGCCCGGCCGCCCAGTCTGGGAAGTGAGGAGCACCTCTTCCCGGCCGTCATCCCGTCTAGGAAGTGAGGAGCGTCTCTGCCCGCCCGCCCATCATCTGGGATGTTGGGAGCGCCTCTGCCCCGCCGCCCCATCTGGGATGTGAAGAGTGCCTCTGCCCGGCCGCGACCCCGTCTGGGAGGTGAGGAGCGTCTCTGACCGGCCGCCCCGTCTGAAGGAGCCCCCCCCCGCCCGGCAGCCGCCCCGTCTGGGAAGTGGGGAGCATCTCCGCCCAGCAGCCGCCCCGTCCAGGAGGTGGGGGGCAGCCCCTGCCCGGCCAGCCGCCCCGTCTGGGAGGTGGGGGGCCCCTCTGCCCGGCTTCCCCGTCTGGGAAGTGAGGAGCCCCTCTGCCCGGCCGCTGCCCCTTCTGGGAAGTGAGGAGCCCCTCTGCCCGGCCGCCACCCCGTCTGGGAGGTGTACCCAACAGCTCATTGAGAACAGGCCATGATGACAATGGCGGTTTTGTCGAATAGAAAAGGGGGAAATGTGGGGAAAAGAAAGATCAGATTGTTATTGTGTCTGTGTAGAAAGAAGCAGACATAGGAGACTCCATTTTGTTCTGTACTAGGAAAAATTCTTCTGCCTTGGGATGCTGTTAATCTATAACCTTACCCCCAACCCCGTGCTCTCTGAAACATGTGCTGTGTCCACTAAGGGTTAAATGGATTAAGGGCGGTGCAAACTGTGCTTTGTTAAACAGATACTTGAAGGCAGCATGCTCCTTAAGAGTCATCACCACTCCCTAATCTCAACTACCCAGGGACACAAACACTGCAGAAGACGGAAGGCGGCAGGGCCCTCTGCCTAGGAAAACCAGAGACCTTTGTTCACATGTTTATCTGCTGACCTTCCCTCCACTATTGTCCTATGACCCTGCCAAATCCCCCTCTCCGAGAAACACCCAAGAATGATCAATAAATACTAAAAAAAAAAAAAAAAAAAAAAGAAAGTAAATTAGATCACACCATTCACTGCTTTAATAGTTAATGGCTGTCCACTGCATTCATGCTAAACTCCCAACCCTTTCCGTGGTATACACAGGCAGCTGTGCGCCCTTCTGCTATGAGCCCATGACACAACCCCACTGGTGTCACCCTGTGCTCAAAGCACTCAGGCTCACAGCTGCCTGCCTCAGCACAGTCTCACCTTGCTGCTCCTTCCTCCTCAAATGCTCTTTCCCCAGATCTTGATGAGAATGGCTCACTGTCATTTGGGACTAGCTCTGACTTAACTTCCTTAGAGAGGCCTCCCTTCTTTGACCACCCTATTTAAAACAGCCCGTGTCCCCTTGGTCACATCCATCATATCACTTTGTTTTTCTTTACAGCACTTACCACTTACTGCAAATATCTTATTTATTGATGTACTTGTTTATCAACTGTCTTCCCTGGCAGCCCCCAAGAGATATAAGGTCCATGTGAGAGATATATGCACTGCTATATATCCTGCACCTAGAATAGGATCTGGCTCAGTGCAGCCATAGAATGAACATTTGTTGAACGAATAAAGAAGTAAAATGAAAAAACAGAGTAAGAAGAGTGAGGGAGGAAATCTTGCTCAGACAGCAAACTCTCCAGCAGAGATGAATTCAATTCAATTCAGCAAACATTTATTGCCATTTGATAAATCCAATCTGCTTCACTGAACTAATTTGTATTTTGTGTATTTTATTTTACTTTTTATGTATTTAATTTTTTTTGAGACAGAGTCTCGCTCTGTCGCCCAGGCTGGAGTACAATGGCACGATCTCGGCTCCCTGCAACCTCCGCCTCCAGGGTTCAAGCCATTCTCCTGCCCCAGCCTCCCAAGTAGCTAGGACTACAGGCATGCGCCACCACGCCCGGCTAATTTTTGTATTTTTAGTAGAGATGGGGCTTCACCATGTTGGCCAGGCTGGTCTTGAACTCCTGACCTCAAGTGATCCACCCACCTCGGCCTCCCAAAGTGCTGGGATTACAGGCGTGAGCCACCGTGCCCTACCCCATATTTTAGATAAAACCTAAAACCTCAGGACTAGAGTTAACGGGTAGTTAACGGCAATTTTTATAAGTTCTGAAATCAACATTGAAAGTCATCTGTTACTATATGCTGAATGGCAATGGATGGCTGAAGCAGTATCTAAGAACCTTACTGCCAATAAACATCAGAAAATCTGCTATTACTGTAATACTGAATTGATTATTTTCTTTTCACAACTTGCCAGCTATTTATAGTCTACTTTAAGAGTTTCTTACACATTTTTTTCTGGAAAGCATGTTCAGTGGTATTGTACAATGAGACCAGATTAGCAACTATGAAGTCTGCCTGCAGACGTTTTAGAGACTGGCATAAACTTGGTTTGAAGTGTAATTTGGTTCAACAACAGTAATCAATATTTATGTGAATTTTCATAGGAGACTCAAAAACACCGAATTGGATTTTTTTGTGATTTGGAAAGTGAAGACACCTTCAGGCTGAAACAGAAATGCACATATACATTTGCATAGCTGCTTTTGACAACCGCAAAAGGGACCGTGACAAGTCAAGACTCCGTGAGAGAGCACTGAGAGCCCCAGGGGACCCACAGGCACCCCTACTCCACTTCCTTTGCTTCACGGTACAACTAAGGGCACTCCTAGGCTCAGAGTCCAGATCATCAGACAGAATTTACAGTGTACTGCATAAGGTGTTAGTATACAGTCCCCTGCATCCGTTCCCTATAAACCTCAGTTATTTTACAGACTTTGGAGCCCCTTATTACCCAAGAGGCACAGGTTAGAGCAGCACTTAAAACAAAGGAAGAAGTCAGCAATACAGGAAACATTTGGGAGTTAAGAGAGCCAAGAAAGGATGCTGGCAGAGATCAAAGGAATCATCGTAACTCATGTGAGTCTACAGGTGATTTCAGAAGCCAGGGAACTTTCAAGAAAGCTGGGCTTGCATAAGAGACTGGCCTCAGTCATAAGTTAGTTCATGAGAGGGGTAAATGGGAAATAATCGTTTAATGGGTACAGAGTTTCTGTCTGGGAAGTTCTGGAGATGGATGGTGGTGACAGTTGCACATTATGGTGAATGTACCTAATACCACTGAACTCTATGCTTAAAAATGGTTACAATGATAAATATATATATATATATATATATATTTTTTTTTTTTTTTTTTGAGACAGACTGGAGTGCAATGGCGCGATCTCAGCTCACTGCAACCTCCGACTCCCAGGTTCAAGCGATTCTCCTGCCTTAGCCTCACAAGTAGTTGGGATTACTGGCACCCACCACCATGTCTAACTAATTTTTGTATTTTTAGTAGAGACAGGGATTCGCCATGTTGGTCAGGCTGGTCTCGAACTCCTGACCTCAGATGATCTGCCCGCCTCGGCCTCCCAAAGTGCTGGGATTACAGGCGTGAGCCACTGCGCCCAGCCTAAAATGATAAATTTTAAGTTGTGCATATTGTACCACAATAAAAGAGAGTTTTTAAAAATAAGTTAATTAATATAAAAAGAGGACAAAAAGGCATTCACAAGACTCCAAAAGTAAGTAGGTACCTGAGGGGTGATCAACAGGACAGGATCCTCAAACCACCAAGTAACTAGGAATATGTGAGTCAAAGAACTCCAGGGGGATGCTGCTGAGTAAGCAAGTGACACTGATGACACAGATGACCTTTGTGACCTTCCAAAAGTTCCCTATGGCAGCAAGCGTAAGGCAGCACAATACAAGGACAATACCTAGTGTCACCACCTGTAAAAGTTCCCCAATGCTACAACCAGGTCTGAAAGTCTTTGTGAACTGCCCTCTTCCCACTGGCCACATGAAGGACAGCTGTCCATTTTCACCAACTCTCGGGTTTTCTCTTTCACTCCCCAGAAGAGTGACAGTGGTTTTCCAATTTTAGAAACTCACAGATTAAAAGGCACATGCACACGTATGTTTATAGCGGCACTATTCACAATAGCAAAGACTTGAAACCAACCCAAATGTACAACAATAATAGACTGGATTAAGAAAATGTGGCACATATACACCATGGAATACTATGCAGCCATAAAAAAGGATGAGTTCATGTCCTTTGTAGGGACATGGATGAAACTGGAAACCATCATTCTCAGCAAACTATCGCAAGGACAAAACACCAACCACCACATGTTCTCACTCATAGGTGGGAATCGAACAATGAGAACACATGGACACAGGAAGGGGAACATCACACACCAGGGCCTGTTGTGGGGTGGGGGGAGGGGGGAGGGATAGCATTAGGAGATATACCTAATGTTAAATGATGAGTTAATGGGTGCAGCACACCAACATGGCACATGTATACATATGTAACTAACCTGCACGTTGTGCACATGTACCCTAAAACTTAAAGTATAATAATAGAAAAAAAAAGAAACTCACAGATTAAAACTATTCCTGCCAAGTTTTAGGGCAACAGAATTCTTGCTCCCTCGTTTTCAGGAAACACATGTCACCCAAAGTCCAAAATGTTACTTTAGCCCTTCCTATAGATACCAATATTTCTACCAACCAATAATACAGCTACAGCAAAGAAAAACTCTCTCCAGGTCCCTTTATGAATTGCTTTACTTCCACAAATACTGTTCCTTTCAATATAAACTCTGTGACAAGTAAGAAAGGAACGTTTTCAAAGACTGAATATATATATACATATTATATTCAATATATACACATATATATATTTTTTTTGAGATAGAGTCTTGCTCTGTCACCCAGGCTGGAGTGCAGTGGAGCAATCTCAGCTCCCTGCAACCTCCACGTCCTGGGCTCAGAAAATTCTCCCACCTCTGCCTCCCGAGTAGCTGGGATTACAGGCATGTGCCACCACGCCTGGCTAATTTTTGTATTTTTGGTAGAGACGGGGTTTCACCATGGCTGGTTTCGAACTCCTGACCTCAGGTGATCCACCCACCTCGGCCTCCCAAAGTGCTGGGATTACAGGTGTGAGCCACCACACCCAGCCTGAATATTAACATGTATCTATTGATAATAAAATGCAAACCTAAAGAATCCTTCATAATCTAAACTTGTCATGAGAGACTCTCGCAGGGTTTTAATTACCTGTAGCTTGCTAGGATAAAGGCATCTTCCCTTGTAACTTAAAAAAACTTAGTTTCAATTTTCTGGAACCCTCATAGACTGTCGGTAGGAATGTAAAATAGTGCAGCCTCTTTGGAAAAGTGTGGCAGTTCCTCAAAACGTTAAGGACAGAGTTAACATAAAACTCAGTAACACCACTACTTGGTATATACCCAAGAGAATGAAACATACATTCATTCAAAAACTCTTGCACACAAGTTCACAGCAACATTACTCATAATAGCCAAAACCCATAAGTAACCCAGATGTTCATCAGCTGATAAACAGAAAAATAATGTGGTATATATCCATATGATGAAATATTACTAATATAAAGGAACAATAATAATTAAAAATACATGCTACAACATGGATAAACTTAGAAACATCAGGCTAAGTAAGAGAAGTAAGACACAAAAGGTTACACATCTTATCATTCCAGTTATATAAAATTTCCAGAATAGACACCTCTGTAGAGACAGAAAATCTATTAGTGTCTGCCTAGGGCTGGAGCGAAGAGTACATGGGGAGTGACTGAAATGTTCCAAAACCAGATTCTTGTGACTGTGGTACAACCCTGTGAATTTACTAAAAAACACTGAATTGTACACTTGAGACAAATGAATTACCTGGTATATGAATTACATCTTAAGTCGTTAAACTACATTTGAATTTTTAATCACCTTAAAAATTCAGAGGTCACCGGGCGCGGTGGCTCACACCTGTAATCCCAGCACTTTGGGAGGCCGAGGCGGGTGGATCACTTGAGGTCAGGAATTCGAGACCAGCCTGGCCAACATGGTGAAACCTCGTCTCTACTAAAAATACAAAAATTAGCTGGGCATGGTGGCGGGCGCCTGTAATCCCAGCTGCTCAGAAGGCTGAAGCAGGAGAATCGCTTGAACCTGGGAGGCAGAGGTTGCAGTGAGCCGAGATCATGCCATTGCACTCCAGCCTGGGTGACAGAGCAAGACTTCATCTCAAAAAAAAAATTCAGAGGTCAGGCATGCTGCCTCATGCCTGTAATCCCAGCACTTTGGGAGGCCAAGGTGAGAAGATCACTTGAGCCCAGGAGTTTGAGACCAGCCTAGGCAACACAGCGAGATCCCCATCTCTATAAAAATATTTAAAATGAGCCAGGAGTGGTGGCACGTGCCTGTAGTCCAAGGTACTTGGGGACTGAAGTGGAAGAATTGCTGAGCCCAGGAGGTCAAGGCAGCAGTGAGCCAAGATGGCACCACTGCATTCTAGCCTGGGCTAAAAAGCGAGACCCTGTCTCAAAAAGAAAAAAAATTCAGATATATGTTTAAAATATCACAGAACAAAAATGTACACTGAACATCAATAGTTTTATTCTCTGGTGTCTACAGGTGGGTTCAGATCACTTACCTAGTATTTTAAAATAGAGCTTCAAATTTAACCATCATTTATTCATTCAGCAATGGTTTATTGACCATTAACTATAAAGCCAGGTACTGTACTATACAGAAATGGATAAAATGCAGTGTTTGTCCTTAAAGATTAGATTTTCACAAGGGAGACACAGATGTAAACCAATCAAATGTTTTTGTTTTTTAATATGCTGTTATAAAATTTATTTGTAACTTTAACCCCTGTATTTACGTTTCCTGGCTCTAGATGTTTTCTAAATTTCCTTTCTAGTCAAAGGTAGACAAGTAGGTTACTTCCTACGTACTTTGTTTTCATAATTGCTTTATTAAAATACTATCCACAGAAAGTTTCTATCTGACCAATTAAACTGCTATACTTGACATATAAGCAAAGACTATCCCTGAGATAAACAAAATTGAGACACTATCTAAAATAGGCTATCAAAGCCATCAGTCCCTGGCCGGGCATGGTGGCTCACCCCTGTAATCGCAGCACTTTGGGAGGCTGAGGCGGGCGGATCACGAGGTCAGGAGATTGAGACCATCCTGGCTAACATGGTGAAACCCCGTCTCTACTAAAAATACAAAAAAAATTAGCCTGGCGTGGCGGCGGGCGCCTGTAGTCCCAGCTACTCGGGAGGCTGAGGCAGGAGAATGGCGTGAACCCAGGAGGCGGAGCTTGCAGTGAGCCGAGATTATGCCACTGCACTCCAGCCTGGGTGACAGAGTGAGACTCTGTTTCAAAAAAAAAAAGGAGTTTTGTTTTGCTAGAAACTCTGAAAATTTGTTTAATTTGAAAGTAAAATTTGGGAATGTTTTTATCTGAAAAGCTTTTTCTTAATCTAATATCATTTCCTATTCTAGCTTTAATTGAAAGCTGTCTAAAATCAAACGGATCTCATTTCACTTAAGTGGCCAGACTCTTTCAAAAATAAAGTCTCAATCCAATTTGTATAAAACGCTTTTATTGCTTATTTGAATAAAGTATTTCCTTCTTTACAACATTAGAAAACTCCAAAGATAAGACCAGCCTGGCCAACGTGGCAAAACCCTGTCTCTACTAAAAATACAAAAATTAGCCAGGCATGGTTGCATGCGCCTGTAGTCCCAGCTACTCAGGAGGCTGAGGCACGAGAATCACTTGATCTGGAAAGTGGAGGTTGCAGTGAGTCAAGATCACGCCACTGCACTCCAACCTGGGCAAGAGTGAGACTCTGTTTCCCAAAAATAAATAAATTAATAAAATTAGCTGGGCATGTAGCGCACCTGTAGTCCCAGCTACCTGGGAGGCTGAGGCAGGAGGATTACTTGAGTCCAGGAGTTTGAGGCTACGGTGAGCTATGATTGTGCCACTGCATTCCAACCTGGGCAACAGAACGAACCTCTGTCTCTTGAAAAATTAAAAAAAAAAAATGGGCTTAGTGTGTAGGCTCACACCTGTAATCCCAGCACTTTGGGAGCTGAAGCAGGAGTTCAACTCCTGACTGCTGGAAGCCAGGAGTTCAAGACCAGCGTGGGCAACAAAAAGAGACCCTGTCTCCACAGAAAGAAAAATTTTAAAAATTAGCCAGGCATGATAGCGTGCACCTGTAGTCCTAACTGCTCGGGAGGCTGAGGTGGGAGAATTGTTTGAGCCTAGGAGTTGGAGGATGCAGTGAGCCATGATGGAGCCACTACACTCCAGCCTGGGAGACAGAATGAGACCCTGTCTCTAAATAAATGGCCAGTCCTGGTGGCTCATGCCTGTAATCCCAGCATTTTGGGAGGCCGAGGCAGGCGGAGCACCTGAGGTCAGGAGTTCAAGACCAACCTGGCCAACATGGTGAAACCCTGTCTCTACCAAAGATATAAAAATTAGTGGGAGTGGCTAATTTAAAATACAAAAATTAGCCAGGTTTGGTGGTGCATGCCTGTAATCCCAGCTATTCAGGAGGCTGAGACAGGAAAATCGCTTGAACCTGGGAGGCGGAGATTGCAGTGAGCCGAGATCACACCACTACACCCCAGCCTGGGAGACAAGATCAAGACTTCGTCTCAAAAAAAAAAAAAATTAATTAAATAAACAAAAATTTAAAATAAAATAAAAATTTGCAAAAAACTCTAAAATGTTTAAAATGTTATCTTAAATTTAAATAACCCCACAGAGAATTTTTAGGACAGTGGCAATGCTGTGAATACTATAATGGACACAAGCTATTACACATTTGTCCAAACCCATTAAAAAGTACATCAACAAGAGCAAACCCCTATGCAAACTACGGACTCTGGATGACAATGATGCATCAGTGTAAGTTCATCGATGCTAGCAAATGCACCACTCTGATGGGGATGCTGGTAATGTGGGAGAGGCTCTGCATGTGTTGGGGCAGGGAGTATATAAAAAAAATCTCCGTACCTTCCTCTCAATTTTGCTGTGAACCTAAAACTGCTCTAAAAAATTGTTTTTTTTAATTTAAACAACTATCTTCCGTTGTGAATTCACCAGCCATATCTCTTACTTGTAAAAACTGCATGGGATACTATTCCATTTTCAAACGAACACATTTCATGTTTTATGAACTTTTAAGCACTTAAACATACGACACAATGTGTTTCCCAACTGGCGTGTGCTCTCTCACTGTGTGCTCTCCAAGTGGAGTAACTGCTGAAGAAAAGTGAAGGAAAGGCCCCTTCAATATTAGACACAGACCTGACTGATCCTTCTAACAGGGGAAAGGTGACTGAAACTGGGCCACGAGCCACAGAAGAGGCTGGAGCTGCCCAGGGGGGCCCGAGGTGGTTTGATCTGGGGGAGGGTGAATGTGAGTGTGGATGGAAGTCCCCGGTGCTCCAAAAGGGAGGGCCCCAAGACAGATAACATTCAGGTCCTTACAAAGGACACACATGCAGAACTGAATTATCTACAATGCAACCCTTCATCTGACAGCTTCTGCACAGAAAAGGAGAGGAAGAGAACTATGCAGACCTTTGCATTAAGTACTGTGTCAAACAGCATTCTATAGGAGCACGGGAGGCTGAAGAAAAAGTAGAATATTAAATAAAACAAAACAAAGAGGAGCCTACATTTACAAAGAGGAAGAAGACCTGAGATTTAAGTCAGCTAATAACTTTCGAAAAAAAAAAAAAAGTACATTTTATGCTAAAGTTCAAAACATGAAACCACCGGAAAAAAATGTAAATTTGCCGTTAATTATTTGTCATGTAGAGTCAAAATCATTTATCTTTTTTTTTTCTGAATACTCCAAAAATGGCTGGGAATAAACTATTTGCTTATCAATAGTGTACCTGCGGCCAGGCACGGTAGCTCACACCTGTAATCCCAGCACTTTGGGAGGCCGAGGCAGGCGGATCACTTGAGGTCAAGAGTTCAAGACCAGCGTGGCCAACATGGTGAAACCCCATCTCTACTAAAATACAAAAATTAAACGGGTGGTGGTGATCGCCTGTAATCCCAGCTACTCAAGAGGCTCAGGCACCAGAATCTCTTGAACCCAGGAGGCAGAGGTTGCAGTGAGCTGGGATCGCGCCACAGCACTCCAGCCTAAGCGACAGAGTGAGACTGTCTCAAAAAAAAAAAACAAAAAAAAAGTGTACCTGCTAACAACTGATCCTGCTGGTACAAGCAACAGCAATAAACAGAATTTCTTCAAAAGACTATTTCTTTCCACAGTAATATCCAAAATCATGTAAGAAAATAACAACAAAAATATTTTACACTCGTTATTCAAAGACTATCCAGTTAATCTGGTCAGTCTTAGCCAATCTTTGGCTAAAGATTTTAGAGATTTTCTTCTAATATATGTTATCCTCCTCAGAGAGGCCAGTTTCTCCAACAAATGAAACCATACTTAATTTCCTTCTAAGTGTCCTCAGAATTTGGCCAATATTCTTGGCAATAATTCTTGAGCATTTCTCTTCTTCACTTTTGGCCCTTTTGGGAGCCAAAAGGAGATAACTAAGAAACTTCAAGGACTTTAAATTCTACTAAGGCCAGATGCAGTGGCTCACGCCTGTAATCCCAGCACTTTGGGAGGCCGAGGCGGGCAATCATTTGAGGTCAGGAGTTTGAGACCAGCCTGACCAACATGGTGAAACTCTGTCTCTACTAAAAGTACAAAAATTAGCTGGGCATCGCCACGCACGCCTGTAATCTCAGCTACTCAAGAGGCTGAGGTGAGAGAATCGTCTGAGCCCGGGAGGTGGAGGTTGCAGTGAGCCAAGATTGCACCACTGCACTCCAGCCTGGGCGATAGAGCGAGACTGTGTCTCAAAAAATAAATAAATAAATAAAAGTTGACTAAATTTCACTAAGCTACTGACCTAGTAAACACTAGACATCAGGTATTAGAAAGTAGAAAGTTAGCAACTTGCCCCAAGGTGTGCCAGGTTGGTAGGTTTTACTATTCCATGACAACTCCTACAACTTTCACCTCTCACTGCATAACTTCAAATCGTAGCCTTCCACGTCTATTTTTCTTTCTTTTTTTTTTTTTTTTTGAGATAGAGTCTCACCCTGTCGCCCAGGCCGGAGTGCAATGGCACAATCTCAGCTCACTGCAACCTCCACCTCCCAGATTCAAGAGATTCCCCTGCCTCAGCCTCTCGAGTAGCTGGGATTACAGGCGTGTGCCACCATGCCCAGCTAATTTTTATATTTTCAGTAGAGATGGGGTTTCGCCATGTTGGCCAGGCTGGTCTAGAACTCCTGACCTCAGGTGATCCACCTGCCTTGGCCTCCCAAAGTGCTGGGATTACAGGCATGAGCCACTGCGCCTGGCTGGCCTCACATCTATACAGTGGAATTCTAGGTCACTAAAAATTCTCAGCTGTAGTAAATGAAAAAAGCTAATTAGACACAAGTAGGAACAACATACTTCCACTATATTAATTATGCAAATATTTTATATTACATATGAAAAGGATAAACAGACACATACACCTGTACATGCAGTAAATCATCCTGGAATGACAAACAGACCTGCAGGTTGGGGTTAGAAGAACAATGATCTTTCATGGAATATATTTTTGTACTCCACTATACATGTTTACCATTCACCTCCATGAAATTATTTTAAGTAAATCCAACCTCTGAAAAATGAATATAAGCTATATATTTGTTAGTAGGAAGCTATCTAAGAAGCTCCCTTTGCTGCATACAAGCTTCAGGACTCTCCACAGTGTGTTTGTTTTTTTGGCTCTCCCCCACTCTCCCACACTCCATCTTTCTGTCTCTATATTTACGTAGTTTAATTCTGCTGGCATCTGAATTTCCCTCTTGCTCACATCCTAACTCAGTCCAGAAGTTATCAATCCTCACTCAGGAGGTCTGGTAGCAAATCCCATGAATGACAGCAACCTGTGGCTCCTGCCCCACAGAGATGAGCTGGTTAGCAGAGAGCCTATTGTCAGCTGGGCGTGGTGGCTCACGCCTGTAATCCCAGAACTTTGGGAGGCTGAGGCATGCAGATCACCTGAGGTCGGGAGTTCGAGACCAGCCTGACCAACATGGAGGAAACCCCGTCTCTACTAAAAATACAAAATTAGCCAGATAGCGCATGCTTGTAATCCCAGCTACTTGAAAGGCTGAGGCAGGAGTATCGCTTGAACCTGGGAGGCAGAGGTTGCGGTGAGCCAAAATCGCACCACTGCCCTCCACCCTGGGCAACAAGAGCAAAACTCTGTCTCAAAAAAAAAAAGAGAGAGAGAGAGAGCCCATCGTCCTCAGAAGGTAAAGGCTCCCGGAGCCATACTTGCCCACCTGTGCCTGAGCAAATGAGCACAGCACGCTGTAGGCTTCCACATGCCCCTTCCCTGTGAGTGCTAGTTCAAGGCTGTAGAATGACTCCAAGGTCTGTCAACTCCACAGGTGAGGAAGGGACTCTGGTTAAATCCTCCTTGACCCTGAACCCTCTATCTTGCCCCCCTACTGCTTCCTTTTGTAACTTTCCCTATCACCACTCTGAAACACCCTTGTGAGAGTCGTTCTGAACTCTGCATAGCCTAAAGTCCTTCTCTAAAGCTCCACTATCTTAGGGTTTATAATCAAACCTTGATGTTATGCCACATCCAGCATTGACACTGATCCGTCACTGGCCTTTCCCTGTATTTCTTCCTGTGAAGACCCATGGCTGCTGTCTTCTCTGCCAAGATAGAATGGCAGGGACTTTTTCACCTAACATTGTTGCTAACTGTCCATCAGCCCTAAATTACTCTGAGGATTAGACCACAGCCTCTAAACAATCGTTAAGTGTCCATTTTCCAAGGAAACATGGCAACTGGTCCCAGTTAAGTAGAATGGGAAATCCATAGGTTTTGGAACCAGACAGGCCTGGAATAAATCCTAGCTCAGCCAGCTCTTTTCTGTGGCAGTCTCCTTACCATTTACTAAGCCTTGGTTTTCCTATCTGTAAATGAGGATAATAATTCCTACCTCCTGAGACGTTTGTGAAAATCAAATGAGTTACTCCCCTATGGAAAACCTGGCACTGGAACTTGCCCTCTTTACTCATGTGACACATCCCATTTCTCATCTCAGCCCCACAGCTGAATCCACCAGATTAGCCATGACCCTGTATTATTTAGTCACTAAACCTTTGACACATCTTAAAATCTTAAAGCATAAAGATCGTATTTCTGATACACTCCTTCCTTCCTATGAAAAGCAAAGTTTTGGCCTGGCATGGCAGCTCACGCCTGTAATCCCAGCACTTTGGGAAGCTGAGGTGGGTGGATCACTTGAGGTCAGAAGTTCAAGGCCAGCCTGGCCAACATGGTGAAACTCCATCTTTACTAAAAAATACAAAAATTAGTCGGGTGTGGTGGCGGGCGCCTGTAGTCCTAGCTACTCAGGAGGCTAAGACAGGAGAATCATTTGAACCCAGGAGGTGGAGGTTGCAGTGAGCCAAGATCACACCACTGCACTCCAGCCTGGGCAACAGAGTGAGACTCCATCTCAAAAAAAAAAAAAAAAAAAGAAAGGAAACAAAAGTTTGGAAACTATTATAAGGACATACTATGAGCAGCCAATCCAAGCAAAGAAAAAAGAGTATCTTGACCTCTGTTAATTACATAGTCAGTAACTTCAGTAAAATACACAAAGACAGACACAGACAGACACACCTTCCTGCTTTCTTTGGTGCTTAACTTCTTTTTTAACTTCTTTTCTGCTTAACTTCCTTTTTAATAATGGCCAAGATTCATAAGATCTTTAAGACCCTCAGGAACCCTTTCCCTCATTTTTGACAAGAGGAAAAAAAGGCCCAGGGAGCTTAAGTAACTTCTCCAAAGTTGCACAGCTAGTTAATAATATATAGTTGTGTGACTTTAGTACACAGTGCTTAAGCCCAGCAAATGGAGTAATTCATGAAAGCTTAGTCAAGGTGATATCACACTGCTAGGCTGTATTTCATGGAGCTTAGAACACTTTAAAGACATTTAAAGATATTCTGTGAATTACAGTATGTGTATCTAATTGCCAGAAATAACAAGATTCCACAGGTCTTTATTTGGTGGATGTCTCATAGCTCCCACATTCTAGACCAGTGCCATCGAATTAGACTTTCTAAGAGACAGCAATGCATTATCCAGTATGATAGCCCTTAGCTGTATATGGCTATTAAGCACATGAAATGTGGCTAGTGTAATGAAGAAACCGAATGTTTTCATTTATTTCATTGTAATGAATTTAAATTTAAAAAGCCACATGTGGCTAGGGGCTTCGATATCGGACAGTACAGCTCCAGACCTGTGTAATTTAGAGACCTAGTGCAGTAAGCACATTGAGTATTGAGCTTTGGAGACAGATAAACTCATTCAGATACTTTCTAATTCAGTAAACTTGGCCAATCCCATAACTGTCTATGTCTCAGGTTTCACATGTGTAAAAAAGAACACATTCCTCCTTAGCACCCAGGGGAGAGAATTCAAGCCAACGTGGCCTTCCTTCCGGTGTTACTTCCCGCTCATTCAAATTTGACACTAGGATTTGGCCTTTCTAGACACTTTCCCCAAATGGATGCAGTGGAGAAGTGGACTTCTAGTTCTAGGAAACAAGGATATTTAGTTCCCACAAGGATGACTGGAAAATGAAGGGGTGGACTGAGATGAAATCTGAACAATCTCACCTCTCTCTAACATCATTCTCTGTCCAGACTCAGTCTTGACTAATAACCAACAGGAAAGAGTTGAACCTGCATTTCTAGAATTCACGGCCCCCTCCTTTGTGATGCAGGCACAAACAGCCCTTCACAGGGAGAATCCTCTACAGAATCCTCTAAGCTCTAAACACTGTATGTAGCTCAGGGGAGCCCTGCTTCTGTGGCTGCAACCCTTCGGCCTCCCTCATGCCCAGCCTCCATGTGAACCCCAGCCCCTCCAGATTACCTGAAGCTGCAGTGGTGGGGACACTGGCCGGCGGTGGCTGAGAGGTGCCACTGCACTCAGTCATGAGGCACGGGTTACTGCCATTGTTCTCTCTTTTGACAAGCAGCTCGGCCGCACTGGGCAGTGGGATGGGGTGGCTGATACCCAATTCCTCCTCCTGGGCCTGCTGCCTTCTCAGGGCCACCTGGAAGCACACGACAATGAGTCATCCTCCAGCACTCCAGAATCAGCTTTGCCAAAACACAGAAGCCCCACCCATCCCAGACACCATGATTCACTAGCTCTGGAGGTGAGGTCTGAAAATCTCCCATTTCTTCTTAAACCCACCCAGGTAACTATGATGTGCAAAGCTGAGAAACAGTTTTGAGCCAGACAGTAGGTGCTCAAAAAATGCTTGTTGCCAGACATGGTCGCAGATACCTGGAATCCCAGCTACTCAAGAGCTTGAGGCAGGAGACTCACTTAAGCCCAGGAGTTTGAGGCTACGGTGGGCTATAATCGCACCACTGCACTCCAGCCTGGGAGACAGAGCAAGACCCTGTCTCTTAACAAACAAATAAAAAAGCTTGTTAAACAAATGACTGTGTAGAATAAGATTGGCTAGGGAGGATCAGGAAAAAACTATAGTCAGCCAAGGGGAGGAGTACAATCTGAAGAGTAGAGTGGGTCAGAAGCACTAACAGATTAGGAAGGAAAATGGGATCACTCACTCCTTCATTCCATAAACTTGTAAAAGGCCACTGTACTAAAAACAGGTACCAGTAAGAGTAGATTGTATCCTACATTACTTACTGTTTAACAAATGAAACAGGGCCAGGAGTGGTGGTTCGCACCTGTAATCCCAGCACTTTGGGAGGCAGAGGTGGGCCGATCACCGGAGGTCAGGAGTTCGAGATCGGCCTGGCCAACATGGTGAAACCCCATCTCCACTAAAAAAAATACAAAAATTAGCCAGGCATGTTAGCCCACCTGTAGTCCCAGCTACTCGGGAGGCTGAGGCAGGGGAATTGCTTGAACCCAGGAGGCAGAGGTTGCAGTGAGCCGAGATCGCGACACTGCACTCCAGCCTGGGCGACAAAACAAGACTATGTCTCCAAAAAAAAAAAAAAAAAGGCAAAAACAGGAGGCAAACATGCAACTACAACAAAAGGCAAACTGAGACCAACACCACAAGAGTGGTACACAGAAGTACCTTTCACTCCTACAGAAGAAAGTCAGAGAGAGAAATGTCTTTCACATGTTAAAATCAGCCAGCAGTAGTATTTGGACAGAGCCTTGAAGAATAGGATGAGGAGGACTTGGACAGGCAAGGATGAAGGGGCAGTACATATCGGAATAATATGGAACAGGGTGGGCAGGAAAGGCAGGCAGGGTCTGCTTAGGAAAGCCTGCAGAGCCCTGATTCCTGGGGTGGAGGGAGCATGCGGGAGAAGCAGTGGGGAAAGGGGCTGGAATTTGGTGTTGAAGTCCCTGAAGGAAGAAGAGGCTGAAGGCAGGGAGGAAGGGAGAAGACAGGTGTGTGATATTCCAGACAGACAGGAAGAAGAGAGCCAGAACTGGGGACTGGAAAGGACCTGACATACCCAAGAAGCTCTTCATGGTCCCTCTTCAATAACACCGTTAAAGATTGAAAAAAGGCCAGGCGGGGTTGCTCACACCTGTAATCCCATCACTTTGCGATGCTGAGGCAGGTGTATCACCTGAGGTCAGGAGCTCGAGACCAGCCTGACCAATATGGTGAAACCCCATCTCTACTAAAAATACAAAAACTAGCCAGGCATGGTGGTGTGCGCCTGTAATCCCAGGTACTCAGGAGGCCGAGAGGAGAATTACTTGAAGCCAGGAGGTGGAGGTTGCAGTGAGCCGAAATCGAGCCACTGCACTCCAGCCTGGGCAATGGAGCAAGACTCCGTCTCAAAAAAATAAATAAATAAATAATAAGATTGAAAAAACAGGTTTAAAGAAAATTAATTGTATTTTTGCTTTCTACATGTAACAAAGACTTTCTGTTGAAACTAAGGTATGGTGCTTATGAAATGACAGTGAAGCACCCACACCGCAGAGCTGCCCAAATATAAGCCAAAGGTGAAATCAAAACGTTCAATTAAAAAACACAACTACAGGCCGGGCGCAGTGGCTCACGCCTGTAATCCCAGCACTCTGGGAAGCCGAGGCGGGTGGATCACCTGAGGTCAGGAGTTTGAGACCAGCCTGGCCAATATGGTGAAATCCCGTCTCTAACTAAAAATACAAAAATTAACCGGGTGTGGTGGCGTGTGCCTGTAGTCCCAGCTACTCGGGAGGCCGAGGCAGAAGAATCGCTTGAACCCAGGAGGCGGAGGTTGCCGTGAGCTGAAATCATGCCACTGCACTACAGCCTGGGGGACAGAGCGAGACTCCTGTCTCAAAAAAAAAAAAAAAAAAGAAAGAAAGAAAGAAAAACAACTACAATTTATATGTTGTTTTAGGAAAACCACAGTCCAAACACAGGAAGCTGATTAATTGGGAAGTAATTTTCCTCATAGCCAAAAAAAAGTCTTCGACTTAGAAAAATTCATCTTAAATAATTAATTACTTAAAATTAAATAATTAAGCTTAAATCTTGGATTTCCTATTACTAACCAAGAGGCTTAGAAAGAGAACATCAATGAATCTGGCCAGAAACAAGTTTTAAACCCCTGCAAACCTCTGAAGCACATCCAAAATGCACAGGTATCTACTCCATATGCTAAGGACCTTCTCTCAAGGTTTCTTAGAAAATATTATATAAAAAGGAAAGGGGATAACAATTGATTAAAAATGCAACTATACAATTATTTTAGAATCATACGTAAGATCAATTTCAAACTATTTAAAAATGACTAGAAGTAGTTGTTTTATGGATTTTTAAGGATTCATCTGGCACAGTACACACCTTCTGGTGTAGAAAATACTGAAGTTTCCCATTCTAAGTGACCTTGAGTTGCTTTTGTTTTTAACGGTGTAAGCAGCCTCCTCTACTAATAAAGGTTATTCAAAATTAATTCCTCTACTAGAATATTTTTACTACATTTTGAGAAATCCCCCAAGCATGTTCTCCACACTAAATAAGCCAACGACTAAATGTTTAGAGAATTTTTCTGCCCAGAGTATAATTTAAAAGTCCATTAATTTTTTTCAGTAAACTCATTGTGATGCATTTTACTGCCACACCCAGTGTATTCTTTTCACCCACTACAGATTAAGCTTTAAAAATCTATTAAGAAATTAAGCAAAACAATATCTATTTTCATGACTGCACTCGCCATCTGTGAAGCCAAAATACGTTTAGTATAAAACACATTTGTAAAAATCTGATATATTATATAAAAGCATATAACCTTCGGGCATTTGTTTTCAATGGAGGATATTTACACGTTCCTAATCAAAAGTAGCACATCGTTAGCAAACATTTCTTCGTTATCTTTTCATTTTAAATAACCTGTCTTAAAAAGATGAAACAACTTTTAACTGGAAATAACGTGGATTACTGCCTTCCAAAAATCCTTTTAGAATACTAAAGACATTAACTTTCCGTTAAAATGTTAAATTACCAGCCTACTTACGAACCTTCAAAAAAACAAAACCACAGACGGACCAAATCTCAAACCCTGGCGCGCTTTTTTCCACCTGCGCATATTCTTTAAAATTCTTAAGCGTGCTTTAAAACATCTTCAAAGTAATTTGCACTTTAATCTTCGGTCGAGAATGCAAATTTTAAAATGCTAATAAAATTTCCAGAGCTCTCAAAATGGCTGAGGCGCTCAGCCTCCATCCACGGAGGGCGAAGACAAAAAGCGCCCCAGGCGCGCAGGGAAACCGCGCAACGCTGTGTCCATTGCAGCGACTTTTCCAGAAAAACAAACAAGGCTTTCCGACAGGTTACCCGCGTAAGCAGCAGCCGGCCGAGCCTCCCTTTCCCGCTAACCTAGCAGCCAGCGCTGCCGCCCTCCAAGATCCTTTCTAATTTAAGTGCAACTCAGCAAGGAGGGAGAGTCAGAGATTCTGGGGACGCTCGAGGAAATCGAACCCCGAAACCCTCTGCTCCCAAGGCGCGGTCGGAGATTTTTGGGACCCCAAAGCGGAGAGAATTCCTTAATTCTCTGCTAGAAGAGCGGGGCTAGAGATCCCTGGGATTCCCTTGGAGTCGAACCCTCCCCTCTAGCCTCACCTCGGAGGGCGGGAGCGAAGATCCTGAAGACTCCTCTAGCGCAATAAACCCTCCCAATTCTGTTGGAACGCGGGCTCTGGGATCGCGGGGAAGCCCAGAGGGGCGAACCCCGGAATTCCCTGCCCTGAGAGCGGGATCAGGGATCTCAGGGACCCGGGAGCAGAGGGAACCCCCGCAACTCCGCCGAAACACAGGGTGAGAGATCGTGGGGAACCCCGAGCCGAGCGAAGCCCGCAACTCTGCCCGGCGGGCGGGATCAGACGCGTCTCCGGCGCTCCCAGACCGGCGATGTAGCGTGGCCGGGAGCCCAGGACCCCAAGCGCCGCCGCTGTCGGCAAGTACCGCCGCATCTCTCCACAACCCAGGACCCGCATGGCAACGGCCATGCTGGGGGGACTTCATTCAAGAAACTCGGGCCCCGCCGGGAGCGGTGGCCCACGCCTGTAATCCCAGCACTTTGGGAGGCCGAGGCGGGTGGATCACCTGAGGTCAGGAGCTCGAGACCGGCCTGACCAATATGGTGAAACCCCCGTCTCTACTAAAAATACAAAAATTAGCCGGGCATGGTGGTGTGCGCCTGTAGTCCCAGCTACTTGGGAGGCTGAGGCAGGAGAATTGCTTGAACCCGGGAAGCGGAGGTTGCAGTGAGCCAAGATCGCGCCACTACACTGCAGCCTGGGCAACCGAGCGAGACTCCATCTAAAAAAAAAAAAAAAAAAAAAAACTAAGGCTGAACCCGGGCTCCCGCACGCCCGCACCCACCTGCGCGGCCATCACGCGCTGCCTCTCGGCGATCAGGTTGCACTTCTTGCACTGGCAGTCGCGCCACATGCAGAAGCGCTTGTGGCCCTTGAGCGGCGAGGCGTAGCCGTGGTTCCTGCAGCGTGCGCACTTGGGCAGCCGCGGGGACTTCTTGCTCCCGGCACCCAGGTCCGACGCCCCGGAGCCGGAGCCGCCTCCTCTGCTGCTGCCCCCGGCGCTCGAGCCGCTGGCCGCCCCCACTAGCGCCCCAGACGCTTTGCCAAAGCCCCCGGCTCTGCCCTGCGGCGGTACCCCGGGGGCGTGAGGGGCTTCCGACGGTGTAGAGGGCTTGCTGAATGCCTCGTCGTTGGGCATGGTGCCCCTAGGAGAAGTGCGAGCACTCTGGCCCCCTCTCTCGCCTGGAGACTGCTGCGAGGGATGAACCCGACGGACAGCGACGCTCCGGAGGAGGAGGCGCAGGAGACGTGTGCGCTGCAGCCGGAGGCGCAGCTGGAGTGGCGAGGTCTGGGCACGCCACGCCCGGAGTGGTGGGGGGTTGTGCCTTTTCTTTTGGCGCGCGCGCGACTCAGAACTTTCGGATACTTTTCAGAACATTCCCGGGACTGCCTGGGAGGGAGCGTGGCCACGCCCACCGCCCCCCGACTCCAGCCACCGCTCTCCAGCTGCTTGCAAACTTGCACCGGCTGCAAGCATCCAGGGCTTTGCTGCAGGGTCCCTGCAAGCGCACCGAGAGATACAGAGCGGCCTGGGAATCGCGTGGCACCCCTCGCCCCGCTCTCGGAGGCGCCAAGACCCGGTTGCCAAAGCACGGTGCACCGAGGAAGCTGGGCTCCCCAGGTCAAGACCAGAGCCGTGCTTGCATGCTTAGAGGAGGTGCAAACCACCCTATGGGGTCTTCTAGCTCCCTTTCCCCCAGAGAGACGCACCAGATTTGATAGAGCCGACCTTGGCAGCAGCCAAGTCAGAAAAAAATTTTTTTTCTCGCTTAAGAGAATTAAATATGAGGTGGAAGGCCTGAGAAATTTATAGGGTAAATCAGAGTTGCCCTATATACGGCAAAGAAGATCCTCAGTGTTGGGGCACAAGCACTTCAAAAATCTCAAAGGTTGGAACTTTCTGTTCTCCGTTTATCCCTTCCTGCACCTGTCTTCATTTGCTCACAACACTTCTACCTCCTTCGCTCCAAATAACTTTACGATCTACTGTTGCAGCCCGTGTTCCCGTTCACTTCAGGTGCATATAGCTTCTTGTCTGTGAGGCTGTTTAAACTTAGACTCTGCAGGCACGGGAAACTCAAACTTAAAAAGAAACATATGTATTAAAAAAAACTGAGGTTGTGGGGGGTGGTTACACAGATGTAGAAATGTATCAAAACTCATTCTACACTTCATATCTTGCATTTTACAGTATGTCATTATACCTCTACACACACACACACACACACACACACACACACACACACACACACCCCTGGCTCGATCATCTTACAGCCTGTCCCAGGGTTCTCATCCTGAACTCCCGCCCCAGCCATGCCTGTGTCCTCTCTGCACCTGCACAACAAATGTATCCCTAAGGCCTGCTGAGCAGTTCTTCCTACACACCCACGTGCCCCCCTAAGGCCAGCCCTTCACCTCAAGTCTGAATCTCTGCGGTAGCTCCCAGCTGCTATCTCCATGTCTTAGTCTTCCGGTATATTCTATACACACAGCAGGGGGCCCCAGCAGTACTTTGCTATTGTTTTCCATGTTAACAAGTTAAAGACCCCGGAGTGGCTCTTAATGCACTTTGAATGCTCCTTATTTTCCACCAGCACTGGTACTCACCTTCAGGATCCTGGGCCGCCTCCAGACCTAGGGGATTATTTCTCCAAAGAGGCATGGTCACCCTGTTCAACTTCTCATCAAAATGGTTGTACTGTGGCCACCTCTTTCAGCAGTTTGGTGTTTTCAGCACTGAGTTCTGAAATCCTCGAATCTGCCTTTGGAGCTCTAATTCTGAGGCCTCTCTCACAGGCCCTTTCCCTCAGTCTGAAATTTCTCCATTAGTATTCTCTGTCTGAAAATTACTTCCAAAAGAAGCTTCTAGCTTTACACAGCACCTCATACCCTACCTGTGAAACCAGTGAAGCTCTACTCCTGACAGGAGCTAGGATGCAACAATCTATTCCATCCTGGAAACTTATAAATGATAACCACTTAAATCTTCCATTAAAACAATCTTCCATTAAAACACGCATGTCAATTGCTGTTATCCAATATTTATGTTCTTTTTCCAGATTTATATTTTATTTATTTAATTTTTAGAGATAGAGTCTTGCTCTGTTGCCTGGGCTAGAGTGCAGTGGCACAGTCATAGCTCACTGTAGCCTCCAGTTTCTGGGCTAAAGGGATCCTCCTGCCTCAGCCTTCCAAGTAGCTGGGACTAGAAGCATGTGCTACCACGCCAAATTTTTTTTTTTTTTTGAAATGGAGTCTCGCACTGTCACCCAGGCTGGAGTGCAGTGGCGCGATCTCAGCTCACTGCAAGCTCCGCCTACCGGGTTCACGCCATTCTCCTGCCTCAGCCTCCCAAGTAGCTGAGACTACAGGCGCCTGCCACCATGCCCGGCTAATTGTTTGTACTTTTAGTAGAGACCGGGTTTCAACATGTTAGCCGGGATGGTC
Organism: Homo sapiens; assembly: GCF_000001405.40. NCBI lineage: Eukaryota > Metazoa > Chordata > Mammalia > Primates > Hominidae > Homo > Homo sapiens. Next base: position 839,529 of record NC_000009.12, on the reverse strand, counting down.
TCGATCTCCTGACCTCGTGATCCACCCGCCTCGGCCTCCCAAAGTCCTGGGACTACAGGCGTGAGCCACCAAGCCTGGCCCCAATTTTTAAAAATTTTGTGGAGACAGGGGCTTACTATGTTACTCAGGCTGGTCTCAAACTCCTGGCCTCAAGTGATTCTCCTCCTTCCACCTCCCACAGCACTGAGATTTATAGGTGTGAGCCACCGTGCCTGACCCATATTTGTATTTTAATATATAAACTGGAGCTGAATCATTCCCAAGGTCCTGTCCAGTTCTAGAGAGTGAAGTAGATGCAGGAGGAAACAGCTGTCAAATCCCAAATTACAGGGGAATATAGGTTCTTTATAAGCATCCTATTACTGGAATCTGTGAAGGAGGAATTTAAGCCCACAGAAAATTCGGGGCTAGGAATCTCTGTGACCAAGGTATTATAACATAAAATGTTGTGATGAAGTTAATAGCCTAGTAAATTTATTCACAAACCACAGAAGAGGTACCAGACAGGAGACCACCAAAAATAGAGACGGGCCCTGCACAGTGGCTCACGCCTATAATCTCAGCACTTTGGGAGGCCGAGGCGGGCAGACCACCTGAGGTCAGGAGTTCGAGACCAGCCTGGTCAACAGGGTGAAACCCCTTCTCTACTAAAAATGCAAAATTAGCCAGGCATGGTGGCACACACCTGTAATCCCAGCTACTCGGGAGGCTGAGGCAGGATAATCACTTGAACCCGGGAGGCGGAGGTTGCAGTGAGTCAACATCGTGCCATTGCACTCCAGCCTGGGCAAAAAAAAAGCAAAACTCCACCTCCAAAAAAAAAAAAAAAGTGGCCAGGCGCGGTGGCTCACACCTGTAATCCCAGCACTTTGGGAGGTGGAGGCAGGTGCATCATGAGGTCAGGGGTTCAAGACCAGCCTGACCAACATGGTGAAACCCTGTCTCTACTAAAAATACAAAAATTAGCCGGGCTTGGTGGCGCGTGCCTGTAATCTCAGCTACTCGGGAGGCTGAAGTAGGAGAATCTCTTAAAACCTGGGAGGCAGAGCTTGCAGTGAGCTGAGATTGCGCCATTGCACTCTAATCTGGGCAAGAGAGGGAGACTCCTTCTCAAGAAAAAAAAAAAGTCTGGGCGCAGTGGCTCATGCCTGTAATCCCAGCACTTTGGGAGGCCGAGGCAGGCAGATCACTTGAGGTCAGGAGTTTGAGACCAGCCTGGCCAACATGATGAAACCCTGTCTCTACTAAAATACAAAAATTAGCTGGGCAGGGTGGTGGGTGCCTGTAATTCCAGCTACTTGGGAGGCTGAGGCTAGAGAATCGTTTGAACCCTGGAGGCAGAGGTTGCAGTGAACCGAGATGGTACCACTGCACTCTAGCCTGGGTGACACAGTGAGACTCTGCCTCAAGAAAAAAAAAATAGAGACAGGAAGGCCCCAAGAATGAACAAATTTGTACTGGATATTTCAAGTAGCCTGGCTTTGTTGTCTCCTTTCTCTCCTCTCCTTTTTCCAGACATGGAAGCCATAAAGATGGTGATGCAGATCTGTATTTACTGAAATAGAAATATGTCCAAGACATATTGGTAAGTGGGGGGAGGGGCAGTTCTAAAACATGTCAGGGTTGGGCAAAGACTTCTTAGGCATAACACCAAAAGCAAAAGTGGGCCGGGCGCAGTGGCTCATGCCTATAATCCTAGCACTCTGGGAGACTGAGACGGGTAGATCGCCTGAGCTCAGGAGATCGAGACCAGCCTGGGCAACACGGTGAAACCCCATCTCTACTAAAATACAAAAAATTAGCCAGGCGTGGCAGCCTGCGCCTGTAATCCCAGCTACTGAGAAGGCTGAGGCAGGAAAATTGCTTGAACTGGGGAAGCAGAGGTTGCAGTGAGGCAAGATCACACCACTGCCCTCTAGCCTGGGCCACAGAGCAAGACTCCATCTCAAAAAAAAAAAAAAGCAAAAGTGATGAAAGGAAAAAAACTGGCAAACTGGACTTCACCAAAATTCAAAGCTTTTGTGTCTTCAAAAGATACCATTAAGAAAATGAAAATACAGCCTGACCCGGTGGCTTATGCCCATAATCCCAGCACTTTGGGAGGCTGAGGTGGGCAGATCGCCTGACATCAGGAGTTCAAGACCAGCCTGGCCAACTTGGCGAAACTCTGTCTCTACTAAAAATACAAAAATTAGCCAGGCGTGGTAGCGGGTGCCTGTAATCCCAGCTACTCGGGAGGCTGAGGCAGGAGAATCGCTGGAACCCCGGAGATGGAGGTTGCAGTGAGCCAAGATGGCGCCACCACACTATAGCCTAGGCAACAAGGCAAGACTCCATCTCAAAGAAAAGAAAAAAAAAAAAAAGAAGAAAAAAAGAAAAGAAAATGAAAATACAAGCCAAAACATTTTGTGAGAAAATATTTGAAAATCATATATCTGATCATCATATATCTGATTTGTATCCAGAATATATAAACAACTCTTACAATTTAATAATGAAAAGACAACCCAATTGAAAAATGGGTTTAATATGGCCAGGCATGGTGGCTTACACCTGCAATCTCAGCACTTTGAGAGGCTGAGGCAGGAGGATATCTTGAACCCAGGAGTTCCAGACCAGCCTGGGCAATATAGGGAGACCCCATCTCTGTAGATAATTTAAAAATTAGCCAAGTGTAGTAGTGTGCACCTGTAGTCCCAGCTACTCAGGAGGCTGAGGTGGAAGGATCACTTGAGCCTGGGAGGCTGCAGTGAGCTGAGATGGCACCACTGCACTCCAGCCTGGGAGACAGAGCGAAACCCTGTCAAAAAAACAAAACAAGATTTGAACAGACATTTTACCGAAGAAAATATTCAAATAGCCAAAAGATGTTCAGTGTATTTACTCATTAGAGAAATACAAATAAAAAACATAATAAGCTATTGCTTCACACTCACTAAGATACCTGTGATCAAAAAGATAGACAATAGCAAGTATTGACTAGGATGTGAAGAAACAAAAACTCTCGTATATTGCTGATGGGTATGTAAAATTGTGGAAAACTTAACATATGACCCAATAATTTCAATACTAGGTCTCTTCCTCAGAGAAGTGAAAACATACACCCATGCAAAGACTTGTACATTAAAATGTATAGCAGCATTTTTTTTTTAAGCGGAGTCTCGCTGTTGCCCTGGCTGGAGTGCAGTGGCACGATCTCGGCTCACTGCAACCTCTGCCCCTCGGGCTCAAGCAGTTCTCCCTGCCTCAGCCTCCTGAGTAGCTGGGATTACAGGCGCCTGCCACCACACCCAGCTAATTTTTTTTTTTTTTTTTGAGATGGAGTTTCACGCTTGTTGCTCAGGCTGGAGTGCAATGGCGTGATCTCGGTTTACCGCAATCTCTGCCTCCTCGGTTCAAGCGATTCTCCTGCCTCAGCCTCCCAAGCAACTGGGATTACAGGCATGGGCCACCACACCCGGCTAATTTTTGTATTTTTAGTAGAGACGGGGTTTCTCCGTGTTGGTCAGGTTGGTCTCGAACTCCTGACCTCAGGTGATCTGCCCGCCTTGGCCTCCCAAAGTGCTGGGATACAGGCATTAGCCACCACACCCAGCCTAGTTTTTGTATTTTTAGTAGATATGGGGTTTTACCATGTTGGCCAGGCTGGTCTTGAATGCCTGACCTAAGGTGATCTGCCCGCCTTGGCCTCCCAAAGTGCTGGGATTACAGGCATAAGCCACCGTGCCCAGCCCAGCATTAGTTATTTGAAACAATTCAAATGTCCATCAACAGGTGAATGAATGAACAAACTGTGATATATCCATACAATGGAACATTATTGAGCCGTCAAAGGGAATGAAGTAATGATATATACTACACCACGGATGAACCTTGAAAACATTGTGCTATGTAGAAGAAGCCAGATTCAAAAGACTACCTGTGGTATAACCTCATTTATATGAAATGTTCACAAGAGGCAAAATCAATAGAGACAGAAATCAGATTAGCCAGTTGCCAGGAACCAGAGGTAGATACTGGGAGTAAGTGTAAATGCATATAAAATATTCTTTTGGAAGCCAGACATGGTGGCTTGTGCCTGTAATGCCAGCTACTTGGGAGGCTGAGGTGGGAGGATGGCTTGAGCCCAGGAGTTTGAGGCTGCAGTAAGCTATGATCAAACCATTGCAGTCCAGCCTGGGCAACAGAGTGAGACCCCATCTCCAAAAATAAATAAATAAGGCCGGGCGCGGTGGCTTACACCCATAATCCCAACACTTTGGAAGGCCGAGGCAGATGGATCATGAGGTCAAGGGATGGAGATCATCCTGGCCAACATGGTGAAACCCCGTCTCTACTAAAAATACAAAAAATTAGCTGGGCATGGTGGCATGTGCCTGTAGTCCCAGCTACTTGTGAGGCTGAGGCAAGAGAATCACTTGAACCCTGGAGGCAGAGGTTGCAGTGAGCCAAGATCTCACCATTGCACTCCAGCCTGGTGACAGAGCAAGACTCTCTCAAAATAATAAAAATGTTAAAAAAATAAATAAATAAATAAATAAATAAATAAATATATTTTAGGGATAATGAAATGATCTAAAATTGGATTGTAGTAATGGTTGCAAAATTGTAAATTTACTGAAATTATTCTTATCATTAAAACAATAAATTTTATGGTATATAAATTATACCTCAATGAAGCTATTTAAATTTTTTTAATTAAAAAACACAAAGAAAACTACCCATAATGTACCGTATGGTTCCATTGTGGTTTTCTTCATTGTTGAAATACAAACTAATGCATGTTTATTTGTGCTTGAGCAGGTTATTTAATTTTCCCTGTGTGATAGGATTATGAATGGTATTCTCCTACTTTACAATCTGACTTTTTTTTTTCCAAGATGGAGTCTTGCTCTGTCACCCAGGCTGGAGTCCAGTGGTGTGTTCTCGGCTCACTGAAACCTCTGCTTCTGGGGTTCAAGCGATTCTCACGTCTCAGCCTCCCTAGTAGCTGGGATCTTGGCTCACTGCAACCTCTGCTTCTGGCGTCCAAGCGATTCTCATGTCTCAGCCTCCCTAGTAGCTGGGATTACAGGCGCCCGCCACCACACCCGGCTAATTTTTTTTATTTTTAGTAGAAACGGGGTTTCACCATGTTGGCCAGGCTGGTCTGGAACTCCTGGTCTCAACTGATCCGCCCGCCTCAGCCTCCCAAAGTGCTGAGATTACAGGTGTGAGCCACCGCACCCGCCCTGATTTTTTTTTTAACACTTAGCAGGCATTACTTTTACTATTAGAATAAAACAATATGTTGTTTTATTGGTGAGGCAATATAGCATATTGATTAAATGCATAGCTTTGAATCCAAGCTCTGTGACCTTAGGCTCCTTAACCGTTCTGTGACTCAGTCTCCTCACCTATAAAAAGGGGTTAATACTAATGCCTACTTCAAAGGGTTAGTGAGAAGACTAAATTAGTTAATACTTGTGGAGTGCTGAGAAAAGTAAGTGGTACACAGTAACATGTCTTCTACTGTGGTTGTTATTTCCCGATTGGAAAGAAAAAAAGAGTACAGAGAAAGCAGATATATACACATATACACCTGCCACATATTGGAAGAACTTGTGGGGAGGGGCAGCTACAGAAGGCACTGATGATCAATTCCATCTACTTCGCATTTCATCCACAGAAAGCTGTTTTTGTCCCAGATCTTGGTACAACACGTCAAGGGAAACTTCTCTGTGGTGCCTCTGACCATGTATATGAAGTGAGATACTATGTGATCAAAATATTCAGCTCCCTATGCCAAGCATGCAGCTGTGAGTCAGCTGGCTTGAACTGACGATAAGGTGTACAGCTGTGTGTGATCAATGTCCCGGTTGATTCCATCTCATACGAGTCCTCCTCCACTAAATGCTACTGCTCCTACCAGCAGGTAGAAGGGACAAGTGGGACTGCTAGGACCTGAAGCATTTAGTGGAGGAGGACCTTGTATGAGATGGAAGATTGAACTGTAGTCACACAGGATTTGAGGAGGCTGAAAGGAGAAAACAAGGCATTCTAGGTCATGGGAACAACGGATGGAAGGCTGGGCATTGGGAGTGTGCCTGTAGGTTGGGGGAGAGGGCACAGACATGCCAGTCTGGAACAGAGGAGTCAAGCTGGAGCCCAGCAGGAGATAAGGTTGGAAAGATAGCATGGCACCTTGCCTGCCAGTGAGGAATTTGGCTTCTATCCTTTAGGCAAATTGAGAATGATGGAGGCTTTTGTCCTTGAGGTGTTTGAGGAATGAAAGTGTAAGTGTGGGTTCTGCCAATCACTGCCTGATTGGAACAAACCAGTTAGCAGCATCTTTGAGCTTTCTGTCCTTACACAGGGACAATATCAGGGATTAGGGATGTTTGTAAAATGCCCAGTTGTTTGTTCTATGCCTGCCACATAGAAATTGCTTGATCATTGTTGGTAGCTGACACTGACTGTAGTTTGGATTGGAGGAACAGGAGGAACCTGAACGCAGATAGTGCTGGCGTGGACCTAGTTGTTCAGAAAGATGGCTATGTTTGAGGTTGCAGAAGTGAAACCTAATTACCAACCATTTTCCTCTATGCATTTGAGTTCCCACCAACATCCATGCAGACAAACAAAGGCAGTCAAGATCCTGTGTATCTTAGGTAAGAATACAGGCCTCGCAATCAGACTCCCTGTGTTGGAGTCCCAGTTTTGCTATTTACCAGCCATATGCCTATGAGCAAGTCACTTACCCTCTTTGTGTCACCCTTTCCCCATCTGAAAATTGGAAATAACCTGAGAACTGTTGTGAAGATGTAATAATTGATGTATGTAAAGGGCTTAAAACACTGCCTACGAGAGAATAAAGACTGTCCAAGTGTGAGCTATTACTGTTTTCTAATTCTGTAAGAGGAATTTCTTTTTCTTTCTTTCTTTTTTTTTTTGAGATGGAGTTTCACTCTTGTTGCCCAGGCTGGAGTGCAATGGCTCGATCTCGGCTCACCCAATCTCCACCTCCTGGGTTCAACAGATTCTCCTGCCTCAGCCTCCCGAGTAGCTGGGATTACAGGCATGTGCCACCACTCCTGGCTAATTTTGTATCTTTAGTAGAGACAGAGTTTCTCCACGTTGGTCAGGCTAGTCTTGAACTCCTGACCTCAGGTGATCCGCCCGCCCTGGCGTCCCAAAGAGCTGTGATTACAGGCGTGAGCCACCGGTGCGTCCGGCCCTTGTAAGAGGAATTTTGAAGCACAAATTGAAGATGAGGGGATCTAGGAGGCAGGTTTAAGGATCTGAGCAGTTTGCTAGTTCTTCCCAAATACAATGTTCTCAACAACGTAGTAATTAGAACCCCAGCTTGGAAACTGGAAGTAAATGACAAAGCCTCTAGGTGGTAGACATTTGTCATAAGCACAGCATCCTGATGTTATCTGAGCATCCAGAGCCTGTCTCAGGCTCTTAAGAAGATGAGGGGTACACTAAGGTGGCACATCATAAGCAGCACATTGGCTGGCAGGTTAGCAAAATAGAAGGCTGATGAGAGGGGGCAGCACAGCCATAAAACAGGGAAGCCTGGTCTGTGTTACTCAGGGCTGGGGCCGTCACTGCTTTATTAGACTATATAAACAGTGATTGGTTTTCACAAGTAATGCCTGTATGAGTTATCAAAAGAGTACGTCATGTTCATTTCATTACCTTTTTTTTTTTTTTTTTGAGAGGGAGTCTCGCTCTGTCGCCCAGGCTGGAGTGCAGTGGCGCGATCTCGGCTCACTGCAAGCTCCGCGTCCCGGGTTCACGCCCTTCTCCTGCCTCAGCCTCCCGAGTAGCTGGGACTACAGGCGCCCGCCACCACGCCTGGCTAATTTTTTTTGTATTTTTAGTAGAGACAGGGCTTCACCGTGTTAGCCAGGATGGTCTCCATCTCCTGACCTTGTGATCCACCTGCCTCGGCCTCCCAAAGTGCTGGGATTACAGGCGTGAGCCACCGCGTCTTCCCTCATTACTCTTTTTTTAAGCGTGTGAATAATTTTAGATTTTTTTTCCCCAGTGAAAATTGTTAAAATGTAAGTTTTGACATGTAAAAGAGAAACTTTGTCATTTAGAAAAAGCACTGAATGTGATGCAGGTTAAAAAAAGTAATTCAAAGAAAATGGACTCATAATCCAGATAAATTAAGGTATTTATTTATTTATTATTTTTTTGAGACGGAGTCTCGCTCTGCCGCCAGGCTGGAGTGCAGTGGCGCCATCTCAGCTCACTGCAACCTCTGCCTCCCAGGTTCAAGCGATTTTCCCCTGCCTCAGCCTCCCAAATAGCTGGGACTACAGGTGCGTGCCACTGCCCAGCTAATTTTTGTATTTTTAGTAGAGACAGGGTTTCACTATGTTGGCCAGGATGGTCTCAATTTCTTGACCTCGTGATCTGCCCGCCTCGGCCTCCCAAAGTGCTGGGATTACAGGTGTGAGCCACCTCGCCTGGCCAAGATATTTATTTATTTATTTATTTATCTTTTTATTTTTTTGAGACAGAGTCTTACTCTGTCGCCCATGCTGGAGTGCAGTGGCGTGATCTCGGCTCACTGCAACCTCTGCCTCCCGGGTTTAAACGATTCTCCTGCCTCAGCCTCCTGAGTAGCTGGGATTACAGGCGCCTGCCACGGTGCCTGGCAAATTTTTGTATTTTTAGTAGAAACGGGGTTTCACCATCTTGGTCAGGCTGGTGTCAAACTCCTGACCTTGTGATCCACCCGCCTCAGCCTCCCAAAGTGCTGGGATTACAGGGGTGAGCCACTGCGCCGGCCCCAAGATATTTATTTTTAAGATAATTGTAGATGACTTTTCAGTATTAACTGCTGTTTTGAAACAATCAGGAGACTGACTCATATTAATCTAAAGAAAAAAATGGTTTATCATCATACGTTTTTCTTGTAGAATCAGTTGCTTAAAACTTCAAGAAGAAGGATGGGCTCTGTGGCTCACGCCTGTAATCCCAGCACTTTGGGAGGCTGAGCGGGGTGGATCACTTGCGGTCAGGAGTTCAAGACCAGCCTGGCCAACATTGTGAAATCCTGTCTCTACTAAAAATACAAAAAGTTGCCGGGCTCAGTGGCTCACGCCTGTAATCCCAGCACTTTGGGAGGCCAAGGTGGACGGATTGCCTAAGGTCAGGAGTTTGAGACCAGTCTGGCCAACATGGTGAAACCCCGTCTGTACTAAAATTACAAAAAAATTCGCTGGGCGTGGTGGCGTGCACCTGTAATCCCAGCTACTCGGGAGGCTGAGACAAGAGAATCACTTGAACCAGGGAGGTGGAGGTTACACTGAGATGCACCACTGCACTCCAGCCTGCGTGACAGTGTGAGACTCTGTCTCAAAACAAACAAACAAACAAAAAACAACCCAAAAAATTAGCCGGCTGTGGTGGCATACACCTGTAATTCTAGCTACTCGGGAAGCTGAGACAGGAGAATCACTTGAACTTGGGAGGCAGAGGTTGTAGCGAGCCGAGATCAAGCCTGGGCAGCAGAGCAAGACTTCAACTCAAAAAAAAAAAAAAAAAAAAAAAAAAGAAAAGAAAAGAAAAGAAAGAAACTTCAAGACGAAACCTGCTTTTAAAAACATCTATTTTGGGCCAGGTGCAGTGGCTCACGCCTGTAATCCTAGAACTTTGGGAGGCCGAGGCGGGTGGATCACGAGGTCAGGAGATCAAGACCATCCTGGCTAACACGGTGAAACCCCGTCTCTACTAATAATACAAAAAAAATAGCCTGGCATGGTGGCGGGTGCCTGTAGTCCCAGCTACTCGGGAGGCTGAGGCAGGAGAATGGCGTGAACCCAGGAGGCGGAGCTTGCAGTGGAGCATCCTCGACCTCCTCAGGCTCAGGTGATCCTCCCACCTCAGCCTCCTGAGTAGCTGGAATACTGACGTGCACCACCATGCTTGGCTAATTTTTCTATTTTTTTGTAGAGACAGGGTTTCTCCATGTTACCTAGGCTGGTCTCAAACTCCTGGGCTCAAGCAATCTGCCTGCCCCAGCCTCCCAAAGTGTTGGAATTACAGGCTTGAGCCACGTGGCCCAGCTGCAAAATAGATGGGTTTTTTGTTTGTTTGTTTGTTTGTTTTGAGACGGAGTCTCACTCTGTCGCCCAGGCTGGAGTGCAGTGGCGCAATCTCGGCTCACTACAACCTCCACCTCCTGGGTTCAAGCGATTCTTGTGCCCCAGCCTCCCAAGTAGCTGGGATTACAGGCATGCACCACAACACTTGGCTAATTTTTGTATTTTTATTAGAGATGGAGGTTTCACCATGTTGGTCAGGCTGGTCTCGAACTCCAGACCTCAGGTGATCTGCCAATCTCGACCTTTCAAAGTGCTGGGATTACAGGTGTAAGCCGCCACACCTGGGCTGCTATGTTAGATTTTAACTTATTTTAAACAACTTTTTTTTTTTTTTTTGGAGACAGAGTCTCACTCTGTCACCCAGGCTGGCGTCCAGTGCCGCGATCTTGGCTCACTGCAACCTCTGTCTCCCAGGTTCAAGCAATTCTCTTGCCTCAGACTTCCAAGTAGCTGGGATTAGAGGCGCCCACCACCATACCTGGCTAATTTTTGTATTTTCAGTAGAGACGGGGTTTCACCATGTTGGCCAAGCTGGTCTTGAACTCCTGGCCTCAAGTGATCCACCCCCCTAGGCCTCCCAAAGTGCTAGGAGTACAGGCGTGAGCCACTGCACCCCGCCTAACCAACTTTTTTTTTTTTTTTTTTTTGAGACGGAGTCTCGCTCTGCCGCCAGTCTGGAGTGCGGTAGCATGATCTGGGCTCACTGCAACCTCCGCCTCCTGGGTTCAAGCAATTCTCCTGCGTCAGCCTCCCAAGAAACTGGGACTACGGGCGCCTGCCACCATTCCTGGCTAATTTTTGTATTTTTAGTAGAGACGGGGTTTCACCATGTTGGCCAGGATGATCTCGATCTCTTGACCTCGTGATCCACCCTCCATGGCCTCCCAAAATGCTAGGATTACAGGCATGAGCCACTGCACCCGGCTCAACTATTTTTTAAAAAGCAGCTGATTGCTTTCTGAATTTAATAATCCACCCAAAATTATTGTCTATTTAAATACTTTCTTATACAATTAATGATCTGATAAACGGAGACTATCTCAAGCTTTCCTGTGCCTTCTGCTATAAGAGACCTGAAAGAACAGAGGAAACAGTGAAAACAAATACTGAAAGAAAATTTCATTAAGAGTTTCAAGATGAATTGGAAGTTAAAATGTGTATCACCAAAAGTGCTCAGATACATCCCCTATTGGGTTCAATAGCCACTATCTTTCTGATTTTTCAGCTTGTCAACAAAATAAAAACAAGTCAAACAGATTAGCATATGGATACTGCTAGGATAAATAACAATGTAAGTGTACCTGTATTTTTATCATAGGTCACTTACATAGGGTAGAGAGTTGGGAATAGTAAAATGAATATTTTGTGACTGATTCAACGTTTAACAATTGAAACCCTAAGTAGACACATATATGTAGGCTATTATGTATTTTATCAATCTTTTTTTTTTTTTTCAAAGAAGGCCTTGTTAGGTTTCTGCTTTACCAACTGTTGGAGAAAACTACACCATTTTAGAGATCCATTATAGAAACAAAAATTCACCTAATTGCAGAAGACAGATGAGCCAAGAGTCAGAGTCTGGCTCTGTCAACCAGGCTGGAGCGCAGTGGCATGATCTTGGCTCACTGCAACCTCCACCTCCAGGGTTCAAGTGAGTCTCCTGCCTCAGCCTCCCGAGTAGCTGGGACTACAGGCGCATCACCACACCCAGCTAATTTTTGTATTTTGGGTAGAGATTACCCAAAATACAAATGCCATGTTGCCCAGGCTGCTCTTGAACACCTGACCTCAAGTGATCCACCTGCCTCGGCCTCCCAAAGTGGTGCTTATATATTTCTATATGACTATTGATATGCCAAGAGTTGATTATATGATTATTGTCACAGTCGTCTGCTATGTCTTGAAGGGTCAAAACTACCTTTAGCCAACCATGACTTCAGGTACACTGATAAAAAGCATGTTCCTGGCCCTTAGAAAATAAGGAAAATGAGTGAAATATTTCACCATAGAAAAAAATTAGCAACAGTTCAAGAGGTGTTGCGACTCATTGCTAAACCATTAGTGCAAGATTCATTGCTAAAGGTTACTTTAAGGAAGTTAAGGAGTTTAGAAGAGAAAAACACTTAGGATTGGAGCGGGACGGGAGGCTTCCTGGAAGAAGCAGGCTTCTAGGAGAGCAGTTTTTGGATTTATGAACCATATCAAGGAGTGGTAAAAATACAAACTAGAATTCGATCTTCTAAGAAAGGGCTGGGTCTCATGGTGGGGACATTCACGCAGTCCCGACTCTGCCCTCGACATTCCATCCCTGGCCTGCCCAGTTCCCTGTCCCCGAGCATTCCTTGCAGACTTACACCGTCCTACTCTCATAGGCTCAGGAGGAATACAAAGCCTTTCCTTTGTTTACAGGATCCTTTCGGAGACAAGACTGGGGTATTTTTATTTATTACTATCTACAAATACTAATGAAAGCTGCAAACAGTCACAGAAGAGATAATCATAGCGCCATGAATCGACACACTGGGGCCTGCAAAGTGTAATCTCCTGTTCTTCTTCCTGAGAACCCCCCAAAAAATTGTTCTTGCCTGGGGCTTTACCAGCCTGCAGCCAGGCTGCCCCTGCCCGCATGGTCTCGCCCCACGTGACTGGCGCCATCTTCCTGCAGCTCCCGTGCTGGGCACAGGTAGTCCTCGGCCCGCTCCCCACTGATTGACAGGGAGTGGTTTTGTTCTCCCGCCCACACGGTGAGGTCAAAGGGCTCTCCACGCGGGAATATACAGCGGTAACTGATAGCTCTCACCGGGGGCGGGGATGGAGGTGGGGAAATGCGGCTGGAGAGCGGGGTGGGGAAGGGAAAAGAAGGGAAGACAGGAAGGAAGAAGACGGGGAGCATGGTGAGAGGGTGGGCCATGGGCCAGCAGTGTGGGAGGTGGGGGTGGAGGATGAGAATATCTTTGCACCTGGAGAGTACTATACTATTTGAATTAGGCGTGTCGGATAAGATACGTAAATATTGCATGAGACATATACTTTTAAAAAGTATCCCTTGTTTACCTGAAATTCAAATTATCTGGGTGTTCTGTATTTTTATTGCTAAATCTGGCAATCCTACTTTTAAGGGTCCTTGGATACACTATTTCCCCCAAGGATTCACAGAAATAGAAAAAAGGCCTGATGCGATGGCTCACGCCTGTAATCCCAGCACTTTGGGAGGCCAAGGCGGGCAGATCACTTGAGGTCAGGAGTTCGAGACCAGCCTGGCCAACATGGTGAAACCCCGTCTCTACTAAACCTACAAAAATTATCCAGGCGTGGTGGCGCCCGCCTGTAGCCCCAGCTACTCGGGAGGCTGAGGCAGGAGAATCGCTTGAATGGGAAGGCAGAAGCTCCAGTGAGCCAAGATCACGCTACTGCACTCCAGCTCTGGGCCACAGAGCGAGACTCTGCCAAAAAAAAAAAAAAAAGAAAAGAAAAGCCCGGGCAACTCAGCATGCAAGAACCGTCTCTACCAAAAAAAAAAAAAAAAAAAAAAAAATGCTGGGCGTGGGCGTGGGCATGGTGGTACATGACTATAGTCCAGAGGCGAGAGGATCGCTTGAGCCCTGGAAGTCCAGGCTGCAGTGAGCTACGATTGAGCTACTGCACTCCAGCGTGGGTGACAGAGTGAGACCCTGTCTCTAAAATAAACAAACAACAATTGAAAAGCAGTAGAAAAAAAGATCCTTTATACCAGTAGTCTACAAGCCGCAGGCACTTCCGCCAAATCCACCTACCTTCTGTGTTTGTATGGGCTGCAGCAAAAAAATGAGTTTTACTTTTTTTTTTTTTTTTGAGGCACGGTCTTGCTTATTGCCCAGGCTGGAATGCAGTGGTGTGATCATGGCTAACAGCAGCCTCGGCCTCCCAGTCTCAAACAATCCTCCCACCTCAGCCTCCTGTACTGGTACTAGAGGAGCATCCCACCACACTTGGCAAAATTTTTTTTTTTTTTTTTGGTAGAGACGGTGTCTAGCTATGTTGCCCAGGCTGGCATAGAACTCCTGGGATCAAATGATCCTCCTGCATTGGCCTCACAGTGCTGGAATCACAAGGTGTGATCTATTGTGTCCCGCTGAGTTTTACTTTTTTTTGTTTGAGACAGGGTCTCACTCTGTCGCCCAGGCTGGAGTGCAGTGGCACAATCATGGCTCACTGCAGCCCCTGCCTCCTGGGTTCAAGCGATTCTCCCACCTCAGCCTCCTCAGACTACAGGCTCGCGCCACCACACCTAGCTAATTTTTGTGTTTTTTGGTAGAGAAGGGGCTTCACCGTGTTGGCCAGGCTGGCCTCGAGTTTTACATTTTAAATGGGTGAATGAAAGTCAAAAGTAAACTATTTTGTGACACATGAAAATAGTATGAAATTCAAATTTCAGGGTCCATTTATGAAATGTTATTGAAACGCAGCCACACTCATCCCATTCCTGTACTGTTGAGCTACTTTGAAGATACATGGGCAGTCAGTGTTCAATAGTTGCAACAGGGACCAGATGACCCACAAATCCTAAAGTATTACCAGGTCCTTTATGAAACAGTGCCTGACTCCTGCTGTAAACTTTCCTTTTTCTTTTTTTTAGACCCCCAGTATGATTTTTTAAATGAAGATAAGTCAAAAGGGTCTAACACTTGGAGGTATGTCCAAAGTCTTATAAATGGCAGGCATAGTCTAAAATGGTCATCCTGTCCTTGCCCCTCAGACAGTCCGCCTTTCCCAGGCCCCTGCTGGCTTAGCCGATGAACAGGGCGTAGACCCTGCCATTGCAGATCTCATGATTACCAGGAAAGGTGGCCATGTAAGTTAAATAGGACAATGGCACTTTGAGGAGGGAGCAGCTAATTTCACCTGGGAAAGTTGGGGGGGAGTTATGCAGAGAGTCCAGCCTTACCAGGCAGACAGGGAAGACAAGAAACCTAGTCAGCCAAGCAGGCAGGTGCATGATGTATTCCAGAAATGGAGACATGTTATGTTTGGCTGAACTTGATGGAAAGGGGTGGTAGGTGGGGGAAGGAATGACTAAAGATAATAGCGATCATTAACAAAATCCACATATTGCTTTCTATATGCCTAACACTGTTATAAGTGCTTTGTGTATTCATTTTTATTTTTATTTTATTTTTTTGAGATAGAGTCTTGCTCTGTTGCTCAGGCAGGAATGCAGTGGTGCCATCACAACTCACTGCAGCCTCAACCTCCCAGGCTCAAGTGATCCTCCCACCTCAGCCTCCTGAGTAGCTGGGTCTATAGGTATGTGCCACCATGCCTGACTAATTTTTTTTTTTTCTGTAGAGATGGGGTCTCCCTATGTTGCCCAGGCTGGTCTTGAACTCTGATTCAAATGATTCTCCTGCCCTTGCCTCCCAAAGTGCTGGGATTAGGGGCATGAGCCACTGTACCAGGCCTGTATATTAATTTATTTACTTATGTGGCCTATATATTAATTTATTTAGTTATCACAACAGCCATTGACAGAAGTCATGTCATTATCCCCACTTTAGACTTGTGGAATCTGGGGTGTACAGAGGCTGACTGATTTGCCCAATCTGAAAAAAGGGGAAGAGCAGTCGGACCCAGGTTCACTTGTTTTGTTTTGTTTTTAAGAAACTGTCTTGTTCTGTTGTCCAAGCTTGAGTGCAGTGGTGTGCATGTGCCACCATGCATGGCTAATTTTCTTTCAATTTTCTATTTTTTGTAGAGACAAGGTATTGCTAGATTGCCCAGGCTGGTCTAGAACTCCTGGCCTCAAGCAATCCTCCCACCTCTGGCCTCCCAAATGTGAACCTAGGACAGATTCACACTTTTAACCACATCCTAGGAAGGTCCCATTGCTTATCTCTTGTTCCTCAGATGGTGGCAGTGGGAACAAGTGGGTAGTGGGAAGGGAGAAGAGGGATATTTCTTAGGTCCTGGGATGATCTTAGACAATTGTGTGAACGGTGACAACAACTGAGTGTGGGTGATCTACACTGAGCACTCTTGAAGCCACAGCAAACGAAACAAAGGGGCAGGTAAGTAATTGTTAAGTGTGGTGCAGACCAGTTCTAAATGCTATAGAAAAATCAGGAGAGAAGTGCAAGATTTCTGTTCATAGAGGAGTTATTACTGGTGTCAAAGGAACTGTCTTTTGGATACAGGAAACAAGGGGCTGTAATTAGCTGGGTGTGGTGGTGCACACCTGTAGTCCCAGCTACAGGGAGGCTGAAGGAGGAAGATCACTTGAGCCCAGGAGTTTGAGGTTATAGTGAGCTATGATTGTGCCACTGCACTCCAGCCTGGGTGTCAGAGTGAGCCCCTCTCTCAAAACAAAACAACAAGATGTGTGACGCCTACGAAAGTCTTTCCCATCTTTTCTATTTGGCTTGGTTCCTATCTGTATCCCCAGCACCAAGACCAAAACCTGTTATCCCTAAGGGGCTCATTAAATTTATTTATTTATTATTATTATTTTTTTAGACAGCGTCTTGCTCTGTCACCTAGGCCAGAGCTCAGTGGCACAATCTCGGCTCACCGCAACCTCTGCCTCCTGGTTCAAGTGATTCTCCTGCCTCAGCCTCCTGAGTAGCTGGGATTACAGGCACGCACAACCATGCTCAGCTAATTTTTGTATTTTTAGTAGAGATGGGGTTTCACCCTGTTGGCCAGGCTGGTCTTGAACTCCTGACCTCAGATGATCTGTCTGCCTCGGCCTCCGTAAGTGTTGGGATTACAGGCGTGAGCCACTGCACCTGGCCGGTTTTACATTTTCTGAGATTTCTTGCAGAGTTACTGTGTGCATACACAAGTAAAAACATATATATGTGTGTTACTTTCCACTTCCTCTCCACATTTTTTATACACATGGTGGCATAGTATACATACTGTTCTGTATGTGGCTTTTGTTCACTGTGTATATCAAGATTATTCCCTATCAGTCCAGAAGGATCTTTTTCAACCTATTTGACCGCTGAATCCACTGCATGGATGTGCCACACTTTATCCAGTCCTTTACATTGGTCTTGTAGGTCTTGTTCTTCCTTGGCTCTTGGAAACAGTATTGCAATGAGGAATGTGAGGATGATGAATGAGGAGATTTTGGGCTAGGGAAGTATAATGATTTAAAATCATCACTCTTTTTGACTAACCAGAAGTCACCACCACTCATGGGTGTGAAACCACCCACTGTCAGAATCTGATAGCCCAAAAAGTGGACCAGTCTAATGAAAGGAAGACAGTGGGCTTTGGGGCCAGGCAAACTTGAATTCCCATCTTTGTTCTACTCCTTATGACTTGAATTCCCTTGGAAAACCTATCAAATTCCTTTTTAGTTTTTCTCATCTAAATAGGGGATGGTAGTGCTCCTAGACTATGAGGATTAAATTAAATAAGACAATGAATATTAATAGATTGCTTAGGTACATGGTACATAGAAGGGAATTTATTCCTGCCATCATCTCATTGTGCTGTTGTGTCGTAGCCCTCAGAATTCTCTTTCTCATTCTTCTCTTTCTCATTCTTCTCTTTCTTATTCTTCTCTTTCTTATTTTTCTCTTTCTTATTCTTCTCTCTGCCCCTTTATTCCACTTACCTTGACAAGAGCAATTGAATAATCTGGAGGGCTATGGCATGGATAAAACTTGAAGACATTACGCTAAGTGGAAAAAGCCAGTCACAAAAACCCACATATTATATGAGTCCACTAATACAAAATGTGCAGAAAAGGCAAATCTATAGATTGATGGTTTCGTAGGGTTAGGGGTTGAGGGGAAATGGGGAGTGACCACTAATGAGTACAGGGTTCCTTTTTGAGGTGGTGAGAGTGTTTGAAAATTGACATGGTTGCATAACACTCAGTATACTAAAACTCATTGAATTGTACATTTTGAATGGGTAAATTTTAAGACATGTGAATTAAAACTCAGTAAAGTGCTAGGCCAGGCACGGTGGGTCACGCCTGTAATCCCAGCACTTTGGGAGGCCGAGGCAGGCAGATCACGAGGTCAGGAGATCAAGACCATCCTGGCTAACAAGGTGAAACCCCGTCTCTACTAAAAATACAAAAAATTAGCCGGGCGTGGTGGCGGGCACCTGGAGTGCCAGCTACTCGGGAGGCTGAGGCCGGAGAATGGTGTGAACCCGGGAGGCAGAGCTTGCAGTGAGCCGAGATCGCACCACTGCACTCCAGCTTGGGCGACAGTGCAAGACTCCATCTAAAAAAACAAAAACAAACAAACAAACAAACAAAAACAACTCAGTAAAGTGCTTATAAAAAGTGCTCCAGGCCAGGTGCAGTGGTTCACACCTATAATCCCAGCACTTTGGGAGGCCGAGACAGGAGGATCTCTTGAACCTAGGAGTTCAAGACCAGTCTGTGCAACATAGGAAGACCCCATCTCTACAAAAAGTTTAAAAATTAGCTGGCCTGGTGTCACATGCCTGTAGTCCCAGGTACTTGGGGGCTGAGGTGGGAGGATTGCTTGAGCCCTGGAGGTCGAGGCTGCAGTGAGCTGTGATCATGCCACTGCACTCCAGCCTGGGCAACATAGCAAGGTCCTGTCTCAAAAAACAAAAACAAAAACAAACAAACAAACAAAAAACTCCGGCAGGAAGGTAGAGGAGAAAGAAAGGAGAGGATTGTGGAGCAGCACAGAGACAAGACTGCACACAAGGTACAGGTCTCAGACAGCACTGGGCATCAGAGGGCCTAAACTTTAGTCCTGGC
Organism: Homo sapiens; assembly: GCF_000001405.40. Classification (NCBI taxonomy): domain Eukaryota; kingdom Metazoa; phylum Chordata; class Mammalia; order Primates; family Hominidae; genus Homo; species Homo sapiens. The sequence continues at coordinate 820,689 of NC_000009.12, read as the reverse complement.
TCTGCCTCCAGCTGACTTTGTGACCTTGGAAAAGCTCTTTCACTTCTCTGTACTTTGTTTGCCTCATTTAAAACTGAAATGAAATGATGACCTAGGGTCTCTTTCCTGACTAAAAGTCTACAATTTGCCCCCTGCCTCAGGCTGGGGGAGGAGAGGCAGGGGGAAGCCAGAGATAGGAGGAGAGCAGAGATCCTTGCAGGGCCTTTCCCTCCTCTCTGCCCTGCCTGCACCCTGCCCTCCCCTTGAACCCTAGGCCTTTGTTCAGCTTCCCCCAACCCTGGAAGTCATGCATGCAGGGGAGAGTATGAGAGGGTTGGGTCAGGTGCGGGTCATGAGGAGGCTGGGACAGGAGGCACACTGTCCAATACTATTCCATTTTCTAGTAGAGATTATAGACCTTGGGAGGGAAGCAACTTGGGAAAATAAGTGAAGAGCCAAGGCAAATGTTCCAGGCAGAGAGGTGTTTTTTCCATCTACTTATAATGTTAACTTTTCCATCATTAGGGTCAAGTTTTTTATTTATTTATTTATTTATTTTTCACTTTTTAAAAAAAATTTTGAGACAGGTATGCTCCACCACACCCAGCTAGTTTTTGTATTTTTAGTGGAGACAGGGTTTTGCCATGTTGCGTAAGCTGGTCTCAAACCCCTCAGCTCAAGAAGCCTACCTGCCTCAGCCTCCCAAAGTGTTGGGATTACAGGCATGAGCCACTGCACCCGACCAGTAGCATCCCTTAATATATGATAGTGAGCTGTACTCAATTAAGTATGTGTCTTTCAATTTTTTATCATGGTAAAATATACATAAAATGTTCCACTTTAACCTTTTTTAAAATGTACAGTTCAGTGGCATTAAATACATTCATGTGGTTGCACAACCACCACCACCATCCATCCGTTTTTAAATTTTTATAATGAAGTATAAGGCCAGGAGCAGTGGCTCACACCTGTAATCCCAGCACTTTGGGAGGCCGAGGCAGGCGAATCACCTGAGGTCAGGAGTTCAAGACCAGCCTGGCCAACATGGTGAAAGCCTGTCTCTACTAAAAATACAAAATTAGCTGGGTGAGGTAGCATACACCTGTAATCCCAGCTACTCAGGAGGCTGAGGCACGAGAATCACTTGAACCCAGTAGGTGGAGATTGTACCACTGTACGCCAGCCTGGGCGACAAAATGAGACTCCATCTCAAAAAAAAAGAAGTATAATACACATAAAGTGCAAGAATCTTAAGTGTTCTCCCCATCAGTTTTTACATTTGTATGTATCCATATAACTGCCACTGAGATTATGATACCGACTGTTTACAGCACACCGGAAGTCTTCCGCTTACTCCTTCTCATCAATTATGTTTTTTGTTTTTGCTAAATTTAAGTCTTTGCTCAAAGAAAAAACAAAAAACAAACGTGGTTCTTTTGCAAGCAACTTAAGTGGTTTTGCAAATTGCATAATTAGTATCTCAATATTTCATTCCTAAAGGTTCAAGTCACAGTGTACTCTGGCAGGAAGGCACTGTGCTAGCACAGCGAACACATTGCTCTGCAGAGAATCTGCTCTCCTCCAGTCGGATGGAATCCCTCTGTTGCACATCCCAGGGCCAGTTTCCAGATTAAAGAATTCTGAATGTGCTCTAAATTCTCACTGCAGATGGGACAATGGTAACAATCCTTTTGCTAAACAAAATGCAAAAGATACATTCTACCCCCTGCCAGGTAATTTACTGGGTAAGGCATCTACACTTATGCCCCATCAGGGACTTCAAAATATTTGCTGGTTCTGTAGCTGGATTAGAAATGACATTTTAGCCCACTTTATCATTCTGTAGCAGAAGCTGAAAGCTATAAAAGGTTAGCATTAGCCTGTGATTTATTTTTCTTTTCAGTATTTAAATTTGGGCTGGTTGTGGGTGAAGGAGGAAGCATAGGAGTTAAAAGTATAATTCATCAGGCTAAGAAAGAAACCAACAGGAAACCGGGGAAAATAGATAGTAAAGGACACTTCAAGAAGGGAAAATTGGAAAAGGATCATATAAATCCCAGAGAGGGAGAGGTCACACAGCTCTATTCAGGAAATCCAGAAGCAGGCAAAAACAAACACTACCCCACCACTGTCCCCGATCTTCACCTCTACCTTTTCTACCTGCAAATTGGCTCTTGGCATTTGTTACCTTTTCTTGAAGCCCTGCGAAAGCCGGTGTGCTTTATTCACCACAAGTGAAAAAAGAGCCTAACACAAGTGCCTGGCACATGGCAAACAGTCAAGAACCAGGAAGCCATGGATAGAGGAACCAGCTAGAAAGGCCCCCTCCTAACTGGAGAAAAGGGCCAAGGCAAGGAGGATAGGAGGCAGGGAAGAAGGGTCGGTAGGGAGGCGGTCACCTGTTCAGAGTGAAACGTAATAGTGCTGGCACTTCCAAGCGTAGGTACCTAGAAAAGGGGAAATAAGCCTTAGGGTTTTTTTTTGTTTTTTTTTTTTGTAAGAGAAATAAACACTTGGAATGGGACAGAATTAGCCAGAGGTTATGAGGGAAAAGCCTTTTCATTAACTCTAGCAAAACAGAATCTATAAAAATTAAAGAAAAGGAAAGCAAGGAGTATATTTTTTTGTTTGATATATATATCTATCTATATCTATCTATCTATCTATATATATATATATATATTTTTTTTTTTTTTTTTTTTTGAGACGGAGTCTCGCTCTGTCGCCCACGCTAGAGTGCAGTGGCGCCATCTCGGCTCACTGCAACCCCCGCCTCCCGGGTTCAAGTAATTATCTGCCTCAGCCTCCCGAGTAGCTGGGATTACGGGCACCCGCCACCACACCTGGCTAATTTTTTGTAGAGACAGGGTTTCACCATCTTGGCCAGGCTGGTCTTGAAGTCCTGACCTCGTGATCCACCCGCCTCGGCCTCCCAAAGTGCTGGGATTACAGGCATCAGCCACCACGCTCAGCCTATTTATATATATATTTTTTGAGATGGAGTCTCGCTCTGTCGCCCAGGCTGGAGTACAATGGCGTGATCTTGGCTCACCGCAGCCTCTGCCTCCCAGGTTCAAGCAATTCTCCTGCCTCAGCCTCCCAAGCAGCTGGGACTACAGGCATGCGCCACGACACCCAGTTAATTTTTGTATTTTTAGTAGAGACAGGGTTTCACCATATTGGCCAGGCTGGTCTCAAACTCCTGACCTCGTGATCCACCTGCCTCAGCCTCCCAAAATGCTGGGATTGCAGGCGTGAGCCACCGCGCCTGGCCTTTTTTCTTTTTGAAGAGACAGGGTCTCGCTGTGTCGCAAGCTGGAGTGTAGTGGCACTATCGTAACTCACTGTAACCTCGATGTCCCCAGGGTCCAGGGATCCTCCCGCCTCAGTCTCCTGAGTAACTGGGACTACAGCTGCACACCACCATGCCTAGCTAATTTTTAAATTTTTGTGTAGAGATAGGGTCTCACTGTGTTGCCCAGGCTGGTCTCAAACTCCTGGCCTCAAGCAGTCCACCTACCTTCGCCCCCTACAGTGCTGAGATTATAGGTGTGAGCTACCATATACCCAGCCTAAAAATAACTTTTGTAAAGTATAATTATAAATCATAAAGTTCACCTGATTCAAGTGTAGAATTGGATGATTGTTAGTAAATGTACAAGTTGTGCAAACATCTCCGTAGTCACAGTCTTAGAACATTTCATCACTCCAGTGAGATTCCTCTTATCCATTTACAGTCATTGGCTATCCTTCCTACCAGCCCAAGGTAGCTACTAATCTACTTTCTCTCTCCAAGATTTGTCTTTCTTGGACATTTCATGAAAATGAAATGATACAATATAGAGATTTTGGAACTGGCCTTCTTTTACCTAATATAATGGTTTTGTGGTTCATCCATACTGATGTGGAATACCACATTTTGTGTATTTATTAACCAGTTGATGGACATTTGCATTGTTTCCATGTTTGTAGTGGATGAATGAAGCTGCTATAAGTCTTTGTAAAGGCCTATGTTTTCATTTCTCTTGGATAGATACCTAGGATTGGAATTGCTAGGTTATAGGGTAATTTTATATTTAACGTTTTAAGAAAGTGCTAAATTGTTTTCCAAAGTGGCTACACTGGCTGGGCATGTTGGATCACACCTGTAATCCTAGCACTTTGGGAGGCTGAGGTGGGCGGATCACCTGACGTCAACAGTTCGAGACCAGCCTGGCCAACATGGTGAAACCCCGTCTCTACTAAAAATACACAAATTAGCTAGGCATGGTGGCAGGTGCCTGTAATCTCAGCTACTCGGGAGGCTGAGGCAGGAGAATCACTTGAACCTAGGAGGCGGAGGTTGCAGTGAGCTGAGATGCCGCCATTGCACTCCAGCCTGGGTGACAAGAGCGAAATTCCGTCTAAAAACAAAAAAAACAAACAAAAAAAAACAAAAGTGGCTACACCATTTTACATTCCCACCAGCAATGTATGAGGGGTCTAGTTTTTCTCCATCCTCCACAACACTTATTATTGTCTGTATTTTTTATTATAGTGATCCTAGTGGGTATAAAGTATATCTCATTGTGCTTTTAATTTGCGTTTCCCTAAGGCTAATTAATGATGCTAAGCATCTTTTATGTGCTTATTAATTATTCCTATACCTTCTTTAGTAATCTATTCAAATTATTTGCTATCTTAATATGAGATCGTTTGTCTTCTTCTTACTGAGTGTTAAGAGTTCTTATTGTAGGCCAGAATGGCTCATGCCTGTGATCCCAGCACTTTGGGAGGCTGAGGCCAGAGGATTGCTTGAGCCCAGGAGTTTCAAGACCAGCCTGGGCAACATAGTGAGATCTCATCTCTACTAAAAATAAAAAATTAGCCAGGTGGTGGAACACACTTGTGGTCCCAGCTACTCAGGAAGCTGAGGCAGGAGGACTGCTTGAGCCCGGGAGGTCAAAGCTGCAGTCAGCCATGATCACACCACTGCACTCCAGCCTAGGTAACAGAGCGAGGCCCTCTCTCAAAAGAAAAAAAAAAAAGAAATGAGCCGGGCACAGTGGCTCACACCTGTAATCCCAGCCCTTTGGGAGGCCGAGGCAGGTAGATCACTTGAGGTCAGGAGTTTGAGACCAACCAGCCTGGCCAACATGGTGAAACCCCATCTCTACTAAAAATACAAAAAATTAGCTGGGCGTGGTGGTATGTGTCTGTAATCGCAGTTACTAGGGAGGCTAAGGCAGGAGAATTGCTTGAACCCGGGAGGCGGAGGTTGCAGTCAGCTGAGATCATGCCACTGTACTCCAGCCTGGGCAACATAGTAAGACTCTATCTCAAAAAAAGAAGAATAGAAAATGAAAAGACAAGCCACAGACTGGGAGAAAATATTCACAAGTCATGTATCTGATAAAGGTCTTATGTCCATAACTCTCTCTGTCTCTTTTTTTTTTTTTTTTAGAGAGAGAGGGAGTCTCACTCTATCACCTTGGCTGGAGTGCAGTGGCATGATCATGGCTCACTGCTGCTTTGACCTTCTGGGCTCAAGTGATCCTCCTGCCTCAGCCTCCTGAGTAGCTGGGACTACAGGTGCGTGGCACCATGGCTGGCTAATTTTTACAAAAATTTTTATTGAGATAAGATTTTGCTCTGTTGTCCAGGCTGATCTTGAACTCTTGGGCTCAGGCAATCCTCCTGTCTTGGCCTCCCAAAGTGCTGAGATTATAGGCATGAGCCACTGTGCTGGGCCCCTTGGCCTCTTTTTATTTTCTTAATGGTTTCTTTGGAAGTATAAAAGTTTTGAATTTTGATCAAGTCTAATTTATCCATTATTTTCTATTATGTCTTGTGTTTTTGAATATTCTAGCTAAGAACTCTGCCTAACCCAAAGGAAGACCTGGTTTTGCTGAATATACAGTTGGAGAGGAAAGGATAAATTGATTGCTTTAGGAGCTGTTTCTTTTTTTTTTTGAGACAGGGTCTTTGTCACCCCGGCTGGAGTACAGTGCTGTGATTACAGCTCACTGCAGCCTCAAACTCCTTGGCTTAAGGAATCCTCCTGTCTTAGCGTCTTGAGTAGCTAGGACTATAGGTGCACAGCACCATGCCCAGTTAATTATTTTTATTTTTCTTAGAGTCTCACTGTGTTGCCCAGTCTGGTCTTAAATTTCTGGCCTCAAGTGATCCTCCCTTCTTGGCTTCCCAGAGCACTGGGATTATAGGCATGAGCCACCATGCCCAGCATGGCCCTAGGAGGTGACATTTCTATGTGTTGTTGGTTTAGAACTAGCTTTCTGAATGCTTTTTGAGGTAATATTTGAATGCACATCTCATGAAAAATAATTTAAATCTGGTAATCAGTTTATAATGAGAATAAGAATGGCTAATATTTATTAAACTGGCACTTGGCTGAACTCTTTAAATGAACAAATCTCACTTAATCATGATACCCAACCTCTGGAGTAAGCACTGTTATTATCATTGTGTTAAAGATGGGGCAACTGAGGACTGAGAGGATAAGTAAAGGGATGAAGTAAGGGTTGTAACCCAGGCAGTCTGAAATGATAGTGCAAGTATGCTCAATCATGATGATATACTCACTCCATGGTGGGTAATACTTACATTTCTGGCTCCAGAATTCTGTGAGCCTCATCTGAATGCACGAGTATAAGCCTCCTGATTCTCAGCTACTTGCTGGGAGCTAGCTGTGGGATCAACAAGTCTTAAGTGATTTTTGGGTCTTGCCTGTATAAAAGTTTTTTCTTTTTCTTTCTTTTTTTTTCTGAGGCAGAGTGTTGCTCTGTCACCCAGGCTGGTGTGAGTGGCACAATCTCGTCTCACTGCAACCTCCGCCTCCCTGGTTCAAGCGATTCTCTTGTCTCAGCCTCCCAAGTAGCTAGGATTACAGGCACCCACCACCACACCTGGCTAATTTTTTCTGTTTTTAGTAGAGATGGGGTTTCGCCATGTTGGCCAGGCTAGTCTCGAACTCCTGACCTCGGTTGATCTATCCGCCTTGACCTCCCAAAGTGCTGGGATTATAGGCGTGAGCCACCGCGCCCTGCCAAAAGTTTTTTTCGTAGCTCTCTAGGGTACCTACAATTTCTACCTTTGATAGTTATATGTTTTGGGATGAAGCGTTAGTAGTGCAAAATCCTTGGTGAAAAATTCATCTTAACATAACGTTCCTTTTCTTTCTTTCTTTCTTTCTTTTTTTTTTTTTTTTGAGATAGAATCTCACTCTGTCGCCCAGGCTGGAGTGCAGTGGCACAATCTCAGCTCACTGCAACCTTCGCCTCCTGGGTTCAAGCGATTCTTGTGGCTTAGCCTCAGGCTCCCTTGTTTCTGGGATTGCAGGCATGTGCCACCATGCCCAGCTAATTTTTGTATTTTTAGTAGAGATGGGGTTTTACCATGTTGACCAGGCTGGTGTTGAACTCCTGACCTCAAGTGATCCACTCGCCTTGGCTTCCCAAAGTGCTAAGATTACAGGTGTGAGCCACCACGCCAGGCCCATAACGTTTCATTGAATGTGAATCTAGGCCTACTCTTTCTGATTGATTCTGAATGATTATCCAACTCTAAGATGGTTGGAATCAAGTTTTCTTTTTGCATGCATTTTAAAATGTGGGCTTCTGGGCTCATGGTCTGTGAAGCTTTATTTGTGAGAAAGGAAATCTAGGTTGAGGGGATGGTCCTCCAGAAAAATTTTGCATTTGCTTCTGCCAGCTACTCCTGAGGGTGTTAACAGCCCATAACCACTTCTTGACATTAATATCTCAGCCCTCACAGGTAGTTCCAGCCCTAAAACTCTGTGAAGATAGGTTTGTGGTTACAAAGTCTCATGGAAGATGTCTTCCCCATATCTTGTCCCATGCATCCAAAGCCAAGGCCTAGGCAGACAAGGTCCCTCATCATCCTTCTTGGCCAATGGGTGTGATTTTCTAGTCCACTCTTTCATTCAGGATGTATCCCTTTGAAAGCCCCAGCTTTGTGTTGGTTATCAATTCGAACTCATTTTTAGGAGAAGCCAAAGGCCTTGTCTCCTGGCCCTGTGAGGCCCTTAAAACCCAAGTCCCTTCATCACTAAAACAGGTGCAACCCACACTAGGGTATCCAAAGTGTCCATTCTCTTACCTTCAGTTTTTTAGCTGCTTCTTTGTGTTTGACCTCTGGGGATTTCCTTCATTTCTTGTGAGATCAACCATGTATTTATAGGATATTTACGATATTTTATTCATAATGTATAGGTCTTTTGTTTTGGGGAGTGGTTCAAAGTATCTACCTTGCTGTTTTGTTGGAAATGGAAATCTGCCAAAAACCACATTTTTATGTCTTTACATTTTCTTCAATACCCAACATTGTATTGTATACAGATTGATTGCTTAATCCTAAATAATGATTGAATGAATATCCATGCTGTTCCCAAGGGATAACATATTATTCCATGAAAATATATTTGCTTATCATATTTTCATTTTGCACTGACGCCAGATTCCTTCCCTTAACCGATACGACACATCTAAGACAGGGGAGCTTTAGTGGAAAATAGGGAAGAAATGAAAGATAAGGACGAGATTCAAAAGTCAGGCCCAGGCAGGTCCTTGGTAGGTTAGGGAAAGGGACAAGATTGTCAGGCAGCAGGTCACTGTGATTTCATTAAAGGGAGGGGCTTCTGGGAACCCAGTCCCAACTTTTGCAAATTATTATATGGAGGGCAGTTTCTTGAGTATCACTTTTCCATTTATAAAGTCTCTGGAAGTTTGATAAGAAAATGTGGCAATGTGTGAACAGAGGTTAAGCTTGCTTTCCTCGATTTTCTTTCTTTCTTTTTTTTTTTTTTTTAAAAAAAAGGGTCCTTTTCGAAAAATTAGGAAGAGAAAAGAAACTCCATATTTTCTCTTCAAATGTGTGGGTGGTGAGATTTAGAAGGGGCAGACATGTTTACTAACTCTTAGTAAAAATATTTGTTGAACACCCACTGAGTGCCAAGCCGTGTGCTGGACACAGGGCTATAGCTGGGAACATGGAATGAGGGCCTGGCTCTGTGGTACTTCCATTCCATTTTACAGATAATCACAGAAAGAGATGTATACGTACAGATTATGAAGCGTGTTAGGAATGCAAGTCCATTAAAGAGCGTGGTGAAAGACTATAACCTGGGGTTGGTAGGGAAGGGAAATCAAGGAGCATCAAGAAAGGCTTCTCAGAGGAAGCAGCTCTATGCAGAGATCAGAAGGATGGGCCGGGTTAGTCAGGCCAATAGCATGCAGAAGAACAAACAGTGGAAGGAACAGCCTGTGTGCAGTTTCTCATTAGTCATAAACTTATGCAGAAAATACTGAAGCTTTTGATTCATTATAATATTACCTGCCATGCGGTGGCATGTGGCGGCTCACTGATTGTTTTCCTTGAGCTGGGCAGCCGGGCATCATCATCTCCACTTTCAGGATGAAGTTAGCAAGGCTCTGAGGTGCCTGGCTACCTGCCCAGGTCATATATTTTAAAGAGTCATAAGGCTGGGCGCAGTGCCTCATGCCTGTGATTCCAGCACTTTGAGAGGCTCAGTCGGGCAGATCACTTGAGGCCAGGAGTTGGAAACCAGCCTGGCCAACATGGTGAAATCCAGTCTCTAATAAAATACAAAAACTAGCCGGGTGTGGTGGTGTGCACCTGTAGTCCCAGCTACTTCTGCTTAGGAGACTGAGGCCGGAGAATTGCTTGAACCTGGGAAGTGGAGGTTGCAGTGAGCTGAGATCACTCCACTGCACTCCAGCCTCAGCAACAGTGCAAGACTCTGTCTAAGAAAGAAAAAAAAAAAAAAGAGTCATGGAGCTGGAGGTTGTGCTCTGGTTGTTTAAGTAGCTTGTGTTTAAAGGGAAACTTTGAAAGGCCCCCAGAAACAAGTGGTTTTCTTTTAGACAGCAGCCTGGCAGCTTATTGGATGCCCAACAGAAATGACTAGCAGTCTCTCGAAATAAATAAATGGCATTTTGAATAGGACAGAGGCTCAGGAGGAAGAGGTCCTAGCGGTAGATTTAACTGCAGGTCATCATCATAAATATAACTGGTTTCATCAGAGCTGTAATAAGGTTCTTGTGGGTGGAGTGTGCTGGTTTTGCTGTCAGAAATTGAGTAATGCAGTGTTAGTGCTACAGCTATTGACAACAAAACAAATTTCTATGGAAATTACTTTTAATATTGAGTTACTACAATTTAATGGCCACAATTTTTTTAAAGATTGGCTAAATCGAACACTAACTCCTCTCATCATTCATAAAATTAAAGGTGAAACAGCAAACAGAGTTGAAAAACCTACCTAGTCAATGAAAACACTGCGCCGTACCTTTCCCTTTATTTTTATGCGTGTATTTATTTATTTTTGAGAGACAGGGTCTTGCTCTGTTGACCAGGCTGGAGTGCAGTGCTGCAACTGTGGCTCACTGCAGCCTCGACTTCCTAGGCTCAAGTGATCCTCCCATCTAAGCCTCCTGAATAGCTGCAGCTACAAGTGCACACCACCATACCCAGCTAATTAAAAAAATTTTTTTGTAGAGGCGTGGTCTCACTACATGCCTAGGCTGATCTCAAACTCCTAGGCTCAAGGAATCCTCCTGCCTCAGCCTCCCAAAGTTCTGGGATTACAGGCGTGAGACACCTTTCCTTTTATTGCTAGAGATAGTTCTAATATGTTCTGCAAAAGGGCCTAAAGCAGTGTTTCTCACGTTTTTTGATATTATTAATTTTTACTCTGTCTTAGCTCAGGCTGCTGTAACAAAATGCCATAGATTGAATAGTTTAAACAATAGACATTTATTTTCTTACAATTTTGGAGACTGTAAATCCAATATGAGGGTCTAGCACAGTGAGATTCAGGTGAGAGACCTCTTCTGGGTTGCAGACCGGTGACTTCTTTATCCTCACCTGGTAGGAAGACAATGAGAGCTCTCTGGGGTCTCTTTTTTTTTTTTTTTTTTTTTTTGAGACGGAGTCTTGCTCTGTCGCCCAGGCTGGAGTGCAGTGGCGCGAACTCGACTCACTGCAACCTCCGCCTCCCAGGTTTAAGCGATTCTCCTGCCTCAGCCTCCAGAGTAGCTGGGATTACAGGCTTGCACCACCACGCCTGGCTACCTTTTGTATTTTTAGTAGAGACGGGGTTTCATCATGTTGGTCAGGCTGGTCTCGAACTCCTGACCTCGTGATCCGCCTGCCTCGGCCTCCCAAAGTGCTGGGATTACAGGCGTGAGCCACCATCCCCGGCCAGGATTAGGATTTCAATATATGGATTTTGAGGGAATACAAACATTCGGTCTATAACACACTTTCTAAGGAGAAAATTTATGGTAATTTAATAAATTTAGACTAATTAAAGTTAAACAAATTAAGTTCCATAATAGGAAATTATAACATATATATAATTTAATTTCTCCCTAGTGAGAGAAATATTAAAGAAGAAGAATTTGTCAGGTGGAATTTGACTTTGGAGGGCTACACACCATTGTAATATCTAGGATTTCTTGGCCCCCCAAGAACCAGTTTTAGCTTCTGAGAATTCATGGCCTAAAGGAGAAACAAAGAAAACACACACACACACACACCACACACCACACACATACCACACACACACCACACACACACCACACACACACCACACACACACCACACACACACACCACACACCACACACACACCACACACACCACACACCACACACACACACACACACCACACATACACCACACACCGCACACACCACACACACACACACCACACACCGCACACACCACACACACACACCACACACACCACACACACACACCACACACACACACCACACACACCACACACACCAGACACACACACACCACACACCACACACACACACCACACACACCACACACACACACCACACACACACACCACACACACCACACACACACACCACACACACCACACACACCACACACACACACCACACACACACACACACACACACACACACACACGTTGCAGAGCAGCATTATCTTATAACCTGTAAAGGATTGTACTAAATGGGAACTAAATGGTCATTGTGATGGTTATTTTGTTTGTTTGTTTGTTTTTGAGACGGAATCTCTCTGTCACCAGGCTGGAGTGCAGTGGCACAATCTCAGCTCACTGCAACCTCTGCTCCCCGGTTCAAGCGATTCTTCTGTCTCAGACTCCCTAGTAGCTGGGACGACAGGCACAAGCCACCACGCCCACGCCCAGCTAATTTTTTTGTATTTTTAGTAGAGACAGGGTTTCACCATGTTGGCTTGGATGGTCACTGCAGTAAGCATTTTGCCTGCATTATTTGTTTAATCCTCAGAACAACCCTATGAAGCATATACTACTGTTGTTCACCTTTTATAAATTAAGAGAGGCTCTGAGAAGTTAACAGCTGTCAACTTTTAAGTAGCAGAGCTGTGAATCGTACTCATCTCTGTTCCCCACACAGCTCCCAGGCTGCAGCCACTGCAGAGGATAGCATCCTCTGGAAGTGTTCTTAGTATCTATGCGAATTTTGTCCTTGGGGCCATCTCACCTCTCATTCCCCTTCTCTTCCACTCCTGGCCTGCTCCCTTGTTCCTATTACCCAGTATAAAACTTATTCCTCCTGAATCAGGGTTGGAAAGCAATCTGATAAATAGTTATTATTGGCTTGGGATTCCTAGCATTTGCCTTTCAGCAAAGGATATCTGTAACTCCCAAAAACTGAGTGGTGGGATTTGAGCAGGGGGGAGGAATTTCAGCAGGTGGGTAAAGTATTTGGAGGCTATGTGAGTTAGGCTACTGACAGGAGGAGGGTGGTACCCTTAGGTGGGGAATGGAGGAGAATTTAATAAAGAGATAATTTACAGAAGTTTGAGGAAGGTTAAGGGAAACCAACATGGGATAGCAACAGGCCTCCCTGGGGATGGCAACAAAGGGAGCCACCACCATCCGACACCTGAAGGGACAAGGAATAGTCCTAGGAACCCAAGAAAGGGGCTGAAGCTTTGGAGAATGCCATCTGGCAGAGGCCTTGGCTTCAGCAGAGACCTGCAGCCAACCTCTGGTCACCCAGCAGGGAGAAAACCAGGGAAAGAAAGACTCCTTCCTTGCCCTTGTCCTACCCTCCTACTTTTAAGGGTACCTTTTATGACCACACGCAAACTAAAGCTAGAGGACAAGGGGCCTGTTGATGCAGTCCATAGAGGCCAGATTTTGGGACACAGAGCAGAGTGGAGAAGAGGGCACAGGGGACCTGGAGGGCAGCGCTACAGCCTAGGATGGTGGCCGTCTGTGACAGGTGAACACAGGGCCAGTTTCATAAATGAAACACAGAGGATACCTCAGTTTTCATCAAGTGGCTGGGAGCATAGCAACGAAGGACACAGGGAGCTGGACTGCCTGGCCTGAAGACTGCCCTGCCATTTCTACCTTGGTGACTTTGGTGAAGTTCCTTAACCCTTCTGTGCCTTGGTTTCCTTATCTGTGAAACAGGCATGATAATCTCTACTCATAGGATTGTGAGGATAGAATTAATTGTAGCACTTGAACAAGGTCTGACTGAATTAACACCATCCTTATGACACTCCAGGTACAAAGCAGGTAGGAAGAAGCAATGTGCCCTTAGGTACTTACACGCTAAGCGGGAGACAGACACACCAGCCCTCACGACACAAGGTTAGGTGAGCTGGCAACTGAGGAGAAAGACTTGGCCGAAGGAGGGGTTGATCCTGCACCTCAGTGGGTCAGGTAGGGTTTTGCAGAGGAGGAGCCTTGAGCAAGGACTTGCAGAATGAGTTGATTTGCAGATGTGCCCAGTACACATCAATTAACAGTTCTGGAACTTTAAGGAAGGAAGGAAGTCCAGTTGGGTATTAAAAAGACTGGTAGATTTGTGGATTGTCAGAGGACAAGAAAGAACCCTGGAAATTAGGGCACAACTAAGCAGTGCAACAAGAATCCAGTAGGTGGCATAAATACCCCATTCATTTGGAGTTCCATTTGTCGTTTTTTTGTTTTGGTTTTTGGGTTTTTTTTTGTTTTGGATTTGGTGAATTTCTTTTTTTCTTCTTCCCTTCCTTAAGCTGCCCATTTCACCAACACTGTTGTTAGCAGTTTTATATGATCTTTATTTAATGCAATTAGATTTGCCTTTAGATCAAAGCAAACTATTTACAATTGATATAATAACTAAGCACCTCTCCAGAAAGAAGGTTGACTGCTTTGCAAGTATGAGCCCATTGTCTTAGTCCATGTGTGCTGCTGTAACGAAATATCACAGACTGGGTAATTTACAGCCATGAGCCACTATGCCCGAGGTGCTAAGGCCACCTCTTCACCTCTTTTTTTTTTTTTTTTTGTGATGGAGTTTCACTCTTGTTCCTCAAGCCAGAGTGCAATGGGGCAATCTCGGCTCACTGCAACCTCTGCCTCCCAGGTTCAAGTGATTCTCCAGCCTCAGCCTCCCGAGTAGCTGGGATTACAGGCATGTGCCACCATGCCTGGCTAATTTTTTTGTATGTTTAGTAGAAATGGGGTTTCACCATGTTAGCCAGGCTGGTCTCGAACTCCTGTCCTCAGATAATCCGCCGGCCTTGGCCTCCCAAAGTGCTGGGATTACAAGTGTGAGCCACCGTGCCCGGCCTAAGGCCACCTCTTAATACATCATATTGGTGATTAAGTTTGAACACATGAATTTTGCAGGACATTCAGACCATAGTACCATATTTAAAGAAAGACTGATTCACGTTGAGGTGAACCATCTAAACCCAATTTTCGTTATATTGTTTTCTAGAAAGTAGATTAAAAATTAAAATACTCCCAAGCTTGTCATGGTGGCTTACACTTGTAATCCCAGCTACTTGGGAGGCTGAGGTAGGAGAACAGATTGAGCCCAGGAGGCGGATGTTGCAGCGAGCCAAGATCACCCCACTGCACTCCAGCCTAGGCAACAGAGTGAGATGCTGTCAAAAAAAAAAAAAAAAGAAAAAGGAAGGGAGGGAGGGAAATAATATTATAGAAAGCATATAAAAATATTAAGAAAGAGAAAAAAACAATCTTAACTCAGGTATCTTTGTAGAAAATGCTAGCGATTTGAGGTATTGCCTTCCTTTTTCTTTTTTTAAGAAAATTAAATCACTTATTGATTACACATGATAATAGATGATACAAGCTTCATTCCAATCTATAATTTTATCTGGTAGCATTATTCAATTTAGATACATTGCATAGGATGTGCTAACAACCATTTTTATAACCACATGATTTTGCTTGATCCCTTTTAATGGTGAACTTCAGGTCACAACAGTAACTATCAGATCCACTACACCAAGATTTCTGAAGACAATGGCATCTCCACCCAAGCGCGTTGTAAATAAATTCCGAATAGAACCTGTCATCACCCTGAAGGAATTCTAACTTCACACTGTTGGGGAAATTTACCAAGATGGCTTCAGAATAGACTAACTTTACACAGCACATTTTTCAAAAAGACATTTATTCAGCATCATCATCAGAGTATTACATTTAGCAATCAACAGCATGGGTGCAAAAAAAAAAAAAAACTACATTAAAACCCTTTGTTGGAATGCTCTTCACTTTCCACAGAGCAGAAACTAAAATTACCTGTTATACAGTTAGTCACAAATACAGTCCTTGAGTGTTTTGCCCATACACATGAGCATTTGTCTAAAACATGTCTTATTTGGAGCAGCTATTGCCTTTCTTTTCCTTTGCATATTTTCTTTTTCTTTTCTTCTTTTTTTTTTTTTTGTTTGTTTTGAGATTTTGTCTCGATTTGTTGCCCAGGCTGGAGTGCAGTGGCGTGATCTTGGCTCACTGCAACCTCTGCCTCCCAGGTTCAAGCAATTCTCCTGCCTCAGCCTCCCGAGTAGCTGGGATTACAGGTGCCTGCCACCATGCCCGGCTAATTTTTTGTGTTTTAGTAGAGACAGGGTTTCACCATGTTGGCAGGCTGGTCTCCAACTCCTGACCTCAAGTGATCCACTTGCCTCGGCCTCCCAAAGTGCTGGGATTACAGGCGTAAGCCACCGCACCCGGCCACATATTTTCATTTATTCATGGAACAGATAGTAACTGACCAAATGTTATTCTGGGATATGGGGATCTAATAGCAAACAATTGGCAAAGCTCCTGTTGTCATAAAGTAAACAAGAAAATGAATGAATAAGCTGAAATAAGGATAATTTCACATTCACCGGAGAAGAAAATTGAACAAGGTGATAAGGAGGCTTGTGTTCTCTTCTTTAGATCGGGCTTTCAGGGAAAGCCTCATGAGGGCATGATGTTGAGCCACACTTGACTTGAATTGCTAGGAAGGATGTAGCATGTGAAGAGAGGGAGAAGGGCATTCCAGGCAGAGGGAAGAGCTGTGCAGAGATCCCAGGGTGCAAACAAGCTGGGTGTGTATGAGGCACCAAAAGAGGTCCTGAGTAGCTGGAGCACAGCAAGAGACCAGGAGAGAGGGAGGAGATGTGGTCAGAGAGCTGGACAGAGGGCTGAATCATGCAGGCCTGGACAAAGGTGTGGGACTTTATTATAACTGTTAATCATTGTATATGAGTTTGTAAGAACACATTTATCCTTCTGCCTTTTTCTCTTTGACATTATTAATACACTTTCTCCATGTCATTACATAGAGCTCAAAGCCATCATTTAAAATCAATACATACAATTCCATCAAGTGGATAATAATTTACTTAACCATTTTCCCCGTGAAAAGCATGTCCTCTTAACAAATATCCCTGAGTGGCAATATGTAGGCCAGGCACAGTGGCTCACGCCTGTAATTCCAGCACTTTGGGAGGCTGAGGCAGGCAGATCATCTGAGGTCAGGAGTTCAAGACCAGCCTGGCCAACCTGGTGAAACCCCATCTCTACTAAAAATACAAAAAAAATAGCCAGGCGTGGTGGCGGTTGCCTGTAGTCCCAGCTACTCAGGAGGTTGAGGCATAAGAATCTCTTGAACCTGGGAGGTGGAGATTGCAGTGAGCCGAGATCACACCACTGCACTTCCAGCCTTGGTGACAGAGCGAGGCTCCGTCTCAAAAAAGCAAAAACAAAAATCAAAAACAACAACAACAAAGCAAAATAAGGAAATAGTTTGGACACAGACATGCGCACAGGGAGAACACATGAAGATGAAAGCAAAGATGAGGGTGATGCTTCTGCAAGCCAAGGAACAGCAAAGAGTGCCAGCAGACATCAGAACCCAGGAGAGTGGCCCGGAATAGATCCTTTCCTTACATCTCACAAGGAACCAACCCTGCTGACACCTTCATCTTGGACTTCTAGCCTCTGGAACTGTGAGACAGCAAGTTTCTGTTGTGTAAGCCACCCAGTTTGTACGAAACCCTAGCAAGCTAATATAATATCTGTGCCTGCTAGATAGCTAATGAATTAGAGAGTCCAAAAATATGTGACTGTGTCTTGGAAAATATAGAAGAAATAAAGCCCATCAATAGGTGATATTCATCTGAAGCCAATTTGTGGCTGTGGGCTTGAGTGCCACAAATTGCCAAACTACAAATTACAAAGATTTCACAAAATTCAAATTAAAGCCCATGTGGTTTCTGGAGACTCTGAATGGTCTGGCTTTGCCCAACTATGGTGTGTTATCGACAAATTATGCTACCCCATATTAATGCTGTTGGAGGGAGGAGCTAGGAACTGAATGTAAGCATCTTGATAAATTCTTTGTATTTTGCGCAGGTTTTCATGTTTTTCTTTGATTTCTAGGTGGTATAATACATGGCAGTTATTTTACATTTTGTTCCTTTTCTTTTTTGAGAGCTATACCTTTGTATAGGGGAAAAGTCACGTTCCTGTTCAATTTTAAATTCTTCTCTTCTAAGTTGTGATTTCCTTTAGCTGTCTCCAGCCCATCAGGTCTAATATTCATGCATAACAGTGTGCAGTGATGTTATGGAGGAAGATGACGAGTGGACACAGTGGGGACAGTCTCCAGCCTCCCGGCTCACTCACACCAAGGGGAGGAAAGCATTTTCTGAAGGAGCAGTGGCCAAGCCGTCTGATGGGCGATAGAGCCACCCTTCCCTTCCCAAAGCGCTACAAGAAGGGGGCCTTTTGGGGCGACTCACACTTGGTTTAGATGACAAAATCTCTCTTCTGAGGACTCAGCAGTGAAAGTACACAGTCTCAGCACAAAATCCAGTACAGTATAACCTTTTAAAGCCTTTGTCCTATTAAAGGCTATTTACCTGAGTTGGCAGGTAAAATTATGGCCTGAGGATAAAAACATGTAGGGCAGCAAATGAAAGAATTAGTGCACTGTTAAAATGCGATTTGGCATTCAAGCAGAGAAATCTTTACCTGTTGGGGCTGTCGAGGGCACCTTCAAAGGTCTTGGGCCAAGGACGCTGACAGGGCCAGAGAGGAGCACATTTGTCCCCACATTTCAGCAAGAGCCCTTTCCCACACTCACCTCCCAGTTCTGCTCTGGCAAGAAGTGTACAGGAAGGGGTGGATTCATTGTGGGCACTGCATTTAAAGTCCCCTCTTGCCAATCCCCTCACCGTTACGATGCATTTATTTTTCTTGTTTGGCTCTGATAATGATTCTGATTATCAGGTGACCTGGGGTTTGGGCCACTGGGATGCCTTTGCTTTTTAAAGTGCAAGAAAACGGGCAAGAATTACAAAAAGGCAAGTCAGAACCAAGGCATTTCAAAAACAACTTTATCGCTCTGCCGCCAATGGCCTTTGGAGGGGGAAACGTAATTGAATCACTGACTTTGAATACTGAGCCGCTTTGCATGACTCATTAAACTGCCATTTCCAACACTTTTGGCTCGTGCTGTAAGAATGATAGAATCCTATAACAATCTATATGTTTAAATTCTTTTCTATTTGAAAGCGCCTTGTGGTACAAGTGCCTTCAGATGTGAGCACAGACATCAGTTGAAATACAAGACAGTCGTAATAGAGCTAAATTTGATAAGCCACACAAGCATGACTCAGGCAACCCAGCCTCTTAAATCAGGATGCACAATTAATTGCTACTCTTTTATTTATTATCTTTAATCCCTCATTGGATACAGTTGACTTGCTACTTCCTGGGATGAGGCCACAGCATAAGCAGGGATGAATAATTTTTAAATTATGAAGCAATTTCTTTGTTACAAACCTGGGCTCAGATGTAAATTCTAATCATTTCCTTTTCCCAGGACAGTGCCCTCTGAACTCAAAAGGGCGTTCATCCTTTTCCTCCTTCTACCCGTAGCGGGCAGCAAGCCAGGCATGTCTAGTTCTTAGAGGTCATTGTTGTTTTTCTTGCCCTCACTAAGGAATTGGCATATTCCCCCGAGACTCCTTTTTGACACCCTAAAGGCTCATTTAAACCCTATCTGATATTACAAATAATAAAACTCTCCTGGGTGAACTAGCTCTTTCTCCAACCCTCTTCCACCCTGCCTCTCACTTGGCTTCTTCATTCATGTTCATTTTTTGTTGTTGTTTTTTTGAGATGGAGTCTCACTCCATCACTCAGGCTAGAATGCAGTGGCGAGATCTGAGCTCACTGCGACCTCCACCTCCCGAGTTCAAGTGATTCTCCTGCCTCAGCTTCCAAAGTATCTGGGATTATAGGTGCGCGCCATTATGCCCAGCTAATTTTTGTATTTTAGTAGAGAGGCGGGTTTCACCATGTTGGTTATGCTGATCTCAAACTCGTGACCTCAAGTGATCCGCCCTCCTTGGCCTCCCAACATTCATGTTTATTTTAGCAAGTTTTGTACCTCTTAGGAAATAAGGTTTTTCTTACTTTGAGCTGTCAGTGGTTTTGAGCTGAGCCAGAATGAATAACTCAACCGAATGAATTAACAGGCTTTGATTTCAGGAGCATCAGGAAGCCATTTTCCTTCCTGCTTATTCCACAGCTTCCTCCATTGTCTTGGTGTTGCCCAAAATGCCACTCTTAGGAATTTCATCCTTTGTTTCCTGGTAAAACGTACATTCTTGTGGCAAGCATAATGCTTTATGCCTTTTTACAGTTGAGCTTGAGTTCACAGAATCCCGTGCTGAGAGGAGGCCATGTAAGGGGGAGGAGAGGAGGGAAGTGAAGAGTGGGACAGTTGTGATGGGAGAAGGGCCACACGTCTGGAGATACCCAGAGAGCAGGAAACTGCATTGAGGGAGCACTGATGTGGAAGAAAAGCATTACCATGGAGGGTGCAGCACAATCGTCCCTCGGTCTCCACGGGGGATGGGTTCCAGGACCCCTTTCTTTTTTTTTTTTTTGAGGTGGAGTATCACTCTGTCGCCCAGGCTGGAGTGCTGCAGCGTGATCTCAGCTCCCTGAAACCTCCACCTCCCAGGTTCAAGTGATTCTCCTGCCTCAGCCTCCCCAGTAGCTGGGATTACAGATGTGCGCCACCACGCCCAGCTAATTTTTTTTTTTAATTTTTAGTAGAGACGGGGTTTCACCATGTTGGCCAGGCTCATCTTGAACTCCTGACCTCAAGTGATCCTCCTGCCTCGGCCTCCCAAAGTGCTGGGATTGCAGGCGTGAGCCACTGTGCCCGGCCCGGGACACCTTTCAGATACCAAAATCCACAGATGCTCAAGTTCCATGGCGTAATGTTTGCGTATAATTTACATAGACTCTTCCATGTACCTTAAATCATCTCTGGATTACTTATAATACCTAAAACAATGTAAATGCTATGTAAATAGTTGTTATACTGTATTGGAAAGGAATAGTAACAGAAAAAAAAATCTGTACATTTTAGGTACAGAATCAACCATCCATTTTTTGCCCCAAATATTTTCCATCTGCTGTTGGTCGAATCCACTGATGAGGGTACCCACAGATATGGACAGCTGACTGTACATATATACCCTAAGATGCTTCTTTATTAAAAACAATTCCTGATTATAGAAGTAATTGATACTTATGATAGAAAAGTTTATAAAATTTGTAAAATATTAAAAATGCCCATAATCTTTACAGGCCAGAGATATCTAATAATTTTCCATGGTGATGTTTCATGGCCCCATAATATCCCGTCATTTATTTTACCAATTCCCCATCAACGTTTGCTATTACAAGTGATAATAGCTAACTTTTACAAAGCCTTCTAGGCTCTTTTCTAAATGGCTGGTGTCAGTCAATTCACTCAATCTTTAAAGCAGCCCAGTGAGGAGGTACAGGTATTATTCTCACTTTAGAGATGAGGAAACAGGCGGCGGGGGATAACCTGTCCAGAGCCACACGCTAGACAACAGTGAATTCAAGATTCATACCCTGGCAGTTGTCTCCAGGGCTTGGGCTCTTAATGTTTCTGCACAAATTGTTTTCTGAGGCTAGTTTCCCTAAGATAGCATCTCTGGGTCCAAAGTTCAAGAGCATATTTAAGGCTCTTGATATATTGCTAAATTGCTCTCTGTAAAATTTACTCATTTGGCAATGTGTTTCCACTTCATTTGCTTCTTTGATGTTTGAAAACAAAATGAGGCCGGGCGCGGTGGCTCACGCCTGTAATCCCAGCACTTTGGGAGGCCGAGGCGGGTGGATCACGAGGTCAGGAGATCGAGACCATCCTGGCTAACACGGTGAAACCCCGTCTCTACTAAAAATATAAAAAATTAGCCGGGCGCGGTGGCGGGTGCCTGTAGTCCCAGCTACTCGGGAGGCTGAGGCAGGAGAATGGCGTGAACCCGGGAGGCGGAGCTTGCGGTGAGCTGAGATCAGGCCACTGCACTCCAGGCTGGGCAACAGAGTGAGACTCTGTCTCAAAACAAAACAAAACGAAACACCTGTGTTGCTGTAGCTGAATAGCTCTATTTACATTTTGTCTCCCATCCCTGAGCTGGCAGCAGGAGAAGGGACCAGAGAAACAAAGATTTGTCTGCACAGGAGACCTGAAGTCCTTGAATTATGACAGCTTTGGAGATTTCTAAAAGCACATTTCGATCAGGCACATCCTGGGCTTGGCCTCCCTGTTCTTTGAGTTGCCTTGGATATGAGGTGAATTATCAGTGTCACTCCTTTTGGGCTTTTCTTTTTTTGTAAACCACATGTCTGGGAGGCAATGACAGAATTCCTCCCCAGTCCTCTGTCTTCAGAGCACAGTACGTGCACTAGGACACTGGCATGGGGGAGGTGCCCCTCGGAAGGGCAGCAGGGACCAGATAGTAGCCTGAGCTAGAAAGCCCAGAGGTTTACTTGGTTGGTTGGTTGTTCGTATGTTTGTTTGTTTGCTTGTTTTTTGGAGATGGAGTCTCACTCTGTTGCCCAGGCTGGAGTGCAATGGCGTGATCTTGGCCCACTGCAACCTCTGCCTCCTAGGTTCAAGCGATTCTCCTGCCTCAGCCTCCCGAGTAGCTTGGATTACGGGCATGCACCACCATGTCCAGCTAATTTTGTATTTTTAGTAGAGACGGGGTTTCACCATGTTGGCCAGGCTGGTCTTGAACTCCCGACCTCAGGTGATCCACCCTCCTTGGCCTCCGAAAGCGCTGGGATTACAGGCATGAGCCACTGCGCCCAGCCTATTTGTTTTTTATAGAAAAGGCTCTTAAATGTCTCATGAGAGATCAGTTAACTGAATTATGGAATATCCATTCAATGGGATACTATGAATGAGGTAGATCAGTATACACTGACATGGAAAGATGACCAAGGCATTCTTTTACGTAAAAAAAGAAACAAAGAACAAATTACAGAACTGCACCCGTCATATAATCCCATTTCAGAAAATGCATAGAAAAGATTTCCTCTAGAAACTGCGATGGGCCGGGCGCAGTGGCTCACGCCTGTAATCCCAGCACTTTGGGAGGCCGAGGCGGGCGGATCACGAGGTCAGGAGATCGAGACCATCCTGGCTAACATGGTGAAACCCCATCTCTACTAAAAATACAAAAAATTATCCGGGCGTGGTGGTGGGCACCTGTAGTCCCAGCTACTCGGGAGGCTGAGGCAGGAGAATGGCGTGAACCCGGGAGGCGGAACTTGGAGTGAGCAGAGATCACGCCACTGCAGTCCAGCCTGGGCGACAGAGCGAGACTCCATCTCAAAAAAAAAATAAGTTAATAAAAATAAATAAAAGAAACTGGGATGGATAGAGTTTAGGGCCTTCCATCTTCTTTTTGAGGTGGTGTTCACTCTTTGTCATCCAGGCTGGAGTACAATGGTGAGATCTTGGCTCACTGCAACTTCTGCCTCCCGGATTCAAGCGATTCTCCTGCCTCAGACTCCAGAGTAGCTGGAATTAGAGGTGTGCACCACCACACCCAGCTAATTTTTGTATTTGTTGTGGAGATGGGGTTTCGCCATGTTGACCATCCTGGTCTCAAACTCCTGACCTCCATCTGCCCGCCTCAGCCTCCCAAAGTGCTGGGATTACAGGCGTGAGCCACCACGCTGGGCCCCATTTTTTATTTTGTATATATTTCCTTGAAATTTTCAGTGAACTTATGTTACTTTTAAAAGTAATATAAAATCAATAGAGACTTTATAGTAAGGTGGAACAGCTGGATTATAAAATTTTAAAATATGCATCACTTGAGCCCAGGAGTTTAAGACTAGTCTGGGCAACACAGCAAGACCTCATCTCTCCAAAATAAATAAATAAATAAATAAATAAATAAATAGGCCAGGTGCGGTGGCTCAAGCCTGTAATCCCAGCACTTTGGGAGGCTGAGGCGGGCAGATCACGAGGTCAGGAGTTTGAGACCAGCCTGGCCAACATGGTGAAACCCTGTCTCTACTAAAAATACAAAAATTAGCCAGGTGTGGTGGCACGTGCCTGTAGTCCCAGCTACTTGGGAGGCTGAGGCAGAAGAATCGGTTGAACCCAGGAGGCAGAGTTTGCAGTGAGCCAAGATTGCGCCACTGCACTCCAGCCTGGATGACAGAGCGAGACTCCATCTCAAAACATAAAATAAATGAATGAAATTTAAAAATTGTATCTTAATTAGGTGGGCATGATGGCATATACTTGTGGTCCCAGCTACTCAAGGGGCTGAGGTGGGAGGAGCCCTTGAGACAACGAGGTTGAGGCTGTAGTGAGCCATGATCACCCCACTGCATTCCAGTGTGGGTGACAGAGCAAGATCCTGTCTCTAAAAAATAATATTAAAATAAACATTTTAAATATGCAAACATATAAACTCATATTTATAAATGGAGAAAATTTTATATGTAGAAGTAGAAAACAGGATCTCAAGGAATATTAAAATAGTACTAATTGAACTGGTGTTTGGGGAATGGAAATATGTTGTTTTCCTTTGTATTTTCTAAATGCTTGGTAATTTCATTGCATAGCTACTGTACACTATTAACATACTTTAAATATAGATGCAGTGAAAGAAGGAATGAAATCATATTAAAATTAAAAAGGCAACTCTGAAAGGAAAGGAGAGAACGTGGAGCAGCCGTAGGAATGGAAAATCAGGATCCAGACACCTGACTTCTCCCCGAGGCTTAAACTGTGTGATCTGGGACAAGTCACTCTACCTTTCTGGGCTTCAGATTCTGCATCTAGCCTGGGGGTCCTCAAACCTAACTACACATCAGAATCACCTCAGGGGCTTTAAAGCAATCAGTGTTCCAGCCCCTCTGAGGTGGGGCCTGGGAAGGCTCAGCAGGTGATTCTGATGAGCAGACAAGGCTGGGAACCCTGAGCCAGCCTGAGCTCTGGGAGGGGCCCACCCTCCACCCAGGCCCAGAGTGATCATTTAAATAAGTAAATAAGTAGATGTTTGTGCAGATCTTGAAGAAGAAGAGCTTTAAAGACACAATGTGGCCAGATCGCCCATCAGTTTTGAAAAGTGGTTGCCCCTGACTGTGCGCGGCGGCTCACGCCTGCAATCCCAACACTCTGGGAGGCCAAGGTGGGCGGTCTGGCCAACATGGTGAAACCCCATCTCTAGTAAAAATACAAAAATTAGCCAGGCATGGTGGCACACACCTGCAATCCCAGCTACTCGGGAGATTGAGGCAGGAGAATTGCTTGACCCAGGAGGTGGAGGTTGCAGTGAGCCGAGATTGTGCCACTGCACTCCAGCCTGGGTGACAGAGTCAGACTCTGTCTCAAAAAAAAAAAAAGTGGTTGCTCTTTGCCTATAACAACCACTTGCCATTGGGGTTTTCACTCGGCATTTGGATGTAAAGAGTATGCATTTTTAAAGCTGTCCAAATGCCTATTTATGCAGCAGACCATAACTCCTCTCTTGATAGGCTGCTATGCTTTATCAAGTAAATGATACACATTTAAAAAACTGTCTGAAGGAGCATTTACCTGAGGGACTGTTATTGTGTTTGGTTTTTTTTTTTTTTTTTTTGAGCTCTCATGGTTCATTGGGTAAATAATATCTTTTAACCAATTTTTAAATAGACGTGTCTAGCAAGATGCCATTTTATCAATCTTACATACCCTTACAATCTCTCATACCCTTCAGAGAGGGCTCCTTTAGGTCATTTTAGTTTTAAATTTCACATTAAGGCCAGGTGCGGTGGCTCACGCCTGTAATCCCAGCACTCTGGGAGGCTGAGGTGGGTGGATCACCTGAGGTCAGGAGTTCAAGACCAGCCTGGCCAACATGGGGAAACCCCATCTCTACTAAAAATACAAAAAAAAAAGTAGCCAGGCGTGGTGGTGGGCACCTGTAATCCCAGACACTTGGGAGGCTGTGGCAGGAGAATTGCTTGAACCCGGGAGGCAGAGGTTGCAGTGGGCCGAGATTGTGCCATTGCATTCCAGCCTGGGTGACAAGAGTGAAACTCTGTCTCAAAAAAATAAATAAATACAAATAAAAAATAGTAAATTTCACAGTAAGATATTTTACCAAAAAAGGAAAAAGAAAGGATCAAATCTTTAAAAATGGCTTTGAAGCAAGCATCTGGCACCTGACTTTTTTTTTACTTTTAGTAGATAAAAATACTTTTTTCACTTATTCTTCTGTGGTGCTACTTCAGTGCTAAAATCAGAATATTTTTGCCTTTACGGCAATAGACCCCAGACCTGTTGTTCAGTGAGGATTCATGGATTATTTTTGAAGAAGGTGGGGAGATTGGAAATGTTGCAGAATGAGAGGGAGTTACTTAGATATGATTGGGAAGTAGAACAACTTCTGGTAGGACAGGGTTTGTGTCAGCATGAGTCATATGACTCGTCTAAGAACTAGAGGCAGGGACAGAGCATTGACATAGGGATCCTAATGAGGAGAAAAGGAGAATTCAGTAGAAAATGGCAAGTGACTAGAGCATCAGTAAATAAAACCAAGGATCTTATGTGGATCAGTGTTCTTAGTTGCAGACAACAGAATTCACTCAAGCTAGTTTAAGCAGAAAGGGGTTTACCAATGGGTATTACTGGATTCACAGAATCCCCAGGAAAGCCACACAACCTTGGAAGTTATACATAGGAACAATGCAGCCACAGATAGAGCAGCCACAAGAAATGAACCACACTTTTAAAGAGTGGTTTCCAAAGTGTGTCCCCCAACCAGTAGCATCAGCATCACCTGCGAACTTCATAGAAGTGGGAATTCTCAGGCCACTCCTCAGACCTACTGAAGGAGAAACTATGGAGTTGAGGCCCAGCAATCTGTGTTTTAATAAGCTTTCCAGGTGATTCTGATGTACAGTGAAGTTTGCAAACCACTGCCTGATGATTCTAGTGCAAGCACTAATGCTGCTGCTTCCCACTCTTTGGCACCTGCGAAATTAGGGACTGGATGCTGGAGATTCTGCCAGAGTTAACGCAGAAGAATCAGCTGTGTCTGCCCGTGTGTTTGCCAAAAGAACTCATTCCCCCCTGCCTATATATGGCTGCTGTATCACACTGGTTACTTCTAGCTCTGAGACTCCTGGAAGTCATCCTCTGGGGAGAACCAGAACCATGTTACGTATGTGCACCCCTAGCTGGAGAGGACACAAGAAATCACCTGTAGGCCGGGCACAGTGGCTCATTCCTGTATCCCCAGCATCTTGAGAGGCTGAGGTAGATGGATTGCTAGAGGCAGGGATAGAGCATTGACATAGGGATCCTAATGAGGAGAAAAGGAGAATTCAGTAGAAAATGGCAAGTGACTAAAGCATCAGTAAATAAAACCAAGGATCTTATGTGGATTAGTGTTTTTAGTTGCAGACAACAGAATTCACTCAAGCCAGTTTAAGCAGAAAGGGAGTTTGAGACCGGCCTGGGCAAAATGGCAAAACCCCATCTCTATAAAAAATACAAAAATTAGCTAGGCAGGGTGGCATGTGCCTGTAGTCGCAGCTACTTGGGAGGCTGAGGTGGGAGGATCACTTGAACCCAGGAGGTCAAGGCTGCAGTGAGCCAAGATTGTGTCACTGCATTCCAGCCTGGACAACAGTGAGACCCTGTTTCAAAAAAAAAAATGGAATTTTGCTCTCCATAATCTTCAGCTCAGAATTTAGCTAGAAAGCAACCGGAATGGACATTGAGAGAGCTAACATCAAGCAATTGACTCCATATCCCCTTCCTCTTGTGGATGTCCATGACTACATGTAAGGCAGCCTTTTACAGCAGGGTGGGCACAGAAAATGAAAGCTATTGAGACTGGCCACCCAGTCCTGGCTCCACACACAGGACAGACAACACCCCATAGGAACCCCAGCCACTGCGTGGAATCCAAAGACTTCTCCCAGATTTCAGGGAGCCTTAACTCAGACTGTGTATGAGTTACCGTAACCGTGACAGAAGAATGGCAGAAGTGGCCTGTGGTTTAAAGAAAATAACGTCCTTCCTAGCTCCCTTTTAAAATAGTAAATTGAGGTAGAAGTTGTTCCCAAGGGAACATCCCTTCCCTGCCTTGATGAAGTGGACTGTTTCCCAATACTGAACAGTTAACAAGCTTACATCCAACTGTGTGCACACATTTATTTCACAATCAGAGCAAAATCTTTGTCAATACGTTTTTTGTATTTACATTTGCCCTCTTAAGCAGTATTGCTTTAACAGTACTGACTGGAAGGTATATCAAAGCTCATTACCAACAGCAGAAGTTCATTTACTTGGTAGGCGCTGCCTGCCCCAGGTGGAGGCAGGCCAGGAAGACTGAATAAATCCAGCACTGTGTCTCTTGAGGCCCCGCTTCAACCTAACAACGCTGTACCTCCTTGTAATTCTGCTCAAACATCATCTCCTTAAAGAGGGTCTGCTTTGAGCACACAGCTCACGTTGTGCACCCAGAGGTCGCCGTGGGTCACAGTGCCCTGCATCGGCAGCTTCTCAGTACTTAGCACTCTGAAATGAGCTCGTGTTTATGTTTATTTCCCTGGCGGAACAGAAGCTCCATGGGGGAGGGACTGGTCCATCTTGTTCACCCTGGCGGCTCCATGCCTTCCTTCTCCAGTGTCTAACAGGCTCACAATGCAGTGACTATTGTGGAATGAACAAGTGAGTTTGGGTGGCCCCAGGGCTGCGGTGCTGATGTCACTAGAGTGTGGTGGGAAGCTATCACTCACCTCGCAGGTGGGAGAGGTGATGTTGGGGGATGTGGCTCCTTTGAAATATCCGCCTGTTCTGGTCGGCCGGTGCGGTGGCTCACACCTGTGATCCCAGCACTTTGGGAAGCCGAGGTGGGTGGATCATGAGGTCAGAAGATCGAGACCATCCTGGCCAACGTGGTGAAACCCCGTCTCTACTAAAAATACAAAAATTAGCCGGGCGTGGTGGCACACACCTGTAATCCCAGCTACTCAGGAGGCTGAAGCAGGAGAATCACTTGAACCTGGGAGGCGGAGGTTGCTGTGAGCCGAGATTGCGCCACTGCATTCCAGGCTGGGCGACAGAGCGAGACTCAATCTCAAAAAAATTGTGCCTGTTCTTTCCTCTGGAGACGGGTAGAGCAGCCTCACAGGGTACGGCCAGGAGGGAGGCACCCCGTGGAAGAGGCATCTCAGGCACGGTCTCGGGAAGGATCGTGGTTGTGCCAGAAGGATTGTTTCCTCCAGCCTACTCCTGAACCTGGAAACCAGCAGCTGCTCTCTCAATCAAGGAGAAAGAAAGTAGAGGCCGCACCTTCCTTACGTGGTGCTCATGGATTCAGGGAAGAAACCCAAATCATGACATGAAGGTATCTTACCTGGGGTCTTTGGTTTAAATTTGCTGTGTGTGACTAATTTAAAGAGATTTGTACTGTTTCTCATAGGTAGCCTTTTCCTTTCTCATTGCTACACAGTTGTAATTATCCTGGGTAATTTCCTTTCAAATATTTTTGTTTTATTTTAAAAATGTGAACATTGGCCGGGCGCAGTGGCTCACACCTGTAATCCCAGCACTTTGGGAGGCCGAGGCGGGTGGATCATTTGATGTCAGGAGTTCAAGACTAGCCTGGCCAATGTGGTGAGACCCCTGTCTACTAAAAATACAAAAACTAGCTGGGCGTGGAGGTGTGCACCTGTAGTCCCAGCTACTTGGGAGGCTGAGGCAGGAGAATAGCTTGAAACCGAACCTGGGAGGCAGAGGTTGCAGTGAGCCAAGATCGCGCCGTTGCACTCCAGCCTGGGCGACGGAGTGAGACTCCGTCTCAAAAAATAAATGTAAAAATGTGAACATTGATGTAGTATTTCCCCTACATATTTTAGTTTTACATTTCCTAAAACTACAAAAAGCAAAATAAGCAGAAAAGAAGCACACTTGGTTCAGACCTAAATGCTCTGATACCGTAGTTTCCCACCATACGCAGCAGAGCATGTGGGTTAAGAACATGGGCACAGAGGTAGTTTGGTTCACCTATGGGGGCCTCTGTAGTTCATTTAACATCTCAGAGCCTTTAGTGTCCTCTTTTTTAAAATGAGGATGGTGAGAGCCTCTTAAGATTTTTGTGGTAATATAATGAGCTACTGCGTGTAAAATTAGGTACGGCCTGGCCCAGAGTAAGTGCTCAACTATCATTAGCTGGGAGCAGACCAGGGGCTAAGGTAAGTGTATCCTCAGGAGAGTAAGCTAATCAGCCACTTTGGAGCATGCCCCCAGCTCTCACACAGGAAGATTTAGTCACTGTCCTGGGTTGACAATTGTCATATCACCCCCCACCCCCAAATTCATGTTCACCTGCAACCTCAGAATGTGATCTCATTTGGAAATAGGATCTTTGTAGATGTAATTAGTCAATTTAAAGTGAGGTCAGGCTGGGCACAGTGGCTCATGCCTATAATCCCAGCACTTTGGGAGGCTGAGGCGGGCAGATTGCTTGAGCCTAGGAGTTGGAGACCAGCCTGGGC
This sequence comes from Homo sapiens, assembly GCF_000001405.40. Taxonomy (NCBI): domain Eukaryota; kingdom Metazoa; phylum Chordata; class Mammalia; order Primates; family Hominidae; genus Homo; species Homo sapiens. The sequence continues at coordinate 790,482 of NC_000009.12, read as the reverse complement.
AACATGGCAAAACTCCTCCCTACCAAAAATACAAAAATTATCCTGATGTGGTGGCGTGCCCCTGTAGACTCAGCTATTCAAGGGGCTGAGGTGGGAGGATTGCTTGAGCCCTGGAGGTCAAGGCTGCAGTGAGCCATGACCCACTGCACTCTAGCCTGGGTGACAGAGATCCTGTCCAAAAAAGCCAAAAAAAACAAATTGATGTCATACTGGATTAGAGGGGGCTAATTCAATTCCTGGTATCCTTATATGAAGAGGGAGAATGTGGACACAGACACACAGGGGACAACACCATGTGAAGACCCAGACACAGAGGGAAGAGGACCGGATGAAGACAGGTAGAGTTTGCAGTGATGTATCTACACACCAAGGAATGCCAGGGTTGCTAGCCACCACTGGAAGTGAGTGGAGACAAGGGCTCTCTTATATTCTTCAAAGAGAGCTTAGTGCTGCCAGCACCTTGATTTTGGACTTCCAGCCTCCAGAGCTGTGAGACAATTTATATTGTTTTAAGTCACCCAGTTTGTAGTAATTTTGTTACAGTAGTCCTCGCAAACCAATAGTCATTTAGCAGAGACCACACTGCATTGAGTGGGCCTTATGCCCTGCTTTCAGCTAAAGCCTCTTGCTTTCTTTAGTGGGAAATTTTAGCATGAAGGAGATTAAGAGAACAAGACTTTAGGGTTTTGACAAATGGGCTATAGCTGATACTTCATTAGATTGTCAGGCATGTGAACAGATTGAGGAGGATCTTAACATGCATTAATTACTGAACTCAGAAATGTTGCTGCAGCAGCAGCAGCACTGACAGGCTTTCCCTGTGACTTTTTTTTTTTTTTTTTTTTTTTTTTTTTTTTTTTTTTTTTTTTTTTTTTTTGGCCAAGGTCTCACTCTGTTGCCGAGGCTGAAGTGCAGTGGCACCATCACGGCTCACTGCAGTCTCAACCAGGGCTCAGGCAATCGTTCCACTTCAGCCATCCAAATAGCTGGGACTACAGGCATGTGCCACCATGCCTGGCTAATTTTAAAATTTTTTGTAGAGATGAAGTTATACTATGTTGCCCAGGCTGGTGTCAAACTCCTGGAATCAAGCAATCCTCCTGTCTTGGCCTCCCAAGGAGCTGGGATTACAGGTGTAAGCCACCACACCCAGTCTCTGTGACTTTTTTTTTGTTGGAGTCTCCCTCTGTTGCTAGGCTGGAGTGCAGTGGCATGATCTTGGCTCATTGCAACCTCCACCTCCCAGGTTCAAGTGATTCTCATGCCTCAGCCTCCTGAGTAGCTGGGACTCCAGGTGTGTGCCACCGTGCCCAGCTAATTTTCGTAGTTCTAGTGGAGATGAGGTTTCACCATGTTGGCCAGAATGGTCTCAGTCTCCTGACCTCATGATCTGCCCACCTTGGCCTCCCAAAGTGTTGGGATTACAGGTATGAGCCACTGTGCCCGGCCCCCTGTGACTTTTAAGAGTCCGTGTAGCACTGTGCAGTTAGGGTATTTTACAGTGCAAAGTGCTCATCAACAGAAAACAAGTGAGAAACCAGCACCACTCAGTGTGGTGCAGAGGTGCCACCCACACCAGCCTTCCCTCATTAGACCCTGTGCCCTGGCCTGCAGGGTATGTGCAGTGGCCCAAGAAGCAGCCGCACCCTACCATAGCATCCTAGCTGGACTCCAGCCCCGCGCAGCATCTTGTTCATTTATTTGCTTACTACACATCTATATCTCTCCTAAACTAAGCAAAATCAATTGAAGCGACAACAAAAATCTTTTCCTCCATCTTGCAGCCCTAGTTACTGCCATTTAGCCAACCACCTTTCCCCATTCAAGTGTCCATTTCCTTATTCAGCATAGATAGATGGAGCTCATTTATGTGCTGGGCGCTGGACAAGCTGGGAATAACAGCAGATACTTAGCACTCTGTTGGGCACTGTGCTGAAGGATTTGCATATATTATCCCTTCCAATATTCACAACCCCACTAAATAATATAAAATTTTCTGTTTTACAGATGAAGAAACAGGCACAGTGATGGCAGGTGACTTGTTCAAAGAGCTAGACCAGCTCAAGGCCTACGTTCTTTACCACTGAGGCCTGTGTGTCTCTTAGAGTAAGATACAATCCCACCCTCCAAGGAGCCCCTCTGGAAACTTCCCAGCACCTTTTCCTAAAAGCTTTGATCCTGGCCAGAAGACCTCAGCTTTCGTCTTTTCGTCTATAAAATATGAACTCTAATACTCTCAGCTTCTTAGAACTGTTGAGTAAGTAACGTGATGCTTAAGAGTGATAAGCCGAGCGCTCCAAGGTGTCTGTTGAATGGAAGTGACAACAATTTATATTAATTGATTCCAAATGTGTATTCATTTATTGTCATGGAATCAGGTGTGTTCAGCTCAGTTTTGTGGGTTCAAGGTCATGACACCCCTTTCTGTCCTGCTCTCTGCTACATACTGGGCAAAAGGGGCCTCAAAAGGGTGGCCTCCCCTGCTACAGAAGCTTGTGATAGGATAAGACCACATAGATGAGAAGAGAGCTAAGATTTTCTCAATCCTTTTCATCTTTCTTCGACCAAATGCATCCTGCAAACGAACTGACTATATACAGATATCTTCGCAAGCTCTTGAAGACCCCAAACAGTACCTTTTGGAGGGTGGCTATTATGGGCTGAATTGTGTGCTCCCCACCAAAATTCCTATGTTGAAGTCCTAACCTTGCAGGACCTTAGAATGTGACTATATTTGGAGATAGGGTCTTTAAAGAAGTACTTCCATTAACATGAGATAAATAGAGTGGGCCCTGATCCGGTATGACTGGTGGCCCTCTAAGAAGAGGAAATTTGGCGGGGCACGGTGGCTCACGCCTGTAATCCCAGACCTTTGGGAGGCCAAGGTGGGCGGATCACCTGAGGAGTTCGTGACCAGCCTGGCCAACATGGTGAAACCCTGTCTCTACTAAAAATACAAAAATTAGCCAGGCGTGATGGTGGGTGCCTGTAATCCTAGCTACTTGGGCAGCTGAGGCAGGAGAATTGCTTGAACCCAGGAGGAGGAGGTTGCAGTGAGCTGAAATGAGGCCATTGCACTCCACACTGGGTGACGAGTGAAACTCTGTCTCAAAAAAAAAAAAAGAAATTTGGATACAAACATACATGGAAAGATGTGAATATACCTGAGAAAGATGGCCATGTACAACCTAAATAGGCTTGAACAGATCCTTTTTTTGTGTGGTCTTGGAAGGAACCGACCCTCCAGAAACCTTGCTCTGAGACCCATCCTGCAGAACTGTGAGGCATACACTGTTGTGAGGCTGCCCAGTCTGTGGCGCTTTGTTCCTGCAGCCCTAGAAACCGAATACAGTGGCTTGCACATGAACAGGAACCTCTTTAGGCTCCAGAAGGTTGGGGGTGGTGGGGAGATTTTGTGGTTTAATCAGTCTTCAGGGATATCCACACAAAAAGGCCTGAACTACAGTGTGAGACAATCAGTGAAGATGCTAAGATTTATAAAACTTTTAGCTCCCAAAGGGTATTGTGGAATCAACTTCATTGAAATTCCCTAAAAACTGAGCAGACTCTCCCTTATTATGGATTAAATCACTGTAGAAAGAGTTTTGGAGTAGCTGTTAGGAAGATGCTTGATTTTTAGTCCTTTCTGCGCTAGTATTAGGATGGGCTAGGTTATGCTGTAGAAACCTACAAGCTAAAAATTTCAGTGGCTTAAAATGACAAAGACATTTTTGCTTTTTTGTTTTTGAGACAGCTTTGCTCTGTTGCTCAGGCTGGAGAGAAGTGGCATGATCTCAGCTCACTGCAACGTCTGCTTCTGAGGTTCAAGTGATCCTCCCCTCTCAGCCTTCCAAATAGCTGGGACTCTAGGTGCATACCCGGTTAATGTTTGTTTTGTTTTGTTTTCGTAGAGACAGGTTTTACTTTGTTGCTCAAGCTAGTCTTGAACTTCTGAGCTCAAACAATCCAACCCCCTCAGCCTCCCGCCGTGCCGGGATTGTAGGGTGAGCCACTGAGCCTGGCCTGTGGGGTTTTTGCTCATCCAACTTGTCCATCAGTGCACTGTTGGCTGGAGGCTCTGCTTTGCATCCTTCCTGCAGGCCCCAGGCTAAAGGAGCAGCCACTCTGTAGAACGTTCCCAGTCATTGTAAAGGGAAAGGGAGCTCTCGAGGGTCTCACACTGACAATTACGTACTCAGGCTCAGAAGTGACATATGTCACTTCTGCTCATGATTCATTGGTCAGAACTAGTCATTCAGTCTCTACCAACTACAAGGGGAACAGGAAGTGCAGCCCTACCCTGTCCCCAGAATGAGAGAGAACTAGAATACTTAGTGAACATCACTGATAAGTCTAACAGTCGACCCATCTGGTAACCAAATATTCAATTCAGCCCTCCTTCCCATGCAATATACCCATCCCCCTCCCATTTCCTAGGGAGCCCCAGCGTCCCATCCAGTTTCAGTATTCAGCTCAAAGTTTAGGATGTCATGATGGTGTCTACTTTAGTGAATGAGGCACAGTCTCACTGATGTGGAGTACGGCTCCTCTTGATTTTGAAACCAGCGAACTAGGAAAATGAGCTATTCGTGTTCTCTCTCTAAAAATGCAATCGTTGAATAAGGCTGGGATAACAGCATTAAATGCTCCCAGTGGAAATGGGAGAAGTGGGAGATATACAGCATTTGCTGGTCCATAGCAATCCTGAAGTAGACTAAAGGTGGGCGGATGTTCCGAGACCTCCACTCTTGCAGAGACGGTATGTTTCTTGAATCGGCAGCCCTGGGTCAGCTCCCACGAGTTGTTCCCTGTCTGTGTTCTCCATGGCCTTTGGTTCTGCTTTGTTTTTTCTTTACTTTCTTGGGTATCATCTGAAGAGGGCATAAATGAGATGATCTGTTATATATTATGATATATATGACATATTTGAAAGAATACACACAGGTTTTCATCCACATTTCCTGGCTCATAACTCCCATAGCCCTTGTTATAATGTTAGGGCCCTTTAGGCCTTAGAAAACAGAATCTCTCTTTCTCTTGCCCTCCATTCACTTGCTCGTTTTCTTTCCAAGGCAGGAATGTCCCCCAGCCTTTCGGTCTTGAAGCTGACTATAAAGAAATTCTCTGATCTATCTTGTCTGATTATAGGCCATAAGATGTAAAGAAAGGGTCCTGCCCCATACCCAGGAGGAAGGAATGCTGCACAGAGAGGCCAGGAAGAATCTGAACAGACAGGCCTTGCTGGGTTTCCCCACTCAGTCTATTAGTATTTATTAGATCATACCTTTTTTGTCCAGCCAGTTCCACATGGCTATCCATCTTTCAGTCATGCCTATCAAACGAAGTCTCTGTAAAAGGCCCAAGGGGGTGGATTCTCCATACCTCTCTAAAAGTATGGAGAACTTCTGGATAGCTGAATACGTGGAGGTTCCTGGAATGCAGTGTCCTTAGGGAGGGCATGGAATCTCCATACCCCTTCCATACATCTCTATGTATCTTTTTATCTGTATCCTTTGTAATATTCTTTTTTTTTTTTTTTTTTGAGATGGCATCTTGCTGTGTCACCCAGGCTGGAGTACAGTGGTGTGATCTCAGCTCACTGCAACCTCCACCTCCCGGGCTCAAGTGGTTCTCCTGCCTCAGCCTCCTGAGTAGCTGGGGTTACAGGTGTGCACTGCTATGCCTGGCTAATGTTTTTGTATTTTTAGTAGAGACGGGGTTTCACCATGTTGGCCAGGTTGGTCTCGAACTCCTGACCTCAGGTGATCCACCCGCCTTGGCCTCCCAAAGTGCTGGGATTACAGGCGTGAGCCACTGCACCTGGCCTGTAATATTCTTTCTAATAAACCAGTAAACCTAAGTGTTTCCCTGAGTTCTGTAAGCCATCCTGGCAAATCAGACTCAAAGAGGAGGTTGTGGGATCCCCAATTTACAGCTAGTTGGTCAGAAGCATGTAACACAACCTTAGGCTTTCAACTGGCATCAGAATTGGGGACAGTCTTGTGGGACTGAGCCCTCAGCATGTGGTGTCTGACACTGTCTCCAGGTAGAGAGTGTTGGAGTTGAACTGGATTGGAGGATACCCAGATGATGTCACTGCATGTTGATTTACTTGCTTGGCACGTAGGGAAAAACCCCTACACATCTGGCCACAGAAGCCCTCAGTGTTGATTATTGTGGAATGAGCATAGAGGAAAGACAGTTTGTGATTTGACCTCACAACCTCCTTGGGGGATGAACAGCATTCTCTGACTGGTTGCTGCTCCACAGTGATGGTGGGCGGCGGGGAGGGGAGGAATAAGTGAACTAAGGACTGGGGAGGGGAGAAGGAAAGGGGAAAATGGGGAGAAGCTGGCCAACAGGTACCAGGTTTCAATTAGATAGAAGTAAATTCTGGTGTTCTTTTAGTCAGGTGACGGTGATTAATGGTAAGGTACTGAATATTATAAAACAGCTAAAATAGAGGCTTTTGGATGTTCTCGCTGCAAAGAAATAAGTGCCTGAGGTGACACATTAAAAACCCTGATTGGATCGTTATACAGTATATAATATCAAAACATCAAATTGTATCGCATAAATATCTATAATTACAAGATGTCATTACAAGGATCATTTAAAATCTCCAGCAGTCACAAACATTTTTAGGCTAGGCTAGTGCTTCCTTTAAAAACACGGTTAACTTCTTGACTATTTTAGTCTAGTCGGTGCTGAGGCTAAAGCAGCTCCATCTTTGATGCTAATCTGCCACGTTGACTTCTTCAACGCTAGTCCCGGGAATGCCTGTAAGATTTCTACTTTCATGTACCACAAATCCTGCCATTAGATTGTTTACCTTGATGTTAATGTAAACACATACTTACCATAAATACTGCCGTGAGGCAAATTCCCTCTAATATATAAGCCCTGGGTCTGGGATGGGGGTAACAGAGAGGGGACACCCCATCTCTTCGCCTGCAGCCTGAGGCATGGCTTGTGTTTTTAAGGGCCTATTACATTTTTGTTTTGTTTTTTGTTTTCTTCCCCGCTGAGAAACTGGATTTGTTGCCTCCTCCTCTGGCCCCTCAGCTTCCTCAGACTTTGAGGGTAGGTTTACATAGACCTGCTTAGCACAGAACATTTTCAGGTGCTTTTTTTTTAAATTGATATCTTGTAATTATAGATATTTATGAAATACAGTTTGACGTTTTGATATTATATATTGTATAATGATCAAACCAGGGTATTTAATGTGTCACCTCATGCACTTATTTCTTTGTGGTGAGAACATGGCAAAAGCCTCTATTTTAGCTGTTTTATAATATACAGTACCTTACCGTTAATCGTCGTCACCTGACTGTAGCACAACACCAGAACTTACTTCTATCTAATTGAAACCTGGTACCTGTTGGCCAGCTTCTCCCCATTTTCCCCTTTCCTTCTCCCCTCCCCAGTCCTTATTTTCACTTAACATAATGTCCTACAGGTTCATGGATATTGTCACAAAGGACAGGACTTCATTCTTTTTTATGGTGGAATAGTATTGTGTATGATAACTACATTTTCTTTATCCATTTGTCACTTGCTGCTCCCTTAGGTTGATTCCATAGTTTGGCTATTGTGACTAGTCCTGCAATAAACACGGATGTACAGCTATCTCTCCAACATACTGGATTTCCTTTAGCTATCTGGTAGCGAGACTGCTAGATTATGTGGTAGTTCTATTTTTAATTTTTGTGGAACCTCTGTACTATTTTCCACTCTACTAAAATACAGTCCCATCAACACTGTATGTTCCCTTTTCTCCACATCCTTGACAAATCTTGTTTTCTTTGTTTTTTATTATAGTCCTTGTAATTGGAGTGAGGTGGTATCTCATTGTGGCTTTGATTTGCATTTCCCTGACAATTAGTGATGTTGAAAATTTTTTCCTGTACCCTCTAGCCATTTATATGTCTTCTTTTAAGAAATGTCTATTAAGGCATTTTGCCCATTTTAAAATCAGGTTATTATTATTTGCTGTTAAGTTTCTTATATATTCTGGGCCAGGAGTGGTGGCTTATGCCTATAATCCCAGCACTTTGGGAGAGAGCGAGGCAGGTGGATTACCTGAGGGTCAGGAGTTCGAGACCAGCCTGGCCAACATGGTGAAACCTTGTCTCTACTAAAAATACAAAAATTAGCCAGGTGTGGTGGCACATGCCTGTAATCCCAGCTACTCGGGAGGCTGAGGTAGGAGAATTGCTTGAACCTGGGAGGCAGAGGTTGCAGTGAGTCGAGATTGGGCCACTCCACTCCAGCCTGGGCGACACAGCAAGACTCTGTCTTGGGTGGGGGAAAAAAGTTCCTTATATATTCTGGATATTAATCCCTTGTCAGATGTAGAGTTTGTAAATATTTTCTCCCATTCTGTAGATTTTCTCTTCACTCTGTTGTTTCCTTTGCTAGGCAAGAGCTTTTCAGTTTGATGTAATCCAATTTGTCTAGTTTTGCTTTTGTTACCTGTGCTTTTGAGGGGTCTTCTTTAAAAAACCCTTGTGGAGCCCAGTGTTGTAAAGCATTTCCCCTATGTTTTCTTCTAGTAGTTTTATAGTGTTGGGTTTTACGTTTAAGTCCTTAATCCATTTTGAATTGATTTTTGTATAAGGTGAGAGGTAGGGGTCTAGTTTCATTTTTCTGTATGTGGATATCCAATTTTCCCAACACCATTTATTGAAGAGACTACCTTTTCCCTAATGTATGTTCTTGATACGTTTATTGAAAATCAGGTGGGGCATGGTGGCTCACGCCTATAATCCCAGCATTTTGGGAGGCCAAGGTGGGTGGATCACTTGAGATCAGGAGTTTGAGACCAGCCTGGCCAACATGGTGAAACCGTCTCTCTACTAAAAATACAAAAATATTAGCCAGGTGTGGTGATCCGTACCTGTAGTCCCAGCTATTCAGGAGGCTGAGGTGGGAGAATCACTTGAACCTGGGAGGTGGAGGCTGCAGTGAGCCGACATAGTGCCATTGCACTCCAGCTTGGGTGACAGAGTGAGACTCTGTCTCAAAAAAAAAAAAAAAAAAGTTGGCTGTGGGTGCATGAACTTATTTTTGGGCCCTCTATACTGTTGCATTGTTCTGTGTGTCTGTATTTATGCCAACTTTAATCATGTTGTTTTGTTTATTACAGTATAATTTGAAATAAAGTAGTATGATACCTCTAGATTTGTTCTTTTTGCTCAGGATTGTTTTGGCTATTGTGAGGTCTTTTGTGGTTCCATATGAGTTTTAGTATTTTTTCTGTTTCTGTGAAGAATGTCATTGGCATTTTGATAGGGATTGCATTGAATCTGTAGATCACTTTGGATAGTATGGCCATCTTAACAAAATTATTCTAATCCATTAACATAGGATAGCTTTCCATTTATTTGTGTCATCTTTCATCAGTGTTTTATAGTTTTAATTGTAGAGATCTTTCACTGTCTTGGTAAAGTTTATCCCTAGGTATCTTATTGGTTTTGTAGCTATTGTAAATAGAATTGTTTTGTTAATTTCTTTTTCAGATAGTTAACTATTAACAAATAGAAACACTTGATTTTTGTATGTTGATTTTGTTTCCTGTGACTTTAAATTCATTTTTTAGTTCTAACAGCATTTTGGTGGAGCCTTTAGGGTTTTCTATATGTAAGATCATGTAGCCTGAAAACAGGGACAATTCGACCATCGGGGGACCGGCCCCGATAATCACGTAGGTTCTTTTCTATTTTCCTAAGCGTCGGCTGGCTTGAGAAATGAAAGGACAGAGTACAAAAGAGAGAAATTTTAAAGCTAGGCGTCCGGGGGAGTCATCACACATAGGTAGGATCCGTGATGCCCCACAAGCCACAAAAACCAGCAAGTTTTTATTAGGGAGTTTCAAAAGGGGAGGGAGTATACAAATAGGTGTGGGTGACAGACATCAAGTACTTAACAGGGTAATAGTATATCACAAGGCAAGTGGAGGCAGGGCGAGATCACAGGACCACAGGACAGAAGCGAAATTAAAATTGCTAATGAAGTTTTGGGCACCATTGTCATTGATAACATCTTATCAGGAGACAGGGTTTTGAGATCAACTGCTCTGACCAAAATTTATTAGGTGGGAATTTCCTTTTCCTAATTAGCCTGGAAGTGCTATGGGAGACTGGAGTTTATTTCACTCCTGCAGTCTCAACCACAGGTACGCCCCAGTGGGGCCAGTTCAGAGACCTACCCCTAGGTGTGCATTCTCTTTCTCAGGGATATCCCATGCTGAGAAAAAGAATTCAGCAATATTTCTCCCATTTGCTTTTGAAAGAAGAGAAATATGGCTCTGTTCTGCCCGGCTCACCGGCGGTCAGAGTTTAAGCTTATCTCTCTTATTCCCTGAACAATTGCTGTTATCCTGTTCTTTTTTCAGGGTGCCCACATTTCATATTGCTCAAACACACATGCTGTACAATTTTTGTAGTTAACGCAATTATTACAGGGTCCTGGAACGATATACATCCTTCTCGGCTGACAGGATTAAGAGATTAAAGTAAAGACAGGCATAGGAAATCACAAGGGTATTGATTGGGGAAGTGGTTAAGTGTCCATGAAATCTTTACAATTTATGTTTAAAGATTACAGTAAAGATAGGCATAAGAAATTACAAAAGTGTTAATTTGGGGAACTAATAAATGTCCATAAAATCTTCACAATCCATGTTCTTCTGTCATGGCTTCAGCCAGTCCCTCCGTTTGGGGTCCCTGACTTCCCGCAACATTCGACTCCCCTCTTTGCAATTTGGATACCTTTTTTTATTGTCTAATTGCTGTGACTAGGACTTCCAGTACTAGGTTGAATAGGATTGGTAAAAGTGGGCATCCTTATCTTGTTCCTGATCATACCCCATTCAGTATGTTAGCTATGGGTTTGTCATATATGGCCTTTATTGTGTTGAGGTACATTCTTTCTCTACGTAATTTGTTGAGAGTTTTTTCATGAAGCGATGCATTTTGTCAAGTACTTTTTCTGTATCGATTGAAATGATAATGATTATTTTTGTTTCTTTTTGTTAATGTGATATATCACATTTATTGATTTGAGTATATTGAACCATCCTTGTATCTCTTGGATGAATCCTATTTGATCATAATGAATTATCTTTTTAGTGTGCTATTGAATTTCCTTTACTGGTATCTTGTTGAGAATTTTTGCATCTATGTTTATCAAAGATACTGGCCTGTAGTTTTCTTTTTTGTTGTGTCCTTGTCTGGTTTTGGAATCAGGGTAATATTGGCCTCATAAAATGAATTTGAAAGTATTCCATCCTCTCAAGTTTCTGAAATAGTTTGAGGAGAATGGTGTTAGTTCTTCTGTAAATGTGTAGTAGAATTCAGCAGTGAAGTCATCAGGTTCTGGGCTTTTTTTTTTTTTTTTTTTTTTTTTGGAAGACTTCAACTTTTCTGAGTTACTACTAGTCTTCAGATTTTCTATTTATTCATAATTCAATTTTGGTAGGTTGTATGTGTCTAGGAATTTATCCCTTTCTTGAGTGTTCTCACATTTGTTGGCTTATAGTTACTCATAATGGTGTCTTATGATCCTTCATATTTCTACAATATAAGTTGTAATGTCTACTTTTTCATCTCTGATTTCATTTATTCAGGTCTTTTTTTCTTAGTCTAGCTAAAGGTTTATTGATTTTTGCTTATCTTTTCAAAAAACCAACTCTTCATTTTGTTGATCTTCTGAAATGTTTAGTCTGTGTTTTATTTCTGCTCTGAGCTTTATTCTTTTCTCCCTTCTACCAGTGTTGGGCTTAGTTTGTTCTTGTAGTTCCTTGAGGTGCATGGTTAGCTTGTTTATTATAAATCTTTCTCCTTTGTTGATGTAGGCATTTGTTGCTATGAACTTCTCCCTCTTAGAACTGTTTTGCTGTGACCCATAGGTTTTGGAGTGTGCTTCCAGTCTCATTTGTCTTAAGGAATTTTTAAATTCCCCCTCGCCCCTTTATTGTCTTCATTGACCCACTGGTTATTTAGAAGCATTCTCCATTTATTTATAGAGTTTCTAAAGTTTTTCCTATTGATTTCTAGTTTTATACCATTGCATTCCAAAAAGATACTTACTATTTCAGTTTGTTAAAACTTGTTTTGTGGCCTACTGAGATTTGTTAGCTTTTGCTTGTCTGGGAAGGTCTTCATTGTGCCTTCATTTCTGAAGGATAGCTTTGCCAAATAGTTTATTCTTGGTGGAAAGTTTTTTTTTTTCTTTCAACACTTTGAAGTTTATAATCCCATTGTCTCCTGACCTGTAAAGTTTCTGCTGATAAATCTGCTGATAGTCTAATGGAGATTCCCTTATATATGACTTGATGTTTTCTCTTACAGCTTTTAGAATCCTTACTTTGCCTTTGCCTTTTGACAGTTTGATATAATGTACCTTGAAAGGGTTTCTAGGGGTTGAATCTTATTGGGGACTTTTTTTTTTGAGGCAGTATCTTGCTCTCTGTTGTCCAGACTTGAGTGTAGTAGTGTGATTGTAGCTCATTGCAACCTCAAATTCCTGGACTCAAGTGATCCTCCTGCCCTAGCCTCCCAAGTAGCTAGTAGTTAGTATTAGTATTAGTTTGTTTGTTTGCTTTTGTAGAGACAGGGTATCACTGTGTTGCCCAGGCTGGTCTCAAACTCCTGGACTCAAGTGATCCTCCTGCCTCAGCCTCTCAAAGTGCTAAGATTGCAGACATGAGCCACCATGCCTGGTCTCACTGGGGACTTTTAAGCTTCCTGGATTTGGATATACATCTCTCTCAAGATTTAGGAAGTCTTCAGCTATTATTTCATTAAATAGGTTTTATATTCCTTTCTCCACTTCCTCTCCTTTTGACATTTCTATAATATAAATACTTGTTTGCTTAAACAAGTATTAAATTTTCATTTTTTTTATTTTTATTTTTTGTCACCCAGGCTGGAATGCAGTGGTGTGAACATGGCTCATTGCAACTTCAACCTCCGAGGCTCAAGCAATCTTCCTGCCTTAGCCTCCTGAGTAGCTAGGACCACAGGCACTTGCCATCATGGCTGGCTAATTTTTGTGTCTTTTGTAGACACGAGGTTTTGCCATGTTGCCCAGGCTGATCTTGAACTCCTGAGCTCAAACAATCAGCCCATCTCTGCCTCCCAAAGTGCTGGGATTACAGGCAAGAGCCACCATGCCCAGTCAACACCTGTCTTAAAGTTCAGAAATTCATTTGCTTAATCTAGTCTGCTGTCGAAGCTCTCAGTTGTATTTTTTTTATTTCATTCATTGAACTCTCCAGCTCCAAGATTTGTTTTTTGATTCCTTTTTATGGTATCTATCTCTGTTGAATTTCTCATTCAGATTATAAATTCTTCCTGGTTTCACTACATTGTTTGTATTCTCTTGTATCTTGCTGTGATTCCTTAAGATCATTACTTGGAATTTCTTTTTCTTTTCAGCCATTTCATAAATAACCTTTTCTTTGGGATCTATTATGGAGATGTGTTGTGTTCCATTGGGGCTGTCATGTTTCCTTGATTTTTATCATGTTTCTTATATCCCTACATTGAGATCTATGCATCTAGTGGAACAGGCACTTTTCCCAATTTTATGGAGTGGCTTTTATAGGAAAAGCTTTTTTCCCTGTAATTGGGTCCTAGGATGTTGATTGGGAATGGTGCATTGCTTTAGGTTCTGGATGAACTCAGTAACATGGTCTTTGTACAGATTCTTCCACTGTAATTCTTGATTGTGATGTCTGCAATTGTCTCAGTGACCTAGGCCATGGGGGTTCGTGACAGTGGTGTTGCAGTTTTGCTGGGGCTGGGGGCACTGGGTTGGTTGTCAGGTCAGAGGAGGGGTGTGTGTGTGTGTGTGTGTGCGTGTGTGATGAGCTGGCAAGCTGTGCAGTGAGCTCTGCAGAAGGGCAGGGCCACCACTAGGCTGGGTGCTGGCATGCATGCCAGGGAGCTGCGTGGGGCTCTCTCTGGAGGAACAGGGTTGCATCCTCTTGGCTGCATGTTTGGCTGAGGGTAGGTACATGAGAGCTGGGTAGCTGAGTAGCTCTTTGGCAAGTAGGGGGCATCTCTAGGCTGGCTGTCATGCCAGGGGCAGGCACATGCAGGCCAGGCTGCTGTCACGGCTTCCCGACTATGCAGGTCCTCCTGTTTCCCTGGGGAATAGGGTTTCTCATTGGTTCAGATATTGGGGTTTTGGTCATTCCTCCAGGCCTAGGCTCTGAGCAGTTGGAGTATTGGTGCTGTAAGTACCATGTGAATGTAGTGGGATGATGGCAGGGCCTCAGGAATGGAGGGGGGTTAGTGGCTACTGGCCCCTAGGACAGGATGTACTCCAGCTGTGGGTCTGGTTTCAAGATGGTGTTGTGCCCTACCAGCTTAGATCATGGAGGTTGGGAGTGCCAAGAGTGTTCCTGTTCCGGGGCAAGGTAGTGGTGTGGACTCCTGGCAAGAGTTTCTCCTGGATTTAAGGACTGTGAGGACTGGGAGACCCTCCTATAGCAATGATTTCTGGTGTTTGTGGCAGTGGTGGGGACCTGTGAGGGTCTCCAGCTTACCTTTTTCCCTGTAAGAAGAGGTCTCCTCTGGCTCTGAGCTGAATCCAGTTGGGGAGACAGTGTGTCAGAGGCAGGATGCCTCACTTCCCTCTCTGTGGTGCCATCCTGAGCTTCTGTGCCCTGCAGGGATTTCACCACTCCACTGGTACTTTCCAGCATTCTTTCTCCATCACTCTAGTCAAAATACAGTTTGTTTTTTTTTTGGTCTTCCTCAAAGCCAACATGGAAGAATGTTTTTCACAAGACAGGCATTAGAAGCTACATAATATGGGCCAGGCGCGGTGGCTTACTCCTCTAGTCTCGGCACTTTGGGAGGCCAAAGTGGGCAGATCACTTGAGGCCAGGAGCTGAAGACCAGCCTGATCAACATGGCAAAACCTCATCTCTACTAAAAATACAAAACTTAGCCAGGTGTGGTGGTGCATGCCTGTAATCCCAACTACTCGGGAGGTCGAGGCACGAGAATCACTTGAACCTAGGAGGCAGTGAGCCGAGAATGCATCACTGCAATGGTAACATTGCTAGCCTGAGCAACAGAGCAAGACTGTCACATTTAAAAAAAAAAAAAAAAAAAGGCTGCTACGTAATATCACAAGTGACATTCTATCACCCTTTGCCATATTGTTTTGATTGAAGCAAGTCCCAGGTCCCACCCACAGTTGGAGATGCACATCACATAGGTGTGAATGTCACAGGCCCAGATGATGGGACAACCATTGAATCTGTCTGCCACACTAATTTTCTGATTATATATATATATATATATATATATATATTTATTATTTATTTTTATTTTTTGAGATGGAGTTTTGCTCTTGTTCCCTAGGCTGGAGTTCAATGGTGCGATCTTGGCTCACTGCAACCTCTGCCTCCCAGGTTCAAGCGATTCTCCTGCTTCAACCTCCTGAGTAGCCGGGATTCCAGGCATGCACCACTATGCGTGACTAATTTTGTATTTTTAGTAGAGACAGGGTTTCTCCATGTTGGTCAGGATGGTCACAGACTCCAACCTCAGGTGATCCACCCGCCTTGGCCTCCCGAAGTGTTGGGATTACAGGCATAAGCCACTGCCCTGTGCCAATTTTCTAATTATTTAAAGTACATATGTAGCTTCTGTAATAATGTGCTATTTTTAAAATATTGGGCCAGATTCAGTGGCTCATGCCTGTAATCCCAGCACTTTGGGAGGCTGAGGTGGGTGGATCACCTGAGGTCAGGAGTTCGAGACCAGCCTGGTCAACATGGTGAAACTCTGTCTGTACTAAAAATATAAAAATTAGTGGGGCGTGGTGGCATGCACCTGTAATCCTAGTTACTCAGAAGGCTGAGGCTGGAGAATGGCTTGAACCTGGGAGGCGGAGGTTGCAGTGAGCTGAGATTGTGCCACCGTACTCCAGCTGGGACGACAGAGCAAGATTTGGTCTCAAAAAAAAGCTAGTTGAGCCTGGTGGCCAGCGCCTATAATCCCAGCTACTCGGGAGGCTGAGGCACGAGAATCAGTTGAACCTGGGAGGCTGAGGTTGCAGTGAGCCAAAATTGTACCACTGCACTCCAACCTGGGTGACAAGAGCAAGACTCCGTCTCAAAAAATAAATAAAATGTTGTATTAGAGTTTTAAAACTTTAAAAATCAATAGAAAAATGATTATAAATAACACTACAAGGTACTAATTTCTTTGTGAAAAATTTGTTAAAAGTTATGCACAGTTCTAATTATTGTGCTTCTAAAGTTAAAGTGTATTTAATAAAGCTAATAGGAAAGATTGAATTTTTTTTTTTTTTTTTTTTGAGATGGAGTTTTGCTCTTCTTGCCCAGGCTGGAGTGCAATGGTGCGATCTCAGTTCATTGCAGCCTCTGCCTCCTGGGTTCAAGTGGTTCTCCTGCCTCATTCTCCAAAGTAACTGGAATTTCAGGTGCACACCACTATGCCCGGCTAATTTTGTATTTTTAGTAGAGATAGGGCAGCCTGGTCTCGAACTTCTGACTTCAAGTGATTTTCCCGCCTCAGCCTCCCAAAATGCTGGGATTACAGGCTTTTTTTTTTTTCTTCTGAATCCTTACCTCAAATAGGTGGAGGCTTGTCAAAGATTAAAATAATCTCAGCACTTAGGGAGGTTGAGGTGGGTGGACCACCTGAGGTCAAGAGTTCGAGACCAGCCTGACCAACATGGTGAAACCCTGTCTCTACTTAAAGAACAAAACAAACAAACAAAAAAAGCCGGGCAGGCATGGTGGCGGGCTCCTGTAGTTCCAGCTACTAAGGAGGCTGAGACAGAATTGCTTGAACCTGGGAGGCAGAGGTTGCAGTGAGTCAAGATCATGCCACTGCACTCCAGCTTGGGCGACAGAGTGAGACTCCATCTTAAAAAAAAAAAAAAAAAAAAAAAGATTAAAAACACTGTTGGCAATGGGGGTCATGTCTAGAAGGCGATGCCTCTCATCAAGCCTTTATGGGGTTGTCACTAGAAATCCAAATGTTTTCTCTGGAGGCTGTCATGGATGGAGACCTAAACTAGAATGTGGAGGACCTGCGTTCACTTCTCCGGCCATTAATTTTCTTTTCTTTTCTTTTCTTTTCTTTTTCTTTTCTTTCTTTCTTTTTTTTTTTTTTTTTTGAGATAGAGTTTCACTCTGTCACCTAGGCTGGAGTGCAGTCGCGGCTCACTGCAACCTCTGCCTCCTGGGTTCGAGCAATTCTCATGCCTCAGCCTCCCGAGCAGCTGGGATTACAGGCACATGCCACCATACCCAGCTAGTTTTTTATATTTTTAGTAGAAACAGAGTTTTGCCATGTTGGCCAGGCTGGTCTTGAACTCCTGACCTCAGGTGATCCACCTGCCTCGGCCTCCCAAAGTGCTGGGATTACAGGTGTGAGCCACTGCACCCCGCCTAATTTTCTTATATTTAAGATAGGGATAAAAATGATACTTGCACCAAGTTGACTCTTCAGAGGCAGATGGATGAAAAAAATCAATCTGTACTATTTGGCTTTCTAGAAGTTCAATATCTAGAGTCTATAGATAGGGGCATTCTTAATCCTCAGCTTTTCTTTTTTATTTCATTTTACTTTGAATTCTGGGATACATGTGCAGAACATGCAGGTTTGTTACATAGGTATACATGTGCCATGGTGGTTTGCTGCACCCATCGACTCATCTAGGTTTTAAGCCCTGCATGCATTAGGTATTTATCCTAATGTTCTCCCCACCCTTGCCCCCCACCCCCTGACAGGCCCCAGTGTGTGATGTTCCCCTCCCTGTGTCCATGTGTTCTCATTGTTCAACTCCCACTTATGAGTGAGAACATGTGGTGGCTGGTTTTGTGTTTCTATGTTAGTTTGCTGAGAATGATGGTTTCCAGTTTCATCCATGTCTCTGCAAAGGATATGAACTCATTCGTTTTTATGGCTGCATAGTGTTCCATCGTGTATATGTGCCATATTTTCTTTATCCAGTCTATCATTGATGGGCCTTTGGGTTGGTTTGAAGCCTTTGCTATTGTAAATAGTGCTGCAATAAACATGTGTGCATGTGTTTTTTATAGTAGAATGATTTGTAATCCTTTAGATATATACCCAGTAATGGGATTGCTGGGTCAAATGGTATTTCTGGTTCTAGATCCTTGAGCAATCGCCACACTGTCTTCCACAATGGTTGAACTAATTTACACTCCCACCAACAGTGTAAAAGCATTCCTATCTCTTCACATCCTCTCTAGCATCTGTTGTTTCCTGACATTTTAATGATCGCCATTCTAACTGGCGTGAGATGGTATCTCATTGTGGTTTTGATTTGCATTTCTCTAATGACCTGTCATGATGGGCTTTTTTTCATGTTTGTTGGCTGCATACATGTCTTATTTTGAGAAGTGTCTGTTCATATCCTTCACCCACTTTTTGACGGGGTTGTTTCTTTCTTGCAAATTTAAGTTCCTTGTAGATTCTGGATATTAGACCTTTGTCAGATGCATAGATTGCAAAAATTTTCTCCCATTCTGTAGGTTGCTTGTTCACTCTGATAGTTTGTTTTGCTGTGCAGAAGCTCTTTAGCTTAATTAGATACCATTTGACAATTTTGGCTTTTGTTGCAATTGCTTTTGGTGTTTTAGTTATGAAATCTTTGTGCATGCCTATGTCCTGAATGGTATTGTCTTGGTTTTCTTCTAGGGTTTTTATGGTTTTAGGTTTTAGGTTTAAGTCTTTAATCCATCTTGAGTTAATTTTTGTATAAGGTGTAAAGAAGGGTCCAGTTTCAGTTTTCTGTGTATGGCTAGCCATTTTTCCCAGCACCATTTATTAAATAGGGAATCCTTTTCCCATTGCTTGTTCTTGTCAGGTTTCTCAAAGATCAGATGGTTGTAGATGTGTGGTGTTATTTCTGAGGACTCTGTTCTGTTCCATTGGTCTGTATATCTGTTTTGGTACCAGTACCGTGCTGTTTTGGTTACTGCAGCCTTGTAGTATAGTTTGAAGTCAGGCAGCATGATGCCTCCAGCTTTGTTCTTTTTGCTTAGGATTGTCTTGGCTATATGGACTCTTTTTTTTTGTTCCATATGAAATTTAAAGTAGTTTTTTCTAATTCTGTGAAGAAAGTCAATGGTAGCTTGATGGGGATAGCATTGAATCTATAAATTACTTTGGGCAGTATGGCCATTTTTCACGATATTGATTCTTCCTATTCGTGAGCATGGAATTTTTTTTCCATTTGTTTGTGTCCTCTCTTATTTCCTTGAGCAGTGGTTTGTAGTTCTTGAAGAGGTCATTCACATCCCTTGTAAGTTGTATTCCTAGGTATTTTATTCTCTTGATAGCAATTGTGAATGGGAGTTCACTCATGATTTGGCTCTCTGTTTGTCTATTATTGGTGTATAGAAATGCTTGTGATTTTTGCACATTGATTTTTGTATCCTGAGATTTTGGTGAAGTTCCTTATCAGCTTAAGGAGTTTTGGGGCTGAGACAATGGGGTTTCTAAATATACAATCATGTCATCTACAAACAGAGACAATTTGGCTTCCTATTTGAACACTCTATATCTCTTTCTCTTGCCTGATTGTCCTGGCCAGAACTTCCAATACTACGCTGAATAGGAGTGGTGAGAGAGGACATCCCTGTCTTGTGCTGGTTTTCAAAGGGAATGCTTCCTGCTTTTGGCCATTCAGTATGATATTGGCTATGGATTTTTCATTAATAGCTCTTACTATTTTGAGATGTTCCATCAATACCTAGTTTGAGTTTGTAGCATGAAGCAGTGTTCAATTTTATCGAAGGCATTTTCTGTGTCTATTGAGATAATTGTGGTTTTTGTCATTGGTTCTGTTTATGTGATGGATTATGTTTATTGATTTGCATATGTTGAACCAGCCTTGCATCCCGGGGATGAAGCCAACTTGATCGTGGTAGATAAGCTTTTTGATGTTCTGCTGGATTTGGTTTGCCAGTATTTTGAGGATTTTTGCATTGATGTTCATCAGGGCTATTGGCCTGAAATTTTCTTTTTTTGTTGTGTCTCTGCCAGGTTTTGGTATCAGGATGATGCTGGCCTCATAAAATGAGTTAGGGAGGAGTCCCTTTTTTTCTATTGTTTGGAGTAGTTTCAGAAGGAATGTACCAGCTTATCTTTGTACCTCTGGTAGAATTTGGCTGTGAATCCACCTGTTCTTGGGCTTTTTATGGTTGGTAGGCTATTAATTACTGCCTCAATTTCAGAACTTGTTATTGGTCTATTCAGGGATTAAACTTCTTGGTTTAGTCTTGGGTTTATGTGTCTGGGAATTTGTCCATTTCTTCTAGATTTTCTAGTTTATTTGTGTAGAGGTGTTTATAGTATTCTCTGATAGTAGTTTGTATTTCTGTGGGATTAGTGGTGATATTCCCTTTATCATTTTTTATTGTGTCTATTTGATTCTTCTCTATTTTCTTCTGTATTAGTCTGGCTAGCGGTTTATCTATTTTGTTAATCTTTTCAAAAAAACAGCTCCTGGATTCATTGATTTTTTTCAAAGGGTTTTTCATGTCTTGCTCATTCAGTTCTAATCTGATCTTAGTTATTTCTTGTCTTCTGCTAGCTTTCGAATTTGTTTGCTCTTGCTTCTCTAGTTCTTTTAATTGTAATGTTAGGGTGTCAATTTCAGATCTTTGCCGCTTTCTGATGTGGGCATTTCGTGCTATAAATTTCCCTCATAACACTGCTTTAGCTGTGTCCCAGAGATTCTGGCACGTTGTGTCTTTGTTTTCATTGATTTCAAAGAACTTATTTATTTCTGCCTTAATTTTGTTATTTGCCCAGTAGTCATTCAGGAGCAAGTTGTTCAATGTCCATGTAGTTGTGTGGTTTTTAGTGAGTTTCTTAATCCTGAGTTCTAATTTGATTGCACCGTGGACTGAGAGACTGTTTGTTATGATTTCCGTTCTTTTGCATTTGCTGAGGAGTGTCTTACTTCCAGTTATGTGGTCAATTTTAGAAAAAGTGAGATGTGGTACTGAGAAGAATGTATATCCTGTTGATTTGGGGTGGAGAGTTCTGTAGGATTCTATTAGGTCTACTTGTTCCAGAGCTGAGTTCAATTCCTGAATATCCTTGTTAATTTTCTGTCTCGTTGATCTAATATTGACAGTGGGGTATTAAAGTCTCCCACTATTATTGTGTGGGAGTCTAAGTCTCTTTGTAGGTCTCTAAGAACTTGCTTTATGAATCTGGATGCTCCTGTATTGGGTGCATATGTATTTAGGATAGTTAGCTCTTCTTGCATTGATCCCTTTACCATTATGTAGTGCCCTTCTTTGTCTTTTTTGAGCTTTGTTGGTTTAAAGTCTGTCTTGTCAGAGACTAGGATTGCAACCTCTGCTTTTTTTTTTGGTTTTCATTTGCTTGGTAAATATTCCTCCATCCCTTTATTTTGAGCCTATGTGCGTCTTTGCACGTGTGATGTGTCTCCTGAATACAGCACACCGATGGGTCTTAGCTCCTGAATACAGCACACCGATGGGTCACTTTATCCAATTTGCCAGTCTGTGTCTTTTAACTGGGGCATTTAGGCCATCTACATTTAAGGTTAATATTGTTATATGTGAATTTGATCCTGTCATCATGATGCTAGCTGGTTATTCTGCACATTAATTGATGCAATTTCTTCATAGTGTCATTGGTCTTTACATTTTGATGTGTTTTTGCAGTGGATGGTACCAGTTTTTCTCTTCCATATTTAGTGCTTCCTTCAGGAGCTCTTGTAAGGCAGGCCTGGTAGTGACAAAATCTCTCAGCATTTGCTTGTATATAAAGGATTTTAATTCTCCTTTGCTTATGAAGCTTAGTTTGGCTGGATATGAAATTCTGGGTTGAAAATTCTTTAAGAATGTTGAATATTGGCCCCCACTCTCTTCTGACTTATAGGGTTTCTGTAGAGAGATCTGCTGTTAGACTGATGGGCTTCCCTTTGTGGGTAACCCGACCTTTCTCTCTGGCTGCCCTTAACATTTTTTCCTTCGTTTCAACCTTGAAGAATCTGAGAATTATGTGTCTTGGGGTTGCTCTTCTTGAGTATCTTAGTAGTGTTCTCTGTATTTCCTGAATTTGAATGTTGGCCTGTTTTACTAGGTTGTGGAAGTTCTCTTGGATAATATCCTGAAATGTGTTTTCCAACTTGATTCCTTTCTCCCTTTCACTTTCGGGTACACCAATCAGTTGTAGGTCTTTTCACATAGTCCCATATTTCTTGGAGGCTTTGTTCGTTCCTTTTCATTCTTTCTTCTCTAATCTTGTCTTCATAACTTATTTCGGTAAGTTGATCTTCAATCTCTGATCCTTTTTTCCACTTGATTGATTTGGCTATTGATACTTGTGTACACTTCACGAAGTTCTTGTGCTATGTTTCTCAGCTCCATCAGGTCATTTATGTTCTTTTCTAAACTGGTTATTCTGGTTAGCAGTCTCTGTAACATTTTATCAAGGTTCTTAGCTTTTTTGCTTTTGGTTAGAACATGCTCCTTTAGCTCAGAGGAGTTGATTACCCACCTTCTGTAGCCTACTTCTGTTAATTTGTCAAACTCACTCTCCATCCAGTTTTGTGCCCTTGTTGGAGAGGAGTTGCAATCATTTGGAGAAGAGGCATTCTGGTTTTTGGAAGTTTCAGCATTTTTGCGCTGCTTTTTCCTCATCTTTGTGGATTTATCTACCCTCAATCTTTGAGGCTGGTGACCTTTGGATGGGGTTTTTGTGTGGGGATCCTTTTTGTTGATGTTGATGTTACTGCTTTTTGTCAGTTTCTCTTCTAACAGGACTGTCTTCTGCAGGTCTGCTGCACCTTGCTGGAGGTCCACTCCAGGCCCTGTTTGCGTGGGTATCACCAGCGGAGGCTGCAGAACAGAAAGATTGCTGCCTGGCCCTTCCTCTGGAAGCTTCATCCCAGAGGGGCACTAGCCTGATGCCAACCAGAGCTCTCCTGTATGAGGTGTCTGTCGACCCCTGTTGGGTGGTCTCTCCCAGTCAGGAGGCACCGAGGTCAGGGACCCACTTGAGGCAGTCTGTTCCTTAGCAGAGCTCGAGCGCTGTGCTGGGAGATCTGCTGCTCTCTTCAGAGCCGGCAGGCAGGAACGTTTAAGTCTGCTGAAGCTGCGCCCACAGCTGCCCCTTCCCCCAGGTGCTCTGTCCCAGGTAGATGGGAGTTTTATCTGTAAGACCCTGACTGGGTTGCTCCCTTTCTTTCAGAGATGCCCTGCCCAGTGAGGAGGACTCTAGAGAGGCAGTCTGGCCACAGCCGCTTTGCAGTCCTGTGGTGAGTTCCGCCCAGTCCAAACTTCCTGGCATCCTTAGCACTGTCAGGGGAAAGCCACCTACCCAAGCCTCAGTAATGATGGACATCCCTCCCCCAACCAAACTCGAACGTCCCAGGTGGACTTCAGACTGCTGTGCTGGCCGCAAGAATTTTAAGCCAGTGGTTTTTAGCTTGCTGGGTTCCATGGGAGTGGGACCTGTTGAGTGAGACCACTTGGCTCCCTGGCTTCAGCCCCCTTTCCAGGGGAGTGAACAGTTCTGTCTCGCTGGGGTTCCGGGCACTGCCAGGGTACAAAAAAAAAACCTGCAGCTAGGTTGGTGTCTGCCCAAACAGCCACCTAGTTTTGAGCTTGAAACCCAGGGCCCTGGTGGTGTAGGCACATGAGAGGATCTCATTTGCAGATTGCAAAAACCATGGGAAAAGCATAGTACCTGGGCCAGAGAGCACAGTCCCTTACAACTTTCCTTGGCTTGGGGAGGGAGGCCCCTGGGTCCTTGCGCTTCCAGGGTAAGGCAACGCCTCACCCTGCTTCTGCTTGCCTTCTGTGGGCTGTACCCACTGTCTAACCAGTCCTAATGAGATGGCCAGGGTACCTCAGTTGGCAATGCAGAAATCATCCGCCTTCTGCATTTGTCTTGCTGGGATCTGCAGACCAGAGCTGTTCCTATTTGGCCATCTTGCCGGAGCCACCCCCAGTCCTCAGTTTTTCTAGGAACTCAAATTGGAAATCAAAAACTAGATCTATCTTTTTTTTTTTCTATTTACATTCCTCCTATAATAGTCTCAAACCTCCCTGAGGCATAAGAATCACCTTAGGCTTACTAGGGGAAAAGTCATTTACAAAATATAAAAGAGAAAAATACATCTAAAATATATTATCCTTATTACATTCTTTCAGACTTTCCATAATGTCCTTTACTTTATCGCCTGTCACCCAAACTCCCTGTGAAGCCCTGCTCAAATTGCCAACTGGGGTAATGACAGTAACGATTGTTTATTAGCTACTTAGTATCAGACAAATGTGCTTTTAAACTTTACCATAAACTTGTAGATGTTCATATCCGCATTGAACAGATGAGAAGCTGGATCTTAGGAAAGGAGACTTGTGCAAAGTAGCAGAGCTAATTTCGGGGAGAAAAATAGTTTAGAAAAAACTCATTTGTGTCTTGTTTGTTTTTTCTCACTTTGGCTCAGAAGTCATTCATTCATTCAAATGCTGCAACTTTAAAACACAGCTAGAAAAACTTCCATTAAATAATATGGATGCTTACACACTGCTCAGTAAACAGCAACAAATATTACTTATTAATATTTATGATGACCAGGAAGATAAATGTCTTAGTGTGCAGAGAACAGAGTCCATCATGGCCAAAATCTTAGTACAGTTTGATATTTCAACAGCTGGGCAGGAAAGAAAGTAAAGTGCTTTGGGAAGACAATAGATCCTGGGTGAGATGGAAACGGGATTGGGTTTCCCCTTTTCTTTTGGATGGGAATTCGGAACACCTGGGATCTTGTTCAGGTTTGGCTAATACTGTGGAGAGACCATTTAAGGACCTTGTAGTTTAGTTTCCTTACCCATAAAATGACAGGTCAGGATGTTGGCAGCGAATCTGTATGGGTCTGCAGCAACTTCAGTGCTTGCCACCTCAGAAGAAAGAATTTGAGGGGCATAAGGCAGAGGGAGAGACTGAGGCAAGGTTTAGAGCATGTCGACGAAAAGAGTCAAACTCTGTAAAGTATTTGAAGACATTTATTCTGAGCCAAATATGAGTGACACAGCCCCCAGGAGGTCCTGAAAACATGTGCCCAAAGTGGACAGGGTGCAGCTTGGTTTTATACATTTCAGGGAGGCAAGAGACATCAATCAAATACATTTGAGCACTACATTGGTTTAGTCCAGAAAGGTGGGGGCAAGTCAAAGGGTTGAGAGGGTGGGGCGCGGGTTTCCAGGCTATAGGTGAGTTTAAGTATTTTGACAATTGGTTGAGTTTGTCTGAAGACCTGGGATTCATAGAAAAGGAATGTTCAGGTTAAGATAAAGATTGTGGAGACCTAAGTTGTTTTGAAGTCTCATAGTGCTGCCCTTAGAGACAACAGATGACAAATGTTTCTTATTTAGATCTTAGTTAATCTCTTTAGGATTGGGAGGGTCTGGAAGAAAAGGATCTAGCTGTGTTAATAGATTCTTTACAGATGCAAATTTTCCCCTATACAGAACAGCTTTGCAGGGCCATTACAAAATATGACGAACATGTTTTGGGGTAAAATATTTTGATTTTCTCCCTTGTCTCATGTTATGCCAGAGTCAGTTTGGAAAGTAAGTCACAATATATAGGGCTAATTAAAACCCATCTGATGAGAATTTGTGATTTGTAGGGCGTGATGCCCCAGACCCCTTAGATAGGAGTTTGGGCAAGATAAAAAAACATAATTTAGTCCTCGTGGGGTTTCACCCTGTTGCCCAGGCTGGTCTTGAACTCCTGACCTCAAGTGATCTGCTTGCATCAGCCTCCCAAAGTGCTGAGATTATAGGCCTGAGCCACTGCACCCAGCCTGATCTATGCTTTGCAGGCACTTTATCTGTGATATTTCATTTAATGTTTATAACATCATACCCATTTGGCTTTCTAGAAGCTCAGTGGTTACAAGTCTAGAGACAGGCATTTTTACCATCCATATTCTATAGATGTAGAAACTAGGGCTTAAAAAGGTAAAGTCCCTTGCTCAAAGTCTCGGCTGGTAAACGGGAAGCTAGGAGTCTAAGTTAGGTCTGTCTGGTTCCAGAGCTGCTGCTTTCTGGAACCCTGCAACATGGTGGCGCTTGTTCTCCATTGCAGAGCATTGGGGTTGGTCGTAAGGTGATGGTGATGGCGGTGGCCGTATGGTGGAAGGAACTTCATCCTTCGCAGACCAAGGGATATCGAGGAGAGTGCAATATGCAGATTCAGACACTAGGTGACAGAGTGCCACAGGGCAGACAACTCGCTACGCCTGGGTCTGCGGGGTGTGGTTCTCTCCTGCGTCCTGTATTCTTTTAAATTAAGAAAAGGCTACGCGCTCCTGTAAACCCTGTGGTCTTTTACACTAGGGCCAGGATATGTGCAACTAGATATATGCCCAAACTGTACGTGTTTCTTCCTTTATTGCGAGACATGAAGGAATTAAAGAACGAAAGAGGAAAGGAAAAGAGCAGTGGACTCAATACTGTAAAAGGCAAAGATTCCCTTTAAATTGCTTTTTAGAAAGTTTTTTTCAAAAAGATTTTTAAAGTTTTTTAAAAAGGATTTTAATAAATTATAATGTTTTATTTGGAAACATTTAATATTAAATTTCATTTAATTTCCACTTAGTTTTTAAAATTACTTTTATTTTACTCTGTCGCCCAGGCTGGAGTGCAGTGGTGCCCTCTCCACTTACTGCAACCTCTGCCTCCTCAGCTCACGCGATTCTCCTGCCTCAGATTCCGGAACAGCTGGGATTACAGGCGCCCACCACCATGCCCAGCTCATTTTTTTTGTATTTTCAGTAGAGAGGGAGTTTCGCCATGTTGGCCAGGCTGGTCTCGAACTCCTGATCTCGAGTGATCCGCCTGCCTTGGCCTCCCAAAGTGCTATGATTACGGGCGTGAGCCACTGTGTCCGACCTCCACCTAGTTTTTGAAAGAAGTAGTTCTCTTTCCATTTTTATTTTTTATTTTTTATTTATTTATTTTTGAGACGGGGTATCGCTCTGTCGCCCAAGCTGGAGTGCGCTGGTGCAATCTCGGCTCCCTGCAAGCTCCGCTTCCTGGGTTCACGCCATTCTCCTTCCTCAGCCTCCCGAGTAGCTGGGACTACAAGCGTGAGCCACCACGCCCGGCTAATTTTTTGTATTTTTAGTAGAGATGGGGTTTCACCGTGTTAGCCGGGATGGTCTCGATCTCCTGACCTCGTGATCCACCCGCCTCGGCCTTCCAAAGTGCTGGGATTACAGGCGTGAGCCACTGCGGCCGGCCCCAAAATAGGCTCATCTTTTGATGTTGCCCACAAGTGAATAAAGTTAAGGCAAAAGGTAGGTGTAGTGTAGTTGGCCCTGGAAGCCCGTCTTTTGGCCTTCACCTTACTTTAGGACGAAGTAGGGTCTGTCCAGTGGCCTACAAGAGGAAGTAATTCTGCTTTTTCCAAAGTTGCCTGGAGCATATTTTCAAAAATGAAGACTCTCACTTTAACTATATGAAGTCTGGTGCACACTATTTTGCATGCTGTGATTACTGGTTATTTAAGCTTCATCAATGAAAAGAAACAGCAGAGCAAGAGTCAAGCTTTAGTCTAATAAGAAATGAGAAACAGAAGCTGTCAGCCACCGAATGGGAACGAAGGGGTAGTGAGGCAAGGACATGCCACCTTCCTACTCTACAACTCAGAACCTCACAAGGGAGGCTGTTTTGCCTCTCTAGTTCCATGTTAAGCTGGTTTTAATCTCCATCTTGATTGCCTTCCTTCCAAATGGATGGATGTATTCAGAGAGATTGTCCTGATCCATCCTGATTGTCTGCCAATGTATCTGCTGATGTGGGTAGGGCCACCTGGCATACACTTGCAGGGCCATGCTCTTGTGAATCAGACAGTCACATTGCATGGCAAAGGAGACCTGCATTTGATGTTCAAAAATGAGAGAGCCCAAGGAGCCTCAGCTCTTGGTTGCAACACTGGGGACAAACTATGAATAATAAAGTGAGTGACACAAGGGCTTAAGGTCAGGAACTCCTGTGGCATTTTGGTTTAGCTCAGTTGGAGGTGTGGGAGGAGTGTGATGGAGCTGAACCCAGATTACGGAGGAAGCTTCATCATGCCAGACCGAGCTGAAGCCATTGAGTGGCTTTCAACAGGGAATAACATGACTGTACTGAAAGCGGCAGGGCTGACATTGGGGAGACCAGTTCTGATGACCTTGCAGCAGTCCAGAAGAAATGATGGTGCCCTGAACTGTGTTAGCAGCAGTGGAAGAGGGTGGACCCAAGAGCTGTGGGGAGGAAGAACCTGTAGACTTGACGACCACCTAGCTAACATATTCATGGCAATGAGTCTTGGAAGTTCTACAGCGCACCTGGAGGGATGGTGGGATCAGCGAGGCCAACACTGAGAGAAACGCAGGCGTGGATGCCCTGGCACAACCTCGCAGCAGATCCTAATTCCTGGGAGGACCCCTTTCCTTCCCACATTTGACAAAGACAGTCTACGCAGATTCCCTAGAAAAACCTCCTCGCTGCCCACAGGTTGCTTTTTTTTTTTGTTCCCCATCAGAGCAGCCTGCTGGAACTCAGCAAGGCAGTGGACAATCCAATGGTCGTACCAGCGATTGTCCATACCTGTGGGATAACTAGGAAGACAGTTATTTTTGTGTGAGTGCCTGTGTGCTCTGGGGAGAGATGCCAGTGAGTGAAACTGGAATGAACAACCTGACCTCGAGGAAAAAAATGACCTTATCGTTAACAAAATAGTGAATGCTTCCACAGTGCCTGTTTGTACAGAGTGCTTCACAAGCATGAGCTCATGTGATTTCCTCATCACTTGCTTTTCCAGCTGTAACAGGTTTGGAGAAGGCAGCTGTGGATTCTCTTTAGCTTTTGTTTGAGAGGTTTCTCTCTTCCTGGTCAAGAAGCCACATGACCCGAATGTAACTAGGACGGTGTTGTTGAGCACTTGCTTGTGGACCCCTCTGGGGTCTGCAGATGACTGG
Source organism: Homo sapiens (assembly GCF_000001405.40). Lineage (NCBI taxonomy): Eukaryota > Metazoa > Chordata > Mammalia > Primates > Hominidae > Homo > Homo sapiens. The sequence continues at coordinate 761,430 of NC_000009.12, read as the reverse complement.
CAGGATGCTGGAGCCTGCAGGTTTTGCTAGTTTCCTACTTGCATGGATCCTTTCTTGCCCCAGCTCTGGATAGGTTCCCAGGCTTCATTAGAATTCATGGACGGTTATCTGCAAAGACTTCTGGACAAGAAGGTATAATGGTTCTTTTATGTGTCAATTTGACTGTCAAGGGATGCCCAGAAAGCTGGCACACCTCTGCGTGGGTGTCTCTGAAAGGGATGAGCATTTGAATTGGTGACCGAGTAAAGAAGGCTTTCCTCACCACTGCGGGTGGGTACCATTCAGTCTACGGAGGGCTTGAATAGGACAACAACGTGTAGGAAGATAGAGTTCCCGTTCTGCTTGAGCTGGGACCTCCATCCTCTCCTGCCCTCAGACACTGGCTTCCCTGGTTCTTAGGCCTTTGGGTCTGGGCTGGAGCCACACCCCTGGCTTTCCTGGGCCTCCACCTCACAGATGGCAGACCACAGGACTTCCTGGCCTCAGTAATTGCATATGCCAGTCCCTTGTAGTCGATCACTTTCTATACATCTATATATATCCTATTGGTTCTGCTCCTCTGGAGAGCCCTAATACAATGGAGTATCACAGGAGTGTGTCCCCCAAACCCTATGCTGTGTAGCACCCTGATTCCTGTGGCACCTTTCTTCTGATGTAGGAGATGTTAATACTGGTGGTAAGGTTGAAAATAATTTTTTAAAATGGCTAGACACACAAAGTAGCAGTGTATTTAAACCTTGTCTGCTATTTTAGTAGCATGAGGCATTCCTGAATAAAAAGGAAATAGCAGAAGCAAGCAGGCTGGTCGCTTGGGAAGGGCACCTTGAGGGGCCCTTATCAGAGCTACAGCCCGAGGTACTGTGGCAGGTAAATAAGTTCTGTTCTTGTTGACCGATCAATGGAAGTGTTTAGACTTGCCGGCGAAAACCACAACCTAGAGAACACAGATGGCCCCACTGCAAGGACAAGGAGTCTCTTGGAGCTCAGACTTCCGAATAATACATTTTCTCCACAGCGCCTGGAAACTGTGTTCTTGTTGATTTTCTGGGAGACAGCAAAGCCTCCCTCCTCCTTCCCCTCATCCTCAGGGTGGGAGTGACAGCCTCATCACTTGCATTTTCAAGTAAATCTGGCTTGCAGAAAGCAGCTGTGGATTCTCTTTGGCTTTCTTTCTAGAAGTTTCTGTCTTCCTAGTCAGTGAGTCACATGACTTAAATGTAACAAGGGCATGGTTCTCAGGTGCCTGATGCTTCTGGGCTTTGTAGAGTACTGGCCAAACCCGCCATGGTGGCCATGGTAGGCTGGGGCGTGGGACTCAGGCACGCAGAACACTGCACAGTTGGGTCTTCAAGAGCAAGGGCATCTCCAGAATCAGACTTCTGTGTCCTTAAGCAGGGTCTAGAATGTGTCAGGGAACCAGTTCTGGGCCTGAAGAATTGTTTTTTGTCCTGTTGTTCCTAGATTGTCATAGTCAGAGGAAGAGACTGTCTCACAAGCCCCATGCAGAATTTTGGGACCGTCGATGTTTGTGTAAAGGCAGGTATAACTTGCAGTCTTGCCTTTGGAATACATTTGTCTTCCTAAGTTAATCTGTTACAGGACACCGTATTTGATTTCTTGTCTGGAATTTGAGTCTCTTACCACTAGAAATACGGTGTTGTTTTGGTGAAGAATGCTTTTCTCTCTGCAAGAGTGGCAGTGTGGCGAAGTGATTCAGTGCAGGGACTTGGTGCAGGTCTGCCTGGCTTTCTCACTAATAGCTGTGTGATCTCGGACAAGTTACTTAACCTCTCGATGTTTATGTTGCTTCATCTATAAAAAGGGGATAGTAATGGTGTTCAACTACTTTATAGGTTTCTGGAAAGGAGAAAATAAGGGAACGTGAGCAAACCACTCAGAACAGCGCCTGCTGTGTGGTTAAGTGCTAAGGGTTTGTTATTTTTCACGACTTGGAATTGGAACAGAATATGAAATAAAGGGTGTCAAGGCAAAGCAGGCTTGTCAGTAGCTTGGAGTAGTGGCAAAAGTCTTGGCTTAGAAGGCAGGAGGCCTGCTCTTTCTGATCAGCCTTCCCGCTAAGTAGTGAAGCCAGTCTGAGCTTCACTTTATTTTAAAATGAGGTGGTAGCTGGGTGTGGTGGCTCATGCCTGTAATCCTAGCACTTAGGGAGGCCGAGACAGGAGGATCATTTGAGACCAACCTGGGCAACATGGTGAAACCCCATCTCTACAAAAAATTCGCCAGGCGTGGCAGTGCGCACCTGCAATGCCAGCTACCTGCGAGGCTTTAGGTGGGAGGATCACCTGAGCCCGAGAAGTCCAGGCTGCAGTGAGCCATGATTGCGCCACTGCACTCCAGCCTGGGTGACAGAGTAAGACCTTGTCTCAAATAAAATAAGATGAGGTGGTGATAACAAATGAATGCATAAACAAAAGGCAGAATATACATACAGTGCACTACTATTCAGCTATGAAAAGGAATTAAGTTCTGACATGTGCTACAACATGGATGAACCTTGAGGACATTATGCTAAGAGAAATAAATCAGACACAAAAGGACAACGGTTGCATGATTCCCCTATGTGAGCTATCTAGAATAGGCAAAGGCATAGAGACAGGAAGTGGAACTGAAGCTACCGGGGTTGAGGGAGGGGATATGGACAGTTTTGCTTAATGGTTATGGAGTTTCTTTTATGGGTGATGAAAAAGTTTTGGATCTGGATAGTGGTGCTAGTTACAAAATATTGTAAATACAATTCATGTCACTGAATTATACACTTAAAATAGTAAAGATGGCAAACTTCATATTATGTATGTTTTACTACAATAAAAAATTCGAACATAATTAAAAAGAAGAGTGAAGTAGGCTGATGTTGAAAGAAAAAGTTACTTGCTATAAACGTTGAAACTTTTCTAGACCATGAGGCTACCAGACAAAAAAGTGACTAGCCTGGGCAACATAGTGAGATCCTGCCTCAACATTAGCCTAGTGTGGTAGAGTGCGCCTGTGGTCCCAGCCACTTGGGAAGGCTTAAGTGGGAGGATCGCTTGAGCCCAGGAGGTTGAGGCTGCAGTGAGCCGTGATTGCACAACTGCACTCCAGCCTGCGTGATAGTGAGTCCCTGTCTTAAGGAGAAACCAAAAAACCCCAAACACATCTTATTTTGTGACTGAGATGATACACAAACACACACACACACACACACACACAAAGCTTCATGAAATGATGTTACCATCAATATATCTGATACAATCAAGATTTCAGATTTATTCAACTTTTAAAAATGCTTGTAGTTACATTAATTTTGTAACCCATTATGTCCTGTTTTAAAAACATTGTTGGCCAGGCACGGTGGCTCATGCCTGTAATCTCAGCACTTTGGAAGGCTGAGGCAGGTGGATCACCTGAGGTCAGGAGTTCGAGACCTGCCTGGCCAACATGGTGTGAAACCCGGTCTCTACTAAAAATAGAAAATTAGCCAATGTGGTAGTGCCTGCCTGTGATCCCAGCTACTTGGGAGGCAGAGGCAGGAGAATCGCTTGAACCTGGGAGGTAGAGGTTGCAATGAGCTGAAATCGTTCCACTGCACTCCACCCTGGGTGACAGAGGGAGACTCTGTCTCAAAATAAATAAATAAATAAAATTAAACGTTGTTGGGAGACTGGCTCATGCTTGGATATGTCTCCCACTGGCCACTAGGGAGAGCTGATAGGTCAGGCTGAGGAGTGAAGGGAACTGGTGGGGTTGCAGGTAGTAGTAGCCTCTGTGCTGGCTGGGACCCTTCTCAGCTAACCTCTCGCACTCCTTACCAAGGCCTTTCACAGGGGGCGGGCGGTGCCCATTTGGAGTTGAGTTGAACGAGTGTCTGTTTATTTGAAGAAACCTTCCCTGCCTCATTCCCGCCTGGGGGAGCCCATTTAAATGTGTGCTAGTTGTTGGATTTTTGGCTCAGCACTTTGGACCCTCTTCCTCCTGGAGAAGCACAGAACATGTCTCTTTCCTGTTGGCATAACGGCCCCCTTCAGATGTGTTACTGACAGCCTTAAGACTTGCCATGAACGGGCACGATGGCTCACGCCTGTAATCCTAGCACTTTGGGAGGCCGAGGCAGGCAGATCACGAGGTCAGGAGTTGGAGACCAGTCTGGCCAACATAGTGAGACCCTGTCTCTACTAAAAATACAAAAAATTAGCCAGGTGTGGTGGTGTGCGCCTGTAATCCCAACTACTTGGGAGGCTGAGGCAGGAGAATTGCTTGAACTCGGGAGGCGTAGCGTGCAGTGAGCCAAGATCGCACCACTGCACTCCAGCCTGGTGATGGAGTGAGACTCCCTCTCAAAAAAAAAGAAAAAGATTTGCCACGAACAACCTGCAAAATTCACCTCACTGGACAGGTTCTGAACCCTACTGTGTGTCAGGCGCCCTCCTCTCAACCTCAGCAAATGAGGCTGGTTCTGCCTGCCATTTTGGTTGTCAGGAAAATGGCATCCCTAGAAGGGAGTTGAAGCTCAGCAGGGAAGCAGCACAGAGAAGCAGCCATGCATGGGGTTGGAAGTCAGCTCCAATGGGGACTGCCTTGCCTGCCCTGGGCTCTCTCTGAAGCAGGTGTGACAAGTCACCTATGTTGGCCGGGTGCGGTGGCTCATGCCTGTAATCCCAGCACTTTGGGAGGCTGAGGCGGGTGGATCACCTGAGGTCAGGAGTTTGAAACCAGCCTGGCCAACATGGCAAAAATCCCTCTCTACTAAAAATACAAAAAAAAAATTAGCTGGGAGTGGTGGTGGGTGCCTGTAATCCCAGCTACTTGGAAGGCTGAGGCAAGAGAATCGCTTAAACCTGGGAGTCGGAGGTTGCAGGGAGTGGAGATCTCGCCACTGCACTCCAGTCTTCTGGGCGACAGAGTGGGACTCCTTCTCCAAAAAAAAAAAAAAAAAAAAAAAAAAAAAAAAAAAAAAAAAAAAGTCACCTATCTTAGCTCCAGGATCTCTTCTGTTTTTGCAGGGAGAAGCCAGAGGTTGTCAGGCATTTCAGCCTCCCTCCATGAGCAGAAGGAGGATCAGACCACTGGCTCATTAACCCCATCATGTTCAGTGCTTCCAAAAGTGTTGAACATGATTTTCATCTTTGTTCCCCCATTAGCTCCACCTGCTCTCCTATAAGGCTGTTGTTCATGTTTGACCAAAGTGATGACCACAGCATGTTCCACCTTCAGAGCAGGCAGAAGAGCTGAAACGTCCTTGCGCAATGAGGATTCCCTTAACTTCATTAGCAAGTGGTAACCTCTCCTCTCAGTCAGTTCCTCCACTTCCTCCTCCTGGGGTTAGTATGGCACAACCAATGTCCAACTCCTATGTGACAAGTTAGTCTGGGATCAGCTGTCAAAGTTAAGGAAGAGATGCCTTCAGGTCACTGCCCAGAGACAGAGCTAGACTTGCTTGATAAGACTGCCTCAGAGTAGTTCTTCCACAGGAATTCAGAAATGACTATGCAGCCTTTTCCTGTTGGCCACAGGAAATAGCCATGGCTTGTGGTGAAATAACGCTCACCAGCTAAGGGTTTAAGGGGACTCTACTATGACTCATGCCTGTCCTTGCTTTGATCCTCAGTTGGAAGCCAAAGGCTGTGGAGGTCAGATTTCCCTAGTGCTTTATGGTACAGTCTCCTCAGTGGGAACAGGCTGGAGATGGAATTCTTCCCTTACTGGTGCTTCACCCCGGTACTCGTCAAAAATACCGCTTGAAACTAGCTCCCAAGGCTGTGTGTGATGGTCACGCCTGTAATCTCAGCGCTTTGGGAGGCCGAGGCGGGTGGATCACTTCAGGCCAGGAGTTCGAGACCAGCCTGGCCAACATGTTGAAACCCCGTCTCTACTAAAAATACAAAAATGAGCCAGGTATGGTGGCACATGTCTGTAATCCCAGCTACTCAGGAGGCTGAAGCAGGAGAATCACTTGAACCCAGGAGGCAGAGGTTGGAGTGAGCTGAGATCGTATCACTGCACTCCAGCCTGGTGACAGAGTGAGACTCCGCTTTAAAAAACAACCCCCAAAAAACTAGCTCTCAAGACTTTTATGATAGCTCTCTTCTCTTACAGCTGTTTTTGGGTTACGACCCCCATATTTTCCAACAAGCTACCATTTTCTACCTTCCGCTTTTACATTCACAGTCACTGGACACTTAGCAGATGACGGCTCTGGTTGGTGGCTTCTTGATGGCAGCACTCAAGGTAGTGATAATGGTGTGGCTGAGAACTTACAAAAGGGCTCCACCACAGAAAAGGCTCTGCAGACATCAATCTCAAGGGTGGACCAGAGTTCCTAGCTCCACCCTTCCCCACAGGTATTTAAGTAGGTTATTAGAAGTATGCCTCCTGAGCAATTCCAAAATCCGGGCCGGAGCTATTATTGGGAGAGGATCCCACTCTGATGGGTTTATTGCATTTTATGGCTCCAAATCCTTTCTTTCTTTCTATAGCCAAACATTCCGGCATGTGGCTTTGCAGTTCCTTTCACTGAAGGATTTGTTTCCCAATCTCTTTGAATCTGGACTGGTCTTATGATTTGCTTGGGCCAATGGAGTGCCATGAAATTAATGGAGTACGAGTTCTGAGCCTGAGCCTCCAGGATCCCTGTCCACCTGTATTCTTGCATTTCTGTTATGGCCATGAGAACGCACTTTAGCTACCCAGCCTAGGTCAGCTGACAGCTGTGAGACTGGCCAAGGTCAGCACAGCCACTTCGCTGGGCACCCAGAGGTGTGAGCAATGCATGCTTACTATGGTAGGCTACTGAGGCTTTGAGGACTGTTACCTAACAATATCGTGACCATAAATAACTGAAATGTCCCACTTAGAATGATGCATTTCTTGAAGAGTTAACAGAAGCAACTTTCACCTTCAAATAAAATAGTTCCCTGTAGATTGCTTCTTTCCTTGCATTGCCCCAAACTGAATATCTTTCACTGGTCTTCAGCGCTATAGATGTATTTCATATCTTGGTAAAAACTGGACAATGAGCACAAGTGAAAAGTCATTCTTTATTAGGCATCAAATGAACAGGAGGGGGAAGCAAAGGGAAGAGTGACTGCCTACGTTTCTGTAGACTCTGGCTGACAGCCTGTCTACCCGGATGGGTGGATTGCTAATAGCAGTTAATGTTCATCATGTTGGCACCTGGGTGAAACTCCTTTCCATGCAGAGGTAAATGTAGGTACCGATCATTGAAAGGTAATCTTTAATTAATTGATTGTTTTTGAGACAGAGTCTCACTCTTATCGCCCAGCCTGGAAGTGCAGTGGTGTGATCTCAGCTCACCGCAACCTCTGCCTCCTGGGTTCAAGGGATTCTTCTGCCTCAGCCTCCCAAGTAGCTGAGTAGCTGGGATTACAGGTGCAAGCCACCACGACCGCCTAATTTTTGTATTTTTGGTAGAGACAGGGTTTCACCACGCTGGCCAGGCTGGTCTCCAACTCCTGACCTCAGGTGATCCACCCGCCTCGGCCTCCCAAAGTGCTGGGGTTATAGGTGTGAGCCACCGTACCCGGCCGAGAGGTAATCTTCAGAAGACTTACTGGTGGGTGATGACAGTGTTTGGGCCCCCAATTTTAAAAAGGATTAGAAGCAGTGACAAGAATTTGGCAAAACAAATTTCTGAACCCAAGACTGTTGTGCACTGGCAAGTGTAGGATGTTTGTCCTCAGCTGGAGTCCCTAAACTCCGACACACACAGGTAAGTAAAATGACTGTGCTCTACTTTTTTAAATATGTGCCAGGCACAGTGACTCATGCCTGTAATCTTAGCACTTTGGGACGCTCAGGTGGGCAGATCACCTGACATCAGGAGTTTGAGACCAGCCTGGCCAACATAATGAAACCCCGGCTCTCCTAAAAATATAAAAATTAGCCAGGCGTGGTGGTGTGTGCCTGTAATCCGAGCTGCTTGGGAGGCTGAGGCACGAGAATCGCTTGAACCCAGGAGGTGGAGGTTGCAGTGAGCCAAGATCTCATCACTGCACTCCAGCTTGGGCAACAGAGTGAGACTCCGCCTCAAAAAAAAAAAAATGTTCTACAGACCAATATCTATAGCAAGGTTTATAAGACAGACACCAAGCTTCTGGCTCTTTGGTTATGTAGTGGTCATATATCTCTGATGATGACTGAATGAAGCATATGGGGAACTTCATTAACGTTCCTTTGGTCATTCAAGGCCTTCCATTAATCAATCTCAGCAAGTGTACTTTCTGAGTGTCTTGTCTCTTGGAGGTGAATTTACAGATGAGAGAAGATATAAACAAGTTGCCTCCTTTCCCAGTGAAACACTGATGTCTTCTCCCTCTTCTAACTCATCTCAACTTGGTCTCTGAACTTAGCGCTGTGGACATACCATATGTGTCCTTAGGCAAGAGGATCTTCAATTGGTTCCTGGGTTCATTGGACCCCTGTGGCTTTCCAACACAGATGACTCAGTCTCTTGCATCTCAGTGTGAACACCTAGGATGACCGTTTTTCTGCTCTGGAAAGGAAAAACACTGTGCACTTCTGCCTGATGGCAGAATCAGAACCCAGGATGGAATGCAGAGGCAGCAGCTGAGAGGGCAGCAGTGCAGCACACTCTCCTCCATGCCACCTGGGTTTCCAGAGGAGACCATGATTTTTTTTATTATTTTTTGAGACAAAGTTTTGCTCTTGTTGTCCAGGCTGGAGTGCAACGGCACTATCTCGGCTCATTGTAACCTCCGCCTCCCGGGTTCAAGCGATTCTCCTGCCTCAGCCTCCTGAGTAGCTGGGATTACAGGTGCCCACCACCATGCCCAGCTAATTTTTGTATTTTTATTAGAGACAGGATTTCACTATGTCGGCCAGGCTAGTCTCGAACTCCTGACCTCAGGCGATCCACCCACCTCAGCCTCCCAAAGTACTGGGATTACAGGCATGAGCCACCGCACCCGGCCAACCATGATTTTTTAAAATGTGCATTCATAAGGGAGTGAGCTGACACAGAAACTCATGGGATTAGCATAAAGAAACATTACTTTCTAAGGGAAATGTATGAGTCATTTTTTTTTTTTAAGACTGCTGTGAGTCAAGTTCTATGGCCAAATTCTGGATGAATACAGGATTTATAAACACTTGATATATTGTACAAGCTGTAGAAAGACTTCCTATTGGGCAATGGTATCTTTGCAGAATTTGTTTTTTATACTGGGAAGCAAAAGTTCCACAGGGAACAAGTTAACTCATAAGGTTTAGTCACTGGAAACTGCAAAAGACGAAAGCCTACAAAGATGAAAGAACAGACACTTTAGAGCTCCCTGATGGACAGGAATCCTCCTTATCAGAGCCCTTCCTCTAGAGCAGCATTTCTCAAAGTGGGGTTTCTGGACCAGAAGCATCAGCACCACCTGGGAACTTGTTAGAAATGCCAATTCTTGAGCCTCTTTCCAGACCTACCGAATTGGAAAGTCGAGGTTGAGGCCCAGCAGTGTGTTTTCACAAACCCTCCTGGGGATTCCGATGCACACCAAAGTTTGAGAGCTACACGTTTCTAAGAGACAATCTAGGCAGACTGTACACAGGAAATGGCTTTCCTTTCACAAAAATATGTAGTCCCTAGTGCCCTAAGGCATCCACTGTAGATAATAGGTTACATTCTCTCTCTGCAACTAGGATGGTACTGGTATGTACCATCCCTGGGGATTATTAAGAAAATAGTCATCCAAATAGTTGTCATTGTTCTATGATTAAGTCCCCAGTGACAGTTTTGTTGCTGTCCGCCAATCAACTAAGCCATTTGGTTACACAGCAGCACTTCACTTCGAGGAACCAGTTTTTGTATGGATAAAGAAAATCTAAGTTACGCTGTGACAGCAAGTCACTCCCTAGCTTCTCTGGCTTAGCATAATAAAGGACTATTTCTTGTTCCTAATACACCTGCAACACAGCTTGGCAAGGAAACTCTATTCCACGTAGTCACTCAGGGTCGACACTAATGGGATGTCTGTGTCAACACTTGCTTCCGTGATCATCACTGTGACAAGGGGAGTACAAGATACGGTAAACTGCACTGGCTTTTGAGGCTTCCATCTGGAACTGACACATAACCTTTTCTGTTTCATTGGAGAAGTCACATGGCCAAGTGTAACTTCAAAAGTGTGTGGGTAGTACATCCGATCCTGTTGTGCCCAGAAAAAGAACTGGAGTATCTGAGAACAGCCCTCGTGACTGCTATTCAAGGTTACGAGTGGGCCACAATGGCCATCATGCAAAACTATGTGGTCACATTCAAGAAATAGCAGGGCTAAGAGTTTCCAGTTTTTACCTTCTTTCACTATCTCTTTGATTATATTGACTCTCAAATCTGCACCTTCCTTCCCAAGGTTTTTTTTGATCAAACTTTTTCATTTTCTTAAACTTTAAAAAAAATTGAAGTTAATATACATACAGGAAAGCACACACGTGTGTCTACAGCCTGATGAATGGTCACAAAGTGAGCATAACAGTGCAACTACCCCCCAGGCAAGAAATTGACCATTACCAGGAGCCCACCAGCCCCATTTGGGCTCCTTCCAGCTCCCTCATGGCAACACTCCTGACTTCTAACACCATCAGTTATTTTTTTACACTCATTCATTCAACTAGTATTTCTCAGCTAGGCACCGGAACTTCTCAGTCCTGGCAGATGGTGTTACAAACCGAAGCATGAGATTTCATCCTAATAAGCTTCCTGTTGGAAGACTGGATTTTTCTGGGGGTGGGGGTGACATATTTTAGGCAGGATTGGGGGTGGGTGAGCTCTCTGAACTCTCAGGGATTTTACCTAATAAATATTTTCCTTATTACCTGTTTAAGCACATCCAGTACTTCCTAAAAGAGCAGATGGGACCATAGCAAGAATCTCTTTGCTGCCCGACACATGAGAAGCGGCCTGCCCAGCTGGCACTTGCTCTCCTACAACCAGCCTCAACAAGGCATCGAGCTGCCTGCACCAGTGACAGCAAAGCAGCACCTGCCTGTCTGCAGCTCAGGGATTTTCTCTCGCCCTCAGTCGTACAGCCTTAGCCTTCCAGGTGGTTTCTAGGGCTGGGTAACTAGTTCCTTCTGGGTTGGGGAATGGGGAACAAGTGTAAAAGTTATTTTGGCTCAAATACAAGATTGACATTTGGTTTTAGAAATAGGAATATTTGTTATGCAGCTTCCATTTTATGAAAATGAGGGATATGTTTTCCATCCTCTTACCTATTTAATCAACAAAGGTCTTAATGGAGATGCAGTGGGCAGCTGGATTCTTAAAATGCCAGCTCCTTCCCAACATCCTCTAAATCAGACATTTCTGTCTAAGCATGCACCTGCAAAAATGATATGTTGTTTTCCAGCTTCACTGCAAGATCCTTGCCAGAATTCAGGATAGGTATCTCAAGGATATCATTACAAGTTCCAAATAATGCCATCTTTCATGCTTGAAAAGCCATGACTGTCTGGTCCCTGCAGGGAGTAGCTGGTGCCTTCAGTGGGGAGGGGTTCGAGCGTGAGCAGCTCAGGAACGTTGTGGTCTACGGTTCAGCCACATCCTTTGTGGTAAGAAACTGCAACAAAATGTACTTTATATTTTTATAATCAGCTGGCTTTTAAATTACAGCCATGCTGAATAAGAGCAGAGAAAACGTATGATTAGTAATTTCCTTATGCAGAAAGTAGAACAGTTTCTGGCTAAGGCCTAGGGCTTTAAAAAAAAGGTGCTTTTAGTAAAAAAAAGAAAATGGAAAATTCTTTATTCCAAAGCCAAAGCAATGGTTCATGGCCTCCTTCTGAGCAGTAATAGTCCAACTCCACGAGGAAGTGGAAATGGAAAAGATTAGCTTGGGAAAATATTCTAAGGGCTGTCTGCCTGCCCAGCCACTGTCACCTATATACTGAGCCACCTTCTCTGGTCCTTACAAGCACAGAAAAATGGATCTGTGGCAGTCATGGTTCCTGGACTTCTAGAAATGACTATATTCCAGGAGATGCAGAAATGCTACTGAACATGGATGTGCAGCACCACAGAAAACCTATGTGGGATCCTGATCACCAGTGGAAGCCCGGCTCCTTAGAGAGCTAAGGTAAAGCCAATGTTTGTTTTGATGTAGTTCCCCCACCTTGCCTAACATGTGTGGGGAAGAACAGATGCATCATGTCTCATACTTTGGGAGCAACAGCTTCTTAGTGTGGACCAAAGGCTATGTTCAGAAACACCTGGGATGCTTGTTAAGGATGGGGATTCTCAGACCAGGCTGGAAATTTGCTTGTTTGTTTGTTTGTTTTTTGAGAACAGAGTCTTATTCTGTTGGCCAGGCTGGAGTGCCGTGGCGTGATCTTGACTCACTGCAACCTCCGCCTCCTGAGTAGCTGAGATTACAGGCGTGCACCATCACGTCCGGCTAGTTTTTTGTAGTTTTAGTAGAGGTGGGGTTTCACCATGTTGCCCAGGCTGATCTCAAATTCCTGAGCTCAGGTGATCTGCCTGCCTCGGCCTCCCAAAGTGCTGGGATTATGGGCCTGAGCCACCGTGTCCGACTGAAATTTGCATTTTCTACCTGCTCCCTCTGGAAATTCTTAAGTGTCTCGTGAAGGGAAGGCTTATACAAAATCATAAAAATGTAATTCTACTTGTAGCAAGTTCCCCCACAAAAGATCTAGCAGAATTTAAAGAAAGGTTATGTTTGGTCATTATTTCCTTTGAAGGAGAAATAGTTTTCTTATGTGATTCCATCTGCAAGGATTGTCAGATATCGGCAGTACTTCAGTAGTACAAAAATCAGGGATAATGTTGTTCTCCCAAGTATTAACTTACAAGGAAAGCGCTCAGAGCTTCATTTATTTTGGATACCAGAGCTAGATGAAGTGTTCCTAGTAAACGTCTCCAGAAGCACCCTTCCTCCCCCTTGGTGAGACATTTAGTTGTCAGTTTAGTCGTAATAGTGTCACGACAAGTTGCCAGTTTTTTTTTCCTTTGTTTGTTTGTTTTTTAAAGAGATGGGGGTCTCACTACATTGGCCAGGCTGGCCTCAAACTCCTGGATTCAAGCAATCCTCCCACCTCAGCCTTTGTCCCAGTAGCTGAGATTACAGGTGTGAACCACCACACCTGGCTTAGTTTTACTTTCTTAAGGTTAAACTCTCAAAAGTCCCACTGTTCCACTCCTGTTGTCTTGGGGTGGCTCCCAACTGTCCGTGGTTCAACTTCCAAGGCAAGGTTTCTGGGAAGCTGTCTTTTCATCACTTAAAGATTTAAACCTTCCTTTTTTTTTTTTTTTTTTTTTTCCGAGACAGGTTCTCACTCTATTACCCAGGCTGGAGTGCAGTGGCACAATCATGGCTTACTGTAGCCTCAACTTCCTGGGCCAAGGTGATTCTCCCATCTCAACCCCTAAGTAGCTGGCACTACAGTACATGCCACCACGCCCAGCTAATTTTTCTTTTGTAGAGATGAGATCTTGCTATATTGCCCAGGCTTGTCTCGAACTCCTGGACTCAAGTGATCTGCCTGACTGAGCCTCCCAAAGTGCTAAGATAATGGGTGTGAGCCACCACACCCACCTAGACTTCTCTTAAGCTGGAAAATAAGATCAGGAGTTGCCAACCCCATGCTGGTCTTACTTGGGAACCTTGCCCAAGCCTCCTGTCACAAATCCCTTTTATGGAGTTTGTGCCTCAATAAACTGCAGCTGTACCAATGGGCATAATCAGGCTTGTTTATATAGTATACCAGGATCCCAAGATAAAAGGCATTCTAAATGCCTAGTGTGATTAGAGCAAACAAGGTACCATCTAGCATTCATTACTTAGAGGTCAGATACATATCTTGTATCTGATAAAACAAGCACTCATTTTCTATTTCAAAATCTAGCATGAGAAATCAGAAGGGCAGCATGCAGACAGGGGGATTCATTTGCTCATTCATTTACATTCATGCCTTTCCTTTCTCAGATGGAACAAAGAAAATTCCCAGGCCCGGGAACCACCAGAGGTACTACCTTATTTGCTCAAAAGGTAGGTTATGCCCATAAGGGGCAGACCACGCATGGCTCTACCTCTCTCTCTCTCTCTACACACACACACACTCTCTCTCTCTCTCTCTCTCTCCTGCTTTTATTGTGCCATTTTGGATCTGTAGGAACTTGGGCTTGAAGAGCTACATGATCTGAAATTCAGCATGTATCAGCTAGTAGGTTTAGGTTATGTCCCGAGAGGGATGTGCCTCCAGGTGGCTGTGACCTCACTTTCACAGTTCATGCAGAGGAAAGTCATCCTTGTGGTCCTGGGAGAGCTGGTCTGTTGCTGCCCAGGTTTGCCTGCACTGCCAGCATGGCTCTCACAGCCCCCCAAATTGTTTTCCTCTGAAAGGTTCAAATCTTGACTCTGAAACAGACCTCATAATGAAACACCTATGGGAAAAGTCTATTCTCTGGCCTCTTTCCTGAGCTCAATAATGTTTAATTTTTAAAAGCGGGGGAGGGAGGGAGGGAAAGAAGAAGTCTCTGATATTTCTCCAGTGCACTTGGCTCTCATAGATGGCCTTGGCCAAAACTCACCACCAGCGATTGTGCCAGAACACCTGGTTTGAATTCTGGCTGCCATGCTGCTTCATTTAATGAGATGGTCCCAACTTACTTTACTATTTAAAAAGAATTTGAGGCCAGATGCAGTGGCTCATGCTTTTAATCTCAGCACTTTAGGAGGCCGAGGTGGGCTGATCATGAGGTCAGGAGATCGAGACCATTCTGGCCAACACGATGAAACCCTGTCTCTACTAAAAATACAAAAAATTAGCCGGGCGTGGTGGCGGGCGCCTGTAGTCCCAGCTACTTGGGAGGTTGAGGCAGGAGAATGGCGTGAACCCAGGAAGTGGAGCTTGCAGTGAGCCAAGATCATGCTACTGCACTCCAGCCTGGGCAACAGAGTGAGACTCCATTCTCAAAAAAAAAAAAAAAAAAAAAGTGTCCGGCTTCATCTCTCCTTTCTTGTCACTACACGTATCACCTAGTCACCCAGCAGTTGTACTCAGAGTCAAGGACTAGTGCTTCTGCACCTGAGAAGAAGCATCTCCGGCTACCCATCGGAAGAGCGCTTTGTCTAAGGAGGCCTCAAACTTCAGCCTCCCGACTTGCAATCTGAGTCAGGAGCCAAGCTGTGCAAGTGGACAAGCGCCCTCGGAAGATGCTGTCTCCCTGTCGGAGCCAACTGGCGCACTCACCCTCCCTGCTCAGCTCAATCCATCAGCGTGTGCTGCCACTGCCGTAAGTCAATCGGCTCGGGGCGGACAGCTATCAGAGATGAAACAGGGACAAGGAAAAGAGCTTAATGGAATTTTATTTTGAAAATATGGCAAGAGTCTAAGGCACTTCAAACATTTAAATACATAGAGGACCAAAGTAAATGTGACACGGTAAAAAGGAATCCATAAATACAAAGAGAACACTGTGTTTCTCTAGAGGCAAATACAGAGCCGATTCCTCTAACACAATCCAACCTTTAGCATTGGAGTTGTGCAATTAATACAAATGATGATGTTACGTGTAGTTCTTCATGGCTTTAGTATGGAATACAAAAGCTGAAAATACTGTGTCAAGTTCATATAGATACCCTTTTTATAAAAAGTCATATATTACATCTACCTAGTTAAGACCAAATGAGAATATTCTTTTGTAAGTTTTATACTTTGTCTGGCCCAGGCCCAAGTTACCAATGATCAAAGTCATCTCGACTTCCTTATTTTAAAATAAGACAAAAGAAAAATCCAAAACTATGCTGGAATGAGATTTTGGAAGAACTTTCTAATGGTTCCACATTTAGTACATATAAATATTTGTGGAAAAATCTTAAAACGTCTCAGTGAGAACCAGACACCACTTTGTGGGAGTGAACAGAAGGTGCCCCTTCAGATCAGAATTCCCTGTGACTGTACAAAACGGAGCAGAGACTCAACAGCAACAGAGACTGGGTTAAAGTGTGCCCTACACAGAAGACGGCCAGAAAGGAGGTGTGTGTGCCCAGGCTAGCAGTCTCTGCACTGTGAAAGCTTCAGCCTTTACCCCTGGGCTTGATGCTTCTGTTTGCTGGTGAGCTCAGGCACAATACGTATACATTCAGTATCTGTCACCCCAACAGGAACAATTAGCAGCTTAATAGTGGCATGTAAATAAAGGGCTATTTGCATACAATCAATCAAATGAACCTCGGTGGGTGGGGCCAGGAGACGTCTTCCTTCCAAGCCTAGGGGTGCCCTAGAGACCAGGAAAGGAAAAAAACTGGGGGTTAATAAGTGACCTCAGGCAGATGTGTACCCTGTGACATAGGATCTTGGCCCACCACAGGCAACAAGCAGCTGTGAGCCCGAGCCAGGAGAGCTCTGGCTGAGAACAGGGAACAGGTGTCCACAGCTCCAAGGCCAGCTGGGCTCAGCAGTGCTATGTCCGGCTGTCCTGGGAAGTCACCTTCCCACTCAGAGTGAACTGTGGACTACAGGCTGCCTGCCATCTGCTTCAGGAACAATGCCAGAACCATGGCGAAATATCCCCATGGGCTCAGGGGCTGCTATCTGGATAATTCTGCACAGAATCAAAACCTCTATGGGAAGCTGTGAGCATATGTCTTGCAAGGACAAGCAAGGTCCAGCCTCTGCTAAAACATTAGTTCTCCTGCTTTTTGCGGGGTGGAGGCGGAAAGGATGAACTCTTAAGCTCCAGACTAAAACTTCCATTTTCTGAATCAACATAAAATCTGTCTCCCGTCAATTCCTGGAGGAAGGGGGTCCACCAGTCTGGTGGATTTCAGCCTATTTACAAATGCCAAATGCACAACACTGACCGGAGACTGGGCTTTTGCAAAGTTGACATGGGCATACAGAAGAACAGCGATGTCCTTGTGTCCTGCTTCCAGGGCGATTGAGAGCGCAGTGCTGCCATCCTTAAGATAAGATGGAAAGAACAAGCCATGTTGGGTTTCTCAAACCTCCAGACAACCGAAAGGTAACAGAACAAAACACCCTCCAATAATTGGCAAGGTTCCCCAAATATCCCTACTCGTTCGGTCTTCTGGGAAACTTTTTTGGGACCTCTAAGGGTGAAGGCCTGAGGATGTGAAGATGAATGAGGCAAGCCTCCACCCTCCAGAGGTCCCAGTTAAGAGGATTATCTTACTCAACCATTCTGCCCACCAGGAGGGGGAAGCAGAAGATGGGGATAGAAAGTTTTTTTTTCTTCTAATTAATTATGAATGACCAGGCAAGCAGCAGTAGTGTGTGTTTAGAGACTCTGCAATTTGCCAAAGATCTTTTACCTTTCCTCTTAGAGAGGGCACTGTGATCCTAAAACCCTAAACCACCTCGGTTTAAGGCTACAAGTAACATCTGTGTGTAAGCACGCAATCCCAGTGGGTTGCACAGATCCAACTTCTGGAAATAAGAGGGGAAACACTACATATGGGTGAAAAAAGCTTCACTTAACTGCTTGATTTCCATTAAATTTCAGGGATTTAAATGGATATAAAGGAGTATCAAGGGAAAGAACAACACAACTTGTCTTCTGTCTAGTGTGTTTTTTGAGACAGGGTTTGTCTCCCAGGCTGCAGTGCAGTGGCACGATCACAGATCACGGTAGCCTTGACCTCCAGGGCTCAAGTGATTCTCCTGCCTCAACCACCACGGTATCTGAGACTACAGGTGCATACCACCACACCTAGATAATTTTTTTTTTGTAGAGATGGGAGTCTCACTATGTTGCCCAGGCTGGTCTTGAACTCCTGGGCTCGAGCGATCCTCCTGTCTCAGCCTCCCAAGGTGCTGGAATTACAGGAGTGACCCACTGTGCCCAGCCTATCTAGTCTTGAAATACGGATTTCCCTCTGGTCAGCAGCAGCAGCAGGACACAGTTCTCTTTGGTTTAATCTTATGATCCTTCCCCTCAAAAGCTTTGAAAGATAATAGAAGTAAAATCAAACAAAAACCACAGCACAGCTAACAAACTCTTCTGGAAGAAAGAAGTCGGTCAGAAGCTCTCCCTCCCACAGAGGGGAAGAAGGGAATCTGCTACAGCTGCAGCTTCCATGTGCTCCTGTGGAGATGGCTGAGTGTGAAGCTAGTCAGTCCCTCATACCAGTGAAAAACTCCGCTGGTTTTTCTCCCTACTGGCTTGGGCCCAGAAGAATCTGACCTACAAAGGATATTTTCCTAACTTTTTGGTGTTTTGAGCTAAAGAAGCTCTGATCCAAACCTGTGATCCACAGAGATAAACTTTCAAAAACGGAACCAAGCCAACCCGACCTCTGTGACCTTTACACCATCTCACTGCCTACATGCCAGTTCCTACCTTCTACCTATCACCACTCCTGTCCTTTGGCCTAGAGACACGCAAAAGTACCCCCTTTGGTTGAGTTTCCCGGTCAAGGAGTTATCTGGAAATGTGGACAGCCTGGGAACTGGGAGAAGAGAGCAGAGTGGTGTTGATGGGACAGACTAAGCAGAAATGGGAAAACGCTTCAAGAAGTCAAGCTACTCTGCAGGCTCTGGCATATGTTGTGTCACAAGCTACTCACTTTGATGGGTCAGTGTGTTCACTTTGGGTGGAAAAGGTTCACTATAGTAGGAACTGGTTTTAGTCACCGTGTAACCCCAGCCTCTAATGATAATCCAGATTTCCAAGTGCACCTGTCAGAAGTCACCTACACTGAATTTGATTCTGCAGTGCAAATCCATTGATTTCCCTTTAGTAGAGGGGCTCTTGGACATGCCCGTTAAATCACTTTTTCATTTCATGAATTTTTGGGGTAGGGCCTATTTATTCTGCTTTGGGTACTAGTTTATGAGCGTGTTAGTTTGCACACACACAGTAAGTGTAGCCAAGCTTGGCTGTGAAGGGAGGCACCTAGATGGCGACACAAATCCCAGAGGAGAATAGAGGAGGATTTGGTCGCTCCTGGCCAAAAGGCACTCCCAGAGCTCCCGTCCAGAGTCCCCCAGACCCCTGGCCAGGAGGCCCAATGGAGACAGCTTACGTTGTCCTCTAGGTGACCGTTGCAGCCGGGCTGGGCCAGCAGCAGCTTGACAATCTCCACGTGTCCGTGCTCGCTGGCACACATGAGGGCCGTGGAGCCCTCGTCATCCTGGATGTTGACATCAGCCCCACAGGCCAGAAGGCCCTTCACCATGTCTATCCGTCCGTGACTGACCGCCAGCATGAGGGCCGTCTGTCCCGCCTATGGGAAGAGATGACAAGGACTTCAGAAGTACGTACTGAGCTGGCAGTGGTGGCCTCTAGTGGGGCTGTGCTAGGGAAAGGGGGAAGAGTGTGGTGACAGAAGGGAAAGAACTGGCGATGGAACTACTTGGGGCAGGTGGTGGCAAGCAGGGAGAAACCAGCTTCCCATGAGCTATGAGCAAAGGAAGGGCATAAAGTAAGGAGCCAACTTCATTTTAGCGTGGAGGATGTCTCAGTAGAGTAAGGGGCTGGAAGTTCAGGTGGTGGTTAAAAGTCAAGCTGTGGGCCTGGAGTGGTGGGTCACGCCTGTAACCCTAGCACTTTGGGAGGCTGAGGCAGGCAGATTGTCTGAGCTCAGGAGTTCAAGAGCAGCTTGGGCAACACTGAAACCCCATCTCTACTTAAAAAAAAGCCAGGGGCTGGCGCAGTAGCTCACGCCTGTAATCCCAGCACTTCAGGAGGCTGAGTCAGGTGGATCATGAGGTCAGGAGATCAAGACCATCCTGGCTAACACGGTGAAACCTTGTCTCTACTAAAAATACAAAAAATAAGCCGGACGTGGGGGTGGGCGCCTGTAGTCCCAGCTACTTGGGAGGCTGAGGCAGGAGAATGGTGTGAACCCGGGAGGCAGAGCTTCCAGTGAGCCAAGATCGCACCACTGCACTCCAGCCTGGGTGACAGAATGAGACTTAGTCTCAAAAAAAAAAAAAAAAAAGCCAGGTGTGGTGGTGTGTGCCTGTTAGTCCCTGCTACTCGGGAGGCTAAGGCAGGAGAATCACTGCAACCAGGGAGCCGGGGGTGGTTGCAGTGAGCCAAGATCCCGCCACTGCACTCCAGCCTGGGGGACAGAGCAAGACCGTCTCTTAAAAAAAAAAAAGTCAAGCTGTGAACACATCTGGACCTGGGACACTGTTTGCTATGAAGACAGTACAACACAGAGACAGGAAGCAACAGTCACTGAGCATCTGATGGGGATGCGCAATCATTTATATGTAGGGGAACTAACAGTATTTCCATGCAAACTATGCAAATGGACAAAAGGCAAGGCAAAGGAGGGAGAAGTTTCCAGTGTGAAATTTAAGCCCATATTTCCCTGGTATGTTTGGTCAGCAAGGAGTGCCAGGCAGTGTATGGACTCAGGGCAGGCCTGCAAACAAGTGCACTGTGGTGGAAGCGTGGCATCTATGCCTGCTCTGCCAGAATGGCCACCGCAGTCCTGTCTGCTGGTTACGGGTGCATTCCTGAGCACAGGAACCAGGCGCACTAACCTGACTAGCTTTGGCATTCACATCCCCACAGCCGAAGAGTTCTTCCACAATCCGCATGTCCTTCTCTGCTTCCACAGCGGCGAGGGCCGCCAACATGATGGGGGTGTAGCCTGCCTTGTTCTGGTGATCCACATTACACACATCTGTAAAAAAAAAAAAAAAAAAGTCTCTTAGGAAGCAGCCCCTTCTAATAGCAGCCGCTTACGAAGCCACTGAAGGGATGGTGTTTACAGGAGCCCAGTGAAATGGTACCAGGTGGCTGGAGACCAAGAGTGACTTAGAAGGAAATGTGAGAGATGTTTTCATACTAAACCAAAAACTTTTTTTCCCCCTATTTCACGACACCTGAAGCAAGAGAAACAACGGTAAGCTTCCACAGCGTATCTTGTTTGCAACTGGTGGCTGAAATGCAATGGCTTGGAAGTCAGGGTGGTTGTTCTACTGGTTGCTCTTGAGAATAAACGATTTTTGGAATCTAGGCACTCAGCTGTGTTTAGGAAAGTGAAGCAGGTAGTGAGCTATTCATGAACGAAGTGTTTGCAAACGCTTACGTATGGAACGTTGGACAGGGTGGTACCTACTTATCCAAACATTACTCATTCTGAGACTCTGAATTTACTACTCTGGCCTGTCGGGGGTCCTGAAAAGCAGAATTCCAATCATATAACATCCAGCTCCAGAATTTATGGTCGAGAACAAATGCAGTTAAGTCCCCTTAACAGAATCGATGAACCAGACCTTTTCTATTCTTGTAATTCTTAAGGAGTCTTCAGGGATAAAATTATCCTTCGGGCATTTAAAAGTTCCTTCGGCACTTTCTCTGAAATGACCGGAATGGTGAGTGTTAGAAAGCAGCTTTTATGTGGGACCAAATATGAAGTTAAAATGTTCAGAATGTTTCTATCATAAAGGAAAATAAAAGGTACCATGAACATTTACCTTAAGATCCCAAACAACTCCATACTAAGGACATGTTTTTAAAAGTGGGTGTTTTTAATGCAGAAAATAAAAGGCCCTGTGGAGGAGAAGCAGGTGAATTCGTGTGCGCTTCGGGGCTCCTTAGCACCTCGGACTTTGCGGACTCTGCTCTGCATAGATGCTGAAGCATCCTAGATCTACACCTTATGGAGCCAGAATCTCAGCCTAGAAGGGGGAGCAGTAACCATTAAGATAAGTGATTAACCCAAACCATCCAGCAATGGAATTAAAATTATTTAATTTGCCAAGATGTTTTATCAACTTCTAAGGGTATACTAAGCTGTTCCTGTCAGGAGTGATAGTGAAATCTTGTTTTCAGCTTCCCTGGATATTATCTACTTCTGTTTAAACAATCACTCTGGCTGACTGTATCACCAGCTCTGTTTATAGTCTAGAAAGCCTGAAGAGGAGGGGCTTGAAATTCCTTCCTGTAAGATGGAAGCAGTTATACCCTAACATGGCTCCAAAAAGAGGGAACAAACACACTTATAAGAGAAAGGAAGGATAAATCTGCTTGGCTTTCTTCTCTGCATCAATTCCAAGTTCCCAAAACAGAGCAGAAGAGATTGGACAGTGGATGAAGACAGAATTTCAGAAAATTGGACAGTATGATTGCATATTCTAAGGTTCACACTACATCCTCATTAATCAGACTGAGATACTCTGACTTCTCTGTCACATACTAGAAATAAAAATATGTATTACAAAAATTAAAAGACTTGGGGTCTATGTGGCATCAGGCTGCTCCATTTGAACAAGAAGTTGAAAGCTCACAGTTTCTTGAGGGTACCATCTGTGTATGTGCCCCTCCCTCACTTCATGTCTAAGATGTCCACTGGCTCTATTCTGGGATAACAAGTTTCTACTATTCTATTATGGTTGAGAGACAAGAATAACATGCCCTTTGCTCTATGCTGTTTCCCCAATAACAGTATATTTTGGTGAGAATGGTGATCATTTGACCATCTGTTAAGGTGGCTTTGCTTAGTCCCCATCTTGACTAACCACACACTTCTGCAAGGACAGCAGTCATGGAGTAAGGTCAAATCAAGTGGTCCACACGCACCAAGGCTGTGACCCTGGGCCTGTAAGCAGCACTCTGCCTCCTGAGTGCAAACCGGCCAAGCCCGCATGATTCAGCTCAGGAGGGAACGTGAGACATGCTTCTTACCAGGCATACACCTCTCACTTTTGAATGCAGCTGAACTGCAGCAAGAAGATCCTCAAAACCTCCTTTCAAAAACAGATCTAGAATCTGTGTCACCCAGTTTTGTTTAAACTTCAAGCCTCTTATGAATGACTCAAGAAAATTCTTGCCATGTCATGTGGAAAAGCAATAAAAAGGATTTTAGCATG
Source organism: Homo sapiens (assembly GCF_000001405.40). Taxonomy (NCBI): domain Eukaryota; kingdom Metazoa; phylum Chordata; class Mammalia; order Primates; family Hominidae; genus Homo; species Homo sapiens. Next base: position 738,600 of record NC_000009.12, on the reverse strand, counting down.
GTCAGAGAATTCAGGAGTGGCTCAACCAGGTTCTCTGAGATGAGTCACAACCCAAGTACTGTTAGAGAAGAGAGGGTGGAAGGGCAGCCAACATACCGGCATCTAACAGCAGCTTCACAATCTCGAAGTTGGAGTGGGACACGCTGTAATGGAGGGCTGTGTTGCCGTTGCCGTCTGCCAAGTTGATGACATAGCGGAGGACATCTGGGGAAATGGCCTCAAAAGCAGCTATGTAGTCCCCCACCATGGCTGGAATGGCTGACTTCTGACTGGACACGCGGAACCACTCGTGCTGGAGGGTGTTCAGACAGAACCTCTGCCAAAACACCAAGTGGTCGTTAGTTCTTCTATTTATAGACTTTCTGAGACCTAGTTGAAAGCACAAGTAACCTGTCCTTTTATAGTCAAAGTATATATATGCAGTTAGAATCTGCTCTCAAAAACCAACAGCCCTAAGAGAAGCTTCAAACACCAAACTGGGACATTTCTCCTGATTTTAAATGACGTGTAGATTCTAATGTCTATAAAGGAGACCAGACAGCACCATGCAGAAGCAGAGGCTCTGGAGCCAGACCACTGAGTTTCAAATGCAGGCTCTGCTACCTAAAAGCTTTATGACCCGAGGGAAGTTATTCTGCTTCCGTTTCCTCATCTGAAAAACTGGATAATACCATGCTTTCATAGTTTCTGTGATGAGAATAAACACTCAGGCTTGGCTCCATTTATTAAGCTATTAATATGATGTAATCATACTGGCCTTGCAAACAATTTTCATAGAAATTAGGAAGAAATTAACTAGCCTACACTGAATTATGCTGCTTCCTTCCTATCCAGACCAAACTCACCTCCTTCAACTCCTCAGCACAGCACTAGGTTGGGAGACCGTACGTGTATAGCCAACCCAATTCCCACCCCAATCCCAAATACAACTGTTCAACCACGGAAAGGGAAAATAAAAGGGAACCCCGTCTGGAACTAATTTCATTCTCTCATCAGCTCCACTCTGACTTCCTTAGGCTGTGGACACATGAAGAAGGCACTTGCTTTGTGGATGATCAACTCAACCCTGGGTCACATGAAGCTCAGTGGAGACTGAGCAGTCAGTACTGGTGATGAGGATGACTACAGTGTCTTTTCAATGGGCCTTCATATGAGTTTAATATTCATTTCTGCTGTGCTTACTCTTTAAAAGTTTAAAAATATATCAAAGAAAGACAGCCTATGTCAGAAGCACCAGAACCCAAGAAGTCCTCTTTCTGTAGAAAAGGTAGAGTTGGGATTATAGAGCTTCCATCTCTTTATCATCCTGCTACTGATTATTTAGTTTTAACCATTTCAATCACATTTTGGGTCACTTGAAGAGTGTCCTTTTTTTTCTGTATATATTCACATTCCTGTTTCTCTGGAGTTGTCACACTGAAAGAAGGGAAATTATGTCTTCTGGTCATTCTAATTCTATTACTGCTAAATAACTGGTGTCCTGACATGATTATCTAGCCCTGGCATTGTGTTTACTCGTCCACTACTTTTCACAACACAATACTTTAAACACTTTCACACCAAATGAAAATTCAGTTAAAAAGATGTACCCATCACAGTGTGTGTGGATGACACCATGCTCGGCAATTTGGAGGATGCAGGAAAACAGAATCCTTCCCAAAGGCCACGTAACCTAGTATTTTGAGAACAGTGAAAGAAAAGTGTACTATGGCTATAAAATCTGGGGTTGTAAGGCACCAGTTTTAAGTTTAGGTTAAACCTGATGGGAAATACTGACCCTGCAGTGAGATTTTATGGTTTTACTAGTGACCAGGGTATAGCCAGGTATTTTCATGAATACAAATCCAAGAATTTCAATATGTAGTTCTATGTTTCCCCTTGACTAGGAATTTTTTTTTTTTTTGAGAGGGTGTCACTCTGTCTCCCAGGCTGGAGTGCAGTGGCATGATGATGGAGCACTGCAGCCTGAACTTCCTGGGCCTCCAGCTATCTTCTTGCCTCAGCCTCCCAAGTAGCTAGGACCATGGGTACATGCCATCATACCTGGCTAATTTTTGTAGAGACAGGGTTTTGCCATGTTGCCCAGGCTGGTCTCAAACTGAACTCCTGGGCTCAAGTGATCCACTGCCTTGGCCTCTCAAAGTGCTGGGATTACAGGTGTGAGCCACTGTGCCTGGACTTGACCAGCAATTTTATTTAGTACAGCTGGCCCTCTGTATCTACAGGTTCCATTTCCATAGATTCAACCACTGGCAGAGTGAAAATATTTAAAAAATATGTAATACAAAACAATACAGTATAACAACTATTTATATAGCATTTACATTGTGTTAAGTTTTTGAGGCCAGGCGCGGTGGGTCATGCCTGTAAATCCCAGCACTTTGGGAGGCCAAGATGGGCGGACCACGAGGTCAGGAGATCGAGACCATCCTGACTAACACGGTGAAACCCGGTCTCTACTAAAAATACAAAAAAATTAGCCGGGCGTTGTGGTGGACGCCGGTAGTCCCAGCTACTGGGGAGGGTGAGGCAGGAGAATGGCCCGAACCCGGGAGGCGGAGCTTGCAGTGAGCCGAGATCACGCCACTGCACTCCAGGCTTTTTTTCAGATGGAGTCTCACTCTGTCACCCAGGCTTGAGTGCAGAGGTGCAATCTTGGCTCACTGCAACCACCACCTCCCGGGTGCAAGCAATTCTCCAGCCTCAGACTCCCGAGTAACTGGGATTACACGGGTGTACCACCATGCCTGGCTAACTTTTTGTATTTTTAGTAGAGAAAGGGTTTCACCATGTTGGCTAAGCTCGTCTCGAACTCCAGACCTCATGTGATCCACCTGCATCGGCCTCCCGAAGTGTTGGGATCATAGGTGTCAGCCACTGCACCTGGCCCTGTATTAGGTATTATGATATAGAAATGATTTAAAATATATGGCAGAATTTAAAGTAGATGCATAGTTTATATGCAAATACTACACCATTTTACATAAGGGACTTGAGTATCTGTGCATTTCGGTATCCTTAGGGGATCCTACATTTTCTCAATGCACTAATAAAAAAGACAGCTGTCAACCAGGGGGTTAGTCTGGCCTATGAAAGAATGTGCACATAACTTCGACACATGAGAATATGTCATTCTTGGCCATGGTGTCACATTAACCATTGCCATAGAAATACTTGTGTCCTATGTTGTACCATTCATGATCACTAAGGCAACCACAAACTCTTTGCTGTTTGCTCTGAATTTCTTAGACTGCGAGATGACAAGTGCGGTTATTTTTATGTTTAAAAATAGTGGCCGCCTGCATTCCACATCAGAGCATAACATACAGTTTCATAACTGAAAGGAATGCTGACCTTGGCTCAGATAGGTTTCTTTTAAAAACATATGCTAACTTAAAAAAAAAATTCTTGGATGCTGCTCCCTGGATCTTACTGTTCTATAAATAGAAATGAAATATGTAGAAAGATGACGACTGACTGCAATTAGCCCTGCTTTCTGTCTGCAAGTGTACGCCTCACAGATGCCTCCACCCCAGGAAAAGTCCAGGGTGGGTAAAGGATGTCCGAAGTTGGGCCTCAAGGAAACGCTGGCAGTGTGATCCAGGGAGCAAGACCACATGATGTTTACCCAGCCCACTCATGCTGGAAACAGTTCAGGAGAAAAGCATGCAAGCAACAGCTCGGGCAGCCTACAGCTGGCCTTGACAATGAACCCACTCATGCACTTTGTACACACTGGGGATGGTGTTTGCAGGTCAGACTCACCATATCTTTGCTGGTCAAAGCTTTGGGGTCATTTATAGTATTTTTCAGTAAGTTGCATGCAGACAACATCTTTTCACTTAATTCATACCTGAAAGGAGAAAAAACAAGTTACGATTGGTCACAAGAAGAAAATCATTTTTATTTCAACCCAAATATCTAATTTTTTTTTTGAGACAGGGTCATGCTCTGTCGCCCAGGCTGGAGTGCAGTGGCATGATCTTGGCTCACTGCAACCTCCGCCTCCTGGATTCAAGCAATCCTCCTGCCTCAGCCTCCCTAGTAGCTGGGACTACAGGTGTGCACCACCAGGCCCAGCTAATTTTTGTATTTTTAGTGGAGACGGGGTTTCACTATGTTGGCCAGGCTGGTTTTGAACTCCTGACCTCAGGTGATCCACCTGCCTCGGCCTCCCACAGTGCTGGGATTACAGGGGTGGGACACTGCGCAGCTTCAACTTTTAAAAATATATTTTTAAAAGGCAAGTGGCCCCAAGCCAGCCCAGGCAGGTCATTATGGCACAAGGTGCTTGGGCAGAGGCAGCACAGAAATCCTTAGGGGTCTAAGGGTTACGTCCACTGTGCAGAGCCAACACCTCCAGCCAGAGATTGAGGCCTTGTTTGGGAGGGTGACATTCGGCTTCACCAATTGGCCTTTATGACATTCTGGAATAACATTTAGAGATTTTTTTTTGCCATTTTTAAGTTTTTTTTTTTTTTTTTTTTTTTTTGAGACAAGGTCTCACTCTGTTGCCCAGGCTGGAGTGCAGTGGTGCAATCACGGCTCACTGTAGTTTTGCTGTCCCAGGCTCAAGCAATCTTCCTACCTCAGCTTCCCAAGTAACTGGGATTACACGTGTGTGCCACCACACCCGGCTTTGTATTTGTAGAGACAGGGTTTCACCATGTTGCCCAGGCTGGTCTCGAACTCTTGGGCTCAAGCTATCTGCCTGCCTGCCTCAGCCTCCCAAAGTATTGGCATTATGGGTGTGAGCCACTGTGCCCAACCTGTTCTAAGTTTTTAAAAAATATTTTTAATTTTAAGGGGGTTGAAGGAGACCCAAATTACTTTTTTTCTGAGACAGGGTCTTGCTCTGTCACCCAGACTGGAGTGCACTGGCTCACTGCAGCCTCAACCTCCAGGGTTCAAGTGATCCTCCCACCTTATCCTCCAGAGCAGCTGGCATGTGACACCATGCCCAGGTAATTGATATTTTTGTAGGGATGAGGTCTTACTATATTGTCCAGGCTAGTCTCAAACTCCTGTGCTCAAGCGATCCTCTTGCCTTGACTTTCCACAAATTACCATATATCCATCGTGCTGACCAGTAAACCACACATCTGAACCCACATTTGGTGACTCAAGTGTTTAACCCATATGAAAAGTAAAAAAATGACATATGGTATATAAATTACATCTCAAAGCTGTTAAAAAGCCATGTGAAACACTTGGAAATATAAACTAAAAACACTTACCTTGTTTTAATGCAGTTAAACTTTCATTTGCCAAATTAAATAGAGGTAAGTTTTCTGAAATGTTCTATTTATATTTCACATACTGAAAAACCATACTGAAGTTTCCACCTTTTCTACTCTCTATTTTATGAGCATCAAATCCTTATCTAATGGTCTTGAAAACTTACATTCTGAGGCACATATTTCAGCCAACCAGAGTGTTTTTCAGCTACTATTTATGATATACCCAAATCCATTCTTGTGGTATTCCTGATCATTCAATGTGTAACAAAATACAAACATGTAAGTGATATGCATCATCTTTACAGTATATGTGATCTTTGGCTGAGGCCTCATCCACACAATGATCCTGTAATAATGATACACCTGTATCAAGATAAATGGCTAAACATAAAATCTGAAATCTTAAAGTAGGCTGGCCACCAAAAAATTAAAATGTCTTTAAATATAAGGTAAGGTGTTCAAACAATGCAAGTTTTAGTGGATTGTGGTTCCATATGTTAAATTATATAGCAGAGTTAAGGTTTCAGAAAACAAGGGTGATTAGGTACCAGGCCATTCTACCATAAGAGATCTAAGAGTTGTAATACTCTGCACTTGTATATATTAGTATCTCAAGATGTGTATACCTCTGAGGAACAGATAAAAGCAAACATTTAATTACAAAAGCTCTGAACTGGCCAACTCTATTGCCAAAGTACATTAAATGTGGGAGGGGCAAGGGAGGGAAGGGGAATGTACCACACCTCTCTCTGATTTCCACCTTCTCAGGTTCACATTCTTGAACCTGCATTTCATCTTCCACCCTGGCAGACTTCAAACCTTCAATATTAACTGCATGGTGCCCTTCTGCCATTCCCCGAGTGTCTTCATCCTCCTCCTCCTCCTCTTCTTCAAGAGGATACTCAATGACATCACACTCGTCATCTGACTCGGAAGAAGAGCTTTCATCTGAGCTGGAATCATCACTTGAAGTTGTTTCATACCTAGGTGGCAATTGGGATTTCAGGAGATGCAAGGTGTGCTCACGAAGACCCAGTGATAGAAATTTCTATGAAGGGATTTGCTAATTGACTCCAGAAATTTCACTAGTGGTTTTAGATCCTGCACTTAGAAGTTCAAAGTAAGGTCTATTTAAATGCCTGGTGGTTTTGAATGGACTCTAACTTAAACTGGTTATCGGTATCATATAACCAATTGGTATCATGTAACACTTGTTAAAGAAAATAATGGCATCTCCGGCTTAGCATAAATCATGAGAAAACATACTTTATGGAAAACAGATCGGTAGGTGCTTTTTGTCCCCCCCCCACCCCATGTCTTCCTATTTCATCCTATTAATTCTCCCAGTATCAAGGGGAATAGATTACATAGGCAATCGATAGTTTTTCTGGTGTATGCCCTCCAAAATCTCCTGGCCATTATCACTGAATAAAACTTCTAGATTTGGAAAACAGGCACCATAAGGTTAAACCCTAATGGTACACTTTGTATTATTTCTTTCTTGTGGGGGCCATGTATCAATTCATTGATTTGATTCAATTGTAGGACAACAAAGGGGCTTAACTATGTACGTGGGCCAATGCAAAGAGAAGGAACAAACAATAACCATTCTATTTAGAAAGCAAACTGGTGATGTGGTTATCAATTGTGAAAGGCCCTACAATTTGGGTCGTAAACATGGAGAGCTAAGCAAAAGGACCCATTTTGAAGGAAAAGATGACGATCGTTGGCCCAGAGAGTGATGCTCTCAGTCTTTTTCTGCTCAATTGTGAGTTCTCGTATAGGTAAGTACAAGTTGTCCAACACAGTGCAGGAACCCTGCTGCGTTCGCTGAAGACTATTTCTTTCAGATCAGAGGTGAGGAGATGTAAACCGCTCAGCTTCATCAGGTATCCTTAAGAGAGTGACAAATCCTTAAAGACAGCACCAGAGGAGGAAAGCAAAGCCCAAATGCACCTTTCTGCCTTTCTGAGGAGGGAATCTTTCATCACTGCGCTGTGGCCGCTTCCCCGACTAGGCGCCTTGAAATGTGACTTAGGCAGGAGGTAAAGGAGACTGACAGCATTAGCCTCTAGAACCACCATCTTTCCTTACCCTCCATTAATGCCAACAAACTGAAGATTCTTTTTTGCGCCATTTGAATCTTTGTTACCATCTTTCTTCTTCATGATGGACTTCAGTGTACTTTCATTGTTTGTACATGCTGTGAAAAAGTCAAGGCAATAAAAATGAAAACTCACACCCATACATGTTAAATGATCTTTTTTCCTGTACAGTTCTTTTCTCATGCATGTAAATGTAGATCTTGGCATATATATGTGAGAAGTTTCCACAAAATTCAATGGGAAAGTGTGTGCATGCAAAGAAAATAATTCAAAGTTCCATTAATAACATTCTTCACATGGGAAAAAAATCAATTAGTCCTTCCAGACATAACAAAGCCAGTGAAAACTGACATTTGTATCCGGCTTTACTGCTTATAAAGTGATGTCGTGTCTCACGAGCCTCAAGGACCATTTACGTACTAAACAGGGATTATTATTCTTCTTCAGCTGAGATAACCTGAAAAAACTTATGCCTGCCAGAACGTGAATAAAATGCTATTTAAAATATTTCATAATTTGTAATATCAGGTAAGCTTTCTTGTACAGCTTTCTTTCGTAATTTTGAGACAGGGCCTCTTTCTGTCACCCAGGCTGGAGTGCAGTGGCGTGATCTCAGCTCACTGCAACCTCCACCTCCCAGGTTCAAGTGATTCTCCCACCTCAGCCGCCGGAGTAGCTGGGACTACAGGTGTGCACCACCATGCCTGGCTAATTTTTGTATTTTTTAGTAGAGATGGGGTTTCACCATGTTGGCCAGGCTGGTCTCGAACTCCTGGCCTCAAATGATCTGCCTGCCTTGGCCTCCCAAAGTGCTGGGATCACAGGTGTGAGCCACCATGCCCGGCCTCTTTGGTAACCTTATTTAAAGATATTCTGGGCCTACCTTCCAAATAACGATATTAACTTTCTTCCAGGTCAATTTAAAAGGTACATTGACATTAAATTGGAATGCTGGCAATGCTGGCCCTAGAATCCTGATGCCAATGACTGTGAGTGAGAAAAGTTACCATAGAGGCCAGCGGCGATCTGGTCGTCTGTCAGGTTCACTGGAGACAGCGTACCTTCCTGAGTGGGGAAGGCATCCAGGCTGCTGATTGGCTTTCCTTCTGAGGTCCCCACTTCTTGCTCAGGCTGGGATGTCTGGGAGCTTAAGGGACTTCCTGACTGAAGGCCCCCACACTTACAGGTATATCCCAAATAATTGCCTATCAGGAAAAAGAAAGGTACAGAGTGTGTGATGCTAGGACTGAAAAAGCAGGCTTCAACAAAAACAATTCTTGCCACTCATAATTTAAAATGGGACTATTATCCCAGCCACCAAAACTCAGAAGCCCCTTTGACGCTCCAGCTTTCCTGATTTCATTAGCGTAGGCAGACTGCCGGGCCTCGTCATTCTAACTCCACAGCACCTCTTCTTTTCTCTGTTTTGGCTGCTACCGTCATAGCCTTGGTTTCTAGTCATGGAAGTAGCATTTTACTGCCCCTCTTCCATTACTACTTCCACTCTGGCACAATGCTTCAGAGCATTACTCCCAGCCAGCTCCAATGCCATCATTATTCCAGCTAAAACAAAATGTGACAACGCCTAAAAAGCACCCACTGCTCAGGAAATGTAGTCCACACTGCAGAGCCAGAGATTCTAAACTATCCATAACCTGGTACTGGCTGACCCCCGCAACTTCATTTCCCACTCCTCCTGTCGTCCTTACTGGGACAGGGACTGCATCCCATTAAGTGCCAGGACTCGCTGTATAGAGATGCGGGTCTCTTGTTTCCTGGCAGCATGCCTCAGCTTATGCCCTTCTACTACCTGGAATACCTTTCTTCCCCCATCTTCACACAGCCGCACCCTCCCATCACTGCCTCTTCAGACCCTTCCCTGATCTCCTTCACTAACAATGTTCTTGCCCTGAACTCTCACAGCCCATCTTTTGTACCTTCTCCTGGGGATCTGTGATACAATGTACAAGATGACTTGTATGATGGTTTTAGACTCCCTTGTAGATGGTAAATATTTTGAGGGCATCAAACAGTTCTGATCAACTTTCTCTTAACAAATCTACTAGAGTGCTTTTGTATATGTTAGCCACTTAAAATCTGTATACTGACCGAAGCAATTTGGATTAAATAATATTTTGTAATTAATGTATACAGATATGTCAATGAAAAGAGTCAAACTCTGTAAAAAAGAGGTTTACTCTGAGCCAAGTATGAATGACCAAGGCCAAAAGCACAATCTCACGAGGTCCTGACAACATGTGCCCAAGGTGGCTGGGTTACAGCTTAATTTTATACATTTTAGTGGACTAGAAGTTACAGGCAAACACAAATCAATGCATGTAAGGTATACACTAGTTTAGAAAGGTGGAAGAACTCAAATAAGGGTGGGCTTCCAGGTCTTCGGTAGATTCAAAGATACTCTGATTGGCAAATGGTTGAAAAAGTTAACTTATTATCTAAAGGCCTGCAATCAACAGAAAGGAGTGTCTGGGTTAAGATAAGGGGTTGTGAAGACCAAGGTTCTTATTATGTAGATGAAGCCTCCAGGTAGCAGGCTTCATCTACATAGATGGTAAACGTCACTTTTCAGACCTCTATATAGATGGTAAATGTCTCTTTTCAGACCTAAATAGGTACCAGACTCTGAATCTCTCCTGGATCAGGAAAAGGCCTGGACAGGTAAGGGGATTCACTACATAATGTAGATATTCCCCACAAGAGACAGCCTTGCAGGGCCATTTCAATATACATCGAAGAGGCCGGGAGCAGTGGCTCATGCCTGTTAACCCCAGCACTTTGGGAGGCCAAGGCAGGTGGATCACCTGAGGTCAAGAGTCCGAGACCAGCCTGGTCAACACGGTGAAACCCCGTCTCTACTAAAAATACAAAAATTAGCCACGCATGGTGGGGGGTGCCTGTAGTCCCAGCTACTTGGGAGGCTGAGGCAGGAGAATGGCTCGAACCCGGAGGTGGAGGTTGTAGTGCCTAGATCGTGCCATTGCACTCCAGCCTGGGTGACAGAGTGACAGAGGGAGACTCCATCTCAAGAAAACAAAAGAAACAAAACAAAAAAAGACAAAATACATCGAAGAAATATATTTTAGGGTAAAATACTTCATTTTCTTTTAGGGTCTGCTGTCATGTGATGCTATAGGAGAGTCAGGTTGGAATTTGTTATCTTATTGGTATAAAGAGTCTGTTTGTCACTCCTAAGATCTCTGTTTTAATGTTAATGCTGGTCAGTTGTGCCTGAATTCCAAAGGGAGGAGGGTATAATGAGGCATGTTTGACACTTCCTTCCCATCATGGCCTGAACTAGTTTTTCAGGTTTACTATGGAATCCCCTGGCTGACAGGAGGGATCTATTCCGTTGGTTAGGGGGCTTAGAATTTTATTTTTGGTTTACAGATATATTGTAGAATTTTCAATGTGGGTGATGTGGAAAAATGTTTGTAATATATGGTTAATTGAAAAAAGCAGATAATAAAATTCCATGTATTGTGTGATCCTATTAAAATACATTACCACACACACACATACACACACACACACACACACACACACACACACACACATGAAAAGTTATCTGACTCTGTGCTAAATGAAACAGCTATGGTAGTTTTAATTTTTCCCTGGATTAGCCTGGGCGTGGTGGCTCATGCCTGTAATTCCAGCACTTTGGGAGGCTGAGGCAGGTAGATTACTTGAGGTCAGGAGTTTGAGACCAGCCTGGCCAACATGGTGAAACTCCATCTCTACAAAAATACAAAAATTAGCTGGGCATGGTGGTGAGTGCCTGTAATCCAGAGCTGCTCGGGAGGCTGAGGTAGGAGAATCACTTGAACCCGGGAGGCAGAGGTTGCAGTGAGCCAAGATCGTCCCACTGCACTCCAGCCTGGGCGGCAGAGCGAGACTCTAATAAAAAAAAAAAAATTTCCTTGGATTTGCCATTTTTTCTATAGTGAATATGGGTTAACTGTGTTCAAAATCACTTTTAAAAATGAAAAATTATTTCACTTAATTGTCTAAAAGTTTTATCCTAAGGATGTACAAAAAGACACAGAAGGCTATTGTTTCCATGTTTAAAACAGTAAAAAGAGGCAGACAGTCTGCTTGTAAGAAACAACCATATAAGCACTGGTATATTTATACAGAGGAATTCTATATGGCCATTACAAATCTTGATATAGGAGAATATTAACATAGATGAGCATGATGTGTATTAAAAATAGGTCATACAATAATACGGAGAAAATAAACCTACTTTGGTAAATAATTTTTTATTTTAATTGAGAGAGTGTCTTGTCTTGTGCTGTTGCCCAGGCTGGAGTGCAGTGGAGCAATCCTGGCTCACTGCAACCTCTGCCTTCTTGGTTCAAGAGATTCTTGTGCCTCAGCCTCCCGAGTAGCTGGGATTATGGGCACCTGCCACCATGCCTGGCTAATTTTTGTATTGTTAGTAGAGACGGGGTTTTACCATGTTGGCCAGGCTGGTCTTGAACTTGTGACCTCAGGAAATCTGCCCGCCTTGACCTCCCAAAGCGTTGGGATTATAGGCATGAGCCACCACGCCTGGCCTTATTTTTAATTTTTGTCTCCGTTCAAGTTTTCTTCTTTCGAGACAGAGTCTTACTCTGTTGCTAGGCTACAGTGCAGTGGTGCGATCTTGGCTCACTGCAACCTGCGCCTTCCCGGTTTAAGCGATTCTCCTGCCTCAGCCTCCCGAGTAGCTGGGGCTACAGGCAAGTGCCACCATGCCTAGCTAATTTTTGTATTTTTAGTAGAGACTCGGTTTCACCATGTTGGCCAGGTTGGACTCGAACTCCTGACCTCAGGTGATCCACCCGCCTCAGCCTCCCAAAGTGCTGGGGTTAGAGGCGTGAGCAACCGTGCCTGGCCTCTCAGTTCAAGTTTAACGGAAACTAGAAAAGATCAATGGGCTTATTCCCTCTAATGATACATCACACAAATCAGCGGCCTGCCCCACAACACAGCTCAGGCCATTCCCACCAAGAGAAGAAAGGCTGGCCTCTCCACCCCTTGTAGGAAAGGCCTGCCCTAGCACACCAGAATTGATCTGAATCTGAAGTCTTTTGTTTGACTCATGGGAAAAAAAAATACAAAAGAGGTTTTGTTCTCATTGCTGCCTACTGGCATTAGTAAATAATTATATTTACATATGTATGTATTAGAAAAATCATGGAAGGATATACAGGAAACCCATTTAACACTGCTTTGCTAAGGCTAAAGAGTCACAGGCTACTATAACTTTTTTCTTTTTGTCTCTAGTATTTCCTAAATTATACTTTATAAATTACTAACAAAAATTAAACATTTAAATCTACTCACAATGTCAGGTGATCACAACTTTATCCCTTTCAAAGTAAAGCTCTGAAATCTCTTAGATTCTTAGAAGAAAAGCAGCTTAAGTGTTGATTGTATTTTGAGGCAATATGAAGAAAAAGAACGAATAACAAGCCCTAAAACTGCTCTGAGTTCTATTCTTCATAAGAATCACCTGTGACATTGGCTAAAATGCAGATTCCCAGGAACATGCTGCCAGGAGATCATTCTGCAGTTCTGGGATGGGGGCCAAGTGATGGCATTTCTGACATTCCCCACCACCTACAAGAATCACTGATGCAGGTGGTCTACTTTGACTGGTTTAAAACAATGACGCTATAGTAAAAGAGTGAGAGCTGGCAAAAAATTCAATGTAAGGCATTAGAGATCATCTAAATTTTTTTTTTTTTTTTTTTGAGACAGAGTCTTGCTCTGTCACCCAGGCTGGAGTGAGGGCTGTGGCGTGATCTCAGTTCACTGCAACCTCCGCCTCCCGGGTTCAAGCGATTCTCCTGCCTCAGCCTCCCAAGTAGCTGGGGCTACAGGTGTGCACAACCATGCCTGGCTAATTTTTGTATTTTTAGTAGAGACTGAGTTTTACCATGTTGGTTAGCCTGGCCTCAAACTCCTGACCTCAAGGGATATCACCTAATTTTTAATTCCAGACTTCCAGCTAAGGATTCTGAAGGCCAGCTAGGTTCAGGACTTGCCCCAGGCCACAGAGCTGAACGAGAACTCACATTTCCTAATTCGGTGAACAGTCCCCTGTCCCCAAATCAACAGCACAATGCTTTCTCCTTTAGCTGTGGGACATGGGGGCTACCTGGACGATTCCTTTACAACTCCAACTTCCTCCTCAACACACATACACACAATACTGAATTCAGCGGTCCAAACAACGTTTCACACTATGTGACTTGATGTCCCCTAACTGCAAATATGAAATGCCTAATGTGCCTTTGACTTATTTTAAGCAAAGTAGATAAAGCAGGGCATTTATCTTCATTTTTCCTTCTCCAAGTCCATTCATCATTACTTAGAAAATATTGCAGCGGCCTCCAAAAAGTCTCACTAGTTAATCACTGAATGCCAGAACACTCTTGTTTTTTTTGAGATTGAGTCTCGCTCTGTCGCCCAGCCTGGAATGCAGTGGCGCGATCTCTGCTCACTGCAACCTCCACCTCCCGGGTTCAAGTGATTCTCCTGCTTCAGCCTCCTGAGTAGCTGGGATTACAAGTGCCCGCCACCACGCCCAGCTGTTTTTTGTATTTTTAGTAGAGACGGGATTTTACTATGTTGGCTAGGCTGGTCACGAACTCCTGACCTCAAGTGATCCACCTACCTACCTCGGCCTCCCAAAGTTCTGGGATTACAGGTGTGAGCCACCGTGCCTGGCCGCCAGAACACTCTTTGTAGAGAAATGCTTGTACGAAGCATTTTCCTCTTCAATAACCAACAATGACTTTTTAAATGCAAATACATGATAGTTTTGACTATTATTGAAACCATAAAACAGATACAAAAGTAGATAATAGTTTAATAAACTCCTGTCTTCCCATTACTAGCTTCAACAATGATTAGAAAACATCTGGTTTCCCTGATAACTCCCTCTGCCCACTCACACTGGATTATTTTGAAGCAACAGCTAGAGATTCAATCATTTTCATCCATAAATATTTCAGTATATGTCCCTAAAAGAACTCTAAAAAATGCAAACCATTGAGGCTAAAACTATCAAATCTTAAAAAAAGATAAGTATGATTATCACATAATCCAGTCAGTATTCAAATTTCTCCAATAGTCTTTTTTTTTGATATGGCATCTCACTCTGTCACCCAGGCTGGAGTGCAGTGGCGTGATCTCTGCTCACCGCAACCTGTCTCCCAGGCTTAATCAATCCTCCCACCTCAGCCCCCCAAATAGCTGGGACCACAGACGTACAAAACCACGCCTGGCTTCTTTTTTTTTTTTTTTCGTATTTTTAATAGAGATGGGTTTCACTATGTTGCCCAGGCTAGTCTCGAACTGCTGGGTTCAAGCTATCCACCCACCTTGGCCTCTGAAAGTACTGGAATTACAGGCATGAGCTACTGTGCCCAATCTCCAATAGTCTCTAAAAAATTTCTTTAATAGGGTGTTTGCATCAGAATTCCAGTCATGTATTTCCATTGGTTGCTATTATTTTAAAGTCTTTTAATCCATAGGTTCTCTTTGTTTAAATACAACTTAAAATTTTTAAAAAATTCAAACACAATTTATAGACAATAAAATGCACAGAATGAATTACAGACAGGGTCTCACACTGTCACCCAGGCTAGAGTGCAATGGAATGTGATCATAGCTAACTGTAGCCTTGAACTCCTGGGCTCAAGCAATCCTCCCACCTTGGCCTTTGGAGTAGCTAGGACACAGGACCCAGGTGCTTGTGATCATGCCCCACGAAAATGCACTGATTTTAAGTGTAAGTCGGATGGAATTTGGTAGATGTATACGCCTGTGTAACCACCTCTGTAACAGAGATACAGAACATTTCTAACAACCTGGTAAGCCTTTCCTCCCACCCCTTCCAGATAGTGTCACCCAGGAATACCAGGTGCTATAATTTTTCTCACCACAGCTTACTTTTGTAAACTAGGGCTTTTTAAAGCTTCTCCAATCAAGGTCCACCTCCTCCTGCAGGCATCCAAGGGTCAAGGTGGAAGGTTTCATCTTGCCTGCGGGAACTTTACCTCTCAGCTACTCCTCCACTCTGTCCATTCTGTTCAGAGTGGTCCTGTGACTTAATTACTCCAACTCTGTGAGTAGGGAGTAATTAGATCATCCTACAGGTCTGGAAATTCGCCATCCTTCACCAGCTGAATTCGACCCATACTCTTTTCAAGGCTTGGCCCAAATTCTATCTTCTCTAGTCTTTTTTCTATGATACCATTCCAACCATTCCACAGAGATGTCTTTTTTCCCCATCATTGTCCTGTAGCACTTACGGTCCAGATTCAAATATGCCCTGTCTCCTCAATGAGATGGTCAGCATCTTGAGTTCCTCCCTGCTACATTCTTATTTGGTGTCCTGTCCAGTGCTTAGAACAGTGCGGGACCATTGAGAGCCTTTAATAAGTGTCCATGTAATTCAACCAAAGGTCATGAGGATTCTACTGAGGCTTAACTGGTAAGGAAAAGAACCTCATTAAATTCCAAACTGGCTCTCCTTTGTCAAGTCAGAGGGAATTGGTCACCTATATTGCCAGAAAATGTTCTTTGGATGGTGTTGAAACTCTGGCTGGTCTTGAGTGGCCTATAAACAATTCTCTGAACTTGATAAGGACCCACTTGTAGTTGTAGGCACCGCATGCACCAATGTAAGACTGACAAATGACTGCTGTGTTTGAGCAAAACGAAGAAAACGTGCAGCCAGGAAAGCCAAAGAACAAAGAGGCCAACAAACAAAATTCAGTCGTTTCAACCCTAGCTACCCTTTAGAATCACCTGAATCGAGGGTGAGACTTTAAAAAATGTAGATACAATGATCTGGATGGGTCCAGATATGAGAGAGAGAGAGCAAGAGAGGCAGACAGACAGAGAGACAGAGAGAGAGAGAGAGAATGAACACTTATTTGCAGTTGAAGTGAAACTCCATCTCAAAAAAATAAAATAAATAAAATAGAATTCAGGGCCCGTCCATAATTCTAACCTTGTGTGCTTTCATTAGTTTTACAAAGGCAGTTTAGTCTTGGGAAGGGCTATTATCATCCTTGCTTTAAGGTTAAATTATAAACCAAATTCTACCCACAGTTAGCTTGGCCTGTGCCTAGGAATGAACAAGGACAGCTTGGAGGTCAGAAGTAAGACGGAGTCAGCTATGTCAGGTTTCTTTTACTGTCATGATTTTGGAAAGGCAGTTTCAATGTCCCCACCCCCTTGGGTTTCGGTACACCTCAATCCTGAGGTGTGAGCTATGGAGATGGGAAAGGCTAATGACAGCTCTAATTTCTTCTTGCTTATGGAACATTGTTGGGGAAGGGGTTGCCCCCAAGGTAAGAGGAGTGAAACCGTCTTCAAGTTGACCGTATGCCTTCACTGGTGTCTGGTTGGGGTCATTCTTATCCACAGTTTTAGTACAGCACATAAGTGAACAGCAGACTGTAAGATTAATAGTAAGCCCTACCACAAGAAGTGAAAGTCCTAGCTTCAGGAGTCCCTGTAGAACCAACCTGAAGCCTTGAGGGACCCAGGTAAATGACCCTGAGAACCAATCAATTATTGAGTTATCAGCAGATGACCTTATCCAAAAAAGTGGACAAAGCTGGAGTCAATAAAAGGGGTACTATAGTTTTTCTGAAACATAATTTTTCTCTCTCTGGTTTTCTATTTCTACCAAAGACCAATCATAGTGGGACCAATTTATTTCCAAAATAAGTTTTAGTCTTATTATGCTTGGGCTAATTATTTGCATAAAGTGCAGCAAGAGTAAGTATTTGCCATATGGCCCCCCCTTTTTCTTTTACATTGACTTTGCTGACATTTTTCATAAGGAATCTCAAATTAGACCTTTTACAAACCTCTTGAGCCCAGCCAAGAATTTATTTGTGCCTGCAGATACCTATATAAATTAGGTGACTTCCTCTTTTCCCGAGGTCCCAAAATAACGTGGGGCTCCTGAGCTTGTCAGAAAGTGACATTCTTTACTTACCACAGGTTAGGAACCCTGTAAAGGACAAGGTATGAGGGAGGTCAGTTTTTCCAAGGGGCTTCCATTGGCTCTAAAGATCAACTTCAGTTCCCCAAAGCACTCTGTAAACATGCCATTCCAGTCAAAGCCTTGGTAATACAACTAGTGTCTCCAATTGCAGGCATCAGTATTTTCAAACTTCTCCCTAGGTGATTCTATTGTGCTGCCAGGATTGAGATCCACTGAATTAAATTAACCAATATAAAAGCTGACTACTGAAATTAAGAATTTAGACTCCCCTCTAGTTTCAACCCATCAACTTGGATCCATGTGAATTTTTAGGAACTGCTGGTGGTTTAATTAACAGCCCTGGGCCACTAATGGTAGATGTTCATACTAAACAGAAAGTAAATGCTCCCTGAACAATAGGGATAAAAACAGGAGTAATTACAGGCTGGGAGTGGCTCACACCTGTAATCCCAGTACTTTGAGGGGCTGAGGCTGGAGGATGGTTTGAGGCTGGGAGATTGAGACTGCATTCCAACCTGGGTGACAGAATGAAACCCCGTCTCTGAGGAAAAACAAAAAACAGGCTGGGTGCATTGGCTTACGCCTGTAATCCCAGCACTTAGTGAGGCTGAGGTAGGTTAATTGCTTGAGCCTGGGAGTTGCAGATCAGCCTGAGCAACATAGTGAGACCCCCCTCTCTAACAAACAGAACACAACAAAACAAAAAACAGCTGGGCATGGTGGTAAGTGTCTGTAGTCCTAGCTATTGGGAGGTTCACGTGTGAGGACAGCTTGAGCTTGGCAGTTAGGGGCTATGGTGAGCTATGATTGCACCACTGCACTCCAGCCTGGAAGACAGAGTGAGACCTTGTCTCAACAAAACAAAACGACAGCAACATGTGGAGTAATTACAAAACACCTTCAGAATTCTGGCACTCTGGTCTAGATGCTCAAAATTCTCACCAGGTGGCAACGGTTTTCACAGGCACAACTGGGAAGTTAATGGACAGCAGAGTGGGCAACTGTGAAGTCTTCTATCATTAACTCAAACTTATAACAGCCATAAACACCAATAAAGCATGAGCCTCATTTTACGACTTGGTCAGATTAGTGATCACTAAAGGACAACAAGTGACAGAAATCTCAGTGTCCTGGAAAATAAGAGGAACACCTTTGATGCATTAATTATCATTCCGAAGTGCACTTAGCTTTTATAATTATCCATATATTAAATTCTAAGGCAAATGAGATGACTATAATGAAAAACAAGCCACTTAAAATGAAAACTTTATGTCCTTGACATAAAGGAATGTTAAAAGCAAACTGTTTTACAAGAAAAATAATTCAGTGAAACTAGAGCTGGAAGGTGGGAGGATCACTTGAGCCCTGAGCCCAGAAGTTGGGGGCTGCAGTGGCGTGAGCCCGGATCATGCCACTGCACTCTAGTCTGGGTGACAAAGCAAGACCCCATCTCTTAAAAAAAGAAAAAAAAAATCACCCAAAACTAGAGCTGAATGGGTTTTAAAGAGATCAATTCTCCAGTCTTCTGTGTAACATTTATCTGTCCAGAATGGGTATTAGTTATTGGTATATAGCCATGGGTTTCCAAATTTGTTAGAAAATCAATTTAAAAAAATATATTAAAATGGATTTTAAAAGTTGCTCTGTTCACCTATTCCAACTGTTCTGGTATGCTGATCTACATTTGTATTGATAGTGCCAAGAACTTTCTGAAAACACAAAAAAGAAGAGTGTAGCCAGCTAACTAACCATGTAGCTGTGCCACATTTTCAGCTTGACATTCTGATTTAATTTTTAAAGAACATCTAAACTTACTCATTGAGAACAGGTAGGACTGAAATTTCCAATTCATTATGGAGTCCTTTCAAATATTTAGGTTACTTTCCCAAAGTATGACTAAAAATTCAAAGGGATCTGAAATAATGTTTGTTTTTAAGAAAAAGGGCTTGAGGCCGGGCGCGCTGGCTCACGCCTGTAATCCCAGCACTTTGGGAGGCCGAGGTGGGTGGATCATGAGGTTAGAAGATCGAGACCAGCCTGGCCAACAAGGTTAAACCCCGTCTCTACTAAAAATAATAATAAAAAAAAATTTAGCCGGGCCTGGTGGCGTGTGCCTGTAGTCCCAGCTATTCAGGAGGCTGAGGCAGGACAATCACTTGAACCCAGGAGGTGAAGGTTGCGATGAGCTGAGATTGCACCACTGCACTCCAGCCTGGGTGACAGAGTGTGACTGTGTCTCAAAAAAAAAAAAAAAAAAAAAAAAGGGCTCGAGCATGAATTCACTCTTTAAGCCCAAATGATGGTTTGGGGAACAGGCAGTAGAGATTATTCATGAAGGACCATCTTCTTTTTTGGTACATACTACTTTGTGAGGAAAAGCATGTAGCTTTGATAGAGGAGAAAGGACAAATATGTTGTTTCTACGCTCTCCTCTCAGACCTCAGCCTGAATGCTAATACATGTGTGGTCACCAACATAAACAGTTAACTCACACTTGTACAGAATAATCCTGCTGAAGGGACTGTAGGAGAAAAACTAATCTCACCCTATTTATTTGACACAGGAGGCCATGGAAGTCCACAATCTCCCTTTCTAAAATGATACAGTGGCCTGGCATGGTGGCTCACACCTGTAATCCCAATAATTTGGGAGGCTGAGGCAGGCGAATTGCTTGAGCCCAAAAGTTCAAGACCAGCCTGGGCAACATGGGGAGACCTTGTCTCTAAAAATACAAAAATTAGCCAGGTATGGTGGCATGCACCTGTAGTCCCAGCAACTTGGGAAGCTGAAGAGGGAGGATGGTTAGAGCTCGGGAAGTTCAGGCTACAGCAAGCTGTGATCATGCCACTGCACTCTAGCCTGGGTGACAGAGTGAGACCCTGTCTTAAGAGTAAAAAAAAAAAAAAAAAAAAAAAAAAGACACAGCAAGTTACCTACACAGCCAGTATGAGAGGTCAGCTCTTCTGACTTCTAGGCCTTCCACTACCTACATCATATTTTTATATCTGCAGGGTCCCAGAAACACTTGGATTGCATTGTTTTGGTGCTTTTGAGCATTAAAAGAAAGTGATTAAGAAGCCAAGTGCTAAGACAGGTAAATGATATATTATTTGAACGAGGAGAAAACTACCTAGAAACGTATTTTGTAATGACTACTTTTGCTTTGGCTCAGATCTCTTGTCTACAACTTACTTTCATAGTTATGGGAATGACTTCGAGTTCATTAACTTTTGATGAACTAAGATAACTAAGAGTATAAATACGGAAGCTGATTTTAAAAAGCAGGTCTTTTCAGTATGAGAGATGAATGTTCTATAAATCATGGGGCAGGCAGTTAAATTCCACTGTTATAGTTTTGTTTGTATTTGCTCAGAGACAGTTATATATTTTTAGAGTATCTGTAAGTCATTTATCTGGAATTTTCTCTCTCCTCTTCCCTCTCTAGAAGAAAATAGTAATTAAAAAAAGAAAACACTAATCTATGCCTCAAACGAAAACAATCCAACTGATTTACAGGAAGAATAAACTTTTTTTTACCAACATTTTTGTTATAACAGAAACTCATTTCCTCTTAACTTTTTTATTTTATAAAAGAAAATATTAAATGCATTAAACTCATACTATCAGGAATTAAAAAATACAGAACACCTCTGGTCACTATCAGGTTCCAATTCCATCAAAACCAAGACATTGTCTCTCAAATCCTAGAAAAATGTTCGTGACCTTTTAGGTGAAAAAACAAAGAGGCGGACTATGTATGATTCAAATTTTATTACAAAAATATATGTTTCTAAAATACAGACGTGCAAGCATGGACATCTGTAAATACCAAACACACGCGGGCTACCACAGGAGTGTGCCAGGGAGGCTTTAACTCTTTTATTATATGCTCTTCTGAACTTTTAATTTCTTTTTCCTTTTTCTTTTCTTTTTTTGAGACAGGGTCTCACTCTGTCACCCAGGCTAGAGTGGGTGACAATCATGGCTCACTGCAGCCTCCACCTCTAGGGCGCCGGTGATCTTCCCACCTCAGCCTCCTGAGTAGCTGGGACTACGGGCATCTGCCATCACGCCTGGCAAATTTTTGTATTTTTAGTAAAGACGGGGTTTTACCATATTGCCCAGGATGGTCTCGAACTCCTGGGCTCAAGCACTCTGCCAGCCTCAGCTCTCAGAATGCTAGAATTACAGGTGTGAGCCACCGTGCACAATCTCCCCCCACCACCCCCACCCACAGACAAGGTCTCATTCTGTCACCCAGGCTGGAGTGTAGTGGTGTGATCACAGCTCACTGCAGCCTCAAATCAACCTCCTGGGCTCAAGAGATCATCCTACCTCAGTTTCCTGAGTAGCTGAGGCTACAGGCACAGGATAACATGACCAGATAATTAAAAAAAATTTTTTTGTAGAGACAAGGTCTCACTACGTTGCCTATGCTTGAACTATTAATTTCTTATGATGCATGCTCTAGTTGTAATTTTAAGAAATTAAATATAGTGTTAAGCATTATGATGCTGCTAAAAATAACACTTTTTTGCATACTGAAAAGTGACACCATCATCAAATCTTCAACTCTAGGAGAAATGAACAGAATTCTATGGATTGGCCGCTAATATACTTCGTTTTGAGCTTTGACACGGATTCTGAATGACTCTGGACTGAACATTTATCAATTTTGTGTTTCCCATTGTTATCTATGTACTTCTTTATATTGATACAATGGTTAGTTGGAGAGGTATAATAATTGGGTAGGGGCATCACCCAGAATAATGAAGATAAAAATTTAGGCTGAAAACAAAAGACCACTTGTACAATTTCTGTGTGGCATCATTTGTTCTAGATCTACATTTCTATTTCTGGAAATACTCTAACCATAACAACAACGTCAGCCAACTTTCATTGAGCATTTATACTCTGTGCTTTACTCCTATTGACTCACTGAATCTTCATTACAACCCTGTGAAGGAACAAAGACAATCTGTTCTAGTGACAGAGAAAGAATGTGAACCCACACTGTCTAGCTTCAGAGCCCAAACTGAACAACTTCCTTAAATTAGAATACTGTGTTAGGTTCATATAAGTGATCATTTATATGCTCTTTTTGGTAGGTGTCAGACCCAAATTCCCTACTGTTTTATTTGGGGAAAACAAACATTGAGATGAATACCCTTCTATACTCCAGTATATCTTTTGGTTCAGAAATACATTCTAGACTGTGGTGAGTGCTATTCTCTATGGTATGGTGTGCACAGGAATGCACAGTGCACCCTGGGCCACCTGGATTCTCAAAGCTTCTAAGTGTTGAGCATCTCCACTTTACTATATCAAGTTGCTTTAATTTTCAGTCCACATGACAAATGCCAGATAACAAAAATGGAATACTCTGCGTTCATTTCCTAACCTAATTAATTCCTCATTAGAACGTTAAACAAAATGGTGAAAACACAAATATGATGTGCATTACAGAAATACTTAAAATTTGTTCTTGTGTGCTCTGAGAGGGGCTGCCATTGTGACTAAATAAGTGCTGTTAAAAATATTTATTGTTTTGTTCACAAGTGCTGTAGGTCTTCTGTATTTTAGCTGATTAATTAGGTGTTTGTTAGCAGGGTTGGATCTAACCAGTGATGTGTGGCATGTCAGTGTGACTGGAAATAGACCAAAAAACACTGTCACACAGCCAGACCGAACTTGCTCCCTGGTCTCCGTGCTCAGAGGGTCAGCAAATTACTTCAGGGTTACAGCTGAATATTTCTGGCAAGAATGTGAAATAGAAACCCCAGTTTGGGGAGGAGGGAGGAAGGCTGGGAACAAAATGCTTTTATAATGGATGATCCACTGTGCCATCTGTCTGGAGGTATTTAAGAATTTTATTTTGACTTCATCTGACATCATGATTTTTAAAAGGATGTCAAAGCAGACATGGCATGAGTTCTTGCAGACTCTGTTTGAGTCTACAGATCATTTTTAATCCTGTTTATTCTAAAATGACTTCCCTGTATGTTTATTAGACTCTTTGGATTCTAAAAGGCAAAAACCCCACACATGAGCTGTCATATTCATTTTTTTCTTCCACAACAAACTAACTGTCCTATAGCACAGATACTGAAAACTAACAATAATTCAGGTTTGAAAGTGGAAACCTAGGAAGATATAAAAATAATATATTTCAGTCTATTTTAATCATTGCCCCATCAGACACTAATAGAAAGACTGGAATTTCTGTGGATGGCTTAAGTCTGTATCACACATTTTCATGTAAAATTAATCTAATGCACACTCTTTCCCAGGTCACACTGATTCATGAGAATTGGAGAGCCAGAAACGGAAGCCAGGCAGTGTGGTCCTAAGCTGAGGATGATGTTATACACTGTGAGAGGCAGTGCACATGGTCACAAGCAAAATCAGGTTGGTAAGGCTCACAGGGAATTACTGTAAGCCATAAAATCATCCAGGGTGGCTTTCTGATTATTAGCTTCAATTTCAAGAAGGAAGAGTGAGCAGGAATCCCAATGAATACGAGAAAGAATAAGACAGACAAAAATGTAAGCGCCTATCGGGCCAGGTGTGGTGGCTCATGTCTGTAATCCCAGCACTTTGGGAGGCCGAGGTGGGTAGATCACCTGAGGTCAGGAGTTCAAGATCAGCCTGACCAATGTGGTGAAACCCTATCTCTACTAAAATACAAAAGTGGCTGGGCATAGTGGTGGGCACCTGTAGTCCCAGCTACTCAGGAGGTTGAGACACAAGAATCGCTTGTACCTGAGAGGCAGAGGTTGCAGTGAGCCGAGATGGCACCACCACCCTCCAGCCTGGGTGACAGAGCGACTCTGTCTCAAAAAAAAAAAAAAAAAATGAGTGGGAAAAGACTCCCTTCTCTCCAAGTTTGACCACCTCATCTCAAACAGCCCTCACCCTGACCACTACCACTCGCTGTTCCCATAACCGGAGTTAATTTCTTCACAGTATTTATCGCCTCCTGACATGTTATAGGTCTACTGTCTATATCCTGCACCCCACCTAGAATGTAAGCACCGCAGGGACAGGGGCTCTGTTCTGTTTTGTTCACACTATCTTCACAGCCTATAGCTTGAGACAGAGTAGGAATCCAAGTAATAATGATTTTTACTTCATATTTTTTTAGAAATGGAGGTCTTACTATGTTGCCCAGGCTGGTCTCAAATTTCTGGGCTCTAGCAATCCTCCCGCCTCAGCCTCTAGAGTAGCTGGGACTACGGATGTGTACCATTGCACCTGGCTCAAATTCAATAATTATTTGCTGAATTAAAGAATGAATTAATGGAGTCTCTCCTCTCATAAACGTTTTAACTGAAAACATTTTATGCCAGTATTTCAATTGCTAATATACTGGTAATAGTGGGTACAAACAGGGTAGGATTTTTTAAAGGCAGTTCTATAAATAATGAGCAAGTAAATAACTGAAAGACAAAGAATAAAGCATCTTACCAAACTAGCAGCCCCAGAAGACAACCTCTAGGCCAGCCAACACCAGTTTACTTTTCTTCCAGCGTTAGTCCTCAGCCAGAGGCCAGTGAGGCTACCAGATAATAAGCATCAGCAGAGGTGCTTATGGATTTTGATTCTTAGTTTTCATTCTACAGATTACCACTCTAAAACTTTCTCCATTTCTCCTCCAAAAATGGTTCCAGCAGTTAAAAAATAATCCTTAGCTTCTGGAAAGACATTTTCCCCCATCCTTCCTCATTCCCAGGTCCTCAGGGTACCACCTACCTGTGATTTTACCCAGACTGGTTTTCTGGAAGTCAGGGTTCCTCAGCTCTTCAGTGCTTGCAGATTTCATGACAGAGTTGATAGACGACAGGGTGCTGATGAGCTGAGAGTTGAGGGAGCCCATCTGTGAGTGAGGTTCCCCGAAAGCTTCTGCCAGTTCACTGTAGTTCTCAGCCAGCAGTGTCTGCTGTTCTGCCAGCAGCTTCTGGATACGCTCAATGTAGTGATCCAGGCCAGTCATCATTCCAAGTGGAGCTTGAGGCTGGGGGTTCTCCAGAGATTCCCCTACAGGGTCATCCCCAACCCCCACGCTCCTTCTGCTGGCTGTCAGCCCCACAGTCAACTGTGGTGGCCCACAAGCTATAGTCCTCATTTTGAGACCAACCAGATAGTTGTCGTTAATATTTATCTGCCCCACACCTGACTCTTTGGTCTTCACAGCTGATGGCCTGTCAAACCCAGAATGGCCAGAAAGCAACGTTCCAACACCAATGGACCGCGTCTTGGTGGAGGAGTTGATGTCCTTGACACGGCCTTCTCCTACAGCTACTGTCCGCGTCTCCACAGTCTGGGTGCTGGTCTGCTTGTCCAAAGTGCTTAGACAAGTGTTGGTGCAGGACTCTATGAGGGTGGCCGTCTCGGTGTTGGTGAACTGGTGCACCTGTTCCAAATCTGTGCTAGTGTCCTGGTCTGCAGTACGAGGCACTGCCATGACGGCAGCTTCCACCTGGCTAACAGCCTCAGTGTTCACGCCCCGGGAGGCGCACTCCTTTGGAGAGCAGACGGTCACGTCAACAGAACAATCTCCACAACCGATAGACCGCACTTCTTTGAGATTCAAGTTTGTCTTGAGGAGTGTGAGGTCGTTCACAGACTCCTCTGTGTTGCTGCCTGTTTCGCAGACGCTGACTTCCACACTCACACTCTTGTCACACATTTCCACAGACCTCCCAGCACATCGGTCATGCATTTCCACCCTCTCCTTAACAATCCACCAATTCATAGGCAGCTCAGGCCCTACGACTTTATTCTTACATTCAGGCTGGCAGGAGATGCCTACACTGTTTGTTTCCACGGAGGTCCCAACACACGTGTCCACCAGGTCCATGTGACTGCCGACCATTTGGTCTCTGGTCTGCACCACTGCCTCCACCACCTTACTGAAAACAAGCGGCTGGGCCATCGTGGCTTTGTCAACCTTTTTCCTCGATCCAGCAGCCTGCAGCTCTTGTTTCAGTTTAGTCATCTCCCGGTCATGGGTGGTTTCTCTAAGCTGTACTTCTAGGCGATAGATCTTTTCCTTCAAGGATTCTATGGTCTGCTGTTGCAGCTCAATTTCTTTGTCAGCTTCAGTCATCACTCCAAGCATGGCCTCTGTCACGCTGACCCCACAATTTCTCATCTCAACAAGTGTCCCTACAGCTGCATCCTTACAGGACCTGGAGCCTCTGTGGTACACGACGATGTCGTTCATGTTCTCCTCGGCACCCACAGCCACAGACCGGCACTCTCCATTCTCCCTGAGCTCTGAGGAGGCCTCACAGCTGCTGTCCTGGATCTTCTGCTCCAGGGCTTGCATGTCTGCTGTAAGTTGCCGGAACTCCTTTATCCTCTGCGTGCTCTGTTCTACGGTCTCCATTTCTTCCTCCTCATAGTCAATGTATAATTCCCCGCCACTTCTTCGGGCCCGGGAGAGCTGTTCCAGCTGGGAGGCGTTCCCCGCACTATAGGACCGCTTCCTCACACCACAGACATTGATCTGGGATGCAGCCCTTTGGTTTTTCAGCTGTGAGACCAACTGCCTTTTCTCTTCTTGCAAGACAGAGATCTTTACCTGGAGCACAGGGATGGTTCGCACCTGCTCCTCCAGCTCCTTCAGGCGTTTCAGAGCAATGGCCATCTGCTCGCGGATGTGCTGCAGGTGCATGGGGCTCACGTTGGTCACTGGGGTGGAGATCCCTGAGCTCAGGGGGCTGTGGCGGATGGAGCTCCCCATGGAGGAAGTGGTGGGAGCAGCTGGGGCATAGCTACCATAATCCCCATTACCTTGGTATCCATTCTGAAGCTGGTGCTTGGCAGGATTGTGGTTTCCAGAACCCACAAAAGAAGGGAGGGAGCTTGTGGTGCCCATGCCTCCAAAACTGGCCAGCCTGGGCCTTCTGAACTCACCCGGTGTCATCTGCATGGTGGCTCTCTCCTGTTCCAGTCTTCTCCGGGTCTCCATCAGTGTCTTGGTGACATGAAGGTTATGCTTTGGGAGTTGTGGTGAGGGAGGTGGCAGCTGTCGATTTTCTGGGATGGTAAGAAAAGGGAGTGAGGTCTCCAGAGGGGGAGGTGGCTTTGAGATTGGAGTTGATGTAACTTGACTTCTGGCTATGAGGAAGTTGGGGCACTGCTTGTTGTCATCACTGTTGGAGGATGAGAGGGATTCAGTGGAAGTCCATATACCTTGCTGACCAGATGTGGTCCTGGGTTCTGGGCATGGCACGGACGGCTTCCGCCTCTTCTGGATGTTCAGTCTTTTGATGGTATTTCCCTTCTGTATGTCATCCACATATTTGAGGAAATCTAAGTCTAGTTGATAACCATAGGGGGTCTCCACAAAGTAAGGGTCTTTCTGTTCCTTGTCCTGGTCTCCACTGAGAATATCACCTGCTTTTCCTAGAAGAGGGAGAAAAGAATATTATAATGACATGCAATACACCTAATGGTAAAAACTAATATTTGTGTTTGTTGCAGTACAGCAAGCTGGTATGATTTTAAGAGTTGACACACCTATGTTTTGAACCTGGATCTACAACAGCTGGGTAAGCAAGTTTTTTTTGTTTTTTTTTGTTTTTTTTTTTTTTGAGACAGGTCATTCTGTCACCCAGGCTGGAGCTGCAATGGCATGATCTCGGTTCACTGCAGCCTCCGTCTCCTGGGATCAAGCAATTCTCCTACCTCAGCCTCCTGAGTTGCTGGGATTACAGGGGTGCACCACCACGCCTGGCTAATTTTTACACTTTTAGTAGAGACAGGGTTTCACCATGTTGGCCAGGCTGGTCTCGAACTCCTGACCTTAGGTGATCCACCCAACCTGGCCTCCCAAAGTGCTGGGATTACAGGCGTGAGCCACTGCGCCCGGCTTGGGTAAGCAAGTTAATAAACCTCTCTTAACTTCAGTTTCTCCCTGAGTAAAAATGGAGATGCAAATATTTAACTCACAGGCTTAAAAACAATGTAATGAGATAATGATTGTATTATTTTTTAAAACTGTATGTTAGATTCAGGGAGTACATGTGCAGGCTTGTTACAAGGATATATTGTGTAATGATGAGCTTTGAGCTTCTAGTGTACACATCACCCAAATAGTGCACACCGTACTCAATAGGTAATTTTTCAACCCTCACTCCCCTCTTTCCCCACTTTTGTAGTCTAAAATGTCTACTATTTCCATCTTTTTCCATCTTTATGTCCATCAGTACTCAGAGATAATGATTAAGAGACAAGCACATAGTAAGTCCTTACTAAATATTTTTAAAAGAATTCATTATAAAAGACACGAAAGGCTGGGCACGGTGCTCACTCCTGTAATCCCAGCACTTTGGGAGGCCAAGGCGGGTGGATCACCTGAGGTCAAGAGTTTGAGACCAGCCTGGCCAACACGTGGTAAAACCTCGTCCCTACTAAAAATAAAAAATTGGCTGGGCATGGTGGCAGGCGCCTGTAATCCCAGTTACTTGGGAGGCTGAGGCAGGAGAATTGCTTGAATCCAGGAGGTGGAGGTTGCAGTGAGGCGAGGTCACACCATTGCATTCTAGCCTGGGCAACAGAGCAAAAACTCCGTCTCAATTAAAAAAAAAAAAAAAAAAGACATGAAAGCATTGTCCAGTAGATAATTTCATTGGTCATCTACAGTCTCTTGGAATATAGACAGCAGACATTAAGATTCCTGTTTTTCAAAGTGTTATCTGAGGCACACAAAAAAACTAAAAGTCAGTAGCAGACAGACAAAGTCAGCAGCATAACCAGGAGGCCTGGGATGA
Organism: Homo sapiens; assembly: GCF_000001405.40. NCBI lineage: Eukaryota > Metazoa > Chordata > Mammalia > Primates > Hominidae > Homo > Homo sapiens. The sequence goes on along the minus strand of NC_000009.12, from coordinate 709,436 downwards.
GATGTCCCTGCTGCTGTCTTTTGCAGACTGGGCTGCCTTTCTAAATGGAGGTCAAGGGCACTCAGCTCCTGACTACCTCCATGGGCTTACAATTTGCCTTGGCACCTCCCCGGCTGAGAAAGCTGGGGCATGGGATATTTAGTGATTAACTCTGGCAGCATGAGTAGAAGCACACAGAGGAAAGACTTCAACTCTATTTTGTGTTTTCCACTTCTCAGTTTCTCTCCTCATTTAAAAACAAAACCAAACCCTGTCTTAACTGTAGGAAGAGTTTTCTCCGTGTTGACTCCTTTTGGACAAAACATTCCCTATCCCAGGAACACCTTGTTTTGTATTGTCATGAGTTCAAACAGATGCAAAGAATGAAGATAAGGGCAAAACCTACATACTCCAACCACTGGATCATGTGGCACTCAGTAAATACTACTTAAGGCTAAACCAGACATTTAAAAGAGGAAACACAAGAACCTTTCAAAGCGCAGACCTTGTCGCTGACCTGGGCTATGCATTTCAAACTTAAAAGCAAGGTCATTTTTATTTTTTTAAATTGTAGGATCAGGTCATGTGTTGTTTTCCCAGAGCCACGCTAATAAGCTGCGCATTTTTAGAGCTATGGAAAGAACTCAAAAGCAATGAGTGAAAATGTAAGCCATCAGTCTCCCTGCCCTCTCCTGAGTATACAAACCCACTTGACTGCTGTCCAGTTTGAAGTAACTTCCAGCAAACCTGGTTGCTGTCTGCCCTCCCAACCCCCAGCACTGCCGAACATTTACACCCGACAGTGTGAATGCTGTGAAGAACACTTCTGCTTCCATCTGCCCGCTTTCTTCCCAAATGTTGGAAAGAAAGTACAAAAATAAGATTGCCAAGCAGAGGAATAAAAAGGACGTATATTCCTTACGTCCCAATTTAAAACAATATTAAATTGCTCTAGCTGTTCGATTCTAACACGTGTGGGAAGTGAATTCTATGTGAAAGAAGTGCCCAGCAGCAGTCATGCTCTAGCCTAAGAATGGGAGGGCTGGTCGGGAGGGCTGTGCCTGGAAACTTGTGCTCGTGTTAAAAGAACGTAGCTGTCCTTCTCTCTTTCCCTTTTAACTTTCATCTCCACATGGAGAAGGTGATCACTCAAAATATGCAGCCAGACCTGTCTCCAGTACTGTCTGAAATTCCATTAACAGGAGAGAAGCTGCAGCAGCCAGACCTGTCTCCAGGACTGTCTGAAATTCCATTAACAGGAGAGAAGCTGCAGCAGCCAGACCTGTCTCCAGGACTGTCTGAAATTCCATTAACAGGAGAGAAGCTGCAGCAGCCAGACCTGTCTCCAGGACTGTCTGAAACTCCATTAACAGGAGAGAAGCTGCAGCAGCCAGACCTGTCTCCAGGACTGTCTGAAACTCCATTAACAGGAGAGAAGCTGCAGCAGCCAGACCTGTCTCCAGGAATGTCTGAAACTCCATTAACAGGAGAGAAGCTGCAGCAGCCAGACCTGTCTCCAGGACTGTCTGAAACTCCATTAACAGGAGAGAAGCTGCAGCAGCCAGACCTGTCTCCAGGACTGTCTGAAACTCCATTAACAGGAGAGAAGCTGCAGCAGCCAGACCTGTCTCCAGGACTGTCTGAAACTCCATTAACAGGAGAGAAGCTGCAGCAGCCAGACCTGTCTCCAGGAATGTCTGAAACTCCATTAACAGGAGAGAAGCTGCAGCAGCCAGACCTGTCTCCAGGACTGTCTGAAACTCCATTAACAGGAGAGAAGCTGCAGCAGCCAGACCTGTCTCCAGGACTGTCTGAAACTCCATTAACAGGAGAGAAGCTGCAGCAGCCAGACCTGTCTCCAGGAATGTCTGAAACTCCATTAACAGGAGAGAAGCTGCAGCAGCCAGACCTGTCTCCAGGACTGTCTGAAACTCCATTAACAGGAGAGAAGCTGCAGCAGCCAGACCTGTCTCCAGGACTGTCTGAAACTCCATTAACAGGAGAGAAGCTGCAGCTTGGCTGTCAGGCAGGCTGATCCGGGCCTCCCGGGATGTGTGTGTGGGAGCCGGCGGGTCTAAGCTGGACTCCCGTAGGCCTGCGGTGGAGTGAAGCGGCCCAGCAGTGCGCACCTTCCCGGCCGGCCCCCCTCGCCCAGGCCCCCCGGAATTCGGCCAGCGGTGGCCGCCCCACGCCGCTCGCAGCTCACCTACCACGTGGCGCCCGCCGCGCTCCCCGCCAGCCCGCGCTGCCCCGCACAGCTCGCTCCAGCTCAGCCGGACCCGGCCTCGGGCGCCCTCGATCCTCACCCCGTGAGGAGAAGTTTCAACATTCGTGTAAACTTGGCCGGCCACGCTCGGATGCCATAGGCTGAGCTTTCACCGGCGAGGTCTCCCTCCGGCTGCAGTGACACCACCCCCGCCGCACTCAGCTGTTCCGCATTCCCTGTTTTCTTAATGAAAACAGGAAACCGGTATCTTCTGAAAATGTGTGTTCTTCACTCCCGCTTTGCCAGCTGATTTTTAAATAAAGCTAGCACTTTAAGCATCTCTACAGAGAGGCTCTGTTTTTCCTATACTAGTCACTGCTTCATGAAAGAGTCTGTGTCCTCCTGCCCAGCCCTCGGTCACCTGAGGAGGTGCAGAGGCACAATCAGCCCCACTGTTCTCTGCGGGTTCTCAGGATCCGGGCAGCACTCACTGGTTCCAGAGCACTGCCTGACTCTTCTCAGCCCTGGGCTTATGACACGTGGCAAGTAGTTATCCTTTATCATTAATTTCAACTGAGCCTTTGCCACTGATGAAAAGTTCTTCTTAAAAAATGAAAGAAAAACAAACCTTTTTCCAGATACGAAAGTAGTACATGCTTGTAAAACATTAAAAAAAAAAAAAAGCCACATACAGATAATTTAAAGAACGTAAAAAAAGGGCACTCAGATCCTACCATCAAGTGGCAAGCGTTAATATTTTGGTGTAACTCCTACTTTTTCTATACTTTTCCCACTTAAGGATTTTCAGTAGGAAAGATGAACTGACTCAACATCAGTATTTAAAACACAACAAAACTTATCACAGTTTTTACCAAAACCTAACTGGTCCATCTTTAGTTATTTCTTTAGTTCACCTTGTAGAAATCACAAAAAGCATGTATCACGTTGTATTACCCCCAAATGAACTTTGGACTTCTGGGAATCAGAAGAGGTTAGAATTTAACTAAGTTAGGCTTGCTTATTTCCTAATACTGCTCAAACCAGGCTACCCAAAGGACTTGTAATTCAAGTTTCATTCTCCAGCAAGTAAAAAAGTAAGATGTGTTTTCAAGGTGTCATTTTCACAAACAATTGTCCATGGTAAAAATTATTCTACAATAAAACTACCCGGTGTCATTATTTTTTTAATATCCTGTTTTCTAGTGTATGTTTACATACATCAACATAAATTAGGCACTTATGAGTCCCTGATTTATTTCCCAACTTTAACAAGACGAAAACACTTTTTTGTCTTTTGTACCAGACTATAAGCACCCAGAGAGCAAAAAACTTAATTAAAAAAAATTTTTTTTGGAGAGCACGCTGGCTCATGCCTGTAATCCCAGCACTTTGGGAGACCGAGGAGGGTGGATCACTTGAAGGTCAGGAGCTCGAGACCAACCTGGCCAACATGGTGAAACCCCATCTCCACTAAAAATATAAAAAATTACCCAAGCATAGTGGCGGGCACCTGTAATCCCAGCTACTTGGGAGGCTGAGGCAGGAGAATCGCTTGAACCTGGGAGGTGAAGGTTGCAGTGAGCCAAGATCACACACATTGCACTCCAGCCTGGGCAACAAGAGCAAAACTTCATCTCCGCCCCCACCCCCCCAAAAAAAATATACATTTTTTTTTTCATTGCTTCCTCTCCCAACCACACACCAATTATCAACATGCTGGGAAGAAAGGAGATGTCTGACAACGTTTACTGAAGGAATAAATAACTGAATATATAGTATAACATAATAAACTTGCTAGAGTGCAGTGGCGCCATCTTGGCTCACTGCAACCTCCACCTCCCTGGTTCAAGGGATTCTCCTGCCTCGTCCTCCCGAGGAGCTGGGATTACAGGCGTGTGCCACCACGCCCAGCTACTTTTTGTATTTTTAGTAGAGATGGGGTTTCACTATGTTGGCCAGGCTGGTCTCAAACTCCTGACCTCAGGTAATCTGCCTGCCTCGGCCTCCCAAAGTGCTGGGATTACAGCTGTGAGCCACTGTGCCTGGCCAACAGAATAAGATAATAAACTTTGAAAAACATCTTGATGCTCTGAAGACAGAAGTTGTTCGTTAAATATTAGTGTTAAGGACATTTCTTCCATGATATTGTTTCAGTTGTTATCTTTAGGTTGTGGAATTATAGATGATTTTTATTCTTTATATTTTATAATTTTTACAACACGTGGGTATTGCTCTTTTTTTTTTTTTTTTTTTTTTTTTGAGACAGGGTCCGACTCTGTTGCCCAGGCTGGAGTGACGTGGTGCGATCATGGCTCACTATAGTCTCTATCTCCTGGGCTCAAGTGATCCTCCCGCCTCAGCTTCCTGAGTAGCTGGGAACTATAGGTATGTAGCACCACGCCTGGCTAATTTTAATTTTTTAAAATTATTTTTAATAGAGATGAGTTCTTGCTATTTTGCTCAGGCTGGTCTTGAACTCCTGGCCTCAAGCAATCCTCCCACCTCAGCCTCTCAACATGCTGGAATTACAGGTGTAAGCCACTATACCTGGCCTGGGCATTTGTCTTAAAATATATTACAAGAAGTCTCTGTTTGGAAGGCAAATGGAATTGACTGCAATAAAATGAGAAAGTTCACTTGGGAGGTGAATGAATAGGGGTGGCCATGGCAAAGACAGCTTGATGTTCTTTAGTATGCATTATCCCCTCCTTCCACACTAATAGGGGCAAATAAAAGTCTGTAAGCAGAAGTGTCATGTAGTATACCCCAGGAACCTCCATTAAGAAACACAGAAATAATCCTTTCACCTATGTTCTTCTTTGTGCCTTCCTCCATCCTGCTGCCTGGAATGCAGATGTGATGACTAGAACACTAGTGTAACTTTGAAACATGAGTTCATATCTAGGGGTGGAGGAACGATGTACTAGAAGGAACTTGGGCCTCAAAGGACTTTGTGGATCAGAGCTACTATAACATTTCTAAAAAGCCTACCTCTATACTTTTAAGTGAAAAAGATATAAAGGTCTATTTTGTTTTAGCTATCGTTTGTTTTGGGTCTTGTTTACTTGGAGTTACACTGAATTCTAACAGGTACTACAGTTCTTCCCCCTTTCCCTCTCAAAAATTAAGACTAGATCTTAAAAAGGAGAAAGACGCTAAATTATTAACTGGAAAAGTGTTACAATAAAACTTAAATTATTAATTCAGGATCAAGAGGAAGTATAAAAACAACAGTTTTGGCCGGGCACAGTGGCTCACGCCTGTAATCCCAGCACTTTGGGAGGCCGAGGTGGGCAGATTGCCTGAGGTCAGGAGTTCAAGACCAGTCTGTCCAACATGGTGAAACCAGGTCTCTACTAAAAATGCAAAAAATTTAGCTGGGCATGGTGGTGTGCACCTGTAATCCCAGCTATTCAGGAGGCTGAGGCAGGGGAATTGCTTGAACCAGAGAGGTGGAGGTTGCAGTGTGTCAAGATCACGCCACTGCATTCCAGCCTGGGTGACAGAGCAAGACTCCGTCTCAAAAAAAAAAGAGCAGTTTAAAAAAAAAAATCTACCTGGGTTATAAAGAGACTCTTAACTAAGCCTTTTTGGACTAACAGAACTATGCCTGCTTTTGCACAGTCAAAATTCCACTGGCTATATCTGCAACTGAAATCCTGAGAGTAATAGCTTCCAACTAAATATTCTGGAATTGGAGGGCTGTCCCTGGTGTTTACAAAAATTTTTTGAATGTCTGGAAATCCAGTGGTGGAGACTGCTCCTGGCACCACCTCTACTTTCATTATATAAACATTTATTGAAAGCTTAATTGGCTACAGAAAATGGTCCTATTCAGTGGAAGGAGTAAGAGGAAAAATTTTTAAGAAATAAAATCAGATATAGTCTAGCTGAGAGATGACTACCAAACACCCTTAACACTAATTGAGATCAGTGACAAAGGCATATATCAACAATGCAGGCCATGAGTGGAGACTCATGCCTGTAATCCCAGCACTTTGGGAGGCCAGGGTGGGCAGTTCACTTGAGATCAGGAGTTCGAGACCAGCCTGGCCAACATGGTGAAACCCTGTCTCTACTGAAAATACAAAAATTAGCTGGGTGTGGTGGCACATGCCTGTAAACCCAGCTACTTGGGAGGCTGAGGCAGGAGAATCGCTTGAACCTGGGAGGCGGAGGCTACAGTGAACCGAGATTGCACCACCGCATTCCAGCCTGGGCAACAGAGAGAGACTCCGTCTGAAAAAACCCCAAAAAACAACAACCCCGCCCCCACTCCAAAAAACCAAAACACAATGCAGTATGAAAGTATGTAAACTAGTGATCAAAACAGAACCGAGTTAACGAGAGATGAGTTCTGAAGACAAGGTAAATGACCAGAGTAAAAAGGTGAAGAGCCAGGACAGAACCTGTTGGTGCTGCTGAAGGAATGCCAAGGTTAGACAAGGGGAAGAAGATGAGTACAGGAGAGGCCACCAATCTCACATCCTGGAGCAGGGCAAGTTTTTCCACTGAAACTAGGGGCTAAAAGGCATCAACAAAGATCGTCTTGACAATTGTGCGTGCGTGAGACTGACGTAGGGAAAGAGGCTACATTCAATAGGACCAGTTAAAATGTTATAATACCCAGTGGGAAGTGCAGACCGAATAAAACATTTATTCACACATTCGACTTACATTTATAATTGATATTGATAATAAAGGCACATGAATTAATTTCTGCTTTCTGTCTCTGTCTCTCTTTCTCTATCTCTCTAGTTTTCTATGGATCTTCACTTACTATTTACCATGCACTGTTCTCGGAGCTGGGGGCACCGAACAAAATGGACAAAGTCTCTGTTCTCACAAGGCTCACAGTCTAGTGGGGATGGGGTGCATAGAAAAGTAATTAAAGGCAGAAGTGAAGCAAACAGCTACATGACAGCTGGCATTGCCAGAATTTATACCAGCGTCTCAAGGTAAGTGGATGGCCTGCTAACTAACACTGGGCTCCATGTTGTCTTAGGTTGGCATCATCTCTGAGCCAACTCACTCCTAGACACCAAGGGTCACAGAGTCCATTTCCTCCCTCTCGCTCCCAACTAAGTTTGCACACTCTGCAATTTGGGGTAACCAAACACCAATGCAACGGCATCGATTAAAGAAAACTCTCCAAGTTCAGACCAAATTCCTCTGTGTTCAGAGAAAAGGTGAAATCAACAAACTGATGGCAAGTCTGCTCCTTATTTATATATTCATCTCCTATAAAACTTAGTGCTCTGTGAGAGGGGCCCAATTTACTGCCTCAAGAACAGTGAGAAATTTGCTTGCAATTCTTCTGCATTAACAAAGTGAAATGGAGTTATGGATATTTCAAAAATCATTTCATCTAGATTCATAAAGTACTATATGATTTTAACTTTTAATGAAACTAAACTTGCTGTCCAAATAATACATGGTTTTGAAAGACATAAAAATTAACGTACTCACCAGGAAGAAGATTAGATCGCAGGAAACTAGTCGAGTACTAACCTGCTTGCAGTGATTCTCAACTGGAGGTAATTTTTCTTTTAAACCAACCAAACGAGGCATGGAGGTGATTTTGCCCCCGCGAAGGGACATTTGGCAATGCCTGAAGATATTTATTGTTGTCGCTGCTTGGGGTGCTACCCGAATCTAGTGTGTAGAGGCCAGAGCTGCTGCACACATTTTGCCATGCACAAGACAGGCCCTCCTTCCCCCAACAAAGAATTATCTAGCTCATAATGTCAGTAGCGCTGAGGCTGAGAAAGCCTGTGCTGGGGACAGCGAGAAGAATAAAAATTCACAGATAGCAACTGAAATTTTGGCCATATAATCTGTATTCTTCCATTGGGCGCGGAGGCTCATGCCTGTAATCCCAGCACTTTGGGAGGCCAAGGCGGCTGGATCACCTGAGGTGGGGAGTTCGAGACCAACATGGAGAAACCCCACCTCTACTAAAAATACAAAATTAGCCCAGCATGGTGGTGCATGCCTGTAATCCCAGGTACTTGCGAGGCTGAGGCAGGAAAATTGCTTGAACCTGTGAGGCAGAGGTTGTGGTGAGCCAAGATCATGACATTGCACTCCAGCCTGGGCAAGAGTGAAACTCCATTTCAAAAAAAAATCTGTAGTCTTCAAGTCTTTCATTTCCTATTGGGGCCAATAACACTACGCTCAAGTGCTCAAGTGATAAAAAATGCCACTTTTGAGTAAAGAAAAGCATTCAATACTTTCTACATACTCTACCACAATGAGCCATTCTTTAATATGAGCAAAAAGCACTGGGGTGAAATAATGTGTCCTGTGGACTTTAAAACGGAGGAGACTTTGATATTATTACTTTATCTATTAATTAGGACACACTGACTTCTTTGTTCTGATTTCACTGCTGCACACTCTAGGCCCAGTTACTGACTGACGGTGCTGTGAAAAATAATTACACCCCTGTGCCACAACTTTCACACACTATTTATGTGTTTTTCTTCGCCAGATACCACACCTGACTGTTGAAACTGAAGAACTTTGCTAATTCCCATTAATGTTATTGTCCCCTCTCACATGAAGCATGAAGATTTTGCTTGAAGAGCTGAGTCAGTCCTAGAGAAGTACATAATTATCACAGATTTCCACATTTAAAAGCCCCAGAGTGTAAGCATCCTGCTGTTCAAAGCAGTCAAAAAGATCCCACGTCAGCAGGAAAGCAAACCAGTAGGATGAACTCAGGAAGAGAGGCAAGTTCTCATGAAGCTAATTACTCAGAGTATGAGAGTAATTAAGTTAGCACATCAACTTTTCCAGGAGTGGAAAGTGTTCTAAGAAGACAGCGAAGTACAACAGCGTCCTTCTGAACGGGTTTAGCAGGTGGTATCTCCTGATGACACTGTTAGCACTAAGCTCTTTGAGACCCAGCAGCTTCGCTACCTGTATCAAATTTGTGTGAGGAACACCATTTGTTAGAGAACACACAATAAAAAGGGTAGCAATATGAGTGTTCCTCCTTCTGGTTTAAAGGAAATGTATAACAGATGAGATTTTCTTTTGCTCTTGCATTTACCAAAGAGTTGTTTTTAAGCCTGCTCTTTTCCCTCCCAGATAAAACCCGTTCATTCAGGCATTCAAATGATGGGCACCTGCCACGTGCTAGGCTTTTTCTAAGAAGCCTGAAATGCTTCTCCTCACAGAGTTTATACTGCCTACTGCAATTCACCAATACCTCTTCAGGTTATACGTAGGTAGGTAGGTAAGTATGTATTCATTCATTCTTTTAGAGACAGGGTCTTGCTCTGTCACTCAGGCTGGAGTGTAGCGGCACGATCACAGCTCACTGCAGCCTTGAACTCCCCAGCTCAAGCGATCCTCCTGCCTCAGCCTCTCTAGTAGCTAGGACTACAGATGTGTGTGACCAAACCCGGCTAATTTTTAAATTTTTTATAGAGATGGGGGTCCCACTATGTTGCCCAGGCTAGTATAGCTGTTTTAAAAAGCTACCTAAACACTTCATGCAAATAAAATTGTAACATTAAAGAAAGCAAAAGTATATGCCAGAAGTTCCTAAGAAATATCAGGTCAGTTGACACATATGTAGCATAACTGCAATTTTACAGGCTTGGTTTGTTTATATGATTAAGTTAGAATGTGGTCTTGCTTCGTGTACTCCTAACCCTTCCTAACTCCTTTTGGCTTCTCCCCACAAATCTTTGGATTTCCTCTCACAGATAATCTTATCTGGACTTTTTTAACAGACATTAACCTGCACACTACTCCTACATCTTCCACTGTCTCCCATCACTACCCTTCTCCATACCAGCTCCATCTTCCACATCTACCTGTTCCTGCTGATGTAAGGAAGATGCAGTTGTTACACTGAAAGATGGATGTATTCTTTCATTCAGCAAATATTTATTAAGTGCCTGCAATAGGCCAAACACGGCTAGGTGCTAAGCAAAACAGACACAGAGCCTGTCTGGGTAGAACTTACGAAGTATAGGAGGAGACAGACAAGTGATCACATAAATAACAACTGTATTAAGTGTTGTGAAAGCACAATGCAGGCGTTATGTTGGAACACAGCAGGGACCCTGCCTAGGCTACGGGTAGGGAGGGTTCTTCAAGGGAGCGGTAGCTAAGGAGTCCACCGGGCAGTGTGGTGGGGATGTGTGGAGGGATGGCAGAAATTCTAGGCAGAGGAAAGAGCATATGCAAAACCTGCCACTTTTAAGAACTGGGAAGAGGACTTTGCAAAGACTGCAGTGAGGCAGAAAGGGGACAGACAGAGCCCTAATTCCACAGGACCCTGGGGATCAAGTTTTTGCATCATAGATGCATTGGTAAGCTATTGAAGGGTTTTAAACAAGGGAGTGAAATGATCAGATTTGCATTTTAATAAGATTGCTCTGGCTAGATGCTGGAGATTAAAATTCTCCTCAGCATTCTCCATTAGGGTTTCCATGGATTATTCAAGTCCCCATGAATTTTTGTCTAGGTATAACAAACTCCTTTGCACCATATGAATTTTACCTACCCAATTAGATGGTAAGTGGTAATAGTAAGATAAGTTCTGGTGGTATTCCACAATGAGAACTTTGACACTGTCTGCATCTGGGCTAGCCAGCCTGTAGCCTTGACTCTGTCTGCCCCTAATACTTCGGAGGAAACTGAGAAGGTCTGACAAATTCCAGCTACTCTGGGCTGAGCTGGAGACCAGGATCCGGTCTCTGGGCTTGTCTTCTAGGGCTCTGTTACCTCATTCTGCTATTAAAAAAGAAAATTTTTTCTTTAAACCAATGGATGACTCACCGCAGAGAAAAGTGATGGGATTCCTTTTCTGAAGGTCACTGAAGTATGAGAAATCTAACCTGGGAAGGACGGATATGGCATGAGTGAGGGCAGGAAGAAACAGGAGACAACATTTTAGGGAATCCAGGTTCTGATTTAGCATGTTGAGATGCAGAACACAGACTCGCTCTGTGTTTGAAACTCTAGGATGGGAAGAGCAAGGACTGAAAATGCCTGTGAGGCTAAGACAACACCGACCCTGACAGCCAACAAGTGTCTCTGGAGGCAGGAGAGAAAGGCGGGCAGCACGCTGTTTCCAGCTTTGTGTACCTATCCACCCGCATCTGACCAGGGCCTGAATTGGCCAACAGGGAAAGCTAAAGGTAGACGATAGGCCTGGGGAACTTAAACAATATACTCTGAAAACGCAAAACTTCCACCCACCAGATGGTCTCTGACAAGCTGAATTTCAGGTTGGCTTGCCTCTAGGGTCCCGAGTGTTACTGTTGGCCTGCCTACCACAGATCTTGTTGCAGGTAACCCATACTGTCTGAGATAAATACATATCTAGAACTCAGATAACACCCTCCGCCTACCAGTTATTAGTCTCAATCGTCAGCACACATCAGATTGGCTATTTAATGCCAGTGTCAAGGGTATATTTGATTCAAACTCTTTTGAACCCCCACTAGCCAAATCTAGGATAATTTGAGCATGAAAATAATATGATTAATGATAGTAACAAGTTACAATCCAGAGAATAGGTATCTACTTGTGAGTCCATCATGCTATAATAAATATGTAGGAATACCAACTAATATATACAAGGAATTATGTCAACAGAAAATCACCATGGACCAATTATTAGAACAGTGGCGGATTCAGGTAGGAATCACTAGCTAAGGCTAGTGGGTAGAGATTTCCTACTAAAGACTAAGATACTGATGTCGTCTCAGAATATCTCACCAGAAAATATTCCTGGAAACGTCTACAACTTCTCAATTACTATCCTTGCAAAGTCATGTGCCAGGAGCTCCATTTTAAAGAATAAAGCCTAAAAGCTCTTTTCTGTGGCATGAAATGTCAATCATAAAAAAAAATGGTGACTCTATGATGAGAAAGCTGACAAATAACCACCTCGACCAGGTGATCAAAGTTGACATCATGTATCTGCATGGGGAAGAGCAGAGCATCACTTTTGCACTGTCCTGCCAAGAAGGCATGGCCTGGACCCTGCCTGAAACACATTCTACAGAATGTCAGGCCTCTCTTTTTAAAACCATCATGGCCATGAAAAAAAGGTAAAAACGAGAACTTTTCAGATGGAAGGAGGCCAAAAAGACATGACAACTGCATTTCTACACACAGACACACACACACACACACACACACACACAGATGGAACAAATACGGTAAAATGTTAACCACTGGGAAATCTGAGTCTGGGTGAGGAAGACATGAGAGCTCTTTTTATGTACGATTAAAATTATTTAAAAATAAATTTTATTTCTGTCTTTCCTTTCTTCATCTGTGCATCAATGTCCTTAGGGTGCACGAGTGCAGTCAGCCTGCCACTAGGGAGCACAGCCCAGACTCTGCTGTTACTCATACTGCAAATATGCAGCCTGTTTTCAGGGGCAGATGGCTTTGCTTTCCTGTATTACATATTATTTGAGAAATTTTACATTTGTTTCAGGTATTCCTGGAAACGTCTACAACTTCTCAATCACTATCCTTGCAAAGTGATGTGCCAGGAGCTCCACTTTAAAGAAGAAAGCCTAAAAGCTCTTTTCTGTGGCACGAAATGTCAACAATTTAGCCCCAATCCAGCACCTCCCAGGTTCCTCCCCACCCCAAACCTCAACGTACTGAGAAATTTTCAAGCTTATCTATCTTTGCTCATTCTATCCCCTCTACCCAGCACACCCTTCCCCACACTCTCCCATCTGTCAAAATCAGCTGCATTGTCCTAAAGGGCCCAACCCAGATACCTCATTTTTGTAAAGCCCTACTTACCCTCAACTGCTCTGTCCTGGGAATAACTGGTCCCCTTCTTCCCTCTTGTTTCCTAAGTCACTTTGCCTATATACGCGGAACTGTGTTACAGTTAGCAAGCACATGCCTGTGTTTCTCTACCAGACTCTAAGTGTCTAGGGGAGGCAGAAGTCAAGCAGTTTTTTTTTTTTTTTTGAGACGGAGTCTCGCTCTGTCACCCAGGCTGGAGTGCAGTGGCGTGATCTCGGCTCCCTGCAAACTCCGCCTCCCGGGTTCACGCCATTCTCCTGCCTCAGCCTCCCGAGTAGCTGGGACTACAGGCGCCCGCCACCACGCCCGGCTAATTTTTTGTATTTTTAGTAGAGACGGCGTTTCACCATGTTAGCCAGGATGGTCTCGATCTCCTGGCCTCGTGAGCCGGGCTTCCCAAAGTGCTGGGATTACAGGCATGAGCCACCGCGCCTGGCCCTCAAGCAGTATTTATGTTTGTATTCCTCAGTACTTGGCGCTTGGTACATGGCCCTCTTAGTATCTGCTGAAGTGTAAAGCCCCACATCTAGGCATCTACTGATGAATAAGTATAACAGAGGAAGAGATGTAGTGATTTGAAGCAGGCACTCTGGGGCCAGACTGCCTGGGTTTGAATCCTGGCTCTGCTGCTTTGCAGCTGTCGGCAAATTAGACTATATTCCAATTGTTTGAGAAAATAATAGTACCTGCATCAGTGTGTTGTCACTTAGAACAATGGGTGGGTTCTATTGTCACTACTAGTGGTACTGGATCACCCTCTGTTGTCTGGAGAAGAACACAACCCTGGCCCCCCAGAGAGGATCCAGAACCCTTCCTCCTCTATACCTTGCCCCCCCCCCCACGAAGTCAGGGTTTAAGGTATTTGTGATACTTGTTCAAGACCAAGTAAGTCTGCTAAAATCTTGAGTTCTACATTGGTTTCTTCTTCTTAAGAGTGTATGAAGGAGATGCCAGCAGGGAGCTGTAGGGGATGTGTGTGTGCACACGCACTGCTTGGGCAGAGTGGTATGTACCAGTTAGATAAGGGGGAGTCCCAGTCCAGCACAGGAAGGAAATAAAAGCAAAAGCAGACAAACACCCCCCAACTTTTAAAGCATATTATGGCCAGGTTAAAATATCTCCATCTCACAACATGAGGGCAAAGGTGAGTGCCGATTATTCTGAACACTCATTCTGCAGCTCTCCCGAAGTCCTCAGGGCACAGTGCTCTCTAACACACTGTGCAAAGACGGTGCTTTAAGCCACCCAGAGCACCTCCAGGGTAGTCGTCCTGAATGGCCTGCCTAGGTTGGGGGAAGGTATACTATTGTTTTCATAAAACAAGAACAGGAACTATGATCACTTCCTAGTTCATGCACGAGCCATGGGCAAGAGAGCCCTGGAATCATACAATGCAGTGATGTGATTCATACCCTTAAAATGAGGGGGGTCAGTGGAACTCTGATTTCCAAAGTTGCTTCCAGGCTATGAGTAACTGTCGACTAGACTTGATACAAAATTTCTTAACATGGCATGAAGAAAAATGAATCACGGCAGGTGTCAGACCAGATGAGCTCAGGCAGACAGAGCCTGCAGTCTTCCCCTCTGCACGTCCCACTCAGCAGCACCTTTCCAGCTGCATCCTAACTGGCATGACCTAACAATCCCCAGTGCAGTGTCCCTCCTGGGTATTGCCAATTCTACTCTGGGCATGGGTTAAGAGGCCAGAAGCCAGGCTGCACGTAAGAGTGAGGGGAAGACAGCGGAAAGGGTTACTATTCTCAGTAGTGGAACGGCCTGTCTTAATAAAGGGCACATTGTGCTAGGGAGGCATGTGATGGTAACAGGGGCCTTGCGGTTTATACAGTGGCCCTCTTCTCCAGTGTTCAGTGCCAACTACAAGATGCAGCAACTCTTTACCCCAAATCTGTCTCAAAACAGCCAAAATGCCATGGGCTCCTAAGTGCAACCCCAACTATGCTGCTCTCTAATGTCCACTGTCTCATTTTAAAAGTTGTTGCTGAAATACAGCCCAAATCAATCATGCATGCACAGAAGAGAATGAGCTTGGACTGTTATTTTCCAAACTTTCTTCAAAAGTAACATGCTGTTCTAAGCGTAAAAAAGAAATGTGCCAGTTCAGAGAGTAATTCTGTGAAAAGCAGAAAAGGAGCACTGGCTAACTTAGGGATAAAACAGGCTTTTCTAACAAAACATTACAGTTTTTTGGCCAGGGGGAGGTGGGGTGGTAGTGGAAAGCTAGTATTTGTATGAATCCCTGTCCTTATTTTGTTTTATAGTGTTTATACAAGAAGCCAGCTTTAATGAATATTGAGCAACTCCCTATTGGAAAAACAGAGCTGAAAACAAATACCCAAAGATGGATTTAGCAACAAAAAAGGAAATTATTGAATTGAACTAAACCTTAAACTCAAAAACTCAAATCTTAGCATATATATATGTACAACCATTCACTCCTGCAACAATGACATCTTTATGTTAAAGCCATAGGTAAAGCTGAAATTTTCACTGGACCAAAAATCAAGTACTGGGTTATTCTTTCTAGCTTGAAGTAAAAGCAAATCTTTTTCACAACACACAGAGCTCGAGTTTATATTTCACCAACCCCCACCCAAACATCATGCTCTCCTCCTCTCTTTCTTTTGTGGGCATTCTTACTTACCCACCCAGAAACAAAATAACTGTGATTTTCAGCGAGCAGGAAGCCAGGTCTCAGGCAAACTTCCCTCAGCATTAAAGGGACTCCACACATTAGCAGGCAAAGAGCCCAGGAGCTGTTGCAGAGAATTTATTTATACCCATTTGGAATTTCCTGACGAACTAACAGCCTGCTGGCCACGGGGTTTAATTCCAGGACTCTTGGCGTCAGTGAGACAGCAAAAATTACCAACAAACAAAACTGCTAGCAAGATCTTAAAAAAGAGGCAAAGCCCTCTCTCATCTTCCTTCTGATTTTTCAAACTATCCTCATACTCTTCAGGCATATGAAATGCTGACCTAGAAATGCAGCTGTAAGCCTGTTAATTCTAGGAAGAAATCAGAAAGGCAGCAAATGTTTCCTCATTGTTTGTGCTGACTTACTCCCTCTTTCCCTAACCCTCCACTGCAGAGAAAGGCTCTCTGTTACAATTTGAGCTATAGCACAGCAGCTGGCTTGTGAAGGAAATGATTGAGTTTTATGCTGAACCGAGGCTGGAATGGAGGCAAGTGGTTCCTTTTTGGTTTCTTCTTATTTAATGCAACATATAATTAGAAGGCTAAAAACAATCACCATTCGTAAACCATAGGCCCAAGCCTCCTTCCCTTGCTCTGTACCCTCATACTCTTAAACATTTTATTCATAACATCTTCGAGCAACCTTTGTTTTTGTTTCAAAAAGTTAGTAAGAATGGTATGTTCCCCTAATGATTTAAATTCATTACCTAAAAAAAAAAAAAGTTCTTTTTTGAGATAGTGTATCACTCTGTCACTTAGGCTGGAGTACAGCGGTGCAATCACAGCTCACTGTAGCCTCAACCTCCTGGGCTCATGTGATCCTCCCACCTCAGCCTCCAGAGTAGCACGACACCATGCTCAGCTAATTTCTGTATTTTTCTTGTAGTGATGGGGTCTTACTATGTTGCCCAGGTTGGGCTCGAATGCCTGAGCTCAAGAAGTCCTCCAGCTTTGGCTTCCCAAAGTGCTGGGATTACAGGCATGAACCACCACACATGGCCCAGAATTTTTTTTTTTTTCAAAAGCAGAAGAAAACATTTCTGTCAAAAGTAAATGATAACATAAACCTCAAGAGAATTTTTAGTGTTATGGGTATGTTCTAAAACTGGATTGTGGATATACAACTGTCCACATATACTAAAACTTATCAAACCATACACTTAAAATGGGTGAATTCTATGGTATGTAAAACAGCTCAATAAAGTTTAAAGTAAAAAAAAAAAAAAGGAAGAAAAAATCTAACCCAAATCTCTTACTAATGGAGGTCTTGTTGTGTAAAGTAATATGAAATTATTTGGATCTGCTATTTCAAAATACCTGGCACTTGAAACTTTGTTTTTAGTTTGTTATTTTTTAATCTGTTGGTTTATTTGGTATAAACCAAGCCCCAAGCCCAAATAAGTGCCATGGTCTTATAGAGTTTAATCTTTGTGTCTTCACACAGGAAAGTATGTGTCTCAAAGATAATCACCTTTAAGGTCTCCCATCAGTAACTGTGGTCACCAGTAGGAGATGAGACAGAAGGAAAGTAAATGGAATAAGGCAGGGCATGTGCAGGCACCAAGATGAGCCAAACTAGGCAGGTCCAGTGAATTCTTATAAAACTGTGCCTCTCTCTACACAGCTGTCCCGTTTTGAATTTTACAAAACAGGCTATTTAGAGTCATCCGTCATCTTTGTTGATCTCTGTTTTATTGTTTAGAACTGGCTTTGCCTGCCTGCCCTGTGATAAAATTCAGTAAATCTTGTTCAACTAGTGCCACATTTACCCAATGTACTTAGACAAAGGTGAAGAAGGCATTTAAAAGAACCCTTTTTGGGGGGCATGGTGGCTCATGCGTGTAATCCCAATTCTTTGGCAAGCTGAGGAAGGAGGATTACTTGAGCCCAGGAGTTTGAGACCAGCCTGGATGACACAGTGACACTCTGTCTCTACCAAAAAAAAAAAAAAAATTAGCTAGGTGTGCTGGCTTGCCCCTGTAGTCTCAGTTTCTCGGGAGCTGAGACTGGGAGGATTACTTGAGCCTGGGAGGTTGAGGCTGCAGTGAGCTATGATCATGCTACTGTACTCCAGCCTGGGTGACAGAGTGAGACTCTGGTCTCAAAAAAAAAAAAAAAAAAATTCTGGTATTATTTAGTTACATTATTATATTCCAAACTAAGATTTAATATCGGCTGGGTGCAGTGGCTCATGCCCGCAATCCTAGCACTTTGGGAGGCCAAGGCAGGAGGATCACTTGAGCTCAGGAGTTTGAGACCAGCCTAAGCAAAATAGTGAGACCTTGTCTCTATTAAAAAAAATAATAATAAATAAATATATATATATATACACACACACACATACAATTTTAAAACTATCAAAAGACTTGTTCTTAAAAGTTAAACGAATAAAGTACTGAATGTAGTGTTTCTTGATCCTGCAAAAAAAAAAATCTGCTACATTCATAAATATTGTGTTCTGGTAAGAGTTTAGATTACATAAAGCAGTCAAAGTCAATCATTTTGCTAAAGTAGCTTGTATCTGACCCTATGGGTGTTTGCCTCTGTGCTTCTGTGAAGGTGAGGTCCACCAGAAAAAGTCATTGTATGCAAATAAATGCCTAGTCCTTTATCAGACGATGACAAGGGTTGGGAAGGGAAACAATTAAAAATTTGAACCTCTTCTGCCTGGAAACCATCAGTCACAAAGGTTCCCACTGAAGAGAGAAACACACACCTATCTGCCTTTACTCTTTCAATATACATACAAAGAAAGAAGCCAAGTAAGATGTGGGAAGATGAAGATATACTCAAGGCTTGGCCTCTGACAGGCGGAGAGTAGCCAGAAAAGGTGACGCCCAGTGAGAAAAGGAACCTGCTGGAGACAAAAGCCTTCTGTGGTACCAGGCTGGCTGAGCGTATACCAGCACAGTCTTTATCCCTGGGATGGTGGCTTTGGAACTTTGAGACTTCAACCTGAACCTTCAGTTCTTACACTTAACAGGATTACTGCAGCAACACTTTTCCCCCAGAGAGCCTGCTCCATTAGTCTAGAGATAAGAACAAAGTTAAATTAAGTAGTGAGTGGTGGCCTGAATTACACTGTGGACAGGTCAAGATGCCTATTTCCTGACATCCATTGAATTTACTTTCCTCCCCCAATGTTCCCTGCCCTCATCTTTCCCCACCACCCACTGTGCACAATTCTTCTGGACTCCACTGCTGCAGGTGCCTTATACATACACGAACTCATTTAATCCTCACAACAACCCTACAGCAAGGTATGATTACTTCAGCCTTTTACAGATGAAGCTTATGTCATGCATAAGCATGGTGCTATTCTACTGCTACTGCTTACTCTACTGCTGAATGCATACTATTTTGGTACTGAAAAGCCATAAACTAGGGACATTCTCTCTTGTAGCCTTTTTTTTTTTTTTCTTTTTTTTGAGACAGAGTCTCGCTCCGTCACCCAGGCTGGAGTACAATGGCGGGATCTCGGCTCACTGCAACCTCTGCCTCCCGGGTTCAACCAATTCTCCTGCCTCAGTCTCCTAAATAGCTGGGATTACAGGGGCCTGCCAACACACCCAGCTAGTTTTTTTTTTTTTTTTTTTTTTTGTATTTTTAGAAGAGATGGGGTTTCACCATGTTGGCCAGCCTGGTCTCAAACTCCTGACCTCAGGTGATCCACCCACCTCAGCCTCCCAAAGTGCTGGGATTACAGGCATGAGCCACCGTGCCCAGCCTCTTGTAGTTCTTATAAACAACAATAACAACAGCAACAACAAAACCCAAGGACAACAATCAAAACAATCTCACATTCCTCCCACCCTTTCTGGCTCAGGTAAGCTTACCTTGCAAAAACTCTACCTATGAGTATTTGCCTTAGAAAGAGACAGAGTGAAAGGAGGATGCTCTGCTACCCCACGCTGAGGGCCTGGGTTATTTCTGTTATATTGGACTTCCCCAAACCCCTGAAGAGTTCAAATACTGTATTGTGCTGCTTTAACCGACCCCTCCCCTTAGGTGCTTGGGATGGGTGTGAGACCTACACTGTGAGCTGCAATGAGGGAGAAAGTGGGTATGGCCCTTTCCACAGCACCAAGGCTCTTCTCCACCCATCTCTTTCATAGTCTTAGGGTGTGACAGGATTTAGGGGATTAAAAGGAAAGTCCAGCAAAGGTGCCTGCTTTTCCATTCCTCCTCCTGTGAGGTGTGCACCATGTTGGGTCTTGGATGAGGACTCCTCCTTTACATGCCTGGATTAGCAGGATCCGCTCAGAAGACTTAACATGAGGGGAGATTTTCCAAGGAGAGGCCACCCTGCCTTCCACATGAGGAGGGTGTGCCCCGGCAGAGGGGTCTGATTCTTGTCAGGAGAGTGACTTTAGGAAGACGATGCTATCTGATGGTCCTACCTTAAAAGACAAGAAAAATAAAAAGTCTTCTGTCTTCTTATCCTTTATTCAACAAACGCATTTCCCCAAACACATGTGAAGGCTTAAAACTAGTGTCGCATGGGCTTTCTACACCTTAGGCTTTCTTCACAGTCTGGATTGCCCCATGGTTATTACCTTTGTCACATCTAAAGAAGAGATGGTCTCATAATATATTTTCATCCAAGATTTGAAATCAGCATTAAGAAAAGCCAATACCAAATGAATTGGGGGGACACAGAACTAAATAAGAACATTAAGACCTTAACTTAGATTACTACAAAGACTCTATGAAGGCTGTAAATAAGGGATAATAAGGACTATTTATCTCCTCACACCTAAAAGAGGTGAGGTCTGTAGAGACCTTCCCAAGAAAACAGTGGGAAAGAAGGAAAGCAGGCCAGCCAGCCATACCCCCAGGGGCTACCAGCTCAGGTTCTTACCTACGGTTGCAACCAGCCCACCAAGCTGCACCAGAGAATAAGCCTGAGACAAAAGGAACCAACTGGAGTACCACCTCCTCCCTATCTGGTTGTGCTGCTAACATGCCACAAAAAGCAATGAAAGGCCATGGCAGCCAGGAAGAACTTTCCAAATGGCCCCTGACAATAATCTTCCCCTTAAGACAGCCACAACATACCTGGTCACCTCTCTCTGGAACCCAAGGCACTTAACAGACAATACCATCTTTCTTTCTCACTCTTTTTTTTTTTTTTTGAGACAGAGTCTCGCTCTGTCGCTCAGGCTGAAGTGCAGATCTCGGCTCACTGCGACCTCCACCTCTCGGGTTCAAGCTATTCTCCTGCCTCAGCCTCCCAAGTAGTTGGGATTACAGGTGCCCGCTGCGACGCCCAGCTAATTTTTGTATTTTTAGTAGAGACGGGGTTTCACCCCGTTGGCCAGGCAGATCTCAAACTCCTGACTTCAACTGATCTGCCTGCCTTGGCCTCCCAAAGTGTTGGGATTACAAGCATGAGCCACCACACCCAGCAACAACACCATCTTAAGCCTGCCTTAGAGCAAGTGAGGGAGAGAAAGCAGATAACTACAACTTTCACGAGAGGAGGCAGAACGCAAGAGTGTGTGTGTGACACAGTAAAAGCCATCTGTTCACCCAGGAAACACACCCAGGTGAAGTGTCACACATGAATTCACAGAGCGACCAACTGGGAACTTACGGGAAAAGGCTGGAAGAAAACTGCAAAGAATATAGCACATCAGATTGGCAACTGGCAGGGCTCAGGCCCACAAATTCTTAGGCAGGTGCTGGGCCTGATTTTTGACCTGTATTATATGCCCAGCATCATGCCAGCACAAAGTAGGTGCTCTGCAAATATTTGCTGGTTGAACATTGAATCTGTTGACTCTACAAGGACTACTAAGCAAGGCATTGTTGGGCATACGAAGAAGATGACATGATTCTTGCCTCTTAAAACACTCAAGTTTATAAGATTAGTGACGCACACAACCGTAACTCTTAATTAAAAGCAACTGATGGCAATTATTTAATAGAAATAATAATAGAATAATAACAGAATAAAAGGAATAAAGAAGAGGAAGAGAGGAACTCCCATTGGGAGTATCTGAGAATGCCTGTTGGGAGAGGTAAGAGAGGCAGCAAGACTTGAAGGATAAGAAGGGCTTATATTAATAGATATGGGAAAGATATCCAGGTCAAGAAAGCAAAGACACTAACTGGGGAACAGGGCAGGGTGGGGCTGGGCAACAGCACTGGGAGGGAGCAGATGCCCCTATCTTACACAACTCTTTGGATACAGCTGGTCTCTGAGTACCTGTAGTCATGGACCTCCGGTAAGGCCTACTGTGATTTTTACAGACACAAGAACTGAAGAAACGGAAATAGACCATGATTTCAGACAAAATAAGTCCAAAACAAAAGTTCAGAGTTAAGATAAGGGAATAATAGTTAGAGATTAAAGTTTGTGAAAGTGAAAATGTTTGGGGAGACAGAAAAATAACAGAAAATACAAAGCTCAATGATCCTTAATCTTGCCAGCCATCCTTACATACACAAAACCACAAAGCAGGGAGAAAAAGGCAAAGAAGGACCAATGCTCGCAGCCTCGGGGCTGGTCCATTACACAAAGAAGGAAAATGGCAAAGATGTATTCTGCCAAATACATCTGTATGGTCATTTAAAAGTGAGCCACTGAATGAATGAACTCACTGAATTGAAGTATTTCTATGGAGTTTCATAACATTCCTTCCAGTAGTCCCCAAACAACACCCCAATTGAAATGCAGCAGTATTAAAAAAAAAGAAAAGAAAAGAAATTCAGCAGTATCTGCAAAGTCTCATCTCAAAGCATCCAGGGACAACATACCAAAGGATAAGAGCCCAGAGGAAAAGCCCCCAGCCCTAAGCCCCCTTTACCTTTCTAGAAGATGTTTAGTCTCAGGATTCTTCATTTACAATCAGTGTCCTGAGGTGTTGTGAATTCCAGCTGCTGTTTTCTAGCACCCAAGTAACATCCTAGCATGTTCCTCAGAGAACACTCAGCTCCAGCACGTGTGTGATGCTTGGGCCCACTCAGATCCCTTACCGGATAGGCTCATAGGTAACAATCATTGCACTTATGACGTGATGCTGCCATTTCCCCTCACACTGCCAAACAGTTGTCCCTGGGGCAGACTTGGAAGCTGTATAAAGTGTGGTGCTAATGGAAAAATCTGGTGGCAAAGGGCATCACAGTGTTTTGCAATTAATTTTTTTTTCCTGTAAGCTGCATTGTTGAAATGGTTTGACATGCAAACCATCCCTCCCTCCCCGACCAGTGTACAGACTTCCAGGTCTCCACCCTAGCGTGTTCTAAAAATCAGTGTATCATCAGGCTGATTCACCACTTGAAGAGGTGGGGCACCGGTTGGGGTACATGCTGCATAAGCTCAGCAGGTACTTCTGCCTCCTCTGCCAGGTCACAAGAAGACAAACCAGTCTTTGTCCTCACAGCTGAGGGGGAACATGCCAAACGGGTTGCCCCAAAAAACATATTCGTGGTGCGTCCCTGAGTTGAATAAAGCATCCCAGTCAATCCACCTAAAAATGCTGAGGGAAAAATAAATAAATCGGCTGCACCGTGTTGGGTAGACAGACTTACATGAGGGGGATACTGAGAACAGAGGAAGAGAGAACTTTTTTCTGGTTTTAGTTAGAAAAAAGTAAGAGCTGATGCACATGAGTAGGGTTTTTAAGATATTAAGCACTGGGCATATAAGTTACTGGAAATACCCCATCTCTCTCTTTGATGTTTTCAGTTTGGAATATTCTTCCCCCTTTCTTCCTGGAGAGTCTTAAATGTACCTGCTGTACAGAAACACTTCAAACGCCTTGGCCTAATGGACAGTGGATGCAAATGGAAAAGGCACTCAGTAAACTGGGCAGGGATGGGAAAATTGGGCAGGACAAGCTGAATCAATGTTTTCACAAAATTATTTGCAAAGCTGATGGATGGGATTTATCAACTAAACCAAATATTGTGAGACTAAATTCAGAAAGCCACACAGCTATCTTTTGATTCTGCCTAACAGAGATCATGTCCAAAGTAGAAAAGATCCCTGAGAGAAAACTTTTCCAATGGAATAAAATCATGAAAAAGGAACTAAAATAAACTCAGTACTAGTAACTATTAGTAGCAAACTGTTCCCATAAATGGTTACTCTAGTACTACCTCCTTTAAGTAAAGGTTTGTATGGTGAAATTCCAATTCCACAACCTCTGATCCAGTTGGGAGGGAAATCAGGGATCAGGCAAATCTGGCCATAAACAAGGTAAGAGTACAAAGATTTAACTTTCAGGATACGAACAAATCCTACAAATCCAACAATTTGTCCCTTAGCACAGCTCTCCCTTATGTCTATAGTTCTGTTTTTCTATCTGTTGATTAGAGTGGCCTTCTCTCATTTTTATAGAATATTGTTTAATCTGAGTTTCAGCCATGGCTTGCTTTAACTAGGGTAAGAAATCTGGTCACTATATATATTTTTAAATCTCAAAATAGCAGCGTACTTATTTTTAAGTGGTGAGATAACTCATCGTATAGAACTACCAGCTGAGATGACTAATGCTATATGTACAAATGGGCCGCATTTCAAAAACCTGTGTTTTCCGGATTCATAATGAACTGCAGCTCAAAAGCAGAACCAGGCTTAGCCTGTAAAACATGAGCATACTTTTCCTAAAGCATGTGGAAATGAGTAACTCAGTTAAGGCTCACTCCAAAAATATCCAACAGAGAAGCCAAGGAAGGAAAAAGAAAAGAGTCTGCTTTTGGTTTTTGAACTTAGAATTTCTACAACTGTTTGAATGAATCTTATAAAATCTGATTTCCTGGATGGGTCTCCTTAAAGGTTTTATTAGAGAAGTCTACCCAATGCAATTAATTTTTTTTTTTGGTCAGGAAAGAGCAAGAACTTATCGTTTCTGTGAATTTGAGAATTATGATAATATTTTTCATGCCAGATCAAATCAAACCACCTTTTATAGAAAAGGAGCCAAAGCGGTGACTGTGAGCTTTAGTCACGATCATTTTCCTCTAAGCCCATACAAACCTTTCTCAGAAACTGCACAAAGGAGATGAACTGAAATTATCCCAGACACAGGAAGAAGGCAAACCCTGGAAAAGGAAGCAAATGAGCTATACCTTTGATGGGCTCAGCTAGCCCACCCAACTCATTCAAGAAAGAGGGGAAGTGCATAATCAGAAATAAATGCCAATACTCACAACGAGAAGTCTGCTGAGGAAGAGCAGAGCACAGAGTTTTCAAATCCTTGTAGGAAGGGCTGTTTTAACCCTTTGACTGGCTACCCAGTCTCTTAGAATAATAGCAACAGCTCGAGTTCTTAACACAGCGAATCTCCCTGTTGGGTGTTTATTTTGTATGTGTTTTTTTCTTTCTTTCTTGTTGGCACCTATAAAGTTGGTACCAGGCAAAAATCCCCAACCAAAGGGTTTCTTTGCCCAGTACCCAGGAGCAGGAGCACAGATTTTTCTCCTTCCTACACTCAAATAGGCTGGTACTCACTGGAAGATAAATCATCCTTTCTTGGCTTAGCTGGAGAGCTAATCGCCTGTCTGAAATCTGATGCTTAAGCCATTATGACTGGCTCAAGGCTTGGGGCAAGAAAGCTTATAAGGCGAAGCTGGCTACAGGTTAAAACAAAGCCTTAAGAGTTTATGAAACAAGCAAGCTCTGATGAGCCAGGGGCTTTTCAAAACCTCTCCGGGGGCTGGGTGAATTCTGAGGTTCTGATTAACCACACAGGCAAGACTTCAAAACCCAGGGTGTCCCCCATTTGTAGGTGGTCCCAACATTTTAAGGGTTATGAAATTGAAATCTAAGAAGTAGTTACATTATCTTCTCAAACACCACCACTATAAGAAAATTATTTCATCTATAAATTTCAGCGTGAAATTAGCCTTCAAAAGACTAACAGCTACAGTTTCATTGAAAGTTGAAATGCATAATCTAATTAAATGCAATTATTAAACACACTAATACTAGGATGAAGCTGTATGATGCAATAAATAAAGGAATAACAATATGTTTATTAATTTGAAATAATCCATACTAAGAAAAAAAGTAACTTACCAACATAATCCCTATCAGGGAGGACGTTTTATTTTTAAACACTGTACTTTAGGGTTTTATGCAGTTTTCTGAACTACATCCTTTTCACTTGATCTGTTTAATCAGAACTTCACAGATATCACACTTCTGATTTTAAATGTCAACATAATAAATAACCTTGAACAAAGGAAAAATGTTCTCCATGTCCAACTTCTGGCTTAGTCATTAGCTGTGTGAGCTCAGCAACTTGTGTTTTGTCATCTGAGAGTATGGAAGGAAGGCTGGACAACTGAAATGGAAACACACCCTTTTAGTTCTTACCTACGTGCTTATGGCAGGCTCCTACCTATGTGTTTATGTCAGGCTCCTACCTATGTGTTTATGTTTTACCCTCTCAGCTATTCTAATAGCCTCCAACACACTACTTATGGGAGAATACAAAGCACAAATAAGAACACACATTTTAATCCTTCTGCAAATTCATTCAACCAGGAGACCCTGAAAAGTCACGGAGGGTACCCATGAATTAAAGCAGCCATAGTTTCTAATCAGCAAACTCTCTGCCTTCGGGGTAATGCTAACACAGATGACAGGTCTAAGACTCACCACCACGGGCGCACACTGCCTCTGCTGTGCTGTGTGTTTCCTTACAGATGATCTCAGAAAACACCAGGTGGGTTCTAGCCAGACCAGTCACTGCAAACTAGTCTTATACTTGACAAATAGCACGTAATTCCTGCTATCAGGTTCACCGCAGTGGGCTCAGAGTTCTGTTTGAGAAACGCTCCTGCCCAGAAAAATATTTACACAAGCGAGAGTGGGGTGCACCGCACTGCAGCATTCTGCCTACCCTGCCATGAGCCTGGCTCTGTCTGGCTGACCCGGTCTTATCAGTGGCCTTTGTACTCATTTAAGATCAGCATAGAGACAAAAGCTGGAGCCAAATAACTGACCAAGATAACGAGATTCAAGCCCCACAACAGTTACTAAAGCCATGAAAACATTGTGCCCTTTAACCCAGTCATCCTGCTTCTTTGAAATTGTTGGGAAATAATAAAAAAGGAGGAGAAAAATGACCAGGGAAGATGTTCTCTGCAACATCATCTACCATAGGGAAAATGTGGAAGCAGTCCAAACATCCAAACAAAAAAAGAATACTTCAACTGGTAGAAACACCATAAGGAATATTATACAGTCATTGAAAATAATAATTTGAAAACTATTTTCCATGAAGACTTGGAAAAATGCAAAGAATGTTAAAGTCAAGAGCTGATATCCAAATTATAAAAGCTTATTGAAACTGTGTTTAAGTTTGTTAGCCTGAAAAGCATGAAAAATAAATACTAAAAATAAGACCTAGTGTGGAATTTTGAGTAATTCTTCTCTTCTGGTTTCCTGTCAAATTTTATGTTATCATTAATTTAAATAACTTTTCTTTTTTTTTTTTTGAGACGGAGTCTCACTTTGTCATGGAGGCTGGAGTGCAGTAGCACTGTGTCGGGACACTGCAACCTTCGTCTCCCGGGTTCAAGCAATTCTCCTGCCTCAGCCTCCCGAGTAGCTGGAATTACAGGCGCCCACCACCACACCCAGCTAGTTTTTATATTTTTAGTAGAGACGGGTTTTCACCATGTTGGCCAGGCTGGTCTCGAGCTCCTGACCTCAGGTGATCCACCTGCATCGGCCTCCCAAAGTGCTGGAATTACAGGCGTAAGCCACCGTGCCCAGCCTAAATAACATTTTAATGCAATTCAATAAGCATCTTTAATAAATAAATATGTATCTGTCTGAAAAAATATATATCCAGGCTGCAAAAAAAGAAAGAGCATGAGGGAAAAGCTATAATCAATTGGGGAAGGCAACTAGTAGCAAAAATAAAGATGATAAGAGCAGGCATAAAAAGTCACCTCCCAGTGCTCATCCATTTATGTCATTTAACTGGGTTTAATGAGGATGTTAATACAACTCTGGCCCCAATATCATGGCGTCCAGCAGGGCCTGACATGAGGGTACCTGGGATGTTTCCTGATCAGCGGCTCATGACAAGGACAAGAGAACAAGGGGAATGGTGCTATCCCCTGACATATGACCAGCACTTTGTGTTTTAAAAAGTGTTTTTACAGCTATTCTTTTTTTCCCTGCACAACCACCTTGTGAAGAAGGTAGGATAGCTATTATTATCTTTCTTTCACAAATAAGCCACTTGTTATTTGGCTTCTAAAGCATATCTAAGCTCTAATTAAAGTTTCACAACATTAGTGTTTAGAGAGGTATCAATCAGTGCATTCAGTTTACAACATGATTCAGAAACTTGGGGAAAAAGCAGACTGCCTCATCCCTACACCCCAAAGAAACACAGCTATTTTCCTAACCAACAATCACCATTTACTTCCTAGCTGGCTATGAGAGAACAGTCAAGAGCAATTTATGATGCTCTTACCTCCTTAACAAAAGACGCTGCAGTACTGTTAGCAGTACCATAATAAAATGTTTTTTGTTTTTTGCTTTAGAGATAGGGTCTGGCTCTGTCACCCAGGCTGGAGTGCAGTGGTACCATCATAACTCACTGCAGCCTCAGACTACTGGGCTCAAGCAATCCTCCCACCTCAGCCTCCTGAGTAGCTGGGACTACAGGTGCATACCACTATGCCTGGCTAATTTAAAAAAATTTTTTTTTGTAGAGATGGAGTCTGGCTATGTTCCCCACACCGGTCTTGAACTCCTGGCCTCAAGCAATCCTCCCTCCTCGGCCTTCCAAAGTGTTGGGATTACACGTCTGCGCCACCCCATCTGGCCTAAAATGTTTTGAATTAATGAAAACAGTACTGTACCAATCAAGAGAAGTAGGATGGAGGATCTGGTGAAAAAGAGGTAACACTACGAGGGAAGATTGATTTTGATGGGCTGGCGGTGAGGAAGGGCAGGGGTGCAATCTGCAAGGGGTACACAGGTAGGGCCGCGCACGAAAGTGGAGCACCATTAAACCGAATTTTAGATAAACGATGAACACGTGCTTAGTATTTTTTCTTCTGGCAACCGTGTACACAGGAGACTTTAACTGTCCCTAGAATGTACAATCCTTGAGGGCAGAAATTTTTGCCTCTTTGGTTCACTGCTGTATCCCCAGTACCTAAAACAGCACGTAGTAGGTGCTCATGTATATCTGGCCTATATTAATAAGGTTTATTTCTTAAGCTAAGTAGTGTGTACAAAGGTGCTTGTTATATAACTTTCACACATTTTGTATGTCTGAAGTGTGGCATAATACATTTTACAAATTACAGCATTAATGAATAGCTCGTTTTAAAAGCAGTTTCTTTTACCCAGCCTCCGTGAGGGACTCCAAGGGGAAGTCAGAGTATAAAAGGTTGTGAATCACCCCTTATCCCATTTAAATGTTACATGGGGATGTCAACTTGAGATGATCAGTCGTCGGATGTATTTTGTGCCAAGGGCATGGTTTGCCCTTTCCCAGAGGCTCCTCTTTTGCTTGTTTTATTACTAACACTATGGAAAGTGCTTCTTTTGCCACTGCCCTGACTCCATCGTCACATGAAATTTCCCCTCATGCTCTATGAAGCCCAAGCAGCAATTTTTGGAAATTGAAGAAACATATAATTTACTCCACATCTGAAACTCCTACTAAACCCAAATAGCTTATCCTTTTCTCATAGGAGACCAGTAATTGGCCCTCACTAGCTGCCATGAAGCCCTCTTTATCTCATCTTCATCTAGGTTCTCTAAATGTTATTTACATGCACAGAAGTGTATTTATAACCCGCATCTCTTACATTGAGTATTTTTTTAAACATTGGAGAGGTGTTTCCTTTGTAATACAAAGTGGGAAAAGGTAAAGGAATGATTTTTATTAACATATTCTCAACCATGTGAAATATATAACATTTGACAACTATATAAAAAATAGGAAGACATTTATTTCTAGGTGGTATTATCACCAGTAATTCTTGCTTTTGTTTTGGTTTTCAGACAATACAACACACATCTATACTTTTAAATTTTCAGCTGGGTGCGGTGGCTCATGCCTGTAATCCCAAAGTGCCGAGGTAGGCAGATCACCTGAAGTCATGAGTTCAACCCCAGCCTGGTTAACATGGTGAAACCTCATCTCTACTAAAAATACAAAAATTGGCCAGGCGTGATGGCATGGGCCTGTAATCCCAGCTG
The DNA here is from genome assembly GCF_000001405.40 of Homo sapiens. NCBI lineage: Eukaryota > Metazoa > Chordata > Mammalia > Primates > Hominidae > Homo > Homo sapiens. The sequence continues at coordinate 679,542 of NC_000009.12, read as the reverse complement.
CGTGGGAGGCTGAGGCACAAGAATCACTTGAACCCAGGAGGCAGAGGTTGCAGTGAGCCGATATCGTGCCACTGCACTCCAGCCTGGGTGACAGAGCAAGACTCCATCTCAAAAAAAAATTTTTTTTTTCTATGAGTGTCATATATATGGTGTACACACATTTGTGTTTGTATATACATATATGTATGTATATATTACTATGTGTGTATATACATATACAGACACATACACACATATATGTATGTTTGCATATATATTACTGTTTATGGTTGAGTCTCTAATTAGATTTGCTTATAGATGTACATGGGTCATGGTGACTAGAATAAGTAAAAAATCTTCCCCTGCACAGTCCAGATAACTGTCTGCAGTAACAATTCATACTCTGACACCCTGAAAGTCACAAATCGGAGAGCTTTCTTTTGCCTTCAACCTCAATGCCCAGACCTGTTAGGCAGGATACCAGGTGGGAAGGAAAAGTTACAGCTTGCTTATTAGATCTCAGGAACAAAGAAAAAAGGTAAGTACAGAACAAACCAAGTTGGAAAGGAATTAGTGGGGTAGGTATCTAAACCCATGAAGAAAGGATTTTGCCCAAGGCACCAGAAGAAGGTTGAGGTCTTGAGGCACCAACAATCTTAAACACCCCTTCCCCTGAGCATGTGAATGGAAGCAAATGGAGGGCAAGGGAGGAAACCACATCATCAGAGGGAATTAAAACCCACCCACTACACTTGAAATTTCATAATGTTTCAATCTCCTCTCTCACCAAATATTTTACTGGAGAAAGTCATCATAATTCTGATTTATTTTATTTTTTGATATGGAGTCTCACTCTGTCACTCAGGCTGGAGGGCAGTAGTGCAATCTGGGCCCACTGCAACCTCTGCCTCCCAGGTTCCAGCCATTCCTGTCTTAGCCTCCTAAGTAGCTGGGATTACAGGCATGCGCCACCATGCCTGGCTAATTTTTGTATTTTTGTAGAGATGGGGTTTCGTCATGTTGGCCAGGCTGGTCTTGAACTACCGACCTTGGGTGATCCATCCCCCTCGGCCTCCCAAAATGCTGGGATTACAGGTGTGAGCCACTGCCCATAATTCTGATTTTTCTTACTTCATTTACAGTAAGTCCCTGAACTTCTCTGTGACATTACATAGGGATGATGATGACAGTAAAATAATAGCTTAATCTCATTAGATTATTGTGAGGATTAAGTATGAAAATGCAGGCAAAGCATTTTAGGCACCATGGTGCATTTAAGTGTTCAATGAATGTTAGATATTATCATTCATGTCTTTATTATTGATAGCAGTCCCACAGCAGAATCTATAAAAGTCTCAAGAAGCTGGGCAGTAAAAAAGGTCAAAAATGGAATGGACAGGGAAAGATCAGTCATCCCAGAACAAATAACTGAGTTTATCTGGGTTTGGGTTATAGTGTTCTACCCAGAGGAGATAATTGCAGCTGAGACCGCTAGAATAAAAAGTCACATTCATGGGCTGGGAATGCCCACTTTAGAGGTCACTTCCTGCTGTTGTCTTCAAAAGTGCTTTACGGCTTACATAGCTCCTCTAAGTATGTTTCTGGTGCGCTCACTGGTCCTAAACCGGCAGGTGGATATACTTACCGATGGTTTACATGTGGAGAAATAGCCCTGCCCAATATTTCACGGTTAGTGCTGGAACTAGGACTCAAATTCAGGTTTCCTGGCTCCAATTCTACACTTGCTCCAGTATATAATGTTGTCATTTGAAGGTGTTCAGAGCCAGCAGACGTAGGAGTCTGGACTCAGACGCTCAGAAAAAATTTCTGCATAGACAATTACTATTCTTACTCATTCAGCTATTTGGCACATAACTCAAAAAAGAAATGAACACTTGGCACGCCATTTTGGGCAGGTTGTCCCTATGGTGATGTGTCTCTTAGGAGGATCTTCTCTGCATTTCGTGTACAGATTTCTCCCGAATCTCACAGAAGCAATATTGGAACAGAAAGTGAAACTATGTAAGTCTCTAATATAACCAAAATAAGAATTCAAATACAGGTCTTTATGATTCATAATATGGCTTGTTGCATATTCCTAAGAGAATCATTTTACAGAATATATACTTCTCTTCCCTCCTTTCTCTTTGTTTAGCAACATCAAACAAAAGCTGCTTGGGAGTGGCTACTAGGAATTGGTTTTAAGCATCCAAACTAATTTCCTCTCTCCTCATTCAATCCCTCAGAAAGAAGTGCAAGAGGAGTATACATTACATTTGCATCAGCATTCAGTATTTACATTTGTCTTTCAACACTTCAACAGAATTGACTTAGGTAATAATTTACTCAATTGATTTCAGTGCAAGACTCTAAGATAAAAGCAAATTTTCTGAGAGTAAAACAAAACAAACCCAAACTTCAATGGACAGAAAATTGCTTTGAAATCCTAGTTATCTAGGCAACTTGCTATTATCCGTTCATTATTAAAGAGAATAAAAAATTAGTTTGAGAAAAGACATACATTTAACACACAAACTCCAGAGCACAGGGTTACCTGAGGCACTGCCGTTAACCTTTGTGGTGTGAGCCATGCTGGCTTGAGTCCAATGAGAGATCCAGAAAGGAGTGAGGAGTCATGCAAATTTTATGCATCAAGTTCTCAAAGGCATTCAACCTGAAACAATAAAGAGAGCCCCATCAAAATGGATCATTTAAAAAATGTACAAACTAAATCTTAGACTTCTGTTTACAAAGATGACTGCTAACAGAGAAAGGAAATCGGAATGGGGGGAGAAAGACTATAGATCCAGGAGGTGACTGCATTGGACCTGGCAGTATGGAGATAACACCCACGGATGTACCAGTGGCTACATACTGAAAGGGGGTCTCTACACATAATAATCTATGGGAAACAAAATTGGTTCTCTAGAAATGAGACTATTTTAGGAAAGTGGTCACCAAATACAAATGACTTCCTAATGTGTAGCACTCTACGAAATATTTTTGGTTTTTAAGCATATCTTCCTTTCCAAATTCTGGTTCAAAAAGTTCATTTATTCAACTGCAATTTCAAAGCAATTATTGCACCAAATGTTTACATTTTTAAAAAGATTAACTTCATGGAAATTCTTTTGAGATATCCGAAGTCTTTCTACCAACGCCTCTTTCTTACATGCAACCACCTTTCTAAAGCACAAATCTGATCCAGTCAGTCCTCCTCCTCTTAAACAAAAATTCATTATCTCCCACTGTGCCGTTGGATAAACTTCAAATTATTAGAGGCATTCGGACCAGAGCAACTCCATCTTGAGTAGGGGCTAGATAAAATAAGGCTGAGACCTTTATTTTAAGTCTAAATTCCCAGGAGGTTAGGCATTCTTAGTCACAGGATGAGACAGGTCAGCACAAGATACAGGTCACAAAGACCTTGCTGATAAAACAGGTTGTGGTAAAGAAGCCGTCCAAAACCCACCAAAACCAAGATGGAGATGAAAGTGATCTCTGGTCATTCTCACTGCTCATTATATGCTAATTATAATGCATTAGCATGCTAAAAAACATTCCCACCAGCAGCAGGACAGTTTACAAATGCCATGGCAATGTCAGGAAGTTATCCTATATGGTCTAAAAAGGGGAGGACCCCTCACTTCCAGGAACTACCCACCCCTTTCCTGCAAAACACAAGAATAATCCACCTCTTGTTTAGCATCAAGAAGTAACTGTGTGTATAATCAGTTGAGCAGCCTACGCTCCTGCTCTGCCTATGGAGTAGCCATTCTTTATTCCTTTATTTTCTTAATAAACTTGCTTTTACTTTACTCTATGGATTCACCTCTAATTCCTTCTTGTGAGAGATCCAAGATCTTGGGGTCTGGATTAAGACCCCTTTCCAGTAACAAAATGATAGAGCATGGCACATAGTTCTGAAACACCGGGGTCCACATTGGGCAATATATTCATTTTGCATTGATATTTCTATTTAAAAGTTACCTGAGATTACCATAATAAGACTTATATTTCAATCACAAAATTTAAAACAAAAAAAGAAAAAAAAATACAAAAAAGTATACTGTTTCCCCTTTGGTTTTTGCAAATACCTTTCGAAAAATACTAGCAAACAGTAAACAACAGTACATATAGAAATCCCATTTCCATTGTGCCCAAACTCTGACTCTAGACCCATGAAATCAGAAGAAGTTGGGAGAAATAAATTCTAAGTTGAGAATTAAAGTGTCAATTCAGAAACCCACATGACCTCTTAACAACAGAATGCCAAAATAATATCTGTATACACTAATTCTAATGCAGCCATTGAAATCATATAAGTTTTTAATAAGGCAAAATATTCAAAGTATGTTGGTTAAAAGAAAAACAAAACTGTATACTATCCTAAACCTAATTTTATTAAAAATATGTATGTGTATATGTACACATTTAAACGATGAGAAGTAATTGTACCAAAATGTTCACTGTGGTGGTTGCCTCTGGGTGATGAAATCATGGATTTTAGCTCTTTTCTTACTTTTGTAATAATAATCATTATTAAAAATAAATATTTAGGCCAGGTGCGGTGGCTCACACCTGTAATCCCAGCACTGTGGGAGGCTGACGCAGGCAGATCACCTGAGGTCAGGAGTTTGAGACCAGCCTGGCCAACATGGCAAAACCTCTTCTCTACTAAAAAATACAAAAATTAGCCAAGGCTGGTGGTGCACGCCTGTAATCCCAGCTACTCGGGAGGCTGAGGCACCAGAACCACTTGAACCTGGGAGACGGAGATTGCAGTGAGCTGAGATTGCACCACTGCACCCCAGCCTGGGCGACAGAACGAGACTGTCTCAAAAAACAAAACTAAAAATTTAGACCCCTTCTGTCTTATTTGCTTTAAAACCCTCAGGGAAAAGAAAAGGTATTTTTTTAAATGCTATTCAAAAAAGGAAACTATCAGGCTACAATCATGAAGATTATAAGGGGTCAGAAATATAAGTAAATAAAAAGGAAAGAAAAGGAAATGGCTGATTGCTTTGATCACACAGGGTGAGAATTTCTTGCCACTTAGTGAAATTTCCCTCATTGTTTAAATGGGTTTGCACCACAGTTCAAAGCTAACTACTGTGAAAGCAACTCAGTGTAAATTCAAAAGGACCCTTTTTTCTCTCTCTCTTTTTTTTTTTTTTTAAACAGATTGCTTCTGACAAGCCTGCCCGCTGCGTGGCTTTTCCAGCTACACTGACTAGCATTGTGTTCACCTGGAGAGAGGAGATTCTAAACCATCCACTCCCTGCTGATCCTTAGTTTCTGGCTGGTGACACACCAGAAGGATAGGATGGCTCCAATCTCCCTGATGAAGGGGTAATCACCTGACTTTCTCTTGGAAACAGAGGCACTGGTTCAGGTCCACAACATTGAACTTGGAGAGCAATAACCTCTGTGTGCACAGTCACTGCTGGCTGAATCAAAAGGCAGGCATTAGGGATAAACACTGTCTTTTAAGAATAGGAGTGAATGTCTATACATTTCTGACAAACGCAGTTTTATTTAAACAAAAAAAAAAGTGGAGACTGGGAAGACCAGAGAGGGAGGGGCAAATGAAGGGGCAAAGGAAAGAAGCCCAGTTTCTGGAATTATTCAACTAAGTATGCTTTTAAAAGCTAACAACCACAAAACCCTAAGCCAAACCCTGTTTACTGGCCCCTTGCTAGCCTTGTGTGTTTGCACTCTTGCTCCATAACGGCTTGTAAATACCACCATGTAAAACCTTGAAGGCAAACAGAAGACAAGAAGGGACAAGCTGCATGTGCTAGGGGTGAATGAAGTATGTGTCAAGGTATTTGGATGGAGATGTGCCCAGAATCTTCCTAGTCAAGCTTAATAAACTTTGGCCCAAGGTCCTCTCCTGTTATTGAAACTCTTTCATCTGGCAGAAGATCTTTTTCTCAGATCCAAATTGGTGCCTCCCACCCTTCCCCAAACTGAACAATAAAACCAAAATAAGGAGGAAGCCTAAAATTAGGAACTGTAAGCATATCACTGGTAAAATAACAAGACACTGTTGGCCGGGCACGGTGGCTCACGCCTATAATCCCAGCACTTTGGGAGGCCGAGGTGGGTGGATCACTTGAGGCCAGGAGTTCAAGACCAGGCTGGCCAACATGGCAAAATCCCATCTCTACTACAACTACAAAAATTAGCTGGGTAGGGTGGTACACGCCTGTGATCCCAGCTACTTGGGAGGCTGAGGCACAAGAATCACTTGAACAGGGAGGCAGAGGTTGCGGTGAGCCGAGATCACGCCACTGCATTCCAGCCTGCACAGCAGAGTGAGAGACCCTGTCTCAAAAAAAAAAAAAAAAAAAAAAAAAAGAAGACACTGTCACTGGGTGTGAATCCTGGCAGTGTCTGTGCAAAGAGAACAGTTGTATATTGTGTATTGATTTTTCTCAGTTATTATTCATGCTGACAGGCGGCCTCAAATTGTGAGTGCTCATTCTTCTTAATGCTATGCAGATTCTTATGTCGGTGCATTGTATAAACCAGAAAAGGTTTGGCCACAGTCCATTCCTGTGTTACAGATCAATAAATTGCTTCTTTTCTCCCTCAGAGGACAGTGCAAACCAGTAAATCTTAAGTGGTACAATGGTGGCTTAGTTCTCCTAGCTAAGAAAGAAACCACTCCTGCGAAACGATTTAGGAAAATACATCAACAGAGAAAATAAAGAATTTGTCTTTGTGTCTATTTATTTCGGGAGACTGAAGGATGCTGATGCATGTTTTAGTAGATCGCCAAGTAAGGTACAATGAATGACGGAAACATTGCATGAGCTGACCCCATAAATACTTTACATTAGCTAAAATGATACAAATATGAAAAACAGCACACTAGAACTTTGATAAAAATACACCAATGCAAACAAGTAGTTAGATAAAATTGAGATTTGATATATACTCTAGCACTGCTAAACTATCAAATGCCACTATCTCAGTTAGAAACAAGATAATGCTGATGATAATATTGATGGTAATGTTGATGGCAGCTAATGTTAATAGACCTCTTACTATTAGTTATTGAAATATAAAATGTCACCCAAAGTGTAACATTAAGTACTACTAATAAAAAAGATGTCACTAAATGATAAAATGCTTATTAAGAAATTACATTCATTATAAGACACATCCTCATTTCAGAGGCCATATGAGAAAAATGCATACCTTACCACTGATGCAATTGTTACATTCAAGGGACTTTTAAAAACACTTAACAGTTATTACCTTGTTTAAACTTCACAACAACCCTACAAAGTACTACCCCTTCTCTCCATTGTATACATAAGAAACAAGCACAGGGAGTTTTAGAACTTGCTCACATCACACAGCTAGTATGACAGTGCTGACATTTAAAGCTGAGCAATTCAGCCCTAGGGCTCTTGTGATTATGTGATTTAGAGTAAGGGCACTATTGTTTTAACAAATGAGAACTTAGGGCATAAATGAGTGATGCATATACGTAAGGTAGACACCTTAGTTACCTATATGCTTACTGCAAGGAGGCTTTGCGCAAATCCTTTTTAGATAAGAAAGCTGCATCTCGGAATTTTATGTAATTTTTTTTCTTTTTTGAGACGGAGTCTTGCTCTGTAGCCCAGGCTGGAGTGCAGTGGCGCGATCTCAGCTCACTGCAACCTCCGCCTCCCAGGTTCAGGTGATTCTCCTGCCTCAGCCTCCCAAGCAGCTGGGATTACAGGTGTGTACCACCATGCCCAGCTAATTTTTGCATTTTTAGTAGAGATGGGGTTTCACCATGTTGGCCAGGCTGGTATAATATGTTTTTAGAGCAACTGTATTTGCAACCTTATTCCTTGGAGTAACACATTTAAGAGCCTGAAGTACTTACATGAGACACACAGGAAATGCTTCTCAGTACTTAACCAGTACACTCTTTTTTTTTTTTGAGACGGAGTTTCGCTCTGTCACCCAGGCTGGAGCACAGTGGCGCCATCTCGGCACGCTGCAAGCTCCGCCTCCCGGGTTCACGCCATTCTCCTGCCTCAGCCTCCACCACGTCCAGCTAATTTTTGTATTTTCAGTAGAGATGCGGTTTCACCGTGTTAGCCAGGATGGTCTTGATCTCCTGACCTTGTGATCTGCATGCCTCGGCCTCCCAAAGGGCTGGGATTACAGGTGTGAGCCACCGCGCCCGGCCCCAGTACACTCTTTTCTAGACTGCACAGAATTACTAGAGCAGGCTTGATTATCAACCTTGTTCTTTATATGAATGTCAACTGTTTCAAAAAATCAAATACTTCCAAAACTGAAAAACAAAAAACAAACAAAAAAAAAACTCCACCAGGTAGAAGGTTCTAAATGCAATGGTAGGAATTTCAAAAATGCATAAAAACTAAGGCAGGATACTGGAATCAGATTCTTGCCACTCAAAATAAGAATTATACTTTAAAAATGTAGATGAAAGCTGGCTTCACTTCTCCCCACAGAATAACCAAAATAAATATACACCATCGAGATTATCACCAGCAATCTCTCAGAACTCATGAAAGAGAATCGGTCAGTTCCTGGGGCCACTGAGAAGTAAAAAAAAAAAAAAAAAAAAAAAAAAAAACTCCAGCAGACAGTAAGAGAATCAGATTTTCATATCTGTGACACCCTTCCCCCAATCTGCTTGGTATCAAGCACATGTAAAACTTCCCCCAACTCAGATTCTACACTGGAAAAAGTGAGATTAAGTTGGACACACAACTTGCCTACCATCTTGGCTTCTTTGGCAGGAGACCTATCCATGCCTCAACCCATGAGAAGCATCAGGAGTGCCTGAAGGGAGATACCACCCTGTGGACAGCCGGACACAAAGGAAGGAGGCAGGATTACCATCTCCAGCCCTGGAAGCTCCGCTCTGTAACTCAACCAAAGGAGACGCCAAATCAGAGTGGGTGTTCGGCAGCACTATGCTGTAGGAGGTAGATTCCACAGGTCTCTTGGGCATGAACTCCTAGCCAGCCTTTCCATACCACAGGGATAGCTCCTTTGCAACCTCCCCCATTCCAGCCAGGCAATCCTCTGATCCTTTGCTAGAAGAACAGAGGCAAACCTGGGTTTTAAGTACCATTTAGTGCTGAAAAAGAGGCAGTGACCTAGCGGGAAAAATGTGTAAGAAATTCAACAGCTAAATTACAAATAATCTCTAAGCAAACATACCAGTAAAAACCAAAACAGACTAGACAGAGAAGATTGGAATAAATAATAAATCCTTTAATGCAAAGACACAGACATATATCCATAAGAACATGGAACCATGACCTCCCCAAATGTATAAAGCAAGGAACCAGTGACTGACCCTAATGAGATGGTGATTCATGAGCTCTCTGACCAAGAATTCAAAATAGCAGTTTCACAGAAACTCAGGGATCTCCAAGACAACAAAGAAAAGCAATTCAGAAACTTATCAGAGGAATTTAACAGAGATTGAAGTGATAAAAAATCAAACGAATCTTGAAATTGAAAAATATATTTGCTAACTGAAAAATTTATTGGAGGCTCTCAACAGCAGAATGCATCAAGCAGAGGAAAGAATCAGTCAGCCCAAAGACAGGCTCTTTGAAATTACATAGAGGAGAAAAAGTAAAATGAATGGAAATATATTATACAAAGATTGCCTACAAGATATAGAAAATTACCTTAAAAGACCAAATCTAAGAATTATTGGTGTTCAAGAGAAAGTTGAGCAAGAGTGAGGGGTAGAAAAAAGCTTACTCAATAAATAATAACAGAAAACTTTCCAAAATATGAGAAAAATATCCAGGTAGAGGAAGGTCAGAAAACACTAAACAGATTTGACCCAAATAAAACTACACCCAAGGCATATAATAATAAAACTCTCAAAGGTCAAGGACAAAAAGAGGATACTAAAAGCAGCAAGAAAAAAGGAGGATATAACATACAAAGAAACTCCACTTCAGTTGGCAACACACTTCTCAATGGAAACCGTAAGTCAGGAGGAAGTGGAATGATATTTTCAAAGTGCTGAAAGAAAAAACCCCAAAAAACCCTGCTATCCTCAAATACTTTATCCAGCAAACAGCAGAAATATCCTTCAAGTATGAAGGAGAGATAGTCTTTTTCTGACAAACAAAAGCTAAGAGAATTTACCACTACTAGATCTGTCTTACAAGAAATGTTAAAGATGGTTCTTCAATCTGAAATGAAAAAACATTAATGTGCAAAAAGAAAACATTTGAAGGTATAAAACCTACAGGTAACATCAAGTATAGAAACCCCCAGAATATTCAAATACTCTAATTGTCATGTGCAGTCCACCCATAAGTTACCCATAATTCTAGTATGACACCTAGAAGACAAATCTATCAAAAACCCTAACAGCTACAGCAATCTGTTAAGAGATAGGCAATATCAAAATACGTAAATTCAGGCCCACAAAAGTCAAAATGTCAGGGGATGGAATTAAAGATGGAGGGTTGTTTTAAAGTTTTTTATTTATTCTTTTTTTTGTGATCTAAGACAGGGATCTCCAACTCCTGAGCCATGGACCAGTACTGGTCCGTCGCATGTTAGGAACCAGGTCACACAGCACTGCCTGCTCCACCTCCTGTCAGATCATTAGCAGCATAGATTCTCATAAGAGTGCAAACCCTATTGTGAACTGCAAGTGCGAAGGATCTAGGTTGAGCGTTCCTTATGAGGATCTAATGCCTGATGATCTGAGGTAGAACAGTTTCATCCCAAAACCATCCCCACTGCCTGATCTATGGAAAAAATGTCTTCCATGAAACTGGTCCCTGGCGCCAAAACAGACTGGGGACTGCTTATCTAAGATAAGCTGTCATCTCTTTAAAATAACTTGTTTTATCTATAAGATGTTTTCTATAAGCCTCATGGTAACCACAATGTAAAAACCTATGATAAACACACTAAAAAAAACCCCAACAAATTAAAACATAGTACCAGAGAAAGTCACTTAACCATAAAGGATGACAGGAAGAAAGGAGGAGAAGAGTTACAAAACAACCAGAAAACAAGAAACAAAACGGTAATTCTCCATTCAGAAATTTATCAGAGAAATTTAACAAAGAGACATTATTCAAAAAATCAAACAGAAATCTTAGAACTGATTAATACATTTGATGGACTGAAATTCAGCTCCCAAGTATATAAAGCAAACATTAATAGATACAAAGAGAGAGAGAGATTATAATACAATAATAGTGGAGGACGTCAAATACCCCATTTTCACCAATGAACAGATCATCTAGACAGAAAATTAACAAAGAAACCATTGTATCAAACTACACATCAGACCAAATAGGTCCAACTGATATTTATAAAACACACTTCACTCAACTATTCAGAATACACGTTTCATCAGTACATGGAACATTCCCCAGAATAAACCATATTTTAGGCCACAAAACAAGTCTCAACAAATTTTTAAAAGTAGAAATCATATCAAGTATCCTTTCTGACCACAATGGAATAAAACTAGATATCAATAACAAGAGGAATTTTGGGCTAGGTGTGGTGGCTCATGCCTGTAATCCCAGTACTTTGGGAGGCTGAGGTGGGTGGATCATCTGATGTCAGGAGTTCGGGACCAGCCTGACTAACATGGCAAAACCCTGTCTCATTAAAAATACAAAAATTAGCTGGGTGTGGTGGTGTACACCTGTAATCCCAGCTACTTGGGAGGCTGAGGCAGGAGAATCACTTGAACCCAGGAGGTGGAGGTTGCAGATTGCACCACTGCACTCCAGCCTGGATGACAGAGGGAGACTCCATCTCAAAAAAAAAAACAAAACAAAAAAACCTTTGGAAATTAAACAAAAACATGGAAATTAAACAACATGCTCCTGAATAAACAATGAGTTGATGAAGAAATAAGAACATTTAAAAATTTCTCAAAACAAATAAAAATAGAAACACAACATATCCAAATCTATGGGATACAGTAAACACAGTACTAAGAGGGAGGTTTATAGCAATAAACATCTACATCAAAAAAGTTGAAAGACTACCAAAAGACAACCTAATAATGGACTAATAATGGAGCATCTCAAGGAACTAGAAAAGCAAGACCAAGCCAAACCCAAATTTACTAGGAGAAAGGAAATAATAAAGATCAGAGCAAAAATAAATGAAATTGAGATTAAAACATTACTGAAGATCAACAAAACAAAAGTTTAGTTAAAAAAAAACTGACAAAACTTTAGCAAGACTAACTAAAAAGAGAGGACCCAAATAAATAAAATCAGAAACAAAAAAGATACAAAACAACAGAGACCATAGGAGTACAAAGAATCATTAGAGACAATTGCCAACAAATTGAAAAATCTAGAAGACAAAGATACATTCCTGGACATATACAACCAAAATTGAACCACGAAGAAAGAGAAAACCTCGACAAACCAATAGCAAGTAATAAGATCAAAGCTATAATTAAAACTCTCCTATCAAAGAAAAGTCGAGGATCTGATTAATTCTATTAAACATTTCAAGAAGAACTATAATAATTCTACTCAAAGTCTTCAAAAAAAAAAAAATTGAAGAGGAAGGAATGCTCAAACTCATCCGGCAAGGCGGGCATTACCCTGATACCAAAACCAGATAAGGCCACCAAAAAAAAAAAAAAAAAAAAAAAAGACAACAATAGGCTAATTTCACTGATGAACACAGATAGAAAAATCCTCAACAAAAAATATTAACAAACTGAATTCAGCAAGATATTAAAAAGATCATTCAACATTATCAAGTGGGATTCACCCCAGGGATGCAAAGATGGTTCAGCATATGCAAATCAGTAAATGTGATACACATTAACAGAACCAAGAACAAAAACCATATGATCATTTCAATAAGTGCTGAAAAGTATTCAATAAAATTCAATATCCCTTTTGATAAAAACCCTCAACAAACCGGGTACAGAGGAAACATACCTCAAAATAATAAAGGCCATATATGATAAATCCACAGCCAACATCATACCAAACAGGGAAAACCTAAAAGGCTTTCCACTAAGATCTGGAACAAGACAAGGGGGTGCACTTTCACTACTTTCATTCAACATAAAGCGGAAGTCCTGGCCAGTTAGTCAAGAAAAAAAAATAAAGGTGTTCATATTGGAAAGAAAGAAGTCAAATTCGCTTTGAATGTAAACGACAGGATCTTCTATTTTTAAAAACCAAAAAACTATTAGAAGTAATAAGTGAATTCAGTAAAGCTGCAGGATACAAAGCCAACATACAAAATTCAGTAGCATTTATATATACCAATAGTGAACAATCTGAAAAAGAAAGAAAGTAATCTAATTTATTGTATCTACACAGAATGTAAAATACCCAGGAATATTTTGTTTTTTTTTTTGAGACAGGGTTTTGCTCTGTCACCCAGGTTTGCACTCTGTCACCAATGCAGTGAGCACTGCAGTCTTGATTTCTTGGTCTCAAGCGATCCTCTGACTTCAGCCTCCCAAGTAGCTGCAACCACAGGCACATGCCACCACGTCTGGCTAATATTTTGATTTTTTTTTAGAGATGAGGTCACACTATGCTGCCCAGGCTGGCCTCAAACTCCTGGGCTCAAGCAATTCTCCCGCTTTGGCCTCTCGAAGTGTTGGGATTGCAGGTGTCAGCCACTGTGCCTGGCCCCTGAGAATCAATTTAACCAAAGCTGTGAAAGATCTTTACAAGGATCACTATAAAAAACTGATTAAATAAATAGAAGATGAATCAAAAAATGGAGAAGATATTATTCCATGCTCATGGATTGAAAGAATATTGTTAAAATGACAATCCTACCCAAAGCAGTTTACTGATTCAATGTAATCCCTATCAAAATACCAACAATATTCCCCATAGAAACAGAGCAGACAATCCTAAATTTTATATGGAACCACAAATAACCAAAGCAATCTTGAGCAAAAAGAGCAAAGCTGGAGGCCTCACACTACTTGACTTAAAAATATACTACAAGGCTATAGTAGCCAGATCAGCACGGTACTGGCATAAAAAACAGACACAAACACCGACTGAACAGAATAGTGAACCCAGATATAAATCCATGCCATTTGCAGCCAACTAATTTTTGACAGAGGTGCCAACAATATGCAACAGGGAAAGGACAGTCTCTTCAATAAATGGCACTGGGAAAACTGGACAACTGTATGTAGAAGAATGAAACTAGACCTCTATCTCTCACCATGTACAAATATCAAATACAAATGGATTTAGACTTAAATCTAACACCTGAAATTATAAAACTAATAAAAGAAAACATTGGGGAAATGCTCCAGGACATTGGTCTGGGCAAAAATTTTTTGTTTAAGTTCTCAAAAGCATAGGCAACAAAAACGAAAATGGACAAATGGGATTACATCAAGCTGAAAAGCTTCTGCACAGCAAAGGAAACACTCAAACAAGGTGAAGAAACAACCCATAGAATGAGAGAAAGTATTTGCAAACTACCCATCTGACAAGATAAATAACCAGAATATATAAGGAGCTCAAACAACTCAATAGCAAAAAGTCATTAATCTGATTTTAAAAAGGGCAAAAGGCCTGAACAGGTATTTCTCAACAGAGGACAAATGAACAAAGGGTATAAGAAGTGCTCAACATCAGTAATTATCCAGAAAATGCAAATCAAAACCACGATGAGGTATAATCTCACCCCAATTAGAATAGCTTTTATCAAAAAAGACAGGGAATAACATGCTGGTGAGGATGCAGAGAAAGAAAAATCCTCACACATTGTTGGTGGGAATGTAAATTAGTACAGCCACTATAGAAAACACTTCAGAGGTTCCTCAAAAATGTAAAAGTAGAATACTATATGATCCAGCAATTCCACTACTGAGTATTTCTCTAAAAGAAAGAAAACCAATATATTGAAGAGAGATCTGTACTTGCATGTTTATTGCAGCACTATCCATAATAGACAAAATATGGAATCAACCTAAGTGTCCATCAATGGATGAATAAAGAAAATGTGGAGGCCAAGGCAGGTGGATCGCTTGAGTCCAGGAGTTTGAGACCAGCCTGGACAACATAGCAGGACTCTGTCTCTACAAAATAATAATAAATATTTAAAAAGAAAGTGTGGTAAAAATACACAATAGAATATTATCCAGCCATAAAAAGAATTAAATCCTGTCATTTGGAGCAAGATGGATGAAACTGGGGGTCATTATGTTCAGTGAAACAAGCAAAGCACAGAAAGACAATGTCGCATGTTCTCACTCATATGTGGGAGCTACAAAACTGAATCTCATGAGGATAGAGAGTAGACTAGTGGTTACCGGAGGCTGGGAAGGGTAGTGGGGATGGGGAATGAAGAGCAGTAGATTAATGGGTACAAATACACTTAGAAGAAATAAGACTTGGTGTTCGATAGATCAGTAGGACAACTACAGTTAACATTAATCAAGTGTAAAGATCTCATGAAAACTCACTATTACAAGAACAGAATCAGGGTAACTGCCCCCATGATTCAATTACCTCCCATCGAGTCCCTCCCACAACACACGAGATTATGGGAACTACAATTCAAGATGAGATCTGGGTGAGGATACAGCCAAACCATACGACCTTATTTGAAGAGTTCCCATGAGAGCATCTGCCTCCTTGTGTCCCAAAGTGGGCATGAGTGTGTTCAACCTTCCTAGAAACCTTCACTGCTCATCCATTCTACATCATGAAAGTAAACATCAGTATCTTTCCAAGAGTGTACACAAGGGCTGCACTGCCAAGGAACAGGTTAAAACCATCTCAGAGCCTGCAAATGCTTTCAGAATCCCGTGCTGGCTCTGCTCCAGCTGGGTCTGAGACCCACGCAGCTTCCTGAACATTTAAAGATAACTGACACTTCCAGAGTTTCTTTCCAAGAAACTGTCTATGGTGAAGGTTTATCAGATCATGAAAACCTAGGCGGAAAATCAGCTGTTCTGCTACAAAAGAAAGCAGCAATAGATAGTCTAAAGAAGAGCATCAGAATGAAAATCAGAATGATTAAACTTTCTCTTTTTCAGTTAACCAACTTTATGTTTCTTCCTGACTTGGGAGGAAAATAATTTTATGACTCGGTATAGGTACATTAAAACAGTATTTACTGATTTGCTTTCATTTGTTTGTAATAGATTTAGGGAAAACAGACCCTGGCAGACACCTAAACCTTGACTTTATAAATATGACTGTGTTAGTGGGGTCTTGCTCTTACTGAGCAAGCATTCCTACTGCTGGTAGTTTCAACTAAAACATCAGTGCTTTTACCTATTTAAGCATTAAAGAACAACAATGTAGTAGCCACAGATATAAGTTAGTTTAGTACGATTTGAAAGGCTTTCTGTTCATTTATTTATTTTAAATGTACAGTTCTCATTTATTTTCTGCTTAGCAAAAATTTTTCCTTTAATTCCACTGAGATTGGATTCTTGTATGACCTTCTCTGATCAACTCTTAAATTGATGAATATTGTTAATGACAAGCTCGTGTGTGCCTGGGACTGTCACTAAGTAAAAGGGGGACATGTAACACATCCTCAGATTTATTTTTTTCTGAAAACAAGTTTTAGTTAAATAAGGGTTTAGGCCTGGCGTGGTGGCTCACGCCTGTAATCCTAGGACTTTGGGAGGCCAAGGTGGGTGGATCACCTGAGGTCAGGAGTTTGAGACCAACCTGGCCAACAAGGTGAAACCCCATCTCTACTAAAAATACAAAAATTAGCCAGGCGTGGTGGCGGGTGCCTGTAATCCCAGCTACTCGGGAGACTGAGGCAGGAGAATCACTTCAACCCAGGAGGTGGAGATTGCAGTGAGCTGAGATCGCGCCACTGCACTCCAGCCTGGGTGACAGAGCAAGACCCTGTCTCAAAAAAAAAAAAAATTAACTTTTGTATAAGGTGTAAGGAAGGGATGCAGTTTCAGCTTTCTAAATATAGTTAGCCAGTTTTCCCAGCCCCACTTATTAAACAGGGAATGCTTTCTTCATTTCTTGTGTTTGTCAAAGATCAGATGGTTGTAGATGTGTGGTGTTATTTCTGAGGCCTCTGTTCCATTCCATTAGTGTCTATCTCTGTTTTGGTACCAGTACCATGCTGTTTTGGTTACCGAAGCCTTGTAGTATAGTTTAAAGTCAGGTAGCGTGATGCCTCCAGCTTTGTTCTTTTTGCTTAGGACTGTCTTGGCAATGCGGGCTCTTTTTTGGTTCCATATGAACTTTAAAGTAGTTTTTCCCAATTTTGTGAAGAAAGTCATTGGTAGCTTGATGGGGATGGCACTGAACCTATAAATTACCTTGGGCAGTATGGTCATTTTCACAATATTGATTCTTCCTATTCATAAGCATGGAATGTTCTTCCATTTGTCTGTGTCCTCTTTTATTTTGTTGAGCAGTGGTTTGTACTTCTCCTTGAAGAGGTCCTTCACATCCCTTGTAAGTTGGATTCCTAGGTATTTTATTCTCTTTCAAGCAATTGTGAATGGGAGTTCACTCATCATTTGGCTTCTACCCATCTGACAAAGGGCTAATATCCAGATTCTACAAAGAACTTAAACAAATTTACAAGAAAAAATCAAACAACCCCATCAAAAAGTGGGCGAAGGACATGAACAGACACTTCTCAAAAGAAGACATTTATGCAGCCAACAGACACATGAAAAAATGCTCATCATCACTGGCCATCAGAGAAATGCAAATCAAAACCACAATGAGATACCATCTCACACCAGTTAGAATGGCAATCATTAAAATGTCAGGGAACAACAGGTGCTAAAGAGGATGTGGAGAAACAGGAACACTTTTACACAGTTGGTGGGAGTGTAAACTAGTTCAACCATTGTAAAAGACAGTGTGGTGATTCCTCAACGATCTAGAATTAGAAATACCACTTGACCCAGTGATCCCATTACTGGATATATACCCAAAGGATTATAAATCATGCTGCTATAAAGACACATGCATATGTATGTTTATTGCGGCACTATTCACAATAGCAGAGACTTGGAACCAACCCAAATGCCCATCAATGATAGACTGGATTAATAAAACGTGGCACATATACACCATGGAATACTATACCGCCATTAAAAAGGATGAGTTCATGTCCTTTGTAGGGACATGGATGAAGCTGGAAACCATCATTCTGAGCAAACTATTGCAAGGACAGAAAACCAGACACTGCATGTTCTCACTCATAGGTGGGAACTGAACAATGAGCACACTTGGACACAGGGCGGTGAACATCACACACTGGGGCCTGTTGTGGGGAGGGGGAAGAGAGGAGGGATAGCATTAAGAGAAATACCTAATGTAAATGACGAGCTAATGGGTACAGCACACCAACATGGCACATGTATGCATACGTAACAAGCCTGCATGTTGTGCACATGTACCCTAGAACTTAAATTTAAAAAAGGGGTTTAAATACATTACACATAACATTAAAACTGGAGGGGAAAAAAACAAACAAACCTCAAAACCAGTTGGTTACTTTCCATGAAATTGGACAGCTGTTGCCATTAAGTTGCAAGCTCTACAGCTAGCTACATGACTGGTACATCAGTTTTGAGATTTGTTCCCTTGTCAAAGGTTTAACTTTGATGGAAGGTTGGTCTCACATTCTGGTGTTTGGACATCCCTTAGCTAGGGCATGTCTGGTCAAAAAGACCTTTGTGGCAAGCCAGATGTCCTATCACCTCGCTATTGGGAAGGGGGCCTCTCTAAAACTCTGCACCTGGTCAGGTTATAGACACCAGGGGATCTTTCTTTGACCACCAAAGGCTCCCTTCCAGTGGTAGAGTTGCTGTTGCTGCCTTACCCCATCCTCTCCTCTTAGATTCACCGAGGATTGTTCGGGTGGTGACAGTCTCTTAGGGCAGGGAACTCTGCAGAGGGAGAGCGGAGGAGCTTCTGGCCAGACGTAGTTGTCTATGATCTTAGGGGTCTAGGTGTGGCTGAAACATGACAGTATTGCTTTGTTTCAGACTTGACACTGCCAGGCGCCTACTGCTTGACCTCTGTTTAAATGAGGGACTTCAAGACTAGACAGCATGGCTCTTTCAAGTTTACTGCATGAAGGAATTACACTAGGTCAAGTTAAAAGCAGACCACAAATGGTTACATTATACAAAGCTGTGAGGTTTTTAAACTTGTGACAAGGGACAGAAAGGAAATTCTACTCATTGCAAGGAAAACCTCATTCAAGCTTCAGCGAGCCACAGCAGTTAAAACCCATGAACATTTAGCTGGTTGTCCTTAGCCATTCCAATCTCTAAGAGGAACTGGCACATGTTCTTGTGCTGGTCACCCTGTAGCTGAATGACCTCCATATTCTGGATGCTCAATTACAGTATCATTGCAGGCAAATTTCTTTTTAAATGCCTTCATTGGTTTCTTTTTATCATAATCATCAGCAGTCCCTTGGACAGTAGTAAGGGTCTTCCTGCCATTTCTCTGTTGGATGAATTCTTATATGGATATAATCCTCAGTGCCAGCAGGACAGGTATCACCCTTACTTGTATCAGCAAAGGGGTGGAAAGAGTGGAGGTTCTGGACTGTGGACATACGATTGTTTTTCCTCAGTGGAAATGGCTGCAAAAGCGGGCGGTGGCGGGAGAAGGGGGAGATGAGTCCTTGGCAGTGGCGGCTCAGTGACTCGGGCCTCTTCAGATTCTTAACGTTAAAACACTAGTGCTTGATACGGTTTGGATTTGTGTCCCCACCCAAATCTTATGAGTTATAATCCTCCGTGCTGGAAGAGGGGCCTGGTGGGAAGTGATTAGATCATGGGGGCGGACTTCCCCCGAGAACTGGTTGTTTGAAAGTGCATAGCATTACCTTCTTCCCTCTTTTTCTCCTGCTCCCACCACATAGGACGTGCCACCTTCCCCTTCGCCATCCACCATGACTGTAAGTTTCCTGACGCTTCCCAGCCATGCTTCTTTACAGCCTGTGGAACTGTGAGTCGATTAAGCCTTTTTTCTTTATAAATTACCCAGTCTCAGGTAGTTCTTCATAGCAGTACAAGAACAGACTAATACAGTTCTCAAAGTGGGTTCCCAGAACAGCAGCATCAGCATTATTTTCTGGGAACTTATTAGAAATCCAAATTTTGGGGCCCATCCCAGACCTACTGAAGCAGGAACTCTGGGTTTGGGGCCCTGCAATCTGCATTTTGATAACCCGCTAGGTGACCCTGAGGTAGGCCAAAAGTTCTCAAAATCCCTATCTTCAAAGATGGGTTAACTGGGAAAAAAATTATGCCCTAAGGCTCCAAGAGCCAAGAATATCCTCTAATTTTAAGAAAATGATACCTAGGGATTTAGAAAACATCCCCCAGGAAGCCTAACTTTGTTTCACTCATTTATTCAAAAATATTGACTGAGAACTCAGCATGTAATAGGCACAGTGCTGGGCACTACAGTGGTGAACAAAATAAACTCAGTTCTTGCCTTTTTGAGGCTTATAGGCACGAACTATATGTGCACAAACAAAAAAAGTTATAAACGTATTATGCTAAATGCTACGAAGGAGAAAAAAACAGGTGTTGAGTGAGAATAACAGAGGTACCCTTCCTTAGGACTGAAGTTGAGGGTATGCAGATGTATAGGAATGGGTGGTCCTTAAGGGTCTTTCCACGGAAACAACATTGAAACTAAGACCTGAAGGATAAGTAGGAGTTAACTAGGGGAAAGGTGGAAGGTAAAAATGGTCCCAGGAACAGCATACAGCCCAGAAATAGACCCACACAGATGTGCCTATGCGATTTTTGACAAAGGCATTTCAGAAAAGAAAAACTCTTTCAGAAAAGGAAGGAAAGTCTTTTCAACAAACAGTGCTACAGCAATCTGGTATCTATAGTCAAAATAATGAATCTTCTTAACCGTCTGTCTTATACAAAAGTTAATTCCAAATGAATCTTAAATCTAAAATTAAAAAAAAAACTATAAAACTTAAGAAAACCTAGAAGATCTTTAAGACCTAGGGCTTAGAGAGGTCTAGACATAATACCAAAAGTAAGAGCCATAGAAATAAAAATTGACAATGCGGTCTTCATCAAAATTACAATCTTTTTTTTTCTTTAAAAGGTCTGGAGGCTCGGGGCCAGAAAGAGCTCCATATATTTCAGCTACTGAGTTTTTAAGAGAGGGAAAGAGTAGGTTGGGCTGAAGTGAGAGGTAAGCAGAGGCTAGGTTATGAGATTTGCTTAGTCCTGTTGGTCATAGTAGGAAGACTAGGTTTTCTTCTAAGTTAAAAGTCATTGATGGGTTTAAGCGGATGAGTAAAATAAAATAAATGATCTTATTTTTAAGTGTTTTGTTTATGCATAGGCTTCTTACTATCTTTAAAGAGAGGCAGCTCTGGGCTTTGTTTATCATCACGGGGAAAGGACACTGGACATTCCAGGAATAGTTTATTTAGATTTCACATAGAGGATTTCACATTGAAGATATAACCAACCCTTCCATTTAAAAAATACATGTATTTTTTCCACTGTTTAAAGCAGAATGGAACTGGGTATGGTGGTTCATGCCTGTAGTCCCAGTACTTGTGAGGCTGAGACAGGAGTTCGAGGCTGTAGTGAGCTATGATTGCACCTGTGAAGAGCCACTGCATTCCAGCCTGGGCAATTTAGGGAGAGCCTATACCACCCCCACACCACCACCACCAAGAAAACAGAAAGGCTCATGCCAAATGGAAATTTCCCATATTTTCTTGTGTTTTATTAAGAACATAAAAGTTCCTAACTTAAGCTTTACAGAGGTCAACTGTCTGACCTAGAAGGGGCTTTACAATTTGCTGCCTGATAAAAGCTCTCACAATGTTAAATTTATGTTACCAACGCAGCATACGCACCTCACCTGAAAATGGTTATGGGAAAAGCTGTAACCAGAGACTGAATTTGGAGTTTAAAAAGGCAGAACCAAATCAAAACCACAGTATCACCTCATACTCATTAGGATGGCCACTATTAAAAAAAAACAAGAACAAACAACAACAAAAAAACAAAGCATCGGTAGCATGTAGAGAAACTGGAACCCTACATTGGTGAGAGTTGTTGGTGAAACTGTAAAATGGTGCAGCTGCTACAGAAAACAGTATAGAGGTTCCTCAAAAAAATAAGAAATAGAACTACCATGAGATTCAAGAACCCTACTTCTGGGTATATGCCCAAAAGAACTAAAAACAGGAACTCGAAGAGACATTTGCATCCCCATGTTCACTACAGAATTATTCACAATGACCAACATGCAGAAGCAACCTAAAAGTCCATTAACAGATGAATGCCTAAGGAAAATGTGGTATATGCATACAATGGACTATTATCTAGCCTACAAAAAAGGAAATTCTATCACATGCTACAACATGAATAGAATGGAAACTTGAAGACACTATGCTAAGTGAAATAAGCCAATCACAAAAAGCCAAATTTCTATGACACATACATGTAATTAAAGTCATAGAAACAGAAAGTAGAAAGGTTGGTGCCAGCGGCTGGCACAGGGGGAAACAGAGTTGTTTGATGAGCACAGCATTTTAGTCATGTGAAATGGAAAAGTTCTAGAGATCTGTCATGGCATTGTGCATACAGTTAACAATAATGAAGTGTACACTTAAACATTCAGAGGGCAAATCTATGCTATGTGTTTTTCACCACAATAAAAAAAAAGGAAAAAAGTAGAAGTAGCATTTACGGTGCTCCAGTCACACTAAAGGTCAAGCTGCCTTATGTTGCTATCCTTTAGTGGAAATAAACCTCACTTAAGCTTTTCCCTTTTTAATACAGGAGACTCAGAACATTCTCTGCTTTTTTATTGTCACAGGCTCTCCTGCTAGGACAAGCACATCCCTTTAGTGATTCTTCAAGAGTTCTGCTGACGTTCACCTACCCACGCTAGACAGGCAAATATTCAGGCACCGGGAGGGAGTAGGGGCATCTGCCATGGAGATGTCCTTTAAAAATGGGAAATGACTGAAAAAGCCTGATCCCATTCTGTTGAGGAATGCCTTGGAGAATAGCAGTATGGTCACAGACTGACCAATGACAGGCCACACCCAGGAGACAGAGCCTTGTCCCCTGGTCAGCATGAGGTAGAGGCAAAAGGGAAGACCACTGGCTCAGCCCCACCCATTTCCCAAGGACACTTTCATAGCCTCTAATTCAAATATCAACCACTTCTGCCATGTTCAGCTGAGAAAATTCAACAAGCCAGGGGAAACAGATTCCACAGACGGGACTTAAACTCTTTCCTCCTCACGCGAAGGTCTTGTCTCTCCCTCTCTCCTTCTGAACAGGCTCTGACAGCAAGGTCTCAACTCCACCACGCTGGGAAAGGCGCCAGACTGTGGGACCTGCCAGATAAAAGGCTTCACCCCTAACCCAGGCCTGAAAGGTTGGGCTCAAGCCAGAGACACAGGATGAAGCCATGTCCCAAGAAGACTGGCTCCCAGAGCCTGCGGTCTGACAGCAAGAAAGTGCCAAAAGTGACTAGCTCCTGCAACGAGGCTCTGGGGCATTACTAAACTTTCAGCCTCTTAGGGCAGTAACCCCTAAAGGGCAGGGTCTGAGGCAAGGAGGAAGCCAGAAGGCAAGATCCTCAAACTCCGTGAATCCTGGGACTCAGTTACAAAGGGGAAAGGCCTGTTACTACATGTGTCATACTAAAGCAAAATTAATTTACAAACATTTGATTGAAACTCTGAGTAAGCAGGTAGGGAGAAGCAAAAACAAAACGTTTTAGCCATCAAGGGAAGGGAAATAGTCATTAATGGCAAAATATTTATTGTTTCTAAGGTATCTGAAATCTCAATGACATTGCTTTTATTTGTTCTATACTACGTAAAAATATATAAAAACTGTGTGTTGATAAGCACTTACATAGGTCAACACTTTCTAACCACCTCACTACTCAAAGTGTAGACCCCTGGGCAATCTTAGCAGCATCTGCCTGACTTGATTTAAAAAAGCAGCATTTTGGGCCCTACCCTAGACCTACAGAATCAATCTGCATTCCAGCAAGACCCCCAGGTGATTTGTATGCACACTGAAGTGGAAGGAGCACTGGTTTAACCTTTATTTTTCCTCATCAAGTCTTAAGCTTCCTAACCCATTACCTTTTATCTGGAGCAACCTACAGTAATGGTTCACAATCTTGGATTTTTTTTTTTTTTTTTTTTTAGACAGAATTTTGCTCTTGTTTCCCAGGCTGGAGTGCAATGGAGTGATCTCCACTCACCGCAACCTCTGCCTCCCGGGTTCAAGCGATTCTCCTGCCTCAGCCTCCCGAGTAGCTGGGATTACAAGCGTGTGCCATCATGCCCGACTAATTTCTTGTATTTTTAGTAGAGACGAGGTTTCACCACGTTAGCCAGGCTGGTCCCGAGCTCCTGACCGCAGGTGATCCACTCGCCTTGGCCTCCTAGAGTGCTGGGGTTACAGGCGTGAGCTACCACGCCCGGCTGGATGATTATTAGAATTACTGTCTAGGTCTCATCAAAGACCAATTGAACTAATCTCTGGGGGTGAGACCTGAGCAGAAGTATATTTCAAAGCTCCTCCAGGAGATTCCAACTGCTACATTTGAGAGTTATTGGTCTATTCCAGTGGTTCTCAAAACGTGTTCCGAGATCAGCAGCATCACCATCACTAGGGAACTTGAACTTGGCAGAAAACCACATTTCTTTTTCCTTCCTCCCTTTATCTCTCTCTCTCTCTCTCTCTCTCTCTCTCTCTCACACACACACACACAAATGCATATTGTGACTATGCTTATTAAAAAGGAACTCAGTAAAACTTGAGGAAATTCTCAGAAAGCAGGTATTCTGGTATCTCTTTCAAACAATATATTGGTACCTGAAACAAAAATATTTATGTCTTAGAAGGGTGACTTAAAATTCATTTAAAAATGTGGATGCTGCTAGGTGCTCATGGGCTCATAGGGTCAAAGCAGACAATGGATGAGAAACGATTGAGTGGTAAATATATTACATTGTCCCTTCTGGTTGAGTTAGTGTTTGAAAAAAAAAATTCTATTGTCCTGTGAGTGGTTTGCAAACAAGTGACACTCTATGGGGCTTACCTGATAGCAAGAGAATAGTAGTTCCTCCAGATCTGGTAATATACTATTCCAAGATTCTCCCAGAGATTTTGATTCAGTGAGTCTGACATGGTGTTAAAATTTACATTTCTAACAAACATTCTCAACTGATTCTTGTCTTCAGCAAAATTTGGAAAACACCCTGCCTTCTAAGACTGTTATTCTCTGGGCCACTGTTTCTCAAAGTCTGGCCGTGGACCAGTGATGTCAGCATCACCTGAGGACTTATTAGAAATGCTTGGGCCCCACAACGGGCTACTGAATCAGAGACTCTTCAGGTAAGTCCAGTCATCAGTGTGTTAACTGCTGCATGTGGTCATTTTCAAAACTTACATCTTTTAAGTAAAAACGATCTGCTCTTATTCAAATACCTAATTTCTGGTAAGAAGCCACTCAATTTCAGCCTCAGTTTGTGTCTTTCATGTGGAAGCATGAAAGGGCATAATGAACAGTCTTTGGCTGTAACCAGGAAGTATCCATGTGGAAAGGAACAGGGTGGCACACTCTGCAAAAAATGAAAGCAGTTGTGCTAGTGTGATGGGAGCTTTAAAAAGTATTACATAATTTTACTTTTATTGGAATGACAATCTAACAGCAACTGTAAACACAAAGACAACACTAAGTATCCAATGTGATGAGGCTTGTTCATCTTCCTAGTTGCTATCCTCTCCTTCTTTTTTATTTGAAGAAAACATATCTGCAACAAAGGTATGAAAACCAAACCAGATCACAGTTCTGTTACCTCCAAATGCAAAAGAACTGCTTGAAAACAGGGGAGCACAAGACAAAGGACATTCAGAACCCAGGGACAGGCTTTACAGGGCTCTTGAAACCTCCGAAATCAAATGCAAAGTTTTGTGGTTTTCAGCAAACTTGCATCGTTCAAGGGAAAGGTTTTGCAGCCTTTATTAAATATCCAAAAGAGGCCAGACCCAAGGAAAGTCAATAACCTCTGAATTTCCATGTATCTCACTGAATGCAGATCTGAACAAAAGTCCTATTAATTTAATCTTCTCTTATATGACAAAAAAAATTCTCTTACCTGGAAACCTTTTGCTCTGGCCTTAAAAACTGCTTGTGAGAACTGGAGACTCATCCACCAGAGCAGAGCTTGGAGACAAGCAAAGTAGTAGCACTAGAGAGACCACGAGCCTGGGAACCGCATTTTCATTTCCAGTTGGCCTCGAACTACCTCTGGGACTCTGGGAACGTTACTTAAATGCTCTGGGCCTCAGACTCTTCATGTCCAGACTAGGACAGCCCTAATGACACTTCCAGGCCTGACAGACATTCTATGATTATGCTCTTCTAAATCCTGGGCCCAAAGGGAACACAAGGCTTCCTTGAGCTGACGTTGCTAAATAAAGTTAAGGCCATATGGGATGCTGTGTATGAGTCAGCAGGACACAGGTCTTGCCTCACAGGACCCAGCTGTGCGCAGAAAGCTTCTCTGGCACAGTGAGGACTATTCAGAGAATTCCCACCGCCAACGCCGGAACAGATGCTGAAACACCTGGGCTCTGTGTTCTCCTCTAACTCAGCTCCCAGGGTGGCTACTTTTTCCCCATCCCTTCCAAATTAAGTTTTCTATTCCCTCTCCATGTACTAGTACTAAATATTCAACAATAAAGAAATGCATGACAGAGAAAGTAAAAAATCAGCCGTAATTCTACTACTATCAACGCTTTGGTGTATTGCTTCCCAGTTCTTTCTTGTGGTTTTATAAGCATGTATGTACCTATACATTCTTCCCAAATGTTCCTTTGTAACTTTTAACTTCATATTATAGTCATCTTCCTAAGATAACAACCACATCTCTCTTTTATGGCTGCATAGTATTCCCCTTTCATCTTTGTCTCATTTGACCTTCCTTTATTGTTGAATATTTAGATTGTTTCTTCACACTGCAAACACTTTATTTTACTTTTGAGACACAGTTTCGCTCTTGTCGCCCAGGCTGGAGTGCAATGGCACGATCTCGGCTCACTGCAAACTCTGCCTACCAGATTCAAGTGATTCTCTTGCCTCAGCCTCCTGAGTAGCTGGGATTACAGGTGCAGACCACTATGTCTGGCTAATTTTTTTGTATTTTTAGTAGATACGGGGTTTCACCATGTTGGCCAGGCTGGTCTCGAACTCCTGACCTCAGATGATCCACCCGCCTTAGCCTCCCAAAGTGCTGGGATTACAGGAGTAAACCGTCGCACCTGGCCCACACTGCAAACACTCTGATGAATGTACTTCTACATATAGCTTTCTGTACCTGTCCAATAATTCCAAACACATATTTGCAATAATTAATTATAAATGGGTAAATTACAAGAAATGAATCTGTGAGATGAAGAAAATAGGGCCTACACATTCTAATGGATAATGTCAGGTTGTCCTTCAAAAAGCAGGTATTAATTTATATTCTCTCCAAAATGTTATAGCAGGGCTAATGAAACTAGATTCCATTCCTAAATTTATTGCTTTGAACATAGTAAACACATCCTCAAAACAATGTTTCAAAAATCCCAGTATACTATTAATTTTAATATAGCAACTTTAGTTTTTTATCATGGGATTCTACATTTATTTTTCATTTCTGGCTCAGAGCAATTTATATTTTATAAAACTCAACCTCTGTATATCATACAAACATTATCTATGTTGGTAAATTTGTAGATAATTTTTGAAATTCTCTCATCCACAAGTCTAAGAACTGAAAATCCCTAACTCACTTAGAGCATTTCATTATCCACTACATTATATGGAGCCTGATGTGTAAAACAATTAATCAAAATAGAGATGTGAATGAACTCCAGACTTCTGTCCTAAGACTGAAGACATCATTGTGTTGAGAGAACAGGCTGAGTATGGAACAGAGTTGGAGCCAAGGTAACTTGTGGAACGAACAAGCATTCCTTTATCCTTTCAACAGAGGATGTATCCAATGCATGGTACTTACACATACACCCAACACATGCAGATGCTTAGGGAAAATGCCAGTAAGTCACAGAAGAAAGTTCTAGCTATTCCTGCCACTGTTAGGCCACGTTTCCTAAATTAGTATGATGGAAGCAGAAATTAACACAGCCAACTCTGTATTATATAAAAAGACAGAAAATTTTTCAGGAATTTTGAAGCAATGAAACAAACTAGATTTTCTTAAAAGGAAGAGAACAAAGAATATAAAGAAAAATATAAAATGCACATGTATTAACACACCACTTGTTTTGGAGGTGCTCTTACAGAAATAAAACCCCATTCCTAAGGACATATGTATGATTTTTAGTGTTGTATGACCATAAAATTCTTAGTCGCTATGCTTTAACAATTGAAGGGGTTCCGAAAACTGTCCCGATTCCAAATTCCTCCTTTCACAGATGAGGACTTTTTGTGAAATAGCAGAGGTTAAATAGCCAGAATATAGTCACACAAACTAGTTAGTGGTGGCCCTGTTGCTTTATTTAGAGGTGGAAAGAGAAGGCACATAACATCTTTTTTTCCTTTGACAGAAGCAGGAGGAAATGCAACTCTCCTTTGTGCATTTCTTCTCATTTCCTATTTTCTTAGTCTTCCAGCCCTTCCCTCCACTTCTTTCCTTGTAGCCTTTAATAGATGTAAAATAAGCCGTTACTGGAATTACAAATCCATGGACTGCAACATTTCTTTATTCATTTCATTAGCAGGAACATTGGGCCTCTGTTAGGGATACCTTAAGACTGGTAAAGAGACCGGGGACAATACTTAAGCTTTACAAGTCTGGGTGGTCCCTCTCACCCTAACCTCTAGCTAAAACACAGCTCCTCCTGCCAGTTGAGGGTCTGGTGTGTGCCACTCTCATCTGCATATTTCACAACAGGGATATGCAGAGTCACAGCCCACTGAAGCACACACTTCCTGACAACCTGCTACTCAAGTCATGGCCTGTGGTCCAGCAGCACCAGCATGCTCTACAGCTAGTTAGAAATGCAGAATCTTAGGCCCCCATCCTAGACCCAGGAGTAAGAATCTACATAACAAGAGTCTCACATTAAAGTGTGAGAAGCACTGTTTTAACAGAGATCTTTAAGCCACTTTCCCTTGCTGGAGAGTAAAAGAGGAATCGCACTAAAAATGTTCCATTCCCCTGATTTGTCTTTATTTCCTGATCTTTTACTTTCACTTTGCAAGAATTAAATAATATACATTCTTTGGCTCTAATAAGCACAGAGGCCAATCCCAAACTCCAATACAGCTGCCAACAGAGAAAGGTAGATTTATGTATTTGATTTTAACTCAGCATAATTTGCAATGAATTTGCAAGCTGCCCTGCAATGAAAATATTGGGATTGCATATTAATAAAACAGTAAAGTAATCCCTCCACCTTTATACAAATTTCATATTAATGCTGGCAGTAGGGACAGTTTTATTCTATTATATTGGGGATTGCAAGCAGTCTTACGAAGTAGCACCTTTCCCTCTGCTCAGAAAAACACAGGACTGCAGAATTTTCTCTCTAGGCTTTTGAACCTTTCAATCCTCTTTTCTCATTCTAAAAGGGCAACGGGGATGACGCAGAGAAGCTGCAATGTAGAGCCATCCTTTCAAGCTGCATCGCAACTGTCATCCCATGGGTCACACCAAAGGAGGTGCATATGTGGGCAGGGGGACAAAAGCATTTTACACCTCCCTGGTTGGCTGCCATGGGTGAATGATGGTCAAAAACGAGATCAGTACCAGCTTAACACATAGCTCACAGTGAATGAAAACCTTGATGGGCCTTTAAGAAGGAATGCCAGTCTTCAAGCCCCAACAAGCCATGCTATGGTGAAAACTACTGAAGTGTCAAAGCTACTGTTCTGTGCCACAGTGAACAAACACATGCTTTCGTTTTAACAGCTCATTAGGAAACCTGCTATAGTGTGTAGCTATAATCAGGCACTACTTACTTACATCTGTAAGCTGCATTCCAAGATATTACTGGACCAAATCCACACTCTGTAAATCAGCTCAGCTCAGTGACTGAAGTCAGTTATCACACATCTGTACAATTTCACTAATTTGCTGGCTCTTCATTTAATTTTCTTCTATGCTTTGAGCCAGGGTGACCAGATAAGGTGAGGTCCAAATTGGGACGCTTTCGAGGGTGTTAAAATGTTAAGTAGATGGGATGTAGGGACAAGAGACATAAACCAGGACAGGCAAACTGGGACATATAATCTCCCTACCTGTAAAGAACTAATGGGAAAGAAACAGAGGTGGAGAGGGAATAGCAATAAATAGAAATACTGGAAGACTGCTATGAAGACACTCTAGAAACCAACTATACAACACGTATCTTACATATATCCTTATATGCCAGGAGACTTAATATATTATCTTATTCACGAGATACAGTAAAAACATACCATGGGTACTAAGAAAGGCTGACAATAACGTCAGATGTCAGATGAAGCTGTGCTGTTCTCAGTGTCATCGCCACTTAGTATAAATGCCAACAAAATGATTTCTGGAATGAGAGTCTCCTAATAATACAAACATTCTCCCAGGAACTGCAATTGACATGCAAGTACATTGTTTTCCTCACTTTAACTAGAGTCTCATCCCTGGATTATCTACATGGTTTCAGAATAAAGAGTCTCCCAGCTTCTATTTTAAACCAAACATGACAACTGACATGTCCGCAGCTTTATAATTTTACAGTGTTTTCACATGCATTGTCTTAGATAAGCTTCAAAACAGCTTCATGAGATACTCTCCCCCGCAACAGATAAAGAAATTGAAGCTCAAAGACGTGAGCTCCCCTTGGCCTGCGATTCTGCAACCGCACTTATTACACTCTACCTTTGTTACTATCATGTTGCTCTTCCCCACTGGGCTTTAAGCTTTGCAAGTACGATGATGATGTCATTTTAATTTTCTGAGAGCCTCGCGCTCAGAGCCTAGGATACCCAATGTTCAAAATTATTTTTAATTATCATACTTCTTTTGCATGAATGGATAAATTTCATAAAAAAGGAATTGGTACATTTCTATGTCTGTGATGCCATTTAATGACCCAGAGGTGGCAAATCTTATACATATACGGCATAGTTTTTAAATATGTTGAGATGATCCTATTAAAGAAAGAAGAAAGAGAAACTAACTACTATGCAGTTAATACAAGTTAAAGGAAAAGAACTGGCCAGGCGTGGTGGCTCACGCCTGTAATCTCAGCACTTTGGGAGGCTGGGGCAGGCGGATCACAGGGTCAAGAGATTGAGACCATCCTTACCAACATGATGACACCCCGTCTCTACTAAAAATATAAAAATTACCCAGGCGTGGTGGTGTGTGCCTGTGGTCCCAGCTACTCGGGAGGCTGAGGCAGGAGAATTGCTTGAACCCGGGATGCGGAGGTTGCAGTGAGCCAAGATTGCACCACTGCACCACTCCAGCCTGGCGACAGAGCAAGACTCTGTATCAAAAAAAAAAAAAAAAAAAAGATAACAACCCCCAGAAATGGTGGTCTCTAATCCGTAGACTGGCTGTGTGTGAGGTGCACATGAGAGCAGAGGGTTGCAATGTACTGGGTCAACCGGGTCCTTTAGTGTTCTACCTGATTTCCATGGACTTCAACATCTCTATGAAAAACACTTTCCCAAAATTACCCATGGAAGATCTGGGATTGCGGGCTATTTCGTATCTCTGCTATATATAAGTGTGAGCCAGAAGAATTGAGGTTGTTTGGCACTTTCTTTAGTATTTGTTGTTCTGAGTTAACAAGTAAAAAATAGCTCAGGACATCTGATGAGATTGTGGTGAGAACTTTGGCTCCTAACATTGTTACAATGTTTCCCCTCATTTGACACTATGGATACTCACAACTATACTAAGAGTTTTCTTAAGACCACTCCCCTTAAGGCAAAGTGAAACTTAAAAAAGAGTGGGGATTAAATATATTTTCGTAAGATGAAAGACTATACTAGAAAACTGCACTTGTTTCTGTAGTTTTCACTAGTTTGGAACCTGACCAATGTTAAAGACAGAGAAAGAGACCAAAGAGATATGAAGTGATAGAGTCTTCTTAAAGTTCCTATTATTTATTTCTCATATGTCATAAATATAATAAAACTACAACACAGTATAGTCATTTATAATGCCAAGAATAAGACATCATTACGTAATAATGACATATCTTACCCAGAACTTAGTTGTCTAGTCATAATTAGAAAATTAATGAGAACAGAAATAATCAAATAAGTAAATAAATAATCAAGTAAATAAAGTAATCCAAAAATACTATGGATGAATTTATCTTATACAGAAGGCTTAAATCCATGGCAAATTTATACTTGGTTCTAATTAACTTTGGATGTCTCCCTCCCCACTCCCCACCTATGGCTTAGGCCAGATAACAAAGTCATGGGGATGGCTTCTGGAAGGCCTAGTAACTCAAAGCCAAATTCCTATAGCAAGGGAAGTGATTTTTACAATGATGTTTAAGGGGTGTGCATAGTAGCTCACGCCGGTAATCCCAATACTTTGGGAGGCTGAGGCGGGTGGATTACTTCAGGTCAGGAGTTTGAGAGCAGCCTGGCCAACATGGTGAAACCCTGTCTCTACTAAAAATACAAAAAAAAATTAGCCAGGCGTGGTGGCATGCACCTGTAGTCCCATCCCAGCTGCTTGGGAGACTGAGACCAAGAATTGCTTTAACCCGGGAGGCGGAGATTGCAGTGAGCTGAGATCGTGCCACTGCACTCCAGCCTGGGTGACAGAGAGAGACTGTCTTTAAAAAAAAAAAAAAAGATACTTAAAAAACAAAAATGATCAGGCGAACTGCTCTATAAACTGTCCAGTTTCTAGGGACATTGTTATCACAGCACAATACAATAATATGATTGAAAATAATGAACCTAACTGAGAGATGATTAATCATGTTCAACATATTATTTTACAAAGTCTGAAAGCATATAACTTCAGAAAGTTTTCAAAAGAAAATTATTCAAGTGAGAGAGGAATACAGAAGATATAATTAGAGAGAGAACTCATGTACCATTGGGAAAGCTTAGCTTTTCAGAATAGCTTATTTTCAGACGAAGAAACATAACCTACATTTTTACTACAATTTATTTACTTATTTTAAATTTTCTTAAATTTTTTTTTTAGGTAGATATAGGTCTTGCTATGTTGCCCAGACTGGTCTTGAACTCCTGGCCTCAAGTGATCCTCTAGCCTTGGCCTCCCAAATCACATGCTGAGATTACAGGCATGGGCCACCATGCTTGGCTTACAATTTATTTTTAAATATTTTTCCACCTATTTCCTTGTGGTGTCTGGTGATAATCCCTATTTTCTGAAGATCTGTATGGCTGTCAAAATAGGTATCCTAAACAAACTTAGAGAAACTTACAAAAGGAAACAAAGACTTTATTAGATGTCTACCCTGCCCTGAAACTATCAGCTCCATGGGTCTACTACTATGCCTCAGACCTCTTGTTATTCCTACGCATCATCCAGTCAAATGGGTAAGCATTCAATAAGTGTTTGTTGAAATAAATCTTTTAATTTTGTGGCTAAATCATGAGATAATTTCCTAATGCTTTGTTTTTGTTGTATAGACCAATGTGTGTCTATGAAGTCATATATATATAATATACACATTTTTTGAGATGGAGTCTTGCTCTGTCGCCCAAGCTGAAGTGCAGTGGCACGATCTCAGCTGGCTGGTCAGGATTACAGGTGCATGCCACCACCACACCCGGCTAATTTCCGTATTTTTAGTAGAAATGGGGTTTCACCACGTTGGCCAGGCTGGTTTCGAACTCCTGATCTCAGGTGATCCGCCCACCTTGGCCTCACAAAGTGCTGGGATTACAGGCATGAGCCACCACGCCCAGCCTGAAGTCATATTTAAAAAAATGAAATCCCTAATGTATAAAAATTGATAATTTTATACATTAAATAATTTTTAAACATTAGGGATTTCATTTCTTAAAAATATGACTTCTTTTATTTCACTGTTTTTTATCTTAAGGCCTTTTTTTTTTTTTTTTTTTTTTAAGACACAGTCTCATTGTGTCACACAGCCTGGAGTGTAGTGGTATGATCTTGGATCACTACAACCTCCACCTCCCAGGTTCAAGCAATTCTCCTGCCTCAGACTTCTCAGTAGCTGGGATTACAGATGTCCACCACCATGGCTTGCTAATTTTTGTAGTTTTGTATAGACGGGGTTTTGCCATGTTGGCCAGGCTGATCTTGAACTCCTGACCCTAAGCGATCTGCCCACCTCAGCTTCCCAAAGTGCTGAGATTACAGACGTGAGCCACCATGCACTCCCTAAGCCTAATTCTTTTTTTTTTTTTTTTTTTTGTAGAGATGGAGTCTTGCCCCGTTGCTGAGGCTGGAGTGCAGTGGTGTGATCTCCGCTCACTGCAACCTCTGCCTCCCAGGTTCAAACAATTCTCCTGCCTGAGCCTCCAGAGTAGCTGGGACTACAGGTGCACACCGCCATTCCTGGCTAATATTCTTTTGTATTTTAGTAGAGAGAGGGTTTCACCATGTTGCCCAGGCTGGTCTTGAACTCCTGAGCTCAGGCAATCCGCCCACCTCGGCCTCCCGAAGTGCTGGGATTACAGGCGTGAGCCACCACACCTGCTAGGCCTAATTCTTAAACAAAAAATGTCACAGCAGAATTCAGTTCCTTTTCACACAGGTTAATAGTAATATTAATGCTTGATATGGTTTAGATCTGTGTCCCCATCAAGTCTCATGTTGAACAGTAATCCCGAGTGTTGAAGGTGGGGCCTAGTGGGAGGTGATTGGATCATGGGGGCAGAGTTCTCATGAATGGGCCAGCACCATCCCCTGGGTGCTGTTCTGGTGACAGTGAGTCAGTGAATTACTGTGAGATCTGGTTATTTAAAAGCGTGTAGCACCTCTCTCCTCTCTCTTCCTCCTGCTCTGGCCACGTAAAACGTGCCTGCTTCCCCTTTGCCTTCTGCCATGATTCTAAGTTTCCTGAGGCCTCCCCAGAAGCCACCATGCTTCCTGGCCTGCGGAACCCTGAGCCAATTAAACCCCTTTTCTTTATAAATTGCCCAGTCTCCAGTATTTCTTTATAGCAGTGAGAGAACGGACTAATTAATGCTTCTCAAAAGGGTAGCACATACACACAAATCATAGGTAGTCACCATCTTGACTGAAACATTAGTGACCATAACAATTTATAAACCTGTGTTTTGTTTAAGTGCTTTCCCAGAAGACACTATAGTTCGGTCTCTAGACCTACAAGGCTAGGATAGGATCTGCTCTACTTCTGCTTCCTCTGTTATAGAGATTAAGAAGACTGGCGACTAGCATTACCACATTATTAGCATTCTACTGAATGTAGAAGAACCAATGTAATCACTGCATTGGTAAGAACAAATCATGCTTCTAATGACACACCACACTACACTAGGACATACATTTTCTCACATGCAAAAACAAATCAAGGCCAGGCGTGGCAGCTCACGCCTGTAATCCCAGCACTTTGGGAGGCCAAGGCGGGTGCCTCAACTGAAGTCAGGAGTTCGAGACCAGCCTGGGCAACATGGTGAAACCCCGTCTCTACCAAAAATACAAAAATTAGCCGGGCACAGTAGCAGGCACCTGTAATCCCAGCTACTCAGGAGGCTGAGGCAGGAGAATTGTTTGAACCCAGGAGGCGGAGCCTGCAGTGAGCCAAGATCATCCCACTGCACTCCAGCCTGGGCAACAGAGCGAGACTCTGTCTCTAAAAAAAACCCAAAAAAAACAAAAAACCCCCACAAATCAATGCTAGGCACATTGGCTCACACCGGTAATCCTCA
The DNA here is from genome assembly GCF_000001405.40 of Homo sapiens. Classification (NCBI taxonomy): domain Eukaryota; kingdom Metazoa; phylum Chordata; class Mammalia; order Primates; family Hominidae; genus Homo; species Homo sapiens. Next base: position 643,645 of record NC_000009.12, on the reverse strand, counting down.
CACTTTGGAAGGCCTATGCAGGAGGATTGGCCCAGGAGTTCGAGACCAGCTTGGGCAACACAGAGAGACCCTATCACTACCAAAAAAAAAAAAAAAAAAAAATCAAAAAGAAAAAAAGCAAATTCTGGTTTATTTATGTTAAAAATCTTTTGCTTTTAAACCAAATTCTTCGGGAGGAGGCCCCTAGAGCTTGGACCAAAATTTTGGGTAGGTATTAAACAACAACAAAAAGTACTGCAAAAAGGATCTTATTCTGCAAAAAAACATTTAAGAGTTAACTAGTATTTGAAAGATGTTTTTAAATGGCAAAAAGCAGATCTTAAAACAATAACTACAGTAAAAGTAATCAAAAAGATATTTAAAGGCAGTGGCTTTGATGCTTATGAAAGTTATGGATCTTCTCATTAGAAAATACAGACACACACAAACACACACCAAAAAATCTGTATGAAATTTCAAAGGAAGATGGAGATGAATGAGAGTCACTCCCCATCTTCAACAGATCCTTGGTTCAAAACTTTTGCTTTAAAGAATAAGATCTTTCCAAATGGTGATCTGACCAGAATCTGAAAAATGACCTATCCTGTGCTATTTTTATATGTTTCCAAATAGGCTTTCCTCTTTTTTATTAAAAGGTGCCACCATATTTAATATGGAGCTATAAAGTAGAAGAAAAGGAGATAAATTACTTAGTAATAAACATGCATTAAAAAAATTTAGAACGCTAAGCATACTTACCATTGCCATTACTTCGACACTGGCTTTACAAGGAGAAAAGACAGCCAAGGAGAGGCCTAAAAATAAAACTCTCAAAATACCAAAAGGAAGGACTAACTTTCTTCCATCTATAGAAGCAGCTCACTAGATAGAGAAAAAAAAAAGGTGACAGGCACCTATTTATTGTGAAAGACAGAGAGAGAAATTAATTTGCCTCTAGAAATCCAAATAAATTTCAAGTAAGAGTTACCTGCCACAAAAGTTCTTGTCTGGCTTGAATTTTTCTCCCACTCAAAGGAGGGGAATTTTATCAGCTGGTAATTCATAGAAAAAATATAAACCATCTCTCTGTTCTAGTAGCTGAGTGTGTCCAAGAACCAAGAATTTTTCTACAGGAAATTTACAAAAGTGACCTTATGCACTACCAAGATTAGCAAAATCAAACACTTGTTCAAAACCAGGCCTGCCAGCTAAGCTCTACTCTTCTTGTAGTTTTTAGTTTGTTCAAGTGTAAGTCAATTTAGAGAAGCTGCTGTAAAAATAATGTCGACTTTTTAAGGTTAGGGAGGATGAGGAAATGGCTTTTTGTATGTGACCCTCAAAGGTTATTCCCTTCCGCTATCTTTGTAAAACACAAATGGGGTAACTTAACCACGCAGTTTTCTGCAGACTCATTTATTCTACGACCTTTCATGCTTTTATGATACAGAGGTAACAAGTCAGGAAGCACAATGAGGAAAGAGGTTAAAAAGCCCAGCATCTGCCGTGTCAGAAGTAAGCTGGTTTAATCCGCACAGAAATCCAAGCCAACAGTTCATGTGAGCTCAAGCTTTCTGACTATGGGCATCCTATCTCCAGTTACAACACAGTATTTAATATACCCATGGACACAGAAAGTAGAATAATGATTGCCTAGTGCTGGGGGGTGTGTGGTGGTTGGGGAGGAAATCGGCTTTTGATTGCCAATGGGTATGGGTTTTCTTTTTTGGGGTGATGAAAATGTTCTAATGTTGTTTATGCCAATGGTTACACGATTATGTTAATTTACTAAAAACCATTGCATCGTATACTTTAAAGGGTGGACTGCATGGTTTGTGAATTATACCTTAATAAAGTAGTCCTTAAAAAACCAAAATGTATGAATTTCCTTGTCATTACGATCAGGGTAAGCTGGTAGCTGAAGGTTAAGACAGGATGAAAAGGTGTTACAAGAAATGGCAAGAGAGTAAGATGTAAGATAGGTAGAGAAAAAAATCACTGTGTTCTTTCTCACTGAATCATTCCTCCATCAACAAAGGACACAGGCTACGCTTCCTTGCAGTTAGGATTTGAGGATGCCTCTGTTCCGAGTTTCTTCAGTACAGGGTAATATGCCTTGGAATCCCAACGCTTAGAACTCCCTAAACTTTGTGCAGCAGCTCCATTTGCATGTTGTTCATGGTGGTGGAGATGATCTTAGCCATTTCATAAAAGAAACCTGTCTCTTGGAAAGGATATACAGAGTACTAAGAAACAAGGATCACCACCAAGATGGATGTTCTACTTTCCTTCCAATGACCAAAGCAGGTATCTGATAAGGAGGATTCTTCTAACTCAGGAAACGACGATTAGGTAAAAGACTTTTATTTGTTTATCTGATAAAGACAGATTATACACATTCATGTCCAGACTATCCTTAAACATACTGTTCATATCTGATTGCATTAATTATCAGTTCCATGGGAGAACCCAGTTTCTTACTGCATTTCTCACCATCACAGGGCTTCTTCCCACACTGGACTACATTTTTCAGGCTTGAAGTATATCACTGGTATAAATGGAAAATTGGTTTGGGCTATCAACATGGCTCTTGGCAGCATCTATTTAAAAACTGACATCAAAATTTAGCTCTCTCTTTTAAAATTTCACTGCAACACAGACATTTAAAAGTGGTGGCCAGGCGCGGTGGCTCACGCCTGTAATCCCTGGACTTTGGGAGGCCGAGGCGGGCAGATAACAAGGTCAGGAGATCGAGACCATCCTGGCTAACATGGTGAAACCCTGTCTCTACTAAAAATACAAAAAATTAGCTGGGCCTGGTGGCGGGCACATGTAGGTCCAGCTACTCGGGAGGCCAAGGCAGGAGAATGGTGTGGACCCGGCAGGCAGAGCTTGCAGTGAGCCAAGATTGCACCACTGTACTGCAGCCTGGGCAACAGAGCAAGACTCCATCTCAAAAAAAAAAAAAAATTAGGCCGGGCGTGGTGGCTCACACCTGTAAACCCAGCACTTGGGGAGGCCGAGGCAGGTGGATCACCTGAGATCAGGAGTTCAAGACCAGCCTGGCCAACATAATGAAACCCCATCTGTACAAAAATACAAAAATTAGCTGGGCATGATGGTAGGCGCCTGTAATCCCAGCTACTCAGGAGGCTGAGGTGGAAGAATCACTTGAACCTGGGAGGCGGAGGTTGCAGTAATCCGAGATTACACCATTGCACTCCAGTCTGGGAGACAGAGACTGACTCTGTATAAAAAAAAAAAAAATTAGCTGGGCGTGATGGCATGCACCTGTAATCCCAGCTAATCGGGAGGCTGATGCAGGAGAATCGCCTGAACCCAGGAGGTGGAGGCTGCAGAGAGCCGAGATCACACACTCCAGCCCAGGCGACAGAGCGAGACTCTGTCTCAGAAATATAAAATAAAATAAAAATGATGTGTGCCCCCCAAAAAGGAGTTTCCATTCAGATGGACTACCCCTGCCTGAGCAGTGAGAATGAGAAGCCAAGAGTCTTTAACCTCATGAAGCATAGAGTTGGGAATACAAACTCTTGGTTTCTTAACTCAAATGTGGAGTTATCCTAAAATGAAGCTGAGTACAACGAGGTCTGAGAGACTGCTATGGTTCTCAATGTTTTGTGTCTCCCAAGATTTACATTTTGAAACCCAACCTTCAACGGGATGGCATTAAGGATGGGTCCTCTGGGAGGTGATTAAATCATCAGGGTAGAACCCTCACAAATGGGATTAGTGCCCTTACAAAGGGTTTGAGGAAGCTTGTTAGCTCTTTTGCCCATCTGCCATGTAAGGACATAGAAGGCACTATCCTTGAGGAACAGGCCCTCACCAGATACTGAATCTGCTGTCATCTTGATCTTGGAATTCCCAGACTTCAGAACTGTGAGCAATAAATTTATGCTGCTTATAAATTACACAGTCTGTAGCATTTTGTTACAGCAGCCTGAATGGACTAAGACGGAGACTTTACTTACAGCCTGAGACACACACAGAAGGCAGAGGGTGTGGCACTGTTTGGTAAATCATCTAAGATCAGGCCAGGCGCAGTGGCTCGTGCCTGTAATCCCAGAACTTTGGGAGGCCGAGGTGGGCAGAAGACTTGAGGCCAGGAGTTCAAGACCAGCCTGGCCAACATGGTGAAACCCTGTCTCTACTAAGAATACAAAAACTAGCCAGGTGTGATGGTGTGTGCCTGTAATCCCAGCTACTTGGGAGGCTGAGGCAAAAGAATCCCTTGAGCCAGGGAGGAGGAGGTTGCAGATCGTGCCACTGCACTCTAGCCCGGGTGATAGAGTGAGTCTCTGTCTCAAAAATAATAATAATAAATAAATAAAAATAAAATAATCAAAGATCAAATCTCCATGTGAAAAGAAAGTGAACTCTTGCCACACTGATTACTGCCAATGATAAGAATGAGAGAAAATTAAAGGGAAGGTGTATATTTAAGTGAAATAGGGTGGAATGTAATCCCAGCTGAAGTAAAATGACAGCTTTGAAGAGACCTGTTGAAGCCTAGTGAAACAAAGTGTTCAGCAATCAGATGTGTGGGGGGAAAGCATGTCCTAAGAGTGTTTTTATGGGACTCCTGTAGGAAGGTAAGACTTACACTGAGGTGTGATTTCTGTTATGCACTATTCATTTTATGAAGCTTCTAGATCACTGACTTTGCTCAGGTGAACATATTAAAATACACAAAAATAAGTACAGTCAAATCCACTTGCTCAGCCATAGGAAAAAGGAATGAACTACTCCTAAGTTGTCGACATTGCTGATGCCCTTTTATCTGTCTCTTCCTGGCAGTAACACAGTCAAATTGAATGGCAGAGAGAAGAATAATTCTCTGGAAGGGATAGAAGAGAAAATTTCCATACGCTGATGGAGAATCAGAGGAATCTACAGAAAAGAATTAGAAGGAACCAAGTGCCTCTTCAAGGGCAGATCGCAAATTTAACAAGTTTATGAAAGACAACAAAGTCCATCTATCTCAAAAGAATGGAAACTCAAAGTTTGCCCAGAACCTGGAGGTAAAGAACCAACATATTCTTTGCCAAATATTTTGCCTTTGGTTGAAAAAACACATTGAGGCACTTTACAGAGCTGGTGCTAACAATATAACTCGAGCCCCAGTGGCCAGGAAATAAGAGATTTATCTGAAACTCTGTTTATATGTTTATCCTGAAACAAACAATCTCTCTGACATAGCAGAGGGTAACAAGTTAGTTACCTTACTGAAAGGCAAGATGATGATGAGAGCAAAACCTCAGGACCCATGTAGGAAGAGAAAGCAAAAGTGGCGAATATGATTCAAGTGACACTCCAGCTCAGCAGGCTTTACTGGTATCAGCAAGAAGGCGTTTACCACATGTCCCCCTGATCTTGGACTTCTCAGCCTCCATAGCTATAAGAAATAAATTTCTTTATATGCCATTCAGTTTTAGGAATTCTATCATAAGCCACAGAAAATGGGCTAAGAAACTATTCAATGACTGCTTTGTTTGTATCTTAAGGATTATATTTGATAAGAAGTTCTGGATCCTCCATTTCAGTTTCTCTAATAGTTACTGATACTGCATAAGCTTGGCTATTAAACAGTGTGCATCTGTATGTAACCTGGATGTGATGCCTGGCACTTCTACAGCCATTCTGTCACCATGCAGAGTGAGTCTGAAGATGTACCAGCACATGGTCCATGGCACAGTGGAATAAAGAGTAGGAACCAGAGTCTCTGATGGTTTCATTGAACCACTGAATCAACCAACCCCAAAAGCTGCTTTTGGGACTTATGAAAAATATTGGCTTTTCTTATGCTGAAGGCAATTTCCCATCTGTCCCAGTCTAATAGTTTTTAAAATATATGACATTGGTAGTCTCACATGAAATACTCTGAGTACCCACTATTAGGAAAAGTATCTGACAAGCACCTCCCTAAAAAAATTCTAAACATCTTAACATTAAATATTTAACTAGAAAAAATATACACTCGTTCCTGGCTTATTTCTTGATCCCATAGGACAGTGGTTCTCAAGTGTGGTCCCCAGATAAAGCATTAGCATCATCTGGGAACTTAACAGAAATACAAATTCTCAGGCTTCACCCCAGACTTGGTGACTTAGATATCCCTGAAGGTAAGTCCCAGCAATACGTACTTGAGTTAAGTACCCCAAGTGATTGTGATGCATGCTAAAATTTATGAAACTTTGCTGCAAGAAACACTACTTATGACATCAGCTATCAGTCATCATTAGTCACAATGAAATGAATGTTGAACCATACAAAATGGGCTATACAAGTGCCACCCTACCCTCCATTTTCTAAACAAAGTACTGTCACAGATGATGAAAGGCCAGAGAAAAAATGAACATTCAACAAATGCTGGAACAAAAGCTTTCACATCATTATTGTGAATAGATAATGAGACTACTTGGTAGTGTTTGAAGGCAACAGAAGACCTGGGAATAGCAAACTTGAGAAAGAATAGGGTTGAGAGAAGGACAACTCTTCCAATTACCTAGGAGAGGCTCTGCTGATACAGCAGAAATTAAGGAGTTGTTGGAGGAGTGGAATAAAGTAGAAACTGTCAAAAAATGGAGAGAAGGGGCACATAACTGGATGAAATCAATAAAGTACTAGATAAAATATTCCTGAAAGGTATAAACAAAGTTTTGAATAGGGGACTACAGAAGGACTGGCAAAGTCTAAAGTGGCTTGGTTTAAAAACAGTCTCTGAGGGAAAGGTTGGCTCTCTGGGCCTAAAGGAAGGGTTTCTGTTTTGTTTATGTTTTTATTTTGAGACGGAGTCTCGCGCTGTCGCCTGGCTGGAGTCCAATGGCAATCTCGGCTCACTGCAACCTCCACCTCCCGGGTTCATGCGATTCTCCTGCCTCAGCCTCCTGAGTAGCTGGGATTACAAGCACACACCACCATATCTGGCTAATTTTTTGTATTTTTAGTAGATATGGGGTTTCATTATGTTGGCCAGACTGGTCTCGAACTCCTGACCTCGTGATCCGCCTGCCTTGGCCTCCCAAAGTGTTGGGATTACAGGTGTGAGCCACCGCACCCAGCCAGGAAGGTTGTTTAAAGGTGTACAGGACAGAATGCCCAGCAAGTTATGAAGTGGACAACGTTTCGGACTCTGTTGATGGGAACTGACTGAGCCTCCATGATCTCTTTAATATTGTCCTGAATGCTGTGGAACAGAAGAGAAATGAGATGTTTACAATCCAGGCAGGAAAAAGATAAAAGGGAAGGTGGATATTTAGCCATCAAACACAAAAGAAACCAGGACATACCCTGCATGATCAGCAGTGCTAATATGAGAAGCAGTAATATATGGCAGCAGTCTGGATAAGAGCTCTGAAAAGTTTGAAATTATTCTGATAATTCTCAGCCAGGAGAGTTCTGCATATAAAGATCTAAGAGCAGAGCTCTCAACCTGGCCGCCACTAGAATCCCTGAGAACTTTTACAAAAACACCCTAGGCCCTAACCCAGGCCAACTGAAACTGAATCTTTAATTGATACTTGGATAGGCATATTGTTTGAAAGCTCCTCCAATAATTCTGATGTACAACCATTTATTTGTCTGAGAATATCAGAAAAACAGTAAAACTATGAAAATCTAAAGGCTATATGTACCACGCAGAAACTGAGTTTGTGCCTCATTAAGAAGGAATAAAGCCAGGCACGGTGGCTCACACCTGTAATCCCAGCACTTTGGGAGGCTGATGCAGGTGGATCACCTGAGGCCAGGAGTTCAAGACCAGTCTGACCAATAAAGTGAAACCTGTCTCTACTAAAGTGGTGTGCACCTGTACCGCCAGCTACTCGGGAGGCTGAGACAGGAGAATCACCTGAACCCGGGAAGCAGAGGTTGCAGTGAGCTGAGATCGTGCCACTGCACTCCAGCCTGGGCAACAGAGTAAGACTCCGTCTCAAAAAAAAAAAAAAAAAAAAAAGAATAAAAAGGAATGTGGGTAAATGGATGAAGGGACATTAATAAATTGTGAATGCCACATTAACTTTTTCTTATTCTACTCATATAGAATTCTTACTATTCTAATAATAAAAAGGGAACACTATTATTCCATTTTGAAGACTAGCTCCAGTCTCAAGGGGCTGATATGACTAGGATGTAAGAGTACTTCCATCTGTGCGTGGTATTAGTCTTAGCATTTTGGGGAAAAGGTTTGCACAAATAAAGTCAGGGTCTGTGGTTCTCTACGAAGCACATGAAGGAATAGAGAGCAGCGCAGGCATGCCCCAAAGGACCTCAGGGTCCAGCTAGAGAGATATGACCTTCACACAGGTGGCAAAGGGGTAGAACAGGGAGTGCGCAAGGAAAGTTCCATGGAGCAAAGCGAACTCGGGTATAGGCCTGGGGGGCTGGGTACCTAAAATCTAGAGGGGCAGAGAGCAGGTTTGGTGGTAGGCAGGCACAGACTTTTTAGGGTCACCATGAGGTCAGGATGGAAGAGGGACATACAAAGGGAGAAAAGGAAGCCCTGTAGTCCTGGTGGTTGACTCTCCACCTGTTCCCCCATGCTGGTTACCATAATAACGGCATTCCCTTTACCTGTGATTGGTTTGTAAAGGACCATGTGACTCATTTTTGGTCAGTGAAATGTAAGATGTTCTCTAGGGTGCGTCTGGAAATGTTTCCTTACTCCTACAAGAGCCACAAGATGCCCTGTCTAGATGTGATGCCTGGCACTTCTGTAGCCATTTTGCCAAGAGGCAGAGCAAGTCTCAGGATGTACCAGTGCATAGTGGATGGCAGAGTGAAGTGACAATAAGAACCTGGGCCCCTAATGATATCAGTGGGCCACTAAATCTGAAAGTCCTTTTGCAAAAATGATGACATTGAGAGAAATCTAGCATGGTTCAACTCCATCTTGCTTCTGGCCTCACAGGCTGGTTCATTCCTGGGCATGGGCTAAGATAACCACGGGAGAAATTTAGTTTGTAATTTAACTTTGAAACAAGGATGATAACAGTCCCTCCCTGAAACTCATTCCCTTCCTTGTTCAGGTGCTGAAACTGCCTTTGTAAGACTAATAAAGGCCACAAGACTAGAATAATGGGAGGGGCCTGAATTCTGCTAACATGTAAGCATACTTTCTATAATCTCTTACTGCTCAGAAGTCAGGTGGCCAGAGGTTGCAAGGTTTGTGACTTCCCCAATTGCTCCTATAGATAACATCACTACTATAGAACCTAAGATTAGTCTTTTGAGATGCTTGTCAGACTTTTGCATTCAGGCAACCGAGTGACCCCACCGGGAGCCAGGACTCATAACTCAACCAAGGAAGTCCAGAGATGGACTCAGTGCAGGTGAGGTGGCACAGGATTAGACCATTTTGCACATCCCTATGATTTCATCCTCAACCAATCAGCAGCACCCATTCCCTAAGTCCTCCGCTCACCAAACTATCCTTGAAGAGCCCTAACTCTCTGAGCCTTTGGGGAGATTGATTTGAATAATAACTCCATTTTCCACATTGCTGGCCTAGCATTCATTAAACTCTTTCTTTACTGCAATATCACAGTCTCAGTGAATTGGCTTTGTGTGTGCAATTGGGCAATTACAAATTAATTAACCCCAGAAGTTCATTTCTGAACTTATGAAAAAGATAAACCTTTCTTACCATGTAAGGCAATTTGTTTCAAGGTTTTCTTGGATTTTGACTTGCATCTATTTATGGCTCAGTGCAGTGGCTCATGCCTATAATCCCAGCACTGTGGGAGGCTGAGGCCAGAGGATCACTTGAAGCTAGGAGTTGGGCCCAGCCTGGGCAACATAAGGAGACCCTGTCCCTACTAAAAATAAAAACTTAGCCAGGTGTGGTGGCATGTGCTTGTAATCTCAGCTACTTGGGAGGCTAAGGCAGGAACACCCTTTGAGTCTAGGAGTTCAGGGCTGCAATGAGCTATGAACATGCCACTGCACACTAGCCTGGGTGACAAAGCGAGACCCTGTCTCAAACATTAATAAATAAAACATATTTAAACAGTAAGCCTGGAAAGATGAGTCAGAATGAATTATTGAGAGCTCATATGCCAGGTTCAGGAATCTGGATACAATGCTATGGACAGACAGACTACATTAAGAGTCTTGGGAGAAGGGGTAGCACTGTTGGAAGTAACTTGAATGGCAAGACAAAAAAAGGTGTTTTTTTTGTTTTGTTTTGTTTTTGAGACGGAGTCTCGCTCTGTCACCCAGGCTGGAGTGCAGGGGCGCGATCACGGCTCACTGCAACCTCCGCCTCCCGGGTTCACGCCATTCTCCTGCCTCAGCCTCCCAAGTAGCTGGGACTACAGGCGCCCGCCACCACGCCCGGCTAATTTTTTTTGTATTTTTAGTAGAGATGCGATTTCACCGTGTTAGCCGGGATGGTCTCGATCTCCTGACCTTCTGATCTGCCCGCCTCGGCTCTCAAAGTGCTGGGATTGCAGGCGTGAGCCACTGCGCCCGGTCAAGGGTTGGGTTCTTATCAATAGTCCATAAAAGGTTTCATTAAATATCCTTCTTATGGGGCACTAAAAGTGAGTGTAGAAAAAGTCACGATTGGACAGAAAATGGTAGGAAACCTCATAAGATGTGGAGGGAGGGGGCCATGTTACCTCTGCCGTTTTGCTTTGCTAAAACACTCACTCTCAGGCTGGGAGCAGTGGCTCACGCCTGTAATCCCAGCACTTTGGGAGGCTGAGGCAGGTGGATCACCTGAGGTCAGGAGTTCCAGACCAGCCTGGCAAACATGGCGAAACCCCGTGTCTACTAAGACTACAAAAAAAAATTAGCCGGGTGCGGTGGCGCATGCCTGTAAACCCAGCTACTCGAATGGCAGAGGCAGGAGAATCACCTGAACCCAGGAGGTGTAGGCTGCAGTGAGCCGAGATCTCACCACTGCACTACAGCCTGGGCAACAGAGAGAGACTCCATCTCAAAGAAAAACAAAACAAAACAAAACACCACTCTCATTATCTCATGAGGATCAAAGCAGATAATGTGATAATCAATTACAAGATAAATCCTCAGTGTGACTCCACGGAATGAAAATGTCCTCCCCTGCCTCTCACCTTGGCAGTCCAAGGTGCATTTGAAAGAAGTTGTAAAAAATTACAAGCTGCTTTATTTTTCATAAAACCTCCATCTTCACCAGTTACAGTATATGTAGTAATTATCTTTTCCATGCTCTCAATAATTATCTTCTTAACCAGTTTTTAAAATATTTTCCATTCAACTTTCATTTTAAGATTAACAATACAATTACTAAACCACTGATTCCTTTAACCTCTTCTCTTAGAGCCCTAAGGTAAAGCTCAATTATTGAGACAAATAATTACATGCTGTAGATGTATCATCCTAGATATCAAAATCTAGGGGCATGCAATTTTAGTAATATTTTTGGCCAAGAAAATCTGGAAAAGCTGGCTGCCAATATCTGATGTTAAAGGAAAATATGAATTCTGACTTCAAAAGAAGTTCACTGCCACTTTCTAACGTTTGACCATACCTAGTCAAACTTAAATTGAAGGTCAAATGTTATTTCCTTTTCATTGCCTTTATTAAGTGACTGTTAAAGGCTAGACACAATGCTACGGAGACAGGGATTAATGACACAGTCTTTGTACTCATGCAATACAGAATGATGGAAGAGAAGTTATCATGGCATACTGTAATTTAACAGTATGTTAAATACTTATCCTATTGGTGTGAGCTGAGAGCTATAGAGCCACAGCGGTAGATAACCCAAACTGGTATGTGAAGAAGGGTTATCTGAGGACACCACCCCTGAAATGAGGCTTAAAGATGACTAAATTGGCCCCAAAGGGGAGGAAGTACAGTCTTCAAAGAGCACCCAGAGCAGATGCAAAGGGAAGAAGAGACCACAGAATGGGGTGTGTGAGGAGTTAAATATGCAAGGGATGGATGACTACAGGTTTTGCATGCCAAGCTAAACAGTTGGACTTTATTTTGGAAGCAGCAGGAGTCACTGAAAGACACCTGAGCTCAGAAGCCACCATATTGGGTTAGTTTTCAGTAACTACTGCTCTGGCTGAGATGAGGAAAACGACTTGCCTTGCCTAGAGGAGGAGGAATGTGGAAGAAGGAGATCCTAAGAGGGTGTTTCAGTGCACAGGTATAGTGGGGAATTAGGAGGGAGGTCTGGGCTGGAAGTACAGATAAGCCTCAGTGCGTGGGATGGCTGAGCTCAAGGGTATAGTTGATGGTCCTCAAGGAGATGAAAGGAGAAGTCTTAAATCTTGGATGGAATGCCAAGGAGACTATGAAATTTTCCTGGTTAAGGCTGCCCAGGGGGAGCCCCACAAATCCTGGGGTGCTAATGAGGCCGCACAGCATTTCTTTTTCCGTGTGGGCTGCATAACTTGCATAGATAATTCTGCTTGCTGGGCATAGGCTGTACTATATATTTAATCTATTTTCAACTCAACTTATAAACTCATGCCCTTTGTCTCAAAGGCAAAGGAGTAAGGAAATATTTGTGGTACAATGCAAAACGTATTAACGCTGAACAGAAACAACAATAACAGCAGCAAAAGACACATATCACTCCTAGAACTGCTTATACCAAGATACATATTTCTACCAACCAGTCATACCCTCACTTGGCCTTTTCCTTAAACAATCAACAACCAGATATTGACTAAGCACTTTTTGTTTTGTTTTGTTTTTTGAGACAGAGTCTTGCTCTGTCACCCAGGCTAGGGTGTGGCGGCATGATCTCGGCTCATTACAACCTCTACATCCCGGGTTCAAGTGATTCTCGTGCCTCAGCCTCCCAAGGAGCTCCTCTACATCCCGGGTTCAAGTGATTCTCGTGCCTCAGCCTCCCAAGGAGCTGGGATTACAGGCGCCTGCCACCACACCTGGCTAAATTTTTGTATTTTTAGTAGACACAGGGTTTTACCATGTTGGCCAGGCTGGTCTCAAACTCCTGACCTCAGGTGATCTGACCGCCTTGGCCTCCCAAAGTGCTGGGATTACAGGCATGAGCCACCGCGCCCAGCCCTAAGCTTTCTGCAGCCTCTCTCACCTTCCACCTGAAACGAAGCTACTCTTCAGGTTATTACTTTTTATCCTTCTGAGTCTCGCTCTGTCGCCCAGGCTGCAGTGCAGTGGCGGGATCTCAGCTCACTGCAAGCTCCGCCTCCCGGGTTTACGCCATTCTCCCGCCTCAGCCTCCCGAGTAGCTGGGACTACAGGCGCCCGCCACCATGCCTGGCTAATTTTTTTGAACTTTTAGTAGAGATGGGGTTTCACCATGTTAGCCAGGATGGTCTCCATCTCTTAACCTCATGATCCGCCTCAGCCTCCAAAGTGCTGGGATTACAGGCGTGAGCCACCGTGCCTGCCCCCCAACTCGTTTTTTTTCTTTTTTTTAAGACAGAGTCTCGCTCTGTTGCCCAGGCTGGAATGCAGTGGTGCAACCTCAGCTCACTGCAGCCTCGAACTCCCAGCCTCAAGCAGTCCTCCCACCTATGCCTCCTGAGTAGCTGGGACTATAGGCACATGCCACCACGTCTGCTAATTTTTGTATTTTCTAGTGGAGACAGCGTTTTGCCATGTTGGCCAGGGTGGTCTTGAACTCCTGGCCTTAAGTGATCGGCCTTTCTCAGCCTCCCAAAGTGCTGGGATTACAGGCGTGAGCCAGTGCGCCTGGCCTTCACTTTTATTCTTATTATTCCCTTTGTTCTTGAAAAACAAGCATTCTTCCACTTATAGATGAACAAAGTGCGTAGTACAGTGCCTGACACACAGAAAACACTCAGTAAATGAGTCATTGCCTGCTGTTTAAAATATGGTCCTCTCCCTGAATCACTGATTGGGGTGCCCATTCGTCTAATTCTCCTCTCTACTTTGTTATGCCAATTCTCTCTACATACGTATACAAGGTGTTATATCTCCAACACGTTTGTACTATAGGTTACAACTGTGAGGCACTGTAACTGAGTTGTTTGAGATCTCCTCTGGGAGAAGGGAGAATCAGGTATCATTTGTTTCTGCTTCAGAGACCAATGCACTTCTCTCAGGATGTGTTTGGATGTTTATAATTTATTTATATGTGATGGGCCTTTACAGAAGGCAGGAGAATAGTTAAGTTACTGAATCATAAAATGTCATTGCCTTTCCTAATAATGTATCTGAGCAGATGGCAAACAGCTACTTTTATGGCTTGTTTCTCCATTACACGTAGAAATATTTATTAACATTGTATTTCTGTCACATGTGTGCACCAGCAAGAAACCAAGTTAGGCAGCTGCCACTGTGGCTGGGGGAAGAGAGAGAGTGACTCGTGACCCACTCTGGTTTTTGTCTTAGCAGGTGATCAAGCAAAGCCTCAGCCTGAGGGAGGGGGAGCAAGAACATGGCTTACTCCCCTGGTGCTAAAAAGTGCTGAACAAGGCAACCCCATCAGCGGCTGGGAGCAACTCTCATGACAAAACACTGCATTTTATCAGATCTGAGATCTCACTGATCACAAACATACATTATTTTACATACTACAGAGAAAGGAAAAGCATGCAAGATGGGATTTTTTTTTTTTTTTTTGGAAACAGTTGTGCCCTGTTGCCCAGGCTGGAGTGCGGTGGCATGATCTTGGCTCACTGCAACCTCACCTCCTGGGTTCAAGTGATTCTCCTGCCTCAGCCTCCTGAGTAGCTGGGATTACAGGCGCCCATCACCATGCCCAGCTAATTTTTTGTATTTTTAGTAGAGATGGGGTTTCGCCATGTTGGCCAGGCTGGTTTTGAACTCCTGGCCTCAAGTGATCTGCGCACTTTGACCTCCCAAAATGCTAGGATTACAGGAGTGAGCCACCATGCCCGGCCCAAGATGGTAAACTGAACAGGTATCAGGGACCACTTGAATCCAGGGAACCAAATGGCCACAAAGAAACCCGCCATGCAGAAAGGGATGGCAAAGAGCCTTGGATGTTTCAACCTGGGAACTGGGCAGAGAGGGGAGGAATCTCCCCTGAAGATTTGAATCCTAAGTCAGTAGTTACTCTCATTTGCATTCTGAACTCACCACCACTGTGGTTCAAGTGCCCTCAAGCAGGGAATCTAAACTTTGGTCTTAGTTTACCAGCACCTCAAGTGACGAGCAGAGGCAGACACTGAAGAAATGAACTTCCATGGCAACTTTAAGATGTATACTGATTTCAGATGTTAACTATTAAAATACGTACATCTGTGAATATAAATACAGGAACCCCCCCTACTGGGAGGCCCATTACAGGAGTTATTCAGGATTTGGAACTAAGAATACCAAAGTTAGGAAGAAGGCAAGACAGAAACCAAAGTCTCAAAAACAAGATGAGGTCTGACAAGTTACCCACTGAAGGGAATGAAAGCACACTGGAGACAGGCAGAGTCAATCAAGACTCTGCAGCCAGGAGCAGGTTGAAGACGAGCAGGCTGAGGCTTAGTGCTACAGCTCCGTCCACTTGTTTTCGGACTTCAAGAGTCAGGAGAGAAGCTATCCCAGCTTCAATTCCTCATCAATAAGATGCAGGAAATACTCTCTAGGATTACTGAGGAAATGAAATAAGCAACTGTATTTTAAGTGTTTTATATACTGTAAAAGCATTGTGCCAATAAAATTATACTTGTTATTCTAGATACAAATATTCTGAATGCTCCTTTAGTCAGATTCTGTGTTTTTCTTTTTTTTTTGTTGTAATTTTCACTTAGCGGGGGCTGTATATAAATCAAGCCCTTAGTAAATTTTTATTTAGTGAATATATAAATACTGCCAGCATCTGGCCCTAGCCCTATTTGGCCTAAAATTCCTGAGGGCTGGTTATCACTATTGCTGAAAATAGAAAGGGAAAAACAAGAACAAAACCCACCAATCCAAGACAGGATATACTTGTGCTTAATTAAACAAGCACACAGCACTCTCCCATCCACCCTCTGGTCCCCCTGAAACTCATACCTGCAAAACCAAGATACGAGCTGGAATGACATGATGCTTTCAAAATAGCAGACTGAAGAAGACTCCAGAAGACAACTTTACAATGTATTAAACAAGATAAAAGGCAGCTTCAAAACAAGAAGATTGTTCATTACTGGCAAAAACACCCTCAACACCATCAAAGAGCAGCTTTGGAGAAGAGATTAAATTCTAGGTCCCCAGGAATATCCTGATAATCAAGCTTACCAGCAGAGATAAGAGAAAAAGGTCCTCTCCTGGGCACAATGCTTCCAGTGGGAGGGGGCAGAAGCTCTGTGGCTAGGAGGGGGCAGAAGCTCTGTGGCTAGGAGTGAGAAATCCTGGGCAGAAGATGAGGACTTCTATTTCCAACCTGGGTAGCCCTGGGTACTCAAATCAGGCTTTGTGGTTTAGGGAGAAGGAGGAGGGAATGGAGACTGGGGTTCTTCCAGGCTCTGCCCTCATCCATCACAGGTTTCTGGATGGACTTGTCCATAAAATGAAGAGTAGGACAGGAGGATCTAGGGCACAATCTGTATCTTACATTTCATGATTCTAGATTTCCCAGGATGGCAGTATTTAAGGAAAGGAATTCTGTGCTGTTCATTCTCTGTTGTCCAACCCCCACCTTTTTTTCCCCCTTGGAATAAAGGGTACAAGAAAAGAGCAAATCAAATAAATATGAAATAAAGACCAAAATAGCTACACAGAACACCAAAAGGAATGAGTTAGAATGTGAAGAGACTGAGAAGCACCGATGTACACCAGTGTAAAACACCAATAGCAGCCGCCTGTCTTCTATCTGGTTTAACACACTGTAAAGCTGTCTTCTGGAGTCTAACTTCAATCTGCTATTGTGAAAGCATCATGTCATTACAGCTTGTATCCTAGTTTTGCAGGTCTGAGTTTCAGGGAGACCGAGGGTGGATGTGAGAGTACTGTGTGCTTGTTTAAGCACAAATATATTCTGTCCTGAATTGGTGGGTTTTGTTTTTTGTTTCTCCTTTTCTATTTTCAGCAATAGTGGTAACCAGCCCTCAGAAATTTGAGGCCAAATAGGGCTGGGGCCAGATGTTGGCAGTATTTATTTATTCACTAAATAAGGATTTACTAAGGGCTTGATTTATGTACAGCCTCCTCCTAAGTGAAAATTACAAAAACAAAACAGAAAACACAGAATCTGACTAAAGGAGCATTCAGAATATTTGTATCTAGAATAATAAGTATAATTTTATTGGCACAGCTTTTTTTTGTTTCCTTTTTGAGATGGAGTCTCGCTCTGTCACCCGGCTCACTGCAACCTCTGCCTCCTGAATTCAAGCAATTCTCCCGCCTCAGCCTTCCGAGTAGCTGGGACTACAGGCATGTACCACCACGCCTGGCTAACTTTTTTATTTTTAGTAGAAATGGGGTTTCACCATGTTGGCCAGTCACTCCCGACCTCAGATGATCTGCCTGCCTCGGCCTCCTAAAGTGCTGGGATTACAGGCATGAACCACTGCACCCGGACGCACAATGCTTTTACAGTACATAAAATACTTAAAATACAGTTGCTTATTTCATTTCTTCAGTAATCCTAGAGAGTATTTTCTGTACCTTATTGATGAGGAATTGAAGCTGGGATAGCTCCTCTCCTGACTCTTGAGGTCAGAAAACAAGTGCACCGAGCTGTAGAATGCACAAATGGCAAACATTAAAGGGGAGGTCCAGAAAGTTGAATGGAGTGCAGGGGAGTTTCTGAAGTGACTGAAGGTGGGAATAAGAGGCTCAGGATGAAAATGATCATCTGGGGACCGTGGGGAGTGGTTAAAACCGGGAAATGAACCGAGTGGTGAGAGATATGGGCAGCCTAGAAAGAGGCTAAACTGTCACAGACTTTAAGTACACAGTGCAACAAACTCAGGGGCTCAGCTTTTTAAAGCACAGGTCCATGTTTGATCAAGGAGACTCAAAACTTCTTCCCATTCATTTTATTCTGAATACTTGTTTGATTAAGTCTTTCAGAATGTTTCTATGGGGGCTGTTTCAGTTAACAAAGCAGAGAAAACCAGAAACCTGTCTAAAACACTAATTTTTAAAGAGTGATCTCAATGTTGTTTTTTTTTTCCAGATACTCCTCGCACAAGAAGGTTTGTAGAAATATAGAACTTTTAACAACGGATAACTATGAGAAGGCCCAACCCAGAAGTTTCCTGTAGATTAAGAGAAAAGAAAAACAAAAATATAGGCAATCTTGGAGGCCCAAGATTTGCCCAGTAATAAACAATTTTTCTGGAAAACTGGAAACAAGGTTTATTTCACCTCAGTCAGGCTGTTAGCCAGTATTTTTGTTGGACTCAAGTTCTTAAAGATTCAAATGTTTCCTATTCTCAACCTCTGGCTTACAGATAAATACTTAACGGTTTTTATCTGGGGGCTGGCCCTACTTGATAAGGACTTATAAAACTGTACTAAAAAATATGTTTAAACAAATCTTTCCCGTGACAGTAGCAGTCTTTTCCTCCATGAGGAAATCTGGCTCTTAGAGCTGATCTGCAGGAATTCGCTGCCAAATAAGAGATCTGCGGGCTGTGGGTTTGCCCAGGACGCTAACGGTGCTAACTGCTGTACACCCTTAGGAGCACCTTTCAGACCCCAGGGCATCGAACAAGGCACAATTTCATCTTCCATTTCATTCCACTGCCATTTCATAATTTAGAAATTAAGGAACAAAAAAGTTAAATAGCTTGCTCAGGGCATAAAGTAAGTCCAAGTCAAGGTTTAAGCTTTTAAACTGAAGCCTGTCCGGCTGCACACCCCTTTTCCTCAGAGATGGGCTCTCACTGGTGGCTTGGTAAGGCAGCTATTTTTTTCATTGCGTTTTTAAAGGGGATATTGTTTTTGTTTGTTTTTTGAGACAGAGTCTCGCTCTGTCACCCAGGCTGGGGTACAGTGGCGTGATCTTAGCTCACTGCACCCTCCACCTCCCAGGTTCAAGTGATTCTCCTGCCTCAGCCTCCCGAGTAGCTGGGACTACAGGAATGACTACGCCCGACTAATTTTTGTATTTTTAGTAGAGATGGGGTTTCACTATGTTGGCCAGGCTGGTCTCAAACTCCTGATCTCAAGTGATCACCCACCTCAGCCTCTCAAAGTGCTGGGATTACAGGCATGAGCCACCACACCCGGCCTGTTTTCATCATTGTTTTTAATGCAACTTTTAGGATGCTTCTGATTTTCCTAATTTTATTGAGGAATAATTAATAGAAATTATACGTATTCAAAGTATACAATGTGATTATTTGATATAAATATAGATTGCATATTGATTCCCATAATCAAATTAATCAACACATCTGTCATCACACATAGTTACCCTCTGCATGGAGAGGGAAAAGACTAAGGACGCTCCCTAATCTCCAGAACATATTCATCTTATAAATGAAAGCTTGTACCCTTTGACCAGCATCTCACCGTTTCTCCCATGCCCCAGACCCTGACAATCACCATTCTACTCTTGGCTTGTGGATTCAACGTTTTTATATTCTACATATAACTGAGATCATACAGTATTTGTTTTTCTGTGTCTGGATTATTCCACTTAGCATAATGTCCTCCAGGTTCATCCATGTTGTTGCAAATGGCAGGCTTTCCTTATTTTTATGGCTAAATATTATTCTATCCTGTATATATATACCACATTTTCTTTAACCATTCCTAAGATAAATGGCACTTGGGTTGTTTCCATATCTTTGCTATTGTGAGTAATGCTGAAATAAATATGGAAGTGAAGATATCTCTTTGACATACTAATTTGATGTCTTTTAAACATATATCCACAAGTGGGACTGCTGGATCATATAGTTGATTTTTACAAAACTTCCATACCAATGTCCATAATGGCTGTACCAATTTTCACCCTAATAGCGTACAAGGGTTCCCTTTCCTCCATATCCTTGTCAAAACTTGTTATATTTTGTCTTTTTGATAACAGGCATCCTAACAAATGTGAGATAATATCTCATTGTGGTTTTGATTTGCATTTCTCTAATGATTAGTGATGTCAAGCACCATTTTTCTTTTTTTTTTCTTTTTCTTTTTTTTTTTTGAGACACAATCTCACTCTGTTGCCCAGGCTGGAGGGCAGTGGCATGATCTTGGCTCAATGCAGTCTCGACCTCTTCGGGTTCAGGTGATCCTCCTGCCTCAGCCTCCTCACCTCAGTCTAATGGGTAACTGAGACTATAGGTGCATGCCACCACGCCTAGCTAATTTTTGTATTTCTTGTAGAGACAGGGGTTCACCATGTTGTCCAGGTTGGTCTGGAACTCCTGGACTCAAGCAATCCACCTGCCTCGGCTTCCCAAAATGGTGAGATTACAGGCATGAGCCACCGTACCTGGCAAGCATCTTTTCATTTACCTGTTGGCTATTTGTGTGTCTTCTTTGGAAAAGTGTCTATTAAGGTCCTTTGCCCCACCTCCACTTTTTTTTTTATTTTAGTATTGAGTTGTACGAGTTTCTCGTATATTATGGACATTGACCTTTTACCAGATATATGGTTTGTAGACATTCTCTCCCAGCCTGTATGTTACCTTTTCATTTTGTTGGTTGTTTCCTTTGCCGTGCAGAAGCTTTTTGGCTTGATGTAGTCCCACTTGTATGTTTTTGCTTTTGTTGCCTGTGCTTTGAGGTAACAGCAACAAAATCATTGCCAAGGCCAATGTCAAGAAGCTTTTTTCCCCTGTGTTTTCTTCTAGAAATTATATGGTTTCAGGCCTTACCATTAAGTCTTTCTTTTCTTTTTTTTTGAGATGGAGTCTCGGTCTGTCACCCAGGCTGGAGTGCAATGGCATGATCTCAGCTCACTGCAACCTCCGCCTCCCAGGTTCAAGCCATTCTCCTGCCTCAGCCTCCCGATTAGCTGGGATTACAGGTGCTGCCACCACGCCTGGCTCATTTTTTGTATTTTTAGTAAAGATGGGGTTTCACTATGTTGGCCAGGCTGGTCTCAAACTCCTGACCTTGTGATCCGCCAGCCTCAGCCTCCCAAAGTGCTGGGATTACAGGCATGAGCCACTGCACCCGGCCTCTTACAGTTAAGTCTTAATCCATTTCAAGTTGATTTTTGTATATGGTGTTAAGGGTCCAATTTTATTTTTTGGCAGGTGGATATCCAGTTTTCCCAACAGTATTCTTCGAAGAGACTGTCCTTTCCCCCATTGCGTATTCTTGGCACCCTTGTCAGGATGCTTCTATGCAATCCTCCAGGTACGTACTAGATCCATCTGACATTTAGGTCATTATGCATTTATCATTTACTCCCACTGGATTTTAAGCTTCTTTCCAGGGCAGTGACCATGACTTATTTATCCTGTAGCAGTCTTTCACCACACCTAGAGCAGTGCCCCAACACACAGCGCTTAAGAAGAGCATGAAGTGACAATATACACAGATTATTAACTTCTTTGTGCTCCAAGGGAAGTCTTTTATGGATACTAAAAGTAGAAGTCATTAGTTCCAAATAAATTTAAACAGGTTTCAGGTATTCTTCTACTGACCGAAATTAGACCATTCCTTGTCCCCCTTTTCCTTCCATCCCTTATAAATTCCCATGACACAACAAACGAACAAAAGCTCTAAAAGTAGACTGTTGTATGAAAAAGACCCTGAACCTATCAGTTTAAAGAAAACCTGGAAAAATTTTTAATGAAAACCAAACTTAGTATCTTTTCTTCTCCTCTTCCCTCCTTCCTTCCCAAGAGGCTTCGGCAGCACCAGGGCTCCCCAGAACAAACCAAAGCCCTTTGGTGGAGCATTTGGATTTCATCTCCCATCTGGACTGTACCCCTTCCACCGGCGAGGGCAAAGTTCACATGTGAAGTCTACAGAGTAAGATGCCATGATGGGTAATGTGGGGATTCAGGAACAAGCGAGTGAGTAAGCAGGGCTGGAAACTGAGATTTGAGCTGCGTTTGTGGTAGGCTCTGCTTACGAGATGGGAGGGCAACCCATGCTCTTGCTGAGAGCGAAGGAAAGAGGAACTCACCACTGGCTGGAGGAATGTCCACTCGTCATGGGAAGGCAGAAATGGATTATCAAGTTTCAGACTTAGAAAACAAAGAAAAACTCTAATTGCGGACATTCCTTGCAGTTTAAGATCAGGGTAAATATACCAATACAAAATTACTGGGGTCAAAGGCTTTTGTATGTGTGGTTTTTTCCCGCAGTAATGGGTCACTTGATCAGAAATCCCTGTGTGAACTCACTTTTTTTTGGTAATGATGACATGAGAATTTCCACACTTGCCAAGTCAGTATTACGTGGAACTGAAACCAGACTCAGTGCATATGAAGACTTTGCTCACACTTGTTTTTACTACAGTCAGCAATGCTTCATAAGGCCAAATTTAATGATGTAATTTTGGCAGAGCTAATATAAATAGCTCAAAATTATTAATTTACTTTTGGTTGCAATTATTAACCAATATGTATGTTATGTGATAGCTATCAGTTTTCTATTTACCTTTATTAGGTGAGGCCCCAAAGAAAAATTTTTAGCTAAATATATTAGGTTCTCCAAAGGGTCAGGAAAGGAGCCTGAAAACAGAGAAGAGACTGAATTGAATAGCTTAGATTTCTAGTACTGGGCATTCTGAAAGCGTTTTGGCAATTTATCCCCTAAAAAAGAATTTAGATCAGATGGGAGATAATAAATTAGAGAATTTGATTCAAGAGGCTTAACTCTGGTTAATCAAATGATGACTAATTTCCAATCTGGAATTTGATCAATTAGTAAACTGGTACCCCAAAATTGGTTAAGAGTAAAATTGTTAAGAGGGCTGTAGTCATTTTTAAAAGAGATGTTATTTCTTATTCCCAATCAAATCTTATATTGCTGAATTCTATTATGCTCCAATATTAAATTTTTAAAAGTTGGCTTTTTAAAAATTGGTTTTTAAAATTGGTTTTTGAAAATTTAAAAAGTTGGTTTTTAAAAATTTTTTTAATTTTTAAAAGTTGGCTCACGCCTGTAATCCCAGCACTCTGGGAAGCCAAGGCAGCTGGATCATGAGGTCAGGCATTTGAGACCAGCCTGGCCAACATAGTGAAACCCCATCTCTACTAAAAAAATACCAAAAAATTAGCCGGGTGTGGTGGCAGGCGCCCGTAATCCCAGCTACTCAGGAGGCAGAGGCAGGAGAATCGCTTGAACCTGGGAGGTGTAGGTTGCCGTGAGCCGAAATCACGCCATTCATTGTTCTCCAGCCCGGGTGACAGTGCGAGACTCCGTTCCAAAAAAAAAAATTATAATTATCACTATTTTGCTTTTCTCGCAAAGAATTACGTGTTGTTTACTATGGCCCAAGAAAGCAGGTTTTATTTAGGGGGCAGATCGTTGAAGAGTTAATGTCCTATTCCAAGACAGGGTGGGAAAGGAATGGATGTGATTAATGACACTGAGTAATAGAGGGTACGATGCACATTTTGGAAGACACCAGTGTACCTGACAAAGTTTTCTTGCCTGCCTAGACCTGAAATAGACAACTGAGAATACAACAAAACAATTTTTTTTTTTTTTAGATGGGAGTCTTGCTCTGTTGCCCAGGCTGGAGTGCAGTGGTGTGATCTTGGCTCAACCTCTGCCTCCGAGGTTCAAGCGATTCTCCTGCCTCAGCCTCCCTAGCAGCTGGGATTACAGGCGCACACCACCACACTAGGCTAATTTTCTTATTTTTAGTAGACACAGGGTTTTGCCATGTTGGCCAGGCTGGTCTCGAACTCCTGACTTCAGGTGATCTGCTCGCCTCAGACTCCCAAAATGCTGGGATTACAAGCGTGAGTCACTGCACCCAGCCACAACGAAAGAATTTAAACTAGCTAACTCTGCTTGGAAAAACAATCTCACCAGTGGAAGAGCCTGTTTAAAGTATTTAAAAATCATTGCAAATTATTAATATTTTAATGTTTCAACATCTTAATATAGGAATGTATTGCATATTAAATCCTTGAAAATTACAGTACGGCTGATCTACGAACATCTGCATTCTGCAGTCCGTGAGCACCCACAAGTCAAAGGTAAACTTTCTTGTGGATCATCACTTATCTTTATCACTCACTAGATGAATGCTGAAGAGCTATTATCATTATACAGTAGCAAAACTGGTTCCAAAAGAATGATGAATTCAGCTATTCTGAACTAATGTTGGCTCTTCTTTGCGTTAATACTCCCATGTTTTCAAAATTTAAAGCAACTGGGCCACCCAAATCTGACGATAGGCAAAGGGACAATTATACTCTACCCATCCCAAGAAAGAAGGTGCTCTCACATCAGCCTGTCCCTGATGCTGCTGCCCTAATTTAATACTGCTTTGTTCTCTTGCCCCCTCTTCTACCCAACTAGATAAACTAAACAGTGTGATGGTTTTAAGTACTGTGTGGCTTGAAATATAACATTTATACAAACTATTCTTGAGGCACAAATAAGAGGCCTCTCTGAAATTCAAAAGCACTGTAGCTCTCCCCTGTTCCTTTTAAGTATTGGCTGTAAAGCAAGAACTGAGGATTCAGAACTACAAGGAAGCTTTTAACTGACCTGGGTAAGCATTTAAAAAGAGAGGCTTGTACTTAGTTATGGCCATTTTCTCTCCTAAAGGTCCTGTGGATTTTGACCAACAGACACTAAATTTAAGTTCATAAAATGTAGAGTCCACATTTAAAAACATTTTCTTAAGTCACAAGGTGCCTGAAAATAAGTAGTGAGGTTATTTTCTCTAATTTTCTATTTTTCTTCTTTGACAAGTTTTATTCTCTGTTTTAAGGCTCGTGAGGAGCCATGGATTAATAAGGTGGAGACAATTTTGCCTCAAGACAGGTATTAAATGTCAGCGATGAGAGGAGAAAACACCGCCTGTTCACCCAGTGTGCAGGAGCTTTCTTACTGAATGGAAGCATCACTTCCCAAATGACCAGTTTGGATGTTGTGGTTGGAGACTTTTTTTTAAAAAAAGCAAGCCCTGGCATTCATCATCATTTAAAAAAATAATTTCACGAATGTCTACTGTGCATGTGAAGCAGTGATTCAGATGCCTAGGAGTGAATATGTTTTTTTAAATGATGCAATCTTTGCTTTAAAAAAAATTGTTCCGATAAGTATTTTGACTAAGAGAAAATATCTGTTTCTTCATTTTAAAAATGTAATCTGGGGCCAGGCATGGTAGCTCACGACTGTAATCTAAGCACTTTGGGAGGCTGAGGTGGGCAGATCACTTCAGGTCAGGAGTTTCAGACCAGCCTGGCCGATATGGTGAAACCCTGTCTCTAGTAAAAATACAAAAATTAACTGGGTGTGGTGGCGTGTGCCTGTAGTCCCAGCTACTCGGGAGGCTGAGGCAGGAGAATTGCTTGAACCAGCAGGTGGAGGTTGCAGTGAGCTGAGATCACGCCACTGCACTTTAGCCTGTGTGACAGGGCGAGACTCTGTCTCGTAAATAAATAAATAAATGTGATCTGGAATTAGAATAGCCTGTATTTTCTTCAATGAATGCCATAATTTTATATTACATGGGCTTTAACCTGTATATTTTGTTCTTGGGAATACTTTTCCTTACCTAAAGGAAGCAGAATTCCGTGGGTACTACTGAAATAACCTTCAAGATACTGCCTTGTGTGCAGGGTAAATTATATTAGGAGGCAGGTAGGCCAAACTGATTTTTTTGGTAACTGCCCACAGTAAGTGTGGCATCCAGAGAGTGGTTCCATAAATGTTACTGAGTCAGGATTCATGTCATCCTCCATTCTGCCCGCACCCTCTTTCAGTAAGAAATTCCATTCTATAAATACGTGCTTTCTTTTTCACAAAAGACAGAAGTCTTACATGGAGCCTACTCCTATGAGAAACCTGAGCAGGAAAGAGGAAAGTGGAAGAAGCAATCTGAAGTGTGCACATGCACGCGTCACAAACTGGCCTGCTGATCGGAATGTCTGCTGAGGAAGAGAGGTGCAGACTGTCAGCCTATCAGCCTAAGTTTACGGTGGGAAAATTTCAGCCTGGGAAGTAACTTTTCCTGCCCACCCATATTGGTGTGCCTCCCCCAACAGCCAGGTGAAAGAAGAGCAGCTGGCTCTTGATCACCATCAAGTAGCTGTAAAGGTGATACTGGGCTCTGCCTGCCAGGCTGCCTTCAGGGTCCCAAAGAACAAAGCTCCAGGGTCCTGAACCTCTTTGGCCAGACAGCAAAAGTAACTACTTCTTAGACTAAACAGATAAACCCGTGTGAACATGAGCTAACATTTTTGAGAAAATAAGGGAATAAAACATAGGTTTTAGACATTTGCCACAACCCCCCTCCTCCCCAATCCTTCTCCTAACCAATTCCATTTATCCTTTGAAGACAAAAGACATGTCTGGTTTTGAAAAATAAATGTTAAACAAGGAAGGCAACGAGTGAAGTTGTAGAATACAGATTGTTAAAGAAACTAAACCACTGCCAAAAGAACTGGACTCAGTAAAATAACATTAAGGACAGTTCAAATATACCATAAACTCTTTATTATATTTTATTAGACATAATGATTCCTTGCAAGAATGAAAAAAAAATCGACCTAACTGACCTAACATTCACTTACGGTAGTATATTAAAAAAAAATTATTCTCTCTTAGACTACTGAGATCTTCTAGAGAAGGGACTGCATTTTAAACATGTGGTAGATTACATTACTATTCACCAAAATTTCCTGCTCCTTCCTAAGGAAGAATCACATATCCCCACCCTCACTCAACTCGGGTGTGGCATTGTGACTTGCTTTAACCAATGAAGTGGTAGCAGAAATACCATGTCTCACTTCCAGGAAGAAGTTTTAAGGGCTAGTGTGGAACTTTGCCTTGCTTTCTTTCCTTCCTCTGCTATAAAGAACAGCAGCGACATAAGCAGAGGCTGCTCCATCACAGGTTGAGGTCAACACTGAACACAGCTGCAGCTGACAAATAATGGACGTGTAGCATATGAGTAAAAAAATCAGTGTGTGTTGTTGAAAGCCACTGAGATTTGGGGTCTTGCAGAATAATTACTATCTTGATTGATAATGAGTGGCTTAGAAAGGACACTTAGTAAAGCCAAGCCTGGATGGAAGGATAGAGGATATAAAGTATTCAGAAATTCCAGTGGTGAAATTTGGTAGGTATCAAGTGAATATAAATGAAATATTTCTTTGATTTATATGTGTAAAGACAGCAGCTTTTAGCTTAAATGACAGCTTGGAGAAGTGACAAAATAGAGGTTTCGTAAATTAAAGATCTGGCTATGCAGTTTGATGGTAATTTAAGTGGTGTTCAGGATGTCCATTCTAATAATCAGCACAAGATCTACTATCTTAAATCCAAGTTGCTTCAGACACGAGTTGATACAGTATCACCTAAATGCTGAGGACTCACTGAAGTGACTGCTGAAAAGCCTTCACTTTAGTCCTCACGGTTATGTCATGCAATAAGGTAGGACCGGATAAAATTTGGAAGTCTAGTAACCCAAGCCAGTTCCTAAGTTTACCTAAACCTGAAAATTTCATCTTGTTGATTGAAACTCTTCAGCATTAAACATTTCTTTATTGAGCTTCAGTGGATGTGGTGCTCGGCTGATGCTGGGTGGGGAGGTGACACTGGTAGGACGGATACAGAAGAGTCCCTGTTGATCCTTAATATGAGAAACCTTCCTTAGGCTTTCATGCCTCAAGAGGCTTGTCTGGGCAGGCAAATGGCATCAACACAGCTGTTGAACATATGCTATCAGCTGGCACCACCTTTGGATCCTGGCATACCAAGGACCAGAAGTAGGCCAGCATTTTTCCACCTGGATTCAGCAGTTGTTTTCCCTGTTCGTTCTTTCATTCCTCATGGGTCTTTAGCTAGGTTAGGTATCACTTGGGATCTCCTCTACCACTATCTTCTGTCTTTAAATGTCAAAGAGAATATATAACATTTGTTCTTCATGTCTTGGACTTTATGGTGATCTAATATCCAGAAGCTGGTGTTAACTGGACAAATGCAAAGACCAACCAGGGAAAATAAACTGAAAGCACACCAATTAATTAAGTCTTTACCTAAAGGATATACTATGGGACTGACTCTGTGCTAGGTACCACAAGAACAAGTGGGAATCAAATTCCAGCCCTTGAGTAGCCTTTTTAGTCTATTTGATAAGAAAAAGAGAAAAGAAACAACATTATTCCCCCTCTTCTTAACTAGCATAATTTTAAAATGTGGGTACTCAAACCATCACAGGTAAGGCTTTCTCCCACCCAGTGATACTTCTGTAGAAAGAAAAAAAGAGGGAATTCTAGCAAAAAGGAAGAGCATATGATGCCAGATGGACTAAAAGAGCAAAGAATACAATTCATCAGCAAATTATGTGTCTATTAACAGTTTCAAATAAAATGCAATAAAATATATTTATAGTATGTTGGTATCAAAAAGATGATACTATGCCAGGCGCGGTAGCTCAAGACTATAATCCCAGCACTTTGGAAGGCCAATGCAGGAGGACTTGCTTGAGGCCAGGAGTTCAGGACCAGTCTGGGCAACACAGGGAGACCCTCTACAAAAAATTAAAAATTAGCTGGGTATGGTGGCGCACACCTTTGGTACCAGCTACTCGGAAGGCTGAGTAAGAGAATTGCTTGGGCCCAGGAAACGGAGGCTGCAGTGAGCCATGATTGCATCACTGCACTCCAGCCTGAGACCCTGTCTCAAAAAAAGGGCAGGGGGGGGATGGGTACCATAAAATTATATATGTACAATTTTGTACTATATTAAGAATTGTATGTAGGAGTAATCACAATCAGAATACATATATAAATATGAATGAGCAGAAGTTTAAGGTGATGGGCTGTAGTGATTTTTTAAAAATATAAAGTACATTTATATACATTTCTTTAAAAGATCATGTTCACTAAATCCACAAGGCCCACAACCTACACCAAAATCTCTAGCCCAGCAGTTTTCAACACTAGAGAGTACTGGCCCCACCCCAGGAGGCACACGGAAATGCATGGGAGTGTTACTGGGCAGTCATGTCTGAGGGGCACTTCCGGCATTTAGTGGGCAAGGGCCAGGAATGCAGAATACCCTGCCGCACACGAGACAGTCCCACACAATGAGGAACTGTCCTACTCATAACACCAGCAGCACAACTGTTAAGAGATTGCCACTAGGATAGGACCAAGATCAGTGTCAGCCAAGATATGCTGTAAAAATCCTAAAATTTAACAAAATACCATTAACTTTATGCCAGTATGATTTAAAAATAAATCTTTTTCATTTAAAAAAACTGCAGAAGTATATAATCACTCCTCAAAGATGGAAATGGGTAAAAGATCCTATTACCTGAATAGAGAAAACAATCTCATTTCCTGAGAGAGATCATATTGCTTTCATGCTAGAAACAATTTAAACAAACACTGAGGGTCGAAAAATTATCCCCATCTGCTAAACACACTTTTGTACCTTATCAATACACCATTATCTCACAGCTGGTTTGTGAACTCTTGTCAGTAACTCCTGCCCCGGACTGAAAGTTCAGAAACAAAGAAGCAAGGACAAGTGGCTGGAAACCCTGCAGCCACTGGCATGACCAAGAACTGAGCACTCTGCTGGCCGACTTGCTCCTTGTGAAAAATGGCCCTCCAGTGCCACCCAGAGATGCTTGGAGCGCTATGCACAGCGCCTTCTTCCCGGCCTCAAATAAGAGGGGAGGAGAAAAAGGAGAACTACTCTTTCCTGTAGGGCGCAGAAATGAGATCCTTTATGCTCAGTTAAATGGTCTTCCTACTTTTACCCATGTTTAGTACTTAGGACAGTCACACTCATATTTAACTTCCCAAAAGGCTGGTGACACTGCCATCTAGTGAATACAGTCTTTTTTACAACAGAAAGTCACAAAACTTAAGGGGCTCATGAACCTGTATTTTTAAAGTAAAGTTCAAGAAGTATCCTGTTTTTAATCTCATTTGAAATACTACTTAATTTACATTGAGAAGAGGAAAAAAGTTAGTAATAGAGAGTTTGCTCTCTGTGGATTCCTTTTAGGAATTAGCAAAATTTCAAAAATGAATACAACAGGAGAATGTAAACAAATTCGATTTTCCATACAGCAGGGGAGTCCAACGTTTTGGCTTCCCTGGGCCACACTAGAAGAATTGTCTTGGGCCACAAATAAAATACACTAACACTAATGATAGCTTATGAGCTTTAAAAAAATCTCATGTTTTAAGAAGTTTACAAATTTGTGTTGGGCTGCATTCAAAGCTGTCCTGGGCCACATGCAGCCTGTGGGCCATGGGTTGGACAAGCTTGTCATAAAGGACTGAAGCTCTGCTCTATCTCCAGCAACGATTGTTACAGCTGTACTTGCTATCTAGTGTGCTGTTCACAGCATGGTCCACTTGTCCCTATATGGTGACTACTTGTGCTTTTCTTGAGTTGCTAGCTTACTGAATCTTAAAGATGCTGTGAACTATGTATCTGGTCACAATTACTTCTTTGCCTTGGCTGCTAGGAAGCATGGAGCCAAATTACTGGCCTATTCTGGTCTACTTACAAGATCTTTTACAGTACATGCTACCTCTATCTTTACTCCATATTTCCTCCTCTTGATATCTTCCTTCTGTCCCAATATCTTCACCCACTCATTTAAAAATTTTATTTTGTATGCCCCTTTAATTTGGTACATATAAATAAAACACATTAGTGTTATTTGCTGTGTGTATGATGCTCCTGTTGGGATCCTCTGCATGTAACCATAGGCATATGTATGGCAAATATCACAGGCAAAGGTGATTTGTGTCTTATATGACTCTTAGGGTCTCTTACTACTTCTTGACTCCCCATTAGGAGAGCTGCTGCTGGTCTAAACTGGGGTTCGAAAGAGTGTCACAGTCAAAGGTATTGCTCACATATAACTGCTACCTTTTCCACATTCCATTCCAGTATGGCCGCCTGAGATGTCCGGCTTAAATTTCTAAGCAGCTTCTTCAGCTGAAGGGACTGCTTTTTTAATTTCTCATCCCACAAATCCTGTCTCATTGTTTCTGTACTTTGTCCCATTCCTAGATAGTTGACCTATGTATTCCAAATGATAACTTTTTTTAATATGAAACGTTTTTAACATAAAGGCTTACTAAAAGGCAGAACATAAACTGTTTTAGCAAAAGGCATAAAGATGATGACACTGAAACCCTAAAGGCTGTCTTCAAAAAAACACCGATAATGTGGGATACCTTATCACCATTTCAGCAGACATCATGTCTAAGAAACCGGGCCTACATACTGTTGAACTACATTCATTCCTGTTGAGATAATGACACCCAGTCAGAGTGCATCACTGGGACATCTTAGACTTTGTACTGAATTTCTCTTTCTTATCTCCAATAACTGGCTATTAAAAAAACACAGATTGCAAAAATCACATTCTCAGTCTTACCCAAGAGCCACAACACCTGGCTTTGTGTATTTTCTCTACAGCTGCCAAAAGCACAAAACAACAGATAGTTTCCTATTAACAAAGTGCAATTTAAGAGGCATAGGTGGCTTTGTGTGGGAGGTACTATGGGTAATATGTGTGTTCATTATGCAAATGAAAGCCAATCCTATTTTTAAATGTACTTTTATATGTACAGGCAAGGGCACATAAGAGTTAGATGGTCGGCCGGGCGCGGTGGCTCACGCCTGTAATCCCAGCACCCTGGGAGGCCGAGACTGGCGGATCACAAGGTCAGGAGATCGAGACCATCCTGGCTAACACGGTGAAACCCCATCTCTACTAAACATACAAAAAATTAGCCGGGTGTGGTGGCATGCGCCTGTAATCCCAGCTACTCAGGAGGCTGAGGCAGGAAAATCGGTTGAACCCGGGAGGCGGAGGTTGCAGTGAGCTGAGACTGCACCGCTGCACTCCAGCCTGGGCAACAGAGAAAGACTTTGTCTCCAAAAAAAAGAGTTAGATGGTCAAGGTGATGAAGATTACAAAAATATTACTGGGAAGATAAACTATCAAAAATGCCTGCAAAATAGAATGACACTGTCATTTGACAGTCAGATAATTAGTGTCAAAGGTTCTGAATTTTAGACACACTCCTATCTAATGGGATCGACATACCTATGTTATTAAGAAGTGAAGTGAAATGTAACTTCCTCAGTGGCTTGTTTGGATTCAGCTTCTGTGCAAGGAGCAGGCACTAAGACACATCTGAAAAGCATGAGAGACAGAGGACATGGGCCTTAAGGTTTTTATTCCAAGTTCAATCATTACTTGAGTCCTGTACTTTTTTCTATGTCCTACACTGAATCCTGGAGATAAGTGTAGTCATCCAAGCTTACACATTGGAAATTAAGGCATAGAGTCGGTGAGGAACTGGCCCCGTGGGCTGGGCTCTTGGTTCAGTGACAATTGTCTGTGACTTACTAAAAGATTCTTTAGTTTGCCTGTTGTTTTTAGTAGAAAGCTGTGGGCTGGACCCAATACTAACAAATGGAACTCAGGGGGCTGACAGCGACATCTCTGAAGGCCAAAAAACCTCCTCACATGTCAAGCCAACCGTCCCTTCAGGTCTTGGGGATGGAGATAGGGCTGGCAGGTGGAGTGATAAGGTAACCTAATTATAATAATGCCAGAGTAATAAAGTGAGTGACAACATAAAGGATACAGAAGATGCCTTCTGTCAGAGACAAAGAATTCAAAAACAATCAAATAAAACCACCAAACAGGAGAATACCATTTCATTCTTCTTCTACGGGACTGGGGACGATGTTAACCATTTATAAACAGCACTCTTGCGTACTGGCCTCTTTCCCTTTGCCCAGTCTCAGTTCCCAGAAAAATAACCACAAACATGATCTCTGCCTCTGGGTCTAGAAGATGAAATCAAGTCTCAAAGATACTCAGGTCACAGATGTGCAAGTCTAAAGCTGTCTCAACTAACCCTCCGAGCTTTCCAAGGCTAGCTATGCCTCCAGTTCCTGGAATGTACAATTCTTCTCTTATCTACAAGGATTCTTCAATGGCCCTTAAACCCAGGAAAGCTGGAAACTGCAGGTTGTAGCCATGTCTTGATCAGAGTCAAGGGGGCATGGACATCATTTAACATTACCTGACGCAGCAGAGGGTACTCGGTCAAACCAGCTGCTATATTAAACCAACACTGGACACCTCTATGGCTTATCCACAGAGGGAACTGTCAGGATTCTATTTCTTAAATCATGTATCTAAACCAGTACTTTATTTTTTCACCCATATAGTACACCATTATCACTTCCATATCACTCAATTCTTCAGGACTATCTTTTCTCATTATATATAACATTTGCTTAAGGTCTCATCATGGTTCACTTTGGAGAGCAGGACTGAAGTTCAGTGAGAATGTTTTTTCATCTTATATACTTCTAATATTCTAATTTATTAGGATAATTGTGTTACTTTTGTAAAGAGTTTTTGATAAACGTAAGTGTTCAACCAAATTAAAATGTATTCATACCTTTAATCTAGTTATTCCTGTGAACTTATCGCAAGGAAGTAACTTATTATGGCCTGAAGATTTCACTGCAATGATACTTAAAGTAGCAAAGAATTAGACACGATCTAAATTTTAAACATGAGAAAGTCAGTTTTATAAATTATTGTACATTAATGTAACAGTATTTATCATTATAATTGTAAAGGCTTCATAAATGAGTGGAAAGTCCTGACACCTCAAGTAAAACAAGCATTCCAAATAAAAATCAAACCACATAAATATATGTATAAGAAAGATAAAAACATTTCTATGTGAGAGTGGTACAATTCTACGTAATTTGAAATTTTAAAAATTTTCTTTAGTGAATAAATATAAAATACTTACTAGAAAGTAGCCTGAGAAAAAATAATTTTGCCATAGTTCCAAACTATGATATTAACCAAATTAAGATACTTCTCCTTTATTTAGAATTAACTTTAAAGGGAATAAAAGAAGTACCAATAGATTAAAAGGCAAAATATGTTAGCAGGATCAATGTCTATTGAGTCTATTCATTATTTTATTTTATTTATTTATTTTTTGGGACAGCGTCTCACTCTTGTCACCCAGGCTGGAGTACAGTGGAGCGATCTCAGCTCATTGCAACCTCCACCTCCTGGGGTTCAAATGATTCTCCTGTCTCAGCCCTTTGAGTAGCCGGGACTAAGGGTGCACGCCACCACACCCAGCTAATTTTTTGTATTTTTAGTAGAGATGGGGTTTCACCATGTTGGCCAGGCTGGTTTTGAACTCCTGACCTCAGGTGATCCGCCCTCCTCGGCCTCCCAAAGTGCTGGGATTACAGGCGTGAGCCACGATGCCCAGCCTATTGATTCTATTTAAAAAGGACTTGTAGCTAGCAATAAAGTTTAAGGAATTCCCAAAGAACTGTTAAGCAAATCTATTTAATTTACAAACAATAAACTTATAAAATGTTTTCTAAATTAAAATAATATAGTGGCATTATAAAAACACCACTGCAATTAGCAGTTTAATAATGTGGTAAATAATACTAGGTAAAGCCAATTGCTATTTATGGACAATCTTTTTTTTTTTCAGCCAGCTTTCTGAAGGGTTAGGGGTCAAGTCTTCTTCCCTTTGAGTTCTGAGAACATGAAGATTTTCAACGATCTTGCAGGAGTTCAAGTCCCAAAGGGTAACTGAACAAGGAAGGATATCAGCAGTGACCCCGAAAGCTAACAACAAGCGTGAGTATACGCCCATGTGTTATTTCCCATGCTTCCATCCAAGAAAATGCTCTATTGAAGCAATGTGTATGAATGCATCTATTATGCATGTCACCATGGCCTTATCCCACTCAGTCTCAACATTGGCTTAGTTCACCTCCCTTGGAAACACTCTGGACCATCAACTGGGGTGGAGGTTGTTAAGTAACTCTGTGAGTTGCCTTCATCTAGGTAGCTCTTCAGGTGTGGTTCGTCAGCCACACCCTAATAACTGACAACCTTTGTGAACAATTTTTCAATTCTGTTTATCTCCCTGACTTGATGAAAGACAGACTGACCAAATCAGTCAGTCGTGATGATGTCCTGATGATGGCATTCCTCCCGAAGTGACTAGAGAGAGAGCCCACTCTTGTAAACTTCAACTACCTTGACAGTTCCCACATGTAAATGCCCTAAAGTCAATCATCTTCATCTCACATGCTCTGAAACAATGATCTTTTCTTATAGGTAACATTGGCCAACATTAGATATAAAGAATTTTTAAAAAATGATTTCTTTTAGCTCTTTAAGAGAATACACAAATATTGATAAAGGAGAGTTGGTCTATGGTCACGTAGAATGTGCTATACAACAAATGAAACTTATTGTTATAATTCTGAAAGTTTTCACGCCTGTAATCCCAGCACTTTGGGAGGCCGAGGCGGGTGGATCATGAGGTCAGGAGATCGAGACCATCCTGGCTAACAAGGTGAAACCCCGTCTCTACTAAAAATACAAAAAATTAGCCGGGCGCGGTGGCGGGCGCCTGTAGTCCCAGCTACTCGGGAGGCTGAGGCAGGAGAATGGCGTGAACCCGGGAAGCGGAGCTTGCAGTGAGCCGAGATTGCGCCACTGCAGTCCGCAGTCCGGCCTGGGCGACAGAGCGAGACTCCGTCTCAAAAAAAAAAAAAATAATAATAATAATAATAATAATTCTGAAAGTTTTTTAGTCTTTCCTTCAAAGATTCCATGGTACTAGATAAATTATACACATACACACACACAGAGAGATGTTCACAAGGAAAAATGAACATTACAATACAACCAGGTAAAGGTACCAAGAACATGAAAGGAGGTTGCTAAGGTGCTTCCAAAAGATTGGCCTAATTTTACCACCACATCCATTTCGGCGCTTTTTTTCTTTGCCTAAAATCGTTACCACACCATATTATTTCCTCCCAGCATAGTAAGTTAGGAGAACAAGGAAATGGGAAGAAACTACAGAGGTTCTTACAGCCCTGCCAGCAAAGTTTCCTAGCACTCTGCTGCTGGGCTGGGTGAAGAGAACAAGGCTAGCCGTCCTGGACTGGGTGAGGCACATGTGCAGGTATGTGCAGCTAGTCCTGGACTTGGGCAGGAGCAGGAATCTGCACAAGAACCAACAAGCCCACAGGAGAGGTACTCAACTGAAACAGTGTTTAACAAGCATAGCCATCTCCTTTTTTTTTTTTTTTTTTTTTTTGAGATGGAGTCTTGCTGTAACGCCCAGGCTGGAGTGCAATGGCACGATCTTGGCTCACTGCAACCTCTGCTTCCCGGATTCAAGCGATTCTCCTGCCTCACCGTCCCAAATAGCTGGGACTACAGGTGTGCGTCGCCACACCAGCTAATTTTTGTATTTATAGTAGAGACGGGTTCTCACCATATTGGCCAGGCTGGTCTTGAACTTCTGACCTCAAGTGATCCACCCGCCTTGGCCTCCCAAAATGCTGGGATTACAGGCATAAGTCACTGCCCCTTGCTAACCATCTGCTTTCAAGTGGATTTTGATATGCCAAAGTTTACCTTAGTGCCACTCTGAATGACCTAACAAGCATGCAAAGGAATTGAGGAAGGTGAAAGAGAGTGACACTGTATTAATTACTAGTCTAAGACCCTGTTTTAAAGAATAACCCAAGAAAACATAAAATTAGAATTCAAGTCCCAGTCCCACAGTTTTCCGTGGGCATAAAATACTTAAAAAAATAAAAATGTGAACGGGCAACTACACTTCACTAGTTTCCTCTTAGTTTTTAAGCCAACTCAGTAGCCTGCCTTATCTCATTCTAAACCTTCTGAGAGCAGGGACTTTGTTTTTCCTTTCTGCTATTTCCACAGTAGTAAGAACAGTACCTGGCATATGGCAGGTCCATATATATTTGATGAGAGGATGAAAACATTTCAAGAGCTTACTGGTTTCAGTCCTCTCCACAAACAGATAAAAATTCTACTTTTTAAAAAGCTTTAATCTTCCTTTGTAGCTGCAACTGTCATAAGAAAGCACTGACATACTGCATCTTTTATTTTCTAAACATATATATATATGTAATATATATAAATATATAAATATATACACACACACACACACATATTTTATAGGTTTATAAAACACACACATATATTTTTTTTCTGAGACAGAGTTTTGCTGTTGTTGCCCAGACTGGAGTACAATGGCGGGATCTCAGCTCACTGCAACCTCCACCTCCTGGGTTCAAGTGATTCTCCTGTCTCAACCTCCTGAGTAGCTGAGATTACAGGCATGCACCACCACACCCGGCTAATTTTGTATTTTTAGTAGAGACGGGGTTTCACCATGTTAGTCAGGCTAGTCTCGAATTCCTGACCTCAGGTGATTTGCCCACCTCGGCCTCCCAAAGTGCTGGGATTTCAGGTGTGAGCCACCGCCCCCACCACCCCCAGCCCTTCTAAAAATATATATTTTTAAAATTTTACATATTATATAAAAATTCTATTATATATGTATGTACGTATATATGTGTGAGTGGTGTGTGTGTGTGTGTGTGTGTGTGTGTGTGTGTGTGTGTAGGAATATGTGTAATTCAATGCTATATACTGGGGGAAAGTTCTATGGTTTTTCTTCCCCTATAATTTTTCAGAAGGGAAGACATGATCATCTTAATTTGATAAAACTGACTGAATAGTAAAACCCAGAACCAGAATTTAGGGTGTGGCATAGCTTGTTTAATCACCACCTATTCTAATGGGAAGGGAGTCAGAACACAGGGCCCCCTGACAACACAGACCCGGCCTTCCCCTCAAATGCCATCTGGTGTATGGGCCAGTTAGTCCCATTACCATTTCTCTCTCCCATCTTGATCACTGCTCAACCCATAATAAAATCTGGGCACAGTGGCTCTCTGTTCATTTCCCCATAATCCAAAGCACTGAGGGAGAGCGGGCCACTGGGTGGTCTCCATCTCTATCCCCCTTCTTTCCCCTCCTCAACATCCCCAGCCTGATCATGCTTATTCTCTTTTAAAACCCAGAATTTTGCTATGGCATGGCACTCACAGCCATTCATCATTTGGGTCTCTTGCTACCTCTCCACCTGTACAGAAGAGATTACAGGAAACAATATTACACAGCTGCCTCATGTTTAACGCTCTCTTACCCCTCTACACCTTTGCCCAGGCTGATCATTCTGTCTACAGCAGGAGGACTTCACTGGTTTTTCCTCCCACGTGCTCTTAAAGACTGAGTGTACGCACTTTCTCCTCCAGGAAGCCCTTCCTGATGCTCTCTGCCTGTTTTAGATGCCCCTTCATCTGAATTCAGAGCTTAACATATGGCTAAGCAAATGCTTTACTATCTGAGAGTGATTATCTTTCCTCATGGCTAGTATTAGATTTTTTTTTTTTTTTTTTTTGAGACGGAGTCTCACTTTGTTGCCCAGGCTGGAGTGCAGTGGTTCAATCTGGGCTCACTGCAACCTCTGCCTCCCACGTTCAAGTGATTCTCCTGCCTCAGTCTCCTAAGTAGCTGGGATTACAGGCGCGTACCACCACACCCAGCTAATTTTTCTATTTTTAGTAGAGACAGGTTTCATCATGTTGGTCAGGCTGGTCTCAAACTCCTGACCATGTGATCTGCCTGCCTCGGCCTCCCAAAGAGCTGGGATTACAGGCGTGAGCCACCACTCTCAGCAGGAGGTTTCTATTAAAAACAAATGAGATGGTATTTGCAAACTGTCAGACATTGCCCAATTGCATTAGTCCATTTTCACACTGCTATAAAGAACTACCTGAGACTGAGCAATTTATGAAGAAAAAAGGTTTAATTGACTCACAGTTCTGCATGGCTGGGGAAGCCTTAGGAAACTTACTATTATCATTATTTTTTGAGAGAGTCTCACTCTGTTACACAGGCTGAAGTGCAGTGGCACAATCTTGGCTCACTGTAACCTCCATCTGTCAGGTTCAATCGATTCTCCTGCCTCAGCTTCCCGAACAGCTGAGATTACAGGTGTGCGCCACCCGCCCGGCTAATTTTTGTTTTTTCAGTAGAGACAGGTTTCGCCATGTTGGCCAGACTGGTCTTGAACTCCTGACCTCAAGTGATCTGCCCGCGTTGGTCTCTCAAAGTGCTGGGATTACAGGTGTGAGCCACTGCACCCGGCCAGGAAACTTATAATCACGGTGGAAGGCCAAGGGGAGGCAAGGACCTCTTCTTCACATGACAGCAGGAGAGACAGAGAGAGACATGGGTGCAAGGGTGAAACTGCCAAACACTTTTAAACCATTAGATCTCATGAGAACTCCCTCGCTATCAGGAGGACAGCATGGGGTAAACCATCCTCATGATCCAATCACCTCCCATCAGGTCCCTCCCTCAACACGTGGGGATTACAATTTGAGATGAGATTTGGGTAGGGACACACAGCCAAACCACATCACCAGTACAATGTCTGACACATAGTGCTCATTCAATAAATGGTCATTATTAGAATCATCATTATTGTTTACCACGTCTCCAGGAAAGAGACAAATTTAAGGACCAGAATAATCAGAACAATAACGTATTTGGTACTTTGAATATCAGCTGTAACATTAATCTTAGACACTAATTTATTATGAACTGGTACCCCAACTTTTTGCTGAAATCACTGACACTCCATTCTCCTCCCCAAACATAAAGTGAATGAAAAAACAAAGACAAAGAAACCAAGCATGGTAAGGCCAAAATAATTTTACTTTTTTTTTTTTTTTTTTGAGACAGAGTCTTGCTCTGTCACCCAAGCTGGAATACAGTGACGTGATCTTGGCTCACTGCAACCTCTGCCTCCCGGGTTCAAGTGATTCTCCTGCCTCAGCCTCCAGAGTAGCTGGGACTATGGCGCACACCACCACACCCAGCTAATTTTTGTATTTTTAGTAGAGACGGGGTGGGTTTCGCCACATTGGCCAGACTGGTCTCGGACTCCAGACCTCAGGTGATCCGCCCGCCTCGACCTCCCAAAGTCCTGGGATTACAGGTGTAAAGCCACCATGCCTGGCCTACATTTTTTAGAAGAGAAAAATTCAAACGAGTATATTAATTAATGATAGAATCTAAGTAAAATATTTTGCTGTTCTAGAACTAGGGAAAGGTAAGGAAAAAGATGATTTTAGAGTTAAGGAACTGTTAAGAGTAAGAATTACTGAATGTCAATGTGATGTCTCTCTGCATAACTAGGTCTAAAGGCACCAAGAATATGACTTACATTACTAACCTTTACATTAGATGGAAGACACACAAACTGCTCTTAGTGAATTCTTCTGGCTGAGTTATCATACTATGATTAGCTATCAAAGCTACTTCAAGTTCTTATTGCTGCAAAGATAATTTACACATTCAGGGTCAAAGTCAGCCAGCCACGTTTCTGAACTGAAAACAATTCAATACTAGGCTTTATCTGCCAGTTGAGATTTGTGCCACACTCTGACACATTTAACATCATCTCCAAATTAATGTGCCCCAGGGATGGGATGAGTAGGGAAATTTCTTACACAATGCCACGGTCCAGAGGAAAAACATCCTTGAAAAAGATTCATCTTTCAAATCCTGATATAAATCTACTCTTAGATCTATATTCCAAAAGAGAATAAGAGACTCTTTCCCCATATGTAAGAAACAGGTGGTAAGGCCCACAAATGAGCTCTGAAGTAGAACAAAACGCTAAGGAAGATAATTATCACTGTGGATAAATATGATTTGTAACTATGATAACCCCATCAGCCACACGTGGAATGTGCCTTGACTGCATGTTTGGTTTTCACAGAAATAGCTCTTCAAGAGTTGAGATGTAATAGCAAAAATATGAAAA
Source organism: Homo sapiens (assembly GCF_000001405.40). Taxonomy (NCBI): domain Eukaryota; kingdom Metazoa; phylum Chordata; class Mammalia; order Primates; family Hominidae; genus Homo; species Homo sapiens. Next base: position 602,864 of record NC_000009.12, on the reverse strand, counting down.
ATTACAAAGGAGTCATGCTGGAATCTCATCTAAACAAGATCTATTTTGCAAGAACTAAAAGCGCAGTCAAAAGAAGTTATACTGAATCATCAAGGAGAACAGGCTTTCAATCTAAAATATTTTGTCAATGTCCTCTGACCGTAAAGACTTCACACATAAAATTATAAGGACAAAAATAACTTATCAAAAGTTTATGCAAAAAGAGTTACTTTATTATAGGATGATGAATCTGTAGTTACACATTGTAAATCCAGGTATTTACCTCTATAACTAACCAAAAGATATTCTCATTAAAATATGGAATGGGGGCCGGGTGCAACAGCTCACACCTATAATCCCAGCACTTTGGGAGGCTGAGGCAGGCGGATCATGAGGTCAAGAGATTGAGACCATCCTGGCCAACATGGTGAAACCACATCTCTACTAAAAATACAAAAATTAGCTGGGCATGGTGGTGCATGCCTGTAGTCCCAGCTACTTGGGAGGCTGAGGCAGGAGAGTCGCTTGAACCCAGGAGCGGGAGGTTGCAGTGAGCCAAGACCACACCACTGCACACCAGCCTGGCAACAGAGCGAGACTCCGTCTCAAAAAATAAAATAAAATAAAATAAATAAAAATGGAATGGGCTAAAAATGAGAGTCAGAAACTCAGGAATAGTTATTGAAGGAATGTCAAAAATGTCTGGATGCTAATGCTATCCTATCAATGTAAAAGTATTTTTCCACAAAAAGTTAATCTATTCCATTGATAAAGAACCTATTTTTCTACAGGGTATGTGCATTGATTTTAACAACTCAACATTAAGTGATCAAAATGACTTTACATCAAAGTGACTGACTACCTAGAAGTGTTAAAAACGAGTTTCAGACCTGGTACAACCATGTTCACAGGAAAGAGCTCACCATAAAACTCATGGAAGACAAAAAGCCACCCCAGTTGCAATGTGCACGTCTGGTACTCAGATATTGGTTTCTAAACACCATTGTCCAGTAAAAGGACCCAGGCTCCTTAGGGAAGTGACTGATTCCAAAAGTAGGGCAAGGAAAATACAAGATTAGCCTAGAGCATCAGGGGATGCCATAATGTGAGGAAGTACTTGAAAAAAGATGGAAGCATGTCAAAAGGACATCAGAGTCAGCCTGAAGGAGCTCCCAGTGGCCAAAGCTAGAATAATTTGAAGAAGAAAATAATGATGATAATATTGGGTTATAACCCACAGAATGAAGTAACTGTCCATGATGAGTCCACACGAATAGCACTAGCAATAAGGGAAACTGACATCAAGTAACCAGTTATGAGGCAATAAAAAAGATACATCATTGCTTTTGTGGTCTTCTTTCAAAACAAAAAAAAGCATAACTTAAAGGTAAACACTAGGAAACATCAGACAGCCCCAAATCTAGTCATTCCACAAAATAACTAACCAGAAATAACTGACAGGGAATGACAAGGAACTGTCACAAACTGTGGGAGTTTAAAGAGTCAGAACTACTCAATACAATGTGGATCTTGGATTGGATCATGGAACATAAAGAAAGGATAGCGGAAAACTGGATAGAATGCTAGTAAGGTCTGTTGTTTAGCTGGAAGTATTAGACCAATTTAGATTCCCAATTTTGATAATTATATTAACGATAGTTCAATATGGTTATGTAAGATAACAACATTAGGAGAAACTGAGTGAAGGGTATGGGAGCCCCGTACTACCTTTGCAACATTTCTCTAAATCTAACATTATTTCAAAATAAAAAGTTTTTAAAGACTGATGGAAGAGGAAAGCAACTGTGGTTACTCTTACTCCTCACTTCCATCTGGCTTTCTTTTCTTTGGGCATTTTACAAAAGGATCTCCCTCCTTCTGCTTTAGTTAATTATGACAGAGCACAGAAAGGTATGAGACATGAGACTCAGAAAGACAGAACATCACAGTGACCCTCCTGAAAAATGAAGGTGGGCTGCCTTTTGGATAACTAAACTTTTCAGTTATCCCAGAACAAAAAGCTTTAACTTTAGAACATGTTAGCAAATTCCCAAACTCATCTTTCTTGGAAAGTGCAAAAGAAGCGAACACTGGGTATTCACAGAATCTGTCAACAAGTAGAAGATCTTTTGGCATAAAATCCAAAGCTATTTAAAAATGACTGCCAGCAATGGGTGGAGGGATAATGAAAGTTATGTTGGGCATGAGGTGAGGTGTATGGAGGGCAAGTGTGCAAGAAGCCCAAGAAGCATTTATGTGCTACTAGTTGTTTCCTCACCTACTAATATGAAGTTGGATCCACAATGCATTTAAAAATACCTGTTTATATAGCTCATACACATACCTAAAAGGACTTCATTTTATTTATTTATATTCTATTTAGATTATTACGTATGTTACCACATTGTATGGGAATGAAAAGAGTCAGACATACCCTTCTTTTTCTTCTTTCTTTCCAAGCATTTAATTACTCAATGTGATGCTACAATGGAATATTATTCAGCCTTAGAAAGGAATGAAATTTGGACACATGTTACAACATAGATGACCCTTGAGGACATTACACTGGGTAAAATAAGCCAGCCACAAAAAGACAGACAGCGTGTGATTCCACTTATGAGGTACCTAGAATAGTCAAAATTACAGAGACAGAAAGTAGAATGGCTGCCAGGGGAAGAGGGGGGTGGGGAGTTGTTGTATAACAGATATAGCGCTTTTGTTTTGAAAGATGAAAAAGAGTTTTAGAGACTGGTTGCGCAATAATGTGAATGTAAACAACATTACTGAATTGTGCAATTAAAAAAACAGTTAAGATAGTAAATTATGTGTTATGCCTAACACAAAACTTTAAAAAAATTTAAGGTAATTTTTTTTGCCTCAGCAATTCTTATTACCTTAAAGACTTACATGGACATACGTTGATGTGGGTATAAAATTGTTAACTGTTGCATTATTTATACTATAAAACACCAACACCACACTAAATGATCATTAAAATAAAGCCTTAAACAAAGTACAGTCATCCCTCGATATACAAGGAGGACTGGTTCCATGACTGCCTGCAAATACCCAAATCCTCACATACTGAAGTTCTGTAGCCAGCCCTGAAGAACCTGCGTATATGAAAAGTCAATTCTCTCTTTATGCAAGTTTTGCATCCCTCAAGTACTCTATTTTCAATCCATGTTGGGTTGAAAATATCTGCATAAAAGCAGACCTGCACGTGGACCTGCATATAAGTGGACCCATGATGTTCAAGGGTCAGCTACGTAGCATATCAGTATGATGGGTTACTCTGCAGCATTTAAGAGAAATAAGTAAACTAGCAGAGAAAGACACAATCTATAATTATGTAAAATAGTAAGTTAAAATTTAGACAAAGTATATGACTTTATTCACAGTAAGAAAGTATGTTTGTATATAAATGCATGGAAAACATGTAGAAGGATGTATATCAAACTTAACAGAGACCACTCTACAGAATATTTGGAGGAATAGTGGGGTTCTTACCTTGAATTTTAAAATAACCACTAGAGATTATTTTTTAAAAAATAAAAATAATATTTCTTGCCGGGTGTGGTGGCTCACAACTATAATCCCAGCACTTTGGGAGGCTGGGATGGGCAGATCACCTGAGGTCAGGAGTTCAAGACCAGCCTGACCAACATGGAAAAACCCCGTCTCTACTAACAATAAAAAATTAGTCAAGCATGGTGGTGTGTGCCTGTAATCCCAGCTACTCAGGAGGCTGAGGCAGGAGAATTGCTTGACCCTGGGAGGTGGAGGCTGTGGTGAGCCAAGATCGCACCATTGCACTCCAGCCTGGGTGACAAAAGCGAAACTCCGTCTCAAAAAAAAAAAAAAATAATAATAATAAATACAAATCATTCATAAAGTAAATTAAGAAAACAATTATATTTATAATTGCATATAAAGAATAAAATACCTAGGGATGGCCGGGCATGGTGGCTCATGCCCGTAATTCTAGCACTTTGGGAGATGGAGGAGGGCGGATCACCTGAGGTCAGGAGTCCGAGACCAGTCTGGCCAACACGTCAAGACTCTATCTCTATTAAAAATACAAAAAATTAGCTGGGCGTAGTGGTGTGCGCCTGTAATCTCAGCTACTCAGGAGGCTGAGGCATGAGAATCGCTTGAACCCAGGAGGAGGAGGTTGCAGTGAGCCGAGGTCGTGCCACCGCACTCCAGCCTGGGCAACAGAATGAGACTGTCTCAAAAAAAAAAAAAAAAAAAAAAAAAAAAAAGAAAACCAACAAAACAAAACAAAAAAACCTAGGAACAAATTTAACACAGGAGGCAAAAGACTTACACACTGGAAATTACAAGACACTGCTGAAGAATAAGACCTAAATAAATGGAAATACATCCTATATTCATGGATTGGAAGTCTTAATATTGTTAAGATGACAATATTACTCCAAATAATCTGCAGATTCAATGTACTCCTTATCAAAACTCCAACAGCCCTTTTTGCAGAAATGAAAAAACAGATCCTTAAATTCGTATGAAGCTGAAAGGGATCCAAATAGCCAAAACAACACTAAAAAAAAGAAAAAAGTTGAAGAACTCTCACTTCTCAATTTCAAAACTTACTACAAAGCTACAGTAATCAAAAACGGTGTAGTACTAGTATAGGGATAAATATATGGACCAATAGAAAAAAGAGTCCAGAAATAAAATCTCACATATATGGCCAATAGATTTTTAACAAGGGTACAAAGACCATTCAAATGGGGAAATACTGTCTCTTCAGCAAGTGGTGCTGGGAAAACTAGATATCTACATACAAAAGAATAAAGTTGGGCCCCTACCCCATACCATATGAAAAATTAACTCAAAATGAATTAACAACCTAAGTATAAAAAATAAAAGCATAACTTCTTAGAAGAAAACATAGGGAGGCCAGGGGTGGTGGCTCACACCTGTAATCCCAGCATTTTGGGAGGCTGAGGCGGGTGGATCACCTGAGGTCAAGAGTTCAAGATAGCCTGGCCAACACGGTGAAACCCCATCTCTACTAAAAATACAAAAAAATTAGCCAGGCGTGGTGATGCATGCCTGTAATCCCAGCTACCCAGGAGGCTGAGGCAGGAGAATCACTTGAACCCAGGAGACAGAGGTTGCAGTGAGCCAAGATCTTGCCACTGTACTCCAGCCTGGGCAACAGAGCAAGACTCTGTCTAAAAAAAAATAAATAAAAATTAAAAAAAAAGAAAACCTTAAAAATGAGAAAAACTATGTGCAAATCACATATCTATTAAGGGTCTAGTATCCAGAATATATAAAGCACTCTTACAAGTCAACAACAAATAACAATTTTTAAATGGGCAAAGGACTTCAACAGACATGTCTCCAAAGAAGATATACAAATGGCCAATGTGTACATGGAAAGATAAATACCATTAATCATTAGGAAAATATAAATCAAAACCATAATAAAATACTACTTTATACCCACAAGGACGACTATAATTTTTTTAAAAAGGGAAAATAAATGTTTGCAAGGATATGGAAAAATTGGAACCTTGTACATTGTTGGTGGGACTAGAAATGGTTTGGCCCTGTGGAAAACAGTTTTGCAAAAAGGTTACACAGACTTGCCATATAACCCAGCAATTACACCTCTAAGTATGAACCTAAAAGAACTGAAAACAGGGACTCAAGTACTTACACACCCATGTTCATAGCAGCCTTATTCATAAGAATTAAAAGGTGGGGAAAAAATCAAAAATCTATCAACAGATGAATGGATAAACAAATTATGATATATCCGTACCATGGACTATTCAGCCATAAAATGGCTAAGACATTACAACATGGATGAATATACTAAGTGAAAGAAGCCAGACACAAAAGGTCACATATTGTATGAGAACATTTATTTTACATGTGGTATCTAGAATTGTAAATTCATAGAGACTGAAAGCAGATTAATGATTGTCAGGGATGAGAGAGAGGAGAGAATAGTGTGTTACTGATTACTGGGTACGGGGTTTTCTTTTGTAGTGACAAAAATGTTTTGGAACTAGAGAGAGGTGGCAGCTACACAATATTATGAATGTACTAAATACATCTGAATTGTCAATTATTAAACTGCCTATTGTTATATTATGTGAATTTCATCTCATTAAAAATAAATAAAAGTTAAAAAAAATGTATAGGGAAGACCAAAACACCAATGGGGAACTGGTAAAGTAATGATGGTGGACTTCATTACTTTACCATGACATAACGAGACAGTGGTACCAGTGTAAACGGGCATCTTCTGAATCCCGTTGCCTCTCTGTGAAACACTCTAAGAGCTATTGCCAGGGGAAAAGGAAACCTACTCAAAACCAGGGGTGGTAAATAATCACTGGCTCCGTGACAGCAAAATGATCCATTGCCAGAAACAAAAGCCTAGTTCAGCTTAGCATAGGGGCTCAGAGGACAGCCAGCCTTGGTTGCCTTTAGTCTTTTCTCTACCCGAACTTAACCTACAGTGATGTACATTAAAAGAAGTTCTACACCCTCCCTTACAGGTGAGGAAACTAAACCATGGCTGCTTCTAGAGCCCATACACAGGGATGTGGGTAGGAACTCAAAAAATATTTACTAATTTGGCATACAAGTTGAACGTCCTTAATCCAAAAATCTGAAATAGAAATGCTCCAAAATCCAACACTTTTTGAATGCTGACATGACACCAAAAGTGGAAATTTCACACCTGACCTCATGTGACAGGTTACAGCCAAAATGCGGTCAAAACTTTATTTCATGCACAAAATTATTAAAAATATTGTATAAAGTTACCTTCAGTCTTTGTATATAAGGTGTATATGAAACATAAACGAACTTGTTATTTAGACTTGTGTCTCATCCCCAAGGAATTTCATTATGTATATGCAAATATTCCCAAATTCAAAAAAGTCCAAAGTCCGAAATACTTCTAGTCCCAAGCGTTTGGGATAGGGGATGCTCAAACTGTAAAAGCTATTTGTTATCATTTGTCAAACTGTGGAAATTAATAATTCTTCTATCTATCATCATAAATCTTCTCATGAGGCTGGGCACAGTGGCTCATGCCTATAATCCCAGCACTTTGGGAGGTCCATGCAGGAGGATCACCTGAGTCCAGGAGTTTGAGACCAACCTGGGCAACAAAGCAAGACTTCACCTCTACAAAAAATAAATTAGCCAGATGTGGTGGTGCATTCCTGCAGTCCCAGCTACTCAGGAGACTGAGGTGGGAGGACTGCTTGAGCCCAGGAATTTGAGGCTTCAGTAAGCAATGATCACGCCACTGCTCTCTAGCCTGGGCAACAGAGTGAGACACTGTCTCAAACAAAAGAAAAAAGAAAAAAGAAAAAAATTCTTATGTATAACTGTCCAAAAGCACACCCTATATCGCAGCAGGCTCATTTTGCAGGCTTTTCCTCGGGTTCTTGTTCTGATTGCAACGCTCAAGTTTGGAGCTGAAGTGCTCCTGCAATGGCATTAGGTCTCCCCTTCAGAGTGCTTTCACAGCAAGAGAAATTCACACCAGAAAGAGCACTTTTCAGCCACTTTCTGGGCCATGTGAATAACTTTCAGTTAACCCTTCTCTCAACAGGTACCAATCACCACATTTTAAAAGTAGAGACAGGGTCTCACCATGTTGCCCCAACTGGTCTTGAACTCCTGGGCTCAAGCAATCTGCTGGCCTTAGCTTCCTGAGTAGCTGGGACTACAGTCATGTGCCACCATGCCGGGCCATCGTTGCATTTTAATTTATATTATTTGTTTTGGCTATTTCAATGTGATTATTAGGACAAAACAAGAAATTTAAATTAAAAGGCAACTTTTCTAAAAATTCTTTTTTTTCTTTTCGAATCTGCGTTCTGAATAAAAATTCTTAAAATCAAACTGTTTCTATAATAAGAAAAGATGACAAAGTATCTACATATCTTTGTTTAATTCCTCTGATTGTAATAAATAAGCCATTATCAATACACAGTGGCTGAATCAAAAGGATTTGTTTTATACATTAAAGGTTGAAAGAGGAGAGACAGGGAATCTGAACTCTCCAGATTTTTATATTTGGTTTTAAAAGCCTTCTCCTCATTTAAAGTGTCATTATTAAAAATTATTAATTTTTTTAAATTCTAGAAACAACTGAAATCACGTTCAATATTTTTGAACCTTCAGACACATCTATAATTGTGGATCAGAGTTTAGGAAATCAAAAAAACACTCAGGGATTCTCCATTTCATTGTATCTTAAGACATTTTACAAAATATAAACAATCTCACACTTATTAACTATTTAAGACTTTAGAGTATTTCTGGCTCACTTTAGTCTCTGGCAGGGCTGGTTCCCATTTTGAAATGAGAACTCTATGTTAAGGTGGAGGATTTAGAGACTTACAAAGTCAAAAAGAAATCATAACTCCTACATTTTTAATCATCCATCCTTCTGGTATATGATTTGTCCCTAATTCTCACCAGAAAATGAAGAAAGTTTTGAAGAACGAGTTATTCTCAATGTAAATCTCCAGCCAGCCTCTGTCAATCATGTTGGCCTTTTCCCCCTAGTTAGCCTTTCTCCACCTCCTGCCTGAAAACTACACTACTATTTAATTGCTTTGTGACTTCACATTTTATTAAAGGCAGAAAAACATAAAGAGCTAAAACAAGGAGATAAGCCTATTGCCATAAATTGTCCCCTTAAGCAATGAAACCTGCCTCTCTAGTATAATAAGGTGGGTACTGTGAAAACCCCCAACAAGTGCACTTCTGCATAAGTCCACAGCCCCCATCACTTACAGCAGACCTTACAGTTCTCTCGAGCGCAGCACCATAGATCAGACCCCAGGGCAGTCAGCTGCATGCTTTCTAAAACCAGTGTGAAGGGCACAGCCCAGGGAGTCACTTTGCTCTCCACCCTCACCTACTCCAAATTTATCTTGTGTTCCCATGGCTGGGGGAGGGAAGCAGAAATAAGAGACAAGGTTACAAAAAATTTTATAAACTGATAGCACCCCACCTGCCATCCCATTCCCTAGAAGTCCAGTTACTTGTCATAACCCAGTGAACACATTTTAGCTAAGTGTTCATTTTCATAAATTTGGAAGAATTCACTTCTGTCCCTTTGGAGTCTCCATTTCTTCCTCTGTCGTGGGATGGAAATCATCATGATCAGATGATACCATGTTTCTGAAGGTGCTCAAGCCCTGGTCCTCTGTAAGATTACATCCAACGATTTACACAAACAAATCAGGTCTTCGTGTTTAAAGCCCTGTGAAAACATCAATGGGTAACTTCTCTAAGTTACTCTGGTTTTTTTGCCACCAGCCAAAAAACAAAGGCTTCAGGTGTTTTTAAATCCCACTGAGGTGTATAACAAAGTTTATGACATTAGTCAAAAAAAAAAATGCAAGTATATGGGGGGGGGGAATGTATAAAGATCTAATATATCCACTAAGCATAAAAAATGTCTGAAAGTATATACAATAAACTCAGCAGTGGTTATATTAGGAATAGGATCAAAAAGTGGGATACAAGAATCCTTTTTTTGTCTGTATGTTTTATTGTTTGAATATGTGAGAATGGGCACATCTGACTTTTGTCATTAATTTTAATTTTCAGAGTTAAAATAAGGAAAAGAATAATAATCCATATTTTCCAAACCAAAAACTGGAACACATGGTCTGCCAAAGGATTTTTATTCCACATCTAGAGATAAGAGGCAGTTAGGAAAGGTAGTCACTGGAATGTTCAAATTTCCAGGTTCCAACAGTTTAAAAAAACTGGCGGCCAGAATTATCTAAAACAAGATTGTCTACTAGCATTAGATATTGAACAAATAGTACAACTCCCTAAGTCAGTCACATGATGTCTTCTTTCTTCTTAGAAGGTAGGCTATGGTGGGTGACGCCAAGATCATCTTTCTTGGTATTGAACCAGCATGCTCATGAGCAATTTGGCTCAAGTCAATGAGCAGTTTCTGCATTTACGTTTTGCACAAAGGACTACCCAAGGAGAGAAAAGCAAACAGAAGAAAGAAAAAACAATATAATAGTGCTTAAGGACTATACTTTGAGTAAGGACTCTCTAATAAACAAGAACTACAAAAATTGCAGGTGGCTATTCATTTGGGAAAGAAATTAATTTTAATTCCTATCTCAAGTCACATTTCAAACTAAGTTTCATACAGATAAAATATTTTAAAATGTGAGATGAAACCATAAAACTACAATAAGGTAAATATAGTTAAATGCCTGTGCAATCTTGTGGTTAGAGATGTAATATTGATTCATTTCTTCTATAAATACTTGCCAGGTCTGACCGGCAGATTCTGGCTGAGCGATGGATGAAAAAACGTACTTAGACACAGGTATCCAGTGAAAGAGCGGACTAGGGGATCGGGGTGCTCACAGAAAGAAAGAGTCATAGCAGCTGTGGCCCTGACAAGCCAGTGCTGCGGGCATTTATTCAGTATGGATGTAATGACAAAGTCTTTGAGTCAACACACTTGTGGGTAATTAACATGGTTCCCCCTCCCCCGGCTTCCCGCTGCTCCCTGGGAAAGAGCAGTCCTGCGCACAGATGATTAAAGGCCAGGTTCTGAGGCCTAAGTAAACTAACTTATCTAGATCAATTCCTTTACATCCCCTTATTATCTAACCTTTGCTCTCAGGCTCCAGGTAAGAGAATTTGGCTGCCTTCAGCCAAACCCTTTTTTGAAGCTTTTGCAAAACCTCTTCCAAGAAGGTTTGCATCTTTTCCTACAATTTCTTCCACCACCCTGACCGATCTCCTACAAATACCACATGTTAAGCACTAGAGACCTCGCTGTGGTCAACACAGACAAGGTCCCTGCCCCTATGGTGTTACAGGCTGGAGGGGGAAACAGGAAAAGAGTAAGTTAATAAGAAATGATAATTGTGGCTGGGCACAGTGGCTCACTCCTGTAATCCCAGCATTTTCAGAGGCTGAGGTGGGTGGATCACCTGAGGTCAGGAGTTTGAGATCAGCCTGGCTAACACGGTGAAACCCCGACTCTACTAAAAATACAAAAATTAGCTGGGCGTCGTAGTGGGCACCTGTAATCCCAGCTACTTGCTAGGCTGAGGCAGGAGAATCACTTGAACCCAGGAGGCAGAGGTTGCAGAGTGAGCCAAGATCGCACCACAGAACTCCAGCCTAGGCGAGACTGCATCTCAAAAATAAATAAATAATTGCATATTGACAAGTGCTCAAAAGAGTGTGTGTGTGTGCGCGTGTGCACACATTTCCCAAGCAAAGAAACTGCACCTGCAGAATTTCAGGGACAGGAAGGAGGTTGGCATATTCCCTGGACTGAGAAGAGACCAGTGGGGCTGGAACATAGTGTTCAAGGGTGAGTGACAAGAGGTGGGGCTTTACAGCAGGAAAAGCAAGATCGTGCCAGGCCCTGCAGGCCATGATAACAAGAATGCCATGACGAGCTCAGGCAGGGGTATGCCAAGATGTGATCACACTTGAAAGAGATTACTCTGCTATGTAAAGAACTGACAATGGGCAACAAATACCAAGGCATTCTTACTTCCTAGTTAGCCTATATGGAAACCATAAAGAAAAAGATTTGACAACCTAAAATTAAATATTTATATACATTTAAAAGCAGTATAAAAATTCAAAGAAATTATCAAAACAACTAACATACTTTTATAATAAAAGACATTTAAAAATTTTAAATCTTTAAAATCTCGTTGCTGCAAGTCAGTAACAAAAATAGCAAATACCCCTCTGGAGAAATGGGCAAAGGATATGAACAGAAAACTCACAAAGGAATATAAATGGCATATGAAAAGATGTTCATCTGTCTATAAAACTGGTAAGGTTTTTTTGTTTGTTTGTTTTAAACTCCACTATCCAATGTTAAGGGTGTGGGAAAAGAGACCTCTCGCATACTGGTGATGGAACTGTAAATCGGTTCAGTCTTCCAGGCAATGTGTATTATATATTAAACCTCTTTCCTAATTTTATAAGAAAATAATTCAGAGCAGCCTCACAAATACAGTTAGAAGAATGTACATTAATGCATATGTCCAAAGTGAGATTTGTTAAAATACATTCCTGAAACAGAGTCTTCATCAACCTTTAATAATTACACAGCAGTGACTACTGATAAGCAGAGAGGTTTATAATTTTCAACTGAGAAAAGCAGGGTGCATTTCTGTATTTAAGAATCTTATTTAGGCATACACACCTAAAAAAAAAAATCTCCGGAAGAATATAAACAGTGGTTATTTAATGGTGGTAAAGTTACATATTTTTAACAGGTCTTTTATTTATCGATACATCTTTCATTTTTCTACAGTCACTACATACTGCATGAAGTCTCTAATAATAATGCATGAAGTCTCTAAGCAAAAATATACATATATATATCTAAAGCACCATAAAATATAACTTGAGACACACTAAACTGTCTGGTAAAGGAGGAAATGGAGAGGAGGCAGCGTAGACTGGAGTTGGATGAGAAAATGGTAATGTTAGAAAGGGACTTTGGGGAGCACCTGCCTAGTCCAACTCCTCATTTCACAGATTAGGAAAGCATCTATCATCTCCTCACTTCACCTCCCTGACTATAATAACAAAGGCTATTAGAACACAAAACAAAACTATTGCTACTCGGTCTTCACTAATTAAAAAACCATGTACCCCCTAAAAAGCAACCATAAATATCATCATGTGGCACTTAACTCCTGAGGAAAAGGTACCTAGACAGGAGCACAGCCCAACAGCTGCTTTGGTATTTGGAAACAAGAGGGTTATTGCAGAGTGCCGTTTTTTTCCTCACTCCTCAAGCAATTAAGAAATGTTTCCATCCTAATACTGCTCCTGTGCCTGTCTAGCACTGAGCTCACAAAGAAACATCCTCAGATAGTTACATCATCTGGCAAGGAAATCCTCAGCATGCCTAAGGGGTTCACAGAATCTGTCGACTTGGAGCCCAGACGTTTTTATCTGGGTCCTTCCTGCATCCTGCAGAGGTCTCTGGCAGGCATTTCTAATTCCTTGGCCCATTTCCCACACAGATACTCTAAATGGTTTCCCTTTCTCAAATCTAAAACCCCAAACCTACCACTTTTACTCTCCAGAAATAAATACTTCCTTCTTTCTTCATTCAGGCCACAATCCTTCAGCCCTCTTAATGTTCCTTTCTATTTCAAATCACCTGTGTCTACTTGCTCCATCTCCTCCCTCCTTCCTGGCTCAGGGGACGCATTCCTTCAGTCTCAAAGATGAAGCCCTCCACCCTGATCTATTCAGCCAGCCCTGTAGTCACGGAAGTCCTGGCCCCCTGTTTTTCCCTTTCTTTATGACTCCTTCCCCACCTCTCTCCCCGCTGGGTACCTCCCTCTCTTTTAGTATATCTAAGTTTCCTTACCCCAACTCTGCTCCCTCCTCCCAGTGGCATCCTCTTTTGCTCCTTCTTTTCCAGCAAATCTCCAGACCTGGGCATCTACACCTGCACCTCCTTAGCTTATCATGATGTTATGAAGCATCAAGAGTAAGTATTTACAGTCAGAAGGCCCAGAGTACACATTCAGCTCTGCCACTGACCATTTCCACAACCATCAGTGAGCAAGCCACTTAATCCTCCAAGTCAATTTCCTCCTCTGTAAGATGAGATTAATAATACCCGCTCCATCTCCTTCACAGCTGTGTTGTGAGGATCGAATGAGATAATGTGTGTGGAAGTGCACTGGCAGCTTAATATAAAGCACTTTAACATTCTAGTTATTCCTGTTATTACTCTATCCCTGACCTCTCAGCATCAACTGAGTCACGGAAGGTAATTTGTGATCTTCAGGTTGGTCACAGTGTTAACACTAACAATGCTTCAAGGTCAGCACTTTAGTTTCTACTGTGATTTACTGATTTGGTAATAATTACAATTCAAAAACAAGTATAACCTTGGGTTTTTTTAATCATATAAGCAGGGACTTCTGGAAGACAATACTAGTAGGCCAACAATTACTGAACACATACCAAAAGTCAGGCACTGTTCTAAAGTACTTTACCAGAGGGCTTTTATTACTATTTTCATTTTACTTACGGGGAAATTGAGGCACAGCACAGTCATGATTTGAACCCAGGCATCTAACTCTACAGTCCGTGCCCTATCCGATTCTGTTAGTGGCAAAGTGGGTGCTAGATAGAAATAAACCAGTAAGGAGATCATGACTACTACAGCATTAGAGGCAAGAGATAATATGGACTTAAAAAGGAATACCTAGAATGTTTTTTAAAAACAAACACTTTTTTTTTTCAAATTGCTAACTACCAATGTTGCTGAGAGCTGAAAGTTACCAGGTACTTCAATATACTGCTACTGAGATTATAAACTGGTGTGGCCTTTCGAGAAAACAGTACATCAACAGAGTAAATTAACAGAATACATCAACACCTGAGTGCTACATTCTATCATTGTTCAGCAATGCCACTTCTGGCAATTTATCCTAAGGAAATAATCATAGATGTGCATGACAGATGTTCACTGCAATGTTATTTCTAAAAGTAAATAACAAGAAACAATATAAATGTCTAATAAAAGGAGATGGGATAGAGAAACCATTACATTTCCATATAACTGAATACTATGCTGTCATTTAAAATGATGCTGTAGAAAAAAGAAATAAGCATTTTATTAAGGAAAAGAAGTATGTAAAAAAGCCCACTGATATGGGCTTTGGTATCTCACTGGTTTAAGTTCTGAACCAGTGTGGGTTTACCAGCTATGTGAACATGGGCAAGTCATTTCTTTCTTTCTTTCTTTTTTTTTTTCTTGAGACCAAGTCTAGCTCTGTCACCCAGGCTAGAGTGCAATGGTGCAATCTCAGCACAATGCAACCTCTGCCTCCCAGGTTCAAGCAATTCTCCTGCCTCAGCCTCTCTAGTAGCTGGGATTACAGGCATGTGCCACCACGCCCAGCTAATTTTTGTATTTTTATTAGAGACGGGGTTTCGCCATGTTGGCCAGGCTGGTCTCAAACTTCTGACCTCAAGTGATCTGCCTGCCTTGGCCTCCTAAAGTGCTGGCATTACAGGAGTGAGCCACTGTGCCTGGCTAATTTCTCTGAGCTTCAATTGTCCTGTGTGTAAATGAGGATAATAAAAGTACCAAGGGTTATGAGAATAAATTAATATATATAAAATGCTTGGTATTTAGCTTGGCACAGCACAAGCATGTAATAAATGTTACTCAAGTTGCAAAAATAGAGAAAGCTAACACAACAACACATGCACATATTCTAAAAACTTGGAAAATAATATAGTACAATTTTAACATTGATTATCTCTAGAAACAGAGTAACAGATTTTGATTTAAACTCTCTATTTTCTAGGTTTATTGAATAAAGCCTGCAATAAATTGAGTATCTCCATTTTTTTCAGTCTTAATACTCCTTTTGATGTATCAAGTTTCCCTAGTATTATCTAGTCTGTGCATATTGTGTTTATGAAAATGGGGTATTTATTGACTTAATCTGCAGAGTAATACAATTCACTTTTATTCTTCAGAGTAAAACAGCTTGCTCATATTTCATCCTATAAAAGTCTTTTCTCAATCATACATTTGTAGATCAAGAGCAGTCTGAACAGATCATTGGAGCATAAAAGACTAGGGAACAGATTCGTACCTCTAAAAAGCAAAGTTAAAGGAAACAAACATGACAACTTCATGATAGTTATAAAGAAAAAAACGATATGTTATCTTAATTATGTAAGGCCAGAAATTACTGCAATAAATATTTCAACTCCGTGGACAATTTCCTAGTGTGATCAAAAGATGAAAGTAATTCACTAGTTCAGAAGTCCATCCAGTATAGTGACCATCATTCTGAAAGGAAAAAGAAATGTTTTTGAGGGAAATGTAATGGAACAATACTCATTTTTAGGCTTGAGATCTGCAGGAGAGGGGAATCAATACTAGAGACTGCTACGCATTTTGGAAATCAAAGTACAGTTAAGCCACTTTCCTGCTGGGGGTGCAGGGGCAGGCCAGAATAAAAGGGAGCCTAAGATATCATGCAAAGAGTCCCTTTTGCTTTAGGTAAAGGCTAGCTATTTGCTCTCGTGACTCTCCACCACTGCAAAGAAAAGCGCTGGATCCCTCATAGCTTTCCACCTTCTGTTCTGTTCTCCTCCTCCGTGTGTTTGGTAGTACAAACATAATTCAGCACATGCATACCACTCTATTTTTATGTATTTTTTAATGTCTATCATACTTACTCAGACCACTCCATAACACACACATGGCTTTTCTCCTAAAACTGTTAATGGCAGTTCCCTGGGACTAAAACCTCGGAACTGTTTTCAAGTCATCTCTCTCGTCATTACCTTCCACTAACAGTCACCACCACTTTCCCCGAATGTCCAGCTGCTCTCTACCCCTTCTTTTTCACTCCTATCACACTGCTGAACCCAACTTCCTTGGCATACCTCATCTGTTTATAACAAGAGCCTCTAACTTGGACCCTCTGCAGATCACAGCCTATCCACTCTCTCTTACAGAGAAATTGCTTTCATCCTATTCCTGTAACCTTGAATAGGCCTGGGCCCATCCCCTTGACTGTAAAATGAAGAACTGGTCTCAACATTCTCCATCCTCACTGTGCTTTGAAGTCAGATGTCACTGGGCATGAATCCTGGTCCAGCCACTCTGCCA
This sequence comes from Homo sapiens, assembly GCF_000001405.40. NCBI lineage: Eukaryota > Metazoa > Chordata > Mammalia > Primates > Hominidae > Homo > Homo sapiens. The sequence goes on along the minus strand of NC_000009.12, from coordinate 586,186 downwards.
AACTTAGACAAGTATGTCTGCTCAAAATTCCATCTCACTATGCATAAAATGGGAACTAGTACATCTACTCCAAAGCTTGCTGTAAAATAATAATGACATCTTATGCCTTACAGATCACACAGCAGGTACTCAACAATATTGCTTATTCCCATCCCACCTTACAGAATCCCACAAACTTTGAAGTTCTCTTGTCTTATAACTTCCAAACCTAACGTTTTCTTACATCTACATCCCTAGTGATAATGATTTTCTCTTCCATCACATATAAACTCCCCTGTTGACCTTCAGTTCTTCCATTATCTATCACTACTTTATCTTCCTTTAATTTCCAATAAACGTCTTCTATTCAATCAGATTAGTCTGATCATTTTCCCAAGAACAAACACTTACACCCTGCCTTTGTGCCCATCAGTTCCCCATAGACTTTTCTTACCCCCTCTTTCAAGGCCCAGTTTGAATCCGAAGCCCCAGCAATGCCGACCTCGCAAACAATTTAACCCTCACACAATGCCTTAACATTATTGTCTACTCTTCCATGTTCACCAAGATTAGCTGTCCAGCTGACAAAGACTATTTGGATTATTCTAAGTTAAGCTTTTTACTTCAGTGTGGATTGTATTAGAGTTTTTACAAACTACATATTTTTTGGATCGGTTCTGTCAATGCTTTTTGAAATTCATAGGCCTTTGTGCCTTAAGGTAAGCGTCTTTTATTAATTCCATCATTTTTATTTGAGGCTGATACAAGGAGCTTGTTCCATCATCAATGGGTAGACCATTGGTAGACAATCTGACAGCTGTCTCAGGAAGCCAGATATGAATTCTAAGTATGTCCAATGTCTGTCAGATTTTGTGACAAAGTGAACGTGTTCTAATTGCAAGTACCATTTTAAGACCAAACTCTCAATGGCAGCAAGGATGATGCACAGCGGGCAAAGATGACTTGTTGCTAGAGTTTTACCTGAAGATGATGGTTGAAGCTCCAGGGGTAAATGAAAGTTCTAAGGGGAATCAGTAGAAGACACAGTGAAGGGTCAAGGGACATGGAAGAAGACACTGAGTGGTTACAGAGGCAGGAGAATAACCACAAGGGTGGAGAGGCACACAAGCCCAAAGAGAGTTGAGTAACACATCAAATGCTGCAGATAAGGACAAAATGTCACTGGGTTTAACAATAAGGAAGGGGGTCACTCATGACCCCTAAGGGCAGTTTTCAAAATGGCAGATACAGGATGCTGACTGCAAGGCATTGAGGAGAAACTGGGAGGAAGGCAAACGGAAACAAGCAGAGACTTCCTGCCAAGAACTTTGGCTCTCAAGCCAAAAGGTTTGTGCTGGTCATTTTCTAACCCTGAACTTAACAGCTCAACCAAATACCCAAGCTTGCTCTTCTTCCCTTGGTCCTCACCTGTCCATGTGCAGCGAGCCTGAAAGCTGAAGATAACTGACAGTTGACTGCAAACCCTTCCCGCCTTTTCTCTTCCAGCACCATCCTCACATGCCTGGTTTTGGTTCCCTAACAAATCTTACAGAACTATTCAACAGCTCTATGTTATCAAGTCTCAAATGCTAAGTTATATTCTTCTTCTGCTGTAGGTAAATGATAGTTACTTATTTAACATAAAAGGAAAGACACCAAAATGTGTCAAATCAACAGAACAGAAGTCTAGGTTCAGATCAAATACCATATTACTATCTTTGGATAACCTATGTAATTTATGCTGAATTATTAAAAAATAATTTTTCTTCCTTCAAAGTAGTACTTTGTTCTTTACTGTAAGTTCATAAAAATCAAAGAAAAAATAAAAATCATGAGGATAATTAGCACTTTGTTGAACCGCCTTCCACTTTTATATGTATGCATGACACATAAACATAATACACAAATGTGTAAGTGCATGTAAGTTTCACTAAAAGTAAATCATATGATATTACTTGTAACTTGTTTTTCCCACTTATTCTGATAGAAATTCTGTACCATTTAATAGTCTTGTATGCTTTCATTTTTAATGACTGATCAATAATCCATTTTAATAAATTCCCTTGAAGCACTTAAGTCACCTCTTATTTTTGATTATATATGTAATGCTGAGAAAGATATCCTTCACTATACCATCAAGTATTTGCCTGGGATAAGGTCAAGGTCAAATGTACAGAAAATGTGAGGATCTGATATTGTTAATTTGCCCTACACAATGTTTGACCCAGTGGCACATGACAATACCCACTCCTCCACACCCCCTCTAACAATGGGTAATGTTATTTTTTAAATTGTATTGTATAGATTTAATTTTTAAATTTTGATTAGCATATCTTTGGGGTTGAACACTTCGCACCTTTTTACACTCTTGTTCATGTTCTCTATTTTTCTACTACTGTGTTCATCTTATTGATCTGGAATACCTTTTCATATATCCAAGATATTAATTTCATATATCCAGGATATTAATAAAGGAAGTATATGTTAATATATATTACTATATAATGGATTTATATATTTATATATTAATATTAATCCATATATCCTTGATAATGGAGAGAAAACAGTATATTTATTGAAACTTTTGCCTACAAGGAACAAAATCAACTGAAGCATATTAGAGCCATAAAGGATCTTTATATAAGGATACTGAGGGATCCTTCATAGAAGGATACTAATATTAAGCTTTGTCATGTGTATTACAATTCGTTTCCCCAGCGTATTTTATTTCTAAAATGGAAACATCACTACTTCACTAATCTATTTTGAAGATTAAAGAACATGCAGGTAAAGTCATGAGTGGAAGTAATCATCATAAAAACAAAAGCAAAATTGCTGCTACTTACTGAGGACTTAATAAGGTCCCGTATCCTCTCAGTCCTTATGATGAACCTACTAGGCAGGCATTTCCATTCCTCTTTTACAGATAAAATGTAACAGATACCCATAGACAATAAAGTGATAGTTAGATTTTAATTTTTACAAATAAGCTCTGTATTGATCCTAAAAAAGACTTGGTAACAGAATTATTCCCAGCTGTGTTTGTAGTAAAATTTCCTCCTTAGAAGTAATCCCAGGGACTACTCCCATTTCTGCCAGCCACAAACCAAGTTACTAGGTTCTGCACCAACCAGTCTTTTAAGTTTCTCTAGTAAATTCTCTTCTTCCCCTTCCTCTATGACATATCTTTACTATTAAGTGTCATTCTGATATCAAAAAAAATATTTTTGGCTAGGAGCCAAGGCTACATTATCAGTCACTACAAGTTTAATCTGATGACAGATACTTTGCTAACATTACAAATACATTAAAGGTTCTTCACCGGCTTATATGTTAGTGACGTCTATAGTAACAGTGTACATCTGAACCCACGCTTTTGTGAGGGGCAAAGCACACTGTGCTGTATAAATATTTTATGTACAGCTTGTACTGAAATTCTAGATGAAGAGGCATTCACAGAGCCTCTGTAATATGCTGGTTACTCAAGACAGCATATTTTTATTAAAGTTGTGTGCAAGCTTTGCCATACTCTACAGAGATCTCCTTTATTTAATCATAGTTCTCCCACCCCAAATGTTTTTATTTTTTAAATGCATTGGTTGTGCTATGGGCAAGGCAGCATCTGAAATAATGGCAAAAGGAAGGTAGCTGATCATCTAAACTGGTTGTAGTCAATTAGGCTAGCCACTGAGGATTCTGAGGGCAAAAGTGCACAGTGTGAGTGAGGCTGGTAGATGAGTTTCTTTGCAGGAATATTAACAGAACTAGACTACCCATTGCCAGAAAAGGGAAAAGGAAATACTTTTATTAGTTCACTGAAGATTTATAGAAAATGCTTAAGAATTTGAAGGCTACTCTTACGGAATAACAGGTTTCCAAATGGGTTTTGGAAACAGCCAAACAACAACAACAACAAAGAAATGCCTCAAATCCTCCTGACAATTTGGGGCAGGTAAAGCCACACACACCCCCCATACTCCCCTCCTCCCACAAACCTCCAGCAAGTAGCCATGAAGAAGGGCAGTTGCCACCTCTACGTGGGGAACTGGCCACAGGAGACTGCTGCTAGGTGACCACAGAGAAGCAGCGCCTCTTGCACCACCTGGCGGCAGCCAGCATTTGAGCAGTTACCAACTCTGGGGCAGGGGGAGTTCCAATGTTTTTCTCTCTGAAATTTCCTCATTCACAAGGGTCGAGGGCTCTGGCTTACCTTCTTGAGGAGAAAAGCAGGTGAGAAGATAGCAAGATCTCTCACACTTAAGGGAGATCTTGGAAGTGAATGACTGTGAAACTCTGAGTGGCAGATGGCCATACCTGCACTCTGGCTGCACCCTGAGGTGTGCAGCAACCCCAGGAGGATGGCTGGATGCTGACAAAGCACCCTCCCTAGCCTCAAATGCAGCCCAGAAGCAGTAGGGACTGGTGTAAACGGATAACTTCTCAGGCCTTCCTGACATCATGACATTAGTAAAGCCTGGAACCTTGGCACAACTCTGGGAGGGTGATATGGGAAAGAAATCCAAGAATAATCGAGGTGAATCTTTCTGCTACCTGAAAGCAGTAGAAGCTTAAAGTCAAGATTAAGTCTATTTAGCAAACTGCAATATTCTCTGCACCTCTAGTTTGTGGACTAAGATTCATTCCCAATTCAAATTAACCCATTACCAAGCAAGTGCACTAATGAAGAATGGTTCATAGCTAGTAACCTATGTATTTTCTTAGTTCAACATCATTGACTTCCATCAGTGGATCACGGATCAAAATGGTATTCAGAATAAAGGACACTTTTAAAACAGATTTACGAGAAGGCTCTTGTATCATGCAAGCATTTCACAAAGAATTTCCAGTCTCACTTGCCACCAATGCCATGTAAAGGGTCTGTTTAAGATAGGCATTGAGAGGTGACAACGTGCTGTCAGCCCTTGCCTGCTCTCGGCGCCCCCTCTGGCCGTGCTTGAGGAGCCCTTCAGCCCGCCGCTGCACTGTGGGAGCCCCTCTCTGGGCTGGCCGAGGCCGGAGCCGGCTCCCTCTGCTTGCGGGGAGATGTGGAGGGAAAGCCGTGGGTGGGAACTGGGGCTGCACACAACGCTCGCGGGCCAGGAGTTCTGGGTAGGCCAGGAGTTCTGGGTAGGTGTGGGCTCGGCGGGCCCCACACTTGGAGCGGCCGGCCCCTGGGCAGTGAGGGGCTTAGCACTCCAGCCAGCAGCTGCGGAGGGTGCGCTGGGTTCCCTAGCAGTGTCAGCCTGCCAGCGCTGCGCTCCAATTCTCACCAGGCCTCAGCTGCCTCCCCGTGGGGCAAGGCTCGGGACCTGCAGCCCACCATGCCGGAGCCTCCCCCAGATGCCGTGGGCTCCAGCGCAGCCCAAGCCTCCCCAACGAGCACCGCCCCCTGCTCCGCGGCGCCCAATCCCATTGACTACCCAAGGGCTCAGGAGTGCGGGCGCACAGCGCGGGACTGGCAGGCAGCTCCGCCTGCGGCCCCAGTGCGGGATCCACTAGGTGAAGCCAGCTGGACTCCTGAGTCTAGTGGGCACTTGGAGAACCTTTATGTCTAGCTAAGGGATTGTAAATACACCAATCAGCACTCTGTGTCTAGCTCAAGGTTTGCAAATGCACCAGTCAGTGCTCTGTGTCTAGCTGATCTAGTGGGGACTTGGAGAACTTTTGCGTCTAGCTCAGGGATTGTAAATGCACCAATCAGCACCCTGTCAAAATGGACCAATCAGCTCTCTGTAAAATTGACCAATCAACAGGATGTGGGTGGGGCCAGATAAGAGAATAAAAGCAGATGCCTGAGCCAGCAGTGGCAACCTGCTCAGGTCCCCTCCCACAGTGTGGAAGCTTTGTTCTTTCACTCTTTGCAATAAATCTTGCTGCTGCTCACTCTTCGGGTCCGCGCTGCCTTTATGAGCTGTAACACCAGGAAGGTCTGCAGCTTCACTCCTGAGGCCAGCGAGACCACGAACCCACCGGGAGGAATGAACAACTCCAGACCGGAGGAACGAACAACTCCAGACGCGCCGCCTTAAGAGCTGTTACACTCACCGCGAAGGTCTGCAGCTTCACTCCTGAAGCCAGTGAGACCACGAACCTACCAGAATGAAGAAACTCTGAACACGTACGAACATCAGAAGGAACAAACTTCGGACACACCATCTTTAAGAACTGTAACACTCACCGCAAGGGTCTGTGGCTTCATTCTTGAAGTCTGTGAGACCAAGAACCCACCAATTTCGGACACAGCATCACTGGAGACAGCAGATGCTGACAGTCATGAAGCCTCATGGGGTGGAGTCATATTAGAAAATTCAGCACAATCCAGGACTGATTCACTGTCTGGCCTGAGGTTTTTCAGGTCCAACCTCCAGATTTTCTTAGAGCCAAAGATGATTACTTTCTAAGTGTGGGGTTAATGAACCCACAGCAACATGTGAACGGAATAACATAGGGAGAATGCTTTTGTTCCATCTATGCAAGCTACTCCTCTCTTTGGGGTCTTCTGACTGGGCCACAGGGTCAGAGGTGGACCTCCCATACTGCCTCCCTGCACCCACCTACCTCCCCCACCATGGCTCACTGGACCACATAAAGATGTGAGACCTATGCTGAGAAGATGCTTCTCCCCTAGGGTTTTAAAATTGGGGCTGAGGAGCTGACAGGCGGGCTCCAGATGGAGCTGGATCTGTGTGTTGCATGCTGTGGACGACACAACAGAGCTGGAGTGCAGAAAGGTGAGGATGGAGCTGAGAGAAGCAGGGACAACACACAGAGACAGAGTCCTTCAACTTCCTGTGCTTTTCTATTTTTGATTCTTAGGTTTTCTCTGAAGATCCTGGATTTTGGGGAGGACTTCAGTATCCTGATAACATCCTCCCCAAGTTTGTTTTGTTCCTAGAAGCCAAAGATTCCCAGTTGAATACCATCCTTTCCCCATTACCAAGCTAATACCCAGCTGTGCTACGGGAGCCCACACTGGGGGCAGAGGGAAGCAGACCCAGGGTGGGTGGGTCGGGGAAGGCTACGTGGAGGGCACCAGCCCTCAACTGAATACCTCCCCAGTTACTAGACCTCCCATCCCTGCAGCTTCAGTGTGCCTTCCCTGCCAAACTGTGCCTCACTGAACCCGATTTTTCTTGGCTTGCATGCGGAATACTCTGCTTCAGCTGGCATTTTTTATGTCTATGTGTTCAAACATGCATATAGTCAATTTTTCCTATTTTCAGCTGCAGACATTTATTAAGTCAAGATATAACAGTCAAATTCCTAGAGTTATGAGAGTGCTCTGCCCTCCATCCCCTCCCCATGGATAAGCTCGTCATCTTCGAGATGGGATTTTTAGCATAGCTTGAGCCTACATTTCAAATAAAAGTTAAATATTATACAGAGGTGGGAGAAAATGATTATGTAGAGTAATATTAGTTTTCTGACAGAACTGGTAGGATTTGGAATAATTTCTCCCATAAACATCCAAGTACAATTTCTTGAGGGTAAAGAAGAGTCCAACTTAGTAATGGTTATTTTATTTTCAATTGTCATGCTTGATTTTTTCCTAAAACTTGCACTGATGCTTTAACAGTGCATAAATCTAGCTGTTTACATATTTATTTTTTAAAATCAACATTGAGATATACTCCTAAACTATGATGATGTTCCAGGGGAAAACAATTAGAATAGATATATTTAGTTTTTAAGATTTTTGTATAGAGGACTGCACCCCCTCCCTGCCGCCCAACAAAAAAAAAAGGCTTTTTCTTTCAGGATTAATAAGAAATGAAACATTTAATTGTCTGTGGTCCATGTCAACAATGTTGCTAATATATTTCATTTTTTACCCTCCATGGCTTAGCAAAGGCAAACACACACACACACACACACACAGTTGAAAAATAAAATAAAGAGACTCAAGAATCCAAATCATACTTCCTTACTTGGTATCTAGATATATAAAGCAAGAAGAATGTTTCCTACTTTGTTTGAAGCAAATAAAACAAAAGGTGAATGCTTTTACTGATTTATTTCTGGGGTGATCCAACGAGAAAGCAATTTTCTGAGGAGTCCTCATTTGGCTCAGTTCTGCCCTTTAAACCATAAGCCCCAGTATGGCCAGTTCAGTATCCTCTGGTGTTCTTCTCTTCTCTCTCAGTTCTTGTGGAGGAAGTGATCACATCTAGGGGTGACCTGGTTACAAGGTGAAAGGAGGCCTCCTAGCTGGGCTCTGAGTGAGGGAATGATGTGTGCACAGGTAATGATCAACAACTAGCACTCTTTGGGGCTTTGCAGGATGCCATTGTGAGCTTCAGGGTGCTCCTATTCCCAAAGTTTACAGGTGAAACAGCTTTACTTTCCCAGAAAATTATAATAAAAAGTACAATTTTAAAATCCTACTTCTCATGCGTAAAGCCAGTGGTTCTCAAATGCTAGCATAAATCAAAATCACCTGCAAGACTTGTTGAAACATAAATTCCTGGGCCCTACCCTCAGAATTTCTGATTCAAGAGGTTTGGGGTGGAACTTGAGAATGTGTACTTCTACCAAGTTTCCAAGTGATGCTGTTTCTGGTCAAGGGACATTTTGAGAATAACTGCCTTAAACAAAGAAGTCTGAAGGGTGGGCACAAGCTATCTGGGAGATGATACTGAGAGGTGAAGCCGGCTGAGCTTCTGGGTCGGGTGCGGACTTGGAGAACTTTTCTGTCTAGTTAAAGGATTGTAAACACACCAATTAGCACTCTGTGTCTAGCTAAAGGTTTGTAAGCGCGCCAATCAGCACTCTGTAAAAACGCACCAATCAGCGCTCTGTGTCTAAAGGTTTGTAAACACACCAGTCAGCACTCTGTGTCTAGCTAAAGGTTTGTAAATGCACCAATCAGCACTCTGTAATAACACACCAATCAGCACTCTGTAAAATGGATCAATCAGCTCTCTGTAAAATGGGCCAATCAGCACTCTGTAAAATGGACCAATCAGCAGGACGTGGGCGGGGCCAAATAAGGGAATAAAATCTGGCCACCAGAGCCAGCAGAGGCAACCCGCTTGGGTTCCCTTCCATGCTGTGGAAGCTTTGTTCTTTCGCTCTTCACAATAAATCTTGCTGCTGCTCAGTCTTTGGGTCTGCACTACCTTCATGACCTGTAACACTGCAAAGGTCTGCAGATTCACTCCTCAAGTCAGCGAGGCCATGAACCCACTGGAAGGAAGAAACTAAGGACTCATCTGAACATCTGAAGGAACAAACTCCGGACACACCATCTTTAAGAACTGTAACACTCACCGTGAGGGTCTATGGCTTCATTCTTGAAGTCAGTGAGACCAAGAAACCACCTGAAGGAACCAATTCCGGACACAATACAAGCTTTCTGTTAATAGTATAGAAATCTATTTAACAGTTATTTATCATGCACCAGGTACATGGTACGTACAGGGAATGTCATGGTTTGCAAAAAAAAAACAAGGTCCCTCCTCTTCCTCTCCCACAAACCTGAAATAAAATTACTGTTCCAGGAAGAAGCACCAAGTTCAAGATGAAGCTTTCTGTATCTCCAACACAAACTGCATGCCCCATGAGGAAATGTACAGTCCCCTAAATGAAACAATGTCAAGTCTCCGTGATTGCCAGTGAAAGAATCGAAGCAAACGTCTGAGCCTGCTCTCAAGACTGAGATTACAACTAGAAAATGATGAAGTACCCAAAACATATAAGGAGCACACTATGACAAGCATATGATTGGCATGAGGGCTAAATGCAAGGGAACTGTGGGAAAGATAGGCACAGTGCCTAGCAGAGCAAATATTGGTTCCTCTTCTGCTTTCTTACCTATCTGTATATTAAAAGGGAGGCCAGTAAGGTTGTCTATGCTGGGCCTTCAAGGAGGCTGCCAGCTGCTTCTTACCTTGTATACACTCAGGACCCAAGGGTATGTTATCTCAGCAGCCCTGAGCATTTAAACTCATAAAATTATAAAAGGATGGTATGAAGCTAGTGGTACTGAAACTTTATCATGAATCAGAAGTATGTGGAGGGCTTTGTAAAAACACAGATTCCTAGACTCCCACCTTCAGAGTAAGCAGTAGGTCTGATAGGGCCTAAAAATTTAAAATTTCTAATAAGTTCCCAGATGATGTGAATGATGCTGGTCCATAGACCATACTTTGGGAATCATTCATTAAACTTATTGTTTTTTGTTTTGAGATGCAGTTGCACTCTGTTGCCTACGCTGGAGTCCAGTGGCACAATCTCAGCTCACTGTAACCTCCACATACTGGGTTCAAGCGATCTTCCTGCCTCAGCCTCTCAAGTGGCTGGGATTATAGGCATACACCACTACATCTGACTAATTTTTGTATTTTTAATAGAGACAGGATTTCACCATGTTGACCAGGCTGGTCTTGAACTCCTGACCTCAAGTGATCGGGCCCGCCTTGGCCTCCCAAAGTGCTGGGATTACAGGCATGAGCCACTGTGCCCGGCCAAGCTTATTGCTTAAGCCATTCTTTCCTTGCTATTAACTAGAACACTATCTCTGTAATTAATTTTTTTTGAGACAGGGTCTTGCTCTGTTGCCCAGGCTGGAGTGCAGTGACATGATCATGGCTAACTGCAGCCTCAACCTCCCAGGCTCAAGCAATCCTCCCACCTCAGTCTCCTGAGCAGCTGGAACACAGGTGTGCATCACCATTCCTGGCTTTTTTTTTTTTTTTTTCCCTGTAGAGACAGGGTCTTGCTATGTTGCCCAAGCTGGTCTCAAACTCCTGGGCTCAAATGATCCTCCCAGCTCAGTCTCCCAAAGTGCTGGAATTACAGGCAAGAGCCACTGTGCCTGGCCTCTGTAATCTATTATATAAAACAGAAGTCTCATGAAGTACTAAGAATAGTGGCTTTTGTCACCAACTGCGTGACTGACCTCAGGCAAATACTGTACTAACTTTCTCTGTGCTTTAACTTTACAGATATAAGTGGAGCTTATCTCCAAATTATACAAATCTCACTGAAGGTTATTACTATGCAGTTTTAAGGACATTACCAAGTATCAGCTGCTGCCTTGTCTTTGAGAATATTGTTCACTGCTTTAATTGAAATATGTCAGAACATTTAAGACAAGTACCCTAGACTCCTCATTTGCCAAGCAAGATGGGAGAAGCCCAGGATCTTTTTCTGTTTTTGTTTTTTTAAACATAAAGCCTAGCAAATGTTAGCCTTCTCAAAATTCAGAATAACCTGAGAAGATGCTTTTGATATGTAAAATGACTTCAAGTTCCCCTGTGGGCATAAAGACAAGGCAAACACAGGTTTCAACTTAAAAAATATATACACTTAAAAAAAGAAAAAATATTTTTTTTCTTTTTTTTTTTTTTTTGAGACGGAGTCTCACTCTGTCACCTAAGTTGGAGTGCAGTGGTGCAATCTCGGCTCACTGCAACCTCCCACCTCGCAGGGTCAGCGATTCTCCTGCCTCAACCTCCCAAGTAGCTGGGACCACAGGCACGTGCCACCATGCCTGGCTAATTTTTGTATTTTTAGTAGAGATGGGGTTTCATTGTGTTGGCCGGGCTGGTCTTGAACTCCTCACCTCAGGATCCACCCGCCTCAGCCTCCCAAAGTGCTGGGATTACAGGCATAAGCCACCACGCGCGGCTGAGAAAGAATATTTTCAAACATTACAAATAAAAAGGCTTCCTCCCTGTTGAGAACAGAGTGGTACAGCTGCTCATTTCAATATTAACAATCATATAAATGACATACTTCAATTTAAGGTGGAAAAGCAGGAAGTGAGGCTCATTTTCCCAGAGCACCCCATACTTCAATTTAAGGTGGAAAAGCAGGAAGTGAGGCTCATTTTCCCAGAGCACCCCAGTCAACTAGGTCAAGCATTAAAATATGCCAAAGGAATGTTCCCTCGAGCCTCATTCATTATCAGAGTGCAGGCTCTGGTATTTCAGTAAAGACCGCTGGGGCCCTGCCCACTCAACATCCTCATGATCCTTAGCCTTTATGGAATGTTACAGGTACAGAGCTTCGGCCCCCTTTCCTAAGGGAAGAGTGGGTGCGAGCTGCGCTTTTCAAACATGTGCGGCAGAGAACAAAGGCCACATGATGTTAGTGATGCATCAGTGATTTCTACTTCTACAGGACAAGACTCCTTCCAGTACAATAAAGACAAATCCAGGTTACCCTGGCAAACTTCTTGGAAGCACAGAGCTGCGGCGGATGGGCACAGCCCATTAATCTCCTGGTTGGCTCCTCCAAGCAACTCTCAGCTTTCTACTCTAAACCTCTAATTAAAGCTAAATGCAATTACAAAACAAAAAGTGCCCTGTTCATCTACAGTCCACCCAGTCTAACAGAAAACCTTTCAGAAGTGTGTATGAATCTTGTAAATGTAGGAAAACTGACCTTCTGACATCAGTCACTCTCAGCACAATGAAGTAATTCCTGTCTTTTCACTCAGGATTTCGAAAGCAAACCATCAATCAATGGGTGAGGTGGGGGTGGGAGTGTTGAGCTAGAAAACGTCAACCATTTTAACATTTTCTTTAAGATAAAAATAAAATGCCCGCGACTTACTTAATCCCTGCTATCCTCACCACCTTTTCTCACTGATACCGACTTATATTACTTCTGGCTTTAAAAAAAAAATCCTTGACCGGGCGCGGTGGCTCATGCCTGTAATCCCAGCACTTTGGGAGGCCGAGGAGGGCGGATCACGAGGTCAAGAGATCGAGACCATCCTGGCTAACACGGTGAAACCCTATTTCTACTAAAAATACAAAAAAATTAGCCACGCGTGGTGGCGGGCACCTGTAGTCCCAGCTACTCGGGAAGCTGAGGCAAGAGAATGGCGTGAACCCAGGAGGTGGAGCTTGCAGTGAGCCAAGATTGCGCCACTGCACTCCAGCCTGGGTGACAGAGCGAGACTCTGTCTCAAAAAAATAATAATAATAATAATAAATCCTCATTTTTATTTATTAGATAAGTTTAGTGACAAGTGAAATCAAGTTGTTCCTCTAGCTCCTCCACATTTACAAATTATACTTTATTCTCTGATTATAGAGACTGTCCTTTGGTAATGACATCAACTCACGCAGCACTTGACTGACTGCAGCAGCATATCAGCATCATGAATACTCCAAGTCAGACTCTCTTCCATATCTGCCAGTAATTACAATTTACACCAGCTCAAATATTTTCTCACAAAGCATGCCAGAAGAAAAGAGAACTTTTGGTTAAACCTCAACTTTATTGTATTAGGACATACATTGTGATAATAGTAATGAGACTGCAAAGTATGAAAAGGCAAGTCCTAAATGGATCACTTGATCCAATCTTACCTTTTTCTAGCCCAAAAAGAAATTTTATTTCAGAAATTTTTAATATAAAGATGGAAATGTGGGAAGACCGTTATGCCAGAAACAGCGATGTTTTAACTCATGAGTTAAAACATGTTCTGATGCAAAAAATGCACTGACTTTAGAAATTTCTGCTTAACACACATGTCCTTCAAAAAAGCAAAAGTAGGGCTGGACATGGTGGCTTATGTCCATATTGTAATCCCAGTGCTTTGGGAGGCCATGGCAGGAGGATTGCCTGAGGCCAGGAATTCAAGACCAGCCTGGGCAACATATCGAGACCCTGTCTCTACAAAAAAAATTTTTTTTTTTTGAGATGGAGTCTCGCTCTGTCACTCATGCTGGAGTGCAGTGGAGCGATCTCGGCTCACTGCAAGCTCCACCTCCCAGGTTCACGCCAGTCTCCTGTCTCAGCTTCCCGAGTAGCTGGGACTACAGGAACCCACTACCACGCCCAGCTAATTTTTTTCTATTTTTTAGTAGAGACGGGGTTTCACTGTGTTAGCCAGGATGGTCTCGATCTCTTGACCTCATGATCCGAAATAGCTGGGTATGGCAGCACAAGCAAGTAGTCCTAGCTGTTCAAGAGGCTGAGGCAGGAGGATGCCTTGAGCCCAGGAGTTTAAGGCTGTAGTGAACTACAATTTCTCCACTGCACTCAAGCCTGGGAAAAGAGCAAGACCCTGTCTCTTAGAAAAAAAAAAAAAAAAAAAATCACTGTTTATTACAACCATAAGTTAAGAGTTGTATTAGTGGAGGGAAAACATTGACTTTCCATTTTTAATTTGTTTTAAACTGAAATGCCCTAAAAAAGGAAAATAAGCATCTCCTCCCAGCAACCTCCAAAGTTGGACGGCAGAAAAAGATGCCCAACCACAAAGTTCCGAGTTGTTCTGCACCTACACCCACAAGTAACCTGGGAATACTATCACCTGGTGAACTTGGGACTTGATTTATGAGACATGAAGCTAAAGTACAAACTCAGAGTCCTTACCAAATACATAAGAATTTTCCTATAAACCCATATTTTTCTCTCTCTGAATAATCTATGTGCTGCCTTTTAAACAAAATGAATTCTTTAACTTTTCTGATAAATGACAGAACATACCTTGCTCCATGTGTCTGCTTCTCAGCTGAGACTCTATAGTCCAACTGTATTTCTGGCATTCATTCAAAAAAGCCAAACTGTTAAGTCTCTAAATGTAAATTTATATGAGATTAAAAAGTGCCTGGGAATGAGACAGTTATCTTAGTCACGTTTTTCTTTTTAAAAAACGTTTTTAAAATTTTTTTTTTTTTTATTTAGAAGTGAAGCATAGCTGTTTCCTTGCCTACTACAAAGAAAAAAGTAATCTACCTTGTTAAATAACATGTGACTTCCTTGGCTAAATCTTAACAAGCAATACATTCCTGACTAAGGCTTTTTATTTTATTATTTTTCCAGTGTAGGTGTTGAGAATTTTCATTAAAAAGGGCTCCAACACTGGAACAAATCCATTAACACGTGTTGCCAAAGGAACACTCTGTAACTTCTGCATTATCATACCCTCTAGCAATTGTCAACAATCTCTCTGGCAAAGGCTTCCTCTGGTTTATACATAACTGTATCGAGTATTTCTGTTTGCCTTGCTAACAATGCCTTTTCTTGCAGAGAAGACATATGACACCACCATGTCACACAAAACACCCCACAGTGGAGCTGGTTTTCGATGGAGTGCTGGAACCATCAAGGGGCTAGGTCCCCAAGGAGATGGGCACTCTCTCATACCACAACAGAGGTGCAAACTGGTCCCATTTTTACAAGAAATCAATTTGACAAAATGTATCAAGGATCTTTAGAGTAGTTTTTTAAAAATATATATGTTTGTAACTCCTGACCCAAACATTTCACCTCTAATAATATACAGTAAGAAAATGATGTTCAAAAAAATTCCACACAGATTTCAGCACAAATATATTCACTGCCCATTATAATAGCAAAAAGTCAAAAACTTACATTATTATTAAAATAGTATGCAGAGATTAAGCATGTTTAGAAAGTCTCATGAAAAACTAAGCCAACGGGTCTTAAATGACTTTACTAAATTCACATGAAAAGCAACATAATTTAGGCATTATCTAATTAGCATGCATATTTCCTAAAAACTTACAAAAACTACAAATTTTCAAAGGCTTGGTATAGATGACAATTAGTGTAAGTTACTGGAGGCAAGTGGTGTTAAAAAGGAGAATAAGTCTCCAATGCTCAGTTTCCATAATCGAATGAAGCAGCATGCACTCACATTTTATCAACAGCATTTAGAAAATTATTTCTGCCTTTTATGCTGATGAAAGATCCTCTAACAGATTAACTTTCTGGTAAGAGTACCTCAGAGACAGGGTCTAGGTCACAGATTAGGCTTCTAGGGACCTGTGTCTAGATTTCTGTTTATACGGCGAGCTGTACACCCAGCTGGGCCCACTGGACAACAGTGCAGCCATCAGTGCAACTGCCAGCAAACCTCTCTTATCTCAACACTGTTAACTATGCTCAAAAAGCAAGTCAAGGCTTTCTATTCGGGGCTTACTAAGGACATCAAATTTTCATTGTGACGAAAATACAGCTACGGATTTAAAATTTTAAGTCTACATTATCTCCACAAAAACATTTTGTCCCCAAATGTACACACACAATCATACTAGGCCAAAGAATAATACATTCTCCAAAGTAGCAATGAGAGAGCACTCTCCAAGCACAGATTAAAACAAAGCCATCACAGAAACAACAGACATCTAAACAAACAAAAAACCCAATACAAGGAGAAAAAAACTATTCTATTCTCCTAAATAATTGTTTTAAAAAACATAAATCCTAATACGAGACTGTGTTGAAAGTAATGAAAAGGCCTGGGGTGGGGAAGGTGTATAATGAATGAAAACAGAAACCTTACAACGTATCAAGTGTTACGGAATCTGATGAAGGTTGAGAACAGAGAAAAATGTAAGCCCTAAATAATTAACATAAGTGAACTACATATTGAAATGAGAAAAAAAAAACACCCAATCTGTTTGAAAAATGATTACAAAATACTTCACTAATAATGAATGCATTAATAGAAAAAATAGAAGTGAAATTCAAAAGCTTCCTTGAAAAGCCAACCAGAGAAGTAAACTTCTGGTAAGTCTAGATGAAAGAAAAGTGAACACAATTAGAATATACGTATTGTCTCAGTCAATTTTCTGTTGCTTATAACAGAATACCTGAAACTGGGTAATTTATACAGAAAAGGTATTTATTTCTTACAGGTACAAAGGCTGAGAAGTCCAAAGTCTAGGGCTGCATCTGGTGAGGGCCTTCTTGCTGGTGGGGACTTGACAGAGTCTGGAGGCAGCACAGGGAATCACATGGTGAGGCGGCCGAGTGTGCTAGCTCAGGTCCCTTCCTCTTCTTAAAAGCCACCAGCCCTACTCCCCTGATAACCCATTAATCCATTAATCCATGAATGGATTAATCCATTCATGAGGGCAGAGCCACCTCTTAAAGGCCCCACCTCTCAATATTGCCACATTGGGGGTTAAGTTTCAACATGAGATTCACATGGGACATTCAAACCTTAGCAAGCACTATAACATACTGAGGGACCATAAATAGGAGACGAACATATAGAGATAGGAAGCTATGTTTTTTGAGACAAAGTTGATAAAACAGAGGGGAGGCAGGAAGAAAGGAAGGCAGGTGGGCAGGACTGGGTCAGGCAGCTGGATACAGTAGTGTGTCAGGCAGATACTGAGAAGATACCTCTGCACTAACAGCCTCCCAATGCCCCACAGTGGAGCTGGTCCCCAGCTGAACCTCTACAGGTGGGTAGAAGAGCACCAGAGCCATTCCTCCCTCCCCAGGAGCTCTGTCTACAGTGAGCTACATACTCAAATATACCCCGATGAGTGTGGAAATCGATCCCATTTTTAAAAGATATAAATTTGGCAAAACATATTAAGGGTTTTTTAAGTGGTCATGATCTTTTAAAATGTGACTTCTGACCTGTAATTTTGCTTCTAATCATACACATACTAAGGAAATAATGTTTTTAAAAAATCAACCTTGGCCAGGCATGGTGGCTCACACCTGTAATCCCAGTGCTTTGGGAGGTTAAGGTGGGAGGCCAGGAGTTCGAGATCAGCCTGGGCAACATATTGAGATTTTGTCTCTACAAAAAAATTTTAGAAAATTAGGCAGGCATGGTGATGCACACCTGTAGTCCTAGCTATTCAGCAGGCTGAGGCGGGATGATAGCTTGAGCCCAGGAGTTTGAGGTTAAAGCATGCCATGACTGCACCACTGCACTCCAACCTGGGCAACAGAGTGACGATCATGCCACTGCACTCCAGCCTGGGTCACAGAGCAAGTCTCTGCCTCTATGGGAGAGACAGGAAAAAAACCCCACAGACTTACACATAAATACATCCACTGCCTCACTACTGTAAAAATTTCAGAAACTTAATAATTTGTTAAATTATGATACATATCTTAAACATGTTTATGAAGATTAAGGAAATGCTTACTTTATAAAGTTAGGTTGAAAACTGGGTATGATGTTGAAGATTTTAAACAAAAATATAAAAATGAATGGAAGGGACTATATCAACATTTGAATATTTTTGCCTTTGGTGTAAAAAATCTTGAGAAGTTGATTTTTAACATGCATTATAGATAAGGTAGTGGTTATAACCACATCAAGATAAATGTAAACTATTCTCACACAGGATCACTCTCTACCTCATACTTCACTCATCTGTGAATTTAGTCAAATTAACTCTTGAGCTTTGTTTTCTTCTCTGTAAAATGAAGATAATCATAGCTACCTGATATGGGCACAAAGAAAAAAAAAAACCAACAATGCCAAGCGTTGAACTTTGGCACTCTCTCTTTGGAAGACTGTAAGTTTTGTCCATGCTGGTGACTTTGGAGCCAGTTTTAAAAATTAACTCTAAATTCAATACCACTGGGCCTCTTAAAGTTATAAAACATCTGCAAACTTCTATACTGCAAGAACGTACTCAAATGAGAGACTCTAATTCTGATAAGCTCGGGCATCTCCCTGGGTAACCAATAAATTTTAAAATGGGCCAACACTGCACCAAAGTTCCATGAGGAAGGGACTTATCAAGAAGTGCTGCCTTTCAGAGGAAAACATTCTCATGGATGACTTGGTTTCACATTTCCAAACATGTTTCATTTATATGGCACATTCAAACTAAGAAATGCTGCAAAAGTTCTCTTTGCTGGCTCCAATCAATGCAGAAGGTACTTAGAAGAGGGAAGTGAAACTGCTTTTGCAAAACTGTGACAGTAAGAGATATCTGACCCTTGCTTCTAACCTCCAAGTTGTCCTTCGTCATTCCTGGGCATGGGCAAAGCTAACTTCGGGGAAAATTTAGTTTATAGTTTAACTTTAAAGCAAGAATGAGAATAGCACTTTCCAAAACTAAATCAACTTTGTAAAGCTAATGAAACACCACAAGGTTAGGGTTATGAGAAGGGCCTGAATTCTGCTAAGATGTAGGCATAGAAGGCAATCCTAAGCAAAAAGAACAAAGCTGGAGGCATTACACTACCCAACTTCAAACTACACTACTGGGCTACAATAACCAAAACAGCATGGCACTGGTACAAAACCAGACACACAGACCAAGGGAACAGACGAGAGAACCCAGAAATAAGGCCGCATACCTACAACTATCTGATCTTTGACAAACCTGACAAAAACAAGCAATGGGGAAAGGACTCCCTGTTGAATAAATGGTGCTGTGATAACTGGCTAGCCATGTGCAGAAAATTGAAACTGGACCCCTTCCTTACATCATATACAAAAATCAACTCAAGAAGGATTAAAAACTTAAATGTAATACTCAAAAACCTGGATGATAACCTAAGCAATACCATTCCGGACATAGGAATGGGCAAAGATTTCGTGACGAGAATGTCAAAAGGAATTCCAACAAAAGCAAAAATTGACAAATGGGATCTAATTAAACTAAAAGGCTTCTGCACAGCAAAAGAAACTATCAACAAAGTAAACAGACAACCTACAGAATGGGAGAAAATTTTGGCAAACTATCCATCTGACAAAAGTCTAATATCCAGCACCTACACGGAACTTAAATTTATAAGAAAAAAACAACTCCATTAAAAAGTAGGCAAAGGCATGAACAGACACCTTTCAAAAGAAGACACACATGCGGCCAACAAGTATGTGGAAAAAAAGCTCAACATTACCGATCATTAGAGAAACGCAAATAACAACCACAAGGAGATACCATCTCGCACCTGTCAGAATGGCTATTATCAAGAAATCAAAACATAACAGGTGCTGGCGAGGTTGCAGAGAAAAAGGAACATTTACACAGTATTGGTGGAAGTATAAATTAGTTCAACCACTGTGGAAGACAATGTGATGAGTCTTCAAAGTTCTAAAAATATAACTCCCATTCCACCCAGAAATCCCATTACTGGGTGTACACCAAAAGAAATATAAATCATTCTATCATAAAGATGCATGCACACATATGCTCACTGCAGCACTATTCACAATAGCAAAGACATGGAATCAACCTAAACGCCCATCAGTGGTACAGTGGATAAAGAAAATGTGGAACATATACACCATGAAATACTATGCAGCCATAAAAAAGAATAAGATCATGTCCTTTGCATGGATAGCTGGAAGCCATCACCCACAGCAAACTAACGCAGGAACAGAAAACCAAATACTACACGTTGTCACTTATAAATGGGAGCTAAATGATGAGAACACATGGGCACATAGAGGACAACAACAGACACTGCAGCCTAATGGAGGGTGGAGGTTGGGGAGGAAGCAGAGGGTGAAGAAAAATAACTATGTATTATTAACTTAACACCTGGGTGATGAAACAATCTGTACAACAAACCCCCATGACACGAGTTTACCCATATTAACAAACCTGCACATGCACCCCTGAACCTAAAATAAAAGTTTTGTTAAAAGCGTAGGTATAAATGATAACCAGCCATTGTTCTGGAAGTCACAAGATTTGTAACTTCCCCAATTACTGTGGTAAATAGCATCACTCTTGCGGAACCTAAGATTGGCCTTTTGAGATGTCTTTTCAGACTGCTGCATTTTTGACGACTGGCTGACTCCACCTGGACCTGCGACTCATGACTCAACTGGTCCTATGGCCCCTAACCCAGAGGCAGACTCAGCAAATGAGGGCTGTTTTCCACACTCCTATGATGGCATCCCCAGCCAATCAGCAACATCCATTCTATAGTCCCCTGTCCACCGAACTATCCTTGAAAAACCTCAACCCCCAAAACTTCAGGGAGATTAATTTGAGTGATAACTCCATCTCCCATGCGGCTAGCCACCTCTTCGTCAATTAAACTCTTTCTTTACTGCAATACCATGGTCTCAGTGAACTGGAAGACCCTTTTGGGTGACTACACAAGTTATGCTCTGCAGAAGACATCCTTAAACTACTGTCTGCACAAGGTAGAATGGGAGCAAACATGAAACCATTCTTTAGGGTTGACTTTCCCATTGCAAGAACTATGGCTTAAGTCTTAAAGATGAAGCTGCTACCATTTTTCTCTTTAGCAGTAACTAGTCAGGGAGTTGAATGGGTGGGAAAGATCTTAACAGGAATAGATGTTCTCCAGCTCTCTGATTAATTTAAATTGCTGAAAGTTTACCTGACATGCCTAGTGGTCTTCAAAATATATAGGTATGGATTTGCAAAGGAAGAAAAGGGGATTTTTCTGTTTCTAAAGTCACACTTTGGTCTCTCTTCTCTACCCACTGACATTTGTCTAATGGTGAAAGCAGTCACCATTCCAGCCTCACCAGGCTCCTTCTCAGTGAAGCCGCCCTGCACACACTCTTTGTTACCTGAACAGCCATGTCTGTGCCAAGTGTCTTCATTTCCCACTTCATGCAGTCACCTGTGTGGACCAGAGTGGGCTTCCCAAGAGAAGCCAAAAACAACACTGTATGTCAATGAGACTCACATGAGTTGACCTGGAATGATAAGGTGAACTGAGTCAATTAGATGCTGACTCTCAAGAATATGAATTAAGAAGCACAGAGAATAAGCAGTTAACAGTAAGGGCATCTCCTGAAAGAGTGTTAGGAGGTGGAAGAGCGGCTGCAAAGAGCCAGAGCTGAGCGCATGCTCAGATTATGAGAACACCAAAAGTAGGCATGGGCAGAAATAGGTATAGCTTTTAATATTAATATAAAGCCATCATGGTTATCAATACATGCTAAAACATTACTTTTCATCTCTCAACATTGCAACTATGTATGTTTCATATTAGCATAAAACAATCTGAACATATATCCTCAATAGAGATATGTACACGTATATAATTTATAACTAGGTGTCTACGTTGAGGACACATGTTCAGATTGTTTTGTATGTATAAGGGTGTCTGGTGAGAAAAAGTTTTACAACTTCTACTTTGCTACAGAAAGTGCATTCTGGCCGGGCACGGTGGCTCCCTCCTGTAATCCCAGCACTTTGGGAGGCTGAGGCGGGCGGAGTCATGAGGTCAGGAGGTCAAGACCATCCTGGCTAACACAGTGAAACCCCGTCTCTACTAAAAAACACAAAAAAATTAGCCGGGCGTGGTGGCGGGCGTCTGTAATCCCAGCTACTGAGGAGGCTGAGGCAGGAGAATGGCGTGAACCCGGGAGGCGGAGCTTGCAGTGAGCCGAGATTGCGCCACCGCACTCCAGCCTGGGCGACAGAGCAAGACTCTGTCTCAAAAAAAAAAAAAAAGAAAGAAAGTGCACATTCTATGACACTAGGAGACAGACGCGAGAAGTTAACACAGCTGCCAAAGACTAAGTAAGACAAAGATCCTGTCTTCTAGAGGTTCACAGGCCATAATGTGTTACAGGGAAGAAAGAAAAAAAGCACCAGTGATTTTTATTGGGTTTCCAACAAATATTTGTGTAGAACCTATGTGTGCCCTGTGCTAGTCTAGGTATTTTATATCACTTTCTAGTGACACAGTCACCACAGATCAAATAAACTATCCGGGCTGAACTGAATTTGCTGCGTCAGTGGTCCCTAAACATTTCTGAACCATAGAGCAATTTTGAGATTCTGATTAAAAAGAAGAGAAACCTCTCCCTAGGAAAGCACGCATAACTACAATTCTGGACTCAATTTCACTGACACTTCTGACCTCACACCCAAGGATAAGAAACGAATGGGTCTACTGCCTATTTGAAAATATAGACACACACATACATATCTACAAAATCATGTGATCCTACACTGAAGGATTGTTTCAACAATGCAAAGTACTTATGAGGCTTATTAATAGCCTTATATTTTCAGTTAACAACATATTACTAGTGGCAATGAGAGAAGTCCCACCACAAATAAAACAGCATGTTTATTCTCAAGTACAATGCATTGAACTGACACAGACTATCACTCCAGTTACACAATGGCTGTTCAGAGTTCTCAGTTAATGGAATATTCACAGTTTAAGACCAAACACAATGCACAAAGAACAGAAAAATAGACAAAGTTGCCGTATTAGGGATAGCAACATTAGCTTCCTGGCAACAGAGACTCTGGGGAGGGCTACACATAAAATTATTTTCTATTAAGGGTCAGTAAGTAAAAAAAAAAAAAAAGTCTGACAAAATATTTCATTCATTTGCTCGAAGTGATTTTACACAATAGAGCTACAGAACACAGGCTTGGTTCCATCTTTCCTCTTAAATAACCAAAAAAGAGTACTTGATCTAATCTCTTTCATGTAATTAGAAATCACCTGAAAAATGCAGAATCTGGCTGTGAGAGTGATTTGAGAATTGATGGATCTGCTTCCCTGCTTGTAAGAATGAATAGCAGTACTTACTCCACAAAGATGAGAAGCACACATTTTCATGGGTGCCTCTCTAATGTGTTAATAAAACAATGAAATGCTAATTTCATTTTTTTCATTCAACAAATATTTAGTGAATTGCAACTATGAGCCAAACATCAAGGCAAAATCAAGCAAAATCAGACCCAACTTCTGCCGTGATGAAGTTCACTAGCTCTTTCATCCATTAGAAAGCTTTAAATTGGAAATCTCCACTAGCATCGGTTGTCTAACTTGACAACTAATATTTGTAAAGCATTTTACAGGTTAGAAAGTACTATCCAATATATCATCTCAGGAAATCCTCACTGTAACTCTCTGACTTGTATTGGTAATTCATCTCCTATGCAGGTTAAGAAACTACAGCTCAGAGAGGCCCAGTGGCTTACTCAAGCAGTGAAGCTGGAATCCCCTTTGCTGATAATCTCAGTGCACTACACCATCTCACTGCAGCTGAGCTTTAGGTCATGAGGATAAAACACGTGCAAAATCACTTTGAGCTCTTTACTGGGAACATGATCTAGAGCAGCTTTTTGTCCGTTCCCATCTTCCCCAGAAGCAGTTGTTACCCAGCTCTGGCAGGGTGTAGAAAATGCAATTTACTTGGGCCGGGCGCGGTGGCTCACGCCTGTAATCCCAGCACTTTGGGAGGCCGAGGCGGGTGGATCATGAGGTCAGGAGATCGAGACCATCCTGGCTAACAAGGTGAAACCCCGTCTCTACTAAAAATACAAAAAATTAGCCGGGCGCGGTGGCGGGCGCCTGTAGTCCCAGCTATTCGGGAGGCTGAGGCAGGAGAATGGCGTGAACCCGGGAAGCGGAGCTTGCAGTGAGCCGAGATTGCGCCACTGCAGTCCGCAGTCCGGCCTGGGCGACAGAGCGAGACTCCGTCTCAAAAAAAAAAAAAAAAAAAAAGAAAATGCAATTTACTTACTTGGAAAACCCCAACTTACCTAAGTTATAAAATGGTTAATCTGCTGAAAGATTCCTTTACTATTTCTATCATACATGCAACCTAACAGCATTGCGTTGTTGCCTGCCATGAGCCTCTCTTCCTTGGTCAATTTCTACAGTGCTTTCTGAATACAGAAAACGTCTGCAGTATTTTCTCTGTTACAGACTCTTGACAGTTTTCTTTAACAGTGTGACTTACATAGTAAGACTGAAATGTGAAAGTTCTAGATGAAACAGTCATCTGGTCCTACACTAAAACTTTCATGCATTTTTTAAGGAGCCTTAGATCACTGTCCAACATTCAACCCACTGCCAAAATCCTATGACAACATCTCTAATTTGGGGTAATCTGACTTCTTTAACACATGCGGTTCCTATTACTGGTAAGAAGCAGTTTGGCAATAAGTATTCAAAAGCCATAAGTAAATAGTACCAATGCTGACTCAGCTGTCCTGCTGCTAAGAATTTGTCCTAAGGAAACAACTCAACAAATGCACAGTGATGAGTGTATTTGAGATATCTTCATTGTAGAGTTGTTGTTTATACTAAGAAATTGGAAATGACCAAAGTAACTGTCAGGGATGGTTTTAATAAATAAGAGTGCACTCATACAGAGAGATGCTATGTAGCCATTAAAAATCATATGAACATATCAAATAGTTACATAAGATATACATGCTCTATCAAGTGAAAAAAGTGATTACTAAATAGTATATGATATCCATTTTATGTGTGTTTACAAAGCAAAAATTCTTAATTGATTGAAATAGAAAAACATATCCTTCTTATGTCTACCCATAAATTCCAATCCTGCCCCCCTGAAGTTGAGAATTAACTTTGCTCTCCTTTCCACCCCGATAGCCTTTCAACTATTCCTGGTAGGGCATAGTTTCTAGTCCATTTATTTCCCTGGCTTACCCTCTTAAAATGTAGAACTTGTTTGAAAACAAGCCCTCGGAGGTAGCCTAACGAAGTCAGAAAACAACGGGATGATTATCTCCTTAATTCTGAGTACTGTGCCATTAAAGCTGCCAGAGAAGGCCACCCATATCAAATGGTTGGCTGAAACCTTCAATCTTTTTAACAAGAGCTGCTACTGATCCAGGTCTCCCATTCTATAAACATGCAACTTTCCCCCGACTCTAGGAAGCTGCATTCAGTAGAGCTTAATTGTGTATTTGTTCATGTTGATTGCCTTCAACTTTTTGCAGCCTTTTTTTTTTTCTATCCTGATGTCTGACATCCAGTTGGTTAGCTTCCCTCCCAACAATGGGATAGACACAAATTTGATCCACCTTTCTTGATCAAAGACCACTCTTCTCAAACTAGAATATCATGACATTGGGAAAGGGCTACTCAAACATTTTATCTGGTGATAATTTAAAGTATTTTAAAACAAACATGGGCATGTTAAAAATACAAAGTGAATGCATCTTTATGTGAAAACATGAGTCTTCAAAGACATTTCGCTCCTGGCTGTGCCTCTAAAGTCTCCCTACATCCTGCCCACAATCCAACCTTCAATTCCTGTACCCTCAACCCTCTAAACCCTCCAAAATAAAGTATAAACTTTCCTCTTCCTTAATAGTTCCCTGATGGAAAAGTTAGAATAGCACTGGCAAGGCAGTGAATTGCACAAAGTCAACAGTTAATCAACCTGCAACACATTCATCTATCTTATTACAATCAAGCCCATGCTTTTCCAACTTATCCATAAAAAATCCTAAGAACTTAATGAAACATGTAGTTTTTTTATTCTGATATCCTCTAACAACAACATTACCCAAATTCTCTCTCCAATAAGTATCTGATTTATACAGGAAATGAGGTTAATTCAAGAAAGGCTTGTTCTTGAGAAACCCATGCTGACTTAACCACACTGCTTTCCCAGGTAACCACAAACTATCCCTTCTTCTCCCCATTTATTCCATTAGAGGATTATTCCATATCTGCTGTTTAAAAGGCACTGAACTAGGGTCTACAATAGAAAACATGGAGTCAGATGGAAACTTCTCTTCTAAGACGAAGAAGGATGACACGTAACTACAATACAAATAACTATAATACATGGTAAAAATGCTTAAGAAAGTTCCAGAAACAGGGAAGCACTAGCCAGCAGAAGGAAGAGTATGTGAAGAACAGAGTATGTGTGAAGGGGCATAACAAAGATAAGACTGGGGCACATGGTAGAGAGCCACAACCATATTTAATCCGAGAAAACTCAAATCTTGTTAGGAAATCACCTGAAAGCCTTCTGGGTCACATTTAGAAAAATCTCTCATTCCCTATGTCAGAAAATGTACATGTTTTTCATTTCTGAAAAATATCTGTTTGTCTTTTCCGTCTTTTTCACCCTTCTCCCGTCTTGAAAGATTGTCAACAGAAGTCTACAAATCAGAAATTATTATGCACTTACATTTTACAATTTAGAGGTTTAAGGTTTATACAGCATTTTCAAGCAGATTGCCTCTGCAAGACTTTTTTAAGTGTCCCAAGATATAATGAAACCAGGCCTGGACACTCAAACTCAATTTCAAGTACCACATATTCAGTCACCACCCTCAGCCTAAGCATCCATCACTTTTACCTACTTTTTTTTTTTAACCTCTCCAATAAAAAAGTCATCATCCTTCAAGTTTTCTAAGCTTGGAAAAAATGAAAATCACAAGTGAATGACAGTGTTGACTGTACAATTAAAACCTTCAATGCACAAAAATATTAAATGGATGATCTCTGCAAAAACCTCTGCAAGAAATTATAAATGGCAACTACCATTAACTTTTAGTTTAGAATAAATCTATAAAACCAAAAGAACAGACTAGACAACTCACAAGAAGGTGACAAATCTTTGGGAAAAACACTCAATGCCTATCAAGCTCCCCCAAAAAGGCTCATTTAAAATACAGATCACAGTTGTTAATTAAGAAATAAAGATGAAAAAATACAGTACATCCTTATTATTCACGGATTCCACATTTGCAAATTCATCTACTAAAACTTATTTATAACCCCAAGACTAATGCTCATGGTCATTTGCGCACAGGTGGAGAGAACCAAAATTTTTTTTTCTTTTTTTATTAAGGAACGCTTCACGAATTTGTGTCATCCTTGCACAGGGGCCATACTAATCTTCTCCGTATCATTCCAATTTTAGTATATGTGCCACTGAAGCAAGTACACACCAAAATATTTGAGTCACTCCACATACATGTACCCAGCTGAAGCCAAAAAACCAGCCTACACTCTTTGTTCTAGCCCTTATACTATTAACAAATGTCCCTTTTGTGGCTAGTTTTTAGGGCTTTTTTTTTTCATTTTTGTGGGTTTCTTGGTGATTTTGCTGTTTAAAATGAGCCCCAAACATCATGCCTTAGTGTCGTCTAATGTTCTTAATCACAACAAGGCCATGATGTGCCTTAGGAAGAAGAGACGCATTGGCTAAGCTTCATTTAGGCATGAGATACAGTGCTCTTCGCCATGAGGTCAATGTTAATGAATCAACAATGTATATTAAACAAGGTATCTTTAAACAGAAACACATGCAAAACAAGGCTATGTATTGATCGGTTGACAGCTGACAAAATCGTTATAACCAGAGGCTCACAGGAATCTAACTCTGTATTGTTCCCCTAGGAGCAATGGCTCAGTATTCACTAATTATGTCCACAGCGACTTTATAGAACATAACTGCCACAAATAATAACAGTGGGGTGTTCTTCCAAATTATCCTCTATTTCCCCTATTTCCTGCAGTGAGCAGTTTGCTATCTCTGGATATCCTATTTATATAACAGAACAGCTCCAAGTCATAGGTCTAGACTTCTTTGCTATGCTCCTCCTTAATGCCCTTCCAAAATTTTCCTCTAGCCTTTTCAAAGGTGCCTGCCCATTCTACACTGGTTTTTTCCACCTCCTCTCACAGCATCTGACTAATCCGATCTTCACTCCTGGGTTCCTTGACATTCCTACCATTGTTCGTATAGGTTTGTTTGTTTGTTTTTTGAGAGAGTCTTGCTCTGTCACCCAGGATGGAATGCAGTGGCGCGATCATAGCTCACTGTAGCCTCAACCACCCAGGCTCAAACAATCCTTCTACCTCAGCCGCCCAAGTCGCTGAGACCACAGGCGTGTGCCACCATGCCCAGCTAATTTAATTAAACCAGCCCAGGCTGGCCTCAAACTTCTGGGCTCACACAGTCCTCCCACCTCAGCCTCCCAAAGTGCTGGGATTACAGGTGTCAGCCACCACACCTGGCCGTACAGGTCCTTTTACAAAACAGATTTCCTTAGTTCTTGGGGCCTCAGTTAAGTTCTTGGGCTGCCTTCTCCTGTTCTTCCTCACCCAAGGATTAGTACTTTCGTGATCTGTCTTCTACATTACTATCTGTGGCCATGAGATCATATGTACATTTTTGACTAACAGTTTGGCTATTTTTCAATAGCCCCCTACCAAGAATTCCCTGCCTTAAACTCCAGGATGATATGGACATTTTTCCCCATTGTCACTTAAAGTTCATTTAGAAACATCTGGTAGGATCCTGAACCTCCACATTCATTTTTGTTCTAAATTTTTAAACCTTCTATCATGAAAAACTTCAAATATACACAAAAGAGAATACTATATTGAATACAATGCACCCATCACTAAGCTTCAACAATGATACATATTTTGCCAGCCTTTTTAATATATTCCCTCTTTTTCTGTTTTATATTTGCTGGAATCTTAAAGCAAAACCAAAACAATATATCTTTTCACTTATAAGAACATCAGTGTGCATTTATAACTAATGAATAAATTTTTTTTTTTTTTTTTTTTCCTTTTGAGACATGGTCTTGCTCTGTCACACAGGCTGAAGTGCACTGGCGCAATTTCATCTCACTGCAGGCTCAACCTCTCAGGCTCATGTGATCCTCC
The DNA here is from genome assembly GCF_000001405.40 of Homo sapiens. Classification (NCBI taxonomy): domain Eukaryota; kingdom Metazoa; phylum Chordata; class Mammalia; order Primates; family Hominidae; genus Homo; species Homo sapiens. The sequence goes on along the minus strand of NC_000009.12, from coordinate 557,089 downwards.
TGCCTTGGCCTCTCAAAGTACTAGGATTGCAGGCATGAGCCACTACACTCGCCCAGAAATTTGTTTTTAGAGTAACTACCATGCCATTAACAAACCTAACAAAATTAACAATTTCTTATCTTCAAGAACTCAATTCATATTCAAATTTTTATCATCTCAAAGCTGGTTTGTTCAAACAGGAGTCCAAAGTCCCCATACTGCATGTCATTACTGAGACCATACTGGGACTAAGGCAGGGAGGAATGAGCCCTAAGTGAGTCTGTAACAAGCGAGAAAGCAGCTCATTCAACTAAAAGAATTAAATTGGAGGTCTGGCCCAAGAAAGTGGAAAAATAAACAAAGAAAACTAAAACTATTCAGGAACATCATGAAGCAGGGCAAGAGCTAGAGAGAAAAGTACCAAAGGGGCTAGCAATTTGAGTAAGGAGAGTAACTGGACAAATGACAGAATTATCTTAATGGAACAAGGACTTTAGCTTTAAAAATCTCACTTTGGATCAATGAAGTAATGAGAAACAGTTACTAAAAAGCAAAACCGCATAGTCATTGTATCTAATTCCTCAAATTTTAGTTTCATAAGCACCTTTGTACATCATAGCACTTTAATAATTATAAGTTTAAAATGATCATGGCTAACTCCATGAGACTAAGATCTGGATCTGGCTGACTCCAGAGACTAAGACTCACCACGTAGTCAGAGGAGAGCACAACTCAGAAACCAAGGTTCCCTAAGTCTTCCCTGGGAATCACTAAACTCACATTGAACTTCTAACTGCATCAGATACAGACACATACAGAGAAAAGTTTTATATAAGCAATGCATGCTCGTTAATTAAAAAAAGAAAATTAACCAAGATAAATTCTAATACTTCTCACTTTTTGAGGTTTATTATCAGAAATAGCTCTAAAATTTCTCCTCCTCTTTAAAATAAGATTTTTTAAAATGCTTCTGTATTCAGTTACAATTCTTTGGGTATTTTCCCCCCAAGGTAGAGCCAAAACAGACTGTAGAGAAAGAAGAAATAAGAACTACAACTTAGTACCCCACCAACAACTTTGCAGCAGTATTTTATAGTATGATTAAAAAGTCATTTTAAGTATAACTCTGAAAATGTTTAATGATTACTTTAAATGTGAGCACTGATGTTTGTCTACACAAGTTAATGATGTTATTATAACATCATGAAGGTTAAAAGTTGTTTGTTTTTATTTAAACAGAAGGGGTTGTCGGCATCTTTATCACCACTAAAGGTAGTTTTAGCATTTCAAAGGGATTTTTTCCTAATTGTATTTTGAGAAACACATTTCTAAAAACACGTATGTACTAGGAACTCACAGATCTTGTCAAATTGAATATTTCATATTCCAGTACAAGTCTGGACACATCAAATCTAAAGGAATTTCTTAAGGCTTAGTAAACCAACCTCTGTGATTTCATCTCCAGCCAAATGGGAATCTTACGCTTTTACAGTTATTTCAGCTAATTCTCAGTCACTGCAAGAAGACAAACGCAGCAAAGGTTGGATGCTGAAACATTCCAGAAAAAGGATAATCCCCATCATATACAAACTATAGTATTTTACCTAATTGGTATCTGAATCCTGATTTATGTTCACTCATTTGATTTATTTAATTTAGCAGTATAGTGACTATGCCATATACATAGCAGACTGAGTGGAAGAGTTTATCATCACAAAGCTGACACTGCACAGTTTGCACATCTAAGTCACGTGCCATCATGTACATGGTGTGGAAGGTAGGGGAGGCAGGTGTCCCCACTGTCTTCCCAATAGTGGTGATGGCTCCATAGAGTCATCGTATCACCCTTGACTCTTCAGGACTTCAGATCGCCATCCTGCTTTGGATTACTGACGTGGTATAAGACTAGGAAATGGCTTTCTCAGGGATTAGCTACTGGCCAGCTCATTTCACGAGCACTTATTACTATCCAGGGGTTCTACTGTCTTATGACTTATTAGTTGTTCTCAAAGTGTGGTCGCTAGGCCAGCAGCAGAAACATTACCTGGTATGCAGGTTAATTTCACGTGCCAACTTGACTGGGCAAACGGATGCCCAGGCAGCCGGTAAAACATTACTTCTGGGTGTGCCAAGAAGAGATCAGCATTTGAATTAGTAGACTTCACTAACTCTCTTCCTGTTTGCCCTGAGAATACTTGCCCATGGTGCTTGCAGCTGCAGTGTTTACCCCAAGATAACCTTGCCACGAAAGATCTCGTTTTTTAAATTTTCACATCGTTCTAGTATATCGACTTTGGAAACAAAAGACATCATCCTATTTATAGGATTCTGTTTTTAGTAGTGGCATTTCCATTTACAAAATATAGTAATTCTCAATTGCTGAAAATGTCAAATCCTAGAAAACATAGCATTCCTATGAGTGATGTTAACATCGTTCTCTAACAGTTGATGGAAGATTCATTTGATGAATCCGATTTTTCTGAAATAGATGATTCTGATAATTCAGATGGTTGTGATGTTAGTTCTGTTTAGAAATAATATTTTCTATTTTATTTTCACACTGAAAATCAGTCCGATTTGCTTTAGCCTCCAACAGCCTGTTTATGTAAAATTAAATAAGCACTGGCCACAAACCGCACTTTTTTTCTAAGTGGGAAAAGGGTTAAGACCGCCAACATGGATGCTCATCAGTGTGGATGGGTGTCATCCAATCAGTGAGGGCCAGAATAGAACAAAAAGGGAGAGGAAAGGCAAATACTTGCTCTCTGCTTGAGCTGGAACTTCTATCTTTTCCTGCCCTCAGACATCAGCGCACCTGGTTCTTGGATCTTCAGACTCAGATGGAGATGGAAACTTACGCCAGGTGCTCCCAGGTTCTCAGCCCTCAGACTCAGACTGAATTACACCAATGGCCTTCTTGTTCTCTAGTTTGCAGATGGCAGATCTTGAGACTTCTTGGGGAACATCCTGGGACTTCCTGGCCTTCGTAATCACATGAGCCAATTCCTATAATGAATCTCCTTCCTAATATACCTATGCTGTCTCTTTGGAGAACCCTCATACAGCTGGTAACTTGTCAAAAATGTACATTTGTACGCCAGTCCCAGAACTCCTGAATCAGAAGGTCTGGGGTTGGAGCCCAGCTATCTGTGTTTTAACATAATGCTCCAGAGGACCCAAATGCACGCTAAAGTTTGAGAACCACTGCTATAAATTATATTTTTTTAAATGAGCATTCATTCAGATTTCCATTATATTTGGGTTTAATTTCCATTAAACCTATTAAGTACAGGTTATTTTCTAATATTTCTTAGTATAGATTTTGTAATATTCCTATAAAAGTAAATTCGTATAGAGGGAAGCTTTGAATTTACCAAAGTTCAGTAGAAGAGGGTGACTAATATGAAACTGAACAATTGGCTTATATTTTTCTCATACTTCATCTCTGGAACAAAATCCTTACAACAGTTTATAAGGAAACGCTTCATTACATTGCTCACATTTACTTCATCCCCTGTGTTACACAGGTTCTTGGCATTTGAGGTGACTTCTGATAATTGCCTAAAATGAACCAGAACTACAGGGTGCGGAAGATCAAGGACCCTGAGAAGATATGAAGCTGAGGACTCAGCTTGATCACTTTCCACCTGCGTGCTCTTAGAAAACTCAGCCACTTTAAGCCTCAGTTTCCCCAAATGTTTAATAAAAATCACAGTATACCCCTCATCATAGGGAGAAAATCAAAGGTGTTTAAAGCTGATTGCCTGGCACAAAGTAGCCCTCAATGCTCCACAGTAATTTTATCATTATTAGCTAAGATAATTATTTCATTTTAAATACTTCTGAACACACTTAAGTCCCTGGAAGGTAGAGGTTGTAAACAACTAAATTGCTTTTCATTGCAACCACCTGATAAATGATTTTTTTAAATAAAGGTGACAAAATTACAATTGCATTCTTTTTGAGACAGGGTCTCGCTGTCTGTCACCCAGGCTGGAGTGCAGTAACACAATCATGGCTCACTGCAGCCTCAACCTCCTAGGCTCAAGCGATCCTGCCACCTCAGCCTCCCAAGTAGCTGGGATTACAGGTGTGTGCCACCAGGCCTGGATAATTTTCTAATTTTTTTGTAGAGAAGGGGTCTCGCTATGTTGCCCAGGCTGGTCTCAAACTCCTGGGCTCAAGCTATCCTCTTGCCTTGGCTTCCCAAAGTCCTAGGATTACAGGCGTGAGCCACTGCGGCCAGCCACAATCATGTTCATTTCTAACAAAGGATCACATGGTAGAAAAATAGCTCATTCTGCAAATAAAAGCAGTGTATGCAATACCTAACCACAAGCACCCTGATCAAGAGAAAACATTTCAAAATATTTTCTTTAAAGATCCCTAAATTGTCACAGGGAAAAAGGCCAAGGCATAGTACAGACTTGAGCAGATTAGTCAAGAATGTGATTTGATGAATTAAAGAAATTACATTTTGGCAGGGCTGAAGCAGAAGGCAGGCAAAATTCCAAGTTTCTTCTGGTTCATTCAAATGAGCAGTTCCCTTCCTTTGTGCAGCTAATAACGTCATATTAAAACATATTATATTTAAAAGGTCAAAAAGCCATGTGAAAAGAAAAAGTCACTTAAGAATCTTCTAGACATGTGCCAGGTTGACATGAACACCATTATCAAATATTGTTTAACAACTGCTGAGGAGATGAGGGTGTGCGGCCTTCATAAAAATGAGTTTGAGTCTTGGCTTGGGCAATCACCGGCTAACTGACCTTAGTTAGGCAGGTCCTTGGAACCTCCTAATTGGTCTTCTTGCTTCTACTTTCGTCTTCTTCCTGTTCATTCTCCCACAGTAATCACACAAGCAGGCCAGAGCTCCCTTTCTACCTCAGGGTGTCTGCATATGCTATTTCCGCTTTTCCCCCTCAGAGCACCCGCTGCCAATCTTCACACAGACAATTCGATCAGTCCTTCAGGTCTTAAGTCACTTCTCAAGAATGCCGTACTTGCCTAGGCTAGATTAGATCCTACTGTTACATGCTCCCTTTATTTTTGTTTTTTTGAGACAGGGTCTCACTTACCCAGGCTGGAATACAGTGGTGCGATCATAGCTCGTTGCAGCCTTGACCTTCTGAGCTCAAGTGATCCTCCCAACTCAGCCTCCTGAGTAGCTGGGACCACAGGTGCACATCAACACACCCAGCTAATTTTTGATTTTTTTTTTTTTTTGTAGAAACAAGGTCTTACTATGTTGCCCAGGGTGGTCTCCAACTCCTGGGCTCAAGCAATCCTCCTGCCTTGGCCTCTCAAAGTGCTGGGATTACAGGTGTGAGACACTGCACCTGGCCCCTTATTTTGTAACTCTTATCACCATTATAACAACACCGATGGTATCTTTTTAATGTCGTCAGTCTGCCCTACTAAACTGCAAGCTGTGTGGAGGCAAGAACCATGTCTGTTCACTGCTGTATTTCTAGCACCAAGTGGAGCGTCTGGAGCACAGGTGAGAGTAACCATTATAAACGGTCCTCACCATTGTCCCAGCCATCCAGAATAACCAGCTAACTTCACAGAGTTAAGAGGTAAACACTTTCAGATCAGTTGGGTTCACAGATGTGCAATATTGTCAGATGAAAAGTAAATTCAACATCTTCCTGGTTTCCAAAGGCAGAATCAAGAAAAACCTGAAAAACAACTGCGGACCCTCTGAATTTAAACTGACAGCTAACTTCAGATTCAAAATTTGGGAATCACGCCTATAAAACCAAGCAAACTAGTAGATTGACTCTGGTATGAAACACCATCATGGGTAACAGCCCTGCCTCCCATCTACTCAATCTGGACAAAAAGAGGGAAACAGGCAAATGTGTGTGTCTTCTGCTTGCCCTTATTCTTCATCTTTCCACTTTTATTGTAACTGCGAAAAGCCCCAGGCAACAGAGGGGGAGAGCTGCCTGAGCTTCTTATGACAATCTGGTTATACTGAGCCACACATGTTGTATTAACCATGAATTGACACCCCAACCCACATCATGTTCCTCATTCATTCCCATCCATTTTCCATCTTGGCTTTCCTCCCTGACCCATCTCTTTTTCTGCTTTCCTTTACTTTCTACCACTCAACTTCTCTCAAGATGTGAGGCACAAAGATACAGCAGAAAGAGGGCTGGATTTAAAGACTCCTGGAGCCTTTTCCTGGAGAAACTGCTAAAACATATCACAGGAAATTATTCTGGAGTCTGGGAAAAAGAAGACTTTAATAAAGTATAGACAGTTCGGAGAAAGAATGGAAAAAGAAATAGGATGAAATGAAATTGTTAGGAAGAAAAGATGCCTGGGCCTTACGCTCATAATTAACCTTGTAACTCCCACACCGCCAAACATCTACAGTGAAGAGCTTGTGTATCTTCTTAGGCTGCTGGCCACTACCTTGCACGTGAGAGAATTTAATCCAACAAAGAAGAACAAATCACTTTCTGACAATGGTGTAATGTTTTTGTTTTATTAGAGACAGGGTCTCCCTCTGTTGCTGAGGCTGGAGTGCAGTGGCGCGATAACTCATTGCGGCCTCAAACTCCTGACCTCAACCAATCCTCCCACCTCAGCTTCCCAAATTGCTGGGATTATAGCTGTGAGCCACGCCACCTGGCGTGGTGTTTTGATAAGATACCTTATCTGTTCTTGCTGTTTAGCTCAAAGAAATATACTGTTCGAGATCTGCAATCAGGCTTCATGTACGGATGCAGGGAAAAAGGAGTGGCTAGGCACTGTATTATTAAATAAGAAGGAGGTTTTTTTGGTAATAAACACCCTATAACGGCTTTCATAAAACCCAGTTAAGATTGGAGCTTTAGAATTACCAATATCCAAAACAATACTTAAAATTACAGTATCCCTGGGGGGAGGGGAGGCGGTTGGGGTGGGGGAACCTACCACAGACTGTCTGCTTATTTATCCCACCTGCAATGTGATTGCTTGCAAACAGGTAACTCGTGATTCTGAATAATTATCCTGCATCCAACCCAGTGGTGTTGCGACTGCTGACATTCCTCACGAGAAAGCAAGTCCTTGCTTTGAAAGGTGTCAGTTATGTGGAAAGGACCAAAACCCACCTCAGTGTCCCCAGTGTTAATTCTCCTTTGTATATTACCCTAGGGAACTTTCTGACCACTGCCCCCTCAACCCAGGACTTTGTGCGTGCCACCCCCCAACCTCCATTAAGGTTCATTTTACCCTCTGGAAGCTAGAGGGAAATGAAAGCAGTCCCAGGAAGAACCGGGCTTATTTCCTCCACACAGACAATAACCGCCACCTGCGTGAGGATTTACGCACCAAACCGTCCCCTCACCCCGCTTCATAGTTCCTATGTCATACAGTCACAGCCACTCATACCTCAGAGGACGAGGAGGAGAAAGGACAAAGGGGCCAGGTGGCTTGGGCAGAGGGAGGAAAAGGTGGCTTCTCTTTCACACTCCCACAATACAGCTATTGCCGGTGGAAGCCAGGCTGCTCCCCATCTCGGGCTGTGTTGAGACAGCTGTTGGAGCCAGAATAGGAAAAGGAAGGAAAAAACTGTCCTCCCTAAGGACTGCTAGTTTTTTATTTTGAAGGAAGGAAAACTGCTTAACATGAACGGGACCCCGTCTTGAAGCACTGTGGAGCTTTCATCTATCAGTTTAGTTCTATCCTGCCATGAACCAATCCTTGGCAATTCTCACTAGCAAGCTGGAGAGCCTGAACATGAACGAAGTCAGCCATAGGAGGAGGCCATTGTTGACTCTTTCCCAAAGGGCACAGTCAGTGACAGGGGTCTTCGGCAGGCACCTGGCACACAGTCACATCCACTACAGGAAGTCAGCGGGGAGACCTTACAGGAAGGTTCTGGGAGGGGGTCTTCTCTACTCTCTCAGGCGGACTGCGAGGACTGTCAAAGGAAGAGTGAGGAAGAAATAAAATCAGAGAAGGTGAAAAGCTGAAAATTCACACAGGTTTCTTTGTCCTGTTTTTCTGTGGAAGAAGTAGAAAAAAAAAAAGAAAAGAAACTTTAGAATTATTGGTGGAATTATAATGAAAAAAGGTAACCTTACATGACCATATCTATAATTTCATGCAATGATAGTTCTTTGACCAGACCATAAAATTTCTGTCATTTATATATTTGCATTTATTGTCCCCCTCTCTTATTTTATTTTTTAAAAATAAAGATAGGGTGTTACTATGCTGCCCAGGCTGGTCTCGAACTCCTGGACTCAAGCAATCCTCCCATCTCAGCCTCCCAAAGTGCTGGGATTACAGGTGTGAGCCACTGTGCCTAGCCTCTATTTTATTTTTATTACATAAACATAACGTGGTCATTATAAAACTTTAAAAATCTTGATAAAAAAATTTTAATTAAATTCAATTCCCAGAGAAACTATGCAATTAACATTTTAGTATATCCTTTCATTTTTTCTATACACACATAAAAATACACGATGGGTTAGTTGGTAGGGGTGTTTGTTTATAAAAATTTCCTATATTACAACTATTGGAATTTTTTCACAGAAGTCACAAATATCTGTTTGTGCAAACAAATGTCTGCTTTCTTTTCTTAAACATTCTTGAGAAACACCCCTGCTATTTAGCGTTAAAGTCATCCCAGAAAGCATGTGAGGGCATCTGTACGTGCTGCTGAGAGTTTAAAAGCCAAAGAAGTAAGTACCAAGTTCACGTACAACAATAAAAAGCTCAGGAACCCCCCAACTATCTCACTGACAAACCTTCAGGAAGCCCTCCTGAGTTAATACCTAAAATAACACCAAGAAAAAGCTGGGACTCTTCCCTGGCGGATCTTTTGAAGTGAGAAAAATCTTTTGTAACCACTTTTACTGAAGATGTGTAATGTGGTTTAGAATGACTGCTGATACTAAGGTTTAAGAATTATCTTACTTTCCCTTATTTATCCATAATACATATTATTTTCTCTAGAAATCCTAAGGAATTTTTTAGTACTAATGTAATAAAAGGATTTGGCCAAACCATGAAATACATGAGAAATAGTTTTCCTAACTATAGAAAACCATATGCTATCATAGTTATGAAGGAAGATTATGGATTTCATGGTATAGACAACTTAAACAGATGTTTATCAACACTTCCTGCAGTCCTAAAGAAAAAAAACATAAAAAAAAGTCAGATGATCTCAGGCTTCTTAAATTACATGATGAAAGACTGCCATAATCAGAAATAAAGTTTAACATCAACATCCTTCAGCCTAAAACTTACCACTTTTTGTCCACCACCACCTTCCTCTTTCACAGCATGGGCTAGTCCACTGCAGAAATGTGTTTTACTATTTTGTGGAGTGCCAGACCAAGCAGTTATACAGAGACACAAGAAAAGCATGCTCATACCGTTTATATAATGGTACCCACCATGCAGGAAGAGAATTCTTATCACTAGCCCTATCTTTGAAACCATGTGAAAGACAATTTAATAGAAAGAGGCCTAAAATATATCTGCATAGAGTAATTCAGAAGGGAATGTGCCCACAACCAAGGCTTGCCTATCTCAGATTCAACATGGCCAGCAGTTTATTTTAATCCGTCTCCCCATCACCATCTTTAAATTAAGACACTTCCTGTTTTTAACCCAGTCTCATTGCTTGCACACACTGTGCCAAATCTTAATACTCAAGCTCGTTTTCATTCTTGCACAGGCTTTAGATTTACACATCGTTGCGGGGTAAAATATTTCTGAAAACAGAAAAGGCAACTTTGCTCTTCAAACTTACCCAGGGCTTTCCGAGACAGTTCTGTGAATTCAAGTCCTTCCCCATTGACAAAATGTTACTGTAGACTTTCTTGTTAATTGAACCCAAGATACTGCCAGCCTGACGTTAGAGGGGCTCACAAAACTTAGCCAGCAACCTTTTGTACTGAGCAAAACACAGATTATCAAATGAGCAGCCAGCATGTCTAAGGGACTCTCGTGCTGCAATGTGAGAAGGCTGAAAAAGAACACCAACAGAGGGAGCTGCTAATTAATTCTCCTCCTCCGCATCAGCCCCAAATGTTTCAAACAACAACCGATCTGGGAACACAATTTTGACATTGTTGAGATAATGACCTGATTTGTTCCCAAAATGCTGGGAGAGCTGCTGCAACCCTATCTGGTGAGAACCATTTGTACTCTTTCCTTCCCAAAGCCAGAGTAGGCTCATTTCCAAAGACAAGGAATACTTCCTGTCTTTTTTCCAAGCCTGACAGTCAAGGGGCTAACTATGCATTAGAGCCTTATCAACATAGCACTCAAGTATGGGCTACTTTAGATTAGCCCGTACTTGGTTGCCAAAATAGAATTTCCTGACAGATACTATTAAAATACAGATGTTTTACAGTGTGCCCAGAAACAGAAATAAGGACACAAGATTGCCTTGCATTACAGAATTTACTGCTTGGGGGAGTGGGGGTGGGAGAGGGAATAGTGAAAATGGCTACATAAGAATAAACAAATGAAAACCTATAACATGATGAGTAAGAGTTCTATGGTAGAGAGGTAGGAGAGGCAAGGTGAAAACTGCCACAAGCAAATGAGACTGCAGCAAAGTATGTAAGGAGCCTGTTCTCAGGTCCACCCACCTCCAGCTATCACCCTCTCTGACCGCCTTTTCCCATGAGCCTGAAAGGGTCACAGACACCAGCGTTTCTCAGCACAACTGGTGTTTGGGGCTGGATAATTCTTTGTTGTCAGGGGTTGTCCTGGACACTGCAGAGTGTTTAGCAGCATCTCTGGCCTTTACACACTAGATGACAGTAGCACCTACCCTCTCTGATTCAGCTATAACAATCATAAATTTCTTCGGATATTGCCAAATATTCCCTGGGAGGCAACATTGCCTTCGATTGAGAAGTGCAGATATATCCTAGGCCACCACGCATGGAAGGTGTATTCTGCACACTAAACAAGTGCACCCAGCTAAGGTGGCACATAAGAGCTGAAGTCCCATGCACGGTCCACTCACCAAGCCAGGGACTGTGTCCATCCAGAAAGGCACACATTTTCTAATGTCTTCAAAGGCTCTGTACTGGCAGGGTGTGGTGGCTCACACCTGTAATCCCAGCACTTTGGAGGCCAAGGCGGGTGGATCACTTGAGGTCAGGAGTTCGAGACCAGCCTGGCCAACATAGCAAAACCCTGTCTCTACTAAAAATACAAAAAAATTAGCCGGGCATGGTGGTGCATGCCTGTAATCCCAGCTACTTGGGAGGCTGAGGCAGAAGAATCACCTGAACCCGTGAGGCAGAGGTTGCAGTGAGCCGAGATCGAGTCACTGCGCTCCATCCTGGGCGACAGAGCAGCGAGACTACATCTCAGGGAATTTAAAAAAAAAAAAAAAAAAAAAAAAAAAGGCTCTGTACAGGCCAACAGTACTGCATCTCCATATGCTGTCACGCTGCCATGAAGTCCCTGAAAGTTCTTGTTGCTAAGCCCAGCAAAATGACTCAATTCTCTTGGCTCTGCAGGAGCTAATGCTGGTAACCACTGCCTCCTTGAAAAGCACCCATGAAGATTTCCTCCACCCTTTCTGTCCATTCCTCCTCAGTCTCCTTTGCAGGTTGCTCTTCAGAGTTCTGCCCTAAGCCCTCTTCTGCTCCCCCACCTCTAACTAGGTGATCTTATCACCTCATCCGCTGCAGTTACTATCCACATGGGAAAGACTCCCAGAACTCAATTCATTCTGCTCTTTCTCTTTTCTGAACTTCAAATGCAGGGTTCAAGCTCACATTTCCCCTTCAATGATCTGTAGATGCTTGAACTCAATCTGTCCATAAATGAGCTCATCCATCTGCCCTCCCAAACCTCCCAGGCTTCCTTTCACTGAGTAGCAGCCAGATCCTCCCAGAAGTCTGGGCACTGGGCTTGATGTTTGCCTCTCCCCATTCAATCAACTCACAGAGATTCTCCTCCTCAACCGCCATACTGAGTAGCAGCCAGATCCTCCCAGAAGTCTGGGCACTGGGCTTGATGTTTGCCTCTCCCCATTCAATCAACTCACAGAGATTCTCCTCCTCAGCCGCCATTTGTCCCCTTTTTCTAGCCCCAAGGTCAGCTCAGGCTACAGTGTCTCTCACTGGGGGATTACTGCAGGTGCCTCCGTTCTCAGGCCATCCTCACATACCCAAGCTGGAGGGATTCCTCCAGCCAGCACTTCACCTACCAACTTAAAACTTGCCAGTGATTTCCCACAACTCTTGAGATAAAGTTTAAAATTTCTTAACAGTTTACCAGGCCCTTTATGACCTACCCTCCCACCCCCACCCAATAATCACACACTAAACTCTCTTTGGTTCTAAACACAGGATGCTCCCCCTCCTCTCCTCTTCCCCAAGTCTACCACTTCACCTGGCGAACTCCACCTCACCCAACAGGTTTCAGCTTCAACTACGACCTCCACCTCCCATTAATGTTCCCAGTATGAAGCGCCCATAACAGCCCGTACTTCCCCTATCAGAGCGCTTACTCTGCATATCTGTCTGGTTCCCCAGCGAAATATGTTACGTCCTCACTTTGCATCATCCATCAGCTTTGGCCTCACTTATTCCTCCACATAGTGTTTGTTGGCCGGTCCATCTATTAATTGCTCATCTCAAATTTGTTATGGCTCATCAGCAATAGTGAAGATAAGAAGTACGAAGACTACAGAATGCCCCTCTCTGCACCAGATGCGGTAGTGATGTTAAAATACATACATGACACAGAACTAGCCCTCAAATATATTAAAGTGGGGAAATGACATAAGAAGTTAACAGGGCCAGGTGCAGTGGCTCTTGCCTGTACTCCTAGCACTTCGGGAGGCCAAGTGGGGGGTGGCTTGCTTGATTCCAGGAGTTCGAGACCAGTCTGGGCAACATGGCAAAACCCTGTCTCTACAAAAAATAAAAAAATTAGCCGGGTATGGTGGTGCACACCTGTGGTCCCAGCTACTCAGGAGGCTGAGGTGGGAAGATCACTTGAGCCTAGGAGATGGAGGTTGCAGTGAGCCATGGTCATGCCACTGCACTCCAGCCTGGGCAACAGAACATTGTCTCAAAAATAAAAAATAAAATAATAAAATAAAATAAAATAAAATAGAACATGAAATGTTATATTTACTAAGCAAATAAAGATAGCGTAAGAAAATAGCCAGGTAGGTAGGAAACAAAAAACTGAGAAATTATCAGGATTAAAGAGATATGATATGGAGCCTCCTAATAGAGAAGCCCTGGATTTGGATTCAGATTTTGAAGACGGTAAGGGGCAAAACAACAGGCATAGAAATTAACTAGAGAAATGTCAAGTCTTGCAACAATCAACTACTTTTTTAAATCAATTAGAGTTATGTTTTTTCAAGTGGAAACTTTGTAAACTGCTGCTAGTTTTCCATCTGCACTGACAGCATAATGCACAATGGTCATTTTCTGGTGAAATGAGAACAAGTCATTGAGATCTGTACTGACTTCCGTAGAAGGACAAACACGCAGTAGTGTGTCTTCTGAAGCTTGCGGATTTTCAATTTTTTTTTTTTTTTTTTTTGAGACAGAGTTTCACTCTTGTTGCCCAGGCTGGAGTGCAATGGTGTGATCTTGATTCACTGCAACCTCCACTTCCTGGGTTCAAGCAATTCTCCTGCCTCAGCCTCCCGAGTAGCTGGGATAACAAGCGCCCGTTACCATGCACAGCTATTTTTTTTTGTAGTTTTAATAGACATGGGGTTTCACCATGTTGGCCAGGCTGGTCTCAAACTCCTGTCCTCAAGTGATCCGCCCACCTTGGCCTCCCAAAGTGCTGAGATTACAAGCATGAGCCACCGTGCCCGGCCTCAATGTTCTCCAAGCACATTACATTGTATAGAAAAATTAATAAATACGTTGGGTGACAAGTTAACTTATTACCTTTAAGGGCTTATTACCGTTTATCACTTTTCCTCCCACTTTTATTAAGGTTATAATTAAAAAATAAAAATTGTATATATTTACAATATACATGGTTTGATGTACATAGACCTCGTGAAATTAAATCTAGCTAATTAACATACCCACCTCGCACTTATTTGTGGTGAGAACATTTGAGAGCTAATCTCTTAGTAATTTCCAAGTATACATTAACTACAGTCACCACACTGTACAATAGATCTCCAGAACATATTTAACTTAACTGAAACTTTTTACCTTTAACCAACGCCCTCCCAAGCACCGCTCATCTCCCAGCCCCTGACAACCACCACTCCGCTCTCAGCTTCTGTGAGAGTTTGACTTTCTTGGATACCACATATAAGTGAGAAAATGCAGTATCTGTCTTTCTGTGCCTGGCTATTTCATTTATGAATAGGTTCATCTATATTGCTGCAAATGACAGGATTTCTTCTTTTGTAAGGGTGAAGAGTATTCCAGTGTACACATATACCACATTTTCTTTACCCATTCATCTACTGATGAACACTTCCACTGTCTCCATAACTTGACTATTGTGAATCATGCTGCGAGGGACACAGAAGTACAGGTATCTCTTTGATTTCAATTCCTTTGGATGTATACCCAGAAGTAGGATTGCTGGATCATATGGAAGTTCAGTTTTTATTTTCTGCAGAACTTCCATACTCATACTATTTTCCATATTGGTTGTACTAACATTCTCATCAACAGTCTAAGAGGGTCCCTTTATCTCACATTTTCCCAACACACTTGTTACCTTTTGCCTTTGATAATATCCATTCTAGTAGATGTGAGATGATACCTCACTGTGGTTTTGTATTTTTTAGTAGAGACGAGGTTTTGCCATGTGGCTAGGCCAGTCTTGAACTCCTGACCTCAAGTGATCTGCCTGCCTCGGCCTCCCAAAGTGCTGGGATTTACAGGCATGAGCCACTGCATCTGGCCACTCACTGTGGTTTTAATTTGCATTTCCCTGATTAGTGATATTGAGCACTTTTCATGTATCTGTTGGTCATCTGTATGTCTTCTATTGAGAAATTTCTATTAAGGTCCTCTGTTCATTTTTTTTTTTTGAGACGGAGTCTCGCTCTGTCGCCCAGGCTGGAGTGCAGTGGCGCGATCTCGGCTCACTGCAAGCTCCGCCTCCCGGGTTCACGCCATTCTCCTGCCTCAGCCTCCCGAGTAGCTGGGACTACAGGGGCCCGCTACCACGCCCGGCTAATTTTTTGTATTTTTAGTAGAGACGGGGTTTCACCGTGTTAGCCAGGATGGTCTCGATCTCCTGACCTCGTGATCCGCCCGCCTCGACCTCCCAAAGTGCTGGGATTACAGGCGTGAGCCACCGCGCCCGGCCTGTTCATTTTTTTAATCCGGTTATTTATTTTCTTGCTATTGAGTTGTATGGGTTCCTTGTATATTTTATATATTAACCCCTTATCAGATGTATGGTCTGCAACCATTTTATCCCATTCTACAGGCCATCTCTTCATTCTATTGTTTGTTTCCTTTTCTATGCAGAATTTTTTTTTTAGTTTAACACAATCCCATTTGTCTATGTTTGCTTCTGTGATACTTTTGAGGTCATATCCAAAACATCATTGCCCAGGCTAATGTCAAGAAGCTTTTTCTCTGTGTGTTCTTCAAGTAGTTTTATACTTTTGGATCTTACTAAGTCTTTAGTCCATTTTGCAGTCAAATCCTCTACCCCTGAGCCATGCCCCCAATCTTTAGTCCATTTTGAGTTGATTTTTGTATATGGTGTGAGAAAGGGGTTTAATTTTTCTGTATGTGGATGCCCAGTTTTTCCAACACCATTTATTGAAAAGACTCTCTTTTCCCCATTGTGTGTTCTTGGCAACTTTGTCAAAGAGCCAACCGACTGTAAATATGAATTATTTCTGGGGTCTCTATTCTGTTCCATTGGTCTATATGTCTGTTTCTACACCACTACTATGCTGTTTTGATGACAGCTTTTTAGTATATTTTGAAGTCAAGTAGCATGATGCCTCCAGCTCTCTGTTTTTTTGTGTTTTTTTTTCGTTTTTCAACAAACCAAAACTTAAGAGATGCAGCAAAAGCAGCACTACAAGGAAGTTTACAGCAATCAACTCCTATATTAAGGAAGAAAGAGCTCAAATACACTTAACTTTACACCTCAAGGAATTAGAAAAGGAACAGCCCAAAGTCAGCAGAAGGAAAAAAATGAACATTAATGAAACCAGGAGTTTTTGAAAAGATAAAACTGACAAACCTTTAGCTGAACTAAAAGACAAAATTATACATGAAAGATGAGACATTACAATTGATACCACAAAAATACAAAGGATTATATAAGATACTACTATAGACAAATATATGCCAACCAATTAGATAACCTAGAACAAATGGATAAATTCCTAGAAACATACAACTTACACCAAGGCTGAATAATACAGAAATAGAAAATCTGAAGAGACCAATAGTAAGTAAGGAGATTGAATCAGAAATCACAAACCTCTCAACAAAGAATATCCCAGGATGTCACGGCTTCACTGGTGAATTTCATCAAATATTTAAAGAGAAGAATTAACACCAACCCTTCTTAAACTCTTTCCAACAACTGAAGAGGATGGAATCAACCCTTCCAAACTCATTTTGCAAGGCCAGCAAGGACACTACAAGAAAATAAAATTATGGGTCAATGTCCTTGATGACTAGAGAAGCAAAAATCCTCAATATAATACCAGCAAACCAAATTCAAAAGCACATTAAAAGGATCATACACCATGAACAAATGGGATTTATCCCTGGGATGCAAAGATGGTTCAACATATGCAAATTAATTAAAATTAACTAATACCACGTTAACAAAATCGAGGATAAAAATCAAGGGATCATCTCAATAGATGTATAAAAATCATTTGAAAGAATTCAACATCCTTTCATGATAAAAACTCTCAACAGATTAGGTATAAAGAATGGACCTCGACATAATAAAGGCCACATACGGCATGCCCGTAGCTAATATCATACTCAGTGGTAAAAAGCTGAAAGCCTTTCCTCTAAGATCAGGAGCAAAACAGGATGCCCACTCTTAACCACTTCTATTCAATATAGTACTAGAAGTTTTAGCCAGAGCTATTAGGCAAGAAAAATAAAATACATCAAAAATGGAAAGCAAGAAGTTACTCTGTCTCTGTTTGCAGATGATATAATCTTATATATAGAAAACCTTCAGAACTTCACCAAAAGATTGTTAGAATAAACTCAGTGAAGTTGTAGGATACTAAAATCAACATATAAAAATCAGTAGCACTTCTATTATATATACTAATAATGAACTATCTAAAAAATAAAGAAAATGATTTCATTTACAATAGCATCAAGAGAGAATAAGGCCGTGTGCAATGGTTCACACCTGTAATCCTAGCACTTTGGGAAGCCAAGGCAGAAGGACTGCTTGAGTCCAGGAGTTCAAGACCAGCCTGGGTAACGCAGAGATGTCTCTACAAAAAAATTTAAAAATCAGCCAGGCATGGTGGTACACACCTGCAGTCACAGTTACTTGGGAGGCTGAGGCAAGAGGATCACTTGAGCCCAGGAGTTCAATGCTGCAGTAAGCTGTGATCGCACCACTGCACTCTAGCTCAGGTGACAGAGTGAGACCCTGTCTCAAAAAAAAGAAAGAATGAAATACTTAGTAATAAATTTAACCAAGGAGGTGAAAGATCTGTATGCTGAAAACTATAAAACATTGCTAAAAGAAACTGAAGACATAAATAAATGGAAAGATATCCTGTATTCATGGGTTGGAAGAATTAACACTGTTAAAACTGTTCATACTCCCCGAAGTGACCTACAGATTTAATACTATTCCTATTAAAATTCCAATGTAATTTTTTACAGCGGAAAAAAATATTGTATGGAACTACAAAATGCCCCAAACAGCCAAAGCGTTCTTGAGCAAAAACATGCATGACATTTAAAAACTGGAAAGTTTTCAGCCAGGCATGATGGCTCATGCCTATAATCCCAGCACTTAGGGAGGCCGAGGCAGGTGGATCACTTGAGGCCAGGAGTTCAAGACCAGCTGGGCCAACATGGTGAAATCCCGTCGCTACCAAAAATATAAATATTAGCCAGGTGTGGTGGCTCATGCCTGTAATCCCAGCTACTCGGGAGGCTGAGGCAGGAGAATTGCTTGAACCCAGGAGGTGGAGGCTGCAGTGAGCTGAGATTGTGTCACTGTACTCCAGCCTGGGCAACACAGTGAGACTGTCTCAAAAAATAAATAAATAAAAAACAAAAGCTGGAAAATTTTCAAACAAAAACTTTTATAGGTGTCATTTATGAAGTACTTACTATGCCAAATGTGTAACAAATATGTTGTCCCTTATAACCATCCTCTGAGGGACAATCATTATTTCCATATTACAATTAGGAAAATGGAGGCTCTGATCCAATCAGAGACAGAATTCCACCCCAACTCTGACTCCTTCCTTATGTTCTAAGCTGACTCTCAAACAAATAACTAAGCAAACAATAGCTTTTGCTAGATAGCACCACGCTGTTGAAACCCACCTGTTTGAAGGAACCTCTGCAGGTATCTATAATTAAGTTAGGACTGTTCCAACTTGAACTAGTTGCTGTCAATTTAGTTTTAAAAACTGCTCCAGCCTGAGGCAGAATGTGCCTCTTAGGATCCTCAAAATTGTTTTGTCAATCATGGAGTAATCTTTACTGAAATGCTATAAATGTTTTTCTTTCCCTCTTCTTCCTGGAGAACTGATAACAATTCTGAAATGTGTAAGATGTCTGCCCCTCCTTTACTCAACTTTTTACAAAAAAACAGGGCCCTGAGATAGAGGGCCTTGCACACAGTCTCCTGCTCAGCTGCCTGAGAAGGCATTACTGAGCACTTACTACATCCCCATTTTTTGCAACACGATCTTTCTCAAGTACAATCATCCTAAGTTGGGCACTATTATTAACTTTTTTTTTTTTACAGACGAGAAAGAAGGGGCTGAGAGAAGTCCAGAGCTTGTGTTCTTTCCGCTCTCCCAACCATGTTGATTCTGCCACAGCTCTACCATCTGCTTTTCAGTGCTGCCCTCAATAGCTCTGCTCCAAGACAGAAAAAAAAAAGGATGAATAGCTTAACAAGAGAGAGGGGAATCAACAGTAAATAAATGTTTGAGCCTACTCAGGGCAACTTGTTGTGTTGAGTGAGAAAATAAAAGGATGGACCCTATCCTCAAAGAAATTAAATCCAGGAATAGTGTTAAGACACACGAAAATAAGTAAAATAGAAAACACTCCTTTCTCAATCAAGAGTTCTCCACCTCAGCACTACTGACATTCTATAACTCTTTGTTGTGGGCTATTCTGGGCATCTCTGGCCTCTACTCCCTAGATGCCAGTAGCACCCCTCCCCAAAATCATGGCAACCAAAAATGTCTCCAAACACTGCCAAATGCCCCTGGGGGGCAAAAATCGATCTCCCACCCCCACCTGTTGAGAATCACTGCTCCGAATGGCACAGGTGTTGAAATATACCTATTATTATTATTTCAGGTTATTCCAGGGCTTCATCTTAGGTGCAAGCTTTCAGAGTTCTTTTTCAACATATGAATCAATCAAGATTTATAATCTCAAGAGAAAAAAAGAGCCCCCCCAAATTACTTGTTTATCAAAGACATTAGCAACACTTGAGAGACAATTATCCCAAACCTGTGGCTTGTTGAAAAATTAATTTATCCCATCCATGCTTTGATCTTCTAGCAAATTATTTTCTGAGACAAGATTTAACTTGTGAGGGCCTGACAGGCTAACCAGCTGTCAGACAGGAACTGGTATCAAATTCCAAGTGTCAAGTGGAGAGGAGGCTTCTCGTCCTCCCCAAGGGAACCCTGCTCAGTAACATACCAAATGTCACAGAGGGGTCCAATTTTCCCACGCAAGAGCAGAGGTGCAAGCATCAACGCAGCTTAGCTTTGTTTTCAAAGGAAAAAGAGTTGTTTAGGAGGTGGTTTCATTTTATACTTCAGTATTTCCGTTATGAAAGGGTTCCTGTTGTTTTAGTTTTAGTTCTTAATTTCACCATAAGCAGGAGAGTCACAACTCAAGTGGTCTCCTCGCTTCTCTCTCGCTTCCTTGTCCTAAAAGAGAGAAGGAGGTAGCTTCCAGTCTTCCAATGGGTCTTGCTCATCTCACACCTGACCTGCAAGGTGCGTGCTGCCAGCCAGGTGGAACAGATGCACCCTGAATAAAATGCTTGATTAGAAACCACACACTTTACTTAAAGGGGTGCCGACTGCGAACTAAGAGAGTTAACTGTATTGTGTCTACACCTTATCATGTGTGGCAGGCAGAAAAATGCGCCCCCCAAAGGTGCCCAACTTCTAATTCCCAAACCTGTGACTATGTTACATTCATGGCAAAAGTCATTGTGCAGACGGCATTAAGATTAAGGACTTTGGGATGGAGAGATTTTCCTGGATTATCTAGATGGACCCAATCTAATGAGTCTTTTTAAAAAGTCTTTTATTTCTGTGGTCAGAGACAGAAAGATGGGATCACATAAGAGGAGCCAGAAGAAATGTCAGGCGTAAAAGGGACTAAATTTGCCAGTGGTGGCTTTGAAGATGAAGAAACGGGTCACAAGCCAAGGAATACAGGCAACCTCTAGAAGCTGCAGCAGTAAGGAAACAGATTCTCCCCAAAACCTTCAGAAGGAACTGGTCCTGCTGACTTCTTGATTTTATTCCAGTGAGACCTGTGTCCAACTTCTGATCTACACAACTGTAATATAAAAAAATGTGTGCTTTTGTGTATTTTTTTTCTCAGACAGTCTCGCTCTGTTGCCCAAGTTGGAGTGCAGTGGCATAATCTCAGCTCACTGCAAACTCTGCCTCCTGGGTTTCAAGTGATTCTCTTGCCTCAGCTTCCCGAGTAGCTGGGATTACAGGTGCCCGCCACCATGTCTGGCTATTTTTTTTATATTTTTTAGTAGAGACAGAGTTTCACCATGTTAACCAGGATGGTCTTTAACTCCTGACCTCAAGTGATCCGCCCACCTCAGCCTCCTGAAGTGCTGGGATTACAGATGTGAGCCACCGCGCCCCACACGTGCTGTTTTAAGCATGAAATTTGTGGGTTTTATTACAGCAGGAATAGAAAACTAAAAGACTTTAGTACCTGGAAGTGGGGTGCTGTTATAACAAATACCAAAAAATGTGGAAGTGGTTTTGGAATTGGGTAGTGAAGGAGCTTGGAAGAATTTTGAGGAACATGGTAGGAAAGGTTTACGTTGCCTTGAACAGACCTGTTAATAGAAATATAAACAATAAAGACTGCTTGTGAGGACCCAGAAGACTGCTTGTGACGAGCATGGTAGAGAGAACATAAATAGCCTTAGAGAATATCTCAACTGTCAAGGACACAGGAAATCACAAATACCATGATTCTACAGCCCATTTGCTGCCTACTGTGCACCAAGCAAGTGGAGCTCCAAGGCGGGCAAAGGCCCTAACAACTCAGGGACAACTCTGTCACTCAGCAGGTGTACTGTATTGTCTGTTTCATCTCACGCTGAGAGTAAAGCCATTTTCCTTACATGTTACTAATTTTAGCCCTGTGACCTGGGGCAGACCACCTCTCTGAACGTCACTTGGAGATGATCATAGTACCTGTGAGGTCACACATGAAAACTCACAGTACAGTGCCCAGTACAGAGTAGGCACCAAAAATGTGAGCTATTTCTCTATCTGGAGAGAAAGAAGTGTGGGCAGGAATAGATCCTTCCTTTCTCCCACAGGAAAGCCCCCGAGGACTCTTCTCCCAGGGAAGACGTAGGGCCTTTGCATAAGGGAAGGAAACAGATGCAAATGTAGGGGATCCTCAAGAAGCCACATACATCAAAGGCAAGGTTTGGGGACCTAATGGGGTTATTCCAAAAGCAAGGGACATAGGTACTGAGGTCTGAGGAAAACTGCCCTAGGCAACAGAGAAAGAAAAAAAGGAGGCTGCGTTGTTTCTTTGGGTGACTCTATTGCTGGAAACTTGCCCACTGCAGTCTGAGAACACTGGGCAGAGTTACTGTGCCACTCTCAGTGCCAACTTGGACAGGAAGTGATGTGGCCAATCCCACGGCTGCGAGGCCCAGCAGGAGGGGCAAAGGGGGCATCCTCAAAGAAAGACATCATTTTAAATTCTCTGGTCTGGCTTCTTACCTCAGCTTCCCCTCGGCCCAACCTCCACCCATCTCCATCCATGGAATTACAATACACAACTCAAATTAAAAGACTAATTGTTCCCACATGGGCAAAATTTTACATAAACTTATAGAATTTTCTACTTAAGATGAATAAACAGCTTTCTTATTGTAAACATGTTTTAGTGTTGGTGCTTTTATCAAGTTTCTGGGAGAAGCCATCAGAGGAAGAAAAAAGGCACTAGAAACATCTGATCCTTTCTGTCTCTTTACATCTGTACCCTTGACTATAAATCACAGTAATTCATTCCCCAGGATGAACAATCAATAGTTAAATGTCAGCCAGTAGGCTGCTGCATAACTAAGAGGGGGAAAAAATCACGCTAGGAGTGATCAAGATAAAACTAAGGGGCAAATGATTAAATAATTCTCTGCTGGTATGTTTCAAAGACGTATGTCTGCCAACATGGTCCAGATTTTTTGCTTAAGAGCGGCATTTTCCCCTTTTCTTTCGAGAAAATCTCCTTAGGTCCTGCTGAAAAGATATCACATCTTACATTACTTTCTGTTGATAGTGAAATCCACAGCCTCCCCAGCAATGTGATTAAGGCACAAATTTTTGAGACCAAAGCACATGTAGCCAACCGAGCACAATAATACTTTCAAAAAAAGAACAAGTTTCAAAAGTTCTTCTAACAATTCCATTGTTCAACATTCACAAGCTGGAAGAACGTACATTTCTGCATTTTCTGAATTTCCACAAGTTGGGTCAGTCTAAAGGCTCATTCTTCACACTCCCACAAACTATTTATTACTCTATGCCCTTTCCAAGCAAATCGAGATAGGCAGTTATCAAAGCAGATGCATTATTTGGGTCCACCTGAAAACAACTGGTTCTGCCCCCCCCTTTCTCCCAATCTGCAAGCTTCTGTTCATCCCTGTGAATAAAAATGCAGAATGACAAAAAGTCTGGGTGACTTACATTATTCTCCTTATCTCAACATAAATGTGAAATCTGGGGGTGTCAGCTAGTCAATCTCCAGGTCCTCGTAAAAGATAATGTGCCTGGTGGTTTTGTTTTGCTTTTCACAAACATGGAAAAGGGGAGGCATGGCTTAGAGGCAACTACATAATGAACTTAGCTGCTGAAAACAAATTCCAGCCCACTTCCAGAAGATGAAAAACAACACATAATGCATAGAAACTGTTCAAAGCTCCCATGACCTTTGCATCTGTCTCACTCTATCAGGAACTAGAAATGCCACCTCAGTTTTGACAGACTGGGCCTCCAAAACACAGCCTCTCTCATCCTTGGCTTCTCACCCAGCAGCACCACCTTCAAACCAGGGACAGTCCAGATACCAGAGTATGATCCAGTAAAAACTATTCAGGATTCAGATAAGTCAAATAAAAATCAGATGGTCTAAGAGTGTTTTGGAGGAGGGTAAAATATATAAACAATTTTCCATTTTCTATGCCTGTGCAGGAGCACTAGGTAGTATTTAGACTGTGCCTGCCACTTTAAATGCATTATGCCTTACCTCATCTGTCCCCCACAAAAAGCCCAGTGATAAATTTTCTCTATGTCCATTCTTCAGATGGAAAAACAGACTTAGAAAGGTTAAACATGCCTAAAGTCACAAACTGGCAAATCTAAACTCTGTACCCACACTAATGCTCTTAACCTAGGCTTAATATCTACGATATACAGTGATTAGCAACAGATTCTAAAAACAGCTATGACCCCTCCAAATTGCCCTTGGGGTTCAATGAATTTTACTGAAAAAATTAATGATTATCTCCTTTTTTCAACAACCTTTGTTCAAAACCTCACACACTCAGCTTTGCCTCTGACTGGCAATAAGTCACAATATCTCCATGGCACTGGCTTCAAAGCAATGCAAATATTCAAAAGTGCTTTCCTCTTCAAAGACATCACTGCAGGACAAAATCCAACTCCAAAACTGTTCCGACCAGCAACATGGTGCCAGAGATGCCCCATTATCGTCGGCAAAACACCCGGCCTCCAAGCACAGCCACCTCCCTGTTCCCTCCTGCAGCTGTGTACACAAGGTTTATTATACCCCAATGGCCAGCTTTGCTTTCTTGCCAAGAGATAAGAAAAACAAGGTTGAGACCCTACTGCTGGTATGAAAATCTTCGATCCACACTCCAGAAATCTGGAAATGCACTTCTACATAATAAACTGAAGCAGTTTTACGCACTTCCAAGATATTCCAAAAACAGTGATAAAGGCTATATTTTATTCCCAGGGTAAGGCTTAAAGGGCAAATAAGATGCTCACGCCAAGTAGCTTGGTGAAGACTTTCATATAAGGAATGTTAAGCTTCTGAGTATCAACTATATGTCTAAATTTAAAAATAAAACAGTTAGAACGTAGAATGGTTGTTACCAGGGGCTGGAGGGAGTGGAGGGAAATGGGGAGTTAAGGGTTGAATGGGTGCAGAGTTTCTATTTAGGAAGATGAAAGAGTTCTGGAGATGGATGGTGATGATGGTGGCACAACAATGTAAACATACTTAACATCAATGAACTATACACTCAAAATGATTGAAATGGTAAAAAAAAAAAAAAAAAAAAAAAAAGTGCTTGAGGCAGGAGAATCGCTTGAACCAGTGAGACAGAGGTTGCGGTGAGCCGAGATGGTGCCACTGCACTCCAGCCTGGGCAACAAGAGTGAAACTCTGTCTCAAAAAAAAAAAAAAAAAAAAAGACAAATGCTCTCAAACTCCTTTTAAATCTCTGTACACGAATGCTCTCAAACTCCTTTTAAATCTCTGTTCACCGTTATGCCTAAGTGGGGCCCAAGTCCCCTTTAGAGTCATCCAAGGAAAGGACTGACCACAGGGGCTCAGAGTGGCCCACAGACGATTTTACAGTCTAGTCTATAACGCCTCTGTGTTTGTGCTCATGTCCAATGAATGTTTTACACTTATTATCTTACAGGAAAAAAACAAGTTGTTGAAATTCCTCACTCATGTGCATGCTGCTTGGAGGCCAGGTGGATGTCTCAGGTGAGCATCTAGACAAAAGTTCTCTTCTCTCTTGGTATCACAATGTAACACAACAACAATCTGGCCCACACACACACAACACACACACACAGAAGCAGCCACATTTTTTCCCGATATATGGGCTATTTCAGAGTAACAGTGAGGACAGACGCCAGAAGGCGTTTTATTCTGCCACAGTTCAGAATAAAATGGTCTCTGGTTCACTACAGTCTCTTTTCTACATCTTAGGCAAATAAAGACTTTTTTCACAGAAAGAAAGGCACCAATGCTGCTGTACTCCAGTTAACTACTGATGCTGTATTTTCATCACCTGAGACTGGACCAAGAGTTGCATCTCAAATGACAGAGTCCCCACAATCAAATCTCTTTATCCAACTCTCAAATTGAGTTTTGCTTTGCAATTGTTGACCTATTTAATTGCTTTTTCTCTTCCTCAAGCCTGAATGTTCTGATTTGTAAGCCGATCTTGATCCCAAATTAAGTACTACTTTATTTTTACTTTTTTGAGACAGGGTCTCACTCTGTCACCCAGGATGGAGTGTAGGGGTACAATTACAGCTCACTGCAGCCTCCACCTCCTGGGTTTAAGCAACCCTCGCACCTCAGTCTCCTCAGTAGCTGGGACTATAGGCACGCACCACCACATCTGGGTATTTTTTATAGAGGGAAGGTTCTTGCTTTGTTGCCCAGGCTGGTCTCAAACTCCTGGCCTCAAGTGATCCTCCTGCATGGGCTTCCCAAAGTCCTGGGATTATAGGCATGAACCACTACACCCAGCCAATTAAGTACTTCTCACTATTGTTTTAGCATCTGTTTCCCCCTCATTGGAGGGATTTAAAAAAAAAAGGAAGCAAACCTTGAGTTAGAAAACTCTGACCTTTACCAGCCTAGGTCCCTAAACATTCTTTGAGTTACATAAAATATGATCAGTTTCCTTTAAAGTTTGCATAATTCATTTTTTAAAATTATTTTATTTTATTGAGATGTTGTCTCACTCTGTCACCCACGATGGAGTGCAGTGCCACAATCATGACTCACTGCAGCCTCAGCCTGCCAAGTAGCTGGAACTACAGGCATGCCCCACCACGTCTGGCTAATTTTGTATTTTTCATAGAGACAGAGTTTCATCATATTGTCCAGGCTGGTCTTGAACTCCTGGGCTCAAGCACTCCACCTTCCTGGGCCTTCCAAAGTGCTAGGATTATAGGCATGAGCCACCGCTCCCAGCCACATAATTCATTTTTAAATACCACTACAAAACTGACAATTAACATCAACAATAAAATATTTAATACAAGCCCAATCCTCCCTAATACAAACATATTCTTAACAATTAGAATAGTGTCACAACTAAAACATGAATAGCTCAACATCACAGAGCTAGGCAGAGCAACACAACAGAAGTCAAGAAACAGAAGTCAAGAAACAGACACATAGGCATGGGGGATTTAGTCAGAGGGAAAATGGACTATTAATAAATGACTGGGAAAACCAGTAGCCATCTGGGAAAAAAAGTAAACTTGGATCCATATGTACTAAAATAAATTCAATATGGATAAATAATTTAAATATAAAAATATTGAAACTACAAAAGTACCAAAAGAAACCCTGGACATTTTAAAAATAATAATTTTAAGATGGGGAACGCCTTTTTCTCTTCATGATATTAAATCCAAAGACTTTAAAATAAGCTGCTAATAAATTCACCAACATGGAAAAATGTAATATAACCCGAATCAAAAGATGAACAAACTGCAAACAACTCCAATTCTTATCACATGAGGGGCTTATTTCCCTTAGGTATAATGTCATACAACTTGGTAACAGCCCAATGGCAAAGGATATGAACAGTTCGCAGAAACACAAATACAAACAGCTCTTATAAATTTATGAAAATATGCTCATTCTCCTAAGAGAAATGCAAATTAAAAACAGATGAGATACCATTTTTTACTTAACAGATTGGTAAAGATTAAGAAATGTCATAACATACTGTACTGGCAACGATATAAAGAAACAAGTGCTTTCATGCCTTGCCTGTGAGAGCATAAGTTAGCACAGCTTCCATGAAAGGCAGCTGGAGTAACATCTGTGAGAAGTACAAATGCACATATGCATTCACCTGGTAATTCCATATTCATCACACATGGCACTATCACGTGTGAGCATAATACACGTACAAAGTTACCCCTTGCAGCATTGTTGGATGTAGCAAATCAATAGGAAACTGATTAAACAAAATATGGAGTTTAAAATCATACTATGCTGCTCTTTAAAATGATTTTAAAAAGAAACCCATACCTCCACATGGAGCAGTCTGAAGACACATGGTTCTATGAAAAAAAGATGCATAACAATATATGAAGTCTATTATCATCTGTGATTTCACAGGGAGAGAGAATATGATCATATACACACATTTTAAAAATATGTATGAGGCCGGGCGCGGTGGCTCACACCTGTAATCCCAGCACTTTGGAAGGCGAAGGCAAGTGGATCACGAGGTCGAGAGATCAACACCATCCTGGCCAACATGGTGAAAGCCCATCTCTACTGAAAATACAAAAATTAGCTGGGCATGGTGGCGCCATTGCACTCCAGCCTGGCGACAGAGCAAGACTCCGTCTCAAAAAAAAAAAAAGTGTATATATGTGTGTGTGTGTCTGTGTGTGTGTGTATATGTGTGTGTGTGTGTGTGTGTATATATATATATATTAACAGAGTTATCTCTGGAAGGAGGAATACCAGTTGCCTGTAAAGAGAGAATATGGTAGCTAGTACAGGAAGTGGGTGGCTTTTCACTATACACCTTTTACATCTTTTAAATCTGAGCCATGGGCCAGGCACAGTGGCTCACACCTGTAACCCCAGCACTCTGGGAGGCCAAGGCAGGAGGATCACTTGAGTCCAGGAGTTCAAGACCAGCCTGGGAAACATAGTGAGACCCTATCTCTACAACAAATAATAAATTAGCTGGACGTGGTGGTATGCACCTGTAGTCCCAGCTACTCGGGAGGCTGAGGTGGGATGATTGCTTAAGCCCAGGAGGTCAAGGCTGCAGTGAGCAGTGATCATAAGACTGCATTCCAGCCTGGCTTACAAATAAGATCCTGCCTCAAAGAAAAAAAAATTGAGACATATTAGCTTGAAAATGGCATGGTGGCTCATGCCTGTAATCCCAGCACTTTGGGAGGCCGAGGCGGCTGGATCACCTGAGGTCAGGAGTTTGAGACCAGCCTGGCCAACATGGTGAAACCAGGTCTCTACTAAAAATACAAAAATTAGCTGGGCATGGTGGCGGGCACCTGTAACGCAGCTACTTGAGAGGCTGAGACTGGAGAATTGCTTCAACCTTCAACCCAGAAGGCAGAGACTGCAGTGAGCCGAGATCAAGCCACTGCACTCCAGCCTGGGTGACAGAGTGAGACTCCGTCTCAAAAAAAAAAAAAAAAAAAAAAAAAAAAAAGTTATTTTTTAATTCAGTAAAATGGTTGTAAGGTAAAGCTGAGGAAATCCACCAGAAAATGGAATAAAAAGACCAAGACATAGAAAATAGGAGAGAAAAAGGTAAGATAATCAGAGGATTGCCCAGAAGGACCACCAACATTAGAAAATGCAAATTCAATGAAAAGAGGGAAAGTTATCTAAATATAATTTTTTAAATGTTCCAATAATTGAAAAACATTAAGTTCCCAGTTTGAGAAGGCCATTGTGTGCCCAGAAAAATGAATGCAAAAAGACCAATCAGAATACTTGGACAAAAAGAAAAATCCTAAAAAGTTTTTTTTTTTTTTTTCCCGAGACGGAGTCTCGCTCTGTTGCCCAGGCTCGATGGAGTGCAGTGGCACGATCTCGGCTCACTGCAAGCTCCACCTCCCGGGTTCATGCCATTCTCCCGCCTCAGCCTCCCGAGTAGCTGGGACTATACAGGCGCCCGCCACCACGCCTGGCTAATTTTTTGTATTTTTAGTACAGACAGGGTTTCACCATGTTGGCCAGGATGGTCTCAATCTCCTGACCTTGTGATCAGGAGTGCTGTGATTACAGGCATGAGCCATCGCGCCCCGCCCCTAAAAACTTTTAAAGAGAAGTGAGGGGAAACTCTATTTTTTTTTTTTTAATAAAAAGCTGGAACTTAAGGGAACAATCTCTTTAAAGTTCTGAGGGAAAAGGACTTTCAAACTAGAACTGTACACCTGGCCAAACTAGTAAGTGTGAAGGTAAAAGAAAAAAAAAAAAAAGACAATTTAGATATGCCAAATCTCAAGGAGACTATCTCCCTTGTAACCTTGTGCAGAAGCTGTTGGCCAATGCTCTCTACCAAGACCAGAGAGCAGCCGAGTGTAGTGGCTTACACCTGTAATTCCAGCACTCTGCGAGGCAGAGGTGGGCAGATCACCTGAGGTCAGGAGTTCAAGACTAGCCTGGCCAACATAGTGAAACCCCATCTCTACCAAAAATACATAATTAGCTGGGTGTGTTGGCGCCTGCCTGTAATCCCAGCTACTTGAGGGGCTGAGGAAGGAGAATCACTTCAAACTGGGTGGCGTAGGCTGCCGCGAGCCAAGATCGCGCCACTGCACTCCAGCCAGGGCGACAAGAGTGAAACTCCATTTCAAAAACAAACAAACAAACAAACAAAAAACACACAAAAACCAGAGACCAAAAGAAACCACAAAGGAGGAGGATACCATAGTATCCAGGGAAGAGAAACAGAGAGAAGGTACAGAACGGCCTGGAA
Organism: Homo sapiens; assembly: GCF_000001405.40. NCBI lineage: Eukaryota > Metazoa > Chordata > Mammalia > Primates > Hominidae > Homo > Homo sapiens. Next base: position 527,194 of record NC_000009.12, on the reverse strand, counting down.
ACTTCAGAAGGGACGCCTTCAGGAAGAAAGGATGAATGGACAGCTACCCTGAGGTGTGCAAACACACAGAAAGGAAGGTTAGGCTTCAGTTTGGGAATGAGTCAGTGACAGGTACTTAAAACAAGCACTCAAAACAATGATTAACTCTGGGTGGGCAAAAGCTGTATGAGGAAGGAAATATTTAAATTACATGTCTTGGCTGTGAATTATTTCCAGTCTAAATAATACTATAAACATTATATATTAATCAAACAAAAATCATATTAATATTACAGCAGGAGAAGAGACGTGTTGGGGGAAGTCATAAGAGTTATATCTTCATCTTCCACAGTGTGAGGAAAGTAAATATCCAAAATTGAATTTAAAAAAATCAAGAAATGACATGATAAGCATGCTTTCTCAAGATACAGTCATTTTCACAGATCTAAAGCAGTCAAATATCAGCATTTTCTTATGGTTCAACATCAGAAGATAGATGAGAGATTCCTCTGAGGAGAGGGAATCAGGTGGGAAAAGCAGGGCAGAAAGCTACTGTTTTCATGGACGGTTTTGTAGAACAACTTGACTTTTTGAAGTATGAGAAGACACGTACATAAAACATTGCTAAATTTCATTTAAATAATTTTTTGTAATTTTTATTTTTTTGTACAGAAAGGGTCTTGCTAGGTTGCCCAGACTGGTCTTGAATTCATGGCCTCAAGCAATCCTCCAGCCTCGGCCTCCCAAAGTGTTGGGATTACAGGCACGAGCCACCACACCCAGCCTTAAAATCTGTCCTAGAGCCAATATTCAAGGGTTTTTCCCATATGAGAACCAATGATGGTCTTATGTGTGCTGCTCCCATAATAAAAGCCATATTTCAAATCACATCTAAGTCTAAGACTTCTAGGTCTACTGCTGCTGGTGCTGCCCACCAGCTCCTACCTGTGGGCTGGGGAACAGTCATTGCTCTGCCGTCCCGTTCTCTGGGAGAAATGCCTGAGAGACAGCACCAGGATCACACTCCTTGAAGACTTCAGAATTTTTCAGGTTTCTCATTAGCTCCAAAATTTTTATAATTGTAAAGTGACTAAGATCACAAAATAAAATCAGAATTCCTACTTTTGTGTTCTCCAAGAAAGGCCCCATTCTCCTCAGAGGCAGAGAGGGATACATGTGGGTTTGCATGCACAACTCAATTAAAAGTAACCTGAATAAGAAACAACTAATTTGTCAATGGCTTCAGGTAACCAAATTTCAGAAACAAACTGATCCTTTATTTTAGAAATTTTAGAAAAATATTGATCCTCTGGGTGACAAATGCATTTTTTTTTAAAACTAACTGTGAAGTTTTCCAAGAGGTCCTTGTGAAATCCCCAATTCCAGTTCTAATGGAGAAACGGCAGCCAGGGGAGCAGGGAAACCAGCCCAACCTTTGCTGCTTATTCTCCTATATCACAGGGCTAACATCACCACATGCCTCCTTAAATAAAAATGCAACACTTATTAGAGCCATTGACAAATCTGGCCAGCTCAAAAATATGAAATTCTACGGCTTTTTGTATGCCTCACTTTGGGAAGCGGAGGCAGGCAGATCACTTGAGGCCACGAGTTCGAGACCAGCCTGGCCAACATGCTGAAACCCATCTCTACTAAAAAAATACAAAAATTAGCAGGGCATGGCGGCGCATCCCAGCAATCCCAGCTACTCAGGAGGCTGAGGCATGAGAATCGCTTGAACCAGGGAGGTGGAAGTTGCAGTGAGCCAAGATCATGCCACTGCACTTCACTTTGGCCTGGGCCACAGAGCAAGACTCTGTCTCAAATAAATACACACACACACACACACACACACACACACACACGTATGTATACATATTCTGTCAGAAATCAGGGTCCTTGGGTTTAAGAAGCAAGAGTTGGCTGGGAGCAGTAGCTCACGCCTGTAATCCCAGCACTTTGGGAGGCCAAGGTGGGTGGATTACCTGAGGGCAGGAGTTTGAGACCAGCCTGGCCAACATGGCAAAACCCCGTCTCTACTAAAAATATAAAAATTAGCCAGGTGTGGTGGCGCATGCCTGTAGTCCCAGCTACTTGGGAGGCTGAGGCAGGAGAATGGCTTGAACCCAGGAGGCGGAGGTTGCAGTGAGCTGAGATTGGTGCAGTGAGCCAGTGCTCTCCAGCCTGGGTGACAGAGTGAGACTCTGCCTCAAAAAAAAAAAAAAAAAAAAAAGGCAGCAAGAGTTTGGGATTGACTAACCAAAGCAATAAAGCAATAGACAATAGTAGTTTACAAGCATGTTAATACCTGTATAAATGAAATTCAATCAAACAGAAGCCTGTAGAGAGACAGCATACCCAAAATTACTATTTCAGAACACTGATCAAAACCAGTAACGAGCCGGGCACGGTGGCTCACACCCATAATCCCAGCACTTTGGAAGACCAAGACCAGCAGATCACCTGAGGTCAGGAGTTTGAGACCAGCTGGCCAACATGGTGAAATGCCGTCTCTATTAAAAGTACAAAAATTAGCCGGGTGTCGTAGTGGACACCTGTAATCCCAGCTACCTGGAAGGCTGAGGCAAAAGAATCGCTTGAACCTGGGAGGCGGAGGTTGCAGTGAGCTGAGATCGCAGCACTGCACTTCAGCCTGGGTGACAGGCCAAGACACAGTTTCAAAAACAAACAAACAAAAAACCCCACAATAAGTGACATACTACTTGAAACAATGGTGCCAACCTGGCCAAAGCTAAAATAAAACCAGCCGTAAGCTAAGATAAACAAATCTCTGTAATAAATGAATTCTCTTCCTTTGAAGATTGACTTGAATTCTTATACACATACACTCCAAAAAGTTACTTGAAAAGTCAAACAATAAAAGGCAGAGTTATTGTCAAGAAAAAAAAAACAACAAAAAACTACAGAACGACTTAATCAAGTAAAGGCTGGGGAAAAGGGAAAGGAAGGGAAGGGTTGTATTACTTCACCAGCAAGTTGAAGCCAATCACTTTCACAACTGAGCATGACACTTAGTTCCTGGCATCCTGGTAGCCAAAGCAGAAGAGGGAATCAGGTAAGTTGGGAGTCCCTGTTCATCAAGGAAATAAACGTTTTCCTAACAGTGAACTGAAATATATATTTCCTCACATAATGGGTTCTGAACAGCATAGTAAATCCTTATCAGCAGCTCATTTAACAGCAAATACCTATTTAAGTGTCTTCTGCGTTTCCAGTTCCGTTCTAGGAGCTTGATGTACCACCAACCAGCAAACCAGCTAAAGGTTCCTGCCCTGGAAAAGCCCGTATTCTACTGGGATATGCTGAAAATAAACAATAAATATAATAGGTAAATTCCATAATAATACTGGTTAATTTTTGATATGGAAAAAAAAAAGAAGAGGCCAAGCGGATTAAGAGAGACCTGGAGTGCCAGGAGAAGACAGGTTATAACTCTGAATAATCACAGCACTGACATGGTGACATCTGAGCAAGGACCTCACTGAGGTGAGGACAGAGCACTCCAGCCCCAGGAAGGAGCCAGTGCAAAGGCCCTAAGGGAGGCAAAAGGGACACCTGTGGAAGAGCAGAGGTGGGGGCGAGCACAGGAGAGGCTACAGAATAACAAGGGACCGGGCAAGGACAGCCATGGAGTTCACTGTAAAAACTTTTCCTCCCATAGAAACAAGGAGCCAACAGAGAGTCTACGCAGTGCCACAATGTGACTTTTGTTTTTAAAAGATGGCTGTTGAGAATGGATTGCAAGGGAAGCAGAGAGTCCAGGTATCAGGCTAGTGCAGTAATTGAGGTGAGAGAGGATGGTGGCAGTGGAAAGAGGGAGGACGATGCAGATTCTACATATATTTGAAGGTGAAACAGGATTTGCTACTGAATTAAAGGTAGGGTGTATGAGATAGGGGAGTGAAGATGATTACAAAGTTTAGGGGTTTTACCACTAGAAGTCTGTGGGGAGAAGGAGTTTGGGGGAAATAAGAAATTCTGTTTGGGTGACGTTGAATTTGAGGTGGCCACCACACACTCGGGTGTAGATACTGGGGAAGGAGTTGGGCCTTACAGAGTGGAACTGGAGAAAAAAGTCAGAGCTGGAGACCTAAATGTGATAATGATTGGAATATCAACCACACTTAAAGCCATGAGAGAAGATGAGGTCACCACGAGAATGAGTGTCTACAGAAAAGAGATCAAGAACTGAGACCTTACAGATGATCATGTTTTGCATTATCCATCAATACAAGCAAAAGGCTAACATTAACTCAGGGAAGGCATTTTCATGGGAAACCACAGCTCAGCAGTGCAGGCATTTAGCTTTTGGGCCAATTCTGGCTTAATTCCCATGAGCTGTCAGCACCAAGGGAGGAGTAATGAAGTGAAAACCAGGGTAGGTCAGAGGCTGGTGGTCAGGAGAGCACAGGCAGGCACACATTGCTAAGCTTAAGGAGTGCATTAGAGTTTACAGAATTCTATGAGATACCAAAGTCACTCATCAGAAAATACCAACTTAAAAACCCAAAAGTCAGCATGAAGTCCCTTCCAGATCTGTCCCTGCAGAAGTAACCATTATGGTCTTTGCCTTCTGCCAGTTCAACCCCACTGTGGGTCCCAGGCCTGGAGAACAAACCCTGGGGTACACCAGGACCCCCTTCCTCATGAGCAAAAGGGCTCAAAAAGAATGCCTTTCTCCAAGTCTCAGCACTGAGACAGAGTACTGAGTACCCCCAGTATGCCACAGAGCATATGCTCTGCTTGTGAAAACCATGAAAGAGACGGAGTGAGCACAGAAAGGAGCGTTAGGAGTGCTATCCAGCTGTGTGTATGTGCACTCCCCCACACAGAGTCCTCTTAAAACTTTCAACTGCATGAAGGAACCACGATATATGTATCTGTACCCAACCTTGGTCCAAAAACACTTGCGGCATCTTTCAAAACTAGATGTAACTATATTTACCTTTAATTTAAAAATAAATAAATTCAGCAAAAGGGAAAACAGAATCGTAAAATGAGACCTAAATTAGTAAATAACCATCATGAAATTCTCCATTTCTTTTTAACAGTGGGATATAAATTTGGTCAAAGCAATGAGGAAATCACAATCTCTTACAATATTTACATTATTCAACAAATCAAACATTTTCCCAAGAAATGTGCCAACATTTTCTAATACCAAGGCCTACAGCAACTTTTCTAACAGTTCTCCAAAAAAGGGCCACTGAGAGAGGCAAAAGGGATCACCATGTATGAGCTGCCTGTGGCTGTTTCTTAAACTCTTCTCTATTTCTAAATAATGGAAGCTGAAGACATAGTAGACGTTCATTCAATAAAAGAATCTGAGCCAGGCACAGTGGCTCATGCCTGTAATCCCAGCACTTTGGCAGGCTGAGGTGGGTGGATCTCCTGAGGTCAGGAGTTCGAGACCAGCCTGGCCACCATGGTGAAACCCCATCTCTACCAATAATACAAAAATCAGCCACGCGTGGTGGCGCACACCTGTAATCCCCAGCTACTCGGGAGGCTGAGGCAGGAGAATCGCTTGAACCCAGAAGGCAGAGGTTAAAGTGACCCAAGATCACACCATTGCACTCCAGCCTGGGTGACGAGCAAAACTCTGTCTCCAAAAAAAAAAAAAAAAAAAGAATCTGGAGGGAAAAGAAAGTAGAGAATTCCAAGTGCCCAGTGTTTGATGAAATTTCATGAATGAACACCATCTCCCAAAAACAAGTTTTCACTAAGAGCTGGAAGCAGGTTAAGAGCTCAGGAAGAACCCCAAGTGCAGCAGTCTGACACCAGCTGAGGCTTGGTGCACCTACTTTTTAAAAGTCAACCAAGCAGAAGAGACTTCAGCTTTCTCATAAAAATTACAGAAGCTACCTAAGACTCTTGCCTAAGTAGATGGCCCCCACACCTCATAAAAAGGAGTGTGAGGGTGAACATGCAGAAATGGCCAAGATCCCCCACAAAAAGAATCTCAACATGTAGATGGTGAATAACCAATTGAGGCACAAACGTTCTGTTCCTCACAGCAATGTATGACTTTATTTTGTCATCTTGCTTCAAAGAATTCCGATTTCATATCTTTTATATAAGACAGAAATTTCCTAGTAAGAACATCAGCAACAGTTCATCAGTTTCATTTTTGAAAGAAAAATACCAAGACAGACTGATGAGGCCTTAATAAATTTTATTTCTGTCAAAAGGCCCCATCTCTACCCTTCTCTTGACAGTAGCATCCACTGTTAATTGGCTGCCAAAACCATATTAAATCAGGCAATTAAACAAAAATCATCTGACCAATAGGATACTAACAATGCATGCAAAATCAAGATATAAAAGTCAAGAGAGGAAGAAGTGTAACTTCTTGATTAAAATACAGATCTGGAGCCATGGGAAACAACTAATGGAAAGTTACCAAGTTGTTGGTACAGCTCTCCAATTCATAAAAGATTAATCAGTCCTGTCCAAAAACTAGACCCTGTTTTCCATATCTAGGCAGATTTCTGAGGCATAATCTTTTCAAAATAAAACCCAAAGTGCAGATTTAACCAATTCTAAAAACTATTTCTGAATCAGAACACAGGCCATTAAATTTTTTGAGTTAAATATAGTCTTCCATTATGTTAGATTATATTGTTTTCAATTATTCGCTAACCTCCCTGAAAGAGGATTATATCCCCCATTGTCACGTGACTTATAGCATCTCCAGATGGAAGAATTAACCACACTTCTCTACCACATTGCTGGCAGGCCTGGCCATATGACTTTCTTCAGCCAAGTGAAGGCGAGTAGAAGTGACACACAAGCAGAAGTGTTAATAACTATGAATGAACTGGTCACTTCCTTTTTAATTTTTATTTATTTTTTTGAGACAGGGTCTCACTCTACCAAGCAGGCTGGAGTGCAGTGGTATGATCACAGCTCACTACAGCCTTAACCTCCCCAGGCTGAGGTGATCCTCCCACCTCCACCTCCCAGGTAGCCGGGACTACAGGGGCGTGCTACCACACACGGCTAATTTTTGTATTTTTTGTAGAGATGGGGTTTTGCCATGTTGCCCAGACTAGTCTTGAATTCCTGGGCTCAAGCGATCTATCCACCTCAGCCTCCCAAAGTGCTGGGATTACAGGTGTGAGCCACCGCACCCGGCTATGGTCATTTCTTTTCTTACCCTCTGCCATAAGTATGTCCCAGAGTGGAGTGGCTCATTAAGTCTAGAAATTAAAATGTATTGTTTTAAGTCACTGAGCATAACTAGACTAATATGAGTAATGAAACCACTTCATTTTTAAAGCTGTTTTAATGATCAATGGAATGGAATGAATGATCATTAAGTTTTTGCCTTATAAATGCATGCTTTAAGGGGAGGAGAAAAATCTAAATGACTTGTTTGTCTGACCTTTAGAAGACCTTATTGAGAACAATAGTAGGTTCAAAGACGACAAGGCTCAACAGCTCACCATTCCAAAGGCATGTAATTAATCTCTAACTGATGGAGGATAAAACAAGGATCGAGGTTATAAACTTAACTGGCATACCAGTCTCCTGGCAAAATAAGGAAATGTAATTGTCTGGGATTTTATGAGAGGTCGAAATCATTCCAAAAAGTCCAGGTTCTTCTTTAGCTTTTCAGTATTAGGCTCTGCATGGAAATCTTACCAAGATCTGAGGATGTGAATAGTTTCACAAATGATTGCTTAAAAAAGAACTTAATGAAAATCACTAGACCTCTCAAACTTTTCTCTAGAAGCCAAAGAAAAACAATACCCAAAGTTAAGACTCCTCTCATAGCTACTCCTATGAAAATATACAAGAATTAAAAACTTAATTTCTGAAGGAAAAATATTCAACACCACCTTTTGCAAATTTGTGGCAGATCCTGAGAAGTTGGAAGTTCAGAGAAACTCAGAACACTTACTAAGTTAAGGCTGACAGATCTTGATATCCAGAGGCTGTCGTGAGAGCGGGCTTTGGGGGAAAAGACACAATTATAAGGTGCCTAGTAAAAGTTGAAAGACACTGGGCGCAGTGTCTCATGCCTATAATCCCAGCACTTTGGGAGGCCGAGGCAGGCAGATCACCTGAGGTTGGGAGTTTGAGACCAGCCTGACCAACATGGAGAAACCCCGTTTCTATTAAACATACAAAATTAGTCAGGCCTGGTGGTGCATGCCTGTAATCCCAGCTACTCGGGAGGCTGAGGCAGAAGAATCACTGGAACCTGGAAGGGGGAGTTTGCGGTGAGCCGAGATCATGCCATTGCACTCCAGCCTGGGCAACAAGAGCGAAACTCTGTCTCAAAACAAAAAAAAAAAAATTTAAAGACAATGCTAAGAAACTCCATATAGGCTTCATGGAGTTGTGGTTTCCTACAAGACTTGGGTCCCTGAGCCTGCCTCTACCCTTTACTTCCTGCCAGAGTTCCACCTCTCTTGTTCACTGTATGTCATACAGGGTCACCGCCCTTTCTCCGCTCCTCTAGCCTAAAGTAAACAAGGTGGCTCTTTGAGGACTTTTCCTAGGGAGTTTTATAGTCAGGAAATACTACATCCTAGGTCTTCCTTCATCTTCCTCCCAGCTCCTCCTCTTTACACACTTAAACACCACGGAATGACAATATCAATATTTCTTTCCAAACACAAAGAAGCAAAGAAAACATACACCTCGCAGGAAATAGTAGAGTTTCGATTCTAGAACCCATGCTCCGAACCCCTCCCCTACATCGAATCAGATCCCCTTGAAGTGTCTGGCCGAAAAGTATAGGTAAAAAGCCAGGAAGAAACGGTAAAGTAAAAACTGCCCTGGGCCACTGGGGGTCAAGGAGGGAGAAGGGGAGGCTCGGGATGACACAACCCAGCCTGGGAGCGGAGCTTAAATACAGACTTCAACATGTGAACAACCGCTTTAAGCCAGGACTCAAATCAGATGGGCCTCAACAGGTAAGCACAGTTATCTGGTCAAACTGGATGTGAGGTCAGAGGTTTACAACACTTCTTTTGAAAAGTTCCCAAGAAAATGATTCACAAACTATATAAACTTCAAGCCCCTTTAGCAGTGTTTCCTCCTTTTGCTATCAAAGTTGACAGAGCAGGAAAGAGTGACACTTTTTTCCACAGTACTAAGGCTACTTTATCAGATCATTTGGGGATGGCTAAGAACCCTCAAGGTTGGCCGGGCAAGGTGGCTCATGCCTGTAATCCCAGCACTCTGGAAGGCTGAGGCAGGTGGATCACTTGAGGTCAGGAGTTCAAGACCAGCCCGGCCAATAATGTGAAACTCCATCTCTACTAAAAATACAAAAATTAGCGAGGCATGGTGGGGGACTCCGTAATTCCAGCTACTTGGGAGGCTGAGGCGGGAGAACTACTTGAACCTGGGAGGCGGAGGGTCCAGTGAGCCGAGATCACGCCACTTTACTCCAACCTGGGTGACAGAGCGAGACTCTGTCTCAAAAAAAAAAAAAAAAAAGAATCCTCAAGGTCTTATTACTCGTTCTTAACCTCAAAAGGTGACCCACCGGCACACCCTTCCCTACAACAGGCAGAATTGAGCCCAGACATATTATCCCCACTCTTTCTCAGGAAGAGATGCTTACCTTCTCTAGAAAGTGTGAAAAAGCTCTATAGGCACATAGGATTTCACTAAAGGAAAAAAAAGGCTTCCCTATTTTCCCATGAATATCCTAACAGTAGGCTTTTGTTTCCTCAGGTTGGCTAAAATAAACCTAAAAAAGAAACAAAAAGAAACAGTGTTCTTTATTAGCCTAAAAACTAATCGAAACCGTCCCGACAAAACACAGCTTGCAGCCGGGCCGCAGTGGCTCACGCCTGTGATCCTAGCACTTTGGAAGGCCGAGGCAGGCAGATCATGAGGCCAGGAAATCGAGACCATCCTGGCCAACATGGTGAAACCCTGTCTCTACTCAAACTACAAAAATTAGCTAGGCATGGTGGTGCATGCCTGTACTCCCAACTACTTGGGAGGCTGAGGCAGGAGAACTGCTTGAACCGTCGGAAGTTGCAGTAGCTGAGATCACGCCACTGCACTCCAGCCTGGGTGACAGAGCGAGACTCCGTCTCAAAACAAAAACAAAAACAAACACAAACAGCTTGCTGAATTTTGGAAGGATAACTAATAGCTCCCTCGTGGCTCTGAGCCCACCAAAAAACACAAGACGGATGTGTGTGTGTGTGTGTGTGTGTGTGTGTAGAGGGTGATGAAGAATAGAAACCACACTCAGATGCACACCTGGCAGGGCATCTGGGGCCAAACCTCATTAGGACAAATTTCTTCGTAACCCAAGTGTTCAAACTTACACTGATGGAGGCATGAAATTCCTAATCACCTGAAGGACAGGTACCCCCCAGCGGGCTGCTAAGCCACTATAATGATAACTAGTGAATCAATAGCTTCATGCAGATCTGACAGCCTTAGTATGCTACTGATAAAATGATCCATATTCATTCAACAAGTATTTTTGAATGCCTATGAAGTATAACCTAGTAACTCCCCTCCCACCTGGGCCCATCATAAAAGGCCTTGCTATTCCTCAAGCCAGTGTCTCTGCACTGCACTTCGCACCCACATTTCTGTCATTCCCAGCATTATGAACAATTTTCAGATCCCACTCTACAGCCAAAACCGCTCCCCTTCCCTCCCCACTGACTCTAATAAAGACCCACCAGAAAGAACATCACTAAGTTCACATGATCTCATTTGGGAGCTAGCCCTGAATTCCCTAAACTTCAAAAAAGGAAAAATAATATACAACTTTCATCAGCAGTTATTTGAATCGCTTCTCCCAACTGTTTCATGCCAGAGCTGAGAAACTGTGATGAATTAAGCAATCTTCAATCATGTCTCTCAACCACCTTTTCTTGATAGGAATTCAGCAAACTTTCCTCCTACTCCTGAAGTATAACTCCAAAAGGAGTTAAAAGTTTGGTGTCTCTGGAGGCAGAGAAATCTTATTCTGCCTCCAAGGTCAAAAGCCTGAATTCTCCAAAAACCCTTTAGATAATCTGACCCAGGACATAGTCTTGCCACCAAGAGGCCAAACAACACCTGTAAGTACCTTACAGATATTTAAGACCACCTTGTGTCTGTCCCCTGATCAGCAATACACCAATAATATTTAAGGGAAGATGGAATATATGCACAGAAGTACAAAGCTAGATGACAGCTGCATGTTGGATTCCTAAAGAGGCATACAGGTCTTAAAAAGAAACAACTGAGAGGATAAAATAGGTGCCCAGAATAAAAGCTAAAGGAAGAAATCTCAAAATGTCAACAGGAAATAAATCAAAACGAACTCAAACACATCAAACCACACGTGAGGTTTCCTTGAAACTATGCATTTCATTTGCTAAGAAGTGACAAGAACTTAACAGCACTGCCATCGAAGCCTCACAATATATAGCTTATCCCTACGTTAACAATTCCCCTTTTTAAAACCCTTTAAAAAATGGTGCATCAGGATCTCAAGTTTTCTTTTACATTTATGTGGAAATTTAATTCCTGGAAACTATAGAACATGATTCAAATTCTCCTATAAAAATGTCAAAGTGAAAGGCAAAAATAAATAGACTGAGTTAACAAATTAGAAAAGTTGAAAGAGTAATACAGTATGAGCAGTTTCATCCTTTAAATACCTTAATTCTCAGAACTAGTAGAGTTATCCATAAACTTCTGTTCTTTAAATTTTTATTAGAAGTAAATTCCTTGAAATACATCTCTCATAAAACTAAAACAAAAAAACACAATAAATGTGTAGAGAAACAGAAAAGCTAGAGTGGTTAAAGAACTGATACAATGTCTCTAGATGAATTCTTTAACTGGCTTTTTTTTCTTTTTTTTTTTTTTGAGAAGGAGTCTTGCTCTTTCACCCAGGCTGGAGGGCAGTGGCACGATCTCGGCTCACTGCAAGCTCCGCCTCCTGGGTTCACGCCATTCTCCTGCCTCAGCCTCCCGAGTAGCTGGGACTACAGGCTCCCGCCACCACGCCTGGCTAATCTTTTGTATTTTTTTAGTAGAGATAGGGTTTCACTGTGTTAGCCAGGATGGTCTTGATCTCCTGACCTCATGATCCACCCGCCTCTGCCTCCCAAAGTGCTGGGATTACAGGCGTGAGCCACTGCACCCGGTCAAACTGGCTTTGTTTTTCTACTTTGCTATGCAATAAAATAAAAAGTATGAACCCTTTTTGAGGTGTTCATCTTCATTAGTCATCTAGGGAATCAATAACACACGTTTACCAGATTAGCTAAAATAAGACAACAGACAATAACAAGCACTGTGGTGCAACTGAAACTCATACACCACTGCTGGGAATACCGCTTGATAAAACCACTCTGACGGTACCTACTCCAGTTGAACTGCATGGCCCAAAAATTGCACTCCTAGATATATATCTAACTTAAATGTGTACCTATATTCACCAGAAAATACATACAAAATCATTCATGACAGTACTGTTCATACTGGTCCAAAACTAGAAACCTAACGTTCATGGACAACAGGATGAACAGCAGTATATTCACATGATGGAACACTATACAGCAATGAGCATGAACCCATAACCACATACAACATGGATCAATCTCACAAATATAACATGGAGAGAAGCTAGACACGAAAGAGTACATGCTCTGTGATCTCAGGTACATAAAGTTCAAAAACTGACTAAATTGATCTATGATATTAGAAGTAAGGATACCCTCGGGGCAAGAGTTGTGACTAGAAGGGGATATGACACCAAGATGGTCAGATTGGTCTGTGGCTCCATTTGGGTAAAGGAGATGAGGGAGTATTTGGCAGAAAAGTGAGCTGAACCATCTCATAACAGGGATAATCCCATCCCCTAAAAAGGGCTACCCTGAAGCTATTATTTTTAGAGGAAAAAGCAGCTCTATTGAGATGAATAGGAAGGAAGGAAGGAAGGGAGGGACGGAGGGAGGAAGGAAGGAAGGGAGGGAGGGAGGGAGGAAGGGAGGGAGGGAGAGAGGGAGGGAGGAAGGGAGGGAGAGAGGAAGGGAGGGAGAGAGGAAGGGAGGGAGAGAGGAAGGGAGGGAGGGAGGGAGAGAGAGAGGGAGGAAGAGAGGGAGGGAGTAAGAGAAGGAGGGAAGGAGAGGAGGAGGACAGAAAAGAGAAAAGGTGAATACAGTATTTATGTTTCATTTCAACTTTTGTTCGAGACGGAGTCTCGCTCTGTCACCCAGGCTGGAATGCAGCGGCGTGATTTTGACTCACTGCAACCTCCACCTCCTGGGTTCAAGCAATTCTCCTGCCACAGCCTCCCAAGTAGCTGGGACTACAGGTGTGCACCAGCAAGCCCAGCTAATTTTTGTATTTTTAGTAGAGATGGGGTTTTGCCATGTTGGCTATGGCTGGTCTTGAACTCCTGACCTCAAGTGATCTGCCTGCCTCGGCCTCCCAAAGTATCTACTTTTGTTCTAATTGCTTTTGTTCTATTTTTTCCCAAGGTCAAAGGGTGAACCAGTCAGAATTAACAACAGAAATCTGAAAAAATTTAGCCAAAAATATTATGCAGATATCAAACACAAATTTACATTCTTGCCACTAACCAAGTCAAATTTTATTAGTAAGACAAATATCAAAAGAGGTTATATCTGCAATATACAATGAATGCAAACCAACAAGACTAGAGGTTCTTATATGTTTCTTGGATGATAATTATAAAAAGGGATTAGTTATGTGTTCTGAGAGTTAAACTAAGCCCCATTGCTCAATTGTATTAACTAAATGAATCCAAAAAAAGAAAAAACCCAAAACACCTCCAACAGAGTTACAGGGCTCCTGACACTCTGTTTCCAATTAACTGATTGCTTTGGTAATGAAAAAAGCAAGAGAGCACTTATTTCTGACAGCACATCCACATACAAACACTCAACTCAACCATGTGTCTGTAATAAGATTCTTCATTGGTGAAAATATCATTTGCTTCCAGCATTCATAATTTAAATGCTAAGTGTAGGGAAGAAAAAGGCAAACAGGTATCTGAGTTTAAAAGCCAAAGAGAAAAAATAAAAAGTGTCAAATTATGCCACCTGCTAGGCTCACAAAGAGGACACACTCATAGGCAATTCCCATTTTTAGTGGCTGGAGTGTTTTAACAAGAGCCTCATTGTCAAGCCTCAACCATTTGAAGCTGCTTTTCTGCCATGTCCCTCCCCAACACCATACCCTTCAACAAACCTGAGTTTTCCATATCTCTACGGCCTGGTAAAGAATGGACTGCTTTATTTTAAATCAGAAAGGTAACCAAAAGAAGACAACTAAAAATAATAAGGCAAAAATAATAAGATATCTAATAAAAACCAGGAGGCAGAGAGAAGAGGAAAGAGAGGTGTGAGGGAATATAAATTCCACTTCTTCCTTAGCAGGAAGTTAACAGACACTGTCAAATTTATGAACTCAAGCATAGACTGGCAGTATATTTTATACTGCAAATTCTTTGACACTCCCATCAAGTGGCAGGTCGATGTCCCCTCTGCTTGAGCCTGAGCAAGTTTTGTGCTACAACCAATAGTTTGGCAAAAGGGAAGTTATTAACTTCTGATAATATGTCATAAAAGGCCATGAAGCTTCCAACTGGTTTACCCAAGGTGCTCGTAGCAGGGTATGATGGTTAATTTTATGTGTTGACTTGGAGGATGTTTTTGGATGAGATTCACATTTAAATCAGGTAACTATGGGTAAAAGAGACTGCCCTCCATAATGTGGGTGGGCCTCATGCAAACAACTAAAGGTATGAACTAAACAAAAAGACCGGCCTCCCTGAGCTGGAGGGAATTCTCCAGCAGACCTCCTTCAGTCTTCTTCTAGACTCTCCTTGTCTCCATCTGTTGGCCCACAATGCAGTATTTAGGACTAGCCCGCCTCCAAACTGAATAAGTCAATTCCTTGTTTTAAAAATCTTGTGTGTGTGTATATACATACACACACACACACACACACTATTGGTTATGTTTCTCTGGAGAGCCCTTAGTAACACATGAGGGAAGCCTGCTGCCACACAAGTTCAACTACCTGGAGCCACCATGCTGAAGTCACCATGAAGACATGTAGTTGCCATGAAGACAAATGAAGTCAACATGTGTAGGTGCTCTGCTCAACAGTCATTGCTGAGCCCAGCATTCCAGCTACTCCCACTAAGGCAATAGTCATGGGAGCAAAGCCTTTTTGGAGCCAGTGGACCAGCACATCCACCAGCTGGGTACCAGGGAATGACCTCAGTCAACACCGAAAGCAGCAGAATCACCCAGCCCAGCCCTGCCTGAATCCCTGACCCACAGAATCCAAAACACCATAAAACAAATTTTTGAGCCACTAAATTTTGGGGGGTAATTTGCTAAAATAACCACTAGAAGAACTAAAAACAGAAACAGCAGTTATCACACCTAAACCAAGACTGTAGCTGAGTTGGGACCAGACAAGAATGATGAGTTTTGTTTTTATTTTAAACCCTTTGTTGTTTATATTATTTACACTATGTGTGAGTATTAGAAATTCTATAATTCAGAAATTCAAAAATTAAGGGAATAACAGCAAACATGTATAAAACTTACTGTATACCAACCACCCTTCTAAGTGTTCTTGAGTCTGGACAGGTGACTGCCTCAACCAACAGAGTTGGTTTTAACTCATTCAATCCTCACAAGTACCCAATAAAGGAGATGCTTTTATTATCCCTGTTTATAGATGGGAAATTGACACACAGAGAGGTTTAGTAACTGTGCCAAAGGTCACACAGCAAGCAACAGATCCTAGATTAAAAGTAGCCAGCCTGGGCCTACACCTACAATATTTCCACAGAGATCACCAGGCTGGCTCAGCAGTCACAAGTCACAGGAAGAAAGGTACAATCTCAAATTGCCATTCACCTGGGTCTCCAAGCCTATGACTGACCATGGTATTATGTGTCAAGCACTGCCACCTTTTACTTTTTCAAAACCTATTGCCTAAATGCAGTGCCCTTTACTCTAATTCCCACCCATACACATTTTTCAAGGCCAAATCCCCCTAAATATCACCCAGATCTCTCTACTCAGCATTAATTTCTCCATCCCTTTCCTTTCCAGAGTGAACCTTTTGTATCGATATTGAGTATTTCTAACATTTTGCCTATTAATACAATTTTGCATCATTATACATTCATTCCCTATGAACTCTTAGCTTTCTAGTCTCTGATTTCCCCCACCAGGGCCTTGCACATAATACAAATTTAAGTACTGTTTACTAAAGTTAAGTGATATTGGCTTATTCTGAATGAAGGCTGGTCTAGCAGCCTTCATCTTAGAGAAATTATCACTGAATTTTACCTGAGGGGAAAGGAGTTAAGATCTATAATTAGGCAAAAAAGCAGCCTACTGCATTCTAATCTCTGGCAGGTGTTTACCATTAAACCCCATGATGCTGACTTGAATGTACCAAACAGCTTTCTCCCAAAATCCTCCAAGTACTTTTTTCGGCCTATATATTAGTTCATTTATTTTCGGTATCTTCCAGAAAAAGAATAGTAAGGAAGCCAGCATCACCAACCCCACTGTCCAGTGGTCAACCGGGGCTCTCCCTATGCACCGCTGATCTCTCTCCTTGAGAAGGCTCAGTGTCTCTTTAGTGATGTCTGCTCCCTAGCCAATTTCTAGAGACTCCTTAAAGCTGAGCTCAAGTCTTACTTTTGGGGGAAGCAGCTCCTAATCATCTAGACAAGAAAGACTTCTCCCTCAGAACTTAAACAAGCACTGCATTTGTAGAATGAACACTCCTTGGTCATGTGTAAGAATTTTGCCTAACTGGTATTTTTAATTATTAGATATAATTTCTGGACAATCAACTACTTAATGGTATGATCCTTCTTATATCCTTTCAAGCTCTTGGCTCAATACCTTTGTAAACAGGACCATATAAAGAAAATTAATCAGTGATACCTAAATGAAATTGCCACAAAGGTTCAATTTATGCTATTTTTAAAGAAGTTATCATGGTCAACCTCACCATTATTTTCAGAATTGCAAT
The DNA here is from genome assembly GCF_000001405.40 of Homo sapiens. Classification (NCBI taxonomy): domain Eukaryota; kingdom Metazoa; phylum Chordata; class Mammalia; order Primates; family Hominidae; genus Homo; species Homo sapiens. Next base: position 510,169 of record NC_000009.12, on the reverse strand, counting down.
TTAACCCAATGAGACACCCTTTTGCAGGTAACATATTAGCAATTTAAAGATTTCTTAGACTGGGTGCAGTGGCTCACACCTGTAATCCCAGCACTTTTAGGAGGGCAAGGAGGGAGGATTGTTTGAGGCCAGGAGTTTGAGACCCGCCTGGACAACCTAGCAAGACCCCATCTCTACAACTAAAAAAAAAAAAAAGGAAAAATTAGCTGAGTGCAGTGGCACATGCCTGTAGTCCCAGCTACTCGGGAGGCAGGCTGAGGCGGGAGGATTGCTTGGGCCCAGCAGTTCACGGTTACAGCGAGCTCTGATCCTGTCACTGCACTCCAGCCTGGGTGACACAATGATATCCTGTCTCAAAAAAATAAAAAAGATTTCTTTAATCAATTCCATATTAGGTTCAAGGATAACTCTGCAGGCAGCAGTTTAACAAAGATCCCAAGCCACATAAACAAAAATCTCAAATTTATGAAATACCCAAGAGGGAGGTAAAAACTATATGCACAAAGATGATTTCCACAACGGTATGTACTAGTAAAACACCAGAAATTAACACACATTTCTAATAAGAGGATTATTAAATGAAAGCATATCCTTAGGCATATGCAGGGATTAAAAAGTCAGAGACTGAAGCAATATTAAGATACTGTGTTAAGAAACAAAATACAAAATTGAATATTAGAATTGTGACTTCATAAAAACATGAACAGACATGGAAAAGCACTGGAAGTGAAGACAACAAATAATTAGTCTGCTAGGATGGGGTAAATATAGGTCATATTGGGCCAGTGGCTCACGCCTGTAATCACAGCACTTTGGGAGGCCGAGGTGGGTGGATCACGAGGTCAGGAGATGGAGACCATCCCGGCCAACATGGTGAAACCCCGTGTCTACTAAAAGTACAAAAATTAGCTGGGCGTGGTGGCGTGTGCCTGTAGTTCCAGCTAATCGGGAGGCTGAGGCAGGAGAATTGCTTGAACTCAGGAGGCAGAGGTTCCAGTGAGTCAAGATCGCGCCACTGCACTCATCCTGGTGACAGAGCAAGACTCCGCCTCCAAAAAAAAAATAATAAATAGGTCATATTTTGTCCATTTGCCAAACTCTGCAGATCTACTGCTCTTCCAATTTAAAAAGGACACAACAGAACTCTCTCACACTACGGGTAGAAGTATAAACTCTACAACCACTTCAGAAATCCGCATGACTGTACCTCTAAACTGAATCCTAGTTTGGAACTGGGAAATTCTACTTCTGAATAGAATTTGTACAAATGTACACATTTGTATTGGATATTGTGTATCAAGACGTGTACTAGAATTAGAATGTTCATAGTCACACTACTTACCATGTAAGAAACTGGAAACTATGTAAATGCCCCTCAAACCTAAAAATTGATAAATTGTAGTCATACAATTGAATATTACACAGCAGTGAAAATAACTGAACTACAGCCACAAGCAACAACACAGCTGAATCTCACAAATATAATGTTGAGAAAGAAACCAGGATACTAAAAGCTATATACCGTGTGAGTCTGTGTAGAGCATGAAAACAGATAAAACTAATCCACAGTTGGCACAACGGTTACTCTTCGGGAGGGGCAGTGATTGGACAAGAGTATAGGGGCACTTCTGCAATGCTGGCAATATTTTGGTTCTTTCCGTGAGTACTTGTTATATGTTTATGTTCACTTTGTGACAATTTGTGAAGATGTACTCTTAAGATGTATAGCTACAGGCTGGGCACAGTGGCTCACGCCTGTAATGCCAGCACTTTGGGAGGCCAAGGCAGGCGGATCACCTGAGGTCGGGAGTTCGAGACCAGCCTGACCAACATGGAGAAACCCCGTTTCTACTAAACATACAAAATTAGCCGGGCATGGTGGCAGATGCCTGCAATCCCAGCTACTCAGGAGGCTGAGGCAGAGAATCGCTTGAACCCGGGAGGCAGAGGTTGCAGTGAGCTGAGATCACCCCAATGCACTCCAGCCTGGGCAACAAGAAAGAAACTCCATCTCAAAAAAAAAAAAAAAAAAAAAAAAAAAAAAAAAAGGCTGAGCAGGGTGTCTCACACCTGTAATCCCAACACTTTGGGAGGCAGAGGCGGATGGATAACCTGACGTCACGAGTTCAAGACCAGCCTGGCCAACATGGTAAAACCCCCGTCTCTAACAAAAATACAAAAATTAGCCAAGTGTGGGGGCGCATGCCTGTAATCCCTCAGCACTTTGGGAGGCTGAGGTGGGCGGATCACAAGGTCAGGAGTTGGAGACCAGCCTGACCAACACGGTGAAACCCCGTCTCTACTAAAAATACAAAAACTGGCATGGTGGCTCACACCTGTAATCCTGACACTTTGAGAGGCCGAGGTGGGCACATCACGATGTCAAGAGATTGAGACCATCCTGGCCAACATAGTGAAACCCTGTCTCTACTAAAAATACAAAAATTAGCTGGGTGTGGTGACACGGTGCCTGTAGTCCCAGCTACTCGGGAGGCTGAGGCACGAGAATCGCTTGAACCCAGGAGGCGGAGGTTGCAGTGAGCTGAGATCGCGCCACTGCACTCCAGCCTGGCAACAGATCGAGACTCCATCTCAAAAAAAAAAAAAAAAAAATTAGCCGGGCATGGTGGCAGGTGCCTGTAATCCCAGCTACTTGGGAGGCTGAGGCAGGAGAATCGCTTAAACCTGGGAGGCGGAGGTTGCAGTGAGCTGATACTGTGACATTGCACTGTAGCCTGGCTGACAAGAGCAAAACTCCGTCGGCAGGGCTGGGGGTGTGGGATATGTATACCTATGGTACAGCTCATCTTGTTTTGAGAGAGGATATTGCTCGGTCATCTAGGCTGGAGTGCAGTGGCATGATCATAGTTCACTGCAGCCTCAAACTCCTGGGCTAAAGCAATCCTCCTGCCTCAGCCTCCCAAGTAGCTGGGACTACAGGTGCATGTGCCACCATATCCGGTTATTTTTTATTTTTTTTGTAGAGACGGAGTCTCGCTATGTCAATGTTCTAAATTACCAAAAAAAAAAAAAAAAGATGGCATAAGCTGTCACCCATGCAACAGGCCTAAAACTTCCCGAAACACTTGAAAACAAGTTGACTTTTCTTATTGAAGGGTGAGTGAGAAGTGTAGTGGATGTTGCATAATTTGGATAGCTTCAACTCTCCTTACTAAAAATGATTTTTAAAACATGCACACATTATCCAACAAAAAGCCCGAGTGAAGTGTCCAACTTTTCACAGACCCACTCTGCTCTTTCAGAATCTGCTCACCCTATAGTTATTCCATCTCAACAGTCCTCAGCTCCCACAAGCACTGCCCCTTTCGGCCATTATCCCATTCCTCTTCCCAGTTCCTTGCACTGCCCCCAACTAGATCCTTTTCCATCCTCCTCCTCCCACTTGGGATAAAAAGTTAATGTATGCACACATTAACTCAGAACTATTTGTGAACTGATACTCATGAAATGAAACTAGTCTTGAATGTATCAATTCCAGTGGCCATTTGCCTGTGGTTTTTTGGTTTCTTTCTTTGGGGCCAGTTTGGATATTTTAAAAAATTACTTTTAAGCCTAGTCTTTTTTCCTTCTAACATTCCCTGCCGAGCGCGCACGCACACGCACACACACACACACACACACCCAGAACTCACTTTCGCTGAGGCAGAACCTCGACTAGAGTGATTTATGGACTAGGCAAGTCTAGAGCCCAGAAAGCATCCCTGTGCCCTAAGGGGATAAAATGTATTCCCAACTTGTGGGTCTCTACAGGAGGCAATTATTCCTCTACTGGCAGCTTCTCTTCCATCCTTATTCATTTTAACCTCCCCATAGGACAGCCAATACTTAATTTTTCTTCCATTGCTTCAGCAGCACCTTTCCCCAAACCTAGTAACAGAAAAAGGATCAAAGTTAATCACCTCTCAGTTTTCTCACTCAGTCTCTATCTTAGAAAAACTTCCTAAGTAGCTGCCTTAAAATGAGGGAGAAGGGCTGGGAGATGGAAGAATGACTGCTAATCGGTATAGGGGTTCTTTTTGGGGGCAACGAAATGGAATCAGATGGTAGTGATGATTTCATAACTTTACGGATATATTAAAAACCACTGAATTTTGACCTTAGAAGAGTAAATTTATATGTTTATTACACTTCAATTTTTTTTAAATAAAACGTGCTCAACATTTTAGTAGAGAAAGTTGGATGAAAGGAGAAACTGGCAGATGAACAGCTACTTAGCTGTTAACGCCACCTAAAAATGAACTTGAATAAACTCAGGAATTCAATATAAGCAAACAGACCCTCATTTCCATTCAGCTCCAGAGGTGGGGGGCAATGACGGTGAGGAAAGGAACTGCACGATTACACATCTGGATGATTAAGCTTCCTTATTAGCCTCGGGTATCAGGGTCTAATAGAATCCACTATTTAATAAGATGGGCTGACCCTCCGCAGAGGCCACGTGCGGAAAGCGAGCGCTGGCGGACGCCATAAATTGTTAACGCCAACTCGCCCAAGGCCTTCACTAGGTCACGCTCGTGCAGCACGGCTCGTGCTGACCCGCAAGAGCCACCAAGAACAGTTGCCTCTGAAAGTTCCACGGGACCCGGGTGAAGGAGATGAACGGTCAAGGAGCCGTGGCTGCCGCGAGCGCCACTGCGTGTTGCCCAAAGCGGCACAGAAAACGCAACATTCGGGGACCAGCCCGCTTCAGGGCCCCTACACCTTCCCTCGACCTGGAACCGCGGGACCTCGGAAACCCACGCTGCCCGCGCCGGGTTGGGCCGCCCCAGAGGCCGCAGCGCCCACGCCCCTCCCCCGCCTCCCCGCCCTCCAGCCCCGGCCGAAGCCACCTCGGAGTTGGCGGAGGGCGACCCGAGGCCACCTGCCCCTCTGGGGCCGAGGATAAAGGGGTCTTGACCGCCACTCCCTCCCGCGAAGGGCAACATCCAACTCCACGGAGAGCCGCTTCAGAGAGGGTCCCCCGTTCCGCCCCGGGCTAGGGAAGGGCCCAGAGGCATCCGAGGGACAGAGCGCCGGGCCGGGGTAGCCAGGCGCCCGCACCCTCCCGCCGGCCGGCCCGGCCCGAACTTTCTCGCTGCTCCGTGCCCGGCGCGCCTCTCCCTCCTCCAGACCGGCCGAGCGCCGCCGCTGCAGAGCGCGCCAAACTCCGACGGCCGCGGGGCCGACGCCACCTCTCGGACCCCCCCCCAGGACCGCCCCGAGGCCGCCGGGTTCACCCGCACGAGCGGGAGCCCGCGGGGGCTGCCCTCCGCCACCGCCACGGCCGCCGCGCAACCCCGGCGCGCGCCAAGTCGGCTCCGCGCGGGGCCAGCCCGAGGCAGGGGTAGGGGCCTCGCGCTCCGGGACAACCTCGCCGCGGCACGGGGCGCGGCACGGCCCCGCCGCGTCACTCACCTTCGGCCGCTCCTCCCAACCTGCCGGCCGCTCGCTCGCTCCGCCGCGGACCCGGAGCTCGGGGAAGGGCGGGGCGCAGGGGGCGGAGTCGGCCCCGGCTGGCAAGCGCCAGAATTAAAGCCCGAACCGCACGGCCGCCGCCGGGGCGGGGAAGCCGGGGCGGACCAGCAAGCCTCTCACCCGCGGTGGGCGACAGCTGTGGCTGCGCCCCGGAGCGGCGCGTGAGAAGAACGGCGCGGGCCGGCGAAGCCCCGGCTGCTCCCTCCGCCCAGAGGACGCCCGGCTCCCCGCGGGGGCGCTCTTTGTACCGCGGAGCCGGCCGCGGGCGGCCCTCAGTGCGCCTGCGCGCCGCTGCAACTCCACCAGGCCCGCGGGGCACCTTCGTGCACCTTCGTCGCCGCGCCTGGCCCGCGGGCCTCGCCGCGGCGAGAACTAAGCAGAAGAACTTCCTCCACCGCGGTTCGCTCCTTCTGCCAACCCGTATTTACCACGTCCATCCTCGCACACACACCCGCAAGGGGAGAAGAAATCCAGCCCCCGTGAGACGGTGCGGTGCTCCCATCTCCGGCTGGGGCGGGGGTTCTGGCAACGAGGCTGGCCTGCTCGACGTCCTCCCCCAGCGCCTCTGTACCTCCTCTCCCTCCCCGGGTGAGGGGGACCGGAGCGTGCAGAGCTCTGTTTCCTGCAGGTGCCTCGTCAGCACGGTCGCCCCGGCGGCCAGAAACCTCCCGCCTCCAAGGGCACCTCCCTTGTGACCTCCGTGCATTCGCCCTGGCTCGGCTGCAGGACAGAGTCCTCGGCGGAAAGGGGAGGATGCGTGTTCAGAAGGTTGCAGGTCTCTGGGGACTCCACAGAAGACCCAACGCCTGCCTCGGGGGCTCAGGATTGAACTGGCTTCCTAGTTCAGTCCCAAATACTCGATTTGGAGCAATCCAGTAGGTCCATGAGAAATTAGTAGGGATTGAGAAGCTGTGACTTCAGTCTTTTTCAAATTGAAGGTGGCTTGAACAAACAGAAGAGGAGCTTGGGAACTGAAGGGACGACTTTATAAAAACCAGGTATTACTCAAAAAACAATGTTAGCTCTGCAGTCAACTGATTTTCTTAAGGGAGAGAGTCCTCCCCTCACCCCCAAGCTCTCTAGCACCGCACACATCCAGCAGGGCGTTACACACGCTCAGTCTTTTTTGTGAGTGTGCAAGTGAAGAGCCATCAAACTTCACAAGGCGACATGCTTGCCTCTGGGGAGAAGACGCTGCTTTTCCACAGTTCACAGCGAAGCACACCTGCAAATTCCTGAACTTGATGGCTCCTGACTGTTTAGGGAATAGGCAAAGGGCAGCCGGAAGATATGTGAAGGCAGGAAAGCTCATTTTGAATCTCAGCGCCTTTGCCAGCTCACTGGGTGGCAGTAAGCAAACTCTTTCCTCCTCCTGGGCCTTGCTTTTTCGTCTGTAGAGTAGGGCATTTGGATGCAGTAGATATTTTCTAAAATCCCCCACCACCACCACCCCGCCCCAAATGTCTACTCTTCTATGAAAAGGAGAATTGTTTGCATGGTGATAAGGGATGAGATATCAGAGGCAGGAAGACTCCTGCATTTTAAAAGTGCTCGTCGGCCAGGCGCAGTGGCTCAGGCCTATAATCCTCACACTTTGGGAGGCCGAGACAGGTAGATCAGTTGACCCCAGGAGTTCTGGGCAATACAGTGAAATTCTGTTTTCACCAAAAAAAAAAAAAAAAAAAAAAAAAAATCAGCTGGGCGCGATGGCGCGCGCCTGTAGTCCCAGCTACTCTGGAGGCTAAGGTAGGAGGATCGCCTGAGCCCTGGAGGTCGAGGCGGCAGTGAGCAGAGATTGAGCCACTGCATTCTAGTCCAGGCTACAGAGTGTGACCCTGTCTCAAAAATAAATAAATAAATAGTGCCCTCGACCGGGTGCACTGGCTCACACCTATAATCCCAGCACTTTGTGAGGCCGAGATGGGTGGATCACTTGAGGCCAGGAGTTCAACACCGGCCTGGCCAACATGGTGAAACCCCATGTCTACTAAAAAATACAAAAAAATTCGCTGGGCGTGGTGACGTGCACCTGTAATCCCAGCTACTCGGGAGGCTGAGGCAGGAGAATCCTTGAACCCGGGAAGCTGAGGTTGCAGTGAGCCGAGATCATGCCACTGCACTTTGGCCTGGGCGACAGAGCACGACTCTAAGAAAAAAAAAAAAAAAGTGCTCTCCATCCCCAGAATTCCCAGCCTTCACCTCTCCTTTATTTCTCCCTCTTTGCATTTAGTCAGTAAACATTGATAGGCCCTCAAGAGTAAGCAAAACGAATCAATCAAAAGTATGGCAGATTCTGAATTTTTAGTGGATTTATACTTGAAATTTCATTTTTAATTTAGTTATTTTATTGACATACAATTCACATGCCATACAATTTACTCCCAAAATGTATAATTCAGTGGTTTTGAATATATTCCCAAAGTCACACAACCATCACCACTAATTCCAGACATTGACATCCCAGTAAGAAACCCCATACCCATTAGTCACTCCCCATTCCTCCCTACTCCCAGCCGCTGGCTACCACTAATTTACTTTCTGTCTCTATGGATTTGCTGATTCTGGACGTTGCATATAACTAGGAACATAACAACATGCTACTAGCTTCTTTCACTTAACATAATAGTTGCAAGGCTCATCCATGCTGTAGTATGTTTCAGTACTTTCTTCCTCCCCCTACCCATTATACCATTTACTGATGATAGAATTATACTGGAAAACTGTCACAAAAGAACAATCTTTGAATAGAACCGTTTACTAAGTGAAACATTTCTTGAAATATAACATGCGAAAGATTGTCAAACATGTCAGCATAGAAGCCCTTGGATTTATATAAAGACTCTCGCGAGGCTGGGCGCTTGTGCCTATAATCCCATCATTTGGAGATCCCAAAGCAGGAGGATAGCTTGAGCCCAGGAATTGGATTGAGACCAGCCTGGGCAATAAAGTGAGACCTCATCTCTATTTTTTTAAAAAGTAACAATTAAGAAAATTAAAATACTCTCAGCAGTAATTTTCACAAATTCCAATCGATATCATATCAAGCAATTGGGGTGTGTGTGTGTGTGTGTGTGTGTGTGTATGTCTGTGCGTGGGCGAATACCTGTATCTGGGAACAATGAACCATATTTTAGCTGGGCTTCTTGGAATAGATTTGCTCACACTGAGATATATGAAAGAAAAGAATTATTTTTAGTCAATACATAAGCCCTTAGCTATAAATGAAGGCAACAAATAGCTTCTAAATATAGAATGGTCTATGCAACACTATTTTTTTTTTATAAAGTTTGTGATTGGTTCTTGGTGCCTTGATTTATTTCTTCTCATTTTCAAGAAAAGATGGAGACTGGTACTGAAAACCTTGGGGGCAGACACCTTATTGAGGCCACTTTAACCAGTCAGTGCGTTGTCTGGTCCTTGCTGAAAGTTCTTGCCACGGATTTAAAAATGAACTTTTAAGAGTTTTAAAGTCCTAAGTTGCAACCAACTGTTTTGTGGTGGATGAACTTTTTAGAGTTGGTGGTCTAGAATTTCATTTATATTTTCCAGCATTGCTCCAAATCCATTTTGAAGCATTTTGCTCAAGCTTGAAAGAACCCGATTGGTTTTTTTTTTCTTTTTTCTCAACTTTTATCTACACGAGATGTCTGAAGACTCAGTGAATCAGAAAGTTTTGGCTGTCCCACTCTCAGTATAGCTTTGGAGGAAGAAAGTCATTCAGTAACTGCTGGGGTACAGAAAGTAGTTTGTAACTTTGACCTCTCTTTTTGTATAGTCATATGTTGTAATCTTTCCATTTCCAATAATAGAGCTTTCTGAAGGTTCCCCTGTTGCTTTCCAATTTTCAGATTTTGTGAGGGCCTCATCTGTGCAAGTCCAGGGTACTGAAGCTCCGTAGGAGGGAGAAAATCAGGGTATGGAAAAACTTCACTTGGCTCCTCTGTGAAAGATTCTACAACATTTTCTGTTGTTTCTGGCTTTCAGTTTAGGTCCCTCCTTTAAATATAATTGAATAAAGTATCCTTTGCCTTTTCGTTTTCTGATAAATCACCTTCATATGTTAAATTTCCTTCCACACTGCTGTTTCCATATTTCAGTTTCCAATTTGGAGCAAACAAAGTTTCACTTGTTGTTTTCTGTAGTTGAACATGAATTAACATGGGGCTCATTTTCATCCTTAAAAAAGTCTTCATCAGCATAGGGCCAGCAGAGACCTAATGGCATCTGCAGTCCAGGATAAGAACCAACTTGCTCATCAACTGAAGCACTTGTTAATGAGTGGTTCAGAGTGAAGAGCCTTATGGAGTTACCAGTTACATTAAAGCCAGTTTCCATTACAGATTTTTTGAAATTCCTATTATCTATGGGATCTCTTTCAGTAAGAGGATAACTCCATAGCTGACATGTCACTTGTTTATTATTCTTGTTAATTTTGCTTCATGAGAGATGTTTGACACGTGTAGGTTACTGCCACAGTTGTAACTATTTTTTCTCCCCATTTTGTTGTAGCTGCTTGAAGGAGTTAAAAATATGCTACTCTAGCATGTTGACCATTTTGAGTTAAAGGCGCTTAAAAAACAGCAGGTGCAAGAAGATCACTCTACCCTTCCTTCTGTTTCTTAAAAGCAGCAGATAAAATTCCCATGCAAAAGATGTTCTCTCTCTACCAGAAGGAAATATTATCATCATCAAGGAGGGGAAGAGTCTGAGGGAAATATTACAAACAAACTTGTTAGACTAATCCTTATCCTCTTCACCACTTCTTCACCAATTAACTAGCAAGCCCCTTTTCCTTGTCACATTTTCATAAAGTACTTCTCTTTGTCTAAATCAGTATATACATGTTCATCTCTAATTGCATCTTTGGGTCTTCATTTCCTTGTAAAGTCTCCTATGCCACACAAAACTTATATTAAACAAATTCGTATGCATTTCTCCTATTGATCTATGTCAATGTAATTCTCAGTTTTAACCAAAAGTCCCCAAAAGGGTACAGGTAAAAAAGTTTCCCCTTCGTGCTCCTCAGGGCTTTTCCTGTTTTTAAGGTGTCTCAGGCCCACATGTCCTTTCCAGAGTCCTCTTCCCTGGCCCCTGCTTCAAGTACAAGGTAAAAGATTTGCAGGAGCCCCCTCTGCAAGGATGGCAGTTGGTAGCAGCCTTGTCGGCGGTGGAGGATCTCCAAGGTCTGGGGGCTGGCAATAGTGGAACTGTGGCAGCAGGAATTGGGCCCAGGGATGCCAGCTTCATCTGGGGCTGTGGCTCCTGGGGCTTCTGTACATCTTTCCTTTTTATTGCTGGACAATATTCTATTGTGTGGATGTACCACATTTTGTTTATCCATTCATCCTTTGATGGACACTGAGGTTGTTCCACTTTGGGCTATTATTAATAATGCTGCTATGAATATTCAAGTGCATGTTTTTGAATAAACATGTTTTCCTCTCTCTTAGGTATGTATCTAGGAATGGAATTTCTTGGTCATATGATAACTCTGCGTTTAACTTTTTTTTTTTTTTTGAGACAGAGTCTTGCTCTGTTGCCCAGGTTGGAGTGCAGTGGTGTGATCTCGGCTCACTGCAAGCTCCGCCTCCCAGGTTCATGCCATTCTCCTGCCTCAGCCTCCCGAGTAGCTGGGACTACAGGCGCTCGCCACCACGCCTGGCTAATTTTTTTTTATTTTTAGTAGAGACAGGGTTCCACTGTGCTGGCCAGGATGGTCTTGATCTCCTGACCTCGTGATCCACCCTCCTCGGCCTCCCAAAGTGCTGGGATTAAAGGCGTGAGCCACCTCGCCCAGCCAACTCCATGTTCAACTTTTTGAGGAACTACCAAACTGTTTTCCAAAGTAGCTATACACTTTTAGATTCCTGTTAACAATGTATAAGGGTCCTAATTTCTCCAAATCTTTGCCAACAGTTGTTGTTATCCTCTTTTTGATTATAGATATCCTAGTGGCTATGAAGTAGTATCTCACTGTGGCTTTAATTTGCTTTTCTCTAAGACTAATTATGTTGAGAATTCGTATTGGCCATTTGTATATTTTCTTTGGAGAAATGTCCATTCACATCTTTTGTCTATTGTTAAATTAGATTATGTGTCTTTTTATTATTGAATTGTAAGAAGTCTTTATTCATATCTGATAAGTGATACTAGTCTTTATCTGATATATGATTTAAAATATTTTCCTCCATTCTGTCAGTTGTGGGTCACAAGGAGGACTATCCTACTGACAGCATGCCCATGTTTAGAACCTTTCCTCTCCCTCCTTTCTCATCAAATCTAATTTGTCTTGTGTCCATTGTCTCAGAATTCAGTTAAGCTAATCTAGTATTAATACTGAACATGACCACGCGTTATACAAGCTTTGTAGTTAAAGAGCATCTGCCCTGGTTCCGAGTTTCACCCCATCAGCCCATTTCTGTAGTAGACCTTCGTGTGGTGCAATTAGTTATCTGCTAAATACTTGGAATTGTGTGCAAATAGCAATAGCCCAACTGTTGAATCTCCCCAAGCCTCAAGTTTCTTGTCTGTAAAATGGCAGTAATACCTACCTGTGCCTCTTTCATTAAGTTGCAGTAAGGATCAAACCTCACAGAGTAAGTTGGATCAGAATGAGCCTTGGGTATGCTGCAGGTAGAAATCTCGTGCCCTGAGTTTCCCATCAGGGCCTAAGAGGGTATATGGCAGCAAGGAAGCAAGTCAGGAGGGAGCAAGGAAGACACCCCAGCGAGAGATCCCCGAAGTCATACCAGACCTTTGGGACGGATGGAACTGGGGTGGTCCCTAGAAGTAATTTTCTTCTTTATACTCTTGTGTGTGTGGGTGTGTGTGTGTGGGGGGTTAATACAGGGTCTCACTCTGTCGCCCAGGCTGGAGTGCAGTGGCACAATCACGGCTCACTGCACCCTTGACCTCCCGGGCTCAACTGATCCTCCTACCTCCGCTTCCCAAGTAGCTGGGACCACAGGCACACGCCACCACGCCTGGCTAATTTTTTGTATTTTTTGTCAAGACAGGTTTTGCCATGTTTCCCAGGCTGATCTCAAACTCCTGAGCTCAAGCAATCTGCCCACCTCAGCCTTCCAATTTATACTCTCCTTAATTTCATTTAAAAAAATGGTTATATACTACAGTTATAATTAAGGGTTTTTTGAAAGTTTTTGTCCTTCTCAAATATTTTACAGAGCTGTGAGAGAAGAATTCTTGAACATTAAATGGAAGTCATGGTGGCAAGAGTGTGAGTGTGAGTGTGTGTGTGTGTGTGAAGAGTCACATGCATACCTGAGCACCAATGAGTCTCCCTCAGAGAAAAGGTGAACTGGGGAGGGCGTGCACAGTGGGACAGCTGGATTTGCTACCTGCAGATCCTTTCCAACGCCAACCTTGGAGGCTTGAGATTTACTAAGGAAAGCTGTGTGTTCCCTCACCCTTGCCCATGGTCATACTGCCCTTAAGGAGTCTTCTTTTCCTTTTTTTCTTTTTTTTGAGACTAAATGTTGAAGGAAAAGACCTAATTTATCACAACTTGCATATGATAGCCCCACACTTCTGGTTCCTGGAAACAACTGTTTGAAAGGAAAGGAAAGGACACATTGGTTCATTTGCTTTAGTTATTTTAAAAATCAAGTTACAATTCTGTTTACATTAAGCTGGAACCCTGTATGAATACATTTTCTCCGTGGCTGAAGGACATAATTCTAGTTCAGGAAATTGAGCTAAGAGTAATCTTCATTCATAATTATAATTATTATATCATTGTTACTATTATAAAATATTTATAGAGCATTCAGAATGTGTATGTCATTCTACTAGGATCCTAAGTAGAGGGATTATGTGTACAAACCTGTCCCTGCAGATCCACTTTATTTAGAACATTTATTTATTTATTTACCAAATATTTATTGAAGGCCTGCTGTGCTGAAAGTGCTGGGTTAGGCTTCATAAAGGACAAAAATAAGAATAATCCCAAGAAACTATCTGTCCTTTAAAGGGAGATGATACATGTGCAAAAACAACTTGTAATGCTATTAGACTTTGGCTTGAGAGACATATAAAATGTTGTTATAACTAAAACAAGAATATAATTTTATTTCTTTCATTTATTTATTTATGAATTTATTTATGTATTTATTTATTTTGAGATGGAGTCTTGCTCTGTTGTCCAGGCTGGAGTGCAGTGGCACGATCTCAGCTCACTGCAACGTCCACCTCTCAAGTTCAAGCAATTCTTCCACCTCAGCCTCCCGAGTAGCTGGCACATACAGGCATATGTGCCACCATGCCCAGCTAATTTTTGTATTTTTAGTAGGGATGGGATTTGACCCTGTTGGCCAGGCTGGTCTGGAACTCCTGGCCTCAAGTGATCCGCTCGCCTCGGCCTCCTAGAGTACTGGGATTACATGCGTGAGTCATTGCACTTGGCCAAGAATGTAGTTTTAATAATCAATAATTCTTATTGAGAGCTTACTTCCATGCTTGGCACTGTAGTTAAGTGTGTTCTCTGAACCAATTTACTTCTCCTGTAAGGTAGTCATGATTATTATCTACAGTTTGCAGACAAGAAGAATGGGGCTCACAGAGGTTCAAATAGCTGCAAGAAGCCACAGTGCCAAGTGGTAGAGGCAGAATTTGAACCCAGGTTGCTGGAGGCCAGAGCCAGAAGTCCACCCTGACCCCTTCCAGCTGGGACAGTGTATGCATTGTGGTGTGTGTGTGTGTGTGTGTGTTTAATTATGCTAGTGATGATAACTTTACACTGAGTCACTGTCACTGAAGCTTTTCTTCCTCAGCAAGGAAACCCTGACCTGGTGACCTTTTGATCTTAACCTTATAGCACCATTCTCTAACCCAGCAGGTTTCAAACAACTGAGCTGTCATTTGAGCCTCAGAGCCTTTTCATCAGACAAACTTTAATGGGAGATAAAAATGAAGGTTTTTCTGAACGAAGCTGAATGGGGCTGGGGTGGGGTGGAGGGAGTCTTCCAAGGGAGGCAAGGCATTGCGGGGAGGAAAAGAGACTGCGCCACATGATTATCACAGCTGAAGCCAAATACACTGATGTCAATAAAACCTCATGACCTGATGAAGTTTTAGAGTTAGTTATATTCAATGCTCCTTGATATATGAAGTGCAGCTGCCTTCAATCATGATTTTTTTTTTTAACGTTGAAGATAGCATGCTTACCTAGTGGTCCTCAACACTTTGTCAGGAAGGTGGGTAAAGTCAAAAGTTGAGCACCAAAACCAGCCAATCTGAAGAAACTAAGTTGGAGGCACGATGGCTCTCTGCTCATAGGATCTGGTTACGTAAGAGTCTTTTATTGAAGGCTGTATTTGATTGAGACCTGGTATCTCTAACATAGTCCCGAATTTCAACAAAGAACGGTTAAGTCAACTTTTTTCTTCTAGCCATGATTGTAGAGTCTGACAAAGGACAGCCAGAGGAGGGGAGGAGAATGCTGAAAGAGAAGGAGGCAGAAACTCATAGTCTGGGGACAATGACTTTAGTGCAGGAGGACCTTCTCCGAAATTCTGCTTTGATACTTGGAGCCAAGGCAATTACTTACAGGATTTTTCCAAAGCTTTATTGTCAGCTGTCATTCCTGTATTTCTCTAGGAAACACACAGAATTCTAGAAAGTTATTATCTAAACAAGTAAGTTCACCTAGTTACTTTGCACTTGCTGTCTTAGGTTAGCCTTGTATTTGCTCACTTATTTAACAAATGCATGTGTTCAATATTTGTTCACGGTCTATGTACTTTAAGAGGACTTGCCCCTTCTGTGTTATCTGTGTTTTATGTATCTAAGAGAGCTGATCTATTTAACTTTCACTACACTGCCCAGCTAATTTGCACTATTTTTATTGTGCCAGTTATTATTTTGAAAAACTGGAATTTAAATTCCAACAAAAGGGACTGTTTGAGGTGGTGTGACATACAGTAGCGGGGCAGGATGCTATACAGCCAGTATAGATCCACTTCTGAGAAGGCTTCTTGGCTCTTCTAAGGAGACTCAGCAGCTCACATGGTTGTTGGCAAAAGGCTTGTCACGTGTATTGCTCCATAGTGCTGCCCATGACATGGCAGCTGGTTTCCCCCAGAGCAAGTGGGGAGAGAGAGAAAGTTAGAATGACCAAGATGGTAGCACAATGCCTTTTATAATCTAATCTCAGAAGTGATATACCATTGCTTCTGCTATATTCTATCATCACACAGACCAAACCAGGTACAAAAGGGACTATTGGAGGTAGCGTGGTTACACAGTAACAGGGGAGAATTCTATACCGCCAGTATAAATGCTAAGAATCTTGTACTCTATTGGTATACATGAAATAATTCTAAGAGGAAAAATCAGATATGAAGTAGGATGTATACACTGATAACAATTATATAAAAAATGAATGCTTGTAAACTACCAAGGATCAGTGAAGATCTTTAAAGATCAAAAATGATAGAATTGGGCTTGAGCCCAATAAATTCTTTATATTCAAAAGTTTATGAAAACTTAAAATGTATTGCTGGGTGCGGTGGCTCATGCCTGTAATCCCAGCACTTTGGGAGGTCAAGGCAGGCGGATCACGAGGTCAGGAGTTCCAGACCAGCCTGGCTAACATAGTGAAACCCCATCTCTACTAAAAATACAAAAATTAGTGGGGCATGGCGGTGTGCACCTGTAATCCCAGCTACTCAGGAGGCTGAGGCAGGAGAATCGCTTGAACCCGGGAGGTGTAAGTTGTGGTGAGCCGAGATCGCACCATTGCACTCCAGCCTGGGCAACAAAGCAAGACTCCATCTCAAAAGAAAAAAAAATGTATGTAAACTATTAGTATTTATTGCTACATAAATTGCCGGCCAGGCGCGGTGGCTCATGCCTGTAATCCCAGCATTTTGGGAGGCTGAGGTGGGCAGATCACCTGAGGTCAGGAGTTCAAGACCAGCCTGGCCGACATGGTGAAACCCTGTCTCTACTAAAATACAAAAATTAGCCAGGCGTGGTGGTGTGTAGCTGTAATCCCAGCTACATGGGAGGCTGAGGCAGGAGAATTGCTTGAGCCTGGGAGGTAGAGGTTGCAGTGAGCCGAGATCACCCCACTGCACTCCAGACAGAGCTAGACTCCATCTCCAAAAAAAAAAAAAAAAAAGCAAATTACCCCAAAACTAGCAGCATGAGACTATAAATGTTTATCATTTCACATAGTTCCTGAGAACCATCCAGTGAGCTGCTTCACTGGATGGTTCTGGCTCACAGTCTCTGATAAGGTTGCAATCAGAATGTCACTGGGGGCTTCTGTCATTTGAAACCTTGACCAGGGCTGGTGGATCCACTTCTGAGAAGGCTTCTTCACTCTTCTAAGGAGGCTCAGCAACTCACATGGTTGCTGGCAAAAGGTTTGTCACGTGAACTGTCCCATGACATGGCAGCTGGTTTTCTCCAGACCAAGTGGGGATGGAGAGAAAGACAAAAAGAATGACCAAGATGGTGGCTGCAATGTCTTTTATAACCGAATCTCAGAAGTGACATACCATCACTTCTGCCATATTCTATGGTCGCACAAACCAACCCTGGTACAATATGGGAAGGGACTGTACAAGGATGTGAATATTCAGAGACAGGGAGGCCGGCTACCAGGCCACAGCTGGTTTTCTTTTCTTTTTTTTTTTTTTTTTGAGACGGAGTTTTGTTCTTGTTGACCGCCCAGGCTGGAGTGCAATGGCACGATCTCAGCTCACCGCAACCTCTGCCTCCTGAGTTCAAGTGATTCTCCTGCCTCAGCCTCCCGAGTAGCTGGGATTACAGGTAAGGGTCACCACGCCCGGCTAATTTTGTATTTTTAGTAGAGACAGGATTTCTCCATGTTGGTCAGGCTGGTCTCGAATTCCCGACCTCAGGTGATCCACCCGCCTCGGCCTCCCAAAGTGCTGGGATTATAGGCATATGACACCGCACCTGGCCACAACTATTAATAACAATAAGATATTTTTTCTCAAAAGCATGTTTTGGTTATTAAATATATATTTCAAATATACATTTAAATGCATATTTCAATATATTTAATCTTAAACTTTTCAAATAATAATAAATAATGATATTTACTTAGTACTTTCTATATGCCAATCACTATGTTAAGCATGTGATGTGAGACTGTCTCTCACAGACAGCCTCACAGTTGTCCAGGCAACCCTTAACAGCTCTAAAGGATGCATTTATTAGTTGCCTCATTTTACAGAAAGGAAACCTGAAGCACAGAGAGGTTTAAGTAACCTGCCCAAGGACACACATCTAGTAAGTAAATCAGCATATAAACCCAGAGCTATCCACGTAAGTACCGACAGCATGGCTAAGCTATACTGATTCTCTCTAGTCAGTTTTGTGAAATAAATCTCTAACTATCGATGCTTTGCAAGTTAAGTACTATCATTCTATTTAAGCAGTTAAGGATTTCCCTACAGTCACAGAGTAAATAAACTAAGACTCAAAACTGGAAGTTAGGTTTGTGGAGTTCTGTCACAATTATGATGACAATAATGACTCTGTCTTTTCTCCTACTACTCTCCTCTTCCCTGTCTCCTGTCCAGCCACGTTGCCTCCTGGCTGTTCCTGGAACACTCCAGGTATGTTCCTTGCATTAGTCTGTTTTCACACTGTTGATAAAGACATACCCAAGATTGGGTAATTTACAAAAGAAAGAAGTTCAATAGACTTACAGTTCCATGTAGCTGTGGAGGCCTCAAAATCATGGCGGAAGGCAAGGAGAAGTAACTCACGTCTTACTTGGATGGCACCAGGCAAAGAGAGGGCTTGTGTAGGGAAACTCCCATTTTGAAAACCATCAGATCTTGTGAGACTTAATCACTATCACAAGAACAGCATGGGAAAGACCCACTCCCGTGATTTGATTACCTCCCACCGGGTTCCTTCCACGAAATGTGGGAATTGTAGGAGTTATAATTCAAGATGAGATTTGGGTGGGGACACAGCCAAACCATATCACTCCTGCTTTAGGTGATTTGTGTTTGACGTTTCCCTTTTCTCGCCCCAAATCAGCATGCTCCTTCTTTCTCTCCTGTCCACAAATGTCACCTCCCCAGAGAGGCCCACTATCACCATGCTATTTAAAATTGCACTCCAGGCCGGGCACAGTGGCTCACACCTGTAATCCCAGCACTTTGGGGGGCCGAGGAGGGTGGATCACGAGGTCAAGACATTGAGAGCATCCTGGGCAACATGGTGAAATCCCATCTCTACTAAAAAATACAAAAATTAGCTGGGCGTGGTGATGCACACCTGTAGTCCCAGCTACTCAGGAGGCTGAGGCAGGAGAATTGCTTGAACCCGGGAGGCGGAGGTTGCAGTGAGCTGAGATCATGCCACTGCACACCAGCCTGGTGACAGAGCAAGACTCTGTCTAAAAAAAAAAAAGAAAATGCACTCCAGGAGTGGGCACGGTGGTTTACATGTGTAATTCCAGCACTTTGGGAGGCCGAGGTAGGAGGATTACTTGAGCCCAAGAGCTCAAGACCAGCCTGGAAAACATGGCAAGAGCACATCTCTACAAAATGTTTAAAAATTAGATGGGGCATGGTAACACATGCCTGTGGTCCTAGGTGCTTGGGAGACTGAGGCAGGAGGATCCCTTGAACCCAAGAGTTTGAGGCTGCAGTGAGCCATGGTTGTACCACTGCACGCCAGCCTAGGCAACAGAATGAGACCCTGTCTCAAAAAAAAAAAAAAAAAAAGCCACTTTAGCCCTTCACATAGTCTCATCTTTGTTCTCCTCATCTTTTTTCGTAGCACTTATTGCCATCTATATTCTAATTAATTCATTTATTATGTTTATATTTGTTTTCCTGTGTCAGAATATAAGCTCCACAAGAGCAAGAATTTTGTTCTGTTTACTCATAGTCCCTGGCACTTACCACACTGTCTGGTATATAATATGTGCTCAACAATAAATATGTGTTGAATGAGCAATGAAGTAAACATAGGGAGCTTAACGTATTTTTGCCAATATCAGAGTTGCTCAGTTGAAACTTTGGCAATTTATTTTCCAGCCATCTCTTTTTAAATTTGATAATGAAATTATCTAAAGATTTTGTCCAAATAGATCTTTCTGGAGATAATTTTTTAAATGAACATTTTATGTTTACTGCTATGTTTGCCTATTGTTATTATTATTATTATTAGTTTGAGACAAGGTCTTGCTCTGTTCTCAGGCTGGAGTGCAGTAGCACAATCATGGCTCACTGCAGCTTCAACCTCCTGGGCTTAAGCAATTCTTCCACCTCAGCTCCCAGCTAGCTGGGACAACAGGTGTGCACCACTGTGCCTGGCTTTTTTTTCTTTTTAATTTTAGTAGGGATGAGGTATCACTTTGTTGCCCAGGATGGTCTTGAACTCCTGAGCTCAAGCAATCCTCCCACCTTTTTTGGGCTCCCAAAGTACTGGGATTATAGGTGTGAACTGCTGTGCCTGACTGTCTATTTGTTTAACCAGTGGAGATGTATTTAAAATGTCTAGAAACAACTAAAACTCTAGAAGAAGAAGATGCCTTTAACTTAGAAGTCAGAAAAACCTGGTCAGGATTGAAGTATTTCCGCTGGCCAAGTAATAGCCTATTTCCCCAGAGAGTGACCCTATAAAACCTGAACAAATATTTATCTTTAACGTCAAAAAAGTCAGTTAAGCAAATGACATTTCATAATGAATGAAATAAAAGTACTTCCTTCCTTTATTTATTCTGGATGATCTGTACTTAGTACGGTTTTGTTCCCCCAGACATAGAGGTATTGTTTAATACAAGGTCAGCATTCAATCTAACTTTGCCAAGCTCTACCTAGAACTGTTAACTATAATCTTGGTTATTTCAAGTGCCAATTTACGAGTAAACAGTATTGCCAATAACAGTCTCATTGATACTATTATTTTTCTTCAAACCCCGTGGAGCAGATAAAAAATAGTAATAATAGCTAAGCTTTATTAAATGCCTGCTAAGTGCTGGGCATCTTACCTCTATTATCTCTAATACTTTCACCAACTCTACAGGGTAGACACTGTAGTTGTGGAGCCCAGTGAAGTTAAGCAATCTGCTAAGATCAGGGCAGAGACTCAAACCAAGACTATCTCTGTCTGATTTTCAAATCTGGGCCAGTTTCAAGGTGCCACTCTCTGGCCCAAACTATCAGTCTAAGCAGAAGTCTTATCTGGTTATGTTTATTTAAGTTGCAGCAACCAAATACTGCATGACCTATACTTACACTAAAAAAGTATTCATTGTTTATCTGAAATTCAAATTTGGCTGGATGCTCTGCATTTTTGTTTGCTAAATGTGGCAACTGCATGTGAAGGGACCTTGGAGATTGTTGAGTTTAGTGGCTCTTGGTGGTTATTAATTAGCCAGGAGCACTTGGCAAAACGATCAGAAAGGCCTTTCCAAAATACACATGTAGGCTCTACCCCAAACTGCACGAGGATTTCAGAGTGGAACCAGGCCTATGAATTTTGAAAAAGTTTATTCATTCATAAAATATATGTGTATTTATTGAGTAGCTTCCCCACACCAAGTACTTTTCCAGGCCTTGGAAACACAGCAAGAAACAAAACAAAAATTCTACCTTTGGGGATTTTCCAGGTGATTCCAAAACTCCTCCTAGTTAAGAAACAATGGATCAAGCATCCTCATTTTACAGATCGAGGAAACTGAGGCCCAGCATGGTGCCATGATGACTCCAGATCACTGAGGTACTAGGTGAAGTCTCCTAACTTCTATTCCAGTACTTTTTTTTTAACTATCTCTCCACTGACCATAATTTTTCAACTTTCCCCATTATGCCCCTAATATTCCATTATCCCTAAAATTACAATATTTGGTTTGTAAAATACAGACCCAAAAGCTATGCTATTCTTAGAATAATAATAAACAACACTGCTTGAGATTGTACATAACAGGCAGCAGTAAGAGTGAATCCTGACCCCAAATCAAAGTGACAGTCATTATTGACACTTGACTCTTACAAGACAGTCACAGTTTACACTGTCTGTATGCAGCATTTTTGATTACATTGACTGATTCATTCCCCCAGTAACCCTGTGAATGAGACAGGAAGGATGTTATCAGAACTGCTCCTTTGCAGTTGAGGTAATTGAGATTAGTTGATGTGTTCGAGTTCAAACAACTCATAAACGGCAGAAACAAGGTTCAAATCCAGATTTTGTCTCCAAGTTAGAATAAGACAATCTGAGGATGAATGAAAATTTTGGCTTGTTTCTTGTCTTCTTTTCCAGCATGAATGAGCAACAAAGTGTTGAACACAAAAGTGTAAGAAACTTGCTGTTACTTGTTAGACTCTAATATCCCTGCTTGCTCCAAAGCCTTTCCTTCTCCAGAAGCTCCATCCTCCTCTCCTCTTTGAGCCACACATTCCCACCACACTGGATATTGTGAGGCTAGACCACTGATTGCAGCAAAAACCTCAGCCTCAATCAAAATGCATACACATTACCCAAGAACCATACCCCAACATGCTCCCGTATTTGTAGGGATTCATGGAGTAGATTAACCAGTTAATACTGAGTTCATGTGGAGTTCGTAGCCATGTTGACCATCTCCTCATAGAATGAATATGGACCAAAGAACAAGAAACCTAGAAATGAGAGCTTGGGAAGGTGGGGCCTATGTTGAACAGGGAAGGTGTTTACTTCTTGTCAAATTTTCACATATCCCGAAGGCAGACATAGGCTTTCCTAGGGAGTGAAGCAGAAATTCTACAAGAATTTTAAATAGAAAACTGGAAAGGGCCGCTGAAGCTGTGTCTTAGACTCTTAGGGGTACCAGGCTGCCTTCTGCAATAAGAGATCACTGACAGAGGATTTGGGAAGCCGAACTCTAACCCACCTCCATCATTTGAGGTCTGTGCAGACATGCCTAGAATAATTTGCCCAGGTGCCACCATTAAGTACTCCAATCCACACTTCATGCTGCTGTTTTTCTAGTTATCTACCCCTCCCAATAGGGCAGCTTCTCAATTACCTCTAGTGCCCTATTGATGACTCATTGATTTTAACAATGGCATTAGAACTTAGAACAAAGTTCTGTTGCCCCAGGAGCCAAGTCAATCCCAAGTAACTTGTACAGACTCCCTATACTAAACAAATATATCTGAGGTACTGATACCCAACTTACGATGAGGTTATGACATCCCAATGAACCCACTGTAAATGGAAAACATTGTGAGTTGAAAATGCACTTACATCTAACCTACCAAACATCATAGCTTAGCCTAGCCTACCTTAAATCGCTCAGAACATTTACCTTAGCCTACAGGTGGGCAGAATCATCATCACAAACCTATTTTATAATAAAGTTTGAATTTCTCATGTAATTTATTGAATTCTGTACTGAAAGTGAAAAACAGAATGGTTATGGGGTACTTGCAGTGTGGTTTCTACTGAACACGTATGGCTTTCACACCATCATAAATTTGAAAAACCATAAGCCAAACCATTGTAAGTTGGGAACTGTCTGTATTTGCAGGAGCAGCCTTCTAAGCTGTTCTCCGTGCCTGCAGCTCCCCTCCTCAACCATCTTGTATATATCCACTGGCTGAATTTCCTAAAATTCAGCATATCTTTCTTCTACATAAAAATAACTTCCAGGTCTTACTTTCTTGTCAGTTGGCTGATATAAAATGTAAAATTTCATATTAAATTACATTAAATATCATTACCATATCATATTAAATATCAATAAAGCAGAGCAGTCATCTAGTTTTTTACTGCAAGAAGACATAAAAATTAGACTTTTGCCATGATTAAACTTTACTTTTACTGTGTTTAGAAGAGCAGAACAAAGTTGTAAGAAGCACAGAAGTTTATGACTACTTGAAATCAGATAAAAATTGTTTATATAATTGAAGAGTCTTAAAATACAGAAAATATTTGAGGTTTTTGCTTTTTATTTTTTTATAATGACGGAAATATAAGTTCAGAAAAAGGTAGTATCTCTAGCTGAAAGACCACTGGAACACTGATTAAAAGCTTATGTTAGATTAATTTTTATTTATAAAAGGCAGTACAGTGCACAGATTAAGAGTGTGGCCTCTGTAGCCAGTGTGCCTGCATCCAAATCCTGCCTCTGCTACTCACAGGCTATATAACCTTGGAGAAGTTATGTGACCTCTACAGACTTCAGTTTCCTCATCTGTAAAATGAGAATAATAATAATACCTACCCCATAAGGCAGTTGTGAAGATTAAATGAGTTAATATTTATACAGTACGTACTCAGCATAGGTCTGACACATAGTAAACATTTTGTAAGAGGTAATGGTGATGATGATCATGACGACGATGATGATTACTTCAAGAGGAAAGACAGGATCAAATTCAGGGTTACAAAATCAAATTCAGAGTTACACGGACTTCTCCAGTTTCTCCTATGTATCCTGGTTAAGCAATTGACTTTTGCAGGGCTGAATCCTCATTTGTAAAATGGCATCTATGATCATATGTAAAATAATCCTTTGATTACAGCAAATCTGGAGATTTGCTTTCCTGTCTGATATTCAATTAATAAAGGTTCCAGTTCTAATCTTTAGAGTCTGGTCAAAAATTTTTGGAGTCAGGCGAGATTCATCCCATTGCAAGAGATGGAAAACACAAGTCAAACTGGCTAAAGACAACGGGAAACTTCTCAGCTCATGGAACTGAAGAAGTCTAGGGGAAGCTCTGACTTCAGGTTCAGCTTGATCAGAGCCTCAACCAGGGACCTCCGGACTCAGCTTCTCTACATCTCTCTCTCTCTTTTTCTTTTCTTTTTTTTTTTTTTTTTGAGACAATTCTCACTCTGTCACCCAGGCTGGAGTGTAGTGACACGATCTTGGCTCACTGCAGCCTCCGCCTCCCAGGTTCAAGCGATTCTCCTGCCTCAGCCTCCCGAGTAGCTGGGATTACAGGCATGCGCCACCACATCCAGCTAATTTGTATTTTTAGTAGAGATGAGGTTCCACCATGTTGGCCGGGCTGGTCTCCAACTCCTGACCTGAAGTGATCTGCCCGCCTCGGCCTCTCAAAGTGTTGGGATTACAGGCGTGAACCACTGTGCCCAGCCTATCTCTTTACTAAGCAGTTTTTGCTTTATTCTCAGGTTCTATGTAGATCCAGGCTCTTGTAATCATTATTGCAAACAGACCCAGACAAAAGGAACAGGTGAATTTTCCTCAATAACTCTGCTAAAGTTTCCTTGTACCTACAAATGGCACAAGAGATCTTTTTGTGATTATAGAAATATTCAAAAACCAGATTTTTGTGGTTACTTTGAAAATTTACTAAAAATCATTGAATTGTATACTTTAAATGGGTGAATTTTATGGTATGTAAATTATACCTTAACAAAGCCCTTAAAAACAGTTTCCTTGTATCACTCTGACTCTGAGGGGTTCACATGCCCATTTCTCAATGGGTCACTATCTATCACTGGATCAGAGGAATGTGATGCTCTGATTGGCCAGGCCTGAATACCACACCCACTCCCTGAAGACAGGGATAAAGTCAGTTTCATCCAAAGCACAGTGACTGACAGTGAGGGTGGAGGGTGGTTCCCCAGTTGAAAATCAGGTGAATGAATGCTGTTTCTTAAAGCCCAAGAACCAAAGTTGGTCTAGGACTAGTCCAGGCTTCCAGGGCCTCTCTGAACTCAAATCTGGGCCTGGATAGGCCAAAGCATTGACACATTTATGTCTTATGAGGCCTAACTTTTTTTTTTTGCATTCTCCATGGCAGATGTCAAAGCAAAGCAAAATGCAATGAAGGTGGGATGAATCCCATGCTGGATTCTTATTCTTGGAAACACTGAGAGTAACTATCCCCAGAGAAATCCAGAAAGTCCTTCTCTCTGCCTGGGTGCTGCCCAGTGCTCACTGGGGCCACTGCAGGCCACAGATGTGGGAGGTGTACCGTGTTCCCTCTCCATACCCCATTCAGCAAGCCACCAGACCTGTGATCCTTGAGAACAGACAAGGAACAAATTATCTACCTTTTTTCTTTTTGGTCACTTTATATCTTTTATCTTGCCTCTCCTTATCTCTCTCAAACTTGTTTGTCAATGCTTTTGACTGTGGCTTCAAAGGAGGGATGAGGTAATGTATTAGAATGAACCATGTCATTTAAATAATTTACCAGGGCAAGGGGAGAAACAATGCTTACAGTGCTTGAGGCTCTTTTAACTTTGTTGAAGAATGGCAAAATCACAACAAAAGCAGACACATCTGGAGTGCTTCCCAGAGCAGAGGCACTGTGCTGAGCACTCTACATCTCTTGTTCTTTTAATCTTCACAACATCCCTGAGAAGTGGATAATTTTTTCCGTGTTTTACATGTGAGCAATGGTTCAGAGAAGTTAGGTGAGGCCACACAGCTAGCCTGAAACAGAGATGGGCCCTCTGTAAGGTGGGAACTTTTAAACAAATAACTGCTTGTCTGCCTTTAACAAATCTGGCTGTCATCTGCAAGCCCCTTCATAGTCACCGACATATCCTTGAAACCCCCTGGCTTCCAATGGAAGGGGAAGTAGCTGCCCTCAGCTCACAAGTGCAGAAGCAGGGAGGAGCCACTGACCTGAATCTCTAAAGCTGAAGGTGTGAACTACTCGTGGTGCAAACTGGCACCCTACCTGCTGCATGTGGGGACAGACGGATTTGTTTGGCTAGCACTTTGTTGGTAGTAATTATTATTTTTAATGAACTTTAAGCCCTTTTATGGGGTATCTTCTCTTCAAATCATACCTGCTCGCTCTGTCTCCCTTTTTTTAAATAGCCCTGATAGCTTATCCCAGTTACTTCACATCTGTATGTCAGCTGTCTAGCTCTGAAAGGCCTTTGCATTTACATCTCTGAAAGAGCTAGCAGGTTGTCAAGAGTGCCTGTCCAGCCCTCTCCTCTACCCTGAGGTGTCAGAAAGTCTGAGTAGAAAGCCAGGAGAATACATTTTCTCATATAACCAATGGGTGTTTGCCTAAGAGACTATAAACTTCCATTTCATTATGGATCAATGAGGCTTTTAGGGATGGCACCAGGAACCTTACCATTTTTGCATTCCATTGTTTCCATCTAACTTAACCCTTGCATCAGTGCTATAAAGTACACAGTTCTGTAGTTCCCATTTTATAGATGAGAAAACTAAGACTCATAGGTGTGTCATAGCTGGCCTATGGTAACAGAAATCAGACCCCAAGCCCTCACTCCTAGCAACTATTCACTGCCTATGTTCTCTACACATTAGGATCATCTGGGAAGCTCCTCTAGCATTCCAATGTTTGATTCAAACCAAAACCAGTTAAATCTAAATCTCTGGGGATTGAAGCTAAGGCATCAGTGCTTTTTTATTAGTGCCCCCAGATGATTCAAATGTGGTGAGAATGCTGCATTACCATACTCCCCTCTAATCCACAGGGGGTATGTTCCAAGACCCCAGAGGATGCCCAAAACCATGGATTGTACTGAACCCTCTATATACTATGTTTTTTTTTCCTATACATACATATCTATGATAAAGTTTCACTTATAAATTTGGTACAATAAAGGATAACAACTTATAATATAATAAAACAATATTCTGACCTCATTACTCTTTGGGCCATTATTAAGTAAAATAAGGGTTACTTGGACGCAAGCACTGTGATGCTGCGACAGTTGACCTGATAACCAACAGATCTACTAAGTGATTAACAGGCAGGGAGCCTCTATAGTGTGAATACTCTGGACAAAAAGATGATTCACACCCCGGCAGGCAGAGCAGGATGGCTAAGATTTCATCATGCTACTCAGAACACGGACAACTTGAAATTTATGAATTATTTCTGGAATTTTCTGTTTCATATATTTGGACCTTGGATAAGGGAGGACTACTGCGTCTGAAGAGTCAGCGATACAAATTCATACATCAAATGCGTGTATTGTTTGGCAGATGGCAGCTGCTTACATCCAATGATAGGCCAGCAGGTGATTCTGTGCCATTGAGGGTGCATTTACACATCCATATGAATGGTACAATCACATGCAGTGATAACCGTCAACCACATGTGATTGTAGTCAGTTTTTGGAGACAGAAGACTTGGGTTTGAATCCATGCCCGTTAGTTGTATGACTTTGCATGTGTTATTTAACCCCTGAGCCTCAGTTTACCCATCTCGAGAGAGGGGAAAATATTGTGCCCCATTTTGGAGGTTGAGTTGGCAAGGGAGGGCATGCATGCCCTGGGCTCAGCACAGATTCTGGCACGTTGTAAGCCATCAATTGCTGCTAGCTATTTACTGATGGCACTTAGTACCCCAACAAAGGTGTACACCACATAATAAAGACAAATTCGAATCCGAAAATAGTTTGTGCCCCCTCACTTCTGACCATTAAGTGCTTAGGATTACACTCGTCACTTGAAAATTCAATTAATTTGCTTGGGTGATTCAGCATCAAGGGTGATTGTCCAAGAGGTAGCCCAATGACTGTGTTGACAAGTCTGCAAACAGGCGGTGAGGCTGGGATATGTACCAGGCGAATACAAGGGGAGCGCTAAGGGCTCTGACTGCAGGTGGTAGGGCCCAGCTGTGGGAACTGTGACCCTAAGAAACCTTTTAGTTCATAAGAAGGGAGAGGTCCAGAGGCTGAGGAGGAGGCTCAGAACAGAATAGGTGACAGGAAGCCAATTTTAGGATCTGAGGAAGAAGTTGAGAGGTTCAGAAGGATCCAAGCATGACCCTCCTCCTCGCCCCTGGGCTTCTTGTTTGTCCTATTACTATCTAACAACTCTATCCTCCTATACACTCTCCATTTAGCTGAATGTTCATCCTTTATTTTTTTTTTTTAGAGACAGGGTCTTGCTTTGTCACCCAGGCTGGAGTGCAGTGGTGTGATCATAGCTCACTGCAGCCTCAACCTCCTGGGCTCAAACGATGCTCCCGAGTAGAGATCGAGGTGTGAGCCACTATGTCAGACCTATTTGTTCTTTTAAGCCCCACTCAAGCCTTGCCTATTCTGTGGCTCTTTCTGAACCCATCTAGATCAAAGTTAGAAATGCTTCCTAATGAGCCGTCATGAGCTTTTTGCCCGCCGTTGTTGGCTGCCTTTGTATGGACATATCTTATTTTAAAGTAGTTTTGAGTTTTCTGAGGATGGAGACCACATTCAATACTTCTGTTCAACTCCACTTTCTCCTACCACAGAGGTTAATGTGTTTGGCTCTTATTAGATAAAAGTGCATTATTTTTATACACATCACAGAACTCAGCAGGCAAAGAAGGCTTAAGGATTTGCTAGTCCAGGAGCGGCAAATATCCTCTTGATCCATAGGCCACGTCCTTCCAAAGTGGTCTATTTGGCCAGACCAGTCTATTTTTGTTTTTGGGTTTTTTTTTGTTTTGTTTTGTTTTTAAATACAGATAGTCTCCAACTTACAATGGTTTGACTTATAATTACTCAACTTTATGATAGCGTGAAAGCCATACACATTCAGCAGAAACTATACTTCAAGTACCGTGTAATCATTCTGTTTTTCACTTCCAGTCCAGTATTCAATAAATTACATGAGATATTCTACACTTTATTATAAAACAGGCATTGTGTCAGATGATGTAGCCCAATTGTAGGCTCATGTAAGTGTTCTGAGCATGTGTAAGGTAGGCTAGGCTAGGCTGTGATGTTTGGTAGGTTAGGTGTACTAAATGCATTTTTTCACTTAGGTGGGTTTATTGGGACACAGTAGCCCCATGGTAAGCCAAGAAGCATCTGTACCAAATTTGAATGTCTTTAGGTGGGCTGTGCCTCTCCAGTCCTCTGCAGTCTGGTCCACTTTCTAATGCCTTACCATTTTACACAATTTATCTGCCCAACCCCTTAAGGAATTTGAGTGTCACCCCTAATCTGCAGATCTTCAGCTTTCCAAATGTGGAGATCTTCCCCACAACGTCTCTAATACACGGCTCCCCTGCCTATGCTTTCAGAGGCAGGGAGCTTAGGAGGAAGTATGTTCCACTGGTGGAAAGCTGACGAAAATAATTCTTTCTGGATGAAAATCATAACTTAGAGTCATCTACTGAAATTAACCTGCTACATACTAACTGCATTAAATCCTTTTGGTAACTTACTTTTTACTGCTAAATGCTTTCCCCATTCTTAAGTATTCCATCACAGGATGATATAAGCCTTTTTAGATATACTTTCTCATCTGTTATTTAGGCAGAGGACATGTCACTTAGAACCACATTTGACTTTGCTCTTCAACTATGGTCATCTGAAAATGACCTTCTTGGTAAACATTCCCCTTCATTCACATAGAATAAGGGCTGCACGTGTCCACCTAGCCTTTTGTACTCACATGTGAGATTTTCAGATATCCTGGAATAATCTTACACATCTGTCTAGCCCATCAGATTATGGGTGATTTGAGTCTGGCATGAACCAGCATCCCAGAAGGTTGCAATTTGAGTATATGATAGACCTAAGTAGATCTTATCTCATGTTTCCCCATTAAGCCTAGACATTTTCACAGCTTTATGCTGTACAGCAGTTAGCTTGTGCCTGAATGCACAGGAATGCAACTCCGGCAATTATTTACCAGATGGAACGTGTTTTTTGTGTTTCTGTTTTAAGGGAACTCCGTTAAAGTTTTTGATTCTAGTTTTGATGCAGTGGATTGTAAACCTGTTATAACCTGCTGAGAAGGGAAAAAACCCATATTTTTCTGTTTTCAGGAAAAATCATTTCCATATGAAAGGCCATCTGGAGAACTGGGCATATAATAAATCACTGTTCGCACCAATTATACTTACTGGGGGGGCTCAGTTATTTTCTTGCAAGTAGAGACAGGAGAATATTGGCTTCTGAAAACAATATTGCCATGAACTTCCTTGTGGGTGAGCCAAGGGTCAGGAAGATGCCAGGTGGGCATTCTGAGATGACAGAAGCTGCCCTGGTGTGGGAAATGGAACCCCATTTGCATGTTTCTCTTCTCCTTCAGCTGTAGTCCTCACAAAAATCAAATATATTCTTATCCTATGTGACTATTCTTACATATTTTTGAAAAGTTTTGTCCCTTGCAATTTGTATGGATCCACCAATCTGAATCAAGATGCTGGTTTTCAAATCAATGCCATTTAGCAGCTGAATCACCTGCAGTGAGTCACATCTAACTCCCTTAGTCCCTCCGTCCCCATTTGGAAAATGTGGCTAATGAAAATGACCTAACATGGCCAAATGCCTAATACATTTATGTGGAGATGTCTGTAGGAAGAATGAGCAGTGAAGAACTCTGGTGACTTCAAGCCCCCGTCCCCTGCATTTAGGCCCTCAGGGCTGCGTGGTTCTTGTAGGTCAATGAGCAACTCCAGTGTTCTTCCATTAAATACCCATTTTCTTCAGTTGAGTTGGAATTGGCTTTATGATACTTGCAATGACAAGAGTTTTGACTAATAGCTTATGCGTCTGTTAACATTGGTAACCAGGAAGAACACACAGCAGCATGGAAAAGGAATTTTGATGAATTTTACAAAGAGCACGATATAAAATTGTGACTGATATGCATTGCAGTTATTTGCAATAATCATGCCTATGCAAGACAAGTGAAAGAGAAGTATTTTAAAAATCTATGGGTGGCTGTAATCCCAGCTACTCAGGAGGCTGAACATGAGAATTGCTGAAACCCAGGAGGCGAAGGTTGCAGTGAGCCAAGATTGCACCACTGCGCCCCAGGCTGGACCACAAAGCGAAACTCTCAAAAAAAAAAAAAAAAAAGTAATGGATGTTTAGCGTGGTAGAGTTATGGATGATTTGTCTTCTTCATATAATGGGGTCAAAAACTTAGCAAACTACATTTGGTTGTGCAAAGTAAATGTGGCTTCACTTGTTTTCTGTAACTGATCAAATCTTACTCATTGGCTCCACATCCACATTCATCACTAACTGTATTTTAGACTCTTTGGATATGGAAGAAGTTTTGGTGTAAAGAGTTTGGTTTTGTTTTTAAAGGTAAGTGGCTATTGTCTGCCCTCCTTTCTAGATGGTTTCTTGGTATATTGGGGTGGCAGTGTTGTGAGAAAGTGAGCTTTAGGAGTGAGCAGGAGAAAGTGGGCTTTAGATTTGTATACACTGGTCCTTATGCTGTGATTAGATTTGGTATTGACATCTTTTAGCAATGTCTCTGGATACCTGGTTGACTTGTACTACTGACATCTGTGCATGGGGAAACTGGCTTTTTCAAGGAGGCACAAAGGCACTCATGCAGACCCTATGTCATAACCATGCTGTGTTTTTATTTTTAGTTGTCAAATGATCCTTTATTGAAATTTTTTCCTTCGTAGTTCATAGCTAGCTGGATATTTACTTGCACCACTGTTGATTTGATGTCATCTATGATGTCAGGAGGCTGGCGCCCATCAACATTGGAGCTCACAGACTGGGCAGTCTCCAAGATCTCTTTACGGGTCCCAGAGAGTTCTGTGACTAAGGATTGGTGCTGCATCTGTCATGCAATCTTGACAGTGTCATGAAAAATGGCATTTCCACTGTGCTTGATTGTTTTGCTTCTTTCTGTCTCTGGTTCCTTGAGGGCTTTGATGCTCACGGCAGAGGCAGAAAGTACCACCTCAGTCTGAGCCTGTCTGTTCTGAATGGTCAGTTTCATTGTAATCCTTTGACTCTTCTGGTGACCTGTGGCCTTGGGAATGTCATCACCAACTTATTTTGGAGACAGGTCCAGAGGGTTGATCTTAAGGGCTAGGGCAGACATGGTACCCAGTTTTCCACCAGGGCACCTGGCAGGTATATGACTGATCTCATTGGGGTTGAACTTGGGCAGCATGGCAGAGGTGGCTAGATGAACCCAGATGTAGTATGACTGAAGAAATGTGCACTTTGGCTTCCTCCAAGCCAAGAGGCCCATGCTGTTGGTTTTCCTTTCTGTGTTACATATTGGCATGGGCCACTTGGTGGGGGTCCCTTTTGCTGAGTTTTAAGTGAGGAGCAGAACACAGTCTTTTTCTTCTTTTGGGATTCCTTTCTTTCAATTTATCTACTACTTGTGATATCAGCCCTGAATGGAGAAGCCAAGATACATAAAACTCACTTTTCCCCTTTAATCTCTATCTTTTCTTCCCCTGACATTCCCTTGGTTTGGAAAGGAAAAACACCCCATCTTTTCTGTGCAGTAGGGACACCTCTTACATCAAAGGTCATTTCTCTCTACCAATAGCTTTAGAATTCAGGTTCATTGTTCTGACCCTTGGTATTTTAATGGAAGTGATAGGAATCTAGAAAATCCTTTTCTTTATCTCCAACCTCTGAATTTTAAAGACAGTTATTCTAGGAACTCAAATTTGGAAATCAAAAGCTAGATCTTTTTTTTTTTTTTTTCTGTTTGCATTCCTGCTGTAACAATCTCAAACCTCCCTGAGTCATAAGAATTACCTTAGGCTAACCAGGGGAAAAGTCATTCACAAAATATAAAAGAGAAAAATACATCTAAAATATATTATCCTTATTACATTCTTTCAGACTTTCCATAATGTCCGTTACTTTATCGCCTGTCACCCAAACTCCCTGTCATGCCCTGCTCAAATTGCCAACTGGGGTAATGAAAGTAACGATTGTTTATTGGCTCTTAGTATCAGACAAATGTGCTTTTAAACTTTACCATAAACTTGTAGATGTTCATATCCCCATTGAACAGATGAGAAGCGGGATCTTAGGAAAGGAGACTTGTGCAAAGTAGCAGAGCTAATTTCGGGGAGACACATAGTTTAGAAAACTCATTTGTGTCTTGTTTGCTTTTTCTCACTTTGGCTCAGAAGTCATTCATTCATTCAAATGCTGCAACTTTAAAACTTTAAAACACAGCTAGAAAAACATCCATTAAATAATATGGATGTTTAACACACTGCTCAATAAATGGCAACCAATATTATTTATTAATATTTCTACTGATGATCAGGAAGATAAATCTCTTAGTGTGCAGAGAACAGAGTCCATCATGGCCAAAATCTTGGTACAGTTTGATATTTCAACAGCTGGGCAGGAAAGACGGTAAAGTGCTTTGGGAAGACAGGAGATCCTGGGTGAGATGGAAGCAGGGGGTTTGGTTTCCCCTTTTCTTTTGGATGGGAATCCAGAACACCTGGGATTTTTTTTTTGTTTTTGAGATGGAGTCTTTTGTTCCATTGCCCAGGCTGGAGTGCAGTGGCGTGATCTCAGCCCACTGCAACCTCTGCCTCCCGGGTTCAAGCGATTCTCTTGCCTCAGCCTCGCGAGTAGCTGGGATTACAGGCATACCCCACCATGCTCGGCTAATGTTTGTATTTTTAGTAGAGACAGGGTTTCACTATGTTGACCAGGCTGGTCTTGAACTGCTGACCTCAGGTGATCCACCCGCCTCGGCCTCCCAAAGTGCTGGGATTACAGGCGTGAGCCACCACGCCCGGCCTAACACCTGGGATCTTGTTCATGTTTGGCTAATACTGTGGAGCAGGCATTTAAGGACCTTGTAGTTTAGTTTTCTAACTTTTTTTTTTTTTTTTGAGATGGAGTTTTGCTCTTGTTGCCCAGGCTGGAGTGCTGAAGCAGGTGGATCACAGTGAGGCCAGGAGTTCAAGACTAGCTTGGTCAATGTGGCGAAAACTTGTCTCTGTTAAAAATACAAAAATTAGCCGGGTGTGGTGGCAGGCACCTGTAATCCCAGCTACTCGGGAGGCTGAGGTAGGAGAATGGCTTGAACCCAGGAGGCAGAGGTTGCAGTGAGCTGAGATGGCGACGCTACACTCCAGCCTGGGCAACAGAGTGAGACTCTGTTTCAAAAATAAATAAATAAATAAATAATTTTAAAAAGGTGCTAGACTCTTAATCTCTTCAGATGGGAGCGCCTGGAAGAAAAATATCTAGCTATGTTAACAGAGATTCTTTACAGATGCAAATTTTCCCCTACAAAGGATGGCTTTGCAGGGCCATTTCAAAATATGCCAAAGAGACATGTTATGGGATAAAATATTTTGATTTTGTCATGTAATATTATGCCAGAGTCAGACTAAAAAGTCACAATATATAGGGTTAAATAAAACCCATCTGATGAGAATTTTTGGTTTGTAGGGCATAACTCCCCAGACCCCCTAGATAGGAATTTGGAAGATAAGAAAAGATCAGAGCTTAGTCCTCAAGCAGGAGTGAAAATTTATTAAAAAGCTTCAGAGCAGGAATGAAAGGAAGTAGAGTATATTTGGAAGAGGGCCGAGTGGGCACCTTGTGAGATCAAGTGCACAGTTTGACCTTTGACTTGCGGTCTTACAGGTTGGCATACTTTCGGGGTCTTGGGTTACTTCTCCCAATTCTTCCCTTGGGGTGGGCTGTCCATATGTGCAGTGGCCTGCTAGCATTTGGGAGGGGAGCATGCACAGTGTATTTGCTGGAATGGTACAGATGCTTTCTTGAGGCTTTCTTCCCTTACCAGCGTAGCATTCCTACAGGAAGGTCATTTAC
The DNA here is from genome assembly GCF_000001405.40 of Homo sapiens. NCBI lineage: Eukaryota > Metazoa > Chordata > Mammalia > Primates > Hominidae > Homo > Homo sapiens. Next base: position 475,192 of record NC_000009.12, on the reverse strand, counting down.
CAATTAAACTCCGCCACTTTGCCTCTTAGTGCACATGCTTGAGCCCACCTGCCCAATTCCTGAGATCTTATTGTGAAGCTGCTGATTGTCACTTTCAGGTTTTTCCTATCTATTTGGAGACTGCCTTTCCCTGGTGCTGGCTGCAACCAGTTATTATTTGAGAGAGACGGTGTAACAACCATGTGACCATCACCTGATGGTCACCTGACATTCCTGGTCAGGGTGGGGGGCCCTCTCCTGCACTGCACATGTCTGCCTATCTACTGTAACAAGTACACCATCAGATGATTGCTAAGGTTTCTCCCAGTGTGAGGAGTCCTGAGAAAATGGTATTCTCAGAGATACTGAAGTGTCCTCAGGGAAAGTCTAGATGGCCTAGACAGCTTGTGGTGCTCCATTGTCACCCTGCCACCAATGTCTCCCTGCCTTTTCTCATCCTCTGATCTCCCCCTGCTCAACCCCATTTCAGGGGAGGAGGGAAGAAATATAGAAAAGATAATGAGGGAAAGTGGCCATGGGTAGTGAGAGGATGATGAAGTGGTAGATAATGGGAGAGTGGAGGGAAGGCATAGAAATTACACACATATACTTTTTTAGAGAAACGACACAGGGAAAAGATAGGGGGCATCAAAGAAAGAACATTTGCCTTCTTTTGTTCATCAAATAAAATAATCGCTGACATTTATTGAGCCCTTGTCCTAGGCCTGGCACCTTGTTCAGTTTTTCACATGCATCATTTCATTTAGCCCTCATACATCTCATTTTATAGATAAGTGAGAAACATACTTATGCAATTAATCAATATGTCCAATATCACTAATTAGTAAGAGACAGGACAAGGCATTGAACTTCAGCATCTTTGACCCCTGAGCTTGTACTTATAAATACTAGTCCATATGGCTTTCCTACCAGCATTTCCTCTGAGCCAGGGAATGTCACTATTTTCCTTATGGCCAACAGCATTTAGACTCAATGTCATTGCTGACCTACAGTGATGTGTTCATCACCATGGGCAGACAGATAGGCAGGTACCTATCCATACACTCACTCACCCACTGATGACACTCAGGAAGGCTTGGTAAAGACAAGTAAAGCCAATGAATATTATAAATAGATAGTATTTCTTGTGAGGAGCCATCATGTGGGGAAAGCTTCTTCATTAACTCTGGCTGAGTCTAATGTTGAAATTAATTCTTGGCTGGCACACTGGCTCACACCTATAATCCCAGAACTTTGGGAGGCCGAGGTGGGCAGATCACAAGGTCAAGAGATCGAGACCATCCTGGCCAACATGGTGAAACCCTGTCTCTACTAAAAATACAAAAATTAGCTAGGTGTGGTGGCACATGCCTGCAGTCCCAGCTACTCAGGAGGCTGAGGCAGGAGAATCACTTGAACCATGGAGGCAGAGGTTGCAGTGAGCTGAGATTGTGCCACTGCATTCCACCCTGGTGACAGAGAGAGACTCTGTCTCAAAAAAAAAAAAAAAATTCTTGTTCTTTCTGGGTGCAAGATAGTTCCTGAACACATACCCAGATGATCACAGGTGCCTGTGGTTTGTTGGGGGATGATATACACTAAAATAAGTGGTGAATACCCATAGCTAACCATAGCAAATTTTCTCAGTATTATACCTATCAGAAAACCCAAGTAAGCCTCATTGTAGGATAACTCTAGGTGACCCTCTAGGGATTATGGTTGATGATCACAGAGCTGTGATGTCATGATGTCCCATTAGGGGTCTTTCACCTGGTTATCATTTCTCTGCCTGATACTTCAACTGCAAATTTATGAGGAAATTTAGGAAAGACTGAATCAGACCCCTATCCAATAGTCTCCAAGCTGTGTGCACTTTCCTTGGATTTTCCTCTGTTTCAATGCAGGGATATTACATGGGTTTTGGAATCAGTCAGACTCACGTTCAAATTCTGTCTCTGCTATTTACTGAGTGAGGAGCAGTGGTACGAATCCCTTGTCCTTGGAACTGCTGTATTCTCTCCTGTAGAAAGGAATTATGAAAGGTGTTGTGAGGATCAGGTGAGCTGGCACATGCAATGCACCAACACAGGGCCTGGAATATGGTGGGTGACCACTCACTGCAAACTCTTATTCTTCATGCTTCAGTTACCTATTGCTATATAAAATCTCAACCCAGGCCTTAGCGGCCCCCATGACTATACCCGTTTGTCATGAAGAGCTTTAGTGAGCTTTACTTGAATAACAACCGTTTGTTTGCTCATAGTTTTGTAATCTGAGCTGGGTTCTTCTACTGGTCTCACCTAGGGTAGTTCATGCTCTCATGCTGACCATTAGGAGGCTGAATTGGGGCCAGAAATCCAAGATAGCATCACTCATGTATCAGGAAGCCTGGCTGTCATGCCTGCACCAGCTCGGATCAAGCCTCTGCTTGGTATAGGGCTCTGTTGTCACCGCCTTAAAATTCGGAATAATTTTAAAACAAGGAAACCTGCATTTCCTTTTACACTAATCCCTGCAAATTGTGTAACCAGTCCTTGCAGCTGGATCTCTTTCTATACTAGCTCAGGGCTCCAAGGGAGTGAAAGCAAAAGCTGGCAGGCTTAAGACCAAGGCTAGAACTTGTACAGTATCACTTTGCCGCATTCTATGGGCCAAAGTAATTCACAAGGCCATGCCTGATTCAAGAGGAGGAGTGGGAAAATCTTTATGGCCTACACTTGACCTCCATTTCCTACTTTCAGCATTTGCAGCAACTGGGTCAGCAACTGGGTCCTGAGAGAGCTCTTCTGGTGCTAAGAAGCAGACACCTCCCCAAGTGACCTCACAAAAAGAGGAATATATGGCAGAGGGTTGGAAATCTCTCAGAAATGAGGCATAACCCCATCTTAGGAAAGTGGAAAGAGTTAGAAACTCAGAGTCTGAGGCTACGCCTTGCTTCTCAGTGGTGACATTGACTTCCTTGGTCAGTCATGGCTTGAGGGGAGGTCAGGGAAACTGGTCACTCAGAAGAGACAACTGCCCCTTACAGAGACTGTGGGCAGGCCAGCTCTCTATAAGAGGCTGTGAATAAGGTAGGGTGTATTCCCTGATAGAAAAGTTTTTTTATCAGCCATTTATGAAGCACCAATAATTATATGTAAGAGTGTTTTGGCGTATGGGGATGTGACTCTGGGAGAGCAGGGCTCTTTTTTGTCAGTCACATAAGGGTATATCTCTTTAATTGAAGTTGGGGTTGGGGGCAGGGGAATAATCGGAGGTTTATTCTTACTGTCCTTGTGCTCGGGGAGTCAGCCGCAGTCCCTGGTGACCGGCTCACATATCCTCATGTGGCTAGCAACACCCACCTACCATGGCAGTACAGGAGAACGCTTAACTCACTGTAATCTCCAATGCCTAAGTGCAAACGATTCTCTCGCCTCAGCCTCCGAAGTAGCTAGGACTACAAGTATGCACCACCATGCCTGGCTAATTTCTTTTACAGAGATGGAGGTCTTGCTATGTTGCCTAGGTTTCGAACCCCTGGCCTCAATCAAGCCTCCCACTTTGGCCTCCCAGAACCCTGGGATTGCAGGGGTGAGCCACCGCATCTGGCAGAGAATGCATTCTTTTACAAAAATGCCAACTCACCTCAAAGAAAAGTTGAGTGAAGAAGGATGAGAAATTGTGACTTTATCTTATTTACTTTGGTCCTGCTCCAAGGAAGATGACAGACTGAGGCCCGCATAAGGAGGGAGTCCCACATGGACTTGGGAGTGTCATCACCATCTCCTTGGGGCATGCAGAGAGCGGTCACCATCTCTTGACCTCTCTCCTCAGCATGCTCCCCACTTCCCTACTCTACTTCCTTGTGGTTTCCTTCCTTTGTGCCCTCAGTCTAGTGTCCTTACCCCTGTCCTGGAGACCCCATCTCTTTTCTCCAGTACATAGTGCCCCTCCTCGGTCCCTTCCTGCACATTCCACTCAGCTGGCACTATCGCTTTCCTTGGCCCAGCTTCGCCAGCTCTGAAAAAGCAAGGGGTGAGGTGCAGTCCATCAGATGGAAGAGATGATATAATTGATGATCAGATCCAGGGCAGGTGCCCAGCAGTAACAACTGTGGCAAATTTCTACATAAGCTAGCTGAGAAACAAGCTAATAGAATGAGCTTATTTCCCAGTGACAATGCAATCTAGTGTTCTATGACCGGCTCCTTGCAAAACAATAACCCTGGCATTATGACAAGATTCACATTAACTGTGCAGGGCCCTGTCTTGACTACCCAGGTGGCTAGCACCTACTTGGATAAGAATGTCCTGAGCTTCAAATCTCTTCCCTGATAAAAAGAGGGCTGCTGCTCTCAAGGAACTTCAGTCAAGGGGAGTGGGGGAAGACAGTCCCACACACAGACAAAAAACTAGGGGGTGAAAGGCCAATGAGTGGTGGGAAGGAAAGGGAAAGAAGCTTCCAGAAGTAAGTGCTGAATGGGAGATTAAACTTGGCTGGGGGCCACGGTGGAGCACAGGTGTAATGGAGGGTGGGGCCTCTTTCAAACCTCACTCGTGGCTGTGTGCACGCGTGTCCGTTCCCACTGGAGTGGCGGTGCTTTCTTGTGGCAGGGGATGGGTTGCTTCCCTCCGAAGTCTTCGCTAGAACTCCCTCCTCCTCCTGCTTCCTTTCACCTGTTCGTTCCAAACATACATTGAGCTGCACGTTCTGGGTTCCCTCACGAAGGAGATTTCAGGTCTATGCCCACTTGCCACGATTTTACTTTACTTGGTTCCCAGTTCTACTCCTTTCCCTGAGCTTCACAGTGTTGAGAAAAAAAGCCCTCAGCCTCCCCGAGTCCCTCAGGCCACGCACCCTCTCACTTTGCTAATTTCCAACCACTCGCTGCTGAGCAGGCTGGAGCACGCCCGCTTCGGACGCCCCGAAACACCCTCGGGCGCATGCTCAGTAACTCCCCCACGCCCCTACCCGGGCGCATGCTCAGTAACTCCCCCACGCCCCTACCTGGGCGCATGCTCAGTAACTCCCCCACGCCCCTACCCGGGCGCATGCTCAGTAACTCCCCCTACCCCGCCCGTCCCACCACTGCTGCCCTTCGCCGCCGCCCCCGGCAGTGCTCGCTCTCTCTAGGCCCCATGTAAATCGCTGTGTTTGCTGGGGAGCCCTTAGTTCAATTCTCAGGGGATTAGGGCCATTGAGATTCTTAATCAATTGCTGGGTTCCACGCGATCCTCTTTAGAAACTTTTTGCTTAATATGCATCTAGAGACATGCACGGCCCGCCTGCAGCGCTGGAGCCGATGGAGTGGAGCCTGGGAGGCTGCAGGCGACCCCCAGGCTTCTAAACAGCAACGTCAGTTTAATTATTGCAGATCCGTCACAGCTGCCAAGTCCTCTCTGTCTTCGTTGTTGTTAACGGGGAAACTTGCCGCCCGGTGGCTTTGCTTCAGGCGGAAGTCCGCGTGCTTTGATACCCTCAGGGGGCACTTACAGGCTAGGTGGACACAGGTGGGCTGCGGGACTCCGCGAATTTACCTTCCAGGGGAATGCACTGCACACATGCTGCACACAGGAGACAGGGAAGCCTGGCGAGGTTGGGTTTTCAGGCGCCACTGTATACACTCTCAGTTCCACTGATACCCTTTCTTTCTTCTACCCGCTTTCAGGCGCCACTGTATACACTCTCAGTTCCACTGATACCCTTTCTTTCTTCTACCCGCTTTCAGGCGCCACTGTATACACTCTCAGTTCCACTGATACCCTTTCTTTCTTCTACCCGCTTTCAGGCGCCACTGTATACACTCTCAGTTCCACTGATACCCTTTCTTTCTTCTACCCGGAGGCCCTGGTAGTTGGCTCTCGCCAGACAATGTAAACTGGCACTACAAGTGGAATAGACCAGACGTTTATTTTCTGGTAAGTCAGGCCTCTGTCCTGCCTGCACCTTTGGCCTGATTTTGATTAACGTTGTCAGAAGCGGATGCCATGTGTGGGGGTGCTGGCTAAACTTTCTGGAAGTGTCAATTGTAAACAGTGTTACCTTACATTTTGGGCAGCACTTTTGAGTTTCCAAAACATGTTCCCATGCATTATCTCATTGGGTTTCCTCAGTAGATTGGAAGAATGTGGAGGAACTTGCACCCTCTTTCACAGTGAAAAAAACCCTGAAGCTCAGAGCAGTATAGTATCTTCGCCAGAATTGCAGGACTAGAAAGTGAAAGAACAAGAAACCAGGTCTTCTGGTCCTTAGTCTGGAGACTTTTGGCAGTCACATATACTTTTTTATTATCTCACTAATAACTCTTGATAATCTTGTTGGATAACAGAACAGTTTGTTCATCCGTGTCGTGTTCTCTCATTGCATTAAGGAAGTGATGAGGGAGCTGATTTCTCAATTGTTTTTTAGAGCTATAATGCCTTGAAAATCATTCCCTTATCCTGGCTATCAGTAATTTGCCATCTCCTAATATGTAGTAAAAATAGTAAACGTAAAAACTAGCTGCCAAGCTAATGCCACAAACATCAAGTAGGAACTGGGTTGGATTCAGTAACATCGGTCCAGAGAGAGCACTGCTCCTCAAGATGGGTGCAACATCAAGGACTTAGGGATCAGGAATGTGCACGGCTCTCCAAATGGTTTTCAACCAAGGTGATGCTGCATTTCCTCTAGTAATTTCATAATTAAAAACTTAGTGATTATCAGAAATTTAGTTTTTGCTTTCTTTTTTGTTTGTTTTGGTTTTTGAGACAGGGTCTCACTCTGTTGCCCAGGCTGGAGTGCAGTGACACAATCATAGCTCACTGTAGCCTTGAACTCCTGGATTCATGCCTCAGCCCCCCAAGTAGCTGAGACTACAGGCAGGCACCACCATACCTAGGTAATTTTTGTATTTTTTGTAGAAACGGGGTTTTGACATGTTTGTCAGACTAGTCTCGACCTCCTGGGCTCAAGCGAACTGCCAGCCTTGGCCTCCCAAAGGGTTGGGATTACAGGCACGAGCCACTGTGCCTGGCCAGAAATTTAGTTTTTTATTTATTTATTTATTTATTTATTTATTTTTTTGAGACGGAGTCTTGCTCTTTGCCCAGGCTGGAGTGTAGTGGCGCGATCTGCGTTCACTGCAACCTCCGTCTCCCGGGTTCGCGCCATTCTCCTGCCTCAGCCTCCCGAGTAGCTGGGACTACAGGCGCCCGCCACCACGCCCGGCTAATTTTTTTATTTTTGTATTTTTAGTAGAGACGGGGTTTCACCGTGTTAGCCAGGATGGTCTTGATCTCCTGAGCTCGTGATCCGCCCGCCTCCGCCTCCCAAAGTGCTGGGATTACAGGCATGAGCCACCGTGCCTAGCAGAAATTTAGTTTTTAAATCAGGCTGTGTGAGGTTGGGTTTAAGAATATTGAAGCTTGGCTCACGCCTGTAATCCCAGCACTTTGGGAGGCAGAGGCAGGTGGATCACCTGAGGTCAGGAATTTGAGACCAGCCTGGCCAACATGGTAAAACCCCATCTCTACTAAAAATACAAAAATTAGTCAGGCGTGGTGGTGGACGCCTGTAATCCCAGCTACTCAGGAGGCTGAGGCAGGAGAATTGCTTGAACCACGGAGGTGGAGGTTGCAGTGAGCTGAGATGGTGCCACTGCACTCCAGCCTGGGCAACAGAGTGAGACTCCGTATCAAAAAGAAAAAAGAAAAAAATTACATTCAAAGCAAAACAAAAGCTTCTGGTCTTTGAAAGCATACTTGCAACCACAATTACCAATGACAACTCTAAATTTTGTTTGTTTGTTTGTTTTTAAAACGATCTATTGTCATAGAAACCACTCTTTATAGAATAGAATTATGGAATTTAAAACAATGTGTGGCATGACAAACCCAATCAGATCTGTGCAGTATATTCATGTTTAATTTTTATGAGATTCTTATGTGATAGTGACAACTGCACCCTTGACCTTGCTGAAGGAGGGGAGGCATGAAGCTAATCAGAAAATTTTCTCTAATAAGCTTTCATAGAAGAGTTTTCCAAATAAAATGAAGAGGGCTATCATGGCATATCAAGTTTCTCTAATTTTCAGGAAACAAAGATACTAATTTGCTTTACTCTTAGGGATTCTTAAAAGGCCTCTTTTCTAACTGCATATTTAGAATATATAATCAGAGGACCAACGTTCAATATCTTTTTTTGTGCCATCACTTTAAAAAGTGCAGCCATGCTCCCCACTTAACTATCTGGAGTTGAGAAATGATCTGGGAGTTGGCCCAGAAATAGTGTGAACAGCTAGAGCCAATATTGACAAATCCTTATTCTGCAACCCCACAAGTTTCTCTCCTAGGTAAGCTCATGGGGCTCTCAATCATACCCTGTCATTCTTACTTCAGACACTAGTCCCACTTCTTTGGTTATCTGTATTCTGAGTCCACAAATCAGAGGCATCCAGTTGAAAAAGCTGAAAGCTTCTAGAATGGCACTATCCAATATGGTAGCCAGTGGCCCCCTGTGGCTACTGTGCACTTAAAATGTGGCCAGTCCTAACTGCAACGTGCTGTAAGTACAAACTACACATCAGATTTTTAAAGACTTAATATGGAAATAAAAGACTGTAAAATAATTTTTTATAGTGGAAGCATATTGAAATAATATTTTATATATATTGGGTTAAATATACTAGTAAAGTTAATTTTGCTGGTTTCTTTTTATGATGCTGATTATTTTTTGAGACAGGGTCTCACTCTGTCACCCAGGCTAGAGTGCAGTGACACGATCATGGCTCACTGCAGCCTCAACCTTCTGGGCTCAAGCGATCCTCCCACCTTAGCCTCCCGAGTAGCTGGGACTACAGGCACATGCCACCACACTTGGTTAATTTTTTATATCTTTTTTGGTAGAGATGGGGTTTAGCCATGTTGCCCAGGCTGGTCTCAAACTCCTGGGCTCAAGTGATCTGCCCACCTTGGTCTTCCAAACTGCTGGTATTACATGTATGAGCCACTGCACTTGGCCTATTATTATTTTTAATATGGCTACTAGAATTTTTAAAATTATATATGTGGCTTGCATTACATTCTTATTGGCAGTGCACTTCTAGAAGCAGGCCTACTCATCATTCATTCATTTAGTGAATCAACAAATATTTATTGGGTATCTTTTGTGTGTTTGTTGCAGGGCTAGGGGTAAGAATGCAGCAGTGAACATGGTTCCTGCACTCATGAAGCAAATGTATCCACTGTGGTACAAAAGAGACTGTAAAAAACAAACCCAAATGGACAACAGGTATCTAAAAGCAGGGGATATTTAATCAGGAATATTCTAGGTTACTAGGGCTATTCTGGCTATTTGAGTTAAGGTCCAGGACTATATAACTTAGCATCTAACTCTTATTGTTTTAGGGCAGAATCTAATACCATAGGTGTTGGCCTATCCTTGAGTTAGTCAGGAAAAGGTTACATGCTATGGGCTGTGTTCTAGTCTGTTTTGTACTGTGGCTACTACACAGGTATATGATCTTCCTCAGGGAACGGAGACGATTTGGAGGGCGGTGACCACGTTTTTTGACCTTGGTCTCAACACAGTGTCTCCCAAAGAGTAGGGGAATACATATGGAATTAAAGTATGTCATGTGTACTCATTTTAAAAAGCAGTTAGGTGTATACTTTAAAAAGAGTTCTTCCCCAAATACCTAAAAAATAAAAAGTTTAGCACTTAAGCTGGTAAGTTTTAATTATTATTTTAAGTCCTCTTTCAGATTATAAATTCATGCATACCTGATGGTATAAACAAAAAGTTCTGAAATATCCGAACTAAGTCATCGTTCATTACTAGCAGGGTTAAACATTGCAGAAGAGGTGCCACCTTGGATAGTGTTATTTGATGGAGGCCAGGATGATGCATCTGTCTTCTCTCTGAAGTGCCTTACAAAACATTACGAGCGAGTAGGTCATCAAAACAAAACACAAAGCATGAGTTGCAAAGGGAAACATTTAGCTTGCAATTCTTATTACATCTTTATTATCAGTCAAGGTCACAGTCATATTAAAAATATATAATTTAATTCTCAAATAATGTCTTTGTTCCTCTTTTTCCTAAAGTCCTTTGTCAAAAGAAGTCAAAGTTGAATATATTTTGTAGCTGATATACATATGCTGACAGACAGCACAATGTTCTGAAATGAAAACAGAGATATTATTGCTTTATAAAAAGAAACTTGGTCCCAGAGAGGAGAAAAATAGATAGTACACAAGAGTGACATAAGAAAAAAAGCAAAGCATTATCGGAGAATTGTTTCCATTTAAGTGAAAGCAGTATCTGTGATTTCTGGCTGACTGCTCCAAGTACCGTGTATCTCCTACATCAGTGCTTTGAATGTATTCTTCTATAAATGCATGTTAAATTAATGTAACAGTAATAATAAAACAAAAATAACTATACAGCAATTAGTCCACCATTACCAAAAGGGTAACAAGTTCACAAATAATCTCCTCCCAAATTTCCAACCATGATGATTTTTGGAATTGTAGTAAGGCTTCCCTTTGTAGATTTATTGAAAATGTTTCGTACTCCTACAAGTTTGCCCTGCCTTCCTATAAAGAGTGAAATTCAGTTTGAATCGACTGGTGGATAATTTTTCCATTTTTCCTCAGGCAATTTGAGTTACTCCAATAAATTCAAATATGGGCCAGAGGAAATCATCTCTCAGATGGGCAGTGATTGGCCAGTCAGCAGGAGAAGCTGCTTATGCCTTGTTTGGTACATTGTGGAAAAACACACTTTAATAAATACGCAGTCATGCCTGAGTACCCATCCTCCATCCCGCCACCCCCCAGTATGGCAAAAATCTGGTCAGAGTCCATTTGGGAATAATTCCATGGTTCCTGGGATCCCAAAGCTTCCAGAGTGCTGGCTGATCAGGGAGTGTACAGTCAGTCCTGGGTGGCAAATGTCCCATTTTTTAAGTACCAGCAAGTCCTTCTCCAGGGTTGCAGGGCCACAGTCTCCACGAATGAAGATGGCTTTTCTTAGCTGCCCTGTGACAACTGGGTTTCACATTTCCTGAAACTAGATCTGTGGAAGGAGTCCCTGAAATTAAGAAAAGAGAGGGAGGAGAGGGAAAGAGAGCGTACAGAAGCAAGAAAAGATCAGTTAGCCTTTTAGAAAGGGTTGGGGGTGGATCACCCAGTAGAAATGGACATCAGTCATGGACAACTCAGCAAATAATAAGTGAAAGGTCTGCGACCCCTTCACACTGTGCCAAAACAAACATACAAACCAACCAAACAAACAAAAAAACCAACACAGGCCATCATTCAGCCCTGGGAATACCCTGGCACAAGACCAACACCAAGGTGTCTGGGAGAGGTCAAGGAGCAGGGATGGGGAGGACAGAGGCAGAATGAATCACACTCTGGTAGCCTCTCTGACTGTGGGACCCTCTTCCACCCTTTCGAGGTTCTGCAGCTCCCCAAGTGCAGCAGAGCATGCCCCAAGGTGCTAGGCCCCATGCGCTGCTCTTTATCCCACAGGAAGAGGCCTCCTCTGCCCTGTTCTTACCTCTTTTGACTCTCAACTCTGAATATTGGCTTGTACAGTTCTGGAATTTTCCGCTCGATCATTGGCCTGAGGTTCTCTTTTAGCTTGTTATAGTTCTTTTTGAGTTCCTGCTGATATTCCCTCTGGTCTGCCGTGATGAGACGCTTGTTTTTCTCTACAGCTTCACCACATCTGAGATGAAAATATCAGTGTGGGAGAAATAAATGACTTTGAAGTGCTTAGAAATCTGAGAACAATGAAATTACTTACGATTTTTCGAATAACTTTAAGAACGTTTTCAAACTGGGTGGCATATCGGGATCACCTGTGGAGCTTTTCAAAATGCAGATTTCTGGGATCTATCTCAGACTTAATGAATCATAACTGCTGAGGGGTAGCACCCAGAAATCTCTGTGTTTGTTTTTTTTTTTTACCTTATTTTATTATTTTTTGAGACGGGGCTCACTCTATCACCCAGGCTGGAGTGCAGTGGCATGATCACAGCTCATGGCAAACTTCGACCTCCTGGGCCCCAGTGATCCTCCTACCTCAGCCTCCTGGGTAGCTGGGACTACAAGTGTGGGCCATTGCTTCTGGCCCAGAAATGTCTAATGTTAAAAAGTTGCCCAGGGGATACTGAAGCCAACCTAGCCAGAATTGAGAACCTCTGACTTGCTATGTGCCAGAAGAAGTTTCAAGAAGTTTTACATGCATTATCTGTTTAATTTTCCCAACAACCCTAAAAAGTCAGCATTTATCTCTATTTTGTTTCTGAAACTCAGAAATGTTAGGATGCTTGCCCAAGATAACACTGTGAGGAAGTGATGGATCTAAGAGTCAGACTCAAAACACACTGCAGAATGGAAGCTGTTACACTTACAAAAAACTCACTGTGATTTACAGCAACATGGCAGACAGAGCAGATGGCATTCAGCCTCCTCCTGCTACGTACATATGGAAGTGCTAGGAAAGCACAGCAAAAACTTGTTGAAAGAGAAAGGGGAACACCAGGTGCCAGAAAGAAAGAGAAAAATCAAAGCTAGAATGATCACAGGAGCTGGTGACAAGGCAGCTGTCAGTAGGACTGCCCATTAAGATTTTAGGACTGTGTATAGGTCTATGGGCTGAGGGGAAGGGGCTTCAAAGCTCACACAAGATTAGTGATGTGGCCTTGGCCAGGGCAAAGGGAGATTCTGGATATGCCACCTGCATATCGTCCAGAGCCTTGAAAAGCTATCCCATCTATGAAAGAGGGTTTAGAAAAATGCTGCAAGATGTCCAGAGAGGCAGAATGAAAACTTGCTATCAGCTTAGGGCCATTTATGGAAAAGAAAGTCATATTGAGAAATGGAAATTCTAGGCTTGCACCACACATAGTATAAGTTACAAATGTACATTCCTTGACTGTATGTGCTTCAAGGTGAGAAAATAACTTAAAAGCCAGTCCAAGATTACTGAAATTGCTAGGATTCAGCCAAACCAACATAAAGTTGTTCTGGAGGAACACATTCTCAATCAGGGCATATGAGCCACTCTCGCCAAAGATGAGCTCACAATAAAAAATTACAAACCATATGAAGAAACCAACCACCACGAGGGAAAACTAACAGATGCATCAAACAAAAGAATTAGTCCAATAAGAATTAGAGATAATAAAACAATGTAAAAAACCAAAGTTAATATAGAGAGGTAATAAAATGTATAAAATCCTAAGTAATCATGTAACTAGAAAAAAAAAAAGAAAATAAATAAAAGGTATAAAATCCATGATAAAAACAAATAAACAGGGAAAATGAAAAAAGAGACCAGGAAAAGTTCAGAAAAGGACCAAACAGAACTTCTAGAAAAAAGAAAAATGCAGTCACTAGGCTGGGTGTGGTGCCTCATGCCTGTAATCCCAGCACTTTGGGAAGCTAAGGTGGGTGGATTGCCTGAGCTCACAAGTTAAAGACTAGACTGGGCAACATGGCAAAACCCCATCTCTACAAAAAATATAAAAATTAGCTGGGTATGGTGGCAGGTGACTGCAGTCCCAGCTATTTGGGAAGCTGAGGTGGGAAGATGGCTTGAGCCTGGGAGGTGGAGGTTGCAGTGAGCCAAGATCATGCCACTGCACTCCAGCCTGGGTGACAGAACCAGACCTTGTCTCACCAAAAAAAAAAAAAAAAAAAAAAAAAAAAATGCAGTTGCTAAAAGACAAAAAACTCAATGGAAAGGTTAAAGGTTAAATAATAGACTAGACATAATTGGAGAAGTAAATGTATGACAGATCCAAGGAAATCACCAATGAGATTTAAAAAATAAAAAAATATGAAAAAATTGGTTAAGAAACATAGAGATATAAGGAAGATCCAACCCACATCTAATAGAATCTCCAAGGGAATGGAAAATGAGAGGGAGACAATATTTAAAGAGATAACAGCTGGTAATTTTCTAGAGTTGAAGAGAGATATAAATCCTCTAATGAACAACAACAGAGCTATATCCAGTCTTCTCATGACAAAACTGAAGAACATTAAAGACAGAGAAAATCTTTAGAACTCATCATGGTTATCTGGCTTGTGGACCGTTAAACCTGGTGTTTTCCCTGTCTCCTGCACGGTACGGTACACACCAAAGAAGAAAATCACGTTATTTAAACATGATGAAGTTTTGCCTTTTGTTTTGTACTCTTCTACCCAAGGGAACTTACAAATCAATAAACCTTAAAGGGACAGAATAATGGCTGTATGTTACCTAACACGCAATAATTAGTAATAACTATATTATCCTTCAAATGAATAAGACGTGGGTGATCAATATGGCTTACATTATTTTCCTAACAGTGGTACCAGATTTGGACTAAGTTATGGAGATACCCAGACATTGTTATCAAATCCTCTTAACACTGAACACATTTTCAGGATGACAGTCAAAGAGGAAGAGGATAGCATGTGGCAAGGAAGAGCTACCTGCCTAGGCAAAAATAAACTTAGCACCACAGCTTCATCATGGAATTAGCCTGCTATAGAAGAAGGACTTGATTTAACTCACACAGAATCTGAAAGAACTCCCTTAACTGGATTTTCACCTATCTTTTATGTTTGTCATTAATTGAAGCAAATTATAGGATAGCTAAGGTTATGAATTAACGGTTTTAGGGAAGAAATAGAAGGGAAGGCATATGGCCTTTGAATCCTGAGAAATCTATATCACCCCTTATTATTTTTTTATTGCTTCTTAACTAACAGTTACAATTACCACCATGTGTAAAATAAGATCAGTTTCAGGATGACTTCAAGGCCCAAGTTTATAACATTGGCAGGCTACAGGAGGTGGGATGAGTCCTGCCAAAGCTAACAGCTAATTTGGGGAAGTCTACTCGGACAACTTTGGTAAAATCAGCTAAACTCTCCTTAGTCTTTGTTTGCAGAAGTAGCAGCAGCTAGCTAACACCTTCTGATTGCTCACCATGTGCCCTTGACTGAGTTAAATGTGTTATATGCAGACAACTGCGGTTGAAACAAGCTGCTACTCATTAGCAGGATGACTTAACCATAAAAATCTTCAATTTTCTCTGGAAAATGGGGATAATAAGCTCATATAATCTCCTAGGGTTGCTGGGAGAATTAAATCAGAAGCTATGATAATAAGGCAAACAGATGCTTCTGGAGTGTAGCAGATTGTATTTCTGAAAATGGCCACAAGAATGTGCTCTCCTAGAACCTTGCCCATGCCCCCATCAAGAGGTGGATGGTTCTTTGTGACAGCCACACTGAATAGGATGTGGTGGAGGTGGTACTGTGTGACTGGCTAATAAAAGGTAATATGGCCTCTGTCTCTCTCTCGTTCTGTACTATAAGAGTTCTGAACCATCCTGTGACAAGTCTAGTTACCCTAAAGCTGTCATGCAGGAGAGACCATGTGGAGAGAAGGAGAGTTAGAGAGAGGAGGAGCCCCTGCTGTTTGAGTATTCTCAGCCCAGACACCAGACATGAGTGAGGAAGCATTCAGGTAATTCAAGTCCTAGTCACTGTCTCAGTGCAACTGAGAGACTCCAGGCAAAAACTGCTTAGCTGAGCCCAGCCAACCCCAAGTTGCAGCAAAACCATTCTCATGGCCACAATACACCTCGCTAGGGCCCCAGCCATCATGACCACATCATAGGCAAGTATCAGGAGTAGAAATGAGGAAAGCAAAAATTATTATGTACCACATGCATAATAATTAAATTTTCTTTTAAGCCACTAAATTGTGAGGTAGTTTGTTACACAGCAATTAATAAATGTGATGTTTTATAAAGAAAAACATATTAATAGCTGGAGTAAAAAACTTAGATTTTATGTAGTAATATTACTTTATGTCTTTAAACTTTTATAATGCAAAAAATTATTTTATATACTTTTTCTACATTTCTTCCTTTCAGTCATTTGGGTTATATTCTCTAGGTTATTTGATTAAAATTGAAATAATTTCTACTATCCCTCCTAGAGAATAGCCACATCGCTTGGAAAATGTACACAAGATCATAAAATGACACTGCAAACAACTTTTCAAAAATGGTCTTATCTGTAACATTCTCAATAGGTCCACAAACATCTGTGCTGCTCTCACTTAGTGATACAACCATTCCAGACTTCCCTCACATCCTCTGATGCTCCCTTTGTTGGTAAATTCACCGAACACAAGTATTTTCTTAGAACAAATATGCCTGGGGTTTTCTAGCAGTCACAGTTCTACAGAAACCAGATTGATAGGGATTAGAAAGGGCAGGAAGTTACGCCTCCAGAAAAGGATTCCTGGCTTTTGATGGCAGTAACATTTTGGGGCCTCCATTTATAGAGTTAAGGTCTCCTACAGAGAGAGTAGTCATGCTGCCCTCACCCCCCCTGCATCTCTTGGTACCCCCTCTATTTTTAGAGAGAGGATCTCATTCTGTCATGCAGGGTGGAAGGCAGTGGCATGATCTCAGCTCACTGCAACCTCTGCCTCCTGGGCTCAAGTGATCCTCCCACCTCAGCTTCCCGAGCAGTTGGAACTACAGGCACGCCACTACACCCGGTTAATTTTTTTTGTATTTTTTGTAAAGACGAGGTTTTGCCATGTTGCCCAGGCTGGTCTCGAACTTGTGAGCTCAAGTGATCCGCCCACCTCAGCCTCCCAAAGTACTGGGATTACAGGCGTAGCCACTGTACCCAGCCTTGGCCCCCCTTTTTCAGCACAGCCCATACATGGGTTCCTCAGTGTGGCAGACAAACATTCGTTAGTTGTTTTCTCAATATCCATTCTTTCTTCCCTACTGGCAGAACTCCAGGCAGTGTGACCACCTGAAAACTTACACTTCCTAGCCTCCCATGCAGGTAGGGATCGCTGATAATATAGGTGAAGGCACTGGGAAATGGGCACATCTTTTTGCTGTTTCCTCATTTCTACTCCTGACTTGCCTAGATGTGGTCATGATGGCTGGAGCCCTAGCAACCATATCATGACCACGAGAATGGGTACACTAGAACCAGGATGGCATGGCAAAGGATTGGAAAAGAACCAGGGTCTCTGATGACTTTATGAGGCCACTACACAGCTCTACATCGACTACCTCCAATCTTATTTAATGTGAGAGAAAAATAAATTTCTTATTTAAGCTACTCTTCCTTCTGTTACTAGCAACTGAATATAGTCACTAGAGGGAACAGCTCAGCATGGCAATTAAGAGGATGGACTCTGGAGCCAGAGTGCTCAACTCTGAATCCCGCTTTGCTGCTTACTGGCTTTGCAACCTTAAACAAGCTACTTAACCTCTTCATGTCATAGTTTCTTCATCTGTGATGTGTGGGTGATAAGAGCCTACCTCATAAATTAATGTAAAGATTAAATTAGTTGAAACATATCAAATGTTCAGAAGAGTCCCTGCACACAGCTGAAGCCAGAGCACATGGTAGCGTTATTATGCCTGACAGACCCAGGCTAAGTAAATGAACTATTTGTACAATATGAGAATGATAAACTATTAGAGATGCTGTATTCTAGTCTCTTTATTTCATAGTTGATGAAACTAACATGCAAAGAGGTGAAGTGCCCTGTCCAGTCACATACCTGTGGGACAGCACAGCTGGATATAAACCCAGAATCCTGCTGCTCCCAGGCCAATGTCTCATCAGCATCACTGTGTCTTATGATTCAAACTTTATAGAGACAGACAAATCATGGATAGACAATCTCCGTATTTAAGTCAGATTAATTCTCTATTTCCCACTCAAATCCATCAGTCCCCTATTTGCCCCACTGAACAATGTTACACTTACTGATCCCTTAGTATGTATGAAGTCTTATTCTAAGTTCCATGTATTAACTCATTTTATTCTGTCACTAACTGCAAGGGAGAGGTACAATTATTATTCCGATTTTACATCTGGGGAAACCGAGGGTAGGTAACTTCTCAGGGTCACACATCTAGTTGAGGCAGAATGGGATCTGAACTCAGGCAATCTGGCTTGAGTGCCCATATTCCCAACCCCAACGCCACATATACTGCCTAGGAAAGCCATTTCCCCATTTCCAGCTATAAGCCAGGCATATGGCCTTGGTCTCAAGTTAAAACTACTGCTTCTTTTTCCACCTACACTCTACACATTTGGTTGTCCTTTGGCTACTCGGACAAATTCCTTCTCCTTCCTCTTCATAGACCCCAACTCCAGTTTAAAAACGCCACCACTCAACAGCCTGTTTTCTGAGCCTATGACCACATATATGCTGCAGAACCCTTTCAGGGTGTATCTGAAACTACTTCTCTTAAAGGCAAGCTGTAACTGGTGCCAGTGAGTACTACTATCTTTTATTTAAATTAAAAACAAATTTAACATCACTTAGTCTTTATAAGAATGAGAAAGTCCAGATAAGTATAAAGAAGAAAATTTAAAAATCTAAATGGTCGGGGTGTTTGGGGGAGCAGAAGAGGAAGATAGAAGATTGTATCTCTCTATCTTCTTGTCTTGGCTTCTGAACCCGAGATGTTTTTTATTATTGCAGGAAAAGACAGAAGCTGATTGAGGTCCCAGCTTGGTAACAGTTTGAAGAGTTGCAGGACTGGCTGGATGAGTACTGGCTGCAGCAAATCAGGCTGCCAGGATTCTTTATGGCTGTTTCTGCTTCCACTACAGCTGAGTCAGAAAGGTCGCTGCCCCGTGGTGGCACTAGACGCAGTGGACCTGGCAAGCAAATGTTTCCGCTATTAGCTCTCAGCAACAGAGACTCATTTATGGTCACCTTGGAAATCTGGGCTTATCGATCTACAGCCCAAGTCTGCTGAGAAGCTGGAGCTTACTAAAGGGGAAACCTGAGAGCTGTTCAAGCCCCAAATATTTTCCACTTCTGCGTCACCTCTGCTGTCTGTTAGCAGAGTGGAGGAGAAAATACACAGCACAAACAACGTGAAAAAATAGTTACTCTATTCATTAAAAGCTGTAACTTCCAGATTGGACTTGAGAAGCAATTAAGCAACAGAGGAACCTCATCTACTATCTGTATTCAGGGTATGATTTACATACCGTAACATTCACCCATTTTATGTTTAGAGTTTGATGAGTTTTAGTAATTTACACAGTTGTGCACCATCAGCACACTCTCACCCACGACTTCTGATCTCTGTAGAATGAAGTGGAGGGCAGGCCATCTGTTGTGTTTGCACATAGAGATGAATAATGAGCAGCAGTACTGTTTTGTCTGTAGCCTTGTCCTACTGATATTGGGACTTCATCCTTCCACATATGTAGCACAGTGCCTGGCACAAAGTAGGAGCTCAATAACTGCTGAATGAATGGATGAACTGACGTCTATAGTTGGTTCAAGGTGCAGCAGTTTGAGCATGTTTGCTTTTTTTTTTGTTCTCACATAATTTTATTGAGATTTACAACTTCTTTTTTTGCCATTAAAATTTTATTTTATTATTTATTTATTTATTTATTTTTTGGGAGGAAGCAGACGGCAAAAGTGGTAAATGATGATAAGGATGGCCTAAGAGATTAAGCCCTCAGGGAAGGAGGGAGAGGTAATAGGGAGAAATGTGAAAGGGAGGAAATTAAGCAATCTTTGCAGGCTCTCCACTCAAAGTTTGGTCCAGTGTAGCAGCAGCAGCATCACCTGGGGGCCTGTTAGAAATGCAGTGCTTCAGGACCAACCCCAGACCTACTGAATCAGAATCTGCATTTTTCTTTTTCTTTTTTTGAGACAGGGTCTTTCTCTGTCACCCAGGCTGGAGTGCAGTGGCACGATCATGGCTCATTGCAGCCTTGACCTCCTCGGGCTCAAGCTATCCTCGCACCTCAGCCTCTCGAGTAGCTGGGACTACAGGCACACACCACTACCACGCTTGGCTAAATTTTTGTATTTTTTTGTATTTTTTTAAAGAGACAGAGTTTCGCCATGTTGCCCAGGCTGGTCCTGAACTCCTGGGCTCAAGCAGTCCTTCCACCTCAGCCTCCCAAAGTGCTGGGATTAGAGGCGGAGCCACTGCATCAGGCCAAAATCTGCATTTTGACAAATCCTCAGGTGACGTGTAAGAACAGTGAAGTCTGGGAAGCATGGACAGTCTCCTGGCCTCCTAGAACAATGCAGCAGCCCAGCCAGTGGGGAGAAAGGTGGGACTGGTTCCCATGTGGAATCACCATTAAAAGGGTAGGAGAACAACTTTAAAATGGTGAATTTGATTTTGAAAATCCAACATTTCTGTAGGCCATCTGGGGAGAATGATAGCCTCATTATTGAAACTCTAATGACTTTGTTAAAGGAGCGACCCCTAGGAAAGTCCATTTCCTCTTGTATCTCTTGCCTGGGACTAGTTTTACTGGGCACTGGTTCTTTTTGGAGTAACTTTTCCTGGGGCTGGGAGCTAATGAGAAACGCATGTTTAGTAGGGATTTTGTAAGTACATTTTACCTAGGTGGTGTCATGGAAAGGATCATACCCGTGAGATACTGGATTGCAAGATTTATAACTAGTAGAAAAAATTGAGGCAAACTGAAGTAAATGAAAATCACTCTCCTGACAAGTTTTCTTAAACATTTAAATTGTATTCAGAGCCTCATTTACTGATATTATCATATTTCCAATCTTTCCTCCTTGTCCTAGCATGCTCATGAGAACACGCTGCTCCAGCTGGACTTAGAGGAACCCGGTGCATCACAGGCATTCCTGACAGAGTCTCGTGGTCCTGCTGGTCCACTCAGTGGTACTCAGTCCTCCTCATTCTCGGGGATAGGTTCCAAGACCCCCAGGGGATGCCTGAAACTGCGGATGGTACCGAACCCTACATATATTATGTTTTTTTCCTATACATACATACCTATGATAAAGCTTAATTTACAAATTAGATAGAGTAAGAGATTAACAACAATTACAGCAATATACTGAAATAAAAGTTATGTGAATGTGGTCTCTCTCTCTCTCTCTGAATATCATATTGTAAGTAATACTTTCAAACCATGGGTAACTAAAGCAGCTGAAAGTGATACCTTGGATCAGGCAGGGCCACTGTCCTGGCTCCCTCTTCCCCACTAGCGCCTTTCTTCCACGTATATAGTCAAGACAAGATTTAAGTGGTGTTTTTCCATAACGCCTCCCACAAATGCTCCAGCCTGAAACTGATTTCTCTTTTCTGATCTTTATAGTCCTGTAGTTAGTCATTCTTAAAGTTCTGTGCATATGCTGCATTCTATTATTCAGCCATGCAGGGCTATGTCCTGTCATTAAGAACAGAGGAACAAGCCAGATCTCTGTAGTCCCATAACTAATATCATGCCTGGAATATAGTGAGTGCTCTTCAAACATTTCATAGGTCCTTTTAGAGGTCCTGGGGCATAGTCAACTTTGGAAGCATTCAACCATAATGAATTTTAAATAAAAATATATGAAAAAAAATTTTTTTAAGCCCCCAATCTCTGAGCCCAGGAATTCAAGACCAGCCTAGACGGCATAGTGAGACCCTGTCTCCACAAAAAATAAAAAATAGGGCCGGGCACGGTGGTATATGCCTGTAATCCCAGCACTTTGGGAGACCAAGGCAGGTGGATCATTTGAGGTCAGGAGTTCAAGATCAGCCTGGCCAACATGGTGAAACCCCATTTCTACCAAAAATACAAAAATTAGCCAGATGTGGTGGCACACGTCTGTAGTCCCAGCTACTTGGGAGGCTCAGGGAGGAGAATCTCTTGAGCCTGGGAAGTGGAGGTTGCAGTGAGCTGAGATTATGCCACTGTACTCCAGCCTGGGCAACAGAGTGAGACCTTGTCTCAAAATAAAATAAAATAATAAAATAATTCCCCAAATATTTTTCTAGCCTTTTAAAAGATACGTATTATGTACTGAAAAAACAACAACAACAACTAGTTTTTCTGTCAGAATTGTTGTCAAATACAGGAAACAATTCAAATATCAAAACATTAATCAAGATAATCTGTGAGTATGTTCACACACATGCACAAATACAAACACGCAAAGCCACACAAACATCCTATTACCAAGCGGCTGTGATTCACTGCAGGGCACAGTGTGTCTCCTGTATATGCAGCAAAATTGCGGACCTCTCGCAAAAGCCTGTGAAGGAGGAGATATCTCTAACCTCACAAATGCTAGCATTTTGATGAGTTTTCACTGAATTTAGCAAACTTTTAGTCTCCTTTATCCCCATCTGCCAAGTGAAGATATTCTTATACTTAATATTCTTCTCTAAGGTTTTGAATAGAAAGAAATATTGCTACACATTTTTCTGAAGTCCTTTTCTCTTATAGGTGAAATGCCATCACATCCTTCATACTCATATTTTTAGGACCATAGGAGACCCAATATATCTGTCTGTATTGCAATAAATTACAAGGCTTTGACCAAAGACCCAGTTCCTAACTGACTGCTCTTGAAGCCAGCTCCACTGCAGAATTAAGGAACAGAGATGAGACTTGTCTGACATGGGGAACTGTCACAGGATAATACCTTTGAAAAGCCTGGTTTTAGAACTTGCCTCTCTCAATTTGAGGCAGTGTATGTTTTTAAGTTTCTAAAAATAAGATATTATAAGATTTGTAACATTACAATGACTGCCAATGCAAAGAACCTCTGGGACTCTAGTGCATCAGTGGAATATCAGCACATTGATGGACATGTGGACTATTTGGATTCAGAAGACCTGGTTTGAGCTCATCTCTGCTGCCAACTGTCTGTGTGACCTTAAGTAAAATTATCTCCTCTCTCTGAACCTCTGATTCCTCTTTTGTAAAATGAGGAAGATGATGATACTTGTTTTACAACAAGTGATTGTGAGGCACACGGGATGCTAGCCACAAAAGCGTTTCATAGTTGACGTGTTAGTTACTCATTAGTAGTTCAAGTAGTGTTGCTCTGCTGCAGTGGTCCTCAAACTTCAGTGTGCATCAGGATCACCTGGAGGGCGGGTTAAACTGCACATTGCTGAGCCACACCTCCAGAGATTCCAATTCAGCAGGTCTGGAGGGTGCCTGAGACTTTGTCTTTCTAGCAAGTTCTCAGGTGATGCTGAAGCTGCTGGTCTAAGATTGCACTTTGAGAACCACTGCTCTACTGAAATTCCCAGCCATTTTCCTTCTTACCTCATGATGAATTCCTTAAAGCATAACCTCAACTTGTTGTGATGTCGATAGAGTTTTGGATCAGCAGGAATTTCAGCCAAAAACACTTGGGCTACTTCCAGTGGTCCCTGGTGGGAAAAAAAAAAAAAAAAAAAAAAAAATATATATATATATATATATATACACACACACACATATATATATACACATACATATATATGTATATGCATATGTATATGTATATGCATATATATGTATATATATATACACACACATATATATGAATATATTCATACATATATGAAGGAAATTAAATTGCTTGGGAGAAAATATTGGAGTGACTTCTTAGTTTGAACATTTAATTTTGTAGTTGGTTTGAAATAAACAAAAAAAAATAAGGAAGGTCTTGGACATCTCAGGAAATTTTGATTTCTTAGGAGGAATCTGAAGTTTTAGAGGAACACTCAGAAGTATAAATGTATTTTCCCTGTGTGTGTGTGTTTTGTTTTTGTTTTTTAGACAGGGTCTCGCTCTATCACCCAGGCTAGAGAGCAGTGGCATGATCTCTGCTCACTGCAGCCTCCACTTCCCAGGCTCAAGTGATCCTCCCATGTCAGCCTCCCAAGTAGCTGAGACTACAGGTGTGTGCCACTATACCTGGCTATTTTTGTATTTTTTTGTAGTGATGGGATTTTGCCACATTGCCCAGGCTGGTCTTGAACTCCTGGCCTCAAGGGATCCACCCACCTCAGCCTCCCAAATTGCTGGGATTACAGGCGTGCGCACCATACACAGCCCAAATTTATTTTCTTTTTTATTGTTGTTTTTGAGACAGAGTCTTACTCTGTCACTCAGGCTGGAGCGCAGTGGCATAATCTCAGCTCACTACAACCTCCACCTCCCGGGTTCAAGGGATTCTCCTGCCTCAGCCTCCCAAGTACTGGGACTACAAGCGCCTGCCACCACACTGGCTAATTTTTGTATTTTTAGCAGAGATGGGGTTTCACCATGTTGGCCAGGCTGGTCTGAAACTCCTGACCTCAAGTGATTCACCCACCTCGGCCTCCCACAGTGCTGGGATTATAGGCATGAGCCACTGAGCCTGGCGCCGAATATTATTTTATCAATCAAATACTACTAATAATAGATTTTCATTCATATATAAGTGTAATACAACTACATCAAATGGTATGTGCTTTGAGTTGCTTTTCTAAAAATCAGGATTGCCTTGATCTATTCATTTTTGTTCACTTATCTAGTTGCCTTCATGGCAAACATCATTTTGCATAACTGCTGGATTGAGTCAGAGATATCCATCGTGTACAGATAGACCATGGTTGTGGGCTTGGAAAGTCTTCCATTTTATCAAAGGATTGGCACTTACAAAGGCAAACGTTTCCTCATTTTTTTTTCCTGATCTTGGGAATGTAATAGGCATTTCTCTTCTCTGTTTCTGCTCCCTTGATGTCAAGTACACTCAGAACTTTTGTGGGGAAATCCAATTACGCTGAATGAGAAAAGACTCATGATGCTCACTGAATAACTGCCGTGGAAGTGTGGACAAGAACAGATCTAGATTTGAATTAAGGAGGCCCACTGGACAGAGGTATTAGGCTGGTACCTCCCTTCATCTGAGACTGCTTGAGCACCATGCTGAACTTGGGAGTCAGCGTTCTAAGAAGTCTGATAGGAAGATCTAGTCTTGTCTGAAGTAGCCTAAGAAGTCAGGTCCCAGGTCATTCCTGGTTGTCAAGGTCCTTGGCATGCTGGGTTCATCTGCTGACTGAGCCAAGAGTTGGATGTTCTAGATCCTTTTCCTTCTCTCCTATAGGCATTTGTAGGTGAGTCTCAAGCCCTGCAATTACTCTGCGTGAATTGGTCATGACTAAGCATTCTTCAACATGACTCCAGATTTGCATCATATTGTCAGGTCTGGCCCCGAAGTGGAGACTCCTCTGAGAAAGTGGTACTCCTTAAAGCCTGGTCCACTCATCTCTAGGATTTCTTTTTTACCTGGGGTTGTTACATGAAAGGGAAGAGGTTTCCTAAAAGTCTTCTAAACCTTACAGGTGTTCAGGTTAAGTGTAGGAACATTTCTGTGTTTGTCTATGGATCAAAGTCCTCATCAACCCCAAGGAAGAAGGGTGCAGACGTATAATGACAACCTAAATAATAAGAACCAGAGGAGCTGCCACCTCTGGTTTTGCTTACCTGATTTACAGTAGCTCCCACAGAGCCTTGCAGCACCATCTGAAGCATCTTTGCATCAGGCGGCTCCTGGTTAATGGCAACTGCTAACTGCAGGGTCTTCTTCTTCATGTCTTCAATGGCAACTTCAATCGGTGTCAAAACAAACTGAACATGAGACGTAAACATAGGGAAGTCACTGTCTGGTCTCATAAGCTATGGACAAGCCTGGAGCTATGACAGAGAGGCCACCTGAATTTGAAGAGGCAGCTAGGGAAAGACTTTCAGAGTAATTTAAAATACTCTTAACAGGTTAAAAAGAAAGATGGGCCTAACATTTCTTGATTCCTTATGTTCCAGGAACTTTACATACATTTAGCATTTATTCCTCTCAACAACCTCTTTATACTCTCCATTTTACAGTCAAAGGGGGATTTGTAAGGTTAAGTTCCACAGAATGCCACAGGTAGTAAGGGAGGAGGTCATAATTCGATCACAAGTATGTCTATCTTCAAAGTCCATGTTTTTTCTACCCTGTCAGGTGCCTTTTCCTATTACTGAGCAAGTTACTCAACTTACTTATTTATTTATTTATTTATTTGAGATGGAGTTTTGCTCTTGTTGTCTAGGCTGGAGTGCAATGGCATGATCTTGGCTCACTGCAATCTCCGCCTCCCGGGTTCAAGCAATTCTCCTGCCTCAGCCTCCCAAGTAGCTGGGATTACAGGCATGCACCACCACACCCAGATAATTTTGTATTTTTAGTAGAGATGCGGTTTCTCTATGTTGGCCAGGCTGGTCTCAAACTCCCAACCTTAGGCAATCCCCCTGCCTCGGCCTCCCAAAGTGCTGGGATTACAGGCAAGAGCCACCGCACACAGCCTCATGTTACTCAACTTACAATGCAGAAAGCTGTAGTAGAAGCACAGCACTCAAGATTTTCTCCCCCATCATAACACAGGCTTTTGATATCACCTGTGCCTTCTCCAACTGAGGGTGAATTTCCAGTAAATGGAATTCTTTTAAGGGTCAATCAATCTATTTGCTAAGTTCTGCTGGTTTGGGGTAGAGTCTTTTCTGAATTTTATAGGTTGAATTGTGTTCCCCCAAAATGTATATGTCGAAGTCCTAACCTTCAGTACCTCAGAATGTGACCTTCTTTGGAGATAGGGTCTTTACAGAGGCAATCAAGTTAAAATGAGGCCAGCAGGGTAAGCCCTAGTCCAATATGACTGGTGTCCTTACGAGAAGAGGAAATCTGGACACGAACACAGAGGGAAGATGATGTGAAGAGACACAGGGAGAAGAGGGCTGTCCACAGGTCAGGGAGAGAGGCCTGGAACAGACCCTTTCCTCACAGCCCTCAGAAGGCACCAACAGTGCTGGCACCTTGATTTCAAACTTCTAGCCTCTAGAATTGTGCAGACAGTAAATTTCAGTTGTTTAAGCCACCCAGTCTATGGAACTTTGTTCTACAGCCCTAGCAAACAGCTGAGAACTGTTGTTGAGGTTGTTGGGGAACGAAGGAAGGCCAAGAAAACTTCAGGCTGGTGCAGTGGCTCACACTTGTAATCCCAGCACCTTGGGAGGCTGAGGTAGGAGGATCGTTTGAGGCCAACAGTTTGAGACCAGACTGGGCAACAAAGTAAGACCCCTGTCTCTTACAAAATATATATCTCTCTGTATTTTTAATTAGCTGGGCATGGTGGCACAAGCCTGTAGTCCCAGCTACACAGGAGGCTGAGGTAGGAAAATTGCTCGAGCCCAGGAGGTCGAGGCTGCAGTGAGCCATGTTCATGCCACTGCACTCTAGGGCAACAGAGGAAGATCCTGTCTCAAAAATGAAAAAGAGAGAAAGAGAGACAGAGACACAGAAAAAAAGGAAGAACGAAAGGAAAGGAAGGAAAGGAAAGGAAGGCAGGAATGAAGAAAAGAAAAGGTTTTGAAATGCTTTTGGGCACCATGAGTTTATATCTGTGTTATGCCTAGAATGTCTCAGTGTTCAAAAGTCCAAACCAAGAAGTATAGGAAGTACAGCAGATGGCTTCTAAACCCACCTCCTCCCGACTGAGTCACTGCTTCAGGCTTTCTTCAGCTTCTGTGAAAGCCACACCCTGATGTGGTTACCCAGCTGAACACTACCTGCTGGATGACTCTCCAGTTAGCTCAGCTATTTCTGCTTCTGCCTGATGAGGTATATATTCACCACAATTCATCTGTGTTTGTTCACCAACTTGATTATGCCTGTTATACTTGTTATTTTAATGACCCAATCTAATTAGATAATGGAGAAACTGATGAACCATGGGTGTGGAAAGAAAAAGATTTCTTTCTATGAAAACCAAGCCAAATGGTTGGACAAGATATTATGAAAGTGAGTTGCTATAAAAATTCCTGTCATATTAGGTGTGCACAAGACTGCTGTCAAAGTCTCGGGGAGAAAAACATCATAAACATCCAGAAGGCTTCTGCTCTCAAATTGTTTAACAAGGATCTTTAAGCTCTCACTCTGCTTACACAAAGCAAAACTGAAAATCATGGACAAAGCACTACGGGTGTGGTTTATAAAAGAAAATGCTGAATTGTGATCAGCAAACCCACAGTCACAGAGAAGTCTGTGGCCCTGCATAAAAAGGACGACAAATAAGTGTATATATATGTGTTTTAAAGAATAATAAGTTGTTTATGGTGTGTAGAATTTTGAACAATTCTGTGGTTTGAGAGACCTTCTTGACCAGTCCTTTTATTAATAAAATGAGTATAATCTTGTACTGTACTTAGAGGTCTTTCCTGCTAATGCATAGATGAAGAAACTGAAGGTACGTAGCTTGTTTAAAATCACAGGAGGAAGCTAGGACTAGAAGCTAGTCAGTGAACTTGTCTACCTTACACGGCCCTTTCCCACAGCACACCACCGCCTCACTGGGGCTGCCCACGTGCAGGTCCCGTCTCCAATAATTAACAGCACGACTATGCTTGAATCACCTCTAAGCTTTGAAATATAGAAAAATTTTATATAAAATATTTAAAAGGTAAATATATCTGTTGTACAAGTTTATAATTGAAATATATATTAAATATTATAATTAAATACATAAACACACTTATACTAAAGATATAACTTTAAAATATTAAATATTTAATATACAATAGTGCTATAAAATATGTAGCTGCCTAAATGGGATTTTCTGGCACTATGAGAGTGAAAGGACAACCATATAATCATATTTCAAGTGCATCCCTCCTTGTTTTCAGTCCAATCCACTGTGAAAGAGGTTTGTGGGTCCTCCTGGGAGGCCACCCAGCCCACTCATCCAGTGGTGGCCAATCCCTTGGGTGCATTACCTCCTCCTTCTGGATGACGCTGATCCTGGTCTTGATGTAGGGGAAGGCGTGCATAGTGGTCAGGACTGTGTTCCTTCTGTACTGCTCATGCAGCTCTCCCCGAGGCCGCCCCTCCAGGGTGAACGGGGTGGTGTACATGAACCTCCGGAGGTTGAAATTCTTCTCAAAGTATGTGACCCTGTCTTTCATCTCATACTCATCAAAGTAGGGCTCCACAAAAGTGATCTGTATGTAGGCCTAAGGGGGAAAAGGCACGGAGGGAGAAGATGAGCTATTCTGCAAACGGCCATCCCTGACGCAATGGAGGGGCATGCAGGAACACGGCGTGCCGGCACCGCCCTGCCCAGTGCAGAAAAGCTACAGATGCAGGGGAGAATGTGGCCAGCAGAAGTTCCTCCTCTCCACCCCCAAGGACAGAAGGGGCTGCAAGGAGGGAGAGGGGAATGTGCCTGTGGGGAGAGTGAGGGCCACCGGCCGCACCTTCCTAGCAGAGCAAACTGATCCACAGTGGAAGCCTTGGTATGAGAGTTTGCAAACTGCTATTCCAAAGAGACAAACTTTCCTTTACAGAATGACAATGACTACCTCACAGTTATGAGGAAGCATGAATGGCCGAACTAAAGAAAACTAACAATATCAAGTGCTGGCAAGGATGGAGATCAGCTAGAGCTGTCATACACAGAGGGTGGGAATGCAAAATGCACAGCTACTTTGCAGAAGAAGCTGGCGGTCTCTTATGCAGTTAAACTGCACTACCATTGGACCCAGCAACCCCACTCCTATGTGTGTACAGGAGAGAAATGAAAGCTTATGTCCATACAAAAACCTGTACACAAATGTCTCCAGCAACTTTATTCATAACAAAGACTAGAAACAACCCAAATGTCACTCCAGTGGGGAATTAACAAGCAAATGGTGAGGTAGTCACACAACAGAATACTACTCAGCAACGGAAAGGAAGGAACTATTGCAACATGGACTACCAATGGGCACGGGAAGTATTTTGGAGTGGTGGATCTGTTCTATATCTTGGTTATGAAGGTAGTCACATGTGTTTGTCAAAACTCATAGAACTAAACACCAAAACTGAATTTTACTGCCTAGGCCTCATTTAAACACACACTCACATCACCTCCACCCTCAAACACAGAGCGAATAAGTACTCATTAAAGACGACAATCTCTTAGGAAAAAAAGTGACCATGAGTTCAGATGCTGGGACACTCACCCACTGAAAGGGATGAGTGGGGTCACTGACCTCAGACTGTAAATCACGACTTAGTATAATGAAATCTGGTTGTAACTCTGGGTTCAGACTCTCATTCCAAACTCTCACAACCTACCCTGGGAATTTTAAAAGAGGGGAAAAGGGCACCTTGGCTGAGGGAGGTCACATTTTACACAGCTTGTGCTATGTACAGATCACTGTGGGCACACGGCCAACTCCATCTCCCAGACATGTGTGTCTGAAGATTAGTTAAACTCTTACCACAGCCACTGCTTTCAAGCCGAGGCTAGGGAATGTGTCTTAAGTGAGAAAGCATTCTGAAAAATGTAGAAAAACAAACTCTTCAATTTGGCCAATTCTTCCCCTCTTCCATTATCTTCTTCATATCCTGGAAGATGGAACTGGGAGTTTGGACCTTTCATTTTATAGGTTTGCTAGATGGTGAATGGTCCTCTGTCCCAGGGCCCTTAATGATACCTTGCACTTGCACTATTTCCAGTAACTTAGAAAGCTCATTCATGGACATGTGAGTTGGGCTGAGTGGGCAGCATCAGCTTGTGGTATAATAAAGAATATGTCTGGTCTTTGTCTCCATTTCCTAGCACAGAGCTTTAGAAACACTTAGAATTTCCTCAGTGATGGGTGTCTTTGTGATGCTAATGAGGTGACTCATGCTGGGCCCCTGGATAGCTTCAGGATGCCAAGTGGCCACCAAAAAGACCAATTCTGTGATTACAGGGTAGGAACTGGATGACCTCTGGAGACAGGAGAGGGGCTGGAGACTGTATTCAATTTGCCTACATAATGAAACCCCAACAAAATCTCTGGACACTGAGACTTGGCGGAGCTTCCTGGTTGGAGAACACACTGATGAGCCAGGAAGCCATAAATAAAGGCACAAAAAGATGTTCACCCTTTATCATAATACTCTGATAGTAACCAGAGTACTTTTTGGAATTCTGTGAGTCATTGTAGTGAATTATTTAATCTAACAGGTATCATAGAAACTCCCAAATTATTATTATTATTATTATTATTATTATTTGCTTTGTTTTCTCCTATTTTCAAGCTAACAGGTTATAGAAACTCCCAAATTTGTAGCTGGCTGATCAGAAGCGTGGCTGGCCTGGGGGTCCCTCTTGAAGCTGGCATCTGAAGTCAGGGCAGTCTTGAGGAGGACTGAGCCTTTACCCTGTGGGAGCTGATACCACCTCCACGTGTTAGCATCAGAACTGTACACCCATTTTGGGGTGAAATGGAACATACCCTCTTGTGAAAGTGAGGAAACCCAAACCCAAGCCGTTTTTACCATTCCCCCAACAGCACAGTGATCCCGGACTTGGATGGAAGGAATACTTGCAGCCTAAAGAAGGAAGCCACTAAGTGTTGTCGAGTTTGAAATGGAGAGTTTAAAGGTTTTATAAAAAGGCAGTAAAGAGCAGTGCTGAAGAGTAGGGGTTCAGAAGCAACAGACCTCAAGTCTGAGTACTGGCTCTGCTGCTTGCATGACCTTGAAACTTGCTTGACTCTTCCATGTCTCAGTTTTCTCATCTCTAAAATAGGAATGACAAAATCTACTTCCAGGGGTCGTTGCAGGATGAAATAAAATGATGTATGTAGAGGGCCTAATGCAGTTCCAGGTACACAGTTGGTGCTTAATAAGTGGTAGCTCCTATTATGATTCCTGCCTTTGACTATATTTTCTTTAAGATCTGACCAATTAGTAGTTGAACTCTAGACGAAAAGGTTTGACTGCATTTAAGTGACTTGGAGAGTCCAGATAGATGAGATCATTAGGTATTCTTGGGTAGAGAACGAAGGGATTTAGAGCTTGATGGTTAGTTTTTGTAAATTTTTGTATACCTTGTTAGGATCCAACTTGGTTTTGTCCACAGGAGTGGAGTCTTTAATCACTTCCACAAATTCTGCACCAAAACATTGACCATAAAATGCCTAGGTAAGAAGAACCAACAGTTTATAAAGGTTATTTTAACATAATGCAACTCTTTGTCTTCTTGGAAGTGAAATAAGTTTGGAGCAAGTGCAAGGTAGAATGATGTTCACTGATTATTGAGAGTTCCTCTGAGCTAATGAGCAAAGTTCAGCATTTCCTAAGACAAAAATAAAAATAGCACTGTCAACTGGTATATGCTTCCCTATAAGATGTATGCTTGGCCTCTAATTCAGCTAACATCATTATATTTGCTGAGGTATCTCCTGGGGTATCACACTCTTTACTTCTCGCCTTCTGTACCCTGGGAACTTGGAAGTCACCAGCCTTCCCATATTGTGGCAAATCACAGTGCACAAGAAGATAAAATATATACCTCTAATTCTAAGTAGGGGAAACAATATAGGGAACCAAGTGGACTGGGGTCAATTGCTAGCTCTTTTTCTCATGTGCTAAACAATTTTGGGGCAACTCACCCAGCCACCCTGGGCAATGGCTTCTTTGAGTCAAGTAAGGATAAACCCTCTTGTCTTTTTTGGCATGGATGGAGAGTGTACGAAGCCATTAGGCAACACAAATGTTTTAAGTTTTACACTCATAGGAGGGCACAAATTCAAAGCAATGAAAGCCTAAGGAGTGAATCTTTGGTTAATTGTGAGCAGTTCAAAGGACCCCAGTCCTGCTTGGTAATTGCAGGCTCTTTGTAAACAAATTCCTGTTCATCCAAATCCCATCGGGGAGGCACCTTTGACTGAGTTCTTAGTGTTTGGCCCTTATAACCTGTGTTTCTTTTGTCCTGACCTTTCTCTAGGCTGTTTCTCTTTTTCTCCATGCTTTCAGCTTTGCTTCTAACAACATGCTACACTTTTCTGTTGTATTATGGACCAAATGTCACTCACTGGCAGGTTGGAGCCGGGCTGGCCACAGCTGAGTAGCTCCACATCAGAAGGACCCCAGGTGCCATCCAGTGATACCTAAAGGATGGCCTCACCATTATCTAGGGGTGATTCAGTCATTTGGCTAGATTACTTCAAAGTCAAGATGCTAAACTTCATGTTGAAAAACTCTACTACTCTCTATCTACTAGTATAAACTACTAATATTTGGAAAGGGTGATAAGAAAGCACATGACCTTGATTGAATTTTGCACAGACTTCAAAATAAATATTCACCATATAAAATTCCAAACTGTGAAAAGCATACACAGAGTATTAGGGAAAAACTATCAAAATATTACATCACCTCATGATCTCACCTAATACCTTTCTACTTTGCCTTTTATAAATGCAAAGGGGAAAACTTTATGTAGAGATCAATGATGAATCCATAACTCTTTATTTGTTTATTTTTGGTGATGACCCACTCTAACTTGTTTTTGTAAAGTGTACCAGGTCAGGCGCACAGAATCACTTTTCTTACCTCTAGTCTATGTGAGATCTCAGGAAGCTTGGTAATTGCAGGCTCTTTGTAGACAAACTCCTGTTCATCCAAATCCCCAAATTTGGATCCAAAGAAACCAACTCGGAAGTAGGTTCCAAACATTCTCTTATGATCCTGAGGAACAAAATATAAAAAGCTCTCCTTAGTTATGTCATCCTGAGGAGCCACTGAGTTGCAAAGGGCAGGGGTCTCTCATTGTGTTAACAAAGCATTTTACTCCTATGGCTGATGTAAACAGAAATTACTCCTTAAAAAAATTTAATGCTTATGGAATAAACTTCAGAAATAACAACAAAAGGAATCCCATGAAAGATTTCTGGGACTTCTTTTAATTACACTTAAAAATTTCTCACATTTCCTGGTTATAAAGTAATTTAAGCTGTATGTTTTCACATATGGAATTTTGGTCCTCTGTTAGAAGAATTTCAGCCCTTTTCTGTTTGACAGGTGAGAGCAAAAGCAATGTGCTAAAGATAAATCACTCCCTGGAGAGGAAGGATGGCTAAGCATCTGTAGGACAGGGTCGCCTGCCACCAGGTAACAAGACCTGCCAGCCAGGCTCCCCGGCTACCTTGTTAACGATGCTGTCGAAGGCTCTCTGCAGCTTGCTGTGAGTGAGTGTCAGCTTCCGGAATTCTCGATGCGCTTCTAGGATGGGGATGACCAGCTTGTAGACCTCATTAACTGTCTCATATAAGCCTCCCTTGGAAAGAGGAGAAGAGCATCAGAGAGAATTTAATCCACTGGAAACTTAAGAAGAGCAACCAGAGGTCATTGTCCAAACAATGTGCTGGAGAGTGAATTTATTGTTGTATCACAGTATTTCACAGGGCAAGAAGGGGTATCTGAGCACTTTTGGGACAGTGGTAGCCTTCAAACTGAACTAGACACCTCGCTAAGTAGTCCTGTATGGCGATAAGTAAGGAGAAGAGCTTTCGGGGGAAAAAAAAATACTGGCTGAGTGCAGTGGCTCATGCCTGTAATCCCAGCACTTTGGGAGGCTGAGGCAGGAGGATCACTTGAACCCAGAAGTTCAGATCATCCTAGACACCATAGGGAGACCCCATCTCTGCAAAAAAATTAAAAAATCAGCCAGGTGTGGTAGCATGCTCCTGTAGCCTCAGCTACTTGGGCGGTTGAGGTGGGAGGCTGAGCCCAGGAGGTCAAGGCTGTAGTGAGCCAAGGCTGCATCACTGCACTCCAGCCTGGGTGACAAGGCAAGACGCTGCCTCAAAAACAAAAACAAAAACAAAACAAAACGAAAAGAAAAAACAGGAGAGAAGTTTGGTAGCAGGGACTAACAGCAATTCAGAAAGGCAGTTTTAGTATATTTAAATTTCATCAGAGGTCCTCCTCTAGCCAGATGCTAAATGTATGCCTCCAAAGAGTTAGTAGGATTCTAATTCATTTTGTTGAGTTTGAGGAAAAATGAGAGTATATTAGACATTTTCTGAATCTTGAAAAGGAAAGCAAGAATAGAGAGAAGACAGTTAAAACAATAATTAAAATAAATAAAATTGTAGAGAGGAAACTTGGAAATAAAAACTGGAAAATAAGGATGAGTATAGTATAGATGAAAACAAAATTGGGTCAGCTAAATATAGTAAAGTACTGAATACTTTCTTGGCTTAAAATGTAAAGGAGGAGGGAGATTATTAAAATGAAAACAAGTTGGGCGTGGTGGCTCACACCTGTAGTTCCAGCACTTTGGGAGGCCAAGATGGGCAGATCACTTGAGGCCAGGAGTTTGAGACCAGCCTGGCCAACAGGGTGAAATCCTGTCTCCTCTAAAAATACAAAAAATTGGCCGAGTGTGGTGGTGCACACCTGTAATCCCAGCTACTCATGAGGCTGAGGCAGGAGAGTTGCTTGAACCCTGGAGGTAGAGGCTGCAGTGAGCCATGATTGCACCACTGCATTCCAGCCTGGGCGACAGAGCTAGACTCTGTCTCAAAAAAAGAAAAGAAAATAGACAAGAGTGTTTCCTCTTTGCCCTGAATCTCAATGACTTCATCTCTCTATATATTTTTCTAGTATATATACTAGGAGTGTTTAGATCCAGATTACGTTAACCAGAGGAGTCTCAGTGGTTTCTGTGCCCACATTTCTGTAAGCTGGTCCTGGTCTGTGATGGTCCTTCAGACTGCACAGTGGCTAGGAGGGAAGACACTGTCTGTGTATTCCTCCTCTCTCCTCCCAGTGGTTCCTCCCTAATTTTTTTCTCTCTGAGAGGAAAAACGAGGGAGTGAAAACATGCCTCATCATTTATTGTGTAACCCTGGGCAGGCCATTTCACCTCTCTGTGGCTTAGTTCCACCCCTATTAAATAGAAATAATACTGTGAAACTGCTGCCCAACCAATGAGCATACAGTGAAGCTCAGATCGGCACTGTGATGAAAGGTTATCTCAGCTCCCTTGGGAAGCTCATGCAATTTGCATACATCAAAGTCCTCCCCGGGCCCATCCCCTGCCCCGCACACCCTGGCACGTGTCCTCGGGAAGTGGGGCTGACTGGGCCATTAAGACCAGGTGTTCCCAGCACCCCAAGTCCAGCTGGAGTATGGGAGGCCAGGCCCCGGGATGCCCTCTGGGCACTGACCGTGCTGAAGAGCTCCGCGGCCTGCTCCAGGAGGCCTACCAGGCCACTCTCGGTGAAGTACTGGCCTGCGCACACCCCATCCTCGTCAGGTGACAGGGTGTCCTCAGAGACCACAGACTCCTCCAGCACATTGGAAGAAATATTCTGAAAGAGACCACAGTATAAGCCTGGAGAACAGGGCGACCAGACTAGTAAGAGACCACAGGAACCCCGAATGGGGAAACGAGGAAGCTGGTGTGCAGATCCTTACCAAGACCGTGACTAAACTAGGTCTGTAATTCTACCCCGAGAGTATCTGTCTGCCATTCATTTAGAAGAGGCGCACTGAGCAACTGGTCTTCAAACCTCACGTTTTTCTTTTTAACCATTAGGAGATTTTGTATAAAGGACACTTACCTCAATGTCACAACAGCTGAGTTACTTTAGTGAAACAACCCTAAGGGACATAGGGCTGGTGTCCTGGTTTTCAAAAGGCAAAGACCCAATTAACATTAACTAGGCTCCCTGTTTCACCGAGTGGACCTCTGACTTACAGTGGTGTTTTTCTGAAGTATGTTGCTACTCTGGAGTTGACTCAGATAAACAGCCATGACATACGACAACAGCAAGCGAGGCTGTCTTCATTAAGGAAGTTTTCATGGCATTGCAGCAGTTACTGTGTGTGTGTTTTTGTTCTTCCTGAACATTTTGTTTCCATGCATTTGTTTCCTTTACATAAACTATTGCGTTTAGAGCCTCTAGCAGAGCATGCAGAGACCATGGTTGGGGTGAACCAAATGAGAAACCCAAGACAAAATTTAGAGAGGTACTCGCTTTTAGGGCCATGGAAGTACTGATCTTGTACCCGCTCGACCCTGAGGGTGAGTGCCTCTTCACCCTAGCACTGGCCCTGGCAGTGAATATGTGACAGGTCAAGAATCATTTTCTTCCTAGCTCACAGCTATGGAAGAAATGCATATGAAAAACAGAAGAAATGGGAAACCTTCCCAGTTTAGGGATTACAAACAGGTGGCACACATGCCACTCCTTCCTATTGCTGTAATCATGGCAGGCATAACTAATCAACTGTAGCACTTTTTCCCCAGAGCTTGGACATAGTCTCGAAATTCTTAAGCATAGTTCTCCAGTCAGCCACTACTAACTGATCAGAGTTGGCTTGTGAACTAAAAGCTGTCTGCCTTCTGGCCTGGTTAGCAAGATCATGTGAATCAACCTTAGCAATCAGTCAGGACATAGTTGTCATAGATAGCCCTATCTCTTCACATGCAATACTGTAACGTAGTTTTAGGAATATAGGAGGAGGCTCTCAAAGCCTTTGTGGCCAGTCTTTCTTCCAAACCTGCCCTATGTATTATGATGTTTCTGTGACAACAGAAGATCCAAGAAATTCAGTTGAAAGCATTTAATAACCCAAGATACTAATACTATTAGAATGTATGCAATTTTCCACATTAGAGGAACAGATTTGAAGCTATGTAGCCTCATTAGCTGTAGTCAGAGGAAAAGGATTCTGCAGACTTTCTTGGCTTCAGGATCAGGGAGGTACAAGTAACAGCAGTATCTAAGAATGTGTCCGTATCTACAGTTGTGAAATAAATATTGCACTCTGGGACACAGAATTTCAGTGATCTCAGTTTCCTGGAATTCAGTGACCTCAAAGTTATTTTCCTTGCACATATTTATTTATCTCTAGTTTATAAATCTTTTCCAAAAGCTCTATTTCATTGGAGCAGAACAAGGTTGAAAATTAAAGCACAGAGCATTTGCAAAATCAACACTGGACATCTGTTGTTAATGCTGTCTAGAATTCTTTCCTCCTTCTATAAAGTAAGGCATCCTGATTTAGGGGAAGAAATCACCCATAATTCCAGGTGTGGACCCATGACCCGGGGTCAGTAAATCAGAGCACTCCATTTCTCTGGCCAGTATGGCTGGTTCAGGGATGAGCACAGGATCAGATGTTCAGACAGGATCAGTAAGATGCACTGAGGCTTTCTCTGCAACTGCTAGAAAGGAGGCATCTCTCTTCTCTCCTAGACTTGAACCTAGAGATGTAAACCTAAACTGTGGTGTGGGAAGCCTGTGAAGAATGAAGCTGACACAACAGATGGCAGAGATGGGAAGTGGTGATGACAGTGAGCTCTGCTGACATTGTTTGGGCCCCTAGGTCCAGTATGGCAGGTGCTACTCCAGGCTCACATTCCTCAGACGGGCTGATAAATTCCATTTTTACCTTCTGTCAGTCTGGGTTGGGTGTCCTTTCACTTGCCAGCTACATTTCCAAATTGATTTGGTATGTCCCATTTGAGAGAAGTAAGAATTCACTCATACACATTAATATAATTTGGCTTCTCTTCTGTAGCTGACAACACCTAACTCATTGCCTCCTCTACATCAAGAAGCCCTCACACTTCAGTTTCTTCTGCCTTCCTTTTCACCTTCTTCACCCTTCCCTGACCCACAGGGCCTGGACCATAAATGCTCACAATATCTTGTGCCTCTTTATAACAGTATTTCTCATAATTATAACTGAACAAAGATTGGAATAATTAGTTATATTACGTCTCTCTGGTTAGAATGTAACGTTCATGAGGACAGAATAAGTATTCAATAAATATTCTCTAAAAGAAGGAATCAATGGATAAATATATGTGAACAGATAGAGCTGTATGCCCCCATGTCGGAATAATGTGGAATATTTCTGTTGATTGTGTAATAATGATTCACTTTGGCATGTCATTATTAGCAAATCAACTGAATTCTAGGTAAAATTAGAACAGTAAGGCTTACTAAATATAAAAGTCAATAATGAAATGCAATTGATATTTAAGTGATAAATATAAAATAAAATATAGTCATGGGAAAAGGAATAAAAGAAGTATAAAATAATTTAGTAAATGAAACAATATGAAGTGCTAAACCTTACAATTTCCTGGGAATTGAAAGAGTAGTACTATAATATTTATTTTTGATAGTATCACATGGTCAAAATAAATTTGAGAAAAGAAGCAAATACATCTAAAATAACTTTTATAACTTTCTTGTACACTTCTATGTGATTTGAAATCAGGTGTTATTTTTATGCTTTTGGATGAGATTTAATTATCAGCTTTTATAACAAACATTTCTGAATTAAGAAGAAAATTCATTTGCCAAGCATGAAATCACAGAATGACTATTTTTGTTCTTGAGGACCATAAGAAAGGAGGAGTTATTCATAGGAGGCAATACCCAGCTTTGCTGTGTTCTGGAAAACCAGAAGCTCTTGGCTGCACCAGCATAGTTTCAGTGACTTATTCTCTAAGCCTGGGGAAGCTACTTTGAATTGTTCTTTCTTTCTGGTTCATACAACATCACAAAATTGTGTTGAAGAACAATAACAAGAACAAAGCTTTTCATAAAATCAGCCATGTAAATTCAAACAAGAATAATACAAACCCTTGTAAATGACTTCGTGAGTCTGGCTTGAAAAACACTCTATTACTGTAGCTATATTGTTCATGGTTTCAGGGATGGTCATCTCTACAAACTATGTCTCTTACAAAAAAAGTACCCAACATTGTGCTTTTTTATTTTCTCTCTCTCTAAAGACTATTAAACTATTCAGTAAGAACACTTTAAGTGGCCACTGAGCATCCCCATCCGAGCCAGCTTTTAGGTCTGGCAGACAATTTCCCTTTGCCAAATGTGGGTAATTTTCAGCTTATCCTAAGAAGGTACTGATTCAGCCTTTTGTCTCCCTTCTCAGGTCAATTTGATTCTTTCTTGATTTTTGGATTGGAGAGTGGGCCCCTATAAAGTTGAAGAGTGGAATCAAATGAATGGGCCAGGAGGAAAATCATTTATCCAATGTTTTCCAAACTTTCACAATGTCAGTATACTGTGTCAACTACAAGTCTTTGAAAAAGAGTTTAAGTGACCTTAGAAAACTTGCTCTCTCAGTTCTCTCATCCGCGAAGTGGGAATAATAACCGCCTTCCCTACCTACCTGCCTCACAGCTTTACGGGGAGGTTCAAATGAAGCCATGCATGTGAAAGTGTTTGCAAATGTCTCCTAAAGTGCTATTAATAATGGCTAGGTGCCATTATTGTAAACAGTAATTTAAAAAAAACCCAACGACGATGGGAAAGCAATTAGAAGAAGCAAATGTAATGTATGAACTTGGAATTTTTCAACCTTAGCACTACAGACATTTGGGGCCAGACAATTCTTTGTCAGGGGAGCTCTCCTATTGCAGAATGTTTCACAGCATCCTGGCTTCTACCAGTCAGATGCCAGTAGCACCTACTCACCCATCCCAGTTGTGATAACCAAAAATGTATCTAGACATTGCCAAATGTCCCTGGGGCTGGGGGACAAAATCGCCCCAGTTGAGAACCACTGCTCTAAGGGAAAAGCTGCACACACCCTACCTGGAAGCTGACACTGCCCACGGGCAGGTAGCTGTGGTCCTCCAGCATGCTCAGATACTCAGCCACTAACGCAGCGGCGTGCACCAGGCACATGGCAGCCTCCGTGTAGCACTTCTTCTTGGTGTGTTTCTCTGCCATGTTCTGGAGCCAGGTCAGCCGCAGATCAGGAGATGCCTGGTAACTCTTGGCAATTCTGAAGACAGATTGAGTGAGAAGTAGTTTTGAGGACAGTGGGTTAATGACACTGTTCTTCTACTTTGTGTGACCTTTTCTTTTTTTCTCCCCAAGAGTTCCCTGTACCCCTCCACCTGAGATTTTGCCCTATATTTCCAGAAAACGAGACAGAAGAAAACATTTATTAGTCCAACTATTTTTATTCCATGTTTAAGCTGTGCTGACCTCCAAGAAATAGTACTTAGTAAAAGCCTTATGGGGAAAAAATACCTGATAACATGATGTCTATTTTAATGGCTCTCAGGCAAATTTCTGCCTTTTCTTTCCTTTCTCTCAAAATAAAACAGAAGACAAAAGTACTGCCCTTTGTATGATGTTGCATCAGAACAATTTTGCCTCTGTAAGTAATTTCTCCTGAACAAGGACTGGAAGACCAACTTTTAAACTACGCGTAAAAAATGATTTCTAAAGTAAAACTATATATGTATGTCTGAATATAATTGGAACAAAAGCATATGGAAAATAATTCCTATAACAGTTAATTATTCTTTCTCTGATTCTGTGGTAAGTAGAAGATAGTGTTATTATATTTAATAATGTTATTATATTTAATAACATTATTATGCCTCACTTTAAATTAGGGAGATCCTTCTGAAAACTTACATATGAATTAACCTACTCTGAATGTTTAATTTCTATATATTATTTGGCTATCATCCAAATCACTATATCCATGTTAGCTGTGATCATTACATTAGTAAGAACTCCACAGTGACAAATCCTCGACCCCCAAATGGTGTCCCTTGAGTGTGTCAGGAAAGCTTACCTGTACATGAGATCCATAAGCATCTCAGGATCTTCCTGAAATTCCCTCATTTTCACTGTGTCATATAAGATGCTATTCAGATTACAGAGAAGTTCCTCCACCTGCAAAAAGTGTAAGCCTCAAAATAATCTTAGCTTTGTAGTCCCAGGTGAAGAGTTAGGATTACATTGAAATGCAAGGGGAAGCCATGGGAAGGGTTGGATCAGAGGGCAGCAGAGACTAGGGATGGCGGAGTCATCTAGACCTGACTCTGTAGTTTTCATCTTCGCCAGCCCAGGAGTTTATGAGACCTGGATGTGTGTTGGCCCTTGAGATCCAGAAATCTGCCTGAATCCTCATACTATCTCTATCTCCAACATTTTTGTTTAAATTAGTTTGAACCAGTTTCAGTTATTTGTAACCTGAAAAGTTCTAAACTCTACTCTGGAATATCAGGGATTTTTATACCAAGTAGGAAGCAGCTTAGGACCTCAGCTTGAGTTCCATGTCTCAGAAGCCTCCTGGATCTTCCCAGGGCTTCAGAGATTTTAGAACCTCTTGTAATCATTTATTCTTAATTATAAAACCAACAGTGGAGGTCCAGGGGAGCCTGCAGTACAAAAACAGGGAGAGACTATGGCTTGATCTAGAGACCCTGGCAGGTAACTCAGCCACAGAATGTTGTCTTATCCCCGTTCCCCTCTGCCAGCTTGCCAGGGCTCCTAAAATTTCTACCACTAGAGTCATTTCATTGGGTGAAGGCACTGAAGACCTTTATTAAACTGCCCATAGTTTGATTGGTCTTGTTGGTGAATACCTCTATATAAATGATGGAACTAAAGGAGTATGGTCAAGATGAAATGAGAGAGGAACGATTTGATGTAGAGGAGAGGAAAAAGATTCTGAGAATGAGGATGCAACATTGCCCGAGAGGGCAAAACAGACTCCGGAAATAGGGTTCTCAGACTAAGGGAATAAAAGAAAACATTCATTCATTCATTCTCACTTAATTAAGACCCTACCATAGAGCAGGCTAGGAGCTGGAGTTAAAAGACAAATGGGACAGGCTAGAGTTCCACGGTCATCGTAATGGACATGGAAGAGATGACTGTCCTTACACATTTCCTTAGGACAACCTTGTTTACAAGCTCTCTCAAACTCGGCCCTTCCTTACCCCTCACCAGACAAGCTGGTCCCTTTACCATCCCTACAGATACAAACAATTCATTGTTTCAACTACTCACAATTTCCCCCTCACTTTTCCCCTGCCTAGCGGAATCCTACCCCAGCCTTTAGTGTCATCCCTCCCTGCAGGCTTTCCTGGCCACCAGATTGTTTATTGATCACGACCTCTCTTCCTCTAACCTTCCATAGCATTTAGCTCCTTACCACACAGTTTGCACTTATGTATCACTTGTCTTGTACTGCCTCCTAATTGTTTTGAGACTGAGCACTCCAAATAGACTGTTAGCATATTGAGACTGGGGACAGTGATGGATGTATTTCTTTTTAAAACCTCTCAGAGTGCTGAGAGCACATGCATATTGGACAATAAATACTTGCAAATGTTATATATTTATATATAAATTGTGTATATATGTACATACATACATACACAATAGTTGGCAGATCCCAAACTCATGCATGAGACAAGGTATGTGCTTCGGTGTACCTGGGTGGGAAAAGGAGTCATCTGCATGGCTGTGTCCTCTTCTGAATAGGCCAAAATTGTCCTCAAGGATCTTCTCAGGTGCTCTTCATTAAAGTCTGGTGCTCTTCCCACCAAAGATGCCAGGGACATGGTTACTTGCATCTTTACTCTTGCAAAATTCTGCATCAGTGAAAAAAAAAAAAAAGATGAAGTAAATAAGACACACTTAGCAGTAGATAACTGAAAGCAGCATGGCCAGACACAAACAACTCCTCAGTGTTTCCTTTGCCCCGTCTTAATTATTTCCTCTTCTCTCAATGAAATGGGAGCTACACTTTGCACAACATTCATATTGTTGTTTAAATGGTTTAAATGGACATTGCTCTCACATAAATCTGTCAGGCTCCCTTTAAATTTTCATTGAGGACTGGGCTGCCTTTGTGCTGCAAGCTGGAAGATTCTTATAAAGTTGGGTCCAAGAATACAGTATATCCTTTTGTGCCAAGAGTTTCTTCTTGGGACTTTATTTAAACTTTATTAAAAGAAAGGGACTTCTGGCTCAGCCTCCCAGCACTTTGGGAGGCCAAGGAGGGTGGATCACTTGAGCTCAGGAGTTCAAGATCAGCCTGGGCAACACAGCAAAACCCCGCCTCTACTAAAAATACAAAAATTAGCTGGGCATGGTGGTGGACACCTGTAATTCCAGCTACTCGAGAGGCTGAGGCAGGAGAATTGCTTAAACCTGGTAGGCAGAGGTTGCAGTGGGCCAAGATCTCGCCACTGCACTCCAGCCACGGTGACAGAGCGAGACCCTGTCTCTAAATAAATAAATCAGGGGACTTCTGTGGCCAGCATTTCTGAGATTTTGAACTCCGGGTAAGCAACAAGGTTTTGTTTCTTCTTTCTTTACAGGCCCATGGAAAAACATGGCTACCTCAAGGTCCCCTGAGGAATGTCTTTTAAATAATCATCCCTAATACATTTGGAGGAGGCTGACTTTTTTCCATGGGCCAATTTATCTTTATATATCACTTGAGCATACTTATTAACATGGCCACAAATGGAAATTCCAAAGAAGGTATCAAAATCTAGACAAACTAAAGCAAACTTGACTGTTCTATAATAAAGCTGAACTCCAAAGTCTTCGTAGCTTTGAATAAAACTCAAGTCTTGGCTAGGCAGGATGGCTCATGCCTATAATCTCAGTACTTTGGGGGGCTGAGGAGGGAAGATCACTTGAGCTCAGGTGTTCTAGACCAGCCTGGGCATGCAGCAAGACCCTGTCTCAACAAAAATGCAAAAAAAATTAGCTGGGTAAGGTGGCTCGTGCCTGTAATCCCAGTTACTACATGGGAGGCTGAAGTAGGAGGATCATTTGAGCCCAGGAGTTGAAGGCTGCAGTGAGCTCTGATAGTGCCACTACACTCCAGCCTGGGTGACAGAGCAAGACACTGTCTCAATAAATAAATAAATAAAATATTA
Organism: Homo sapiens; assembly: GCF_000001405.40. Classification (NCBI taxonomy): domain Eukaryota; kingdom Metazoa; phylum Chordata; class Mammalia; order Primates; family Hominidae; genus Homo; species Homo sapiens. Next base: position 430,863 of record NC_000009.12, on the reverse strand, counting down.
AAATAAAACTCAGGTTAGATGACACCGATCATTTAAAATCCTCTTCCACAGGTCATTCTGGCACTAGCTAGTCAGAATTTAGAAACAGGAAACACTCTTCTGAATTCTAACCTGTCTATTGTATTTTTTCCCCCACAGATGATAACTTTTAATCTAAAATACTCTTCCATTTCTTTCTTTCTTTTTTTTTTTTTGAGACAGGGTCTCAGGCTGGAATACAGTGGCACAATCTTGGCTCACTACAACCTCTGCCTCCTGGGTTCAAGCGATTCTCGTGCCTCAGCCTCCCCAGTAGCTAAGATTACGGGCGTGTGTGCCACCACACCCGGCTAATTTTTTGTATTGTAGAGACGGGGGTTTCACCATGTTGGCCAGGCTAGTCTTGGACTCCTGGCCTCATCTGATCTGCCTGCCTTGGCCTCCCGAAGTGCTAGGATTACAGACATGAGCCACTGCACCTGGTTATTTTATTTTATTATTATTATTTTTTGAAATGAAGTCTCACTCTGTTGTCCAGGCTGGAGTGAAATGGGGCAATCTCGGCTCACTGCAATATCTGCCTCCCAGGTTCAAGCAATTCTCCTGCCTCAGCCTCCCAAGTAGCTTGGATTACAGGCATGCGCCAACACATCTGGCTATTTTTGTATTTATAGTAGAGACAGGATTTCACCATGCTGGCCAGGCTAGTCTTGAACTCCTGACTTCAAATGATCCACTCACCTCGGCCTCCCAAAGTGCTGGGATTATAGGTGAAAGCCATCGTTCCTGGCCCCTGGCTGTCTATTTTAGAAACACACTGATAGAGACCACTGCATTTATCTGATGAATTCACTTTTAGATGCAAATTAAAATGGAAGCTGCTATCTATCTACATACTCAATTGTTTCTTTCTCACAGGACAGAAGTAAACTGCAATACTGCAAAATTTCCTTATTTTTTTTCGCAGCTGATGCTTTACATCAATTTTTCTCTACTGATTCCAGGTCACTCAGCTGGTTTGAACTCTTACACTGGTGGCTCCAAAACTGAACCTCATGAGGAGGTAAAGGGTGGCACAGGCTTGGCTCCGGGTGACATCCATGCTGCTGCTGCAGTGGTGCAGGACTTGGTGACATAGGTCGAAACACTGTTCCACCTCCTCTTCAAAGAGTAAGTCTCCAAACTAGGAGAGACATAAAGGGCCATTAGGCATCACTTGGCAGTTTGATACACTTTCTGGACCGTTGAAATATGCAAATGTCCATTTGGACAAGCAAAAAGCCTAGAAGAGTTAATGCATTATTCCATAAAGATAATGAGCTATGTGAATCAGAAGATGGATTTAAGCAATGGAGTAGACTTGAGATTTAATAATGAACTGTCCAGCTAAAAGGGTCAGAGCTGTGTTATCAACTGCACTGTGAGCCAGGTCGCATTCACTGGTGAAATCACAACTATGATGGAAGGAAACCTGAGTTTCTTGGGTTCCTGGGAAATTACTGGTGATGAAGAAAGAGAAAATGGTCCTGAGAAGGATGAGCAGAAGAATTTTACTTTTTAAATTTAAAAGACCCCATGTAGAAGGCACCAATTGAGATCTTCAATAAAGGGAAAAATAGGCCAGGAACGGGGGCTCACGCCTGTAATCCCAGTGCTTTGGGAGGCTGAGGCAGGTGGATCACTTGAGGTCAGGAGTTCAAGACCAGCCTGGCCAACATGGTGAAACCCTGTCTCTACTAATAATACAAAAATTAGCTGGGTGCGGTGGCACACGCCTATAATCCCAATACTCAGGAGGCTGAGGCATGAGAATCGCTTGAGCCCAGGGCGCAGAGGCTGCAGTGAGCTGAGATGGTACCACTGCACTCCAGCCTGGGCGATAGAGCGAGACTCAGTCTCAAAAATAAATAAATAAATAAATAAAGGGAAAAATAATCTGCATGTTACCCCAGGATAATCCTCATTCCTCAGGCCGTGAGAAATTCATTTCTGACCTTCCTGGCATTTTATGGCATGACATTTTGTAAGACTAATGGGCGTCACATAGAGGATTTAATCTCACTCAGCAGAGGTATTACAGAGAAAGAGTGAAATTGCTAAGTCACTCAGTTGATCTCTGTTCTCATGTCATAGACCTTCAGCGAATGGCCATTTTAAACTTCTAGAGTTAGGTCCACACTTCAAATATGGGAGCCACTGCTTTTCCTCTCCATGGTGGCTTCCCACAGAATCAGGGCATCTGCTTTCTTCCTAGGAAGACTTAAGACCTTTACTGTGATGCCACTTAATATGCTCTGTGACTTTTGGTCCACCTGAAGAGAGAAGTATGAAGCTAGATGAGAATCTTACTCTTAATTAAGAGGAAGAAAACAAGCATCCCAAGTTTACCTTGGCGATGAGAGCACGGAGTGTTGCAAAGCAGTGAGTCAGGTAGGTGGTACTCTGATCACAGTTCAGAGAATTCACCAGCACCCTCAGAACACCTCCCAGCAGGCTGTCTTTACAGTCCAGAGCCGAGCTCGCCTGGGGGAATGGAAGAACAGCATCATTGAATCCCTGCACTGTGCCAATGAACTGGATGTTCCTGACAATTAGCTCAGTAATGCTGATGTTCCATGTCCAGTGGTGAGTCTTAAGAGTTTGGTGAGCCACCATGGGTATCATCCATTAACCATGGGAACTGAAGACCTATTTCCAAATGGCTTTATTTCAATGCTTCCAATGAGTTTGGGATTTATACCTAATTCTGGGTTCCTAAATGAAGGTATAAGGCCCATCTCCCTCATCCTGGGTCACATCTTTTGGAAAGTTCTTTCTTTGTATACAAGACATAGCTTTCCTTATGGGATGCAAAACACAATTGTGGGCTTCCCAGTACAACAGGGGCTGCTTGGTGGCAGCAATGTTTCTAAATAGAAGCTTGTTTATCACCTACAGAAGGACTAACAACACCAAGGATAATAACAAAAGGTTTCAGCTTTCTTTGAAAACTGCAAATATATTTGGGGGCTAGTATAGATATTTGGCACCTAATATTGTGCTATATAAAGATAAGGTAAATGTGATACCAAGCATTTAAGTTATCAAAGATATTAAAGTCAACAAAAATATCACATACTTTTTGTGTTTATTTTTGTATGATGATTACTTTGATTTTAGACAATTCAAAAGTTAGAGAATTAAGATTTCACTGTGTTTCAACGATATTTCTTCTAGCCCTAAAAGCAATCCTGGACCTACTCTAATGAATGACTTCTCAATGGAAACATGTAAGAACTCATTTTTCAGGGTAATTAAAAACTCATTATTACCTAGACAGCTTGGGAATTTGTGGAAATAATCACATAGAAGATAAAATTAGTATGGTACAAAGTTCACAAAGCTATATTTTTCTACAGCAGGGATGGCAAATTCATGGTACAAATGACTTTCCTTAACAAATTTAAGTCCAAAGAAGACATCATTTGTCAAATTTAGCACTCTTTTTACCTAGCCTAGTCATAATCATAGCTCCCATATCAGACAGTGACCATCATTCAACTGGAGTTGACCCATCAGAAAAAATTCTACTTACCACTACTGTTCTAGATACTAAACGATAAACCCAACATCCATATTATAAACTTGGTACATACTCACACAGATTTAACCAAGAGGGTCAGCTGGCCAAACACCTAACCCTCTCCAAGTAAGCCCTAAGTCAAAGAAGCCAGAAGAATGTTTGGTATCTCTGGAATTTATAAGGTAGACACTGTTGTAAATAGTAAACTTCTCAACTTCATTTTTTTAAAAAAGGTACTATGGGATCACATTTATGTCTTTCACAATTTTGCATAAAGAAGTCCTTATTCTAGTAAACATATTCATGGCCAACAAATCAGATTGGGTGTTTGTTTTCCTCACCTGGATAATGTTTTCCTGCATATCCAGGATGATTAAATGTGCTTCTGTAGCCAGATTGCCACTGATCAAGGCTTCTTGATCTAACTCGGCCTTTGTTCTAGGAAACAACAAGAGGTCAAATTAAAGCGCATGTCAAACCTGGCCAGGTTCCCATGATGGCAATCTATACACCAAGGTGTAAAGAAATCTCCAAAATAGTCAACCTTGAAATGAAAACAGAGCAACTGGCCCTGAGTAACTACAGTGCAGGTGCCTTCTGTGATTCATGTCTTGTCGAAACAACTGTCTAGGTAAGGTTTCCTGGTCATCCTCATCCCCACTATTATTAATAATGATGAGGACAATTATAAAAATAACACTATGGGTAGAGAAGCAGTTATTAGTTGCTACTAGCAATTAAGCTCCCCTCTCAGATTGTTGCCTAAAGCCTCAGGGCCATGGCTGTATTTCACGCATGAAAACCATTGCTAGATCTGAGTAAGGGGAAGCCCCTGCAACATGCGAGAGAGAGTGAGACTGGATGTGATGTGAACTTGGCAGTGATGCGGCTGGGTTAGGAAAGGGTGGAGCTTCAGAGCCAAGTCAGGGGAGAGTCAGCCTCTTAACTTCCCAAAGATCACCTTGAGGTTGCTCAGCCAAGTGCGTGGGGTCTTTCGTCCTTTTCCATTGGGAAACAAGACTGTATTCCTGTAGGGCAGGTGATCTAATATCCTGCCGGACATTACTGGTCATTGCCCACTAGGGAATGGGAAATTGCCTGGTGCTCGCTCCTCTATTAGGTTTCACTTTAAGGAATCAGAATGGTTTTTTTTGCTAGCCCATCCATTCTTATGAAATCTAAGTGAAGCTGTAAAGGGATATTTTGTATCATCATCCAAATCTAGTTGCAAGGAAAGGGAGGTATGAAGAATTGACTTTACCAAGATGCCTCAGTAGCCAAGATGTTACCATGGGGTTGGGGTATCATTATATCAGCTCATATGTCCTGGGCCAGGGTTACCACTTACCTGTTCTTGCGTCCCATTAACCTAATAATGGGGGCACTGCAGCTGCTTACATACCACTGAGGACTCAAAAAATAAGTACTTCTGTGTGTTTTACTTGTTTTCATGTTTAGGATAGGCTCTCTGGTCCCAAGCCACTTGACACTTTTTCTCATTTTCCAAGTGATAATATATGTGTAAAATAAATGAAATCTAAAAGTTTTTTTTTTTTTTTTTCCTTAGAGACAGGGTCTTGCTCTATCACCCAGGCTAGAGTGCAGTGGCACTATCATAGCTCACTGAAGCCTCGAACTCCTGGGCTCAAGTGATGCTCTGCCTTAGCCTCCTGAGTATCTGGGACCACAGGCATGAGCCATCAAATTTTTATATCGTGATAAAGTACACATAACATCAAATTTACCATTTTAACCTCATCATCCTTTTTTTTTTTTTTTTTTTTGAGACGGAGTCTCCCTCTGTCGCCCAGGCTGGAGTGCAGAGTGCAGTGGCGCAATCTTGGCTCACCGCAAGCTCCACTTCCCGGGTTCACGCCATTCTCCTGCTTCAGCCTCCCGAGTAGCTGGGACTACAGGCGCCCGCCACCGCGCCCGGCTACTTTTTTGTATTTTTAGTAGAGACGGGGTTTCGCCGCGTTAGCCAGGATGGTCTCGATCTCCTGACCTCGTGATCCACTTACCTCGGCCTCCCAAAGTGCTGGGATTACAGGTGTGAGCCACTGTGCCCGGCCCCTTATCATCCTTTTTAATTAATTGACTGCTAGTTTAGTTTTAAATTTAGAGCAATGCTGTCTAGTAGAAACAATGGGGGCCACATATGTCATTTTATATATTGTGGTAACCACATTAAAAAAGTAAAGAAAAAGTGAAATTATTTTTAATATATTTTGTTTATCCTAAAAGATAAAAAATACTGTCTCCATGTAAGCAATATAAAAATTACTAGTGAAATATTTTATTCTTTTATTCACAATAAGCCTTCAAAATCTGGTGCGTATTTTTCACTTATCTTGATTTATTATCTCAATTTGAACTAGCCATATTTCAAGCATTTGATAGTCACATGTGGCTAATGGCTACTGTATTGGACAGCACAAATCTAGAGTGTCCTAATCTGTTTTTTCCCAAATTTTTGTATTGTGATAAAGTACACCTAACATAAAAATTTACCATCTTAACCATTTGTAAGTATACAGTTCAGTAGTGTTAAGTACATTCATATTGTGCAACCATCACTAACACTAATCTGGTTTTTTAAAAGCTTTACCATCTGACCAGGCGCAGTGGCTCATGCCTGTAATCCCACCACTTTGGGAGGTTAAAACAGGTGGATCACTTGAGCCCAGGAGTTTTAGACCAGCCTGGGCAACATGGTGAAACCCTGTCTCTACAAAAAATACAAAAAGTAAGCAGTTGTGGTGGTACACACCTGTAGTCCCATCTACTTGGGAGGCTGAGGTGGGAGGATTGTTTGAGGCCAGGAGGGTAAGGCTGCAGTGAGCTGTGATTGTGCCACTGTATTCCAGCCTGGGTGACAGAGTGAGACCTTGTCTCAAAAAAAGAAAAGAAAAAAAAAAGAAAAGAAAAGCTTACCATCTATTCCTTTAAAACAATGGATTTGGTGGCAATAGAATCACCTGGGAAGTTTTACCAAATACTGATTTCTGGGTCCTGCTGGAGTTTCCAATTGAAGTAGTCTAGGGTGCAGCTGGGCACTGACAGGTTTTAAAGCTCCCCAGGTGATTCTAATGTGCAGCCTAAGTTGAAGATCATTGCTCTAAAAGAAACAGAGCCAAAATAATCGAAAAATGATCAGAAAGAGGGTGAAAGACACCATTATTATAATTATAAATTTTCCAGGTAGGTAGGTTGAACAGTTATAATTTTACTATGGTTTCCCTTTTAAAAAAAAAAAAAAAGCACAAAGCCCCTGAGAATTTGTAGATGTGAATCATTAGCTCTGACAACCAGCAGCCCACCAGGTAGCGCAGGGCTGAGAACTAACCTAGAGCAAACCGGTAGGCCATGCGTGGTAAGGACCAATATTGTGTTGCTCCTGCAAGCAAAAGGGAAAGGTTTTCCAAAACACCAGTTTACACAGCCCAGGCAAAACAGGCCTACTTAGGGGTCTTCTTTTAATCTAGTAGAGTAGATGAGCTAAACCACCTAAGCAATTCTGTAGCACCCACGGCATGCATATTTTGTAGTTGTTGTTCATTGCCCGAAGTAGAATGTATGGACTCTCCGATCCAAGTATTTTATAAATCAGTCCAGGGAATTTAGTGCAAGAATAACATACCCAAAGCAAATAGGCATGATACCAACAACTGGGTTTCCAAGTCACATCTATAATAAAAATATACTTATTTCTTTAATGTTTTAAAATAAATGTGACTCCCCAAAGTCCCATAAGTTAACCAGAATGATTCATTCTTGTGGTAACAATAAAGATATTAACTCACATTTATTTACAAAACAGCACTGCTAATCAAGTCTGCCCCATACCCCCTTTGATGGGTGCTTCATCACCCATGGGGTATCCTACCTTGTCAACTGTGTGTGAGGGGTGATTTTAGCTCTACGACATTTTGCTCAGCAAACCCTGGGACTCATTAGGCTACCTGTGGCTAAACGGTATCGGAAACATGTGCTATCTAGTCAAACATATATACTTTTAGCTTTCATATGTCTAAATTGTTGCATATATAGCAATACACGTCAATATATCTATTCATCTATAGCATAGATTTTGATCCAAACAGGTTTTTTTATTCTTTCATTTCTTTATAATTTTTTTTCTGGTAACAATATATATTATAATACACATCTACTGTAGGAAACATAGCAAAGTATAAAAGAGAAAACATCAATTACCGATATTCCCAGCACCCAAAGAAAACCGCAATTAATATTTTGGTAAATTTCCTTCTAGCCTTTAAAAAATACATTGACTATATGTCATCAGAGATTTGAGGTTCTTTTTTTTTTTTTTTTTTTGAGATGGAGTCTTGCTCTGTCACCCAGGCTGGAGTGCAATGGCACGATCTTGGCTCACTGCAACCTCTGCCTCCCGGGTTCAAGCGACTCTTCCTCCTCAGCCTCCTGAGTAGCTGGGATTACAGGCATCTGCCATCATGCCCAGCTAATTTTTCTATTTTTTGTAGAGACGGGGTTTCACCATGTTGGCCAGGCTAGTCTCGAACTACTGACCTCAGGTGTTCCACCGGCCTCAGCCTCCCAAAGTGCTGGGATTACAGGCGTGAGCCACACACTACTAGAAAACCAAGTGTCTACCCTGCCTTTGTTCATTTAACATTATGTCATAAGCATTTCCCCATGTCATTAAGATGATTTTAAAACATTTTGATGGCAATCCAACTTTTAAATATATTTTTCTATTCTGGAGCATTTAGAATGTTTTCAATTTTAAAAAACAACTTTAAGTAGCACTGACATAAATATATCTGAATGTATATCTTGTACATATTTCCAGAAAGGAAATATCGATTTGAAAGTATACGGTCCTAGGCACCGTGTCCTGCTTTCTCTATTTCCCTGCTACCCTCCCTGCAAAATCAGCTGCTTTTATTAAGCCATCTGAGGTTGCTAAAGAAATATTAGTTTTCTTTACATGCTTATCAATGTGACAAATTTTTAAGAGCTGGAAACCACAACTCCCTATACCTTTGATTATCCTGGGTCCCTGGATGAATTGTATTTACACAGATAATGATGTTTCATTTTCTAACCCTTGGAAGGATGCAGTTGTTTCAGTAATACAAGCAGCCTGGGAAAAATAGTTTTGGACTTTAGGTAAAAGTAGCAGAAAGTTGCCGAGTGACTCACTTATCTAGCTTCTCATTAGCTTGCCGCCAATGTGTCTGCTCTTTCTTCCATCTCAAATTTTCATTTAGGCCTGGAAATCGGTCGTTCCCTAGGAGTTAAGAAATGCATGATAGGAATTTGATTAGCATGAAACCCTCCAAGATAACCAGAAGTTCATAACAAGCTCAACTGAGAAGCCTCAGCACCATTTCTCGGGCTAATTAGAGTCCATGCAGGTTGCTGGTAGGAGACAAAGTCGCCACACCTATGTCCAAGTTGGCCCGCTCTTTGATTGATAGACTAGAATATAAGAAGAACCTCTGCCTTTCTGAGTGTCAGAGAGACATTTCTCATGAGCAGAGGATTCCTGTGAAACTCTGGGGGCTTACTGAATTATTGGGTATGAAAGTATGGGTGTCAAATGAGGGTGCCTGACCACCACTGAAAACTATGAGCTCCCTCCAAGTTCCCTGCCACTGTGTCCCTTCGAATACAATAAGCTGTCACTCTGTTTTACTTTGAGCATGGTGAATAAGACTGAGGGTACCTGGGGATTTCATTCTATTCAAGCTCAGCCTTTTTGAGATCATTCCTCCTGTGGTGGAATCCTTGAATGACTGGGACACTCTGAAGCCATTTCAGGGAACTGGTTCCATTCTAATAGTGCCCTGAATGATCGAGAAGATGATCTTGGGGCCAGAACTGTTCAGTTTCTTGACCATGCTCCGGATAGACTAGCCAAAGGTCACATAGAAAGGCCTCAGCCTTGAGGGAAACACCTTCCACCTCATCCATGACTGACATTCTTAGAGGTGACCTTTTACCATCAACGAGTTTTAATTAAAAGATGTCATTTGGTGCTGTTTTCAGGGTTCCTACAATTGTAGAACAGCGCTTTCCCTCACAGGCACAGGGCTAACACAAATGTCACACACAGACTCCCAGAATCCGCTGTCTCTGACACTACCGTAAATATCTCAAGAAAGTAATGGTGTCTAATCATGTTGGGAGGACATTCCTCCCCACAAACAGTGAAAAACTGCTTGACAGAGAGCAGGGAAGGGCCAGTCCAACACACCTGGAGCCCGGCGGCGCATCATCTCCCCTCTGGCCCCTTCCCCACGGAGCAAAGCCTCTTCCAGCCGGGCCTTGACATCCCTTGACTTCTGCAGGACTTGGGTACTGACTTTGTCAGAACTCTGTTTTCCCTGGACAAGACAGAGGTAGGAGGACATGTCCTTTGGTGAGATCTCCGTTGATGGGGAGAGTTACCAAAACAGTACACTCCACAGTGATGCCAGCTAAGTTTGACATGTGCTTCACTGAGATGCTGCTCTGGAGCATCCTATGGGCCAAAACTCTGTCAACAGAAATGGGGTTCTCTCTGCAGAAGGCAGAGATCCTTTCCCTGTGAAATGATCATATCTATACCTACAAATGGGTTATGGATTTGAATACAGAAATGAGAAAAATTAATGATGCCTCCATGGCCCAAACAAAGGGGATGAGTAAGAAGACAGAATTGCAATTGAGAGATAAGAGCTGGTATAAAGTTGTGCCACTCCAGACTTACCTTATACTCAAAACATAACACACAGATGAAAAGTAGATCTAAAATCCTGTTGAGCTGCGTTGATGGCAGGTCAGCAATCCACTTCCTAATGAGGCTCTGATCAGCATTTTTCATGATCCAGAGGAAGCAGATCATGAGGTTGCGAGTAGTGTCCGCGTTCAGCATGTTGTACTGCTTATAGGGCTGAAGGGAGGCAGATTGGGGGATGGAGGCCAGGGAAGAAGTCAAGCAACAGAAAAATTTGAGGCTTAACAGTCAAGCAACAGAAAAATTCAAAGTGTTCTCTTAAAATACCATGACTGTACATCACTGCTAGGCTGGAGATCTATTGCCAGTAGCCCTGCCTTCCCTAGGCAGGGGAAGCTGTGTTCTTTGAGTAGCGCTACTCAGCAAAGAGGCTCACCTGGGGCAGTATTTGAGCTAGGCTTTCAGCCACGTATCTGAGTACCTCTGTCTTAGGAGCAGTGTGGCCTGGTGATCACCCCTGGGCCTTGATCATGCGTGCTGCAATCCCAGTGATACAAAGAGGCTTTCATGCTGCTAAGATCTCCAAGTATTTCTCCTTCGTGCTGGGCAGCAGAGGGTTAGACTTACAGGGGAGAAGGAAACTGGCTGGGTGCCATGAATAAGCTTGCTGTTCAAGATTTAGCTTCTTTGTTACATAGTGCAAAGTATAACATAAGGGTCATGAACTGCTCAGCAAATTAATCAAATCCATGTTTGTGGAGTTCTCTGTAATGGAAGTTTAACCATAATTTATGTTTGCCTGGGGCTGGGGTGTGGGGGTTCAGGCTATTTGCTTTAATATTTTGGCCACAAGTATTCATTTTAAAGTGCTGAGCGCACTCTCTGTTACTCATCTCATCAACACAAACAACAACAATGAGGCTGCACCCTTGGTTCATGCAGCGTAGCTAATATCCAGTGGAATGTACTGGTGAAATTGCAATGAGGAATTTGTGGGTATGGGAGGGAAATGTTAGTTTTGGATGGAAATAATAGAGGTTATAAAGCAACTTTAACTTTAGTTATTCTGAGTTTGTTGACAAGAATAAAGGAAATCTTGAGATACAACCTCACAAGGACTATGTTCTAACAGGTGAACTTTGGGCTTTTGAGTTTTTCCCTTAGAGGCAAATAATGTAAAAGGCATATACCACCTCAAGCAGCTAACTTTGGTAAGACGGATATTAGAAAGGTGGAGGAGGTCACACAATATTTCTCCAACAGTAAGATCGGTGATGTCAAATCTCAAATGTCTTTTCTCTGTCTCATCTTCCTGCCTCACTGTCCCCCCAATCCTCATGGTGATGGAGCTTGCTAAGTGCAGGAAGGAAGACAAGAAAGTCATCCAGCAAGAAGAGTTAGGTCAGGATGCTGCTTTCTCACGGGAGAAGAAAGTTAAATTCTCTGCACATCTATACCCTACATTGAAATGTGAAAGTAAATGACATTGGAGGATGCAGTGCTGTCTTCACAAGGGATAGTCAGAGCTCATCAATGAACAGAGATGAATCCCACCTCAACTGAATCAGAGGATACATTCCCAGAGGAGCCCCTCTTTGAGCCCACAGAGTCCATGCAAAAGGACAGAGCCAAACAACCCTCCTTAGGCTCCCTGGGGTCCTAGAAAAGCTGCAGTCTTGTTTAAGAAGCCCTTACGCTAAGCTACCAGCCTCCTTCAGTCTTTTTTTTTGGAGGCATTACACTGTATGAATTACACACACATAGACTGAACACAGCCTAAGCCTCCACCCTCAGAGAGCCTTGGTTTGATCTCCTTTGCAAGGATTTCAGATTTCCCAAGTTTTCCTCTTTTCCGGTTTCTTGAACTTGAACTCAGCACCACTGGGACTGCCTGAATTTGATCTGCACATCTCTTGCTGTTGCCAGAACCCTTTCTGACTTGTGTGCACCTCAGCTGCCAGCCTCACAATGATTCTTTCCAGCAAAATGAGGCGGAAATAATCAATGCCTGCTCTAAGCTGAGTTCTCCCATCAGAAGATGACAGAAGAGGCTGGGCACAGTGGCTCACGCCTGTAATCCCAGCACTTTGGGAGGCTGAGGTGGGTGTACCATCTGAGGTTGGGAGTTTGAGACCAGCCTGGCCAACATGGCGAAACCCCGTCTCTACTAAAAGATACAAAAAAAATTAGCCAGGTGTGGTGGTGCACGCCTGTAATCCCAGCTAATCAGGAGGCTGAGGCATGAAGAACCCGGGAGGCGGAGGTTGCAGTGAACTGAGATTGCGCCACTGCACTCCAGCCTGTGCAACAGAGTGAGACTCTGTCTCAAAACAAACAAACAAACAAAACAAAACAGAAGACAGAAGACATGAAATGAAAAATCAACCAGACACATGTGCACCAACATACCAAGGAAGACAGCACTATTCCACTTGTTTTCAAATTGAAATTATTCCCTGCTATGGCCAGAGCCACATTCTGGTTAATGGCACCGGCTCCTTCTTGTTCTTCATCCGAGCCACTGGTGCGGTATCTGCGAGTATCTGCAACTGCAATGAAAACATCGTTTGTGATGTCAAGTCAAACATGACATTTCCCCATGTCCCCTACCCAATAAGAGACTGATACTTCTCAGTCACTAAAGTCAGCACAGTAATTTCAAACCTGATGTTTAGCATTATGTATCTGCTATCACCTATAGGAAAACACAGCAGGCTAAGAGACAATGTCTAGCACAAGATTAGGCTAGAAATTAATTTTTCAAATTGTGTGAACAAAAAGTTTTCAAACCTTCCATAATTGTTTCCTGTAACATAATTTTTTAAACTTCATTCTCTATTCTAATAATTGGCATTATTTTAAATAATGACCAAATAGAAGACACCTACAATTACAGAATTAAGCAACTACCTTATATAGAATAATAAGCTATTATCACAAGTTCAGCAATAATTTGTCATATTTCAAATGTTTAAAATGAATGTCAATTTATTGTATCTATGTAATATAGACATACCCATATTTATAGATAGGTCTAGATGTATGCAAGCAAAAAAACGATAAACCGTTTAAAAGTCTGGTTTTTAAGAATGCTACCAGTATACAATCAAAAACTATTAATATTTCAAGCAGTTCTGGGAAAAGTGTGGTAAAACATTCACAACTGATTGATTCACTCATGTTTTCCTAAAAATTCATGTTTTTCTAGACCTGTTGACATTACAGCCATCTGGGCCTTCAATTATTTAGAAAAATTTGAGTGTAAATAACATTTCTTCTACTAAAGTTGTGAAAACAAAACCCAGTTCTTATTATTTATTTATTTATTTATTTTTAGACAAAGTCTCACACTATCATCCAGGCTGGAGTGCAGTGGCGCCATCTCCGCTCACTGCAATCTCTGCCCCTCCATCCTCCTACCTCAGCCTCCCGAGTAGCTGGGATTACAGGTGCGCCACCACGCCTGGCTAACTTTTGTATTTTTAGTGGAGACAGGGTTTCGCCATGTTGGCCAGGCTGGTCTTGAACCCCTGGCCTCAAGTGATCTGTCCACCTTGGCCTCCCAAAGTGCTGGGATTACAGGGGTGAGCCACCACACCGAGCCAAAACCCAATTTTTAGAAATACTTATTAAGGCCATTGGGATTTTAAACAAATGGTTAAATAAACAGCACATGGAAATTATGCAAGACCTGATAACATTATCACAACTAACATAGAGACACATTCTTATTTCCCCTTAATTGCCATAGGGTTATAGTTACAAGAAAAATCGGGAAAGATACAAACATGTGCTGTGCAAAATGCTTTTATAGAAGTTCTCTAGTTTCACCTTTATCGTAAACCTAAAAGGTAGACATCGTTATCACATTTTTATAGTTTACAGAGGAAAGGAAGGCACGGAAAGGTTGAGCCTTTCAAAGGTCACTTATATTAATAAATGGGGCTGGAATCTGAATTCAGATGCATCTTTTTGAAAGACTGTATTCTTATGAGTTTATCAACCTAAAGATTCCATATTTAATAGATGTACTGTGTAACCTATAACAATAAAATACTTTTCACTGTTTTTTTCTCTCATCAGCTACATCATGATCATAAAGTTCAACGCATATACAAAGAAGTCTTTGAGGTTTAAAAGGCTTGGAGACCAAATGTTGAAAAGTTCTGATTCCGAGTCACTGATACGGAATATTCTAATTGACAAGAAAACTTCGGATAATGTGTGCTAAAGTGGTTCCTGGCTTTGGGAACAAGCAAGCTCTTGAAATGGAACTTTTTAGAAACTTGCCATCAAGGATTCTCAAAATGGGCTACAAGTCACATGCCATGCTCTGCATTATGTCTGTAAATGTTAAAAACAACTCCATTTTCAATTCCGCGCAATCAGGCGCTGCTAGAGGAAGCTGCTGACCTCATGGTGCAGCTTGCTCAGCCCTGTGTGCTGAGCTTGTTTCTATCATTTCCTTGCACTCTGGCCCCAACAGAACTCTACAAACCCTAACCCCTGTCTCAACCTTTCTCTTCTGAGTTACTCCATTAGCAGTTTGCTAGAGGATTTTTTTCAAGAAAGGAGAGAATTACTTCCACAGGAATACTTGCTTTTCATTTTATGATTTGTATGAATTAAAGACTATAGGCGTTTGGTCCCATTTTCATGAACTAAATACTTGTCACCGTAATAGTATTATAAACAATTTAGTCACACATGACACTTTCCATTTGGAGGAGGTGGGAAAACCTGGATGGTTCCAAGATTTCAAGGATGACTGACTATAAAGAGGCTGGCTCAGGGAAGCATTGCCCAGATCCCAGCACCCTTCAGCTGCCAAGAGAGCAGCATGGACATTTCCAAAACTTCCCTTGAGCTGGAGGAAAAGCAAGAACTACTCTGATGGGATAGGAATTGTGTGTGTGTGTGTGTGCACGCGCGCACACACGTGCACACACACGTACGCTGTGGAGAGGGTAGGCCAATGGACTGCCTTTCTCAGGTCAACATAAGAAGTTCTTCTATTTGGGAGGATTTTTTTCCCTCTACATTCCTTAATCCACAATGTAATTTGTAAATAGATTCTGGGGTTTCACAAAACCCCTTTAAGACAACTTATCCTTTCATCTTGTTGCTAATCTAGACATATTAACCTCAAAATTAGTCACTTAGTGCCAAGGGCAATATTTCTCTGCTATGATAGAATTTTCTAATATTGACATATGCCATGATTTTTTTTTTGCATGGAGCAATTAGTTGGGTTCATTTGAGACCGCTTTTTTGCTTACATATTCATAAAAGAAAAGGGAAGGAACACCTTTATTTCAAGGTGTTAGAGCACGATCTCCAAAGGCAGTAATCTTGTTATTATTTCATCCTTTGTGGTGTATGGTTTATAAAGTTCATTCCATACTAGCAGATCAATGAATGAATAAATGAATGAATGAAGAAACAAGTAAATAATTTCTAAACAAAAAACACATATGGGGCTATGTGACTTTTTTTGTTTTTTTAACTGATTGGGGCCAGTGTTAAAGAGGTTTGGAGACCATTTTTGTGAAGAATTGCTCATATGAACATATCAGCACTGGAACGAATGACAGAGATCTCATTCGGATGGGGCATTTGGCAGGGGCCCCCAACAATCCAAGAAAGAAAACAGAAGGGCCATTACCTGTAAAGTCACAGAGCTGTGGCAAAGCATCCAAAATGATGCCAACTAAAGGTAGGTAAAGGGCGGCGATTTTGACCTTCACCTCTGGTTTGACACAGCGTGGGTCCAGGTCGTGAGAACTTAGCAGGCTGTGAATTGCACTGACAGCTTTCCTTTGTACTTTGCTGATTCTGTTGGCACAACACAGGAATCAAGAGGTTATGGTGAAAGGAAATTGACTAAAGAGCTCTTAAACAGTCAAGAGTGATGAAAACGCTCCTAAGCAATGAGGTGACTGTGAAAACCAAGCAATATAGGATAGAACTACATAGAATCCAGAAACAGACTGCCTGTGTTCTAACCCTGGAAAACCAAGCAATACAGGATAGAACTACATAGAATCCAGAAACAGACTGCCTGTGTTCTAACCCTGGAAAACCAAGCAATACAGGATAGAACTATATAGAATCCAGAAACAGACTGCCTGTGTTCTAACCCTGGAAAACCAAGCAATATAGGATAGAACTACATAGAATCCAGAAACAGACTGCCTGTGTTCTAACCCTGGGTCTGCTGTTTAGCATGATGTTTTTAAGTTTATCATATTGTAGCATCAGTACTTCATTCCTTTTTATTGCTAAATAATATTCCATTGGTGAATTTTATCCATTCATCAACTGATAAACATTTGGATTGTTTCTGCTTTTGAGCTATTGTGACTTACCAACGCTGCTATGAGTATGTGTATACAAGTTTTAAGTTTTACTTTTCTTGGGTACATACCTCAGAGTACATTTGCTGGCTTGTATGGTAACTGTCTGTTTAACTTTTTTTTTTTTTTGACATGGAGTTGTTCAGGCTGGAGTGCAATGACACGATCTCGGCTCACTGCAACCTCCACCTCCTGGGTTCAAGCAATTCTTCTGACTCAGCCTCCCAAGTAGCGGGGACTACAGGCACCTGCCACCACACCTGGCTAATTTTTGTATTTTTAGTAGAGACAGGGTTTCACCATCTTGGCCAGGCTGGTCTCGAACTCCTGGCCTCAAATGATCTGCCCACCTCAGCCTCCCAAAGTGCTGAGATTATAGGCGTGAGCCGCCGAGCGCCCAGCCTCTGTTTAACTTTTAGAGGAATCAGCAAGTTGTTTTCAACGGTGGCTGCACAATTTTACATTCCCACCAGCAGTGTCTGAAGACTCCATTTTATTCTTGCCAACACTTTATTACCTGTCTTTTTTATTATATCCATCTTCGTGGGTATCAAGTGGTATTTAATTGTGATTTTAATATGCATCTCCCTGACGGCTAATGATGCTGAACATCTTCATGGTCTTATGGCTGTATCTTCTTTGGAGAAATGTCTATTCTGATCTTTTGCCTTTTAAAAAACTGAGTTATTTGTCTTTTTATTACTGAGTTGTAAGATTTTAAAATATATATTCCAGATACAAGTCCCCTATTAGGTTTTTGATTTGCAAATATTTTCTCCCATTTTGTGTGTTGCCTTTTCATTTTTTTGATGGTGTCCTATAAATCACAAAAGTTTTAATTTTACTGAAGTCCAGTTATCTATTTTTTTCTTGTTACTCATACTTTCGAGTGTGTCATATCTAAGAAACCACTGCCTTTTCTAAGTCTATGATGATTACCTCTATAATTTTATGTAACAATTTTATAGTTTTAGCTCTTACATTTAGGTCTTTGATCTATTTGAGTTAGTTTTTGTATACAGTGTAATATAGGGTCCAACTTCATTCTTTTGAGTGTGGATACCCAGTTGTCCCAACACCATTTATTGAAAATTCTATTTTCCCCCATTGAATTGTTTTGGCACTCTTGTCAAAAATCAATTGACTATAAATATGAAGATTTATTTTTGGACTCTTAACCCAATTTCATTGATCTATATGTCTATCATATGTCAGAACCCCATAGTCTTGACTACTTTTGCTTTGTAGTAAGTTTTGAAATTGGGAAGTGTGAGTCCTCCAATTTTGTTCTTGTTTTTCAAGGTTGTTTTGGCTATACTGGGTCCCTTGAATTTCCACACGAATTTTAGGATCAGTTTGCTAATTTCTGCCAAAAAAAAAAAAAAGCAAGCTAGAATTCTGAGAAGAACTGCATTTAATCTATGGATCAATTTGGGGAGTATTGCTATTTTAATAATAAGTCTTCTGATTCATGAACATATGATATCCTCCATTTATTTATATCTTTCTTTCAACAGTGTTTTGTCATTTTTAGTGTATAACTCTTGTGTTTCTTTTGTTACATTTATTCCTAAATATTTTTTCTTTGTGATGCTATTTTATATGAAATTGTTTTCTTAATTTCATTTTCAGATTGCTCATCGTAAGTGTATAGAAACACAATTGATTCTTGTATGTTGATCTTATACCATGCAACACTGCTGAATTCATTTATTAGTTGTAATGGAGTTTTTTGTGGATTCCTTATGGTTTTCTATAAACAAGATTATGCCACCTATGAATAGAGATAGTTTTACTTCTTTTCCAATTTAAATGCTTTCTTTTCTTTTCTTCTTTTTCTTTTTTTTTTTTTTTTTGAGACAGGGTCTTACTCTGTGGCCCAGGCTGGAGTGCAGTAGCGTGATCTCAGCTCACTACAACCTCCGCTTTCTGGGATCAAGCAATTCTCCAGCCTCAACCTCCCAAGTAGCTGGGACTACAAACACAAGCCACCAATGCCCAGCTAATTTTTGTATTTCTTGTAGAGATGGCGTTTTGCCATGTTGCTCAGGGTGTTCTCAGTCTCCTGGGCTCAAAGCGATCTGTCCACTTTGGCCTCCCAAAGTGCTGGGATTACAGGCGTGAGCCACCACGCCTGGCCTAGATGTCTTTTGTTTTATTTTTTTGCCTAATTGCCCTAGATAGAACTCCTAATATGTTGAATAGAAGTGGCAAGGGTAGACATTTTTGTCTTGTTCCTAATCTTAGGGATAAAGCACTGTTTTTCACTAATAAGTGTCACATTAGCTGTGGATTTTTCATAGAGGCCCTTAAGTCAAGTTGAGGAAGTTCTCTTATTTCCTAAAAGGTTTGTTGAGTGTTTTTATCAGGAAGCGTTATTAGATTTTATTAAATGCTTTTCTTTGCATCTACTAAGATGATTGTATGGGTTTTGTCCTTTATTTTATTAATATGGTACAACAATTGATTTTCAGGTATGCAGCCTATCTTGCATTCCTGAGATAAATCCTACTTAGCCATGGTGTATAATCCTTTTTATATGCTGTTGGATTCAGTTTGCTAGTGTTTGTTGAGGGTCTTACATCTATATTCATCAGATACTGGCCTGTAGTTTTCTCATGATGTCTTTGTCTGGTTTAGTATAGGGTAATGCTAGCTTCATAGAACAAGTGGGGAAGTATTCCACCTCTTCCATTCGTTGGAAGAGAAGACTGGAAGTTGGTAAAAAATTAGAATTAATTCTTTTAAAAATATTTGGTAGAATTCATCAGTAAAGCCCCCCAGGTTTGAGCTTTTATTGTAGGAAGTTTTAAATTTTAAAATATATTATTATTATTATTATTATTTGTGATGGAGTTTTGCTCTTGTTGCCCAGGCTGGAGTGCATTGGCATGATCTTGGCTCACTGCAACCTCTGCCTTCCAGTCTCAAATGATTCTTCTGCCTCAGCCTCCCGAGTAGATGGGATTACAGGTTCCCGCCACCACACCCAGCTAATTTTTGTATTTTTAGTAGAGACGGGGTTTCATCACCTTGGCCAGGCTGGTCTTGAACTCTTGACCTCAGGTGATCCACTCGCCTTGGCCACCCAAAGTGCTGGGATTACAGGTATGAGCCACTGCGCCCAGCCTAAATTTTTAATTTGTGTGGGTACATAGTAGGTGTATGTGGGAAGTTTGATTACTAACTCAATCTTTTTACTTCTGTAGGTCTATTTGGATTTTCTATATCTTCTTGGAGTCAATTTTAGTACTTTGTACCTTTTAAGGAATTTATCCATTTAATCTAGGTTATCAATTTGATGGCTTTCAATTGTTCATCGTATTCTTTTATAATCCTTTTTATTTCTGTAAGGTCTCTTGTGATATGATTGTGTTGAATCTTTCAATTATGATTTTAGTAATTGAGTCTTCTTCCTTTTTTCTTGGTCAGCTCAGCTAAAGATTGGTGAATTTTGTTGCTCTTTTCAAATAACAAGCTTTTCATCTTGCGGATTTCCGTGATTGTTTTTCTATTCTTTATTTCATTTATTTTGGCTATCACCTTTGTTATTCCCTGCCATCTTCCTGCTTTGACTTGTTTGCTCTTCTTTTCCTAGCTCAGAGTATATTCTTTTGACATTTTGTTAAGACCATGTACACATATTTATTAAACTATTCAAGAGCAGTATATTAAAATAAAAAATAGGCTGTATTTATAGCCCCAAAGAAATGAGTTCTAACGTCCACCCAAAACCATGCACAGGCATGTTCACGGCAGCTGTTTTCATAATACCCAATACCCACAAATAGAAAGCAGCCCAAATGTCAATTTACAGAAGAGAAATTATAGTAGACAAAGGAATATGACATACAGTTGAAAAAAAATGAATACTGACACATGCGACCACACTAAAGGATGTCACAGTCACAACATTCAGCAAAAGACTATGAAATTCAACAACAGGCAGTATTAATTTCTAATAATAAGAGTCAGAATAGTGGTTACTTGAGGGGGGCCTGTAACTGAGAGAGGATAATGGAATATTATATTTTTTATCTGACTGGTGGTTACTCAAATATATTCACAGGAAATATTAATCGCACTTTACACTTAGGATTCAGGTTCTTTATATAAATTATACTATAATAAAAAGTAAATAAAATATATAGTGGAGTATCTGGAACCTAGTCATAGATGTTCAATTTTAAAAATATACATCTTGCCGCAATAAACATATGTGTGCATATGTCTTTATAGCAGCATGATTTATAATCCTTTTATTGCGGCACTATTCACAATAGCAAAGACTTGGAACCAACCCAAATGTCCATCAATGGTAGACTGGATTAAGAAAATG
The DNA here is from genome assembly GCF_000001405.40 of Homo sapiens. Classification (NCBI taxonomy): domain Eukaryota; kingdom Metazoa; phylum Chordata; class Mammalia; order Primates; family Hominidae; genus Homo; species Homo sapiens. The sequence continues at coordinate 409,921 of NC_000009.12, read as the reverse complement.
TGGCACATATACACCATGGAATACTATGCAGCCATAAAAAAGGATGAGTTCATGTCCTTTGTAGGGACATGGATGAAGCTGAAAACCGTCATTCTCAGCAAACTATCGCAAGGACAGAAAACCAAACACCGCATGTTCTCACTCATAGGTGGGAACATCACACACCGGGGACTGTCATGGGGTGGGGGGAGTGGGGAGGGACAGCATTAGGAGATATACCTAATGTAAATGACGAGTTAATGGGTGCAGCACACCAACATGGCGCATATATACATATGTAACAAACCTGCATGTTGTATACATGTACCCTAGAACTTAAAGTATGATAATAATAAAAAAAGAATCCAGATTTAAAAAATATATACATATATATACATTTTTTTCTTTCAAACAAAATAAGGCTACATCAGAATTCAACGTTATATAGAAAATATTAACCAAAATTTTAAATGACTCAGACTCTTGCACTGTGGCTAAAGTAAGATAATTGTAAATTGCATTTCAAAAGTTTTTCTTGTTCTTAGTCTGTGGTCCCGGCAATGGGTTGTGTTTTGAATTAGGCATTGCAATTTGCTGGCTTAACACAAAGATGATAGACAATTTCTAAATGCTTGAAAAACACTGTGGATTTAACGATGCATAGACACTTGTGGATATACCCAGGTGTCAGAGATCCAAGGGAAACCCAGTGGAAACTGGAGCTGTAGCTCCCTAGGGGTTCAGGTACTGAGATGCGTCCTTCTGGCCCTTGCCCCATGGATGTACAGGTGTTGGCAAGTCTACCAACTGTCTTGGAAGCAAAAGAAAAAAAAAAAGGAAGTGCTGATCAATAGGAAGTATTGTTGAAGCATGACATTTTTCTGAGGTTTTAGCTTACATGATGAAGTTGTGACAGTGTATCTAATGACTTTCCAGGAGAGTAACTGACAACCCAGCAATCAGGGATTACTGTGTTGCCAAAGGAGTTACACTGTTAATTACTCTTTTGGGGGAGAAAGGGTACTGTGTGTGTGCATGTGCACGCGCGTGTGTGCGTGTGTGTGTGTGTGTGTGTGTGTGTTTGAAGAATGTATCTACCTGATTAAACATAATTACATGATTATCTCTGAATATACTCTACCTTGTTGCTAGTAATATAACAGCAACAATTTTACAAGGAATCCAGAACAGAATGTCATGGCTGTTTCCAGCTAGAATGAAAATAGAAAATAGAAACTACGCTATTGTAAATACTAAAGATGTTTCTAGAAATCACTTAAAGTACTGCTATTAAAGGACAACTAAGAAAATGTATGTACATGTTTGTGCATGAAGGCAATTTTCTTTGTGTTCAAACTTTCTTCTCAGTATCTTACTTATTAGCATAAGTGTTCGGTGCACTTTTTGTTGCTGTGGAAATTTATGTTAGTTGTAGGGTAGAACATTCTACTGAGATAATTGGGAGAAATTTAGTTAGAGTTGAGAAGAGAAGATAGAATTGAAGCCATGGAAAGTGAAGTTCTCAAAGGATATACTCAGGCCAGTTTATCTGGAAGGAGGCAGAATTGAGAGCTAAAAGCATGAGATTCCCCACACTATCCTGCCAGGAGACGCAGACATAGAGTCACTTCAGCGGTGTCAGCCTGGGTACATAGCTTGGGACACATGTGACTGTTGCAGTTGCACGAACTCGATGTGCTCCTGTATTTGTTTCATGCAGGAACCTCCTGTTTCCTTCACTAAATTGTAAGCACTTTGAGAGAACTTGAGAAATTCCATTTAGATAAAAATCCATCCATAACATACAGCAATGCTACCATTAATTAGCAAACATTATTCTGGAAACCTCTTTAGCATAGGAGTCATGGGAACAGGTTCCCTGTGCAGGGAGATGGTTTGGTATAGGAGAGTGGGTCCTGGGAAGGGACTGGGAAGACCATGGCTTTAGATTTCGTTCTCTGTTATGGAATAGTGGGCAAGTTCCTGCAATTCTGTATGCCTAATCTAAACACCAGAAGTGTTGAATCTCAACTACTTTGCAATCCTAATCATCTTTGAATCTGAGTCCCTGGATGGTGAGCTCTTGAGGGGCAGCGAATTTTGTCTGTTTTGTGCACTGATATATCTCTGATGTACTCTAACACCTAACTGTGTCTGTCCCATGGAAGGCATTCAATAATTGTTGAACGGAATGAATAATATTTTAGAAGGCATTATCTTTTTCAGTCCAATCAGATAGGCTGTGGGTTTCTGACTCCATGAGCTCACGGAGCATAGGGAGAGAAGGAAAGAAGGGGGTGGTCTACCTCTCTGTCTGTTGACTTCTAGGCTAGATACTGCCACATGTCCCTGAGTAATCAGATAGATAAGAGGTAAAAGGATTCAGAAGCCCTGGATGTGTGGTGTCTCTTGGCCTGAGAAGCACTGTCTGCAAGAAACCTAATCTGGGCATGGGACAGCTGCCTTCTCAGCAGCCATTATTTCCTTCATCAGCTTTGAACCAAGTGACATCTTGTGGTTGCCTCTGCATGCTATCCCCTTTGTTAAAAATGGCTTTGCTCCTAGGGAGTTCACTAATCAAAGCATCCTTGGGAAACCTGCTATAGCAGAACTGGTAAATTCCACTGAAATAGTTGACCAAGAAAAGTCATTTTGTAGTTCTTACCCATCCCTGGTGCCTTTCTACACAAGAAAGGCCTTTCTTGTGCCTTGTGCTTATGGGTACCATATTCTCAAGACAGATGTTTCTACTCCTCAGAACTGGTCAACTACAGTAGAGTTTTTTACCAAGTGTGAGAAGCTAGACTGCAAATTTTATTAAAGAACATCTGTTTTTTTGGCTTCATCTTCCATTTTAAATGCCAGAAACATACCCTTCCCCTTCGGCATCCAGGGCAGCAGCCAGTTCTGTGAAGAGGAGCCCGGTGAGGAAGTGCTGCTGGCGGTACTCGGAAGTCAGATCGAACATGCTGGCGATCTTCTGGTCCTGGAAGCTGGAGCAGGAGCTTGAGTTCTACAGAAACGTAAGGAGCCATTTTATGAGCCACAAGAACTGGAATGAAAATAGCGATGGCCAGTGTTTACTGAGTCCTCGCCCCAGCCAGGCTTCGTGAGCCCTCCCCAGTGAGGTAGGTACTCTGGTGCCAGATAAGGCGGACAAGGAAACTGAGGCACAGAGTGGTTACTGCACTTTCCCATACCCACAGAGAGAAGACTGCCCAGCGGGAAAGATGAAAATAAAGCACCCCGGGTCTGTTGAAAAATGAATGACGCTCCCTTTCCCACCTGAAATCAAAAGCTGAAGATAAAAATCCTAGCATAAAAGTTGGACAGAGAAATAAGAACCTCACCCAGTCCTGGGGCTGGGAACAGGCAATTCCTCTGTAACCAAATGCCCCCTTTGTTTAAGGCCCTGCTTACTCAGGTACCTTCTTTTTTTTTTTTTTTTTTTTTTGAAAGACAGAGTGTCACTCTGTTACCCAGGCTGGATTGCAGTGGCATGGTCTCAGCTCACTGCAACCTCCCTCTCCCGGGTTCAAGCAATTCTCATGCCTCAGCGTCCCAAGTAGCTGGGATTACAGTCACACTACCACACCTGATGCATTTTTGTATTTTTAGTAGATATGAGTTTTCATCATGTTGGTCAGGCTGGTAACTCCTGCCTCAAGTATTCCACTCCCTTTGGCCTCCGAAGATGCTGGGATTACAAATGTGAGCCACCGTGCCCGGCCTCAGCTACACTTCTGAATTTGGCTTAAGCACATTGTCAGACTTTTGCTGGCCTGGAACTACAAGTGATGTCAGGGAGGGAAGTATTAGATTTACCGGTCCTCAGTAATTCCTGTCCTGTATTTGTATCCTGGGAGCACACTTTATATTTCATTAAGAGCATCTAAAGTGTCTTTAGAAATCCTTCATGGTTTTGTGAGCCTGGCCCCTGGGTTTGGCCACTCCCTGGGGCAGTCAGAAGGGGAAGGTGGGAAAGAACCTAGGGTAAGCTTAGTCCAGGGAAGTTTTAGGACTTAAGCTGCTGGGCAGGATGGAGCAAAAAGTTTATACATTTTGAATTGCTGCTTGTGAGTCAGATCTTTCCCTGTTCACAGTAAGATGGTCATGTAGCTAATATCTGGATCATGCCATATGGCATATATGGCTAAGATTTTTTTTTCAATTAGTAAGACAAGCCTTCACTTTTGTACTAGTATCAAGGAATATGCAACAGAAATATAACCTAATAATGAGAAATTTTGCCTGATGCTCTGAGCTACTGATGTGTTCCCTATAAATGGAATGTGACTATCAAACAGCATGTTCTTAAAGTTATTCCAGAGTAACATTTCAAAAAATGTATGAGGTGGGGTGGGGTTTCCATGTTAAATCATTTGGGGAATCACTGCTTATCATGCACACCTCCTCCCATTTCCTCTTCTGCTTCTCGTGCATTTGCAATTGACATGAACAAGTTAAAACCTCTTAGAGGGCCTGCTGCAAAGAAACCTGGTGAATACATGGTTTCCAAAACTTATTTACTTTGGAATCCTCTATTTGCATAATATAACAATTGGCTAATGTCAGACAAAGGAAGATTTGAGACTTTTCTATGAGTTTCTAAATTTCATAGGGCTTATTGGATTCTTGGCTTTACTTAACCTGATCAGGGAGCCTTGAGCCTGGGGAGAAACCAATTACTTAGATTGTTAATTCTTAGCTAGTGGTGTAACTTCAGGGTAGCATACTTGATCTGGTTTGAATTGTTTGATTTTTTGTCAAATTAATAAGACTAACCTTTATAGGAAATACATGATTAAACTGAGCTAGTTAAATGAAATAGCTTGAATAATTCTTTTAGTTAAATAATTCTTTTATTACCTGGGAAGATATGGAAGGACAAGGAGATGTTGGAGCAGTATCAGCATTCATAAAAAAAAGGTTCAGATTGAGGTAATGCTCATGGCTACAGAGGATTCTCAGGAACTCTAGCCTCATGGAAATGAGCGTTGGAAGGTTACTGAGCTTGGCTGACAGCTGGGAAGAAAAATGAAAAGAGGAATGAAACATTTATTACAAGGTAAGTGGAGTTGAGGTTGGCAGACACAAAAATATCCTTTCTCTCCAGGTTAAGGCAATCAATTTAATAAAAACTAATGGGATAGTGCAACAGATGGTAAATTCTGCATTACAGAGAGGTCTAATAAATTTTCATTCATTACTGTTCCCCTTAGTGATTCTAGCCTAGTAGCTGTCCAGAATGAGGATTCTTATCCCGATTTCCACTTTATCAAATCTTTAATACCATGGGAAGCCTGTGCTGAAAATCTTGAGGTACATCTTCACCGTAACATAATTAATTTTACAAAAACTCTACTATGTTCGAGAAACTAAATGAAAGGAGTTGACCTCATATGAGCCTGTATGAAACTAATAGAATATGACTAGATGACTTTTATACTACAAGTGTTCTCTCGTAGTTTCTAATTAAAGGCCCCATTGGAAAGTTGTAGAACCAGTTCCCTAGAGAAAGGCATCAAACTGTTTAGCAAAGTACATAGTACCTGCAAAAAACTCAAGGAGCTTGTCCCAGACTGAGAGAGGAGGAAATGGAGAAGAAAGAGAAAGAAAGCTAGAAGAGTTTTTAGGAAAAATCTTCCTTTAAAAAATAAACCATGAAGCAAGCAATGAAAAGCAGAAAAAGGTGACTGTCTGGAAGAGACCCCTTGCTTCCCCCAGGCAAGCTGAACAACTGAAAGACCCAGACTCAGAGGCAGCTCCTCTAAAGGCAAAATAGGGGAAGGAAGGGGCGCTGATGCACCTTGAGCTCCTCAATATTTCATCATTATCACCCCCCACCCCAGCACAGAAATATGAAGCATCATCCTTGTGATAGACATGCCTCCTCTTCACTCACTTCAAGAGTAGTTTGTTTTTTAAACTATATATATATATATATACACATATATATATATACACATATATATATATATACATATATATATATACACATATATATATACACATATATATATATGTATATATATATATATATATATATAGAGAGAGAGAGAGAGAGAGAGAGAGAGAGAGAGATACAGAGTCTTGCTCTGTTGAACTGGAGTGCAGTGGCATGATCTCGGCTCACTGCAACCTTCATCTCCCAGGTTCAAGCGATTCTCTTGCCTCAGCCTCCCGAGTAGCTGGGATTACAGGTGCACATCAACATGCCCAGCTAATTTTTTGTATTTTTAGTAGAGATGGGGTTTAACCATATTGGCCAAGCTGGTCTCGAACTCCTGGCCTCAGGTGATCCTCCCGCCTTGGCCTCCCAAAGTGCTGGGATTACAGACTAAACAATATAATTTAAATGAACACATATTTTCAGCCATTTTACAAGAAGCCAATGTGTTGTGGGACATATTGCCTACAGAATTAATTCATAGTTAGACATCCACTTAAAATAAGTAAATGCCATTATATATTATTTTAAAACCAAAACATATGACTTCTATGTAAGCACAGTTACCAGATCCCATAACCTTTCGATGTGCACTCCTGGCTGACTTTGGACCAGTGGAGCCACCAGCACATTGAAGGGATTAGAACTTGGTCATGTGCCTGTCACTTAGGTTACTCATTAACAGGTGTCGGGTCAAGCCGGCTATCGGAACTTGAACCCACAACACATTGGCACTTAAAAGAAGGCCCCACTATGGGTATCTTTCATAGGTCCCTTGAGACATCATTCAAGACAGACATTTCAGGCTGGGTGTGGTGGCTCACACCTGTAATCCCAGCACTTCGGGAGGCAGAGGCAGGCAGATCACTTGAGGCCAGAGTTCAAGACCAGTCTGGCCAACATGGTGAAACCCTGTCTCTACTAAAAATGCAAAAATTAGCGGGGAGTGGTGCCACACACCTGTAATCCCAGCTACTCGGGAGGGTGAGGAAGGAGAATCGCTTGAACCTGTGAGGCGGAGTTTGCAGTGAGCCAAAATTGTGCCACTGCACTCTGGCCTGGGCAACAGAGTAAGACTCCATCTCAAAAGAAAAAAAATAGACATTTCAAAAACAATTTGAGTGATGTTTTGAAAAGAGGAGTAAGGTGCATTCCAAAAACTTCCTTCCCAAAGGTCAAGACCCACAATGCCCCTACCCAAGGGATGGGTGTTTGCTTAGTGGCACATTGTAAGTGACAGACAGTAATTGAGGAAATGGATTTGTCTATTTTTAGTGACTATTAAAAAAGACTAAGGTTATATCCATTGCCACAAAATCTTTAGATGGCAGAAAACATAATAGGTTATGCAAAATGATAAAGTCAGACGACTTTGTAAGAATACAACTTGCTTAAGGTATGAAGTTCATCCTGTATCTAGAGAGCTGGGATCAATGAATTAAATCACCACGAATGGGGGTCAGTGACCTTCTGAGGCCTGAGTGCCACTAATGGTGCTAAGTAACATCCGTGGATGTCACTGGCAGACACAGACCACAGAATCAGTGGATAAATCTAATCCAGCCTAGTTTTTTTGCAGATGAGGAAATGAATGCCTCAAAGGCTGATGCTCCCAATCACAGAAGTAATTAATGGTGTCCCAGGAATCAGCATGCAGGCTTCTTGACTCCTGGTCTAGGGATCTTTGGCATTTGAGTCAAGGAGAGAAACAAAAAAAGAAATGGTAACTAAAAGAAAAGGGAAGAATTTAAGGAGAAAGATAGTGAGCAAGAGAAAAGAAAGGAAAGAGAAAGAGAAAATAAAAACATGAGTTTTGCAGGGAAGGCAGATATCTACCTTGGGTTGCCTTATTTCCCTGTCGGGAATGAAGATAGCCTGCATGTGAGTAGCTAAGCCTGGGTCTGCAGTGGTGATCTAGGGTATCTTTCATACACTCAACTTAAAGTTTTGAAAACAGACTAACCTGGAATCCTAAATACTGAAGAGGGAGGGCAAGGAGGAGTGAAGTGTCCCTCTGCCATTCTATTCTGGTGGGTCCTGGGACAGAAGATCCGCTGCAGGGCAGGGGTCAGGGTGCATGGGATGGGGATGCTTGGGGACTTCTGATGTTTCCTTAGGATTCTTTTTTATTATTCTGCTTCCTTATCAGGACTTCCCTTAGATGAGACTGCGTGCGTTCAGGGTGGTATGGCTGTAGACAGGACTTCCTTTAGAAAAGTCATGTCTTTTTCTTTTTTTGGAGGAGAGGTGTTATGTAAACAAGTCAAAGATTGTTTCTGTGTATTGGCCCCTCGGTTGTTTATTTCTTCACTGTCGACTGGTGCTGATCCCTTGGCTCATACCTAACTCAAATTTTACCATGCCCAGTCATTAACAAAAATAGCTCATATAAGCAGATTTTCATCCATTTAGTGCCTGCCTCCTTTGCAGACCCCATAAAATCTCGATGGACAGCTGTTTCCTAATGATAAGATAGAGCCTTGCAGATACAGGGCCCTAAGCTGCTACAGCCCTTGGAGCTCTCTGACCCAGAGACTCCCTACTGTGCTGTGGAGCAGCCTCACCCAGATCTATAAGCTTCTGCCCTAATCCTCCTCTCCCCTGGGAGTTCCCCTGCTCCTCTGGATGGTCCCCTCCTCACTGCAGGCCTATGGCTGTTCTCATGCTGGGAGGGGCTTCCGCTCTTATGTAACCCTGTCCAAGTGCTGCTCAATGAAGCTTGTATGTCACTGCTTTTTATGGTCCTATCCTTTTCGTTGATCAGCCCTCAAATCTCTCAACCCCCCCTTCTTATTTTAAAACTGAGGAAATTAAGACCCATAAAATTGGAAAAACTTATCTAAAGTCACTAAGTGACTAACCACAGAGAACGTGGTGGTGATGGGAGAGGTGGTGATGGTGGTGGAGGTGGTGGTGGTGATGATGGTGACAATGATGATGGTGGAAGAAGTGATGGTGGAGGTGAAGGAGGTGGTCATGGTGGAGCTAATGGTGGTGGTGGTGGAGGAGGTGGTGATGGTGGAGGAGGTGGTGGTGGTGGTGGTGATGGTGGTGGTGGATGTTGTGGTGATGGTGAAGGAGCTGTTGGTAGTGGGGGAGGTGGTGGTGGTGGAGGTGGTGGTGATGGTGGAGGAGGTGGTGATGGTGGAGGTGGTGGTGATGGTGATGGTGGAGGTGGTGGTGATGGTGGAGGTGGTGGTGATGGTGGAGGTGGTGGTGGTGGTGGAGGTGGTGGTGATGGTGAAGATGCTGGTGGTGGTGGAGGTGGTGGTGGTGATGGTGGAGGTGGTGGTGGTGGTGGAGGTGGTGGTGATGGTGAAGATGCTGGTGGTGGTGGAGGTGGTGGTGATGGTGGAGGTGGTGGTGATGGTGGTGGAGGTGGTGGTGGTGATGGTGGAGGTGGTGGTGATGGTGGAGGTGGTGGTGGTGATGGTGAAGATGCTGGTGGTGGTGGAGGTGGTGGTGATGGTGGAGGTGGTGGTGGTGATGGTGGAGGTGGTGGTGATGGTGAAGGAGGTGGGTGGTGGTGATGGTGAAGATGCTGGTGGTGGTGGAGGTGGTGGTGATGGTGGAGGTGGTGGTGGTGATGGTGGAGGTGGTGGTGATGGTGATGGTGAAGGAGGTGGTGATGGTGGAGGAGGTGGTGGTGGTGGAGGAGGTGGTGGTGGTGGAGGTGGTGGTGACGGTGAAGATGGTGGTGGTGGTGAAGGAAGTGGTGGTGATGGTGGAGGTGGTGGTGATGGTGGAGGTGGTGGTGATGGTGGAGGTGGTGGTGATAGTGGAGGTGGTGGTGATGGTGATGGTGAAGGAGGTGGTGATGGTGGAGGTGGTGGTGGTGGTGATGGTGGAGGTGGTGGTGATGGTGAAGATGCTGGTGGTGGTGGAGGTGGTGGTGGTGATGGTGGAGGTGGTGGTGATGGTGATGGTGAAGGAGGTGGTGATGGTGGAGGTGGTGGTGGTGATGGTGGAGGTGGTGGTGATGGTGGAGGTGGTGGAGGTGGTGGGAGGTGGTGATGGTGGAGAAGGTGGTGATAGTGGGCATGGGACTAATGAGAATGGTGGTGGCTGGTGGTAGTAGTAGCAGTAATGATGGTACTAGTGGCTAGATTAGGGATATGGAAGGAGAGGAGCAGCAACAATAACTGCTATTTATATTACTATTGTTAAGGTAGTTTGAGGGAGACAGCACATGAATAATTCCATTTAAAAATCTGGGGGGATGGCACTGATAGATGCACTTGGTTTATGAAATATTTGCTATGTGCTCAGTGAAATTAAATCTCTTTGAATGATTTTATTTAAGAACACTTTAAAAAGGTTCTTTCAAGTCGGAGCATCACAACAGCAATTTAATTAATTACCCTAATATGTGAAAAGAGACCTCAGACTGGGAGCGCAAGGACTTGTCAAAGACTGAAAGCACTGTATAGCCATGTTAATTTTCTGTTGAATGTCAAATTGAAGATTCAGATCATATCACAAATTTTAATTCCCACAGATGAATCTGTTGACCCTTCTACACTGTCGGTAAATGCTCCAGGAATCAAGGTAAACCAGCATGTCTGAGGAATGTCCATGGCACAGACATGAGGGACGTGCTGCAAAACACAGGATGTGTAGGATTCATGCCAACTCAGTAATGAAGAAGACAGCGTGCCATGGCAACGAACATCACATTATATGAGAAGGAACCAAGTGGCTCGCTCGGGGGTGGGGGTGGGGGGGACACTCACCTGGCTGCAATAATGTCTGATGAGGTTAAACACAAAGCCCCGATCCATGAGGGAGAGAAGGTCATACAAGAAGAAAGCCAGGCTGATGTTCATCTTTTCCGCCTGTTCATTTTCCTTAAAAACAAACAAACACCCAAATCATTTTGTGGGACACTCTGGATTTGAACTTCCAGGTCACTGGTGGGAACATTGGGAGAGACAGGTCCTATTATTTCAGCCACTGTCCTTCTGGGTGGCACTGGGCGAAGTAGTTGAGTCTCCTTTAACTAAAGCCATGACTGTGAGGTTGAATCAAGTAATTATTCGTGCACTGTTAATATTTAGGTGCATTTCCTTCCAGTCACTTTTTTTTCTACATGCATATTTATATGTGTATAATTAACCTCATTCTCTATATACTATGTTGGATCCTACTTTTTTTTATATCCTGGTAACTTTTTTTTTTGTAACTATTTTCTTTTTTTTTGGCAAACTGACTTGAAAAATACTTACTGTTTTCAATGAGACAGTTTCTTAATTTTTAAGGATTATTACAGAAAATCCAATCAGGATAAAAGAATTAGTTTTTACCTAAGAAATTTATTCCTCAATTAGGCAGCATTTCCAGCCTAAGAGAGGTCAGAGTCATACTCCGCAGGGTGTATTCACTCCGTAGGGTAAATTCCTCCATGAATCCCAATTAATAAGCTACGCCTATTTTTAAAATTTTTAATTTGTATTATTTCTCAGTGCTCCTGTTTATGAGGGATTTTACAGTGCTTCAGAGCAATCTGGGATTCAGTTTTTCATGTTTATGTCCTTTATTCTCAGAATGACAAATCAATTTCCTTTGACACTATTAAAAATATGGTTTGAAACTATTTTGCTTTTGTTAACATGCAATTTGCAAATTCAGGCCATGCTGACCAGTCAAGTCACTGGGATGGATGGGGACCTGATAAAGAGGTTGCTACCGTGCCGCTGAGAGGTCCTCGAACTCTCTCCGCATTCTCCACATGGCCACTCCTCCTGGGTGCCTTACGTGACTCAGTATCTGGGTCTAAAATCTCCAGTCTTGGCTTTACTGCTGGCTGTGTGTGACTTTTGGAAAATTTATCAACCTCACTGTGCCTTATTCTCACACCTGCCAATGTGGAGATACCATGCTGTTCCAACAAAGTTTGCCATGAGGAATAACCGAATGAAAATCTCCTGAGCACTTGGTACTATGCACATTCTCAATAACGACAAAGCGATTAATAATAAACATTGCTTCCTAAGATTTTTGTAGCTGCCTTTTAAACATTTGATTTATTCCATTTTATATATGTTTTAGCTTTTATTCTGAAACAATTTTAAACTTACAGAAAAGGTGCAAGAATAGTACAAAGAACTACTGTATACCCTTTAACGAAGCTTATCAATACTTGACATTTTGCTACATTTGTTTTATCATTCTATGAACATAAAAACATTTTTTTCTGAACCATTTGAGAATGGGTTGCAAATATCATGCCCATTTACCCCATAACACTTCAAGGTGTATTTCCTAAGAGCAAAAATATTATCTTTCATATCTACATTTTTCTTTTAGATGGAGTCTCACTCTGTCACCCAGGCTGGAGTGCTGTGGTACCATCTCGGCTCACTGCAACCTCCGCCTCCTGGGCTCAAGCGATTCTTCCACCTCAGCCTCCCGAGAAGCTGGGATTACAGGTACGTGCCACTACACCCGGCTAATTTTCCATATTTTTAGTAGAGACGGGGTTTCAACATGTTGGCCAGGCTGGTCTCGAATGCCTGACCTCAAGTGATCTGACCACCCTTGCCTCCCAAAGTGCTGGGATTACAGGTGTGAGCCACTGCACCCAGCCTGATATGATCATTTAAACCACAGTCCATATTGCAATTTCTTTTTTTTTTTTTTTTTGAGACAGAGTCTCACTCTGTCACCCAGGCTGGAGTGCTGTGGCACCATCTCGGCTCACTGCAACCTCTGTCTCCCAGGTTCAAGCAGTTCTCTTGCTTCTGCCTCCCAGTTGCTGGGATTACAGATATGCACAACCATGCTCAGCTAATTTTTATATTTTTAGTAGAGACAGGGTCTCACCATGTCACCATGTTGGCCAGGCAGGTCTCGAACCCCTGGCCTCATGTGTGTAATTTGTTTATAACAATTTTCCAGCCCCACATCAGGGTCCAGTCCAGTATAACATACTGCGTTTAACTGTCATTACAGTTATATTTTAATTATTGTTTTAAAATGATGCTTATTTTTCTCTGATTATGAAAGTAATATATGTTCCAGGTAAACAATTTAGAAAATAAAGAGTAAAATACAGTTACCTTCTGTGGTTTTACTAAAAGGGCTGCAATTTCCGAGGTGACCACATTAACAATAGTAGTTATGTCATCCATGAAACGGTCAGAAAAACGAGTCCTCCGAAAACTGTCCCGTTTGTCCATGTTATGTACGTGCTGGGCCATGCTTTTCACCTGCGGAGGGGGATGGAGGAAATGTCAACATGGAGATTGGTGACCTGCTTGTACAATGCAGAAAAGGGGGAAAGACTCACAGAAATGCTCTCTAACAATGGATTTTCTGACACTTTATCTGTGCTGGTGGTGCCCGAGCAAGCTCTGGACTAAAATGCTGCAGACACACCAATGGTTACCATGGTGGCGGGAGGTGGGAAGGGTGTCCTCTTTTTGACCCCAAGTCAGAGGCTCCCTTCTTGCTGCTGACAAAGCCAGGAGCTTAATTCTTTAGCTACAGTGTTCTCAACTGCCTACATCCTGGAAGGCAGACCTGAGCTGGGCTCCTGTAACCAGCTAGGTGTCCTCTATCATAGGACAGAACACATGACTCAGAAAGGAACAGTTTATCACAAGGTTCTTGATGCGAACTAAAGTCTTTTCTGTTCCTGAAACTACAGTAAGGAGAACGTGGGAGAAATGTTCCTCCTATCTTGAGTTTCAGTGTTTCTCGAGGGAGCACAGTTTTTCCAGAAACAGTTCTATAGTTTCCAGCAGTTATCTTCTGCTCCTATAAATTTTAGCTATATTATATATTGAGCAGGAAATGTTGGCCAGCTGGAAACAGAACCACTATTTAGAACATTGCCTCCAGGGAAAACATTACCTCTAGGGGAAATTTTGAGTTCCATAAGTCTAATTTTTAGTTACATAATGCAGACAGTCACCAAATGACACAAAAATATCTATATACAGATTATCTATCTATATCTAGTATCTCTATATAGATATCTTTGTGTCAATACAAGTCACCAATTGACACAAACTGGTGTATACTGTGGTTACATATATAATGCAAACAATTCGTCAACTGACAGAAAGATATTTATATACAGATATATCTATATGGATATACATACATATACATATCGTATCTATATATAGATATCCTTGTGTCAATTGGTGACTGTCTGCATTATGACTAGAATAATACTATCTCAATGCCTACCACAATTTTAAATCAAGATCATGCTTATTTTTTGGACATCTTCTTGGGGCCAGGAGATTCACAGGTCAATATGGGCCCCCTTGTCACCATCTGAGGGTGAGTCTTATCCTTGTTGGAAGTTGCTTACACTATTAGGAACATGGGGAAGACTAGAAGGTCTTGTGGTTGGGTCCCTACACTCTGAAAACGTTTTCATGTATGCGTCTAGATTAGTCAGACAGCCACTGCAATACTACTACTACTACTACTACTACTACTACTACTAATGGCACTGGAAGTTGAACCACCCACATTTGCCCTCTGTGTTGAGACTGGAAGAAGAGGGGACTTCCACTCCCAGGAGCTACATGAGAGAACGTTAATACACTAACAGCAGAATTCAGTTTCTAAGGATGCATGCAGCACTGGCAATTTTTGTTAGCATGGAAACAAACAGAAAAAACAAAGGGAAGGCAAAATAAGAAAAAACCAGAGACACAGGCTTTATGTGTTTCATGTTTTCAGACAACGCCATGGCCAGCTCAGGGAAGACCTAAGGACATCAAACCCTAAAGCTCAGTAGAGAAACCATGGTTTCTCCTCATGGCGGCATCCTCTTTGGTTTGGGACACAGAGATGGCTTCATATCCCACAAGGCCGCATGCACCTGGTGAGAAGACCCGAATGAAGGGTGGGAACTGGACCCATTTTTGTCCGAAAAAAGCCTCTCTCTCACTATGCTCCTAACAAAGGACTTAAGAAGATAAGGCCTCTTTGTTTTGGGCAATGCCAATCCTGATTCTGGGCAGGCTAACCATCCCAGCACTAAGGCTTTCAGAACTCACTGCTGTATTTGGCTCCTGTCTGCTGAGTTTGGCCATCCTACAACCAAATACATAATTCTCACAATACCATACTTCCAACCAATGGCCTCTTTCCAGACTGTCAGCAGCTTGCCAGCTACTGTGTCCTCCAGATCTCCAGAGAAGAACATCCAGTAGAAACACTAGTGGAGGCCTGGCCCTGTTGAGTGGGGCGAGGCACAGAAATCTTTCCCCCTATATGGGCCTTTGTGGCCCATTTAAAGTAAGGGTACCTCTAAAGAACCCCTTAATGTGGAACTTCATGTCCTGAGTGAGTAAACTAGGTCACCCATTTATCTCTATTTCTCCAAGGTCTGGCTCAGCAGTTTCTAGAAGCACAGGGATTTTATTCATTAGCAAGTGTGAAAGTCGCCCAAGCATTGTGTTTAACAGCTCTAATGCCAAAGTGGTTGTTCATTAGCGCTTGGGCACTGACACAACTAGAGGGTGTTAAATTGCCCAGGTTGTTGGCTAAGGCCAAGGAAGCTGTTGTCTTTCTCAAGCTTCTTGGAAAAAAACAAAACAAAACTGTTTTGGTTTTCAAATAACTTCCTGGGCATTGGTCAGGCAAATGCATAAACAATGTATGAAGAATTGGGCACCTTGTCTGAGTCTGAGATCAATTTCCTTGCAAAGTTCTGGCTGGGGGATGATAGTTTCCATTTGCCCCTACCCCAGCTCCCTGATGGATTTCTTGTCCTTCTCTGTCTGTCTCTGAATGCTGGGAAGGGGGTCTCGAGGGACCACATCACTCAGGCCCCCTTAACCTTTGGCTTCCAGTTGGAGTTGGCCAACAGGAGCACAAACAAGGGGATCATTACGTGGGAGAACAGAGAGGCCCAGGTAGTTACTCACTTCCACTGCCCTCATCCCTGCTGCAGTGAGGTCCTGGTAGTGGCAACATTTTTCTAAGGCCCCAGGCTCCTTTTCTAAGATTGTCTCATCTGCCTCCAGATTTTTCTAGGCCCCAGTTACTCTGCTATACTCTTGATTCTTTAGAGCTAGCATAGAGAAAGGCTTCTGCCAGCTGCTGTACCCTGGGGGCTCTCACCAATCCTCATTGGCCCCTGAACCTCCCATACATGCTGAGCAGAGTCCTTTTGATCAATGCTTTTCAGTTAACCCTTTTGGGCAACGGAAACTCTGTCCTGCCAGAACCTGACAGACTTAGGTTTTAGGCTGCTGGTAGAACTGGTGTCTTGGGTGATCTGCATGTTGACAAACCCCTGCAATATGCTTAGATCAGCAGGGGCTTTCTTCCCAAAAAACTTCATCTGTTTACCATAAGGGACTTCCTAGAGGTAAGATGGGCCATGTGCTTTAGCTTATGCTTTCTCTCCTGGGCCAACGAAGCCCTAGTAAATAAATGTGCAAGGCCAAAAGCAGTTAGGGGCAGTGAAGTGGTACTGCTGAAGCATTTGGCTGACTTGGAGACTCTCTTTATGGCCACCACCCTTCCTCCAACCCCATCTGTAAATTTGGGATAATAAAAGTTCCTCCTGCCTCAAGATTGCATAATGATTACATTAGATGATGCTTTAAAATGCTTAAAACACTGCCTGGCACATATATAGTAAGATGCTCAGTAGTTTTGATGTGATTATTCTTTCTCCCATTGGTATGCCAACTATTGGTATGCCAACTATTATTGGGATTCTGTGAAGAACAGAGACATCATTACACCTGCAGAGAATGCAAACTTCCTTTGGAAAGAGAGCTCTAAGATGCCACATGGAACCACTCAGAATAAGCAATGCTGAATTCCGCATTGGGAATGAATTATTTGTATGAATTATCCATAGCTGGATTATGACTCAAGTGAATCTTCTTCTTCTTCTTCTTTTTTTTTTTTTTTTTTTTTTTTTTTTTGAGACAGGGTCTCAATCTGTTGCCCAGGCTGGAGTGCAATGGCATGATCAAGGCTCACTGCAGCCTTGAACTCCTAGGCTCCAGTGACGCTCCTGCCTCAGCCTGCTGAGTAACTGAGACTACAAGCACATGTTACCACACCCAGGTAATTTTTTCATTTTTGCAGAGCTAGGCTGAGTGAATCTTCTTTATGGAGAGACATGATGGTGGGTGGGATGTGTAAATAGAAGCAGGATATAAAGGGCATGGGGTGACGGTTTTGATACTTCTCATGCCTCAAGAAACAAGAGGGGAATGGGTCTTATGGCCCAGTCCCTTTCCTGCCAGAGCATGGAGCTCATGTCTCATTGTTAATGCTCTTGCCCCAAGACTTGTGAGCTGCAGCCACCACCTTAATTAGCTCGGCTTTTGGAATGAAAAAAAAATTCTGGTGTTGTCTGAGTACAAATTCCAAAAGACCTGTAGCTCTGTATAGGATTCACAGAACAGAGGTGGTGTAGACCAGTGGATCATTAACAGGCTTAGAAGTCACCTGAGAAGACAGGTAAATGCACAATGCTGGCCTCCAGCCTCCTAATTTTAGTGCTTTGAGAAAGAATCTCTGCTTTATTTTTACTAAGCACCTCCAGGTGGTTCTGTGGCAAGGATTTGGGACCATGCTTTGGGACCCTTCTCAAAACAGAGGTTGGGACTTTGCAAAACTTCATGGGATTTGAATCCTGGGTGTGTTTCTGTGGCATGAACCTGACTTCTTCTGAACTCTATTCCACATTGCTTCCTATTTCCTCCCCAGTGGATGGTTCATTTGTTTCCTTTGCCCTTTGTTCTCTGTGTCCTATTGTTCAGCATTTCTCCCTTTTTCTTGGGCTTCAACTTACATACAAAAACTAGAGCTTAGGTGGAACCCCTCCCATCTCTTTAGTCCCTCTCTCTTTTTTTTTTTTTTTTAGATGGAGTTTTGCTCTTTTTGCCCAGGCTGCAGTGCAATGGCGCAATCTCAGCTCACTGCTGCCTCTGCCTCCCAGGTTCAAGCAATTCTCCTGCCTCAGCCTCCTGAGTAGATGGGATTACAGGCACCCGCCACCACACCCGGCTAATTTTTGTATTTTTAGTAGGGATGGGTTTTGTCACGTTGGCCAGGCTGGTCTCGAACTCTTGACTTCAAGTGACCTGCCTGCCTCAGCCTCCCAAAGTGCTAGGATTACAAGTGTGAGCCACCACACCCAGCCTAGACTCTCTTTAAAAAAAAAAAAAAAAAAAAAAAGATTCACTTAATGGGACAGGGGAAAGAACCCAATGAATATAAAGCTAACATTATCACTAAATCTCAACCTACTCCAAATCCTCTGAACTGTTTGCATATATATTTTTATATAGTTGGTGTCTATGTCTTTAGACCTCTTTCATTCAACATCATCTCATTATGCATCTCTGTTTATCAACATTGAGAAAATGTTTATTTTTAGTGCCTCTATGGGAAAATCCTTTTGCTTCCATTAATAATTAAACAAAAAAATAGTTATCACTATTATTCCCCTTATTTTAAAATTAAGGTATTATGGCTATACCTTTTGCTTTTCTGCTCGAGTAATGGTAGAAGTTTTAGGATAAACAGATATACAAATTTCATTCTGTTTTCCAACAGATATTAATTGGGCCTTGCATGGTACCAAGCAGTGTGCTGAGGCTAGAGATGGGATAATACACAAGAGAGACCCAAATCCTGAAAATCTAACCGCTGAGACAGAAAAAACAATTAGAAATTGTGATAACCACTAGGAAAGAAATAAATAGGGTGCTCAGAAGGAGGATAATAGAGGAAGATATATTACAGTATTAGGTGGTCAGAAAAGGCCTCTTGGGGATGGTTCCACTGAAGCTGAAATCTACAGAGAAGAATAGAAACTGTGTGTGTTGGGGGTGCGGAGGTGAAAGTTAGGGAGCAGGAAGAGAATCTGGAAAAGGCTGTGAGGCCAAAATGGCCTTGGCATCTTCAAAGCACCAAAAGAGGACCATGTGGCTGAATGATGGGGGAATGTGGCGTGAGATGAGGTTAGAGAGGGAGGAAAACAACAGAATCATACAAGGGCTTTTTAGGTCATGATAAAAATTTGTGCTTTCTTCTCAGTGCAGTGAAAATCATCGATCGGTTTTTAAAAGGAGCGTGACATTCTCTGTTTAGTATTGGCTGCCATGTGCAGAATGGGTGGGCCAAGAGCAAAAATGGATACAGGCAGGAAAAAGAGGATGTCACTGCGAGAGGCACATGAGAGATGATGGTGTGTGGCCAGGTGGAGAGTGGTGAAGGTGATGAGAACTCACAGGACGGCGATAGATTTTCATGGTAGAAGCAACACAATTTAGTGGAAGAAGGATGGGAGGGGTGAGAGATTATTAGATTTCAAGAAACCACCCCAGGTTTTCAGCAGGGGCAACTCAGTGAACAAAATGTCAATTCCTTTCTGCTGTGTGCTTCTCTTGGCCTATTGAGCACAGATACAAACGCGCAAGAATCTCACCAGAAGCTCAAAGAAGAACCAGGCATACTTGAAGACTGTTTCTCTCACCATTCCGGTGCTGACCACCATCTGAAGGGCAAGCTCCTCATGGAAATGCTAAATAAGAACCACAAAAATTAGGCTGTGAAACAAAGGCTATTATTATTCACCAACACTTTTTTTCTTTTCTTTTATTCCCCCCAATTTAATAGCTTGTTCGTTCCTGAAGCATGTGTCTTAGATGTTCTAGGCAGTAAGTGGTGGATGGCAAAGTCAGTGCTGAGATCACCTGAGACTGGAGGACATTTCGGTGCATAGAAGGCTGGGGTCAGTGCTGCACAGGACAGACACATCTGAGGGAGTGGACTCAGCCTGGGAGTGAAACTCTATTCTACGGGGGAAACATTCTGGGTAGCCATTAAAACTGGTACTGTCTTACTTTCCTCTTGGGTCCTGCTGAAAACTCTCTGTGTGACCATGTGCAAGCCATTCCTCTCTTCACCCTCAGTTTTCTCATCCATAAAATCAGTTGGTTGGTGGCAGCAGTTCTCAAACTTTTTTTTTTTTTGAGATAGGGCTGCACTCTGTCGCCCAGGCTGGAATGCGGTGGCGTAATCTCGCTCACTGCAACTTCCCTGGCTCAAGCAATCCTCCCACCTACTTTAGTCCCAAGTAGCTGGGACTAAAGGCGTGCACCACCAAGCCCAGCTAGTTTTTTCTTTTTTCTTTTTTTTTGGTAGAGATGGGGTTTCGCCATGCTGCCCACTTAGTCTCAAACTCCTGAGCTCAAGCAATCCACCCGCCTTGGCCTCCCAAAGTGCTGGGATTACGGGTGTGAGCCACTACGCCCGGCCTCTGTGTATCAGAATCTCCTGCAGGGCCTGATGAAACACAGACTGGGGGGCCCCACCCCCAGATATTCTGATTCAATAGCCTGGGAATTTGCATTTCTAACAAGTTCCTGGGTGCTGCTGCTGCTGCTGCTGCTGCTGCTGGTCCAGGGTTACACTTTAGGGACCACTGTCTAGATGGTGTCTAAACTCTCTAGGAGACTGGACAATTTTTGTTTTTATAATGCCCATATGGCATTGTGGGAAGCAGGATCGGTGGGGTTTATGAGAGGATCTTGGGCTCTGAAAGGCATAGTAGTATCAGCCTTAACTTACAACATCTAAATGTCTATGTCCCAGGGCCAGATGCTTGGAAAGTCCCCCAGCTCCACTTTGCGTCTTCACTTCCCTTCAAGTCACCTACTGCTCAGTAGCAAATAGTGCACAGGGTGACTTATACCTTTTCCATTCTACAGCATATCTGGCTATGTGTTCATATTCCTGACAATCATTTTGATGAGGAAGAAGTTCAAGACTAAAGGTAGGGCAATCAATCCATTACAGTGTGCCTGATAATGTCCTGGTCCTAAAATAGAAAACCTTACATCTTGGGGACTCCCTCAGTCCTGGGCAAATGAGAACAGTTGGTCACCCTAATTAATGCCAAAAATGATGTCTGGGAATTTTCTGTGGTTTTCTTTCATCTTATGCCCACAAAACCTGGAATAAACGTAGATAAACTCATTTTTTTTTTCTGGTAAGAAAGTAGGTAAGAAAGCTAAAGCTATTTGAACACCCTAATATCATATCCTTATTTGCAAATTAAGTTTTAAAGTCAACACCTAAAGCAAAAACTGATTACAGCAAACATTGCTCTTGACAGTCGTTTAAATTATCCACAGAGGGCTAGGTGTGTTGACTCATGCCTGTAATCCTAGCACTTTGGGAGGCCGAGGAGGCAGATTACTTGAGGTCAGGAGTTTGAGACGAGCCTGGTCAACATGGTGAAACCCCATCTATACTAAAAATACAAAAATTAGCCAGATGTGGTGGTTCACGGTTGTAATCCCAGCTACTCTGGAGGCTGAGGCAGGAGAATCACTTAAACCTGGGAGGCAGAGGTTGCAGTGAGCCAAGATTGCACCACGGCACTCCAGCCTGGGTGACAGAGTAAGTGAGACTCTGTTTCAAAAAAAAAAAAAAATTACCCACAGAGTCCAGTACGCATGCAACCCAATGTACTAATTCTTGCGTACATTAAAATTTGAGAGCTACTTAGCTAAACTAAAAGATGACAAAAGGAAAATCTCTGTATACATGCTTGGGTATTTTAACCAATTAGATCCCAGGCGGGTTAGTGGTGAGGAATGGAGAATGCTTAGGTGTTTCAGCTTATCGACTGGTTTCACTTCGTTTTGTGAGGTTAGTCAAACCTTAATAATTTTAATATGCGTTAACACATTTGTTTGCTGTTGTGAGTCTGAAGTGAAGCTGTCTCACTTGAGAGAGGCGTGGGGTTGAGTTTTAGTCTAGCAGGTGGTCTAACTGTGCACATATTATAACTGGACTACACCTTGATCTTCTCATTGTAGGAAAGACATGCTCCCCCAGCTTCAAAGGTCGCCTCTAGAAAATAGGTCAGTTTGTCTGCCAGGGTCTTATGGCAAGAAGAGATTAGACAAGGATAAGCTGCTTCTTAAAGTAATTCATGCTGCTTTCTGGGCAGCATTATTACAAGAACACCTTGCTCTGGAGGTTATATAAAATAGCCAAGCAGCAAAACTCTGTCTGCTAAGGTATTAAGGAAACATATTGGCCAAACTTCCCTTTGAAATAAAATGTCTCTATTCTGGTCATTTCAAGTCAAAACATGGCAACTGCGAAACCAAACAGGACATGGGTTAAAGAAGTCAGGCTGTAGGCAAATAATGGTTTTTAAGAAAGGAAAATGGTATAATACCTATAACCAGTCACTGCATAGGGCCTGTGATAGCCTAATATTAAATTTTAGAGCAAGTGGACTAATTTGTTTTTAGCCTAACCATATCTTTTTTCACTTTTCCTTTTATAGTTAAATCCTGGTACCTCTCACTAGACATATGGTGCCTGGAATACTGCAAAGTGCACAGCACCAGGCCCCGGCCCTCCCACACTTGGTCTTTCCCTCATCCAGTCCAAAGGGAGACTTGGGGAGGCTCATTCCCTCCTTGCCTGTTTAATAAACATTTCCCTGTGATGTCAGCTCTTGCAAATGGCTTCCTGTGTTATCCTTTGCAATAAGCATATTTACCCTTTTTTTCTTTTTTTTTTTTTTTGAAATGGAGTCTCATTCTGTCGCCCAGGCTGGAGTGCAGTGGCACGATCTCAGCTCACTGCAGCCTCTGCCTCCCGTGTTCAAGTGATTCTCCTGCCTCAGCCTCCTGAGTAGCTGAGATTACAGGTGCCTGCCATCATGCCCGGCTAGTTTTTGTATCTTTAGTAGGAGGGGGTTTCACCATGTTGGCCAGGCTTATCTTGAACTCCTGACCTCAGGTGATCCACCCACCTCGGCCTCCGAAAGTGCTGGGAATACAGGTATGAACCACTGTGCCCTGCCATATTTACATTTTAATACAGGTCTTCAAAGACATTAAAAACTTAAGTAGCTACTATAATGGTGAGATTCTTGAGTGCCTAGAAGAGAGGAAATTAGGGCAGACAGTTTTTTTTCCCTCCATCCCTCAGACCACATAGGCTGGGACTATGATTGGGGAATTTTGTTGCTTTAAAAATCCTGGTAAGCAGTTTAACAGCTTTTAAAGTTTCTGAACTCATAGGTAAGGCTGATTGTGAAGAATTATGAGGAAGCATTTCATATTAGTTTATATGGTATTGAAACAAATGATACCTAATTATTGCCATTCACTTTTGTCAAGGATGACTTGTGCCCAGCTTTCCCTCTACTAAAAGGAGGCCAATGCAGTGGTTCTCAAAATGTGGTCCCTGGACCAGCATCAGCTGGGAACTTGTTAGAAATGCAAATTCTTGAGCCTCCAGCTCAGATCTATTGAATCAGAAACTCAGGAGGTAGGGTCCAGCGATGAGTTTTAACAAGGCTTCCAGGTAATTCTGATGCATGAGAAAGTGGGAGAAACACTGAGTTAATGGGCAATTAGGTGGTCAAATGTGGCGTAAAGGACAGGGCTGCAAAAGTGTGTGTGGGGTGTGTGTGTGTTAGCACATCAGGGACAGGCAGGGGAGCACTTTGACTATTCCCAAGCACAGTGTGAGGGCATGAGGAAATCCTTCTGTTCTTATCCTGGGATGAACCTCACATTGCTCTCTTCAGTACCTTTTTGCTGGCTGGCCTTGGGGCTGCAGGTGAACTTGGAGCATCACTACTGCCAGAGCAATAGTAAGACATTCGGCTGCAGTTGCGATCGGCGATCTAAAATACACAAACCATGGCTTAACAGTCAACCAACCATGGAAAGGTAAGCCAGACATCTGGAAATCACAACCTCAGAATTCATTTTTTTATACATATTTTTTTTCCTGGTTACAAAGGTAAAACAATTGCCATAAGTAAATATAAAACAAAGCAAAGACAGTGAAGTTATACCTAATTTTACTTGCTCTTGAGACAACACCCGTTAATAGTTTGTGTGTAGCAACCTACAGTTAAAAACTATTTAAGAATCTGGGCTGCTGAGTAGTCCCTTCTAGGAGTCTGTGACTTCAGGGGACGCCAGGAAAAAATGTGTGGGAACAGTGTCTCTCTGTGGTTTAGTACGGTACTGCACCACGCTGTCTCCTAAACACCAATACATTGTCAAAAACTACCTCTGAAGGGAAGTGGAGTGCTCATGCTCTATCAGACATTTTCTCCCCATGCAACAAAATAATTCGAAAATTGCTAACCCTGTCCACATAAAAATTTAATATTTTCATTTTATTAAAGAAAAATAGAAAGATCAAGGCTGTCAGTAATAGCTGCAGACCACTTCTTTCCTGGGTGATCAGAAAGTGGTATTACTGAAAGGGGCTTTCAATATGAGGCTGAGTTGTGTTGTGCTGGCAAATGTTTAACAACCAGTTGTCAGGGGGGTAGGGGTAATTTGTAGCATTTGCCAATTTTTGTGCCACAAATACTTTCATCATAACTGATTTCAATCTACCAACACGATGTCATAGAAATGCAGTGTGGTAGCAAACCATTATATAATATTTCCATCACACAGACACAGTAAACGTAAAGAAGGAAGAACTTAGATATTGTAGCATATAGTGAAATTATTAGGAAGGGACTAGGTTTACCTTTTTAAAGTGAACTTTTAATTTTGAAGTATAAGTTGTATAGTTATTATTAGATTTACAGAGAAGTTACAAAGGTAGTATTTCTTATATGACTTTCATTGCATTTCTCTTAATATCTTTTATAGTAAGGTACATTTGTCAAAACTAAGAAACTAACATTGATATGTTACTATTAACTAAACACGAACGACTCGGATTTCACCAGTTTTTGCACTCATGTCCTATTTCTGTTCCAGGATACAATCTAGCATACCACATTGCATTCAGATTACCTTTGTTTTTAATATAACTTATTTAATTTTAAGTTTATACGATTTAATTTTAACAATGTCTGTTTCAAAACTGGCTCAAAAAATTCTGGAAAACTAAGCAATCAGCTTTTGGGAACAGGTATGAGCTCACTCCAGCACATCCCTGAACTGATTTTTGTAAGTCAAAAAGGATAGAATACGAATAATTCCTGATGGCTCAAACTACAGATCATCAGCATCTCAGGGGGTGAATCCAGTGGTTTTTTCATTTATTTTTTATTTATTTTTATTTTTTTAGACGTAGTCTCGCTCTGCTGCCCAGGCTGGAGTGCGGTGGCACGATCTTGGCTTACTGCAAGCTCCGCCTCCCGGGTTCACGCCATTCTCCTGCCTCAGCCTCCTGAGTAGCTGGGATTACAGGCGCCCGCCACCACGCCCGGCTAATTTTTTGTATTTTTAGTAGAGACGGGGTTTCACCGTGTTAGCCAGGATGGTCTCGATCTCCTGACCTCGTGATCTGCCCGCCTCAGCCTCCGAAAGTGCTGGGATTACTGGCATGAGCCACGGTGCCCGGCCAAATCCAGTGTTTTTAAAAGACCCAGGGTAGATGGTTCTTAAGTTCATTCAGGGACCAGGACCTCTGCAGAGATGAGGACATGAGGCCCAGCACAGTTACATGACTTTCCCATGGCCACACAGCGGGGCAGTATTGGCGCCCAGCCCCAAACCCTGGCCTGCAGATTTCCTTCCTCACACCACACAGTGTCAAGTGGCTGGAATTTGTAAGGGTGAAACTGTGTCTGTGTCTAAACCTAGAGATTTTGATTTCTCTTTATCAGGGGAAATGATATTACTCTAATAGCTCGGCCACCCTGAGGCCACAGATCATTGGAGAAAAAATTCAGGCTAAGAATTCATCGTGGTAGCTTTGTGAGTAGATTAAAGACTGTTGGATCGTATACTCCATCTTTTAAAAAAGGGTGAATTTTATGGTATGTGAATAATATCATAATCTTTAAAAAATTCCTAATGAGAGACAATCTACAAAATACTTGACCATTACTCCTCAAAACTGTCAAGGTCATGAAGAACAAAGAAAGTCTAAGAAATTGTTTCCAGCAAGAGGAGCCTATGGAGGCAAGACTGCAAAATGTAATATGGCATTCAGAATGGGATCCTGGGACAGAAAAAGGACATTAGAGAAAAACTGAGAAGGTGTGAATAAAGATGAACTTAATGAATAATATTCCATGAATATTGGTTCACTAATTGTGCCAAAAGTACCATTTGAATGTAAAATGTTAATAAAGGAGAGACTGGGTATAGAGTATATAATTCCGTAACTCTAAAACTGTTCTGAAAGTAAAGCTTTACCATGAAAAAAATAAAGAATTCATAGAGGGAAAAACAACATAGGGCAAGCCATCAACCCTCTCAGGATGTCAGTTTTTATATGCTTGTAAAATTTGGCATTGCTCCTTGGGATTTTTTTTTTTTTTTTTTTTTTTTTGAGACGGAGTCTCACTCTTGTAGCTCAAGCTGGAGTGCAGTGGTGCAATCTCGGCTCACTGCAACCTCCACCTCCCGTGTTCACGTGATTCTCCTGCCTCAGCCTCCTGAGTAGCTAGAATTACAGGGACCCGCCACCATGCCCAACTAATGTTTTGTATCTTTTTTTGAGACAGAGTTTTGCTCTTGTTGCCCAGGCTAGAGTGAAATGGCACAATCTTGGCTCACTGCAACCTCTGCCTCCTGGGTTGAAGCGATTCTCCTGCCTCAGCTTCCTGAATAGCTGGGATTACAGGCATGTGCCACCACGCCTGGCTAATTTTGTATTTTTAGTAGAGACGGGGTTTCACCATGTCAGCCAGGCTGGTCTCGAACTCCTGACCTTGTGATCCACCCACCTCGGCCTCCCAAAGTGCTGAGATTACAGGTGTGAGCCACCGTGCTTGGCCAATGTTTTTATTTTTAGTAGAGACAGGGTTTCACCATGTTGGCCAGGCTGGTCTTGAACTCTTGGCCTCAAGTAATCCGCCCGCCTCGGCCTCCCAAAGTGCTAGGATTACAGGCATGAGCCACCATGCCCGGCTGTTCCTTTGGACTTTTTTGTGAGATAATCAATCTGTGGATGTTAATGAACGTAAGAGGTAGGTATTAAAGAAACAAAACTAAATTAAAGGCAACCTTTCCAGGTATCAAAAGTTAAAGCTATTTTTTTTCCTTGAAAATAAAATGCATGGTTTAGCCACATGACTCCATGTGGCTAAACCCCTGATGCTTTAAAACTTTGCTACCCAAGCTAAGTAGTTCTCAGCAAATCCTCAGATGCTGGTCTTGCTGCTGCATCTGTCAGAATGGTCTTAATCTGTTCTAAAGAACGTTAATCACTCCAAAGCTGAGCATTAAAGCATCCGACCAGCATGGTGGGCAGCAGTAGTGGTTGCTTCTGTGTTACTTCTCCAAGTTTTAGTTAAAAAATAAAAAAGCCTGTGTCCCCTTCCACGGTTTGACATCTTTCCTACCTTTGAAGACATGATGTTCTTCACTTCCTCGTCTGCTGCGGAGTGTGTCCCCGCGAGGTCTGGGTTACTGCTGCTCATCACCCGGGCCTGCAGCAGCTTTGAACTCACAGCAGCAGCTGATGTGCGGCCATACGTGTGGTAGCTCCGAGGGTCTAGGAGGGCAGTGGGAGCGCCTGCACCCCACCAGGCAGAGACATGTCAACAGACAGGGGAACAGAGTTACTTACTGAGTTTAAGAAGGAATTGAAGAGGGATAGGGTGGATGAAAAGCCACCGGATTAGGCCTTGGAATTAGAGACTTCTTAACAAATCCTGGTTGGGGTAGGAGGCAATCTTTTGGAGAGAAGTAGATGGGGCATAAGGCACCAGGGAGTGGTGGAGATCATGGTAAACAGCCAACACATGCCTCTTACAAAGGCAGGGGGTACTACTGGCTCCAGTCTATTACTGCCATCGGGAAATGGACCCCAGGGTTGCTAGAGCTTCTGATTTCTCATGAGAAGCTAAAAATGTGGATATTTTTAATTTGTCAATATTTAAATGACAACTTTACAATTCATGCAGTGAGGTTTTCTCAGATTCAAAAATCCATAGAGTCATCTGAACCTTGTGAGGATTACGGTATATGATGTATACAGCACTGTTTTTCATCTTTAAATGTTGACATGTTTTCACAAGCGGTTATGGAAATCTATGAGATATTACTATTTAATTTTTTTTTTTTTTAAGACAGGGTCTCACTTTGTCCTCCAGGCTGGAGTGCAGTGGCATGATCTCAGCTCACTGCAACCTCCGCCTCCCAGGTTCAAGCAATCCTCTTGCCTCAGCTTCCCGAGTAGCTGGGACTACAGGCACCCGCCACCACGACTGGCTAATTTTTGTAATTTTTATAGAAATGGGCTTTTGTCACGTTGCCTAGGCTGGTCTTGAACTCCTGAGCTCAAGTGATCTGCTCACCTTGGCCTCCCAAAGTGCTAGGATTGATTACAGGCATGAACCACCGCACCCAGCCACATCACTAGTATTTTTAAAAACTCAATCAAATTTTCAGATTTACTAGAAATGAGGCTGCACAGACCAACAAAAGTGTCATGTTTATTTGGGCCTGCAATTTTGTGAACTCACTGACACTAATTTTTATATCATGCTGACAAGAAGTTCTACTTGATTATTACTTATGTAAATAATTAAGAAGAGTTGGGGAAATGCATTACTATTATTTCAATAGTTCAGTTTGAGGGAAATGTGAAAAGGGATTTTTTTTAATAACAAAAAGTTTAAGAACCACTGCCATTGGATATATATTATTTCCTTTATTATACTAGAATCGTAGGCATCAGTCACCACTTCTCCATCTTAAAAAAGAGATTCTCAGCTGAATCATAAATTAGCAAGTGGGTAAAGACCAGTGAGGGATTATCAAATGGGCAGACAAAATAAGTGTTTAGAGCATAAAAAGAGGCAAGGAGGGAGGAAGAAAGATCTATAAAGAAACACATAATTTCAGCATTCATGTAAGTTTTGTATTGTCCTGAAAACGAAAATGGAATTTTAGGGTGTTTGTTTGTTTGTTTGTTTGTTTTAAGAGATGGGATCTCGCTCTGTTTCCCAGGCTGGAGTGCAGTGGTGCAATCATAGCTCACTGCAGCCTCCAACTCCTGGGCTTAA
The DNA here is from genome assembly GCF_000001405.40 of Homo sapiens. Taxonomy (NCBI): domain Eukaryota; kingdom Metazoa; phylum Chordata; class Mammalia; order Primates; family Hominidae; genus Homo; species Homo sapiens. Next base: position 381,017 of record NC_000009.12, on the reverse strand, counting down.
ATGATCCTCCTGCCTCAGCTTCTTCCTGAGTAGCTGGGACTAAAGGTATGTGCCACCATGCTCTGCTAATTTTTATATTTTTTGTAGAGACAGAGTCTCATTATGTTCCCTGGGCTGGTCTCCAACTTCTGGCTCCAAGCGATCCTGCCATCTCAGCCTCCTAGAGTGCTGGGGTTGCAGATGTGAGCCACTGCTCCAAGCGATCCTGCCATCTCAGCCTCCTAGAGTGCTGGGGTTGCAGATGTGAGCCACTGCTCCAAGCGATCCTGCCATCTCAGCCTCCTAGAGTGCTGGGGTTGCAGATGTGAGCCACTGCTCCAAGCGATCCTGCCATCTCAGCCTCCTAGAGTGCTGGGGTTGCAGATGTGAGCCACTGCTCCAAGCGATCCTGCCATCTCAGCCTCCTAGAGTGCTGGGGTTGCAGATGTGAGCCACTGCTCCAAGCGATCCTGCCATCTCAGCCTCCTAGAGTGCTGGGGTTGCAGATGTGAGCCACTGCTCCAAGTGATCCTGCCATCTCAGCCTCCTAGAGTGCTGGGGTTGCAGATGTGAGCCACTGCTCCAAGCGATCCTGCCATCTCAGCCTCCTAGAGTGCTGGGGTTGCAGATGTGAGCCACTGCTCCAAGCGATCCTGCCATCTCAGCCTCCTAGAGTGCTGGGGTTGCAGATGTGAGCCACTGCTCCAAGCGATCCTGCCATCTCAGCCTCCTAGAGTGCTGGGGTTGCAGATGTGAGCCACTGCTCCAAGCGATCCTGCCATCTCAGCCTCCTAGAGTGCTGGGGTTGCAGATGTGAGCCACTGCTCCAAGCGATCCTGCCATCTCAGCCTCCTAGAGTGCTGGGGTTGCAGATGTGAGCCACTGCTCCAAGCGATCCTGCCATCTCAGCCTCCTAGAGTGCTGGGGTTGCAGATGTGAGCCACTGCTCCAAGCGATCCTGCCATCTCAGCCTCCTAGAGTGCTGGGGTTGCAGATGTGAGCCCCTGCACCCAGCATAGGATGTTTTATTTTGGATTACACTGCAGTGGGGTGGAGGTGGTGTTGCCCCGCCCACCAGAGTCCCACACTCAGGGCAACTCTACCTGACTTGGGCACATCCCTTTGCACCTCTGGCAGGCGGAAGACGTAGTGCACGTAGGAAGCCAGCAGGCAGTTCCTCCCATGCTGGTCCTTGCTCAGGTCCTTGCTGTTGTGCAGACTGTTGGCGATGGCCACCACGGACTCGAAGGCAAACTGGGAGAAGTTGGCTGAGGAACCAAGAGAAAAATGGGTAGTCCCACAGCTGGTCCTTAAGGAGCCTGAGGTGGAAGTTTCTCCAGGACAGTGACAATGAGTCCTGACCGCTGACCAATTTAACTAGGCCTGGGAAGGGTAGATGGTTTTGGTGAGCTCTGGCATGCTGGCTCTGAGTACCACAGATGCCTCCACATTCCCTCTTTTGAACTTCCTCCTCCTGCCACTGAATAGCATTGATGGTTTTTAATGACAAAGACATAAGACTGTCCAGACGTCCTCCTTCTCTAAGCCAGGTTGTAAACTGATGCTACTCAGTGGGGGCTGCGGACACACACGACCACTATCACCTGCTTGCTACTAAGAAATGCAGAATCTCAGGCCCCACCCCAGAGAGTGTATTAATCAGGTTCTGCATCTTTACAAGATGCTCACGTGACTGTTGTGGACACTATGATTTGAGATGTGCTGCACAACCCTGATTCTTGTACAGATTAACCTAAAAATGTCTGCATATCAAGTCATTCCCACAGTGGGCCCATACACATTTGATTTACTGCATAGAACCTCTTGTTCTGGTGCCCTAAGCCTCTATAGTTTGGCTCCAATATACTTATCTAACCTTGTACCCTTTTTGGCTCAGTTCGACATCCCTTAAAATGAGGCAGTCATTGTATTGTCCCATCATGCCTGCTCTCTTACCTCTGAGACTTTGCTCATGCTGTTGTCCTCGCCTAGGAAGCCCTCCTCACTCCCATCCACAAAATCATACCGACCCTGTGAATCTCAGCACAAGTCCCACCTCCTCCATGAAGCCGTCTGACTCCACACAGTACAGGGCTCAAGTGAAACTGAGTTACATGATTCTCCAGCCATGTCTGGTGGTAAACTGTCTGTCTGTGAAAGCTGGAATCCTTCCCATGCGAAGTGCATTTCTCACATCTTTTGTGCCCCCACTGTGCTTTCCATTGCAGAGACACAGAATAGGTTCTGAATAAATGCTTGTAGACTAGCCACCTCCACTTATTCTGCCTATGCCAACACCCTGTGGTCCTCACACCACAAGGTGGCAACTTGCTATGGAGAAGCTGCTCAAAACATATAAATATTTTTGTCTGGTGAACAAGTCTGTATTAACTAGCTGGAACATACAAAGCAGTGTGCCACATATGCGGGGGCACAGAAAGTAATCGAAGGAGGGCAGAGCTCTGCAAGAATCTAGCTGGAGAGGCAACTGCTACATGGATGAAAAGTTAGCCTCCAACACAGGACGTTTGATCTGTGGAACCACAGAAGATGCATATCAGGGTGCAAAGCAGAGTGAGAGATTAAGGGGACATGCCCCTCCCTGGCTCTAAAAGCCGTCTCACTTCATTGTCCCAGCCCACTTCCACACGTGCTTCTGTTCCACCACCAACTGTGCTACTGACTTTCTTCCTGACACTCCCACACTTTTCTGGTTCTCTGCAGTGCTGCACTCATCTCATTGCCCCTATTCTGTCGGTTTTCACTCTATCCCTTCTTCAAGGCCATCTCTTTATGTGGACCTCCTGCATCCTCCCAGATGGATGTTTTCTCACTCTCTCCTTTGATACCACCCTCCCCACAACCACTGCAAAATTTAGCTGTGTCCCTTTGAGGAGTCTTGTCCTGTGCTGCTGACTCTTTGCCATATTATAAGTCCTCTGAGGTCTGAGATGCTCTTGGTTATTGTCACAAAGCCTACAACTTTTAGTACAGTACTGGGCATATGGATGGTACCCAAAAGACGTCTGCTGGACTGGAAAGCAAAGAGCTATATAGGCACAGCTGAAAATGGTGGCAAATAAAGATGCCCTATACCAGCCAGTCTACCCTGGAAGAGTTAGGAGAACCACTGGACTCTGGTCATGCCTCCAGGATAAGCTTTTGAGATTATTTCTAAGGGAAAATGTACACATTGTATTTAGTGTTAACTTGTTAAAAGTAAGCATTTAAAATAGACTGTAAGAGAGAACGGATGAGTTCTAGGGGGAGGGATGAATAGGGAGTGATGGGGTTTTATTTGGAGGTGATGAAAATGTTATAAAACTAGATTGTAGCGATCATTGCACAACCTTGTGACTATACTAAAAACCAATGAACTATACACTTTAAAATAGTGAGTTTATGTTTTAACTTTAAAAATTGATTGCATTGCATTTCAATGTAGAGAGTTCCTTCCCTCCATTTAACACAGGTTGTCTTACCTTAAAATGTTCCATTTCCTGTTAGTCAAGAAAACAAAAATATCTTCAAGGTAAAATAAATTCATCAATTACCAGAAATGGAATTTTAAAGACTGCCTATAATCATTTAATAAAGTTTACAAAAAGCTATAATATTAAGAACCCTATTTTAATGTTTCTTTTTCTTTCCAACATGCAGAGAGTCTCAAAAAAAAAATAGCATAAGACTTGGCCTCCCTTGAGCACACATCATCAGTGGAAAGGAAGATCACATTGTCTCTGGATTTCTGGAAAGTCATTTTTCATTAAAGAAGGCAATGCTTGCTTGCTCCTGCCTCCTCCCAGCCCAGCCCTGCAGGTTCATACCTGTCTGGCCAGCGATGACCATGGGCTGCACGGACAGCTGGAAGAGCTTGTCCAGCACCAGGTGCAGGAAGAGCACGAGCGGCTCCAGGCGGGAGGAGTTCAGGCAGATGATGCTGAGCTTCAGCTCATGCTCCAGCGCCATCTCGCTGATTTTCTGATCCAGCACGCGGATGGGGAAGGTCACCTGGCTCTCCAGGGAGTGGCAGAGGGTGAAGAACTTCTCCAGGTGGTTGTCCTGCGAAGGGAGAAGGCAGGCCTCATGGGGTTTTATACCATCAATGTTCACCAGTGGATTCACAAACACAATCGAATAGCTCTTTATGGGTAGAACCTCTTATCCAGCGTTTCAGACCAGAAGGTCTAAGACATGATGTTTCAGACCGAGGCTATGAACTTCTTTGTAGAATGTGGTGCATGAAGTTGAACGTTTCAATAATTATTAGCTAAAGAAGAAATAATTTTGGCTCTGACATGTTCTGTAAGCAGAGGTCAGCGTACCAGGTAAGCATACTGCCAAGAGAGAGGTCTCAGCAGATGCAGAACTCAGACAGTGGCAGGTAAAGGAGAGAGTACGGAATTTCTTTTTAAAAGCTGGCAAAGTGGCAGAGTTACAGAGGGAAAAGAAGTAACAGCAGATGAGAGTTTCAAATCAAGTCCCCCTGCAAAGTTTCTCCACCAACAGTGCAGATACTAGGTTCTTTCCTTTAGGTGCTCGGCGGTTTTGTAAGGTCTTTCTATTCCAATGACAAATGAAACCTAAAGAGGTTTGCATGTCCCCACAAAGAACTAAAGGGTTATTTTTTATTTATCTGTAGACAAGGATTTTCACTGATCTTTTATTGGCCTGTCCTTCAAAGGCTCCTCCGCTGCACCTTTACCTTCATGATTAACCTTGACATTCCTTACCTGGGTGTGTACAGAAGAAACAGCTTGCACTTCAATATTAAATACTCCCTTATGTCCTTCAGCCCACTTAATGGGAGGATTCTGTAATGGGACTTTCTGTGTTAAAGAGAAAAAAAAAAGATTAGCAATCCAATTCCCTTTTCTGATTACTAACAAGCAATGCAGACCAACTTGACTGGAAATGTCAGGGTTATACAAATACAGAACTCTCTTGAAAACTAATCTAACTGTTCTTGGAGTCAGGAGCCCTGGATTCAACTTCAATTCTACACCAAACTAGTTAATATTTATGTATTTATTCATTCCTTTTGAGACAGGGTCCCACTCTGTCGCCAGGCTGAAGTGCAGTGGTGCAATCACGGTTCACTGCAGCCTCGACCTCCTGGGCTCAAATGATCCTCCCGTCTCAGTCTCTGGAGTAGCGGGGACTACAGGCACACACCACCACACCCAACTAATTTTTCTATTTTTTGTAGAAATGTGGTTTCACCATGTTGCCCAAGCTGGTCTCAAACTTCTGGGCTCAAGTGATCTGCCCACTTCAGCCTCCCAAAATGTTGGGATTACAGGTGTGAGCCACTGTGCCCCGCTTCAAACTAGTTATTTTTACTTAGACGACTCAACTAAACTTTCTGGGCCTTAGTGTTCTGTTCTCATGCTGTGAGAAGAGGGCTGAACGGTGTAATCTGTCTCTAAGTTCCAAACCAGCATTGATGATTCTGGATTCTAGGAATTAAAATAAATTAAGATCCCAGCAATTTCCCCATTAATCAGAATTGTCAGGACAAAGTATAGAATATCTTTACAAGACATGAAATTTTAATACTTTTGAGTACCCGATATTACTTTCCCTTTCACCACAGTTTTTCCAAGTGTTTCCCACATGTTTCTAGGCCAGGTCGGCTCCTGCTTTAATTACTCAAAGTGACTCTTTTATACGTTTATATATCATTACCTTCGTAGGTCTTACAGACAGTTTCTTGCCTTAAATTCCCATTGAAATTGCATTCCTTTAGAGATGTCCTGCAGTGTTGAGTGAGGGCCTCGCCTAGGTTTGTATGTCTTTCATCATAATGAAAGGTAGATGTGTACAGGGGATGGAGACCTTTAAAGCTATCTGAAGCAGTCAAAAGCTGGGGCCCAAAGTGGGCTCTAGCCTACACACACGTTCTGTTTGAAGTATTAGGAACTTTAAAAAATTAATTACCAATATTTGAAAGCCTGAAAATTTCCTATAAAAGACTGCTTTTCTAACTTCATTTGAGTACTGGAAGAAATGAAAAAATTGGCCTTATATCCCAGCATGTCACCAATCTGCAGAGTGAAGAGAACAGCTGTGACCTTCAGATGGGGAAGAGACAATCTCCAGAGTGAACAGATGCCACCAGAACAAGGCATTCATTTATGTTACTCATCTGGATCCTGTGGGCACTTGAGTTTGCCATCTGTGATCTAAAATAGCACTGTCCAGTGGAAATATAACGTGAGCTATATATGTAATTTAAAATCATCTAGTGGCCACATTAAAAAAGTAAAAAGGGGCCGGGCATGGTGGCTCACACCTATAATCCCAGGACTTTGGGAGTCCAAAGTGGGAGGATCACATGAGGCCAGGAGTTTGAGACCAGCCTGAGCAGCATAGCAAGACACTGTTTCTAATGAAAAAAAAAAAAAAAATTAGCTGGGCGTGGTGGTGCATGCCTATAGTCCCAGCTACTAAGGAGGCCGAGGTGAGACGACTGCTTGAGCCTATGAGTTCAAGATTACAGTGAGCTGTGATCACGCCACTGCACTCCAGCCTGAGTGACAGAGCAAGACCCTGTCTCTAAAAAAAAAAAAAAAAAAAAAAAAACACAAAAGGACCATGTGAAAGTAATATTTCATTTAACTCAATACAGCCTAAAGACTGTTTCAATATGTAATCAATGTAAAAAATTATTAATACAATATTTCACATTTTTCCCCATGAAGTTTTTGAAATCTGTTGCATATTTTACTTATAGCACATATCTCAGTTTGAACTAGCCATATTTTCCTCAATAGCCACATACAGCTAGTGGCTATCTTATCAGACAGTGCAGGTTTAAAGGATACTAAGAGAGGCTAAGGGTATATCTATAAACACAGCATAGCGCAAGTAAGAAAAAGGAATTAATGTTTACTTAGGAATTGAGTTTGTTGTTTGGCAAGCATTATCTCATTTAATGCTTACAGCAACCTTATAGGCAGATATGCAGATATGGGCTCAGTTTCATCTTCGAGACTCAGAGAGGGTAAGCAACTCACCAACATTCACACAGCTAGGGAGTGGCAGAATCTAGACTTTGGACACAGATTTGTCTCTCTCCAACACTCAGGTCTTTCCTATAGCTTAAAAAGATAATAGGGGGTTCTAAGAAATTAGAGTGTGCAACTTGATGATAAGAAGGTGGTTTTGAGGGATACTGAAAGGTGTTGATGTCCAAATCATAAAGACCAATCAGGGAAATGTCTGTGGACATACTCGGATTGCCCCTTAGATGGCTTTGATGAGAGAAGTTTTGGTTTACCAGACACATGCCTGTGGTCCAGGGCAAAAGTTGGTTCTCTCTTTAAGGAAAAAAGAAAATAAGAGGAAAACAGCCGGAAGTGAGACGGTAGATGGCGAAAGAACAGAGAAGAAAGTTGACTGGAACGGTTGAAATTAAATTCAAATTTCTGAGAAATTCTTCAACTTAAAATTGCAAGGAAAGCAAAAGAGATGGAGGATCTGTAGATTAAAAGCGTCTCCAGAGATGTAACAATCAATATCAGTGTGTGGACCTTATCTGAATACCAATTTTAAAAAGCAAGCGTCAAAAATATAGCATTAGTGGGATAATTAAAAATTTGATCAGTGACTGAATATTTGATGATACTAAGAAATTACAGTTAAAATTTTAAAGTATGACAATGGTATTGTGATGGTTAAAAACAAATCCCTTATCTTTTAAGATGCAGACTAAAATGAAATATGATGTCCGAGATTTACTTCAAAATAATACTTATTGATGTAAACCTATGCAAGGAACTGAGAAGTGGGCTAGCAGTGTGACAGCTGGTGCAGTCAGGGTGGACAGTCCCCTGGGCTCCCTTTATTTATTTTTTATTTATTTATTTTGAGATGGAGTCTCACTCTGTCACCCAGGCTGCAGTGCAGTGGTGTGATCTCAGCTCACTGCAACCTCCACTTCCCAGGTTAAAGCGATTCTCCTGCCTCAGCCTCCCGAGTAGCTGGGATTACAGGCACCCGCCACCACGCCCGGCTAATTTTTTTGTATTTTTAGTAGAGATGGAGTTTCACCATGTTGGCCAGGCTGGTCTTGAACTTCTCACCTCAAGTGATCTGCCTGCCTCGGCCTCCCAAAGTGCTGGGATTACAGGCACCCAACAGCAGGCCCAGCTAATTTTTGTATTTTTAGTAGAGATGGGGTTTTGCCACCTTGGCCAGGCTGGTCTTGAAATCCTGACCTCAGTTGATCCACCTGGGCTTCTCTTTAAATGGGTGCACTGCAGCAGAGTGGATGAGCAAGAGAAAGTGCCAGAAACAGGAAGTGGGAAAGGCTATTGGCATTGGGATTGGTAGGAGAATAAATACCTTGGTATCTACCGGAGGGCTGTGACAACTGACCCAAGAAAGAAACGGATGAATCTGGCCTGGGAATCTTTTATAAGGATCCTTGATGGGAACAGTTGTTTACTATGAATGGCCTTAGTTTGCCTCCTCTTCTATAATACATTATTCTGGGAATCCCTCTGTGGTAGATAATGCAAGGTTATGCTGCCTTGGGTGTAGGTTGCGTCTACTGAACATTCTGATTTGGTGGCATTTAAAAGAATGAGGTTTCACAGTCAGTTATTCCTCCCATCCTATCAGAACAATGTGCTCTCTGAGAACATGATGAACATCCATGGCCACATGGGAATGGAAAGTGAGTCTGGGAAGGTGGTCCAAGACTACAGCTGGACAAGAAACAGCTGATGGCCAGCTTGCCAATTACCTCAGCAGAATGCATGGAGTAGTTGGGTGGCAATTTTTCCAAGGCAACTGGGAGACAGTAGGATCCAGTTTGAAGACGTTCATTTAAGAGAATTGGCAGCCACTGAAACAGATGATGTAAATAATAAAGTGGTATTTATTACAGCATATAATTCTGATAATTTATCTAGCTCGCAATAATCAAATGCAACTAAACAGTGAGTAGATATTGACCAGTACTCTTTTTGGCAGTAATTTCTGTCCAGTTCTTTGCATTTTAAATCTCCGAGACCTCCTGAAATGGTAATATTGATGATTTATTGCTTTTGGAGCTAAAGCAGTAGCATTTTTCTCTGTAGCCAATGTTTGTGTGTGTCTGAACAACATCAATGTTTATTTCACCTTTTATATCTTTTAAAGAAAAAATGGTTTCTTCTTGGGGGACAAAGCTAGTTCTATACGTGAAGCATGGATATTAAATTTGGAAATAGTGAACACTGCAATGCTTTTTAAAAAACAGATGAGTATTCTTCCAACATCTATCACCCGCTAGCTTTCCATTCCTGAAATTTGACATTTGCTAAGGCAAATCATTTCTGCCTCTTGCTATAATGTGGCTTAGCATGTTTTGCTACTTCTGACTGGAAAAAATCAAGTGAATAGAATTTGGTTGTTTATCTCTGCAGGGACCTCAGATGCACCAACAACTGCAGTGTGAGTCAGCAGGCTGGAAACAACTCACTGAATATCCCAGGAGAGTTTCCACGGAGGCTCCTTGCTTCTGCTGACAGCTGATATGGTAGAAGGTGAACAGGAGGTGGTGATTTACTGTGAGCTTAGCGGGGAGCTTAATTTTCACTTCTTCATAAAAGTCAGGAGACCTGTTTCAAAAGCACATTATACACAAATAACTTTTAGCAAGAATGATGACTTCTCTGATTGTAAAACGCCACAGCCCCTTTGCTCCTCAGAATTTGCCTGGTGTTTTGCTTTTCATTTTACATTACTCTGCTCTGAAGCTGGAAGTCCCTGAGACCAAGCTTATGTTATTAGATGCACTTCCCTTACATAAAACTGTTCATGAACTAAAGGCTTTGTCAGGAAAAACAAAAAACAAAAAACAAAAAACAAAAAACAACTCCCCCACACAATGGAAAACTCCAACAACTTAATTTGAAGAAAGGATGAGGTTTGGACTCCTGCTGTGACCTCCTTTTTCCATTTCTACCCAAGGAACCAAGCCTAGCACCTAGCTGCACTCATCAAAGAGTAGAAGCAAATGAATGAGGCAGGAGGAAAAAGGAACCAATTTAACTGCATTATGAAGCCCTAGGTTCTTCATTAATTACGAAGTACATTACGTACATTGTAAAGTAATGTAGGTATGTAATGTACATTACCTCACTTAATCCTCATCCCAATCCCAGAATGTGCTTAAATGAAGGACTTAATTAGGCCCAGGTTATCAGGCCCGGATCAAACCCAATTCCGTCCAACACTGTGCAGGTGTCTCTCCCTTCCCTGTGGAACATGAATAATAGGGTGGGCATTATCCCATGACTCCATTTGCCGGTGGAATAATGAGTGTTCCATTTCTCCTTTGGTCAGCCTAGGCAGACAGTGGGGCAGGTGTCAAGTGGAGCGGACAGGGACACACAGGGCAAGGGGAGCCGGACTGTGCTTCTGGTCCCCTCCAGGGTCTCAAAGCAAGTTAGGAAATGTGTTTCCTTAATTAACGTAATACAACCTCTTTGCATCATACTAGAATAGAAGCTTCTGGAAAAGTCAAAACTATATTGGATTCTTGAAGACACGTTCTTCTCTCAGTCTTGGTTAATGGCAAAGTTATACATCTTCAACACAGAGTCACGGAACTGGCATGGATTTCCTTTGCCCCTCAGTCCCTGAATTATAAAAATAGTTAGGAGGAACCACCCACGGGACTTGGAAAAACCAGGAGATGATGAAACCATCTTGGCATATATTTAGAATGCTGAAATAGACTTACTTATTATGGTATGTAACAGCTGTGTACACTTCCTGCAGAAATTCAGGCCCGCTGGATTTTCCAAAGATGACCTGTTCACCAGTAGAGAAAGGATCAAATTATCAGTAACATTTGGGTACATCAAATTGACTATCATCAGGCCAACAGGATGTTCTGGTCTCATAGAGCTGCATTTTGTACAATTAAGAGTGCTGGGTTGGCCAGGAGCAGTGGCTCACACCTGTAATCTCAGCACTCTGGGAGGTCGGCGTGGGAGAATGGCTTGAGCCCAGGAGTTGGAGACCAGCCTGGGCAACATGGCGAAACCTCATCTCTACAAAAAAATACAAAAATTAGCCAGGCGTGGTGGCACATGCGTATAGTCCCTGCTACTCAGGGGGCGGAGGCAAGAGGATCGCTTGAGCCTAGGAAGCAGAGGTTGCAGTGAGTCGAGATTGCACCATTGCACCCCAGCCTGGGCAAGAGTGAGATCCTGTCTCAAAAAGAAAAAAAAAAGTGCTGGGACTACAACTGGCCCAAGCACACCAGTGCAAAGGAACTGGCTATGAAGGGTGAAATGAGGTTCCAAGGGGCTATATTAGTGACCAAAGGCCACATGTTTGTGAGATTAGAAAACCAGTACTCTCTCCACTCTGCCTCACTGCCTAGAGGTCTATCCAACAGGCCAAAGTTACATACTTTTGTCTTGAGTGAGAAATCCCCAGTTCCAGGTTCTTCTCTCTCAAACATACAGACCTACTCACTTAGGTGATTTGAATCTCCACTGCCTTATCCACATTTGTGCCATTTAGAAAAAGATACCTCCTTGGGCCTGAAGCAGCATTTAGGATGCATTATGAACAAGTGCACTCACCTTTGTGCAGAGAAAAAAAGCTCTTTCCTCTAGATGCAGTAATCCCAACACCAGAACCCATGGCTCAGTGAATGAAGAACAGACTGGACTTTAGCCCACAGTCACTCTTGGCTGGGCATCTTGGTTGCCACAGGATCTGCACAAGCATATCTGGCACTCCTGGCAGTGGCATGCCAGGGGCCTGAGCAGAGAGGACTAAGAGGACCCCACCGCTGTCTTAAGACACCTTGCATTGGGAAGACAGGTGGGACGTTAGGAGAAAGGTTTTTTTTTTTCTTTTTTTCTTTGGGTGGGACATTAAGAGAAAGGATTTTTTTCTTTTTCTTTTTAGAAAGGTATATTAACTGCGTGCAGTGGCTCACGCCTTTAGTCCCAGCACTTTAGGAGGCCAAGGCGGGTGGATCAGCTGAGGTCAGGAGTTTGAGACCACCCTGGCCAACATGGTGAAACCCCATCTCTACTAAAAATACAAAATTAGCTGGGCGTGGTGGCACGCGCCTGTAATCCCAGCTACTTGGAAGGCTGAGGCAGGAGAATCACTTGAACTTGGGAGGTGGAGGTTGCGGCCATTGTACTCCAGCCTGGGCAAAAAGAGTGAAACTCTGTCTCAAAAAAAAAAAAAAAAAAGAAAAAAAGAAAGAAAGTTATATTAACTGAATTCTATGACTTATGGGAAATAGTAATAGCTAACCACCATCTCATTTAGTAGGAGATGGTTTAAAAAGTATAAATTCTGGCATTTTGAGTTCCTTGGAGCACACTGCATTTTATATATATATATATATATGAATAATTTGATTTATATTTTGCCTCAGAACAAAGATCCACTCCTAGAAGGTGTGGAGGTGGTGTGTGTTTATAATTACTAGGCGGTACTTTGTATTCATCAGCACTGTGGTCCGAGGCTTGAGTAAGTGTGTAACACTGTGTGTGTATAACACAGTGTGTACAGTTTGTGCATGGAAGACACTCAGCAAACATGGCGCACGTGTTGAGCCATCTCTTTACTTTGTATGCCTTTAGAGTGGGGTGGTCCTATGGGCAGTATGGAAAGACTTTATGACTTTTTTTAATCCTCTAAAATGATCTGTATGTTCCAAGCTCACTACAGAATAAGCCGAGAAAGAGATCGTCAAGTAAGACTGACCCTGTTTCCCCACTGATATCCTGGGCACAGAAGCCCTTGCACATGCTGAGCAGTATTGGCCTGGAATAGACGGACTTTGTACACTGATGAGTCCCGGACTTGTGTGAAGTGACAGGGGTGAGCAGCCCACCCTGATTTGAGGCAAATGTTCGTTTCCCTCCTTACCGGCATCGCATTGCTAGCATCTTCTCCACACATAAACTGGATCTTTATTGTAATGTTCCGGGCTGATGCTAGTTTGTTTACAAAGTTCAGCCTCTGTGGGTAGACATAGAGAAGGTTTCTGGAAAAGAAGAGATAAAGAATCAATGAAAAAGGTCTAGAGTTTATTTTAACTAAGTTCTTCAGCAAATGCTGAGACTTCCATTCATGGGGTGCTTTTTCCAAAGAAGTTTTTCCTCTCAGAAGTGAATTATTATTGGGGGGAGTGAATTACTTGATTCTTCCTCTTCAGCTACAGTCATCTGAAAATAACCCCCATCGCTCTCTGTTTTGCTACAAGTAAAGATGTGTCTGCTGCAGCTTAGAAAGTCTTCATGTCTTGGAATGTGGAAATCTGCCTAGAGGTAATTGTCTATCTGATACACAGATAAAGAAGGCAAAAAAGGTCCAGCTCATTTTAAATAAAACTCATGGCCATAGATAATGGCCTACTTGTCATTCTTCTCTTTTTTCTTCCTAATCTTTATGTAATAGTTTCCTTTTCTTACTGGCATGGCACTCGTATTGGCTTAGCTTTCTGTTCTTATCTAAGATGGCAGCTCAAACCTCCAAGCTCAATTACTGTAAACGACAACAACAATAAGAATAATATATCCATCCATTTGACAACTATAGGACAGGTACTAGGCTACCCAGTGCCTGGGTAACTTGCATATATTTTTCTTTCTATTTGCATTATTAGTAGTAGATTCCACTACAGTGTAAGTTCCACAAGGACAGGGATTTTTCTCTCATGTTTTTGATTCACTGATGTATCTCCAGCACTAGAACAGTGCCTAGGACACAGGAGTATTAAGTAAGTGTTTGTTGAATGAAGGAATGAGTGTACACATAATTGATGAAGTATATTCCTGGCTTGAAGAAACAATAATAATGATACTAACATTTAAACAGGACTTATCCTGAGTCAGGCCAATGTTCCAAATACTTCATATTTACTAATTTGTTTAATTCTCATAGCTATCCTATAGGTTGGTACTATTATCATTGTCATCATCCCCATGTCACAAGTGAGGAACAAATGAGATACAGAGATGTTAGGTAATACACCCCATATCATATAACTAAATGGCAGAGCGGGGAATTCAACCCAGACTGTCTAGTTCCAGAGTCATGCTCATAACCACTGTATTCTCTCAGATAAGAGCCCTGATAAGCATGGCCTTTCCATACTGTGCTATCCTGACATCTCTCAGGGACAAGTTTGCCTTAATTTTCTAGGTATTAACAGTGGCATGTCAACCTGCATTTCCCAGCCTGTCCCACAGAGCCCTAGTGCTCTGCAAAGTGTTAACAAGTGTATGGGGAAGGTAGGGGGCGTTGAGCAAAAATGTGCTTGGGAAAGAGCAAGGCAAAGCGAGATAAACAGGTTACTGTGCACTGAGAATGCCTCAGAAGGAGAAAGACTCTTCTTTCCCCAAATGTTTTGACCTCAGAACTCCTTTCATTTATTTATCCTTTCATGGTAGCTTTTATGAATTTAACATTCTGAGAAATTATTTGGGGACACATTGAGATAAACTTACCTAGTCACAGAAGAACATCCCACATCAAGGAAAGAAAAGTTAGGGCACAGGGATTCTCAAATCTCTTGCAAAATAATGAATGCTCTCAGGTATTCGAGAGGAAAAATGATAATTGGAACAATCAAGAACACACAGGAGCCGTTACGTTGGATGTGCAAGTTCAAAGGCCATGGAGGCAAATAAATAGTATTCCTAGGTCTTATTTTACCCTCATCTCTCTATTTTGGGTGACTCCCTGGAGGCAGAATGGGGCTGGCCTGGTGCTGGGAGCAAGTATGAGTTGCTGTACCCTGTGACTTTCTGGGCTGATATGTGACAATACTCAATGAGCTTCAAGTATCAGTGAGGTGCAGATGGTCTTCCCAGAAGAGTAGATGACAGGCCATGTCACAATGAAGGGATCAGCATAGAATTCTGGGGTGCTCAGGCCAGGAGGCACCTAGACTGAGCCCCAACTTTTAAAGATGAGACACATGATAAACGAGCCACAGAGCAGGCAGAGGCCCACTGCAGGGCTGTTTCTACTCAGCCACTGGCTGACTTAGCAGCACTTCCCAAATCGTGCTCTGTCTAAACAGAGGCAGAGCCCAAAACCCTGATGCAGGTCGGTAAGACTGAGCCACTGATGCTGTCAGGAGTGGACGTGGATATAGTAAATGATGATGGAAGACAGTTGACAGTTGGGGTGCAGGGATGTGTGTGGGGTACAGACCCCTCTCTGCTCACTGTTCACTTCTGTTCATCTCCACTGCCACCAATCAAATAAGCAGAGCTAATGTCTGTTAAGCGGGATTGAGGGTGTTCTCTCTGGAGGCAGAGAGCTGAGATTTGAATCCAGCTTTTGCTTCTTTTAGCTGCATGGCCTTTGGCAAGTTACTTAGCTTTTCCAAAGCATAATTGCATCGACCTCAAAGGGCTGTGGTGAGCATTAATGAGCAACAGCTGAAACCTGGAAGACTTCTCTGAAAAAAAAAAAAAGCCTTCTCTGAACAGATAAGTTTTATGACTAGCAGTAGACTTCTATTATTATCATTACTATAATAGAAGCATGATATATGCTTCTAAAGGCATGATTTTTGAGAAGTGACTTACTTCTGTACCTTATCAAGTACAAACTCTGTAAACCTACAAATGTGAACACTGAAAACATACTGAAGTTATAGAGCCCCCTAAAAACATACATGATAGTTATTATGATAATTATTTCCTCCACATGGCTAACAAGTCAGACCCACACTCCAACTTACCTTGTCCCTGTCTCTCCACTCTGAACCATCCTCATTCTCACCTGGACCCCTGCAACGCCTTCTCAATAGATCTTGACTTCTACACTTGCCTCTTACAATGTTCCTCATATATTGGTCAGAAGGATTTTTCAAAAATGTAAAATAAATTATGTCAGTCCCCTACAAGGGTTTCCCAAACTTTTCGTCATGGGTCCTACATGACCTTGCCCTTGGCAATGGCTCTGACCTTATCTTTCATCATTCTCCCATGCTGGCCTTTTTTCAAAACCTAGAACATTCCAAACTTATTCCTTCCTTCGTGCCTTCTGTTCCCCAGAGGGCTTCCCCATTCACTAAATGGCTGGTTCTTCTCATCTTTGGGGTTGAGCTCATGTGTCATATCTTCTGAGGTCTTCCTACTGTTCTATTTGATTGGTCCATTCCACTTTCACACACACACTCCCTCTTTCATAATCATATGATTATCTTAACAGAAATGACTATGAAAGCAATATGTGCCCATTTTTTCAACCTTGCATAACATAAAAGTACATAAAAGTATAAAGAAAAGAATAGCAACCACCCACTATATCATTGCTCCAAGGAAGATCACCGTTAAGACTTTAACACATTTCCATTTAGCCTTTTCCCTTCTACACATTAAACCTTTTTTTTTTTTTTTTTTCAATTTTTGAGACAGGATCTCACTCTGTTGCCCAGGCTGGAGTACAGTGGTATGATCATGGCATACTGCAGCCTTGACCTCCTGGGCTCCAGTGATCCTCCAGCCTCAGCCTCCCTAGTAGCTAGAATAGTAGGCATGCATCATGACCACCTGGCTAATTTTTAAATTTTTTGTAGAGACAGGGTCTCACCATGGTGCCCAGGCTGGTCTTGAACTCCTGGCCTTCAGTGATACTCCTGCCTTGGCCTCCCACAGTGCTGGAATTACAGGCACAAGTCACTATGCCCAGCCACATTAAACATTTTCATCATACTGTATGTACAAAGCTTTATCTTTTTTTATGCCACTAAACGTTGTTCAGTTATGACCATTTCCCTAATGTGACTATTCTTAATAAACATGATTTTAATGGGTGCATGGTATTGCATATTCTGAATATGCCATAATATATACTGGTCTCCTCTAAAAATAAGCGTTCAGGTCATTTCCTTGTTTCAGTTAGAAACCTGTGATGAACACTTTATATATCATGCCCCTCTGCAGTGCAGATACTTTTGGAAGAATCCCCTTATATTCTGTAATGCTCAGCTTCATCATCTTTGAATTAATTAAAAGGCGCCTATCAATCTTTCTTGAATGCTGTGTTTGAAGGAATAATGAGCCAGAGTTTGTGAAGGTGCTTTGAAGTAGCTGGATGAAAGGGACTGTGTAAATCATAACAGTAGTAGCCCTGCCAGACTGCTCTCACCACACTTGTCTCTTACACTCCAATACAGGGGCACCGCCACCCATTCCCATGCACCCCCACCACTGCTCAGCAATTTTGCATGTTGCTTCCAAAGGGGTTGCTCACCCCTGTATCCAAACATCACCACCACAGATATTCAGTGTCCTGCCCCACACTGCCAGCACTCCCCACCGAGCACACAGCTGGAAGGAAACTTCAAGATAATTTGGTCCAACATCCCATTTTTTGAAGGTCAGGAAACTAACATCCAGAAAGGTTAAATGAGTTTGCCTGGAATTTCTTTTAAGGAGATGCATTTCCTAAGGGTCATCATATTTCTAAATCAGTAAGAGTGCTAAGTAATATGTTTTGTTAAATCTGCATGTTTTTAAAGAAACGAATACAAGAGAATAATAACGTTTCCTTTTGGAAGGGAAGATCTGCCTGCATGGCCAGTAACCCAGAGCCCAAGCCAGATAAAAATAATGATTAACGAACGGATAAACAGGCTCATATGCTTCATACGTGATAAATTAAGGGTCTCATACTGGCCAGAGAATCATGTTATCTAAGTAATTTTGAGAAGACAGCCCATGACCTTAATAATTTGCCACTTGTTATGGCAAAGTTATTTTGAAAGTTTTCTAGGTAACTGAAGGTCCAGTGTATGTGCCAGGCATTTAGTATAATCTTATCTTTCCCCAAATGTGGACAAAAGTGGTTTTTTTCAGTCACATATACCACCGCATTGAGAACTGGACATTTGATAATCATCAGCGATTTTCCCTCCAGGGCCTCCTCAGATGGCTTTTCTTGATTACAAACTATTTTGGAAACTCCAAATTCTTTCCACTGATTTAGCAACGAATCCTCAACTTATTTTTAAACTGCTGTAATTGAGCAGCTCTGGGGGTTAACTTGTGGAGTCTGGTCACTTTTAGATCAAATTATCAACCAAACACTCTGCTCTTACCATCTTGGGACCATCTTCTATTTCTTTTGCTGAGAATAGGTTAACCAAGGGACCTTGAAATCATTCAAAGCCACAATACAAAAACATCACTTTGGCTTCTCCCAAGTTTATCCTACTCTTCATCTGGTGCAAGGAAACGAACAGAAAAACCGGACCCTGTTAATTATTCCCAAGATGACATCAATGTGCTCTTCCATGGCCTTCTACAGCTTGGAGCTGAGCTCAAGGAGCAAGGAGTTATAGCAGAAAGCACACTGGCCACCTGTTTAAGCGACTGGACCCTTTGAACACCTCTTTAGCTGAGCTTCTAGGTCAGCCAGCAGGAGAGAAGGAAAGAGGGCTTTGAGAGGAGAGAGGAGCAGCTCGACAAGAGGAGTGAAGGCCCCTATCAGCTGGCTGCTGAGCTCCAGTGTCAACTGGTTGCAGGGATGACCTACAGGGAGGGATTTAATGAGGAGCTGAAGTTGCTGGAGCAAAGTTGGAAGATGCTGCACCCTTTAAGGCAAGTGGGCTTCCAGTGACAAAGGTGATGGATGATGTCATGGTGAGTCAATCATTACTGATCATTTGAGTTGGCCATTATTTTAACAGATTGGCAAATAGGTCATGGGAATAGGGTTCATGAAGTTGGGGTTATTTCTTCTGTGAAAATAGCCTGGTTAAGAAGAGTGGAGGTGCAAATAAACCTTCACAATGAGAATGCGTATGCATCGGCCATTCCTGGTACTGGTAAGCTAAACCATGTTTTGAGTAAAAAACATTGTGTCACTGATACCCACATCTGCCAAGGAGAACATGGAGGACCAATCAGTCATGTGATAAAGACAGAATCCCAAGCCTTCTGTAATCTGAAAATATTTTACTTACAGGGCCTTAAAAATCTCAAAGAGAGCCAAAGTATTATCTGTAGTTGTTCAAGGTCGAACAACCCTTGCTGCTGCTTTTCCTGGGTATCTCTTTGAAAGTGGCACTGAGATGAGTGAAATGGCCAATACTCAGTGTATAATGTTGAGTGAAAATGCAGAAAATAAAATTTTATCTTTGACAGGGCTGTAAATATGCAAAAATTGAATATGCATGAAGGTTAGCAGCTAGAAAATGATGTGGGAAAGTGAAAAAAGTAGATTTTATTTCGAAATAAAATTGGTGTCAATTTTGGTTTTATTTTTGTTACTTCAATATACGGCCTGAAACAAAGTAGTAATATGAAATCTACGCCTTTTTTAAAAAAGGAGGAAACAAAGAAAAAATATTTGCTGATTTTGTGGGCTGCATTTTGCATCTTAGTAGCACCTGTAATTTAAGCTGCTTTTATACCAGGGGAGATGGGATTTATGGAGACTTGTGATTAGATAATGGGTGGAAATGTCCTTCAAAAAAATTGCAAAATGCTCTACAAATGTAAGGTGAACAAGTCAATCTCCTCATCTGTAATAAAACGGCTGGAGCCAGGTCTTAAACGCAATGATGCCTAAGAACTGCTTGAAAGCTGCAAAGTATGATACTAATTAAGATGATCTTCTTACCAGGATTGTGTGAACAAACGGAGTGCCTTTTAAAATGCAACTTTAAACATTCTGCAGGATTGTAAGATATTATATGTTACCTGGGAAGTCAATCAATCTGTCTGGGATCCTCTCTTCATTTTTCCATTTCTCTCAGTCTGTGTCTTTAATTTGTGTAAGTCTCTCTGCCTCTCTTTCAGACTCTCCCAGTCTCTATGTCTCTCTGATTAACATCCCCCTGCCTTCCTCTGTCACAGCCTCTTTTTTTGGAGATGGAGTCTATGCTCTGTTGCTTGGGCTGGAGTGCTGTGGCGTGATCACAGCTTACTGCAGCCTCAACTTTCTGGGCTCAAGCGATCCTCTGCTTCAGCCTCCTAAGTTTCTAGGACTACAGATTCAAGGCACCACAATGCCTGGCTAATTTTTTAGTTTTACTTTTTGTAGAGGTGAAATCTTCCTGTGTTACCCAGGCTGGTCTCGAACTCCTGGGCTCAAGTGGTCCTCATGCCTGGGCCTCCTAAAGTGCTAGGATTACAAGCCCAAGCCACTGTGACCAGCTGAAATGCTCTTTTTGAGGGAGCACTCCATTCCTCCCGCTCCATTTAGTGACTAAAATCCATTTGCTTACCAGTTACCAAGTGCTTGACAATTTCCTACTCTGAGCTGAGGCTGAGGTTTGGACAGGGCCATTTAAGCTCTCAGGATGACAAACACAGCACCTAGGATCTATGAACAACTTAAGATTCCACAAAAATGTCTGAGATTCCAGAAGTTATTGGCTCTAAAAATATGAAAAGTAAAACCTCAAAACCGAAATCAATAAATTTTTAATTAAATGCTTACCAAATGCAAAATTTTTCAGTTAGCCAATGGCAACTCTTCTGAGTTTAACCTGAAGGCAAAAATTTTTTCCTGCTACTTTGCAGACTGTTATAAAATGATATACAAAGTATACATAATACAGTAGGTACATCTTAATATGTTTTAAATAACATGTGGTCTGGTGCTTCCAGCTTAGGGAAATCTTAAAAATGCCTTGGGTATGGATATTCGGGGAAGGGTATAAAATACCAGAAAAATCAGTGTTTCTATTTTATTCTTTTTTTTTTTTTTTAAATTTTGAGATGGAGTCTTGCTCTGTTGCCCAGGCTGGAGTGCAGTGGCATGATCTCAGCTAACTGCAACCTCCACTGCCCAAGATCAAGCAATTCTCCTGCCTCGGCCTCCTGAGTAGCTGGGACTACAGGAGCATGCTACCAGGCCCGGCTAATTTTTGTATTTTTAGTAGAGATGGGGTTTCACCATGTTGGCCAGGCTGGTGTCGAACTCCTGACCTCAAGTGATCCGCCCGCCTCGGCCTCCCAAAATGTTGGGATTACAGGTGTGAGCCACCATACTTGGCCTATTTTATTCATTTTTTAACAGCTTGAAACACAAGTGTTGTTTTGATAGTAAACTACTAGCAACATGCAATTCTGATACAACACCAATGAAACAGGTTTATACATAAAAAGCTCTGTTTTTCTAAATAAGCTCTTTCAGCCAAACAATTTTGGCAATTTCAAAGTAATTTCTTTTTCTTCATTTGTGTTTTAAAATTCTCCCTCTGTAATTTTTTTTTTTTTTTTTTTTTGCAAAGACAGAGCCAAAAAATTGATGAAGTGGAAATGCAGCAAAGCCAACTGCATGAACAAAGATGCTGTCATTCAAAAACTACAGGAAAAGGTTGGCGCTTTTTACTCTCTATAGCAATTTGTTGTAAATAGACTGATCCCATCAGAGTGAACTTCAAATGCCTACTAATGTCAGTAACATCTTCTGATTATCTGGTGTCTTTTATTCAAGGATTCAGAAGGAAATTGCAAATACATTATTTTAAGGTACTTATGCAAGGAAAACAGCTGAGGAGATGATTTTATCATTCATATTTCACTACCAGCAAAATCTATTTTAAATGTAACAATAAAAAATAGCTAACATTATTTCATTCTTACTCTATGCAGGCACTGTTACAAGCATCTATGACAGGTACTACTATTAGCCTCATTCAGAAGATGATAAAACTGAGGTGTGAAGAGAATGCATTAACTTGTACCAGGTAACACAGCAGCAGGTGGCACACTGCAATTCAAATCCAGGTGCTCTGAAGTAAACAATCTCTCTGGTCAACAATTAGACTCACCAGAACTTTATTGTAATGTAGTCTTATAATATCTACAAGGGCTAAAGGGATGTTACTCCAAATAAACTATGAGGTTTTTCTGAGTGAGCTAAAATTTTACTACTCAAAGGGCAGTCCAATGAGTAGCAGCATCAACGTCAGCGTCAGCATCAGCATCAGCATAGCATTGCCTGGGAGCCAGTTAGAAATGCACCATGGACCTGCTAGATGAGAACCTACATTTTAACAATGCACCAGGTGTCTCAAATGTACATTCAAGTTTGAGAAGCACTGACCCAAGAGAACTGGTTTGTTTTTAAATTGGCAGATATATGAATCTTATCGTTCATTGTGATTCCCTTTATTGCTTGGCTGCTAGGCAGCTCAAATTTGCAGGTTTTGTTGTTGTTGTTGTTTGTTTCTCTTTGAGATGGAGTCTCCCTCTGTCACCCAGGCTGGAGTGCAATGGCGTGATCTCAGTTCACTGCAACCTCCACTTTCTGGGCTCAAGCGATTCTCCTGCCTCAGCCTCCCAAGTAGCTGGGACTACAGGCACATGCCACCACACCTGGCTAATTTTTGTATTTTTAGTAGAGACAGGGTTTCACCATGTTGGCCAGGTTTGTCTTGAACTCCTGACCTCAAGTGATCCGCCCACCTCGGCCTCCCAAACTGTTGGGATTACAGGCATGAGCCACCGCACCTGGCCTGCAGGTAATTTTTAAAGGAACTGTCAAAGGCCTTAATAAACATTCTGTGTACATATTAACCTTACACACACTTAGATTTATTTCTCTCTCCTTATTTTCCTTTCACTCAGAAATTTTATACCTTGTTATATAACCTCTATAACTGCCTTAGACACTTTTTAGAATGGGAAGCAGTTGAGCACAGTGGCTCAGGCCTATAATCCCAGCACTTTGGGAGGTCAAGGCAGGAGGACTGTTTGAGGCCAGGAGTTCGAGACTAGCCTAGCCTGGGGAACATAGTGAGACCCCATCTGTACAACAGAATTTTTTTTTTATTAGCCAGGCATGGTGGTGTATGCCTGTAATCCCAGCTACTCAGAAGGCTGAGGCTGGAAGATCACTTGAGTCCAGGAGTTCAAGGCTGCAGTGAGCTATGATCATGCCACTGCACTCCAGCCTGGGTGACAGAATGAGACCCTGTCTCAAGAAATAAGTAAGTAAATAAATAAATAAATAGAATGAGAAGGTTCATAAATGTGAAAAAAACCCAAAACATTTGCTGTGTCCTGTCTTGTCATTCTGTGGCCACGGCCTCATGCCATTATTTGTGTTTATTCCTGTTTCCAATGTTTTAGGTTAGATAAAAGTGCAAATTCACAAAGGAACCAGTGAAAAAGGAAAACAGAAGGAAAACTCCTGATGTGTAGGTTGAAGAGAACATTCTGTCTTCAGAAATCAGAGCAAGAAAAATGGAAGGTAAAACATGTTCCAGGGCACCAGTCAGAGCCCCACAAGGCTGTCTGCCCTGGGAAATGGCGCAAGATTAGAAGGAGGCACTGGGGGTGTTATCGCAAGCAGCAGCTTGCCCCTTAGTAACCCCTGTCCTCCACAGGCCAGGCTGCAATATTTCACATAAACGCTGGTACTGTACTCTGAACATCAGGGACCTCTACACCCCTCACAAACAGCAAATGCAGTTAAGACGCCAGAAAAAAAAAATGGTATCAAATTGTTTAAAAACTCTACAATAAATGGTCCAATATTCTTTCTCTATGATTTTGTAATGTTAAAAAAATCCACTGAAAGTCAGAAATCAAATGACAGAAAGAGAGAAAGAGAAAGAGAGAGAGAGAGAAATAAAACAATAGCCAGTCTTAATGTCTCTTATGGTACCACTTTTAAAGATTTCTTTCAGTGAGAAAACAATCCATGCTTTTTCAACTGATGATCTGCAATTTGAATATGAGATATGGTGATTTTATACAGCACAACTCTTATTACTACTAATTGATCTTTGAACATGAATTGATTAAATATAGCTGCTATGATATTTGTAGAATACCTTTTCTATTACATTAATCTCCATCCCATTCTTTTCTATGAGATAAGTAAAAGTTCCTTTTGAGTGAGAGATTGGAAAACCAGCATTCCTTCTGCTAAATAAAGCAGACCCTCAAGAATGCTATCTTTTAGAAATGGGTGAAAGGAGCCATCCTTAAAACCCACTTCACTTGTTTAAGTCCAACTAGTTTTCAATAGCAAAGACCCAAAGGGAAAGCTAGAGTGTTTATGGTCTTAGGTCTTATCCAGATCAGATTCCCATAGAAAAGAATCACAAATATCCAAGCATTCGAAATCTGCTGGGGAAACCTAACTGCTTTAAGAAAAAAAAAAATTCTCTCCCCGATCCTGATTGAAAATGATTTCTAAACCATACTTTGTTGAACCAACTGAAATTTTTTTCAAGTAAGATGCCCATGTTAGCAGATTTCCTTCTGAAACACTGCTTGGTAGATTTAATATATTAAGAGGTTTATATATAATTCACTCTCACCTTAGTATGAATTGGTTTACTCACCCTCCCTCCTTACAAAAAGCTTGGATTTATGGACTGAAGGTGTGCATGAAGAAAAGGAATAAAAAGAGGATAGGGTAATCACTGACTAGGAAGCACTGCTTTGGGGAAGATCTGGATGCTTAGAGGCTTAAGGAAAGTGATGAAGCAAGGGAAGGTGGGAAGGGACCCAAACCAAATTTTTTCTTTTTTTTTTTTTTTTGAGACAGAGTCTCGCTCTGTAGCCCAGGCTGGAGTGCAGTGGTGCAATCTCGCCTCGCTGCAAGCTCTGCCTCCTGGGTTCACGCTATTCTCCTGCCTCAGCCTCCGGAGTAGCTGGGATTACAGGCGCCTGCTACCACGCCTGGCTAGTTTTTTTTGTATTTTTAGTAGAGACGGGGTTTCACTGTGTTAGCCAGGATGGTCTCAATCTCCTGACCTCGTGATCCGCCCGCCTCGGTCTCCCAAAGTGCTGGGATTACAGGCGTGAGCCACCACGCCCAGCCAAAATTTTTTACTCTACATTTTTTTCTTAAGATTGACAAGACAGTCAAAAGGTCCACTGGATAAATGTATCTTTCCTAACTCGCAGCCACTGTCCTTGGAACCCAGGATGTGGTTTGAAGGGTCTAAGTGATCTGGATTTACTTTTTCTTATTTGTCTTGTGGTTTCTGTATAGGGATGGCTCAGAAATATGTTCACCAGCTAGAGCCCCATGTTGGTTTATTAGAATCCTATTTCCAGTGTGGTTTTCTTTTTCTGCCTGAAAGTCATTTACTAAGAATGTATTTTTTTCTAAATGGGGGAAGGATTGGAACTACTTTAGCAAGAAACATTTCAGACAGC
The DNA here is from genome assembly GCF_000001405.40 of Homo sapiens. Lineage (NCBI taxonomy): Eukaryota > Metazoa > Chordata > Mammalia > Primates > Hominidae > Homo > Homo sapiens. Next base: position 355,905 of record NC_000009.12, on the reverse strand, counting down.
CTGCAAATCTCACCTTTCCATAGCTACAGTGACCATTTCACTCAGTACTCTGTACATTTGATAATATGTATGTAGATCTGCAGATGCTTGGGAGGTGAGTGTGCGGTTGGGAGTTAGGGAGGAATAGGGTGTACAAGGTGCTGGGGTGCTGTGCAAGAGGAGAAATGAATCCATTCCTTCATATGTACAGCTTAGGGTTTCTCCCCACTATTTGAAAATAAGAAAATGCAGAGAATCTGCTTTCTAGGTAAAAAACAACTTTTCCCTATTTTGCAGGCTTATTTCTTTGGAGTGTGGTTTAGTAAGGGACTCCACACCTTTGAGTATCTGTCAAGGAGTGGCTATTTTTTTTTCTTTTATTAGAGAGTGATGCATTGCAGATGTCCTAGAAATACACCATTCTGGGCTGGGCACGGTGGCTCATGCCTGTAATCCCAGCACTTTGGGAGGCCAAGGTGGGTAGATCACAGGGTCAGGAGACTGAGACCATCCTGGCCAACAAGGTGAAACCCAGTCTCTACTAAAATACAAAAAATAAGCTGGGCGTGGTGGCACATGCCTGTAATCCCAGCTATTCAGGAGGCTAAGGCAGGGGAATCGCTTGTACCAGGAAGGCGGAGGTTGCAGTGAGCTGAGATTGTGCCACTGCACTCCAGCCTGGTGACAGAGCGAGACTCTGTCTCAAAAAAAAAAAAAAAAAAAAAAAAAAAAAAGAAAAGAAACAGAAATACACCAGTCTGATGGGAACACTTTTCATGAGGCACGTTGTCCTCAGCATCCACAAAATTAACCTGCCCTCCCTGTCACCCTCCTACCCCCATATTCCTCCCAGTTCAATGTTTTGTAGCTTCATTAAGAACTGTGCCAGCAGCTTCTAATGAAATAACCAATGATTCTGCTTCCTGATATTCTTGCTCTGTGAAATCCTCTCCCTTTGAGTGTGGGCTAGACCTAGTGACTCGCTTCTGATGTAGTGACAAAAGTCAATACGACGTTTGTCAAAATAGGACAAAAGTGATGAGGTACTGCTCTTGAGATTAGGCTGTGAAAGACCCTGGCCTCTGTCTTGCTTTCTGTCTCTTACCCTCCCGCTTGCTTGTTTTGACGAAGCCAATTGCTACACTGTGAGCTGCCCCCCATGAGAAAACATGTTAAGGAACTTAAGGAAGCCTCTGGCTTAGTGAGGAACCGACGCCCTCAGCCTAACAACCCGTGAGCAACTGCATCCTGCCAACAGCCACATGAGTGAGCTTGGAAGTGGATCCACCCCCAGGGGACCCTTGAGGTGACGGCAGCCTAGGCTGACATCCTCACTGCACTTTTCGAAAGCTCAGACCAAGCAGGTCAGCTGCACCTGCGTAACCTACATAAACTTGTGAGATAATGACTGTTGTTTTGAGCTGCAAAGGTTTTGTTATACAGCAATAGATAACTAACACAAGTATGTAAATTTTTAAAAGTATACGTCCAGTGTTCTTTGATATTTAAATATGTGTTTCCTTCAAAAAAAATGGTTTTACTTCAAAAATTTCTGCCTCAATTGGACCTCCTGGTCTAAGGACATAATATAACGACTCCCCACACAAAAATATTCTTCCCAGGCTGGAGTGGAATGCTGTGATCTCGGCCCACTGCAACCTCCACCTCTCGGGTTCAAGTGATTCTCCTGCCTCAGCCTCCCGAGTAGCTGGGACTACAGGCGCCCGTCACCACGGCTGGCTAAGTTTAGTATTTTTAGTAAAGACAGGGTTTTGCCAAGTTGTCCAGACTAGTCTTGAACTCCTGGCCTCAGGTGATCCACCTGCCTTGGCCTCCCAAAGTGCTGGGATTACAGGCGTGAGCCACCGTGCCCGGCCACAAAAATATTCTTAATCACAAAATAGTCTCTTTGGAGTCAATTCAATCTCCAAAGAAGTATAAGAACATGAGAATTTCTAAAAGTATAAATAATTTTTCCTTGGTTCCAGTGTTGATTATATGAACTAAATTAATTAATGTCTCCTGAAGAGGCTGTGATAGGTCAGATAATAAGAAGAATGCTAAAAAGTACCTAGTACAAACACCCTTCCTTTTCCCCCAAAGCACCACATTTTGAATGAAAACCTCCTGCAGATAAAAACAAAATAAACATTTCAATAATACTTGGCTTTGCTCAAGACCTAAAAGTTAAGTTTCAAGACACCATTTGCATAGTCCAAATCTGGACTATGCTGTATTTTTCTTTTTTTTTGAGGCCACCAGACAGAACTGTCAGATGGAGAACCAGCACCAACCAACCTGCATGTTCCTTTAACAGACAGAGAAAGCACATTTTTCCCAGGCTTTGCAAATAGTTTCCTAAAACAAATCTGCCAGCTGAGAAAAACACATATAAATACCAGAACGCTTCCAATTTCTGCTGGTGCTGAGGCTGATATTTTTGGTTATTTGGGGTAGATCCTTTATTAGTTCTCTACCCATTTAAAGAAACAGCCAATGAATACATCAATAATCTTCATTAAAATGCTTGTTTTATCATTCTTGATGTTTTTAACATTGCCAGACGCCTTGGTTTGGGTTGGGGAAGAAAGTATTGGAATCAGGGGAAGCAGCAGGTCTGCTGGGAAATAAATTGGCCAGATGCCCCCAGCTGCCTCTATAAACATATCCTTGCTTTAGGCACTTGGCAAGAGAGAGGACTTGTCTGAGTTTTGGAGGTAGGAGAACTTTCAAAGATCTCAAGGTGGTTGCAGGACAAAGTTGCATTACATGTCATTGCATAGATCAGCATGGTTGCCTGTGGTTCTAGTGTCTCTTAGGAGACTGGGATTTGCCTTCCAAGACAGGCAGTCCCCTCCTTGTCTATTTCAGCACCAAGCATAGTGTCTGACACACAGCAGGGGCTTATAATACTGGTTAGGTGAATGCATCAACATTATTCACAGGGTGACGAGTATTGCCAGGCATATGAGATTTTTCAAAGGGAAGATATCCTGCTCCCTTTGTCCCTGAATGACACATGGTGAGGAAGGAGCTGAGAAGAAGTGTTCCCACTCCCTACACTCATACCAGTGTGACAAGTCCACAAGGGGATGTAGCATCCCCAGACCATTCTGAGGGTTAACAGTCCTTCTTACAGACTTCATTTCTTTCAGAAGATATATAAAGTATCGGCACTTTTTTTTTGAGACAGAGTCTCACACTGTCACTGGACTGGAGTGCAGTGGCGCGATCTTGGCTCACTGCAACCTCCACCTCCAAGTTCAAGCGATTCTCCTGCCCCAGCCTCCCAAGTAGCTGGGATTACAGGTGCCCGCCACCACGCCCAGCTAATTTTTTGTATTTTTAGTAGAGATGGGGTTTCACTATGTTGGCCAGGCTGGTTTCAAACTCCTGACCTTGTGATCCACCCGCCTCGGCCTCCCAAAGTGCAGGGATTACAGGCATGAGCCACCGTGCCTGGCCAAGTGTCACCACTTGTTTTGGCTGCTGGCCTGGGATGCCGATTCTCATGCTAGAGTTTGGTTCAGTTTCATCACAACTCTGGGAGGAAACGTTAGAGGTTGCATAAAATAAGCATATTCTCTCTGGGCTCTTTTGTTCCACCCCAAGAGCATCACGGTGAGGATCATGCTTAATAGTAATAATAATTCCATGCTCAATGCTGCAGACCATGGCTCCTGTAACAATCAGTGACCTTGAAAGAGCAGTTAGGCCCTGAAGCCTATTGCCTGGAGTCCCATCCAGCTTTGCAGGCAGCTATCTCTAGAGCTGTGTGTCAGCAGCTACCCGCACCATGCCTCCCATTCCCCGAGTTCTAGGCTTGCTGTGGGGTTGATGTTTAGCAACATCAAACATTTCTCCTGCTGCTGCTGCATTCTCCACTTCCTTCTCCAAACTGCCACATGCTCGACGCCCACCAAACATGCATATGAATCACTTGGAGGTACTGACATGTCTAGAGAATCATTGATTAGGTAAATGCTAAATTTCTAGACAAATCCTGATTCTCACAGGGTTCTTGCTGACTTCAGGGAAAGTTCTACAAGGGAGTTGCAAACACTGGATACAGTGCAAAAATGCAGGGTTTACATGCCACTGGCTATTGCTAGAGAGCTGTCTAGGGAAGACTGTTGCCATGACATCTTTAACCAGAAAGCATCATCACCATCCTGTTGCTCTAAGTAGACAGACTTTGGACATAAAGAGGCAAACTTCCTGTTCTTCACACGTTCCCCTCCCATTCCACTTTCTCAGTCCCATTCAGTGGATATTTCCATGCCTACTGAGTAGATGCTGTGAGCTAACACAGCCTGCTGCTCTACCTGCACAGAAGATAACTTGTCAAATGGAGCCCAGCCTTAATTCCGGGACCAGGGGAAGAAACAGTGAAGGAAGACTGCAATGTGATTAACAAAAACTAGTACCTGATTTGCCAATGGGCAGCTGTAATCACAGCTTTGTGGCATCTGAAAGAATCTGCAGACTATCTTCTAGCCTTGGTGATTGGTGAGTGAGAAAGGCACTCCCTACTGGGGCCCTTTTCCAGCCATGATTTGTGTTGAAGATGGTGACCAACTATCTGTCCTTCTGACCTGCCCAAGACCAGGGTGCCACTCTAGAAACAAGACTATAGAAAAACTGATTTCTCCAGGTCCAATCCAGTCCCCGATGATGAGATCACATCAAAACCTTCTCTCTGGAGAAAGGCGTTCCCCAGTTACCTACTTAGAGTTTAATTTCAGTCAGAGGTAGACCATACTAGGCAAATCCCGGTGGAACCCCGACCCTACCAGGACCTATCAGGAAGCCAGAGAAATTAGGGATGTCGCTGGCATCCCCTGTTGGCCATATGGTGCCACCACCCAGCTCCTACAACAAAATCCCAGTGAACTAGGCTAATTGTCAATCGGCCTCATCCCCTTCCCATGCCAATCCCAAAGAGCATTTCCTGAGTGAGCTCCAACACACTGATTTTTGTCCTGATGGGAGAAAGGGTATGAATCTCTGCCACCCTCAGGAAGTTTACAAACAGGACGGGGGTCCACAGCTCTGATCCTATGTCCATTCTTTGGCACCAGAGTTGCTGCCTGACAGGCTGACTGGTCCCCCTTCAGTAATTCCTCTTCCACATTCCTCCCCATTAAGGTTGCTATCTACGTTCTGTCCAAACAAAATTATATTAGTTTCAAAATAATGCAGGGAGAGGCACAGGTGTTATTATTCTGCTTATCCGCAAAGTGAGGACAAACCACTAATTTGATGTTTGTTCTTTACAAAAGAGGAAGCAGCCATCAATCAATTCCTTCCTCCGTGGGTTGGCTCGTTATTAAAATGAAAGAAAACCTGCCAGAAAACCAAACCCCTGCCCTTTATCTCTCCCTAGTAAGACTATCTCATTGATGTTCTAAGAAAATTAAAGTGGCATGAACGTGTCCTGGACGGCACGTACATTGGCAGAATCTAGTTCAGCAGCCATTAAGTTAAAAGTATTGTAACCAGGAAATAAATGCAAAGGTAAAAAACACAAGAAGAGTGGCACCTCCCAGTGCTTTGGGAAGCTGAGGTAGGAAGATTGCTTGAGGCTAGGAGTTCAAGACCAGCCTGGGCAACAGAGTGAGACCTTGTCTCTAGAAAAGATAAAATAATTAGCTGGTGTGGTGACACACAGCAGTGGTCCTAGCTTCTTGGGAGGCTGAGTTGGGAGGATCACTTAAGCCCAGCAGTTTGAGGCTGCAGTGAGCTAGAATCGTACCACTGCACTCCAATCTTGGAGACAGAGCAAGATCCTGTCTCTTAAAAGAAGAAAATGAAAGAAGGGCATGAGAAAACAGAACTCCAAGTTTGCGATGAGCCGAACTTGAGGAGCACAAGGAGATTCCTGGAAAGGTGAGAATGAGGGGAGGCCATGTTTTCAACAATGGGAGTTAGGGGAAGAACAAACAAGCTCAGAAGAGCTATTGGAGGGCGGCGGAGGGAGAAAGAAGAAACAGATTACATGAAGTATAAATTAAGAATAATTTTCATGTCCCTACTCTGAGAAGCAAATTCATCCAAGTCTGAGCCAAAGAGAATGAATCAGAATTCTAAGGTTTCTGAGTGTGTCTTCTGAGAAAAATTCAGAGACTATTGTGTACATTTGTGTATATTACCTTTAAGGACATTAACTGACACTTCCAGAGAACAGAAATGTAAATCTGTTAATGGGATAACGAAACTGGTCTGTGTCCTGTGAGCTGATTGACAGAAGTTTAGAAACGCTGCTAAACTTGTCTTTGAGCCCTGATAGGAGAGAAAGCTCAGCCCATGTCACCCCTATCAAGTGAGTGGAGTGGTATAAAAGGAACGACCAGCTTGGGCTTAAAAGCTGTAATTCTAGGGAAAGATAAGAAATAGGCTTTGAGATTTGCTTATTGCTAAATGTACAGTTATTAGCCTGGGCATGGAAACCCCTTAGAAATCATTAAAATGAGCCGTTATGTTGAGCTCCTCTAATTTTATCCTTATGAAGCCATGATATTTATATTTCCATTAATAGTTGCATGAATCTCAATTTACATTTTGAAAGTTGTCAAAGAACATGAAACAAAGCAGCCAGGACTGGCACATTTTTTGAAAGTTTTAGAATCTTTCTGTTGTTGACACCAGTGGGTAAAGAAATTTCATCTTTTAACTATAAAAGACACATGACATCTGATGAATTAGCCATGGTTTTAAACAATTACCTTATTACGCTGTCAAAACACAGTCCTTTCAACTACTCACAGCTCTGTTTTATTTTGTACTGTGGGGTTTACCTGCACCTCCCACTCAGTTTCTTCCCTTGGGAAACCCTGACACAGCATCTCATATTTTGCCTGAGTAAAAGACGATCTGGAAGTATAAGACGATTCCCGACTTCTGCTGAGGGCCCAAGGGCAGCCTGTCTGAGGCCTGAAACCACAGGACATCCATTAAGGAGAGCTGTTAAAATACCTCTGCTTTAGAGATGGCCAAACACTCTCAGTGAAAGGTGGATGAATGCTGACCTTTGGGGGCATCTGTAAAGCACATGAGGAGGTCAGAACTGAGGATGAAAAAGCTGCAAAATAGCGTCCCCCACAACTTCCCAATAGCAAAAGAAATAAGACTAAACAGTTTCCCAAAGCTGTCCCGTCAGAAGAGAAGAAGCCACTTCAAAGGACTGATTTTAAATAATAATTTGTAAAACTAACAAAAGTATAGAAATCAAAGACAAAAGGCTTTTTGGATTTTAGGTGCTCCCTCTAATCTAGACAAACTATTCAAGATCAGAGTCAAATGCAAGCCTAACTTTGACTTAATTTCATCACCACTTCTCCATTGCTTCTGCCTCCACCAACCAGGGCAACTCATGTAGAAACAGGGTGCCTCATGAAGCTTCCTGCTGAATTCTATGTAAAGGACAGTGGAAAAATGACACTCGTCACTGTTAAACCGACCGCAGGACTTTTAGGTAGGACCGTTCTATATGGGCTGTAACACCAAAGCACTGTGGACTCAAGAGTATAAAATAAGGAGAGTGGTATGGAGTTGTGAACGGTGGAATCAGTGACACTAATGTACACAGCACCTCCTTACTCCTACCTGCCTCAACCATGATTCTAGGAAAATTCGGCACATTCTGTGGTTTACATATGAGACAAAATTGGTGAATGTGTAAATATGTATAGTAAGCAACTCTCCCCAAAATGAGAAGATTTCGATCTTTAGCTACATTAAGGGATGCATCTCTTGGTCCCCCTCCCCACTACACCTTCCAAAAAAATGCCAGATGTCTAAGGTCAGGACTTACTAATGAAAGGAGGCAGAAACTGACAGGCTAGAATAAAATCCTTTGCGAAAAAATGACAACAGTGATCTCGGAGGATGCTGCAATACTTTTCAGTTTTTCCTGGTCTTGCACTTCAAGGGCAAAAAATACAATATGTGTCCTACTTTCATAAATCACGACTTCATATGTTTTGTAACGAAAAAGGTAGTCGTGTGTCTGAATCTAGAAAGTGAGTGAATTGTGTCCTCTAGTGGCTGAATATTATACTGGAACGGTAGCTTTGCTGTCATAACCTTAGGCAATTGGTTCCCTCCTGAATTTTTTCATTCTTACAAATAGGAGGATTGCTGAGTTTTGGAGCAAGGCATTAGGAATGTGGGGATTGTGTTCCTGATTTATTATCGAGACCAAGTTGCAACTAGCACCAGAAATTCACTTTGTCTTTGTCTCCGTTCCTTGGCTAATTCAAATGACTAGATTTTGCCTGGGCTGCCACTGCCCTTCCTAACTACATGGTTTGTTTATAAAAGCTTCTGTTCCATAAGCGACTGCTTGCTAAGCCTAGTAAAACCAAGTACTGGGCTTCCGCATCATCTGATACTTAGGACAGAGTTTTTTGTTTTTGTTTTTTGAAAGAGTCTCACTCTGTTGCCCAGGCTGGAGGGCAGTGGCATGATCACGGCTCACTGTAGCCTCGACCTTCCTGGCTCAAGCGATCCTCCCACCTCAGCCTCACAAGTAACTGGGACTGCAGGTGTGGACCCCCACCCCTGGCTAATTTTTTTGTTGTTGTTGTAGAGACAGGGTCTTGCTATGTTGCCTAGGCTGGTCTTGAACTCCTGGGCTCAATGGATCCTCCCGCCTCGGCCTCCCAAAGTGCTGGGATTGCAGGTGTGAGCCGCTGTGCCCGGTATGGAGCATTTGACAACTCCATATGGTACAGGAACTCATTAAGGGTTGGTGGAAGCTTCCCTTCCATGAGAAGGAGGGGGACGCTTTGATTTTGAACAAAAGAGAGTGTCAGACCACCAGTGCCCCATCCCAGACCACCTGAATGGGAGTCTTCAGGGTGGGGCTGGACACTTACTCTGATGCACAACCACCCTTCCTTCACCTAGCACTGAGAAGATCCACTCTGAATACAGAGCTAACTGGGCTTAAACTGGGAACCTATTTCCTTGGATGAAATTAAGTCCCTTTCAAGGATACTCCCCATGTCCTGCCCCTCTTCCTAACCACTTCGTTTGCAGTTATTTCTGGTTCATTTCTTTCCTTAGAAGTTCTAGTCACTAAATCATAACTCGCAGACATTCCTTCCGGTCAGGTCCTGCATGCATGCTACGCCATTCCTTTTCCCCCGCAGAAGAGAAGGTGGGTAGTACTCCTTAAGACTCCACTGCGATATGGGAGCACATCCCCGTTAGGCCAGATCAGACTTCTGGTCTGAGAACATTCAGCTGAATAGGAGGAGTCCTGAAAACAGCTAATTATCCATCAGAGAAATCATGTTCCAACTGATATGCTTGTTCTCAGCAAGCACCGTCCTCCACAGCAAGTCTGATAATTGGATAAACAAGACCTCAGAGGCTCTCGGGGGCTGAAGTGAGAGATGAAAACGTACTTTATGTGGCTCTTTTTACTGTAATCACCCATTAAAGGGACGGCAGGGAGCTTAACAGCTCATTACAACCTCATTGCCTGTGATCTCCGCACATACCCCTCTGGCGGCCGCAGGATAGGATGCCCTTGAAGACCTTGCTGGGCCTTGGCCTCAGCCCATGCTGTTTTCATTCTGCCCCCACCAGAAAGCAGCTGGTGTCTCTAGTACCAGCTGTTGGGTCACATGGAAAATAAGCCAGGAGTTGGTGCAAATGTGTTCCTAGGCAAACCACTAGCATTTTCTTAATCTGGACACAGAGCAAGGAACGCCAAGCTTGGATTCGGATAATCCTTTTCATCAGCTCAGTTTTTCCAGCTGTTCTGCTCTGCTTTCAGAATTGCTGTCCTTCTGCTTGTGATTTCTCAGAGTGTCCTGCCTGGCTCTGGTTCAGAGGACCCTGCTCTAGCTCCATGCCTCTAACCCACAGAGGCTGCACATGGCACTGCAGAGGGCCCGAGCCGCTGGTTTGGGAGCCCCTGGTCATTCCTGGGATGAGCACTTCTGGCTCTAGAAGTTGGTCTCTATCGTTAGAGCAAGGATTTATTTTATGAATGCCCAACCCTCACGGACCCACGGGGATACTTCTGGGAGCACTACCCAGTTCTACCAGAACTCATCTACAGCTGTTCCTTAAAGAAACTTGAATAAGGTAGAGACACGGGGCAGCACACACACATTACCGCAATTACTTTTGCACCAACCTAATACACTAGAATGCAACTCGAATGGTGCCCCACGCAGGACACCTGAAGGGGCAGGGCAAAGAAAAGAGGCAGTGAAGAGGTGGGAGGAAGGTGAGGCTGGGGACTGGAAGGCAATGCCAGCCTATCCCAAGCCAACTTTACCTGAGGCACTATGGCAGCTGCTCCTTTAAGACAGGTAAAGATAACTGGAGTTCAACTCAAGTAATATTCAGCTGAAACCCTCATCAATACCAAAATCCTAAAATGTGTGACTCTGGTTACCACTGGCACTCAAGGCCAGAAAACATCTGCTATTAGAACCAGGTAATAGTTCCCTCCACCCAGGGGGGCTCTGCAGTTTATGTTAAGGGCACATTAATTTGAAATCCCAAACCTGGCTTTCTCAGTGTAAGCATTTATTGTTTGGCCCGACAGAGGTGTTAGCTACAAGCTCCAGGCAGATCAACTTTTTATAAGCCAAGCCATATTTCAAATTCATGAGGTGAATCCTCTATAAACGAAGAAATATTCCTGAATTTATCTGCCCCACAGATCTTCATTTTCAGTTATTTGATTTCCTTAAGGGATACAGGTATGATCAGGATTATTGATTGGCATGGAAATAGCAACATCAACAGTGAAAGTTACCTGACAGACTCTTGGAATGAGAAGAAATCTGGATTTCTTCAATTAAGAAATAGGAACTGCTGTCCCTGCCAAGATAATACCTTTTTTTTGAGACAGAGTTTTTTTGCTCTGTTGCCCAGGCTGGAGTGCAATGGCAGGATCTCAGCTCACTGCAACCTCTGCCTCCTGGGTTCAAGCGATTCTCCCGCCTCAGCCTCCTGAGTAGCTGGGATTACAGGCACCCACCACCACGCCCAGTTACTTTTTGTATTTTTAGTAGAGACAAGGGGTCACCGTGTTGGCCAGGCTGGTCTCGAACTCTTGACCTCACTCAGGTGATTCACCTGCCTTGGCCTCCGAAAGCGCTAGGATTATAGGTGTGAGCCACCACACCTGGCCCAAAATGATAATACTCTTGGGAGTGATAAGACTAATCCATACCTGTTATCAATACCATAGCAAATGAGTTTAGAGATCGTTGCTTGAAAAGAGACTTTTATTTTGGGGGCCAGTATAGAAAAGCTACAAGGTCCAGGTTTTTTGAGATATGGGGAGATGGCAAGGAACAAAAAGAGAGGAAAATGGACAGAAATGAAAAGGTGAGGTCACCCAAGGCGAACTTAGTCAGCTTGCCAATTTTACCTGGGGTTCAGACCTCACTCGATTCTTTCCATTTCCATGTCGTGAATGGGGGGAGGTGCAGGAAAGGGGACACTCATCTGGGACTGGGTAACTGTCAAGCCCAATCTAATCAAAACCACCCTAAAGCACACAAGGACTGGAGAAGAACACTAAAAATTTAGAACAAGATATTTAGACAAGATGCTTCCTAAATTCTGTGAAATTTTCATGAAGTAAGATTCCAAACCAAGTTCATTATCTCTCTCTTTCCTTAAATAGACTATAAAATATGGTGGCCTGAGAGCCACAGAGAAGAACTGTGAGCCAAGAGAAGGGGCCACAACCAAACTGGAGAGAAATCTCTTCTGTCATTCCCCAAGACCTGGTTTCTAACAGGGTGGCCTTGGCATTTCTAACGGGGTGTCCTTGGCACTTCTACAGTGGCCAGTACAGCTCAAGAAGATTAACTCTGTATTTGTGGGTCTGTTTCTCATGATGACAAGTTGGGTCCATTGTAATCCGTCCAGACTTGTCCTCCTTTGCCCTCCTACATTTCTGGATCATTCAGTGCACTAATGCACTCTAAGTCCCACTGTGATGTAATTAAGGGATAATGTTTGCAGGAACGAGTAGAGAACATTGTAAATGCCACCTGTGGGTGATTAAATGCTGAGGGGAAGTTGAATAACTACAGAATTCATTGGATGCAAGTCTCTTCCAATGCCACAAGCATTGTTTCCCGATTATAGGATAAAGTTTCTAAAAAGATACAAAGCATCCATAAGCAAACATTTTCATGCCTTCATCTTCCTCTAAGGAATAGAGAATCGAAACTACTGCATCCTGAGAATGCTTATCTCCTCTAGGAGGGAGACGTGGGGACTAAGTTTAGATGTAAGGAATGAGGATTGAAAATGAAGAGCTGCTCCAGGAAGGATTAAATGGGGAAATAAGTGTATACCTCCTGAATACTGTAAAGAAGAACTCTCCATTCCTGTGTGAATAGCTGTTTGTATTTCTCAGTATAATTTTATTTTCTAAATTATTTTTTTTTTTTTAGAGATAGGGTCTCACTCTGTTGCTTGATTTGGAGAGCAGTGGCACAAGGCTAACCTCGAATTTCTGGGCTCAAGAATCCTCTGCCTCAGCCTTCTGGGTAGCTAGAACTACAGGGATGCACAATACCACACCTGGGCAATTTTTAAAATGTTTTGTAGAGATGGGGGTCTCACTATGTTGCCCGGGCTGATCTTAAACTCCTAGACTCAAGCAGTCCTCCAGCCTCCCAAAGCAGCGGGGTTACAGTGTGAGCCACTGTGTCTGGCCACCTCGCTGTAATTTTTGACCTCAAGGAACCATTCACTTATCCTTTCCGGGTCTTAATTTTGTGCATCTGGAAATGTGGGGGTGGGAATGCTTGGATCAGGTGAGCTCTGAAGTTCTTTGCATTTTAGTCCCACATACGTCATACTGGAAAGTATGGGTGAGGAACTGGAAAATGGGAATTCTCTCACACTGCTGTTAGGACTGCAAATGTAAAATTTTAGAAAACTTAAGACTGAAATGTGTATTACTTGTGATCTGGTAATTTCACTTTTAGATATATTAAAGAAACTTTCACAAACGTGTACAGAGGGGCAAAGACAAAAAATCTTACTTCATAGTGTTTGTAAGAGCTGAAAACTTGAAAAAGACTTAAATGCGTATCAACAAGGAAATGAATAAAATATGGCCTCTTCACAAAGGAATACTAAACAGCAGTTAAAAGGAATAACAGGATGGGCATGGTGGCTCACACCTGTAATCCCAGCACTTTGGGAGGCCGAGGCAGGTGGATCACGAGGTCAGGAGTTCAAGACCAGCCTGGCCAAGATGGTGAAACCCTGTCTCTACCAAAAATACAAAAATTAACTGGGTGTGGTGGCAGGCACCTGTAGTCCCAGCTACTCGGGCAGCTGAGTCAGGAGAATCGTTTGAACCTGTGAGGCGGAGGTTGCAGTGAACCGAGATCATGTCACTGCACTCCAGCCTGGGTGACAGAGTGAGACTCCATCTCAAAAAAAAACAAAAAAACGAAAAAAACCCCAAAAAAACCCACAAACCTTTACATGAATCAATACTGATATTTCCAAAAATGCAAGCCATTAAAAAGTTCCCATTGGTAAAACTTGTGGAAATCTGGGTAAGTAGAAAGAAAAATGACTCACGACTCCATAGTAATACTCAAACAAAAAAAAAAAAAAAAAGAAAAAAGAAAAACAAATCAATCTTTTGAGTGACAAAAACAAAGTGTAATATAACACCTAGAGCAGCAATCCTCAACCTTTTTGGCACCAGGGACTGGTTTCATGGAAGACAATTTTTCCATGGACTGGGGTGGCAGCGGGGGGCAGGGGATGGTTTTGGGATGACTCAAGCACATTCCATTTATCGTGCACTTTATTTCTATTATTATTACATTGCAATATATAATGAAATAATTATATAACTCACAATAATATAGAATCAGTAGGAGCCCTGAGCTTGTTTTCCTGCAATTAGAGGGTCCCATCTGAAAGTGATGGCAGACAGCGACAGAATATCAGGCATTAGATTCTCATAAGGAGCGCACAACCTAGATGCCTCATATATGCAGTTCACAATAGGATTCATGCTCCCATGAGAATCTAATGTCACTGCTGATCTGACAGGAGGAGGAGCTCAGGTGGTAATGCCAGCAATGGGGAGTGGCTGTAAATGAAGCTTCACTCACCCGATGCTCACCTCCTGCCATGCAGCCTGGTTCCTAACAGGCCAAGGACCAGTAATGGTCTATGGCCCGGGGGTTGGGGACCCCTGACCTAGAGTGTGAAGTCATTTGCGTACATTTTAAATGAATATGAAGATAATGCCATTGAGCGTTCACAGATGTGTGTGTAAGTGTGTGTAAAAGGAGAAAAAATAGGAAATACATAATTTCATGATGATAAAAGTCTAGGAGGTGAGGTAAAAGTCTGTGACTGGAGACTGGGGATAAAAGAAGACTTCAACTGAATCAGTACCACTGTATTTCTTTTATATAAAAACACAGAAAACAACAATGTCATTTCTGGATGGTGGGGAAGAGATGATTTTTATAGAAGGCATCCTTTTCTGCATTAAAGGAAATAGTCTCAAAATAAAGAAGTGCATGAGCATTAATGCCTTTGGCAGATATGTGTTGACAAGCACTCCTTCCAGACCCCATGGAATAGGTCAGGTGCCACCATAAGCGATTCAGAAACCAAGGCAGCCCAACCTGTTAGGCCTTCAGTGTCTAGCTCCATACTCTCCAATATAGTAGACACATACAGTTACTTGACTTTAAATTAAAATTAATTAAAATCAATTTTTCAGTTCCTCCATTGCACTGGCCACATTTCAAATGCTGAACAGCTACATGTGATTAGTGGCTATTGTACTGCTGGCACACATACAGAACTTTCTGTTATTGCTGTAAATGCTATTGGAATGTGTGCTATTATTATGTTATTGCTGTAAATTCTGTTGGAAAGAGCTAATCTTTAGCTGAAAACCTGTCCTTTTGACAACTAGCACATTTTGGTCACATTGCTCTTTTTCTAATATGTCCCTCTGCACAGAGGAGAACAAAGGTAATGGCTAGCAGATTTTTTTTTTAATCTCTGGAAAACATATGTCCACTATAATCCTAAACTACAATTACATCTGAAGTAACCCTTTCTTGTTAAAGAGAATTAGGTAAACTATGTTTAGAAAGAGATTTGGCAATCACCTACGGTTACATAAATATCACATTTCATTTCCCTGAAACTTAGGAAGTAGGAAGACAGGTTGAAGGATGAGAAAACGTTATTCAAATAAAACTCAGAATGTGAGCTCAACGGTTTTCCAAGAACCTGCTTTTCTTT
The DNA here is from genome assembly GCF_000001405.40 of Homo sapiens. Classification (NCBI taxonomy): domain Eukaryota; kingdom Metazoa; phylum Chordata; class Mammalia; order Primates; family Hominidae; genus Homo; species Homo sapiens. Next base: position 340,635 of record NC_000009.12, on the reverse strand, counting down.
TTTTCTTTTTTTTTTGAGACAGAGTCTGGTTCTGTCTCCCAGGCTGGAGTGCAGTAGTGCAATCTTGGCTCACTGCAACCTCTGCCTCCTGGGTTCAAGCGATTCTCCTGCCTCAGCCTGCCAAGTTGCTGGGATTACAAGCATGCACCACCATGCCCAGCTAAATTTTGTATATGTTGTAGAGACACGGTTTTGCCATGTTGCCAAGGCTGGTCTCAAACTCCTGAGCTCAAGCAATCCTCCTGCCTCGGCCTCCCAAAGTTATGGGATTATGGTGTAAGCCACCACGCCCAGCCCGAGCCTGTGTTTCTTACCTGTACACAGTGTGAGGGACATATACTTCTCGTGTTGGAAATTCCAAAATCTCTTTGTGCGGGCGTGTCCGGTTTTCAGGAAAGGGTTTCACGGGCAGCATTTCAGGAGTCAGACAGCAATTGATGATCTCTGGAGCTGTAGAAATCTCCAGTCTTAGCAAGCCTAAAGAGAGAAAATAGGAATGTTCTAGTAAAGAAACTGTCATGTTATGAGGGAATCAAGAAAGATTGTTGCACTGTGTTTCTTTCATGAAAATAAGAACAAACTATAGTACTGTAAAAAAGTTTTGGAGCTAATTTCCTACAGCTTGAGAAAAGTGTGTCATGATAACTTTCGAGATTTAGCCTCTATAAAATAAAATATAAAGCAAGAAATTGTAAAATGAGAAGGAATGGATTAGAGGATTTTTAAAGTTCTTTCCTGAATTACCACAGTATAATTTTACATTGTTAAGTAACTTCCCTGCATTGCTAGCAGTAAAAATTGGGAGTTTTAAAATTGGCTTCCAGCCGGATGTGGTGGCTCACGCCTGTCATCTCAGCACTCTGGGAGGCCGAGGCAGGTGGATCACGAGGTCAAGAGATCGAGACAATCCTGGCCAACATGGTGAAACCCTGTCTCTACTAAAAATACAAAAAATAAGCTGGGCGTGGTGGCAGGCACCTGTAGTCCCAGCTACTCGGGAGGTTGAGGCAGGAGAATCACTTGAACCTGGAAGGCAGAGGTTGCAGTGAGCTGAGATTGTGCCACTGCACTCCAGCCTGGTGACAGAGCAAGACTCCATCTCAAAAAAACAAAAACAAACACAAACTGGCTTCCCTGGACCTGAGGATGCTACAGAAGTACCTCCAGGGCTGCCGAGTGAGGATAAGGAAGATGCCTTTGCCTTCTACCAAAGCATCTCACATTTACTTTTTTAATACTAAGTATAATATTTTATTTGATTAAAGGGGCTCCTCTGTTTAAACAATTATCTCATTATCTGAGAAACCAGATCTAAAGCACAAGGTTTGTTTACTAAATCAATCCTTTAAGAAAATTAAAAAAACATTAATAGGTTTGCCAAAGACATAGAACAATTCAGATTCTTAACCCCTAACACAAAATCTCACATTTCACTTGGCAAACATGATTTTATAAATTCTGGCATTAGACAAAGACTGTGTCTAACGATAAGCAGTTTTGGCACAGCTAAAGAGGATAAAGATAAGTCATTCACACCTGGAATTGACTTGACTCGTCTCTGTAAGGATGATGATCTTTTGTAGTCAGCTAAAAACTTGAATAAGTCTTCATCGCTAAGGCGATCTCCTTCCTGCCAAGAGAAAAGTCAGAGTTAATGTAGATGCACCTTTGACTCTTGGGTTGGGGACAAACGATTTCTGGGAAGATTTTTACCTTTAAGTTTTATTCTCACAAGTCTTTCATAGAAATTAGGATTATAGACAGCTCTGAAATCACTGAGCTCCACTTCTTGTTAAATCCTTCTCAATCACTGTGACTCACTGTGCCTCGGCCTCTTATCAGTCCTTCTGGGGATGGGGCATCTGCTGCATTCTAAGGAAGCCCGTCTGACCATTAGAAAACCAGGCCAAAAGCTTCCCCCCGATAACTCTCACCCTCTGATGCCAGTATTACCCCCCGGAACAATACAGAATAAGTTTACTTTCTTCTTCAAATGTTCGAAGGTGGAGAAAGCATCTTTCCATCTCATTTTCTTCACATTTGTCTCGAACAAGGTTAAGTATAAATGCTGTCCACCCCCACATATGCCCAAGATGGGTCAGGAGCACACATGCATGATCTCCAATCCTTACAACAACCCAGTAAGGTAAGTGGGTAGATATGTCTTATTCCCAGTGAGACCATCCAGACTTAGTTAAGTACCTTGTCCTCCAAGGTCATAAGATTGGGAAGGGTACATGTATGCTGAATAGAAACCTTTTCAGACCTTTACTATTTCTATGATGTGGCACGGTGCACAGGCGCCCTCAGCATCCCTTTTGCATTTCAGTTTGTTAATGTAACCCCTTTAAATGCTCCACGAAGACTGCGTAGCTATGGAAAACTTTCCAAAACAGAGTCAGACCAAGCGAGTTTATTTTAAGTGTGGCAAAATATAACTAACATAAAATTACCATATTACCTCTTTTTTTTTTTCTTTTCTGAGATGGAGCCTCACTCTGTCACCCAGGCTGGAGTGCAGTGGGGCAATCTCGGCTCACTGCAACCTCCACCTCCCAGGTTCAAACAATTCTCCAGCCTCAGCCTCCCAAGTAGCTGGGATTACAGGTGTGCACCACCACACCCGGCTAACTTTTGTATTTTTAGTAGAGACGGGGGTTCACCATGTTGGCCAGGCTGGTCTTGAACTCCTGACCTCACATAATCCACCTGCCTCGGCCTCCCAGTGCTGGGATTACAGGCATGAGCCACTGCGCCCGGCCCATCTTACCTGTTTCTAAGTGCACAATTCAGTAGTGTTAAGCACATTCTCTTTGTTGTGCAACCAACCTCCAGAATGCTTTTGTCTTGCAAAAAAAATCTGAAACTCTGTACCCTTTAACCAGTGACTCCCCACCCCTCTATCCCTAGACCCTGGCAACCGTCATTCTACTTTCTGTCTCTATACCGTTGACAAGTCTAGGAAGTTTTTTATTTTTTTAAATAGTCTTGATGTTTACTGAGCTAACAAAGAGTACCATCTGGAATGGTCACCCTCTCTGAGCAAGCAGGGAGCCCTGGAAACTTGCACATCAAGCAGTAGTGAAAGTGGAAACTTGCACATGAATAGCCAGGCCAAGAAACCCTGAGATCCACCGGGAAGGAGATGGCCCAGCCAGACTGTTGTCATAGCATAATGAATGGATTGGCCAAGATAGTTCAAATAGGATAGTTGGTATCACAAGGAACAAAACCTAACCCTTCTCTCAGTTAAAATAGCTAACATTCATTGAGCACTTACTGTATTCCAGGCACTCTAAGAAGAGCTTGACAGGTCTCATGTCACCTGACCTTCCTGCTAGCCACATGAAGTTAAGTACTATTGTTCCCGTTTTCTGGCTAATGAAATTGAGGCTTTGTGAATGCTGTGGTTTGAATGTCCCCTTCAAAACTCATGGTGAAGCTTGGTCCCCATGGTGGCAGTGTTGGGAAGTGGAGCCTTTAAGACGTGATTGAATCATGAGGACTCTGCCCTCATGACTGGATTAATCCATTCACAGATTAATGGATTAATCTGCATCATGGGAGGGGAACTGGTGGCTTTATAAGAACAGGAAGAGAGACCTGAGCTAGCATGCTCAGCTGCTCACCGTGCTCCACCTCAGGACTCTACAGAGAGGCCCCGCCAGCAAGAAAGCCCTCACCAAGGGTGGGCCCTCAACTTTGGATTTTTCAGCCTTCAAAACTGAAAGAAACAAATCCCTTTTCTTTTTAAATTACCCAGTTTCAGATACTCTATTATAAGCAGCAGAAAATGAACTAAGAGAGTGAGCTTAACTAATTTGCTCTCTTAATCACTACGTATCCTCCTCCTGTGGGTTCCAGTGCCCATGCCAGTATGGGGAAAAATCCAGACACACTGTAATGTGAAGAGATACCTGCTTGAAAAAGCTGCTAACGCTCAGAGTGGAGGTTTTGAAGTTGGATCCAACCCCATTTTCCTCCAAGGAGAGGGCTCTTTCAGAAAGCCTTCTAGATTGGGCCAATGTCCTCCGTTCACCCACTGAGCTTCTCCCTTTAAGAAAAACAATTGTCACTCCAAAGTATGCCTTTCTGTTCAAACACACAGCAGTTATTAACTTCACAATATGTATGATTAAAGTCACTGATCAGGAACACTGAATATGGCCATCCTTGTTTTGAATGAAAATGTCCTTCCATTGGCCCCTACCTTTCTTAGTCCTCCTGTTGGTGTCCTTAATCCTCCTCCGACCAGAGGAGAGAGGCCAGGAGCAGCCATGGGCCCCTCCCACATGGAAATTAGGGTAGCCCAAATGCCACCCGGCAAGAGTCCAGAGCTATAGCCAGAACAGGGTCTCCTGATAAGCTTTATTTAGTCAGCACAGTGTTTGCTTTTCTTTTATTTCTATATTTGCATTCCACTGGGAGAGGCATGTACTCAAATGCCCCTGAAGGCATTTGTGATTGTGACCCAAACATGCTGGGGTCAGCCTGTGTACACTCTGAATCCCAGCATTCCTCTGCTCTCATTATGTGGACCAGGCAGCAAGACTGAGTTTCTGCCTTGGGTGATCTGCCCAATGGGAATTAGAACCCCAAATCACACTCAGACTTGGGCTGGGACCCTGATAGTTTGCCCAGTTGTTTCTTATCCCCTTTTGGGATTTGGGTGGAGATCTTGTTGCTTTTATATTGCAAAAACTCATGGGTTCTCTTGTAAATAATCAAATTGCTTAGAACTAGAGCAGTTCCAACCCGTCTTTGAGTATCTTCTTATCCTTAATTCTTACCATGATGTTGAATTAGAATTTCTTGCTACCTCTACCCACCTAAACTTGCCATTCTGCCTCAGTATAATACATGACATCTTTGCATCTTCTGGTTGCTCCTTAAGAATCAGTCTCTGTTGTCAGGTTATCCTTGACCTAGAGATGATTGAGGCCTCAGCATGCCCTATCCTGAATTACCTAGCTTGTGTGCCCTCTAAGCTCTATACATAACTCTTATCAATAAGTTACTTGGGTCTACATAGACGGCATTAAAGAAAGCTGTGGCAGGAAGATCAGGATGTGGTAAAGTGAGGTTTGTTATTGACGAACCAGAAATAACCCAGGAGTTCTGACTGGTGATTATGTACCAGTAACTCCAAAATAGCAGCAGCAATCACAAAATGCCCTTTCCTCCACTTCCCTGCTCAAGGTAGTATTTCAGAAGTGGCTTAAGCCTTAGCTTAAGGAATGCATGAAAAGATGTGAACATGGACTTCTATATTTGGTGGATACAAAAGCATTTAGGGAAAGAGAAACCCCACCACAGGTGATATGGGCAGGTCTACTTGAAAATTTGCAACCCTTTTGAAAATTTCTACACCAAGCAGTGTAGGAATGAATGATTCAGATCACGGGTGAGATGACGAAAAAGAAATATGCTAAATAAACTAAAACAGTAAATATTCTTTGGATGCCCATTTTTTCATTGCACTTGGCAAAGTAAACTTTAACGAACTGGAAATTTTGCTGGGAAACTTGAGTTTTTCTCTTTTTTCTTTTTTTTTGAGACAAAGTCATGCTCTGTTGCCCAGGCTGGAGTGCAGAGGCCTGATCTCGGCTCACTGTAACCTCGCCTCCCTGGTTCAAGCGATTCTCCTGCCTCTGCCTCCCGAGTAGCTGAGATTACAGACGTGTACCACCACACCCAGCAAATTTTTTGTATTTTTAGTAGAGACAGGGTTTTACCATGTTGGCCAGGCTGGTCTCGAACTCCTGGCTTCAAGCGATCCGCCTACCTCGGCCTCCCAAAGTGGTGGGATTACAAGCGTGAGCCACCACGCCCTGTTCCTGTTGAGTTTTGCTTTTTGAAGCCTTTGTAACAGAGGCTTTTTTTTTTAGGTTTAGGAGTCGACCATGGTGTCTCTGCTTAACACACTACAGATGGTTACTACATTTTCTTGTTAAAGTTTTACTTTTGAGAGCGGGTGGCTAGCAAAAATCAGCTTTTTAAAGTGTCATACCATCTAGAAAATCTTACTATAAGAGTATACTTAATCTTCACCAATGTTCGTGATAATTTCTTTTGGAGATCACCGTCCAAATCTACGTAATCCAGTCATAACAGTGTTTCATTCTATTTATCTCCTTCTGCCTCCCCACTTCCCACACCTCACTGTGCCCCCAGTCCCCGCTAGTAAGCTGTGGACCTGGGCAGCGCACACTGGGGAGCCCTCCCTTTCCCACTGCAGGTGAAAATCTTACCAACCACAGAGTCCACATCAGTTACCTCCCTCTCAAGGGTGGAGACATTGAAGAAGCTTGATAAGCTTATGGGTGCCCAGGCAAAGGGCATCCGGTATTTCCCCAAACGCTGGCAGAAGGATTCAGCTTGGAGTTTTAGTTTTTCAATCTTTTCTTTACTCTGGAGGAAAATGGAAAGAAACAAGCTGAAACAAGCATCAGCACCAAGTCAACTGCCTCTGACCTGAATATGACAGCCATCTCCAAAATCCAAACCCTACTGATTAAAAAGAGTAAAAACATATCTTCCCACTAAAAAATAAAAACAGTGAATAGGCAGAAAAATGATGCACTTGGGTCTAGCTGATAAGGAAATAAAGATTAAAAAACGAGGAGTTTACAAAAAGGCTACATTTAATTAGTAAAATACATTTTTAGCTAACGAAAACAAAAAGAGACTCATTACATCAGATTATCAATTCTTTTGGTGGCTAGCTATGTGACTTGGATTTGCATAAAAGAATCTTGAAATCAAGTTTAGTATATCATCTACCAAGCTCCCAAGTGAACCTGTTTCTCCAAAAGTCACCTTGGAAAACTCCAAAAAATTCTAAAAAGCTTCCTAACAACTCCTTAGGAAGTTTACAATACTTCCAAGGTGTTCTTTCTGAGTTCAGAATAAAAGACAGATTTTAAAAAAAAAATGCCTTGAGTTCAATAAATCTTACTTGACATTTATGAGTCTGTAGAGTACAATACTAATAAGGTAAGTCTTATTCCAGAAAGGCTATTTTTTTTTTTTTTTGAGACAGAGTCTCACTCTGTCACCCAGGCTGGAGTGCAGTGGCACGATCTCGGCTCACTGCAACCTCCGCCTCCCAGGTTCAAGCTATTCTCCTGCCTCAGCCTCCTGAGAAGCTGGGAATACAGGCACGTGCCACCATGCCCGGCTAATTTTTTGTATTTTTAGCAGAGACGGGGTTTCACCGTGTTGGCCAGGATGGTCTCAATCTTCTGACCTCATGATCTGCCCGCCTTGGCCTCCCAAAGTGCTGGGATTACAGGTGTGAGCCACCACGCCCGGCCAAGGCCATGTTTTAAAAATCACACTGGGAATCTTTGCAAATTGCTGTTGAGAAAAGATATCCTTTTCATAGGCTCAACACCTATGCTGTGCTAATGAATATATATAATGCATGGTAGTGGCAGCCAATTCCCAGTTATTTGCATACCTGAAAGGGCAGCGGCCCATGCTGTTGAGGAAGGCCAGGAGAGCTCTGGCACTGTTTAGTTTTGGGGTCTCCACGGACCTCCCAACCAGCTGAGTCAGAGCCTCAGAATGAAGACAACAGGGGGTGGCCTTGCCCCAATCAAGTTATGCAGTCAGACCTTGCTGTATGTCAACATTAGAAAATTCAAGGATTTATTTCTCTAAAAAATCATCATCAGGCTGGGCATGGTGACTCATGCCTGTAATCCCAACACTTTGGGAGGCTGAGGCAGGAGAATCACTTGAGGCCAGAATTATGAGAGCAGCCTGGGCAACACAGTGAGACCCCATCTCTAAAAAAAAATAAAAAACTAGCCAAGCATGGTGGCATGTGCCTGTAGTACCAGCTGCTCAAGAGGCTGAAGGGGGAGGATCATTCAAGCCCAGGAGTTCAAGGTTGTAGGGGGCCGTGATTGCACTCCAGCACTCCAGCCTGGGAGATAAAGTAAGACACTGCCTCAAAAAAAAAAAAAAAAAAAAAAAAAAAGTCATCATCGGTGACCAGTTTTCTTTTCCTCTTTTATTTAATTAAAATGTAGTAGTGTCTTATATAGGGACACATTAGGGACTAAAGCCCATTAACTATTTGTGTAACACTTCTGAAAATACCTGCTTCTTCTAAGATGTCTCCATTTAACAACACTCAAATTACCATACCTTTCCACCATCACTTTCTTTGATAACCGTGTAGGGCTCTGCACAGTCTCCAATCTCTCCCTGCTGCAGGACTTTTTCAATCTACCAATAAAAAGAATATTAAAATAAGGCACATAAATTACATCCATAAAAAGGAATCTATGCAACCATCAAAATTACATTTTATGACAATATTTGATGACATAGGAAGCTATCTGTGATACATATTTTTTTATTAAAAAATTTATATAAAGAATAGCATACAATTTTATTTAACAAATCATAAAGGCATATTAAAAGGGTGACAGTAGATACTCAGCAAATGCAGCAAGTGTTAATAGTAGTTAACTTTCTATGGTGGGATTATGTGTGATTTTTATTTTCTTCCCATTGCTTATGTGTATTTTCTATTTTAAACAATAAACATGTATTATGTATATAATAAAAACAGCAATAAAAGTTATTTTATAAAACAAAACCCAGGAGACATACGTAGGAAGTGGAAAACTCATTTTCTTTATTATTGCTTACAATGTAAAAAAGAGATATGGTCTCTGTGAAAGTTGGGTTAGGGACTAAAACCTTCCACAAAATGAATGACTGAACCGAATAAATTATCTGTAATTGTCTCCCTTGTAATTCCTATCAGGGCTAATTCTCTGGATTTAACAGACTTGGAAAGAAACTCAAAAGCATTGGGATGTGCAGCTTCTTGCTTTGCTAACTGGCTGTTGATAGGAATGAATGCTGGTAATAAGAATGAATGAAGTGTCTTCTGTCTTGCTTCAGGTAAAGTGACTGGCTGGCCAGTTGTCATAAATTTGGGCACCATATTTAAAAGAAAGACAAGGAGAAATTTGAAATTTCCTAACTCTCTGCTCAAAAAAAATTTAACTTAGATGTTGAAGAGTAAAACCAGTGGATTTAGTCCCATCAGTTGAGATGATCCTTGAAGAAAGAATTTGGGTCAACACAGTACAAAAGGGACACATACTTAATAGGTGCTGTGAGTTAGGCACAAAGTATTTAACAATACCCATGATAAAGGGGCATTTATGGGGTTTCAAAGGAAGCAGCATGAGGCTACTCAATGAATATCTGCTTCAGGGAGGACTCCAAGCAGGAAGTCTCTCTTCTCATCAAAGAAGTTCAAAACCCCCTCCCATTGCCACAGCATGAAGAGAAGGCGAATCCCACTGAGAGATGCACCACACTGAAAACATAAGCACGTAACACTTGAGCTAGAAACTGACCAGTATTCCTGCTAATCAGCAATCGTTTACTTATTGTTGAGTACCTTCTATATGGTAGCAGCTGGGAGATAAGGTGGCGATAAACACTGCCCCCATTCTCCTGAAGCTCATAGTCAGGAGCTTGTAGAACAAATTGGAAGGAAGCTAATTTTTCCATGAAGTGAATGGATTAAAAATGTGGTCTTTAGAATAAATTCTGAACAGAGATGAAGAACTTCTTAATTAGGACCCTGAAGCAAGGAAGGGGAATGCCACGGCTTCATGCACTAGTAGTGTGTATCATGGAACATACAGGAAGCAGGAGAAGTCAGATTTGACCAGACCAGCAGATACTATGCCCTGGCTGCAGTGGGCAAGGAGAACTCCAGGTACTTCATGAGAAGGAGCTGCAGACCGACATGAGAACCTATTGTTTGTTCCCTCATGATTTATGCAAAAGTGTGTAATGAAATGCATGACTCCTCATAACCATGGAAAGTAGGGCAAATAAGCCTATCAGATTAACCTAAAACTTTTCTTAAGGGAACAGACTACTTTCTGCTCTATTCAGAAGGGGTAGGATTAACACTTGGCATACCTATTTTTTTCATATTTCATGGCCATTTATTGTTTACCTAATTATGGTATGTCAGGTACAGGGTAGGTGTTTTTACATACATTATTTCAATTTTCTTCAAAACCACTCAGGCACAGGGATCATTGTCCAATTAGACTGACAGACTAAACTTGCTACCATACACAGCAAATGTAGCAAAATAGGAATTTGAACCCATTTCTTTGAATGCCAAGTTGTTTTTTTAACTGGATTGTAAACTCTTTAAGATGGGAAATTTAACATCTGCAAGACTTCTAAAGTGCTAGGCTCTCTGCTTTGTGTTTTCTCAAACTATGTGGCCCTTACATAAGGATAGGCCCATCGCAACTTATGAAATATTTAAATTGGGCACGGCATACCAATTTTTAAACAATTTTTGAAAAGTTTCCAATTCAATCCCATTTTCACTCTTCTTTCCTTGATTGTAAAACAAATTCTTTTTAAAAAAAAATTTCACAAAATCTTGAATTAAACTTTTAAGCGGAAATAATCCCTTAAAGCCGTATTATATGCAACACCTGAACTAGATGATGCTACCTAAAATACAGTAAAGACCCTGATGTTCGGCCTGGGAATATAAACAAAAAAGAAAGAAGCCCCTCTTACCAAATAATGTCTGCCTGGATGTGCTAAATAGTTTAACACCATTTACTATATATTTAAAGGGAAAGAAGCAACAATGATGGCATTACGATAAAGAAAAGCAAACAGAAAGCCAACCAGGGGCTGTCTTGCTGAGTAGATTTCAATTTCTTAAACCTATCCAAACACTTTAGTATGTTTGTTATGCCAAATGAACACATTTATACATTTGAAAATTTTGGAACATATTTAGTAAGTGATAGGAACCAATGGGTAACCACTGTTACTTGGCAGAATATGACGGATTAATCAAGAGAAAGTCATCCACTGGGAAGTAGAGTTTGAGATAAAATTTGGCTCTATAGAACTAGTGTTGGCTTCTTCAGTTTCCTAGGCTGACAGAGAATTGTGAACTTACCTACAGGGCTATCATAGTGGGCTTTAATTTTCCTGTATGTCTAAGTAATATTGCAACGAAAAGGAGACACATTGAAGTTTGACAACAATAGAAGTGTCTTTTCAGCAATATAATTTTAACTATACTTCTATAAGCTTAAATAAGTTCCCCTCAAGCTACAGTAACCTCTCATAATCTTTGTTATATGGTGTTAAAGAAGCTAGAGTGAAAAGACATTTGCCATCTGTTAAGTGACCTCAAAGCTACCTGAATTATTTGGAATCCATGAGATCATGGGGCGATCACTGAGACTACAGACATAAAACACTGTACTAACTAGATAATGTTCCAAACCTAAGAGGCTGGGGGCACATGAAATCAGACACCTGAATTTGTTGTTTTGTTTTTACAATGATTTTACGGCCGGGCACAGTGGCTCACGCCTGTAATCCCAACACTTTGGGAACCAAATACAGGTGAATCACCTGAGATCAGGAGTTTGAGATCAGCCTGGCCAACATGGTGAAATCCTGTCCCTACTAAAAATACAAAAATTAGCCTGGTTTGGGGTGGTGGGCTCCTATAATCCCAGCTACTCGGGAGGCTGAGGCAGGAGAATCGTTTGAACCCGGGAGGTGGAGGTTGCAGTGAGCCGACATGGTGACACTGCACTCCAGCCTGGGTGACAAGAGCAAAACTCCTCTCAAAAAAAAAAAAAAAAAAAAAAAAAAGAATCAATAAGACCAATTATCTGGCCTAAGGTAGGTAAAATACCTGATGTTTGTTAATTTCTAACCAGTCATTTTGGTGTACAGAGAAAGGATCTGGTTTTCTTACAACAGCAAAGAGTATAGCCTAGAATGAAAGGCTCTTCTACTTACAATTGCCCCATAGATTTCAACTCTCATTAGAGACAGTCTGTGACATGGTAAGAAGAAAAAAAAAAAAGGAGGATGAAACTTGAAAACCACAGCCCACGCTTCAGCTTGTAAGAGGCTGGACTTGGGAACACGTAACTATGCATCTCTAGAGCAACATGAACATCGTTAGGAAACTCTAGCCCAGAGATTTTGTTCCTTTCTCCACAGCAGCTTCTTTGCACCAGGTCACTGAGGGAACTCTCCTTAATTAGGAGAAGGGTGCCCAAGATGTGCCAAGCTTTATTCTGTAGTCATGACTATCCACTGAGGTCAGTGTGATTATCTCCACTTCACAGATGAGGAAACTCAGTCTCAGAAAGACCAGGAAACTGCCAATGCCATTTAATTACTAGGTTGTAAAGCCAGGACTCAAACCTAGGTCTGTGTGTCTCCAAAACCTAGTCTTTCTAGTATCTGAAACAGTTTACTTAGAACGGAAAAGGGGTAAACTGAGAAGGAAACAAAGTGAATCTCAGAGGATATGTGGACACATTCTGAGATTGCGTGCACCCCAAACATGTGCTGGGAACAACACAGCAATGAAAACATCAGATTGGGCAAATCAGATCGTACTGAATTACCTTGACTACCAGGTAGATGTCTGAGGACGGGTAGGTGACTGAGAAGACTGCAGATCTCGCCTGACTTGATGCGGCCACTGAAGGCGTGTGAGCTCGCAGAAATCCTTTGAACTGGTCAGAGTTCAGGTCACAGTGAAAATTTTCTGAGATCTGTAAATGAGCAGCAAAGTGAAATATAAGTTAGACCTGTTGCATTCATGGTTTAAACATGTTAAAAAGGAGTAAAAACACCACAGAGAAATTTTGCTGAAGGAGTAAGTGTAATAATCACAGATGTGGTTTAGGAAAGTGGCTCCTGGATAAATCTGACAAATGTTTTGTCACAATGTCTAGGTATTCTGGAGCCATTTGAGAGATGTTCCTTGAAACATTTAAATGTTTATTAACCCACCGGTATTTCCTGAGTATCAGTTACTTCACTACAGAAGAGGAGGACCTCTGCTCTCAATTAATTCACAATCAAGAATGAGGGAAGGACTGGGTGTGGTGGTTCACACTCGTAATCCCAGCACTTTGGGAGGCCAAGGCGGGCACATTGCTTGAGCTCACGAGTTTGAAACCAGCCTGGGCAACATGGTGAAACCCTGCCTCTACAAAAAATACAAAAACTAGCCAGCATGGTGGCATGTGCCTGTGGTTCCAGCGACTTGGGACGCTGAGGTGGGAGGATGGATCACTTGAACCCGGGAGGCAGAGGGTGCAGTAAGCCAAGATCGCCCCACTGCATGCCAGCCTGGGCAACAGAGTGAGACCCTGACTCAAAAAAAAAAAAAAAAAAAGGTGAGGGAAAAGGTAAACATGTAACTAACTACAGTAAAAGCAAAATACAAGTCACCACATGCATACAAAGAAGCACTGTGGAAGTTCCAGAGTGACAGGCCATTTGCAGTTGGGTGACAAGGACAACTTTTCATGGAAGCAGCACTGGAGATGGATGGGCCTTAGAAGATTCTGATAGGCAGGGGTGGAAGGTGATGATGTGCCAGGGAGAGATTAGAGTATGAATAAATATCTCAGAGGCTTGAACGGCTGGGGGAAGCTTAGTCAGCGGTCTAGCTTGACTCTGCATAGACTATGGATGGAAAGAAGGTAGAGGAATGCCATCATGAAGAAAGCCTGGTTGTAGGGAATGAATCTTAGTGAAGATTCTGAGCAAGAGCATGATGTGAACAGTGCTCCTGGCTCTCTTAGTGTCGTATTACTTAAGAGCCACTGTATGGTTGGGTTCTCTCCTTCATCACCATGAGAATTTTAGTGGTGAGTGGCTGCCCAGGCAGAGACTACATTTACCAGCCTCCTTTGCAATGAGGGGTGATCATGTGACTCAATTCTCTCCAGTGAATTGTTAGCAGAAGCAATGTATCAAACTTCCAGGCCTCCTCCATCCTTCTTTTCTCTTCTTCAGGGGCAGCAATGGCAGTGACAAGAGTAATTTGGGGAGAGAACATACTGAAGATGGAGGAGCCACTGCCAGCCTGTATTTCTGAGTGGCTGCGTGGAACAGAGGGGTCCCTCCTCCCACCCTGGATGGTTAAAGAAACAAAGACAGCAACTTCTTGCTTATAGGCCAGCGGTTTTCAAAATGTGGTCCCCTGACCAGTAGCTTCAGCATCAGCAGGGGACTGTTAGAAATGCAAATTCTCAGGCCCCACCTGGACTTGCTGAATCAGAAACTCTGTGGGTGAGGTCCAGCAATCTGTGTTTTAACAAGTCCTCCAGGAGATTGTGATGCATGCTCAAGTTTGAGAACTACTGCTTTAAACCACTGAGATTGGGTTCTGCTTGTTTTAGCAGTTAACCTATCCTACAAATCTCAGTGATTATTAATATTTATGCAGGAGATGCTTGTTTCCTTAAATACAGAATGATTATGGGTAAAGAAGGGCAGAAGTGTCCATCCTACTCTGGATTTGCTATTGCTGTCCTCTTCTAGGAGTCACAAAATGACTAAACATTAAAAACACACGAGAGGTCTTGGTCACTGTTTTCATTAAAAGCACATTACAGTTGGTAAGGTCTGAACTCTGTGACAAATTGAGACCTCTACCATGTAAGATGCCCTTCAGTCATGAGCCTATTTCACAGTGCAAAGAACTCTCAAACTGAGGAAGCTTTACATGCGCATCCAAGCTTGTTAAAAATGTATTTAAATGGGTTTGTTTTATACATAACCCCATGCGCTATTTCATTCTTTCTCTATTCCAACCAGGCCAGCACCTCCAGTAGCCTCTCCCTCTAAAATTCTTCAAAGATCATAAATTACATTCTCAGACCACTGCTTGAAAAATTGCAAAGGCAACAGAACTGGACTCATCAAAGATCATTTGCTTTCAAATCTGATAGGTTCTTGCTGCAAAGAAATTTAAAAACATACATGCAAAGAATCATGAACAATATATGTGCCTTAGGGATGGATTTTTCTTTGCTTTCTTACCTTTTTCCTTTCTTTAACATCGTAGAGGGCAATGCTGGCAAACAGGGGCTCAATTTCAATCTCGAACCTACCATAGAAAGAGAGGAAAATCTATGTGGCTTTGAGTTAGATAATTTTGAATTTTCTGAAAACACCTAGATAGATAAACTGGTTAAAAATATGAGCAGTTTCCCGAAATATTTGGAAAACTCCAAGTATATGAGAATCGCACTGGGATATTAATAGAGAAATATAGGAGGTTTGTGAAAAATTCCTAATCATTTGAGATCATGGTGGACATTACAAAAGCATGGTGGATATTTTTGGAATATCTCACTCATTCACTCACTCACTGCAAGAGAGAGTGGGCTGAATGGACCTTTAGTGTGATTCACCTTCTTATTGTAACTACTGTGTTTTCAGAGGGTAGACTTTCTGTCTGAGGTAATGGACTTGTTCACATTTCACATTTTATTGCTAGATAGTATCTGTTTCACAACTGCAAAGATATGGAACCAACAACCAACCTAATTGCCCACCAACCAATGAGTAGATAAAGAAAATGTGGTATCTATACACTATGGAATACTGCTTATCCATAAAATAGAAGGAAATAATTAATGTCTTTTGCAGGAACTTGGATGGAGCCGGGGGTTGTTATTCTGAGTGAAGTAACTCAGGAATGGAAACCAAATGCTGTATGTTAGTGGGAGCTAAGCTATGAGTACACAAAGGCAAACAGAGTGGTATAATGGACCTTGGAGACTCAGAAGCAGGAGAGTAGAGGGGGATGAGGGATAAAAAAACTACATACTGGGTACAATGTACACTGCTTGGGTGACGGGTGCACTAAAATCTCAAACTTTACTACTATACAATTCATCCATGTAACCAAAAACCACTTACCCTAAAGCCATTGAAATAAAAAAATTTAAAGGATAGAATCTGTATTATTCAATTCTAAGGAATGGGGCTTTTCAGATGGCAACAAAAGAAAAGTTCAATTGCTTTTCCTTAGATTTGTAGTGGGACAGTCAGAAGAAGGCTGGGTTTTGATGGGGATGAATGTCTGGCCCTTCCTAACTCCATTACTGGGGAGTTGCTGAGTTGAGGTCAGGGAGGGGCTTGAGCACAGCAGATAAACACTGAGGTGCCTGGGCCCCATGAGAGCTAGAAAGATGAGCCCTCATATTGGCCCTAATTGCCAATTCCCCTCGAAACGGTGAATCCCAAAGCATAATCCTGGTGCATTATTTGCCTTTAGTATCTTGGTGGACATTACAGGTGCACATGGAACACTGGTGAAGGTCTTCCAAGTTTCTCAGCTTGATGTCCCATGGCTTTGGATGTTACCTGCAGAGAGCACCAGGAAAAGGGCCCCAGTCCACCATTACCTCAGACATCATGTCAATAAAGTCATGTTTTGTCTCCAGGTATGTGTGAGAGGATGTCCTCATCAATGGATAGCTTTGTCTCAAAAGAGGACTTTTTAGAAGAATATTTGGACAGAATATGAGCACAGACAAAAAGGGTTATTTGCTCAAATGGCGCCTTTGGAAATGAGGCAATTTGGAATCATGGCAGACTCCCAGGGCACCCAGGCAGAGACCTGGACTCTGTTCCTCCTCCACCATCTGCTAATTCTGCGACCCTAATCAGGTTACTCGCCTTTCTGAATTCCATTTATTTATCTGCAAAATAAGGTAAGGATGCTTGCCTTTCCATTTTCCTGGTTGTTGTGAGGATCACGTATAATGATGTGTGTGAATGTATCTTAAAAACAATGCCAAGTAGCAGCACTATTCACAATAGCCAAAAGGTGGAAGTAACCCACTTGTCCATGAACAGATACATATATGAGGCCATAACAAAATATGCTACATATATACAATGGAATATTATTTAGCCATAAAAGGAGGGAGATTCTGATACATACTACAATATAGATGAACCTGAGGACATTATGAGTAAAAGAAGCCAGTCACAAAAAGACAGTTACTTCATGATTCCCCTTACATGAGGCACCTAGAGTAGTAAAATTCATAGAGGCAGAAAGTAGAATGGGAGTTGCCAGGGGCTGGGGAGTAGGGAGAATAAGGAGTTATTGTTTAACGGGTACAGAGTTTCAGTTTGGGAAGAGAAAAATTCCTGGAGATGGATGGTGGTGATGGTTGCAGAACAATGTGAATGTACTCACCACTGAACTGTACCTTAAAAATGGTTAAGATGGTAGATTTTGGCCAGGCGCAGTGGCTCATGCCTGTAATCCCAGCACTTTGGGAGGCCGAGGCAAGCGGATCATGAGGTCAGGAGTTCAAGACCAGCCTGGCCAACACGGTGAAACCCTGTCTCTACTAAACCACAAAAACTGGCCGAGCGTGGTGGCAAGTGCCTGTAATCCCAGCTACTCGGGAGGCTGAGGCAGGAGAATCACTTGAACCTGGGAGGCAGAAGTTGCAGTGAGCCGAGATCATGCCACTGCACTCCAGCCTGGACAATAGAGTGAGACTCTGTCTCAAAAAAAAAAAAAAAAAAAAAAAGATGGTAGATTTTATGTTACATACATTTTACCACCGAAAAGCCCAGTGTTGAGGATTTCTATGATTATTCTTTCTATTATTAGGTAATTGCACATTAATTGGGGGCTTTCTTTTTTTTTTTTTTTGAGATGGAGTTTTGCTCTTGTCACCCAGGGTGGAGTGCAATGGTGCAACCTCGGCTCACTGCAACCTCCGCCACCCAGGTTCAAGCGATTCTTCGGCCTCAGCCTCCCTAGCAGCTGTGACTACAGGCATGTGCCACCACACCCAGCTAATTTTTGTATATTTAGTAGAGATGGGGTCTTACCATGTTGTCCAGGCTGGTCTCAAACTCCTGAGCTCAGGTGACTCACCTGCCTCAGCCTCCCAAAGTACTGGGATTACAGGTGTGAGCCACTGCACCAGGCCAATTGGAGGCTTTCCTGGGCCTAGGCTCACCAGCTGCTGCCTGGCATGCTCAATCTATATTTAATTGTTTACTCCCTACTACACAAAGGGCCTGAATATTGCTGTGATATACTTAGGTTGGTACTGAGTAGTAAGTCCTCTGTGGTTCCGAGAAAGAAAAAGAGAATTGACATTTATTAAAGACTTAAAATTGTGTTATAATAAGTGCTTTCCACACATCAGTCTCTTTACACAACTACAGCGTAATGCAGATATTATCTGCATTTAACACACCAGGAAAGCAAGGTTCCCAGGGAATAAGGAACTTGCCAAAGTCTACACAGTTAGGGACTGGCACGGTCAGGTTTTGAGCCCAGCCATCTCTGATCACAGAACCTGGGCTTTTTCCGTGAGTGTTCGGTCAGGTTTTGAGCCCAGCCATCTCTGATCACAGAACCTGGGCTTTTTCCGTGAGTGTTCGGTCAGGTTTTGAGCCCAGCCATCTCTGATCACAGAACCTGGGCTTTTTCCGTGAGTGTTCGGTCAGGTTTTGAGCCCAGCCATCTCTGGTCACAGAACCTGGGCTTTTTCCGTGAGTGTTCGGTCAGGTTTTGAGCCCAGCCATCTCTGGTCACAGAACCTGGGCTTTTTCCGTGAGTGTTCGGTCAGGTTTTGAGCCCAGCCATCTCTGGTCACAGAACCTGGGCTTTTTCCGTGAGTGTTCGGTCAGGTTTTGAGCCCAGCCATCTCTGATCACAGAACCTGGGCTTTTTCCGTGAGTGTTCGGTCAGGTTTTGAGCCCAGCCATCTCTGATCACAGAACCTGGGCTTTTTCCGTGAGTGTTCGGTCAGGTTTTGAGCCCAGCCATCTCTGATCACAGAACCTGGGCTTTTTCCGTGAGTGTTCGGTCAGGTTTTGAGCCCAGCCATCTCTGATCACAGAACCTGGGCTTTTTCCGTGAGTGTTCGGTCAGGTTTTGAGCCCAGCCATCTCTGATCACAGAACCTGGGCTTTTTCCGTGAGTGTTCGGTCAGGTTTTGAGCCCAGCCATCTCTGGTCACAGAACCTGGGCTTTTTCCGTGAGTGTTCGGTCAGGTTTTGAGCCCAGCCATCTCTGATCACAGAACCTGGGCTTTTTCCGTGAGTGTTCGGTCAGGTTTTGAGCCCAGCCATCTCTGATCACAGAACCTGGGCTTTTTCCGTGAGTGTTCGGTCAGGTTTTGAGCCCAGCCATCTCTGATCACAGAACCTGGGCTTTTTCCGTGAGTGTTCGGTCAGGTTTTGAGCCCAGCCATCTCTGATCACAGAACCTGGGCTTTTTCCGTGAGTGTTCGGTCAGGTTTTGAGCCCAGCCATCTCTGGTCACAGAACCTGGGCTTTTTCCGTGAGTGTTCGGTCAGGTTTTGAGCCCAGCCATCTCTGGTCACAGAACCTGGGCTTTTTCCGTGAGTGTTCGGTCAGGTTTTGAGCCCAGCCATCTCTGATCACAGAACCTGGGCTTTTTCCGTGAGTGTTCGGTCAGGTTTTGAGCCCAGCCATCTCTGATCACAGAACCTGGGCTTTTTCCGTGAGTGTTCGGTCAGGTTTTGAGCCCAGCCATCTCTGATCACAGAACCTGGGCTTTTTCCGTGAGTGTTCGGTCAGGTTTTGAGCCCAGCCATCTCTGATCACAGAACCTGGGCTTTTTCCGTGAGTGTTCGGTCAGGTTTTGAGCCCAGCCATCTCTGATCACAGAACCTGGGCTTTTTCCGTGAGTGTTCGGTCAGGTTTTGAGCCCAGCCATCTCTGGTCACAGAACCTGGGCTTTTTCCGTGAGTGTTCGGTCAGGTTTTGAGCCCAGCCATCTCTGGTCACAGAACCTGGGCTTTTTCCGTGAGTGTTCGGTCAGGTTTTGAGCCCAGCCATCTCTGGTCACAGAACCTGGGCTTTTTCCGTGAGTGTTCGGTCAGGTTTTGAGCCCAGCCATCTCTGATCACAGAACCTGGGCTTTTTCCGTGAGTGTTCGGTCAGGTTTTGAGCCCAGCCATCTCTGGTCACAGAACCTGGGCTTTTTCCGTGAGTGTTCGGTCAGGTTTTGAGCCCAGCCATCTCTGGTCACAGAACCTGGGCTTTTTCCGTGAGTGTTCGGTCAGGTTTTGAGCCCAGCCATCTCTGGTCACAGAACCTGGGCTTTTTCCGTGAGTGTTCGGTCAGGTTTTGAGCCCAGCCATCTCTGATCACAGAACCTGGGCTTTTTCCGTGAGTGTTCGGTCAGGTTTTGAGCCCAGCCATCTCTGATCACAGAACCTGGGCTTTTTCCGTGAGTGTTCGGTCAGGTTTTGAGCCCAGCCATCTCTGGTCACAGAACCTGGGCTTTTTCCGTGAGTGTTCGGTCAGGTTTTGAGCCCAGCCATCTCTGATCACAGAACCTGGGCTTTTTCCGTGAGTGTTCGGTCAGGTTTTGAGCCCAGCCATCTCTGATCACAGAACCTGGGCTTTTTCCGTGAGTGTTCGGTCAGGTTTTGAGCCCAGCCATCTCTGATCACAGAACCTGGGCTTTTTCCGTGAGTGTTCGGTCCGGTTTTGAGCCCAGCCATCTCTGATCACAGAACCTGGGCTTTTTCCGTGAGTGTTCGGTCAGGTTTTGAGCCCAGCCATCTCTGATCACAGAACCTGGGCTTTTTCCGTGAGTGTTCGGTCAGGTTTTGAGCCCAGCCATCTCTGATCACAGAACCTGGGCTTTTTCCGTGAGTGTTTGTTCTTTAAGTGTAGTCCCCAGAATCTAGCATTTTGAAGCAAAAGAAGTTAGCCAGCATGCAGGTTTCTTGATCCCACCTGAGACCTACTCAACCAGAATCTCTTGAGGGAGATTGTTATGGAAGGTCCTCCAAAATCTGCATTTAAAAGAAACTGCCTGGGCAAATTTTCTGCACATTAAAGTTTCACCATCAAGAAGACTCCTAAGAGCTGAGATTACTTTTCATAAGATGGTATTAAATCTTAAAATATTTCTCCATTTAAAACACAAAACAGAAAAATACTTTGTTGTCATTCTTTTTTTTTTTTTCTGTTACAAACATTTGCAGAATTGGCAGGACCCTAATTCTCTCTGTATCTTTGAGGGTTTCTATATTTCTGAAAAGCAATACAGAGACAGTTACAGATGTCTACAACTTTAAACAAATTCCTCAGGGGCTAAAACATGTAGTATTATGAATAGAATCCTACATATCAATGTAAATGGGAAAACATTTGCCATTAATATTACCCTTATATTTTTACTATTCATACTGTCACATTCTAGGCTTACCTATAAGAATTTGTTTCTTTCTTTCATCTAGTTTACTCTAAGTAGTTACTCGGAGGGCTGTCTTTTTGGTCTATCTCTTCTCTTGCAGTTATAGGTTAGTATAGATACTATTTAAAACACATGAGCAGGCCAAGTGCACCTGGCAAATATGTCAATTCGACTTAATTTCTGCTTTGGCAGTTGCGGGGACATCACTAGAAACTGCACTTTACAATTTTCATTAAGAGATATTCAAGTGACTCCTCTTTTTTTAATTTTAGAGACAGGGTCTCACTCTGTCACTCAGGCTGGAATACAGTGGCATGATCATAGCTCACTGCAGCCTTGAACTCCTGGCCTCAAGCGATCCTTCCACCTCAGCCTCCCAATGTAGCTAGGGCTAAAAATTAACACATCTGTTAGTTTTTGGTAGAGAGGGGGTCTCACTATATTGCCCAGGCCGGCCTCAAACTCCTGGCCTCAAGCGATCCTCCCACTTTGGCCTCCCAAAGTGTTGGGATTACAGGTGTGAGTCACCACACTTGGCCTCCATTAACATTTTTTTAAAATAACACATATCTCTCTTAGTGACCATGTTTTCCCACCTGTGAGAACAGCTGCCTCTCATTCACTGGAGAGGTCTAGAAAGCTTGGCTATGAGCACCATAGAGGAGAATTTCTGCCATCTCAAATGACATAGTCGCTGCATCTAAAAGTAGCCTGATGATGCATCCTGTCGGGGCAGGTGTGTCCCTCAGACAATAGCGAAGGCTTCCTAAACAATGCAGAGGGGAAGAGCCACTTCCACTCAGTCCTCCCGCCAACCAGACAGATGAGGAAGCTCCCACTGCCAGGTTGGTTTGCAAGGGCAAGAGCTTGCTTTTCTGTGCCCATTACTTGACACTCAGCTGGTTTATGGGCTGCTCATTTCTCCGTACAAAAGGCCCTGAAGACCCTCTGGTAGAACTGGCCAGCGGGAGGAGACTATAATATCAAGAGACCACCCATAGCTGTGTGAGCAGACTTGCTGGCTTGTTTTCTGAGGCAGAAGAAGTTGGCAGAGGCTATGCGTTAGAATCATAGAAGTTTGTGGTAGGTAGGAATTTTGAGACCATAAGGTCTATCAACTTCATTTATAGGGAAGAACTCAAAATCCCAGGGAAGTTCCCAGGGGTTGAAACCCAGCCTTACATCCAGAATCCAGATGCCTTCTCACTGCAAACCAGGGGCCGCTGAAGGGACCTATGAAGTGACTTTGAGAGATGGATGACCCATCTAATAGTATATAAATAAATGTTACGCTTCTGTAGTTTTGCTTAGGTAAAATATGTACAACTTTAAAGTTTTCATCTGTGGATTTGAAGGAGAACTAATTCTTGAAAATAGCAGTCTGCAGAGACGAAGAGAGGTATGGAGGCACTCCGAGGGTACACAAGACAATCTATTGCAGTGGAAGAAGAAAATACTAGAATTTATATAGATTTATCTAGTTCATCTTTAAAATTTCTATTATGTTTTATAATGTAGATAATATTTTAATATGAAAGTACAAAATTAATACATGTCTATAGAGGATTTTTTTTTTTTGCTATCATAGTATACAATTGAAACGTTTGGATGCAACTACTTTGAAGTAGATGTGGCAAATAATTGGCCCACAAGATGAAACCAGACTGTAGTCGTGTTTTAATTATATGGTGTTTATAAAGGGAATGAGAACATATTTAGGGAGTCGGTATATTATGCAGAAAAATCTGGGTTTTCAGCTTCTCTTGAAAAAATAGAAAAGACAGTTGACAAAAATGGGCCTGTTTATTTGGATGGCAAGAGTCTGTTGCTAGCAGTGAGTGCCCCCTTAACATAGTTTACTACAGTCCTCACCACTCCCTATTGTCCCCTGGCACTGAGTTTCAGTTGCATTTATCATTGTGTTTCAACAGTGGCATACTGGTAAATGTTTTACAAATAATCTCCGGGTGCTGAGGGTGGTGCAAACGTGTAGCATTGGCTGATTTCTACATTGTAAATACTTTCGCCATGGCCAATTTAAAGTTACCAATGTGACTTCACCGAACCCAGGAAGAGATATGCACTGTCAGATCTCACGAGTTAGTACAGTCGACTCCAGCACACCACTGACTTAAGCGCTATTTTTCTTAATGTAGGTCATTTCACTCAATGACCTTACCTGCCTAACTTTAGTAGACACGTGTGTTTGCCTTCTCTATTGTAGAAGAATGACCATCAAGAAGTTGGTAGAAAAAAAATCCAGGAATGGACTCAAACGTGCCCTTTCTACTACTCCACAGCTGCCCACTGTTAGACGTATTTTGGGAGCTCCGCTTTGATTCAAGCTCTGATAATAAACACAACATTTGTATGTAAAAGGCAAGATAAATCTCAAAGCGGTGGCAGTGTGTTTGTTGATACTTACTTCAAGGTCAGCAACTTGACCAATATTCTGTTGCCCAGGTGTTCCTTGGGACATTCTGGTACTGGACGTATTTCCACAGCATCCTCCTATTTTTAATCACATCGTAAGGAAATCATTAGTGAATTCTGTGGGGAGCTCCAATTAGAGTTAACCCAGGGAAGGGAAGGCTACCCTCCACGGCTCAAGTTAACTTAGATTTGCTTTTTTTCTAACACTCTGCCTTTTATAAGAAAGTTTCTCTTCCAACCCCCAACCTCAAAGCCAGCATTTGCAGCAAAACAGTTTCTCCTTTTAGAAACCCAAGCATTCAAGACAAAGAGACTGAAGCAGGAAGGAAGGAAATGTGAACATGGATATGGCTTAGTAACATCCACCAGATGGCATTGCAAAATCTTATACCTATTGTTGATGTTTTTGTGTGTTTTTTGCCCACTCTAATTACACATTTGCAATATTTCTCCTGTCAAGGGCTTTACTAGTAAGTATGTGAGTTTCAGATTTGAAATCTGAGTCAGAATGGTTCACTTAAGGCTGTAAACCATTGATCCTATAATACAGAGTCACTTTCTCAGTTCACTGTTTTCTTAAACAGATGATAGAGACTTGGGGTTGAATTGACAAGTTCTAGACAGGCTTATGCAGTTAGAGCTTCCTAAAGTGCTAGGTATATGAAATTTAGTAATGACAAATTAAGAGCTCTACCTGTTTATTTTACCGCACAGAAACTAAACACTTAAAGAGAAATATCAAGCCCCTATTGTAACCTTAACATCTGTATCTGAACTATCATTCTATGTTAATTATATTCATGTATGCAAAAATAAGTAGTGCAAATCCTTGAAAACAGTAATTCCCACTCTTGCAGTATGCTTTCCAAACACTGGTGAGTGCTCTGCCCATCGCAAGGGTCCAAAGAACAGGGTCACATCTCACTGTCTTTTCCTGGGAGCTTTCCAGTGAATACCCCACAGCAAGCTTAACATTCTTGCAAATAGCAGTAAAGTCACCTTCCTGGTAAATATGTACCCACTTTGATGGAATGATCAATGTGGTAAGCTCATCATTACTCCAACCTCTCCCTGTGGTCCCCATTCCTTGTGGTTACGGCGGTTGGCCATGTTGCTGGGTGGAATGGCTGAGTTTATTTCAGAGGAGACATTGTTTTGATGCCTACTCGCTCAGGGCAATCTGGACCTTTTAGGATCATTGGAACAGACATATCTAAAGGGAAGATCTCCCTAACTGGAAAACAACCTGAAGGTAGAGACACTCATGGATTTCTGGGACTGCCTTTGGTCTAGATTCTAATTTTTGAAATCCTTTTAAAAAAGATTTTCATTGGGAAAATTTTAAACATACACAAAAGTTGAGAGAGCAATGCAATGAAGAACCATTCACCCATCATCTAGCTTCAACAAGTTCAATTCAGGGGCATTCTGGTTTCATCTATTTACCCACTTACCACCTTTCTCGCTCAATACTGGATTACATAGAAGCAACTTCCCAGAGACCATATACATATATAAATATTTCAGTACATATCTTTAAAAGATAAAGACTTTTAAAAACATACAGCAATACCATTATGCCTAAAAATTAATAATTTCTTATTGCCACTAAATAATTTTTGTCAGTTTCAAATTTCCCTGACTGTCTCAATTTGTTTTTACTGTTATTTTGTTAAATCAAGATCCAAACAAGGTCCACATATGACATTTGGGTGATATATTTCCTCAGTCTCTTCTAAGCTATATGAATTTCCTCAGGCTTTATAGCTAACTGAAATGGCAACTAATTCCCAAGCAAACAGAAAGTGGAAATGTGAAACATTAATGGATACCTCTTGTTTTCATCATCCTAAAAATATATATAAATGAACGGAATGAAAGAGATAATGAGAGAGAAAGAGACAGTATGAGAGAGATGATATTCTTTCATTTACTCTCCCAATGGATCCAGAGGTCAACTCCACATTTGCCTACCTGTGATTTTCTTAGGTGAGCCAAGAAGTACTCCCCTAGCCTTTTTTTCTGAATTGGTTTTAGTTGGGTTCTGTCACTTGTAACCAACAGCCTCAGCAAACTTTTCTATAATTTGGAGTATCAGTGGAATCTTTCTTAGGGATTGACATAGAATGCCTTTTGTAGAATAACCGCCTTTTGTAGACTCAGAATGAATTAGGGAAAGAACTTGCCTTATAGAAGCTTGGTGGTTAAGTCCAACTTTTGCTTCTCCTGTAGACTCAGCCATAACTTGGATATACTAGTTTACCTCTCTTCTAACTTTCCTTACAGGGAAATCAAGTAATGATATATTTAAAAATCTGATTGTGTCATCGAAAAAACCAGCATTTGTAATCATGTCAGAGTAGGCAGAAATTTACCTTTCTTCCATAGAACTTTCTTTGGAGAAAGCACAAATTATAAATACAAATGCAATTTCTGTGACAACAGCTTCAAAATATTAAAGGGCTGGTATAGAGGCCCTCAAGCATTTTAGACACGCCAGTTTACAAATAACTGCAACACTAATTACGAAGCACTTCTCTCTACTCAATAAAAGCAGGCCCCATTAGGCCTGCTCCCAGATTATAACATTCAGTCCCAATGGAGCGTCTGCATTGTTTCAAAGATCATAAAACAAAGTTCCTCTAAAACCAGGCTACGTTTCATTATTTTAATCTGTTCAGATGGAACATTCTCCCCTCTAATACCACCAGGGAGACACTGACAAGCAAACGTCTCACTGGACATATTCTCTGCATCCTTTAATTGTTCTCTCTCTTCTGGCATCCACTTTGGGTCCCTCTATTACATGTTGGCATCTCCATCACAGAACTGAGAGGAAGAGGAAGGAAAGTAAAGGCCAAATCAGTCTGATTTAATATGTTTTGACAAATCTGGTAAAAAGTCTTAATGTCGTGGATGGAAACTAAAAAGTTACATGATATTTAAAAATATCATATTTGGATTTCAGTTATGTGTCCCAACATACCAGGTAGTCATATGTATGTAGATACATAAACAAGGGAACACGAACTTTGTAGTTAGCGGGTTAGGGCCCCATTTTGTAATTTAATTTATCTGTTGAATCTTGAAAAAGCTCTTTAGCCTAATTGTTGCTTTTTAATCTGAGGAAAGGAGATGATGATATTGCTCACATTATTCATACTTTATTAATTTATTTTTTAATTGACAAGTAGTAATTGTGAACATCTATGGGGTACAGTGTCATGTTTTGATCTATGTATACATCGTATAAAGATTAAATCAAGTAATGTTTTGATCTATGCATACATTGTAGAAAGATTAAATCAAGCTAATTAACATATCTATCACCTCACCAACTTACCTTTTGTGTGTGTGTGATGAGAACATTAAAAATCCTTTTTTAAAGCAGTTTTGAAATATGTAACACATTATTATTAACTCTGGTCACTGTGCAGTGCGATAGGTCACTAAAACGTATTCCTCCCGCCTGAGACTTTGTGGCCTTTGACCAACACCTTCTCCCTCTCCCCACAGCCCCTGCTATAACCACCTTTCTACTCTGTTTCTATGAGATCCACTTTTTTAGATTCTATATATAAGTGAGATAATTTATTTTTATATTCTGCCTCATTCAGAAGACCATTTGAGGCTGCTGACAAAAACTGCAAATAAAATAAAAATAGATGAGGAAACCAAGGTGCTTAGAAAATCAGGATAAGAAAAGAAAAGAAAGCTGGAGTAAATTCAGGACCCCAATCATTAAGTTGCCACATTTGGTGAAGGTGGACAGAAGTTTGCTCTAAGTAAAGAACTTAAGAGAGTTAGTTACAAAATGAGCACAATCTCTAAGTGTTTGTATTATCTCAGCAGAAGCGTGCTTCTTCTTTCTCGGAAGATGTGAAGGCTAATTGCCCTTTAGATCATCAAAGAGGAAGGTGCTAGATGGTGAGTAGGTCAATGTCAACAATAGTATTTCCATGTGGACGTGATATCCTATCTCATGACTGCTGTTTCCTTTATTGTCCTCCTTGCTGACCAGTCGTGAGCTCACTGAAGGGCAGGTTAGCAAACACAATCCAGAAGGGTGGGGGTATCAGGCTCTCTGATTGTCTCACTTAATCCAAGGATCGAATTTCAAATATTTAGAGGCATGGATGGATAGAATATCTTTTATGCAGTTTCCTCAAATCCTGTTTCTTCCAACTGAACTTTCAATACCATTTGGACAGCAGAGATATAGCAGTAATCTGTTCTGGCAAGACCCAGAAGTGTAGATAACCTCACGCAGAGGGGAAAACTGAGAGCCTCCTATACAGTATAAGGAGTTCAAACAGACAAAAGGCTTGAATAATCGTCACCTCTCATTTCATCCAAAGTGCCTCAGGCAGTGACCACAGGCAAAGTCTACATTATCCTATTGTTGTCAGTCAGCTCCAATAAATGAAGAAGTAAACAATCAAGATCCCAAAGTTCTATACATTGGGAGCATGGGCTGTGATTATCCTAGCCTGAAATGTTTTCAAAGCAGGTCTCTCTGGTTGCTCATAGAGACCATTAAAAAGAAAGTAACAAAGCACTAAAGAACATCAAAGTTTAAGTAATGTATGTCTCAATGGATTAGTGACCACACATCCCCTCAAATAATAGGATGGTTTGACTTGCTGGGTGTGATTACTACATGTAGACCCTTGAAACATTTGGGGATTAAATGAGATGCTCTTAGTGAACATATTTTGTAAAGTGCTATGAAAATTCCAGTTGTTATTATTATCAGAATCCCATCTGTGTGATAATCAATAATGGCTCTGCTATGACACACAGGCTTGCCTGAGTGAAAAACGAGGCCCCAGAAATCATACAAGTGAGCCCTGACACCATGGGCTGCTATATAGTAATAATGAACAACACAATTGTCCACATGACTCTCAGAGTCTTCACTGAGATTCTCCAGTATGGAAACAGTGGCACCCACCTCGTCCACTGATGGGTAAAGGGCAAAGAGCTCGGCCTGCCTATTGGTCCTCCGGGCCTCCTCGTTCTGCTTCTCAAAGTCCTCGGCACTCACTTGCTGCAGGAGGTTTTCTAGCCGCTTGTCAGGCTGCAGGCTGCGGAGGTCAAAGTCACAGGCAGTGACGGGGCCTTTCCCAGACACGTCGCACAGCACGTTTAAGTGGCGGGGGCCTGCCTGTGAGAGAAAACAGTGGGTCTTTGTGAGAGAGACGGCAAGTCTAAAATGAGAACCGAAGAATCTTGGATGTCTCAAGACTGCTCCAATTTGGGACTACAGAATCTCAGCCAGGCCTCAAGTCTTCTGAAGAAACTGCGGATTTGATAAGAATGACATCTCAGCTTCCTGGCTGGACTACTCTAAAATTAAATGTCTTCTTCTCACCTGGAAGCAGGTAGTTACTCATCTTATGCAGACAAACCAGTCCTGAGGAAAGGACTAAAAACAGTACTACATTCCTATCGGTTGTTGGCTTGTTCTTTCCTGGGGCTGGGGGGGCCAAGCCTCTTAATGAACCATGCTCATGTCTCACACCAGAGCAAAACAGAGCTGGAGGAAGTTGTAACAAAAAGGAGACTGGGCCAGGTGCAGTGGTTTATGCCTTTAATCCCAGTCCTTGGGTAGACAAGGTGGGAGGACTGCTTGAGGCCGGGAGTTCAAGACTAGCCTGGGCAACACAATGAGACTCAGTCTCTTAAAAAAAAAAAAAAAAGCAAAACTTAGCCAGGCATGGTGGCGTGCACCTACAGTCTTAGCTACTTGGGAGGTTTAGGTAGGAAGACTGCTTGAACCCCGCCCAGGAGTTCAAGGCTGCAGTGAGGTATGATTACCTTTTTTTTTTTTTTAAAGACCGAGTCTTGCTGCGACACCTAGGCTTGAGTGCAATGGCGCCATCTCAGCTCACTGCAACCTCCGCCTCCCAGGTTCAAGCAATTCTCCTGCGTCGGCCTCCCTAGCAGATGGGACTACAGGCGTCCGCCACTACATCTGGTTATTTTTGTATTTTTAGTAGAGATAGGGTTTCACCATATTGTCCAGGCTGGTCTGAAACTCCTGACCTTAGGTGATCCGCCGCCATCAACCTCCCAAAGTGCTAGGATTACAGGGGTGAGCCACTGCGCCCGGCCCCATTTAAGTCTTTAATCCATTTTGGCTGCTATCTAATATGATCACAAGTGACATCCTCTCATGCTTTGCCATATTGTTTTGACAGAAGCAAGTCCCAGGTCCCACCCACAGTCGGGGATGAACATCACAAAGGTGTGAATGTCACAGGCCCAGATGATGGGACAATCATAGAATTTGTCTGTCATACTAATTTTCTGATAATAATTTAAAGTGCACATCTAGCTTCTGTAATAATGTACTATTTTTAAAATATTGGGCTCATGCCTGTAATCCCAGCACTTTGGGAGGCCGAGGTGGGCGGATCACCTGAGGTCAGGAGTTCAAGATCAGACTGGCCAATATGGTGAAACCCCATCGCTACTAAAAATACAAAACAATTAGCTGGGCATGGTGGCCAGTGCCTATAATCTCAGCTACTTGGGAGGCTGAGGCAGGAGAATCGCTTGAACCCGGGAGGTGGAGGTTGTAATGACCCGAGATGGTGCCACTGTACTCCAGCCTGGGCAACAAGAGCGAGACTCCGTCTCAAAAAATAAGTAAATAAATTATTGTATTAACTTTTTAAAACTGTAAAAATCAACAGAGAAAAAGATTACAAATGACCCTACAAGTTACTAATTTCTTTGTGAAAATTTTTTTTAAAGTTAGGCCAGTTCTAATTATTGTGCTTCTAAGCTTCTAAAGTTAAAGTGT
Organism: Homo sapiens; assembly: GCF_000001405.40. Classification (NCBI taxonomy): domain Eukaryota; kingdom Metazoa; phylum Chordata; class Mammalia; order Primates; family Hominidae; genus Homo; species Homo sapiens. The sequence continues at coordinate 310,309 of NC_000009.12, read as the reverse complement.
ATTTAATAAAGCCAATAGGAAAGATTGGATTTTTTTTTTTTTTAGACGGAGTTTCACATTTTTTGGCCAGGCTGGAGTGCAATGGCGCAATCTCAGCTCACTGCTGCCTCTGCCTCCCAGGTTCAAGTGATTCTTTTGCCTCAGCCTCCTGAGTAGCTGGGATTACAGGCACGCGCCACCACGCCTGGCTAATTTTGTATTTTTAGTAGAGACAGGGTTTCACCATGTTGGCCAGGCTGGTCTTGAACTCCTGACCTCAAGTGATCCACCTGTCTTGGCCTCCCAAAGTGCTGGGATTACAGGCATGAGCCACCACGCTTGGCCACGATGACTTCTTCTGCAATCCAGCCTGGGTGACAAAGTGAAACCCTGGCTCATTAATTAACTAATTCATTCATTCACAAATAAATAGATAGGAGACTGCACTGGGAAATAAAGAGACCCTGTCTTAATCTCCACTCAGAACTTGGTTTTTGAAACTGGAAAATAAGATGATTTGTGAGGAGCCTTCCAAATTAAATTGTGTATAGACACCAAAGCTGAATGTTATGCTTCCAAAGGTCGATGTGGGAGTGGGCAACACTTTTCTACGGGAATTTGGTAACAGTTATTGGATGAAGCAACAACAACAAAAAGGAAAAAATTTGCTATTCAAGCTGTGTCCACTTTTGGCTGCGGTGTGCTTTAAGAAAACAACCTTAAATCAGTCACAAAGTGGATGTTTTATTCCATTAGGAATGTCTTTGTAATTGGGAACTGCATGCTTTGAACCAAAGACTCAGCAAAAAATGTATAACTGTAATCAACTATATGTTGTAGGACTACAAATGGATTAATGGTAAATATCTATAAAATTTATGGCAAAATGTTATTCTCAAAATTCTACTAAATGGACATACTACTGGACAATTTCTCCATACTACACATTTTTTGTGACATCTACCTCACAAAAGTACTACTCTACTAGATCATAAATTTTCCCCAAACTGAATGTGCTAGAAATAATCAATATTAACACTTCGATTATTAATACTTTTGTTTTTCTTAAAATTTATAAGAGTTTAAGGAAAATGACTTTAATTTCCCAAATTTATTTAAAAGGATATCAAGATACATATAAGTAAAAAAATCTAACATTACTCATCCCTTAATCTAGAAATTTCACTTCTAAGAATTTATCCGTAGGGTATAACTGGCAAGTGTGCAAGAATGTGAGGGCAAGGGCATCTCTGAAACACTGTTCGTGATAGCAAAACAATAGAAGTAAACTAAATGCCCCCAAAAAGGAAGTGTTAAGAGATTTTGGAACTTTCATAAAATAGAATGTTATGTAGCCATTAAAAGAAAGAACCTGGCCAGGTGCGGTGGCTCATGCCTGTAATCTCAGCACTTTGGGAGGCCAAGGCCGGGGGATCATGAGGTCAGGAGATCAAGACCATCCTGGCTAACATGGTGAAACCCCGTCTCTACTAAAAATACAAAAAATTAGCCGGGTGTCGTGGCACATGCCTGTAGTCCCAGCTACTCGGGAGGCTAAGGGAGGAGAATCACTTGAACCTGGGAGGCAGGGGTTGCAGTGAGCCAAGATCGTGCCACTGCACTCCAGCCTAGGCGACAGAGCAAGACTCTGTCTCTAAAAAAGAAAGAACACGTATTAATTGGAAGAGAAAGATAATCACAGTATATTGCTAATATGAAAAAGGAAGTTTTGCAATATTATGCATAATATAATCTAATTTTTATAAAATCTACGTGTACCAAGGAATCTTATCATATACTTGTTTAAATTTTATAAATCTAGCTATGTGGCCTCACCATTCTACTCAATAAGAAGGTGCACAAGAATGAGAGTGGAATTGAAAACATTGCTGTCATCTCGCAGTCTGAGATTCTCTCCATGATGAGTATTATTCCAATATTTCAAAACAAACAACTTTTGTACAATTTGGCTCTTTAAAAAAATTTAATAGACACATAATAGTTGTACCTATTTATGGAATACAGTGTAATATCTCAATACCTGTGTACAATGTGTAATGATCAAATCAGGGTAATTAGTGTACCCATTGCCTCAATTATCATTTCTTTGTGTTGGGAACATTCAAAATCCTTTCTTCTAGCTATTTGGAAACACAGAATAAATTATTATTAATTCTAGTCACCTTACAGTACTATCAAATACTAGAACTTATTCCTCCTATCTAGCTATAATTTTGTAACCGTTAACCAACCTCTCTATTCCCTTCTCCATCCATCCTTCCCAGCATCTAGTTACCACTTCTACCCTCTACTTCTATGAGATCAACTTATTTATCTTCCACATATAAGTGAGATCATGCAGTATTAGTCTTACTGTGCTTGGCTTATTTCACTTATCCTCTAGACTCATCCATGTTGATGCAAATGACAGGACTTCATTTTTTTATGGCTGAATAGTATTCTATCGTGTATACATACCACATTTTCTTTATCCATTCTTCTGCTGATGGATACTTAGGTTGAGTCCACGTCTTGGTTACTGTGAATAGTGCTGCAATAAACATGGGAGTGCAGATGTCTCTTTGATATACTGATATCCTTTCCTCTGGACATATATCTAGTAGTGAGACTGCTGGATCATATGATCAAGTTGGCTCTTAAACACAGACAGTGGGCCGGGTGCGGTGGCTCACACCTGTAATCCCAGCACTTTGGGAGGCCAAGGTGGGTGGATCACCTGAGGTCAGGAGTTCGAGATCAGCCTGACCAACATGGAGAAACCCTGTCTCTACTAAAAATACACAATTGGCCAGGCGTGGTGGCGCATGTCTGTAATCCCAGCTACTCGGGAGGCTGAGGCAGAAGAATCGCTTGAACTTGGGAGGCGGAGGTTGTAGTGAGCCGAGATCATGCCATTGCACTCCAGCCTGGCAATAAGAGCAAAACTCCATCTCAAAAAAAAAAAAAAAAAAAAAAAAAAAAAAAAAAAAAACAAAAAAAACCACACACAACACAGTGACTTGAGTTCTCTGCTAGTATGCTGCAGGAAAGCGTGTGCTTTGTGTGTACGCTGGTCTTCACCTATTGTTTCTGGGCTCCAAATTCACCCTTTTATGCCTTGTTCTTTGATGCTAGGTCAGCAAATCATATTTCCGCTGTGTCTGCTGCTCCCTTTAGGTTCTGTCAATAGGGAGCACTACAGGGTTACCGGATGGTTCAAGGAGGTCAAAGGGCCTGGCTCCTTCCTCTTGCTATTCCTCTCACCTTCGTAGTGACAGCTGGTTCTAGCCTTCAGGTTCTTTTGGTACTTCCAGAATCACCCTTATCTTACCTCCTTGAAGGTACCAGCACCAGCCGGGCAATTTCTCCTCCTGTGAGGCGTGAGTCCAGGCTTCATGAGGTTTTTCCCTCTGAGATCTTGAGACAACACCACCAGCTGGGCAGTACCTTCTCAGGGATTTCAGTCCTTGCTCTCAGGCTCCTCTTCTGAGCTTCTACGTTCTGACAACTCCAAGATCTTCCCCTAGACCTGCAGTCCTCAAATTGTGGTCCTGGGACCAGCAGCATCAGCATCACTTAGGAAATGCTAATTAAAAAGTATGAGGTTCACCCTCCAGACCTACTGAATCAGAAATTCCAGCAGACAGGGCCCAGCAACCTATATTTGAACAAACCCTCTGGGAGATTCTGATGAAGCTGAAGTGGAGAACCACTGCCGTATACCCCAGCCCCAGGCTGGTGTGCTGTTTCCCATAATGACGATTTTAGGATAGCCTCCATTTTTCCCTTTTGGTTCTCTCAGACCTCCAAAACCGGTTTAATCAATTCCCTGTGTTAAATTTCTTCTGCTGAAATACCTACCGTGGCTTCTATCTGACTAACATTAAGAGGAACAATTTAATTGGTCAGCATGTAGGGTGAAAATGGAATTCAGTCAAAATTACTGATGAAAAATTCCTTAAATCTCCCATAGAGCAGAGCATCCAGGTATTCTATCCCTCAGTAAGCCTGTCATATTTAGCGCTGGAAATGATGGCTGATTCTACTGTGAAGCTCCAAGTAAGTAGTGGGCTTTGCTTTAGGGGGACCACCTTGTCTGAAAAATTAGTATTATTTAAAAACCTCGAATCATTTCCAGCATGGTGAGATTCCTGTATTATGAAGACACATGGAAGCTGAAAACTATATTAGTTTACAAGAAGTTCTGTGCAAACTTGAACAAATTTTTTCTTCTCAATTTTATTTTTCTCATCTATAAAATGGGCAGGTTGGACAGCTCAGTAGTGTTAAACACATTCACACTGCAGTATAACCATCACCAGCATCCATCTCCATAATGCTGTTCATCTTGGGATGCCGAAACTCTACCCATTAAACAATAACTTCCTACTCCTCCCTCCCCCAGCCCCTGGCGACCACATTTTGTTTATCCATTCATTATGGATGGATACTTGGGCTGCTTCTACTTTTTGGCTGCTGTGAATAATGCTGCTGTGAGCATAGGTGTATAGAGCTTAACTTTTGGAAACATGGAATTTATTTGGCTATTGTTCTTTGGCCGTTTTATGCAAATGAAGGCTTGCTTTCTTTCTGTCTTCTATTTGTTAGAGTGTTTGCTGGAGTTCTTCAAATGACCCCAGGCATTTAAAAAATTAGTTACAGAATAGTGTTAAAAGCTCATTTCACAATATGTACACTTTAACTTGAATTTTAAACTGTAATTACTTTATAAGAATAATGACAACTGGCCAGGCGTGGTGGCTCATGCCTGTAATCCCAGCACTTTGGGAGGCCGAGGCGGGCGGATCACAAGGTCAGGAGATCAGGACCATCCTGACTAACACGGTGAAACCCCGTCTCTACTAAAAATACAAAAAGAAATTAGCTGGGCGTGGTGGCGGGAGCCTGTAGTCCCAGCTACCTGGGAGGCTGAGGCAGCAGAATGGCGTGAACCCGGGAGGCGGAGCTTGCAGTGAGCCAAGATCGTGCCACTGCAGTCCAGCCTGGGCGACAGAGCGAGACTCTGTCTCAACAAAAAAAAAAAAGAAAAAGAATAATGACAATAACAATAACAGTGACCAGCATTGACTAGGCACTAAGTGTACTTGGCATTATTCTAATTCTTTATGGATATTAACTCATTTAATACTCAAATAACCTCATGAGTTAGTATTACCATCCTTGTTTCCCAGGGGAGGAAACTGAAGCCCAATAAGTTTAATTATCCTGCTTGAAGTTAGAGAGTTAGTACATGGTAGAATCACTAGGAGAATGCAGGTATTCTGGCCTCAGCATAGAGCTTTTCATTACTCTGTAGTTTGCCTTAGGGGCACCAAGAGTCTCTGCAGGAACTGTCGTAGGGATGGGCCCAAGGTGTCTCTGTCCCCCAGTTAGAGCTTTTCCACTTTTTTCTATTTTAATCATTGGGTTTCTGGGTTTTCATTTGAACACCAATTTCTACAGCTACAAATAAGTTTGAAAAAAAAAATCACTGACTCAGATGGTAAAGTTCCTCCTACTCAAACTTTCTATGCGTCTATCGTTTATTCTAGTTTGTAAAACTGACAGCATGCCCTGGGCAGAAGAGCCCAGTAACCTGGTAACCATGTTTGTTGACAGGAAATACCTGAGCAGCGGGTTCACTGCACTCCAAGGTTTCCGACTCAAACGTCTGTTTCGGAAGCGTCTTGTGAAAATCTTTTCGAGATCCAGTCTTTTTAAAGCCACAGATTTCTGGACTTCCTTGGTTTCTTTTATGGTTGATATTTAATTTGGAGAGAGAAAGAGGGAGAGAGAGCGGCAAACCATTAGATTAAAAATAAAAGTAATGGCTTAAGTGTAGACATGGTGCTGAGAGAGCTTTCAAAGAGGGAACCAATTATAATTCCTCACATTTAATTATTCTCCAGGCCTAATACAAGGCTCTGTTGTAATGAGATACAAATTTACCCCCTGGCTGGCTCATTATTAAAGGGAGGCATGGCCTGGGAAAATGCCACTTCAGAGGTGCGGTCATTTCAGCTGTGGGGCATTTGGCTCCGAGCTGAAGCTAAACTATGACCCTAGTGTAAGTGGCTGGAATAAATCTAGCAATGTGCAGAAGCCACAAATAGAGATCGTTTGAAGATAAAAATAGAGAAAACCATTTAATCTTCACATCAATGTTCTTAATAATGAATAAAGCAGGCGGGACATGGTTAAGAAAAAATAAAAATAAATGATTTAACTTTGCAAACATCCTCAATCTCCACTCTATGAACTCTGTTAAAGTTGTGTTGAATAATATACAGCTGTGGGAAGAGTTTAAAACAGAATGTCTAGCCCTGTCACTGAAGAAATGAGACAGACCATCATAAGAAAGGTAAAACATGTAAGTTGTCAAGTGATGACTAGAGAAACCAACATGTGTATTTCCCATTTTTATGACTCAAAGACATCTTTGGAAAACATGTTACAAAGTCAAGTGCACAAACACGCCACTTTTATTTTTATTGAGGATACGGGATATCTTATCTTTTATTTTTTTCCAACTTTTATTTTAGGTTCAAGGGATACATGTGCAAATTCATTACATGGGTAAATTGCATGTCACTTAGGTTTGATGTATGCATGATACTGACGTCACCCACATAGTGACCATGGTACTCAATAGGCAGTTTTTCAACCCACACCTGCTTCCATCCTCCCTTCTTTAGTAATCCCTGGTGTCTACCGTGTTATCTTTATGCCCATGTTTACCCGATGTTTAGCTCCTGCTTATAAATAAGAACATGTGGTATTTGGTTTTCTGTTCCTGTGTTAATTTGTTTAGGATAATGGCCTCCAGCTGCATCCATGTTGCTGCAAAAAAACCCCCATGATTTTGTTCTTTGTTATGGCTGTGTGGTATTTCATGGTGTATATGTACCAAATTTTCTTTATCTAGTCCACTGTCGATGGGCATCTAGGTTGATTCCATGTCTTTGCTATTGTGAATTGTGCTGTGAGGAACATACGAGTGCATGTGTCGTTTTTGTAGAACAATTTATTTTCCTTTGGGTATAGACCCAGTAGTGGGATTGCTGGGTTGAATGGTAGTTCTGTTTTAAGTTCTTTCAGAAATCTTCACACTGCATTCCATAGTGACTGAACTAATTTCCAACATGTTAATTTTTGCCTTTTTTTTTTTCTTGAGACAGGGTCTCGTTCTGCTACCCAGGATGGAGTGCAGTGGTGTGATTATAGCTCACTGCAGCCTTGAATTCCTAGGCTCAAGCAATCTTCCCACCTCAGCCTCCCAGTAGGTGAGAGTATAGGTACACGCCACCATACCCAGTTAATTTTCTTTTTCTTTTTCTTTTTTTTTTTCCATTTATTTTGATGTTTTGTAGAGACACAGTCTTGCTACATTGCACAGGCTGGTCTCAACCTCCTGGCTTCAAATAATCCTCCTGCCTCAGCCTCCCAAAATGCTGGGATTACAAGCATAAGCCACATGCCCAGTCTATTTTATGACTTTTCAATAACAGGCATTCTGACTGTTGTGAGTTGGTATCACACTGTGGTTTTGATTTGTATTTATCTAATGATTAGTGATGTTAAGCATTTTTTCATATATTTTTTGGCCACATGTATGTCTTCTTTTGAGAAGTATCTGTTCATGTCCTTTGCCCATTTTTAAATGGGGTGGTTTTTTGCATGTTGAATTATCTAAGTTCCTTATAGATTCTGGATATCAGACATTCTTCAGATTTACGGTTTGCAAATATTTTCTCCTATTCAGTTGGTTATCAGTTTACTCTGTTGATAGTTTCTTCTGCTGTGCAGAAGCTCTTTAGTTTAATTAAGTCCCACTTGTCAATTTTTGTTTTTGTTACCATTGCTTTTGGGGACTTATTCATAAATTCTTTACCAAGGCCAATGGCCAGAATAGTATTTCCCAGTTTTTTTCTCTAGGGTTTTTGTAATCTTAGGTCTTACATTTAAGTCCTTAATCCATCTTGAGTTAATGTTTGTATATGATTAAAAGGAGGGGTCCAATTTCAATATTCTGTATATGACTAGCCAGTTGCTCCAGCACCATTTATTGAATAGGGAGACCTTTCCTCATGGCTTGTTATTGTCAACTTCGTCAAAGATCAGATGGCTGTAGGCGTGCAGCTTTATTTCTGGTTCTTTATCTTGTTCTATTGGTCTACGTGTCTGTTTTTGTACCTGGACTGTGCTGTATTGGTCACTGTAGCCTTGTAGTGTAGTATGAAGTCACACAGTGTGATGCCACCGGCTTTGTTCTTTTTGCTTAAGATTGCTTTGGCTATTCAGGTTTTTTGGTTCCACATGAATTTTGGAATAGGTTTTTTTTTTTAAATTCTGTGAAAAAATGATGTTGCTAATTAAGATAGGAATAGCAGTGAATCTAAAAATCTCTTTGGGCACTATGGCTGTTTTAATAATATTGATTCTTCCTATCCACGAGCATGGAATATTTGTCCATTTGTTTGTATCACCTCTGATCTCTTTCAGTGTGTTTCATAATTCTCATTGTAGAGATCTTTCACCTCCTTGATTAGCTGTATTCCTAGGTATTTTATTCAAAAGGATAAAATAAATGGAATTGCATTCTTGATTTGGCCCTCAACTTAGACATTATTGGTGTGTGGAAATGTTATTGACTTTTGTACATTGATTTTGTATCCTGAAACTTTACTGAAGTTGTTTATCAGTTCTAGGAGCCTTTTAGCAGGGTCTGCAGTGTTTTCTGGGTACAGAATTATATTGCCTGCACTGTGACAGAGCTAGTTTGACTTCCTCTCTTCCTGTTGGGATGTCTTTTATTTCTTTTTCTTGCCTGATTTCTCTGGCTAGCACTTCCAGTACCATGTTGATATAAGTGGTGAGAGTAGGCATCCTTGTTTTGTTCCAGTTCTCAAGAGGAACGCTTCCAGCTTTTGCCCACTCAGTATGATGTTGGCTGTGGATAGTTGAATAATAGATGGCTCTTATTATTTTGAGGTATGTTCTTTCAATGCCTAATTTGTTGAGGGTTTTTAACATGAAGGGATGTTGAATTTTGTTAAAAGCCTTTTCTGTGTCTATTGAGATTATCCTGTGGTTTTTGTTTTTAATTCTGTCTATGTGATGAGTCTCATTTATTGATTTGTGTATGGTGAACCAACCTCGCATCCCAGGAATAAAGCCTACTTGATTGTGATGAATTAACTTTTCAATGTGCTGCTGGATTTGGTTTGTAGTATTTTGTTGAGGATTTTTGTGTCGATGTTCATCAGGGATATTGGCCTGAAGTTTTCTTTTCTGCTGTGTCTCTCCCAGGTTTTGGTATCAGAATGATGCTGGCTTTGCAGAATGAGTTAGAGAGGAGTCCTTCCTCCTTGAATTTTTGAAATAATTTCAGTAGGATTGGTACTAGCTCTTCTTTGTATATCTGGTATAATTTGGCTGTGAATCCATCTGATTAAGGGCTTTTTGGGGTGGGTTTTGTATTACTGATTCAATTTCAGAACTCACTATTGGTCTGTTCAAGATTTCAATTTCTTCCTGCTTCAATTTTAGGGGGCTTGTGTGTTTCCAGGAATCTATCCATTTCTTCTACGTTTTCTAGTTTGTGTGCATAGGGGTATTTATAACAGTCTCTGAGGATTTTTTATATTTCTGAGGCATCAGTTGTAGTGTCATTTTTGTCATTTCTGATTGTGCTTATTTGGATCGATCTTCTCTCTTGTTTTCTTTATTAATCTAGTTAGTGATCTATCAACCTTGTTTTTTTTTTGAATCACAAACTTTTGGTTTCATTGATCTTTTGTATGGATTTTCACGTTTTAATTTTTTTCAGCTCTGATTTTGGTTATTTGTTTTCTTCTGCTGGCTTTGGAGTTGGTTTGCTATTGTTTTTCTAGTACCTCCAGGTCACACACCATTTTGTTTGATTTCCTGAACTATAGAAAAACCACCAAGCTGGTAAAGGGACATGAGGTGATATTGGAAGGTATTAGGTAGATCAAATGCCAGATAGATAAAGTAAGAAATGTAAGAGAGCTACTAGCAATTATACAAATACAAAGTTTATAACTCTGGCACAGAGAGCAGGTATTTGACCAATTTTAGTTGACTGAATTAATTAAAGAATAAGATGTCCCAGTGACGTCTGTAGGAAGAACAGGACACTCTCCCTGGATTTTATTGTGTTCTGAAGACAAACAATTTGTTTTGAGCCAAACAAAAAACAAGAATTAGCCTAGAAAAGAGATAAGACTAGCTTGGTGACTAATTCAAGTCAAGGCTTACCACAATGGGCCATCTTTTTTTTTTTTTTTTGAGACGGAGTCTCACTGTCGCCCAGGCTGGAGTGCAGTGGCACGATCTCTGCTCACTGCAAGCTCTGCCTCCCGGGTTCACACCATTCTCCTGCCTCAGTCTCCTGAGTAGCTTGGACTACAGGCGCCCACCACCACAGCCAGCTAATTTTTTTGTATTTTTAGTAGAGACGGGGTTTCACTGTGTTAGCCAGGATGGTCTCGATCTCCTGACCTTGTGATCTGCCTGCCTCGGCCTCCCAAAGTGCTGGGATTACAGATGTGTGCCACCGCGCCCGGCCATAATGGGCCATCTTCAGCATCCCCTGGCCGCTTGAATTTCTCTGACCCAAACCTATATTGCTAGGGCTGGGTGAAACGCAGGCTAAATTGGGGAAATGAAAAAAAAAATAAACAGGTGAACTCTGAATAAGGAAATAAGACTAAACATCCAAAAACGATTTCAAGGAAAATGTACAGGCTGGGTGCAGTGGCTCACACCTGTAATCCCAGCACTCTGGGAGGCCAAGGCGGGAGCACCACTTGAGCCCAGGAGTTTGAGACCAGCCTGGGTGACATGGTGAAACCGCATCTCTACAAAAAACACAAAAAATTAGCCGAGTATGGTGCCACCTGCCTGTAGTCTCAGCTACTTGGGAGCCTGAGATGGGAGGATTGCTGGATTGTCCATTAACAGTTATTTGAGAGAAATTCTCACACGGATTTTATAAACCTGCTAGTTTCTTAACAGTCACTCTCACAAATATAAATGTAGGCAACAACATATCTGTGTGTGCTGACTGGGTAAACTTTCCTAGTACATGAAGTGACTGTTTTGGACTCTCCCTAAGGGCTCAAAGAAAAAAAAATCTGTGTGATCTAACATCCTGGCTGGGGGTCAGGGGACAAAAACCAACTCAAAGTAGTGACAAATATATGCAAATATTAAGTTATCGCCTAAAATTATGCTACCCCAAATAACAATATACTGAACCAGTGATGTTTCTTGAAAAATCCAATTTTAGGGGGAAAAATTACCAAAGAATTTATCTAACATTAATTTATCCTAACATTGAAACAAACAGTTAATTAAAATTCAAATTTCCCACATTAGTATTTGCCCTTTGCCTTTTTTTTTTTTTTAAGGACTTGTACATTTTAAAGGGTATTGATGTCAAAGGTTTAGTATGACATGACACGAAGGTTTACAAGGAGACTTTTGGGCCACAGAAATAAAAATTAGGAAGCAGCTACCTAAAGACCTTTTGTGTGTGAAGCTTAGCAACCAGAACTATATCAGCTTTAGCATTACTTTTTGTGTTATAATAAAATGCGGCTATTTCCAAGAGTGTTTACTTACAAAGGAACATCTCTCTCTCTCTCTCTGACACACACACACACACACACACACACACACACACACTTACAGATGTGTGCTTGTTTCCATTATCCTCAAGTTATTTCTCTCTGTGCCTCTGTTTCTTCACAGGGTAAAGCATGAACATGAGGTGAATTCTAAGATATTTTCCCCAGCTTTAATATTTTATGATAAAAAGTTCATGCACTGTATCTGAAAAAATCAAAATCAATTCTTTTTTCTGTTTGTTTTTGTTTTTGGAGACAGAGTCTGGCTCCTTCACCCAGGCTGGAGTACAGCGGCATGATCTTGGCTCACTGCAACCTCCGCCTCCCGAGTTGAAGCAATTCTCCTGTCTCAGCCTCTTAAGTAGCTGGGATCACAGGCATGCGCCACCGTACCCAGCTAATTTTTGTATTTTTAGTAGAGACGGGGTTTTGCCGTGTTGGCCAGGCTGGTCTCGAACTCCTGACCTCAGGTGATCCACCCGCCTCTGCCTCCCAAAGTGCTGCGATTACAGGCATGAGCTACCCCACCTGGCCCTAAAATCAAATTTTCTCTTCAAAAGATGCTTAACTTTTGAGACCATCAAATTTATTTGGCTATTGTTCTTTGGCTATTGTACACAAATGATGCTTGCTTTCTTTTCTGTCTTCCATTTTGTTAGAGTGTTTGTGGGAGTTTTTCACATGGACCCCACAGTCAATGACAAATAGGCATTAACAAATGAGTTACACAATAATGTTAAAAGTTCAGTTCACAATGTGTACACTCTAAGCCTTCAGGGTTTTTGCTATGGAAAGCATTAAGACTAGCATCTTCTATGACTGTGTGTTTGAAACCAGAGCAAACTTTCCCTCTCTTCCTCATACTAGGTTTAACATCTACTTCCCCATTTAAAAATCTCAGAAAGTCTCAAAGCTCCTTGACAGCAGCAAGGGTGAACCTGGCTGGGGAGGAGAGGACAAGGGTTGGCAAACATGTAAAGATGACTCATTCCAGAAGTGCTGGCCACAGAAGGAACCATCACTGGGTAGGCAGTGAGACTGCTGGCTCACTGCCGCTGGCTACAAGAGAGTCCCAGCTTCATTACCCCACCCTGGCAATGGAGTCAAATAAAGCCAAGTTCCTGTTGCACCTAGATGCAGACAGGAGAAAAATGGGGAAGTAGGCCAATGGCTAGAAAAATGATTCTCATGAAATGAACTCGACCTATTGCTTCCCAGGAGATCTGCATTCCTTTTCTTAAAACACTATTCTAACACATTTGAGACAATCCAAAGACCAAGCGCGTTTTGAGAGTGTTCTCTTTAAAGACAGTGTGGTGCAGCCAGCAGAATCCAGGCTCTAGAGTCAGAAGGAACTGGGTGCAGACGCTGGCTCCTTAATGTACTAAGAGACCTTGGGCAAGTGCCTTAGTCTCTCTGAGTCACAGCTTCCTCAAGTATGAAATAGGGGGAAATGTTGCTCATTTTGAGGACCTATTGTGAGGATTAGAAAATAATACGTGTTCCTCATCTTCTTTTTCCTCTTCCCTACCCTCTCTTTCCTTTCACATCTTCTTTCTCCTTTCCCTTCTCTCCCTTCCTGTACAATTTGGTGCTAAAATCATAAGGTGCATCAGAACAAGGCAGCCCTCCATGCCTTGGGGTAGGGAGTAGCCGAGGAGGTCCAGAATAGGAAGTTGAAGCCCAAACACGGTGAGGATGCATCCATTTAAGATGGACTGCCTGGCATGGAAAATCAGAACCCACATGGTGTGAGGAGGGCATCCAAGCTGAACCAGGCTGGTGTGTGTTAACAGAGCCTGGAGAGTCTTAGTGGGTTTGGATTTGTGGGGAGGGAGTCTATGCACAACAGGTCAAGAGTGGCTCTGTGACATCCACAGCTGGATTGCTCTTTGTTACCACATAGGCTGATGAGCCGGGCGTGCTTTTCATACTTTTAGAAAGCAAATAGCTAAGCACCTTGACAGCTAGCACAACAAATGCATGTCATAATAAGCAATTATTGATCAGGGAAACATTTTTATGGTGTTCTGGGAGTAACTGAATTATATGCACTGATGTGTTTGAATTTTAATTGTTTACCACTTCACTGGGAGTAAAATATGGAGTAATAAAACAGATGATACCCCATTCCTTGATATCTCAGCTCTCCTTGAGCTCAACCTTCCTTCAGAATTACCTTAATCACCCCAGATGAAAAACAAAGTCTAAAGGCTTTTATGATGCTGCCCATAACACTCATGAAATGTTTCACTGTCTCTGCGGCAAGAATAAATATAGTATGTAAACAAGTTTAATTTCTTAAGAGTTCAGCTCTCCACCAGGCATCAAAAACATTCTGAAGTTTATCCCTCTTTGGTTCATTTAGAGAAAATGACAGAAGAAATAAAGCTTAAAATCGTTAATATCACCCAAAGGATGTCATCAAATATTAATCCACACAACATTATCAAAATATGCAGATAAAAGGTTGGACAAACAAGCAAACATGGCGCCATGCTAATCAGTAAACCAGTAATCATTTTCAAAAGTCATGGGGAGAAAAGTACTATTGTTTTTAGAACAAGGACACCAAATTTGGTGCTGTAAACATGAGTGATAGAATGGAAATCATTTAATAAATCTTCCAGTCTAAGTAACACAAACATTTCAAGTAAGAAAATACATTTCCTTCAATGTACTGGAGATCATGTATTTTACATTTTTATGTAACTTAATCTTTCTCTGTTAGGTTTAAAAGGAAATCTAAAAATTTCCTCTATCCTTCATGGGCAGCATTATTTGTATGATTTAAATGTCTCAATTACAGTACTTGAGTGGCAAATGCCCTGTAGAATGATGAGGGTGGGAGGGAACACAAGTGGCCATTACTCTACTCCTCTGCCCCCTAAGTGGGATTCAAAACCATTACCACAGCTAGCAAGGACATAAAAGCCTATCTCTAGATATTATGGAGAAATGTAATATCAGCAGGAGATAACTGAGAAATAAAGGAGCTAACTAAATCAGTGTTTGACTGCTTGGTTCTGGATAACAAAGGCATGTCCTTATAAGGCAAAGTGGCTTCACTAAGTATGGTCCTCCAGAGGAAGGCAGGTCCCCCCTCCATGGTGCGTTCAATATATGGGAGAGAATTTTGTGTTCATTCCTTTGACATGCTAATATAAGTATGTTTTCTGATAGGTACTACTTAATAAATATAATAGCTAATACTTATTGAATTATTATTATATATGCTACCAAAGTATTTCACTTGGAGGGAATATTGGGATAACTGGAATTGATTTCTTCTAATGTAATGGTCCAAGGCAGATTTTACATCATGGGCACTACAGTCCCAGCACCACGCAAAGGGCACTCCCGTGTCCTTTTGTAGTCAGCCCTCTTCCCCACTCCCAGACCCTGGGAACCATGGACCTGTTTTCCATCCCTGTAGCTTCATCTTTTCCAGAATGTCAGATACATGGAATCATGCAGTTATCTTTTTTGTCTGGGTTCTTCTTCTTTTTTTTTTTTTAAGACAGAATCTCACTTTGTTGCCCAGGCTGGAGTACAATGGCATGATCTCAGCTCACTGCAACCTCCGCCTCCCAGGTTCAAGCGATTCTCCTGCCTCAGCCTCCTGAGTAACTGGGACTACAGGCACGTGCCACCACGCCCAGCTAATTTTTGTAGTTTTAGTAGAGACGGGGTTTCACCATGTTGGTCAGGCTGGTCTGGAACTCCTGACCTCAAGTGATCCACCTGCCTCAGCCTCCCAAAGTGCTGGGATTACAGGCATGAGCCACCATGCCCGGCCTTTGTCTGGCTTCTTTCACTTAGCATACTGTATCTGAGATTCATCCATGTTGTTGTATATATCAATTGTTTGTTCCATTTCACTGCTGAGTAGTATTCCATTGTATGGATTTACCAGAGTTTGTTTATCTACTACCCAACTGAGTACAATCTGGGTTTTCTTCCAGTTTTTGGCAATTACAAATAAAACTGCTATGCAGTCTTGGCAATTACAAATAAAACTGCTAAACTGCTGTATTTGCACATAGGTTTTATGTAAATACTCAAGAGTGGGACTTACGGTTGTATGGTTAAGTGCATATTTAACTGGGATTTTAGAACACATAAGGAAAGGAAACTTGGTGATAGGAAACTGTATTCAGAAAGTAGGTGTAATAGCTTCCAGATTAAAATAATAACTAAAAGAAGACTGGAGGAACTGAAATTTTATTTTAATAAATAATATCCAGCACTGGCAAGAATATGGGAACACGCCAGTTTAATGCCCAGTTGGTAATGGAATGAAACAGCACGACTTTTCTGGAGAAGAATTTGGCAGTACCTATCAGAGCATACCATGTACACTGGCTTCATTTCTACCCTCAGAAATATTCACACACATGTATGGGGCAAATGTGCAGATATGTTTGTTTCAGTATTATTTGCAATTATGAAAAATGGTGACAACCAAAATGGTCATTTAGTTTCAGTAACTTAGGACACATTCCTTCACCCTTTGAATACTAGGCAGCATTTCAGTAGAATGGGATATAGCTCTGACATGGACAGTTATTTTAAAGAAATGTTTGTAATATATAAGTACATACATTAATACATATATCTTTATGTGAAAAATATAAATAGACAAATATTTTTTGTGAGGGTATGAAAAGATCTGGAAGCTACACAGCTGGGCTTTACGCAGTGAAGAGTGAGTTAAGGGAAGGGTAGGACACTGGTAAGTAGTGAGGCATGAGATTTGCCTTTTCCTTAATGCACCTCCATATTACTTGATTTCTTTCAAAACAATCATACATGATTTGGCACATAACCAATTAAAGGAGAGCTAAATAATTAATCACTAATTAACAAATGGCCAGCAACCCCTATTGCATCCTCCTCCGACTTTCTAGTAAACCACTTATGAAGACACAGAAAAACTGGAAACTCATCCAAATGAAGAGATAACTTAATGCCTGAATCTGGACAGAACCTCTGTGGATCAGATGGAGCTGGAAAGAGAAGGATGTACCAAACTTTGTCTCCCCAAAGGGGAACTCACTGAATAAAGATAAGAAGGTGTTGCACACCTTCCTGCCCACGAGTCCCTGGTCAGTGTCTATACAGAAATCTGAAGTCTCCTTCTTCATAATAGTGGCTTATCTATGAAAGCATCACAGCTTCCAGCTGGTTTCATTTATATGAATCACCACCTTCTCCTTGTCCTTCTCCTTCTACCATCATTCTAAAACAATACAGATACAACTCACAGAAAACAATAAGCTAAAAATGTACTGTGTGAGGTTGGGAGATGAAGGACATCTGGCAATAGTGTACTGGATTCTCCCCACAGATAAAATACGACAGGTGCATATAGAGACAGAATGATCCCTGGGAGGAGTGTGTGCTAGGAATTTTAGTTTTCATGGGCAGAGTGTTAGATTCAGAGTGCAAGAGAATGAGGCAGAGGGATAGAAAGAGATGCAACTTTTCTACAAGAAAGCTTGCCAGAAACTGACAATGAGTTCTGAAGTTGTACACTTCTCCCTGTCCACTAGGTGACCGTTAAGAAGGGAACTGCTCCATTACACAGGGGTGCAGAGAACTGGGCCAATGGTAATCCCATCCCTAGAATGTTGCCAAACATAAAATTAAAACACATATTCCTTTCTTTTTTAGGGGAACAAGATGCAAAAACTTGCATATAATAAATATATGGGTAACCATTGCTTCTGTAGAAAAGATAAAAACAAATGGAGACACATAAGGGAACAGAAGCAACAGTCAAGTGGCTAATGATCTGGATTAATGCTTTAATCCCATACTCTTAGAAAATAATAATAAGTTTGTGAATCAAATTTTAAGCATGATGCCAAAATTAAACATAAGGAAAAATATTAATATAGATTTAATGACATAAATAATTCTGAATGTTGAAAATTAAAAACAACTTTAAAAGACAAAAGGCATACTGGGGAAGACATTTTTAATACATGGTAGACAAGGCTTAATATCTTTACCAAAAAAGTGCTTATAAAAATAAATCAGACTAGACAAATACATTAATAGGGATGCACAAATTTCACGAATAAGCAGAGCACCAGGAAAAATAAAAAATGGCCAAGAAATATATAGAAGAAAGATGCCTAATCTAATAGTAAAAGAAAATGAAAAAAAAGACAACCTTTTATCAAATAAAATTGGAAATGTTGATAAATTATAACATCTAATATTCTTGAGGATTCATGCATGTAGTGTCAATAATCTTTTTTTTTTTTTTTTTTTTTTTTTTGAGACGGAGTTTCACTCTTGTTGCCCAGGCTGGAGTGCAATGGCGCGATCTTGGCTCACCACAACCTCTGCCTCCCAGTTTAGCTATTTTTAGAGGATCAAGTGATTCTCCTGCCTCAGCCTCCCAAGTAGCTGGGATTACAGACATGCACCACCATGCCCGGTTAATTTTGTATTTTTAGTAGAGACTGGGTTTCTCCATGTTGGTCAGGCTGGTCTCAAACTCCCAACCTCAGGTGATCCACCCGTCTTGGCCTCCCAAAGTGCTGGGATTACAGGCATGAGCACCGTGCCTGGCTTTTTTTTTTTTTTTTTTTTTGAGATAGGGTCTTCCTCTGTTGCCTGGGCTGGTGTGCAGTGGTGCAATCGTCACTCACTACAGCCTTGACCTCCTGGGCTCAAGTGATCCTCCTGCCTCAGCCTCCCGAGTAGCTAGGACTACAGGTGCATGTCATCATATCCAGTTAATTTTTTAAAAAATTTTTTTAGAGGTGGGGTCTCTGTATATTGCCTAGGCTGGTCTTGAACTCCTGGGTTCAAGGGATCCTCCTACCTCAACCTCCCAAAGTGCTGAGTAAGATTATAAATGTGAGCCACTGCGCCCGGCATAATGTTTGATCTAGTATTCCAAATCTTTAAATTTGTGCATATCCTTTGACATAGAAATTCCTCTTGTAGGAATTAATTCCAAAGAAAAAAATCATAAATATGTACAAATTTTTCCTGAGAAGGATGTTTTTGCATTTTAAGCACAACACTGAAAAGGAAGGAATCACCTAAATATTAAAATTGGTTAAATAAATTTTGGTATAAATATATTATGCAATCATCAATCATTGTATTGAGGAAGCATATTTAATAGCAAAGGAAGAGAATCACTCTTTACTGTGAAAACTGAAAATGCATGTTACAAAAATGATATTATAATCTTATTTAGTTTTCACGCAAATATATACCAAAAAAACCCAACACTATTCAAAGGACAGACATCAAATGTTCATGATGATTATCTGTCTAGAGTGAAACTGAGTGATTTGTGTTTCATAATTATTTCTAAAATTTCAACGAGTATTCCAAAAAGAGTCATTTTTTTCTCTTACATTTGTGCAAGATCAAGAAAAATCACTACTCCAAGAAGCGTGCATTGCCATGAGAAATGAAAAAGTGGACAAGCCCGAAATAGAAAATAAATCTGAAAACCAAATGTATCAAAATGGATCTTTCTATTTGTTCCTTCTCAGATTTTTTTTAGATCTTTAATGTCCAGAAAGTACCTCTAATGATAGCATTTAAAAACTTGAGAACAACTTGTTCTGAAATCTTTTATTTATTATCAGCAAACCATAATTTTATCTGACTGCCCAGCAAACTTTGTTTTCCATTCATTTTAGAACAGATGATGGATTGGCATCTAACTTTCTCTTAATAACTTTTAATAATGAATGCTTTCTCTTTTTCTGCTGCTGAAAATGTGTGCATATTGACATTACTCCAGAAAACCTCAGCACAAACTCAATGGCACCCTTCCAGGAGCTAGATAAAACCCAATCCTCAAAGTCTTTCATCATTTACCCCATAGAATAGTAATTCTTACTGAGGTATAGGAGGAGTGAGGCTATCAGAATTTTAAACTACTAATGTCTTGTCAAAGGTTCTGTGACGTGTCTCTAGTGGGGTGTGCCCTAATCTGTAGAGAGTCCACATCTCACTCCCCAACAGGTACACCCATGCAGGCTGAGAATTTCAATGTGCATAGATGTTTCTCATGAGAGAGTGCTGTCCAGGTCCATGGCATGGAGAGAAAAAGCTCAGAACAATGTCACAGAAGGTTTGATTAATCCAGGAGAGAAAGATCCCTTACTGGAAGGCCAGCAAGTAATTTATTTCTTGGTCATAAACTCGAATGCCACCTCTGAAGCTGAGGCCAGGTTTCAATTCACTTAATTTTTCCCCCTGGGAATTCATCAGAATTAGAAGACAACAAAAAGGCTCTATTCCAGGTGCCCAAACTTTTGGCTTCCCTGGGCCATACTGGAAGAAGAATTATCTCAGGCCAAATATCAAATACACTAACACTAACAATAGCTAATGAGCTTTAAAAAAATCGCAAAAAAAAAAACCTCATAATGTTTTAAGAAAGTTTATGAATTTGTGTTGGGCCACATTCAAAGCCATCCTGGGCTCCATGTTGCCCACGGGCTAGGGGTTGGGCAAGCTTGCAGTCTATTCTTTATGTTTAAAATAGAACTTTCTTTCTCAGTAAGTTAATGGATAAATAAACAATGGTACAGCCATGCAATGAAAGATTATTCAGCAATAAAAAAAATGAGCTATCAAGCCACAAAAAGACATTGAAGAACAAGGTGGAATTATGGAGACAGTAAAAAAGGAAAGTGGTTGCCAGGGAGGGAGGATGAACAGGTGGAACACAGAGGATTTTTAGGGCAGTGAAACAATTCTGTATGATACTGTAAAGGCATATACATGTCATTACACATTTGTCAAAACCCATAGAATATACAACACAAAAAGTAAACATTAATGTAAACTATGGTCTTTAGTTAATAACAACATATCCATATTGGCTCAGCTACTGTAACAAATGTACCACACTAAAGTGAGATGTTCATAATAGGGGGAACTGTGTGTGTGATATGGAGTGGGGATAAGGAAGGCATACATGAGAACTCTATTTGCCATGCAATTTTTCTGTAAACCTAGAACTGTTCAAAGTATTAAGAAATATTTAAAAACTAGCAATATAAAATTAATATTTATATACAAAAAGTGGAAAAAAAGTAACTTACTTCCGGTTCACGATTAGCCACTCACGGATGTAGGTCTGAACACAGTCCCTGACATGAGGGTCCAGTTCAACCCTAATGAGGTAGAAAATGAAATAAACACGTTATTACTGGGTAAAACAACAAAACAACCCCTAATCATGAGCAAGGAACATGACACGAATTTAAATCCTTATCAGTGAGAATGCTTAGGATGTTCTTGCCCAATCATTCCAAATGTCTGAAGTATTCCTGGGGCAATAAACATTTTTACTTTGATGAGACAAACATGTTGGCATTTTTTTGCTTTGTGGGTTTTCTTTATTATACAGAATCATGTTAAATTATAACTATCCCCGAAGGCATTCAGACACAAGACAGGTAGAACTAGCTGTATTCGAATACAAAACAAGGAAAATAAGTATAAATACCTATCTCTGACAGGGTAATTTGGACATATTTTTTATGCATGTGTAACCTTGTTAGGACACGCGTGTTCTCCTTTTTGAAAGCCAGGAAAAAGAACAGTTGTCTTATGCTTTGATGAAATTGCAAACACTGGCTTTTGTTGGTGATCATTAATTCAGTTGGTTCCTGTCATGTCTACTTAAGGAATGCACCATGAGCAATACTCTTCAAGTGCTTCAGAGTCTTGAAATCAAAAATAACAATTGTAGCAAAGCTTTTTGCTATTGTTGCAAATGCATTAGTACCAGAAATAAACAGGCTTAAATGCTACAAGCCTTAATTTTCTCATCTGTGATAAGGAGGTAAGAACAGAGACATGCTGTTAGTATTAGATAAAATATTGTAAAGGTTACACATGCAGTCTCTGGGCCCTAATTGCCCAAATCCCAGCTTCATCGCTTATAGCTATGTGACCATAAGCCAGTCACTCAACCCTTCTGTGCCTCAGTTTCCTCTCCTTAAAGCTGTTAGAGTAGTAAGAGTGCCCCTTTTAGTAGACAGCTTTGATGAAGATTAAATCGGTTAGTGTGCAAAGTGCTTAGAAGACTGCCTGGCACACAATAAGACGCATATATGATATTAATAGTTTACACTTAGGTAGCATTTACTGTGCATTATGCACTGAGGCAATCACTTTATATGTATTAATTCAGTTAATTCTCAATCAGCACCATAGGGCAGGCATTACTATTATTCTCACTTTGCAGAAAAATGAGATGGTAAGGATCTTGTTCCAAGTCACACAGCAAGTGGTGGAGCAGGGACCTGAATCCAGGCAGCTCACCTGTAGCGTTCATGTTTTTCACTACCACGCCATCACAGCTCAACATAAAGTTCTGGGCTAGGCACAGGTTGTTCAACAGGAGTCAGCTATTGTTTACTCTGGTGTGATGATGATACCTTCCCCTGCCTTAATTATACAGAAGACTTTTTGGCAACAACTGAAATAGTAGAGGCTGTCTTAAAGACATCAGACAGGTATGTTACCTATAAATTCTTTTGACAAGGCAACAGTATACTAAAAAACTGATGCTAAGTAAAGAAATTATCTTCCTTATCAAATTTCAAAAAAAAAAAAACCTCCTCCTTCCTCTAAATTCATTGTACTGTTTTTTGTTTTTGTTTTGTAAGAAACAGGGTCTCACTATTTTACCCAGGCTGAACTCAAATTCCTGGGCTCAAGTGATCCTCTTGCCTCAGCCTCCCAAGTAGCTGGGACCACAGGAACAAGCTGCGGTGACTGGCTACTGTAAGCATTTTAAACAGCTTTTTCCAAGATTCTGACCATATTTGGAAACATCCATAAATTTTACATAAAGGAATAAATTAAATGATTCTTCACTAAAGATGAAATAGTAGGTGTTAACTTATACTAAAGTCATACCTGAATAAATGGACTGAAAATGGGGGAGTATGTTTCCCAAAAATGACAATGTTTTTCTTTCCTGGGAAGTGTGTATTTTTAAAACATCAGAGCTACACATATGGTCAGTTCTCCTATGTGAGTGAGGACTGTCTGAACAAGAGAGCAACGGTTCACAATAATACCAGCCCATTATCATCCAACCTCCTTAAACTGTGATGAAATAAAATCCAAAATAGAACTAGAATATCTCAGAGTAAAGAGGGCAGGGGCTGTGTGTCAGGATCTTCTTTCTGGGACCTTCTGGGGAAGATGAGAAGATGGAACCTGTCCAGGAGGATATGAATCTTAATTTGGCTTTTAAAATAAATGTAAATAAAAGTTTATCCTAAACCTCCAAAGAGACATTTTTTTTTACATTTTAGAAGCAACAGGCGTTTCATTTAGCTACAATTCCACAGTTAGTTTGATGCCAAAAACTAATGCCCAAGCCTATAAACATATAGAAGAGCCAACTATAGAAACTCAAGCCCTAATTAGCTATTCACATATTTATTCTACAGAGCTCTCCCCACTGTTTTAGCACTGCATGACACTTTCTTTAAAGGAGGGACTTTGACTTATTCATCTTTTTATCTCAGTACCCAGAACATAGTAGATGCTCAATAAATGTGGGTTTACCTTATGTTTCTAACTTGATCCAGTCTCATAACTGTAAGCAATTAAAATGCTTCTGGATGGTGGCATTTCAGTAATTATTATTAAAAATCTTGACATTTTTACAAATGGAGAAACCGAGGATTTGGGAGGTCATGTGACAGCCAAGGTCACTGAGCTGGCAGCCAGGTGGTCTGGCTCCAGAGCCTGCACTTTTAACCTCCTCTTGAGCATTTCATTTGGTCCTCCTGCATCCCTTGCACTGGCTTAGTCTTCACATAGCTTTTCAAAATCTCTGGCCAAACTAATTTAAAAACTATCTATACTTACATGATGATATCATATAGCTGTCCCACACATTTGAATGGATTGAGTAATTTTATTTTATTTTTAAGTTCAGATTGAAGGCATCTCCCCTACCCACTTATTGAAAACAATCATGACAATCCCAATCACATCTACATTTTAGAAAACTATTTACCCTTCCTCCGGCAAAGAGGGCTGCAAAGTCCTACATTCCTTTGGCGTGAACACCACGTCCAAGTCGTCATCAGTGAAGTCCCCGAGCTCCTGGGCAAGCTGCACATCCAGGCTGTTCAGGTGTGTCATCAGAAGTCCTTCAAAGTCCACTGGCTCCACAGGGTCATAAAACTGAGGCTGGAGGGGCAGGGAAAAGGAAAAGGAGGTTCTCACCCAGTTTTCTGGTAAAAGCACAAAGGCAATAGTAGATGTTTGCCTTGCTTTCCTTTGACTTAGTAAGTACTTCGCTCCTGGCATAAAACGGAGCGACTCTTTGGAGGAGCTGTCAAACACAGAAGTAGTGATATGGAAAAAAATGCAGCACAGAAAGTCAAGTCATAACATGATGAGTAATTAAAATCCCACCCCAAGGCGGAATTTTTCTCTCCTTAATTGCAACTTGATGAGGAATCCTGAGGAGATCCAAAATGAGATCACAAAGCTTTGCTGAATTTTTATAATTTCTCCCGCAAAGGCTCTCCGAGGCCATGTTTTGTTTACCCAAATACAGTGAACTAGGGAACGGAGACAATTTTCCAGAAATCCAGGCAAACTCAACACTCCTTGGCTGAGTGTTTAGGCACAGTGTTTCTTTTGGCCTAAGTTATGCTATACATTGGTTCTCGAAAGCACTTCATATATAATCATAGCTGACAGTGAACACCGAGTGTTTCGGTGGCTGAAACAATCCAGGGCAGTGATTTCTAAATGTCACTGGGGCGACTGGTGCTGGTCTGGAAGAAATTTCCACTGGACTGCAGCTACGCAAGGAAACTCAGGGCAATCTGCTGAGTTTTCATATAGCTAAATTTACTCACTTTGAAATAAGTGTTCTTTGCTCTTCAATTTTACCTTCCACAGTTGGAAAGAGGGGGAGTAAAAGAAATAATAGAAATTGATGGTAATTATAAAAACAATTCTTATAATTGATAAAAAGTTGGCAACCTTTGTCAGTCCTCAATTAAAATATATTTTCTTTTCTGTGAAATCCAAAGACTTAGGAATGACCACCCTAAGAAAGTAAAAGAATCCCTTAGATCAAGTAGATTTGTGTCATATTAATAGCAGCTCTATGAAGTGTTCATTTATGGCAGTCTTTGGAGTCATCAGCCCAAGGGAGGTTGGGGGTGGTGGGGAAGTTACTGTTTTTCTCTATCTCTACCCTCCAGTGGACCAACAAAACAAATATCTTGGATTCTTTACTTGCACTGCCTTGATGGGAGACAAGGGCAGATCCAAGGGAAGTACTAACGAAACCAGTTTTTCATCGCTTTGAAATCACATACCAGAGTAAGGGCTTCAAGCTGGAGAGGAGAGACAAAGCGCTGTTGAAGAGGCAAGAGGAAATAAGATCAGAGAATGGAGATGTGGCAGGCCTCGTCCCCTCCCCACTCTTGCTGTCCCTGATGATGGAGGAGACATGAGTGGCGTAAGTTAGGGAGTGAGGATGAAGCTGCAAATTAGGCAAAATATGCCCTACTTCCTGTCTGGGATTTTTTTTTTAACTTTTAGGTTTGGGGGTACATGTGAAGGTTTGTTACATAGCTAAAGTCATGTCATGGGGGTTTGTTGTACAATTATTTTATCACCCAGGTATTAAGCCCAGGACCACATAGTTATCTTTTCTGCTCCTCTCCCTCTTACCACCCTTCACCCACAAGTAGGCCACAGTGTCTGTTGTTCTTTTCTTTGTGTTGGTAAGTTCTCATCATTTAGCTCCCACTTATAAGTGAGAACATGCAGCATTTGGTTTTCTATTTCTGCGTTAGTTTGCAAAGGATAATAGCCTCCAGTTCCATCCATGTTCCCACAAAAGGCATGATCTCATTATTTTTATGGCTGCATAGTATTCCATGGTGTATATGTACCACATTTTCTGCATCCAATCTGTCATTGATGGGCATTTAAGTTGATTCCATGTCTTTGCTATTGTGAATAGTGTTGCAATAAACATTCACACGCGTGTGTCTTTATGGTAGAATGATTTATATTCCTCTGGCTATATACCGAGTAATGAGATTGCTGACTTACATTATCCTATGCCATGGCAAAGGAGGGCAGAAGAGAAGGTGACAGGACAACCTCAGTAGCTGAGAGCAAAGCATTCCCCTCGTTTCCCGGGGTTTTCAGGTGCTATGAGAAGGGACAGAGTCGGTTCCCTTGGTTCTGACTGGGGACCTGAAGGTCAGCTGAAGAGAGGACTATAGTCCTTACAAGGGTCCCTCTGAAAATGAAACAACAGGAACCATGAGGGGCTAAAGGAGCCAGAGATCAGCCTGTGCAGGAGCCAGATGAGGACTAAGTTTGCATTAGGACACTGGTGAACTCTGCCAGAGGAAACAACAGACACCATCTATGCACAAGACAAATGCATCTGCCAATCTGCCACAGACACCTCCATAGGACCAACCCCACAGGATAAAGAGGACTCTCCCACGCCACCCAACCACCACATGGAATACAGAGTTTAGAGTCAGGATTGAATGACTTCTATAGGAAATTATGAAACTGCATTTTTTCCAGCCCCAACCTCATTACTATAAAGTTTATACCCATTTAAGTAATAATTATTGAGCATTACTATGTGCAAAGAAATTGGACTAGGATTGTCTCATTCAATCCTCACTATAACCCTGTGAGGTATGCATTCTTACTGCAAATTGAGTTCAATTGGTGTTTCAGAGTTTTGAATTTTTCATATCATGTCATATTTACATATACAAAATGAGACATCCACGGGATGGAACCCAAATGTAAACATTAAATTCATTTATGTTTCATATACACCTTATACACATAGCCTGAAGGTAATTTTAAACAATATTTTTAATAATTTTGTGCCTGAATAATTCTATTCAGTCATAACAAAGAATGAAATCATGTCTCTTGCAGCAACGTGGATGGAACTGGAGGCCATTATCTTAAGTGAAAAAACTCAGAAACAGAAAGACAGATATCACATGTTTTCATTTAGAAGTGGGAGCTAAATAATGTGTACACATGGACACAGAATGCTAGACATGAAAGGCTTGGAGAGGTGGGAAGATGGGAGGGGGTGAGGGATGCTAGATTCCTGAATGAATACAATGGATGCTATTTGGGTGATGGAGACACTAAAAGTCCAGACTTTACCACTATGCAGTATATTCATGTAGCAAAACTGCACTTGTACCACTTAAACTTATACAAATAAAAAAAAGTATTGTGTGTATGAAACAATGTTTTGACTGTGACCTATCACGTGAGGTCAGGTGTGGAATTTTCCACTTGTGGCGTCATGGAGGCACAAAAAAAGTTTCAGATTTTGGAGCATTTTGAATTTTGCATTTTCGGACTAGGGATGCTCAGCCTGTATGCTCATTTTACAGATGAAGAAAGCGAGGCTAGAGATTTAATAATTTTCCCATGATTACACAGCTAGGGACTGGCCCATCTGGAATTCAAACCAAGGCAGACTCACATTCTTAACCGCTATAATTTTGATTGTTTCCTTTTGCAGGCCTTTCAAGAAATCTGTATATTTTGAAATAATCAAAACACCAGGCAATATTAAGTGTGTTTGGAAGTGAGTCAAATAATATATTTACCAGGACCCACACGTTCCACTCTGAGCTTCTCATAAGATTGGCTGCTCAGAGTAATAATAGTAAGTAAATAAAAGTGATAATAAATGTAAACTTATTGTGAAGAATATCAATTACTCAAGGAGAGGCAATGGAAATATACACTTCAAAATTATACTGAAGCATAGTTTGAAGCAAGGTGACATGAGCCGTAAAACTAGTGAGTAGAAGCCTCATGGAGATATGACATTTGTGTGCAATCATCAGTGAGAAAAAATTTCACTTCCTGCCAGAGAATAATACTTGTCATGTTGGATAGGCAAGGTGGCTCACACCTGCAGTCCCAGCACTTCGGGAGGCCAACGCAGGAGGATTGCTTGAGCCAGGAGTATGAGACCAGCCTGGGCAAAAAAGTGAGACTCTGTCTTTACAATTTTTTTTTTTTTAAAGTTAGATGGGTGTGGTGGTACACCACCTATACTGCTGGCTACTCCAAAGGCTGAGATGGGAGAAACACTGAGCCCAGGAGTTCGAGGCTGCAGTGAGCTGTGATCACATCACTGCACTCCAGCCTGAGTGACAGGAAGACCCTGTCTCTAGAAAACCAAAAAAAAAAAAAAAACAAAACGAAACAAAAAGCAAACTTGTCATGTCCCTGAAATTCAAAGCCACAAATGATGAAAAACCTGGCTGATAACGGCCCCTGTTATCTACAGGAGAGACTATCCAGGGAGAAAATGATGGCTGACTTCCTCACTCAGCAATGATGTTCTGAGCATCTACTGGGTAGGGCATACTGAGCTCCTGAGTTGGCCACTGGGGATACAGAGGATCACAGGCAGTTGTTCTCACGGAATTGCACTCTAATAAACCATGAGGTGGTGAAATGTGCAACTTTCTCACACGTAAATAATGCCATTATTTGGTGGGGGGAATTTGATAAAGAACATATATCATCATTAAGCACTGTGTGGCAATGTGCCAAGGGCAACACACCCAGTTGATGATAAAGTCATAAACTCTCGAGGTCTGAAGCTATTCCAGTACTGAAGAGCTGGTAAGCACCAACAGCAATGACAGCATTACTGAGTACGGTTCTGGCACTACACCCAAGCTGACATTGAATAGTTCGTCTCCCCTACTCTTTCTACACTGAAACTAAAGTGGGAGGAAACTGGTCATTCCAAATGTGGTGTAAACTAGTCTTGCCCTTGGCAAGTGGGTGGAGACCCTAACTACTGTTAACTAGGCCTCCTAGCAGTTGTTCCTCTTGCAAATTCAAGTAATAACCAGGAACTAAAAAAGATTTCTGTTCTCTAAACTATCAGGAGTCTTAATCTCAAGAGTAGGCTTTACTATGAGGCAGTCAACACACACACACACACACACACACAGGCACACAAACATATATACATACATCTAGTGGTAAGCCAAAGAAGAAAACAAATATTGGAGAGAGTTACAGTGGCATTGCATTTCAGCAGGGATGCAGTTTAGAAACAGGGTCGGGTAGGGAATGAGGAATTTCCTAAGATCGGTTCAAGGCAAGACTTGGGTCCCTGGAAGCTCAAAAGCCAAACATGAAAATTAACTGTTTTGCTTTCTCTGCTGTTCTGCTATATGTGGTCTCCTAGCCAGTGGAGACCAAAGACTAGTTTAAATGAACATCAAAGTAATTTCAAGGTCACCTTTATGTCATGATTTTTCAGAGTATGCATATCATTCGTTATATGTAATAACATAAGAAAAAATCAAAAATTAAAAACCAAAACTACTTTTTTTTTTTTTGAGACAGAGTCTCACTCCGTTGCTGGACTGCAGTGGCGGGATCTCGGCTCACTGCAACCTCCACCTCCTGGGTTCAAGAAATTCTTGTGCCTCAGCCTCCTGAATAGCTGGGATTACAGGCATGCGCCACCACGCCTGGCTAATTGTTGTCATTTTAGTGGAGACGGGGTTCCACTACGTTGGCCTGGCTGGTCTCAAACTCCTGGCCTCAAGTGATCTACTCACCTCGGCCTCCCAAAGTATTGGGATTACAGGCGTGAGCCACCGTGCCCAACCCCTTTTGAAAAATAAGACAAAAATACTTAAGACTGCAAATGCAAATGCTCCTAAACCAGGCTTTACCTTTTGTGACGGCTTCATGATGTGTCAACGTGGCTAGGCTGAACTACATTTCCTTGAATTCCTTTCCAGTATGTTTTCAGACAGGGTGAGCTACAAGAGAGTTCTCCTGCAAGAGCTGGAGGACAGAAGGGAGACTGCAGCCATTTTGTAGCATACACACACATTTTTTCAGTTACATCATCAGTCATTTAGGTGCTTCTGTGAAGGGACTATTGCCAATGTAATTAAAGTCCCTAAACAGGTGACTTTAAGTTAATCAAAGGAGAGATTCCCCTGGGTGGGCCTGACTTAGCCAGTGGGAAGCCTTTTCTAAGAAGGTAGAGGCTCTCTGGCAGTTCAGACTCCAGGCTTCAGCTTGTGCCCAAGGGAGCTCAGTCTGTTGGGAATATTTCCTTCCTGACTATCTGCCCTGCGGACTTTTAAGCTCGCTTAGCCACACACCAGCAGTAGGCAAGCCAATACCTTCACACACATCCATATGGATTTCCTACAGCTTCTGTTTCTCTGAGTGAACCTGACTGATACGCCTCCTTTCATTCATTCAACAAACACTACACTGGGGTCCTACAGACACTAGGCTAAAGAAACCGTCACTTCCCTCAAGCAATTTTCAATACTTCTCTAGTGAAGGCTTATGCAGTCTTTCTTTTTAGTTGTTTTTTTCAGACTTCTGGTCAGTAGACTAGAAACACACAAAAAATAATTAGAAATATCACCAAAGCTTAAATTATCCACAACCAAATATTCATTTTTAAAATTAAGCAAGTTTGAGATTTCCCTTGCCCCTAACACATGTCAAAGGCTATTTCTCCTGACAAAGGGTAAGATTCAATTTGTTCTCAAATTGAAAATTCCTACAACCCCAGAACCATATCTGTTGAAAATTAATCTACATAGCTCCTAACACAGTGTAGTATACAGATAGCTGACTCAAACCACAAATCTAAACAATATTTCACAAATAGGATAGTGAAAACAGAGAGGTTAAATGACTTGCCCCAAGTCACATGTGCAGTCACACAGGACCTGGCTGCCTCGTTACAGCACTGGGGAGGCTTCACGCCACTCCTGGTGGGGACGGGGAAGAGGCATGATGTCTCCAGCTGGCGCACCTGTATCCTCATGCATGTTTCTTTACCTTTTGGAGAGTGGTCCTCACATTTACTTGGCTGTTCACAACAGACAAGCCTTGTCAAAGTCACCTAAGACTTCATGATGCCAAATTCAATGGTTTTTGCTCAGTCCTGGTTTATTGGACACAGTTGTTCACTCTCTCCCTCTTGACATACTTTCTTCCCATGGAAGGCAACCAATTGTCTCAGGGTGTCCCAGTCTCTTAAAGTCTCATGTACTGAGAAAATCCTCAGTACCAGGCAAATTGTGACAGTTCGTTCCTCTATTTTACAGATACCACTTTTACTAGGTTTTCCTCCTGCTATGCAGTGCCCTGGAGTTCAATTCTAAATCTCTTCTCAATCTGCATTCAATCTCAAATGAACTCATTCACTCCCATGGCTTTAAATATACATTTTTAAAATTACAAGTTTATATCTGCAGCCTCAACTTCTGCCATAAATTCCAGGTTGACTTTTCCAATTACACCTCAACATCACTACTTGATAATTTAACAGACCTCTCAAACACAATGAGTTCAAAACTAACTCAACTTTCCTGGCAATCTGCTCTTCCCATACCTTCCATACCTCCACACTTCTGCAAGTGGCAATTCCAGTCCACCAATTGCCCAGGTGGAAAACATTAAAGTCAATCTTGCTTCTTCTCTTTCTCCTACACTCTACATATCACCCATCAGAAAATCCTATCCACTTTCTTCTGAAATATATCCAGAATACTTCTCACTTTCTCTTCTGC
Organism: Homo sapiens; assembly: GCF_000001405.40. NCBI lineage: Eukaryota > Metazoa > Chordata > Mammalia > Primates > Hominidae > Homo > Homo sapiens. Next base: position 279,033 of record NC_000009.12, on the reverse strand, counting down.
CACCACCCTCGTCCAAAGCACCGGTATTGCTTTCCTGAGTTACCGTGACATCTTCCTAACTGCCCTCCCTCGTCCAGTCTATTTTCCACACTGCAGCCAGAGTGATCCTCATAAAAAGTCAAATGGTTCCACGCCCAACCTCAATGCTCACAGCAGCTTCCTGTCTTAGAGTAGGAGCCAATGTTCTACAGTCTCTGAGGCCTGTGACCCAGCCCTGCTTTCTCTATGACTGCATTTCCTACTGCCCACTCTGTTCAGGCCTCATTCTGCTTCCTTGCTGCTTCTGGAGCACGTCACTTATTGAAGTTTTGGGGACTTTGCACGTACTGTTCCTTCTGACTGGAATATTTTTCCTTCAGATGTCCGTCAAGTTCATTCAGAATTCTGCCCAAGTGTCTCCTTTCTAGATAGAGGCCTTCACGGATGATCCAATCTAAAAGCATCTCTTCTGGGTCACGATTTCATTCTTCAAAGCCCTCAATACTCCCTGACACAATCGACATTTTCTATTTGTCTGCGTCTGTCCCTCATTCTGAAAGGCAAACTCTATGAGGATAGGCCCTCTATTGTATTCACTGTTGTATCTTCAATCTCACTGCTGTGCCAGCAGTTCCTGACATAGAGACCCAATACATATTTCTAAAACGAATGAGTAAGCTCTCTACTATCTTTAAACGAAGCTGAAGGCAGTAAAGTTCTTCTAGCTTCTGTGATATCGAAGTTCTGTACTTTATGGACTAAACACTCTCCTGCTTCCAACAACAACAATCTAGCACTGATGCCACTAAGAGGGAGATGCTGACATGCCACCATGGGCATCACTCTAGTTTCACCAAGGCTGAGTTGATTCCTCTGCTGAACAATGACAATAAAGAAACGTCTGCTCTGTGTGCAGAATGCCTGCCACTCTTTCCTTTTATCTTCCATTGTGAATTTGCAAGAAAATTATCTTGAGATCTTCATTTTCCGTCATGTCCCTTCCAGTGCAATCAGTGAAACCTAAGAATAGCCCAACCCCTTGAAAGATGAAGTGCAAAAGAACAACAGAATCAGAAGAATAAAAGAGGACCATATTTATCAGGCAATTAACCATTTAAGTCATCATGAGCTGTAAAATAAAAAAGGCTGCTTTATTGCACAGAAGCCTATACACATAACAAAAATAAATGCCTTCTAAGCTATGAGACTTTTTTTTTAAATAAATGTTACATATACAAACATGCCATGTAACCATGGTGTTTGGTACATATCCAGGATGTGGCTTTTTACATCCTTTTCTTCAGTCAGAGCCGTTATGGTCCAGCTAATTCATTCCATTTCACTTCAAAATTGTTCTATTCTCACTTTTAAAAATAGGATTTTTCCCTCCATAAAATATGTAGCTTAAGGTTATTAACCACCTACACAGTCTCAAATCCTCCTTACTTCCTTAGGGCATAGATCCTAACTCTTTCTTCTCTTGTCCTCTCGCCTCCCCTCCCCTCCTTTCCTCTGAGACAGGGTCTCCTAACTCTTCTCTTGTATGTTACTCTTCTTTTGTATGTCTTCTCTTCTCTTCTCTTCTCTTCTCTTCTCTCTTTCTCTTCTCCTCTCTTCTCTTTTCTTTTCTGAGACAGGGTCTCACTCTGTTGCCCAGGCTAGAGTACTGTGGCTCAATCATGGCTCACTGCAGCCTCCAACTCCTGAGTTCAAGTGATCCTTCTGCCTCAGCCTCGCAAGTAGCTGGGACTAAAGGCATGTGCCACCATGCCTGGCTAATTTTTCTTTTTAACTTTGTTGTAGAGATGAGTTCTCACTATGTTGCCTAGGCTGGCCTCGAACTCTTGGCTTCAAGCTATCCTCCTGCCTCTGCCTCCCAAATTGTTGGGATTACATACAGCCATGAGCCATTGTGCCTGGCTTCTACTTTGAACAATCAGAAAATAGGCCGGGTGTAATGACTCATACCTGTAATCCCAGCACTTTGGGAGGCCAAGGCAGGCAGATCACTGAAGCTCAGGAGTTCAAGACCAGCCTGGACAACATGGAGAAACTCCGTCTCTACAAAAAAAATACAAAAATTAGCCAGGCGCAATGGTGCGCCTGTGGTCCCAGTTACTTGGGAGGCTGAGGCAGGAGAATCGCTTGAGCCTGGGAGGCGGAGGTTGTAGTGAGCCAAGATTGTACCACTGCACTCCAGCCTGGGCGACAGAGCAAGGCCCTGTCTCTAAATAAATAAATAAATAAATGAAAAGACAATAGTATATTACAGTTTCATTTTAACAGAGGTACTGATTATAGACTTGTTTGCCTGAATAGGTGGCTGGCACCAGAGGGTCTCTGGTTAATCTATTCACACAGCTGTGGCAATAGAGAATGCCAAAGCCAATAAGTGAGTCTACACACAGGGTTATTTACTAGCCACAGCTGCCTTCTAGCCCTGGTCACAAAGGATTTTGGTAGGAGTGTCAAATAGACCTGGGACAAGTTTATCATCACATCTAGAAAACCAACTTCAAATGATGGATCCCCTTCATACTAAAAAATGCAAAATTTGAAAATATTTTATCTACTTAGAAAATGTTTATACACATAGTCATCAGACCTGATATTTATAGTTTTTAAAAACCCCAATAAAACAAAAAGAAAAATCAACATCAAACATACACCCTTCCTCTCATCTGATTTATCAGATTTATGACAGAAACCACTGTATTTTCTAAGGATATATCTGTAGGGTTAGTAAGTGGTCTTTGCTTACTACACCTTCTGAAATTCAAAGCACACAGGGCAAAATAAGTGTTACCTTTCTTTATATATTCCCCCCATTTGGAATACGTCTACCTTTAAAGTTTTTTTAAATGGGCCGAGCGCAGTGGCTCAAGCCTGTAATCCCAGCACTTTGGGAGGCCGAGGCGGGCGGATCACCTGAGGTCAGAAGTTCAAGACCAGCCTGGCCAACATGGCGAAACCCCGTCTTTACTAAAAATACAAAAATTAGCCAGACATGGCGGCAGCTGCCTGTAATCCCAGCTACTCAGGATGCTAAGTCAGGAGAATCACTTGAACGCAGGAGGCAGAGGTTGCAGAGAGCAGAAATCACATCACTGCACTCCAGCCTGGGTGACAGAGGGAAATTCCATTACAAAAAAAAAAAGTAAAACTAGGCCGGGCCCAGTGGCTCATGCCTGTAATCCCAGCACTTTGGGAGGCCGAGGTGGGTGGATCACTTGAGGTCAGGAGTTTGTGACCAGCCTGGCCAACATGGTGAAACCCTGTCTCTACTAAAAGTACAAAAATTAGCCAGTTGTGGTGGTGCACGCCTGTATTCCTAGCTACTGGGGAGGCTGAGGCAGGAGAATAGCTTGGACCTGGGAGGCAGGAGTTGCAGTGAGCCAAGATTGCGCCACTGCACTCCAGCCTGGGTGACAGAGCGAGACTCCATCTCAAAAAATACATTAAAATTTTAAATAAATAAATAACAGAGCTGTTTAAATGATTCTCAACCTGGGCTTCAAGTTAAAGTCCCCAGGGAACTTTAAAATACTGATGCTTGGTCCCCACCCCCAGGAATTCTGATTGAATTGTCCCTAGATAATTTTAATGTCCAGTCAGGGCTGAGAACCCTTACTCTAAGTCTTCTCAGCCTTCTCAATCAAGCCTTTGCCTCCTATCACATCATGTATCCTTTTCTCTTCTAAACACCTGCCACTTTTGAAGCCAGTATATTCTACATTACCTGTTCTCCCAAATGGATCATAAAGCCCTTCAGAGCTGAAGTCACCTTTTATTCATCATCTTCTTTTAATCTCCCACAGTGTCTCCATAGTGCCAAATCGTAAGAGAGCAATACTAGCCAATATATACAAAGGACCCATTATATAATTCTATATTCCCTACTAGGGACAGCATTATTATGCCAATTTTACAAATGAAGAAACTGAAGTCTTCAGAGAGATTAAGTGGCTTGTCACAAATTACATGACTAATAAATGACAACTGTACCTCATCCCAGATTCACCTGACTCCAAGCTCTTCACTCTTGCAAAACAGCAGCAACAACAAAGACGTGTAAATGATTAGGTTCTAAATAACTTGACTTCAATTAAATGCTTTTTAAAATTAAACAATCATTTGTATCAGCAAGTGGGCCATTGAAATGGTGGTTGTAAAAATAAAGGTAAGAGAAACGAAGGTCAGAACGCACTTGGTCTTATTTTTCAATTAGCCAAAATAATGCAACGAAAACCTACGGCTTCTCATTTTAAGGAAAGTTTTCTAAAACAGCTTTAGGTTGAGAGTCTTTAGATGATAAACTACTCCTTTGCCTTCCTAGAAATGAATCTTACCGACATGTTCCATTATCTTTCCATGAAAAGAAATTTTTTTTTAAAGGTAAAAGGAAATCACCACATAAGTTGATGATTTCTTTTGGGGAACCTTCATTCGGGACGATGACTCAAGGGGAAGAACAGCCACTTCATTCTGACATTACAACACGATACCAGGTAAACATTATGGAGATGGATTTCCTAAGCAGACTATTCATCTAAAAAAAAAAAAAGAAAAGAAAGAAAAGAAAAAAAAAAGAATTCAATCCTCTGGGCTTCCACATGCCTCCGTTCTCCAGGTAGAAGGAACAAGAGCCATATACTGAAGTTGAAGTCAAGAGATGGGAAAAGAGATTCAGAAAAGTAAAGCGGAATAACTGGGAGTAATATATTCTAAAGGATATTCACATGCAAATAGAACCAAGACTAAATGATGACAGGTAGGAACATGTGATTCTTGCATAATTTAACAATTTTACTTATTGTTGCTGGTTTCTTGATATCTTAGAAAATGGACAGCTAAGCCACATGTTAACGTCACTACCCGGCTAAGGTAGTAATTCATCAAAATTCACTTTCATCAAAACTTACTGAGGAGGCAGCAAACTTACCAAACGAATGCTTACAGATATTAAGCATTATTTTCCTTTGTAACTTTACATAAAATAATTTCTCCTGAAAGAAAATTTAAGGCTGTGGCATTAAAGTAAAAGCTGGTGGCCGGGCATGGTGGCTCATGCTCGTAATCCCAGCACTTTGGGAGGCCTAGGCGGGCGGATCACCTGAGGTCAGGAGTTAGAGACCAGCCCTACCAACATGGAGAAACCCCGTCTCTACTCAAAATACAAAATTAGCCAGATGTGATGGTGCATGCCTGTAATCCCAGCTACTCGGGAGGCTGAGGCAGGAGAATTGCTTGAACTACAGGAGAATTGCTTGAACTAGGAGGCAGAGGTTGCGATGAGCCGAGATGGTGCCATTGCACTCCAGCCTGCGTGACAAGAGCTAAACTCCATCTCAAAAAAAAAAAAAAAAGAGTAAAAGCTGGTATGGAGAGAAAGGGTTAAAGCCTGTTAGCTAAACTTCCTTAACGTCTCTTAGGAGTGATGTCCACACTACTTCCCAAGACAACTACTGCAGAAAGCTGCAGCCTTCATTTACTTTTTAAAAAAGCAAAGCACTAAACCCTCTACCTTGTTTAAAATTTAAAAGTGTATCCAATCTATTTTAAACTAAATTTTGCATGTTTTGGAATACAACTTCAGTCAATTTAAAAAAATTTTTTTGATTTTTCAATTAAATATATATTAGCACAAATTAAACCAATAAGCATATCTAATTTATCTTGGTGTAAAGCTTATCTAATATACCTGAAAATGGACACAATATGCACTTGACATGCCTTTATTATACTCTGCAATTCTGAAACACAGGAAAAGTACAAATAAAAAGGCCAGTCTAGCAAGCCACTGAAGTCATAAGTAGATTTTCTGAAAAAATGGCATGGAAAGTTACCTCCTGCAGTAAAAGATGCTATAGGTTTTTCGTACTACTATTTCATTAATGACGCAACACACAAATTATCCTTCTGAAATAACCAGAAATCACTCCAGTAAAACATACCTTTGAAAGATTCACAGTTACACGGCGCGTAAATTGTTACAGGAGACAAAATGGCGGTTACCGGAAACTGAGCGGAAGGTTACAAAATTTCTAAGGCAGAAGTGGTTTCGAAGTAATAAGTAGAAACAAAAAGTAACCTAACCTCTTCAAGATAAGCAGCAGAACCAGCAAGAGTGCTGCTGTGCTGTGTGAGGAAGTGAGTACAGGAGGGCTGGAGCTCTCTCACAGAGGAAGTGAATATTCACTGCTGGTTTTACAAACCATCTCATTTGTCAGATTTATCTCACTTGGCACACATCTGGCATTTAGTGCTCAAATAATATAACACATATAGGCACACTCAACAATTGGCATTGATATAAAAATGTAGGCAATCTTCAATTTAAGAGGAAATGTGTTTTAAAAATGAAGGTTTAGGGCCAGGTGCAGTGGCTCACTGTAATCCCAGCACTTTGGGAGGCTGAGGCAGGAGGATCGCTTGAGCCCAGGAGTTCAAGACCAGCCTGGGCAACATAGCGAGACCCCTGTCTCTACAAAAAGTACAAAAATTAGCCAGGTGTGGTGGCATGCGCCTGTAGTCCCGGCTACTTGGGAGGATGAGGTGGGAGGAGAATCATCTGATCCTGGGAGGTTGAGGTTGCAGTGAGCTGAGATCACACCTCTGTACTCCAGGCTGGGTGACAGACTGACACCCTGTCTCAAAAAAAGAAGGTTTGTACATACTGTAACAGGATATGAAGCTCCAGATAGAGCAAAATTATGGTGACAGAAGTGAGTCAGAGATTGCGTGAGTTGGAGGGTGTGGCCTGGGGAGAGGAGATTGTAAAAGCGCGCTGGGGAACGCTTTAGGATAAAAGAAGTGTTCTATATCTTGACTGAGGAAAGGTTAAGTGACTCTAAGTTGCCCAAGTTCACCAAATTGTACACCTAAAATGTGTGAATTTTATTATATGTAAATTATACTAGCAAGAAAATTATTTTACAAAAAGGAGGTCTGTAACTTGGCATTTCAGATTTTGGAATATGCTTTTCCAAAAAAATGCATACTACAAATGGTGGTAAGTTTTTGGGCTAGCCCTTCTCCCCCAAATATGAACCATAATTTGGATGAGACTGAGTCACCTGGAAGCCCACCTAGTCTAGAGACATCAAAACCACAGCTCCCAGAGGTTCTATTATGTACCCTAAGTACCGGTTGGCAGAGAGAGAGAGGGATATTGTCTGATGTCCAGACACAGTCACAGAGTTAGGATCTGGTGACTGGAGAATGTGAGGTGATGGTAGGAAGATCTAAGGAACAGGAGGCAAACACATACCCTGGGCACTTTTGCACTTGACCAATCGCTAAGTAAACCTGGAACTCATACTTACTAGTTGAAGAGAGGGGAAGCCAGAGGTACTTATGCTCTGTCGATGGTACTGGCCAAGGTTTGGTGGGAGAGTAAACTGTTTCCTTATTTCCGCTGAAGAATACCTTGGATTAAAATAGAAAAATCTAAATGAAATGATTATTTTAGGAAATCATCACAATTTTAGATGCAATCTTTGATATCATGTTATAAAACGTAGGCCTTGGCTGGGCAATGAGCAGAACTGACTAAGATACCTTTTCAGTGGCCTGTTAGTGGACATCGTAGTTTTTGTCAGATAATACATACCCTTGAGAAGTTCACAGAGGCCATGATGCCTGCAGTCAGGTCCTGCCCAATACTGGAAGGATGATGACAGAAGGAGGACTTTGAGGCCCAAGAAAAAGATCCAGGGCATTTGACTCCTTCTCCCCCAGCCATTCAGAGTTTTCTCTATGTGAGGATGTCTGGTATCTGACTAGAATCCTTTAAATCCTGAGCTGCCATTTTGATCCAGCCATTCTCATTTCAAGCAGCTGAACCCTTTTGGCTGACTGGTTGCTACAACAGAGAACACCAGAGAACTGTTGTATGAATACTTCTACCTCCCTGTAGGCACCTTCGATGCTACAGGAATTCCCAATGATTGTATTTTTTCCCAACTGCTCCTAGTTCAGTGATCCTTTGCATCACCCATGTGGACAATGCTCAGCCAACACTTTAGGGAGCCATACACATGAGAGGAAATTGTTCCCCACTGTCTACTCACACCTGCTGGCATGTGACTGCTGGCCAGTGATACCCCAGCTTACAAAAAGGTTGACTTCTGAGCACTTATCTGTTAGCCATTTGTTTGGAACTCAGAGCACGTTTTCTCATTACATCATTGTGTTGGTGGTTGGATTCTCAGGCTAGTTCACAAAAGTGTATTTAAACCACAATGAGGCCAAAACATACAATACCAATACCACTACTGAATATAATTAGAAACTAACAGAGATTACTGAGGATCAAATGAGGTCACATATTTTAAACATGCTTTGTATCCAACAAGGGTATATATAAATTTTTAAACATTGTAACTTTAGATGTAATACTTAAATATTACAAATGAAGCGTATTATGTTTTCTCTGTGAAAACGTGTGCTAGGGCATACTTATTAACTACCCAGCATGATGAGGTTTCCTACATGGTTTGCTTTGCTCCCGACCTTGGCAATGAGTTACACCTAGAAAGGCAGGAAACTGGGCTCTTGTCCCAACTTTGGCATCTATTCTCCCTCAGGAGCACCCCAGTTTCCTTTCAAGATGCCAACACTCATGCTGTGCACTGTCTAGGCAGAAACACAAATCAAAAGAGTGGGCACATAACTCACGGCAGGACAAGTGTCTCTCTTTCCCAGGATTCTGAATGACAAATGGAGAGAAGATTGGAAGAATAAGACTGGAGCACCTTCATCCTAGTGGTGGCCCGTTACATGATGAGGCAAGGAAGTGTGAAACCCCAGAGGAAGCTGTAGCTGCAAGCATACATTTTGCTCCTTAATTTTCTACAGCGTTTTCTTTATTTAATTTTTTAAAAGTATAAGGAAAAACTAGGATAGGAAGTAAGTATTCTACTAGCCGTGAGGGAAATGGGAAATGCAGATCAAATCACAATGAGTTGCCATTTCACAACCACTAGGCTGGCTATAACAAGAAAGAGGGGCAATAACAAGTGTTTGCAAGGATGTGGAGAAACTGGAGCACGCATATGCTGTTGGTAGGAGTATAAAATGGTGCAGCCATTTTGGAAAGCCATCTGGCAGTTCCTGAAAAATTTAAGCAGAGCTCCCATGTATCCCAGCAATTCCACTCAAAGGTATTTACCCAGGAGAAATGAAAACATACTTCTGGCAGTGTGTGGTGGCTCACACCTGTAATCCCAGCATTTTGGGGGGCTGAAGTGGGCAGATCACTTGAGGTCAGGAGTTCATGACCAGCCTGGCCAACATGGTGAAACCCCATCTCTACTAAAAATACAAAAAAATTAGCCAGGTGTGGTGGCGTGTGCCTGTAATCCCAGCTACTTGGGAGGCTGAGGCATGACAATTGCTTGAACCCGAGAGGCGGAGGTCACAGTGAGCTGAGATTGCTCCACTGCACTCCAGCCTGGGTGACGGAGCAAGACTCTGTTGCAAAAAAAAAAAAAAAAAAAAAGACAACCACACTTCCCCACAAAAACTTACACATGAATGTTCGTAGCAGCCTTATTCATAAAGGCCAAAAAATGGAAAAAATCCAAACGTCCATCAACTGATGAATGACTTAACAAAAAGTTGTATATCCACACAATGGAAAATTACTCAGCAATAAAAAGGAAAAGAGTACCTATATACACCACAACATAAATGAACCTTGGAAACATTATCCTAAGTGAAATAAGCTAAACCAAAAGACCACATGTTCTATGATTCTTTATATGAAATGCCCAGAATTGCAAAATCTATACAGACAGAAAGTAGATTTGTGGTCACCTAAGGTTGGGGATATTGTAGAGAAATGGAGAGTGGCTGCTAATGAGTTTGGGGTTTCTGTTTGGAGTAATGAAAATGTTCTGAAATTGATTGTAGTGATGACTGTGAATACATTAAAAATCACTGAACTGTACACATGGGTGAATTTTGTAGTATATAAATTATATCTAAATAGATATAGATAGGTGTACGTGTAAATATTCTACAGAGACAAAAGTGAAGGCAAAAAATTAGTGTGACAACTAGGAATGAAAGAATAACCTCAGATTTTGTCTCCAAGTGCTTGATAGACTGATTTTAATTATAAGTTGGACAGTCACCAATGTTTTAAAAACCAGCAGATTAGACCACTGTCCAAAACAAAGGTCTATATTGCATGAGCAACAATGTGTCTTGTGTTTGGCACCACAGGACTCAAACCAACACTGCAATCATTTATTTGCTTACTTGAAAGAGGATCATAAGCCATGGAGGGCCAACACAACCAAGCCAAAGCCTTTTTCTGTGATCAAGCTGACCTTTTTACAGATAAGACTGACTTCTCCTGCGACTGCTGTGTCCAGGTCTTCCCCTAAGAGCTCTCAAATAACATGTCTTAGCTTCATGGCCACTCTAAAACTGGTCCTATTATACACCAGAGTGGTCTATCTGAAATAAGAATATCTGAAAATGTTCAGGAAAGAAAGTGGCACTGTGAGAGGATCAAAGAGGCAGGAAGGATAGGGTCTTGCTTTCATTTTGAAGCAAGATCTGTTGTCCTATGTCAAAACTCTAGTATTTTTGTCATCATGAAATCAGAATGTTCCTGCTCTCTAGCCCTTCTTAAACAGGGTCAACTGGTATTTCTGTTCCAGTCGTCCACATACAAGTTTCCAAATTCAGAACTACACAACTAATCTTCTTTCTTGACTCTTTGAGCCTAACCCAATACCTAATAGCACTCCTATTTTCTCTCCCTACAGAATCAATTATACAGAAGGCAATTAAACCTGTCACTTCAAAACTGTCAAATACAAACGAATGGTTTGTCCTTAAAATGAAAATAGTGAATCATTCCACGTGGAAAAGAATTGCTTCATATCATTTGAAGAACTTCAAAATAAAATATCTCTAGTGAGGCCCTACACACATATTAAGCTAGCAGAAATAGGCTGGAATGATAAAATTTCATGTTGGTCAAGCTGTGGGAAAACCAGCATGCCTCACACCCCTGGTGGGGTTGTATATTGGCTCTGTGTGTCTGGAAAGTAATACTGTAATATGCAACCAGAACTATGAAACTGCTGTTACTCTTTTATCTAACTATCTCGCTTTGGGAAATATACACCGTGGAATTCATACAAACAAAAATATAATTTTGAGCAGAAATGAACATAAGAATTCTGTATATGATAGCATGATAGCAAATAATTAGAAATAACCAAAGCATCCCACATTGGAAAGAACACTGAACAAATAATACTACAAAATATATGGGATATCATTTTTCCATTTAAAATGACAAAAATATAAATTAGGTTGACCCATGGAAACCTGCATATAAAGTAAGCTACAGTAAAAAATAGTATGAGCAACTAAATACAAACACACAACAGTATAACAATATACGTGGAAATATACTACAAGGATCAGAAATCCTTTCCATAGTCAGAAAGTAGTTTAATAACTACCTCATTCAGGTCTGTCTCCTGTGAAGTTATGTAAGTTCATAATTTTAAAAAAATCCATATGGCTGGGCACAGTGGCTCATGCCTGTAATCCCAGCACTTTGGGAGGCCAAAGCAGGTGGATCACTTGAGCTCGGGAGTTTGAGACCAGCCTGGGCAACATGGTGAAACCCAGTCTCTACAAAAAATACAAAAATTAGCCAGGTATGGTGGTGTGTGCCTGTAGTCCCAGCTACTCAGGGGGCTGAGGTGGGAGGATTGCTTGAGCCTGGGAGGTTGAGGCTACAGTGAACTGTGTTCATGCCTGCTGCACTCCAGCTTGGGTGACAAAGTGAGACCCTGTCTCAAAACAAAAACAAAAACAAACAAATTGCATACATATAAAATAGTGTGCAGACAGAGCGTACTACTTGGGATGTTTAAAAGTTATGTAAATGTCAGCTATTAAGTTTCCTAATATGGAACTTCAGTCCCAAAAGAACATATAGCACCCCAATGTCCAAATCAACCTTCTTCATCTCTACCCTGGTCCTAGTGAAGGGGGACATCTGTCTCCACAAAAAGGAACATAGCCAAAGCAGGTGTTTGCACAGGTTCCGTTTCCATGCAGGTACTGTGTGTGGGTTTTATTTTCCTCTACATTTGATTCTTAGACCAAATTTGACATGTCCAAGATAAGTTTCATGATGTTAGATTTATATCATGATAATATTTCCTTAATGAGCTAAGATACCCTTCTTCTAAGGAACTCAAAATAGTTTATAAATATTATCCTCTTTATTCTCCCGGAAGGGAGCCTTGGGATTTATTTAAAATGTCAATACCCATTGTGACTAAGGAGTCAGAATGGTGGTGATGGACTGGTGGTAAGGAGTGGGTAGAGAAGCTCTATGTTTTTTTCAGATCAGCAGATAATTATGATATACAATTGGGACTACAAACCACAACTAATCATAGCGTAGAGCTTGCAAAGTGTGGCTGCTGGATCATTTGCATTAAGTCATCAGCTACTTAGATAAAAATTCGAATTCCTGGACCTACCCCAGTCCTGTATTAGCATCTCTTGTGGTATAGCCTGGAAAACTGTATTTTAAGTCAGCAATTCCAGGTGATTTTTATGTTCAATAAAGCATAAGATTCACTGATAGTGCAAGACTGTGAAGGAATGGTTGGTTCATTCATTCATTCATTCATTCATTCATTCCACACTGAGAACACACAAATTGCTGGGCTCTCTGTTGCTGTTCCTGGGAAGCCTGATCCAGTGGGTAGGTGGGAGGAGGGCAGATGAATAATTTAATACTTACAATATAATATGGTAAGTATTCTATTACAGGAATATGCACAGTTCCTTGTTAGCAAAGAGGAAGGCGTTACTAATTCTGCCTAGGAATGTTTAGGGAGCTTTTAAAACAAGATTTCTGAGCCAGATTTTGAGAAAAAAATTCGTAAAAGAAGTTCTAATGGAGAAGACAATGCACGTTAAACTTTTTAACCATTTCATGATATGTAGACATCAGTTTTTCTCATTCTCACTTTAAGTATTTTAAACATCATGCTGCCTCATTTCTTTATAAAATATGTGTCTAGAAGAATAAAGAAAAAGAATGAAAACTCATTGACAGAGTCCTGAGTTTTGCCATTTGCCATTTGCTTGAGTTTAAGCACATTAGTTGACTAAGGTGGGCCTTAGTTTCATTATATGTAAACCAGAAGGGCTGGGCTGTATAGTCCTGAGCATCTTTCCAGCTCTAACAGGTGAAGATGCACAAGAATCTCCAAGCAGATCAATCAGCACCACGAGCTACTCCAGCAGCTGTGCTAGGAAACCAAACAGCCCTGGAAGGCTTCTCCCTGGCTTTTGACCCTCAAGGAAAATTCTTTCATTATCTGCTGGTATGGCCGGCAGCCAAAATGGCTGGATGGATTTTAAAACTGATTTAAGGAAAAAAAAACTTTGTCTATAAGTATTGAAAGAGGTTTGGGTCTCTTGAGGTTTTCCTGAATCTGACATGTTTTAAACAATAGTGAAAGGGGTGGGGTAAAGAAAAGCAAATATATAATTTACTCTTGGTAACGAACGACTGTAAAACACTCCAAAAATACAGTGTAAAGTACAAAGCTAGTGATACGTATTAATGACAGACATTTGTGGGTGTACCTATGCATGCAACCACAACACACAGTATAATTAAACCTTGCAAAATAGCCATTGTTTCAGGACTAGAAATGATTTACATCAAATAAGCAGTGAAAGGTTGTTACACACCCCTCTCCCCAAACTTCCTAAGTTACAAGGTTAGGGCAGGGTAGTATTTTTTTAAAAATCAAGGTTTAGGCCGGGCACGGTGGCTCAAGCCTGTAATCCCAGCACTTTGGGAGGCCAAGGCGGGTGGATCACCTGCGGTCAGGAGTTCAAGACCAGCCTGGCCAACATGGTGAGACCCCGTCTCTACTAAAAATACAAAAATTAGCCTGGCTTGGTGGCAGGTGCATGTAATCCCAGCTACTCGGGAGGTTGAGGCAGGAGAATCGCTTGAACCTGGGAGGTGGAGGTTGCAGTGAGCTGAGATCACGCCATTGCACTCCAGCCTGGGGGACAAGAGCGAGACTTTGTCTCAAAATAAATAAATAAATAAAAATCAAGGTTTAAAAATTTGTTGCATGTAGAAAAACTGACTTTGAATGATGCAGCTATCAAAGGGTTAGATCATTGTGCATGGCATGGATAAGCTCTGAAAACACACATCTATCTCAAGAGTGAGTAGTTCCTGGAGTTGACCACATAAAAGAAATCTAAGGCTTTTTCTGAGATGCATTCTTGGATGCTTTTAGTAAAGTGCACTTTTAAAAGTGTACAAAATGAATTTCTGTAGCAAACTTTATGTATCTATATATCTACACATATATCTATAGATCTCTATCCATAACTGTATCTCCATACACTCATATACATATATGCATACATATTTTCAGCCATAAAGTCTAGAATAAATTCCTTGTAAGTTCTTCAGCCTGTGGCCTCACAATGGATTATTTCAGGTTTTATCGTTTCTCATATTCTCTATCTCTTCTCATAAACAGACAAGCCATAACTGTACAACTTCCATAAAACGGATTCAACAGGTGGAAACATGACTACAAAGAAAAGTTTGCCCCTTATTTGGAAGGCATGGAACTTATGTTTCTTCCTCACAGGGGTGTCCCAAATCCCTTTCACTGAGAAAATTCCTCTGAAGACAGTAGAATGTTTATTAGATGACTTAAGTGTTTGAGGGTTCCAGCAGCAAGACTAGAGAAGGATTTCTCACTGTCTTCAGAGACATCTCCTCTCCCCAGCTTTTATATGTCATCATATAAGTTTCCTTCTTGATATAATCACCATCTGCTGATGAAGCAGCATAATCACCTAAAAGAACACCTGTAACCATTTAGTGTCTTGTGTTTAAAGAAAAGAGAGTCTTTCCAGAAAAGTGTGTTGAGTCATAAAGTAACAGATGTAACCTGTGTAAGCTGGATCCCAAAGGAGGAGGAGAGATGAAACTGGAGCAGAAGTAATATTTAAAGAAATACTGGCTGGCAAAAATACCAGACGCAGCTTCATAAAGTTCTATAAATGCCCATCAGAATCAATACAGAGGAAATCAAACCTAGACACATCATAGTAGAACTACTGAAAGTCAAAGAGAAAAATCTTTAAAACATCCAGGGAAAAGACACATTATCTTCAAAGTGTAATAATGCAACCAACAAAATTAACTTCTCAATTGAAAAAGTGAAATCCACAAACCAATGCAATGACATCTTCAAAGTGCTGAAATAAAATAACTAACAATCTAGAATTTTCTACCTAGTGAAAATATTCTTCATAAGTAATGAAGGAAAAATATTTTACCAGATAAACAAAAATGGAGAGAATTTATCACCAGCAGAGCCATACTAAAATAAATAGTAAGGAGAGTTTTTGAGGCAGAAGAAAAGCAATCCCAAAGGGAAACACAGAAGTGCTGAAAGCATTGAAATACACCAAAAGGGTAAACATAAGTAAATCTAAATGATAGTGACTGTGCAATATAAATATAATAATGATAATAATGTGAAGTTTAAAATATACATAGAATTAAAACATCAATGATACACAAAAGGTTTGAGGGGTAAACGGATTTCATGTGTTTTAAAGCCCATATTATATCATCTGGGAAATGGTAAAAGTACTAATTAATACTAGGATTCTAATAAGTCAAACATGTATTGTTGTAATGACTATAGCAACAAGAAACAAGTGGGCAAAATGGAAAAAAAAACCTACAGTAGGATTGAACATTTATACCCAAATATATCAGGTTTTTTTTTTTTCCTTTTGAGATGGAATCTCCCTCTGTCACCCAGGTTGAAGTGCAGTGGTGCAATCCCAGCTCACTGCAACCTCTGCCTCCCCAGTTTAAGCGATTCTCCAGCCTCAGCCTCCTGAGTAGCTGAGACTACAGGCACCTGCCACCACGCCCGGCTCATTTTTGTATTCTTAGTAAAGACGGGGTTTCACCACGTTGGCTAGGCTGGTCTTCAACTCCTGACCTCAGGTGATCCACCCGCCTCGGCCTCCCAAAGTGCTGGGATTACAGGCGGGAGCCACCGTGCCCTGCCTATATCAGTTATTAAATGTAAACAGATTAAATTCTCTAATTAAAAGACAAAGGTCATCAGACTACATTTTAAAAAATTGTTACTTATAAGAAGCACATTTTACTTTTAAAAACAGATTGAGTATAATTAGCTGGCAATGAACTGCACATATTTAAAGTATACAATTAGATAAGCTTTGACATACGTATAGACCCATGAGACCATTACTACAATAAAAAAGTTTCTTCATGCCCCTTCTTAATTTTTACCCTCCGTCTCCTGGTAACTACTAATTTGCTTTCTGTCACTGTAGATCCTTTGCATTTTCGAGAATTTTACATAAATAGAATCATACAATATATCTCTTTTTTTGGTCTGGCTTCTTCCATTCAACAGAATCATTTTGCAATCCATCTATATTGCACTGTGTATTAGTAGTTTACTCCCTTTTATTATAGAGGAGTATTCCTTTGTATGGATATAACATGGTTTTTTTTAAATCCATTCATCTGTCTATGGACATTTGAGTTGTTTTCAGTTTTTACCTATTACAAATAAAGTTGCTGTAAACATTTGTGTTCAAATCTTTATATGGATACATTCTTTCATTCCTCTTGGGTAAATGACCAGTTAAAGTGTTTTACAACATGGTTGTATACTCCCATAATCAGTGTTCCAGTTTTTCCATATGTTCAACAATACTTGGTGTTGTTAGTATTTTTCATTTTAGCCATTATACTAGACATGTTGTATGTGGTGGTATCTCATTGTGTTTTTAATTTGCATTTCCCTAATGACTAATGATGCTAAGAAAGTTTTCATGAAGAGACACTTTATTTATTTATATTTAACTTTTATTTTAGGTTTAGGGTTACATATACATGTTTGTAACATAGGTAAATCGCGGTGTCTTTCTTTCTTTCTTTCTTTCTTTCTTTCTTTCTTTCTCCTTCTTTCTTTTGACACATTTTAAATATAAGGACATAAAAAGACTGACAGTGAAAGAATTTAAAAAGTTATGAAACCTAGCCAAAAGAAAGCTGAGGTAGCTATAGTACTATCAGACAAAATGGACTTTAAGAAGCATTACCGAAGAGAGAGACATTTCCTAAATAATCAAAGGGCAATCCACCAGGAAGACACAACAATTCTAAATATGTATGTACCAAGTAATATAGGCTCAAAATATATAAAGCAAGAACTGCAAAAGTAGAGGAAAAATATTACATCCACAACTACAATAAAAGTTTCAAACATACTTCTGTTCTATCATGCAGATTAAAAAAACCCAGAGATACACAGAGCTTGAACATGATAAACAGACTTGTGCTAATTGACATATACAGAAAACACTATGCCTAACTTCAGAGTACACATTCTTCTTGCACACATTAAACATTTACATATTGACCATATCCCCGACCATAAAACAAATCTTAACAAATTGCAAAGGTCCAGAAATCATATAGAGTAGCTAGTCTGATGCCATGTAGAACTAAACTAGAAACCAACAAAAACATACTAGCTCTAAAACATCTAAATATTTGTTTTTGCAAATAACATAATTTTAAGCATATCTTTCTTTCCATTTATGTGCCTGGGCTAAGTAAGTGGATTTTAAAAAATTATATAAAAACCAAAAAGAAAATAGCCAGAGAAGAAAACTACATGTAATATTTAGACATAGTTATATAAGCTATTCTATTTTTATTTTGAGCATGTAAGATATTTTGCAATTTTAAATATAAAAAGTATAAAAAAGCATATTGTACAATGTCTCCCTCCTACTCCTGTCTGCCAGGTACCCAGTTCCCTCTGCATAGACAATCTAGGTAATAATTTCTTTTTTTTTTTTTTTTTGAGACGGAGTCTTGCTCTGTCGCCCAGGCTGGAGTGCAGTGGCACGATCTCCGCTCACTACAAGCTCTGCCTCCCGGGGTAATAATTTCTTGTGTTTCCTTCTGTGCATATAGAGTTTATAAGCAAATACATGTATACATTCTTTCCCACATTTTTATTTACACAAATGGGAATACAGTACTTGAGAGTCGTCTATGTTGTAGTGTTCACCCATTGTTCATTCCTTTTTATTATGGAGGAGTATTCCACTGTATGAATACCACAATTTCTTTATCTGTTTGCTGGTGATCTTCATTTTGCTTTATTCACTTAATAGATAAATACATAATAATTCCCTCATTCTTTTTTTACAGCTGCATATGTATTCTACTATAAAACTGGGCAATAATTTCTTAACTAGTCTCTTTCATTCATTTCTGTTGTTTCTAGTTTTCTGCCAGCACAAAAAAATTCAGAAAACTGTACATGTGAACTCATACATGTATAAATATATCTGTGGAATAAAGTCCTAGAATTGGAATTGCTGGGTGAAAGTGTTTGTGTATTAGTCCTTCAGAGTATTTTACCAATTAACACTCTAAGCAGCGATATAAAGAAAGTGCACAAAATACTTTCAACAATTTTAAGGAGTTACTGAATTTACTGGCTATTCTGCCCATTGTTATCTGTAACTATCCTGAAGAACCAAGAATCCATTTATTTGATAAGCAAAACCAACATTTGCATTGAGGGGCTCTTTTCTTAACTTTATGGGCAGGAAGTTGCTATCTAGTAAAGTTAATCCCTTTGTTTACAGGGTAACTGTAAGACTCAAGACAGTATGGTTACCTTCTGGTGAGCTGAAAATTTCATTTGGGCATACTAAGTTTGAGGTTCTCATGAGGACTCCAAGTGGCTGTCAAGTTGGCAGTTGGATAAACAGGTCTGGAACAGAAACAAAGTCCCAGTTGCAGATGTGAAGTTGGCCAGGCTTGAGAGGGCAGGGCTGAGAGGTCCACACCTCCCCACCCATGGTTTCTTGCCCATGTCCCTAGCAACCCATATCTAGTTTACCAAAATGGCTATATGTGGTGCCCACAATGGTGTGGTTATAATCTGTGGTCTGGGAACAAAGCCACATAGCCTGGCTAAACAACTAAACCAATCTCTCTCACTCTGAGCACCAGTGGTCATTCCTTTGTTTTGGCTTTCACACATCTTTCATGAGTCTAATCTTTGAGGAAAACACAGATAACAAAAGCTCTCGACAAGCTGGTCAGAGAAGATCTTGAAAGCAGCTCCTGGGACCACCAAACAATTTGTGGAATGAAATTTTGCCAAATGCATAGACTAAAAATAGGTATACTTCTGGCCATTAAGAAGAACTTACTGATTATTAGGATTGCAGAAGGTCGACTCATTTTTTGTGTGTGAAAACAGAAAATGATGCCACTATTTACTGAGTGCTTACATGACACAGGGCTCTGTGCTGAGCACTTGATGAGCACCTCAGTGAATCCACACAGCAATGCTATGAACCAGGTTTATCATCCCTATTTAACAAATGCAAAACTCAGGGCTGGAAATGTCTGGAGGATTTGAACCCAAGACTATCTGACTCCAAAGAACATTCTGTTAGTTACTATGCTTATTATATGGGTATAAGCTTAAAAATGCATTTAAATCTAAGTACATTATTTGAAAACCTTCCATGTTTTTAAATAGTGTACTTAAAAACTAGAAGGAAATACTACTATTCACAGTTATGTTAGAGAGGTGGGAAAATAGAATTTTTTTTCTTTTTTGAGACAGGGTCTTGCTCTGTCACCCAGGCTGAGTGCAGTGGCGAGATCACAGCTCACTGCAGCCTCAAACTCCAGGACTTACGAGATCCTCCTACCTCAGTCCCCTGAGAGTAGCCAGGACTACAGGCATGTACCACCATACCTAATTTTTAATTTTATGTCGAGATGGGTCATGCTATGTTGCCCAAGCTGGTCTCAAATTCCTGGATGCAGGTGATCCTCCTGCCTCAGCCTCCCAAATTGCTGGGATTATAGGCATGAACCACCACACTCAACCGAGAGTTGTTTTTTTTTTTCTTTTTCTAAAATGTTTGTGCTGTGGTTACCATAGATTTATGACAGAAATTGTAAACACACATACAGCTTTTTAAACTATTATGAAAGTATCTTAAGAGTCTCTTCAGGGCCAGATATGGTGGCTCACGCCCGTAATCCCAACACTTTGGGAGGCCAAGGCGGGCAGATCACCTGAGGTCAGGAGTTCGAGACCAGCCTGGCCAACGTGGTGAAACCCCATCTCTACTAAAAATACAAAAATTATCCGGGCATGGTGGCACATGTCTGTAATCCCAGATACTCGGGAGGCTGAGGCAGGAGAATTGCTTGAACCCGGGAGGCAGAGGTTGCAGTATGCCGAGATCGTGACACTGTACCCCAGCCTGGGCAACAGAGCAAGACTCCATCTCAAAAAAAAAAAAAAAAAAAAAAAGAGTCTCTTCAGGCTCCTTTCATCATTACCATGTTGTTTCTAAGTCTCCTGGAATTTTGAAATAAAACTATTCTCAGCATACTTTGAGCTCTTGCACCCACTCCCTCCTCTACCTGGATTCAGTTAAACTCAACACACATTGTTGGATGCTGTTGATTAAAAACACCTCATTTCTCCACTCTGATTTGTGATTTATCTAAGTTATTTGTCCCAGCATAGCCAGCTCCTTGGCCAATTTAGAGGCCACATGCTGTATATTCATGAAAGGGCCTATAATGGTGCTATTTATTTTCAGATGTGCTGGCCAAGGCAGTGAATTAGCAGCATGTCTGTGTGACTTAGTGACGTGACTTCAGTAAAGACATGGAGAGCCTTCCAGCCTCTGCTATTCAAGCTGATTGCAGTTGTGAAATACACATGCCTTTGCTATAAGGGGAAATGGAGCAGTCCTAACTTCCTCCTTCTTTGTGAGTTTGCTTTGTTAAATAAACTATGGAACTTATGGAGGTGGCTGAGAGAGAAAGTTTTTGTTTGCCCTTGAACACTGCTTCAACCTGTGGGGGACAACTGAACTAAGCTAAGGACCATCAGGTAATTGTTGTTGTATTTTCATGCACACTCTCTATTGCAGTGGTTCTCAAAATGTGGTCCTGGGACCAGCAACATCAACATCCCCTGGCCAAGCTAGAAATGCAGACTATCAGGCCTCCGCCAGACCTACTGAATCCTAAACTCTAGGGATGGGCCCAGCTATCTGTGTTTTCACAAGCCCTCCTGGCTGGGCGCGGTGGCTCACGCCTGTAATCCCAGAACTTTAGGAGGCCGAGGTGGGCAGATCATGAGGTCAAGGGATCAAGACCATCCTGGCCAACATGGTGAAACCCCGTCTCTACGAAAAATACAAAAATTAGCTGGGCTGGTGGCACATGCCTGTAATCCCAGCTACTCAGGAGGCTGAGGCAGGAGAATCGCTTGAACCTGGAAGGCTGAGGGTGCAGTGAGCCGAGATCGCGCCACTGCACTCCAGCCTGTCGACAGAGTGAGACTCTGTCTCAAAAAAACAAAACCAAAAACAAACAAACAACAACAACAAACAAAAAACAAGCCCTCCAGATGATTCTGTTGCAGGCTTACATTTGGGAACCACTGGTCTATTGCTGGCAGAAAAATTCCAGCTCTACCTGCCAGCCTTCTCTTGCCCTTTCACCATTCTCCCTCAGTGACATAGGACTGTAATCACCCTCCCTCAGTCTAACTAACGCTGACTATCTAGTTAATTTGAAAATCAAGATTCTAACAGACATCCATTTAATGATACCTGCTTGCTATGTAGCCAAATTTAACTAAGATATTCTACTTTGTACAAATAGTTAATGTGCCCTCAAATAATCACTTCTTCCATTCCCTTCTTCCCCAGTCCCAAACCATCTCCATCTTTTCTCAAAATTTATTTTAGTTTGGAGGATGGAAACAATGCTTCTTAAACCAAAGACACTGCACTGTTCCAAAGTTATGAAGCTATTAATTGTTGACTGTTATTTACTTTAAGAAAAAGCTCTGATGTGGGAGGTGGAGTCAGTGCCTGGAAGGGTGAATATTTGGAGAAGGAGAGCAGGCTCAGGAAAGTTGTAGAATGACGAGAATCTCTTAGTTGAGAACAGTAGAAAGATGAGACATAAGCCCAGATGTCTGACATTGATTTATTCTTTCAAGTATTCATCGAGTGTGCACTTGCTCAAAGTTCTGGGGATACTGCAATGAGGAAAGCAGACAAAAGCCTCTGCCCTCATGAAGCTTCTATTCTGATGTGCACTGAAGCCTGAGCTTCTGCCACATTCTTTTGTATTGAGACTGCCCTATCCAGCGATCCTTTCAGCTCAGGGTGTTTTATCACTATAGGTACCTGAGACAAGAAAAATATATGGTGCCTCTATAGGAGGGGAGGAGATGACCAGAATGAGGGAAAAATTCTTCACAAGGAAAAGTACCCAGACCCCACCCCAGCTAACCAAATTTAGTTATTCACAGAGCAAAGGAAATCTCTCTGAGGCTTCTAAATTTGACATCTTTATGGGTTCCAGGAATCATGCACATTCAATAAAGCCAAATTTATCCTCATAACAGCTCCCTCATGGGATAAGTACTACCCTCATTTTATAGAAAAAGAAGCTGAAGCAGAAACGAATTGGGTACCGGATCAAGTTCTGAAGCAGAGCCTGTTCCGACCTAAGAACCAAGTCTGCCTCTTGCAGGATTTTCTTGCCTGTATTGGCATATCGATGCTCACTTGGCTCTAGCACTGAGCCTTTTCCAGAAGTAAGGCTCAGTCTTCGGCCAACATTCTCCAGGAAGCCACCATGTCCTTTATTGTTCTGCAAATATTCTTTCCTGCAGGGCTCAGAAAGAGCCTCGTTCTTGTGATCTATCCACTATTTCCCCTATGAATCCTAATACTGTATCCTTAATAAAATTTCTATCTAGATATAAAATAAGTTCCCTTACTCTTCCCTTACTAAAGAGTTGGTCATGTTAGTGTGATAGATGCAGAAGTAATAATCTCTTAAATCACTTCTTAATAAATGAGACTACATTCTGTGCACTAAACAGTTATTCAAGATGACAACTATTAGGATATTTGTTTTGGTGAAATCGTATGGCCTGAATTACGGATCAAGCAGGTATTTTAAATCAATAAGCCTGAATAAAAATACCAACCCTTCTAATTTTGAGGGGAAGAGGTATTTTTCTCTATGTGCAATATTAAAATAATACTATGTTTGTTGTATAAAATATAGCAAAATTTACATCAATGAGTATAAATTATTCTTCATATGAAGAAATGATAAGAGACTAGAGGACATGTATGGTAAAGTTATGTACGGTAAAGTTATTTGAGCTGTTTTTTTTTTTTTTTTTTTTTTTTTGGAGATGGAGTCTTGCTCTATCCCCCAGGCTGGAGTGCAGTGGCGCGATCTCGGCTCACTGCAACCTCCACCTCCTGGGTTCAAGTGATAATACTGCCTTAGCCTCTCGAGTAGCTGGGACAACAGGCAAGTGCCACCACGCCTGGCTAATTTTTGTATTTTTAGTAGAGATGGGGTTTCACCATGTTGGCCAGGCTGATCTCAAACTCCTGACCTCAGGTGATCTGCCCGCCTTGGCCTCCCAAAGTGCTGGGATTACAGGCATGAGCCACCGCGCTCTGCCTGTTATTTGGACTTTTTAAAAGAGACATGGCAAATGTGAATATTATTATATACAGAAATTTATTTCCTTCTGCATTAATTGGTGATTTCTTTCTTATTACCTGTCTTCAACTCAAAACAGTCAAAAGAGTCTCAGGATCGTTATAAGGATGATCTAAAGACATTCTGTTTAGACTCCTAGAATACTCAAGATACTTATAATTGGGCACATATATGAAAACCTTTCCTTTTATATATTGAGACTGTTCTCTTTTTTTCTTTTTCTTTTTTTAGAGAACTTAAATACAAAACCTCCTGATATTCAAGCTAATGCTGTAACAACAAAGTTAACTTGAGCAAACTTTGAACAATTCCCTTGCAGGCCCTGTTCTGGAATCTCTCCAGTGGTGACCCTCAAACTTTAGCATACAAAAATAAGAATCTGCTAAAGAACTGATCAACCATGCAGATTTCTGAGCGCCACCCTCCTGAGATTCTGATTCATTGGTTTGAGCACAGCTAGAATCTGCATTATAATAACGCCAAGGGTTCAGATGTAGTCCACCTAAGGACACTCTGAGACAAGCAACAACTGCCTTGTGAACTTCGAGCCAATGGAAAACCCGACTGAGAAACCTGTCTCATCATTAAGCCAACTTTATAATCTCAAGTCGTGATGCATACTTGGTGCTCACTCAAATGGAAGTAGAAGGAGAATGTGAGTCAATGTGGTTCTATCTGCAATTTTCCACTTCCACCTGCAGGGAAATGATTTATCCATAATGCAGGAAGGTCAAGGTTCCCAGGATAGCACAAGTCAACATTTTCCTTCTTACTACTATGTAAACAAGTTTTTCAAGGCACTTTAGATTTAAAAAGTTAACAAAGAGGAAAGACAAAGGAGGAAAGAAGGAAGAGAAGGATTTTCACAGGAAAAATAAAAGAAAGGTAATCTTGCTAAAGTAAGTAGGACGAACTGGACTATACCTGCTGAATAATTATAGGGTACGCTTCAGAAGGCACACACTCAGCGAAGCCAGACACACTGGCCAGTAACGAGATAGCAAGAGTTGGGAATTATTCATTTTCTGGCCTCATATTATCTGCAGAGTCCATGAGGGTTTAGGAGGATGGTCTTTTTCAGAAATCTTAATCTGTATCAAATGGAGGAATGGAATTGCATCTCAGTGAGATCTTGCTGTCCCGATTCTTCTTCAGCCACCTGTATGCCTACCATGGGTTTGCAAATTCTGCCCTGGGTCTGGTTACTACATTAAGAATATATCTTACTGTCAATATCAGGGTTCCTATTAAACTGTTCTCCTATGCAGTTCCCAAATATTAGACACATAAGGAAAAGTGCTTTCCTAAAAATGCTTTACTTTTTACCTTCAACAAGGGAACAACAGTTAGCTTCAACTTTCAACAGTTTTAGAATACTTTGCATTTTAAAAGCTTCTTGCATTTGAACACATCTCAAAATCTTGGCCTCACTCTCTTTTCTCAATGCATAAATGTGGTTACGATCCCTGGGGGTTTTCAC
The DNA here is from genome assembly GCF_000001405.40 of Homo sapiens. NCBI lineage: Eukaryota > Metazoa > Chordata > Mammalia > Primates > Hominidae > Homo > Homo sapiens. Next base: position 253,864 of record NC_000009.12, on the reverse strand, counting down.
ATGCTTTTATACCAGGTGACTGTGTATTAAACGAGCTAAGGTAAAGTTGATCCATGATAATTAACAGGAATAAGATTTTAGGGGAAAAAATCCTAAAACCTGTTTCTTAAATGAAGCCATCAATCATGGCAGAGGAGCCACATGTTGGGCACAAAGCCAACACCCACACGGCTCTTTCTGGGACAAGGCTTTTGGTCAAGGGCAAGGTATTCCCCACAAGAAGAGAGCTGAATATGTCTCCCATTTTGCTAGTCTCTTATATTAGCATAACTTTTAGTCTTATGGAGGCAAACCTTCCCTGTTCCAGAGCCTTACTTCCAATGAAGTAGGCAAGGCAACAAACACTCAAAGAAGTTAAGGGACTGCTTAAGCCTAACAAATCTTGCAGGTGGTAGAGGTGGAATGAGAACTGAGTTTATGCTTAGGAAAGTAGACTGTGGTCTTTTTTCCTAAAGAAAGTTGCTTTGAGTAGGTACAATGGGCAGTAGGTCACCATTTAAAGAGGAAAGAAATCCGTGACCAATCATAACTTGCTATGCTTGTAATTCCCACCACCTTAAAGCACATAGGAAGTGTTTAGTTCGATTGAAAGATCAGTTACTTGAGAGAATAACATACAAACTAAACCTTAGTACAGTGTGATATTCCTACATCAGACTAATCTATATCCACCTAATTTCATACAGGGACACTGAGGAAGTGAAGCCCAGACTACCCTGTAGATGCATAGGAAGCTAAGGAAGATAATGGGTCCCAAAAAAGCAATGGTGGGAATTGGGGTCCAGTCCTTTTCCAGGAGGGATGGAGTGTAAAAAGAATATTAATAAAATTAGGTGTTCAAGGCTAGTTTCCGAAAAAACATTTTGAATCAAACCTCTGTCCCAAGGACAGAATAAAACACTCTGTGCTTTGGGATACCCTAGGACCAACTTCATCCATTTCTCAGTTTTTCTTAGATTAGGACAATAATAAGTAGTTTAAATGCATGTTGGCTACCAACAAAAGTTAACAAATAAAGCCTGCCTAAATTGATGTGAAGAAGTATACATAGGACTTTTTTTTTTTTTGAGATGGAGTCTTGCTCTGTTGCCCAGGCTGGAGTGCAGTGGTGTGATCTCGGCTCACTGCGACCTCCCGGGTTCAAGCAATTCTCCTGCCTCAGCCTACCAAGTAGCTGGGGCTACAGGCATGCATCACCAGGCCCGGCTAATTTTTTGTATTTTTAGTAGAGATGGGGTTTCACCATGTTGGCCAGGCTGCTCTTGAACTCCTGACCTCAGGTGATCTGCCCGCCTCGGCCTCCCAAAGTGCTGGGATTACAGGGGTGAGCCACTGTGCCCGACCTACATAGGAATTTTTTAAAAAATAAATGAATCTAACAAGACATTTATTTTCAATATTCTCATGCTAACTTACACAGTAATCATATTCCAATGAATAACAACTGGTTCAAATCTTGCATAATCATCTACTAATTGTGTGATCTTGGGCAAATTAATTAACCCTGCTAAACATATGGTGGAGTGACAGAGACACAGACACACAGAGAGACTCAGAGTTCCAAACCTGTCAGGCTGTAAGAATTCCCTTGGGGCTGGGCACGGTGGCTCACGCTTGTAATCCCAGCACTTTGGGAGGCCGAGGCCAGTGAATCATGAGGTCAGGAGTTCGAGACCAACCTGACCAACATGGTGAGACCCCCGTCTATGTTAAAAGTACAAAAATTAGCCGGGCATGGTGGCATATGCCTGTAGCCCCAGCTACTCAGGAGGCTGAGGCAGGAGAATCACTTGAACCCAGGTGGCAGAGGTTGCAGTGAGCCGAGATCTCACCACTGCACTCCATCCTGGGCAACAGAGCAAGACTCCATCTCAAAAAAAAAAAAAAAAAAAGAAAACACAATTGCTCTCGCTTCTGCACCCCATGTGCTGGTTAAGTAGTTTCCCATTCTTCTTACTTTTTGGTGTACCCTTAAAATAATGCACCATTAACTTAGGTAACATGAGCGTATCTTTAATCCTTATAACCTGGAAAAGCCTGCTACTAGAACTACTATTACTGCAATTAACAATGCTAGTCACACTTAATGAGTGCTTTCTGTCTGATCGTTAGCCCATGTAGTCCTCACAACAACTCTATGAGGGAGGTATTATTATCTTCACTTTACAAATTTGGAAACTGAAGCCAAGAAAGGTTAAGAGACTTGTACAAGGCTTTACTGGTACACACAGAGAAGGAAGGAGACAGAAGATAGCCCTACTGGAAAATGTTATCACCAGGCGCATCTCAGAAAAAGCTGCTATCGGAGTGAAACTTCTGGTATTTTCCTTCCCGGGGGCTTGGCAATGGAAAGCTTAGCATGCGAAAGCTTTCAGAAGAAAGGATACTAAGCTTTGCCCCTGACTACTAAAAAGAGCAGGTTTTAGCTTGTTGCTGAGACTTTGAACCTGGCTCCAATATCATTAATCCTTTCATGGATAAGTAGTCCTGGAATACGTTCCAAATGGCATCCAAATACCCATGTTAGCAATGGGTAAAAGATTTAAGAGCAACTTCTAAACATTGATTTTTTTCATCAAGTATGATTCTCTTTTTGTGTAGTTTGTCTCTTTGTGTTTCACCAAGGAACAAATATTAAGCACAATAAAAGTGAAGCCCTGTGAAGTCCAAAATCTGTTAATGCACCAAATATTTTTCTAGAATGTGGGATGGGGCAGGCAAAGGAGACATCTGAAACAGAAATTGCATTCATGTTTTTATTCGAGATCTGTCCTTGTCAAATGTTTCCTACATTACCTGGACAATCCCTGTCTGTCCCTAGACTCCTCTTTGCTTCCTATAAGTCTGCTCAACTCACTGGCATCAGAAAAGAGCCTTCCCTTCATCAGAGGGCCTTCCTCAAGCTCATTCTCTCCCCTTCCCCTGAGCTCGAGTTTCTACTTCCTTCAGTCCCTCTCACTCCTAATCCAATGTTCGCAGGCTACCACCCTCACCCTTCTGTAAAAGCTTCTCTTGATATAGCCACTAAAGACCTTTTGCTGGACAGCCAGGACTTCCTTCCTGTCCTGTTTTAATGTGATCTTTCGGCTGCATCAGGCAGTGTTGACCTTCTAATCCGTCATGAAACTCCTCCCTGGGATTATACACATACTATCAACTCTACTATTTGATCATCCTCAGTTTCTTGAATGGGCTTTCCACCCGTGTAGGCCCCTTACATGTTGTTTACTCCCAAATGATAGTACTATGATAAATTTGGAATTGAGTGTGGAAGGTTCCGGGTAAGCAAATCTGTTTCTAAAACATGGGGAAGCATTAAAGAAAAAACATGGGGGAATCCCAATAAGGAAAAACCCAGTATGGTGTGGTATCAGAGGGTCTTGTTTTGATGAGTCTACTGGGAATATTTTATGTAGAGTAGATAGGTTATTGTAAATGGTCTTTTTCTCAGAGGAGATCAGTTTCTTTAATTGTTTCATTCCTTGAAGGGACAATGTCAAAGCTGTTGAGCCCAAAACCACCCCCTTTGACTCATTTAGCTCACATGGAAAAATTTTCCCTAAAGAATGCAGAAAGGAATTTCTACAAAGCAATTAATTTATCCTCTTTTGCCCAACTGCAAGCAGTAGCACATGAGCCTTGGCCATTTCCTGTCAGCTTAATAACAAACAACTCAGCCCTCTCTTGCCCTCGCATCTTGAACCCTACATGCTCCCAGAAATATGATAAATGCTTGTGCCAGGACATAATGACAACTTAAAAGATCCCTAGTATGTGGAATACAGTGGAGGAGTTCAGACTGTTACAGACTTGCCAAAGCCTGTGCTATAAAGCCTGTGTTCTAGAATAAGGGATAGGGCCTTTGGACTACCTGCAACATTATAGAGCTTTCAGACTGTTAGGGATTGTCCAGATGCTGTAAGAGTAATAGCACGTCAGCCAGGTGCAGCAGTTCACGCCTGTAATCCCAGCACTTTGGGATGCCGAGGCGGGGGCGTCGCTTGAGGTCAGGAGTTCGAGACCAACCTGACCAACATGGTGAAACCCCTTGCCCACTAAAAATACAAAAAAAAAAAAAAATTAGCCAGGCATGGTGGTGGGCACCTGTAATCCCAGTTACTTGGCAGGCTGAGGCAGGAGAATCGCTTGAACCTGGGAGGCAGAGGTTGCAGTGAGCCAAGATTGTGCCACTGCACCACTCCAGCCTGGGCAACAGGGCGAGACTCCGTCTCAAAAAATAAAAAATTAAAAAAATTAAAAAATAAGAAAAGAGTAATAGCATGCTAAACTATTAAGAGTAATAGTTTTTACTCTTAATAAACTAAGAGTAAGAATTGTATTACTCTTAATAGTTTGGCATGGCAGATGTGATGCAGTCTAACCAACTAGGAATGAAGAAGAAATGCCAGTTATTACATATTAAACTTTTGAAAGAAAATGTATTGAGGCTGTGAGATTGCTGCTGACAGTATAGAAAACATCACTGACTTTCCTCTTTTCATTTATCTTTGTGGAGTCACAGGCTGTGGTCAGAGGTAGGCTAAGGCTTGGGTGGTGACTTCACTCCACTTCGCAGAGTTTATTGTTGGACAAAAGAACTGGGCGTGGCACCTTGGGAAGGATGTGAATGTTCTGGTGAAGGAAGTGGTGTCCCCCAGTCATGCCATAGGACCATCTCTAGACTTGAAAGTTTGCCATTTGTTGGCACTGGCCCAAGATCCTGGGAAACCCCCCAGCAATCTTTCATCTATATGCAGTCCCAGGTGAGGGAAGTGTTTACAATAGCAACAACAGGTACCAAGAGCGGAAGGAGAAGATAGGATATTGGGTTCAACCTGGAAGAGTGGGACCTCCCACTACCTGTCTGTGGTGGAGGCAGCCCTCTTTCCATAAGTGTGCAGTCATTTTTGCCCTCACTCACTTCACTCTGTCACCTAGAATGAAGTAACAATAACAGGCCACAAATGTCCATCCTTAAGATTATGATGTTTCTGGAGAGTCTCTATTTTTCAGAGTTAGGTTTACTTCTTCAAGCAGCACCCCTGCTTTTGGTAACAGCACTATCTCAGCAAAAATGCAACTGAATCTATGAGCAATAACCCACCAAGTACTTACAGCCACAAACCAATTCATGTTGGTGAATAGGACAGGAACAGGAAGGTGGAGAATCTAAAGGTGGCATCACTCATGCCAGTATTTTCATTAGGTCGTGACAGCTACATCAAAAGTAAGAAAGATAGAAAGAAAAGAAGATGGAAAGAAAGAAAGAGAGAAAGAAAGACAGAGAGAGAGAAAGAAAGAAAGAGAGAGAGAGAGAAAGAAAGAAAGAAAGAGAGAGAGGGAGGGAAGGATGGAAGGAGGCAAGGAAGGAAGAAAGAGAGGAGAGAGGAGGGAGGGAGGAAGGAAGGAAGGAAGGAGGGGAAAGACAGAAGGAAGGGAAAAATAAAAGAAAGAGAACACTTGACATAGGCAAATGGTGTTCCTTTGAAAGCAAGGAAGGTAAAATTGACCAAATAAAATTGGTAATGAGTCAGGCCTTATAAAGACAGAATGTTCAGTATTGACGGCTTAAAGGTGATGTTAATCTGTTTTGTCTAAAAGGCACAGGCCAGGGAGACTATAGGGAGAAACAGGCAAAACAAGAGACCTGAGCCCTGGTGCTTGAGGGGCAAAGCCCAGGGTGGACAGTGAATGTGGTAGCAGGTGACACCTCAGAGATGCTGTTCACGGAAAGCCACCTCAGATGAGGCTCTCTGCTCCACCAAATTATCAGACTCTCTGTATTGGACTTAATGCAAGATTCTTTTCCTCGGACATATTAAAGTTTCAACACAAAGTTTGCTCAGCTTGTTTACTCAACTTTGTTTCTTTTTTTTTTTTTTAACTTAGAGAAGATCAGAAAAGAACATTTTAATACAATATACATTGGGGCAATGAAACAGAAGTAATGTTTTAGTTTATTTATTAATGATAATACTATAAACAGAATTTAGTCTGGAAGTATTCATTTCCTTAGAGACTAACACACTTTTGAAACAAACATTTCTCTGCCATAATCCCAGCACTTTGGGAGGCCGAGGAGGGTGGATCACGAGGTCAGGAGATTGAGACCATCCTGGCTAACACGATGAAACCCCGTCTCTACTAAAAAAAAATACAAAAAATTAGCCGGGCGTGGTGGTGGGTGCCTGTATTCCCAGCTACTCGGGAGGCTGAGGCCGGAGAAGGGCGTGAACCCGGGAGGCGGAGCTTGCAGTGAGCCGAGATCACGTCACTGCACTTCAGCCTGGGCGACAGAGCGAGACTCCCTCTCAAACAAACAAACAAAAAAGAATAATGATAACAGCAATAACAGTGGCCAGCATTTACTAGGCACTAAGTGTACTTGGCATTATTTTAAAAAAAACTAGTTTGAATATTTAAAAAATGACAAATGGATGCTACAAAATATTTGCTGTCGAAAATACCCTCTCAGTTAAAAGATTAGGAAATTCAAGTAAATTCCACAAGCTCACTAACTTGTCGTATTTGATTAACTTAGGAAATGTGGAAGCAGTAAAATAGATATTCATAATCTGATTCCCCAATTGACTTTAAAGCAATTAAAAAAAGAATAGCACATTCAAATTAATAGTATGATAAATAAGGAAACACATTTCTTTCTGTGTATCAGGTGTAAATAACAATTTATGTAGAACTATATTCCAATTCAGCTGTAAGTGGTAAATGTTTTTAATAAGCATGAGAAGGAAAACACTCAGGTCATTCAGAATGCTTTAAATACTCAATATTCCCTATCTGTAGCTCGCATGTGATCCTCAATATTAATTAAGGAATTCTAAATTCAATATTCATCTTAAAGAGAAAAATCTCATTTTTTTTCTGTGGTATCACCCTTTATCTAACTTCCTTGAACTTGCAGATGATCTCATTTAAAAGTTGACAAATTAGACAGGCACAGTGGTGTGTGCCTATAGTCCCAGCTACTAGGGAGGCTGAGAAAGGAGGATCAGTTGAGCCCGGGAATTCTAGGCCAGCCTGGGCAACATTGCAAGACTTCATCTCTAAAATAAATAAATAAATAAATAAAAGCTTTAAAAAATAAATAATAACTGATAAATTACCTATGAACTACATGACCACAATCTCTGGATTCAACAACAAGACCACTAAGAAAATATCATCATTTTATACAATATTAAAAATTTTTCAAACATGTCTTTGTCCTTCTGCTACCATAAAGAAATAATCCCTTAAATACTCTTACATTCCCTTTCATCACCTCTCCTGTCTCTGTCAGACAAAAAATGGATCTAAGGGAACATTTTTTTGGATGCCTCCTTTTTTCCTGAGACAGGGTCTCACTCTGTCACCCAGACTGGAGTGCAGTGGTGCGATCTTAGCTCACTGCAGTTTTGATGATCCTCCTGCCTTAGCCTCTCTAGTAGGTGGGACTACAGGTGCTCACAACCATGTCTGGCTGTTTTTAATTTTAATTTTAATTTTTTTGTAGAGATGGGGTCACGCTATGTTGCCCAGGCTGGTCTCAAACTCCTGGCTTCAAAGAATTGTCCAGACTTGGCCTTCCAGTGTTGGGATTATAGGCATGAGCAACCACACCTGGCCAGATGCCCATTTTTTTTTTCTGAGATGGGTGTCACTCTGTCACCTAGGATGGAGTGCAGTGGCACAGTCTCAGGTCACTGCAAGCTCCATCTCCCAGGCTCAAGCAATCCTCCCACCTTAGCCTCCCAAGTAGCTGGAACTACAGGTACGCCACTATGCCTGGCCAATTTTTTGTATTTTTAGTAGAGACTAGGTTTCACCATGTTGCCCAGGTTGGTCTAGAACTCCTGAGCTCAGGCAATCCACCCTCCTTGGCCTCCCAAAGTGCTGGGGTTACAGGTGTGAGCCACCATGCCCAGCCAGATGCCCAATTTTTAATTGCTTTTGTTTGCTTGCCTAAATTGTCTGAATAATTATTTCAAAGTCCCCTATCATTTTGTCCAGCAAGTTTAAAGTTTTAGCATCTACATCTTGGTGCTGCCCAAGTTCTTGGTTTGCATCTCTATTCTGCCAATGACCTGGAATTATGTGAGAAGAAAAAGGGTATCTGAGAAAGTACCTGCCTCCTGGCACTAAATAAATGCTTCAACATGTTAGTTTTTTCCTTTATTCACAGCACTAGAGCACATGAAGCCAGCCTATGGTAGGCAGTAGGGTGTGGGTCAGCCTCCTTGGGATGCTATTGAGAGAACCCTTCAATTTCTTCACTCTTTGTCAAGTTGCCTGATGATTTCATCATTAGAGATGTATTCTGAGGGCTTTAAGAGCTGCCTATCAAAAAAGAAACTATTGGCCGGGCATGGTGGCTCATGCATGTAATCCCAGCACTTTGGGAGGCTGAGGAGGGCAGATCACCTGAGGTCAGGAGTTCGAGACCAGCCTGGCCAACATGGTGAAACACCATCTGTACAAAAAAATACAAAAAAATCAGCCAGGCATGGTGGTGCTTGCCTGTAATCCTAGCTATTGGGGAGGCTGAGGTAGGAGAATCACTTGAACTCAGGAGGTGGAGGTTGCAGTGAGCTGAGATTGTGCCACTGCACTCCAGCCTGGGTGACAGTGTGAGACTTCATCTCAAAAAATAAATAAATGAATAAATAAATAAAAGAAAATATCTTGGAAGGCAAAATAACCTAGCTGTCGGCTGAAAACAACTACAGCTGTGTAGGTGGCTTGTGGAGTGAGTGTGAGACCTTAGGGGCCTGGGACCTGAAATCAGCACCAGCAAAGCAACCTCAGGAGGTGGATGAGCACAGATGATAAACTCTCCTGATGTGGGAAAAACAAGTGGCCAGTGGTCAGAAAACCCAAGGGTCTTGTTTTTCCCAGTGGTCTGCCCTGCCCCTGGAGAGTCTCTTCATGAATTCCCCTGGAGAAAGGCACCTGTCCCCAGAATTTGGTGAGGCATCAGCCAGTCTTCTTCAAAACACACTGGCCCATCTGTCATGATCAACTAGAGACGGACTAGGAAGAAAACACCAATAGGGCCTTCACGAGCTATGGTGGGAAGCACCTCCAGCAGTTTTGAGCTTCAAACCTCCACAACTGGGAGGAAACTTTAGATCTGTGAAGTGTGATGGAACTCTAGGGAGGAACCATGCAGACCTGAATAGGTTTGGCCACATTCATTTATTAATTCTTTTAATAAATATTTATTAAACATTTATGATATGATAGGTGTTGTATGGGATCTAAAAATTCAAAGGTGAGCAAAACATATCCTCTTGAAGTTTACAGAACACCAGGGGCAGGTTGCGGGAGACATTAAGTAGGCAATCACATGATTTAGGACTTACAAATTGTGACAAGTACTAGGAAGAAACAGTAGAGAGTGCTCTGTGCGTATAAAAGGGGGAGTCTGATTTATTAAAGTCTGATCTGAGATCAGTTTAGTGGCTTGTGACCAGCGTTTTTTAAATGCAATAGAACAGAATAGAAAATGTTGAATGAATTGGAAATGGAAATGAAGTTGGATATGGTTTCGTTTCAGTATATATGTGTGTGCGTGTGTGTGTGTGTGTGGTGGGGGGAATACTAGATTGTAAAGTGTATTTTCATGGAACATGGAGGAAAACTTTGAGAGCTAAAATTTTTTTTTTTTTTTTTTTTTTCAGACGGAGTCTGGCTCTGTCACCCAGGCTGGAGTGCAGTGGCGCGATCTCTGCTCACTGCAAGCTCCACCTCCCGGGTTCACGCCATTCTCCTGCCTCAGCCTCCAGAGTAGCTGGGACTACAAGCGGTCGCCGCCACGCCCGGCTAAATTTTTTTTTGTATTTTTAGTAGAGACGGGGTTTCACCATGTTAGCCAGGATGGTCTCGATCTCCTGACCTCGTGATCTGCCCGCCTCGGCCTCCCAAAGTGCTGGGATTACAGGCATGAGCCACCGCGCCCGGCGAGAGCTGACATTAAAATCATGTCAATAAGATGAGGAGTAGTAGGCACCATGGATTGTCTTTGAGGATGCCGATGATGGAGTTGTGAAGAAAAAGGGGGATTGTGGGTCAAAGAGTCCCTTTCATTGACACACTCTGAGAAACACATTTGGGTATCAGAGTCCTCTAGATTCAGACAGTGAGATACATGGAATAACACTTTATCTGGAACCACTTGAGGCTGCAGGGGAAAGGTAGGGAAGAAGGGAAAACATAGGTTGGCAGTTGGGACCGCTGCAGTGGTCCAAATTGGAGCCCCCTGGAAATCCTGAGATGAAACAGAACATGGGTCAGTCAGTAAATATTGGACTGTCACGGAACTAATCTGATCTTTCTTCTTCCCTTGATCTCAGCAAAGAGGCCAAGAAACAATTGATCTTTCCACTTTGCATCTGAAATTCATTTCACTGGTAGCAGAGGAGAGACAGAACCCAAGTCTGATCAGCAGCGCACTGTCCCTTTCACCACACCATGATGTCTTCCCAGATCAGGAAAACAACAGTGACCCGTGTTCTGTTTGCAGTGCGATTCACAATGTCAGTAGCACTCAGGGTCAGAAACATGCACTGGTTTTAAGGGGCTAGACGCGAATTGAAATGTATTTGTTATACACGTAAAGAAACATATAAAGGTCACCTCCCGGCAATCCAAATATTCTCTCCTGGATCTCAGAATCAAGTTTCATGCTTTATACCACTGAGTTGATTAAGCCCCTGAAGGCTGGGCAGTGTTTTTAATGGATTGTTTCTAGTTTTGATAAAGTGATGGGGGAAAATAAGCTTAGAATCTTTAGTTTGAAAAGGAATCTTTGTCCACAGCTAATTTCAGAGAAAAATCAAGTCAGTGTTGGCCTGCTCTAATGAAAAGATAGAAAAAACTCTTAAAATCATATTCCAAGTTCCGATGAAGAGATACTACCACAGGATTTTCTGATGCTGTAAGGCTACCTCTGGTACTGTTTAGAGTGGACAGCGTCCAACTTTCTTGAAAGTAAATCCTCTGTCTCATCTGAGGTGAAACTAAACATATTATGGCATATGGAAAAAAAAAAAAAACAAGCTCAACAGATTCCGTGGAAGGCCAGGATGAAACCATGTTCCAGCAACAAGTAAGTTTTGACTCGTTGGTGGCAATGATTGGCAAAGGCAAGAAGCAAGTGGTTAAAAACATGGGTTTGGTCTCAGCTAGACTTGAGTTTCTGTGGCAGCATTGCCCCTCACATACTGCATAACCGTACTCAGTTTCAGTTTCCATATCTGCATCCTTGGGAGAATAAGAACACTCTTAACTTTTTGGGCTATTACAAGACTTATACAAGGTAATGCATATGAGGGATACAGCAGGTGCTCAATAAATGCAAGAATTAATTTTAAAAAATAATTATTAATAATCATATTGTCTCTAGCTTTTTCCTTTAACATAACAAGACATGTATCACTGGTTTTTCCATTTCTCCTAGTTTACATTTGTCCTCTCCTATCAATGAGGACAAATTAAAATATAAGCATTCCACAGTAGACCTTTCCACTTCTCTGTAAAACAGAGTCTTGAAAAAAGTCACAGTCAAGTGTTTATCATTTTTGATTGGCTTGGGTTGGAGCACAGCAGTCATTTTTTGGGGGGTGGTGAGGTGGGGAGTGGACCCACTAGGCAGATAATTTTTACAAGGACAAAGTGAAGTTAGCCCTGAAATGAACTTTACGAACCATATAACATAACTTCATCTTCAGGAAACTGAGGCCCAGAGAGATGAAATGTATGATTCGTCTAAGGCCCTGCAGATCGCATGTACCAACACAAGATAGCTATGTTTGAGAAATGGCAAAAGAAGACCTGAATTATCAGAACTATGTGCTGTGAAGGCTTAAGCTGCTCTTCTTTGTGGAGAAACAGTTGATACCTAATTTTGCCTGAAACAAAACAAACATTTTAAAAAATGTTTACCTATCCCATGCCAGGTGCTGTGGCTCACCTCTGTAATCCTAGCTACTCAGGAGGCTGAAGTGGGAGGATTACTCCATCTTTAACAAAATAAAAAATTTGAAAAAAATTTACCTATTCCTTCCTTTAATATGGAATATAGAATTTGCTAATTAGAACTACCATATGATCTAGCAATCCCACTCCTGGGAATTTATCCAAAGGAAAAGATTATTATATTGAAGAGACATCTGCGCCCCCATGTTTCCTGCAGCATTTTCACAATAGCCAAGATATGGAATCAACTTACGTGTCTGACAATAAATGAATGGATAAAGAAAATGTGGGATAGATACACACTGGAATGGTATCCATTAAAAAATGAAATCCTGTTATTTGCAGCAATATGGATGGAAATGGAGGACATTACACCAAGTGAAATAAGCCAGGAACAGAAAGTTAAACACTTCACATTCTCACTCACATGCAGAAGCTAAAAAACTTCGATCTCATAGAAGTAAAAAGTAGAACAGAGTTTACTGGAGGCCAGGAAGGGTAGGGGGAAGGGAAAGATGGGAGAGATTTGTTAAGGGATACGAAATTACAGCTACATAGGAGGAATACGTTCTAGTGCTCTATACTACTGTGGGATGAGGTAGTTAACAATAATGTATTGTGTCGTTTCAAATACTTAAAGGGAGGATATTGAACATGCCCAATACAAAGAAATGATTAGAGTTTGAGATGATGGATATGCTAATTGTCCTGATCTGATCACTATAATTATATGTACCAAAACATCACTATGTACCACCATGAATATGTACAATTATTATGTGACAATTTAAAAAATAAAATCAAAAAACAATTTGCTAGTTTTGTAATATCAAGGGAGTATTTAATGATTTATACAAATCATTTTCCCTTTTCTAAAAGATAAGAGGAAAAAGAAACAATAATCATTTTCCCTTTTCTAAAAGATAAGAGGAAAAAGAAACAATATTTTTTAAACATGTGTATGGTAATTTCCACATAGTCTCACTCAGTTCTCATAACAGCCCTATGGAATAGAATATTTTTTTATTTAAGAGATAAGGAAATGAGACATTATCTGACATGATATATTAGTTTACGCACTTACAGATGATCTGTTTCCATCATTGGAATGTAAGTTTCATGAGGGAAGCAGGGTCTTTCCAAATCCCCAGAGTCTAACACAGTGCCTGGCACAAGTAAGTGCTCAAGAAATATCTGTCATATGAATGGATGAATTAATTAATTCAATAATAAGGGAATATAATAGAGAATTAAATATCAGACTTAAATATAAGTAACATGTAGCTCTGGCAATAAAAAGAAATTGTCCATAATACATTAATAGCTCTTCTAGGTGACCTTATACTTATATTCTATATAACCTTACTTTCTTCAGGAAAATATACATTTAATTGCCTACAGAGGGCTAGTTTACCTGTTGGGTATAGCTGGAAATATTGGTAGTGCATATGAAGATGGCCTCAAATAGGACCAAGATTACTCAGAAAAACATTCATTAAAAAAAAAAACTGTGGCCACAGGGAACTTAAGGAATTAATAGTATTTGTCCAAACCAAACACATCTTTAAGTTTGCTGACTCAATCATAATAATGGGTTTAGTTCCATCTTATGAGGTTGATTTGTTTCTGATAACCTGTATAAAAGATTGACCTTGCCAGTTTGTACTTATTTGAATACAAACTACTTTTCAATAACTTTCCCCAAGACTTGAGGTAAAGTTCAGGGATGTTATAAGTAAAAATATCTTTAACCTTTTAAAGGCAGATGCCACACAAAACCTTGCAAAGGAAAACAAGGGAGCCACACATATCAATGGAGACCTTTAAGTCTGTGGTTCTATTTCTAGCATTTATCGTGAAGAATCATTAAAGAGGTAAGCAAAGATGAATGCATAAATTTATTCAGTGGTGTACTGTTTCTAATGTGAATAACTGGAAATCAATGTAGCTCAATACAGACTGAGTTAAATTACGCTGTATCCTTACAATGGAATGTTATGCATTCATTAGAAATGTAATGCAACAATATTTAATGACATGAAAAGTTGTTCATGATATTTTTTAAATAAAAAAGCAGGTTATGATACAATATATAAGCATACTTCCAGTTTTGTAGAAGTATGTATGTATGTGTGTATCTGAAAAAATATCAATCAAGCTGTTAAAATGATTAATAAGTCAAAGAATTAGAGATAATTTTGATTTTTAAAGTATTTGCTTACCTGCACTTCTGACTTTTCTATAATTTATATATACAGCTTTTGTAATAAGAAGCTATTCTTCATTTTTGAAAAGAATAGGAAACTTGTTTGCAGGTCTCTAATCCCTGACTACAGTTGCTATTCTTCAGGATCAATTGCTTCTTCTCCTTCATGGTTCTGCTCTTTCAATATTTCCTTTCTTTCCCATCTCTCATACAAGTATACCTGGTGATCATATTGCATACATTACTTAAGTGGCTCTATCAAATCACCTTTGTAGTCTCTTATAACTCTCAGGATTTTCCATAGAAGTTATTTTTGGAAAAGGCAATCATATGTATCTACCATATCTTTCAGTACCCAGAAAATGTGAGCTCCAGGGGAAATTTAAAGTCCAACTTTCCTTTTAGCCTTTAAATCTCTTTCAAGTTTAGCATTAAGTGTGTGCAGTGTGTGCATGCACGTGTGTGTGCGGCCATGCGTGTGTGTATGTGTTTCAGAGGGATAAATTTTGTGAACTCTAAATACAGCAGGTTATCAAATAACATTGTTTCATTCAAAGTCATTTAGTTATAACATTGATGAGAAAATAAATCAATTCCTGGCTGGAGCCACCGTCTGTGTGGAGTGTGCATGTTCCCCCATGTGGGCTTTCTCAGGGTACTCCGGTTTCCTTGACATCCCAAACATGCACAGAGTAGGTGAATCGGTGTGTCTAAATGGTCCCAGTGAGAGTGTGTGTGAGTGCAAGCTGTGATAGGATGGCGTCCTGGCCAGGGTGGGTTCCAAACTTGGCCCTGGACGGCTGGGATAGACTCTGGCCATCCACGACCCCGAACTGGAATAACTCAGTAAATAATTATTGTACTTGTTTGCATTAATTTTTCTTATATGAAAGTATAGCTCACATTTATTTCAATGTTTAATATTAGGAGTCTTTTGGTCTTTATTTAGAAGTTTGGTGATATTTTGTAACTGGAAATATGCCATCACATATGTACTGGAACTTAACTCTTGTTTATATCCATTAGCCTATGGCAAAATTGGTTTTCCTTTATGTTGTTTTACATAAAGACACTGTTTCCAAGAACTTACTGACAACATTAAGTGAGGACTTACCATATAACCTCTGTGCTTGTAAATGAGCTGAAATCCTACTTTACATTATTATGGTGCCTGTTGTTTTAACATTTCTCCATCTCCTATTTCCAGTTTATTTTACTTTGTCCATGTTAACTTTTTATTTTCTTTTTTGAGTATCTACCAAGTGTGGAACCCTGTGCCAGTTGTATTACATGCTACCTCAGAAACGTGGTACTTATTCCCATTTTACAGATGTTTCATTAATATGTCTTTAGCACTCTTTGATTTGTGTAGCATTTTCACGCTTTTTATTTCATTTGGTCCTATGATGTTGAACCACATCTCGCTGGGAATCAGTGGAGCTGGGATGGAATCAAACTTGTATCCCCAAACTCAGACTCAAAGGTCTGCCCTGCTTTCTGTTAGTAGCAATGGCTCTGTGCATTGTTATTATTAAAACAACTGCCAACATGAATAAGGCAGTCTGATTGTACAGATTATTCAATGATTAGAAGGTGAATAAAACAAGAGGAGTCAACAAATGCAAAGAAAAATAGTCACAAAAAGTAACGTGACTCATCTTCTCCTATAAATCCTCCTCTACAGAGGAGGGGCCGGACTATAACTCAGCTATTCCACAAGTGGGAGTGAATAATTTAGAATGTCATCTGCCAGACCAGGAACATCTTGTTTTTTTCTCAAATAAAATATGAATTCTAAATTAATCACTTTGTTTAAATATATGCTGTTTAAATATAAGCTGTTTAAAAATATCTCAATATTGTGGTTTTTCCTAAAATATTTTAAAATTGGTTGTTCTCAGAAAAAAAAACTGGCTGAACAACCCGGCTGCTTATCAATGTGTGGGATTTCTAGGAAGTCTTTAGTTGCACTTGCCACTTCCTGTGGCCTTGCCTGCAATTAGATTTTATTTTATTATTATTTTTTCTGAGACAGGGTCTTGCTCTGTCACCCAGACTGGAGTGCAGTGGTACAATCACAGCTCACTGAAGCCTCAACCTCCCAGGCTCAATTGATCCTTCCATCTTGGCCTCCTGAGTAACTGGGACTACAGGCGCATGCCACCATGCCTGGCTAATTTTTGTATTTTTTGTAGAGACTAGGTTTCACCACTTTGCCCAGGCTGGTCTTGAACTCCTGAGCTGAAGTGATCCACCTGCCTCAGCCTCCCAAAGTGCTGGGATTACAGGCGTAAGCCACAGCACCCAGCCCTTGCAATTGCAATTAGATTTTAAATGGCCTTGTTTCCTACCATCTTTCTGCCTGGCTGATAGGACAATGGCACCTTGTATTCTTCTTGTCTCCTCCTAGGATCTCAGGTGCTTCAGCTGTACTTGTTTGGCTTTTGCTTTCCTTGCAGCTCCCACATCCAAATCCTTGTGACTAAAACAACACAGTTTTTATCTATCAGACAACAGCAAACCACAGTAGGTCTACATTGTTTATGGAACATTTTGGTAATGGCTTTTTCTTTGTGACTGGGCTTTTGTGGCACAGAAGGCTAGCTGTCCCCCCAAAGACTTGTGCTCCCTTTTCATAGTGAAGTGTTCCTGCTGGAAGTGCCGCCAGGCAAGAACTATAATATATTCCCCCAGCCCTCCTTGCAGATTGATGAATCTTGTAAGCAGTCCTCCCCAGGGAAGTGTGAGTAGAAGCTATGTGTCCCAGTGTTGAGTGGAGGTATTTAAGAATTGGGTGCACAATCTTTCATTCTCTCTTCTTCCTAGTCACTGGCTGAATGATGCCAACATAATCTGAAAGTCACAAGATGGTAGAGCTGTAAGATGGAAGCAGCCTGGGTCCCTGAGTCACTGCTTGGAGGAGAACCACTCGATCTGCATCAGACTGTGATATAAACATGAAACAAGTTTTTGTTGGTTTCGTTCACTGAGATTTTGAGATTGTTTGTTCTCACAGCTAGCTTACCTTGATTAATACTGGACCTAGAAGCCTCAATATTCCTCTTCTTTAAGCCAGGCTCCTGGAATTAGATGATTTGGACCTACTACAGGTACTAGTGGGATAGAGGTGCTATGATGCCATAGTGGAAGTTCTGTTACTAATCTACATCCACAGCAATTGTTGGAGGCTGTGTAGAAACTACTAGTGGCCTATCAATATGCACTAGCCCCTTCATTCTAACTCAACCCTAGTTTTGTTGGGGGTGACAATGTGCTGGGCTAATGAAAACTACATTTGCCAATCTCCCTTGTAGACAAAGCTAACGCAGCTCTGAATAATGAAATACATAAACAAATGTAATTCTGTGAGCTTCTAGAAGAGCTTCCTAATGGGAGCAAAGTTAGCTGGCATGTCTTTTTTACCTCCTTTCTTCTTCCTGTCTCCAATACTGATTCACTGTACAGAGTTTTAGGAGTCATCCTGTGACCATAAGGATGAAAGCCACACACTAAGGTTGGTGGGACACAAAGACACAAAGAACCAGAGTCTCCAGTGGTACCTTGGGGGCCATGACACCAAGCCTGCAGGGCCAACCACTGGCATTCTTGTTATGTAAGAAAAAAATAAATAAGGGGAGGAGCCAAGATGGCCGAATAGGAACAGCTCCAGTCTACAGCTCCCAGCGTGAGCGACACAGAATACGGGTGATTTCTGCATTTCCAACTGAGGTACCGGGTTCATCTCACTGGGGAGTGCCAGACAGTAGGTACAGGACAGTGGGTGCAGCGCAACATGCGTGAGCCGAAGCAGGGCAAGGCATCACCTCACCCGGGAAGTGCAAGGGGTCAGGGAATTCCCTTTCCTAGTCAAAGAAAGGGTGACAGACGGCACCCGGAAAATCGGGTCACTCCCACCCTAATACTGCGCTTTTCCAACGGGCTTAAAAAACGGCACACCAGGAGATTATATCCCACACATGGCTCAGAGGGTCCTATGCCCATGGACTCTCGCTCATTGCTGGCACAGCAGTCTGAGATCAAACTGCAAGGCGGCAGCGAGGCTTGGGGAGGGGTGCCCACCATTGCCGAGTTAGTTGTTTGATTAGGTAAACAAAGCGGCCGGGAAGCTCGAACTGGGTGGAGCCCACCACAGCTCAAGGAGGCCTGCCTGCCTCTGTAGGCTCCACTTCTGGGGGCAGGGCACAGACAAACAAAAAGACAGCAGTTACCTCTGCAGACTTAAATGTCCCTCTCTGACAGCTTTGAAGAGAGGAGTGGTTCTCCCAGCACACAGCTTCAGATCTGAGAACGGGCAGACTGCCTCCTCAAGTGGGTCCCTGACCCCCGAGTAGCCCAACTGGGAGGCACCCCCCAGTAGGGGCAGACTGACACCTCACACAGCCAGGTACTCCTCTGACACAAAACTTCCAGAGGAACAATCAGGCAGCAGCATTTGCGGTTCACCAATATCCACTGCTCTGTAGCCACCGCTGCTGATACCCAGGCAAACAGCGTCTGGAGTGGACCTCTAGCAAACTCCAACAGACCTGCAGCTGAGGGTCCTGTCTGTTAGAAGGAAAACTAACAAACAGAAAGGACATCCACACCAAAAACCCATCTGTACGTCACCATCATCAAAGACCAAAGGTAGATAAAAACACAAAGATGGGAAAAAAACAGAGCAGAAAAACTGGAAACTCTAAAAATGAGAGTGCCTCTCCTCCTGCAAAGGAACGCAGCTCCTCACCAGCAATGGAACAAAGCTGGATGGAGAATGACTTTGATGAGTTGAGAGAAGAAGGCTTCAGACGATCAAACTACTCTGAGCTACAGGAGGAAATTCAAACCAATGGCAAAGAAGTTAAAAGCTTTGAAAAAAAAATAGACGAATGGATAACTAGAATAACCAATGCAAAGAAGTCCTAAAAGGACCTGATGGAGCTGAAAACCAAGGCAAAAGAGCTACGTGATGAATGCAGAAGCCTCAGTAGCCGATGTGACCAACTGGAAAAAAGGGTATCAGTGATGGAAGATGAAATGAATGAAATGAAGTGAGAAGAGAAGTTTACAGAAAAAAGAATAAAAAGCAACAAACAAAGCCTCCAAGAAATATGGGACTATGTGAAAAGACCAAATCTACGTCTGATTGGTGTACCTGAAAGTGACAGGGAGAATGGAACCAAGTTGGAAAACACTCTGCAGGATATTATCCAGGAGAAGTCCCCCATTCTAGCAAGGCAGGCCAACACTGAAATTCAGAAAATACAGAGAACGCCACAAAGATACTCCTTGAGAAAAGCAATTCCAAGACACATAATTGTCAGATTCACCAAAGTTGAAATGAAGGGAAAAATGTTAAGGGCAGCCAGAGAGAAAGGTCGGGTTACCCACAAAGGGAAGCCTATCAGACTAAGAGCTGATCTCTTGGCAGAAACTCTACAAGCCAGAAGAGAGTGGGGGCCAATATTCAACATTCTGAAAGGAAAGAATTTTCAATGCAGAATTTCATATCCAGCCAAACTAAGCTTCATAAGTGAAGGAGAAATAAAGTCCTTTACAGACAAGCAAATGCTGAGAGATTTTGTCACCACCAGGCCTGCCCTACAAGAGCTCCTGAAGGAAGCACCAAACATGGAAAGGAACAACCAGTACCAGCCACTGCAAAAACATGCCAAATTGTAAAGACCATCCAAGCTAGGAAGAAACTGCATCAACTAACCAGCAAAATAACCAGCTAACATCATAATGACAGGATCAAATTCACACATAACAATATTAAATTAAATGTAAATGGGCTAAATGCTCCAATTAAAAGACACAGACTGGCAAATTGGATAAAGAGTCAAGACCCATCAGTGTGCTGTATTCAGGAAACCCATCTCACGTGCAGAGACACACATAGGCTCAAAATAAAGGGATGGAGGAAGATCTACCAAGCAAATGGAAAACAAAAAAAGGCAGGGGTTGCAATCCTAGTCTCTGATGAAACAGACTTTCAACCAACAAAGATCAAAAGAGACAAAGAAGGCCATTACATAATGGTAAAGGGATCAATTCAACAAGAAGAGCTAACTATCCTAAATATATATGCACCCAATACAGGAGCACCCAGATTCATAAAGCAAGTCCTTAGTGACCTACAAAGAGACTTAGACTCCCACACAATAATAATGGGAGACTTTAACACCCCACTGTCAACATTAGACAGATCAGTGAGACAGAAAGTCAACAAGGATACCGAGGAATTGACCTCAGCTCTGCACCAAGCAGACCTAACAGACATCTACAGAACTCTCCACCCCAAATCAACAGAATATACATTCTTTTCAGCACCACACCACACCTATTCCAAAATTGACCACATAGTTGGCAGTAAAGCACTCCTCAGCAAATGTAAAAGAACAGAAATTATAACAAACTGTCTCTCAGACCACAGTGCAATCAAACTAGAACTCAGGATTAAGAAACTCACTCAAAACCGCTCAACTACATGGAAACTGAACAACCTGCTCCTGAATGACTACTGGGTAAATAATGAAATGAAGGCAGAAATAAAGATGTTCTTTGAAACCAGCAAGAACAAAGACACAACATACCAGAATCTCTGGGACACATTCAAAGCAGTGTGTAGAGGGAAATTTATAGCACTAAATGCCCACAAGAGAAAGCAGGAAAGATCCAAAATTGACACCCTAACATCACAACTAAAAGAACTAGAGAAGCAAGAGCAAACACATTCAAAAGCTAGCAGAAGGCAAGAAATAACTAAGATCAGAGCAGAACTGAAGGAAACAGAAACACAAAAAACCCTTCAAAAAATTAATGAATCCAGGAGCTGGTTTTTTGAAAAGATCAACAAAATTGATAGACCGCTAGCAAGACTAACAAAGAAGAAAAGAGAGAAGAATCAAACAGACGCAGTAAAAAATGATAAAGGGGATATCACCACCGATCCCACAGAAATACAAACTACCATCAGAGAATACTATAAACACCTCTTTGCAAATAAACTAGAAAATCTAGAAGAAATGGATAAATTCCTCGACACATACACCCTCCCAAGACTAAACCAGGAAGAAGTTGAATCTCTGAATAGACAAATAACAGGATCTGAAATTGAGGCAATAATCAATAGCTTACCAACCAAAAAGAGTCCAGGACCAGATGGATTCACAGCCAAATTCTACCAGAGGTACAAAGAGGAGCTGGTACCATTCCTTCTGAAATTATTCCAATCAATAGAAAAAGAGGGAATACTCCCTAACTCATTTGATGAGGCCAGCATCATCCTGATACCAAAGCCTGGCAGAGACACAACCAAAAAAGAGAATTTTAGACCAATATCCTTGATGAACATTGATGTAAAAATACTCAATAAAATACTGGCAAACCGAATCCAGCAGCACATCAAAAAGCTTATCCACCATGATCAAGTGGGCTTCATCCCTGGGATGCAAGGCTGGTTCAACATACACAAATCAATAAATGTAATCCAGCATATAAACAGAACCAAAGGCAAAAACCACATGATTATCTCAATAGATGCAGAAAAGGCCTTTGACAAAATCCAACAACGCTTCATGCTAAAAACTCTCAATAAATTAGGTATTGATGGGACATATCTCAAAATAATAAGAGCTATCTATGACAAACCCACAGCCAATATCATATTGAATGGGCAAAAACTGGAAGCATTCCCTTTGAAAACGGGCACAAGACAGGGATGTCCTCTCTCACCTCCTATTCAACATAATGTTGGAAGTTCTGGCCAGGGCAATCAGGCAGGAGAAGGAAATAAAGGGTATTCAATTAGGAAAAGAGGAAGTCAAATTGTCCCTGTTTGCAGATGACATGATTTATATCTTGAAAACCCCATTGTCTCAGCCCAAAATCTCCTCAAGATGATAAGGAACTTCAGCAAAGTCTCAGGATACAAAATCAATGTATAAAAATAATAAGCATTCTTATACACCAATAACAGACAAACAGAGAGCCAAATCATGAGTGAACTCCCATTCACAATTGCTTCAAAGAGAATAAAATACCTAGGAATCCAACTTATAAGGGATGTGAAGGACCTCTTCAAGAACTACAAACCACTGCTCAATGAAATAAAAGAGGATACAAACAAATGGAAGAACATTCCATGCTCATGGGTAGGAAGAATCAATATCGTGAAAATGGCCATACTGCCCAAGGTAATTTAGAGATTCAAGCCATCCGCATCAAGCTACCAATGACGTTCTTCACAGAATTGGAAAAAACTACTTTAAAGTTCATATGGAACCAAAAAAGAGCCTGCATCACCAAGTCAATCCTAAGCCAAAAGAACAAAGCTGGAGGCATCACACTACCTGACTTCAAACTATACTACAAGGCTACAGTAACCAAAACAGCATGGTACTGGTACCAAAACAGAGATACAGACCAATGGAACAGAACAGAGCCCTCAGAAATAATGCCACATATCTACAACTATCTGATCCTTGACAAACCTGACAAAAACAAGCAATGGGGAAAGGATTCCCTATTTAATAAATGGTGCTGGGAAAACTGGCTAGCCATATGTAGAAAGCTGAAACTGGATCCCTTCCTTACACCTTATACAAAAAGTAATTCAAGATGGATTAAAGACTTAAATGTTAGACCTAAAACCATAAAAACCCTAGAAGAAAACCTAGGCAATACCATTCAGGACATAGGCATGGGCAAGGACTTCATGTCTAAAACACCAAAAGCAATGGCAACAAAAGCCACAATTGACAAATGGGATCTAATTCAACTAAAGAGCTTCTGCACAGCAAAAGAAACTACCATCAGAGTGAACAGGCAACCTACAGAATGGGAGAAAATTTTTGCAACCTACTCATCTGACAAAGGGCGAATATCCAGAATCTACAATGAACTCAAACACATTTACAAGAAAAAAACAAACAACCCCATCAAAAAGTGGGCGAAGGATATGAACAAACACTTCTCAAAAGAAGACATTTATGCAGCCAAAAAACACATGAAAAAATGCTCACCATCACTGGCCATCAGAGAAATGCAAATCAAAACCACAATGAGATACCATCTCACACCAGTTAGAATGGCGATCATTAAAAAGTCAGGAAACAACAGGTGCCGGAGAGGATGTGGAGAAATAGGAACACTTTTACACTGTTGGTGGGACTGTAAACTAATTCAACCATTGTGGAAGTCAGTGTGGCGATTCCTCAGGGATCTAGAACTAGAAATACCATTTGACCCAGCCATCCTATTACTGGGTATATTCCCAAAGGACTATAAATCATGCTGCTATAAAGACACATGCACACGTATGTTTATAGCAGCACTATTCACAATAGCAAAGACTTGGAACCAACCCAAATGCCCAACGATAGACTGGATTAAGAAAATGTGGCACATATACACCGTGGAATACTATGCAGCCATAAAGATGATGAGTTTGTGTCCTTTGTAGGGACATGGATGAAACTGGAAACCATCATTCTCAGCAAACTATCGCAAGGACAAAAAACCAAACACCGCATGTTCTCACTCATAGGTGGGAATTGAACAATGAGAACACATGGACACAGGAAGGGGAATATCACACACCGGGGACTGTTGTGGGGTGGGGGGAGGGGTGAGGGATAGCATTAGGAGATATACCTAATGCTAAATGATGAGTTAATGGGTGCAGCACACCAACATGGCACATGTACACATATGTAACAAACCTGCATGTTGTGCACATGTACCCTAAAACTTAAAGTATAATAATAATAATAAAATTAAATTTAAAAATAAATAAATAAATGAAAAGAAAAAAATAAACCCCTAATTTGTTTAAACCATTGGATGGTTTGGTTGGCTGTTACTTGCAGCAGCTAAAAGCAATCCTAATTGATATAGGGGTGATCCTTCTAAGACTGCCCACAGCACCTATCTTTCAGATATGTTAGTCTCTCTGTCTCTATTTTCTTTTTCTACTCATTTTTAATTCTCCCATTCCAGAACTAACACTAGACAGCAGCAGTCATTGAGTTTCTAAGCTTATTTGGTAACTCTTGAGAATAAAGAGCTTGGTAACTCTTTATCATTTAATTTAGCCTCAAATCCTGCCTTTGGGGACATGTGGCAATTTTCAGGCACCTTCTCTCTCTGATACTCTCAAACCGCTGCTTTATCTCTGGACCAGACAGCTCTGCAATCTGGAGTCCATCAGTGTAATTATGGGATTTAAGAGCATCTCAAGGGATTATTAAGTTCATATACCTGCCTCCAGGCAGGACTATGTTTAGCTCTTCCAGACATATAGTTGTCTTCATGTCTCTCACAAAGCATGACTCACTTGGTAACTTTAAAGGAGTCAGTTTTATTTGGTCTCAGTTTCTCTGCCACTAAAATGGGTATTGTGATATACGTAGGGAAAGACAAGGCCTTCTGATTAAACATTCTGAAATCTGAAACGGGATAGTATTAATTTTTTTGGTTGGGTGCTGTGGTTGGTTAAAATGACCAACTATTTTGCAGCCCCTCCTTTCAATAGGTTGATTCTATTCTCCTACTCTTTGAAGCTGAGTTGCCTTATGACTTGCATTAACCAATGAATGTGGTGGAAGTGACGTTGGAGAGTTCTAGACTTAAGCCTCAAGAAGCCTTGCAGCTTCCACCTTCCTTCTCTTAGAATGTTCCCTTTACCAGCTAAGAATGCAAAAAAGACCAGCTAGGTTTCTGAACAACAAGAGACCGTGTGAAGAGGGAAAGCTCAGCCAACAGTCAGCACCAAGGTCCTGGACTTGTGAGTGAGCCCATCTTAGACCCTACAGCTTCACTTGAGCCACCCGATAATGGCAGCCATGTGAATGTCTACAGGAAGACCAGCAGAATAACTGTCCAGCTGAGCCCAGCCCAAATTGCCAACCCACAGAATTGTGAGAAATAATAATGGCTGTTTTAAGTCACTAAACTTTGGGGTGGTTTGTTAGTTTCCCAGGACTACTGTAACAAACTACCACAAACTGGATAGCGTAAAACAAAAGAAATTTATTTTCTCAGAGTTCTGAAGGCCAGAAATCTGAACTCAAAGTGCGAGTAGGGCCATGCTCCCCTGAAAAATGTTGGGGAGGCAAAATTCAGCACACAGGAGGTGGTTTGTAAACAGAAAAACATAATTATAAAAGTACTCTTTCCTGTAATTTTTCAAATTTAAACATATGAAGATAAATATAAAAATAATAAAATTTTAAACAGTACCATGTTCTGAAAGGTAGTATGTCAGTGTCATCAGAGTTTCAAAATCTCCTGTAAAAAGTATCTAAATAGAATATTTTACTTATTGTTAGAAGTCTTAATGCTGGTGCAAAGAAAAATTTGTTGCATATTAGACAGCACAGGGTCTCTTGAATAACTTTACCCATATGTAAAGTTTTTTTTGGGAATAAAACACATCCTTCCTCTGTAAGATCAGCACATCCTTTGTTCAGCATTGTATGTCATATTTGTGTAAAAGTCACAGCCTTGTAGGGGCCTTCTGGTTACCACTTGTCCCATTTCTCTTCGGCCTCATCCAGGCTTTTTAAAGGAGTGGCCTCCACCAGCTTCCTCTATTTCCTCTGCATGGACTCCCTCTATAACCTTATGAAACCTGACTTCCTTCCCCACAGCTCCGCTAAAACTGCTAATTCAGAGGTTTTCAATGACCACCTTCAGGGTAAATCCAATGGCTCTTTGCCCTCATAATTTGGCATGTGATCTTTGTAACTACCCTCCTAGCTCTCTTTTCTGATACTACAACGGTCTGCCATGTGTTGGCCAAATCCCCCCTCCTATCTTTTCGTATCTCTTCTTTTTGTATGGATTGACAGTGACTCTTCCTCTAGGCCCATTCCTCTTCTCTTCCCCTTATACTTTCCATTCAGAAAATTTATCCATTCTTCAGTCCCAATCTCCACCTCACAGATGACTTTTTAATCAACATTTTCCATGCTGACCTACCACTGATGCCCCAAGCCTGTATTTCAAGCCGCCCAATAGAAATGTTCTGTATTTTATGTTCATCTGTGTTAGGGTGGGCTAGGTTATGGTGAGATAACAAACAATTCAAAAATCTCAGTGGTTTACAAAAACAAAGGCCTTCAGAGGGCAGCTGCAGCTCTGCTTTAATCATCTTTACTCCAGGATGCAGGATGACAGATCATCCACCACCTGGAACGCTGCAGATTGTTTAGAATAGGAGAAAGATAATGTGACAAAGTCCAGGCTATCTCTTCACCTCCAAGTGACCACATCACCTTCAACAGGTGAAAAGTAAAATCCTCCCATCGGGAGGGACAGCAAATATATGTAAAGGTACAGTCTACTACATCGTCTTAAACAAAACCTCTACGAGGGAAGTAAAAAATCATCCCCCCAAAACTAAGTCTAATTTCCAATTTTCATAATTTCTCATTGGCATCATCCTTATCCCATTTGACCAGGATGGAAATCTTGTGCCATTTATTTTATAATTGCTTCTTCTTCCAATTACAAAAGCATCCTTTGAGGAAAACTTGCAAAATATGCATGCATACATACACTCATACATGCATGTCCCAAGTACACAAAAGTCATCAATAATTCTACTACCCAGAGATAACACTCATGACATATTGGCGTATGTCCTTCTGGTTCTCTCCTTGTTATATGTATTGATCATTTATCTCTGCAGAGAGTTATGCATATATTTATTTTTTAATTAAAATGATACCATATTACGCATATAGCTTTCTGGCTATTAAAAACTTATCAAAATCATATCAATATTTTTTCCTTCTTATGTAAAAATATGTTTGGTATTGACTTGCAAACTTAAATATCCAGTCTTGACTTCTCCCCTGAGTTTCAGATTCCTAAATAAAACTGCATAGTAGCTAATTCTACTTGAATGTCTAACATGCATCTTAGACTCCATATGTCCCCAGTTAAACCCTTGATTCACCCTAAAAGCCTGCTTCTCCTCCAGTCTTTTCAATCTCTGTTAAAAGCATCAATATCCAACCCTGGAGACATCTTGATTTCTCTTTTTTTTTGTTTTTCATTGCCCCACCCCATATCTAATTCGTCAGCCCTAGCTCCAGAATGTTATCCCAGAGCTGCCTGGTTCTCTCCTTCTCAGCTCTGCTCTCTAGTTTTGCCATCGTCATCTTTCCCCTGGATTCTCCACTGCCTCCCAGCTGGTTTCCTTGCTTCTTTGTACAATAGATCTTTTAAACACAAAAGTCAATCGCATCATGCCCTGCTCCATAAACCATCCCATTTGATATGGTTTGGCTTTGTCTCCACCCAAATCTCATCTTGAATTGTAGCTCCCATAATCCCCACATGTTGTGCGAGATAATTGAATCATGGAGGCAGGTTTTTCCTCATGCTATTCTCATGATAGTGAATAAGTCTCACGAGATCTGATGGTTTTATAAAGGGCAATTCCCCTGCACACGCTCTCTTGCCTGCCGCCGTTTAAGATATGCCTTTGCTCCTCATTCACCTTCTGCCATGATTGTGAGGCCTCCCCAGCCATGTGGAACTGTAAGTCCATTAAACCTTTTTTTCTTTATAAATTATCCAGTCTTGGGTATTTCTTCATAGCAGTATGAAAATGGACTAATACACCATTGCACTTTGAATAACATTTAAATTTTTTCCATTGCCTTTAAGGCTTTTATGTGATTCGTTCTTTGCTAACTTCCCTCTTCAGCTCTCCTCCTCTCCCCTCATTCACTCCACTAGAGACAGACCAGTTCTTGCTTTTCTTCCAACACATCAAATTTACTCCTGCCTCAGTCATGTGCTTCGTCATTCCCCTGCTTGATCTTGGCTCAGAGGTTTTTCTCTAAGAGATGCTTTCCTTGACCATCCCATCTAAAGAATCCATGCCCTCTCAATGGCCCGTTTACATTCTCTGTATCACACTTATTTTATCTGATGTTTCCTTGTTTATTTAGTGGTTTATTTCTTCATTGTCTCCCCACTGGTATATTACTTTTTTTAGAATAAGAACCCTGTCTATCTTATTCATGACTCTATCCTCAGCACTTAGAATAGTGCTAGGCACATAGTAGGCTATAAGCAATATGCATGAAATGAATGAATGAATAAGTATGTAGTTGCTTCCCACATCCAGCTGATTCCTTTAAACTGTCTGCAGAAGCAGGCCCTTTTTTTCCATTCTGATGACCCAGTCTAATCCCAGATCTCACTACCTCACATCGGAATGACTGTGGCTCCCTCCTCACTCCTCCCCTGGAATCCCTTCCAATGCCTTCTGCACACTGCTAACTATTCTTCCCACCAGGTTTGTTTCATCTGTGAGTCACCTCCCTTCAGGGCCCAGCTGAGACTCATCTCCTCAGAGGTGTTGCCCTTCTGTAGCCAGGGCTACAGGCTTCTCTCTCTCTGAGTTTTTGTCCTTACCCCTCCCCAGCCACACAATCAAACACTGTTCCCCATGCTCTCTAACTTTTGCATTTATAGTCACCCACTCACCCCAGCTGGATTCTGAGGGCATAGGCTGCTTGTCTGTTTGTGTTTTGAATCTCCCGTAATACCTAGAGGAAGTCATAGGCAATAAAATATCTTGTTGATTTGAGTGAAATTATTGGACAGAGAATAAGGTACAGGAGGTAAATTGGATACCCCATCTAAGGGGATCTGTGAGACCAGGTAGTTATTTGGAATGAAAGAGTAAGATATTAAACCAGCCAGCATGTCAACAGGTGGGTGATAGTCTTGTTCTCACAGACAACAGATGGCCATCATCTTAAAACAACATTTATGTTAACCAGCAGATAAGGGACTCCTGCATTGTCAGTGGACTTTGAGCCTGAGTTTTTCTACTTGCATAGGTGAAAGTGGACTGCAATGCTAGTATAAATGCCGTATGATGACTAGTACCCCTTAGGGAGCTCCAGTTTGTCTTCCTGGGGAACCACAGACCCCAAGTGTAATTTCCTGAGGACAGCCCAACTTCTCTAGAGTGCTCATATTACACAGCAGAAAGCTGAGTAGAGAGAACTCAAAAAGGTCTGCCAAAGAAGGTTTTGGCTGTGTCCTGAATATTGCTCTGTATGGCAGTGAGAAGAAGCAGCGATTTAGGAAAAAGTATTTCTACCCGTGGCAGCAGAGGGACTGGGCCTCCCTGAGCAAACGAGAGAGTCAAGCTTGACCATTCAGCCATACGAAGGCCAAAATATCCACTTCAAGACTTCTGAGCAAATATCACATCTTCTTTTTGCTAATGTGCATACTCTCCTTAATTGAGTCTCCAAGCAATGAGGTAGAATTTTTATTCTGTGTTTTAAAACCATGTATTTAAAAATTAACATGTTATCGACTCAACTGCTTATCTTGGGTCAAATGCAAATCGTGGGTATATTCATCGGGGGAGAAAAATCTTTTTGAAAAATTTCCTGGTGATTTCAGGAAATGAGTAAGTGGTTATAATATTAAGGAGTAATTGAAAAACACTGTCAGAATGAACAGTTCTAAATAACCGTTGTTCTTTATAGTTTCCTGTATGCAGTACCATGCAATTTATTCTGATAAAGCTGTCTTTCTGAACTCACTTTTGGAACTCCTCTTTGCAATTACTTTCAGAACTATTTGACAAGGTACCTAAAAATCAGCTCCGTTATTTCACGGCTATATGTTATCTTTAACTCAAGCTGATATTATTTTATTTAATAGGCTTGCTTGAGTGCTAATGACTTTGGATCCCTCCAGAAGCTATACCATATATTGTTTATGGATATGCATATACACACACACCCCAGAAGTACACCTTTGTGTTAGTACTCTCAGGGAGCAGCAGGGAGAACAGAAATGGGCAACAGAATAACAGGGACTTCACATTTATCTGTAATGTTCTCTTTTTTAATTAAAAAAAAAACAACTAAAGCAAAAGTGACAAAATGTTAACAGATGTTAATTCTGTTAAGTGGAGACCTTTAGATACTTGCCATATTATCATCTGTATTTTCTATATTTTTTGAAACTTCTCAAATAATAAAGCAGATTCTCCCTAAAAAAAAAAAAAGATTTTAAAACACCAAGTTTCTTTTTAAAAATAAATGTACTCCAGTCCCTGAGAATAATTCTAAAAGGATTTCCAAAAATGTTTTTGGATAATGCTATTATCCCTAGTGGCATGACCCCAGAGAGGAATACTTTGAAGTCACGGAGGGCTATGAGGCCAGGGAAAGTGCCTTTCTTTTTCCAGCTCTCAATTTTGAGTAAATCTCCTCACTCCTTGCAGGCAGGCCCATGACTCACTTGTCTTTGTATTTCTGGGGCTTAGCACAGCACTTAGAACACAATAATCCTCAATGGCTGGCATGAGTGAACAAATGAATGAACTAACCAGCCTAGGACTTACAAGCCTACTAACTTACGAAGAGATGGGAGTGAGGCGGTGGAGTTTATTAACTTCTGTTTTTCTTAATTTAGTTCCAGTTTAGCTATTTGTATTTTTGGTCTCTATCACAGAAGAACAATGAATTTTGCCCTTTGATGAGAATGACAGAAGTCGAAGTTTTTTGAGGTTTCTGAGCAGAGTGGTACTAACTACTGTTTCCTTTTAGCCCCAGAAACCAATTCTAGAGGAAAAGGAACATTAAAAAAAAAGTATGAAAGAGGTCCATACTCTCTATTCTCTCATCCAAGTGAAAACACATACAATGAGTTATGTAATCTGGACTCTTATTTTGCGATAGAAAGGGATTCTGATTTTCCATTTGCTATTTTATTTAAAAGGGCTATGGCTTAGGCACCCAAAGGAGGAGGTAGATTGGATTACATTGTTAAGCAAAGTAAAAAGCACAGTTTAAAGTCTGGCAACTAGAGCTTACAACAAAATTAAGAAATAACTAAGTTGTTTGAACAATCTACCTTTATCATTAATCCAC
The DNA here is from genome assembly GCF_000001405.40 of Homo sapiens. NCBI lineage: Eukaryota > Metazoa > Chordata > Mammalia > Primates > Hominidae > Homo > Homo sapiens. Next base: position 222,754 of record NC_000009.12, on the reverse strand, counting down.
CTATTAAAGGAACAGAAGCAGAAAGTGAAAAAGGATAGAAGTTCTCACCATTTATGGTTGCATGTAAGGCAAAGAAAAAAGGAGAAATGCATGACTATTTTAATCCCTAAAGAATGACTTCAGAGTTCACTCTCTGACCTAGGAGAGAAGCTAAACAGGAAGAGGTTACAGGCATTTAAGAGAAGAGGTCAACACTGGCAAATAAAGATTTAAAAGAATGATAAAACTCGGTGGGGGTGTGAATGTGGGGAAAGGAGCATTCGTAGGGCCACTGGTAGGAGCAGAAACAGGTATACCTTTTCTGGGCGTCAATTTGGCAATCAAAAGCTTGAAAAATGTTTCTTTCCTATGACCAATTATACTGTTAGAAATTTGTAAGGAGGTGTTTGCACTAGCGCAGAAAAAAGTATGTATAAGACTGCTCCATCAAACTCTATACACTATTGTGAAAAGTCAGAACCTATCTCTTTTGGTTTTTTGTGTTTTTTTTTTGAGACAGGGTTTCACTCTGTGGCCCAGGCTGGAGAGTAGTGGCGCAATCATAGCTCACTGCAGCCTCAAACTCCTGGTCTCAAGTGACCCTCCCACCTCAGCCTTCTATGTAGCTGGGACCACAGGCATGCACCACCCTGTCTGCCTAATGTTTTGTTTGCTTTTTGTAGAGCTGGTGTCTCACTATGTTGCTCAGGCTGGTCTTGAACTCCTGGGCTCAACTGATTCTCCTGTGTCTGCCTCCCAAAGCACCGGGAGGCAGGTTCCAGGCATGAGCCACTGTGCCCAGCCTGGAACCTATCTTCATGCCCAATAATAGAAAATTAATTTAATAAATCATTTTACATCTAATCAACAGGATTTTATACAGCCTATGTAAATTATAATGCAGCTCTGTATTGATTTACATGCAGAGTTGTTCATGATTTTTTTTTTTTTAATGAGACAGAGTCTCACTCTGTCACCCAGGCTGGAGTGCAGTGGTGCGATCTCGGCTCACTGCAACTTCCGCCTCCCAGGTTCAAGCGATTCTCCTGCCTCAACCTCCTGAGTAGCTGGGACTACAGGCACCTGCCACCACACCTGGCTAATTTTTTTTTTTTTTTGTACTTTTAGTAGAGATGGGGTTTCACCATGTTGGCCAGGCTGGTCTCAAACTTCTGACTTCAAGTGATCCACTCACCTTGGCCTCCAAAAGTGCTGGGATTACAGGCATGAGCCACGGTGGCCAGCCCTCCTGTATACTTTAAATCATCTCTAGATTATTTATAATACTTAACACAATGTAAATGCTATGTAAATAGTTATTATACTATATTTTGTATGGAATAATGACAAGAAAAAAGTCTGTACATGTTCAGTACAGATGCAACTATCTACATTTTTTTCCAAATATTTTTGATCTGTGGTTGGCTGAATCCAGGGATGTGCCCACAGATGCAGAGGGCCGGCTGCCCTTTCCTATCTGTGATGATGAACATGAGAATAGACAGCTGGAGAAACTGGTTCTGTTGCCATCATTTCTCCTTTCTAATCTTGGGTTTAATCATAATGCAGTGGGACATGACATAATGTCTTGTACCCTAGGCCAACTTTATCAATTTGCTTAGTTTCACCAGAAATGCTGCATCGACATGTGTTCATATATACTTTCAGAGGTGTCAATCTGTTTTTCGTCTATACCCCCACTGTTGTCGATACAGCAAATGGTACCACTACTGTGCCAACTCCAGAAGCACAGGAACCACACTTAAACACACTATATAAATTTCATGTGTTTACCTAGAGCCCAGAGAGCCTTTCTGCTGCTGACTGGGTAAGACTAGACCAGCCTGAACAACACGGTGAAACCCCATCTCTACTAAAAATACAAAAATTAGCCGGGCGTGGTGGTGCGCACCTGTAATCTCAGCTACTCAGGAGGCTGAGGCAGGAGAATCGCTTGAATCCGGGAGGCAGAGGTTGCAGTGAGCCGAGATGGCCCCACTGTACTCCAGCCTGGGCGACAGAGCATGACTGTCTCAAAAAAAGAAAAAAAAAAAAAAAGAAAGAAATTAGACTACTGCTTGTGGGAACAGCAGTAGCACATTCCTGTTGCTTTAACCCTTTATCAAATAGGCCAAACGTTAATAAGCACCTGCCACTGAAAAAAACTAAATGCTTTTGTTTCTTAGCTTTCTCAGCAAGAAGTCTGAGTATGGTAACATCCCTACCTTCTCACGGTCCCTTAAAGAGGACGGAAAGTTGAGGTGTTTTTAACATCATCCCATTCCATCACTACCTTTATGGGGAGTTGAGATGGGAGACTTGGTCCCCTGAGTTCTTCATCTTTCCCTGGGCAACTACATGTTACTACGTTTTCTTTCCACTGGTCTATGAAGAAGTAAACATTAGCTTCATCAATATACATAAATGGTCAGAACTCAAAGAACTCCAAATGAAGAAAATTCACCCTGGTAGAAGGTTATTTCAGCATACATTTTGTAAGGCATCTTCAGAATAGCACTAGATGCCTAAAGCACAAATGGACCTTTTCCAAGAATCTGGAAGGAACCGATTCTAAATGTGAAAGGCCAAAAATTCTGTGTCTGATTGCCCAAGCCCCTCTGTTGGTCTTTGGTCTAGAACACATCAGACAAATAAAGCAATTCCTGAAAGCACACTACCTCACTCTGCCAGCCACCCCCACTACTGAGGAACAGCTCTGCTCTCACTGCAGATACACATCTATACATTTGAATACATATATTTTTATGCTTGTATTATCTTTGCAGATAAAATTAGCAAATACTTCTCAGAAAGCTCTCTGTAGCTCATTGTGCTCTGGTCGTTATGCCCAAAATTATTGGGTTTGTTCCTTTTTTTTTGAAATAGAGTCTCGCTCTGTCACTCAGGCTGCAGTGCAGTGGCGCAATCACTGCTCACAGCAGCTTCAACTTCCTGGGTTCGAGTGATCCTCCCATCTCAGCCTTCCAAGTAGCTGGGACTACAGGTGCAAGCCACCACAGCTGGCTAATTTTTGTATTTTTTGTAGAGACAGGGTTTTGCTATGTTGCCCAGGCTGGTCTCGAACTCCTGGGCTCGAGCCATCTACCAGCTTAGGCCTCCCAAAGTGCTAGGGTTACAGGTGTGAGCCACCATGCCCAGCCTGTGGTTGTTCTTAAATGCTATCTTTATGTAACTTTATTCTCTCTTCTTGCCACCTTGTTTTTGTCTTTCATAAAATCACTCTCTGGTGATGATTATTATGCCTAATACTTTGTTCCTTTTTTATTTTTTATTTTATTTTATTTTGAAACAGAGTGTCACTCTGTCGCCCAGGCTGGAATGCAGTGGCACATCTCAGCTCACTGTAGCCTCCACCTCCCAGGTTCAAGCAATTATCCCACCTCAGCCTCCTAAGTAGCTGGGATTACAGGTGCACACCACTACACCTGGCTAATTTTTGTATTTTTTAGTAGAGACGGGGTTTCGCCATGTTGGCCAGGCCGGTCTTGAACTCCTGACCTCAGGTGATCGTCCCGCCTTGGCCTCCCAAAATGCTGAGATTACAGGCGTGAGCCAGTGCACCCAGCTCTGTTTGTTCCTTTTCTGAAAGGACGAAATGAAGGTATATAAAGTTCTTAGCACAATATGTAGCACATAGTAAATAATTAATAAATGTTACCTATTATTATTTTAAAATAAAACTGAGATGGCAGCATGGTATAATGATTAAAAGAGAAGACTCTGGAGCCAGGCTGCCTGCATTTGAATCTCAGCTGTGACCTTAATTAGTTGTTTGTGAGTTTGGACAATTTCTATATCTTCTCTGCACTCAGTTTCTCCATCTGTAAAACGGAGATAGTCATTGCTCCTATCTCATAGAGGTGAATGAGTTACGATATGTAAATATTTAGAACTGTCTCTGCCACATAGAAAGCATTCTAGAAGTGTAAGCCATTATTTTTTCTTCCTTTCAATCCTGACTGTCCACAAGAGGGTTAATGTTTTTTTCTGCATTCTACACTTTCGTCCTCTTTATCCAAGGTTCTTATTTTACTTTAATATTTGATCAAATTTTACATCTATTCTGTATTTGAAAGACACTAAGATTTTGTTTAATAAATTTTCAGAGTACTAGTAATAATTTTTATAATCTACAAAGGCACTAAATTCCAGTAAGAAAAAAGGCAATTAACAAGACTAGATGTTCCCACAAGTACCATGTTATGACATTTAATGCAGCAGCACCTGAAATCCCAAACGCAAATGTTATTACGAACTGCCTAACTTAGATCTAGTCTTTCCTTGGCACGCAAGTCAGCAACAAAAAAATGGAAATGAAGACAAGTATATAGCACTTACAAGAAAATTAATTTCACCTTTCTTCTCAGACTGTGAGATAGTCTGCTCACTCCTTCTGGAGACTGGTGTGGTCAGAACTGAACGCTTTACAAATAATATTTTTAATATATCAGATTTGAATACTTCATTAACAGGAAGCACACTGGTTTTATCCCACAAATATTTTTAAGAGATAGTTTACACTATTCTGAGTAGTAAGGTGAAAAACATGAGCACATGCTGAATGTACTAATGGCCATATTTCAACACAGTCTTACTTTTGGAATTTGACCTATTTAAAAAAAATAATAGGTAGGCACGTAAGGGAAAACATTTCTTTTCCACCTTCAACATTGCAAAACATCACATTGTTAATGTTTATATATTAAACACTAATCAGAAACAGAACACTTTGCCAATGCTGCTACCAAAATGATGATTTTTTAAAAATTAATTCCCCTCTTGCTTTAAAGGAAATTCTTGGGATACATATGCATCAAAATAACAATCGGCCCAATTAAGAGCACAGTCTTTGGAGCAGTTTGCAATCCCAGCTCTGCCATTGCTGGTTGTATGGTCTTGAAAAAATTACATGGCCTTGTGCAGCTGTATCTCCAAGATTCCTTTTCCTCTTCTGTACAAGACTTCATGAGTTTGATAGGCTTTTTGTGAGAATTTAATCATAAAATCCATTAACTGTATAATATAGTGTCTGGGACACAATAAGTAAACAATAAATGGTGAAATTAAATGATATATGAATACTAGGTATGTCCTTATTAATCTGCTCCTTTGAATAATAATTTCTGCCAAGCTCCTTAGCATAACTCTCCCACACAACACACAGAGTGCTTCAAAAAGGAAAACAGAACTCTAAGAATACGAATTTCCAATCCATTTTCTTGCCTGAGGATTATAGAACCTTTTATACTTTATTAAACTTGAGGGGGCTCTTCTTGATCAGATTTCATCACATATTTTCTTCCATTGAATGTGTTTTGGGTTCTCAGCACCAGATGGAAGGCACAGGCGGAGAAACACTGGCCCCAAGAAAGCTCCCAGCCAGCCACTGGCATCTCCATACCTAACCCAAACTGATCTCTGCCTGAAGCTCTCCAACTTCAGCTTTCCTTCCTACCTTTCTATCTTAGGCTCTCAAAGATGGTGATGATGGAGATAATGACAGCAGTGAAGCTGATTGTAATGTTAATGATGGCAACTAAGAATTATTCACCATTTATTCTGAGCCAGACACTACAAGCAACATGCAATCAACATGAAAATCATTAACAAGACATTTTGCATTATTTTTTCTGTACTGTCTCTAAATTCCAATGTGTATGTTACACATCCAGCACTTGGCAATTCGGACTTTGTACCTATTATTCATTTAATCCTCCCCACAGTCATAAGAAGTAGGTACTATGATCAACTCTACTTGGCACATAAAGAAACCAAAGCTTAGAGAAGTTAAGTAACATGTCCAATGTTGCACAGTGACTTTGTAGCAGAGAGCCAATTTGCAAGCAGATCAGACACTAACCAGGGCCTTTATTCTTAACCCCCAGGTGACACCGACCCCGCAGTTGCTTGCAAGACTGCCTGTAGGATTAGTCCGGGTCTCGGCCACTCACCCCAGATCAACCCTGCCCAACCCCATAGTTTCTAACATCTTTCTGCCCCAGTCACACTTCCTGATCTAAAATTCACAAAGACAGAGGATCAGGAGCTATAGCAAATAATACACCCATCAGTAACTTCAGTTTGATTCCCTATACTCCTTGAATGAATTACCCCTCCTGGCATGCAACAGCTATGAACCTTAATGTAGAAAAAAATTCCCATAGGGAGATCCCTGATATACTTCATGCCTTGTTTTTGCTTTTTTTTTTTTTTTTTTGTCTGTTTTTTGAGACAAGGTTTCACTCTCTCACCCAGGCTGGAATGCAGTGGCATGATCACAGCTGTGATCCTCCTGGGCTCAAGCGATGCTCTTGTCTCAGCCTCTTGAATAGCTGGGGCTACAGGTGCATGCAACCACACCTGGCTAATGTTTTAAAATTATTTTTTTGTAGCCACAGGGGTCCCACTATGTTGCCCAGGCTGGTCTCAAACTCTGGGCTCAAGTAATCCTCCCATCTGGGCCTCCCAAATTGCTGGGATTAGAGGTGTGAGCCATGGCACCCAGCCTCTTTATGCCTTTTGACTAGTACCTTTTGGCCTCCAACATTAATATGCAATATACATAAATAATTAAACTCATTTTACAGATGACGAAATAGTAAGGTAAGAGAAACAGTTTGCTGGCAGTCACGTATCAAGTGGAAATAAAATCGTCAATAAAGCTCGATATGCCCTCTAGAAGACCTTATCGCCTTGTTTTTCTAGGCTTTTAATTCCTTGTTCAAACCTCTTCACACACTAACAGCACAAAGATGAACCTACGGTGGAATCCACCTTTCACAGGCTCAGCTAAGTGAAGATTAACAAATCGGACAGCCCTGTGGGCAATAGAATAAGTTGACACTTTAGAATGAGTTTCCTATTATCTTTTAACTAGACAGTCTAGCTTTCTCAGGGCAAGACAAAAATGTCCCAATTACTTGTCAGCAGTTTTTAGTGGAGGAAAAACTGCAGTTAAAGCACCTTTACTGAGAACTTTGAGCAGTAAATGTGCTTACATATTTAGTTTGTGCAACTTTGATTAGGAATTGGATGGTGAGTTGGGATCCCCCAGTCCTTAGCTTTTTGCTGGAGTTCTGTAAATCTCAAAATGTCAGCCACAGGCCATTTCTTTTGGTTTATTTAAGTGTAGATTTTTTAAAAAATCACTTTTTCCACTTCATGGCTCCTTTGGACCAGGGTATAAAAATAGCGATGCCACCAGGAGCCAAGCTCTTTCTGGAATAATGAAGCAGGCGAGGACGGAGCCTTGCTCAGGACGACAGAAGGCTTGCAGCCTGCCTCAAACGCAACTCTAATTTCAGCCACTTCACTTCTTCCCCCCGCGCTCAGACTTGCCTCAAAGGAAGGAGCCGTTTATGAGACACTCCGTGGCGCGCCCAACACGGTTACCCAGGCGCCTATCACCCTTCTGGGACCCGGCCACCTGTAAGAACCTGGAGGGCGGAGCGGGCGAGGTTGTTCGGGGAAGGGATCCCCGGCGGCTGAGGACATCCAGGAGCACCGAGATTCTTGGGGAGGACCTCGCCGGGCCCAGCGCAGGAGCCGCCGCGCGTCCAGCGGCTCCACCGCCGCAGCCTCGGGAACCGGGCGCCCCAGGTCTCAGGCGCGCCCCGCCGCGGACGCGAATGGACTCGTCCGGCCTCGGCCCCTGCAGCGAAGCTCCGCTTCACACCAGCGCTGGGCTGTCCGGCCGCAACCTGCGCGCCGCGGGGGGCGTCTTACCTGTTGATCTTGAGCGCGAACGCGCGGCGCTCTGCGCTCGGCAGAGTGGCCATGGCCCGCCGGCGGTTCGGTGGCTTCTAGGGTCGCGGGGTGCGGAAAGCGGGGGCCTGGCGCGCCGCAGAGTAGCCGCGGAACATGCCCAGCCAAGCGCAAACCTCGTCTGTCGGTCGGCGCTGGAAACTTCCGCATTTCCACCTTCTAAGCCGAAATCACCCCGGGGGAGGGTCCGAGCTCGGAGCAGCGACGGCCGGCTCCGCCACCCGGCCTGGCGCGCAGGCAGCGGCGGGCGAGGAGGGCGTGGGCCCAGCGCGGAACTGGCCTCCCGATACTGGGGCAGACGGCGCGCTCTGCCCGGGGCCGCCGACCTCCGGCCGAAGGGAGCGCGGGCGGACGACAGGCGACCACTGCGCGCAGGCCGGAAGCTCCATCTGCCCGAAGCTGCGAGGCTGCCAGGGAATGTAGGCAAGTCGGGGGAGCCCCACAAAGCTGGCGAGGTCGGGAATCACCCCAGGGATTCGTAAGGCTAGGTGTTATTAAGGGTTGACACCATTCTCGAAGAAGGCAGCCAAAAAAAAAGACAAAAAAGTTAGTGGAATCTATCAGGATTCAAATCAACTTTTGCAAGCAATATGCCCATCATCCTTCCTGAGACACTAAATAAATATAATGGATTCATCCAAGGAATAAACATTATGAGTTCTCAAAAAATGTTTTCGTCACAACCTGGCGTGAATGCTTTTCTCCGGAGAAACACTGAAGGCGGCGTTCTTGCGATTCAAGGGTACGCTGCGTCCAGGTTTATTTCAGTTTCAGACTGAGGTCTGCTAAGAAGCCCGGCCTCAAACTCAAGATAAAAACAGAAAAGTCCCAGTGTTGACGGGAGTGGAGGAGCCCGTGTTCGCTTCAAGGTGCCGGCGTGCTGCTCTAACCTGTGCTATATATACTCGAGCACTCTCCATATAATGCCTCCATTTACCAACTTGCTCTTAAAAAATACCAAAGCAGGCCGGGCGCGGTGGCTCACGCCTGTGATCCCAGCACTTTGGGAGGCCGAGGCGGGCGCATCACGAGGTCAGGAGATCGAGACCATCCTGGCCAACGTGGTGAAACCCCGTCTCTACTAAAATACAAAAAATTAGCCGGGCGTGGTGGCGCACGCCTTAGTCCCAGCTACTTGGGAGGCTGAGGCAGGGGAATCACTTGAACCCGGGAGGCGGAGCTTGCAGTGAACCGAGATCTGCCACTGCACTCCAGCCTGGCGACAGAGCAAGTCTCCGTCTAAAAGAAAAAAAAAAAAACAACCAAAGCGAAGTATTTTTGGTTCAAACCTGCACTATTTAATATGATAGCCACTAGCCACATGTGGCTATTGACCACTCGGCATTATGGTTAGTCTGAATTGCCCACTGCTGGATGTGTAAAATGTACACTGGAATTTAAAGACAGCGCAGAAAACATCGTGTAAAATGTCTTGTTAATGATTTTCATGTTGATTGCATGTTAAATGATACTTTGGATATAAAAAATATATTATTAAAGTTAATTTCACCTGTTTGTTTTCCCCTTTTAAAAATGTGGTTTGCATTTTTAAAAATGTAAAATTACACATGTGGCTCACATTTGTGAGCCTCATTATATTCCTATTGGACAGTGCCAGTCCAATACAACCTAATTTGTCACCTAATACTAAAATCCACCTAAGGACTATATTCAGTCTCTTCCTGATACAGCCTTCCTTCCTGGTTTCAGCTGTGTCAGGTAGTTTAGTAACTTTTCAGTACTGGTTAGGTAACTCCCCGCCCCCCAATGCCCACCAAATATCAGTGCCCTTTTAAGCATATAAGACAAAGTTCACTGCATAGACTACAATAGACTACATACGAAAACAAACCCAAAGAAAAATAAAGCTTTTTTGAAATTTAGAGTTTCTGACTTTCAAAACTGTCCTTATTTACTACATTGGAATTTATGAGCAAACATTTGGATAGCAAAATACAAAGAGAACAAATGTGTAAGTACTTCTTCAAACTGAGACTCAACGAATGATACATAGAAAACATTTTGCCCCAGAGGCTTCGGTCCACGGTGTACCATGTCAGCCTTTCGGATGAACTCCTCTGAATTTCTGAATGTTTATGACATACATTTTCATATAGAACAAAAATATACTGGTTTCACACAAACATAAATAAAATGTAATGAAAGCATCTCAGATTTTCAGCATTTGCAATCAAGGAAACTTTTTGGGTGAATGTGGGAATCATAAAACCTTCCATCTTGCCTCAGATCATACTGCAATAGATTTAGTATTTGGTACCTAACCATGAAGGTTAGGCCAGCATTATTATCCTCTGTGCTGTCAATTTCTTGATGGTTAGAATTGTCTCCAGATTTCCTTAACACTCTTTTAACAATTCACCATGAATGTGTTATCCATTAATTTAGTCAAATGCCTGTTTTCAAGTTTGATCTGCTGTTAGATACATTCACATATTGCTGGCAAATAGCCATCCAAGTGCCTTTCTTCCTTATTCTCACTGCCTCTTTCGTTTTCCATCAGCCCTCTGTCCAGAGAGAACTCTGGGAGGCCTCCTTCTTTCCGCATCTGATGGTCTCTCTTGGCCTTCCTCTTTCTCCGTATCTTTGTGTCATTCAATTTTGTTTTTCACCTTTATACAACTCTTCCCTTGACTTCTATCTCAGACCATACATCAATTATCCTAAATGCTCTAGTTTTCCCCACATCTTCTTCTTACCTCCCCAGAAAGCCGACCTCTTTCTCTACATTGCATCTTACCTATTTTATTGAACAAACAACTAAATAACACTTATCTTGTACCGGGTACTGCTCCAAGTCCTTTATAAAAATTAATTCATAGCAACCATTAAATAATAACATTAACCCCCCCACACATACCTCTTTGCAACTGGAGAAACTGAGGCTTAGAGAAGTTAAGTGACTTGACCAAGATTACAAACTAGTAAGGGCAGAGCCATTTCCTATCCTAAAGTTTTGCCTATTTCCCAGATTTCTGTACTCTAACATCTTCAAACTCCAGTATAAAACTAAAATTCTCCATCTACCCTACTTAACTGGAAGCTAGCTATCTCTCCATAATCACACATTTTTTGGGGGGTCGGTGGTGGCACACTACTTCCTCATTTTCCAGGTTTAAAACTTTGGAGTCATCCAGTGGAGGGAAAAGCAGGAAATCTGGGTTCTGGCTTCAGCTTTTTGCTAATTGTGTAATCCCGAGTAAGTCACACGGTCTTTGGATCACAGAGGCCTGTATCTTGGAATGACTCCATCTGCTTGCCTCTCTCTGAACTTTAGAAATACGTCAGCTCTAACTTTTTTTCCTCCTGTGTCCTTCAGATCTAATCACCTACCAAGGTCTGCCATTTATTTCTTATAAATATCACTTCTTTGTAAATATCACTGTTCTCACAGTGGCTTTCATTCCGGTCCAGCCCTTATAAATTAATACCTAGATAACAAAAATAAGATTTTAAATGGCTTCACTGCCTGTAGCCTCTTCTTTCTCCTATCTCATCTGTTTCTATCACTAGATGAAGTTTACTAAAATACCTGTTTCACCATATTTCTTCTCTGCTCATTTAGCTTTGGTGACTTCCTGTAGCCTCTATGACCAAGCGTGACCTTTTCTAGCTAGCTCGTATGCCCACTTCACAAAACCAGCTTTATTCTTTACCTTTCTGTTGGAGCAGGGAAGATCTCCAGCTTGTCCCTAAAGCAGGCGGTGCTCCTGTCTGCCCAGGCCCTCTTCCTGCTTACGTTATCCTTCCTGCTGTCCTCGCCTCGCACCACATCCAGTCTCTGCCCATCCCTCAGGGTCTGAGTCAAGCTACCATGCTCCATCTCTATTGGATGGAGTGTCTCTTTCAGTCTGACAGCATCATTTAATTAATTAAAAGTGTGGGTCATTACCAATAAACACAGCGCAGTGGAATGCAAGATCCTGAGGACAGGACTAGAGAGGAAAAAAAAGTGTGATCATTTTCATGTCCCTTCCTTCTTCCCCAAAACCACGCAGGACCTCCCCAGATTTAGTTCAAATGTCACCTTCCAAGAACATCTAGTTAACATGACAGTGCCCCCTTCCCTTGTCCTGACACTTTCTAACTCCTTTTCCAACTTTGTTTTTCTCCATAGCTGTTATGACCATCTGACATACTATATATTTTATTTATTTGTTTATTATCTCTTATGCTTCTAGAATAAAAGTTCCATCAATGCAGAGGTTTTTGTTTGGTTAATTTGTGCTCTATCTCTACTGTCTAGAGCCCTGGCATATAGTAGGTGCTCAAAAAGTATTTATTGAATAAATGAATGAATAAGTGAACTTGAATGGGAATGGCCAAGTTTCACTTGTCTTTCAGGAGACAATGACAGTTTTTACCTTTTTATTCTCTTATTTTAGTTGTGCCTTTTTATGAATATCTTTCAACTCTGTTTTGTATTTGTTTCTTGGTTTGAAAAATCAAACCAGCAAGTAGATATCTTTATTGTTGTCTTACAATTGGTGAAACATACAGAAAGATTTGAGTGCAGGTATTTAAAACCAGCCATACTTTAGATATTAGAATTTGTAGCTCCTAATTTTCTTCACGTCATTCCTTGTTTTGTCATAAAAAATCTTTCAATATGAAAAGAACAAAGATTAGCAAACTTTCCTTTAAAAATTATCATTGAGGCCAGGCACGGTGACTCATGTCTGTAATCCCAGCACTTTGGGAGGCCGAGGCGGGCAGATCACCTGAGGTCAGGAGTTCGAGACGAGCCTGACCAACATGGAGAAACTCCGTCTCTACTAAAAATACAAAATTAACCTGGCATGGTGGCACATGCCTGTAATCCCAGCTACTAGGGAGGATGAGGCCGGAGAATCGCTTGAACGTGGGAGGCAGAGGTTGCGGTGAGCCGAGATCACACCATTGCAGTCCAGCCTGGGCAACAAGAGCGAAACTCCGTCTCAAAAAAAAAAAAAAAAAAATTATCATTGTGTTTTAGATATATACACATACAGATTTTTTATATTTTATATATAACTTTAATATACATATTAGTGTTTTAAATATAGCATTTAGAATATATTCAAATGTACAATGCTATTGCATATTCAGTAGGAATATTTGTACCATAGCATTTTATAACTAAAAGAATTTTGGATTAATTCATTAATGAGTGAATAAGTTCACTCTATCATCTGTGTGTCTTCTGTTCGTTCTTCCAGACCTTTACCAAGTGGTTACCATATGTCATGCACTGGGCTAGGTGATAGTAGGGGCCAAACAAAAAATAGTTGTTCCCTGACTTCCCAGAACTCATAGTCCAGGAATGAGACACACGTAAAGAAGGAAAGAAGAGGCTCAGGCCCAGGAACATTTTGCCATATAACAGCCTGGGCAAGTGAGGAAGCACAGAGAGGAAATGACTTGTTCTTGGGAGAGGGTAGTGGCAGAGAGATTGACGCTGAGGAAGAATGACTATACCGACGCTGTAACCGTGGAACTGGGTCTTAAACAAGTTCATGAGGCAGAAGGAGCACTTGTGCAAAGGCAGGGAGACAGGGGACACCGCAACTTATCCTGAGAACTAGAAGAATGATGGGAGCCCGGGGGTGCGGAGTGAAGTGAGTAGCAAAAATAGAGCCTTGGAGGTGGGCAGGGTCTGAGTGTGATCGAGCTTGATCTCACAGGCTGTTGACACCCGCACACGGCGATTGCTGTTTCTGTATCTAGGTCATAGTCTCTTGGGGGAGGCCTTGCCACCGGCTGTCCACAGTGAGGGTGCTGCTGATCCCAGTAGAACATGGCAGCAGAGGGTGGGGAACATTATGTCTCCTAGACCTGGCACCGTCAGCTCCACCTTTCTCAACCTGAGCTCACATATTGGACACTAATGCAAAATACATAGTTCTTTAGGGAAAAATTTAGGCAATTTTCCCAAAGTCATATCTCACGGAGAGAAAAATAAATTACGGGGACAGAGAGTCAAGAGATGATTGTGTAGTGTGGTCATTTTTGTCCCTCATTTGAGTGCCTACGTGCCTCTGGTCACTGCCTCACTCCTGACTCCCAACTTCCCCCTGCACTTCCCTCAGGCCTCTCTATTTACCCACTGCCCCATCAGTCTGTCTTCTCCTCCCTAAACCTTCCATTGCACATCCTTTGTCTAGTTCTTATGTCTGGACAATTTCCCAGGCAGCCACCAAATCTTGTGAACTCCCCTCTCCACCCCTTCCAGTTTCTGCTGGCCCTACAGAGGGGAAAGTTGGGCTCTGTTCTATGCTTGGGGGAGATCCAGTGGTGGGCTTCTATTCCAGGCTGTGGATAACATTCTTCTATGGAAAAAAATTAATTTCCTTCTGAAGACCCCCATCAAATATATATGAAAAAATCATATTCTTCCCATTCATTTATCTTGACCTTACTTCTTATAGGTTATAATATTGGCCTCACTATGCTAAGAGAGAAACTCCTGCCCACCCCCGCCCCTCACCTCTAGGCACATTACAAAGCTGTCAGCATGTTGGAATATTTCCTCTCAGTCTTTTTTAAATGAAAAATGTATTAATCTTTCATGCTACAGTCACATTGCTGGAAAGTTTCAATTTTGCATTTTATATTTATTTAGCTGTATTCATTTTCTGCGTTAATCTTATTTCTGTATTTACTATTTTATATCCATTATCTTGATGCCCTCAAATATTTATTTTGTTCTTTTTTGTTGTGTGTGTTTACATGTCACCACTAGCTCTGTGGATGAGGTGGGTATAGCAGGCACATATTGCTGTATTGATTCAGTATCCATTTCTCCCATTTCTGGGAGCAGCATCTGCATTTTCTGTATTTTCTGAAAAAGACGCTTCCTCCGTTTTCAGACCACAGTCTTGATGGAGCTGCCTCCACTGTAGGCACCAAAAGTGGGTCTCCAACCTAAGTCTGGCTCGTCAGATCATGTCCATCCTGTCCTTCATAATTAAGTCAGAGGACCAATAAAAGTCAGTAAGCCTCAAACCCAGAACTCTTGCTGGAACCATTTGCAGTGGAGACTTTCTCATTTTGTTGCAAATGAAATAGGAGAGGATGTAAGCCTGGACATTTTGTGGCCTTTTAGCCACCACCAGGATAGCTGCCTGAGATGGGAAGAAGGCAGAGCCGAGAAGAAGGAAAAAGAGAGAGATTCCTGATCAAAAGCGAATATTGATTGATTAGTTATTGTATGCCAAGTATTATTTAAGAATATATTGTTTCAGTTTATCTTCATTTTACAAATATGAAATGCATTGTCATTATCTCCACTTTACAGAGGAGGAAATTGAGGCACAGATTAAGAAAACTGCCTAAGGTTACCTAGCTTGTAATTAGTGGCATCAGGATTGAAACACAGGAGTTTGACCCTAAAGTCTGCCCTTATGACAACTCCACTATTCTGCCTTCTGATAATTTTTTTTTTGTTTAAATTAGTAAGCTACAAAGAGACTTGACTAGTAAAATTGAGCATAAGAAAGCAGATAAATGAAATAATTATACCTTCTTATGAGCATTTCAACTGACTCTTTCTCACCATGTATTTACTAATTTTCCATTGGCCATATATGTCATAATGTACATGGCCATGTCCTTGCTTAGGAGGAGGCAGGATAATGCAGTGGTTGAGAGTTTGAACTCTGAAGTCCAAACACCTGGATTCACATCTGACTTTTTCCTTATGAGCTATGTGACTTTTGGCACATTATTAATGTCTCTGTATTCAACTTTACCCATCAAATGGGCTTAATAGTGGCACCTTTTTCATAGGATGGTTATAAAGATTAAATAATAGAAAGCACTTATGCTAAGTGACAAGTAACTATTTCTATTATTATCACTACCTGTATCCATTAGTAATGTCTATAGCAACAACGTACTGAAAGTCCAATTGAAAGTGGCTTAAACATCTAAATTTATTATCTAAGTAAAGCAGATGAGATGGTCCAGAACTGGGCCAGCCACTCAACAGTGCCGTATGAACTGAGGTTCTTTCTGTCCCTTCCCTCTGCCGTCCTCAGCACATGGGCCTTTGGTTGTCATTCTTATGACCTCAAGGCTAAAAGATGGCTCCCATGACTCCAAGCAGCCACAGCATCACAAAATGGAAGAAAGGAAGAGGCCAGGGCTTTCTCCATGGGAGGTTCCATCTTTCCCAGAAGTCCTCCAGGAAATTTGTCTATAGTGTTCACTGGCCAGAAAAGGGTCAGATGATCATCCTCAGCTGCAAGGGATGCTGGGAAAGAGAGAATATCTGACTGAGAAAAGTGGATAACCCATGGTTGGCTCAGAACTATGGTGATTCATTTTCTTGAGCTGCCAAAATGAAAGAGGAACAAAGGGGAGAAGAGTTGTGTAGGCAGTGAAAAGAGGCTGCCATACCTTTTATTAAAAATATTAATTAAGATAATATACATAAAGCACAGAGCATATTACTAGATATTGAGTATGCTCTCGGGACATTTTGGCTGTGAATTTTATTACTAGTTGACATTTGGGTTGCTTTAGAGCCATATGGCTAAGGAAGCAGTTTAGTAATGCTTGCAAGGACAAATTCCTCCAACAGCAGAATGTCTAGATACCTCAATATTACATAACAATATATGCTTTTAAGGTGATTATAGTCGTGCTTTGATGGGTTTACACACTAAAATGCCCAAGGGTAATGTTCTTTAAATCAACAAAGTACTAAATTTTGTCATGCTGTCAGCCCACCCACACGTAGCTATAACTTAGCTTACTTTTACTTAGATGAGACCCCTATATAAGAAGAGTTTAAAACAAATATGGTGCATTCCTCCTCTTGCTTTCTAAGGATGCTCTACTCTGTAACTGAATAACTTTCAATAAACTCTCTTCTCACTGCACTCTGCAATTTGCCTTGAATTCCTTCCTGCATGAGATCCAAGAACCCTCTCCTGGGGTCTGAATCAGGCCCCTTTTTTTCCAGCAATACATTTATGAAAGAGAATATCCTTATTCTTAGAAGATACACACTAAATTATTTAGGGTAAAAGGGACAGAATGGTATGATGTCTACAACTTCCTCTTAGGGGGTCATCAATAATGCTGCTGCTGCTGCTGCTATTAGTAATTTCTATTAGAATCAGACTACAAATAATAATAATAATAAAATAAAACAATTGGTGAATCTAGATGAAAAGTAAGCAGAAATTCATGGTGTGTATGTTTTCAAGATAAAAAATTAAAGGTAAAATGCTACCAACATAATTTTGTTTTTTGTTGGTTTGTAGCAATTTATAAGCAATGTTATAAGAAATTCTATTTCATAGAACCCTCTTTGAGTTTTTTTCATTTTTGCAATTTTAATAAGCTACAAGTACATTTCAAAATATTTTTATGTGTTTATTAGGTGAGTTGAATTTTTTCCGTGTTAGTTCACTACATAGTTATATTTTCTTTTTTTTTTTTTTTTTTTTTTTTTTTTTTTTTTTTTTTTTGAGACGGAGTCTCGCTCTGTCGCCCAGGCTGGAGTGCAGTGGCGCGATCTCGGCTCACTGCAAGCTCCACCTCTTGGGTTCACGCCATTCTCCTGCCTCAGCCTCCTGAGTAGCTGGGACTACAGGCTCCCACCACCACACCCAGCTAATTTTTTTGTATTTTTAGTAGAGACAGGGTTTCACCGGGTTAGCCAGGATGGTCTCGATCTCCTGACCTTGTGATCCGCCCGCCTCGGCCTCCCAAAGTGCTGGGATTACAGGCTTGAGCCACCGCGCCCGGCCCTATATTTTCTTTTGTGTCTGTTTATGTCATTCCCCACTTGTCTATTAGGGCCTTAGTGTTTTTCTTATTGATTTATATTCATCTTTTATGTAATATGTGACTACTTTGGGGCATCTCTCTTTAAGTAACTATAATCTCCCTAAATACCTTGAACCATTTGGAGGACAAAGCCCAGGCAGGTTTACAGAATCTTTAGAAATGTTGTTGGTCCCTGCTTTCTCTCAGCATCAGACCGAATTTCATATAATATTATGAAATGCCTTTTTCCCATTTCAGTATTCTTCAATATCCTTCTGGCTCACTCCACCCCAACTCACTTCCCTACATAACACCATAACAATTCAGAGACCGTGACAAGCACCAGGACATTTTCAGAGAGGGAAAAGCAAGCTCTCAATTGGCTGGGCTGGAGCAATTGACTGGGCTGGAGCAGAGACTGGTTATGATACCATGACACAATCCAACTGCATGATCTCTGTGATTCTTGTGAACTATGCAGCAGCATGATGATGGTGTAGAGTAAGAGGTCAACTCTGGATGTTAGATCAAGGCAACATGACTGCCATGTCTCCAAATCTGTGTCGCATCCATTAGCAATTTGTGTCTTTTAAGACAGAAGCTCTCAAACTTTGGCAGTATCAGAATTGCCTGGAGAACTGATAACAAACACAAAGACTCAGACTCATTGAAGTAAATGAAGTATTGGCCTTTACAGGTATGCCAAGTTCCTCAGATGATTCTGTTACATATCAAAGTTTGAGAACCATTGCTTGAGAGTCATGAAATAAAAGGAAAATATTCCTAAAAGATGTGATTAAAAACCTTTATTAGCTTGAATTTTAGCTTGGATTATTCGAACAGAGTTGAGAGGAATCGTTTGCAAAAATGGCAATTAAGTAGGTATTTTGAGAGGCAGGATTCCTAACATGGGGAACAGAGCTCAGAAGGAAAAGCACAGGGTCAAAGGGGAGCTTAGTGCTGGTATAGGAAGGCATACTGTGAACTTAAGATGCTGAAATGGTTCTCTCTCCAGGAGTAGATCATCGTTCAGCAATAAACTTTTAAAAAACTGAGTATACTAATGTAAATGTCTATGTAACCCATACAGTGAAGGCATTACTAGTAGGTAAAATCAAAACACATCTTGGCCGGGCATTGTGGCTCATGCCTGTAATCCCAACACTTTGGGAGGCTGAGGGGGGCAGATCACTTGACCCTGGGAGTTTGAGACCAGACTGGGCAATGAGGCAAAACCCCATCCCTACCAAAAAATAAAAATAAAAAAATTAGCCAGGCATGGTGGTGGCATGTGCCTGTAGTCCCAGCTACTTGGAGGCTGAGGTGAAAGGTTGGCTTGAGCCCAGGAGACAGAGGCTGCAGTGAGCTGTGATCGTGCCGCTGCACTCCAGACTGGGCCACAGAGCCAGATCCTGTCTCAAAAACAAAACAAAACAAAGGGAAAGAAAAAAAGAAAGAAAAGAAAAAAAATCCCACATCTTTATTATGGTTTCCCAATGCCTCTTCAAAGCGCATTAAGTAGGTGTAATCCTCGCCCCTCCCATACGATAGTGGGCAGACCCCATGACTTTTACTAGCCAAGATAATATTCAAAACTCCACCTTATCTTTAATGGCAAACCTTCCTCCAGTTGGAGTGTGCTTTGGGCTGTCCACCTGTGGTGGGAAAGAGAGGAAAGGAGGTATGGTCGGTGTCTTCTCTCCACTTTGTGCCATTTCTCTTTTCTTCTCCCATCTCGGCTGGCCCACCATTTCTGACCTCTTGCTGTTGGAGGAATGCTAAGGAACAAGAAAGCTCTTACAGAATGGACACTGATGTAATCTGGTTTTGCACATTCTATGCCTGGTGGTTGTTCAAAACTGACGCTTTTCCTGGGGCTTGCTTGGGTCCTTTGGAAGACTGTTTTCCAGAAGACTTCTCTCCTACAGGTCATCGTACCTGGTTCATGCATCTCTAGTTGCATGCGTTCTTGGTGTTTACTTGTGACGCATTTGTAGCCCCCGTCTAGCTTCCTGCTGGTAGGGCCCTCCGCTCTCTAAGTGATCGTACTGGACAGAACCCCAAAGGACCCTTGGCTGGATCTCTCCCACATGGCACACATCTGCTCTACTGAAAATGCTCATGACTTTCCTGGCCCGAGAAGACTTGCTGATTCCAATACCACCTTACCCTGGTGCCCCAGGCTACTTTAGCATCGTTGGGCCAGAGTCAGGCAGCATCCTCTGGGTCTCCCAGCTCCATTTAAGTTCATGAAAATGGTCATTTAAGCTTTCTGAAAGGTGTCTTAAGAAGCCTTGTTAGAAGTAGCAGCCCTTCCTCATTTTTCTTCCCTATAAGCAGAAGTGGGAATTCTCCTTGATAAAATCCTCCCCCTAAAAATATCTTCAAAAATCTTGTGGAATCCAATAGTCATGGAAATGGTTCTCAGAATTTTCATGATAAGGTCTGCACATGGTGATCTGGTTTTGGAATACCCCTTTTGTTGTATTCGATTATCCCAGGGAAACTTTTTTTTCCAACATCCTGTTACTATAGTTTCAGATATCCTGCCATTAGGCCATATTTGGGGTCATAATTCAGGGCACTTTCGCCTGTATGGGGGGCCTCTTGGAAAGAGGAGCATATTATTGAAAACAGTAAGCAGTTAACGCTTTATTTTGCTTTATTATTTTATTGGTAAAATTTATTTCAATGCAAAACATATACAGAGACAAGTACACGGTGGTAAATGTATAGCTCAATAAATCTAATGAAATAAACACACCAATGTAACAGATCAAGAAAGAGGACATTACTAGCTTCCAGATGCCCTATCATGTGGCTTCCGAGTTTAGTTCCCTCAAAGATAATGAATATTCTGACTATTAATGTCATAGATCAGTTTTATCTTCTTTTGAAGTTTATGTAAGTGGAATCTTTTCTGTCTGGTCAATATCATGTTTCTGAGATTCATCTATATTGTTGCCTTTAGTTGGAGACTGTTCATTCTCATTACTGGATGGCCATCCTATGAATATACTTGGGCAGTTAATATTTGATCAATTAATTTCTTCCCTCAAGGGTAGCTCAAAAGTTGACCATGGCCTCCCTACACCATCCCTGATTTCAATCTGAATACACAGGAAGAGTCTCACCTTATTCTAATGACTTGCATTGAATATCAGAGCACAGAAGTTGGATTTTTTCCAATTTTTAAACAATGTGCAGAGGTAGGCTTTTTCAGGGTAGCAGTTTATTATTTATTTCCATACTTTGTGTTTTATCCCATCCATCTGCTCTTTCAATTTGGCTTAGAGTTATAGAATGTTCGAGCTGGAGAAACCACATTTTCTGAGAAACATTTTATATAAATTCTGATAACAGTTGTATGAACTCCTATTTCTTCAAGAATCATGATAAGTTTTATCACATAGGTCCCAAGAAAAATCTAGGTACAGTAACAACTGGAGATCAGGAATATTTTTCTAAATATTTCTTGCATTGTACTTTTATAATGAGTCTTTTTTCAATTAAAGTGAAAAGCATCAAAGCATGATAGATTTTTTACCTGAGAATAAAATGGTCTTTTCATTTATATTTGAATAAAAATTCAAATTTAAAACTTCACCATAAAATTCAGTAATGTTGACAACTTGTCAGCACCTACTTCATAGATTGATACCCACACTATAATTTAGAATGTGGAAGTTAAAATAGTATCTACACCCTGAATAATAAATAATATGCACTAAAGACTTTTCTTTTATGGAACTCTATTTGGCAAATGCTAAAATATCATTGGAATATTACTTTAGATTAGAAAATATTTTATTAATAATTCAGACACTGTGATATGGTTTGGCTGTGTCCCCCCCAAATCTCATCTTGAATTGTAGTTCCCATAATCCCCACATGTTACCCAGTGGGAGGTAATTGAATCATGGGGGCGGTTAGCCCATGCTGCTATTCTCATGATAGTGAGTGAGTTCTCATGAGATCTGATGGTTTTATCCAGGACTTTTCCGCCTTTTGCTCAGCACCTCTCCTTGCTGCTGCCATGTGAAGAAGGATGTGTTTGCTTCCCGTTCCGCCATGATTGTAAGTTTCCTGAGGCCTCCCCGAACTATGAGTCAATTAAATCTCTTTCGTTTATAAATAGCCGAGCACTGTGAGAATGGACTAATAAATACGAGTGTCTTAATCCATTTTGCATTGTTATAAAGGAATATCTGAGGCTGGGTAATTTAATAAAATAAGACATTTCTTTGACTCACGGTTCTTCAGGCTCTGCAAGAAGCATGGCACCAGCATCTGCTTCTGGTGAGGACCTCATGAAGTTTCCAACCATGGGGGGAGGCCAAGAGAGAGTAGGCATGTCACATGGCAAGGGAGGGAGCAAGAGAGAGGGGAGGAGTGCCATGCTCTTTTAGGCAGCCAGATCCCACAGGAACTAAGAGCGCGAATTCACTCAATCCTAACCTAATGACACCAAGCAACTCATGAGGGATCTGCCCCCCTGACCCAAACACCTCCAACTAGGCCTCACCTCCCACATTAGGGATGAAATTTCAACATGATATTTGGAGGGAACTAATATCCAAACTATGTCATAGAGGTATGTGTGTAACCTCATTCATTTATGCATTCATTCAACAAAATATGTAGTGAGCACCTGCTATGTGCCAGGCACTGTGCTAGGCTGTAGATATGACTCATAAATAAGATGAATATTGCCACAGTCCTTAGGAGCCTAGTGTAGTTGGGGAGTAAATAAGCAAACAGATAATTTCTTTTTTTTTTTTTTTTTTTTTTTTTGAGACGGAGTCTCGCTCTGTCGCCCAGGCCGGACTGCGGACTGCAGTGGCGCAATCTCGGCTCACTGCAAGCTCCGCTTCCCGGGTTCACGCCATTCTCCTGCCTCAGCCTCCCGAGTAGCTGGGACTACAGGCGCCCGCCACCGCGCCCGGCTAATTTTTTGTATTTTTAGTAGAGACGGGGTTTCACCTTGTTAGCCAGGATGGTCTCGATCTCCTGACCTCATGATCCACCCGCCTCGGCCTCCCAAAGTGCTGGGATTACAGGCGTGAGCCACCGCGCCCGGCCCAGATAATTTCTATACCTGGTAATTACTACTTTGATAGGGCAAAGAGGATTCTGTTTGTGCTGTAAAAGCACATGAAAAGTACAAAGTCAATCCTTGGGAGGTCATGGAATCTTTCCTAGGAAATGATATATAAGGTGGATAAAAAGGTAACCAGATACAGATGAGAAGAGAAGGTGGGCCAGAAATTTTGAAATACTGAACCAACTGGATGTCATTCACTGACATAGGGTAAATAGTATAGATGACTGGATTGGAAAAGGAAAAAGGAACTAAAAGTAATTAAATGAGCTGCAGACGTGAAAATGAACACTTGGGAAGTCCTGGCAGGAAGTCAGCAATAAGACAACATAATGAAGTGGAAAGTGGTTGGGAGTAAGGCTGACTTGGATTCAAACCCTGGTTTCACCACTTAATAGATGTGTTAAGTTGAACAAATCCTTTAACTTTTCAGAGCCTCAATTTTCCTCTTTGTAAAATACAGATAATAACATGGACACTATAAGGGTTTTGTTGTTGTTGTTGTTGTTTTGAGACGGAGTCTTGCTCTGTTGCCCAGGCTGGAGTGCAGTGCCTCGATCTTGGCTCACTGCAACCTCTGCCTCCTGGGTTCAAGCGATTCTCCTGCCTCAGCTTTCAGAGTAGCTGGGACTACAGGCGCGCGCCACCATGCCTGGCTAATTTTTGCATTTTTTGTAGAGACGGGGTTTTACCATATTGGCCAGGCTGGTCTCGAACTCCTGATCTCAGATGATCCGCCTGCCTTGGCCTCCCAAAGTGCTGGGATTACAGGCGTGAGCCACCGCACCTGGCCCAGACACTGTAAGTTTTGGGGAGGATTAAATGGGATCATCCATGTAAATGCGCCTATCCCAGTCTCTAGCACACACTGAACACTCAAAAATGGGAGGTTTTCGTATTTCAGAAGAAAATCAGGTGTCGGGGAGTGTTAGTAGTAACCTTGAACTATATGCAGAGACTAAAGCTAGGAAGATAGGAAGAGTTTTACAAGATCCTTTTGGCTATATAGTTAAAGTTATTAGCAGTTAGAGTTTCCCTTACAGTTGACAAGTGAACCATAAAAGTGAATGACTTGTGGTTCCTCAGATAAAAGCACGAGTCAGAGTTGTAATTTCTGTTTTGTGGACGTAATTGTTGACCAAGTGCACTGAAGGTAGGGATGGCCAGTAGCAAAATTATAAAGCAGGCCTGTTTGTCTTCAAACACTCCTGAGTAAACTTGTCATTTCCTTGTAAAAATGCAAAATAGACTACTGAGTAGAGGTGATCAATTATAGAAATGCACTTACTTTGGCTTTCTTCTGAAACCTAATAAAATGACAGTAAAGGGATTATTTTTTTAAGGCAGAAACCCACAATGATGATGAAATTAGAAAGGAAGACAAGAACAACAAGGTTGTGGAATTCAGAAGCCATAGAGACAAGAGGTAACACACCTGAGAAAGATGATCCCTAAGTTTGTCTTGGAGAAAACTCAGAAGTACCTGACTACATCGTAGACCTCCCAAACAGCTTCCAAATGTCAGATACCACTGAACATGGGGATAAAGGTAGGGTCAAAAATAGGAGGATTGGGTTATAAGTCTGTATAAGAAGTTGTTAGATCCCTACATCCTCTCTTCAAACCTGTATAGCCAGATAATGGTCCCTCTCCCAGCCTGGCAGAGGCTGGATAAGGTAAATAGAGAAAGTTACCTCCTGGAGAACATTTGGCACATTTGGGGATGGAGTTCAGTAATATAAATGAAGAGGTAGTGAAAATTTATGGGAACATTTATAACCTAACAGAACCCCATGTCTTCTACCCCATTCTAATTCCAGACCACTAGAGATCAGAAAATTATTCTCTGGGGTATCTGACCACTTCCAGAGGAAAGACATAAAGATGCTGATGTCAAGAATGACCCAACTAAACGGCCCAGCCACATGACCCAGTTGAAGCTGGTGGACAAGAAGTTTCATTCATGGAATCAGAACTTCCAATAAGGTCTTTTAGTACCTCACTCCTAAATTTGAATAGACTACCAAAGATTATCAGACATCTAAGGAGAACTACCAGCATGAAAGGTAGAGACCAAAGCAAACAAACAAACAAAGAAAATAATTTGGAACTAACCAAGACTATGCTGGGAGAAGAAAACTATTATTAATATCCACAGAGCGTAGTACAGCCACTATGGAGAACAGTATGGAGGTTCCTCTAAAGACTAAAAATAGAACCATCATAATTCAACAATCCCACTGCTAGATATATACCCCAAAGAAAGGAAATCAGTATATTGAAAAGATATCTGCACTCTCATGTTTACTGTAGCACTATTCATAATAGCCAAGATTTGGAAGCAACTTAAGTGTCCATCAACAGATGAACAGATTTTTTTTAAATGTGGTACATATACACAATGGAGTACTATTCAGCCATAAAAAAGAATGAGAAATGTCATTTGCAACAACATGGTTGGAACTGGAGGACCTTATGTTAAGTGAAATAAGCCAGGCCCAAAAAAGCAAATTTCACATGTTCTCACTCATTTGTGGGACCTAAAAATGAAAACAGTTGAACTCAGGGAGATAGAGTAAGATGATGGTTACCAGAGGCTGGAAGGGTAGTTGTGGTGGGAGGTGGGTGGTTAATGAGTACAAAAATATAATTAGATAGAATGAATAAATCTAATAGTTGCTAGCACAACAGGGTGACTACAGTCAACAATAATTTACCGTACATTTAAAATAACTAAAAGAGTATAATTGGCATGTTAGTTACACAAAAAAAGGATAAATGCTTGAGGCAACGGATATACCATTTACCTGGATTTGGTTATCACACATTGTATACTTGCATTAAAATACCTGCCGGGCACGTGGCTCATGCCTGTAATCCCAGCACTTTGGGAGGCTGAGGCGGGCAGATCACCTGAGGTCGGGAGTTTGAGACCAGCCTGACTAACATGGAGAAACCCCATCTCTACTAAAAATACAAAGTTAGCTGGGAATGGTGGCTCATGCCTGTAATCCAAGCTACTCGGGAGGCTGAGGCAGGAGAATCACTTGAACCTGGGAGGCGGAGGTTGCAGTGAGCAGAGACCGCACCATTGCACTCCAGCCTGGGCAACAAGAGCAAAACTCCGTCTCAAAAAAAAAAAAAAAAAATCTTATGTTCCCCATAAATATAAATACCTATTATGTACCAATAAAAGTAAAAAGTAAAAAGTTTCAATTGATTCACAACTTTAAAAAATATCCACAGAGGCGTAAGAGGAGATATTGTATTGCACCCACAAACCAGTCTTATGCTGTTTCAGAAAGGGACATTCAAGAAACAAAAAGGGAGCTCTGGGAAATTTGAACAATAAATAATAGTAGAATAAAAAATTCAGAGAAAGTTTGGATGATAAATTGGAGCCAATCTCCCAGTAAGCAGAGCAAAAATATAGAAAATGAGAGTTAGAAAAGAAAAAGAAAAAAATTAAAGGACTAAAATAAGAAGTCCAACATCTAAATAAGAGGCGATCCACAGAGAGCAACAGAGATAAGAGAAGAAAGGAAATAATCAATAAAATAATTCCAGAAAATCCAAGGACATGAGTTCTCAGATTGTAACAGACTACTCGAGTGAAAAAAAAAAAAAAAAAAAGAATGGAGTTAGACCCATCCCAAGTCACATTATTTGTGCGATTTTAAAATACCGATATATTAGTTTGCTAGAGCTGCAGTAACAAAACACCACAGACTGGGTGGCTTGAACAGCAGAAATTTGTTTTCTCATGGTTCTTGATGCTAGAAGTCTAAGATCGAGGCGACAGCAGTTTCGTTTTTTCCTGACGCTTCTCTCCTTAGCTCACAGATGGCTGTCTTCTAGTTGTGTCCTCATACTGTCTTCCCTTGGTCACTGTTGTCTGTGTCCTCGTCTCCTCTTCTTAAAAGGACACCAGTCATATTAGGTTAAGAATTGCCCATTAGACCTCATTTTACCTTAATTACCTCTTTAAAGGCCCCACGTCTAAATACAGTCATATTCTAAACTACTGGGGGTTAGGGCTTCACTGAGTGAATTTTGGTGGAAAGTGGGGCGGGGGACACAATTCAGCCTACAAAAACTGGAAACAAAGTGAAAATCCTATGTGTTTCCGTGCTCAGAAGACAGGAAGTAGTCATACCCAAGAGTCAATAATTAAACTGGTTTCTCACCAGCAATTTGGAGACTGGAAGTTGGAAGACACAGAGCAGTGCCTACCACATTCAAAAGAGAAAAGAGGCCGGGCATGGTGGCTCACGCCTGTAATCCCAGCACTTTAGGAGGCGAGGAGGATGGATCACCAGGTCAGGTGTTCAAGACCAGCCTGACCAACATGGTGAAACGCTGTCTCTACTAAAAATACAAAAATTAGCTGGGCATGGTGGAACACGCCTGTAATCCCAGCACTTTGGGAGGCCACAGAGGGCAGATCACCAGGTCAGGAGTTTGAGACCAGCCTGACCAACAAGGTGAAACCCCATCTCTACTAAAAATACAAAAATTAGCCAGACGTGGTGGCGCATGCCTGTAATCCCAGCTACTCAGAAGGCTGAGACAGAAGAATCACTTGAACCCAGGAGGTGGAGGTTGCAGTGACCCGAGATCGTGCCACTGCACTCCATCCTGGGTGACAGAATGAGACTCCGTCTCAAAAAAAAAAAAAAAAAAAAAAAGAGAGAGAGAAAAGAATTCCAACCCAGAATTCTCAACTTCACTGTGTCAGAGGATATGAAGTAAACAAATATTCATCTCTACATTTGCCAGTCCCTGTGGACTTAGACCAGATAGTATAAATAATAGTCACAAAAGGAGTATGAATGGGATAAGAAGCCACTTCTAGTCTGAGACAATTAAGAGTAGTAGTGCCTTCTCTGCACTCTCACCCCCTCATTCTGACAGCTGAAGTGAAGGACTCCCAACTTCTGGAACTGCCCAATGAAAGTAGCCTTGTGTGAGTGTTAGCTGGCCTGCTTTGGTCTGGGATGCAAGTAGAAATAAACTCCTCTCATATTAAGCCACTAAGACTTTAGGGATATGTTGCTGTAGCATAGCCTAATATAGCCTGATTACTGAACGAGCCACCCCATCAACTGAATCTATGTATATACTAAAAACATTTTAAGATATGCAAGGTCTCAAAGAGTTCACTCGATGCACGCTTTTTCTCAGGAAGCTACTAGAGGATGTGCTCTACAAAAAATAAAGGTATAAATTATGAAAGAGGAAAACATAGGATTTAGGAATCAAGGGAATTCAGCACAAGACAGAAGAAAAGGGAATCTGCAGCAAGATCCCTGAGCTGTGCATGTAACATAAAGGGCAACAATTTCCAACACAGAGCAGATCACAAGACCCGAGGATAGATTTCTTGAAGAAAATGAAATTAAAAGAATACTGGATTCATCTGAACATACGAAAAGGAGATTTAAGCAACTTTTTAAGAGCTTGGGAATGAATTAATGATAAATATATGGTATTATGCAACCAAAACTACAATAAAAACTCATTAAAAATTATAACTCATAAAATTATTAATTTCAGGGAAAATAAAAAGTTGAGTAGGAATGAAAAAAGAATCAGAGGATACTATAAAGCTCATCTGTGGATATTGTTTACGTAGTCATAATAATGAAAAAGAAATAATCTAACCAAAATTAAACGTTGGAAGTGTGGGGAGATAGAAATGGTAGAGTGTATTCGGTATTTATGTGTTGGGGAGGATACCTGTAAGTTTAACATTAGTGAGCTTTACTTTACTAAGGCTAAATAAACAAACTCAAGTGTCCAGAAAGGCTAGAGAAGGAGCTTACAAGAATGAAGCTATTGTGGTGTGATTCAATGGGGAATAGGTGAGGCATTGGCAACATCAATTTGTAGTATCCCTGCCAATTGATACTACAACATCAATTTGTAGTATCCCTGCCAAAATTTAACTATGGAAAATAGTTAAATTTTAATATGCACACATCTGTGGTTGTGGTTATACAGATATATATATATATAAAATAAAAATTTATATATAAATAAATACATAAACAAACTCAAGTGTCCAACAGGGCTAGATAAGGAGCTTACAAGAATGAAGCAGCTGTGATGTGATTCAATAGGGAATAGGTGGGGCCTTGGCAAACCAAAGAACATATTCTGTCTAAAGTGGATGGCCACAACTTGCTCCAGCTGTGGAAACTTGGGCCATGTACTGCTAGATCTAAGGATTTTCTTTTGAGAGATGCTAGATATATACGTTTTTTAAAAATAAAATTATCCTGATTTTAACAACATTGTGTTATTATATAAAACATACCTTGGAGGGTGTGGGTAAGACACAATGTCCTTGAAATTATATTTCACTGGGTTAATGAAATTGGCTCCGGAAGAAACTAATTTTAAACAGCAAACCAAAGAGTGAAGGCCTTCAAAACTAACAAACCAAAGGAAAACAAAACAAAATGACAACAAGAAAAAAACAAAGAAACAAAACCCCTGGACCTTACCATTTTTCTAAGGCATGTTGACATGATAAAATCAAAATTGCTTTGTGCATATAAGGATCAAAGGTTATGCTTTTGACTTTATAAATTCAGAGAAAGAATTTAATTGGAATTATTTTTATGAATTAACTGAAGATCTAAGGCAACTGGATAATTTAGGTTCTGCTACTATCTAGAATGTTCAAAGTTTATGTTTAGTCTGACACTAAAGAATCCATTATTTCTCTTGACTTCCAGGCTGGTCAGTGTCTTTCCTGTGTCATATACCAAACAATGTGTTAGAAATTGTCTTCTCACTCATAAACTAATATGTGTTCAGAGTAAAAAGGCAAGCAAGTAAATAATGAGAGAAAATTCAGTGTATTGTATAAACAAAGACAGAAGGCAGACCAATGGTTACCTGGGGCCAAAGCTAAAGAGATTAATTGTACACAGACACAAAGGAATTTTTTGGGATGGTGAAAGTGTTCTAAGACTGGATTGGGATGATTGTGGCACTACTGTATAAATGTTATTAAAACTCATTGAGTTGTACACTTAAATGAGTGGCTAAGTTGTGCCTTAATAAAGCTGTAATTTTGAAAAAGAATAATGGGTGATCAACTGTGAGCTAGAGTATGATGAAAACACAAGACATTTACATAGTTTCAAAGTATCTCCCCATCAGGTACTTATTAACTGCATCAGGGAAACAGTAATTTTATTGTGGCAGAACCCTGCTGACAAAGTTAACATTCTAGTAAAAGCACAGGTGGACGTCTTGTGCCTCCTGAAGTGATGCACAGAGAAGGATGCAACATCAACTTGTAGTATCCCTGCCAAAAATATATAACCTGAATTTAACCATGCTGAAACATAAGACAAATCCAAGCGAAGGAACATTCTACAAAACAACTGACCAGTACTCCTCAAGAGTGTCAAGGTCCTGGAAGACAAAGACTGAGCAATGCTTCTGATTAAAGTAGACTGAGAGGTGACAACTGAATGCAATGTGGGATTCTGGATTAGGTCTTGGCCCAGAAACAGGTCTTCGGTGGGACAACTGGCAAAATGTGAATAAGGTCTCTGGTTTTGTGAATGGTAGCGTATCGATGCTCATTACCTGCTTTTGATCATGGTAGTGATAGTAAGATATTAACATTCAGGAAAACACAGTGAAGGGTATATGTGAATCTCTACTATTTTTGTAACTTTTGTAAGTTGAAATTGTTTCAAAATGAGTTAGAAGATTAAAAGGAAGTTTTCTCTTTCAGCTGGGAAAACGGCAATGGATTAATAACAAGAAATTAATGGTGAAGTGGTGACTAAAATTCTACATTGCTTAGAAAGCAAGTAAGAAAATCAGTGGTTGTAGAGAAGTTCTTCCATGAGGTAATAAAAATAAAAACTGTGATGTTAAGCATTTTCTATTTTCTTTTCCTCCCCTCCAAATGAAACAGCATACTATTCTGCATGTTTTTCTACCTAACGATGTATCATTTTAACGACTCTTGTATTTTAAACCTAAAATTTTGATTAAGCTTCACTTAATATTAAAAAAGATAGTATAGGTCACGATGTTATTTGATGCAAACGTTGGAAAGACAGAATCTTCTTGATCCAAGAGCTTCTAGAATTCAAAGTCTGATTCTGGTTATTTCTCTGCTCATTTAAGATAGTGAAATGAACATTTACATTCTGGCAACCTCAGAAGTACAACGAACAGAGGACACCCGCCAGGTAGGGCAAAGGCCTGTGCACCCCCTTTTGCTGTTACATGTTTACCAGGTGCGTGCTCTGTTTCTGTTGTATTACATTACTTTTCTCTTCAATGTCTACTGAGGAAGAACAAGTAGCTCCTCAGGCAAGTCAACTGTTAACTCTGCAGTTTTTATTTAATCTCCCAGGAATGTAACCTTTAACTTTAAAGAATGTAGTGACCATAAAACTTATAAAGCATGTTTCTTAAGGAAATTGTACCTGTTTATTTAATCTATCAGATATGAATGTTATAGAAAATTAAATTTGTCCACTTAAGCTATAGATGAACTTTTCACCTTTCTGATCAGAAATTCACCATCTTATAGTATAGGTTCTGTTATTAATCAGAATATTTCATTTAGACTCTTTCTATCCAACTTTTTCTTAGAGGCTATTCAAAATAAAGGTGCTTCTAACAGTTTCATATCGAAATACGATGCAAAGCCTTGCTCTTCCATGGTATCCTTTGAGTGAGCCAAACTTATTTGGTCATTCCCCTATAGTTAAATAGCTAGGATGTTTCCAACATCTCACCTTTAAAACAATAGTGCTATGAATGTCATAAATGTTTGTATATGTAAATATGTAGGATAAATGCCTATCAGTAGAATTTCAAAAGGTATACGCAATCAGTATTTTCATACATATTTAAAATTTTCCATCCATACAAAGGTTGCTAACATATTTATTTAAAATTTTAAAAATAATTTTATATGCCTCTTGTAACCAGTAATAGGATGCAAAGTTTTTTTTTAAGGTAACATTGCTCCTCTTCCCCCACTGTCTCTGTCATCTATAGTACTCCCTGAGGTAGTTCATGTTATTGCAAGGGTGTGTATCATCCCAAACATATTGCTTCCACATACATATATCAGCATACATATATATATATGTATAGCATGTATATATGAGCACATATTAATATATGCCCATGCACATACAAGCATGTTTTTGTTAATTTTTACTGAAATGGAATCATGCTACATACTTATGAACAAATTGCTTCTTTCACCTTATATCACTTATAATTGTTATTCTACAAATCAGTACATATAAAAAATACATATTTACTTATGTAATACTCTATCTTTCTGTTATAATTTTCTGCATGCACATGTATGCATATACATATATTCATAAACATAAAAATCTAAACGGGATTTTTTTTGGGGGGGTGATATGGTTTGGCTGTGTCCCCACCCAAATCTCATCTTGAATTCCCATGTGTTGTGGGGGGACCCGGTGGGAGGTAATTGAATTATGGGGGCAGGTCTTTCCTGTGCTGTTCTCGGGATAGTGAAAAAGTCTCACGAGATCTGATGGTTTTAAAAAGATGAGTTTCCCTGCATAAGCTCTCTTCTCCTGTCTGGTTCCATGTGAGATGTGCCTTTTGCCTTCCGCCATGATTGTGAGGCCTCCCCAGCCATGTGGAACTGTAAGTCCAATAAACCCCTTTCTTTTGCAAATTGCTCAGTCTCAGGTATGTCTTTATCAGCAGCATAAAAATGAAACAATACAGTAAATTGGTACAAGTAGAGTGGGGCGCTGCTGAAATGATACCTGAAAATGTGGAAGAAACTTTGGAACTGGGCAACAAGCAGAGGTTGGAACAGTTTTGAGGGCTCAGAAGACAGGAATATGTGGGAAAGTTTGGAGCTTCCTAGAGACCTGTTGAATGACTTTGCCCAAAATGCTGACAGTGATATAGACAATAAAGTCCAGGCTGAGGTGGTCTTAGATGGAAACAAGAAACTTGTTGGGAACTGGAGCAATGGTGACTCTTCTTATGTTTTAGTAAAGATACTAGGGGCATTTTGCCCCTGCCATAGATATATGTGGAACTTTTAACTTGAGAGAGATGATTTAGGGTACCTGGCAGAAGAAATTTCTAAGCAGCAAAGCATTCAAGAGGTGACTTGGGTGCTGTTAAAGGTATTCAGTTTTATAAGGGAAGCAGAGCACAAAAGTTTGGAAAATTTGCAGCCTGACAATGTGCTAGAAAAGAAAATCCCATTTTCTGAGGAGAAATTCAAGCTGGCTGCAGAAATTTGCATAAGTAACAAGGAGCTGAATGTTAATCCCCAAGACAATGGGGAAAGTGTCTCCAGGGCATGTCAGAGTTCTTCATGGCAACCCTCCCATCACAGGCCCAGAGGTTTAGGAGGAAAAAGTGGTTTCGTGGGCTGGGCCCAGGGTCCCTCTGCTGTATGCAGTCTAGGGACTTCATACCCTGCATCCCAGCCATGAATGAAAGGGGCCAAAGTACAGCTCTGTCTGTTGCTTCAGAGGGTGCAAGCCCCAAGCCTTGGCAGCTTCCACATGGCTTTGAGCCTGTGGGTGCACAGAAGTCAAGAATTGAGGTTTGGGAAACTCCGCCTAGATATCAGAAGATGTAGAAGTTTGCGGTAGGGGTGGGTCCCTCATGGAGAACCTCTGCTAGGGCAGTGTGAAAGGGAAATGTGAGATTGGAGCCCCCAAACAGAGTCCCTACTGGGGCACCATCTAGTGGAGCAGTGAGAAGAGGGCCACTGTTCTTTAGACCCCAGAATGGTAGATCCATGGACGGCTTGCACTGTGCACCTAGAAAAACCACAGACACTCAATGCCAGCCCGTGAAAGCAACCTGGAGAGAGGCTGTACCCTGCAAAACCTCAGGGGCAGAGCTGCCCAAGACCATAGGAACCAACCCCTTGCATCAGCATGACCTGGATGTGAGACATGGAGGCAAAGGAGATCATTTTGGAGCTTTAAGATTTGACTGTCCCACTGGATTTCAGACTTTCATGGGGCCTGTTTCCCCTTTGTTTTGGCCAATTTCTCCCATTTGGGATGGCTGTATTTACCAAATGCTGTACCCCCATTATATCTAGGAAGTAACTAACTCGCTTTTGATTTTACAGCCCCGTAGGTGGAAGGGACTTGCCTTGTCTCGGATGAGACTTTGGACTTTGGACTGTGGACTTTTGAGTTAACGCTGAAATGAATTAATACTAAAATGAATTAAGACTTTGGGAGACGGTTGGGAAGCCATGACTCATTTTAAAATGTGAGAACATGAGATTTGGGAGGGGCTGGGGTGGAATGGTATGGTTTGGCTGTGTCCCCACCCAAATCTCATCTTGGATTCCCATGTATTGTGGGAGGGACCCAGTGGGAGGTAGTTGAATCATGGGGGCAGGCCTTTCTCATGCTGTTTTTGTGATAGTGAATAAGTCTCATGAGATCTGATGGTTTTGAAAAGGGGAGTTTCCCTGCACAAGCTCTCTTCTCTTGTCTGCTTCCAGGTGAGACATGCCTTTCACCTTCCGCCATGATTGTGAGGCCTCTCCAGCCATGTGGAACTGTAAGTCCAATAAACCTCTTTCTTTTGCAAATTGCCCAGCAGTGTGAAAACAGACTAATACAGTGGGAGATTACTTCTCCATACCCTCTTTGTCTGCCAACCATATCACCTCTGCTGTTTCCTCTCCCCAAAAGGTAACCCATGTTAACCTCTGATTATGATCAAATAATTGTATGTATTTATTTATATAAATACCATTTCTTTATATATTTTGAACATATTAATGCATACACAAGTGTGCTAAAGTTTATATTTCTACTGCTGTCACCATCTGTAGCTTGTATGATTTACAGAATTTCATGAACAAAAATACATGAAGTAAAAGGAACCATTATGATGTAAAAGCATATAGATTAATAATATTCTGCTTACTAACAGTTTCTTTTTTCTTTTTTTTTCCTTTGGAGATGGAGTTTCTCTGTTATCGCCCAGGCTGGAATGCAATGGCACGATCTTGGCTCACTGCAACCTCCATCTCCTAGGTTCAAGTGATTCTCCTGCCTCAGCCTCCCGAGTAGCTGGGATTACAGGAGTGTGCTATCACACTAGCAGATTTTTGTATTATTAGTAGGGACACGGTTTTACCATGTCGGTCAGGCTGTTCTCAAACTCCTGACCTCAGGTGATCCACCTGTCTTGGTCTCCCAAAGTGCTGGGATTACAGATGTGAGCCACCGTACCCGGCCTACCAGTGGTATTACCCAGGGATATGAATAGCTAAGCTATACTTTAGGCACAAACCAGCACTATTATCAAGATGCAATATGTGAACTCATCTTTCTTCTAGCATCAGTTCAGAATTAATTTTAATCTGTGTATTGTATACTGCTGCCAAAAACTCATTAACCACAATTAAATTATGAAAGTACATGTGTAAATTTATGGATAGCAATACACAATCCAAAATATGAGTTTGCTATAAAAATACAGTATATGGGTAGAATCAAATTAATTATAAGTAACCAGAACTGTTAATAAGAAATTAATATTAAAATATATTGAATTTGATATTTCCATAACTGAAGTAAACTAATTCAATAAGCGAAGCTAACAAGTCTAAAATATCAAAGGAGAATAAGAATAAAGTTTATTATTAAACATACAAGCTATGGCTAATCAACATACTTTCTTATATTTCTTGATAATATGTTGAATTTACTTTCGAGCATGTTTTGAAGAGGTAGTTAGTCAATCTTTATGTCCCTTTTGAAGA
Source organism: Homo sapiens (assembly GCF_000001405.40). Taxonomy (NCBI): domain Eukaryota; kingdom Metazoa; phylum Chordata; class Mammalia; order Primates; family Hominidae; genus Homo; species Homo sapiens. The sequence goes on along the minus strand of NC_000009.12, from coordinate 187,310 downwards.
TATGATGAAATAGTTACATCTCTATTATGGAATAACATGAAGTGGTTTAAAAAATGAATGATGTATGGTCTGGCACGGTGGCTCACACCTGTAATCCCAGCACTTTGGGAGGCCGAGGCAGGTGGATTATCTGATGTCAGGAGTTCAAGACCAGCCTGGCCAATGTGGTGAAACCCCATCTGTACTAAAAATACAAAAATTAGCCAGGCGTTGTGGCGGGTGCCTGTAATCCCAGCTACTTGGGAGGCTGAGGCAAGAGAATTGCCTGAACCTTGGAGGCAGAGGTTGCAGTGAGCCAAGACTGCACCATTGTACTCCAGCCTGGACACCATGAGCAAAACTTCGTCTCAAAAAAAAAAAAAAATAAAAGATGAGTGATGTATTTCTAATTCTAGTGAGAAGGAAAGAGTATCAGTGCATATTGTCAAGTGAAGAAAGCAAGCTCCAGAACAAAGCCTATGTATGTTCCTAGTTATTAAAAACAAAAGCCACATATGTATACAAATGTACTCTATCTTTCTGTTATAATTTTATGAACGCACATGTATGCAAATACATATATTCATATACATAAGACTTAGTCTAAACAGGAATATTCTTTCAGGAGGGAATCTTGCTTCTCCCACAGAAAAATACCTAACATGGCAGGGGCAAAGATAATATTGGACCAAAAAAATCTGGACCTATGTCTATTAAATTGCTCACAATGTTTATATAATATCGGTGAAGGGAAGTAAAACTGAGGTTAGTGAAAGAGACTCCACGTTTTACCCTAATACTTTTCTACTGTTTGAATTTTTTATAGTTATAATACATTCAGGTATAATACATAATTTATATATAAATACTATATATACATACATACACACACATATATATATGTGTGTATATATATATTTTAATAAGAAACAAGGTCTTTCTCTCTCACCCAGGCTGGAGTGCAGTACAGTGATCATAGCTCACTGTAACCTCAAACTCCTAGGCTTGCGTGATCCTCCCACCTCAGCCTCCTGGGTAGCTGGGACTACTGGTGCATGCCACCATGCCCAGCTAAGTTTTAAAATTTTTGTAGAAACAGGGTCTTGCTATGTTGCCCAGGTTGACCTTGAACTCCTGGCCTCAAGAGATCCTTTCCCCTCAGCCCCCCAAAGTGCTTGTATTACAGGCATGAGCCACTGTGCACAGCCTACTTACATTATTTAAAAAACAATTAATCAAATAAGTTGGTTAGGATTAGTTTCAGTGGCATAAACAGAAACTTAAACAATGTGAAAGCTTATTTCTGTCTCCTTCTGCCAGGTGAACACACAGTGTTCATCCCCTCAGGAGGACACAGCTTTTGAGGTACCATCTTGGAAGCAGAGACCAGCCCTCACTAGACAAAAACTTCCTGGCACCTTGATTTTGGACTTCATAGCCTCTAGAACTGTGAGAAATAAATTTTTATTATTTATAAATTACCCTGTATTGGATATTTTGTTATAGCAGCACAAAAGGTCTAAGACAATGACTGAAGGACAGAGCTATAGGACTCAAAAGACCCTGGTCTAGAAGCCAGAAAGACCTGGCTTTGCCAGTACCATGGTATTTCAATTAAGTATGATTAAACACTCTTCGAGGGAATAGAAAGGGGAAGGAAGAATGGAGAAGGATCATTAGTTTCATGCCTTTTACTTACGTTTAAGGAATTATAAGCAGGTGTCTATGGATTTTGGAATATCCTTCTCTAACACTATAAAAATTAGAAAGTGAAACTTATAGCCACAAATGTCAGTTAAAAATTTCTAATGACAATGGAAGAAATTATTTAGACTCTCTCCTAAACTATTACACCATACATCATTGCAAAACATTTTTTTTCATTTTGCCCAACCTCCGCTCCTGTCATTCCACCACTCCTATAGTATCTAAAATATAGTTTCTTTTAGAGAGATTGGTGCACCACTCAACTTGTCAGCTTGAGGGCTTTGAATGGTGTTTTCTTTTTTTTTTTTTTTAATTTCATGGCAAGCTGACTTACAAGTGACTCAACTGTAAGCTAAGACTTATTAATAGAATGGTTTAACCACCAAAGATAATGAATTCAAACAATGTTACTTGCAGCCTTTAATGTCACAGCCCCTAAAAACATTGAAATGTACATTTTTCACCTGCTAGTCATCTTCAGTATTCTGGAGAGGAAATATTCTTTCCTGTCCTTACAGTGGTTGTATATCTTAAAAGACGACTATATGACACTTGAATATTGATATTCAACCTTAACCAAAGCAGTCACAAGAATACAAGCCATTGGCCTCTGGCCTTTTAGATATGTTCCCAACAAGTTCATGTGTACCCAATGAAAAATGTTAAATAAACTGATAAACTTTAAACATTTAAAAATATTTTATTTATTTACTTGCCACAGCTAGATAAGAGGAACTGGGTTAATTTTGAAACTCTCAGTTTCCTTTCCTCTAAACCAGTAGCTATTGCTGGCCACTAGTATGTTGTTTCCTTTGCAGGAAGTTGCAAAAATGAGAAAGAAAAAAACGAAAAACAAAACCAAGTTGGTATTATTTTTAGCTTTCTTCTTATTTGGATATAGCTACAGTTCTTTTTCTTATGGTGATTAACATAACTATTCAAGAGAGAAGAACCAAGCAAAGGGGAGTAGTAGGGAATTAGTAGGGAATTGTGCCAAAGGACATATGGCAAGGTTATTGTCAGAAAGCTGAGCTGCTGAAATCCAGACAGTTTAAGAGCTTATCTGCTCTGCTCTGCTCCCACCTAGGCGGACTCCTACTACAATGCAAAGACTCAAGTTTCACCTTAATTAGGTCTTTCCCAGGCCAGGTATTAGTGACCTTGGGAAAAAAGTTTAAGCTTCTCAGCTTCAGATCTTCCTCTGAATATTAGCACTGTGGTAATTGGCACAGTGGTACCTAACCCTTTGAGGGTCCAGGATTGTTTTAATGGTGAGTGATTTACAAACTGAGTTTAAAAGAGCAAGGAGGATCCAATTTTGCAAAATTTCATTAACTCTGCTTAAGAAAACAGTATATTATATTAGCTTAGATCAGGAGTTGGGAATCTATAGCCTGCTACCATTTATTGTGTAGCCTGCAAATGGTTTTTACATTTTTAATACATTGGAAAAAAAATTAAAGAAGATTATTATTTCGTGATGTGAAAATTATACATGTTGAAAGGAAAACTTTAGAGTTTAATTGAGTAAAGAATGATCTGTGAATTAGGCAGCCCCCAGAACCAGAGTAGGGTTGGTTACAGCTGAGCATTTGCCTTATTTGAACCTGGTTTGAAGAGTTGGCTGCCTGTGGTTGGCTGAAGTTCAGCTGCTGTGATTGGCTGAGACTCACTACTTGTTACAAGAGTAGGTTACATATCAAGTTTTACATATCAAGTTGAAATATAGTTTTTTATGTACTGGGAAACCTTTAGGGTAAACTTAAAATATGTAAGGAGGCAGCTTTAGGCCACAATGAATTTAACAATTCCTCCTTTTGGTCAACCTGTCAATTTTGAGAGGATGATTAATTTTGAGGTTGCCCAAAACTTTAGGCATTGACATCACTTTTTATCATCATAAATAGAGTTATTTGGTCTCTAATCCCATTGGAAAATAGCAGAACACTGGATTTTGTAAGGTGGGAACAAGGAAACAGTATAGAAAAAAAAAAAACTGATTGGTTAACATCAGATTACTTTTTTATTTTTTTGTCACCCAGGATGGAGTGCAGTGGCACAATCTTGGCTCACTGCAACGTCACCTTTTGGGTTCAAGCAATTCTTCTGCCTCAACCTCCCGAGTAGCTGGGACTACAGGCGTGTGCCACCACACCCAGCTAATTTTTGTATTTTTAGTATAGATGGGGTTTTGCCACGTTGGCCAAGCTGATCTCAAGCTCCTGACCTCAGGTGATCCACCCGCCCTGGCTTTCCAAAGTGCTGGGATTACAGGCATGAGCCACTGTGTCTGGCTGAGATTGCTTTTTTGTAAGTAATCTGTTGTTACTTTGGGTTACTTTTCTGTAAGGGATAGAGCAGAGAGGACTTCCTTATTATACTGGAATCTTCTGTCTTCAGGAGAAGAAAAAAAACTCGTCTATTTTGGGACCTGTTTTTTAACGTTTTAGTTTGATTTTGTGGTGCTTACCATGAGTGACTCCATTTTGGTTTGGTCTGGTCTGCTTGGGATTAGTGCAGGAGCTCAGTCCAAAACAATGGCCTCTCATAATTTTGTTTAATACATGAAATTCAAATTTCAAACTTGTAGACATTTGCTCTCTCTCTTATATTATATAAGTACCTACACAATGTCCTCAAATTTGCTTTTTGATCTGTAAAGACTAAGATATTTATCATCTAGTTTTACAGAAAAGTTTGCAGATCTTCTGGTTTAAAAGAGCAGGAGATTTAGTGTCAGGCAGGTTTGGATTGAGCCCAAGGGCTGCCATTTACTGATTGTATGACTTTGAGCAAGGTATTTATCTTTTCTAAGCCTCAATTTCCTCATCTATAAAATGGGCACACAAATAGTATTTACCTTGGAGAGTTAAATGGGATAATGCATTTAATGTGCTTCACACAGTGCCTATCAGATGCTTACGGGCTCCACACATTACTATTGTTGTTGTTGTTGTTTTACCGTAAAGTAAATGAGACAAAATAGCAAAGCTAAATGAGGAGGAATTTTTAAGTTACATCAGAAACTGTAATAGATTCTAAAATATTATAATTAAGAAATTTCATACTTATTTAAAAAGGCATTTTCAATTTAACAATTTAACAATTTAACCCTCTTATAAGTTAAAAAAAAAAAAAAAAAAGCCCGGCACAGTGGCTCACGCCTGTAATCCCAGCTCTTTAGGAGGCTGAGGTGGATGGATCAGGAGGTCAGGAGTTCAAGACCAGCCTGGGTAACGTGGTGAAACCTCGTCTCTACTAAAAATACAAAAATTAGCTGGGCGTGGTGGTGCATACCTGTAATCCCAGCTACTCAGGAGGCTGAGGCAGGAGAATCACTTGAACCCGGAGGCAGAGGTTTCAGTGAGCCAAGATCGTGCCACTGCACTCCAGCCTCAGCAACAGATCAAGACTCCATCTCAAAAAGAAAAAAGAAATAAAAATAAAAAGTCATGCCCAGCTATTTTGGGAGAACTGAAATTACAACTCTATCTGAGAAAATAAAATGACAGGACTCCACAGAATCCATAGATAAAAATTTAACTGAAGAGGAATATGGAACAGACTAAAGGAAAAATTTTATCAAGCTGTAATCTTTATACTTGTGCCTGAGGCCAGAACTTGAAACTGCTGAAGACAGTGTTTCTCTACAAATGTACACAGGCACCCCATTTTGATGCACAGATAGGTGTTTATTTCTTTTAAGAATAGCAGCTTTATTGAGATAAATTTCACATATGATACAGTTCACCAATTTAAAGTGTACAAGTCAATGGTTTTCAGTATAATCAGAGTTGTACTACCATCACCATAATCAATTTTAGAACATTTTCATCACTGCCCAAAAACCACTGTAGTCTCTCCCCAGCCCTCCACTCCTGGGAACCATTAATGCACTTTCTGTCTCTATAGATTTGCCTATTTTGGATATTTTATGTAAATGGGATCATACAACGTGTGGTCTTTTGTGAATAGCCTTTTTCACTTACCATAATGTTTTCAAGATTGGTTCATGTAGTAGCAGGTATCAGTCCTTTTTCCTGTTTATTGCCAAATAATTTTCCATTGTACGGATAGATCATATTTTGTTTATCCATTTGTCACATTTTAGTTGTCTATCAGTTGATAGATATTTGTGGTGCATTTAATTTTTGGCCAATGTGTAAAACTTATTTTGCTGTCACTGAGGCTACATACTGTTACAACAATGCTATTTGGTCAACTTGACTGAGCTGGCCTCATAGGTTACAGGCTGCTCATTGTTAGAGATGAGACTTTAGACCAGACTGGACAACATAGTGAGACCCTGTCTCTACCAAAAGGAAAAAGAAAAATTAGCCAGATGTAATGGCATATGACTGGAGTCCCAGCTACTTGGGAGGCTGAGATGGGAGGATCACCTGAGCCCAGGAGTTTAGGACTGCAGTGAGCTGTGATCGTGCCAATGCAATCCATGCTGGGCGACAGAGTGAGACCCTGTCTCAAAAAACAGAAAGAGGGATTTTAGTATAACATTCAGCCAGTGCCATATTGGGAACCCACAAGAATGTACTTTAAAAAATATGTCAAAGAAGGTGGTGAGGGCTGTAATAGCTGCTATTCAGGCAGTAATGCAGTGCTGAAGGGACATCAAGCAAATAGTGTGATGCCTGTGGGTGCAATGTTACTCCTTCCCTTAGGTTGCCAAAAAAATCAATACTTCATAGCATTCCTGAAACGAAAAAGCTTATGAACCATTGTGTTTAGGGTGTAAGCTATCTATTTTGGGCTACCCATCACAGCTTCTCTCCTTTGGTAGAATAAAGTGAACTGAACCACCACGCCTAAGGTATTTGCCTTATTTCTTCCTCAGCTGGTTCATGGTTACATTGTCAAAGCTGGCAAAGCATTCAAGACCTGATTTCTCAGACCGAGTGTATGTGTGAATATAATATACTCATTTGCACAAATATAAACCCTCTGTCTTAACTGTGTTCTGCAAAAGGCGTGATAAATACTTTCAAGTTATATGTCCTTATCAGTAGAACTAATGGAATACACACAGTATATTTTATGGGGAATTTCAGAGAAGGAAGGAAAAGTCAACCTTTTATTTGGCATCAGGATAGTAGTAAAACATTCTACTTGTGCATCAGATAGATTTTTATGACCTAACCTGGACAAGTAACTTAACTCTTGGTGCCTCATGTTTGAAAGAGGGATAACACTCTACAGGGTCATTCTAAGAATTAAATATTGCCAAAACACATGAAAAGATTCTCAACCTTGTTAGTAATCAAGGAAATGCAAATGAAGATCACAATGAAGTCTTCTTTTGTACACAATTGATTGGTGAAAAATGCATGCCTGATAATATTGACCTACAGACCAATGAGATCTCTTATAATTTGCTGGGAAAATGTATCAATTTGTACAAACATTTTGAAAAATAATTGTGCATTTTCTTGTGAAGTAAAACATTTGAATAATCTAGGACCCAGCAATTCAACTCTTACACAGACACTCAAGAGGAAGTTGCACACACATATATCAGGAAAAATGTTCATAGCAGCCCTGTTCATAAGAGCAAAACCTGGAACAATTGAGAGGAAATGAATAAATTGCCGTGTAGCCACACAATAGAATACAAGACAGCAGTGATGCTGAAAAGTATAGCAAGCCTCAGGAGTTTATATATTATATGGATAATTTTATGAAGCTCAAAAACACCCAAAATTAAACAACATATTCTCTAAGTACGTACGTGGGATATGTGATAAAATTAAAAAGAAAACAGGGAATGATCAGCAATCCAGAACCAATTCATGACTGTTGTTACTATCTTATGGGGCAGGCTGTGGATTGGAAGCAGGGGCGGTGCACATAGGTACGTGTAACTTACTGGTAATGCTTTTACGTTAGGAATGACGTCAAAGGAGTTCACTATAAATTTATATTAGAAAGAAGGGCTATCTATGGATTAGTGATGAGAGTGTCATGCACCAGCAAATATGATTAATGAACTTAGGTTACCTGAGGTCCAAATAAATAATGAGAAAAAAGTAAATAAAAGTGATGCATGAATACTAAAAATTTGGAATTACATATATAATATGTAATAATAAAAAAAGAAAAAAGTGTCACTGGTTATCCTTCAGGTATAAAAATTACAATTAAAATTATAATGTTATAACCTTCCATTCTTTCCCCTATGAATTAAAACTTTTTTTTTTAACGAGACTAAAAAATCAAGGTGATAAAATCTATGCCCTGTGGGAACTGGTTAGGTCAGGCTACCCACTCCAGATTTCCAGCAGACTGGCCTCAGCTCTACCTACAGCCAGTAGCTTATTAAGGCTCTAGGCGCCAGTGACACCTTCAGACAGGTGGTTAGTGCGCCCTAGGGACTCTCCGCAGCGTCGCTCAGGTTCACAGAACACGCCCAGGGGCGTGTCCAGCTGTCGTCGGGGAGAGCCCACCTCCCCGGGGGGTGTGGCTAAGGGGCGAGGCGCTTCTCGTCCAGAGCCCAGGTAATCCGGGCGGGATCAGCGAGCGTCGCGATGTGATGACGTCAGGCCCCGGGCAGGCCGGGAGTGGCGTGCTGGGCGTGCGCGGCTGCGGTACGGCGTGTTGGTCCCAGCGGTTCAGCTGAGGTAGGGACGTGCTGTAGGCCGGAATGTTACCGGCTGTTGGATCTGCGGATGAGGAGGAGGATCCTGCGGAGGAGGATTGTCCTGAATTGGTTCCCATTGAGACGACGCAAAGCGAGGAGGAGGAAAAGTCTGGCCTCGGCGCCAAGATCCCAGTCACAATTATCACCGGGTATTTAGGTAACTAACCATCCCAGTCACAAAATGGCGTGACCTCTGGTGTCATGGGATTTTGCGGGCTGCCGGTGCCTCTTCTCCTGAGGCATTGGGGCCTCATGATCAAGAGCAAATGTCTTCGAGGTCGGGGCTGGGTCACTTGCTTCTCGTATGGGTTGCCTCTCATCTTGGGAGTTAATGATGCCCGGCCCCCTCTGCGTTAGATTCCCATTTCTCAAGTGAGATGGAAAGTTAGCCTTTGAAGCAAGGCTTTGACGCTAAGACACGCCCCCCTAATTGTCTCTGTGACCTCTTACCAAGTTATCTTACCTTCCTGACGCTCATCTACCTCACCTGAAAATGGAGAAATACCTGTCACCTGTGAAACAGGGCCGGAACCACCTACCTGTTGCCATTAAAGGATGTCCCGTCTGTAAAATGCCCGACACGTGGGGCTTTCGTCAGTAGATTCCCCTTCCCCACGAGCCAGAGTCCTCCAGCCAGCTGGCAGGGAGCGCTCCTATCTTAAACACTTTTTTTTTGAGGTCTGTTTGTAAACCACTGCGTAGGAAGTAAGAATAAAATCTCTGTCCTCCAAGACTATTTCTCAAACTAAGAACGTTTAGAGTGTACAGGGATACTCGAAACCACAAGTTTGTGAACTTGGTAGTTTCGTGAAGGGCGGTTTATGCACTTACACTAGAAGTTTCTTACTGGAAAAGTTTGAGAAATATATTTTTAAACCTTACAGTTAAATAGAAGGGCTAGAACAAATATATGGCTGTATTAGAAGTTTGGAAAAAGTTAAGAAATATAAATAAAATACTGTTTCCGGGAAATAATATTCCTAGTTGTTGCTAGAGACAGGTACAGACTTGGGCCACTTCGTGACCTTTTATGTAAAAATAAGAAATAACTGCTTTTGTTTTTTTTAAAAACTTTGTAGACTGTAAGTTTATTCCCGTTTTTTGCTCGGAAGTAATTTTATAAAGGAATTTATTTTTGGCGTTTCCCCACAGTTATTCAGAGGCTGCTCTGCTGAGAAGATGAACAAATTTCTTGTCCAAAACAATGTATTTCAAACGTGCCGCTCGGGCCTTTCCCGTATTGCTCACTGGTAGGTCAGTAGATCACTGGAGAAAATGATCTGAAGCTCAGGAGTGAGAATTAATACCAGCAACCTTGTTGCTGAATCTAGGGATAGTTTCACTCCTATCCCTGACCATTTTCCCTTTTTGAAACGCTGTTCTTTTGGCTTCTACTACATTTTTCTTCTGATTTTTCCACCTGCTTCTCTGGCTTCTTTTTAAGGCTCCCTCCTCCTTCCCCCTTTGTCCATCTTTAGCTACACACCTGTGTAATTTCTATTTTGATGTCCTACAACTTAAAACTTAACATGTCTGAAACTTCGTCTGTTACCATCCCCCCAAATCCTGCTTCTGTGATCCCAACCATTTGGAATACTCTAAAAGCCTCCTGACTAATCTGGAGTCTTGCTGCCCTTTAATTTATTCGTTGCATGTTAGCCTTAATGATCTTTATAAATGTCAATCCGACTGCGTCACACCTTTCAGTGGCATCCCTATGGGTTAAAATCCAAATTCCTTAACATGAATTACAAGGACCTGTAGGATCTGGATCTTGCCAACCTTTCCAGCCTGCCAAATTGGCCCCGCACAATGAACTAATGTTACTTCAAAGGTGCCAAGTGTTTTAGCCCCTTGGAATAGGTACTTTTTTACTGTGACTCCTCTGGCTAGATGTCCCTCTTAGGTTCTCCATAGCAATTTGTGCATCTCCTATTGAATATGTCACCCTGTGACATAATTGCCTCCTTATTCACTGAATTCCCCTCCATTCCCCCCTTCCCTTGATATTTCTAAGCTCTATGAAGGCAGAGACTATCTTGTTCACTTTTTCACCAAGGCCCAGCATAAATTTGTAACGTATTAGAAACCTTCGAATGAATGAGCTATGTCTTAAAGTGTTTTTTTTTTTCATAATATGGTTAAAAAGCCCTAGTAAATCTTCTCTTAGAAGATTTCTTACATTCACCCTTTCCTTTCAGTTTTCACATCACTGCCCTGTGAAACACTCATGTTCAGGGCCTCTGTCTCAGGCTTGGACTGGTTTTAAGATTTTCCTCATTGCCCTAAGTCTCTCTCTTCCATTCTATACTTCATATTTTTGTGATGTTGAGCTTCCTAAAGTACTCTAAATATAAGCCTTCATCTGTTAAAAAGCTTTGAAAGGAATATGACCTAAAAGATATTAATACCCTAATACTCCGTAAAATCTTCCTAGTTATAGGAAGATCTAGTTATATACTAGAAAACTTAATGTATTTCAGAAGACATGTATAGCCTACATGTAAAAGTTTTTAGCAGCACTGTAATAGTAAAACACTGGAAACAAACCAAATGTCCAACAAAAAAAAAAGATAAAGAAATGATATAGTCATACAATTGAACTACAATACTATGCAGTTAGGATTTTCTTTTTTTCCTCTATGAATTTTAGTGTGTACGGTTCACAAGACTATTTTTTTTCTACTGGAGATTGACATATTGGGTTTTATATGCCACCTGCTGGATAAAGTTGGTATAGCTTTATGAATTTATCTTACTGAACATTCTGTCCATTGTTGACACTACCTGGCTCTATTCCCCATTTCATAAAAACTTTTATAGATTGTTTAAAGCATACTATAAGTAGCCATATAGTCAGCCTGAAGTTGCGTCTTGTTAATGTTGAAATAAAAGGTCATTATAAATAAAAGATTGTGTGTAAATTTTAGGGAAGGTTAGGCTAGGTTGAAGAAGCTGTTTCAACTTGTAGGAGTGTTTGTAAATATTTATAAAATTTTATGTCTACATAAAGTATTTTGCAACAGGTTTCGAAGGATGCTTTAATCTTATCCTCTAGGATATTCTATGCTAAAATAATATATGAAAAATAGCACGCAAATTCTCAAAAACGTTAGGATTCTTTATATGTTTTTTGTATCTTTAAAATTATTTTGAATTTTTTTATTTACAAAAAATATGTTTTATAGGTGCTGGGAAGACAACACTTCTGAACTATATTTTGACAGAGCAACATAGTAAAAGAGTAGCGGTCATTTTAAATGAATTTGGGGAAGGTAAGTAAAGTTCAATAAATGTCATGTTGCAAGATTTTGTGTGACTGTTTATTCCTCTGGTGAATTGATATTCCATATTTAAAAATGAAAATGCAAGGTATTGTATTGATGTGGATAGCTTTAGAAAAGTTGGATTAATTTCTGTTAAGATTTATATGGGTTGAGATACTGAAATTAGTTTTAATAAAATTTTATTTTGTATAACTTTGGAATTCTTATTAACAGAATTAAACTACATTTTTACATGAAATAAATGACTCCAGAAGTAAAAATCTAGACATATGAAAAAACGTTTATTTTTTATTTTATTTTATTTTTTTTGAGATGGAGTCTCTCTCTGTCGCCAGGCTGGAGTGCAGTGGTGCAATCTCAGCTCACTGCCACCTCTGTCTCCTGGGTTAAAGTGATTCTCCTGCCTCAGCCTCCTGAGTAGCTGGGACTACAGGCGTGCGCCACCATGCCCAGATAATTTTTGTATTTTTAGTAGAGACAGGGTTTCGCCATGTTGGCCAGGATGGTCTTGAGCTCCTGGCCTTGTGATCCACCCGCCTCGGCCTCCCAAAGTTGCTGGGATTACAGGCATGAGGCACCATGCCTGGCGAAAAAATGTTTTTTTTAGGAATTAGGAAAGCACTTTTGTATGGACTCTATTGCAACTCATGAAAAATACTTGAAAATGCTTCTGTTATTAGTTAACTTTGTTTAATGTTTATTATCTGCAATGCAGTTAAAACTCAATATTTTAAAAATAAAGGTAAACATATGGTCTTTATCCTCATGTATTTTAAGTTATCTGTGAAAATAAGTGTGCTTAACTTCTCAACTGAAATATTAAACTGTAGTCAAAAAAATAGCTCTAGACACAATACTTCTGTTATCTTTATAGAAGTTTTTCTTCATAAGTATGAATTGTAATCAAAGCTTACTTCTAGCCAAAAAACAATATCTATTAAACGATTTCTTTTAAAATGTACTATTTTTTTTCAGTTGTAAAAAGTAAAAGAGCTAGGTTTTATGAACAGGATGGGAAGCCAGTTATATTCGATTTCTGGTTTTAATAAACGAAAGAGAAAAGTGCTTTTTAGGCAAAAATCCTGAGATTTCTAATAACAGACTGTTTTTTTCATCATCTTATTAAATAACCTATTGCACACTGATTACATTTATTCTTACTATTTTCTTTATTTTTTCCTGGATCATTTTTGCAATTTTATTTTTCACAGCATTCTCAATACTTTTCTTCATGTTTCATTAATGTTCTGTATATAGTCCAAATTCTGTAGCAACCTCTTTAGAAGCTCTTTATTAATACCTAGCTGAAATATAAAAAATATGTAAGTGTAAAACTACTCGATTTTATGGGAGCTCATTTGCTTAGTGGGCTTTTAGAACTTCACTGTTTGGTATATTTCTTTATTAGAGGAAAAGTAAAACATTTAAAATAATTCTTATAGATAACAAGCATTTCAAATGTAGTTTATTCTTTCTTAAGTAAGTATTGCTAGGAAAATATGTGAATTTGACTAAAAGTTTAGGTTTTTTTTTTTTTTTGAGATGGAGTCTCGCTGTGTTGCCCAGGCTGGAGTGCAGTGGCGCAGTCTCGGGTCACTGCAACCTCCGCCTCCCGGGTTCACGCCATTCTCCTGCCTCAGCCGCCTGAGTAGCTGGGACTACAGGCACCCGCTACCACACCTGGCTAATTTTTTGTAATTTTAGTAGAGATGAGGTTTCATTGTGTTAGCGAGGATGGTCTCGGTCTCCTGACCTCGTGATCCGCCCGCCTTGGCCTCCCTATAAGTTTAATTTTTAAATGAGCACGTGGTACACTGGCCAAAAACCTTCCTCAAGATGAACTAGGGTTTTTACTCATTGGGAATATTCAGCAGTTTGTCTAACAGAAACAATTTAGAAGAAGAATGAAAAGAAAAAGATAGATAAGGCAGTCTCTTAAGAGGTTGAAGGGCATACAAAATCCAGTATATAAAACATACTGGTCTATTTAGAAAGTTTACCCTGGACAAGAAAAAAATGCCTTCAAGATAGCTACTTTATTAAGAAATGGGGGTGGCCAAGTAAGAGGCCTAAGGAGGAAGTAGGTATGTTTATCAGTTTAGGATGTGTCTTTTTCAGGGCTTAAGTCATCTTAAATAAAAGCTAAAATAATGTAGTGTACTGTAATTTAGATATCGAGGCTGCATGAATAAAATGAAAGAATATAAGTTATAAAATGCAGTTTCTGCTTTAAGATCTCCATTATTGAGTTATCCTCATCTTTGTTTTTTTTTGGCTAATGGACATAAGCTAAAGAGTGCTGTTTGTTAATTATTCTAGGAAGTGCGCTGGAGAAATCCTTAGCTGTCAGCCAAGGTGGAGAGCTCTATGAAGAGTGGCTGGAACTTAGAAACGGTTGCCTCTGCTGTTCAGTGAAGTGAGGAATGTGTTTACTGTGTACATGGTTTACTAGAAATGTTTATTGATTATATTTCCAGCTTTAATTTTCTTGAGTAATTTAACTGAATTTACACAGTTTGCTTCATTGTATTTTCAAACAAATAGAAAATAAACTTATTAGGAAGCATTTTCTTAAAGTGTTTCTTGCTGTCTTTTCTATCTGCTCTAATGTTTTGGTCCTTTTATTGAGTTTTTATTGCTTTTGATGTCAGGGCTTATTTAATCTCTAGTGCATGAAAGTCTCATATGTAAAAAATGATTATTCTGAATTTAATCTGTCATTGGTCATACTTCTAAGTGTTCAATCTTATAAAAAAAATAAATGACTATCAAAAAAGAGAAAAACCTTACGTTATGTTCTACTAGTTAAGTTTTCAAGGACAGTGTTCACTAGTCTACCATAGACCCTAGAAGAGTTACCCAACACATAGTAGCACTCAAATATTTGTTGAATGAATTATAAAAATGACTACTTGTACTGTTAATTTTGTGTATTCTAGTGAATTAAATCTCTTCGGCATCATTTACTCCCTTAGGTATTTGACTTTGTGTCAAATGTTTTGGCAAGGATAAAATTATAACAGACTTTCTTGAACAACCAAAATATAATCTATTAAGGATTTTCCTTCACTTTTGATAAAATAAGAAAAAAGGAAATTAAAACCTTGCATCCTAATGTAAAATAGAATTATATGGTGTTTAATATCAGTGTCTCTTTAGCTATTATATTAAACTACTATAGTTAATACATTTTATCATTATTTTGTATGTTGGTTTTTAAAAATTTCATAAAGCTATAAAAAGATACTTGGTCAGATAAAGTTTCCTCTGCTTTTAATTTTGATAAAGTATTATGTATATGATTTCTTTTTACCTATTATATATATGCATCTATTGTTTTCTCACTGGTAAATATGGGACGGACATTTTGTTAGAAGGTTAGAAGTGAGTTAAATTTTCACATTCCCAAGGGTACTTTTGTCTCGGGTTGTTGAATATATTTTAAAGTGTTTATAATAATCACTTCAAAATATTTAGGTAATTAACTGTAAATTATGTTTTGGTATTCTCCAGGGACAGTGGCCTTAGAGCTATTGAGAATTTGATGCAAAAGAAGGGGAAATTTGATTACATACTGTTAGAGACCACTGGATTAGCAGACCCTGGTAAGAAGTGAGATTATTAATAACCAGAATATAGTTCTGTGATATATTGTAAATAGATGTATTAGAGGAATATCTAAAATGAGGATTAAAGCTTTTGTTAGTATTAAACCAAAAACTTTTTTTGGTTTAAAAGAGGAAAAGTACTCGGTTGTCATTTTCTTTGGCAGTTGAATGAATGAACAGAGTATTTCTTGGTACTTTTAAGCTGTTAATAGAATTTGAAGTTTTATTGATTGACTTAGGATTATTTGTAAGAACAGAAGTTGTTAAAAATAAGGACATGTAGGAAGAGCAGAGACGTTCTACCTCTAAGTACAGTTGTCCCTTGGCATCCATGGGGTATTAGTTCCGGAATCTCTGAGGATACCAAAATCTATTAATGTTCAAGTCCCTTACATAAAATGGTGTAGTATTTGCCTATAAGCTATGCACATCCTCCCATATACTTTAAATCATCTGTAGATTACTTATAATACCTAATACAATGTAAGTGCTGTGTAAGTAGTTATTACACTGCATTGATAAGGGAATCATGACAGGAAACTCTGAACTCTACTATGGAAAGCTACACAGAGTCAACCTGTTTCTAACAATGGGTTTCTGTTACCTTCTTACCAAGCTCTAATTCTTGATAAAGTCTGCTTATTTTCCCCAAATAACTTTTAGATAAAATCTTTATTTTCATTTTGCATAAAAGTTAGTGCTTATTCTGTGAATCTGACCCATACCATTATTTTTTTTTTTGATCTGGGTCTCTGGCATTGGGGCGATTTGTAAAACTATATTAAAGTATTTGGGGGTAATTTACTCAACAGGTCATAGTTGTCCAAAAGAAATATTGAAGTATCCTGAGAGTTCAAATGTGATCAGTGGTTATTGTACTTAAAACAATTACATAATAACATCATCCCCATGTTTTCAAAGTAGTATTGAATTAGGCTATTTTGGTCCTTATAGTAGGCATGGGTTTTCATACCTTTCTGATAAATCTGACTGATGATAGGACTTGGACTAATATGTTGGTGTTAAATATTTGAATCTGGTAAGAAAGAAAAATATATTGTATGCTTTTATTAGAAATAGCAAATATCAGTTTATTTCATCATAGCCAGTTTTGCCATTTTATAGACAAAAACTTGATACTTTTGAGAGTTTAATTAAACACGATTCAGCTTTTCAGAGGAAGAAAGAAAAACTAAAGATCACAGAGAAAGCTTTTATACAAATTGTAGTTATAAAAAATGTTAATGTTTCTTGCTTCTAACTTTCTTTACAATAAAGATTTTATTGTTTGGGTAAAGATGGAACATTCATTGTAAAAAAATTTAAATACCTAAAAAATACAAAGAAGAAAGTTGAAAAGTAATCATCTCACTTTTGTGATATACAAGTAGGGGCTGGGCATGGTGGCTCATGCCTGTAATCCCAGCACTTTGGGAGGCTGAGGCAGGTGGATCCCTTGAGGCCAGGAGTTCAAGACCAGCCTAGCCAACATGGTGAAATCCAGTCTCTACTGAAAATTCAAAAACTAGCCAGGCGATGTGGCGCACCCCATAATCCCAGCTACTCAGGAGGCTAAGGCAGGAGAATCGCTTGAAAGCTGGGAGGCGGAGGTTGCGGTGAGCCGAGATCACGCCACTGCACTCCAGCCCAGGCAACAGAGCAAGACTGTACACACACACACACACGCACATGCACATGCGCACACACACACACACACACACATTCATACACACACACACACAAGTAGGTACATTTTATTCCAGGGATCTCTCTATGCCAGTGCTACTTGGTAGTATGTTGAATGGCAGCCTCAGCCTCAGCTGGGAGCTTGTTAGAAAGGCAAATTCTTGACCAACCCAGATCTACTGAATCGGAATCTCTAAGGGAGGGGGTCAAGCAAGCTGTTTTTAATAAGCCCTTCAGGTGATTCTTATACTGTACAGCCATACCGCAGGGATATTGTGGGCTTAGTTCCATATCACTGCAGTAAACTGAATATCACAATAGAGTGAGTCACACACATTTTTTTGTTTCCCATTGCATATAAAAGTTATGCGTTTTGGCCGGGTGTGATGTCACAGGCCTGTAGTCCCAGCTACTTGGGAGGATCACTTGAGCTCAGGAGTTTGAGGCTGCAGTGAGTCATGATTGCACCACTGCACTCCAGCCTGGATGACAGCATGAGACCCCATTTCTTAAAAAAAAAAAAAAAAAAAAAAAAAAGCTGTGTTTATACTATACTGTAGTCTATAAAATGTGTAATAGAATTGTCTAAAAAACATACATACCTTAATTAAAAATATTTATTGCTAAAAAATGCTAACAATCATCTCAGCTTTCAGCAAGTCATAGTCTTTTTGCTGGTAGAGGGTCTTGCCACGATGTTGATGGGTGCTGACCAATCAGGGTAGTAGTTACTGAAGGTTGGGGTGGCTATCGCAATTTCATAAGATAATAATGAAGTTTGCTGCATTAGTTGACTCTCCCTTTCATAAAAGATGTCTCTATAGCACATGATGCTATTTGATAGCATTTTACCCACAGTATGACTTCTTTCAAAATTGGAGTCAGTCCTCTCAAACCCTGCTTTATCAATTAAGCTTCTGTCATATTTTAAATCCTTTGTTGTCATTTTGACAGTGTTCATAGCATCTTCACCAGGAGTAGATTCCATCTCAAGAAACCACGTTCTTTTCCCGTCCATAAGAAACAACTTCTCATTAGTTAAAGTTTTCTTATGAGATTGCAGGAATTGAGTCACATCTTCAGACTCCCCTTCTAATTCTAGTTCTCTTACTGTTTCCACCACATCGGCAGTTATTTCCTCCATTGAAGTCTGGAATCCCTCAAAGTCATCTGTGAGGGCTGGAATCATCTTTCAAACTCCTATTCATGTTGATACTTTGATCTCCCATGAATCACAAATGTTCTTAATGGCATCTAGAATGATGAATCCTTTCCAGAAGGTTTTCAATTTACTTTGCCCAGATCCATCAGAGGAATCACTGTCTATGGTAGCTATAGCCTTATGAAATATATTTCTTAAATAAGACTTAAAAGTCAAAGTTACTCCTTGATCAGTGGGCTGCAGAATGGATGTTGTGTTAGCAGGCATGAAAACAACATTAATCTTGTACATCTCCATCACAGCTCTTGGGTGATCAGGTGCGTTGTCAATGAGCAATAATATTTTGAAGGAATCTTTTCTTTTCTAAGCAGTAGATCTCAATGGTGGGCTTAAACTAAACCGTGCTGTAAACAGATGTGCTGTCATCTAGGCTTTATTATTTATAGAAAACAGGCAGAGGAGATTTAGCATAATTCTTAATGGCCCTAGAATTTTTAGGATAGTAAATGATTATTGGCTTCAACTTGAAGTCACCAGCTGCTTTAGCCTCTAACAAGAGAGTCAGCCTGTCCTTTGAATCTTTGAAGCCAGGCATTGACTTCTCTATAGCTATGAAAGTCCTAAATGGCATCTTCTTCCAAAAGGAGGCCATTTCATCTCCATTAAAAATCTGTTGCTGGCCGGGCTCGGTGGCTCATGCCTGTAATCTCAGCACTTTGGGAGGCCGAGGTGGGCAGTTCACGAGTTCAGGAGTTCAAGACCAGCCTGGCCAACATAGTGAAACCCCATCTCAGCTAAAAATACCAAAAATTAGCCTGGCTTGGTGGTGGGAGCCTGTAATCCCAGTTACTTGGGAGGCTGAGGTAGGAGAATGGCTTGAACCCGGGAGACGGAGGTGGCAGTGAGCTGAGATTGCACATTGCACTCCAGCCTGGGTGACAGAGCGAGACTCCATCTCAAAATAAATAAATAAATAAATAAAAAATAAGTCTGTTGCTTAGTGTAGCTACTTTCATGAATGATGTTAGCTACATCTTCTAGGTAGTTTACTACAGCTTCTATATCAGCATTTGCTGCTTTCCCTTGCACTTTTATGTTATGGAGATGGCTTCTTTCTTTAAATCTTGTGAACCAACCTCTGCTACCTTCCAACTTTTCTTCTCTAGCTTCCTCACCTCTCTCAGCCTTCATAGAACTGAAGAGAGTTAGGGTTGCTCTGAATTAGGCTTTGGCTTAAGGGAACATTGTGGCTTGTTTGATCATCTATCCAGACCACTTCATATCAGCAATAAGGCTGTTTTATTATCATTTGTGTGTTTACTGGAGTAGCACTTTTAATTTCCTTCAAGAACTTTTCCTTTGCATTCACAACTTAGCTAACTGGCTCAAGAGACCTAGCTTTTGGCGTATCTTGGCTTTCAACATAACTTCCTCACTAAGCATAATCATTTCTAGCTCTTGATTTAAAGTGAGAAACAGGTGACTGTTCCTTTCACTTGAACACTTACAGGCCATTGTAGGATATTAATTGGCCTAGTTTCATGTTGATCATATTCTTTATGTTGTCATGGTTCTGTCATAATTCTTTTAGTTCTATGTTTTAATAGTTTTGGTGCTTATTACCAGTACTGTTGCTTCTCCATTCCCGAGTTAGTCCATCTCCTGATTGAATTTCATTGTCAGGCAGTCTTTTCAAGTTACAGGTACTGCATGCATTCTTTGGGTTCTTATACACTTCATTGATTCAAAATATTTGTCTTTTGTTTTTATATTACTTGAAGGATTACTTGGCTAGGTATAAAATTTATCAGTCACACTTTATTCCCCCTCAACTTTGTAAATGTTGTTCCATAATCTCCTAGTGTTTGATTGGCTGGATTTCTTTGTCCAATGTTTTCTCTTTTTATTAGGAAGAATTTGTGAGTATTATAGTCTCTGAGTTTCAATGCTTGCTGTTTTCTTTAATGCTTGAGAATGTCTGTCTATTGCTTTCGTTCCTGAAAAATAACTTGTTTGGGAACACTTTCATTAGAACTTTGTGGTCCCTGTTTTATTATTTTGGGACATCTAGTGTTACTGTAGAAAAGTCTGATTTTTCTCCCTACCTCCTTGAAGGCAATTTTTTTTTTTAATCTAAAATGCCTGAGAGTTTTCTTCTTTATTTTTGAAATTCAGTAATATAAACAAGGTATATCTAAGTGTCACTTATAATCATTTTTCCCTAAATTATAGTATGCCCTTAGTTCTTCTAAGAACATTTTCCTTGTTTATTACCATGAATACTTTTTTTTGGTCAAATTATTAGATCCTCTACTTCATGACACCAGTTTTTTTAATACTGAATTTTCTTTTGTTGTTCGTATGTATTCTAATTGCTTTGATTTGTCTTTTACCTTTGCATTTACTGTGATCATCTGAAGCCTTTCTTTTTGTCAATAATTCTGTTTTCTCCAGTGTCTGTCCTGTTTTTGATATTTTAAATGAATTAATTGGTTAAGTCATTGTGTTATATAGGCTCTAAGTTTCTTTAGCGCTACAAACGCATTTTCATCTTATTCTGCTTCTTCTTGCTTTTGAGCTTGTTTATTATAAGGTTGTATTGTTTTCAAGTTCTTCATTATGATGAAGTTGTTGAGAATTTTCTTTAGTTTTTATTGGGTTATGTATCCTTCCAGAATGGGTTCTTTGCCACTTGTGTGCCCTATTCATTTCTTCATTTTGTGTTCTTTCTTGCTTTTTATTCCCTGTATGTGCGTGTTTCTTTTTGTCAGGCTGTAATACATATGCATACATGTTTCTTCTTGATGTGGGAGAACTTCTATGTGGTGCTGATGGGAAATATTTTTAATACTCCACTCTCCTTACCCAAGTTTGTTTTTCTCCTGAGCCCTAGTTTGAAAGCTGTATATTGTTGGAGTGGAGGGAAAGAGAAGGGAAAAGTGGTGATTCAGAGAGCCAAATGGGGCAATGTGGCTTTTAGGCTCTGCTCTCTTGAAGTACCAAGTATTTCACTCTTGGGTCTGCCCAACTGCTTATGAATAAAATTCCTTTGCCTTGTATGGGGACATCATTCGACCTCAGAGCTCTCATTTCTCTTTGTTCTGAGCCCTAGAATGTGACCTGACCTTCTCCTTCCCAAAGCAAAGAGATGGTTAAAACTCACTCTTGAAATTTTTTTGTTGACTTTTCCTTGTGTTGCTTATTCATTCCTCGGCTCTACTTTTTGTCATTTTGGAGTGTATTTCTGGTAAGTGTTTAGGATTTTGTAAACTATTTCCCTACAACCTCTTATTGGAGGTAGGGGTAGAGTTGGGAATGACCATCAATCACATATAACTTTGTTTCTTATTTTGACTATCAGTCTTCAAAATTTATGGCAGGCCCTTTTATATTTGGTTGCTGCTAATAAAATGTTGGCCTTTTTGTTTTATTTTTTGTTTTTATTTTTTGTTTTATTAGATTTTGAAGAAGGGAGATTCTAAAATGTAGTTCAGGTTTTCTCAGTGTCAGCACAAATAACATTTTGGGTTGGATAATTATTTGTTGTGAGGGGGTTGCCCTGTGCAGAGTAGGATATTTAACAACATCCCTGGCTTCTACCCACTAGATGCCAGTAGCATTCCCCTAGTTAAGACAACCAAAAACATCTTCAGACATTGCCAAATATTCCCTGGGGAGAAAAGCACCCTGATTTGAGAGCCACTGATCAATTTTGTTCATTCATCTTTACTCCCCCTAAATACCTACATCCAAATTTTAAATAGATCTTTCTCATGTAGTCTGGCAAGTATTATATCAAAGATAAATACCAGTTTTAGAATAAAGCATTAATATACTCTTACATTTCAACTTAAGAGGCAAATATTAACAGTAGGATTTGTAAACTATTTATTGGAATAAAAATCAATGAATTTTTAAAAATTACAAAATGATTTATGTATGTTAGATATTTTACTGAGTGAAAAAATTCATGCTTTTTTAAATGACTTATTGTTTGGAGTAGTGATACAGTAGATTTAATTTCCCCCCTCATTAATTAAAATCATGTTTTAGCCAAGAAAGTGAACAAAATTCTTATTGGCAATTCAGTTGTTTCCCGTTTTGGAGACTGACACGCTCCAGTTCTAAGTTAAATAATTGTCATGGTAAAGTAATTTCCTTGAAAAGAACAGACATTGATTCAGCCCCTGTTACTCACAAATCCTATTTGAGTCAAATTGGAAAACTATTAAGTTTTTGGGAAAAAAATCAATAGGTATCAGGAAACCATTAGATCTTGTGGCCCTTGCTATATCTTGCATGAGTAATCACTGTAAACAGCTGACAGGTATTTCATTGTTGACACCGAGTGATGCTTGGGGGACCACATCTTGGCAGAGTAGGTGGACAGCTTTAGACGCTGGAATGAGTTTGATTATCCTTGTTTTTCTCCTACACTCATTCTTTTAGACAGCCCTGTCACTAACTGGGCCTGTGATGCTTTCAAAAATCAAATACTTTCCTTGCTGTCAGTTTTCTTTTTCTTGCGTTGTGGCATACTAATCAGGGTATGTGGTTTGGTACTGAACCAATTTCTGTCAAAAGCAAGTTTTAATTTATTATTTAGGAAAAATTTTTCCTAAGACCCAGGTTTTATACAGTACTAAATAAATAGTGTGAGGAATAATTAGTAATGCCATAGAGTATATAATTTTACTTCTAGTTCTACACAGATTACAAGTAAATTTTTTTTGGGCAAGTGATTTTGGAATTATCTATGTTTTGTTTTCCTTTTCCTTTAGAGTGATAATTCACTATTTATGATTGAATGATTATCATATTAAAGAGGTGAGAAAATAAAAATAAGTCTGATGTGCACAAAGCCATACTGCTCAAATTGTTTGATAATATCTGTTAATTAAATTATTATGGCATCGGTAGAAGAATGATGTTTTGTTTATATGTGGTTAGAATTGGTCTTTTTTAAAGGAAATAACAAGAGAGATGGAAATGGAATGGGTATAAATAGTAAAAGGTTCTATCACTATAATTCCCTTTTGCTATAAATAGTTAAAGCTTCTATCACTATAATTTCCATAAGAAGATATATGTGTTTACCTGTTAATTTTATCAGGGCAAATTAAAACATGGATAGAATCATGTTTCTCAGTGTGAAGAAATATTTTTATTTGATGAATATTATATATTTTCAGGTGCAGTGGCTTCTATGTTTTGGGTTGATGCTGAATTAGGGAGTGATATTTATCTTGATGGTAAGTTAAAAAACAGTTTTCTTTTATCTTTCTTGTTTTTTTTTTTTTTTCTGAGACAGAGTCTCACTTTGTTGCCCAGACTGGAGTGCATGGAGTGCAGTGGCATGATCTCGGCTCACTGCAACCTTTACCTCCTGGGTTCAAGTGATTCTCTTGCCTCAGCCTCCCGAGTAGCTGGGACTACAGGCGTGCACCATCGTACCTGGCTAATTTTTGGATTTTTAGTAGAGACGGGGTTTCGCCATGTTGGCCTGACTGGTCTTGAACCCCTGACTTCAGGTGATCCGCCAGCCTCGGCCTCCCAAAGTGCTGGGATTACAGGCGTGAGCCACCACACCCTGCCTCTTTTGTTTTTTAGTAAAATCTTTATGGTTAAGCTTATTGTTGTTGTTCATTCATATTATAACTTTAATTCCTTGCATTGTTGTTCTTTTCACACTTTAGTTTAATGATGAAATCTTTGTTCATATAGATTAAAAAACCCCAGACAGTGGTGGAACTCGATGTCACTCAACTTCCAATTTAGTGCTTCCACTAAGGTTTTCTTTAAAAAAAAAAATGCTTTGTAGGTTTTCTGTATCCTCTGTTGTTTGATTTATGCCCTTAATATAATGTTAGAGCCTTTTATTTTAATCCTCCAGGCAATATGAGGATCATATTTTTGCTTTTATTTTCTCTTGAAGATAAGAATTAAACACTCCTGTCTTACTTTATTTACCTGAACACTTTTGGGCAATGATATGCCTTCATTTAAAATATATTAGAAACTTTCTTAGTTAAGCGACTATGTTTTCTCCCTTTCTCAGTCGAAATTTTCTTACTTTTTCAAAAGTAATAATCATTAAGAAATTTAAGAATTATTAAGCTGGGCCCCATCATTGAGCTCTAATATATGTGGCGGGTAACTGGTTGAATTCCTTAGGCATAATTAAACTCATTCTTTTGTTATCAGCATATATTCAGAGATTGCAAAATGAATTGGTAGTTTGGAAACTTAGGCATATGTTATGTAGAACATTTATGAGTTGGATTTGGATTTGGTGAGAGATGTTAGGAATGATACCTTAAGATGTCTCATTCTTTAGGCAATAATTTAAATCTTAAGAAAAGTCTTGATTTTGATTATGTGAAAATAAACTAGAAATAACCTGTCTTATGTACTTATCACATTTGACTATGTTATGAAATTTGACTTATATTTTGGATTGTAAGCTTTTTCAGTGCCAAGGAAATCTTATTTTCTTATTTATTTAATTTAAAATTTTTATTTGTTTTATATCGTTTCTAGTGCCTTAAAATAGTGCTAGCCACTCAGGAAATGCATTGACTTATTACTGGAATTTAATTAAATGGCAGCACTGGCAAGAGAAAAAAACAGTACATTGTTTTATTGAGTAGTATTTGTGAACTGAAATAGGTTAGTTTTAATTTTCATTTTGAAGTATGGTTGTACAAATATTAATAAACATTCTTTTTAAAAAGTGATTAAAATGTTTTTTCCTTTGTAGGTATCATAACTATTGTGGATTCAAAATATGGATTAAAAGTAAGTTGAAAGATTGCTATGAGTGGGTCATTATTGAGAGCTGGGAATATGGGGATTGATTGTTTAATTTTCTTTATGTTTGTATCTGAAATTTTCTTTAACAAAAACCTTTCTCAAAAAGATATCCTGAACAATAGGTGAAATTTGTGTTTTAATTATTAGTTTGTGTTAAATATTTCTTTTCTATTACTCTGAGTTTGATTTGGTGATAAAATTTGGAATTATAATTTGTAATAAGCATATGGGGTTAGGGTAGAGTTTGGTATGTATAACTCTTCACAAGGATTCAACCCCAATATTGGTAAGTTTTTCTGTTCCATAGAAGAAGCTGAGCTTGATAAAGCATCTGAGATCTTATTTTTCTTGTTAAATTACTATTAAACACACACTGGAAATGAGTTTTTAAAAAATATTGAAGACCTAGGTGATGGGTTAATAGGTGCAGGAAACCACCATGGCACCCGTTTACCTATGTAACAAACCTGCACATCCTGAGCATGTACCCTGGAACTTAAAATTTAAAAAGTACATATTGAAGAAAATCAGGATATACACATAGGATTAGTAAGAAGACCCTCTCCATTAAAAGGCATCTTGCATCGCTTCTTGGTCTTTTGGCTAAGATGAAGTGTAAAAGACATCCTGCTATGAATGTTTTTGTTAACTTCTAAGGTCCTAGAATGCATTTAAATGAGGTTTAATTTATAAAATGCATTTAGTAAGATCTTTAAAAGTATGTTGTTACATACAGTAAAATGATGTTTCTCAACTTCCCAAGTGAAATACCACTAAAGGCAGAAAAGAATGAAATCATCCCACCCACTGACCCGTTCCCAATCTGAGCATATGGATAGGGCCCAAAGCAGTAAGTTCTTGGAAGTTTAAATTCAGTGTTTAAAAATTAGTGTCTGTTTTGTATCCAACCTCATATCTGAACGTGTTAATTTTTTTTTTTTTTTTTTTTGAGACAGAGTCTCACTCTGTTGCCCAGGCTGGAGTGCAGTGGCACCATCTTGGCTCACTGCAACCTCCACCTCCCAGGTTCAAGCGATTCCCTTGTCTCAGCCTCCTGAGTATCTGGGATTACAGGTGCACACCACCATGCCCAGCTAATTTTGTATTTTTAGTAGAGACAGGATTTTACCATGTTGACCAGCCTGGTCATGAACTCCTGACCTCAAGTGATCCACCCGCCTCGGCCTCCCAAAGTGCTGGGATTACAGGCATGAGCCACCACGCCCGGCCTGAACTTGTTAATGTTTAAGTTTGCTTTTTTTCCCCAAATCTTTGCTGAAATTATGCTCTAAGGGGATATGTCAGGTTTGTCAAATAGCTACCAATACCTCTTCACTGGGCCTTCTCTCCCTCGTTGATAGAGTGCCCTAATTTGAAAAGTTTGGAAGAAAACTCCTTTTTTAGAGTTTAAAATCTCAATTTATGAATTTATGAATATAATTTAAGAATCAAAGAATGATCCCAAATACAGTATTACAGTTTCATGCAGAAAAATTCCAATGACTGTTGGAAATCATATTTCTTGCAAAATGCTTATGGAGGTAGCAAAAAAGCCCCAAATTATTCATTTTGAATGTTTATTATAGGCATGTTTGAATCTACCTCTTCCATAAATTTATTACAAAATTTGATATACCTATGTGACAGATAACTGCTAAGACATTTTGTTTTTTTTTTATTTTGATAGACTGAAAATGCCATGCTAAAAGTCAAACTGTTTATGTATTTTATGATTATAGGAATAATTTTATATGTATAGTTGGGTATGGAGAAGAGTTAAATAGAATCTATTATCAGCATGATGGAGGCCAAAAAAACAAAGCAACATTCTGAATAATGCAAACACAGTAAACGTTTAACCTCCTGCTACCTTGATAAAACCTCTTAAATTATTAAATCAATATACCTACACAAAACTGACACACTGTCAGGATAATGGAAACTTTAGATTTTCTAAGTCGGATGCCAGATAAATAACTTTGCCTTGATATAAAGAATTTTCCAACTTGTCCAATTCCTCTGGTTGCAAAGCTTGACCTCAGTAGCTGCTTGTGATTCAGAGAATTCTGAGGCAGTACAAGTAATGACACTTGGATAATGGGCAGCAATTTAAGAATGTCATGCTTCACAGAGCCAGCCCATCACAAGTAAAGCTGAGAAATGGTACCCTGTGGCCAGCCAGCCAAACTGAAACTGAGGTGGTAATTGATATCATGGGGTATCATGCTAATGGGATTGTCACCCATTGATGTGAAATATTCATTTTTTAATCATAGGCAAAGAATTGGACAACTTAAAATGACAGCTCTCTATTCTGAGGACTTGACACCCAGGCTACTGACATTGTTCTTTTCAGTTCCACAAATGTGACAGCATTTAATGCAATAGAAGCAATGAATGAAGTTACCCAGAGAAGGTCAAGTGAGAGGTTTCTTCTTGGTTCGTCTGTTATATTGCACAATCTGTTGAAACAATTCAGTCAGAAAACAGTTAGCTTGGAAAAGGCCAGAACAATAAATAGACTGACATTATGCAATAATTTTTTAAAAACTAAAATAGTGTTACATCTGTAACCAATCCATTTAAAAGAAATAGTTCCTGCTGCTGCTTTTTAAAAATGACACCAGACATCTTTGACACTAGATTTATTTCCACTCTGGTCAACAGCAGTGTTCTTTCATAGCCAGTGGGTTTTAAGATAGTTTTTTCTTTTCTTTCTTTCTCTTTTTTCGGTCCGGCTTCTTTCTTTATTTCTGCAGAAAAGGACACCCTATAGCCCTTCATGAAGTTAGGTCTACAGTGGTGTTATTTCAGAGAGTTCCTTTGTTTCTCTCCCTAACCCCCCCAGCTTTATTGAGGTATAATTGACAAGTAAAAATTATATATATTTAAGGTATACAATGTGTGAATTACATTATAAAACAATCGAGCTAGTTAACCTATCCATCACCTCACATTGCTATTTTTTTGAGAGGGGGTGGTAAGAACAGTTAAGATCTATGTTTTAGCAGATTCAAGTATACAATAGAATTAACTACAGTCATCATGCTGTAATTAGCTCTCCATGACTTATGCATCTTGTATAACGAACTTTGTATGCTTTGACCAACATCTCACACCACTCCCCTTTAATTTCCTTTGTTTCTTGTGGTAAGTTAAATTGGGGTTTTGATCCTTAGCCTTTTGAATATGTTGGATTAATTAGTATCAAAATTATTTTTGTCTTTTTTGATATATAAGCAAAAGCCATAGTTGTTAAGCAGAGATAAGGAATACTTTGGACATCTATGTAATATAAAATATTTAAAAAATATTTTGCAAAAATTTTTTCTTCATTTACTTATACAGGTGGAATAGAATGCCAAAATTTCCATTTTGTTTTATTTTATAAATGAAAGTCATCTGACTTAATGACCAAATGGTATAGAATGTATTATTGGAGAATGTTCTTTTGAATAGAAGACATTGATTTTATACTTTTTGCAGAGTTTGACTTGGGAAGGTAGGAAGTCACATGAGGGAAGTGCAGGGCTGATATCTAAAGAAAATAAATGTTAATATGCACTTATTTTTTAAATGTTTGTATGGCTTTCCTATGGGCATAGAAGAGGACATTTATCTCTTCTGCTATAATGGTATATGATTACATATAATTTTAATACAGCTGTAAATATTGGCAGGCTCTCATTTGGGGTGATTTTCATTTATTTTTATATTTGATACTTTCTGACTGCCTGGAAGTAGTAAAACGTTAGTCTACCACTGTTAGCTTTGAGTGAAGAATTCTAATATTTTGGAGAGGTAAATGCATTTAAAACATTGCACATTACCTTGTGAAACTAACATTGTATTAGTTACCTTTAGGCATGGAAATGCAAAAATAAATCTGTAATTCTTCTGTCATATCATTTTTATGCCTCACAAACTCATAGCCAAATAACCGCAATTTCATACGTTAAAAAAGCTTTCATAAGGTCAATAATATAATATCTTGAAAAATATTTCAGTTTAAAAAGAATTTTCAGTACTATAGGATCATTCAGAGGCAGATGCCTTGCCAAAAATATATCATTGTTAAGTAGATTTACTGCTTAATGGGAAGAGATTCGTTGCTGCATGTTAGATGGCATTTTTCATGTAACATCTTTTATGTATCCCCACAACAGGAGGTGTTAATTACAATTCATTCAACAAATATTTCTTGAGCCTGTGTGCCAGGCACCATTCCAAGGTCTGTTAGCAGCCTCATTCTCTAGAGGCAGAGTATATAACAATAGGACTTGTTGTAGCCTCAGGCCAAGATGAATTATGAAAAAAATATTAAACTTGGTCTTTTGGCATGGAATGAATTTTGATACAATACTGGTCAAGTTCTGTGACTTCCATAATTGCAGAGTGGGTCTGCAGTTGAATTGAACAAGATTTTGCCTGAAGTAGAAGTATCATTGCCATGATTTTATTTCAGTTTTGTTTTCCTCAAAATAGAATTTGCTGAACTTTTAGAAGGAAAAAATGTTTCTTCTATAGACCTCATCAAGCTTGTTAAATAAAATTATTACCTGCTTGCTCTGAGGTTCCAAACTATTCAGATACCCCTAATGATCATCTCCCCATGAATTGTGAAACTGGTTTGGCTCTGATATATGATTATTGACATTTGTGTAGCATTGTACACAGACTGATTTTATGTGGCATAAAAGATTTCACAAAGACTTTAAAATTATGTCATTTTACTTGATGGGTGTGTGTTCAATTAAAAAAAAAAAGTCCCTGTGATTGTATATAAAATATAGTATCCTGTGATGATGAGGGTGTTAGATTTAGTTTCTTCCTTTATAAATGAAAATAGCCATCTCCCATAATTATTATGAAAGCTAAATGAGAAAAATGTATATAATTCATAAAGTTAGGTTCAAGGATTTAATTCATTTGTAAAGTTGGCTTCAAATAGAGAGTATTACTATAATCTAGTTGCCTCTAAACCTCAGTAGCCAGCTTTTTATTGTGACAGGGAACCTCTATTGAGGTTTGAGGTAATGAGGGTAAAAGTGTAATTTCCCAGAGAAGAAGCTTGTGATGTTGATGACGTTAGGGATGTAAACAGGATTATGAGGGGGAAAAAAAAAAAAACAGACAACAAAGCTTGCCTCCAGAGAGATGAAAACTACCACTTGGGCTCTAAGTCAGTGTCAAAATATTTTTTGGAGTTAGCCTGACTCTGGAGAGGTCAGTAAAATAAACAGTTGCACTGAGAGGCCAGATTAGCAAGTATGGGTTTCTAAATGATAAACTGCTTTTAGGCTAGAATCAGGGCTGAATCAGCCTTCCCACCACTTATTTGTTTCTAGGGTGTTTGAAAGGCCTAGTACTGAGTTCACGTGGTGCATGATTGTGGGCTGGGGTGTAGGGAAGTATTTTAGATTCTAATATGGGGGTTTGGTGTGAAGGGAAGTATATTAGATTCTAAGAAACTATATTTCAGTGGTTATCCTTTTTTAAAAATAAGTAATAATGAATATTTAGAACCAGAACAGTTTTTTAAGAAGGAAAATACCTAAAATCTGAACTGTAATCTTCTATGTTTTTATGACATTATGTGAATCAAAGGGGTTTTCCTTTTAAGTAAAAGAAAAGGTCAGGAGTATGAAATCCTAAGCCCTCTTCCTCCCCCTATAAAACCCCACAGGTTCACTTGTAGAAAAAAATTGCAAATGGGGAAGAAAAATGCTTTTAGCTAGAAAAGTTAGTTTTGGATTTATGTATTCAGTAAGAGAACATGTTGAAGTTTTTATTAGATGCAAGAAAATGTCTCTAAAGTAAAATCCTTTGTGTTGACATTAGATTTTTTATTGTATTATAGTAACTTTATTCCAACTTTTTTTTGTTTAGCATTTAACAGAAGAGAAACCTGATGGCCTTATCAATGAAGCTACTAGGTATTCATATTTAAAGTATATATTGATTGCTGGCTAATTGTAAAGAGAAAAATCACTAAGATGAAAACCAAAAACAAACTAAGAAATTTTAAAACATAGTCAAGGAAAATTTATTTTCTTTTTTTCCCTTAGTTGAATTATTGCTATCTATTTATAATGATCTGATAACTAAACTTTTACTTAAAGTCATTTTTGTCGTAGCATAAAGTGAATGCTGAACACAGGAGTTCTGTAATTTTGAGGAACTCGGGAAATATTAACATTTAAAAATATTTTCTTGTTATACAATTTCTTTGGGATTGAAGATTTTATATATATATATATATGTATAATAATAATAATAATTATTATTTTTTGAGACAGAATCTCACTGTCACCCAGGCTGAAGTGCAGGCTCACTGCAACCTCCGCCTCCCAGGTTCAAGCGATTCTCCTGCCTCAGCCTCCCAAGTAGCTGGGATTACAGGCACCCGCCACCATGCCCAGCTAATTTTTGCATTTTTTTTTTATTTTTTTATTTTTATTTTTATTTTTTTTAGTAGAGATGGGGTTTCACCATGTTGGCCAGGCTGGTCTCGAGCTCCTGAGACCAGCTCGATCCACCCGCCTCGGCCTCCCAAAGTGCTGGGATTACAGGCATGAATCCACTGTGCCTGGCTGAACTTAAGTATTTTTGTAACTGTTTTCCTTATGAAAATATGGTTATTATAGAAAATATAAATAAGCCAAATAGAAAATAGCCAAATTGGATTTGTGATGTACATACTGTTGAAACCTGCTCTTTCAGTGAACTAAAGTGAATTTAGTTTTGAGAATTTAGTTGTATTCTTTGAGATAAAGCATAAGACCCTGAATAATTGAGGAAAATTGAAAGAATTTCCAGTTTTACTATCCTGCTAATAGAAAATAGAGCTTCTGATTATTATCATCTACTTTGTTATCTAGCATTCAGTCAACTGGATTCTTTACAGAGATAATATACAGTATATTTATAGTGATAAAGAAGACATTTGGGCAATATCCTGATATATCTTCTGAAGTATAGCTTATTTTTTTTTAAGAAATGGAGTCTTGCTATGTTGCCCAGGTTGGACTTGAACTCCTGGGCTTAAGGGATCCTCCCTCCTCAGCCTCCTAAGTAGCCAGGACTACAGGTGTGCTCTACCATGCCCAGCTCTGAAGTATAGTTTTAAAAAACCTGTTTAATACAGTTTTTAGTATTAAGTGAAGTTATTCTATTTCTTTGAAAATTTTGGTAAATATTACAGTATTTTAGTAGGTAAACTCTTCTTCTTTTTACCATATTGGATATCTGAATTTTATGCTTTTCTTCACAAAGAAAATTATGAGTTTAAAATCATCCTTTTGATTGTAAACTTTTTGAGACTTATCTTTGTAGCACAAGAGTAGCAAGTAACAGAACTTAGTAAATACTTTGCGAATGGGTAATGTGAAATCTGAACTTGCATAGTAATGAACACAATTCATCCACATTGAAAAATTAGCGGATTAGGAGTAAACTGAGTCACTCCTATAGAGCACTAGATAATTCTTAACTGATATATTGATCTACATGAGGCGTTTTTATTTATTTTTGATTTGTTAACATTCCTCTTTTGATGTATTAATCTGCATGCGTGTATATTATTTAAAGTTTCTTAACATTTCTCTGTTTGCTATTTTAGACAAGTTGCTTTGGCAGATGCCATTCTCATTAATAAAACAGACCTGGTTCCAGAAGAAGATGTAAAGAAATTAAGAACGACAATTAGGTACGAAATGATAAGTGTGTTAAGTGCCTACAGATCCATGTTGTATACACAGAATATTTTTTACTCTGATTGTTGCCCTGTAGAAACTTAAGGTATAAGGTTGAGCTGCTTCAAGAACGTTAGGGAATCACATATATTGTTGATGGCTAATTGTTATATAAATGGTAATACATAAAATTAGTCCCCAGTGCTTGCAGAATATAGTTCACAGTTAATAGACTGATATTCAGGGTCTTCGCACTCCATCTTTCTTTTCCTGTCTTCTCTTTGACTCTTTCCTAATGTCAGTCTTCCCTAACTTTACCCAGGATGGTTAATTCACTTTCCCATGGATGCATCCTGTCAGTTCCTGTCTTTACTCGTAATGTATTCTCACTCTGCCAATCCCTGAGTTCTTTCTTGTTCTGCTTTTTTTTTTTTTAATTTATTCTATAGAGCCTATTCTGTCTCTCCCCCCTTCCTATGTGAAGTCTTCCCTGACTCAAGTGGTCTCAGTTTTCCCTGAACTCTTGTTGACTTCATCTTCCTTAACTGTCAACCATGCCTTGTCTTCCAGCTTGCTTTAATATCTTCTTTGTCCATAGCCAAGGCTGATCAGCATAGGACAATCAGGACAATATGAATGATGCTCAAATATGTGCTAACAGTCATTTTGCTGACTGTTCTGGAGACTCCCATTCCTTTTGAAAACAAAGATGGGCTTTTCAAATGAGGTTATAGTTCAGGGGCTTTGTTTTGAATTATTTTGTAAGACCTGAACTAATAAAAGCCCTATACAGAGAGACATTCGGTAGCTATTAGTATTGGTTATCTTTAATGTGTACAATGCTTTGAGCGTGATGGCTCAAAATTACTATTCTTAGTATTTATAAGTTCTACTGACATTAGATTTTGAATCTGTCATCTCAGTTCATATAGTATATATTATCAATTGAATCAATAAAGGTAAGGCTCATTAGGAGATTATTTGCCATGATTAATGATTGTGGAAGAAAGAAATTCATATTTTTTCCACATATTTCATCTTATTTTAATAGTAATGTCCTTAAACTTTACTATAAAAAAATATAATGTCTCCAC
Source organism: Homo sapiens (assembly GCF_000001405.40). Taxonomy (NCBI): domain Eukaryota; kingdom Metazoa; phylum Chordata; class Mammalia; order Primates; family Hominidae; genus Homo; species Homo sapiens. Next base: position 153,628 of record NC_000009.12, on the reverse strand, counting down.
GTGGAGGGTAGGTATTGTTGCGTAGTGTTGAAGATCACAGACCTTGGAATCTGCTTGGGTTCTAATCCTTGGTCTGTTTCTCATTGTCTTCTTAGGGAGCTTATTTACCCTTTTAAAGCCTCCTCTGTAAAAGGCATAATGCCTATCATAAGTTTGCTTTGAGTATTACATGAGACAATGTTGGTAAACTTTGCACAGTGCTGACACATAGTAAGTGCTCTGTTAGCTATTATTATGTAATTTTTTTCTTAGCTTACATAGTAAGTTCAAGGTATAGTAAAAAAGGGAAGAAAGAAAAAGATGGCTGATTTTGAAAAGGAGAAAGTGATGAATGAAGATTGCTTTTACATTTTTTGACACTGGTCTTCTAATCTTGTTTCTCTTCATAAATCTTGTGCACCATTGTGATTGCTAAGAAGAACACAATCTATTTAGCAAATGTTTTTGGCATAAAAGGAATGATAATTATTACTTGACTTTTATATCCTTATAGAGACCTAAGCTAAATCTCTGACACTGACAATATTGACTATTAGCCAGCTTGTTAACAGTACTAGAAATGAATTTGGAAGAAGCAATTTGATAAATTACACACCCTTTTGGCTTTTACCCTCCCTTTATATCAGACTTGTGACTGACTCAGAATGATATTTGGGGAGGTGAAAAAAGGTAAACATGTTTGAGAGGAATTAGCCATCAGACTAGAGTGTATTCAAAAAAGAAGATTTAAGAATTTTGTAAAATAGTGGAGAGACTTGCCTCAGAATCATTATATGTGGGAAGCCTTACCCATGAGAACAAACTTGAACAAGTAGCAAGAATCTTGGGTAAGTAACCCTAAAGACAATTGAATTCATGATAGAGAATTGATGATTGATGATAGGCAATGGAAAAGATAAATAGATGAGGTGTACAGTGTGTTGAAAAGAATTTAACAGGTACTTTTTGGTGCCATACGAAGCCATATTCTATAGTATCAAAAGAGGGAGAACAGGCATAACGGGTAGAGAGCCTAATTAGGTAACTGACGAGGTTATTCTATAAAGGAACCTGGGATGTGTGACTTAGAATTACTGTGAATACTAAGGACAGGCTGGGGGCAAAGCAACTTGCAACTAGGTTTTTATTTTTAGTGTGTATATAGCCATTTCTACCATGTATGCCTGAGGAAAAAAGTGACCACCGTAAAAATTTTGAGTATCTACTCATTTTTAAGAACACTAGGATAACTGACTATTTATGAATGATTTTTTCTAAAGTGAAGTGTCTTTTTATTAACCACAAAGTAGCCCTTAATCTGACAGTTGTGCGAATTTTTGCATATATGTTTTATTAATGTATGAGTGGAATATATGTGATTTATTGTTTGAAGGAAAATCACAATTATTTTTTAAAGCAAGTTTTGTTTTTCTGTTTTTAATTTTTTTCTGGTTCCAGATGTATTTGGGTATGCTTATTTCCTGTTTTAGAAACAATATACTTTGTATACTTTTTTAAAAAGTTAATTTTTACTTTTAAACTTTGTCTTCCTCATTTATTATTTATTTCAGATCCATAAATGGACTAGGACAAATCTTAGAAACACAAAGATCAAGGTACTTTAAAAAAGCTATTCCTATTAATAACAAATCATTTTAGTTATTAATAATAAACATTAAATAATTGACAAATATGCTTGATTCTAATATAAGAAAGATCTAAGTGCATTTAAAAAGAATTGGATCCAAAATGTTGTTTGGAATGCTCTTAATAAGTTAGTTTGGCATATTTGGCTAGTACATTTGCCTGTCTTCAAAACTAAGAATACAAAGCCATGATAACACTGTGTAAGTGTTTGCTTAATGAGGAAGAAAAGACTTCCAAACACTCGAGAGGGTAACTCAGTACAGAAATCTGAAGTATATTGAGGAATCTTAATTTGAAGTGTTTAAATGGCTTTTTAATATTTAAAAAGCCTTCTTAGTGTTTTATAGTTGCCAAAAAATACATGGAGTCTTTACCTTGAAGTTCCTGACAAATTCTTTTATTAAATTTTGACTTTCATTTTCTCTAGGTTCTGTTCCTAAAACATCTGTGAAGTGTATTTCTGTAGATTAAATTCTGTTTTCCATTGAATGTTATCTTAATTTCAGAAAATTTCTGTGCAGGGTTATTTTATTAAGCTCATTTTTTTTTTTTTTTTTTTTTTTTTGGTGAGAAAGGCTCAGCAGCTAATAGACTCAGCAACAGGCAGCCAGGAGCTCTGAGGCTCACAGCTGGCAGTCTAGTTCCACTCAGTCTCTACTGGAGAAATTCTTTCTTTGGAAGTACAGCAGAGGCCTTAGGTGAGTGGCTTGTCTGCTATGGCAGAGATTAGAGGTGCTGCCAGACTGCCATAAGTGTTAGGCAGTAACAGCAGCAGCTGCTTATATGCATGTGAACAGCTGGGGAATTAATTTGGTATGCATTCTCAGGAGCCACTCATCTGCTGGCAGAGGTAGCAGAAGAATGCCCTTAGTGTAAGTCCTCTACAACCATACACCAAATGTGCTCCCTGCATTTCAAATTCCATTGTAGAAAGTCTCTGATAATCTCACTTATACTATGAGCCATTCCTCAGTATCTGTCCTCTTCCTGTTAGTGTTCTACAATTCCTTTCTCCTTAATTTTTCTCCGCTTTACAAAATGTCACACAGACAAGTGCATAATACTTAAACAAGCTTTTAAAAATAATGCTCATAAATAGCTTTGGTTCTGTCATAATATTCGTATTTATAAACATTTTAAGTCAATTCTCTTCTTTTGTTTTCATTTCAGAAATATCCATGTCCTGAATAAAAGTTGTGTCTTGATTAGTTTATTATGTAACAATTTAGTGTGTTTGACATTTCTAACTTTTATTTCTAACATTTGCTTTATTATAGAACAATAAACATGCAGTGATTGATTTTTCTTACTTCAAGTGGATGAGTGAGCAAGTGACTAAAATCTTCTGTGAATTATTCAGTGTATGGTGCTTGCCAGTGCATCTGAGAATCTAGGGACTTTCTGAAATAGTACTTCCTTGCTATGAGGACTGAAGTTGCATTAGAATCCTTTTCAATGAAGATCAGATGTCCTGAGTACAATTCTTACTATTGGGTCCTGAATCTTACATTAAATATTCTCTCAAATTCCTTGAGGCATAGCAACTTGAGCTTACCAGTTTAGAAACTGGAGATTTGGGCTGGGCGCGGTGGCTCACGCCTGTAATCCCAGCACTTTGGGAGGCCAAGGTGGGTGGATCACGAGGTCAGGAGATGGAGACCATCCTGGCTAACACTGTGAAACCCCGTCTCTACTGAAAATACAAAAAATTAGCTGAGCCTGGTGGTGGGCGCCTGTAGTCCCAGCTACTCAGGAGGCTGAGGCAGGAGAATGGCGTGAACCCGGGAGGCGGAGCTTGCAGTGAGCTGAGATCGCACCACTGCACTCCAGCCTGGGTGACAGAGCGAGACTCTGTCTCAAAAAAAAAAAAAAAAAAAAAAACAAAACCGGAGATTTGGTTAACAAAATAGTCAAAGTCACTCTTATAGAAGTTTTGTTTTATTTTTTGTTTAAAATTTTTTTACCATTTTGTAGCTGACAAGTACTGACAATAAACTGCTATAAGCATGTGTAGAAAAAGGCTCACCTTGAGTAGTTAAGAGTAAGGAAAAGGAATAGTGTGTAGCATCGTCTTAGTGGTAAGACTTAAGTTGATTTAGTAGCAAATGGAAGTACTAGTGAACCACATAGATTTCAGAAGTAGGAGTAAAAGGTTAGAAGATGTGTCATTTTAATCTTCTCTAGACTTTTTCTTAATTTTTAGAAATGTAAGTGGACTGAACAGAGGAAAACCAAAACACAGCTGGTCAATAATAAGTTAAATTAATTTGACAAACTGCCTACTATGCATTTCATAGCATTTTAAGGACTATATAAGCAATGGATAAGGCAAAAACTCTGCCTTTAAGGAGATCAGTCATTGGGGGGAAACAGAAGCAAACAAACAAAAAGGCAACATAATAGATATTAATATTAATACAAGAATTTTAAAAGCACAGAGTTCTATAATAATAGGAAAATAGAGGGAATGATTGCTCAACTTTTCTTGAAAAAGAGTCAGGAAAATATTGACCGAGAAGACAGTCATTGACCTGAGTCTTAAAGAATGAATAAGGCTTTTACAGATGGAGTAGGGTAGGGATAACTTTCCAGGTATAAGGAAGATTTTGTATTCCAGGGACCTTTGAATTTTTTAGAATGGCTAGAAAACTTGGTATTATGTAGCACAGAAAAAGTGGTATGACTGAAGAGATAGAGAACTTACCACAAAGGGTCTTGAATGCCATGATACATAGTTTGGATTTTCTTCTGTAGGGAGCAAGGAGTTAGTGAAGGATTTTAAAAGCAACATGCCTCTTGGGAGGTAGATTCAATGTGAGGCTAATCTCCGAGGTATAGGAAATACAGGAAGGAGGAGCAACAGGTCGGGTAGTGGTGGAAGCAGGTTTGGAAAATGTGATTAGTTTTGTAAGCGTTTTTGAGTTTGAAGTGCCACTGGGGAAGGCTTTTGGAAATTTATTTCCAGAGTTCAAGACTGAGCTATCATTGCAGTTTGCTCAGCTATTTACTGAGCTATCTACTGTCAATTTGGATAGTATCTACAGTTTGCATTGTAGATACTGGATACTTGGATTGGCTGGTGCACCCTGTTTGTGAGACTCACTGGAGTTTGAAGAGATGACCACTGGAAAATATCCCTAAGCAGTAGCTGCAATTCCACCCCCACCTTGGAGAGCCAAAACCCTCTTCATTTTCACTCTCCTGTCCTTGGTCTTAGGCTACTTAAAGCAGCCTTTAGACATAGGGAAAAATTGAAAGCCTCTCTTTTAAGAAAAACATTAGGTACTTCTGGAATAGAGAGTTCAAGAAATTAGGAGAAAAATGAACTTTTGAAGCTTTTTCTTTCCCTTTTTTGTTTACTTCATTCTCTTACTCAGTTTTAAAATGCTGGTAATGGTCTTTTTTTTCTTTTTTTTTTTTTCTTGGCGATTTTAATGCTTTGGAAAAGATCTCATGGTTTTATCTCCAAAGGAGGAAATTAATTTGATGCCATGGAAATTAGTTTTCTAGTCGTATGCCTTGAATGAGTGAAGAATTTGTTTTTCATGGTGGTACTAAATTTGGGGAAAGCTATAGAAACTTTCATCTGGAAGCTTACACTTTTCCTCTTTTTTGAAAATTTGGTGAGAGACTTGGATATTTTATTGTTTTCTGTAAAAGAGTGTAATTTGTTGTACAGGTCTAATATTGATCCTTTTTTGGAAGTATGGAAAGAATCTGAGTATAAAGCAGAATTACCTCTGGATGGCATGTATTCTCAAGGACACTGTCACAGTGAAACAGTTTATTTAGAAGCTTGTGTTTCCAAAGTGTTGAATTTGATATTCACAAAATTGGCATGTGTAAACTTTATTAAACTTTAAGCTATTTCCTAAGATGAAGATGACAAACTTGGAGGGAAACTTCATTCATTTGGTTTATTTTTATTTTTATTTTTATTTATTTTTATCTTTTTGAGACAGAATCTCACTCTGGTTTGAGACAGAATCTCACTCTGTCCCCCAAGTTGGAGTGCGGTGGTGCGACCTCGGCTCACTGAAACCTCTGCCTCCTGGGTTCAGGCGATTCTCCTGCTTCACCCTCCGAGTAGCTGGGATTACAGGTGTGCACCACCACACCCAGCTAATTTTTGTATTTTTAGTAGAGACGGTTTCGCCACATTGGCCCGGTTGGTGTCAAACTCCTGGCCTCAAAGTGATCCGCCCACCTTGGCCTCCCAAAGTGGAGCCGCCGTGCCCCTTGTCTGTGACCTGTCAATATAAATATGCTCAGTAGCGGGGGGAGGGGGAGGTGAAAAAGGAAATATGTTTAATATTAAGACTTTGGCCTTTTAGTGTAAACTGATACTCAGAAATTTCTTCATAGAACATTTGCTTCTTTGCTTGATCATTTTTCTAATTCTGTACATCTAAAATGCCCAGAATTTGAGTTGCTGTTATAGTCTACTAACATAGAACTTTGGAGTAATAAGATGGGAATTTGTCTCTCTTTTGCCAAGACAAGCATTCGTAATCTAACACAGTATTGTTGCCACGAGTACGAGTATGTGATAGACTGTTGAGAATAAAGAAAGCAGGCACAGTTGGTCAGTCCTAAGATAAAGGAGATGTTTTTCTTATATGTTTGTGCATTAAAGAAAAAAAAATCTTGAATCTGACCAATGATGTTTTTTTTCCTTGTAAGAAAATTTAACAAATGTTTGGCAAGCTTCTGGAATCTAAATTTGAAATTATACATTTGTCATTTTCTTTAAATATTTCTTCACCTTAGCTTTGATTATGAGAAATCACTGTCCTCTGCTGTTCTTTTTTTTTTTTTTTTTCTTTTGAGGCGGAGTCTCACTCTGTGCCAGGCTGGAGTGCAGTGGTGCAATCTTGGCTCACTGCAACCTCCACTTCCTGGGTTCAAATGATTCTCCTGCCGCAGCCTCCTGAGTAGCTGGGACTACAGGTGCGTGCCACCACACCCAGCTAATTTTTGTATTTTTGGTAGAGACAGGGTTTCACCACGTTGTCCATGGCCAGGATGGTCTTGATCTTGACCTTGTGATCCGCCCGCCTCGGCCTCCCAGAGTGCTGGGATTGCAGGCATGAGCCACCGCGCCCGGCCTGTCCTCTGTGGTTTTCTGGGCTTATGTTAAAATTATAACTCAATCACCAGTCTTTATAAATTTGCTTTTTTATATTTAAACCAAACCTAATGCTAATTGTGATATGTTATTTATTCTCACCTGATTTGAATCATTGGATTCAATTAAATGAGTAATTATCATTAAATAATTCTAAGAGAAATAATGTCTATTCGGATGGTGGGAATTTTCTTCCTACATGCAGCCCCATTCTGAATGAATGAAATCAAATCACGTGAAGATCAGGGTCCTAGAGTAACTTAATATTTTGTACATTGGTTATTTGACTCCTCATTTTTATATTACATGTTATATCAAGGGAGGGGGTATAAAAGAAATACAAAAATTGCAGAGGTATCTGGAATGTACCTATTTGTTAATTCTATTTGTCATTTCTTTTGTTTCATCTTTTGAGTAATAAGCTGCTTGGAAAAGTTTCTGTTCTTTAGCTGATTTTTTAGCTATAAAAATGTATTTGAAAAGCTCATAAATTTCAGGATTGAAAAGATAATTGAAAGTTTTAAAGAAACCTAATTCATTGAAGTAATAAACAAATAATTTTCAATCTTGATTCAACTGTGATTCAAATCTTACACCATTTGCCCACTTCTATGAATTTTATGTATAAAATTTTTTAAGTCAGAGTTTTTTTTCTTGATTAACTGGATGTATTTCACAGAATTTCCAACTGCTCACGTTAGTTTTCTTCCTTTTAGAGTTGATCTCTCTAATGTATTAGATCTTCATGCCTTTGATAGTCTCTCTGGAATAAGGTATGTTTTGTATAATTTGGTTACTTTTATTGTTATGTACCTTTTTTCCCCATAGTTAACAGGAATGATGTGCACAATTGCATCCATGATTTAAGCTTCCTGCCATTCCTTTGGCATACAAGACCATTCTTAATGAGGTATATTCTTGGAAGTTTTACTAATTGGTTGTTTGGAAATCATATTGCATTTTCCTGTAGAAATTATAGTGTAAATGATAGTTAACTTTAGAGGCTAATCGTTAACACTTCTACACCAAACACTATGTCTAATACTCTTTCTATGAGAAAATGCATGAAATACATAGAAAATTTTAGCTTAGCGTTTTCACACAAATAACTCTCTTCACTTTATTTTTTTATTTTTTATTTTTTCTTGAGTTTTTTTTAAAATTTATTTATTTATTATTATACTTTAAGTTTTAGGGTACAGGTGCACAATGTGCAGGTTAGTTACATATGTATACATGTGCCATGCTGGTGCGCTGCACCCACTGACTCGTCATCTAGCATTAGTTATATCTCCCAATGCTATCCCTCCCCCCTCCCCCCACCCCACAACAGTCCCCAGAATGTGATGTTCCCCTTCCTGTGTCCATGTGTTCTCATTGTTCAATTCCCACCTATGAGTGAGAATATGCGGTGTTTGGTTTTTTGTTCTTGCGATAGTTTACTGAGAATGATGATTTGCAATTTCATCCATGTCCCTACAAAGGACATGAACTCATCCTTTTTTATGGCTGCATAGTATTCCATGGTGTATATGTGCCACATTTTCTTAATCCAGTCTATCATTGTTGGACATTTGGGTTGGTTCCAAGTCTTTGCTATTGTGAATAATGCCGCAATAAATATACGTGTGCATGTGTCTTTATAGCAGCATGATTTATAGTCCTTTAGGGTATATACCCAGTAATGGGATGGCTGGGTCAAATGGTATTTCTAGTTCTAGATCCCTGAGGAATCGCCACACTGACTTCCACAATGGTTGAACTAGTTTACAGTCCCACCAACAGTGTAAAAGTGTTCCTATTTCTCCACATCCTCTCCAGCACCTGTTGTTTCCTGACTTTTTAATGATTGCCATTCTAACTGGTGTGAGATAGTATCTCATTGTGGTTTTGATTTGCATTTCTCTGATGGCCAGTGATGGTGAGCATTTTTTCATGTGTCTTTTGGCTGCATAAATGTCTTCTTTTGAGAAGTGTCTGTTCATGTCCTTCGCCCACTTTTTGATGGGGTTGTTTGTTTTTTTCTTGTAAATTTGTTTGAGTTCATTGTAGATTCTGGATATTAGCCCTTTGTCAGATGAGTAGGTTGCAAAAATTTTCTCCCATTTTGTAGGTTGCCTGTTCACTCTGATGGTAGTTTCTTTTGCTGTGCAGAAGCTGTTTAGTTTAATTAGATCCCATCTGTCAATTTTGGCTTTTGTTGCCATTGCTTTTGGTGTTTTAGACATGAAGTCCTTGCCCATGCCTATGTCCTGAATGGTAATGCCTAGGTTTTCTTCTAGGGTTTTTATGGTTTTAGGTCAAACGTTTAAGTCTTTAATCCATGTTGAATTGATTTTTGTATAAGGTGTAAGGAAGGGATCTGGTTTCAGCTTTCTACATATGGCTAGCCAGTTTTCCCAGCACCATTTATTAAATAGGGAATCCTTTCCCCACTGCTTGTTTTTCTCAGGTTTGTCAAAGATCAGATAGTTGTAGATATGCGGCGTTATTTCTGAGGGCTCTGTTCTGTTCCATGGATCTATATCTCTGTTTTGGTACCAGTACCATGCTGTTTTGGTTACTGTAGCCTTGTAGTATAGTTTGAAGTCAGGTAGTGTGATGCCTCCAGCTTTGTTCTTTTGGCTTAGGATTGACTTGGCGATGCGGGCTGTTTTTTGGTTCCATACGAACTTTAAAGTAGTTTTTTCCAATTCTGTGAAGAAAGTCATTGGTAGCTTGATGGGGATGGCATTGAATCTGTAAATTACCTTGGGCAGTATGGCCATTTTCACGATATTGATTCTTCCTACCCATGAGCATGGAATGTTCTTCCATTTGTTTGTATCCTCTTTTATTTCCTTGAGCAGTGGTTTGTAGTTCTCCTTGAAGAGGTCCTTCACATCCCTTGTAAGTTGGATTCCTAGGTATTTTATTCTCTTTGAAGCAATTGTGAATGGGAGTTCACTCATGATTTGGCTCTCTGTTTGTCTGTTGTTGGTGTATAAGAATGCTTGTGATTTTTGTACATTGATTTTGTATCCTGAGACTTTGCTGAAGTTGCTTATCAGCTTAAGGAGATTTTGGGCTGAGACGATGGGGTTTTCTAGATATACAATCATGTCATCTGCAAACAGGGACAATTTGACTTCCTCTTTTCCTAATTGAGTACCCTTTATTTCCTTCTCCTGCCTAATTGCCCTGGCCAGAACTTCCAACACTATGTTGAATAGGAGTGGGGAGAGAGGGCATCCCTGTCTTGTGCCCATTTTCAAAGGGAATGCTTCCAGTTTTTGCCCATTCAGTATGATATTGGCTGTGGGTTTGTCATAGATAGCTCTTATTATTTTGAAATACGTCCCATCAATACCTAATTTATTGAGAGTTTTTAGCATGAAGGGTTGTTGAATTTTGTCAAAGGCCTTTTCTGCATCTATTGAGATAATCATGTGGTTTTTGTCTTTGGTTCTGTTTATATGCTGGATTACATGTATTGATTTGCATATATTGAACCAGCCTTGCATCCCAGGGATGAAGCCCACTTGATCATGGTGGATAAGCTTTTTGATGTGCTGCTGGATTCGGTTTGCCAGTATTTTATTGAGGATTTTTACATCAATGTTCATCAAGGATATTGGTCTAAAATTCTCTTTTTTGGTTGTGTCTCTGCCTGGCTTTGGTATCAGGATGATGCTGGCCTCATCAAATGAGTTAGGGAGTATTCCCTCTTTTTCTATTGATTGGAATAGTTTCAGAAGGAATGGTACCAGTTCCTCCTTGTACCTCTGGTAGAATTCAGCTGTGAATCTATCTGGTCCTGGACTCTTTTTGGTTGGTAAGCTATTGATTATTGACACAATTTCAGATCCTGTTATTGGTCTATTCAGAGATTCAACTTCTTCCTGGTTTAGTCTTTGGAGGGTGTATGTGTCAAGGAATTTATCCATTTCTTCTAGATTTTCTAGTTTATTTGCGTAGAGGTGTTTGTAGTATTCTCTGATGGTAGTTTGTATTTCTGTGGGATCGGTGGTGATATCCCCTTTATCATTTTTTATTGCGTCTATTTGATTCTTCTCTCTTTTTTTCTTTATTAGTCTTGCTAGCGGTCTATCAATTTTGTTGATCCTTTCAAAAAACCAGCTCCTGGATTCATTAAATTTTTTGAAGGGTTTTTTGTGTCTCTATTTCCTTCAGTTCTGCTCTGATTTTAGTTATTTCTTGCCTTCTGCTAGCTTTTGAATGTGTTTGCTCTTGCTTTTCTAGTTCTTTTAATTGTGATGTTAGGGTGTCAATTTTGGATCTTTCCTGCTTTCTCTTGTGGGCATTTAGTGCTATAAATTTCCCTCTACACACTGCTTTGAATGCGTCCCAGAGATTCTGGTATGTTGTGTCTTTGTTCTCGTTGGTTTCAAAGAACATCTTTATTTCTGCCTTCATTTCGTTATGTACCCAGTAGTCATTCAGGAGCAGGTTGTTCAGTTTCCATGTAGTTGAGCGGTTTTGAGTGAGATTCTTAATCCTGAGTTCTAGTTTGATTGTACTGTGGTCTGAGAGATAGTTTCTTATAATTTCTGTTCTTTTACATTTGCTGAGGAGAGCTTTACTTCCAAGTATGTGGTCAATTTTGGAATAGGTGTGGTGTGGTGCTGAAAAGAATGTATATTCTGTTGATTTGGGGTGGAGAGTTCTGTAGATGTCTATTAGGTCTGCTTGGTGCAGAGCTGAGTTCAATTCCTGGGTATGCTTGTTGGTTTTCTGTCTCATTGATCTGTCTAATGTTGACAGTGGGGTGTTAAAGTCTCCCATTATTATTGTGTGGGAGTCTAAGTCTCTTTGTAGGTCACTCAGGACTTGGTTTATGAATCTGGGTGCTCCTGTATTGGGTGTATATATATTTAGGATAGTTAGCTCTTCTTGTTGAATTGATCCCTTTACCATTATGTAATGGCCTTCTTTGTCTCTTTTGATCTTTGTTGGTTGAAAGTCTGTTTTATCAGAGACTAGGATTGCAACCCCTGCCTTGTTTTGTTTTCCATTTGCTTGGTAGATTTTCCTCCATCCCTTTATTTTGAGCCTGTGTGTGTCTCTGCACGTGAGATGGGTTTCCTGAATACAGCACACTGATGGGTCTTGACTCTTTATCCAATTTGCCAGTCTGTGTCTTTTAATTGGAGCATTTAGTCCATTTACATTTAAAGTTAATATCGTTATGTGTGAATTTGATCCTGTCATTATGATGTTAGCTGGTTATTTTGCTGGTTAGTTGATGCAGTTTCTTCCTAGCTTGGATGGTCTTTACATTTTGGCATGATTCTGCAGCGGCTGGTACCGGTTGTTCCTTTCCACGTTTAGTGCTTCCTTCAGGAGCTCTTGTAGGGCAGGCCTGGTGGTGACAAAATCTCTCAGCATTTGCTTGTCTGTAAAGTATTTTATTTCTCCTTCACTTATGAAGCTTAGTTTGGCTGGATATGAAATTCTGGGTCGAAAATTCTTTTCTTTCAGAATGTTGAATATTGGCCCCCACTCTCTTCTGGCTTGTAGAGTTTCTGCCAAGAGATCCGCTGTTAGTCTGATGGGCTTCCCTTTGAGGGTAACCCGAGCTTTCTCTCTGGCTGCCCTTAACATTTTTTCCTTCATTTCAACTTTGGTGAATCTGACAATTATGTGTCTTGGAGTTGCTCTTCTCGAGGAGTATCTTTGTGGCATTCTCTGTATTTCCTGAATCTGAATGTTGGCCTGCCTTGCTAGATTGGGGAAGTTCTCCTGGATAATATCCTGCAGAGTGTTTTCCAACTTGGTTCCATTCTCCCTGTCACTTTCAGGTACACCAATCAGACGTAGATTTGGTCTTTTCACATAGTCCCATATTTCTTGGAGGCTTTGTTTGTTTCTTTTTATTCTTTTTTCTCTAAACTTCCCTTCTTGCTTCATTTCATTCATTTCATCTTCCATCGCTGATACCCTTTCTTCCAGTTGATCGCATCGGCTCCTGAGGCTTCTGCATTCTTCACGTAGTTCTCGAGCCTTGGTTTTCAGCTCCATCAGCTCCTTTAAGCACTTCTCTGTATTGGTTATTCTAGTTATACATTCTTCTAAATTTTTTTCAAAGTTTTCAACTTCTTTGCCTTTGGTTTGAATGTCCTCCCATAGCTCGGAGTAGTTTGATCGTCTGAAGCCTTCTTCTCTCAGCTCGTCAAAGTCATTCTCCCTCCAGCTTTGTTCCGTTGCTGGTGAGGAGCTGCGTTCCTTTGGAGGAGGAGAGGCGCTGCGTTCCTTTGGAGGAGGAGAGGCGCTCTGCTTTTTAGAGTTTCCAGTTTTTCTGCTCTGTTTTTTCCCCATCTTTGTGGTTTTTATCTACTTTTGGTCTTTGATGATGGTGATGTACAGATGGGTTTTTGGTGTGGATGTCCTTTCTGTTTGTTAGTTTTCCTTCTAACAGACACGACCTTCAGCTGCAGGTCTGTTGGAGTACCCGGCCGTGTGAGGTGTCAGCCTGCCTCTGCTAGGGGGTGCCTCCCAGTTAGGCTGCTCGGGGGTCAGGGGTCAGGGACCCACTTGAGGAGGCAGTCTGCCCGTTCTCAGATCTCCAGCTGCGTGCTGGGAGAACCACTGCTCTCTTCAAAGCTGTCAGACAGGGACACTTAAGTCTGCAGAGGTTACTGCTGTCTTTTTGTGTGTCTGTGCCCTGCCCCCAGAGGTGGAGCCTACAGAGGCAGGCAGGCTTCCTTGAGCTGTGGTGGGCTCCACCCAGTTCGAGCTTCCCGGCTGCTTTGTTTACCTAATCAAGCCTGGGCAATGGCCAGCGCCCCTCCCCGAGCCTCGCTGCCGCCTTGCAGTTTGATCTCAGACTGCTGTGCTAGCAATCAGCGAGACTCTGTGGGCGTGGGACCCTCCGAGCCAGGTGCGGGATATAATCTCGTGGTGCGCCGTTTTTTAAGCCCATCGGAAAAGCGCAGTATTGGGGTGGGAGTGACCCGATCTTCCAGGTGCCGTCTGTCACCCCTTTCTTTGACTAGGAAAGGGAACTCCCTGACCCCCTGCGCTTCCCAAGTGAGGCAATGCCTCGCCCTGCTTCGGCTCGCGGATGGTGCACGCACCCACTGACCTGCGCCCACTGTCTGGCACTCCCTAGTGAGATGAACCCGGTACCTCAGATGGAAATGGAGAAATCGCCTGTCTTCTGCGTCTCTCACGCTGGGAGCTGTAGACCGGAGCTGTTCCTATTTGGCCATCTTGGCTCCTCTCTCCTCTGTTCACTTTAATAATGGATTAGTTTTCTGCCTTCTCCTGTGGGGAATCTTTTTGGTAAGGGAGGGAAGAAAGATTAGTTATTCTTGTGCATCAGTATCTTTTTCTTTTTTTTATTGTAGTAAGAACATCTAACATGAGATCTACCCTCTTAACAATTTTTTAAGTGTACAATACAGTATTGCTAACTATAGGCATGAGGATGTGCAGCAGATCTCTGGAATGTTTCACTCTTTATAACTGAAGCTTTATACCCCTTGAATAGCAGCTTCCCATTTCCCTGTCTTCATAGCCCCTGGCATCCACCATTCTACACTCTTTCTATGGGGTTGACTATTTTAATTACCTGACGCAAGTGGAATCATGCATTATTTGTCTTTCTGTGACTGGTTTATTTCACGTAGCGTAAAGTCATCAAGGTTCATCCATGTTTTTGCATATGGCAAGGTTTCCTTTTTAAGTCTGAATAATATTCCATTTTCTACATATACCACATTTACTTTATCCCTTTTTCTGTTAGTGGACATTTAACTTGTTCTCACAGCTTGGCTATTGCAAATAATGCTGCAGTGAATATCTCGTAAGTCTCGTATATGTCCATAGAAGATCATGAAAATGGACATGTCTCTGGGTATTTTGAATTGGTGGGACAATTTTGCTTAAGGGTAGGCATAGTGGGTGGCTCTACATTTGAGAGTTCTAATTCCCATTCCTATATATATTTCTTTTCTTTTTATTTATTTTTTTGAGATGGGGTTCTCTGTCACTCAGGCTGGAGTGCAGTGGCACAAACATGGCTTACTGCAGCCTCAACCTCCTGGGCTCAAGTGATCCTCCCATCTCAGCCTCCCAAGAAGCTGGGACCACAGGCATGTGTCACCATGCCTGACTAATTTTTTTTTTTAATTTTCTGTAAGCATGGTGTCTTGCTATGTTGCCTAGGCTGGTCTCAAACTCCTGGGCTCAAGTGATCCTCATGCCTCAGCCTCCCAAAGTGCTGGGATTACATGTGTAGCCCACCACACCCAGCCTTATATATATATTTCTAATTTTGCCTTAGCCATGCCCTTAAAAACTGATTCTACTTTCAACTAGTTTTTTTTTTTCCACCTTCAGTCTGTAGTATTGTTCACATTTTGAAAACAATACCTACAGTAACCTGTGAGGTAGGACATGATAGTGTTTTATTGGACCCCTTTTACTTTATGAATTGGAAAAATTAAATTTGCATGTAGTTTGTAAAAAAAAAAAGAAAGAAAGAAAAAAGAAATTGATTGAGATTATTTCAGCAGCCAGAAGTGTGGGACAGGCAGGGCAGTTATTCCTCCTTCTCAGTTTGGAAACTGAAGCTCAGAGAGTAAACTTGTCAGTGACACAGTTATTCAAGAAGTTGTCTTCAGTTGAGAGATATGTTTTTCACCTGTAGCTTCTGGTATTGGAGCAGTACCTTTTTAGACTAAACAAATTACGGTTAAAATTATAAAGGTATTTTTGGAGTACCTGGAAAAAATCAGCATTTTGCTTTTCTAGTTCCATTTAGTAGGAAGACAGGAAAGTTTGGTATACCTGAATTACATGTGAGTTATTTCTATTTTTCTAAAAATTCTTATAAATTGTGTAAGGTAAAAATGACTACTTCTTGTTTTATGGTAAATATAGTTATATCCTTTCAAGCCACTGCTGTACAAAGTTGTGAAATCTCCCTGAGGCTTTTTCCCTCATGTCAGCTTCAGGTATCCAGTATCACTTATGCTTGATAATGATTGTATGAAAATCATTCAGAATTATACTATGTTTTTTCATATAAAGCTTTTGTTTTACTAATTTTGAAATGACTGTTCCTCCATTAAGCGAATACAGCCCTAAGCATAAATTTGGTTTGTTCATTTAAAAATGGTCTTTTTTTCCCATCTTAGTTCTGGCTTTACTAGGGAGATAGATTGGCTGAGGTTGTCACCTAATTCTGGGAGGTTAAGAGCCTTTGTCTTTTGCTACCCATTTCTGAAATAACCAGAAGTCTAGCCCATCCTAACTTTTCTCTCGATGATCCTTTTCTTCTTTTTACTTCAAGGTTCCAGCTCTTCATTTGACTATCAGTGCTGTTTCACTAGTTAGCCATGATCCCTTTCATCCGCCGTGTCTGGATTAGAACTGTATTTTTAATTTGATGCTGTGGGCAGTTTTGATAGTTACAGATCCTGTGATACATTTAAATGTGTTTACAAGGGGAACAAATGAAACAATGCTGCATGAAATTTGCCTTTCTTTTTTTTTTTTTTTCCCCTTGGAGACAGGGTCTGGGTCTATTGCCCAGGCTAGAGTGCAGTGGTGCGATGTCAGCTCCCTATAGCCTCTGTGTCCTGGGCTTAAGCCGTCTTCCCACCTCAGACTCATGAGTAGCTGGGACTATAGGCACGCACTACCATGCCTGGCTAATTTTTTATTTTGGTAGAAGATGAGGTTTTGCCATGTTGCCGAAGCTGATCTTAAACTCCTGGGCTTAAGTGATCTGCCCACCTCAGCCTCCCAAAGTAATGGGATTATAGGCGTGAGCCACCACACTTGGCCTTTTCTTTTTTTCATATTTATTTAATTATTTTATTTTATTGAGACAGAGTCTCACTCTGACACCTGGGCTGGAATGCAGTGGCTATCATGGCTCTCTGCAGTCGTGAACTCCTGGACTCAAGTGATCCTCCCATCTCAGCCTCCTGAGTAGCTGGGACTACAGGCTTGCACCCATGCCTGGCTAATTTTTTATTTTTACTTTTTTGTAGTGACAGGCTCTCGCTACGTTGCTCAGGCTCGTCTTGAACTCCTGGCCTCAAGTGATTCTCCTACTTGGCCTCTTAAAGTGCTGGGATTATAAGCCTGAGCCACTGAACCCAGCAAAATTTGCCTTTCTTAAACTAATTTATCTCTGTTGGGTCCAAGAGCTTACAAGTTGGTTGTCATTTAATATGTTAAACACTAGAATATTTTTTAGTTGAAATTTTATTTTTTCCCTTTACATGTTGTATCCTTTAGTGCTTTATTTCACTAATAAGAATTATAGTATGCAATCATTTCCCACCTCTATATTCAGTATATCAATTTTTGTTTTTCCTTTCTACTTCTGTCTTTTGCTATAATTTGCTGTAATACAGGTACTTTCATCAAGGCATCCAGTTCTTTATATCATTCTATATTTTTACTTGGGAGAAATAGAAATGTTGCTAATTCCATCTTACTGACAATACCTAAATTATTGTTTGTTATAGAACATAATGATTTAAATATACAAAACACTAAACTGTTTGAGATTTTTTACATTTTATGCGTGCAGAATTTACATTTTATGTGTGCAGAGACAAAAATTGTTATAAGATTACAAGTTAATGTGCAAGATGATTTCCGATTCATGAGTTTCAGGTTTTGATAGCATATCCTTATCCACTAGATTAGTCTTTTAAAAATGTGTATGATAGGGAAAAAATCGAGGGCATGAAATTCTGAGACTTGTGGGAACTAAACTTAAATGTTCGTTGTTAGATTTTTTTTTTTTTTTGCTGCGTATGAAGTTCTAGGCAGTCATTGTCCAACAACATTAAATACTGAACATATGGGAAAAGCATATGATTTTTCGAAATGTTTTTCTAAAGTAATCTCATTCTACATACACTTAAGAGCAGTTATAATGCTTTAGTGACACTTGAAGTAGCTATTTAATGTGATCTCACCACTATAGGGAAGGCCGTTGCATGACTTTTTTGTGTGTGCTTAACTGCTAAACAGGAGAATCTTTTCCTGAGCAACCAGCTGGGAAGGATTTAATTTGACATTCTCCCTACTAGGACCCCCCAAAGAGACTCATTCCCTCCAATAGTTCCTACAAGTTCTTTCTCTTTCCTAAACTTGCTGTTACTAATTTACCCCTCACTGTTTTCAAGGCAAAGCATCTGCAAGGTTTTCAGTCCTTTCCCCCTCCCGTCCTGTCCCCATCAGTGTTGAAATGTATGCTACAGTTATTATGGTTGTAATTTGTTATGCCATGTTGATCTTCTTGTGCTTTTCATATCAGAACAATGCATTTTTAACATTCTGACTTTCTTTTTCTCTCAATTGGTAACTGACTATATAGCAAATTTATATTTATGGATACTATTTCTTTTTTAATAAGTTCAAGGGAAAACATTGATAAAGGAAAATTTATCCTTGCAACTTTCTTTAGGTGCCAGCATTATTTTCATATTAGGAAGCAGGAGAAAGTTAAGGAACTCTGAGCAATACTAGAATGGTTATATATATTTAAGTTTGTATTAAACCTGTTGGAATGGTAAAGAAATTTACTGACATATTTAACCATACAAAATAGTGTTGCTAAAAGACTAGTTTTTCTCTTTATTCTGTGCATATGTATATATATGAATGTGTGGTTTTTTTTAAAGAAATTTTTAAAAAACTTAATCTGCCAGCTTTTCTCTATTGGAATTTGCGAACAACTTGTAAAATTGCAATTACAGAATATTAGAATAGTCAGTTATGGAAAGTCACTTCATTATCCTTGTGTCACTAAATAACGTATAAAGTTAAATCAGAAGTGTATTCATCTCTGAATTTCTAATCAGTTGTTTTTAGTTTGCAGAAAAAACTTCAGCATGTGCCAGGAACACAACCTCACCTTGATCAGGTAAAGAAAAAAAATCTAAATCCAAAATTCCTAATCAATGTTTTTAAAGGACCTCTTTAACTAGATAGGCTATGTTTAGGACTATTTTATTATAAACTTTTTCTAAAATGGTATTTTTGAACTGTGTTGATAATTTTTGGAATCTTAAATGCTTTTGACATAGTCTAATTCTATTTCTTAACACATAATAGGAATTCATCAAACCAGATTTGTTTTAGAATCTGAGGAAATCATGCTTTCTAGCCTTTCCATTCTGTAGATTGCTTAGCATATTGGTTAGTTCTGATAGGGATTACTCCTTAAAAGCAGCCTGGGGGTTCTATAGGCAGTCTGTTTTTAAGTATGTTGAATTGTTTAAGGAAAGGTCTGATATAAGCATGGCTTATTTAAATAAAAATTGACTTGGAGTTTCACCTTCAGGTAGCACTATAAATTTGAACTCCTTAAGATGTTTTTCATGCTCTAAAATTCTAATCCCTAAGGTAAATATCTAAGATGCTAGGAACAATTTAAATATAATTTTACTGTACCTGCGTTTCTGTTAAGCAGATCATAGATCGTAGAGCTTTAGGATAACTTCTTTGTTCCTCTTAAAACCCTGAGGGGTGGAGTGGGGGATGTGTAAGTGAGCAGTGTGCCTAATCTTCCTTCCTCTCTCTCAAGTGATCACTCAGTTTTTGAATTGCTATTGGTTGTAATAGGGCCGAGATAACAGCTACTTGCATTTGTATTCATTTTGGTTCACATTTATGAGCAGGTTTGCCACTATGTTTGTGGCACCTTTCCCTGTGAAACTTTTGTTAATAGGATATTCCTCTTCACTTATCTTTAAAATGAATAAATGAGAGAAATACAAGTCCTTGGAGATAGAATTTATGGTAAAAAAACAAAAAACCCAGTTCTTCATGATAGTCAGTATCTGTCATATAGCTGAACATGAAGCACATTTGAGCTTCTGGGTAAAGAACGTGATGCCAAGAATCATAGGGATGAAAAGATGAAGCAAACGCAGCGCTCACTTTCCATGAGCGTTTGGGGCGGCCAGTGTCTCCATCCATAGAGCCTCGAATGAACCTCTATTGTGGCGGTTACGATGCCTTGCAGTTTGCTTGAAATGCTTTTGCCTGGCATGAGTCTATACGTTCCTTACGTATAAAATCTGTATTGCTTAGTACAGGGCTTGGTGGGTACTCAGTGAGTATTTGTTACAAGAATGAAAAGCTGCGTTTCTCAAATGGGGCATAAATCAGAATCGCATGTGGAGCCTTTTTAAAAAAAATTCGATAACTCAGTAGTTCTCACCCTCAGTCTCCAGGATTGGGACTTGGGTATGTGTATATTAATGTATATTTTTAACATTTTATTATGGAAGATTTCAAAGATATAAAAGAATAAACAGAATAGTAAAGTGAACCCCTTGTATGCATCACCCAGTTTAAATGGCATCAACATTTAGCTGATTTTATTTCACCTATCCTCCCAACATTTCTTTTGCCTGGAGTATTTAAAAAAAACAAATGTATTTTAATAGGAAATTTCAAACGTGCGTAAGAGTAGAATGGTATAATGAGCCTGTATGTACCTATTGCCCTTGGTGTAGTGTATTAAAGCAAATTCCAGACACTATGTCACTTTACTACTAAATAGGGCATATCTATATTTTTGTAACCTCTGTAGGAGATTCTGATGCACTGTCCTGCTTTAGATAATATAAACATAGGGGAAAATAGTATCACAGCCAAAGGGCTATGGGATTCAGAGGCATGAACAATTTCATTTGGTTTAGTGGATCTGAGGTGTAAGGGAGGAAATTTATCTTTTCCTCGCCTATCACTAGATTCATGGCTGAGGTCTCTCTAACAGAAGACCAACTATCAAGAGAAATTTCAACATAGAAATTTATTTAGTAAGTTTTACTTGACACAGGAGCCTTCATAAAACATACCTGTGTATGTTTTCTGTTAGTTATGATATGGAAGAGGATAGTAATGGAGAAGCATAATTAGATAAAACAGTATGATCTAATAATAAACTGGGAAGAACTTAGCAAGGCCTGTTTGCTCAGATTTTTCTCTGTGACCCTTCATATTCAGACTTAAGGATGTTGTTTTCCTCTGTGTATAGAGAGGGCACCTCTTAAATGAGGGTCTTATGACCTGCATCAGCGGAAGGTCAGAAAATCTTTCCTAGGTTTTATGACCTGCTTCAGGAGAGAAGGTGAGAGTGACCTTCCTGATTCTGCCATTTTCTCAAATATTGAATTGGCATATTTTGGGATAGCATGTCCTGAACCCCATCAAATGCTTCATGAGGATAGTTTTTTGTTTGTTTGTTTTGGTTTTGGTTTATTTATTTGCATACAGTAAAGCATGCAAATGTGTAATTTTAGTGTACAATTCGATGTTTGGGTTTTGTTTTTGTTTTTGTTTTTTTGGTTTTTTTTGAGACGGAGTCTCGCTCCGGCTGGAGTCTCACCCAGGCTGGAGTGCAGTGGTGTGACCTTGGCTCACTGCAACTTCCTCCTTCTAGATTCAAGTGATTCTCATGCCTCAGCCTCCTGAGTAGCTGGGATTACAGGCATGTACCACCATGCCTAGCTAATTTTTGTATTTTTTTTTTTTTTTTTAGTAGAGATGGGGTTTCACCATGTTGGCCAAGCTGGTCTCAAACTCCTGACTTCACCTGCTTCGGCCTCCCAAAGTGCTGGGATTACAGGCGTGAGCCACTGTGCCCGGCCTCAATGTATTTTTACATATATTTGTACCTATATATCTGTCTATATGCACATTCAAACACATATCCTTCTAACTCCCACTCAGGTCAAGATACAAAAGATATCCAAAATTGTAAAGAGTTCCTTTTTGCCCCTTCCTAGTCAAAGAAGGGGTAAGTGCTATTCTGACTTACTTAACAAAAAATAACCTTGAACTGGTAGGATTTTTTTTGACGGTAGGATTTTTTTTGACGGGAAGAAGTAAGGAAAAGAGCAATACGGATGTTTAAAAATGAGAAGGTGAGAATCTTATAGATGAGTAGGTGTCTGGTACAGAAGTCTTAGTGGAGAGTTGGTACTGGAATCCTGGTCTAAGGTATTAGGTTTTAATTTGCTAGACAAAGAGAACTCAAGCAGTGCTGTCTAGGAGTGTTATGTAAGCTAGATTGGACTTTAGAGTCCGGAGACCATGCGGGAAGATACTGTGTGATAAGGGCCTGAAACATGTTGGTTACAGTGAGACTAGAAATGGGATAAATCCAGAGCTGTTTCACCAGTAGACTTGCCTGAATATCCTGTCTGACTGAGTATGGATCAGAAAGAAAAGAAGGGGTGATGGGAAACGAGCCTAGATTGACTAGAGAAACCTAGAAATAGAAAAATCGGGAAGGCAAAGTGATTTGAATGATAATGCCATATATTCAGTTGTCCCTGGTGGCCAGATATTATAGTATAGATATTATACAGGCAAAGAAGAACAGAGGGATAGAGTGTGAAGGTACAGATTTTGAGTTTAAGCACATTAGGGGGCTTAGTGTTCTGGATGAAGAAAACCTATAAAAGTTATTGTATGCTAGGTATTGTTTGCAAAAAAGTAGAAAATGGAGAAATAACCCAGTGGGTTAAAGAAGAAACAGACTAAATAAACAAACCTGAGTAAGTTGTTCCTAAATTTTATTTTAGAGACAATTCCTTATTTTGCTTTAGTTTTCTCAATTATTGGCTCACTTTTCTGTTTCTTTCTGTGTCAGCATACATGGAAAAAGGAGTTAATTTTAGATTCAAAACAAAAA
The DNA here is from genome assembly GCF_000001405.40 of Homo sapiens. Taxonomy (NCBI): domain Eukaryota; kingdom Metazoa; phylum Chordata; class Mammalia; order Primates; family Hominidae; genus Homo; species Homo sapiens. The sequence continues at coordinate 131,192 of NC_000009.12, read as the reverse complement.
CTGGAAAAAAAAAGTCTGAAATGGGTAATACCTAGGACCTAGTATATATGTGTTATTAAGGCTCTATCCCTGAATTTTTAATGCAGTTATCTATTTTTCATGGATTCTTTGTTTATTCCCCATAAGGAACACCTGGGTTTGGAGAGTGGGAAGGTAGATGAGAAAACCCAAGTGACAAATAATGTTTAGTTTATTATTAGAACCAACTATGAGTTGTGACCCTTATCTTCTGCACTGGGAATTACAGATTTTTTTCAGGGTTTTTCTAACGTGAAAAGAGTTTATTGGTGTAGGAAAACATCTGGTTCCAAAATATAGATCATCCTTATTGAGCCCCATGATGCGTTATCTTAATTTTTAAAGCCTTTTTTGTCTCATACTGGAGTTTATTGTACCCCTTAAAAATATTAAGTCACATATTTAACCTGATAAAAGCAAAAATCATTATAAAAATCTTTAGGCTGGGTGTGGTGGCTTATGCTTGTAATCCTAGCGCTTTGACAGGCCAAGGTGGGTGGATTGCTTAAAACCCAGGAGTTGTAGACCAGCCTGGGCAACATGGTGAAACCCCATTTCTGCAAAAAATACAAAAAATTAGCCAGGCATGGTGGCATGTACCTGTAATCCTAGCTACTCGAGAGGCTGAAGTGGGAGGATTGCTTTAGCTTGGGAGTTCAAAGCTGCAGTAAGCCATGATTGTGCCACTCTACTCCAGCCTGGGCAACAGAGTGAGACCCCATCTCAAAAAAATTTATTAAGTTAAAATCTTTAACAATAAAGCCATTTGGAGTCGTATTTTGCGACATTCTCAATATAGTTTTCCAACTTGCATTAAAATACATTTTAAACATTTTTGAAGACTAAATTTATTTTTTTTTAACTGACAGTTATGTTTCATTTGACAACCTTTTGCTGTATATTTTTATGTGGACTTTTAGGTATTGTAGTGATTCCTTTAATGAAGAAATAAAATAATTGTCATTTAAAAATGCATATTATTATTACCTTATGCTATAAAAATAGTTTTAAAATAGAGTATGTTTATTAAGATTTAAAAATAAGTATAGTCATGCACCGCATAACAGCGTTTTAGTCAGACTGCATAAGATTACGATGGAGCTGAAAAATTACTGTCACGCAAATACTTACCATTGCGTTATTATTTCCATACACTGTTCAGTACAGTAACATATATGCTGTACAGGTTTGTAGCCTAGGAGCAACAGGCTATACAGCATAGCTTAGGTGTGTAGTAGGTTATACCATCTAGGTTTGTGTAAGTGCACTATCATGTTTGTATAACAACAAAATTGCCCAACAGCTCATTTCTCTTTATGTATCCATGACTGTATATTTTTTATTGTGGTAAAAAACACTTAACATGAGACCTACCTTCTTCCACAAATTTTTAAGGGTACAATATAGTATTGTTAACTGTCTGTACATTGTTACATAGCAGACCTCTGGACCTTTTCATCTTGCATGACTGAAATTATCCCCATTGAACAGCCCCCCCCAATTTTCGTCTCCCTCTCACCCCTGGTAACCACCGTTTTACTTTCTGATTTGATGAGTTTCACTGTTTTAGACACCTGATATTAGTGGATTCATGCAATATTTGTCCTTCTGTGACTGGCTTATTTCACTTAGTGTAATGTCCTCAAGATTCATCCATGTTGTAGTATATGACGGGATTTTTTTTAAGGATACATAATATTTGGTTGTATGTATATTACCACATTTATTTTATCCATTCAACTGTCCTGGACATTTAGGTGGTTGTTAGTGTCTTGACTGCTGTGACAAAATAAGTACTTTTAAAAGTCTCACATTTGCAAGTTCAATTTGAACCTTTTTTTAGTCTGCTTGTACTTCTCTTATCAAGCAAGAAAGCACTTTTCTGCTTTTCCTATTACTAGTAACAGTGGAGATTAAATATCTCATGTTTTTGGGCATTCTAGAGCCCAACACATCACCTGTTCCTTTCCATACTACCACAACTGACACTCTCTGGAAAGTGCCACCTCCCTGCAGCAGGCCAACCAGTACAAAAATAGTACATTAAACCAGCAAAGCTAAGAACCCTCAAAGAGTACATTTCACCCTCCTACCGCCTCCACTGGAACAGGTGCTGGTATCCACAGCTGAGAGACCCACAGATGGTTCACATCTCCCGACTCTGTGCAGACTACCCCCCAGTACCAGCCTGGAGCCTGGTAGACTTGCTGGGTGGCTAGATCCAGAAGAGAGATAGCAATCACTACAGCTCAGCTCTCAGGAAGCCACATCCATAGGAAAAGGGAGAGAGTACTACATCAAGGGAACACCCCGTAGGACGAAAGAATCTGAACAACAACCTTCAGCCCTAGACCTTCTCTCTGACAGAGCCTACCCAAATGAGAAGGAACCAGAAAACCGACCCTGGTAGTATGACAAAACAAGGTTCTTTAACACCCCCCAAAAAATCCCACTAGCTCACCAGCAATGGATCCAAACTAAGAAGAAATCCCTGACTTACTTGAAAAAGAATTCACTAGGTTGGTTATTAAGCTAAGGCACCAGAGAAAGGTGAAGCCCAATGTAAAGATATATAAAAAAAAAGATACAAGAAGTAAAGGGAGAAATATTCAATGAACTAGATAGCATAAATAAAAAACAATCAAAACTTTAGGAAATAATGGACATACTTATAGAAATATAAAATGCTCTGGAAAGTCTTAGCAATAGAATTGAACAAGTAGAAGAAGGAAATTCAGAGCCTGAAGACAAGGTCTCCTAATTAACCGAATCCAATAAAGACAAAGAAAAAAGAATAAGAAAATATGAAGAAAGCCTTCAAGAAATCTGGAATTATGTTAAATGACCAAACCTAAGAATAACCGGCATTCCTGAGGAAGAAGAGAAATCTAAACGTTTGTTAAACATATTTGGGGGAATAATTGAGGAAAACTTCCCCAGCTTTGCTAGAGACCTAGATCCAAATACAAGAAGCACAAAGAACATCTGGGAAATTCATCGCAAAAAGATCATCATCTAGGCACATTGTCGTCAGGTTATCTAAAGTTAAGATGAAAGAAAGAGCTGTGAAACAAAAGCAGCAGGTAACCTGTAAAGGAAAACTTACCAGATTAACAGCACATTTCTCAGCAGAAACCCTGCAAGCCAGAAGGGATTGGAACCCTATCTTCAGCCTCCTCAAACAAAACAATTATCAGCTGAGAATTTTGTATTCAGCAAAACTAAGCTTCATATATGAAGGCAAGATACAGCTTTTTCAGACAAACAGAGAATTCACCACTACCAAGCCACCAGTGCAAGAATGCTAAAAGGAACTCTAAATCTTGAAACAAATCCTGGAAACATATCAAAACAGAACCTCTTTAAAGCATAAATATCACAGGACGTATAAAACAAAAATACAATTAGAAAAACAACAAAAACCAGAAAAACAAGGTATACAGGCAACAAATAGCATGATGAATAGAGTGGTACCTCACATCTCAATACTAACATTGAATATAAATGGCCTAAATGCTCCACTTAAAAGATACAGAATTGCAGAATAGGTAAGAATTCACCAACCAACTATCTGTTGCCTTCAAGAGTCTCACCTAACACATAAGGACTCACATAAACTTAAGGTAAAGGGATGGACCAAGACATTTCATGCAAACGGACACCAAATGTGAGCAGGAGTAGCCATTCTTATATTAGACAAAACAAACTTTAAAGAAACAGCAGTTTAAAAAGACAAAGAGGGACATTATATAATGAAAAAAGGCCTTGTCCAACAGGAAAGTATCACAATCCTAAACATATGCACCTAACACTGGAGCTCCCAAATTTATAAAAGAATTACTAATAGACCTAAAAAATTAGACAGACAGCAACACAATAATAGTGAGGGATTTTAATACTCCACGGACAGCACTGGACAGGTCATCAAGACAGAAAGTCAACAAAGAAACAGTGGATTTAAACTATACCTTGGAACAAATGGAGTTAAAAGATATATACAGAATATTCCATCCAACAACCACAGAATATACGTTCTGTTCAACAGCACATGAACTTTCTGTAAGATAGACCATGTGATAGCCAACAAAATGAGCCTCAATAAATTTTAAGAAAATTAAAATTATATCAAGCACTCTGTCAGACCACAGTGGAATAAAACTGGAAATCAACTCCAAAAGGAACCTTCAAAACCATGCCGATACATGGAATAACCTGCTCCTGAATGATCAGTGGGTCAAAGATGAAATCAAGATGGAAATGTAACAATTCCTCAAACTGAACGACAAGAGTGACCCAACCTGTCAGCCTCTGGGACACAGCAGAGGCGGTGCTAAGAGGAAGGTTCACGGCCCTGAGCGCCTCCATCAAAAAGTCGGAAAGAGCACAGACAATCCACGGTCACACCTCAAGGAACTAGAGAAACAAGAACAAACCCAGCAGAAGAAAGGAGATCAGAGCGGAATTAAATGAAATTGAAACAAAACAACAAAAAAAATCCAAAAGATAAATGAAACAAAAAGCTGGTTCTTTGAAAAGATAAATAAAATTGATAGACCGTTAGCAAGATCAGCCAAGAAAAGAGAGAAAATCCAAATAAGCTCAATAAGAAATGAAACGGGAGATATTACAACTGACACCACAGAAATACAAAAGATATTCAAGGCTACCATGAACACCTTTACATGCATAAACTAGAAAACCTAAAATAGATGGAGAAATTCCTGGAAAGATACAACCCTCCTAGCTTAAATCAGGAAGAATTACCCTGAACAGACCAGTAACAAGCAGGGAGATTGAAATGGTAATTAAAAAATTACCAACAAAAAAATGTCCAGGACTAGACGGATTCACAACAGAATTCCACCAGATATTCAAAGAAGACTTGGTACCAGTCTTAAAGACACTATTCCACAAGAGAGAGAAAGAAGGAATCCTCCCTAAATCATTCTATGAAGCCAGTATCACCCTAATACCAAAACCAGGAAAGGACATAACCAAAGAAGAAAACTACAGACCAATATCCTTGAACATAGATGCTAAAATCCTTAAGAAAATTCTAGCTAACTGATTCCAACAACATATCAAAAAGATAATCCACCATGATCAAGGGGTTTCATACCAGGGATGCAGGGATGGTTTAACATACACATGCGCGTAGCCAAAGCAAGACTAAGCAAAAAGAACAAATCTGAAGGCATCACATTACCTGATTTCAAACTTATACTATAAGGCCATAGTCACCAAAACAGCATGGTACGGTTATAAAAATAGTCACATGGACCAATGGAACAGAATAGAGAACCCAGAAATAAATACTTACAGCCAACTGATCTTCAACAAAGCAAACAAAAACATAAAGTGGAAAAAGGATACCCTTTTCAACAAATGGTGCTGGGATAATTGGCTAGCCACATGTAGGAGAATGAAACTGGATCCTCCTCTCTCACTGTATACAAAAATCAACCCAAGATAAATTAAAGACTTAAATCTAAGACCTGAAACTATAAAAATTCTAAAAGATACCATTGGAAAAATCATTCTAGACATTGGCTTAGGCAAGGATTTCATGAACCCAAAAGCAAATGCAATAAAAACAAAGATAAATAGCTGGGACTTAATTAAACTAAAGAACTTTTGCACAGCAAAAGGAACAGTCAGCAGAGTAAACAGACAACCCACAGAGAAGGAGAAAATCTTTCATAATATATACATCTGAAAAAGAACAAATATCCAGAATCTACAATGAACTCCAACAAATCAGCAAGAAAAGCAGTCCCATCAAAAAGTGGGCTAAGGACATGAATAGACAATTCTTAAAAGAAGATATACAAATGGCCAATAAACATATGGAAAAATGCTCAACATCACTAATGATCAGGGAAATGCAAATCAAAACCACAGTGCGATACCACCTTACTTCTGCAAGAATGGCCATAATAAAAAAATCAAAAAAATAGTAGATGTTGGCATGGATGTGGTGAACACGGAACACTTCTACACTGCTGGTGGGAATGTAAACTAGTACAACCACTATGGAAAACTGTGGAGATTCCTTAAAGAACTAAAAGTAGAACTACCATTTGGTCCAGCAATCCCACTACTAGGTATCCACCCAGAGGAAAAGAAGTCATTATACGAAAAAGATACGTGCACACGCATGTTTATAGCAGCACAATTGGCAATTGCAAAAACGTGGAACCAACCCAAAGGCCCATCAATCAATGCGTGGATAAAGTAACTGTGATATATATGCATACAATGGAATACTCCTCAGCCATAAAAAGGAGTGAATTAATGGCATTCGCAGTGACCTGGATAAGATTGGAGACTATTATTCTAAGTGAAAGAACTCAGGAATGGAAAACCAAACATCGCTATGTTCTCACTCATAAGTGGGAGCTAAGCTATGAGGATGCAAAGGCATAAGAATGACACAATGAACTTTGGGGACTCAGGGAGAAAGGGTGGGAAGGGGATGAGGAATAAAAGACAAAAATTGGGTGCAGTGTATACTGCTCAGGTGATGGGTGTACCAAAATCTCACAAATCACCACTAAAGAAGTTAACCAACACCACCTGTTCCCCAGTAACCTATGGAAAGAAAGAAATGTCTCATATGTTTCTGCCTAAATTGGTCTTTAATACTTTAGCGATTCTCTTGAGTTTGGATTATAAAATAGTTTTGGTCTTTTTGTATTTTCTGCTGTAAGCCTGTATGATTATGTAATGGTGAGTAAAATTGCTAGGCCAGATATGCAGTTCTAGGAAGTTATGCAAAGATGTGCTTTAGTATATTATTTTCTACCTTTTTAAATTCATTTTGAGCTTGGCTTTTGAGCCTCTATTTTCCAAGGTGGGGTGTATGTTTTTATAATGTTATGCTTAGCCCTTGTGTATTTTCATCTCTGAGTTTGAAATTTGGGGTTATATTGGCAAAGGGAGGTTTGGGTTTTAATTAGGTGACCTGTTAGAGGAAATGTTAAGCTTCTGTTTCTTTAGGGTAGACAGTGAGAGATTTATCAAGATAAAGAAGAAAAATAAATCCTAAAGTTAATATTCAATACATGATGATGTCCCCCTTACTAAAGCCAAAGAGGGCATTATCCTATCATTCTCATCGCTAAGAACTCTTCTCCTCTTGGCACATGCTTATTCAGTTAAAGATAAGCCAAGCCTTTCTTTTGTATTTTTTTTTAAGAGAACAGATTTACTTTGGTTTTGAGTTTTATTCCTGGCTCTGGGTAGCTTATTTTTTTGACCCTTATTTTCCCCAATTTATAAAATGAAATAGTTATCTTCACTCCCCAGGATTGTTGTGAAGAGTAAGTCAAAAGATAAAATGAGGTGACTCAGGCAAAAGTACCTGGCCCTGTGTAGTGAGTACATTGTATGTGTTACATATATTCTTATTGCTGAGAATCCACGAAAGAATGAATTAAATAATGAGGACCCCTTCATCAGGGTTTTTGAGTGAGTTTTTTAAAATACAAGGTAGTAGTTTGTGTAAATACTAAATCCATTGGTACCTGTGCAGAATGTAGGAAATGGAGTTGCTAATTCCAAAAAAACAGCACATATGCTGAGGAAAGTATAATACCTAATATATATGGTTTAAGCAATGTAAAATTCCATGAATATGTTCCTTTTCATCTTAAAATTTGTGATTTAAAAAACATTGATATTACTATAAAGAATTATTGTTATTTCCCTTGATTTACAGAGTATTGTTACAATCACATTTGAAGTACCAGGAAATGCAAAGGAAGAACATCTTAATATGTTTATTCAGGTGAATGCAATTTTTAACTGATTAATGATTTATCAATGGTTTTGTTACATAGTTGTTGCTATTAGCGATGGTTGGTCTTATTAAAATATGTCACTTGATACAGAATCTCCTGTGGGAAAAGAATGTGAGAAACAAGGACAATCACTGCATGGAGGTCATAAGGCTGAAGGTACAGTTTACTGTTGCAGACTTTCGGACAAAGTCCTTTTCTTGGCTGTTATAAAAACTATATTTGGTTTTAAACAGAAACACTTGTTTTAGTACAAATCATCTTTGTCTACTTTCATTTTTCTTTATTATTTTCGTGACTGAAAAGGAGCTTTGGAAATCACTGCATAAGGCTTGATTTATTTGCACAACTTTCTTTAGGGTTGCAGCTAGAACAAACCTGTGTGCTTTGAAATGTTACCTTCTGCTCTCTGTTCCCAAGTACAGAGAAATAATGTTGCAAATCTCACTTCTGCTGAACATTATGCTTCCTGATGCATTTAGCAGACACTAAACATTTGTCATACTCTAAACAAAGTTACAAAGGACTAGAAGAATTCTTGTTCTGTATTTAGAAACCCACTCACGTTACTTGATATTTGGGTATTTAAGTCATGAAAGGTATTTCTTCTAGGAAGCAGTGATTCTAAAGTGTATGCTTAACCAGTCAGTTGAGTGTCTACTCTTGTGTGTTCACAAGTGTGCACAAAGTTTTTGGTAAATTAAGAATATTATTTCAAATAAATTAATTTCATCCCCATAGGAGCCAGTTTATCAGATAATTCGTTTCTCATTTCTGCAAATCAATACACAATGAGCTCATATTCAGATAAATATAATAGTTTTTCTTTATTTCATCATTGTTCATTGATTGCAACCCATTTCTAAAACAAATTATTTAATATAACCAAACTCCTTTAACTTCTCAACTTTTCCCACGAAAACTGTGAAACATTATATAAAATCTTTAATCAATAGGATATGATACATATTTCATCATTTTGTTTCAGGTTTTGGTTGTGATAAATAACACTGAAAAACCATCCTAATATATGTATTAACTTTATCATTAGAAAAGGGGATTGTTCAAAAAGAAAATCAATACACAGAAACCTTTTTTGAAAATTAAAAACATTAAGAAACTTCTTGTAATTCACAAATAATTGGAATTAAGTAATTTTCTCAGCTTAAGAGTTTGTATTTTTTAAGTGAATATCAGTAATTAATCCATTAACATTGATGCTCTATTTCTGCTTTTAAGTTTGAACTGAGGCTGATTAATGTTCAGTCAATTCTCCTTTGAGCAGGGATTGGTGTCAATCAAAGACAAATCACAACAAGTGATTGTCCAGGGTGTCCATGAGCTCTATGATCTGGAGGAGACTCCAGTGAGCTGGAAGGATGACACTGAGAGAACAAATCGATTGGTCCTCCTTGGTAAGTCTCAAAGGATTCACAGTTTTAAAACAAAGTGAAAAATATATTTGAAAGGGATATCATGTGCCACTTAAACAGATTAACCATTCAGGTCCTCTTTTAAAACTAAATAAGCTTGTGGTCAATGTTTCATCTTTATCACGTTACAACGTTCGTAAAAGCTTGTTAGGACTTTTGTTCTTCTTCAGTTTTAGAAAAGTGGTTAATCCAAGGACCAATGTGACTTTGATGTACTGACCTGGAAAGTTAAAGATGGAATCACTCAATTACTATTCTTTTTGTAAATTTCTAAACACCATAAAGCATTTAATGAACTGGAATTGATAGGTGAACTGTGTCATTTTAATAAGCATAATGTAATCACGTCATATTTTGTTTTGTTTGCAGGCAGAAATTTAGATAAGGATATCCTTAAACAGCTGTTTATAGCTACTGTGACAGAAACAGAAAAGCAGTGGACAACACGTTTCCAAGAAGATCAAGTTTGTACATAACACTAGAGGCATTTCTTATCAAAAGGATTGGATAATAAAAATAAGTTTCTACTGGGTATATTTCAAGCATTTATTTATTACTTTAGTTACGAATTCCAATATACTTTAAAATGGTATTTGTTTTACAGCATACATAAAATGTAGCAAATCAGTACTGTAAAACATTTAACATTCATACAGTTATATATAATATCCTTTTTTTTAAAGAATGGTATTTCACAAAAATATCTTTTGAAATTGGCTTTGGAGTTTACATATACTGAACATGAAAGTTTATAATAATGATGATACAACTTTCAACATTGTCATTTTTTCTTAGAACTTCAGCTGATTGCAGAGATATAATGATTACATTGTTATTAAATTTTTTTAACACAAGTAAGTGTCACCATTTTATGACATGAAATAAAAGGTTATGACTGTTATTGATGTTGATGTTGACGACCTGATCACCTGGCTGAAGGAGTGTTTGTCAGGTTTCTCCATTGTAAAGTTACTCTTTTCCCCCATTTCATACTGTGCTCTTTGGAAGGAAATCACTATGCACAGCCCACACTAAAGGAATGGGGAGTTGTAGTGTACTTTCTTGGGAGTGGTCTACATGATTAATTGAAATTCTTCTGCAAAGGACAGTTGTCCCTTTCGCTTTATTAGTTCGATCATTTATGTTTATCAGTGTGGACACATGAATATTTTATACTTTGGGTTACAATTTAATACTGCTTTATTTTGTTGCTCAAATTATCCCAGCTTTGACCATTGGGAACTCTTTCCGTTATCTCCTGTTCCCACCTTTGACATACCCCCATCAATGTGGGTTTTGTGTTTTGTTTTTGAGTGCCTCCTTACTTTTCTCCTGTATTTTTAAATAACCCCAATCCCTATTGAAGCTGGCGCTAGGAAAACTAACAATACTCCCTTTCCCAGGTCATCCGATTCCTATGCTGATGGAGGAAATTTGCCTCACATGCTGGGGGCGCTGGGATTTTGTGGTTGAATAAGACACCTGGCCTGGCCCTCCTGGAGCTTAGTTTAGTAGGTCACACAAGCAGTCATTGGTAAATTTGGGATTCAAACAAATCTGTTAGGCTCAAACCTGTCTGTTATTTGTCCTCCAAGCTTCATATAAACTGAGGAGCCTTAAAGGGTAAAAACTTCAGGAGCAGCAAAGTTTCAAAAAAAGATCAGCAAGAAAGCCCTTTTCCAGATTTTATCCTGAAGGCACTAGCTACTTTAAGCTATTTTTTATTATATTTTGCCCTTGCAGTTGGCGTTTGATTTCTCACTGAACATTCATTGTCATAATTATAGACACTATGTGACTATCAAGGGCATAATATTCTTTCATGCTGCATTTTTATTAGATGGCACCTCAAAGTTTTCCCAAGTAGGTGGGTTTTAAATTATGAATATATACCGTGGCATAGTATCTTACTTAGTATTTTAATAAGATCCTTATTTATATAACAAATATTTTTTTTATTCCTCTGTAGTGCTACTTTAGTCTCTGAGCTAATTTTCATGAAGCCAATCTAAAAATCGTGTTACTTCTAAGGATGTGGAGCGAGTGAGATGAACAGTTGTGCTGTCATATTGCCCCTCCCCAGTGCAGACAGTGAATGAGGACCCACTGATTTAAAGGCAACACTGCAGCCCCTTCTTGCCTCATTGAAGTCCCAAGTTTTATTACAGTAAAAGCACTTAATGTTGACATTTCTGAAAGAATGAAGAGGCCGGGCGTGGTGGCTCACGCCGGTAATCCCAGCACTTTGGGAGGCTGAGGCGGGCGGATCATGAGGTCAGGACATCGAGACCATCCTGGCTAACACGGTGAAACCCCGTCTCTACTAAAAATACAAAAAATTAGCCGGGTGCGGTGGCGGGCGCCTGTGGTCCCAGCTACTTGGGAGGCTGAGGCAGGAGAATGGCGTGAACCCGGGAGGCGGAGCTTGCAGGGAGCCGAGATCCCGCCACTGCACTCCAGCCTGGGCGACAGAGCGAGACTCCGCCTCAAAAAAAAAAAAAAAAAAAGGAAAAAAAGAATGAAGAGCCAGAGCCAGGCATAGTGGCACGCCTGTAGTCCCACCTACTCAGGAGGCTGAGGCGGGAGGATCACTTGAGCCCAGGAATTCAAAGCCAGCCTGCGCAACATAGACCCTGTCTCTAAAAATGAATTGGTTATAAAGGATGAAGAAAGGAAGGAGGAAAGGGAGAGAGAGAAGCCCTTATAGAGTGGGTGCATTTCTTGTATGTGGGGCCACTTTGTAAGAACAGGATTTTTCAAACTGGGCCCATACTGGTATGTGTGAAATCAATTTAGTTGGTTATGGCCATTTTTTTTTAAAAGGAAATATCAGTGATCACTATAGTGTAAGTATATTGTTTCGTGAAAGCCATCTTAGTTATGTATTATGTCTGTATGTGTAAGATTGTGATATAAAATGTATTTCTGTGGTTAAATATTCAAAGAAATTGGAGAACCATTGCTACAAGGGGACAGAGGACTCCGTGTGAGCTCTCCTGCCTTCCCTGAATAAACTTACACAATTTAGTGCTGGGACATTTGAACCTTTTCTGAAAATTTGAGTCAGGGAGAGCATCTTGGGGAGGTGGGAAGGAAGGTAGAAGGAGCAAAGCAACACCCCCCTGAAGCCTGGGAATATTGTCAGAACCTTAAATATAATTCAGCTCACCATTCTGGGTAAGGACAGACTCTACCAATGAAAATGGGTGATTACCAGCTGTGAAACACAAAAACATACTTTCACGGTTACACATTCCTTTACAAACAACCGTGTACATTTCAGCCTCCTACCCCACCATTTCTTTTCTCCAGGCGGGAAGGCTGCATGTCGAGGTGGTCGTAGAATGTTGAGTATCCTACTTTCCTACCTCGCTTTTATTTGCGCGGGTTTAAATGCGCCTTAACAGAACCCGTGCAAAGGCTTGCCTACTGTCTGGCTGCACCGGATGAGTAGAGCATCTTCCTTGGTGGCAGGTGGGTGCGAGGAGGAGGGCGCTGGGCTTTTCTCCGGACGGTGTTTGCCCAGAAGACCATCATCCCTGGACTACGTTAGGAGGAAGTGGCACCGCTCCGAGGTAGGGGAAGAAGGGTTATAAAGGGAGGCGTCCACCACACATGGTCTTGAAGAAGCTTTTATAAAAGGCGAAGGCATCTTTGCCGGACGTTGTTGCAAAGGCGTAGAAACAAGCAGAGGAAAACATCCCAAAGGGTAACCACTAGCGTTCCTGCTTCTTGCAACATTCATCCCGGGCTTCCAGCTCAGCCCGCCGGGGCCAGGTGATCCGGCCGCCACATCCCCTGCGACTGAAGCACCTGCTCCGCCATGAACTTGCCAAGAGCTGAGCGCCTTCGCTCCACACCGCAGCGCAGCCTCCGGGACTCCGATGGGGAAGACGGTAAAATCGATGTCCTGGGAGAGGAGGAAGATGAAGACGAGGAGGAGGCGGCGAGCCAGCAGTTCCTAGAGCAGTCGCTCCAGCCGGGGCTGCAGGTGGCCCGGTGGGGCGGGGTTGCGCTTCCCCGAGAGCACATCGAGGGCGGCGGCGGCCCGAGCGACCCCTCAGAGTTTGGCACCGAGTTCAGGGCACCGCCAAGGTCTGCGGCGGCCTCTGAAGATGCCCGGCAGCCGGCAAAGCCCCCCTCCTCGTACATCGCGCTCATCACCATGGCCATCCTGCAAAGCCCGCACAAGCGCCTCACGCTCAGCGGCATCTGCGCCTTCATTAGTGACCGCTTCCCCTACTACCGCCGCAAGTTCCCCGCCTGGCAGAACAGCATCCGCCACAACCTCTCGCTGAACGACTGCTTCGTCAAGATCCCCCGCGAGCCGGGCCGCCCAGGCAAGGGCAACTACTGGAGCCTGGACCCCGCCTCCCAGGACATGTTCGACAATGGCAGCTTTCTCCGGCGTAGGAAGCGTTTCCAGCGCCACCAACCGACCCCGGGAGCCCACCTGCCCCACCCCTTCCCTCTACCTGCTGCACACGCCGCCCTGCACAACCCCCGCCCAGGCCCTCTGCTTGGGGCCCCTGCCCCGCCGCAGCCAGTCCCGGGGGCCTACCCCAACACCGGCCCCGGGAGACGCCCTTACGCTCTGCTGCACCCGCATCCTCCTCGCTACCTACTGCTCTCGGCCCCCGCCTATGCCGGGGCACCGAAGAAAGCAGAAGGCGCGGACCTGGCGACCCCGGCACCCTTCCCGTGCTGCAGCCCTCACTTGGTCCTCAGCCTTGGGAGGAGGGCAAGGGTCTGGCGTCGCCACCGGGAGGCGGATGCATCTCTTTCAGCATTGAGAGTATCATGCAAGGGGTCAGGGGAGCGGGTACAGGGGCTGCGCAGAGTTTGTCCCCGACCGCGTGGAGCTACTGCCCCCTGCTCCAGCGACCGTCAAGCCTGTCGGACAATTTTGCAGCAACAGCAGCGGCATCAGGAGGAGGACTGCGCCAACGGCTGCGCTCCCACCAAGGGCGCGGTGCTGGGCGGGCACCTGTCGGCCGCGTCGGCGCTGCTGCGGTATCAGGCGGTGGCAGAGGGCTCTGGGCTGACATCGCTGGCCGCCCCTTTGGGCGGAGAGGGGACCTCACCAGTTTTTTTAGTATCGCCCACGCCCAGTTCCCTGGCCGAGTCCGCAGGGCCCTCCTAGAGCCAGGTGGGAGTGGGGAGCGACCCGCAGCTGCTCACTCCACCTTGCGCGGCCCATACTGGGCGTGTGCATCTGAATCCCGCTGGAGAGCAAACACGAACTTCTGTTCCCTGCAAAATGGTTAGAAAGAAACAGCTGGATTACGTTCCTCTAAAAACCACCTGAACGTAACCTTCGCAGGGCGTCAAGTCATCTTTTCTTGCCTTCGGTTGTGGCTTCTGTGGCTTTCCCGATTTGCACATGTCCTGGGGTACTATGAACGTGAGTGGGGTATTTTGTTCTGGCATTAAAAGAAAAACAAGCAAGCAAACAAAAACACAGCCTCCGATGCCAAACATGTTCCCCCTTCTTCACTTCCTTGGAACTGGAAGTATTATTCCTAAGTCTAGTGCAAAATGCTTCTACTCTCTGTGTCTTCCTGATAGGGATGTTTAATGTAAGTAGGATATTAATTTCAGAACATTGATTTCTTATCTGTGTGTCTGACGTGCCATCTTTAATGTTAAAATTAAGGTGTTAAAATTAAGCCTAGTTATATAGACGAAATAAAATGCTAAGTCACTACACTACATCGTTTATTTTCTATTACGTCTCATTCTTCCCTTTCTAAATGGAACTTTTTAAAACCTACATTATTTTCCCTCAATTTATTTTCACAATTCATATTTATTATAGATAGCAGAAGTAATCCATTTTAATATGGCCTTTAAAAATTCCAAATATTTGAGGTTGAAAATGTCCTGGCTTTTAAAATAGGAAATTTACTATTTATGAGACTTCTAAAAGAATGAATAGGAGGGCATGTAAATATATTCTCCATTTATTTTTCCTCACCCCCCAACAAGCTGGAAAACCATTTGAGATCAATTTGGAATGTAGTGGCCAACATGTACTCAGGGAAAATAAAAGGCTATAAATATACATATATATATATATATATATATATATATATATATATATATATATATATATATATACACATTTTTTAAGCACTAGAATTTTCAAAACTTATTTCCTAAAAAAAAAACTCTGAAAAGACTTTGCAACTAGAAAGGTTTAAGTGTTACTCGGCGTCAGGGGACGGAGTGGGGGGAAACCAGACAAGAACGCCCATCATGAATTGCTCCCCACAAAGAAAACAAATTTCTAGGAACTTGGCCGTTTTCCCCTGTCCCGAGTGGGGTTCCCGATTCCGTGCCGCTTTGAGGGAAGCTGCTCTGTGAATGTGAGAAAGTTTTTCCCCCAGCCCCCATCTACTCCCCACCCCCAGCTATGAATTTCTTATTTCAGGAGGGAGGACAAACATGGAGACACATTTTTACAGGAGTCTAATTGGCCGATTTTTCTCCGGCTTCTCTTCTCCATCCCGTCTCTTGGAATTTCTTGGCATGCCCTACCTGAGATCCCCTACGGGAGATTTCCTCTTGGCTCCTGCGGTTCTGAGGACGTTCTGAAAAGTTCCCAAGCCCCATCTTTGGTAGCTGCCCAGACCCCAGCTTCCAATTCTTCCCTCTTCTTTGCACAGGCAGCCGTCAGCCCCATAGCCCCACCGGCGTCCAGAAGAGACCACTTTTAGCAAATCCGGCAGGGCTGGGGCAGTCTAAGAGTTTGGAAACAAACTGAGAATAGAGGGATCCTATGTCATGCCAGCTTCTCGCTGGTTTACGCTCCAACTCCCCTCTGTCCGTTGTGCGAAAACGTCTCCGGGCCGACCTTCCTTCATTTATTGCCAACAAACGTCCTGGGAGAGCGGCTACAGCCGCTGAACCCAGAAGGGACTTTCTCCAGGCTTTCTTGGCACCCTCCCAATCATCTTCCTTCTCTTGCCCGAGGGCAGATCACCCGGCTACGAACGTGGGTGACTGAGGGTCAGGCCCCTTCCCGGAACCGCCTCCAAGCTCCTAACTTTTGCCTAATGTGAAACCATATCCAAAGATGAATATTTAAACCATCAGTTCAGCGGCGGAGTAAATTGAACGTTATTCTCCGATCAAACAGGAGCTTCGGGTCCACCTGTTTGGAAGCTCCCAGGCGGCTTGGAGGGGTCCGGCCTTCGGGCGCGACCCGCAGGGGTTGCCTTGCCCGGCTCGCGGAACGGACGTTTACCCGTCGCAGCCACGAACCCACCAACGACACCAAGCACTGGCCGGGCAGACCAGGCGTCGTGGAGGCGCCCCAGCCCCCCAGCCCCCCGCAACGACGCGTCCCAGGGGTGCGCAGTGCTTGGCGCGGTGACCGGACCCGGCCGCCTTCCCGACCGCGCAGAGCGAGAGGCCACACCCTGGATCCCAGGCCGGGTCCCTGCGGTTCTGGGAGGGAGGTCCCGGACGCCTCCCAGATCTCGGGCTTCTGTAACCCCGAGGCCGGGTTTTAAAATCACGGCTCTTCCGAGTTACACGGAGAGTCCGTGGTCAAGGGTCAAGGGCGGCCTTCGACCCTCGGGATCGTCTTCTTGAGAAATGGCTGAGAGCTAAGCCTAGAGCTGCGCAGGGAAGGGAGCCAAAGAGCTGGCGCCGAGCGCGAAGGGCCGGGAGGCGCGGGGAGGCCCCTTACCCGCCCCACTGTCCTGCCCGCCAATGACGCCGATGACAGCGACAGCGTCGGCCGAGTGCTTCCCCTGCTCCGGGTCGTCCAGGCACCGGGTCCTCCTTCAGCACTCGCAGCACGCACTGAAGAAGACGCTACGGAAGTCTCCGTTTTCCAGACTCGGGGGAATTAGGAAACGCGCCCGGCGACCCTCGGGCAGTAGCACCGGGCCAGGTTTGCTTTCGGAACCGCTGACGCCACTCGCCGCCTTTCCCGCCTGGGCCTCTCGCGGGTCGCAGGGGTGGAAGCCCGACCTGGGCCAGGGCCCGGATTTCTTCCTCCCGGCCTCTGCGCCGCCGCCCCCGGTGCCAGGACGCGCTTTGCTCTCGCCGAGACCCAGACGCGCCGAAAGCCTCGCGCGGGCAGTTCCCCGCCCCACGCCCCGGGCTGCGCGTTCTCCCGCGAAGCCTCTGCCGAGTGCGCGCGACGGCGCCGCCGGACTCCCCCGGACCGCGCTCCCGCGCACGCCTGACCGGAGCACCCCGCTTCACGGGGGCGTTCTGCGCGTCCTTCCTCCCCGGTGCGATTTCCGTTCTTTTTCCTCTCGCGGTCCCCAGGAGCCCAGGCACCCCTCGACGCCGCTGCCGGCGGAACCGGGAACCCTCCCCGGGGCTCCCTGCGGGCCCGAAGCCGCCTTCCCGAGGCGGCGGAGTTGGGCAGCTCCGGGCCCCGCGCCGCCCCGCGCCGCCCCGCGGAGCCGGAGTTTCTCTCCGGAGTCTGGACACAGCTCTCCGCTTCGTCGCCGCGCACTGGACCCCGGTAGCGTGGAGCCTGCCCGGGAAGCTGGGCTGCGCCGGCCTGGGGCGAAGGTCCAAGGGGCGCGGGGGCCGGGACGCGGGGCTGTGGCGACGACCGGCCCTCTGCGAACGCTCAGGCCGGCGGGTCCGGGGCCACAGGCTGGGAGTGGAGCTGGCGGCCACTGGGGAGTAGAGAGGACGCCCAGGAACAGGTGCACCAGGGTCCCGGCGGCTGGGCCGAGGGTCGCAAGCAGAGGGGACCGGCGGCTGCCAGCAAGTCCCAAGCAGATGCCTCCGGCGGGGCAGCCGCATTTTACAGCGCCCATTCCGCGTACATCGAGTATCCAAAACGAGTAAAATCGGTTTATACGTTGGAATGTAGCTTATGATTCCAAAATCTCATCTCCAGGCTGCCTAGATCACACGGCCCCGTTTCATTCATTTTTACTGAATAACGGTCGTTGGACAATTTAGAGAAGCAGCAGAAACCACGAGAAAAACAGTGGAGTCAAACGGCGGTAAGGACCGACAAGGCTGGCGGGGACATTGAGCAAACGGCGGCTTCTGAGTTGGCACCTGTCCTTCACCACGTTGTGTGGGAAGTGTGGGGAGTCGGGATTCCCACTCCTCCCCAGCCTTCCGGAAAAATGCTCGGAAATTTCCTTCCACATTGACACCTGATTACAGTCTAAATAGTAACCTTATTCTGATTGTTAATGTAACCCTCTCGTAATCTCTACAAAAATACTTTAGTTTTTCTAGCTGTGTTTTCATGTAATCACTGAAATTATTTTTAATTGGTTTTAAGCATTCATTGATTCCATTTACACCACCTGCAAAAAAGTTACATAGGTGATCGCTAACAATACTAGAATTCGCCCCATCCAAAGGAAACATTAGAGTAGAAAAAGAAAAAGGATTTGAGAATCCAGTAGGAAATTCAGTTAATCATTCCTTCCCTGTTACTCAACTACCTTAACATTGTCAGGTTTACCTGAACATAAACTTCATTTTCTTAATTGTTCTTAGAACGAAGGGATATGTTTATTGAAATCAGTAATTAAGAATATTTTGGGACAGTTATGATTTACTTAGCCAGTGAAGCAGTTTCTATTCCCAAATCCAGGCAAAGAGAACAATAAGATTAAACGTAACCTAAGAGATTTCCTTTTTGTCAAATAATGTGATTTTGCTATGTATAGAGGAGATGTCTATATGTAAGGGCATATTTATGACCAGTAGTTCCTAAAATTAAGGGGACTATTATTGTGTTACTCAAGGTATCAGTTGTATAGGATACATTATGTCATATTTCAAACAATGTTTATAAAGAGATTAGTATAATTAACCTGTGTGTACTTCTCCTCTGGGCCAACCTTGTGTCTTCTTTATCTGCTGACAGTCCTCTCCCCACTGAATTATTTTGAATCAAATCCCAGATAGTCTATCATTGTATTGTATTTTTGAATATTTCTCTAAAAGATAATAATTCCATCAATGAGACTGGGTGCAGTGGCTCCTCCCTGTAATCCCAGCTCTTTGGGAGGCAGAGGTTGGAGGATCACTTTAGGCCAGGAGTTCAAGACCACCCTGAGCAACATAGCAAGACCCCATTTATAAAAAAGAAGATTCCCATCAACGTAACCACAATACCATTATCACACCTAAATAATCCATTAATAGCATCGGTTTATCCAGGCAATATTTAAATATCTTCAATTGTCTAAAAACTTTTTGTTTAGTTGGTCGGTTTGAATTAGAATGCTAATAAGGGTTACGTATTGTGTTTGGTTGATATGGGCTATTATATCTCTTTTAGATTTCCTCAATCCTCTTTTTTTGTTTCCCTTGCATTTTTTATGGGAGAAACTGAACGGTTTGTTCTGAAGAAGTTGACATTCTGGACTTTGTAGCTGCAGGTAATAGTTTTTTGGCAAGATATTCCCAGGGATAAGGTCGTTTATTCAGACTTTTGAATATTGGCAAATAATAATATTGTTTGTAGAGGGAGAAGGATTAGTCAAGATATTTTGAAGAATCAACTATTGAAAAAACAAATTTTTATCAGAGTAAGCATGGATCTGGTAAAGATTATGTGAAATTTTCCTAAATGCAAATACAATCTAAAATTGTAATGTCTTACAATTAAAAAATAGATTATTTTCCATATATTTATAGAAATATAAATGATCAATCAACTATTTCATTGACAATTTTAAATCTAGTTTTGTCTTGAGGAGAATAAAGTTTTTTATATCTTTAGTATTTTAGTTGAAGATCCAAAGACATTTTATGTTAAAACTTTAGGTTTTATATTGTTTTATGTTTTAAAACATAAAATCTAAAATGTGGTAATATCCATGAGGTGCAGAGAGAGTAATAGCACAAATTCTGTGTTCATGAAAATTCATTTTAGGATAACTTAATTAAAAGGACTCAGGATTTGAATGATATTAGATTAGACAGAAAAAAGTTCACTTGAGTGTAAGACATAAGTAATAAAAACCAAAGGTAGCTAACTTTTGTAGGCTTCTTCTTTCTTTAACGAGTATGCATATGAAATAAAATTTCCATGTCTATGTCCATTTTTCCAAGGTACATGGGCTTCTACAATTTCGTCTATTTCATCCTGCAGTTATTTTCACGGGTCTCTGTGTCCACCACTATCTGGAATCTCTGAGATGGTGAAAACGAAATCTTATTCTTCTTTATATTTCAAACAATTCCTAGCACATTATCAAAAATACCTGATAAAATTTATTGTGTCTGTAATACTGGTAAGCATGTAAAATGGTGGTAAATATATAGGCTTTAAGTTTAGATAGTTCTAAATATTATTAAAATTACCAAATTATTGTTTTTAAAAAGTATTAGTTTCCTAGGACAAATAGAGATTTTTAGATAAGGCTGGATTTGTAATACTTTAAGCAACAGGTCACAGTGCTTAAGTATTTAATGCCGATTTGGCAAGCAGCTGATGTTTTATATAATGCTGTCGGGTATTTTATATTTGCGTGTATTTTCTGATGCACTGGATCCAGCACTTCATGTCACGTCATATATCTGTTTATAATGTATACAAATGTATTTTCATATATATTTGATGTTTGATGGCTTTGAAACTTTAATCTTGAAATAGGTTTTAAATTTTTATTAAAACTATTTAAATAATTACTGTAAGGAAAGAGCTCTTATTAGTTGAAAGAAAATGTAGATTCATGTTTCCTTGGAGACTAGTCTAGTTTCCAAGGATAGACGGCAGTGAGGAGTCGGGTATCTAGATGGAATTTCTGTTGGTTTGGATTCCAGCTCTGCTGCTTACCAGCTTTGTGACCTCAGGCAAACAACTTAACCTCTCCAAGCCTCAATTTCCCCATCTATATAATGGTGATATTTATAAGTTTCACCTTATAGGGCCACGGTGGGGATTCCATGAAATAGTGTATGTGAAGTGCTTAGCACAGTGCCTGGCACATACTCAATGCTCTATGCATGTCAGCTAGTACTTAATGATGCTAATAAACATGTTATGTCCCTAAGCACGGGTGGGATCTTGCCTGACGTCCTTCTCTCTGCGTCCTGGTCAGTCTTCACATGGTGGGCATCCTTTATTTCCGGTCACACACGGGTGGTACACAGAGCATGCTGTTTCTTTCGTGCCAGAAGGTTCCCGCTGCAGCTCTCCTGCTAGTTTAGCTTAGCCTTCTGGTTTGAGGGATGAGTCACATGTACCATCACTTCCCAGGACCAACAGGACCTTTCAGGAAAGCTATCCCCTGCTTACACAGAGAATTGCCCTTGCCTAACACTGAAGCCTGGCAGAGTAACATGAAATAACCACAGCAATTCTAAAATTAGAATTAGCACGCCTAGAATAACAGGTATAACCTTCTCTTGTACTTTATCACTTGCTTCATTTCTGCTCAGCCTAATTTTCACTTGATGTGTAGATTTATTTTTTGTTCACCCATCCAGAAAATGTTGACTGAGGAATTACTCTGTGTTAGGCGCTGTTGTAGGAGCAAGGTATACAATGATGATCAAGGCAGATGCAGCCCTTACCTTCAGGTCGTGGAGTCCGGATACAGACTGGAGGCAGAGGCAGCTGTAAGATGTGTGACAAATGCTGCGCTGGATCAGCCCATGGTATTAGGAGAGCAGGTAAGGAAGGGTGGGGACGGGAGCGGACAACCTGGAGGAAGAGGCAGCTAAGCAGAGTCCGGAAGGCTGAGGAGGAGTCAGCAGGTGAAAGAGAGGGAATCATGACATGCCATCTCAACTGTAGGGCACGGCTAGCTGGCTGACTTAGCTGCTGTAACACCGGATTTTTGCAAGACTCCCTGAGTATTTCTCGTGGACTTGCGAACAAATCTGAGCAAGAAAACCACGTAATTTCTTTTATGCCCTGCCCAAGAAAGCCACCTGGAGGGGCAAGGCGACCTTAGCAGAAAGAAGCTGGAGGTGGGGGGAGAGCAGGGTGATGTTACTCTCCGTATGGTGGGGGGTGGACACCTCCCTGTCACATGGCTCGTAATATCCAGCGGGGGAGAGGGGGTTGACTTTCCCCTACGTTATTGGTAATATCACCTCCCTCTCTCCCGCTAAATATTAAGTACAATATCACAGGTGGGGCGTACACCCCCGGCGATGTTTGAAGTAACATCAACTTCTCCCCCTCTGGATGTTAGAAACAATATCACAGGGGGGTGAACACCCCCCCTGCGATCCTGGGAGTGACATCATCCTCTTTCCCCCGGATATTAGGAACAATATCACAGAAGGTGTTTACAACTTTTGCAATGTTGGGAGTAATATCATCCTCTCTCACCCTGGATATTCAGAACAACATCACATGGGAATTGTACCCTTCTGTTTATTGAGAGTAATATCATCCTCTCCCTTTCTGTATATTAGAAACAATATCACAGAGGGCTGTGTACACCCCCAGGAATGCTTTGAGTAATATTATCCTCTCTCTGCCTGGATATTTGGAACAATATGACAGGAGTTGTGTACACCCACTGTGATATTCGGTTTAATATCAACCTCTATCCCCTGGATATTGGGAGTAATATCTATCTTTAGCCCCTGGATACTAGGGACAATATCACAGGAGCGGTGTATACACACGGCGCTATTGGGAGTAATATCATTTTCTCCACCGCTTGATATTAGGGACAATATAACAGTGGGGACGTGCACCCCCTGGGATATTGGGAGTAATATTAATCTCTTCCCCTGTGGATGTTAGGAACAATATCACAGAAGGGGTGTATACCCCCAGCGATATTGGGAGTAAGATCATCCTCTCCCAACTTGGATATTAGGAACAATATCACAGGGGAAGTGTATAACCCCTGCGATATTGTGAGTAATATCATCCTCTCCCAAAAGGGAGATTAGGAACAATATCACAGGAAAGGTGTACACCTCTTCTGATATTTGGGGTAATATCATCTCCTCCCCTCATTGATATTAGGAACGATATCACAAGGTGCGTACAGCCCCTGCGATATTGGGAGTAATATTATTCTCTCTTCCCCTGGATATTAGAAATAATATCACAGGCGGAGTGTACAGCCAACCCCCTGCGATATTGGGGGTAATATCATCCTCTTTTAACCTGGATATTAGGAACAATATCACAGGGGGCTTGTACACTTCTTTTGATACTGGGAGTAATATCATCCTCTCCACAAGTAAATAGTAGGAAAAATATCAAAGAAGGTGTGTACACCGCTTGTGATATTGGGAGTAATATCATCCTACCTCACCTGGATATTAGAAAAAATATCGGGGGGCGTTTACACCACCTGCGATATTGGGAGTAATATGATTTTCTACCCCAGTGGATATTTAGAACAATATCACAGGGGCAGTGTACACCCTCTGAGACATTGCGAGTAATATCGTTCTCACCCCGCCGCCCCCACCCCAGATGTTAGGAACAATATAACAGGCAGATTATACACCTGCCGCAACATTGAAAGTAATATCATCCTTTTCCCCCTGGATATTAGGAACAATATCTTATGGGGGGTTTACAGCCCATTCCATTTTGGGAGTAATAGCAACTTCTTCATTGCTGGAAATAAGAAACAATATAGCAGTTCTGGTGTACACACCCTGTGATATGGGCAGTAATATCATAGACTCTCCCCCGGTGTATTAGGAACCATATCAAAAAGGGGTGTATGCCCACAGCGATTTTGGGATTAATATCATACTCTTCCCCCTGGATATTAGGAACCATATCAAAGAAGGAGTGTCTACCCCTTGCGATAGTGACAGTAATATCATCCTCTCCCTCCCTGGATATTAAGAACAATAAAACAGAATTGGTGTACACCCACTACGATCATGGGAGTAATGTCATCCTCTAACCCCTGGATATTAAAAACAATATCACAGAGGAGGTGTACACCCCTCGCGATATGGCCAGTAATATCATCGTCTCCTCCACTGCGTATTAGGAACAATATCAAAGGGGTGTGTACACCTCCTGCGCTATTGGGAGTGATGTCATTCTCTTTTCCCCTGAATATGAGGAATAATATCACTGATGGGGTGTACAACTCCTACGATATAGGCAGTAATATCATCCTCTCCCAACCTGGATATTAGGAACAAAATAACAGGACATGTACACCCCCTGCGATACTGGGAATAATATCATCCTCTCTCCCACTTAATATTGGAAACCGTATCCCAGGAAGAGTGTAAACCCTCTGAGATATTGAGAGTAACATCATCCACTCCCTACCTAAATATTAAAAACAATGTCACGGGAGGGGTGTACACCCCTACAATATTGGGAGTAATATCATCCTCTCCCTCCCTAGATATTAGAAACAATATAAAAGGGGTCGCGTACACCCCCTGTGATACTGGGAGTAATATCATTCTAATCCCCCCTGGATATTAGGAAGAATATTATACAGGGGATGTACACCCCTTGACATATTGTGAGTCATATCATTTCTCTTCCCTTGGACATTAGGGACAACATCACGGGGCGGGGGTGTCCCCTGTTATATTGAAATTATTATCATCCTCTCCCAAACTGAATATTAAAAACAACGTCACGGGGCTGCTGTGACCCCAGTAATATGGACAGTACTATCATTGTCTCCCTCTCTAAATATTAAGAACAGTATCACAAGAGGGGTGTACACCCCCTGCGATATGGCCAGTAATATCATCGTCTCTACCTTTGGATACTAGGAACAACATCACAGAGGGTGTGTACACCCCCTGCGATATTGGGCGTAATGTTAGCCTCTCTTCCCCTGGATATGAGGAACAACATCCCTGGTCGGGGGAGGTGGAGTACATTAAGAACAATATCTGAAGGAGGTGGGTGTTCACCCCCTGAGATATTGCGTGTAGTATCATCCTCTCTTTCCTAGGATATTAAGAACAATATCACAGGAGGGGTGTACAGCCCCTGCGATATTGGGAACAATATCACCCTATCCCCCTCTCGATATAAGGAACAATATCCCGGGGTGGGTGTACACCCCCTGCGATATTGGGGGTAATATCTTCCCCTCCCCCGCTGGCTATTAGGGACAGTGTCACAGAAGGGTGTCCACCCCCTGCTGTATTGGGAGTGAGATCTTCCTCTCCGTCCCTGGATATTAGGAACAATATCCCTAGGGAGTGTACACCTCCTGCAATAGTGAGACTAACATCATCCTCTCGCCCCCTGGATATTAGGATCCATATCTCAGGGGTGGTGTACATCCCCTGCGAAACTGGAAGAAATATCATCCTCTCCACCTTTGGACGTTAGGGACAGTATCACGGGGGAGGTCTACGCCCCCTGCGACATTGGGAGTCATATCATCCGCTCCCACCCAGGACATTAGGAACAAGATGACTGAACGGAGGTACACCCGCAGCGATATCTTCAATCATGTCATCCTCTACGCCCTGGCAATTAGGAGAAACATCATAGAGGGGTGTACACTTTCAGCGACATCGGGAGTAATATCCTCTCCCCCACAGATATCGGGAACAGTTATATTAATTATTAATAGTAATAAATATATTAATAATTAATAGTAATCATCGATATTAATAATTGCAATAGAGATAGTAAAAGTTAATACGGATTAAAAATATTAACAATTACTATTAATAATAACAATATCACTATTAATAATAAAATAATGATATTATTAATCAATGTTACATAAATCAGTCATAAGTGATGTTGGTAATAAAACAATAATTAATATTAAGATTAATAACTAATATTATTGAAAAATGACATTAATACAGATAATTTTAATCATGCATAATCGTACATTTAAAATAATCATTAATGATTAATAACGTTATACTATTAATTAATATTACCATTGATAATTATTAAGACTGAAGTTTAACAATTAATAATATTATTAAGATTGATGCTTAATAATTAATCGTATTATTTCTCCTAATACCGCAGGGGGTGTACACCTACCTGTGATATTGTTCCTAATATCCAGGGATGGAGAGCATGATATTAGTTTTAATATCTCAGTAGGTGTACACTCACCCTGTGACACTGATCCTAATAGCCAGGGAGTAGAGTATGACATGACTCCCAACATAGCAATGAATGTACAGCCACCCGGTGATATTGCTCCTAATATTCATGGAAGAAGCGTAGGATATTACTTCCAAAATCGCAGGGAGTGTACACCTCTTCTGTGATATTGTTCCTGGTATCCCGAGGGGGAGAGGATGATAATAATCCCAGTATCGCAGGCTGTGATCACCCACCCTGTGATATTGTTATTAACATCCTGAAAGGGAGAGGATGATATTACTCCCCGTAATAGATAGATATTACTCCCCATAACAGAGCAGGAGGTGTACACCCACCCTGTGATATTGTTCCTAATATTCAGAGGCCGAGAGGTCGATATTACTCCCAATATCGCAGAAAGTGTACCCCCCCAGGGATATTGTTCTCATGATCCTGGAGGGAAGAGGATGATGTCACTTTAAATATCACAGAAGGTGTGCACGCCCCCACTGATATCGGTTCTAATTTCCACGTGGGAGAGGAGGAGGTGACGCCCAATCACACCTGCAGTAGAAACACAGCTGTGATGCTGTTGTTAATATTCAGGGAGGAAGACGATGATATTACTCCCAAAACAGACGGCTGTACACCCTCTGCACACCGAGGGTGTACCCCCATCTGTGAAATAGTTTATAATTTCCAGAGGGGGAGATGATATCACTCCGAATACCGTAAACAGGCTGTGAGTCCACCGCGGATCCTAAAAACCAGGGAGGGAAGAGGGGCTGGCACGCACTCCCCGCATCAAGGGGGGTGTCTCACCCCCTTGCGATGGGGGTCCTAAGAGCCAGGGGGGAAGAGGGGCTGGCTCTCTTTGTGGATGATTCTTTTTCCATTCTCAGGCAGTTTTCTTTTTTCTTTCTTTTTTTTTTTGGAGACTGAGTCTTGCTCTGTTGCCCATGCTTTGCTGGATCTCGGGTGACTGCAACCACTGCCTCCCAGGTTCAAGAGATTCTCCTGCCTCAGCCTCCTGAGTAGCTGGGACTCTAGAGGCGTGTGTCACCACACCCAGCTAAGTTTTGTATTTTTAGTAGAGATGGGGTTTCACCATGTTTGCCAGGATGGTCTCTATCTCCTGACCTTGTGATCCACCCACCTCAGCCTCCCAAAGTGCTGGGATTGCAGGTGCGAGCCACCGGGTCCAGCCTCTCAGGCGATTTTCATACCTGCATACTCTGATCACTACGCTGTTAAACAGTCAAGGAGGGTAAGTATTATCTTCAGATTTCCAGAGCTCTGTCTCTGTACAGCCCTCTCCTCCTCAATATTCTGCCCTATGAATTCTAGCCACATTGGCCTTCCCAGACTCACAGTTCTGTCTTCTCAACTCAGGAAGATCTCTGAGCTCCATCTGCATTCTTTCTTCCTGTGCTGTGGCTTGGAAAGTTTTCTAAGGTGTTTGGGAGGTCAATTGTGGGGCTAGCCTCATTTGTTTCTCATCTCTTGAGGATCACTGCCCTTTGATGCTTGATTCCAGTGATTGATTCCCTTTGTTGCTTGAGGGCCATAGTTTCATATATTTTGTCCAGTATTTTTGTTGTTTTAGGTCAGAAAGTAATTTTGGTCTCTGTTACTCCATCTTGGCCAGAAGTGTAAGACCTAAGCATTTACACATCAAAATACTGCACACATAATTTTAGTTTAAGCTACTTTTAAAAAAATCTGCTTCATTTTCCATTAAGCATTCTATTTAGGGTATTACATTGTTTTTTTTGAAATTCTGTTATTGGCAGTTTCTATTGCCTATCAATCCCATTTAAAGATAGTGCATAGGGTATTCTAAAATAGCTGTTAAGCAAAGAGAAAATTGGGCCTGATAGGGTGAGAATCACAGCTCTAATACCTAGAGTGACCTTATAATGTATTGTCCAAAGGAGATATTTTTGACAGTGAAAGAGGGTGTTGTTAGTAATTATATCAGGACCATGGCCTAAACCAGGACTATCCCAGGCAGCCTGGGACATATTTGTACCCCATCTCTATTTAATGCCTTTATACAATTCTTAATTCTACCAGCCTTTATTGAGCCTGCTTTCTTTGTCTAGCTGAGTGCCACGTGCTGACATCACTAAGATCAATACAGCAAACTCTGAAAGATGGACGGAGAGACAGGAGATGGTCCTTTATAATGCAGTGTGATCTGTGCTGCAATAGAGGTGAGCACAAGCGCCTTACGAAGGCTCAGTGAAGAGCGTGCTTGACTGCAGGGGAGGGTACTTAGGTCAGAAAAGATGAGTCGAAGTATGTTCACAGGGAGCATGGGATGAGAGGTGGTGGGAAAGGTATTCCAGACAGTGTGTGTCAAGGCCAAGAGCCAGGGGAACACAGGTAGGGCTTTTTTTTTTTCTTCTAAGATGGAAGAGTGTTCTGATCGGCTGGAAAACAACGCACATGGGAAGCTGTACAGAAATGAGTGGGGAAAGGTAATACTTAACAGCAACAGCAGTTAATATTTAGTGCCCATTTACGACATGCTGGACACAGTTCCGGGTACTCTGAACATATTCGCTCATTTAATCTTTACAACAACTCTATGAGGTAGGTACTATGATTATCCCCATTTTCAGGTGAGGAATCTGAGGCACAGAGAGAGTAAGTATGTTGCCCAGGGCCACGCACCAAGTATGTGGTAGGTCCTGGAGTTGAATGCAGAGCCCCTCCACTCTAAACTCCTGAAAGCCAGATGCTACAAGGCGTTGTTATTCCAAGTGGAGGAATGCTAAGGGCATCATCCTGCAGGTGACCAGGAAACCCTGAAGCATTCGAAGCAGGGGAATGGCTTAAAACAAGGTGGTATAAGAAAGTGCTCCCAGAGCAGCATGAAAGTCTGGTGTAGTGGAGGTCTCCGCTAGCCACAAGAGGTGGTAAGAGGCTGAGCTGAAGCAGCTGCAGCAGGGATGCAGAGGATACATTCCCCAAACCCTTATAGGCAGAGTCCTTTGGCTTCAGTGACCACGGCCAAGGGTGCAGAGGAGAAGCCCAAGAAGATGCCAGGTGTCTGGCTTATGCCCCTGTGTGAACGTGAAGCCTCTCATTGACATGCAGGTTACAGGAGAAAAAGCAGGTTTATTTGGGAAGGAGGCTTCTAGACCATGACTTCCATTTTAGCCATGTAGTTTTTGAAGTGCTTGTACAAGTTCTAGGTGGAAATGTCCAGGAGGCAGTGGGGAACTCAAAGTAGATCTCAGGAGAGAGGCTTAGGCCAGAGGGCTTGGGGAATCATCAGCATGGGGGTGGGAGGAGAGCTGGTATTTGGATGAGATTGCAGTGGAGCATGAACAGAGTGGGAAAAGGTGGTGATGAACCCAGGGACTCCAGTATGCGGTAGCTGGCTGTGAGATTAGGAAGCAATGAAGGAGGCCGAGAAGGATGTGGGGGAGAAGCATCAATAAGGAATAAATGAGTTGCACGTGCTCCAGAGAGGCCAAATAAAGACTGGATTTGGCTCTCGCAGGTCATACACGAAAGAATCTTGGAACCAAAAGGAAAACGGTGGTGGTTTAAAGGGTATATTCAGTTTCTAGGTCTGCTGTCACAAAATACCAGAAACTGAGTGTCTTGTTAAAACAACAGAAATTTTTTCTCTCACAGTTTTGGAAGCTAGAAGTTCAAAACGAGGTGTTGGCAGCACCATGCTCTCTCTGAAGATGCTAGGAAGAATCTGCTCCATGCCTTTCCATTCGCTTCTGGGGTTTCCTGCAAGCCCTGACATTCCTTGGCTTGTAGATACACCACCCCAGTTTCCGCCCCCATCATCACATGGCCTCCTCTCTGTGTGTGCCTCTGCGTTCCCTCTATTCTTCTTCTAAGGACACCGACACCAGTCATAGTGGATTAAGGGTCCACTCCTAACCAATTACATCTGCAACAACCCTATTTCCAAATAAAGTCACATTCTAAGATTCCTAGGGAGAACAGGAATTTTTGGGGGTGTGTGGATACTGTTCAACCTGGGACATGGAGTAAATAAATGGCAAGGAAGATTACAGATGACTTTAAGCTAAAGAGGGAGATAGGGTTAAATGTAGGACTTTTTTTTTTTCCAGGACGGGAGAGGTTTAAACATGTTACTACATTGAATAAATGAAATAACCATGGACATGGAGTGGCTAAAGATTCTGAACTAAGTGCAAGTAATTGATAGCGCAAGCTCCCAAGGGGCTGGGGCCTGGAGCGCAGATGGATGGATCCACTGTGGGCAGAACTGGGGCGTGGGAGGGGTGTGCCGATGCAGATGTGTTTGAGTGTGGGGGGCCAGAAGCTGATTGGGGCGAAGCGTGACAGTGCAGCTCCAAGCACGCTGGAGGTGTTCGCCAAGCAACTCAAGAGCAGATGGCAGAACGAGCAGCTGAAATAACAGCTTGTGAAATCAACCCTACTTTGTGGGGAGAGGATTGGTTAAGGATTCTAGCCATGAGAACCAAGAAGAGGAGGATAATCTGTTCATGCCTATTATGGGGCTTTGGGGGAGCAGTTTCAGCCTCAACCTGGAGAATGTTTTAGAAGGCCAGAGAAAGGAACCCTGCAAATCATGTGAGCTGGCCCCTCACTTTGAGATGAAGTGTCCATACAGCAGTAACGCCACCCTCTGTAGTGGTTCTAGAGTGTGGCAATCTGGAGGGGTCATTATGGAAAAGGGCTGAAGCATAAGAATGTAGGCCCAATACTGAGATAGAAAGAGGATTCTCTGAGATGACTTAGGCAGGGTGATGGTGGTGGAGGTGGGTGTAAGAAGCCCTCTGCTGCCTCGGTCCGAGCATGGAGTTCAATTGGTCAAGAGCAGAGCCAATCACCATTTAGGCCCCAGTCCGAGCATGGAATTCAATTGGTCAAGAGCAGAGCCAATCACCATTTAGGCCCCAGTCCGAGCATGGAGTTCAATTGGTCAAGAGCAGAGCCAATCACCATTTAGGCCCCCTTGTTAGCCTGAATTTATTCCTCGGGTATGGAGAAGACTCCTCAAGATGCATTCAGAGTGTAAGCTCCCTCTTCCGCAGCAGAGGACTGCCCTGCAGGTTTGCAGTTCTGTCATTTGGAAACTCCCTGATGTGTCCCTTGGCTCTTCCCATTCTTTTGCTTCAACACATTTTAAGACCAGGCACCTAAACTGCAGAAACAGCATGAAAAACAAGTAGGTTTCAGGAAAAATTATCCCAAGTGGAGTCTCTACTGTGCTCTGTTTATCAGATGTAAAGCTTAAAACAGTGTAAGAGTTTTTACAGAGTGTATTCATATCACACCAGTTTTGGGTCCATAGACAGGGGCTTTTTCTAGATCAAACCGTTCAATTGTCCTATTGATCCTGGCCTAAAATCTGAGTGGATAAAAAATATTTCAGGAGAGATGAGATTCTAACCCTCAATGGCAAAAAGCAGGGCTGAGCCCTAAGCCCACGTTTTTACACATATTTTACAATTGAATGTGTCGCACTACCGCTAGAACACTAGTTCTCAACCAGGGGCGATTTTGCTTTCCAGGGGACATTGGCAATGTCTGGAGACATTTTTTTTTCCATTTTCAAAAATTGTGGCAAAGCACATAACATAAAATTAGCCATCTGAACCATTTTCATGTGTATAGTTCAGTGGCACTAAGCACCTTCACACTGATGTGCAACCATCACCACCATCCATCCATAGAACTCTTTTCATTTTGCAAAACTGTAACTCTGTACACATTAAACACTAACTCGCCATTTCCCTCTTCTCCCAGCCCCTGACAACCATCATTTGACTTTCTGTCTCCACGATTTTGACTACTCTAGGTACCTCAAATAAGTGGAATCATACTGTTGAGGGATTTTTGATGGTCACAACTTGGGATGGGGTGCTGCTGGTGTCTAGTGGGTAAAGGCTACGGAGGCCACTTAACATCCTGCAATGCACAGGATGGTCCCCACAAGAAAGCAATAACTAACCCCAAACGTCAATCCTACCAAAATTGAGAAACTCTGAGCTAGAAAAATCCCATGAGTAATCTTACACCATGGAGTATCAGTCAATAGAGACTAGTTATGTCTCCAAATTTCTGTGGTTTAAAACAACTTATATTTTTGCTCTAACATGGAGCATCCTTAATCAGCAATCCAGGCTGGTGGGAGTTCCATCCTGACCTGGGCTTCTACGATGACTGAAGCAGAAAAAGGATCAGTGATAAATTGTGCACTGGCTTTTAAAGCTCCCATTGGAAGTGTCCAGGTCATTTTCGGTCACACTTCCTTGGCCAGATCAAATCACAGGTCCACATCTCACTTCAAAGGGAGGAAGGAAGTGCATTTTTACTCTGAGGAAATACAACCACCACACCTAGCAATTAAAAATAAACCTCATACTGTTATCACCTGCTTGAAGTGCTGCTATCAGAGCAAGCCTACCAGTAGGAGTGGTGCAGGCTGCAGGTTTTTGGTTTTGTTTTGTTTTGTTTTTGGAGACTGCACTCCAGCCTTAGTCTGTCATGCAGGCTGGAGTACAGTGGTGTCATCACAGCTTATTGCAGCCTTGACCTCCCCACACAAGCGATCCTCCCACTTCAGCCTCCTGAATAGTTGAGACTACAGGCCCGTGCCACCACGCCCAGTTAATTTTTTGTATTTTTTTGTAGAGATGGGGTTTCACTATGTTGCCTAGACTGGTCTTGAACTCCTGGATGCAAGTGATCCACTTGCCTCGGCCTCCCAAAGTGCTGGGATTACAGGCGTGAGCTGCCATGCCTGGCCTAGAAGCTCATTCTTATTGGCCAGAAGCTAGAGAGTGATCTAAAGACTCCAAGCCAGGCCAGACCGGTTTCAAGCCTTAGGGCTAGTGTATTAATGAATGAGGTTCGAGCTTCTATGGCATGGGAACTGAGGGGCACCACAACACTCAGCTTACTCAAGGGACCAATTCTAGCAGCCTTCGAAAGAGTCTGAAAAAGGTAGCCTTGAATTAGTTTCCGGGTGAAAAATATTTGTCCCAATTGAAGCAAGTACTACTAGTGACTGCCTCTGCTATGGAAGCAGGGGTTACCTGCTTACCTGTGAGCAATAGGATTTCTTGGGGTTGATTTTGCAGGAACATGTACCTCCATGTGGCCAAACAAGCAGGCTTGCTTAGATTTGCACCACAGGATGTTAAAGTGGAAAGGAATCTTAAACATCTAATTGAGGGATGGCAAATTGGGTTCATTGTAAGGGTCACCTCTGACCCTTTGGTTGTGGCTGCTAGGAGCACTGGGTGGGAAGAATTCCGTAGTTTTTTCCAGAGAGAGACAGCCACGCTTCATTAGAGAGTCTAGTGGGCATGGAAGGGAGGGGGTGAGTTGTTGTGCCTGTAACAGGATTTTGCCATCCCTAGTTCTAATCCAACACTTTGAGAGCTGAGGCTCAGCTCCACGAGTGATTTATAGAGGTCCTTCCTTTATTGCTTTTATGTCACCACATCTAGAATTAGGTCTTCTGCTTCCAAGAAAGTCAGCTGCCTCATTACCATGTAGCATAGTTAGATTCCCCATTTCACCTAGAAAATAAATATTTATTGAGGGCTGGCCAAGTGCGGTGGCTCACGCCTGTAATCCCCGCATTTTGGGAGGCCAAGGTGGACGGATCATTTGAGGTCAGGAGTTCGAGACCAGCCTGGCCAACATGGTGAAACCCTGTTTCTACTAAAAATACAAAAATTAGCCAGAAATCCCTTGAACCCAGGAGACGGAGGGTGCAGCGAGCCAAGATCGCACCACTGCACTCCAGCCTGGGCGGAAGAGAGAGATTCCGTCTCAAAAAATAAAATAAATAAATAAATAAATTCACAAAAATATTTATTGAGGGCCCACTTGTTTTTTAGCACTGAACTAGGAGCCGAACATAGAGCAGTGAATGAATAGGCCAAGTCCCTGCTCTTCTTGGCCTTACATTTTGGGGGAGGAGACAGATTAGTAATTATTAGGAGAATTATTAGTAATTATTAGGAGAAAGCAGGAAATTTCTGCTTTCATGGGTGGGATACCAGAAGGTAAATCATTGTGAAAGGATATTTTGGGACAAGTTTCTATAGCATAGATGTATTTTAGAATGATTGGGGCTGTGTCTTGTGAGCACGGGATCTCTGAGGCAGTCAAAGGGCACCAGGAACCTCATCTCTTAAGACGTGCATGCACCGTAGGCTGCCGTTTGTGTCCCTCACTCTGGCCAAGCTCCCTTCTTCATCATGGCCTTTGCACTTGCTGTTCTCTGTCTGGGGAAGAATGCTCTTTCCCTAGAGATCCAAATGGCTCACTCCTTCAGTGTCTTCAAATCTCTGTCAAATATCACCTAAACAGAGAGGCTTTCCCTGGCCTCTAGAGGACAAAGTAGCACATTTTCTCACCCACTTACCCTGCTCATCCTTCTTTATAGCACCCCTCACCACCTGCTGTATTATTTGTTTATCATTCAGCTTTCTCTCTAAAATGGAAGATCTATGAGAACAAGAACCTGTCTGCTCATTGAGGTGTTCCTCTAGAAAAATGTCTGGCCCATAGCAGGTGCTTAATCAACAATTTGTGAAGGAAAAGTGGAGGAAAAAAAGATAGGAGAAAGCAAACTCATGAAGAAGAGTGCTTGGGTGGGGTGGGAGGAGAAGAGGGCAATGGATCCAGGCCCTACAGGGATTCACTGTTCAAGCAGAAAGTCCAGGGAAAGCCACATGGCCTCCTTCAGTCGGATGAGCTGGAGCTGCTGACATCCCCTGCAACCTGGGAGCCAGTGCATGCAATGCTCCAGCTGGGTCTAAGGACAGAAGGAGGCTAATGAACAGCCACCTTCGGAGCAACAGGGTCACTTCAGTCCTCCCTGTTTACTTCCAAGCTGCTGAGAGTCTTATGCACATTTCCTCTTCTCACTTGCCTCTTCACATCCCTAGCTGCCGCAGGAATTTATGGCTTAATTAAAGTGGGAAGCAGGGTTTATACATGTTTATATAAAGTTATATTTTCCTCCACCTCTTTGTCGGAAGAAAACTCAAATGTTAAAATTCTTAGGAGCCCAGGAGTTCGAGACTAGCCTGGGAAACATTGCAACCCCATCTCTACAAAGAATAAAAAAATTAGCTGGGAGTGGTGGTCCCAGCTACTTGGGAGGCTGAGGCAGGAGAATCATTTGAGCGCAGGAGGTTGAGGCTGCAGTGAGCCATGTTAGTGCCATTGCACTCCAGCCTGGGTGACAGAGTGAGATCTTGTTTAAAAATAAAGGAAGAAAGAAACACCTAGAAAGGACACTAGAGATAAATCTAGTTCATGCTCCTTGTTTTCTATGGGAGGACACTGAGGTCCAGGGTCACACAACTCACAAATGGCCAGCCGACGGAAACCCTGTAAGAGGCAGAGTGTGAGGAAAAGGCAGGCACTTGTGATAACCCCACTGGTGGGCAGGAGCTAAGCCTCCATAGGTGGGGAAGGGAATTAACCCCAGGACACAGGCTCCAGTCTGGGGGCTTGAGATGCTCAGGGGACACCAGTTAGAACTAAGGCAGGAGGCCAAGGCAGAAGCTGTTCTCCTCTGCCTGGATGTATGAGGGCAGCAGAGGAAGAAGTGTTGGCAAAGCAGCCCAGAAACACATGAAGAGGAGGAGTGAATGTAAGTAGAGCATGCCAGAGATGGCAGATCAAGGCAGGGAGTTAAATTGAAGGAGGAGGCGGCCGCGGCCAAGGGTGCACAGTGATTCAAAGTTACAGTTGGTTATGGGCTGAGGAAACAGCTTTCTGTTTCACTGCTGTGAGAGGCAACCAGGTTGCAAGGAAAGGAGGGGAAGAGAGAGGCGTGAATGTAGACAGAACCTTCCAGATGTTGGCTGAAGATAGAAAGGAGAGGGAGGAGGGGTTCTGGAGGGAGAAAGAAGTTAAAGAGTATTTTTTTATATGGGGAGATATGGGAGTTTTGGGTTTTATTTTTGGCTTGTGAGAATGAGCTAATCTTGTATAAAGGGATTAAAGATTTTTTAAAAAATTTATCTCTGAGCCTTAGGTCTTTCAACTTTAAAACGAAGATAAAAAATCTATGTCTTTGGCTTATGAGGATTAAAATGTGAAAACACATTACTCCAGTGCCTGGCACATTATAAACACATAATACATGGTAGCTATTTTAAATATTTTATTATAAACTTATGTAGTGCTCATCTGGAGGCCTAGGAAAGTGTTATTGAAAGTATTTTAAATCTTAGTATCTTATATTTATCATTTATAGGGTATAGTAGATTAAGAAATACTTCACGTATTTTGAAAGATTGGGCTGGAAACATACCCGAAGAAGCATTCTTTTTATCTCTCATGTACATGTGGACATTATACATTTTAATTAAGTGTTATTATATGAGTCAAATTCCCTCCTCATGGGTGTTAGTAGGAGTTGACCTCGAAGGAGGGAGGATTTGGTTGTGGATTTATGACTCACATCTGCGAAAGGAGTAAGGGCGAATAAGAACAGGAAACTCTGATAAGCAATTTTACTATGTTTTCATTTTTATCTGAAACTCTGTAATCCAAGACTGGGGTAACTTTTCATATTTTTTAAAAATACTTTTTTATAGGCTGGAGTGATCTTGTGTAAGCAAGGATAAATCATAGACGTTAGAGAGACGTTTGTCTCTGTGCTGTTTGGTGCAAATTCCATGAAAAAGAGCCAAGGCAGGGGGTGGGGGTGGTTGTCAGGAAACCAAGGGATGAGATGTTTTTCTTTTTCAAAGATGACACCTGTGATGCCAACTAGTGAGCATGGGCGAACAGAGCGCAAAGGAATTCGTTACAGTCCTAAAGAGGGATAAATGCATCTGGTGTCAGATTAACTCCAGCGAACAGCCTCACTCAGTCCTAAATACTGACTCAAAAGCATGTTGATTTCAGTGTGAGAAACAGATGTGTAAAGGTGAGTTCTCATGAGGTCAAATATAAAGCAACATGCCTAGGTCTTAAAATCATGATGTTGAGTGCAACTATAAGAAAAAAATGGGCTTACTGATATAATGTTATTATGTAATTTAAAGCCACATTTGCATATCAAACAACCTTGCCTATTTCTACAGAGATAGTTGTTTTTTCTTTTCTTTTTTTTCTTGTGACAGGGTCTCACTCTGTTGTCCAGCCTGGAGTGCAGTGGCGCCATCTCAGCTTACTGCAGTCTTGACCTCCCAGGCCCAAGTGATCCTCCCACCTCAGCCTCCCGAGTAGCTAGGATTACAGGCACAGGCCACCATACCTGGCTAAATTTTTTTGTTTTTTATTTTTAGTAAAGATGAAATCTTACTATGTTGCCCAGGCTGATCTCAAACTCCTGGGCTCAAGTGATAGACCCACCTCCATCTCCCAAAGTGCTGAGATTACAGCCACCGCGCCCCTGGCCAAGATATAAAGTTTAAGGACACATATCAAACATACTAGAGAGGTTGCTGATGGGATAGGGAGGATGAGCGTGAGCATCACAGACGAGGGAAAAAGCAAAATGAGACAGTGGCTTTGCCCAGATGGACAATGAAAATGTGCTATGAGTTAAAGAGCATGATTTTTAAAAGGAGAGAAATCTTTTAGTCATTGGTCTTCTCTTTGTTCTGGCTTAATGAA
This sequence comes from Homo sapiens, assembly GCF_000001405.40. Classification (NCBI taxonomy): domain Eukaryota; kingdom Metazoa; phylum Chordata; class Mammalia; order Primates; family Hominidae; genus Homo; species Homo sapiens. The sequence continues at coordinate 93,330 of NC_000009.12, read as the reverse complement.
TCTGCTGCAAAGGCAAATAGTTTTCAGGCAAACTTGCTGTCCTAGTGGTAACACTGGCTTCAAGGACTCCTCGAGCGGTTTGGGATGGCTTCCTGAGGGTGACAAAGAGGAGCTGTGTTTTCAGCCAAATATCCGAACCAGGACCACTGCCTGCCGCCACGCCCCAGCGGGCACCCCTGCTTTGTGCTTATCTGTGGTGGCTCCGCTCGCCCACCTGGGTGGGAACCCCGAGAATGACTCCAGACTTTTCCAGGGACTGCATGCCAGGGTATTTTTACAATTTATGTGTAGACTTTGTTCGGGTGGAAAAGTTATTTTATGAAGACGAAACAAGCAATTGGGGTACCTACCTTATGGCATTTTTTACCTTGAGAGTGTTAAAAATACCTCTCCCCTAACCAAAACCCTGACAAATAGAGCCAGGGAAGGCCATGCAAAAAAGGATTCTTGGGCTTGTATGCCTGATAACAAAAAATTATCACAGAAGACTGCAAAAAACACAATCTTGCACAAAGCCCATTGCAACTTTGCACACAACAATGCTTCTGAAGGATATTTGCCCAACAACTGCCTGTCCAGCCTGGGCCTGGCATCACCTTTGTTATTGATCTTTGTAGCCAAGGATAATCATTTCCAAATGATCATATAATCTTCCTCATTTTTTCTTTTGTCTTCCTTTACCTCCGTGAATATGCATATAGTTTACTCTGGCTTGCCTATTTCTATTGCAAGGCTCTGTTTCCAAACGAATATCTTTTTCTTGTGGAGAGCCTCTCTCTGTTTGTTATTTAGGTTGACAAGAGAAATGTGAACATTTGAGAGCTCAGGTAAAAGGCCTTAGTCTATAGTGAAACTTTTTTGCACCCTTAGATGCTTACTTCCACTACAACTTGCAGGTGGGCCTTGAAAAGTTCTTGGAATAAGTTTGAGCTTTGATCTTGTCCGGTTCATTTAGCATAGATTCTCAAAATGTGGTCCCTGGACCCACAGCATTAGCATCGCCTGGAGATTGTTAGAAATGCAAATCATCGGGCCTCATTCCAGACCCTCAGCTGGAAACTCTAGGGGCATGGCCAGACCCTCTGTAGCTGAACAAGCCATCCAGGTGGTTTTGATGCAGCTAAAGTTCTGGAACAACTAATGTAGCCCCATTTGGAAAACTTGGCTGTACAGGCCTCCCTAGCTGGTAAGCTGCTAGCATTTTTTGTTTGTTTGTTTGTTTGTTTGTTTGTTTTGATACAGGGTCTTGCTCTGTTGACCAGACCGTGACCTCCTGGGTTCAAGCGAGGACTCAGCCTCCTGAGTAGCCGGGACTACAGGTATGTGCCACCACCATGCCCAACTACTTTTTGTATTTTTTTTTGTAGGGATGGGGTTTTAGCCCGGGCTGGTCTCAAACTCCTGGACTCAAGCAATCTGCCCACTTTGGCCTCACGAAGTGCTGGGATTATAAGCATGAGCCACTGTGCCCGGCCCTGCCAGCTTTGTATAAGCTGAGGAGTTCTAAAAAATACCTAGACTCAGGGCAAACCCCAGACACTTAAATCAGATTCTCTGGGAGGTGAATCCCAGGCACTGGTATTTTTAAAGTCTCTACAGATGGTTCTAATGTGCTGCTAAGTTAGAGAACTGCTGATCTAGACCAGGCCTTTTCAAACTTAATGTGCACGTGAATTACCTGGACCTTGTTAAAATGCAGATTCAGTCTGCATAGGCCTGGGGTGGAGCCTGAGCTTCTGCATTTTTAACAAGTCTCTAGAGGATGCTGCTGCATCTGGGCTGCTAACTACACTTGGAGATAGGAGGTTCTGGAGAGCAGTAGTCCTGACTTCCGAGCCAAGGTTTGCCTTTATGTGGCTGGCAACTTGCTTGGACTCCTACCTCAATTCTTTGGGCCCAAGGTTTGTCCTGCCTCAGAAGGATGTCAAGAAAATTGAGTGAGTAATGCAGAATTGTTTCTTAAAGTGTGTGCAGATGCTCCATGAATTTAGAGAGTATGTGGATGCACATTACTAAATTTTAATAGTTGTGAACATGTTGTTATGAGTACTTAGAACAAGTAATAATGGCTTTTGATGTATAGTAGTAAGAAAGCTTCCTTTTAAAAGGCATGTATTTAAGTTTCAAAAGTGGGGCTATTTAAAAATATATGAAATAAATAATAGTAGAGGTAATTGACAGAGCAAAATTATGAAGGCAGGATGAGAATGACTCAAGTTTGGGAAATGCTGAGAAAGCAGATGCCCAAGGGCTATGAAAACTTAAAAAATAGGTAGCACTTGATTTTGATTGGCTGAATGAGATGATGTGTTTGATCACTTATGGGGTTGGCATTTGGCAACATGCACTGGGCGGCTGGGATCACTGTTTATTAAAAAATATTTGAGTCTCTACTTTGCACTAGATACTCTTTTAGTCTCTTGGAAAAGGGATTGGGGCAGGCAGGATAAAAACAAATCATTTATGCCCACAAGAAAATTGCAGGAAGATAAGAGTCAAGAAATAAACTCTGTGCTTCTAATTTAATATTTTATTATAGATTATGAGAAAAAAGGTTTGCTCACTATCAGCTAGGAAAGCTGTCTTAGCACAACCATTCATTCTTGCACAAATCAAAATCAAGATGAGCCAGAAGGCTCCATTCTGACAGCTTCTAATGGAGAAGCTACATTTACTGGACATGGGGAAAGTTGCTGGGCTCTAAGGACTGTGCTCATTTCTTGAACTAGATAAATGGTCTTGGTGTAGCATAATACCAAAACTTCTTGTCGCAGCCCGTAAGGACAGAACTCAATCAGCCTGAAAAGGAAGTCAGTGACTCCGACTCAACACAGGAATGTTCTGTGATTCCTAAAGAAGGATGTAGGAGTGTGGCACAATTCAACCACAGTCTGTGGCCCTGTGCCTCTGCCTTGACATGAGTGGGATTTCCCAGCTGGTCATTTTCTTCTTATCTAAGACATTGGGAACAAATTACTTGACTTCCTCTGGGCTTCAGTACTCCCACTCATCAAATTAGAGGACTGGGCAGTCGCTAGGCTCTATTTAGGCATCATATTTTAGTTTCTGTGATTTTAAATTTGAGAAGGGGTGTCTAAGGGAGAATACATAGGGGAGGGGGAAAGGCTTATTAAAAGTGTAGTTAGACACTGAATTTTTAAGAATTGCATTTTGTAATAATACCTTTACCTAATCAGGACTGACAATCTTACCTGATGATAGCACCTGGAGGAATGGCTGCATTCAAAAATAAAAATGAAATAAAACAAGACCTTATCTGAACTTAGCAATAATGCTGATTCCTCTTTTTGATTTGAGGAGGTTATAGCTGTTGTAAATGCTTGAATTGGGTCTGCCCAGGCAAAACGGAGTCAAGAGTCCATGTCTGATGAATTTTAACAATGTAGACAATAAAAAGGGGTGCTTAAACTGCCCCTCTTTTACCAAAACACATTTACAAATGAAAGAACAACACTTCCATTTTTTAAAAACATTTTTTGAGATGAAGTCTTGCTTTGTCACCCAGAGTGGAGTGCAGTGGTGTGATCTTGGCTCACTGCAAACTTTGCCTCCCGGGTTCAAGTGATTCTCCTGCCTCATCCTCCCGAGTAGCTGGGACTACAGGCGCCCACCACCATTCCTAGCTAATTTTTGTATTTTTAGTAGAGACAGGGTTTCACCATGTTGGGCAGGCTGGTCTCGAACTCCTGACCCCAGGTGATCCGCCGACCTCGGCCTCTGAAAGTGCTGGGATTACAGGCGTGAGCCAATACACGTGGCCAAAAAATTTCCATTTTTAATTGCAGGGTCTGGGGAATTAAAACGCATCCATAATTTCTTGCATCTCTCCGCTCGGGCTTGCATGAATGCAGAGGGATGGGGAGGACTTCTTGAGGCAAGCATCCCCCTCTTGTCGCCTGCCATCTGGAGAGAGAGGGCTGTGATTTATCTCACTTTAATCAGGAAGGACCCAATGGGTGGATGGAGAGGTCTGATGGCTTTGTTGCTCCATGTGGGAAAGAAACGGACAGAGTGAATTTGTGTATGATCCCTAAGGAGAAAGCGTCTTTGTGCTCTATTTCTTTTTGACCTGGAGCCCCTGAAAGCAAGCTAGTTACAAGTTGAAATAGGCCGTTTCTAAAGTGTGATTTTGTTTGTGTATGAGCCTTGATTACAAAGGGGAAAAAAACCCGCTTAATTTACATACACCAGATGTAGTGCAGGATCCCCTGGGCTGTCTTTTCAGGTATCAGGAAACTTTGATGAAAGTCGCTTGTCTCATCTAGGAGTCATTTCATATTGTTTAGCAGAGCCTGGTATTAACATTTCCTTCCAACTGTTTACTGGAATCTGTGTGTTCCCTTCAAGTGATGCATACTAGGTGCACAGGCGTCCTGCCACTGTCATCCTAATCTTTCCGTGCAGACAGGAGCAGAGGGGAGAGCGCTGAGCCAGGCCCCAGCTTGCTTTTCTTTCCTGACTCAGCCCGGCTCCGCTGCACTTCTCAGCTCTTGCTGTAGGTGGTGCTGTTTGACCATTTTCTTCATGTGACCCTCCACTCGGTAATATAAATTCATTCGGAGGATGACCTGATATCAAAAAAAAATCCTTTTGATTAGTAGAATCAACTTATTTCTTCACACGATACTCTTCCCATTGAGACACATGGAGACAATTCTGACTCCAGGTTTGCAACCTTGAGATTTCTCTCAGATGCAATAAAAAAACAAAAAAGCATTTTGAGTGGCACAGTGATGCCTAGTGCATGATCATGTTTGTCTGCTCACACATAAAAGGGAAACTGGTGGGTTTGAGGATGCCCAGCAGCAGGACAGCTGCCAATGTAAATGAGCGGTATAGAGAGGGGGGGCGGGAGGGGACTACAAACTTCAGAATATGAGCTGATCGTTTATAAGTTAAAAAAAAAACAAACAAAAAAAAACAAGTCAAAAGGGAGCCCAGGATGGTGCAGGAAAAAGGAGAAAGGAAGATTTTCCTTGCAGCTAATCAGGAGAGTTCATAAGGGCTGATTACATGTGTGGAAGCCTTAAGTTCTTTTTTTTAAAAAATGTGAAAATTTGCATGCATGCATGCATGTATGTATGTATGTATGTATGTATAGCTTCGTGTATTACCATTATTATTGCAATCAGCAAATGGATTTACTTCCTTTATCTCATGGGCTCCTTCCCACTCACTTCTGGCAGCACATTTTCCTTTCTCCTTCATCCCAGAACACCAAAGAACAGATGCGCTTCCTAACCCTGGCTCCAGGGGACTTTATACAATGTAAACAGTGCACCTCTAACGTGGTTCACCGCTTAGAGAACGTGTGTCCCATTTTAAAACTGTGACTCCTTTGTATTTTGCAGTGCTTATTTTAATAAGAGACATTGGACTTGTGACTTATTTTTCATGGAGGAGTGAGCTTAATGGTTGAAAGTAATCGATAAACTTGTTTTTCCTCTGATGCCATCAGCCAAGATCCTATGGCAATAGTAAGAGGATGACACTGGGCTGGCACCCCCTCCATAACATATTTGGACCATTTTTTCCCCCAGAATGCACATGCAATAGCTTCGGTTTGGTAAGAGAGAGATGGTGTACTTGGTTTCCTTCTGTCACACTTTTGGTGAAATGAATTAGACTTTTAAATCAGGAAATTCAGCGAGATGAGTTAGATTTTTACACAAGAGCAGTGGAGGACTTCCAGCTGGTTGGGGGAATGATACGGAAATATCTTGCTAAATCAGGGTCTGGTGGAATGCTGCTCCCCTGGCAGGCTCCTCTTCACAGGGAGCAATCTGTGGGTTGCTTATAGAACAGAGCGAGCAGGAGGCATAGCATGGTCTTGCTCGTGGGAAGACCCGGTGTTCAGATGTTTGTCATTAGGAACTGGGTGTGGGCTTTTTCAAGCTAAACTGAAGCAGCAGTTCTATTAGGAAGAGCCTCTCAGAGCAGCATCTTCTGTTTCTGGATACTCTCCCTTTGAAAAGCCAGATTTCAGCAAAAAGCTTTGCTAATGGTGAAATTGCACAACTGAAACCCTATGGGAGCAATGGGAAAGATGGAGAAAGAGGTGGTTATATCATGTACTTCAACAGTTTATTTAGAGGCTGTTGACGTTAGAATAACAAGCCAAGACAAACAAAAATACTCATTTTGGATGAAAATATTGTCTTTTCATGTTATTATAGATAGCTGAGTCCTAAGACTTATACAGAAACACATTTTCCTAATGAGTGGCTGATTTTTCTGGTTGTGCAAGTAATATCCAAATTATTGTACAAATTTTTGGCTCAGGAGCAAACATTGTATTGCATATTGAGCTAATCACTTGCCCTTTCTAAGGTAAGCCCTTACCTCTGCTTTCCCTTCATCTTGTCATTTCTGTTTGTTGGGTACAGGTTTCCTGTTGGTTCTTTCTGTTGGCTCTGATGTAACATGAATGCAGTTCTTAACATCCTTTCAGACATAAACACAACTTAGCTCATTGTTTCTGAGTTCATATAGAGGTTTTCTTGCCCCTGAGACTTTCATGTCAGACAGCTGGATGTTGCTGTGTTCAAGGCTCTATATGTTGATTTTGTATCCTACAACTTTACTGATTTCACCTATCAGTTCAGTTCTAACAGTTTTCAAATTTTATTTGTTTTTGTTTTCTAAATATTGTATGTTTCATTTTAGAGTCAGGAGGGTAGATGTACAGGTTTCTTACACAGGTATATTGCATGGTGCTGAGGTTTGGGCTTCTAATGATCCCACCACCCAAGCAGTGAGCATAGTAATCGATAGGCAGTTTTTCAACTCTTGCTCCCACCATCCTTCCCTCCCACCTTTGGAGTCCCCCCAGTGTCTATTGTTCCCTTCTTTGTGTTGAGTTCTAACCTTTTTTCAGTGAAGTTTGTAGGGTTTTCTATATATAACAAGATCATGCTGTCAGTAGAGACAATTTCACTTCTTCCTTTCCTATTAGGATGCCTTTTATTTCTTTCTATTGCCTAATTACCCTGAGAAGTGGTGTCTGTGGGCATCCTTGTCTTGTTCCTGATGGTAGAGGAAAAGTTTCAACTTTTCACCATTGATTATGGTGTTAGCTATGGGTTTGTCATATATGGCCTTTATTTTGTTGGGATACAGTCCCTCAATACGTGATCTGTTGGGTGTTTTTTTTTCACCATGAAAGGGTTTCGAATTTTGTCAAAAGCTTTTTCTATATCTATTGAGATGGCCATATAGTTTCTATCCTTTATTTTTCTAATATGGTATATTATATGTATTGATTTGCTTATGTTGAACCATGACATGATCGTGGTGAATGATTCTTTCAATGTGCTATTGAATTTGGTTTGCTAGGATTTTGTTGAGGATTTTTGCATCTATGTAGATCAAGGATATTGGCCTGTCATTTTCCTTTCTTGTAGTGTTCTTGTCTGGCTTTGGAATCAGGGTAATGCTGGCCCTGTAAGATGAGTTTGGAAGTATTCCCTCCACTTCAGCTTTTTGGAAGAGTTTGAGAAGGACTGGTATTAGTTCTTCTTAAAATATTTGGTAGAATTAATCTGGGAAGCCATCTGGTTTTGGGTTTTTCATTGATGGGAGACATTTTCTTACTGATTCAACCTCCTTGCTTGCTATTAGTCTGTTCAGATTTTTTAATTTCTTCATGAGTCAATCTTGGTAGGTTTTATGTGTCTGGGAATTTATCCATTTCTTCTAGATGATCCAATTGGTTAGTGTGTAATTATACATAGGAGTTTCTTAGGATCCTTTGTATTTCTGTGATATTGGCTATGATGTTTCATCTTTCATTTCAGATCTTATGCTATATTGAAAACATGAGGCATAGCAGGTAGGGGGCACTGGTCAGGACTTGGGGTATAAACTGGCAGATGTTAAGGTGGGTGATTCTGGTTAACTCAGAAACTCCAAAGTCCCCTGTGGAAGAATTAACTGCCTGTACTCGCCTAGTAATGTATATCCTTGGTCAAAAAAAGATCCAGCTGAGAATGTTGGATGAAGGGACCAAATCAATATTCATCATTATGTTGAAAACAAGTCAGATTGGCTGCGGTCTTTTGACAGCAGGTCAGTGGCTAAGTCTATTTGAACAAAGTTAGGGCAGGTTCAAGAGAGAATCCTGAGATCGGTATTCTTTGTTCCATACAACCTTGCCTTTCAGTTTCTTCTCCCCATGCCTCCAGGATGTCCCTGCACAGCCTGTAGGGCCCCCTCCTTCAGTACCTTGCCTTACGAAGGGGAGAAAATGAGTTTTCCAATGTTAGCATATATTTAGCCTTCCAAAATTTCTATTTCTATTTTAGGGGAGCTCTAGGAAAACAGCAGATTACTCTAAATCCCCAGGTAAAAATCTGAAATGGTGGAATTTCATATGACCAGGAGACATATTTTGGGGCAAGTGGGCTTTTCACAATCACTTGGACATGAAGGCATCTGCTTCTTCTATGCCTAAAATATTCCTTCAATTTAGTAGTTTAGTTCCTCTTCCTCTTTTTCAGATTTCAAGACAATACATGTACTGACTGAACAATTTGGATCCAAGTTTCACTGTTTAACTGCCAGTGTGACCTTGGGCGAGTCACTTAATCTTTTCAAGGCTCAATTTCATCATGTAAAGTGGAAGTACAAACAATCCCTGACTTACAATATTTTGACTTATGATTTTTCAACTTTAAGATAGTTTGAAAGCAATACACATTCAGCAGAAGCTGTACTTTGAGTACCCATACAACCATTCTGTTTTCCACTTTCAGTACAGTATTCATTATATTACATGAGATATTCAAAACCCACTTTATTATAAAATGGGCTTTCTGTTAGATGATTTTGCCTAACTGTAGGTTAATGTGAGTGTTTAAGGTAGGCCGAGCTAAGCTATGATGTTTAGTAGGTTAAGTGTATTAAATGCATTTTCAGCTTACAATATTTTCATAAGTTTATTGGAATATAACCCCATTGTAAATTGAGGGGTATTTGTAATAATGATATCTCTTCAAGGAGACTTTGTGAGCCTCTCATAGGAAAATGCATACACAGATGCATATAAATATATAATCTTTCTTTTCCATACATATGATATTCTTTAAGGATATTCAAAAATCTGGAAACAGTTGCCTCCAGGGAGATAAATGGTAGTGGGTTGGGAAGCTTTTAACTGTATACGCTTTTGTACCTTTTGCATTTTGAATCAGATGAATGTATAATCTACATAAAATATTAAGATTAAAACATCACCGAATAACTTATCAGGAGTTTGGTGAACATAAGGGAAGGCCACCTATGGTGGCTGTATTTTATTCAGTGTTGGTCACTGTTGGGCACTTCATAGAGCTTATTTCATTTCATCCTCACAAGCGCCGTAGGAGGAAGGGGCCCCAGAGGGATTCATGGTTAGAATAGCAGAGTAGGGGTCTCCCTCTGATGCCGAGCCAAAGCTGGACGGTACTGCTGCCATCTCGGCTCACTGCAACCTCCCTGCCTGATTCTCCTGCCTCAGCCTGCCGAGTGCCTGCGATTGCAGGCGCGCGCCGCCACGCCTGACTGGTTTTCGTTTTTTTTTGGTGGAGACGGGGTTTTGCTGTGTTGGCCGGGCTGGTCTCCAGCTCCTAACCGCGAGTGATCCGCCAGCCTCGGCCTCCCAAGGTGCCGGGATTGCAGACGGAGTCTCGTTCACTCAGTGCTCAATGGGGCCCAGGCTGGAGTGCAGTGGTGTGATCTCGGCTCGCTACAACCTGCACCTCCCAGCCGCCTGCCTTGGCGTCCCAAAGTGCCGAGATTGCAGCCTCTGCCCGGCCGCCACCCCCTATAGGAAGTGAGGAGCGTCTCCGCCCAGCAGCCGCCCCGTCCGGGAGGTGAGGAGCCCCTCTGCCCGGCCACGACCCCGTCTGGGAGGTGTGCCCAGCGGCTCATTGGGGTTGGGCCATGATGACAATGGCGGTTTTGTGGAATAGAAAGGCGGGAAGGTGGGGAAAAAATTGAGAAATCGGATGGTTGCCGGGTCTGTGTGGATAGAAGTAGACATGGGAGACTTTTCATTTTGTTCTGTACTAAGAAAAATTCTTCTGCCTTGGGATCCTGTTGATCGGTGACCTTACCCCCAACCCTGTGCTCCCTGAAACATGTGCTGTGTCCACTCAGGGTTAAATGGATTAAGGGCGGTGCAAGATGTGCTTCGTTAAACAGATGCTTGAAGGCAGCATGCTCGTTAAGAGTCATCACCACTCCCTAATCTCAAGTACCCAGGGACACAAACACTGCGGAAGGCCGCTGGGTCCTCTGCCTAGGAAAACCAGAGACCTTGGTTCACTTGTTTATCTGCTGACCTTCCCTCCACTATTGTCCTATGACCCTGCCAAATCCCCCTCTGCAAGAAACACCCAAGAATGATCAATAAAAAAAAAAAAAAAAAAAAAAAAGAATAGCAGAGTAGGAGCATTTGGCAGCTATATTCTGTGTAGGTGATAACTTTAAAGATATTTTTGTTATAAAATGTTTCAAACATACAAAAAATATAGAGAAGCAGTTTTCTATAGTTATTAAATATTCTTAATGGGTAGTCACAGAAATTATCATCCAAAGTGGGATATTCTTGAGAGAAAAAGGAGGTTCTATTTATAATTATGGTGGGATAACAAACTTAAGATGAACAGCTCTAGACAAACTGGGTTGTATGGTCCCTGGAAAACAAGGATTACTGTAAATGTGAGTCCCGCCTTGTGCTTTTCTCTGTCCCACCAAGAAAATATGATCTTGATACAGATGTTCATTGTGTCAAGGCAACCATGGCAACCATGATCTAGATACACTGTTCAAGTTTTATGCTGATCCTACCTATATATGTCTCAGGAGCTTTCCAGAGTTTCCTTTGAGTGCTTCTAAATTTTGCATAAATGGTATGTTGTCCCTTGTCTCTTTTTAAAACCAGTAAGCCATTTTCCCTTCTTTTCCTGGAAAATTAAAGGAACAAAGACCAGGAAATAACAATGTATTAGCTAAGGTTCTGTTGATTGAAAGCAACAGAACCTAATTCTGGCTAGCTTAAACCATGCTAGGATTTAATGAAGAATACTGCAGAATCTTAGATATCTTATGACTGGGAAAGAGGAGGTTCAGGCAGTTCCTGGGATGTCAGCAACAGGTAGCTGTCAATTAACTGCCCCCACACCACCCACTGCTGCCGTCATCAATATAGCACACCACAATGGCTCCCAGCCTCTGTACGTCTGGGTTCCGGGGTTCAAATTCTAGAGACAGCAAGAGAAATCCCATTGAGTCAGGGATCCTTCACTGGGTCACACTCCCTGCATATGGTCAGAAATGCAGGATTATGTACTAAAGACACAGCTAAAGAGGACCCACTTCACTGTTTTGGGACCATTTGCAGGGGAGGCAAAATTGTGAGCTACGCACTTAAAGAGGTGATAACCATAAGTTTGCAGGAAAAAAAAATTGGAGAAGAGAAGGATAACACTACGCTACAGTTTCTTCTGAAAATGGATGAAGGGAATAGCATTTCCATTTGGAAATTCTCTCCTGGCATTTCAATATTTATGGATTCTGAATTCTGAGAAAAATCAGTTGAGAAATTAGGAAAATGGGAAGGAACATTCTAATTTTCCTGTGAAAATTACAGCTTAATAGTCAGTATAGAGAACTTACTGGCTTGAAGAAATGCACTGACTTCAAGTCAAGCAAGATGAGGAAGCACTGACATGTGGAGACGAAAGTTAAGGTGAACAGGACAGGAGCAGTAAAGGAGCCTCAGTCAGACTTTCTTGTATCTGTTGCTGTGTTACAAGTGTGTGTTCATGGCCTTGTCCACTGCTAACAGTGAACCATTTCTGCAAATAAATATTAATGTGTTCATAGGCATAGTATATGTTTTACAAATCCTATGAGAGGTGTTCTAAGAAATGCCAAGTTTTAGAGACAAAATATGCCCTTAAATCGGCAATTTTGACAGTTGCTTCTTTCTAGTGCTATTCATCTTGCCAGGAGATCAGAATGTTATGTTATTTAGATGGTATTGGAGGGGATGATTGATGCCTTGTTTAACAATGTCATGTAAACAATGATTAAAGCATTAAGTATTTGTGGTGTTACCTTTCAGTCTTTAAAGGACTTTTCTTTAGCATTTATTTTGTGATAATATTCATTTCTTTTTAATGTTTTCTCTATTAATGCTATTGGATTTTATAATCTTGTTACAATATGTTGGCTCATAATAATAATAAATCATCATTTGTTATCATATCTTTTTAAAACAGAAGACTACTAAAACTTTTCATGTAATCCTGTTACAGAAAAAAATGACTATTTGCTTGTTATTATAGTCACTTATTATTTTTCAAAAACTTGTAAGTGAAGTGTTATGAAAATCATATGAATTTGGGAATTCCCAAGCATTCTCAGAAATTCTATTTCCTTGTTCCCAAATCCCAATGATTAATATCTGCCAGGAGTCGGAAAACAGTGAAAGGAAGTAACATCCTATGTTGGATACCTGGTAGGGTTAGTGAAGAAACGTTATTGCTGAGCTCTGTGTTACGCTCACGAATGATGCCATGGAGGAAGTCACACTTGTTGAAAGGAACGCAGATACACAAAGAGTTTTGCTGCTGTCTGTTGGATAAGAACCCCCTGGTCGATTTCAGCTCCTACTGCAAGTTACAAAAATCAATCCAATGATAAATGAAAAGTGACCAGTGTGCTGGGAAATAACTTATTTTTTGGCTTCAGAGGAAATTTTAGAAACAGTGCCAAGTGAAACGTAAAAACAAACTACGAAGACATTCATGAATTTCCCTCTGAAGCTGACAGCCGTATTTTAGCAGATGGAACTCCTACTATTAGCCCAACTCTTGGGTTGAAACAGTGTGTCCAGGAAACCCTATGTTAAAATGCAATGTGTTGGGGATATTGTTCCTCTATTTGCTTGAGTTAATTTTCAAATTAGTGTACTCTTGCTTACCTGTGCTCTGAGGGAATGAACAAAAGATTGGTAAACTCTGATGGAGAACACTGGTCAGGCAGGGCACATAGAATCCCTGGGGATGGTGGTTCCTGACAAATGGGGGAGGAGGACCTGAGCCAGGCTTGGGCTGGGCTGGAGGAACATGAAGATGGGATCTACTCACAACCCCCAAAACAGAGGGGTCCTGATAACACATTATTTCATCCTCAGCCATGCAAATTCATTATTTTTATGGATAAAATAGCTTTAAAAAACTAATTTACATTGAAATGTTAAAATATTTATATGGAGATTAGAAATATTTATATAGAGATTATTGGGAATCCCCTCCTAAAGCCCAAACATAAAAACTACCAAAAAAAAAAAAAAATTCCGTGTAGGCTAAGATTGCAAATGACTGATGGAATGTAATTTAAATTAAACATGGAAAATATATTTCCTCTTTAATAAAGATCTAAATTCTATTCTTTTTAGGAGCCTTCAGAGATGAAATTCAACTATTAAAAAAAGTATAGAGAAGCCTTTAGAAAAGAAACTTTTCTTTTGCTGTATTATATAATAAAGAACTTTGATGAGAATAGTTCTAAAGTGTTTAATAATCGATTACACTGATGTTTCTAGGTATTGTGGGGAATACCTAGAAATTAAATCTTCATCTTTGGCAGATCAGAGGCCTATTATTTTTAGGTAAAACAATTAAAATCTGCTTTTAATAAATCACAAATTTTGCAAGTTAGCCATTAATAGTAAGTGCTTTTCAAAGTTTGGCCCAATACATGAAAAAGCCAGAAAAACATACCTGCATTAGTTTTGCCCATCACCTTCTTATGCTGGCCTCAGGAGATTTATTAACAGCATTCAATATTTTAGGTAGGCTGGATGTGGTGGCTCATGCATGTAATCCCAGCACTTTGGGAGGCTGAGGTGGGAGGATGGCTTGAGGCCAGGAGTTCAAGACCAGCCTGGTCAACCTAGTGAGCCCCTCGGTCTCTCTGAAAAGAAAAAAAAATTTAGGTATCCTGTGGCTACCTCCAAAAACAAACTCCAGAGGAAATGAATTTTTTTTTTATTTCATGTGTTGGGATAATGGCTTCTTTTGCAGTTACTTACGAAGAATTTAAGGGTCAGTAAAAATATTTTTTCATGCTTAATAACATGAATTCTCTAATTTGTGTGTGATATAATGCTAGATATTGTGCCAAAAGTGTTACATAGACATAATCCGTGCCCATTTTCAAAGATAATACTAATATAGAGAATAAGAATCATTATTATTGTAGTAATTATTATTTTAGTAATAGTAGTGATAATCAAAACAATTACATCAAACACTTATTAAACCCTTATTATGTGACAGGTACTGTTTAAGCAATTTCCACATATTAGCTCCTTAAATGTGATCACTAACCCCATGAGGTAGGTAGCATTATGTCCATTTTATAGATGCAGAAACTGAGCTTTGAAGAGGGAAAGCAACTTGCCCAAGGCCATGCAGGCAGTCATTGATAAGGGTGGGAAGCGAGAAGTTGAAGTCTGAGATGTAAGTTCACAGACACGAGTACGCAAACATGTACAAGATACTCGTATGACATGTGGGGTTGCTTGAAATATGTAATTGACTTTCCCCAGCACAAGAAAGTGTTTGGACAGATTTCAAAGGGATCTAACACTTCCTTAGAGGACTGCCCTACGACATTTTTCTGTGTGCTTTTCTGCCTCTTGTCCTATACTTTTGGCATTTCTTCTGCTCTTAGAGGCAATGAGTCAACAGCATATTTTTAGCACCTCCTGTGTGCATAGAAGTGGCCCCTGACTCAATGGGAGTGTATAACTACCATGGGCCAAATCAGCGTGCCTTCCTGTCAGCCAGGGGATTATAGAAGAACACGCTCCCCTGATTCCAACAGAACTTGCTGCCACTCTGATGTCTTCATGGTAAGGCCTCTAAATGAATGTTCCAGAAATTCATGTTAAAGGCACTTGTCATATCTGTAACTTGTAAACATTTGTGTACTTGTCTCTGTGTCCTTACACCTCAGGTTTCAACTCTTGTTTTTACCTTTATCAATGACTACCTGTGTGCTGTGTGGCTTTGGACCAATTGCTCACCCCCTCTAAAGCTCAGTTTCTGCATCTGTAAAATGGATATAATGCCATATATACATAGATATACATACACAAATATATATATACACATATATATGTGTGTATATACATATATATATAATATACAAACTGAAATATATAGTTAAATAAATATTTCAGTTTAAGTTTCAAAAATCACCGGAGGGTATTTTTATAATACCCTTCGGCAATTTTACCTGCTGCCTTTGCACATTCTGGTGAATTTCTAAATGGAAGTCTGATAGAGATTAATCTTTTAATGCATCATAAATAAAAAAGAAAATCACAGAATGATGTAGCTGGAGAGGACCCTGGGGATCTAAAGTGTTTCATGAAAGATTAATGTCCTTGATCTGTTTGTAAGTGTTTTGGAAAAATCTTCCATGGTCAAATAAAACTTGGCAATGTTGGATTAAAGTTAAATAGGTTTTTTTTCCTGCAGAACTTCATAGTCTTTAATATGCTAATGTGTTTTGTGAATCTACAAGGAATGAAGTGTTTCAATACTTATTTTACCCAGATTCTCATTTTGGGACAGGCTGGTCAAGCTGAGTCAGCTAGTATATTCTCTAGATGGAGATGATGGCTGATGCCTTTTTGAGAGCAAGAGAGTCCCCAGGGGAAGCAAGGGTATATCAGTTGCTCCTATTTCATGCCAAGGATCCTCAGTCTTTAGAGGCTCAGAGAAGGCTGAAAGGCTACTCTAGGCTATCAGGGCTACCATTCATTGTGACCCATGCTACAGAGAAGCTTTGAGCTCAGTGCAAAGGAGTGACCAGCCCTTGAGAATCAGGAAAATTTATTTATTCCTGACCTAGTCCACTGAGGACATACAAGGAATGGGGCAGGGGAGGGTCACCAGCTATGGTTACAAGCTAGTCTGATTCTCTTTCATTAAGAAAACTGGTCCCTGTGAGTTTAGATTGGGAAGCACCAGGTTAAAAAATTTTTAGGCCAGGAGTGGTGGCCACTGTACTCCAGCCTGGGTGACAGAGTGAGAATCTGTCTTAAAAAAAAAAAAAAAGTTAAGTGATGTCTTTTGTTGAGGATCTCTCAGAACTTTTAATATGAAAGTGTGCATTGTGAAGAATGGGAGTAGAGTGTACAGGAGTTTTAAAAGCTACTTGGTCATGAAACTCTTGCTTTGTGCAGGATTCAAGGAGCACTAACATTCTGAGGAAAATGTTTTGGGAAACATTGATCTAATCCAAACTTCTCATTTTACCAGCAAACAACTGTGGGGCCCTCTAAGTTTCCTTTCTCCATCATTGTGACAAATTCATTGGAATTAATTCAATTAAACCTGGGGTCAGCTTTGAAGAGATTTATTTAGCAGGTAAATCTGTTTTGTACATTTTGAGGGAGTTCTGAGTTTCCATAGTCAAAAACCACAGATCAATTTAACCAACCTTTATGGAATATCACCTATGGCCCAAAGACCCTTTAGCTACAGTGATGGTCTACGAAAATATAAACTGTAATTCTTGCAATACAGGAGATTAGTAATAATGGTAAATATAATGATGACGACACCATGAATAGCTAACATTTATTGAATGCCTTTCTATTAGTCAGGCACTTTACTAAGTATTTTAATCCTCCCAACAATTTATGAGGTAGGGATTATAATAATTCCCATCTTATAGTGAGGACACTGAGGTTAGGAAATTATCCTAGCCTAAATGTTAAGTATAAGCATGAATAGAAAGGTGTTATCAGCCTATAAGACATTCCTTTATGAGTGATACAAAGTCCTATATAAATTCAGAGAAAAGAAAAGTGGTTTTAGAAATCCTTGATCAGTGAGTGTGAAGCACGTGGTGGCCCGGTTACTGTTTGGTTGCCCATCTGTCCTCCCTCTGGGGATCAGCACCCCCTTACTTTTGAAGAATTGTTTTCCTTTTCACTGTAAGGTTCTTTCTGGCTATGCGGTGGGGCACATTGCCTCAAACTAGCCCTGTTCCAGTCTTTGAGAACCTTGAAATTGGAACCAAGGGAAGAGGATTGCCTCTTGAATGGTAATTCTCTAAAATCTAGTCTGAGGTGCTGGTGCCTAATCCCTGGGTCTGTGGAAGGAGCTGGGCTGTGAGAGGGGAGAATGATGTTGATGTCAAGAGAGAGGCAGGTGCTAGGAGCAGAGAGATGGAGGCCTGGAGGGTTTCTGGGCTTCTCTGAGGCTTAGGGTTTGGATCATTGCCTTCGTTACTGGAACAAAGGATTTACCATACCTGCTCTTCTGGGAATGAAACTGTCCTGCTTTGTAAAATGAAGTGTCATTAGAAAGAGATCTTAAAAACCCCACGCCATAGACAGGTGCACAGATCCCTAGAAGTGTTAAAGTTTTGTCTGTTGGATGCTAAGCCAAGACTCTTAAGTATGTTCTAAAGAGAAACTGGTGTGTGTAGGCTGTGCACTCCCAGGGAGATAAAAAGTTAGGAACTTTATGGGTTGGGCTTGGTGGCTCACACCTGCAATCCCAGCACTGTGGGAGGCTAAAGTGGGCAGATTGATTGAGCTGAGGAGTTCGAGACCAGCCTAGGCAACATGGTGAAACCCCATGTCTACAAAAACTACAAAAACTAGCTGGGCGTGGTGGCATGTACCTGTAGGCGGGAGGATCGCTTGAGCCCAAGAGGGAGAGGGTGCAGTGAGCCATGATTGTGCCACTGCACTCCACCTGGGTGACAGGAACTTTATGGGGAATGGGATCTTGGAGACTGAGTAGAGACTAGAGGAAAAAAAAAAAAACAACACTACCTCCCCGACTGGCCACACTATTCTATTAAAAAAATGTTAATTGACAAATTAAAATTGTATGTATTTACGGAGGTATAATGTGATATTATGATATATGTATACATTGTGGAATAATTAAATCCAGAGAATTAATAGATTCATCACCTCAAAACCTATCTTTTTTGTGGTGAGAACATTTGAAATTTATTGTCTTAGCAATTTGGAAATAGACAATACTTCATTGTTAACTACAGTCACCATGCTGTGCTGTAGATCTCAACAAAATATATTCTTCCTGTCTCAACTAAAACGTTGTACTCTTTGACAACATTTCCCCATTCCTCTCACCCCCTCCAAAAACACCCATTCTTTATGTTGAAGAGAATGGCTAAAAAGTCCCAGCAGGTTTCAACTGACGGCTTCAGTGGTTGTCCCATCACACTTCAATGTTATTAATAAAAAGGGGAGGGGCAATACATAATTCGGACAGGCTGAAAGTACCATTGTAACCACTTTCTTGACTTCACAGAAAAAGTCCTCTTGTTTTCATCTGTAAAATGGGAACTGCGTGAATACCATTCTTCTTTTCTTCAGCCTCCAAAGGAAAAACAGATGCAAAGCCTTTTATCAATTGCAAAACAGTATACAATGTGTGTTATTACTCACAGTTGTCTTACTGTGACCAAACACTTTATAAGCCTGCGGCAAGTCAGCCTTACTCTCAGGAAGTGGACAATATTTGGGGAAGGAGAAGCAGCAGGATATTTCAGGACAGTAGCCTTGGTGGGTCCAAAAATTCCTTGAGAGAAATGGGAGATAGAACTTTCTTCCTGCTTTGAGTTTTATCCTGTTAGTCTTTTCTCTCTTCACTCCTATTTTCTATGGAGAATTTCCTGGTTTTGGAGTTTGGGTGCGTTTTATGGAGAGGAGGCAGAAAATCTTTAGCTCCAGCAGAATGAAAGGGTACATGCAAACGAACCTAGCACAGTATCTGGTACCCAGTTCTCCTTTAACTTGGCTTTATTCATTCACTCCTGGTAGGGCATTAATAAGGGATTCAGCCCCCTCCTACTGAAAACGATTAATTCAGGGAAGAGTTCAGACAGTGTGGACAGATACAGTGTAGGCCAAGCCTGTTTCTAAGGCAGGAGCTGGGTAGGGAGGGTGAGAAGGGCGAGAAGAATAGGGAAATACGTGTCGTCTGTGTTGCTGCTGTTGCTACCACCACAACAAACAAATAAGTGAAAAAAAAAAAAAAGAATTGTCCATACCGGAAAGTGTGCTGTTTTGGAGGAGGCTGGGGCAAGTGTGGATGGCTCGAGTGGGTCCTGTTGGATTGAAGTCTGACAGTGGTGATTCCCTTCAACAAATGGTCGGGGTGGGAGGGTACACACACACACACACACACACACACACACGCACACACACACACACACACACACACGCAGCGCCCGGCCTCCGATTTCAGCGCTGGCAGGAGATAACCATTCTTAGCTCGCCTTTCCAGGGTTGTTTTTGGCTGAGGCTGTTCGCTGATGGCAAAAGGTTTCAGCCCCCTCGCAAATCCCTCCCCGTCCTTGTTCTAAAGAGAAACTGGTGCGTGTAGGCTGCGCACTCCCAGGGAGACGGGACGGGCCTGGCGCCGGAGAGGAGCCCGCACTCTGCACGAAGTCTCGCCGCCCGCCGGCTGTTTTCTGGCGGAGGGTGCGCCCCGGAGGGCGGCGAGCGCGGGTGGAGGCGTCGCCGGGGTCGGGCCAGCAGGCTCTGGGATCGGGCTTGTGGGACACCCCGACAGTGAGTCCCACTTGGGGAGAAACTGAGGGCAGCTCGGGCGGTCTGGCAGCGGAGAAGGTGGGCGGGAGAAAACCTGGCAGCGAGGCAGAAGCAATCCCTGCCGGGGGAGTCAGCGAGCGGCGGCGCGGAGAGGAGGGGCGGGCGGTCCCCGGGCGGGCGGGTGCAGGGCGCGGGGCGCCGACCTGCTGGAGAGGGGGCCGGGCGCGAGGCGGAGTCCCGGCGCGCAGCCAGGCTGGCGGAGGCCCCCGGCCGGCTGCGGATTCCCTCCGGCCCCGGAGCCGCAGCAGGACCGGCCGGGAGGCGCCGCGGAGGGGAGCCCCATCCCGGTGCGGACAGTGCCCACCGCGCCCCGCGAGCACCGGCGACCCACCGGCCTCTTCCAGGGCCAGCGCAGCTACCCGCCCAACTTCATCCGGAGCGCGCTGTCGTCCGTCGGCCTGCGCGACCGTCAGGGCCGCACCACGGGGGCGGGCAGCGACGGCAGGTTCTTCGGCAGGACGGCCGTCGAGGTCGTGGGGCCGATGGCCGCGGCCAACGGGGCGAGTGTCCGGATGCCCCTCGCTTCCCGCCGCGCCGCCGCCGCGCCCTCTCCTGGCCCTTGTCCGCCTGCTGCCTCCGGGCCCAGCTGGGAGGCCCCTGCCCGGCTTTGCTCCCGCACTCCCGCGTCCTCACCCTCCAGCGCCCCACTCCCGCCGCGCTCGCAGCCTCCCCGGCGCACCCCGGACACTGGGTTCTATTAGTACCCACCGCCCCCAAAAGCCCTCAGGGGTTTCCGTCCTTCCTGGAGCCACTCCGGGCGCCCTGGACTCTTCTCCGACTCTGCCACATCCCGCACCTGCTCATTTTTCTTTCGGACATTCTCTTACCCGGCCCTGTAGATTCCAAGGCGGCTCCCAGTTTTCCATATTGTTCCCAACGCGTTCACTGCCCACAGTCCCCACACAAACTTCTTTCGCAGGCTCACAACATAGTCCCTCTGCCCCGTGCCCTTTTGCAATAATCTGCCAGTCCCCTAAGTCTTAGCTCTGCCTATTTAACAGTAGTGGTGTCTCAGAACACACACACACACACACACACACACACACACACACACACACACACACACGATCCCTGACATATTTGGCAAGAGTAGGCCCTGAAGGTTTTTAATATTTTGGTTCTTTAACCCAGTGGAATTACTGAATGATTTATTTAATTAGGGTAGGGATGGAGTGGATCCATTTGTTTGATGCTAAACAGCCTGAGCTCGCAGTTCCCAGGGGGCATATCTCTAAATGGTCTGAAATGAGATTTGCAGTGGTTTTCTTAATGCAATTCCCAACTTCTCTCCAAATGCCTTTTGACATTTGGCAACATTTCATGCCTCTTCCCCTTTCGGTTTTCATCCTTGTTTTCTCTCCCTTCTCCCACGACCTCGGTAGTCTTCTGCAATCCAGATTCTCAGACTTCGGGTTTTTCTCCCTCTGCCCCTTTCCTCTCTGTCCTATAACTAGAAGCACCTTTTGGCATAGACCCATATCCCAGTTTCCTCTTTCCCAGGTCCAGCAGCATCTCAAGGACATCTACAAGAGGGATACCTAATTTCAGGGGTCTCTGAATTGTATGTGGGAAACATCGTCTAAAAAAGTAATTTTATCCTTATTCATGCAACCAGACCCACACTCATAGAACTTTTCTTTAAGGGGAGTGTCTTGCAGATGTATAAATGAGTGTTAACATCTTTAAAAGCGAAACTGAACAATTCCCTGGCATTTGAATTCCCTCCTTCCTTCCCAACCCTCTCCTTTTCATTTTCTCATTTATTATTAAAAACATTTTTAAAGGATCTCCATGCTTCATATTTATCTACTATAATTCCTCCTTCTCGGTGTTGCAGGGATGGGGAAAGAGGATTTTTTAAAAACACAATAAAAAGCAATTGGGAGAAACAGGGCCAGTGGTGTTGGGGTGGGTAGTGGAATTGTGATTTTTGACTCCAGTAGACAATGATGCTGGATATATGGGGTTTGATTTCTCTCTGGCTCCTCAGTTGGGATTGATGAAGTTTGGCTAGAATCAGGGAGTTGAAGAGAGGTTGACAAATGGTCTTTCACTCTTCTCTGACAGGCTGTTCCTGTGGAGTGATGGAGAATAATGAGCCTTGGGAAAGCTATGGGAGCTCTCATACTCCTTCCCGAGCCAATTTTTTAGGGAGTGAGAGAAACATGGCCTGTCCAATACTTGTTGTGGGTCAGGATATTTTTGAAGCTACGGTTGTTGATTTGCATGGGAAAATTATTATGTCTTATTATTTCTTGTCCCACTTTACCATAAGGGCTCCTCAGCTTCTTACTTCAATGGGTCTTCCATGACAAACACACTTTATTAACTCTAAGAGTGGAATTTATTTTAACAGATAATTAGCATAGGTCAATATATGCTTAAAATAGAGTCAAATTAAACCTACTAGCTGTTATAAAGGACAGATGACAAATTAAAATCCACATAGAAGCATCGACTCTTAAATAATCTGAAAGTACTACTTCTAAGAGGGGTGGGCATGGGTGAAGGGAATGGTGGACATGTTTCAGAATTTCAAACAGCCAACTTTAACCAATCTTTTCCTCATTTTGTTCACCTTCTTGGGGGCTTATGCTAAAGTGAAGTGAATAGCCATAAGGCTGGCTTCAGGAGAAAGGTGGTCTAAAAGAACTGGATAATTATAAGCAAAATTGGTCTCGAATGATTGAAAATTGATGAGAATGTGCTTGTCTCCTGATTTGGCATCCTGAGTTAGACTCAGGAATACTGAACTTGGATCCCAAAGGCTTTGGTCTTTTTTGATATCCTATTGGATAATCATAAGCAGGCTAGAAAAATAGGAAACTAGAATTTATTCTCTTTGAACTGACAAATCTGACCAGTGGGCTGCATTCTCTATATCTGAAAAATCTTGGTTTTGATTGAAAAAGTTAATTTTACAAAGCAATTTTCTTTTTTTAAATTAAATTTCATTTTTTTTTTTTGAGACAGGGTCTCACTTTGTTGCCCAGGCTGGAGTGCAATGGCACAGTCTTGGCTCACTGTAGCCTTGACCTCCCCAGATTCAGGTGATCTTCCCACCTCAGCCTCCTGAGTAGCTGGGGCTATAGGTGCACGCCACTACGCACAGCTGATTTTTGTGTTTTTACTACTCATAGGGTTTCTCTGTGTTGCCCAGTCTAGTCTCAAACTCCTGATCTCAAGAGATCTGCCTGCCTTGGCCTCCTAAAGTGTCATGAACCACCATGCCCAGCCTACAAAGCAATGTTCTAGGAAAAACTAGTTACTCTTTGATTATGTAATTGCTGGAGAAGAAAAGCGTGGCATTTCTAAAATGATGAACTATATTACTTATATTTTAATATCTCATAAAGTTTGAAATAGACATTTCAAACATAAACATGTATAAAAATTTTTATAAATTAAAAATATAAAATCAAAAACATTATAAAATTATTATAGAATCAAAAACACTATAAATTTAAACAACTTTTTTAAAAATTTATTTTGGGATTTCCCATGGAGTGATGGAGAATAATGAGCCTTGGGAGAGCTATGGCAGCTCTCATACTCCTTCCTGGGCCAACTTTTTTAGGAAATGGGAGAAATATACCCTGTTCAATGTTTATTGTGGGTCAGGATATTTTTGAAGCTATAGTTGTTGATTTGCTTCAAACTTTAAAAAATTTATTATAAAATTATGGGATGTAAAAAAATTTATTATAAAACTTTGAAATTTTCAAACTTTCAGAAAAGCAGAGAGATGAGATTAATGGCACTCATAGGCAAACATAGAACATAGATTGTAAACATTTTGCTATATTTGTGTCATGATTATTTTTTGCTTGTGTTTGAAAGTATATTAAAGAAAATGATATTTTACCCCTAAATTCTTTAGTGCAGATTTCTAAAAAATAAGAACATTTTCCTGTATGGTTACAAAATCATCTTTTCAAACAAAATAAAAAATAGTTTTTTTATATCATTTATTACCCAGTCCACATTCAGATTTCCTCAATTATTATGAAATGTCCTTTTATTTTTTGAGACAAAGTCTTGCTCTTTCACACAGCCTGAAGTGCAGTGAAACAATCATAGCTCATTGCAGCCTCAAACTCCTGGGCTCAAGTGATCTTCCTGCCTCAGCTTCCTGAGTAGCTAGGACTATAGGTGCACACCACCATGCCCAGCTAATTTATTGTTTTTGTAGAGATGGAGGTCTTACTACGTTGCCCAGGCTGGTCTCAAACTCCTGGCCTCAAGTGATCCTTCCAGCTTGGTCTCCCTGAAATATCTTTTGTGGCTGGTTTGTTCAAATTAGTTTCTTCTAATCAAGGGACACACATTGCATTTGATTATTTAGCTCAAGACTTTTTTAACCTGGAAAATACCCTCACTCTTTGTTTATGTATTTATTTAATGAAATTGACTTGTTGAAAAACTAGTCAGTGGTCCTGTAGAATATTTCCCCTTCTGGAATTTTCTGGTTGCTTTTTATGGTGTCATTTAACTTTTCACTCTGTTTTTTCCTGGTTAACTGGAAGTTAGTTCTAAAGGCTTTTAGGCCTGGTATAACAAAATACCAAAAACTGGATGACTTATAAAGAACAGAAATTTATTTCTCACAGTTCTAGAGACTAGCAAGTTTAAGATCAAGGAGCATGCGGTTTTGATATCTGGTTAGGACCAACTTTCTGGTTCATAGATTGGCCTTCTTGCTGGGCCCTCACATAGTGGGAGAGACTAGTTAGCTCTCTGGGGCCTCTTTTATAAGGGCACTAATTCCAATCATGAGGGCTCTGTCCTTATGATCTAATGACCCCCTAAAGGCCCCACCTTTTAATACCAGCACCTTTGGGGTTAGGATGTCAACATATTAATTTTGGGAAGACATACACGTTCAGCCCATTGCAAGGTTTAGTTAGATTCAGGTTCAACTTCTTTTTTTAAAGACTATTTCATAGGCAATAATGTGTATTCACATCCCATCATCAGTGATGGTGAGATGATCGCAAGGTTAGGGCGATCACTGCCTATCTCCTCTGTTATATTCCCCCTTGGGTCAAGCCAGTAGTCTGTGACGTGAACTTTGTACCATGTGTATATTCAGTTATATTCTGTATCAATATTTACTTGATTGTTTTAGCATTTATTAATGATCCTTGCTTGAGTTGATTATTTCATTAGGGGTTTCAAAATGGTGAATTTCTAATTCTCTAATTCTATCTACATGTTTTAGCTGGCATTTTTCTATAAGCAGACCATTTTCTTCACAACTGGGTTATTTGGCTACCCTGAAACATAGTTCCTTCCGGGAAGGCAGAACATATGTTTATTTCTGTCTTTTAAAAATTACTGGTGTTTGGAGTGAAGATTAGGTGAGTTAACTACCTCCACAGGTGACAAATGAATTTTGTTTTGTCTCACTTTTGCTTTTTTGAATATCACTGTGGCTGCTTGGATTTTTATATTTAATTTGAATGGATTAGGGAATAAATGAGAAGATAGGTTTTATCTGTTTCTGTAGTTTTTATGTGGCTATGTGAACTTACCTTTAAAAATTCCCAGAAATATTTTAATTCCCCTTTAAAGATATAAACTATGTCATACTATAAAGCAAAAGAAAAACCAATCATGTGAAGAGTAAATAGTATCGTTTAAATGAATTGTGGTTAAGCTTAGTTTGTAACTAATTAGTTTTTAATTTTCTTTCTACTTTTATCTGCTTCAGAGCCTCTTCAGTGGTTTAGATCTTCTATGTGTCAAATTATTCTAATCTCTTAAAAAGTTTAAGAGCTAAAATACAACACAATGACTACAAGAATGCCTTTGTCCTTTTCTGGGTGGGTACACCTAAGGCAACTTCTTTTTCTCTTCTTTGTTCTCTTCTTCTTTCTTATTCTTAAATCATCTTCAATATTGGACAGATGACAGCACTATGCCTGCCTCAAGATGTTTCTGACTTTTTCTTTTTCTTTTTTCTTTTTTTTTGAGATGGAGTCTTGCTCTGTCACCCAGGCTAGAGTGCAGTGGCGCAATCTTGGCTCACTACAACTTCTGCCTCCTGGGTTCCAGTGATTCTCCCAACTCAGCCTCCTGAGTAGCTGGGGTTACAGGCATGCACCACCACGCCTAGCTAATTTTTTGTATTTTTACTAGAGACGGGGTTTCACCATGTCGGCCAGGCTGGTCTTGAACTCCTGACCTCAAGGGATCTGCCTGCCTTGGCCTCCCAAAGTGCTGGGATTACACGTGTGAGCCACTGCGCCCGGCCGTTTCTGACTTTTTCTAAAGTCTTCTTTCTCTGGAGATGACATTATATAATAGCACTGTTCAATAGAAGTTTCTTTGATGATGGAACTGTTCTATAATCTGCATTGTCCCAGCTACTAGCCATATGTGACTACTGTAACACTTGAAATGTGGCTAGAGCAACTGAAGAACTGAATTTTGCATTTTACTTAATTTTAATTAATTAAAATAGAAATGCAAATAACCATAAGTGGTTAGTAGCTACCATACTGGACAGCAAAGATCTATAATTCAGCATTTAAAATCGATTTTGTTTTGTTTTCAAAAATGGAGTCAGACTGTTACAACCCAAAAGAACTGTAGGTTAAATTAAGGTAAATCACCAAATACTACATACACATTTGGGAAATCCAAACCAGATTTTTTCATGTGATAACCACACCCTCTTTTGACTTTAGCCTTGGAGGTAATGGAGTATGGCAGAAAAAACCCTGTATCAGCAGCTGGAAGACTCACCTTCTTTTCCTAGCTCTGGCATATATTGACCAAAAGAGTCGAAGTCCATTCAGATGGTTGAGGGGCCTTGGAATTTTGTTTTTGGTTTTCACATACAAGTTGGAGGGCAGATGCGTTAGCCTCTTGAAATACCCAGAAACCACTTGTTTCCTCATCTAAAAATCAGGTATGACAGGATCATTTAATTATCCTGGAAATCAGATGAAGCACTGCATATGAAAGCACTTTGTAACATCGATAGCACTGGGAAATGTAAAGACCTTTTACTGAAATATAAAGGTGTATGGTCAACTGAATATATCTCAGATAATTATGATTTGACTGTATATATTGAATATAACCTGTAGTGGGCCCCTTGGTAAACAGCTTACAGTTTTGTTGCAAGTTTTAGCCAAGAGAAAATTTATTTGTTGACTAGTCATGCACTTTATTGGCCACATGATGAGCAGCAATGATATTAACACACAGTGCACCTTGCAGAATTCAAGAATGTCTCAGTGTCTTGTGAACTAGGAAGCTGAAATGCAGTGGTATGCAGAAGGCTGGCTCAGTAGGAGCCTTGGGAGTGTCCTCCAGATAGATGTTTGTGCAGGTTGTATTTGATTCCAGTTGGCCATGAAAAGCTGGTTGCTCTAAAGAATGAGAATATACTTGGTTTTGCATTTACTAGAACTATCTGGGGAACAAATCTTGGGGTGGAAGAAAGAAGGGAGGGAGGGAAAGCTGTGCTTCAATACCTAGGGCTTCTTTCCTGGAATGGATCTGAGAATCTGGGATTGGGTGGCTAATATCTCATCTCTAGAAGGGAGAAAGAACTGGGTGGTGATGGCTTTGTATTTTCTACTGGCGTTCACTACAGAATAGGTGAATGGAATGGGCTGCTATGATCCAGACATTAGGGAGGACAGGTTTGTGATACATTAGAAAACTTGAATGAGCCCTTCTATGATTCTCTCTTCTCTCTTTCTGCTTCCCTTTCTGAATCACCATCCCCAGGTTGTGGAATTAGCAAATCTATTATGTGAGCAATAGCAAACTTACAGGAGCCCTTGGCTCCATCTCTCTCCCTGTTTGTGTCAGTTCATTCTGGATGCTTTTAGTCTGTGGTCTTCATTCACTCTTTTTATGGGGAAGTAAAAGGAGTGGGACAGATTATGAGAACAGCTGGGTCCTCCCAGTTGCTGGGGTGGTTATTTTAAGCTTTGTTTAATGTGTCCAGAGACCCAGATGGCATTTTTAACTAAGCTGCTTTATTAAATCTTGTGATAAAGCATAGTGATGTTTATTGAAAAGGCAGACACACATCAGCAACATTATGCGTGAAACTTGCTCTAAGAATTTTCTATAAAACATCTGTTCTCTTTGAGCCTTTTGTGAACTCTGGAAGTTTGCTAGTTTCTATACAGACTTGAGGACAAGAAGTTGGTACCCACTTTTGGAGATGTCCAAGCATAGGTATTGGAATCATTAATCCTAACCCTTTCAGTTTTAAGGCCCTGGATACCCTTCTGTTAGACAACAGTAACATGAGCAAGCACTGTAATAACATTTAAACAAGATTATTTGGAAATAATGGACAAGAAAAATTAGTATAAATTGTTTGGGGATTTTAAAATTAAAGATAAAAAGCTAGGGCTTCAATGACCTGTGCCAGCCTATAGCCTTAAGAGTCAATTTGCAAACACTCAAGATTTGGCCAATATGCCTCTACTACTTCTACTTAACACAGTCAAAGGGAAATTTTTAGATTCTTTCATCTGATTTGACTCTCTTAGTTACGAATAAGAGGATATCTAGAATATATATGTGACTTGTTAAAATGAAAATCCACCTTCTCTGAGTCTTCAAATATCTTTCATATCTTACATTTTTAGTAACATCAACTTTTGAAGTCATGTCCGTAGTTGCATGAAAAGAAAAATTTCAGGAACATTCAACCTCAAAAGTTCTTTTTCTTAGTCTGAAGTCGTAGAAGCATTTGACTTTTACTTTCTCTTTTTAAGTTTGTACTAGTAGGTATTTTGTATAAATATAATATTTAATTATTGCCTTCGTATTCTTTTTCTCTAGTAAACATCCTGGTTTTTAGCTATCAATATGTAGTTTTACATTTAGGGATTTCTAATGGAAAGAGAAAGGAATCTGAAATCAGAGGACAAGAGTTTATTCTACTTGACCAAACACATACAAAATACTGGAAGGAGAGTTTTACAACAAATATTTAATGTCTATGACATGTAAAAAGGTTTTCCAAATCAAGAAAATTCAAACAATTCAATACAAATATCATCAATACTAACACATGAACAGGTGGCCAACCTTATTAATAACCAGAGAAATACAAATTAAAACAATCCATCAACTTGTAAAAAAGATGAAATTACCCAGAGTTGGTGTAGGTGATGGAAAATTGTCATGTTTGTATACTGTTCATAGAAGTTAAATTGACATAACTTTTTGGTCAGGCAATTTGGAAGTATATATCTAAATTAATAGAGTAGTTTTCTAATAACCTGGGAATCTCTTAATCTAAGAATCTTTACTGTAGATTTTTCTAGAACAAATGTACAAACATCTATGTACAAGGGTACTCACTGCAGCATTTTGCTAAGGAAAAACTCAGAAAAAATCTATATGTTCAACAGAGAACAGGTACATAATTTATGACACAACCGCACAATATACACCACTAAAATAAAGGATATAAATTTATATGTAGTATGAAAAAGATGTGAATGATAGCTTATTGGTGAAAAACAGCAATGACTGGAATATTGTGTGTAACGTAATCCTGCTTTTCTGTATATAATGTAGGCATAGAAAATAGGATTGAAAGGACATACTGTAGTCAACAGTGGATATAGCTTTGGTGGAGGGGGTGTATAATGGGGAAGGAGAGTCCCTTTTCCTATCTATTCCATATACATCTCTGGATTGAGAAGATCATACATGCATATGCATTACCTTCAAAATTAAAATGATAAAGACAAAAGGAGAAGCTTTGGATTTGAATCATGATACTACTGTTTGCAACTTATATGACCGTGGGGAAGTCGCCTAGCCTCCTGGGGTTTATTTCCTCATTTATAAAAATAGGGAAAGTAATAATACTTGTCTACATATCTTCTAGGGTTGTTGGGAGGATTGAATGTGATCATGGGTTACAGCATTATGAATTATTTATTCATATAACACAATTATTATAAAAATATTTTGCTCTGATTAAAATAAAAGAAGGACGAGATCGTGTGTGTTTTTTTCCCAGTAGCTTTACTAACCAGAAAGCGCCTGCTGATGTGGTGATCACAGTTGCTTTGGTGCAGCTTCCTCTTGACTTTTGGCATTTCTCCATGCTGCTAGCTAAAGCTGAGGTGGCGACTGTTGAAGGTGTGAGCTCCTCCCCCTCCCGGCACACATTTGTGTGCGTACTCACACTCATGCACACACAAACACACACATGCACACTCTATCACAGTACATGAGGTGGCAGCAGCTGCTCCGGCATAGACTTTCACACAACATAAAGGGCTTTTTTGGTGTGGTCTGTGCATTATTTCCTGTTAAGCATGAGCTGAGTCAGTGCCCTGCTTTTCCATCTGAAACCTTTCTGAGGCTCAGGCTGTGTTAAGAGCAAACCCTCTCCCCTCCATGCCCACCCCATGGCCCTCTATTGAAGCCAGATCTTAATCTGCTCATTGCATGAGGATTTTCAAACCGAATGGACTGGGCCATGTGAGAGATCACTGAAAGGAACAGACCAAGCAGAGGCTAAGAGACTCCACGTTAATCTGCTGAGTCGTCTGAAAATGCACAGCTGTGGGAGCTCACGGTGCTTTAAAGTACTTCGGCAGGATGTTTGTTCAGGGGGCCTGTTCCTGCAGCCCTGCTGAATGTTTGGTTAGGAGGCATAATCTTTTTTTGGACAGGATCTCCCAAATGTAAAGTGATAGATGCGAATGTGGAATATAATACGGAAGATCCAGCTTGGATGTCATAAATAACAATAAATTGTTTAATCTTGCTGAGCTGTAAATCTATGATTGCCAGAGGTCTTTAGTTCACTGGAACATAGTATGGGGGCAGGGGCACTTAGCAAATAGGCAGTTATTATTTTCCAACCAGACAGAAACTGGTCTGATGGAATTTATCTAAAAAGGCATACACATGTATTTTAATTAATTGTGACAATTACTCAGAGAAAACACATGGCCCTAAAGAGGCTGAGGGGTTTTTTTGTTCTACCTATAAATGTATATGTATATTCACCTATATTCTACCTATGTATAAGTAAGAGAATGAGTTTTTGTTTTGGGGATATATATTTATACGTATCTATACAGATATGTATAATTTCTGTCTTAATTTCTGTCTACCTATTAAGGTGCGGTGCCAGATGGAAAGTATTTTTAAGCATTTAGATAGCTTATTCTATAGCATATGTGTGCATATAGCCCCCCCATAAAGCTTTGTCTCTTTTCTGGATATATTTAACAAGAGGCTAGAACAGAGTCCAAAATGTCAGAAATGTTTGAATATTCCATAGAAATGAAGGAGGTGTTTCCAAATGACCTATGTTTCTATGGCAATAAATAGAACTTGTGCTGCGTTGGATGGGTCAGGAGTAAGGAATATAAACAGTGTAAGTATGACTATTCCAGGCAGAAATCTACCTTGTAAGAACAGCTTTGTGCAGTGAGCTCAACAACATTGATCAGTTAGCAGTCCGGTTCAGTACAACACTGATCAGGTAGCAAGCCGGTTTGGCAGTGCCAGTCGGAGACACAGATGGGGACAATCGAAGAAGATGCAGGTCAGGACAAGGATGCAGACATGTACCTGTCACTACCATGGACTTCAGCAGCTTCTTAGCAGGTTTATGATTAAAGAAGAAAGACATCGTTGATATGTAAGCATGTTACAATTAATTTGCTGTTTAGTTATTAGCAAACTACATCCAGTTTTTAGTTTTTAGGTTTTTTTTTCTTTTTTCTTTTTTGAAACAGATTCTTGTTCTGTCATCCAGGCTGGAGTGCAGTTGTTATCCAAGCTCACTGCAGCCTTAAACTCCTGGGCTCAGTGGATCCTCCCACCTCAGCCTCCCAAGAAGCTGGGACTACAGGTGCACGCCACCATGGCCAGCTAATTTTTCCTATTTTTTTGTAGAGATGAGGTCTTGCTGTATTGCCCAGGCTGCTCTTGAGCTCCTGGCTTCAAGCCATCCTCCTGTCTTGGTTTCCCAAAATGCTGAGACTATAGGTGTGACTCACCATGCCTGGCCTACATCCAGTTTAATTTATACTACAGTGTGGGTTTAGTCCTCAAACATGTTTTTGTTTTACATATAAAAATTTGAGATCAAAGAACATTTTTACATTGGTCAATAATGGTACATTTAAACAACGGACGACTATATCCATTAAAATCGTGTTGTGGAAGAATATTCAGTGACATGGAAAGATTGACTCAAGGGCAAGTGAAATGTGTCAAGAGTCTGTTAGGTACTAGACACTGTAAACTGGGTCTTGGCTGTGTTACTTGCTTACATCCTCCATCATGTGATCTTTTAGATAACAAAATCGAGATACATAGGGATAATGGGTGGGCCGATTGAAGAACAGAACTTGGGCCACACTTCTAGATGCCTGTGACTTTTCTGCATCTATTCAGATGTTAGGAATTGATTATGAAATCCATGGTGGTTTGATGCTCATGAACTCTCGTCTCTCTCTCCAGCATGTGTGTAAAGAATCTGTCTCTCCAGCATGTGTGTAAAGAATCTGTCTCTCCAGCATGTGTGTAAAGAATCTGTCTCTCCAGCATGTGTGTAAAGACTTCCAGAGGTACAGGAAGTTGAGGATGAGCTCTCTTACTTCCATCTGGTCTCCATGTAACAAATCATATAACTGCACAATTATCCAAATGCAAATGAAGGAGTCCCTTGATGTTTGGATAACCACATTCATGCCTTGAGTTTGTTATTTTCTTGAAATTGCCCTTATCCGTCTCCTGTTTACCCATGGACAACACTACTTAAGGGCTGGCACTCTGCAACCCATGGCAGCTTGGCTTTGGGGTTCCTTCCAGTGTTTTGTTTTTGTTTTTAACCGAGAAGACAGGAAACAGGCATCTTTGTGTATATGGCTTGCCACAGCCCTTCGTAGATGGACATGGTGGAGGCTGTGTGGTCCCGGAGAACACTTCCTCTGTGAAGCATCAGGGAAGTTTCTGTTCATTGTGTCTTCACTCTCTCCAATTCACTTGGGGAGTGACAGGGATTATAACACAGTGAGCAGAGGATATTGGGGAATGTCATGCTTAATTTTCTTTTCTTTTTTTTTCTTAAATGACATTTAAAGCTAAAAGAATCACAAAGGGTAAGTCTGATTTAAGACATTTCACACGTGAAAGAAATCCTGCTTTCAATGCGTGTTATGTCACAGGAAAAAGTCATTTAGAGTCAACATTCTGCACCTACTCCGAAATGTTAGCCTGAGGGTTTAAATATTACCTAGCTGCTCTCTAGGACTTTAATTTGAGCTAATTAGAAATGGAACTCATACTAAAACTAATTTAGGAAAGAAGCTGTTGATGTTCTGAAGAAAAACAGCTGTCAGAAATAAGATCATTAAAAAACCATAGTTGTATATGGCACAAAATGTAAAGGAATAGAAATGCTGGGAGAAAGCTTTTGTAGAATAACATTTTATCTTTCTTTGGACACTGGTCTAAGGCATGTGAAAGGGCATATTGATTCCCTTGGCACCTGGTATGCTCATTTATGGATGAAAAAGCCCAATGACATACTTTAGGTGAGGTTTAAGGCTTGATGGGAGGCATTGGTGCCATTAGAAGGACGGACACAAAGAGTTCTTAAGTAACGGCACCATGGGAAATGATAATTGCACACTCCTTTCTACTATGTCTTGGTTTCCCCAAGCATTTAGAAGTCACGGCTGGGTAGGAACAAATTTATCATGAGTCTGTCTGTGTGTTTGGGAATGCATATGCCTCACAGATGTGTCTGCAGGGGTCTGTGTGATAATGTTCATATATGTGATAGATGTGGACCCTGGGATCTGTATCTGTGTGGACCCTGGGATCTGTACATGTGTGTGAGTGACAGTGGACTAGGGTCCACTTTGCCCCCTTTTCCGCGTGGGAGTTGAAGGAAATGCCCCTTAATGGCAGTAGCATCCACTTGGGTGTGTGCACCTTCTGGAGGACTGGGTGAGGTTGCCCTTCTTCCAGCCAAAGCCAGACCCTATGGTGTGGGACGTTCAGCGGGGAGCAACAGAATGCCATGGCTTGGTCCTCCCTGGGCTGTGGTCTGGATTTCACTCAGGAATGAAAGTCAGATATTGTCTGCTTCAATGCTGTAAACATAACTAAGGATAATTATGTAAGTAGACCATCTTTTCCTTGCAAGGTAGCGGTCTGCTGCATTGACAGAGGGTAGTATTTCTAGGACTTTTTCAGAGAGTAAAATGGTACTTTAAGGGATAATCTGCTATCTAAAGATGAATTTTAAATGTTGGAGGGGGTTGTGGGATTGGGGGAAGACAATAGAATAATTTGTGTCATGGTTAATTTAACAAAGAGTTTTTGTTTATAGAATCTGATCTTCGGTGGATTTTAACAACCCTCTTCTTCCTTGGCTTTTCAGATAAAGACGCAGAGCCTCAGAGAAGTTAAATGATTGATCCTATGTCAGGGGGTAGAGTCAAGACTCATACCTATGCCTTTTAACTTCAAGTTGAGTGCTTTTTCTTTATACAAAAGGGCTTCCAAAAGTTATATTTCTTTTTATCAATGACTAGATCTTGAAAGCCATACCTTTTCTGATGGCATTTATCCTGGGCTAATTGGTAGAGAGAGGGTGAACAGAAGAGAAGACATAGACAAGCAGAGAAGAAAGTGACGTGAAAACAGAGGCAGAGATTGGAGTGACGTGAACACAAGCTCGGAAATATGTGGAGGCAACAGAAACTGGAAGAGGCAAGGGAGGGTCCTCCCCTAGAGCCTTTCGATGAGGCAGACCGCCACTGACACCTTGATTTTGAACTTCTGGCCTCCAGAACTGTAAGGGAATAAATTTTAATCACTTTTAGCCACCAAGTTTATGGCAATTTGTTATAGCAGCCTTGTGAAGCTCATACAAACTTTGTATTACATTACAAACTTTGTATTCATTTCCTAGGACTCCCATAACAAATTACCACATATTTGGTGGTTTAAAATCACAGAAATTTATTCTCTCACAGTTCCGGAGGCCAGAAGTCAAAATCAAGGTATCAGCGTGGCCAGACTCTGTAGATGCTCTAGGGAGAATCTGCTCCCTGCCTCTTCCAGCTTCTGGCAGCAGAATACATTCCTTGGCTTCCCGGGTGTGGCTGCATCACTCCAATCTTTGCATCTGTCTTCATATCTCCTCTTCTTTGTGTGTATTCTAGTAAGGACAAAGTGCTGCATCTTCCGTGATGGAAGTGGCCCAAATTAACCAATCTACCACCAGGTAGCTGGCTGATCATTTGGGGAATGGTACCATAAGGAGACTCAGTGTTGGTCCCTGCTGCTGGTAGAGTAGGCACTCTGCAGTGGCCATAGCCAGGTCAGCCTTGGTGAGTGAACCTCCATGTTGTTGAGCCCATGCATAGCCTTCATCCCTGCCATCACGGCCATGGTATTACAGCATTCTTGCATTGCTATAAAGAAATACCTGAGGCTGGGTAATTTACAAAGAAAAGAAGTTTCCTTAGCTCATGGTTCTGAAGGCTGTACAAGCCTGGTGCCGGCATCTCCTTGGCTTCTGGTGAGGCCTCAGGAGCTTCTACACATGGCAGATGACAAAGTGGGAGCAGGCATATCACACAGCAAGAGTGGGAGCAAGAGAACAAAAGAGAAGGTGCCACATACTTTTAAACAAGCAGATCTCATGTGAACTCAGAGCGAGAACACACTTATCATCGAGGACGTGGTGCTAAGCCATTCATGAGGGACTCACCCCCGTGACCCAAACACCTCTCACTGGGCCCCACCGCTAACACTGAGGGTTACATTTCAATAGGAGATTTGGAGGAGACAAACATCTAAACCGTATCAGCCACTTGGCTCATGAGCCCATTGGACAATGACAGCAATGGCTGGGGGAAAGCCACTCATTGACATCCACAGAACTGGTCATCCTGTTATTAAAATCCTCCTCTGCCTAGGTCACCATCTGGTGAGTGTCCATAAGGGACACAAATATCTTCACAATTTTCCATGTCTTACCTCAGAAGCCCCATCACCCTCTCTTTCACATCTCCTCCAGTACTTATCCCCCAGATGATAGGACCGTGTCCAGCAATACCTCTTCTCTCTGGTATTGATGGGTTAATGAGCAGATCTCACATAGGTAAAATTTCCAGATATCTAGAATTTAATCTTCTGTTAATTCTCCAATTATAACTAAAGTATTTCAGGTTGAAGCTTTATTCAAGTGTAATTACTCACTTTAACCTTCTTAAACAGAATGTGTATTACCTTTCCAAAAATAACTGAAATTTAATAAGATAAAAATGTATCCACAATCGTTCCTACTTAATAACTTTACATGTTTATTTCTGCATTTTTCTAAGTCCTTGCCCCAAAGTGGACATAATTTTATACTGTGATAGCATAAAATAATTTTGCATTTGACATTTTTGATTTGGCATTAAACTATTGTTTATGTTTCTTTCGCTACTGCTTAGGAAAATGTGGGTGGTTGTAATAAATAGACCTGAAATGTAGGCAATTTTTATTGCCTTAAAAACAATAGAATGTTATTTCTCACTCACACAATAGTCCAGTGAGGATGTCCCTGGTGGGCAAAGACTCTTGTCTACCAAATGGGATGGGGACTCAGTTTCCTTCCCTCTTGTGACTCTGGCATTGCCTAGAGCCACATGATTACCTGTACTGAATCTGTAGAAAGAGAAATAAGCAGTGTAGAGATGATATGTCTGTTTTCTGATATCCTCAGCCTAGAAAAAACACACATTACTTCTGTTCTTATTCTCATACTAGTTTATCACCCATTGTCCAAATGCACCATGTGGCCACACCTAGATGCAAGGGTGGGTTGGAAAATGTAGCACCTGGCTGGGCAGTTGTTCCTCAGCATTGACTCTGTGCTATGGAAGGGCTTCCTAAGTTTTTGTGGACTGCTATCCCAGTCTCTCACCACTATACAATCTTCATAATTTTCCCTTTAAATGGCTGAGAGAAAATTTTGAACAAAAGCTACAAACATTTTTCAGATTCTTGATTCTCCAGACTTATTACTTGAGGGCAGTGACTAAATTATATTCAGTTCTATATCAGAAGGTTCTTCCATATTGCCGGTTTCATGGTAGATACTCAATAAAATGAGTTGAATGACTACATAAATTTTAGCAAGAGCATATGGAAAATAATTTATCATGACTTTGGGTAATACTATAGGTGTAATTATTGTCCTTTCTCTTTCCTGACTTGATTAATAGCACCACTATCCATTAAGTTATTAAAGGTAGAAAGCTGAGATTATTCTTGACTCCTTTTCTCACTGGTCCAGTATTAGTTATTTATTGCAGTGTAAGAAATTACCATGAAACTTAGTGGCTTAGTTGGGGCTTGATGGGGGCTGGAGGATCCACTGCAAGATGGCTCAGTCACTTGGCTGGCAAGGTGGTGCTGGCTGTTAGCCTCCCATCTGATCCTCCTCTTTCCGCTCCTGCCACTCTTCAAGGTATTTTTTCCAGAGCAGCCATTCATCATTCATTTATTTTTTCCCATTAATTAATTCAACAGATATTTATTGTATACTTACCATATGCCAGATTTGTTCTAGGTTCTTGGAATATAGCAGTGAAAAAAAAACAGTCCTTGGATCTTATATACAGTGGGGAAATAAACATATAATGTAGAAAATTAGATGGTAATATGTGTGAGCACATATATTTATTATTTCTCATCATTTCTGAGACAGGAGATGGGTATTCTGGCTTGGGGACTCACATGAGGTCACAGTTACATGTTGGTGTTGGTTTGGTCATATGAAGGCTTGGTGGGGGCTGGAGGATCCACTGTGAGATGGCTCAATCCCTTGGCTGGAAAGTTGGTGCTGGCTGTTGTTGGCAGGCCTTGCTTCCTCTTCACAGGGCTTCTTGAGTGTCTTCATGACATGGCGGCTGGCCTATCCCAAAATAAGCTGTCCAAGAGAGCAGGGCAGAAGTGTCCATGCCATTTATGGCCTCACCATGGAAGTCACACACAATCACTTCTGCAATATATACTGATTACCCAGATCTGCATCGTTCAGTGTGGGAGGGGACCACAAAAAGGCACAAATGCCAAAAGGCAAGGACCATTGGGGCCATTTTGGAGGCTATTTACCACAGCCCCTCTCTTCCATATTCCAGCCCACCTGCATATTCTGTTGATCCTCCTTCCAAAAATGTATCTCAAACCAAATGACTAATTTTCATTTCTGTTGGCTCTAGCCTAGTCCAAGACTCTATCAACACTTGACTTGAAGAGTCTCCCGTCTGATATTCCTCTTTCTGCTCTTGCCCCCCTTCAAGGTATTTCTCCCAGAGAAGCCATTCATCATGCATTCATTATTCTCCATTCATTAATTCAACAAATATTTATTGTACGCTTACCACATGCCAGATTTATTTTAGGTTCTTGGGATATAGCAGTGAAAAGTCCTTGGGCTTTACATACAGTGGGAAAATAAATAATATGGAAAATGTTAAAGGCAACATATGTGATCCAGAAAATTATAGCACGGTGAAGGAAATAGGAAACAATAGAAAAGTTAGGGACTTCTGGCTATAGTATTATATAGGGCTGTCAAGGGTGCTATCTCTGATTAGCTTACATTGAAACAGAAACCCAAAAGACAGTAGAGGGCAGGTATGTTAATATCTGGGCAAGTATTCTAAGCAGAGGAAAAAGAAAATGCAAGGGCCCTGAGGCAGGATCGTGTTTGGTATGTTTGAGGAATAGCTGTTCTGTTCCGTTGTGGCTGGAACAGAAGGAGGAGGGCGGGAGGGGAGGGTGATGGAGAATGGTACATGATGGAGGTCAGATTATGTAGGGCCTTGTAGACTACAATGAAGACTTTGGCTTTGTTTTGGGTTGGTGGGGGACAAGGAAAGCTATTGGAATGTTTTAGTGACTTGATGTGACTTACTTTTTAATAGGAACATTTGGGCTGCTCAGCCCATGATGTTTAAAAATGCCATCAGGTCACTTCCACTGTTTAAAACCTTTCAATGGATTCTGGTTGTACTTAGAATAAAATCTAAGCTCCCTTAGCTATTATTATTATCTCATTATTAAAATTGACATCCTTTATTCTCTATTACAGCAGTCTAATTCCTTCCTAATATGTACCTCACTAGTAACTATTATTATTATTGCTTATTTGTTTATAATCTGTCTCCTCTACTTGAAAATATGTAGCCTGGGGATCTTGTGGATTTCCATACTAAATCATCCCAAGGCCACTTTGCTTTTGAGCTCTGTGTGTGTGTGTGTGTGTGTGTTTTGATCTCTTCTGTAATTTTTTTTCCCCTGATCTCGCTGATTGTTATATTTGGTCAGTGACTGACCTCTAGCAATGATGGTGCCAGGGCAACTTTGTTGTTGAACTGTATGTTAAGGTTTGTTTTGGCTTGTTGGTTATATCAGTACTTATCAAATGAATTATCTGGGAAGAGAGGAGAGGATCTTATTAAAATACAGGTTCTTATTCAGTAGGCCTTGGG
Source organism: Homo sapiens (assembly GCF_000001405.40). Lineage (NCBI taxonomy): Eukaryota > Metazoa > Chordata > Mammalia > Primates > Hominidae > Homo > Homo sapiens. The sequence goes on along the minus strand of NC_000009.12, from coordinate 54,114 downwards.
TGGGGCTTGAGGTTCTGCATTTCTTTCTTTCTCTTTCTTTCTTTTTCTTTCTATTTCTTTCTTTCTCTTTTTTCTTTCTCTTTCTTTCTTTTTCTTTTTTCTTTCTTTCTCTTTCTTTCTTTCTCTCTTTCTTTCTTTCCTTCCTTTCTTTCTTTCTTTCTTTCCTTCCTTCCTTTCTTTCCTTCCTTCCTTCCTTTCCTTCCTTCCTTCCTTCCTTCCTTTCCTTCCTTCCTTCCTTCCTTCAGACAGAGTCTCACTCTGTAGCCCAGGCTGGAGTGCCGTGGTGCCATCTTAGCTCACTGCAACCTCTGCCTCCCAGGTTCAAGCAATTCTCCCACCTCAGCCTCCGGAGTAGCTGGGACTACAGGCGTGCACCACCATGCTCAGCTAATTTTTGTATTTTTAGTAGAAATAGGGTTTCACCACATTGACCAGGCTGGTCTCGAACTCTGGAGCTCAAGTGATCTGCCCACCTCAGCCTCCCAAAGTGCTGGGATTTCAGGTGGAGCCACCATGCCCAGCTGAGGTTCTGCATTTCTATCAAGCTTGCAGGTGATGCCCATGCTGCCAGCCCTTTGAGTAACAAGGGGGCTTTATTACTGAGCTTGGCTGAACATTGGAATCATCTGTGGAGCTTTAAAACTACTAATGCTGGGCTCTCAACCCCAGAGATTGCAATATCATCAGTCTAGAATGCAGTTTGAGTACTAGGATTTTGAAAAGCTTCATAAGTGATTCTATTTTGTAGAAATATTGAGAACTACTAGATTGGATGATATTGAATCCAATTTTAAAACAAGATGTAGCAATAAATGTTCTTCAGCGCTGTGTTGCTGACTTTTTAGAAAGTCAGTTTTGTAGCTCTAGAAAGAATCTGGCTGCATCCATGGATGACCTCCAGATCTCTGCTTAGCATGACTGGGTAATTTCTCCAATGTCTCCAGCACATGCTGTCACTTAACAGCAGAAAGAGAATTCCTACTTTCAGGAGAAAAGTCATTCCTGAAGATTACAGTTAAAATATGCCTACAGATGATGAGGTTGTAGTAAATCAGTCCCCTTGCTCTCTGAGCTTGTTCTAAGTTACAGGAAGCAGAAGAAGCAGAGAAGCACTCCATTTCTTTTTTCTTGTAATCTCTAGCATGTTCACATGCATAGTTTCTGAGTCAGTAGCAAACTAAGAACTTCTTGTGTGATTCAAGCTAACTCCTCGATTATCAGAAGCAGATGTTTCAAACGACTGAAGATCAGTGAGGCATATCCTATTTACAGGTTAATAATTGACTGCTAGATGCAGGTGCACCAAATGGTCTTAGAGACATTAGATAGGAGAGACAATGTCAGTGCTCCCCCTACCCTGCCTCCCCTAATCTAAAGCCTACTCTGTTTCTTTTATCAAGTGATTGGCTGTATGTTAACAGAGCCTGGGGCACTTTCCTGTTGAAATGCCTTTAATCCCAAGCAACTGGATTGATTTTTTTTTTTTTTTGGATGGTTTAGATTGGACGACTGATTATTGGACAGAATGGCGTCTTGTCGACACCTGCGGTCTCCTGCATTATCAGGAAGATCAAGGCAGCTGGTGGAATCATTCTAACAGCCAGCCACTGCCCTGGAGGACCAGGGGGAGAGTTTGGAGTGAAGTTTAATGTTGCCAATGGAGGTATGTGGTTCAGTATATGCCTTAATAATCACGATTCCTTTCCTCTTATATTATTATAGTCTCACAGTGACCCTTTGATGATAGACAAGCAAGGTGCAGAGGACCTAGCTCAGAAAAATTTAGTGAGGTGCCCAAAGTGATCCAACAAAGAAGTGGCATGATGGGCTCATGAACCCATTTGGGTGGTCTCTTGGTCCCCTGTACTCTTCAGCATAAACTATTGAATAGTTGATGCTTATCTGATATGGAAGGACTCTGAATTTTAACATTAAAACATACCCTGAAGGTCGTTGTCTAAATGACAATGACCCTCATTTTACACATCAACAAATCAAAGGCCTGACAGGCTCAGTTACTGCTGAAGGCCACAGGGTTGATCAGGGTCAGATTAATGATTTTTAGCCCAAATCCTGGGCTCTCTTTTTCCTACAGTGTTGACTTTCTCTCAAAATCATAGAATTGTTTCACTTTTTCTTATATTCACAGCAATTTATAGTTTGGGGGTCCTTAGTGGAGGGGGTGGGATATATGTATGGAGTAAATTTCTTTTAAAAATTGAACACACAAAAAAATAGGGAGAATAAGAAATAGATAACATGTACCCATTATCTTGTTTTTCTATTTTGCTTATCTTTTTTTTTCTGAAGAATTTTAAAGCAAATTATAGCACGAGAACATTTCACACCCAAATATTTTTGTATGCATCTCTTAAAAAGAAAGACACGTTGCTGCATGACCGTGCTAACATACCTAACAATAATAACATTAATTCTCCAATATCACCTGAAAACTAATCTATAGTCAAATTTTTCAATAATCCCCAAAATATTATTATTTATAGCTGTTTTATTCAAATCAGGATACATCTAAGGATGCCATGCATTTGCTTGGCAAGTCTCTTAAATCTCTTTTAATCTAGAATGCTGAGTTTGCATGAATGTGGGTAGGAGCCAAATTTTAACCAGCAACAGTTACCATTATAAATTATTCCTCATCCCAGGCAAAGCAGTGCATTCTGAAGGGAAAACTTATTATCTATCCCTCCTTGTAGACGTTTTACACGTTATCCAAACAAGAAAGTGTATTCATGTTGAATATTTAAAAAACAATATTGTAACCACAAAGCAGAAAACTAAACCACCAAACCACAAAGGTAGACAACAATAGAGGAAGAAGAGAACAAATTATCTACAAAGTAACCAGAAAACAATTAGCAAAATGGCAGGAGTAAGTCTTTTACTATCAATAATAACCTTGCTGGTACATGGGTTAAACTGTCCAATCAAAAGATATAGAATGGCTGAGTGGATCAACAACAAGATCCAACTAGATGCTGCCTACAAGAGACCCATTTTTAAACTTTAAGAATAGGCATATACTGAAAGTAAAGGGATAGAAGGAGATATTCCATGAAAACAGACAGTTACCAAAAGAGAGCAGGGATGCCTATACTTATAGCAGATAAAACAGACTTCCAGTAAAAAGCTGTTCCAAGAGACAAAGAAGGTCATGATTTAATGATAAAGAGGTCATCTTATCAAGAGGACATAACAATTGTAAACATATATGCATCCAAAATTGAAGCACTTAAATATGTAAAGCAAATATTAGTGGACATGAAGGAAGAAATATACAGCAATATAACACTAATAGGGGACTTCAGTACTCCACTTGCAACAATGGAGAGATCAACCAGACAAAAAATTAACAAGACAACACTAAATTTGAACTATACTTCAGACCATATGGACCTACCAGACCTACATTCATCCAACAACAGCAGAATATACATTCTTCTCTAGCATACATAGAACATTCTCCAGGATAGACCATATGTTAGGCCACAAAATAAACCTTAACAAATTCAAAAAGGTTGAAATCACTTCTAGTATTGTTTCCAACCACAATGGTGTGAAGCTAAAAATCAATAACGGGAGGAATCTTGGAAAATTTACAAATATGTGGAAACTAAACAACATGCTTATGATGAACTAACGGGTCAAAGAAGAAATCAAGAGGGAAATTAAAAAATATTTTGAGATTAATGACAATGGAAACACAATGTATCAAAACCTACAGTATGCAGCAAAGTCAGTTCTAAGAGAGAAGTTTATAGCAATAAATGCCTAGATTAAAAAAGGAAAAAGATCTAAATAAGTAGACTAACACTATGCCCCAGGGAGCTAAAGAAAGAACAAACTAAACCCAAAGTGAGCAAAAGGAAGGAAATAATGAAGATCAGAACAAAAGCAAACAAAATGTAGTATAGTAAAACTATAGAAAATATAAATAAAATCAAAAGTTGGTTCTTTGAAAAAATAAAATCTACAAACTCCTAGCTAGATTCACTAAAAAAAGCAGACTCAAATAAAATCAGAAATGAAAGTGGAGACATTGCAATAGATACCTCAGAAATAAAAATGCTCATAAGGGATTATTATGAACAATTTTATGCCAACAAATTGGAGGACCTAGAAGAAATGGATAACTTTGCTGCTACTCAGATACATTTTATTTCAAAAACATACACTAAGGTGTTGCTGTTGGATCTTTCCAAAAACATATTCACACAGAACTTTCAGTCACACTGAGCCATATTTGAACAATCTTTCAAGGTCAGCTCTGGCATAAGCTAACATTATACCATTTAACTCAGAAATTTCTTTAGTATTTGATTAATGGGTTTATGTTTGATATGTAATGTAATTTTCTAATGCTAAATCAAGTGGTAATTTTGTTAGTCAAGTTGATTTAGTGGCTTGGGAAGAAAGCTTTTAATGTTCCCCTAATTTTTCTTACCTTTGACATGATCCTTCACATGTCTTATTTTGCTTAGTGATTTTTCTTTTTTTTTTTTTTTTTTGAGACAGGGTCTTACTCTACCACCCAGGCTTGAGTGCAGTGGTGCGATCACAGCTCATTGCAGCCTTGACCTCCCAGACTCAAGCTATTCTTCCACCTCAGCCTCCCAAGTAGCTGGTACTACAGGCACATGCCACCAAACTTGGCTAATTTTTGTATTTTTTGTAGAGACAGAGTTTTGCCAAATTCTCAGGCTGGTCTGGAATTTCTGGGCTCAAGTAATCCTGCCTTGGCCTCCCAACATGCTGATATTACAGACATAAGCCACAGTACCTGGCCAGTTTTCTTTTTTAAAAAATCTATTGGTTATTAATTTGAAGCCTTCCTTTTCATAGCTGTGCTCCTTAATTGGGAGCAAACATGAATGGACCACAACGTAGCCAATTTTCTATATACGATCTTTGCCATCCTAATTTAAAGGAATATTAATTCTTTCTTTTCCTCTTTCATTCCACAAACCTGTATTGACTACATCTAAGTTCTAAATGGTGCACTGGATGTTGAAAAAGTTGATGATGAGCAAGAACAAAATTCCTGCTTTCAGGAGACTTACAGTTCAATATGGGAAATGTAATTTGTTAAAATATAAAAGTGCAATTGTGTTACATGCTGTACGAAGTACATGTTGACATGTGAGTATATAATAAATGGGCTGGAGGCCAGAGGATTGCCAAACAGAATGGGCCTCCTGCTGAGATGAAAAGTTGAGCAGGGATTAGTTGGCGAAAGTGGAGGGACGACCCTTTCTAGGCAGGAGGAAGAACATGTACAGAATCTCTGAGGTGTGATGCAACAAAGTCGATATAAAAACTGAAGAAAGGTCTAATGTGGCTTAAATACAGAAGCCAGTAGGAGAGGAGTCGAAAAGAGGCTGGAGAAGTAGAAAGTGTCTGCATTCTGCAGGAACTTATATTGTATAAAAAGAATTTCTCTTTATTCTAAGTGCAATGTGAGTCATAGAACCCCACCCCTGAGGACTTTTGCAGTTTAAATAGCAATCTTGAGTAGTTTTCAAGTTTTTATTTTTTATCATTCTTCAGAATTCCTTTATTAAATAAACTCTTACATGAAACTCGAGATGGATGCATAGGTGGGTGGGCAGATGGATGGATGTATGGGTGGATGTTTGGATGAATGGGTGGGTGAATGGATGGGTTGGTGGGAGGGAGGGAGGTAAAACAATGGGAATAGTGTAGTTAAGCAGACACACCCTAGAGCCAGACTACAAAGGCTCGAATCCTTGCCTTGTCATTTACTAGCTGTGTGACCTTGAGTAGTCACTTAGACATTCAGCACTTCAGTTTCTCATCTGATGATGGGCATAGAAGTTGAAACCCATCTCATAGGAATATCGTGACTACTGCATGAGTGAATGTATGTGAAGCATTTATGATGGCACCTGGGGCAGTGGGTACTCTGTAAATGTTTCCTATTATTATTATTTGAGACGGAGCCTCACTCTGTTGCCAGGCTGGAGTGCAGTGGTGCGATCTTGGCTCATGCAACCTCCACCTCCCAGGTTCAGGTGATTCTCCTGCCTCAGCCTCCCAAGTAGCTGGGAGTACAGGCACACGCCACCATGCCCAGCTAATTTTTGTATTTTTAGTAGAGACAGGGTTTCACCATGTTGGCCAGGATTGTCTCGATCTCCTGACCTTGTGATCCACCCCCCTTGGCTTCCCAAAGTGCTGGGATTACAGGCGTGAGCCACCGCACCCGGCCTCCTGTTATTATTATTACTGCTGACTGAAGCTGGGGAGAATCTCCCCTGTCCCAACCAGTGCAATTCCTGAGACATCAGAGCTCCTGGGAAACATTGCTTTTAGGCCACTTAACTAGTTCCTTTTCTTATTTAATGGAGCAGATAATGAGGCCCAGAGAGAAGATATCACTTGCCCAGGCTCACACAAAGCCAGATTTTGAACCCAGGTCTCCTGGCTCTTGGGCTTTGTGATTCTCAGAGATCTTTCTGCATGTGATGAAAATCAAGGCAGTACATGAGGAATTTGAGAAGGTCCAGCAACCTGTGGCTCTGACCTTGACTGAGCTGCTCTCTCTGCTCCCGGACCCCTCCAGGATGGGTCCAGAGGCCTTCTGCTAACGAAGTAGCAACTCGAGCTCTCTTCTGGAGCGGTGACAGAGGTGGATGAAGGCAGTGAGCTATGAGCTTAGTTCACACTTGGACCATGTCTTAAGAGCATAGGATACAAGGTGTGACCTGCAGTACATGCAAAGTGTGGTGATTAATTCACAGATAAGCCCTGTCAGCTTCCCCTCATACCCTCCTTCTCACTCTTGCTCTGACATATTAGAGCAACTCCCTCTCTCCTCTCCAGAAAGATAGGCAGTCACAGGCAGTGGTGCCCCTCTGATATTTATGTGGGATCTCCAAGGTGATGGAGGAGAGAGGCCTTTAGTTTGTATCAAAACCAGAAGAACTGTTTATCTTCTATCAGGTGACAACCCGTCATTCCTTTACTTAACACATTGATTAGCATCTGCTATGTGGCCATGTGCTAGGCAGGGCCACTTTCTGAGTCCTGCGAAGTCAGTTGCATAGTGTCCTGCACTTGAAAGTGCCCCGCATTCGGTTTAACACTCTGCTGTCACATTAATAACGATATCTTTACACTTCTGTTTTGTCAGCGAAGTCCTGTAGGACAAGGCGGCATGCACAGGAGCAGAGGAGCCACATGTGATGTGTGTGGCCGCCGTTCCCTGCCGCCCCATTCACATAATCTTCTCCATGCCCCTGGGGAGCCATGCTGTGGGATGTGCAGGAAACTCAGCATGCTGTGAGTAGAGGCAGGGTTGTTAGTCAGTGACTGAGTGAGCGGGGCACTAACCATCTGGAGAGGCCTCACTTTCCACTGAAACCAGAATGCGCTTGTACACAGAAAGAAGGCAATGACATTTGAAGAGACACAAATGACTGAGGAGCCCTGTTGTATCCTCTCTTATTGGAGTTACTTCCCCGTGCTAACCGACCCCTGTGTTGAGACGACATGAAAGGAAAGGGCAGGACACTATGGCCACAGTGCCCTGAGGGTGCCCAATCTGTCTCAGAAGCTAAGCAGGGCCTGGCCTCGTTAGTACTTGTATGGAACAAGGAAAGGGGAAGAGAGAGCAGCCTATAGCTCCTGTCCTTTCAGTCCTTCGTTAGTGTGCATGATCCCAAGGTAGAGAGTGTTGCTGGAGTGTGTGGGTGTCAGGAAGTGAGATAGAAAGAGCTGGGCTAGTTTTGTGCAGCGTATCTACTGGTTTAGCAAGAATGAAATACATACACACGGATGAGCTGTGGAATGTGAATTGTGTAATTGTGTTGATTCTACATATGAGGTCAATGCTAATATTTTCATTTATACCTTGCGTCCTACAATATAAAAACAAATGGTAAAAAGTCACGATAATTTAAATTTATTTTGTATTTTATTTTATCTTATTTTTTTTAGATGGAGTCTCGCTCTGTCACCCAGGCTGGAGTGCAATGGCATAATCTTGTCTCACTGCAACCTCTGCCTCCCACGTTCAAGCCATTCTCCTGCCTCAGTCTCACGAGTAGCTGGGATGACAGGCACCCGCCACCACGCCCAGCTAATTTTTTGTATTTTTAGGAGAGATGGGGTTTCACTATGTTGTCCAGGCTGGTCTCGAACTCCTGACCTCATGATCCGCCCACCTCAGCCTCTCAAAGTGCTGGGATTACATGCGTGAGCCATCGCACCCAGCCTTAAATTTGTTTTTTAACTTAGCATGACATTAAATAGCAAATAAAAATACCATGACAAGTCAAGTGAGAGAGAACACAGAAGAAAGGAAAACACCGTATATTTGAGCACCTTCAATGACGCTTTTTCCTGCTCTTTGAACAGAAGCACTGCGTTTTCATTTTGCCCTGGGCCTCATGTTACGTAGCCGGTCCTGGTGTTAGGTACCCGGACGCACCACAAACGAAACAGATTCGTTCCCCACAGAGCTTATTAGTCTAGTGAGAGAAACATACTTTGAATAGTCCCAGAAATACATCATTATAAGATAAGTCTATGAAAGAAGCGTAGAGCATTCCTAATCTTGTCTCTGAACAGGGCAGACTTCTTGGAGGAAGTGAAATTTGAACTGCGATGTGAAGAATGAGCAGGAGTTAGTGAGGTGAAGATGAGAGAAGGAGTGTTGCAAACACAGGTCAGTCTGTGCAAAGGCCCTGAGACACAAGGAGCCTAGAACCACGGCTCGAAGACAACCGTCTGGCTGGGGCATGGCTCGTCTTACAGATCACATTAAGGAACAAATAATTATGTTAAGAGTTATGGGCTGCCATTAAGGATTTGGATAAGAGAGTCTTACAATCACATCTGTGTTTTCTAAAGGCCTGACACTGATTGGTACATGGAGTACAGCCTGAAGGGAACAAGACTTGTTAGAAAGGAAGCTATTGGCTGGGTGTGGTGGCTTGTGCCTATAATCCCAGCACTTTGGGAAGCTGAGGTGGGCAGATTACTTGAGGCCAGGGAGTTTGAGATCAGCCTGGCCAACACGGTGAAACCCCGTCTCTACTAAAAATACAAAAATTAGCGGGTTGTGGTGGTGAGCACCTATAATCCCAGCTGCTTGGGAGGCTGAGGCAGGACAATTGCTTGAACCTGGGAGGCTGAGGTTGCAGTGAGCCCAGACTGCACCACTGCACTCCAGCCTGGGTGACAGAGACTTCCTTTCCAAAATAAAATAAAAAAAAAAAGAAAGAAAGAAGAAAGAAAGAAAGGAGGCTATTGCAGTAATGCAAGTGAGAGACCATGGTGGCTTAGGCAATGGTGGAGATGGAGGAATTTGGGGGAATTGATTGGGTTCAAGAAATAGGCAGGAGGAAACACGATGGATTGGGTGGGAGTAGGGAAACAGATGAGAAGAGGTATCAGGAATGCTGCCTAGGTTTCTGGTCTGTGCCACTGTGTGGATGATGAGGTCATCTACTAGAGGATGTGTCAGTGGTGGAGGCCAAGGTCTGAAAGTGGAGGGGGGAAGAGTGAGAGAGAAAATTGTAAGTTTACCTTTATGTTCAGCTGAGGTCCTTTCGAAACATACAAGCAGCAGTATGAATAATTCCATTGATATATTTGTCCGGGGCCCAGAGTGAGGTTTAAATAAGAAGAAATAAACTCTCTAGTAAAAATTGCAGACACACAAAAGGCTTGAACAGGCACTTCACAAAATAGATTATCCAAATGACCAATAAATACATAAGTACTCAACATCATTAGCCATTAGAAAAATGCAAGTTAAAACCACAATGAGATACCATTTCACACTAGAATGAATAAAATTTTAAAAGACTGACAATGCTAAATGTTCCCAGGATGCAGAACAACCAAAACCCTCATATATTATGGGGGACATGGAAAATTGTACAACTCCTTTGGAAAACAAGTAGTTTCTACAGAATTTCAATATATACATACCATACAACTCAGCCATTGCATTCCTATTTACCCAACAGAAATAAAATCATTTGTCTACTGAAAAATTTGCAAAATAATGTTCATTGCGGCTGTAGCCATTATAACCCTCAAACGGAAACAACCCAATGTGCATGGATTGTGAATAGATGACAAATGGTGGTCCATCTATACAATGGAATATTGCTCTTCAACAGAAAGAAACTACAGGTCCATGTAACAACATGATGAGTGAAAGAAGTCAGATGTAAAAAAGTACATATGTATGATGCAATTTTTACGAAACTCTAGGAAAAACTAATCCTTAGTGATGAAATCAGATCTGAGGTTGCCTGGGGCAGAGATGGGGGTAGCTGACTGCAAGGAGGTGTGGGGAGGGTTGTGAATTTTGGGGAGTGATGGAGCTGCTCTGTATCTCAATTGTGATGTGGTTACACAACTGTATGCATTTGTCAAAACTCACAGAACTACACTCTAAAACGTATAAATTTTACTGCATGTAAATCTTACCTTAATTAAAAATTAAAAAAATTGAAGATGTGGATTTAGGTAAGATTCACTAAGGGATAAAGATAGAGTTGAGTTACAAGAGAATTGTTATCTCCATCTTGCATGGGAGAAAAATGAAGCTCAGAGAAGTGAAGTGGCTTCCCAAGATCACTCAGCTACTAAGTAGCACAGCTGGGGCTCAAAACCAGAGCCATGTGATCAGATGGCCCATATTCTTTTTGTTCCCTCCCATCAACCAAGCCCAGGCCCATGGCTGAGCATGATGGCCAAGCAGGGAGGAGGGTCAGCTCCTCTTCAAGGAAGAAGACAGCGTGCTGTTCTTTATATATGTAAATGATGTTCTGTTCCTCACCCATCACCAATCACACAGGTACTAAGGTTGCAAGGTGTGGGGACTGCCATGGTGATGATGGCTCTCCCCACCAGTCCTCAATGGGAATACCAGCAAGACGCCAGTCCATAGTAAGGGATTCTGTCTGGGCCCTCCAGACACCCAGAGGGCCACGATGAGATCCACTCCAGAGGAGTAATTGTACCCTGCCCCAAACTACCAGGGATCTTGACACTGACATAGCTCTTTATACTTTCCAACTCCAGAAGTATTAACTGGGAACAACTACATTTTCCAGCCCTGAGCTTGTGGACCAGCTCCAGATCTTGTGATCTGATCTCTCCCTATGACTGTTACAACTGCCTCAAGATGGCTTACTCTTCCTCCCGTCCCATCCCACTCCTAATCACTCCCCACACTGCTACAAGAGGGGCTTCCTTATACCTTATACAAAAGTTAACTCAGATAGATGAAATACTTAAATGTAAAACCCCAAACTATAAAAATCCTAGAAGAAAATCTAGGCAATACCATTCAGAACATAGGCATGGGCAAAGATTTTATGATGAAATTGCCAAAAGCAATTTCAACAAAAGCTAAAATTGACAAATGGGACATAATTACACTAAAGAGCTTCTGCACAGTGAAAGAAACTATCTTCAGAGTGCATAGGTAACCTACAGAATGGGAGAAAATTTTTGCAATCTATTCATCTGACAAAGGTCTAATATCCAGAATTTACAAGGAACTTAAATAAATTTACAAGAAAAAAACCCATCCCCATCAAAAAGTGGGCAAAGACATGAACAGACACTTCTCAAAAGAAGACATTTATGCGGCCAACAAACATGTGAGAAAAAGCTCAACATCACTGATCATTAGAGACATGCAGATCAAAACCTCAGTGAGATACCATTTATGCCAGTCAGAATGGCGATTATTAAAAAGTCAAGAAACGCAGATGTTGGGGAGGCTGTGGAGAAACAGGAATTTTTTACACTGTTGGTGGGAATGTAAATTAGTTCAACCATGGTGGAAGACAGCATGGCAATTCCTCAAGGGTCCAGAACCAGAAATACCATTTGACCCAGGAATCCCATTACTGGGTATATACCCAAAGGAAAAGAAATCATTCTTTTATAAAGACACATACACACGTATGTTTATTGCAGCACTATTCACAATAGCAAAGACATGGAACCAACCCAAATGACCATCAGTGATAGACTGGATAAAGAAAATGTGGTACATATACAGCATGGAATACTATGCAACCATAAAAAGGAATGAAATCATGTCCTTTGCAGGGACATGGATAGAACTGGAAACCATCGTCCTCAGCAAAATAACACAGGAACAGAAAACCAAACACTGCATGTTCTCACTCATAAGTGGGAGCTAAACAATGAAAGCACATGGACACAGGGTGGGGAACAACATACACCAGGGCCTGTTGTGGGGGTGAGGGGAGGGAGAGCATCAGGACAAATAGCTAATGCATGTGGGGCTTAATACCTAGGTGACGGGTTGATAAGTGCAGCAAACCACCTTGGCACACATTTACCTATGTAACAAGCCTGCACATTCTGCACATGTATCCTAGAGCTTAAAATAAAATAAAATAAACCCAAGGAGGTAAAGACAAGAGGGAGAGGGGGAAACAGCAACAAGGAAGGACAGTGCCAGAAGAGGAAGTCAGGCAGAAGAGGGAAGGAAGGGGGAGGAGGAGTGCACAGGAGAGCTGGACAGAGGAAGGCCTGGCGGGGCCACTCTGGTTCTCCGGCTCTTCTTTGCCTGGCCAACGCCCAGAGAACCCTGCTCCCCTGGGAGCCGGGACCACATCTGCCCTTCTGTGTGTCACCCGGGGGCATCTGGCGTCCGGCAAGTGGCAGCTCCCTCGTCATCCTGTCTGATCCAAATTCAACCCACATTCAGCCAGGTGACCATGGTGGCTCCCCACCAGGGTGGAGGTCTGTCCTGAGGCTGTCTGCACTTCCCAATGGAGCTGGCTTCGAACCCACTGCTCTTGCCTCTCTTTCCATTCCCTAGAAGGCTGGCTGCCCCTGGGGATGTTTCTGCACCAAGCCACTTTCTCCAGCTGGGGACTAGCATCAGGAGAACTCCTTTCTGTCTCCTAGATCTGGAATGAAATGACGAGAGTGACCTTGGTCAAGTTGGACCACTCTGTATCCAGCCATCCTCATGTATAAAGAGGAGGAAAGGAGAGGCACTTCTGTTACTACCGACCAGTTACTAGGTGTGACATTGTGCAGGTCACTGCACACACTTAAAGCAACCAGATGTATATCCATAGTCATCGGTGTTTTATAGAACATAGGAATAGACTCACAGTCCATTCCCCTCCTGCAAGACTACATATTCTATCGTAAAGGATGTGTCAAGGAAGAGCATGTTGGAGTTCTGACTCTGGAGGTCCGCCAGCCAGAAAATGGCCTCCAGCCTCCCAGTCTCTTCCTGCTCATCAGCATAACCATCCTCCATCCATGAATCCCCACTGCTCACTCATTTTCTCTGCTAGTACTTAGTGAGCACCTCCTATGACCCGGGGATACAGCAGTAAATAAAACAGGCAAACACATTGGAGAGAAAGAAAGCCTGGGAGGCTGAGGTAGGTGGATCGTTTGAGTCCAGGAGTTCAAGACCAGTCTGGGTAACATGGTGAAACCCCGTATCTACAAAAAAAAAAAAAAAAAAAAAAAGACAATGTGGTGTGTGCCTGTAGTCCCAGCTACCTCGGAGGCTGAGACAGAAGAACCTCTTGACCTGGGGAGGCAGAGGTTGCAGTGAGCCGAGATCATGTCACCGCATTCCAGGCTGGGTGACAGAGAGAGAACCTGTGTCAAAAAAAAAAAAAAAAGGAAGAAGGAGAAGAAGAAAGGAAATATGGCATGTTGGGGATGGGGATGGAAGTGGGTTGCAATTTTTAAAAGGGTAGCCAGGGAAATCCTTACCGAGATTTTTAAGTACAAGTCTGAAGGAGGCAAGGGAGTGAGTCAAACATATACATGCAGGAAGGGCTCTCTAGGAGGAGAAAGCAGTGAGAGCAAAGGCTGGGAGCCAATGCAGGCCTGGTGGCTTCGAAGAACAGCAGAGGGCCAGTGTGGCTACGGCAGAGGGAGTCAGGGCAGTGTGCTAGGAAGTGAAGGCAGGGAGATGCAGGAGGTGTGGATTGTTGGGGCGTCACAGGCTGTGTGACTCCCAATTGCTGTGTGACAAATTCCCACAAATCCAGCAGCTGCAAATATGACCCAATGTTCCCCAGCTTCTGCAGGTCAGGAGTTGGCACAGCCTAACTGGTCCTCTGTAAGGTGTCATCAGGGTGTCAGCCAGCACTGGGTTCTCATCTGGGGCTCAGCTGTGTGGATGGCTCTGCTTCCAAGCTCACGTGGCAGCATTCAGTTCCATGCAGGGTGCTGGACACAAGACCTCAGCTTCCTGGTGAGCATCGACTGGAGGGGGCTCTTAGCTCCTCGCAGCTGATCCCCTCCATGAGGCAGCTTGCAACATGGCAGCCTGCTTCTTCAAAGGCGTCAAGAGAGAGTCCCCAGAAAGACAGGTTATGATCTTAACATTTTATTTATTTATTTTTTGAGACAGAGTCTCGCTCTGTCACTGAGGCTGGAGTGCAGTGGCACGATCTTGGCTCACTGCCACCTCCACCTCCTGAGTTCAAGCAATTCTCCTGCTTCAGCCTCTTGAGTAGCTGTGATTACAGGCGTGCACCACTATGCCTGGCTAATTTTTGTATTTTTAGTAGAGGCGGGGTTTTTCCAGGTTGGCCAGCCTGGTCTCGAACTCCTGACCTCAGGTGATCCACCCGCCTCAGCCTCCCAGAGTGTTGGGATTACAGGCACGAGCCACTGCATCCAGCCAGTGATCTTATACAATATGATCAGTACATGAATCACATATATACCACCTCCTTCATAAGCAAGCCACAGGTTCTGCTTACAACCAGAGAAGGGGATTATTCAAGGGTGTGAATGGCAGAGGTGGGGGTTGTGGGGGTCACCTTAGTATCTGCCACCACAGCCTGTCCTCTGTCCCCAAGACTCCTGTCCCTTGTGCATGCAAAACACATTCACCCCTCTTGAGATCCCTTCATGCTCACAGTCCCGAATCTCATCTAAATCGGGTTTAGGTGTAGAACAGATTTCTTTGGATGTTCCTCTGATCTGGAAAACTAAAGATACAAGCTATCTGCCCTCTACATATGCAACACACAATGGTGGGTAAAGCTTGAGACATCGCTGTTCAGAAAGAGGCAGCAGGGGAGGGATGAAGGAATGGTGGTTCTGAAATCCAGCTGGGCAGACGCTGGTGTTCCCTAAACAGGTTTTAAGATGTGGGAAGATTCCATGTCTCTTGGCTCTGCCTTCTGGGCTTCTGCCTCTGGGTCATCCTTCTTTTCTCACGAAAGATCCACGTGTTTGCAGCCAAGTAGTTTTATCAGCCTTCTTCTTGACAGCAGAGTTTGGGGTCTCTGACAGTCTTCTTTCATTTTGCACTCTGTCCCCTACAGACCAATCTGCCAGCACTGTGGGTGAAACAGCTTTCCCAAACCCTTTGCCTGTCCTCTGTGGGTTTCAGTGGGGCTCATAGTCGATTTGTCAAGAGCCATACCCATGAATCTTTTAGAGATAAACTCTACCTTTCTACCTTCAGCTCCTGCCAAGATGGCCCCCAGGGTAACTCACTGAAGCTTCCCAAGGGCCCTAAGGTTTGGTGGAGAGGTTCTGCATGGTACACCCTTGTAATCTCTTGCAACAGACCTCTGTGTGACTCATTGCTACTCCCATCCTTTGATCTTTATGCATAATCACAAAAGACTGTACAGTTACACCCTATGCCACATGCTCAGAAGCCATTTGTTAATTTCAGCATCTTTTTCCATGTGGGGAGACTGACAATTTTCAAAATCATCAAGTCCTGATTCAATTTTAACAGTTTAAAAACCAGTCTCTTTCTCAATTTATCTCTCTTCTCTCACACTATATTATAAGCAGTAAGAAGAAACCAGGCAGCATCCTCAACATTTTACTTGGAAATCTCCTCAACTGCATACCCAATTTATCACTTACATGATGTGTTTGCCACGTAACTGCAGGAGACCACTTTTCTAAGCTTTCTGCTCCTACCTAACAAGGATCCCTGTCCTCCAGCTTCTAGTGCGAAAATCCTCACTGCCTTTGAGCAGTGGCGAGTCCTCCGAGCCCAGATATCTAGCAACAGTCTGCTCACCTTAGAGTCTGTCTGTCACCACCTGGGCCATTTCTAAGGGACCAGAGCTTTCCTCTGAGATGAGGCTTTGAGCTGAGGAGCCACATGATCTGACATGGTTAAGGATGCCTCTGGCTTCCCTGTTGAGAATAGACTGAAGGGGCAAAAATGGAAGCAGAAGAGCAGTTAGGAGGCTCCTGTCAAACCCACGTGGAAGGCAGGCTCTGGGCTGTGTTACTGGACTAACACTAACACCGTCCCCTTGCACTTCTGAGGGGTCCCTGGAACTTCCCCAGGGGATGAGACTCCTGGCTAGCAGGACTCAGCCCCTCCCCTTCAACTTTACTCAGGACCTGGTCTCCCCTCCTTAAGGTCTCTGGAGCCCAACGCACACTTCAGCCCACTCTCACAGGCATTCTCTCTGTCCACAAAATATCAACGAAGAGTCTTCTGTGAGTGCAGCATGGTGTGAACACTGGGAGTACAAGGAGAAATAAGACACAGTTGCTGTGCTGGAGAAGCTTGTGCCCAGTGGTGGTGATACTGCCGGAGGTGAGACCACTATGCCAGCACAGGAACAAAGACGGCAGGGGCACAGGGCAATTCAGGGGTGCAGATCTGGGGGCATCCAAGAGGCTCCTAAGCCTCAGTATATAAACTGACAGGTCACAGCCTGCTCTAGGAAACACCTTCTTAAGGGTTGGAGTTATCTCTGTGCATCCCATCCCCACCCCACCAAGCCGCCCTTGGCCCTGCCCTCAGGAGCCTCTGCTTGGCCTTGCTAATTCCTCTCTTCTCCCTGAAGCTAGAGTGAGGTCCCTCTTGGCAGCCTTTGTATCTAGAGAGAGCCGTCCAATAGAAACATAAGGTGAGCAACATGCTTAATTTTAAAATTTCTAGTAGCTACATTAAACATTTTTAAGTGAAATTAACTTTAATAATAAATTTATTTAACCCAATATATCCAAAAGATTATCATTTCAACATGCAATCCTATTTTAAAAATAACTAGTGAGGTACCTGACAAAAAAAAAATCCCTTTTCATACTAAGTCCAGAAGATCTTTGTGTATTTTATACTCATAGGACATCTGAGTTTGGATGTTACCTTTTTATTGGAAATATGGGATCTGCACTTAGATTTCACTGAATTTACATTGAAAAGGTAGGTTCACATACCCAAGTTGTCTCACACATACCTAAATGTTTTCTGGTAACTGGGTGGAGTATCAGTTTTTATATTTATCTTTGCCTTAGCTAAAAAACAAATTAATAGTGCAGGTCCTCAGCCGCACGCAGGCAGTTTTCTCCACGGTCCAAATGGTTGCCCGAATTCACCCAGACCCCGCTGTCGTCCGCTTTTTCATGCAGACATTCAAACAACTGCCTCCCTTCCTCCTGGCACCCCCACCCCATCGCCAGCAGCCTCCGAACCAGTTTCCCTCCTGTCCTCATCTCAGCCACCCATGACTCACACACACATCTGGCTCCCCTGGCCCACTTTTCACCTGGTCCTCATAATCTATGCATAAACATTAACATACCACAGAATCAATCTGCATACTGATTACTTCTGCTCTGGTCAAATTCTTGCTTTCAGGATCAGGAGGCTTTCTCCCCACACCAAACTGGGCCTGAGGAAATAGTGTCTTGTCTTCCTGTCACCCCTCCCGTAGTTGCATGTCTAATGAGACAAGGGGTGTCTCAGGTGAAGCAGGACAGGGAGGATGCCAGCACTTGGGTGGGAGAGGCTTGAGGAGTGCCTGTTGGGGGATGTGTTGGGGAAGGATGACTTTTCACATATGGCTCATTGTGTCGGGATGATTTCGTTGTTAAATAAGCACCTACAGGATGATTTCACATTCCATACTTCTAAGTTTTTATAATTTAAATTCTTTCCGCCAGGCTGGGTTTTTTTTTTTTTCCAAACTTTAAATCTGTGGCTAGAATTGGTTTGATTTACATAATCCTGCCCCTGAGATTTAGCCCCACCCCTGAGAGCCCCCTCAGAGCCACCCACAGCCAGGACACCTCTGCTGGCCTCCCCTTCCCCAGCCTTCCAACTTGTGGCAGGCCCCTGGCTCTGGCCTCCCCCTATATGGGAATGAGCCAGCTGCACCGCTGCTGACAGTGGCTGGGATAATCCTCCCTGAGCTGTTCCAAGGATTAGTCCTGCTGCCCTGTGCCCAGCTCCCACACAACGGGGTTTCGGGGCTGTGGACCCTGTGCCAGGAAAGGAAGGGCGCAGCTCCTGCAATGCGGAGCAGCCAGGGCAGTGGGCACCAGGCTTTAGCCTCCCTTTCTCACCCTACAGAGGGCAGGCCCTTCAGCTCCATTCTCCTCCAAGGCTGCAGAGGGGGCAGGAATTGGGGGTGACAGGAGAGCTGTAAGGTCTCCAGTGGGTCATTCTGGGCCCAGAGATGGGTGCTGAAGCTCCCACGCCTGCCTGTGAAAATGGAGTCCTCTTTCACCTGGGAGAGCCAGGTGCTGCCCCGAGAAGGATGCATTTATGGCTTCGTGAAGTCTTTCCTGACCCCCGATGCTGCTGACTATAGGTAAGTCTGAGCAAATCTGGGGGAGCCTCATCTTGGCATGAGAAAGAGATGGCTTCTTCTAAGCCCACTGGCCGTGATCCCAGGATTATAACACATTCTGGCTCAAGTCCAGACTATTTGTAGAACACAGGAGATCCTCCATGAGAGGTAGTATAATATAGAGGATATGTGTGCTTACTAAGAGGCTGCCTGTCTGACCTTGGACAAGTTCTTTTTATTTATTTATTTATTTTTTATAGAGACAAAGTCTCACTATGTTGCTCAGGCTGGTCTTGAACTCCTGGCCTCAAGCGATCCTCCCACCTCAGCCTCCCAAAGTGTTGGGATTATAGACATGAGCCACTGCACCTGGCCGACCTTGGGCAAGTTCTTAAACCCTTCAAAGCCTCATTTTTCTCCAATCACAAAAGGGAAAGATGGTAATATTTTCCCCACCAAATTCTTGTAAGTATTAAACATTGTATATGTATTTTGAACACGATTAAGCTCTAAACACTTGTTAGGAAGCAGGACTGGCATTTGAAACAAACAGCTCTTTTCCCACAGGTCGGATGCCCTCACAGAATTGAGATTATGTACGTAAAACACCAGGTGCCTAACCCGGCACAGAGCAGGAGGGCTAAGCGTGACATCCAGCACGTGGTCAGTGGAATCCAGTATTCCTACCCACCTCTCTAGTCTCCCCTCCACCCCTCTCCCTTTCAGAGGCACCAAGCTGCTTGTGGTCTTGTCTATTCCCACTCCCTGCCTGACTGAACATTTTCTCCACCTCCTGATCATCAGCAGCAGAAACTGGCTGCTCTTCCTCCTGGGTAGACAGCCAGACTGTATTTCCCAGCTGCCCCTGCAGTGAGATGTGGCCATCGGAGCCAGCATTGGCCAATGGACTCTGCATGGGAGTGACGCATGCTGCCTCCAGGCTTGTCTCTAAAACCTCCCACGTGTCCTCCGCCTGCTCTTCCCACCTCCAAGGAGCACGGCAATTGTGGAAGACCCAGATTAGTGATGGCAGAACCATAGATGGGAGGAACCTGGGTCCCTGACTTAAAGTATCATGGATTTGGATGTTCCCTTAGTGAGAAATAAACTTCCATTGTGTTTAAGCCTTTATTTGTTTATAGTTGGTTACAGCAACTGCCTTCTTTTAATTAAAACACTCCTGCTGCTTCATGTTGCTGGAATGCTTGTAACCCTGCCCTGCTTCACCAGGGTAACTCCTACTTGGCCTTTAAGTTTATCTCTGCTGTCACACCGTCCAGAAAGCCTTCTCCCAGCACCACAACCCCTCCACCAAGGGTTAGGTGTCTCCAGCAGATGCTGCACAGCTGGCTGCCCTTTGCCCACCCTCCCCTTCTTTCTCATAGAATCCTAGGACTCCTCTGTATCTAGAAGGAGTTGTGTGGTCCAGTGCTGGCCAAGAAGATGTGAGAGCAAGTCGCTGGGTGGAGATTCTTAGGAAAACTTCTTAAAAAGAACGAGACTGGGCTCCTTTCTGCCTTTTACCATTTTTGTGTATGCTTGCCTTCTTCCCACCTGGGACTCTGATGCAGCACCTGTGAATGGGCACACATATTACAACTCTTAGGCTGAAACCCACGTTCTCAGGCAGAGGTCTCTTGTGGGCATTTAGTGCTATAAATGTCTCTTTACACACTGCTTTAAATGCGTCCCAGGTCTTAGGGTATATACCCAAAGGATTATAAATCGTGCTACTATAAAGACACATGCACATGTATGTTTATTGTGGCAGTATTCACAATAGCAAAGACTTTGAACCAACCCAAATGTCCATCAATGACAGACTGGATTAAGAGAATGTGGCACATATATACCATGGGATACTATGCAGCCATTAAAAAGGATGAGTTCATGTCCTTTGCAGGGACATGGATGAAGCTGGAAACCATCATTCTGAGCAAACTATCACAAAGACAGAAAACCAAACACTGCATGTTCTCACTCACAGGTGGGAATTGAACAATGAGAACGCTTGGACATGGGGCAGAGAACATCATACACTGGGGCCTGTCAGTGGGTGGGGGGCTGGGGGAGGGATAGCATTAGAAGAAATACCTAATGTAAATGACAAGTTGATGGGTGCAGCAAACCAACATGGCACACGCATATCTATGTATCCAACCTGCACATTATGCACATGTACCCTAGAACTTAAGTATATAAAAAAAAAAAAGAAAAAAAAACTTTCACCTTTTTCCAAAGTGTTGGGATTATGGGTGTGAGCAACCACATCTGGTCCTTTTTTTTTTTTTTTAATGGAGGTGAAATTCATATAAGTTTGGCCATTTTAAAGTGAACAATCAGTGGCATTCAGTACATTCACCATGTTGTGCCAACACTATCTCTATGTAGTTCCAAAACATTTTCATCAGCTCAAAATGAAACCTTGTACCCATGAAGCAGCCACTTCCCATTCTCCCCTCCCCTTAGCCCCTGGAAATCGGCTTTCTTTCTCCACGGATTTACATATTCTGTATATTTCCTATAAATGGAATTACACAATAGGTGACCTGTGTCTGGCTTCTTCCACTTAACCTAATGCTTTTGAGGTTCTGTCACATGGTGCCATGGATCAGCTCTGCCTTCCTTTTTATGACTAATACTCCACTGTATGTCCATATCACCATTTGTGTATTCACTCATTAATCTATGGACACAAGCCTCATTTTTAAGCACTTCAAATATGTTAACTCACTGAATCCTCACCACAAAGACAGATTCAGTTATTACATATTGACAGAGTGAAAACTGAGGCACAGGTAACATGCCTAGGATCACGTGGCTATGAAGCAGAAAGAGGACTCCAGCCGAGGCAGTCTAGTCCCAAAGTCCTTCCCTTCCTAGTAACCACTATGCTCTCCTGCCTCTCAGAGAACAACCCACATGGCACAACACGAGGGCTAAGCTGTCTGGTCTGTCGGGTGAAGCTTCAAATGCTGTTCATTTCCGATAAGGGGAGGTTCCTGGGCTGCAGAGGCTTCCTAGAGGAGGAAGACCATGTAAGGTCTAACTCAGGGCAGGTCAGGATGGTGTGAACTCACTCTGAACACAGTCACCGATGGGTGTTTAGGAAAATTGGCTCTGGAACTCCCACAGGGAAGGTTCTTATCTTTGCGTGCACAACACAGAGCCCTCTGGGTAGACTTCTAGACCCAGGCCTCTTTCAAATACATTAGAAACCTCAGCAAGATAAACTATTTTCTGTCTGGCTGCATCTGTCTATCTGTTTAGAGAGCAGGACATTTCCATCCTCCTCTCTCCAGGCATCCTTGGAAGTCTTTCCCACAAGCAAGACATCTTGGTGAAATTTAATGCTGCGGAGGGAAGTGGTTTTCAGGAGAGAGGAGTCTGTTCCCAGAACTGTAGCACAAAAGCTAGAGGCTGAGTAGGAACATCTTAAACTAAGTCCTCAGTCTTATTTCCAGTTTTCTTCCTGTAGATCGGGGCTTAGGACACCCTGTCACATTTTCTTCACTCCTCCACCAGGAATTCCTAAAGTCCATGCTCTTGGATCCTGGCAAATCCAGGAGGCTGGGGGATGTGGCAAGCTTCAGCAAGACTGCCTGGGACCAACCCTGCAGCCTTAATTCCCAGGCCCGCTCAGCCCAGCTGGCCAGCAAAGGCAGGCAGAGCTTCTGTGTCCACACATGAGAATGACCTGCAGCTGTTCTTTGTCCAGGCTGAGGTCCAGGATTCCCATTGCAGCTCCTAGGAAATCTTTAAAATTAGGTCGGGGATGAGCCTGTCAGTAGATTAGGTAGGGAACTTTTATGAAGTTGAGGGTGAACCATCTGGAGGGTGAACTGGCTGGTGTGATTCTAGAACTGGGGGTGGTGCCTAGCAGTGCATTTGTGAGAAGACACAGCCAGGCTTGGTATATGATGTGGTGTGTGTGTATATTCACAGGCATCGTGGAGCATATACACTTTTTTTGTGTGTGTTGAAATAAACCTTACAGATTACAAAGTACTTTTTTTTTTTTTTCTGAGACAGGGTCTCTCTCTGTCGCCCAGCCTGGAGTGCAGTGGTACAATCATAGCTCACTGCAGCCTCGATCTCCCAAGCTCAAGTGATCCTCCCGCCTCAGCCTCCCATGTAGCTGGGACTACAGGTGTGTGACACCATGACTGGCTATTTTATTTTATTTTTGTAGAGATGGAATCTCACAATATTGCCCAGGCTGATCTCAAACTCTTGGGCTCAAGCAGTCCTCTCGCGTCAGCCTACCAAAGTGCTAGGATTACAGGCATGAGCCACCACGCCCAGCCAGATTACAAAATACTTTGACATCTTTTCTCTACAGCCCTCAAAAGGAGGCAGGGCAAGCACAATTAAATCCCATTACAAATGGGGTGACTGAAGCTCCATTCATGGCTTGCCCAGGGTCACACAAAGAATGAATAGCAGATCCCTGAGCCTGTGTGCTTCCCTCTGTGCCAGGCTGCTTTACCCAGGCATGGGTGCACGTTGTGCATGGGACATTTCTCCTTTGTTGTGTCCTGAGTACCTTAAGCCACTCAGATATTGCTCAGGTGGAGTGAGGGGAAAATGTTTTCAGGTTGTATTAGTCAAAACAAAATACCACACACTGGGCGACTTTAAAATCATACATTTATCCCTCACAGTTCTGGAGGCTTGGAAGTCCAAGTTCAAGGTGGCAGCTGGACAGGTTCCTGGTGAGGGCTCTCTTCCTGGTTTGCAGACAGCCACCTTCTCTTCGCATCCTCACTTGGTGGGAAAAGACAGAGGAGAGAAAGAGAGAGAGAGAAAAATGAGATAGAGAGAGAGAGAGAAATGAGATAGAGAGAAATGAGAGAGAGAGAGAGAGAGAGAGAGAGAGGGAGACACAGAGACAATGCTCTCTTTTCTTACCAGATCTATAATGAGGGCCCCACCCCATGACCTCATCTAACCGTAATTACCTACCAAAGGCCCATCTCCACATACCATCACATTAGGGGTTAGGGTTTCAACATAAGCATTTGGAGAGGACATAAACATTCTGTCTACAACATGAGTGGAGATCCATCTCTTCTTTACCTCTGGTAAGGGGACCACACGCTGCAGCCAGCGAGACAGTGGCATGTTCTTGTTACAACTCGATCTAACTCCCCCAGAAGAGGAGGCAGGGAAGGCGGACAAAACTGGGAGAGGGAGAGAGTGTTAGGAAGAGAGTAGGGTGGCCAGAGGCAGCAAATAAAATATAAAATGCTTAATTCTGAATCTCAGATAAACAACCAATAATGTTTTTTAGCATAAGTATGTCCCAAACTAAGCTTGGGACATATTTATGCTACGAAATTATTCGTTGTTTATCTAAAATTCAAACTAGCTGGGCATCCTGTCTTTTAATCTGGCAACCCTAAAAGGCAAGGGCCAAAAATGCCGGAGGCAAGCCAACGGATTCCAGGAGGGACAACTGCTGGACTTTGGACTGATGATGCTCTTTTTATATATTTAACTTTTTAAAAAAGCCTCTTTTCTTTCTTTTTACCAGCTTTTCACTAGCTTTTTAAAAATTGTGGTAAAACATACATAACCTAAAATTCACCGTCTAAACCATTTTTCAGCATACAGTTCAGTGGGATTAAGTAGATTCACACCGTTGTGCCGCCATCACTACCACTCATTTCCAGCACCCTTCCATCACCCCAGCCTGAAACTCTACCCATTGAACACGAGCTGCCCAACTCCGCCTTGCTTCCCCATTCCTGGCGACCACTGCTTCTGTCTCTGTGAATTTTGACTATTCTAGGCACTTCACAAAACTGGACTCATACGATATCTGTAGTTTTGCGTCTGGCTTCTCTATTGAATTCTTAAAGGGGGGTGGGAACTAAGCAGATCACAAGGGAGCTGCCCACAGAGGTAAAGACAAGGTCAGGTAGGCTGAGAGACGCAGGAAAGCGGGTCAAGGCGTAGGGCTGGAGGGCAGGGGCGGGCCCTGGGCGTGGGCTGGGGGTCCTGCCCCGGGGCGCACCCCGGGCGAGGGCTGCCCGGAGGAGCCGAGGTTGGCGGACAGCTTGGCCCTGAGCTTGAGGGGAAGGCAGCGATGGGACAAAGGACGGAGGTCTAGGAAGAGGGTCTGCAGAGCAGAAAGCACGGGTAGGGGCGGCCTGACGCTCGGAAGACAACGGATGGGAGCCGTGTGCACGTCGGGAGCTCGGAGTGAGCGTGAGTTCCGTGCCCAGGCCCGCGACTCGGCCCGACAGGACAGCGCTCCGGGTCGACGGGGTCCTGGAGCCGCGCTCGGGGAGGCGTCTTGGGCTCGCCCCGGAGCTTCCTCCCTGGAGCCGCGCCCTGCACCCGGCCTTGCCCGGCCCTAGCAGGGAAGCCAAGGCTTGTGGGGCGCAGGGACCCGGGCTCTGCGGGGTCCCGGTTCCGCCTCCCCACTCCTGCGTCTTCCCGCCCCTGCCGGGTTCTGGGAAGCCTCGCGCGGCTCTTCCGCAGCTGCTGCCCGCCCGGAGCTCCTGGTCCCTCGTAGGGGACCCCACTTCTCTGACACCGCTTTGGGTTCCCGGGGCCTACAGCGAGGCTTGTAACTCCGGGAGAGACCCTGGAGCGGGGTGTGGGAGAACGGTCTGGAGGAAGGGCTCCGAGCACTTCGAAAGTATAAACCGCGGTCCCAAAGAGGCGTGCTGTGTCTGCATTTTCCTGGGAGTGCACGGTTTACATTCTCGAAAGCAGTGCTGTCGACTAGAAATATTGAGCGATACACATGTACAAGTTTTGTCACTTAAAAAGAATTTGAAAAAACTTCATAGATGCAAAAAAAAAAAAAAACCCACCATTATTAAAGAATACTTAGGTATTTGTGGAATGCATTGAAGAGTTAACAAAATGGATAGGCAGGAAATATCGCAGACCTAGAATGAATTACAGTTACCCACTGTGGAACTGAGGAGCTAGGGTTTCTCATAAAACTCCCTGATAGAAGACGACTTTTGATAAAATTTTTTTTCCGCCAACAAAATCCCCTGTCTTCTCAACTAGTTACTGTCTGTCCACTAAATAAGAGGTGGTCCGTCACTTCTTCAGATGAGCAACTACAGGCTTTTCAAAAGATAATTGCTAATCAACCCCTTTGTGCCTGGGTTTTCTTATTTGTAAAAATAGATACTACTACCTAACTCCAAAGTGTGTGGTGAAGACAAACAATTGGGGTGATGTATACTAAAGTAACGAAAGTGTTGACCACACACTACGGGCTGGTTAGTGTTAGATTCCCTTGTTTTTCCCTCAGTATCAAAAACAGATCTAATTTAGGTTTACATAAAGACAAAGTATGAAGATAAGGTGACTTACAGTTGGTACTACTAACAAAATGTTTGGGCTAATATTTGCATTATTGCATGAAAACAACAAAACATATCAATAAATAACAAAAAGCTTGGAATTCAGACGACAGATCCAAGTCTGGGCTTGATCTCAAGCTAGTGTTTTGATGTTGAAAAAATGTTATTTGGTCTTTCTAACCCCATTTCCTTATGTAAAATAGGGGATGATGATAAATTCACTGATAATAAGAGTTAAATGAGATTCTTGAGGAGTCAGAATGGTTCTAACATGTGTAGGTATTATTAGCAGTCATACTGTAGCATAAGAAAATACCGTCTGCTGAAAGAGGGACAATAAAGATTATCTACATGGTCATCATTTAAAAGCTACCAGATATAGGAAGAAGGGGCCATAAAATGATAACGTTATGATGATTAATTTTGATGCTTAGGTCAGAGTCCATTCTAGGATATCTGCTGCCCAAAAACAGCAGAGACTCATTTCTTTGGAATCACAGGACGCTGAGTGAGAGGAAAGAAAAAGAAAAGAAATATTTAAGTCACATATGTGATTTCTAAAAGTAAAAAGAAACAGATGAAATTAGTGATATATTTTTAAAATCCAGTATATCCCAAATATGGTTATTTTAGCATGTAATCAATATAAAATAATAAGATATTTTACATTCTTTTTTTCTAGCCTTTGAAATTTGGTGCATATTTTACACTTATGGCACATCTCAATTCAGACTATCCACATTTCAAGTGCTCAGTGGCTGCATGTGCCTGGTGGCTACCATATTGGACAGCACAGGTCTAAGGATTTCATTCCTGCCACAAGTCCAAACTCCTAGCTTTAATTTTGAGTGTTTTTAACAAACTGGCCTCTGTTTATCATTCTTTCTTCTAGTACTTCCCCAAGGATGATTGTACCCTCAGCACTCAAGACCGCTTGCGGTTCCCCTACACACTTTTTGTTCAAGCTGTTTCTTTTACCTGGAATGCTGTCTTTGCACCTTCTTCCTGGACCTGGTTCACCCTCGTTGCCTAGGCTGGAGTGCCATGGCGCGATCTTGGCACACTGCAACCTCCACCTTCCCGGTTCAAGTGATTCTCCTTCCTCAGCCTCCCGAGTAGCGGGGATTACAGGCCTGCACCACCACGCCTGGCTAATTTTGTATTTTTAGTAGAGATGGAGTTTCACCATGTTGGTCAGACTGGTCTCGAACTCCCGACCTCAGGTGATCTGCCTGCCTTCGCCTCCCAAAGTGCTGGGATTACAGGCGTGAGCCGCTGCGCCCGGCCGAGAGGCACACATTCTGCTAAGAGCTTTTTCCTGACTCCCCTAACTCCAAGAGGGATTTGTCACTCCTTAGCTTTGTACCCATGACTGGAGTAGAATGAATTTAATTTGAGTTTAGTTGTTTTTGAGACTCTCCCTGGCTAGTGTAGTGTCTTATTCGTCTTTGTTGTGATCATGGCCTGCACCTAACAGATGATCAGTAGATGTTTGCAGACAGAAAGTAAACCACTCATCAGGTGTATTCAGTCCCATTCTTGAACGGGCTTGCTGCCTCCTTTTTGAGGAGATCTGTGTATGTACTCTTCTTTCACGCATATGTGTGAGCAAACACACACACACTAACAAGAAATTCATCTGAAGATGTGCACAGGAAATATCTTGCATCTTTACCCCCTTTGTGATCTTACATATGGGAGAACTGAGGCACAGAAATAAGTTAGGACAGCCAGCAAACTTGCATCAGTATAAATACAAAGAAGGGGAGGGAGGAACATGCTTGAAAGGGGTGTGCTGGTCTCAGAGGGTTGGGTTTCTCAGTTGGCTGGGCATCAGCTGGCCATGCTTTAGTTATTTGATGGGAGGAAAAATAAGTGGGAGGTGAGGAGTAACTCCTGGGCTCTGATGAGTATTCAAGGCAAGTACAGATCTGGAAAGCCTGTATGCAAAGGAGGAACTCACTGAAAAGTGCTGGCCTGAGGAGGGCAGAAGGGAGGGCTGGGGAAGCCAGCAGCGGGAGCAAAGGAGTAGGCTCCAACTGGGTGAAGATGTTGGTGTGGTGCGTTATGTAAAATATACAAATTATTATTGGAAATAACCACGTCTCAGCAGTGCTAGTTCTCAGTTTGGAGAATGGGAAATCGAAAGGATCAGATTCAGAGACGGCAACTTACTCAAGGTCACAGCATTTTAAACCCAAGTGAAATCTCCTAGGCCCTTCATGCCACACTCATCCATCCATACCTACTTGTGTTGCAACCAAGGGCCCCACTGTAGTGCCTAGGGGAGCAGGTCTAGGGCACAGTGCCAGGCCTGATTAATGTCTTCCTTACCATTTTCCAGTGAGGGGCTGTGATTAGGCCTATTTATAGGGGCCTGGTCCCTTAATATTCTGCCTGGTGCATCTCTTGCCAATCAAATCAGTGCTGTCTGCAGTGTGATTGCTGCTTTAGTGGCACCAGGGAGAGGAGTTAATTAAACCCAATATAAATAGACTCTGCCCTCACTTTGCAATTCCAGGAGTGTTTTTCCTTCCTGTCCTCCACCCCCACAGGCACCTCTTTCCTCTTGTCCCCCTAAGCTCTAGCCTGGGTGAGCAGGGCTGGATACTCCTATACCTAGAGTCACTAGCCACTGCCCAGTCTGTTTCAGGAGCAGGCCTCAGATTCCTCAGGGGTTAAAGTGGGAAGAACCCGTGTGTGCACATTTTTTGTGCTTTTCCAGAACTGTGTACCATTTGGCAGTTGATCAGGCAATCTCCCCTGCTACCCCATTTCTACCCCTTTGTTTCCAGCCTCTTTTTTCCTCTGCAACCAAGGTTTCTTGTTTATCCAAGGTGGGGAGCTGAACTGAGACAAGGTATGGAAAGGGTGCCTGGCAGGTAGCAAGCACCTTGTAGGGGGTCAGAAATGTTGCACCTTCTCTGAACTCCTCCATTGACCCTACAGATTCCCCAGTCCCGGGCCCTGCCCTTTCCCTCATTCACTCAGCAGGCATCAGCAGAGTCCCATCTATGCGCTCCTGGCCTCTCAGCAAATGCTCTGTCCCCTACTCCCCTATCTGTGCAGGCTGAAGCTATGTGCATAGTTGGGATGAGGGCTGTGTTGTCTCAACACCACGCTGCCCTGTGGTGGGGGCGTGCCGTTGGTCGTGGGTGGCTCTGACGCTCCGGCTCCGACCCACAGGCACCATGACTCCTGTGAGGATGCAGCACTCCCTGGCAGGTCAGACCTATGCCGTGCCCTTCATCCAGCCAGACCTGCGGCGAGAGGAGGCCGTCCAGCAGATGGCGGATGCCCTGCAGTACCTGCAGAAGGTCTCTGGAGACATCTTCAGCAGGTGGGTGCTGCCACTCACCCCCACCTGATGAGAGGGCCATCCCTGTCCTGGGCAATCCCAGCAACACACCCTCTGGGAGCAGCCCCCTTGGGGAATCCCGGTCCTGGGGAACCCATCTGGCTTCCCTGTGTGGGAGGGGCTGAAGTGAGAGCCCAACTTGGAAGCTTTTACTCCTGGGAGTCCGAGAGCTCACTCCCTTCCACCCCACTTAGCCTCCTGGTTTCCTGTGGTGGCTCTGCTCTCACAACTCATGCTTTTCCTCCCATTGGAGGGCCTATTCCTTCACGTTTTCCTGCAGCCAACAAATATTTACCCAGCAGTGCTCGTGTGCAAGGCAGTGTGGGAATCTCTATATATCCAGCCACGGATAAGGCAACATACCTCTCCACCTGGAGCGCACATTCTGGCAGGAGAGAAAGACCTAAATAAGCAATAGATGATTAGTTCTTCAATAACAGTTGTGACAAGGTCTATTGATAATATTTTGTAATCACTAATATTCATATAAACCGTGCACAACCATTGATTTGAGTGCATTAACTCACACTTCATGAGCAGGCACTGCCGTCATCTCATTTTATAGATGAGGAAACTGAGGCACAGAAGGGCTGAGAGACCTGGCCTAGTGACAGAGCCAGGATTCAAAGCCATAGATCATGGCCCCGGGTTATGTAGGTTATTACTGCATCTGTTCAGGGGAGATGGGGTACTGTGAGGCTCGTCATGGGAAGCCTGGCTTGGTCTCAGGTCAGGGAAGGCAGATGTGAGGAAATGACATTTATGGTAAAGTCTGAGGGTTGAGTGGGTAGGTTGGGAAGAACATTCCAGAAAGAAGCACATGAACTACAGCCTGGAGGTGGAGGACCTAAAAGGAAGCCAGCATGGCTGGAGCACGGAGTGGCCATTGAGGGAGGCGAGCTGGAGGGCTGCAGCTTCTTGTATTGGCAGTGCTGACCTCGCACAGTCCTTGGGCTCCAGTGACTTCACTCAGTGTTTATCTAACATGAGTGAGTGAATGGTGTTTGCTGTTTTTTTGGTAAAGGTCCCAGGGGTTGTCGGGTACACAGGTCCTGTCTTTGGCCATAAGCAAACTGAAATGAGGCTTGGTCTCCTTCCCAGGATCCCACACCATGTCTCACATGGTAGACCCCAGTGGGAAGTATGTGACTGCCTGACTCAGGTGCCTCTCGTGGTCCAAGCCATCCCTGCCCTGTCCCTTCCCTGGTTGTCGCCAGACCTGGAGCCCCTGCTCCTTCACTTTGCAGCCTCCTCTTCTGTCACCAACTGGGAACCCACCTCTTCCTGAAAGTCCTCCCCCACTGACTCACCGGCTTGCCCCGAGTTTGTCAAGAATGTCTCAGTAACCAGGGGACACACAGTGAAGTGACTGAGGGGTTACCTTGGAGTTGATGCCTTGGCTCAGATCCAGCTCCCCTGTTTTCTTCCTCTGTAACCTTGGGCAACCCAACCCCTCTAAGCCTCGGTGTTCTCATTTGTGAAGTTGTGGTAATAATGGTAGCTTCCTGGTAGAATTATTTTAAATATTAAATTAATCAAAACATGCAAAGGAATGGAACAGTGCCTGGCACCTAGGAAGCCTTCAGGAAATGCTATCTCTTCCCTGTTGATAATCTTGACCCGTACACTGCCTTTGGTTGCCATTCATAAACCTGCCACCAATAGTAACAAAGTGCTGGATGCACCTTTTGTGCTTATCTTTGTGCTAAATGTGCCCGAGGGACACCTAGGGAAGAGGATGCAGGTCTTTAAGAGCCATCAGCTCCAGATTATGGCCACCCCATGTCCAGCACTTAGAATGGAGGCCAAAACCATTCCCTCGGAAATTGTGTTTCCTTGCCAAGATGGGGACTGCGTGGTTGCCCTTCTCTGAGGGCAGCGCTGGATTTTTGGCGTCTTTCCTTTCCTGTCCTGGTACTTGGCACCTTGTAGACAGTTGCATGTCCCCTGCCCAGGGATGGGATGAGGAGAGGGCAGGAAGGCATTTCCTGGGTAGTGGAGTGCTGCGTTCATTGAGTGTGGGTTCTCCAAGCTGCTGGCACAGCGCAGGGAGGGCCAGATGCCTCTCAGGAGCCTTGGGCCTGAGTCCTGGCTCCCTCACTCCTGGGTTCCAGGTCACTGCATCTGTCTCTCCACCATGTGCTCCACCTCGTGCTGGACCTTAAGAGATACCAATTATGTGGCTGCCACTGTGTCCTAGAGGCTGGAATGGGAACACATAGGGCGAGATTGATTGTTAATTGCTAGCATGAACCGCGTGGGCTTCTCAGGGTCTAGAGTGGAGAGAAATCGGTAAGAATTGGTGGCACGCCTGTCAGAACTCCCCAGACCAAGCTAAGCAAAAATTAACCAATCAGTAGAGCAGCCTTCGGAGTAAGGGCTAAAATGATGTCCTCAGGGCCTGGTTTTGCTTTCCTTCCATGTCAGTTTGCTTCTTTGGGTCTGGCTGCATTCCCAGACAGGCCATGCTCTCGTGGTAGCAAGGTGACATGACACAGGGTCAGGTCCAGCAGGAAAGAATGCTGTCCTGTGTCCCCGCTTCCTCCAGAAGCCACACTCACCCATCCCACCTGGCTTGGTCCTCATGTCTATCCCAGAATCCATTAATGGGGCCAGGGGACTATGACACACCACTTGGCTTAGACTGAGGAGCTCTGTGGGCAGCCCCACCTGAAGCTCTGGGACTAAGCCTGCGAGAGAGATGGATTCCCCAAGGGAAATGGGGCCATTGCTTGAGTAAAAAGGAAATAGTTGCTGAAGAGGAAAACCACGTGCTTACTCCACATAGGGCAGACTCCTGGAAGAGGGGGGCAGGGTAGGGAGGTGGATATGCAGGTTGCCCTGGCAGGGTCTGGAAATGGGGGCTGCAGGCTTGGAGGGAGGCCTCAGTGTGGCTTGGAACGTGGTGTATGGTGGTCTGCCGCGAAGGCCGGCCTGCACAGGGGTGGGAGGGGGGTGCTTCTGCATGGGAAGCACAGACAGCGCTGCCTCTCCCTTGCACTCAGCTCTTGGGGCATGAGAGGCTGACTTTCCGTGAGCCTGTGGGCCAGGCCTCTTTGAATGGGGCTGAGGGAGCTTTGCCCTGGTTCCTTTGTGTCCCCACGGTGCCACGGGAGGCTCCCTGGCAGGGTGTGGGGCAAGGCAGTGAGTGAAGAGTTGGGATGAGTGAGTTAGGGCCCACGGATTACTCAAGACAGGACTTCAAGTTGATTCAGGCGTGTTAGGGAGCTGTGATTGGATTTTGAGCAGGGCAGGGATGGGACAGAAGAGTTTGGGGAAGGTTCCTCAGGCATCCGTCACGGAAGGGACAAGAAGGGAGAGAGAGTGGATGCCAGGGACACCCAGAAGCTGTTATTGTAGTCAGGATACGACAGGGGTGAGGCTACAGACAGGGGACTTGCAAGCAGGGAGGGCAGGGTGAGACATTCAGAGGAAACGACGACAGGAAATGGTGACAGATAGGGAACGAGGATGAAGGGAAGGGAGAGCCAGTGACGACTGGCAGTGGAGTGGGGAGCACCGCCACCTCTCCTCCTCCACTTGCCCCTCCTGTGGCACTGGACAAGCTAGTGGGCTTTTCGTTGTCCATGGGCTTTTTCGGTGGGGATGTGACCAGCTTTGAACCCGTCCCCTTAAACATGCTCCTCCTGCACGGAAGAGACAGGGGCAGGGGAGAGACTCTCTCCCCACCACCCAGCTCAGGCCCCAGCACAGCCCGGCCTCTGGCCTCACTGGCGTCTGTGCCCAGTGACGCAGGCAGGTGAGCTCCTGGCAAATTAGCATTGCAGGCTGTGCTCTCTCCTCCTGCTCTGCTGCAGCTGGGAGTGTGCAGAGACTGGAGGGGATGACAGTCACCCTCTGTTTTCTGTGGTGGCTCTGTTTTCTGTGGTGCTGGATGCACCTCTGTTTTCTGTGGTGGCTCCAAGAGAGTGCACGGTCCCTGCTGATTGAAAGAAGGATGAAGGGCAGAAGAGGGGCGGGGAGCTGTGTGCCCTAAGATCTCATTGCCTTTTTATGCCGATTAACATGCTTTTAGCCCCTACTGAGCTTATAGTTAACAGAAGTTTCCAGGTCTTTCTTCACCTGAACTGTGTCTAAAGCAAGTTCTCTCCACCTTCTGTATTTATACGCTTGATTTTTAAAACCTAAATGTTGGGCTTCACATTTCTTCCTTGTAAATTTCATCTTGGTGATTGCAGTCTACCCTCTGGCCTTTAAAAATTGTCTGAGCCTTGATTCGATCATGAAACCAGCTTACCCTTCCCCTGTGTGCTGGCCCCAGTTTTCTAACCAGGTGTTGAATGAACTGGATGGACTCTGCCAGATCCCTCCGTGCAAGGCTGGAATCAGTCCATTGTTCAACTGTGCCCTTTGGGGCTGTGGTTCATTTGGCTCTGATTTTTCCTATATGTTCTCTCCTCCAACCCCCATAGCTCCATCTTGTCTACAAGATTTTGTTAGAAGCCGTCAAAATCCTGCTGACTCGAGATGCGCTGTGGTGCATGTTTTCCCCGGGCACAGCAGGCTAATAATCCTGTTACAAAGAGAAATGCTGTACATTTCGAGCAGTGCTGGCCCCTGGGACTCACCGTGGCCTTTTCTAAGTGCTTACAGACTCTCTGTTTAATAATCCATTCCAGAAATTTTCCAGGGCTCATTGTTGAGCTTGGTGTTCGCAACTTTGAGTGATCAGCCCTTCTCCTTTGTGGGAGCACCAGGACAGAGCAGCCTTTGTCCCTCCCCAGTCTCAGTTCCCTCCCACTGCCCCTGTGGACCTCGAATGCAGAGCTTATGCACCTACCGAAGGTCGTGTCAGCACCCAAGGCAGAACGAGGCTGCCCTGGGAACTAGGGTCAATTAAGACAGCTTGTGCTGGAGGACCCTTTACAGCAGATGAAGGCCTCTCCCCAGCCAGAAAAGATGGAGCACACGCTGGGTGGTGGCCCCGCTTCCTCACTGGAAGGAGATGGTGCTCTTCTTTTTTCTTTCTGAATTGTGGCCACCTTCATACCAGTCTGTCATGGAACACTTAAGCCGCTTGAGTGCCTGCTGGTACTCCCAGCCCTGCCATGCCTGAGCCCCCTGCACACAAGGAGCCAGGAGTAATCAGGGCAGACCCTTTAGGGCACGGGGACTTCTGGATTGTGAAATTGGCTCTCTGGGGGCCAAGGCCTTCTAACGTTGGTGGAAGTGGCTTTGGCTTATTGGGTCGGATTCTAGGCCATTCATTCCAACCTTTAGAGACATCCCAGCTTTCCCTAGCCCAGAGTCTGCAGCCCCTCCACCATCCCACATCCTCCCCCTCCCTTTCCTCATGAACCCCAGTCGCGCCTCTGCCTTCTCAAACCCCTCCACCATCCCACACCCTCCTCCTGCCCTTCCTCATGAACCCCAGTCGCGCCTCTGCCTTCTCATCCCTGCGCACCACACAGGCTCGCTCGTGCCCGGTGAGTGCTGAGGCTGCTCTGCACGTGGAGTATGGCCCTGTGGGCAAGGGCTGGGCTCTTGGAGGTAGGGGAGCTACAGGGGCGACTGGGAGGAGGATGTTGTGTTACACACGCATCAGAGTTAACTTTGCAGTGAGAGCGGCCTTGCTGCGGCCAAAGAACATGGAAAAGCATGAGTGGGGTGATGTGCCTTAAAGCATCAGACACTTGGGCCTCGGGCATCAGGAGCCAGCCACAGGGATGTCTGGGGAAATGGCGTTCCATGAGATGCAAGCACACAAGAATGCACTTGGCACATCTGGGGAACAGCAGGCAGCTGATATCACTGGGCCCACCCCGCACCAGGGAGGATGGAAGCAGGTGAGGAGCTAGACCACACTGAGGCGGTGGTCGGGACTCGGGGTTTGCTCAGTGAGCCGTTCACTATGTGCAGGGGCAGTTCCCCGTCTGAATTTAGGTGACGACACTCAGGTCCAGCCTTGCCAGTCTCAGCCTCCGGTCTCCGTTCCCCCTCTGCAGAGGCCACATTGTCTGCTGCACGTGATCATGAGGGGTTGTGAAGTGCTTGCCCCATCAGTAGCCATGTGTGCATGTGTAAATACCATCCTCTGTGTGCCCTGGAGGCTGTCCTTCAGATAGCATGTACAGGTGGCAGCATAGGGCCTGTCCCTTCTGAGAGTGCAGGGAACTCAGCACCGTCAACTCCTCGACCCTGCAGGTCAGATTATCCTTGTAGAGGCCCCCTGGATGGCACCAAGATCGGCCCTGGCAAGTAGGTGACCCTGACTTCAGAGCCCTTGCCTGAGGGCCTGGCCTGGCAGCTCTGCTGTTAGAAGCAGGAGGTGTGCAGAGGGTGGGGAGCAGCCCAGCCTCTGTGATCTTCTCCATGGCAGGATCTCCCAGCAGGTAGAGCAGAGCCGGAGCCAGGTGCAGGCCATTGGAGAGAAGGTCTCCTTGGCCCAGGCCAAGATTGAGAAGATCAAGGGCAGCAAGAAGGCCATCAAGGTAGTCCCCATACCCCTGTGTCCTGAGGCTACTGGGCAGTCCCTCCATTTCCCCGTGCCTCTGAGGCTGCCCAGTCTCTGCCCTGCTGCCCACCTGTACCTTGAGCTTTCTTCTCGCCCAGGCTTCCAACTCCACCCTCTCCTGCCAAGCAATCCTAGCCCTCTGAGCCTCTTGGGGCCCCCTCAGACTTGTCCCTGTGTCCACAGGTGTTCTCCAGTGCCAAGTACCCTGCTCCAGGGCGCCTGCAGGAATATGGCTCCATCTTCACGGGCGCCCAGGACCCTGGCCTGCAGAGACGCCCCCGCCACAGGATCCAGAGCAAGCACCGCCCCCTGGACGAGCGGGCCCTGCAGGTCTGCTGGCCGCGCATATAGCCTGTCACACACCAGGAGGACTGGATACTGGGGAGGAGCCGGGGCCACCATAGGGTTCTGTCCCCCAGAGGAGGCTGACTGGGATGGGATGGCAGCTGATTAGGCCCAGCACCAAATATTCACCATCCCTTGGCCATCCTGGCCCTCTCAGGAGAAGCTGAAGGACTTTCCTGTGTGCGTGAGCACCAAGCCGGAGCCCGAGGACGATGCAGAAGAGGGACTTGGGGGTCTTCCCAGCAACATCAGCTCTGTCAGCTCCTTGCTGCTCTTCAACACCACCGAGAACCTGTATGGCCAGAGGGCAGGGCCGAGGGGTGTGGGCGGGAGGCCCGGCCTGGCTTAGTGGGGACCCAGGGCATCAGACACAGGTACAGCACATAGGCCAGGAGCCAGGGGGTGACTGGGGTGGCTCGGCTCGGGAGGCCTGGGACCCCACAGTGCACACTGTGCCCCTGATGATGTGGGAGAGGAACATGGGCTCAGGACAGCGGGTGTCAGCTTGCCTGACCCCCATGTCGCCTCCGTAGGTACAAGAAGTATGTCTTCCTGGACCCCCTGGCTGGTGCTGTAACAAAGACCCATGTGATGCTGGGGGCAGAGACAGAGGAGAAGCTGTTTGATGCCCCCTTGTCCATCAGCAAGAGAGAGCAGCTGGAACAGCAGGTGGGAGGGGTGGGACAGAGGTGGAGACAGGTGCAGTGGCCCAGGGCCTTGCCAGAGCTCCTCTCCAGTCAAGGCTGTTGGGCCCCTTATTCCACCCATGGGAGGTGCACACAAGGTCTTGTTGGCTGCCCCTGCAGGTCCCTGTCACCTCTCACATGTCCCTGCCTAATCTTGCAGGTCCCAGAGAACTACTTCTATGTGCCAGACCTGGGCCAGGTGCCTGAGATCCATGTTCCATCCTACCTGCCTGACCTGCCCGGCATTGCCAACGACCTCATGTACAGTGCCGACCTGGGCCCCGGCATTGCCCCCTCTGCCCCTGGCACCATTCCAGAACTGCCCACCTTCCACACTGAGGTAGCCGAGCCTCTCAAGGTAGGTGAGCTGGGTTCTGGGATGGGAGCTGGGCCGGGGACCTCCCTGCTCACACACCTTCTTCCCTAGACACCCCACACTTTGTGTTTCAGACCTACAAGATGGGGTACTAACACCACCCCCACCGCCCCCACCACCACCCCCAGCTCCTGAGGTGCTGGCCAGTGCACCCCCACTCCCACCCTCAACCGCGGCCCCTGTAGGCCAAGGCGCCAGGCAGGACGACAGCAGCAGCAGCGCATCTCCTTCAGGTGGGAGCAGCTCTTTGAGGCCACCTGATTTCTGGCGTGCTCAGTGCACTCGGGTGGATTTTCTGTGGGTTTGTTAAGTGGTCAGAAATTCTCAATTTTTTGAATAGTTTCCATTTCAAATATCTTGTTCTACTTGGTTCATAAAATAGTGGCTTTCAAACTGTAGAGCTCTGGACTTCTCACTTCTAGGGCAGAGGGAGCCTGAACAAGTGAGGCTCTGGGTTCCTCATTCCTAATTAAACCAATGGAAAGAAGGGGTCTAATAACAAACTACAGCAACACATTTTTCATTTCAGCTTCACTGCTGTATCTCCCAGTGTAACCCTAGCATCCAGAAGTGGCACAAAACCCCTCTGCTGGCTCATGTGTGCAACTGAGACTGTCAGAGCATGGCTAGCTCAGGGGTCCAGCTCTGCAGGGTGAGGGCTAGAGAGGAAGCAGGGAGTATCTGCACACAGGATGCCCGCGCTCAGGTGGTTGCCGAAGTCAGTGCCCGGGCCCCACACAGTCTCCAAAGGTCCGGCCTCCCCAGCGCGGGGCTCCTCGTTTGAGGGGAGGTGACTTCCCTCCCAGCAGGCTCTTGGACACAGTAAGCTTCCCCAGCCCTGCCTGAGCAGCCTTTCCTCCTTGCCCTGTTCCCCACCTCCCGGCTCCAGTCCAGGGAGCTCCCAGGGAAGTGGTCGACCCCTCCGGTGGCTGGGCCACTCTGCTAGAGTCCATCCGCCAAGCTGGGGGCATCGGCAAGGCCAAGCTGCGCAGCATGAAGGAGCGAAAGCTGGAGAAGCAGCAGCAGAAGGAGCAGGAGCAAGGTGAGCGGGCCCTGGAGCCTGCGGTTGGAGGGCCTTGGGCAAGATCGCCTCCTCCCCTCCAGCCCTGAGTCCACCGGGTGCTTTCTGCCCACCCCCTGCTCCTGCCAGCTGGCCCCTGCTTCCCCTAGGGCACATGCTGGAAGCCCTGGGCCGCCACCAGAGGTCCTCAGCCCTCCTGCCTGGGCTATGGCTCCTTCCTGGTTTGGGAGCCATAGTGGAGCTTTCCTCTCTAAGCTCACCCAGCTCAAACTGTGACAGGAGAATCTTCTTCGACTGCCAAGAGCGGTCCAAGGCAATGGTCAGCCACTGCAGCCTCCTGAGATATTTTTAGAGACTGGACCTGAGGCCTCTGGAGGCTACTGATGATGCCTGCTGTGAACGCAGACACTGGTGTGATGCGATGCCTGCGCCTGCAGCGGCAGTGCCCTGGGCACTATGGTTTTGAG
This sequence comes from Homo sapiens, assembly GCF_000001405.40. NCBI lineage: Eukaryota > Metazoa > Chordata > Mammalia > Primates > Hominidae > Homo > Homo sapiens. The sequence continues at coordinate 15,462 of NC_000009.12, read as the reverse complement.
CTTGTACCCAGCGCTGCTTTTGCCTTGCTCTGTGACCCCAGGCAAGCTGCCTCACCTCTCTGGGCCAGTTTCCCCATCGTACAGTGGTGCTGCACACCCTGGCCCTGTCCCCGAGGTGGCTGGGAGGTGGCTCCTCAAACAGCCACTTTCTCATCAGTGCCCGGTGCTGGGTCAGGCATCGACTGAGGCTCTGAGCTAACTAGGAAACACAGTGGCCTTGGAGGGCTGGGGAGTGTCATGGGGGTGGGGACAGGGAGCCACCGGTCGCATGTGACTGAACTCTTCACCCCAGTCTGTGGCTTTCCCGTTGCAGTGAGAGCCACGAGCCAAGGTGGGCACTTGATGTCGGATCTCTTCAACAAGCTGGTCATGAGGCGCAAGGGTAGGAGGCAGGGCCGCTGCCCACCCTGGGCCGGCACATTGTAATTCTGTCCTGCCTTTTTCTTCCTGTATTTAAGTCTCCGGGGGCTGGGGGAACCAGGGTTTCCCACCAACCACCCTCACTCAGCCTTTTCCCTCCAGGCATCTCTGGGAAAGGACCTGGGGCTGGTGAGGGGCCCGGAGGAGCCTTTGTCCGCGTGTCAGACTCCATCCCTCCTTTGCCGCCACCGCAGCAGCCACAGGCAGAGGAGGACGAGGACGACTGGGAATCGTAGGGGGCTCCATGACACCTTCCCCCCCAGACCCAGACTTGGGCCGTTGCTCTGACATGGACACAGCCAGGACAAGCTGCTCAGACCTGCTTCCCTGGGAGGGGGTGACGGAACCAGCAGTGTGTGGAGACCAGCTTCAAGGAGCGGAAGGCTGGCTTGAGGCCACACAGCTGGGGCGGGGACTTGTCTGCCTGTACTTCATGGGGGGACGGCTCCACCCAGCCTGCGCCACTGTGTTCTTAAGAGGCTTCCAGAGAAAACGGCACACCAATCAATAAAGAACTGAGCAGAAACCAACAGTGTGCTTTTAATAAAGGATCTCTAGCTGTGCAGGATGCAAACGTCTCGGGGTCAGTGACTGCCTCCTGCCCCTGTTGGTCCCTAGGCAGTGGGGGCAGAAGCTCCCAGCTGACTTGTTTCTCTGGGATGAGAGGGAGGAGAGAAGGGCAGTCAGCAGGGGCAGCTGTTGCAGATGGGAGGAATAGTTTCCCACAAAAAAGGTTTCAGTGACAGACACAGGGTCTCTAAAAATAGTCATGCTGAGAGCCTAATGGCCCTTGGCACAATTGCTGGTGTTGGGGTAGAAGATGTCTTGGAGTTTGCTCAAGTGGTTGAGAGGGAGGGAGGTGCCATCGACTTGGAGGAACTGGCACCAAGCCAGGGAGATAGAAATCCAGGCAAGGCTGTGGGGCAGGTTAGGGAGCAAGGCTGCAGGAGTGACTCAGGAAGAAGGTGGGGGAGGTGACAAGCCCCCAGGCAGGGGCCCTGTGGCCATGGGGATCTTTTTAAATTGAGACTAGGGGGTGAATAGTCCAGGGCAGCTAACTTTAGTTATTATAGAAAGGGCAGTAGCAGATGGGTCTGCTCCGTCTCCCTTCTAAGAAGGTGGGCAGGACAAATGGCAGCCTCCTGCAGAGGCCCAGTGAGAAGCCTGGCCCTCGGCCACACAGGATGGAAGACAGATTGGATTCCACAGAGGGGAGCTGCCCTGGGAAGATCTCACGGATGGCCAGGACCCACCATTTCTTCGGGGTTCCCCTGTTTTCTCCAACGGGCACTAATGCCTGTGCCTGGGTCCTGGCAACACTCTGGACTCCACACTCTTCTGGGTTTCACCTTTGTAGCAGGATCCCTGCAGATCAGGCCCATGACAAACACCGTCTCCAGCGGGCAGAGCAAAGGAAGGGCGCAGCGCCAGGCAGTGGTGCAGCTGCCTGTCAGGAAGAGGCCTACTTCTGGTGAAACTGGGCAGACAAAAGGCAGTGAGAAATGTGATCTCGGGGTGGTGGAGGCTCTAGGGAAAGGAAAAGGCAGGAGTGAACTTCCACACAGCAGCAATGGCAGAACCAAAGGTGGCTTTGACCTCCACGAGGGCTCAGATCCAGGCCAACAGCTTGTCCAGGACAGGGTGCCGGGTGTATCACTAATCCAGGAGCACTATGCTGGCAGAATCCCTTTGGTGCCTGATGGCCCTGCCTTCGTGGGAACAGAGGCTAAGGCTTTGAGTTACAGCTGCCTCCCCAACAGTGCATCCCCTTCTCCTTCCTCAGCCTCAGGTAGGAGACAGGGCAGGCAACCCCCCTTTCCTCTTCTCCCCTTCTCCAGCCCCTGTCTGTCCACCCAGCTGGAGGCAGCCAGGCTTGCCTATGGACTGGTTGACAGCCTTCATGCACAGGTTCTCCACCAGAGCCTTTCTTGGGGGCCCCTGGCCTGGGCTCTGAGCTGGGAGTGAAGGGGATGACCCATGCGGACTGTTTGCTGCTTGTAGCTTTCCCTGGGAAAGACTCTGCCAGGCCTTGGAGCCAGACCAGGAGGCTTTATAGGCCACTGCAAGCAGCAGGGCTCCAGATGACATCACAGGGAATATCAAGAGGGAGTGGAGGGGCATCGAAGCCTCTCCAGGAGACAGGAGACGCCGGCCCAGTAGAGCCCTAGGGGCGACGCCACTCCCACTCACTGTCTACTCTCCTCTCACCTCTGCAACACTGGGGACACTCACAAGATTGTGATCCAAGTCGGCCGTCGTCTTCTGCAGCTCTGGAGACCTGATGCTGGGGAAGGGCATGCCTGGCATCACCACACACCTGGGGGGAGACAGGAGCCTGGGGCCGGTGGGCCCACACATCACCAGCTGCTCCGTTCTACCATTTCTTCAGCCCTCTTGGCTGTGCCTGCGGCTCTGCCCCTCCCCTCTCTGCACCTACCACCCAGAGAGGGCTTGTTGAGCTCAGAGATCCCACCTAGGCCAATCCACTGGGTTCTGTGGCAGCGATGGCCTGCCTGATCTTCCACCTGCTCTCCCAGGGCCAAAGCCAGACCTGCTGAGCCCCTCCCTCCAGCCGGCTGGTCTGAGCAGTCACAGCCCGGCTTTGGGCTCCGATGGCAGCAGATGGCAGGTAGGGGTCCAGCTGCTGGAGCGAGGGCCGGCCACGTATCACAGCCAAGGAGATGAGCACAAGCACTACTTACTGGCCTAGGTTGTCAGAGAAGTTGATGCTCTCACTCATCTTTCCTCCAATCTTTCCCCTATGCCTGGTTGTGGTATTAAGTTACATGCAGACAACAGGGGCCAGAAGATGAACAATGGCCCATCCCACTCTAGGCATGGCTCCTCTCCACAGGAAAACTCCACTCCAGTGCTCAGCTTGCACCCTGGCACAGGCCAGCAGTTGCTGGAAGTCAGACACCTGCAGATCAAGACCACAGCATCAAGACCCTGTGACCTCTCAAAGGCTTGGTGGAAAGGACACGGGAAGTCTGGGCTAAGAGACAGCAAATACACATGAACAGAAAGAAGAGGTCAAAGAAAAGGCTGACGGCAAGTTAACAAAAAGAAAAATGGTGAATGATACCCGGTGCTGGCAATCTCGTTTAAACTACATGCAGGAACAGCAAAGGAAATCCGGCAAATTTGCGCAGTCATTCTCAACACCGGCCATGCAGCAAAATCATCAGTGGAAATTTAAAAAAATACACGTGGCCAGGCCCCAGCCCAAATCACTAATAAGAATCTCCAGGGCTTCACCTGTTAGACTGGCAAAAATCCAAAAGTAAACACTTTGTGGAGAAACAGGCACTCCTAGACATTGGTGGTGGGATACAGAACAGTACAATTCTGATGGTAATCAGTTAACAAATTAAACATATTTATTTTATACTTTTAAACCCAGGAATCCCATATTTAGGAGTCTACTGAGACCAAACAGCATATGCTCCTGGTGTTTCCCTATAATCCGCCACTACTGTTGGAGCAAGAGGGCCCAGCAGTGTCCCCAGCTGCCAGCAGGCGGGCGTGCTGCCAGTACACCTTGAGCAAGAGGACCCTGCAATGTCCGTAGCTGCCAGCAGGCGGCGTGCCACCACTATACAGTAAGCAAGAGGACCCTGCAGTGCCCCGGCGCCAGCAGGGGGCGGTGGCCACCACTCTAAGCAAGAGAGCCCTGCAGTTGCCCTAGTCGCCAGCAGGGGGCGCCCTGGCACAGCACCGTGAGCAAGCGGGTCCTGTAGTGCCCGGCTGCAAGCAAGGGGCGGTCGATCCCGGCTTTTCGGATTACTGAAGTTCCACCCGTCTCTGCGCCGCGCCGCCGTGACGTGAGTTTCTGCGCGTGCACGGCGCCCCCCCCCCCCCCCCCCCCCCCGCCCCCAGCCCGGCGCCGTGCGACTTTGCTCCTGCAACACACGCACCCCCAACCCCCGCCCGTAGGCGTGCGTCTCTGCGCCTGCGCCACGCCTCCACCCCTGGACGCGCTAGCATGTGTCTCTGCGCCTGCGCCGGCGCGGCGCGCCTCTCTGCGCCTGCGCCGGCGCGGCGCGCCTCTCTGCGCCTGCGCCGGGGGAGTTGCGTTCTCGTCAGCACAGAGCCGCAGAGCACCGCGAGGGCGGAGCTGCGTTGTCCTCTGCACAGATTTCGGTGGTACTGCGAAGGCGGAGCAGAGTTCTCGTCAGGTCAGACCCGGGCGGGCGGGCTGAGGGTACCGCGAGGGCGGAGCTGCGTTCTGCTCAGTACAGACCTGGGGGTCACCGTAAAGGTGGAGCAGCATTCCCCTAAGCACAGACGTTGGGGCCACTGACTGGCTTTGGGACAACTCGGGGCGCATTAACGGTGAATAAAATCTTTCCCGGTTGCAGCCATGAATAATCAAGGTGAGAGACCAGTTAGAGCGGTTCAGTGCGGAAAACGGGAAAGCAAAAGCCCCTCTGAATGCTGCGCACCGAGATTCTCCCAAGGCAAGGGGAGGGGCTGCATTGCAGGGTCCACTTGCAGCGTCGGAACGCAAATGCAGCATTCCTAATGCACACATGATACCCAAAATATAACACCCACATTCCTCATGTGCTTACGGTGAGGGTGAGGGTGAGGGTGGGGGTGGGGGTGGGGGTTGGGGTTGGGGTTGGGGTTAGGGTTCGGGTTCGGGTTCGGGTTCGGGTTCGGGTTCGGGTTCGGGTTGGGTTAGGGTTAGGGTTAGGGTAGGGTTAGGGTTTAGGGTTTAGGGTTTAGGGTTTAGGGTTTAGGGTTAGAGGTTAGGGGTTAGGGGTTAGGGTTAGGGTTAGGGTTAGGGTTAGGGGTTAGGGGTTAGGGGTTAGGGTTAGGGTTAGGGTAGGGTTAGGGTTAGGGTTAAGGGTTAGGGGTTAGGGGTTAGGGGTTAGGGGTTAGGGTAGGGTTAGGGTGAGGGTGAGGGTGAGGGTGAGGGTGAGGGTGAGGGTGAGGGTTGGGTTAGGGTTAGGGTTAGGGTTGGGTTAGGGTTAGGGTTAGGGTTGGGTTGGGGTTGGGGTTGGGGTGGGGTTGGGTTAGGGTTAGGGTTAGGGTTA